>NC_000009.12:78220552-80720552 GCF_000001405.40 Homo sapiens
TGGTTGCATTCACATATAAAGCCATTCACGCCCCTGTCGGGACAGCACCCAAGTGATGCACACTGATTGGGTCAGGCACAAAGTCATGTGGCCTGGATCAAGTTTGGTGGGCAGGGAAAGACACAATACGAGACATGTTAAATGTGATGGGGACATTCTAATACCTTCCCTCTCTTGCCTCATTCTTTCTCTTTTTCACCCCTTTTCCTTTCCCACTCAATCCATCAATCTTTCCCTTACTCTCTCATTTTCCTGCAGGTTCCGTGTGGCTGCTCTGAGAATTCTCCCACCATAGAGAGATGGGTGATCCCTTTGTTCTGCATGAAGTCACCAATCCAGGCACCATGGAAGGACTCTGTGAGGAGGGCCTCCCCTCTGAGAAGATGCCTAGCCAGCAGGGACCTCATGCTTGAGTTCAGATGGGTTGCCAGACAGATGAAAACTCCAGACATGACAGCTCCTCCTCTGAGGCTTTGCCTGGGTTCTTCCAGCCACACCAGAACAGCACCCCACCTGCAACACACACCCTCACCCAAGCCCCACCAGAATACTGCACATCGGCTATGTTTGTCAGAATACAAAAACAGAGACAGTTTTCAGAAAGATATTCTTTATTGTCATAGTTGCCACGGGTGGATGGTCAAGCGAGCTGGCAGAGGCTAGGAGGAAATTTTTGTGTCCCTGGCTGGAGAGTGATCTGGGTGTCACTGTAAAGACTTCTTGCCCAAGAATGAAAATAGAACATCCTATTTCCCTTCCAGCTCTGCCAAGACTTTCATCTGCCTCCCACATCCTCTGCTGCTGTTTTATTGACTACATACTATTCCATAAAATGGAGATAACATAATTTGTTTAACCTTTTCCTTATTGATTAAACACTGATTTCTAAAAGAAAATACTGGAGGAGAAAATGAAGCAAAAAACTTCCTTAGATATTAGTGTGAGTATATTCTCTGAGGCAAATCAAAAGAAGGTTATTTTAGGATGAAGATGTGTGGAGATAAGTAGAGCAGTCTGCCCGATGTTAAACCTAAGAGAATGTTTCAGGAACATTCTGTCTGGGTATGGATGAACAAAGGTCTGGGAGTCAGGCCAAAATGAGCATGAAGGTTGAACAGATGTTGCAATTACAAATCAGTACAAATCTTTGGGGAAACTTCAGGTTATTTTACAATACGTGTATATTGTATGGTTTCCAGCTGTTAGTTTGCCATGCTGTCCTCTGATCACACCAAGAATATGGATGAGGAAAATGAAAACTAAGGCCACACAATCAGTAGGTGATAAAACCAGGATTTGAACCGGGGTCTGACTCCTTGTATTTGTCTGTTTTCACACTGCTGATAAAGACATACCTGAGACTGGGCAATTTACAAAAGAAAGAGGTTTAATGGACTTACAGTTTCCAGTGGCTGGGGAAGCCTCACCATCATGGCAGAAGGCAAGGAGGAGCAAGTCACGTCTTACATGGATGGCAGCAGGCAAAGAGAGAGCTTGAGCATGGAAACTCTGCCTTATAAAGCCATCAGATCTCATGAGACTTATTCACTATCATGAGAACAGCATGGAAAAGACCTGCCCCCATGATTCAATTACCTCTCGCAGGGTCCCTCTCACAACATGTGGGAATTCAAGATGAGATTTGGGTGGGGATACAGCCAAAACATATCACTCCTCAGCTCATATTTTTTCTAAACATAAACAGTGCTGCCTGCACTTTTGCTAAATTTATTAGATTTTTAAGAGGCAGAGTACAAATTGGGATTGGATTTTACTGCCTGGCCCAGAAGAGGGGAAGTGACTAGTGAACAGGAGCAATGAAAGTTGCTTGTCAGCAGGATGGGCCTCTGCAAGAGAATATTAGCTGTTTTTTAAATTTAAAAATAGAAAACTTAGCCAAAGCCTCCTGAGTAGCTGGGATTACAGGCGTGTGCCACCATGCCTGGCTAATTTTTGTATTTTTAGTAGAGACGGGGTTTTGCCATGTTGGCCAGGCTGGTCTCAAACTCCTGGTCTCAAGTGATCTACCCGCCTCAATCTCCCAAAGTGAACTCTTTATTTTTTAAGTAAATTTTTGTTTTTATTTATTTTATTTTATTTTTTGAGACAGGGTCTTGTTCTGTCACCCAGGCTTGAGAAGAGTGGCACAATCTTACCTTACTGTAGCCTTAAACTCCTGGGCTTAAGTGATCCTTCCACCTCAGCCTCTCCAGTAGTTAGGACTACAGGTGTGTACTACCAGGCCCAGCTAATTCTTTACTTTTTTGTTGTTTTGTTTTTCCTTGTAGAGAAGGGGTCTCATTATATTGTCCAGGCTGGTCTTGAACTCCTGGCCTTAAGCAGTCCTCCCACTTCAGTCTCCCAAAGTGCTGCAATTATAGGCATGAGCCACCATAACAGCCTATGTTTAAGTAAGCTTTTAAATAGAAATTTAGCATTCCTACAGAAAAATACAAAAATCTGAAGTAATTTAAATCAGTGAATTTTTATAAAGTATACTAGTGTGACCAGACCTTAGCACTCCAAACTCAGAACATTACCAGCAACCCTGAGCCCCACCAAGATTCACTATAATCCCAACTTCTATCACTATGGATTTATTTTACCTATTTCTGGACTTCAAAAATAAAATCATGTCATGTAGTAGGCAGGTTCTAAATGAGTCCCAATGACGCCTACCTCCTAGTACTAATGTCCTTGTGTAATCCTCTCCTCTTGGTATGGGCTGGAACTAGTGATTTACTTCTATGAAAGAGAATGTGGCAAAAGTGACAAGGTGTCACTTCCACGATTGGGTTATTAAAAACCCCTTTCTTGTTCTCTTGCTTGCTGCTCTGACGGAAGACAACTGCCATGTCATCAGCTGTCCTATAGGGAAAGCCATGTGGCAAGGAACTGAGGGAGGTCACTAGCCAACAGCCAGTGAGGAAATGAAGCCCTCAGTCCAACAGCCTGGGAGAAACTGAATCCTGCCAGCAACCACAGGAGTGCACTTACAAGCAGATCCTCCCTCGTTTGAGTCTTTAAATGAGACCTCAGCTCTGGCCGCCATTTTGATTACAGCCTTGAGAGAAATCTTGAGGCTGAAACACCCAGCTACCCTACACCTGCATTTCTGACCCACAGAAACTGAGTTAATCAAAGTTTATTGTTTTAAGATGCTAAGTTATATGGTAATTTGTTGTGGAGCAATAGATAGCTAACTTATAATATGCACTCACTTGTGTCTGGCTTCTTTTATTCAACATTAAATTTGAGATTCAGTCATATTTTTGCATATAGCAAGAGTTCATTCACTTTCATTATATTCCATTTCATGAATTTGTCACAATTTATTTATTTATTCTCTTCTTGACAGACATTTGAATTTTTTCTAGTTTGGGGTTGCATAGCTAGTGCTACTTTACACATTTTTCCTTGCACCTTTTGGAATGCATATGTTCACACATATCCTGACCATATACTAGAAGTATGATAGCCAGATCATAGGCTATGAACACTGCTGGCAGTTTCTAAAGTGCTGACACCAATTTACTCTCCCACCAGAAGTTCATGAAAGTTCCAGTCGCTCCAGATCCTCATTAGCTCTGGCATTTGCATTTTAACCATTTTGGTGGGGATGTAGTGGTGTGACATTATGGTTTTAATCTTCATTTCCCTGATTAACAACTTACTTTTCATTTAAAACTTCGATTAATTACATTAATTAATTTGCATTTCCTTCATTAGGGAAATACAAATTAGCACCTTTTCATGTCTTTTATTTTGGATATTCTCTTTTGCAAAGTGCTTGTTCAAGCTGTGCCCATTTTTGCTGTTGACTGTCTTTTTTTTCCTAATGGATTCTTACATAAGCTGGAATCAATTTCTTGTCACAAATAGGTTTTGAAAAGGCCTCCTGTCATTCTTTGGCTTGCCTTTTTACTCTTTAGTGGTGCTTAATATTTCTTCTTCTTTTTTGTTTTTTGAGACAGAATCTTGCTCTTTCTCCCAGGCTGGAGTGCATTGGCACGATCTTGGCTCACTGCAGCCTTGACCTTCTGGGCTCAAACAATCCCCCCACCTTATCCTCCCAAGTAGCTGGGACTACAGATGCATGCCACCATGCCTGGCTAATTTTTTTTTTTTTGTATTTTTTGTAGAGATGGGTTTTCACCATGTTGTCCAGGCTGGTCTGGAACCCCTGGACTCAAGTGATCTGCCAACCTAAGCATCCCAAAGTTCTGGGACTATTACAGGCATGAGCCATTGTGCCTGGCCAGTATTTCTTCTTTTAAATGCACTGCAATGTATGTAGATTTTCCATTATAGTTAAGATTTATTTTCTGCTTGAGAAATATTTGCCTACCCCTAGATTATTAAAATGTCTTATGAGTGTGCTTCTAGAAGCTTTATTATTTTACCTTTCATGTTTAGATCAACAACCTATCTGGAATTGATTTTTGTGTACAGGGTAATAGAAGAATCAGAATTAATTTTTTCCATGAGAACATTGACATCACGTTTATTGAAAAAGCTATCCTTTCTCCACTGTAGTGTCAGCTTTTTCGTAAATGAAGTGACTATATATGTGTAGGTCAGTGTCTGAACCTTCCATTCTGTCTCATTGCTCTGTTTCTATTCTTGTGCCAATATCACATTGTTTAAATTATTATAGCTTTGATGAATTTTGCTGTTTGATGGTGTATGTCCTCCAGATTTGTTCTACTTTTTCACAATGTCTTAATATTCTCTCAAAATTTTAGTATACATTTTAGATTTAGCTTGTCAATTCACACACACACACACACACACACGAGCTAAAGAAATTTTGATTGCTCTTTCATTGAATTAATAGAAGTTTGGAGATTATTGACTTACTATATTGAATTATTCAATCAATGACCATGATGTATCTGTCCATTTAATTAAGTCTGATCTGATTTCTCTCAAAAAAGTTTTTTAGTTTTATGTATAAAATTTTTGTAAACAATTTTTTTTGTTTTCTTTGTTGTATTTATTCCTAGGTGTGTTTTTCTTTCTTTTTTCCTTCCTTCCTTTTTTTTTTTTTGAGATGGGGTTTCACTCTGTCACTCAGGCTGAAGTGCAGTGGCATGATCATAGCTCACTGGACCCTCGAACTCCTCGGCTCAAGTAATCCTCCTGCCTCAGCCTCCCAAGTAGTTAGGACTACAGGTGCTTGCCAGCATGCCCAGCTAATTTTTTTGTAGGGACAGAGTCTTGTTATATTGCCCAAGTTGGTCTTGAACTTCTAACCTCAAGCAATCCTCCTGCTTTGGCCTCCTAAATCACTGGGATTACAGGTGTGAGCCACCATGCTGGGCCACATTTAAAAAAACATCATATTGTAAAATAAGACACAGATTCAGAAAACACAGAAGACAAATTTGTAGCTTAACAGTATTGTAAGACAAACACCCTTGTCATTTCCACCAAAGTTAAGAAATAAAACTTTGCCTGAAGTCCCTCTATGTGTGCTAAACCAATCATAACCCAATCTCTCCTCCAAGAGGCATGACACTTCCTGACTTTTGTAATTAACTGTTCCTTAAATTTCTGTATAAATGCACCACCTGAGTTTGACTCCCTAGACAGTATGTTTTAGTTTTGCCCAGTTTTAATAATGACATTCAAGTTCCTTTTAATCTATAGCTCAGCCTTCATCCCTTTATTACCCTTAAATTTGTCAGATCATCTGGCCTGTAGTTTTCTAAATCCAGGCCATTTGACCTGTAGAGTTTTCCACAACAGGGATTTTGCTGAATACATAAGCATGATGCAGTTCAGCACGTTCCTCTGTCCTCTGTATTTCCTGTAAAGTCACAACTGGATCCAGAGGCTTGATTAATCCTTAAGAAAGACTATAGACAGTGGCATATTATTTCATCAGGAAGCATTTAGGATGGGTGCTATGGCTTATCCCTGTAATCCTAGCACTTTGGAAGGTGGAGGCGGGAGGATTGCTTGAGCCCAGGAGTTTGAGACCAGCCAGAGGAACATAGTAAGATTGTCTTTACAAAAACAAAACAAAACAAACAAACAAATTAACCAAGTGTAGTGGCACGCACTGCAGTCCCAGCTACTCAGGGGATTGAGGAGGGAGGGTTGCTTGATCTCAGATCAAGGCTTCAGTGAGCTGTGATCAGCCAGTGCACTTCAGCCTGGGCAACAGAGTGAGACCCTACATGAAAAAAAAAAAAATCCGCACACACACACACACACGAACAGTTTTCTGAACAGACATAGGATTGTTAGATACTCTTTTTTTCCTTGGGTCAGTTTTGTTATGTTGCTTTTTTTTTGAGCCGGGGTCTCACTCAGATGCCCAGGCTGGAGTGCAGTGATGTGATCATGGCTCACAGCAGCCTTGACCTCCTGGCCTCAGGTGATTCTCCCACCTCAGCCTCCCAAGTTGCTGGGACTACAGGTGCCCACCACCACTCCTAGCTAGGTTGCATTCTTTTAAGAATTTGTAATTTTGGATGAATTTTCCAATTGAAAAGCACAAAATTTGTAATTTTAACAGTTTTATTGAATTATAATTCACATACCTTAATTATATTTATTTAATATATACAATTCAATGGTTTTTACTATATCCACAAAGCTGTGCAACCACTACCATAATCCAATTTTAGAAGATTTTTATCCTCCTCCTAAAGAAAAACATTACACTCATTCCCCATTCTCAGGAACCTTCTCAGCCCTAGACAACCACTCATCTACTTTTTGTCTCTAGAAATTTGCTTATTCTGGGCATTTCATATACATGGAATCATATAGCATGTTCTTCAGTGAGTGACTTCTTTTACTTTGCATAATGCTTTCATGAGTCATCCATGCTGTCACTTATATCAACACTTTATTTTCTTTTTATGGCTGAATAATATTTCATTGATAGATTTTGTTTATTCATCAGTAGATTGACACTTGGGTTATTTCCACTTTTTGGTATTATAAATACACTTCCATGAACATCTTTGTATATGTTTTTGTGTGGACACAGGTTTTTATTTTTCTTGAGTATACATCCAGCTGTTGAAATGATGGGTCAGGGTAAGTCTATGTTTAACATTTTGAGGAACCCTCAAACTGTCCTGCAAAATGGCTGCACCATTTTACATTTCCACCAGCAATGTATGAGGGTTTCAATATCTTTTTTAAAGACCTAGCATATGATCTATCCTGGAGAAAGTTTTATATGCACTTGAGAAGAATATTTTGCTATTGTTGGGTTGAGCGTTCTATAAATGTTTGCTAGGTCTAGTTAATTTATTGTGTTGTTCAAGTCTTTTATAACCTTGTTAATCTTCTGCCTACTTGATCTATCATCTATTTACAGCGGTGTATTTTTAATTTTTATTTTATTTATTTATTTAGAGACAGGGTCACATTCTGTCACTCCGGCTGGTGTGTAGTGGCAGCCTTGAACTCCTGGGCTCAAGTAATCTTCCTGCCTCAGCCTTCCTACTAGCTAGGACTACAGGTACACACCACCACACCTGGCTTTTTTTTTTTTTTTAAGAGATGAGATGACACTATATTGCCCAGGTTGGTCTCCAAATCCTGACCTCAAGCAACCCTCCCATCTCGGCCTTTCACATCTCTGGGATTACAGGTGTGAGCTACCATGCCTAGCCCTAACGGTGGTATATTGACGTCCTCAACTAATATTGAATTATCTATTTCATCCTTCTATTCTGTTAGTGGTCTTCATGTATTTTGGTACTGTCTTATTATGTGCATATATGTTTACAATTTTTGTGTTTCCTGATGGAGTGATCTTCTTTAATTATAAAATGTTCCTCTTTATAGCTAATAATATTTTTCATTTTAAAATCTATGTTTTTCTGGTATTAGTATAGCAATTCCAGCATTCTTATTTTGGCCACTTGCCTGATATATATTTTTTCACCCTTTTACTTAGAATATATTTGTATCTTTGAATGTAATGTGTGTCTTCTACAGATAACATATATTTTGATCTTTTAAAAATCCAGTTTGACAATATCTGCATTTTGATTCAATTGTTTATGCATTCACATTTAATTTTGCTATTGATATGGTAGGATTTATGTCTGTCATTTGCCTTTTGTTTTCTACAGGTTTCTTTATTATTGTTCCTGTATTCTTCCTTTCCTGTTTCCTTTTATATTGAGTGGATATTTTCTAGTGTAACATGTAATTGTGTTAATAATCTCTAATTGTATTTCTTTAGTTAATAGTTGCCCTAAAGCTTATGGTATTCATCTTATCAGAATCTACTTTAGATTTATACTAACTTCATTCCAGTGAAATATAGAAACTGTATTCTATATGGCTCCATTCTCTCCCACCATTTTTTTTTTAAAGACAAGATCTCACTCTGTCACCCAGGTTGGAGTGCAGTGGCACAATCATGGCTCACTGCAGCCTCAACCTCCTAGGCTCAAGCAATCCTCCCACCTCCCAAGTAGCTGAGACTACTGGTGTACGCCACCATGTTGGGCTAATTTTTGTATTTTTGGAAAGACAGGGTCTCCCCATGTTGCTTAGGCTGGTCTTGAACTCCTGGGCTCAAGTGTTCTGCCTGCCTCAGCCTCCCAAAGTTCTGAGATTACAGGCATGAGCCATGACGCCTGACGCCCTCCCACCATTTTTGCCATTATTACATTTATATATCTTACATATCCAACAGTACATTGTTATTATTATTACTTTATATCATCTTACATCTTTTAAAGAAGCTGAGAAAAGAAAGGGGAAAAAATAAATATTTATGGAGTTCGTTGGGTTAATCCATTTGTTGTCATTTTTGGCTCTCTTCATTTCTTCCTGTAGATTCAAGTTACAAACTGGTGTCAGTGAATTTCCCAACACTGTGATAGCAATAGTTGAATTCCAAAGTATATTTCTCTCTTTCCCCATAGAAATTCTTCCACAAGTTCAAAACGTTTTCAAAAGTGAAAAAGCTTACACCAAGTTTGTCAAGTTTGCAAATACGTTTGAAAAGGTTATGGTAACATTGTCCAAGATACAATATTCTTCTGTGAGTTCACGCCACTTGAAATATCCACACATACTGTAAATACAAATTATATCTGTGACAGGTTTTGGCCCATGGAGTGTGAGCAGATGTAATGCCAGCAAAGGCTTTAAATGGGCTTGCATGTTTGGGCTCACCTCTTGTGTTTAATGAGTATGGTTCAGCTACTGCATGCCCTGGGAGTTGTTGCCCCATAGTTAGACCCTGGAGTGAGATGTGCGAACAGAACTAAGACAGACCCAAAGCATGGAGCAAAACCCAGCTATCTGGGGGTCTCAAGCAGAGTCACTACAGCTAACCCACAGATTTAAGAAAAACAAATTCTTACTGTTTATATGTCATTGCATTTTGGGGTGGTTTGTTCCACAGCATTATTGCAACAAGGACTAACTAATACATCTTCCAAATCATTATTACATAGGTTGTCAGCACCATGCCTATATGTGAAGCAACTGTGTACTTAGAAATTTTGAGAATTCTTAAACTTTTGAGAATTCTTAAACTCTTGGCACCTCCTCAACATTTCATACGCTAAAGGATTCTCCAAATAAATTTGGTAATGTGCCATAAAAACATCTTCATAAATTCTTGTTAAATATAATAATTATTTCTATTCAGTTTCTCCTTGTATAAAATGTTTTTTTAAAAAATAAATCTAAAAGGATAAAAAAACTGTATAGGAATATCTTTGTAGATAGAAGTTATTCACAGGGGAAATTATAATTATAATTATAAATTAAAATTATAATTAAAATGGGCATTTACTGAGTGTATAGCCTTGGTGCACCCGGTGCCTCTAAATGCCAAGTGAACAAAGGCACTTAAAAAATTTGGATCTTTCTAAAAAAAAAATACTGGATCTTGCTCTCTCGACTTGAGAGGGAAAATAAGCTGTTCTAACGTGGCGAAGGAATGCTCTTAGCTGTTTGCAACTGTCTGTGAGTTTGGGCATTGTGTTGCTATGAAGCAGCACACTGTCCACACATAGCCCGAACTACAGAAACTGCTACGTAAAAAAAATAGAGAAAGAGCCAGAGAATACCTTCTCACAGAGATTCATTCATTCATTCATGAAATACTTACTAATCAGGCTGACTCTGTATATAATACCATACTGAGGACTGCACAGAACACAGAGATCAAACCTCTCAGAGAGTTGAGAGTCCAGAGAGGGAAATAAGACAGAGATGCCTCGTGGCAGTTTCAGATGTGTTCCACTCACTCATTTGCAAGTCCAGAAGACAGAAGGTAACCACATCTTGCTTGGATACACAGTAAAATTTTTTCAGAAAATGAGATATAAGGGTAGCAACCAGAAGAATGTATAGTATTATAGAAAGCTGGAAGGGAACAAAGATGTAGATATAATTAGACCCATGAGATACAAAAGCCTGGAAAGTTCAATAAAAGTCGGATTATGGAGGGTCTTGGATGTCAATCTTAAGAATCTGGGCTACATTCTGTTGGCAGTGCATGTCACGGAAGGTTTGGAACAAAGGAATGGCATAAGCAAAGAACCATGGGAGGTGTAATAAGGGATGTAGGGAGAGCCTGAATGTAGGAAGACATGCTATTCTCTGAAGCAATAATTTTAATTCATGTGTAAAATAATAAATGGTAAAACTGAATAATGGCAATGCAAATAGAAGGAAGGGAAGAAGAGTATGAGAGATGCTACAAAGGATAAACTGTGAAGTCTTGGTCATTGGTTGGATACATCCATTTATTCATTTAACAAATATTGTCAGGAATTGGGCTAGCTACTGGGGATGCAAGAATAAGTGGCAGGGTGTGGTGGCTCAGGCCAGGCATGGTGGCTCACACCTGTAATCACAGCACTTTGCAAGGCTGAGGTGGGCAGATCACGAGGCCAGGAGTTCGAGACCAGCCTGGCCAACATGGCAAAACCCCATCTCTACTAAAAATACAAAAATCAGCCGAGCGTGGTGGCTTGCACCTGTAATCCCAGCTACTCGGGAGGCTGAGACAGGAGAATTGCTTGAACCCGGGAGGCAGAGGTTGCAGTGAGCCGAGATCACCCCACTGCACTCCAGCCTGGGTGACAGAGCAAGACTCCGTCTCGGAAAAAATAAAAACAAAACAAAAACAACAGAATAAGCAAAACAGACACGATCCCTTCCTCAAGGACCATATGGTAAACATTTATTTCAAAATGAATGCGAAATAGAATGAAGGCTATCAACAAGAGTTACGTGGTATTATGAGAGCTTATGATAGGGGATGTGATGAGTCAGGGAGGGAGGAAATGCTTCCTCAACAAAGTGACACATGAGCTGAGATGAGAAGATGCGGAGGCACTAATTAGGTGCAGAATGAAGGGAAGGACATCTCATGCAGAGCGGACAGCATGGACAGTGGTTTATTCTAAGTGTGCAGGCCTGAAAGGAGACTACTATAGGCTGGACTGCTGAGAATGAAAGAGACTAGGACACAAGACAAAGCTGCAGAGATCATACTCCATCATGCCCTGAGGATGCAGCACCCTGGAGACTAGTGCTACTCAAAGTGCCACTGGACAATGAGATAAGGAGCTTGTTCTAGAATGTAACGCAATACACTGCTCTTTTCATGAAAAAAATCTAAGCAGTATGTTTAGTGCATGTGTGATTTACATTCTGAATTGAGCTCCTCATCTTATAAGAACAGTAACAGTTCTAAAATCAATAGCTAGTCTGTGGACTCCACATTGAGTGGAGCACTATTTGAGACCATTGTGAAGTTTGTCTTTATCCCGAGAGCAAAGGGAAGTCATAGAAGGATTTGCAGAGGAGGTGGTGGCGGCTGCAGTGTGGAGCATGGATTGGAAGGCAGCTGAAGTCAGAAGAAAGAAGACAAGAAAGTTTACATTTGGAACTGTTTTCCCTGATGAAGTAAGAGGTGTCCTGTTCAGGGATGTAGAATGAAGTGTTATGGTGTATTAGTCTGTTCTCATGCTGCTAATAAAGACATACTTGAGACTAGATAATTTATAAAGGAAAGAGGTTTAATGGACTCACAGTTCCACATGGCTGGGGAGGCCTCACAATCATGGCAGACGGCAAAGGAGAAGCAAAGGCACGTCTTACATGCGGCAGGCAAGAGAGCTTGAGCAGGGGAACTCCGATTTATAAAACCATCAGGTCTCGTGAGACTTATTCACTTTCACAAGAACAGTATGGGGGGAACCACCCCCATGATTCAATTATTTCCACCTGGCTCTGCCCTTGACATGTGGGGATTATTACAATTCTAGGTAAAGTGTGGGGACACAGCCAAACCATATCAAGCAGCAACATGAAAAGAAAGAAGGAGAAGGAATTGGAACAACCACTGTGAGTAGCCACAAGGAAGGTAATGGGAAAAAGAAATGGGGACCACACATCCGTTAACATAAGACAGCTTATGTTGTTGGCCAGGTTGACATTGCTCTGTGCCTGGATCCATCAAACCTCACTGCTCTGGAAGCAAGTACAGAGAGGATGAATGTTAGAGATAAGCAGATGATATGGCATTGTGGTTCTATGGAAAGGTAAGTGGGCTAGGAAGTCGGGGTATAACAGTCTGGATTGACTGGGAGTAGAGTACAGTGAACAAGTGCTTAAATGATACCATTTACCTGTATTCTACTCAAACACTCACTCACCAGATCCCCTGAAGGAGGAGAGCTCATCTCTTATACCACCCAGTAGAACGTCCCTCCCAAGTCATGCACCTGCAATGAAGCCAAGGCATTTTGTCTTGGGCCAGGTGTGAGCCTGGTTTGTCAGAGGATCCCAGAGGTGCCACAGAGAGACAGTTTTCATTCAGTGTTCAGGGAAGTGTGTGGGTGAACCCACCAGATGCTGAAAGGAGAACTGGAGCCATTCTTTTTTTGAAGCAACTATTAAGTCATAATTTAACTGAAGCAGAGAAGAGATTATCAGGCAAGCCTTGAAAGAAATCTTGCCACACTAAAAATAAGTAAGCACAGGAAACATAAATTTTAAATGAATATGTTAAATGATTATTAATATGAGGAAGACTTCTCTGAGCTGCATTCATAGGCAGTGGCTACAGGGTGCTGGCAATAGCTTGCGGGGATAATAGGGAAGAATGTTCCTACAATTAGTCATTAGTTAGCACTTTCTCTGTGCTAACACTGTGCTAGGCATAGGGAATGTAAGCATGAATGAGACATGGTTCTTGCCTTCAAAGGGCTTTCAGACTCTGGAAGGAAAACCATCTAAAAAGATGTTTATCATTGGATGTTCTAAGTGTTATGCTACAGGGATGTCAGGGAGCACAGCAGTGAGGTGCTAAACAAGCAAGGGAGGAGAGATGAGGGTTAGAGAGAAACAGGCTTTCTAGGGAAGGTGCCCCAAACCAAGGCTGGGAAAAGAATGGAAGTTAGCCGACTAAATAAAGGAGCAGCCTATGAAAAGACCCAGACAGCAACAATAGGACATCAGAAAGTTCAAGCAGTTCTGTGTATCTAGAGAAGACATGCCAGGAAGAATGTAGCAAGGAGAGAGACAACAGAGATAGTCAAATTATGAAGGAGCTTGTATGTCAAGCTACGTGACATAGATCTGACACTGAGGGCAGTGAGAAATCTTGGCTTTCTAGGGGGCAATTTAATGGATGAAGAGATCTATCTGTGTTAGAAGTAATCTGCCTAGAGTGGGGAAGTTAAGGCTGAGCAGAAGACAAGAACACCCAGAGAAACTGTAAAATGTCAGAAGGGGTGAAAGCTGAGGGTAGAAACCTGACGAACAGCAATATTTAGAGTGGATATGCAAGAGAAGCCAAAGAATGAGACTGAGAAGAAGAAATTCGAGAGGTAAAGAAAAAGAAATCAGGTGGCTTCATGGGAAACAGGGAGGAGGGAGCTTTAAAAAGGTAATGGACACTACATTAATTGATGCTGGAGACTAGAAAGAAAATGGATAGAGCAACAAAGAAATCGTAAAGTTGGAAACAATTTAAATTACCATCAACAGAAAAACAGACACATTACTGTATGTTTCTACATGGAACTCCCATATAACAACAGGGAAAATAAATGAATATCTCTATATGTCAACACGGATGGACCTAGTAAAGGTAACGATAAGTAAAGTAGGAAAAGAAAATATAGAATGTTATATACTGCTTACTTACATATGTAGCAGAAATATAAAGACATACATTGCAACGATGAATACCAAGTTCAGAAGAGCAGTTATCTCAGAGTCAGAGAGTAGTCGTGATTGGGAAGGTGGTTACACAAAGCTCTTCAACAGGAATGGTAATGTTTCATTTATTAAGCTGGTTTATGAATATACAAGCGTTTACTATATTAAGATTTGAGCATGTCGCACATAAAAATAATTGGTGACCATATCTCCGGAATTTTAGAGACGCCTGCATATGTGTGTTGGAAGTAAGTTGGAGTATCCGGAATGCAGTGGGTGGAACAGGAATGCAATAAACACAATGTCTAAGGCTCTACCGGAGGACTATCATTGCTCTAGCAATTGCATACCAATAGAAGGAGAGGTCAATTATCTGGATTCTTCCACTTAGCTTCCACTTAACTTCCCCGTTCCTCAGTTTCCCCTTTTGTAAAGTAGAATATAATAGTATATTCCTTGAGATGTTAGGAGAATGAAATGATTTCATACTTAAACATTGCTTAAAATAATCCCGAGGACATTATTTCAAATAAGTACTAGTTACAAGGGAGTTAGCCAACATCATCGTCAGTACAAAACAAACTGATTCACAGCAAACACAATAAAGTCCTGAATTCATGAAACACTCTTCAATTTGCCAGGAACCGTGTGAGATATGCAGAAACTACAGAAATTAAGGCTTATTTGTAGATATTAACACAGACATAAAAGATTTAATGACCGCAGTTCACGTTCAATCAGCCGTTCCCACATCCCTTGAGTGCAGTCTCTGTGCTGGCTGGACACTGCAAGCACAGACACATTCCTCAGATGTTTAGACTTTTTTTAAAAGTGCGTTGTTACATCCACATTTCACTTTTTATTTTCTTTCTTTTTTTGAGACGGAGTTTCGCTCTTGTCGCCCAGGCTGGAGTGCAATGGCAAGATCTCGGCTCACTGCAGCCTCCGCCTCCCGGGTTCTAGCGATTTTCCTTCCTCAGCTGGGATTACAGGCGAGTAGCTGGGATTACAGGCGCCCGCCACCATGCCCGGCTAATGTTTGTATTTTTAATTGAGACGGGGTTTCGCCATGTTGGCCAGGCTGGTCTCGAACTCCTGACCCCAGGTGATCCGCTCGCCCCCGCCTCACACAGTGCTGGGATTACAGGCGTGGGCCACCGCGCCCGACCACACATTTCACTTTTATTCGGATCGATCAGTAAACTCTTTCGCAAACCCTCAAACTCTCCCGACCACTATCTCAGGTAGCAGCGAACTCACCCGTCCTCAGGAGGCGGGACCTGCGTGCCGACGCACAGCGAGCACGTTGACGTCTTGGCGCACCGTTCCACGGCACCGCCCACCGGCTTGAATCCCGGCGCCTCAGAGGACTATGAGGCGGGCGCCAACTGCTTGGGCCGCAGGGCGGGAGGCAGCGCGGGAGTGGGGCGTTGAGGGGCCGGCCTAGCTTGGGGCTCTGGCCTTGCGTCTTCCGACCGAATCACCGCTCCTGAGCCCGGTGCGGGGCTGCCGCTATCGCCTGGCCGTGGGTGCCGGAGCGGCCGGGTTGCGACTCAGCGTTCTTGGGTGGGCGCGGGCGGCGTCTCCGCGGCGGGCATCCCCCGAGGCCGCCCTCGGGCCATGATCGACTCCGTGAAGCTGCGCCGCGACAGCGCGGCGGACTTCTTCTCCCACTACGAGTACCTGTGCGCGCTGCAGAACTCGGTGCCGCTGCCCGCCGTGCGCGCCTGTCTCCGGGAGGGCGTGCTGGATTTCAACGCCGACCGCCTCCGCGGGGTGGACTGGGCGCCTCTGCTGAGCACCCTCAAGATCAATAAAGACCTGCCCTTGGTCTCCATCAAGAGCTTCTTCCAGCCCTGGCTGGGGGACACAGGTTTGTAGTTCCCGCCTCCAGGGCCCCTCAGTCGGTGCGGCGAAGTGGGTTTTTAGGTGAGTGGTGTCCATTGTCGGGGTATGTGTGCAATAGAAGGGGTGTGCGGCCTGGACACTCACGAGCTAGGTGAGTGGCTTAAGGTCTCTAGGGCTTCAGTGTGCTCATCCGTAACATGGGCTTAATAACGAGACCCAGGTTATGTGCGCCTTCGCAAGGATTCCCTGCGCTGCTGATGCCTGCAGAGCTCTTAGCACAGTTTGGGACATCATTAAACATTTGACAGATGTTACCTATTTTATTGAATGACTTTGATTTGCCTGATAGAGAACTAAGCAGGTAGGAAATTAATACATGTCAGCCTTTGTCTTTTTTTTTTTTTTTTTTTTTTTTTTTTTGAGACACTGTTTCACTCTGTCGCCCAGGCTGGAATGCAGTGGCAAGATCTCGGCTCACTGCAACCTCCGCCTCCCGGGTTCAAGTGATTCTCCTGCCTCAACCTCCCGAGTAGCTGGGATTACAGGCGCGCGCCACCATGCCCGGCTAATTTTTGTATTTTTAGTAGAGATGGGGTTTCACCATGTTAGCCAGGCTGGTCTCGAACTCCTGACCTCAGGTGATCCGCCCGCTTCGGCCTTCCAAAGTGCTGGGATTACAGGCATGAGCCACCGCGCCCGGCCTGTCTTCATTTTTTAAGGTGTATATAAGAAGTTTGTAAAGTGCTTTACAAATACAAGCCATTTGTAAATGTATAGTGGTATAATTAGGGATCCAGACTCTCTGATTATTCGGAAAATATGTTAGGTCAACTATGATATATGACAAAATGCTGTTATTCCTTTGAGCACTTAGCATTTTCTACATAATGGAGGCAGCTTCCTATAGACGCTAGCTAGGTAACAGGAAGGAACAGTTTGTGCAAAAGTTTTGGAAATAGGAGAGAGTATGCAAGCTGAGTTACAGGACTGGAATTTAGGTTTGAGAAAGAGCAGAGAGAGTTGAGGCTGGAAACCTTGTGGGGGCCAAACAGGGAGGGTCCTCGTTTGTCCTGTCATAGAGTTGGATGTTTATCCTGAAGGTTTTGGGAAACCGCTGTAGGATGATGAGATGGAATTTCCGTAGGAGCTCAGTCTAGCCTCCATATGGAAGACAAATTAAAATTGGAAGGATGGTGAATTGTAATCTAATGGCCCAAACTAAGGTATAGAAAAGAAGGGCTGGGGCCGGGCACCGTGGCTTATGCCTGTAATCCCAGCACTTTGGGAGGCCAAGGCGGGGGGGTGTGGATCACCTGAGGTCAGGAGTTCGAGACCAGGCTCACCAACATGGTGAAACCCCATCTGTACTAAAAATACAAAAAAAAAAAAAAAAAAAATTAGCCGGGCGTGGTGGCGGGCACCTGTAATCCCAGCTACTTGGGAGGCTGAGGCACGAGAGTTGCTTGAACCCAGAAGGTGGAGGTCGCAGTGAGCTGAGATTGCACCGTTGCACTCCAGCCTGGGCAACAAGAGCAAAACTCTGTCTCAAAAAAAAAAAAAAAGAAGGGTAGGATTTCAGATATCTAAGAGAATGGATGGGCGTGGTGACTAGTTAGAAGAGGGGGGCAGCAAGTATGGGTGACAGTTTACAGCAGCGTCTGTAAGTGAAACACAGCAGCGTCTTTCCATGACACAGCCGAGTTAACTCGAATGAGATTGGGGGTGGGAGGAGGATCTCAGTTTGTCTTTAATGTTTTAAGAGGGGCCTGTGGGGCATCCAAATGTGTCTGCTAGGCAGATCTGGGCCCAAGATTTAGGCTTTGTGGGAGGACAGGTATTTGAAGGCATGGGAGGGACCTAGATTACCCACAAAGAAGATCCAGATAATTGTAGGTCTGAAAGGTGTTTTTTAAGTGGATATGGACGTGAACATGTTTATAAGCTGAGAGAAAGAGGGAGGGTGTGCGATCTGGGAGAGGAAATGATTATTGATGTATTTAAAAACAACCTGACCACTTGTCGTGTGCCCGGCCCTTTTCTAGGCTCTGGGGTTAGCACCATCTCTTCTGCAAGGACAGTTCAACACATCTGCTTCTGAAAATAAGTCAGATTATTCTCTACATCTCATTCAGGTGCAGGAACTGTTCTGTACCTCTGAATGGACTTTAGTTAACCAAAATAATATCAGGAACCAGGCCAGGTGCGGTGGCTCACACTGGTAATCCTAACACTTTGGGAGGCCAGGAGTTTGTGACTGGCCTGGGCAACATAGTGAGACTCCTGTCTCTACAAAAAGTAAAAAATATTAGCTGGGCTTGGTGGATCTCTTGAGCCCGGGAGGTTGAGGCTGCAGTGAGCCATGATTTTGCCACTGTACTCCAGCCTGGGTGACAGAGCAAGACCCTGTCCATGACCCTCCCCCTACAAAAAATAAAAAAACCAGGAACCAAAATAAATTAAAGATGGGAGGGACCTCAGAGTCAAGGCTAGCCTACTAGATCTTGCCTAATATTTTGCACTGAATGTAAGAAAAATGTATTACAGACCATTCTCGTCAGATATTCTTCACTGAACCTTCTTTATCTCTTGCATCTAGTGGGTCTAGGTTGTAGATTTTAACCTCCTACATATTGCTTGTCCATCCTTAATTACATTTTGCCTGGACTATTGCAGACGCTCCTAGCTAGTTTTGCTGCCGTTGAGCTTGGTTTTTCTCAGTTCATCTGCCTACTTTGGTTCAAGTGATCTTTCAAAAAGGAAAAGACATGCTTAAAGTGGCATGCCCACGCAGGACCAGTGTGTATTGGTTGCTTGTGTTCTGCACAGAGGCACTGAAATCTCAGCTGTGTTCTGTTAAGCCTCCTGGGGTTAGTTGGTCTTGAGGAAGGGGAGCTTTTTCTCATTTCCTTTATCTCTTTGATACTCCAACAGTGAGGCACATTTTTCTAACCTGCTAGGGGTATCCTTAATGTGTCAGTGGTAGCCCTGATCCTCATCACCTGTGAGGTAAAAGTGAACTCTCCTAGGCTTGCTTCTCCCTGCCTCTTTGTAAATTTCTGACTCTTCCGGCTACGGCTCTGGGCTTTAGTCGGATCCACCTGCAGTTTTCCAGTGCCCGGCAGGTGTCAGGCTTAGATGCCTTTGCTCTCGCTGCTCCCTCTGGTTAATGCATCACCCACTCTCACCCCATGTTGTCATTCTCATCTTTCTAGATTCAGCTTCAGGATTATCTTGAAGCCATCCTTTCAGTGCAACTTCTTTGCTTCCATAAGAACCTCTATGTACATAGTTTGGTATATCCCATGTGGCTTGAGTTTACATGTGTCTGTGCTTAAGAGGACTTTAAAGGACATGGCTCATTTCTATGTCTTAGCACAGAGCAGATGTTTTTGAATGATACATTGTATGATTGAAGTCACTAACTTTCTTTTATCTTTGTTTTAGGTTCTGACATGAATAAATTTTGCAGAAGTCGTGTTCCTGCGATAAGATACAAAGATGTGACCTTCCAGTTGTGTAAAGCTCTTAAAGGCTGTTTAAGTATATCAAGTGTGCTAAAGAACCTGGAGCTAAATGGACTAATTCTGAGAGAGAGGGATTTAACTATTCTAGCAAAGGTAAGCTTTGTCTCATTTGGCTTGTAGACATTTGATAGTTGCTTTTAGAGGAAAAAAAACCTCAATAACATTTTTAACTTTTCCCCCTCATTAAAGGGATTGAATAAATCGGCTTCTTTGGTGCACCTGTCTCTTGCAAATTGTCCAATTGGAGATGGAGGTTTAGAAAGTGAGTTTAAATCTCATTTAACTCTTGTCCTATCAGGCTGGTTTCATGTTTCCCTACATGCCATGTTAATTCCTGTCTGTACCTTTTTTCTTACTACTGCCTCATATGCTTGTTCAAACCTTGGTCCAGTCTCAAGTCTACCATGAAAGCTTGGCATGCTGAATGTAATCTGAACTAACTTTACTTAAGTTTGTGTTAAACCACAGACCACACAAATATATACCATCTGGTATTCTCTGTTTTTTGTGTTTGTTCATCTTTTAGAGTTTTTCTTCAAGAAATATTTATGGGAAGGAAATAGCAAAATGTAAAGAGGCCGGGCGTGGTGGCTCACGCCTGTGATCCCAGCAATTTGGGAGGCCGACGTGGGCGGATCATGAGGTCAGGAGATTGAGACTGTCCTGGCTAACATGGTGAAACCCCATCTCTACTAAAAAAATACAAAAAAACTCACCAGGCATGGTGGCGGGTGCCTATAGTCCCAGCCACTCAGGAGGCTGAGGCAGGAGAATGGTGTGAACCTGGGAGGCAGAGGTTGCAGTGAGCCAAGATCACACCACTGCACTCTAGCCTGGGCGATAGAGCAAGACTCCGTCTCAAAAAAAAAAAAATCATCATTACTTTAAATAATTAAAACATATATACAATCAATTTTAATGCACTGTGGTATGTTCCAAAATAGGAAATATAAGCAAAGTGCTGTATAGGAGCATATAAAAGGCTGACAGACTTGGGGGGAAAGGGTTGGGATCATGGAAATAGTCACAGAAGGTGACTGTTCGTTGGGATCCTGAAGTCTTGTGTTCGTTGTGTGAAATAGTGGTCTGGAGGGGTAAGGAAACCTGCATTTCAATTTGAGGGAGCAGAGAGTTAAAAGGCCTCTGTCTTCTATTGTTCTAGTACATTAGGTGCTCTAGTATAACACCTAATAAAATTCTGGGTTTATAGTTGACACTGAATTGTTGGTTAATAACAGATTGAGGTCTGCTCTTGGAAATGAAAATAGGAAGAGTTTTATTTTTTTTATGTTTTTCTTTCAGATGTCTCAAAAAGTATATAGAACTTTACTGTGGTCTGGAGTAAGGTTGCAATATTCAGTCTATTCAATTTTGGCATCTAAATAGAATTGAACTATTGCAATAAACTGGAGTAACTCTTTGTTACTGACTTATTTTAGAATGTACCAATCAGTTGCTTAGGTAGATTGTAAATAGTGATTTTAAGAATACAACTATAAAATAGAAAAGATATAAGAAGAGCAAATAAATCAAGACTGACTAGGTTGTATATGCTCTTCATCTTATTGTATGTGGTTTTTTTTTCCATTTTAGTTATTTGTCAAGGTATAAAGAGCTCTATCACTCTTAAGACAGTCAACTTCACAGGATGTAATCTGACATGGCAGGGAGCAGATCACATGGCCAAGATCTTAAAGGTAACTTTATGTTCCAACTTTCATGAAAATGTGTTATATGATTGCCACACGTTAATATTTTGATACAAGACAGCAGTTATTTTTGTCTTTTGATACATATGGGCATTGCAGTTTTAGTTTTGTTTAAAGAATGTGACCAATTTTCAGCCTGGGGTTCTACCATTTATTAAAGGTAGTATGCTTAATCTTAGAAATAGAAGACCTAAAATATAATAATTAGATTTTTCTGTAAATACAGTTTGTAAAACAGTAATTTTAAAGGTGCCTTAACAACTTTATAGTGGTTATTACTACTGTATTTAGGATAAAATTACATAATAATGTGACATGAAGCCTTTTTAGTAATTTGATGGTGTAGATCGGGGTAGTCAAACTATGGCCTGTGGACCAAATCTAGCCTATCACCTATTTTTGTAAATAAAGTTTTGAAACATAGTCATGCCCATTTGTTTACATATTAACTATTGCTACACCCTACACTAGGAGAGTTGAGTAGTTGCAAAAGAAACTATATGACCCACAAAGCTGAAAATGTTTATTTTGGGGCCTTTACAGCGTAAGCCCACTCTCCGTGGGATAGATAATGGTTACTCATGTGGATTCTGAAGCCAGATGGCCTAGGCTAAAACCCGAGCTCTCTCCCATTTAATAACTTGTGACCATGGGCAAATTAGTTAACCGCTCTGTTCCTCAGTTTTCTTATCCATAAAATGTGTATAATAAGAAAACCTACTGTGTCTGTCATTGTTAGGATTTAATGAACTAATGTGTATAAAATAGTGCCTGGCTATCTAAGTGTTTGCTGTTATTTCCTCTTATTGCTTTTATACAGTTATTATGAATAGCAAATGACACTGACAGTTTTCATTTGACGGAGTCATAGGAGCTTTGAATCTTTTGTTTCAGAATGTAATGAGATTTTTTTTTCTCTTAAAATCAGTGTTTCCTGTTACCGAAATTTACTTTATGGATAAAGAGAAGTGATTATGTCTGTAAGATAATACCTGTGGTTAAAACTCAAACCACCAATTTCCGAAGGCATATCAACCTTGCTTTGTATATTCTAGGCCTCTAAATTTGGTGTGCATACCCTAAGAAATATGTGAGATCCCTTGGGTTAGGAGAAGAAAATATTAACCTCTATATTTTTGTATCATTTAAAAAATACCTATTGTTTCTGTTTGATTTGTAATATACATAAAATATGTATATAGAAATTCCTGTATATAGTTTATTAATAAATAACTTACATGTTAAATGTTTACTTGTGGGATGTCCAGTCAAGTGTTTAGAGACCACTGGAGGACAGAATGATATGATTTAGAGGCTCAGCAATGATAGAATTTAGAACCAGTACCTTCACTTGGCATATAAAGAAAATAAAATTCTTAGAAGTTAACTAAGTTGTCAGTTTACATAAAGCAATCAGTAACAGGTCATTAGTGGTTAGGGTCACATAGCTAGTCAGTGACAGACTAGTATCTGGGTCACTGGACTCCTTACTCAAAATCTACTATTTAATCAGTCTGTCAGATTAACCCACCTGGCATATGTACCTGGTGTGTGTGTAAAGCTCTGATGTAATCAGCTGTACTTAGTTCCTTTTAGTGTTCCTATCTCTTTATCCAAGTGTATTAATTTCATCTTATTAAATCTTTGAAGTATCAGACCATGAGAAGGCATGAAGAAACCTGGGCTGAGAGTCTTCGCTATAGGAGACCTGATCTTGACTGTATGGCTGGCTTAAGACGTATCACACTGAATTGCAACACACTTATTGGTGACCTAGGTGCATGTGCTTTTGCAGACTCTCTCAGTGAGGATTTATGGCTGAGAGGTAAGTTAAATGAACTTGTAAGGTGGAAAATATTGAATTTTTTGATATTAAATATGCTTAACTCTTGGCACAGTAATGTTGTCCGAAGGTTTTTTAAAAAGCCTCTTTTTTCTAATAGGTTTTATTTTGTTTTTAAGCCTTTATAAAAGTTATATATATTCTTTATAGAAAATACCAAGTAACAAAAAAAAAAAAAGTACATATAATCTCAATGCCTAGAGATAAACTGTTCATTTTGGTGTATACACTTTCAGTATTGTTTTTTCCTGCAGATACATTTGTGTGCTTAGAGTTACAAGAACAGAACTATAGTGCACTTACCATTTTGTAACCCTGCTTTTTTTATTTAATGATGTATCATGTAGTACTCTATTATATTGAGGCATAATAGTTTAATTCCCTACTATTTGATATTTAGGCAGTTTGTGCTTTTCCCCTGTTATAAACAACTCTGTAGTAAACTCCTTATGTATACATCTCTGTGTCCATTGAAGTTACTTTTTTTTTTTTTTTTTTTTTTTGAGACAGGGTCTTTCTCTGTTGCCCAGGCTGGAGTGCAATGGTGTAATCATACCGCGCTGTAGCCTTAAACTCCTGGCTCAAGTATCCTCCCACTATACCCTCCGAGTAGCTGGCACTACAGGTGCACACCACCATGCCAGGCTAATTTTTGTGGAGACAGGGTCTTGCTGTGTTGCCCAGGCTAGTTTCAAACTCCTGGGCCCAAACAGTTCTCTTGCCTTGGCCTCCCAAAGTGCTGGGATTCCAGGCATGAGCCACTGTGCCCAGCCTGAAGTTACTCCTGTAGGATAAATTACTAAAGTTGAGTAACTCAGTATAATGTATTTCTTAAAGACTTTTGATGCATGTCACCAAATTGCCTTTCAGAAATGCTGTGCCATATTATAGTCTCATAAATGCTGGATTGTGTCTATTTTAAAACCTTAAACTTTACAAAAATGAGAACTCCCCTGCTTTTTCTTTTTTGATGCAAATGGGATTGGTCTCTGAATTTTACAGCTTTTTTCACTCAGTCTAGCATATCTTAAATCAGTAAGTTTACATTTACCATGTCATTTTTAGTGACTCTTCAGGGTTCCATTATGTTAATATGCAATAGTACACTTGGCTTATCCGTTCCTATTAGATATATAAGCTATTTCCAGTTTTTCATTGTTATAAACAGTACTTTGATACGTGTTGTTGCCCGTGTCTCTTATAATTTCCTTCTGGTAAATTCTTAGAAGGAGAGTTGCTGTGTTAACAGAGTCTGCACATTTTAAAGGTTTTTTTAAAATGTGACCTTCGCCAATCTGATAGAAGCATAATCACATTTAATTGTTTTAGTTTATATTCATTTGATTTACTAGTGAGATTTACTGGCTATTTTTATTAATTTGGCTAGGTGGATAATTACATCCTATGCTCATTCTTCTGCAGCAAGAGTTTGTAAAGGTTTTACCATATTCTATCAGATCCATATATCTGACTTATTTCTGTGTGTCTTGTGGTGTCTTAGTCAGTTAGGGCTTCATAGAATATTCTATATTATATATAGTATATATTATATAACTCCATTATAGAAGCATATAACAGAATTATATTCTGGGTGGCTTAAAGAGAAGACATTCATTTCTCACAGTTCTGGAGTCCGAGAAGCCCAAGATCCAGATGCCAGTAGATAGGTGTCAGGTGAGGGCATTCTCCCTAGCTTATGGAAGGCTTTTATATCCTTAAATGGTGGCGAGAGAGAACTCTAGTCTCTTTTTTTTCTTGTAAGGACACTAATCCCATGATGGCTCCACTCTCAAGACCTCAACTAAACCTAATTACCTCTCAAAGGCCCCAATTCCTAATACTACTACCCTGTTGTGGATTAGGGTTTCAATATACATTTTTGGGGAATACAGACATGTAGTCCATAAAATGAGATTCTGAAAGACTTCAGTTATTTTAATGTAATGGTATACACGTGCTTTTGCTCTGATGTAATCTTTTTTTATGCCTGTACTTTTGTGATAATCCTTTTGAGTTGAAATGAGTAGATTGTTCAGCCTCAGTATTACTAGTATTCATGAGCATTTGTTTAGTTCTTTGACCTTTTACTTGAGAGAGAGTTCTTGACCATTATTTTTTCATGATAGGTTTTTAGTATATAATCTCTATAATCTCTATTCACACATTCTTTGGATTCATTATTTCTATCTCCTTAGAGTTCTTTCTTTGTCATTTTTATTCTAAAACTAACAGTTTACATTTTTGTATTTTCTTTTCACTTTTTTAATGTAATTTTTTGAGAGTCACTTGGAATTTGAATTTGAATTTGATGATGAATCTAGTGCAATTTCTGAGCTCCACCCAGTTTTTGCCTGTGATGTTTACACTGCCACTAGCATCCTTGTTAATTATGAACAAATATTCATTCTGTGATGTTTTATGTAGAGTTATTTTTCAACTCTGTAATTGTAAAATATGTTGGGTAATTTATTGGTACTAAAGGGAGGGTAATCATGACACATCTATGAAGAGGGTTTCTTTTTTGTATTATGTGTGTGCATATGGTTTTCTATTTTTATTTTTTCAATACCCAAGATTAAAAACTGGCCATGAGTAGTCTTGGGCAGGAGTCTTCCAGGCATGAATAAGTGGGAGTTGTCTGTATGTTAAATCTGTATAGAATTGGCCGGGCGAGGTGGCTCACGCCTGTAATCCCAGCACTTTGGGAGGCCGAGGTGGGCAGATCACAAGGTCAGGAGATCCAGACCATCCTGGCTAACACGGTGAAACCCTGTCTCTACTAAAAATACAAAAAAATTAGCCATGCGTGGTGGCGGGCGCCTGTAGTCCCAGCTACTCAGGTGGCTGAGGCAGGAGAATGGCGTGAACCTGGGAGGCAGAGCTTGCAGTGAGCGGAGATAGTGCCACTGCACTCCAGCCTGGGTGACAGAGTGAGACTCCGTCTCAAAAAAACAAACAAACAAACAAAAAATCTGTATAGAATTAGCAAGTGACCCTTTGTCTTTCATCGAAAGCTCTTGACCTGCAACAGTGCGGCCTCACCAATGAAGGAGCAAAGGCTTTGCTAGAGGCCCTTGAAACCAATACAACTCTGGTCGTTCTGGATATAAGAAAAAATCCACTCATTGGTATGTCGCTACAATATTTTTTATTGACTAACAAATAGCAAAAGAAAAAGAATTTCTCATGTATTGACAGTTTTGAAAACTTAATGTGTTTCCTTCCCTAATCTTACACTTTTGTAATCTTGCACTTTCTTATGTTTTTAGTAGATAATTTACTGATGAAAAGAGTTGTACTTAAATTGCTCTTGGCTGCTACTCTGAATAGGAGTGAACCTAGATAATAAATCTGCTTCCACCAAGTGCATTATTTTCTTCTTGTGGAACTTCTGAATTCTTGGAAATAGTATTTCATTCATTTGTTGATTTGACAAGTAATTTTTGAATACTTCTATCTGCTAGATACTGGTTTAAGCACTAAACATACAGCAGTAAACCAGCTAGACAAATTCTTGGTCTCATAGAGCTTACATTCTAGTTGGGGAGTTATACGTAATGTAATTTAGATAGTAGGAAGTGCAAAAATACCGTAAGGTAAGAAGACAGATGGGGGCAGGTGGGACTATATTAGATAGGTTTTTTAGGGGACAGCTTCACTGAAAAAGGGACATTTGAACAGAGACCTGATTAGGAGGGGAACAAGCCGTGGAAGATGCAGATAAAGTACCTTCCAGGATGAGGAAGCAATGAATATGTAGTTACATAGGTGGCAGGGTGGATGGAGTATTTAAGGAAAAGCAAGAAGGCCAATATGGTTGGGGCACTGAGTGATGAAGAGACTGGTATGCTACAAAGTCAGACAACTAGCCAGGGGCCTGATCTTGTAAGGTTTGAAGGTCACGGTAAGGACTTAGATAATTCTAAATGAGCTGAAAACCATGGGAGGATTTTGAGCTGGTAAGGGTTATATTCCAAGTAGTAATTCAATCAGATGACTTGGTGTGGAGAATACACTTGTAGGGGGCTATAAAAGGGAAAGAGGGAGGCCAGTTAGGAGACTCACACTGGTTCAAGTTAGAGATGGCTATGGCTTCACTTAGGGTGGAAGGTTGGAGGTGGTAAAAAGTGGTTGAAACAAGGTGTAGCTAACAAGACTTGTGGGGTATAAAGGAAATAGTAATTTTTTTAAAAAGTCCTAGGTGATTTTGCATACAACTGGGTGGTACTGTTTATAGAGAAAAGGAGGCTGTGGAGAAGAGCAGCTTTGGGGGCGCATCATGACTTTGATTTGGGTATATTAGGTGCCTTTTAAGCATCTAAGTATCTGGACAGTGTTTAGGCTTTTGATTTCCTATTTAGAGGTATCTAAAGCTACTTTAGTTCCAAAGTGTTTACATTTGATCTTTGCTGCTGCCAAAATAGTAGCCATCAGGGACAATATGTGTGTAGGAATACTTTGTTTTTGAGGAAGAAGTTAGAATACTCAAAGGGGGAAAAGGTATTTAATTACATTATGTGGAATTCATATTCAATTTCATGGGAAAAAGCAATAATTGGTTGGCTTTTGTTTTTAAATGGGAATAGCCACTCATTGGGAAATAATTACTATAATTTCAATTTTTATTTTACTTTAGATCATTCTATGATGAAAGCAGTTATCAAAAAAGTCCTCCAGAATGGAAGGAGTGCCAAATCAGAGGTATATCATGTTTTATTTCTCCAGAAAGAATTCTTATTTAATTGCTTTTCTTCTGGGATCTCACTGTACTGCCCAGCCTGGCCTCAAACTTCTGAGCTCCAGTGATCTTCCCCCTTCCCAGCTTCCTAGGTAGCTAGGACTGTAGGTATATATCGTTGTGCCCAGCTTTTCGTCTGTTTTTAATAAAATGAAACTATTAAGGCACTTTTCTGCCATCTTAAATTTACAGTCAAATCAAATGTCTTTTCTGTTTTTGTAAATACCGTATGATTCTTTAATTTTGGGTCCCAGAACTGCTGATTGCAAACCTTTTATTAACATAGAGTATCTTAACAATTTCCATTTAAGATGTAGCCCTCATAAATGATCTGTAACTGAAATATAGTGTTTATTCTGTCTCTTTTAGTACCAGTGGATAACTTCTCCATCAGTGAAGGAACCATCCAAAACTGCTAAACAGAAAAGGAGAACTATAATTCTAGGAAGTGGTCACAAAGGAAAAGCTACTATTAGAATTGGTAACCTTTTCTGTCTTGGCTTTTTAATGCTACTAGTGTTCTAGTGTGTTAAAATTAAAATCTCTTCTCATTGTATGATATTGACAGTAACAACCAATATTGACTCCGTGCATATTATGAGGTCTGTAATTGTTCTGATAAGATTATGAGAATTTATGGAATGTAGAAATAGTAAATGAATCATTAGGAAAGGGATGCTAGTGCTTCCATTTAAAAAATTACCCTTATTTGTTTTTCATACAATATTCATCATTTTGGATATGTTTTCTGATTCATGATTACTTTTGATACTTTGCAATTGAAATTTGGGATGCACTTTGATGACAGTTTTAGCAGTGCTTTTGTATGATTTTGTTGTTAATGAAGAATTATCCTTTCATACGATAGAAAACAAAATTTCTTCCCAGTTCCATTTTTTTTCCCTTGTTTCCTCCTCCTTCCTTGCAAATTCTTACCCAAAGTTGTTGAATTAGGTAGCACCTTGCTTCTTTCAATGATGAAATAACCTTAAAATATATGTAATCCTTATAAAACAATACTGCAGGTAAGTTTATTACCCAGAGATGGAACATTTTAGACAAACATTCCCTAAATGTTTGCTATTTATGGTTTATTTAATCTGCCAAATAATAGTCTAGAATTTTGAAATTGTCTATAATTTTGTGACCAAGAATAATGAAAAAAGACTTTATAAACTGTTTATCAGCTAATGGCATAAATTTTACATTCTCCTGAATACATAAATTTGGTATAATCTAGTTCTACTGATATTTTCTTTTTTTTTTTAAAGAGTCTTTAACTTTTGTAGAACACATTATCTTTAGTCATAAGTAGCCTTTTTTTACTGATAAGAATGAGTGACAGTGGAATAAGTTAAGCCAAATCTAATGTGAAAGTGACCTTTTCTTGTAAGTAACTTTGAATTTTGAAACAGTAAAACCATGAAGACTACTACAGAGAAAAAAATTAATGTTTTTATGTTTATAATCTGCCAGTTTCCCAGAAAAAGGTTTGTGGTGACTTTAGTTCATACCCTGTACATTAAGATCACCAAACAATTAACACCAGATAATCTTTTATTTGGATGCTACTTTAAATTTTTGAAGGATATCACTTGACTTAATATCACTGAACTGTACACTTAAAAATGGCTAAGATATAAAACAATTTAACATAAAATATAAAACATTAGAAATTCTATAATTTTAGTAGCTAGTGGTATATAATTGGACATCATTGAATGAGAATAAAAAACAAAAATCTTTTTTCTTAGCATGATTAAAGAAATTGGAAATGTGACTGAAGTTTACAAGCTCACTGAGCTATTTTAAGAGTAACTTTATTTCTTGGGCTTTTTTTGTATTTGCCTCAGTAATTTGGAGACACAGAGGTAAGCCAAATCAGTGTCTGGCTTTATATTTAATAGTTAGGTGTCAGTGAGTATAGGGGTTATATAATTTATGTAAATTATGTCACATTCATATTGCAATTACGTGTGCAGACAGAAGATAGGAAACTTTATAATTTTTTTCATCTAACAAGATAAGTAAATTAGTTTGGTTTTAATTAAAATTTATATTTGCGGCCGGGCACGGTGGCTCACGCCTGTAATCCCAGCACTTTGGGAGGCCGAGGCGGGTGGATTGCCTGAGCTCAGGAGTTGGAGACCAGCCTGGGCAACACAGTAAAACCCTGTCTCTACTAAAATACAAAAAATTAGCCGGGCGTGGCGGCGTGCACCTGTAATCCAAGCTCCTCGAAAGGCTAAGGCAGAAGAATTGCTTGGACCTGGGAGGCGGAGGTTGCAGTGAGCTAAGATTGTGCCACTGCACTCCAGCCTGGGCGACAGAGCGAGACTCTTGTCTCCAAAGAAAAAAAAAATTTATATTTGCATTACTTTCTACACATACTACAAACAATACACAGTAACTTTTTTTTAGGATAATTAAAAACAGCACACAATGAACTGAGCTCCTATATATTTATAAGACGTGTATAAATTTGTCCAGAGAAATTGCACAGCACAATGTGGTAATTATCAATAAGTTACACCACGGGAAATATTTGTCCTGTATTACCAAATACATGTTCTTGTAGATGCTGTCCTAAAGCTGCTAAAGTAGATCTTACGTAGTAAAATAGATTGGAAGGATAAATATAACCGTTTTAATAAAGTTATATTATTTGTTCTCAGTGATATCAGAAACAATTATATATTTAAGTGTGAATTTTATTAATATTAATAGGTAGGTCTAGCTTTTACTACCAAATATTTCTTTAAAAAAACTTGACTCTTTAAACTGAAATGTAGGATAAGACTTTATACTTCGTTCTATTATCCAGTAGGTTTCATTTGTTTTCTTTGTGTTCTGTAAAAGCAAATGAACACTGAAGGTGGACAGACTTATAGGCGGCAACATTGGCTCACCTACTACCCAGCTACCTTCAGTCTTACAACTTGGATAGTTTTTACATGATAAAATTAATCCAGCTACCTTTAGTCTTACAACTTGAATACCTTTTACATGATAAAATTAATCTCAAATTGAAATTTTTTTCCAATTCAGAAGGTTCTGTTTGGTAGGAGTCATGGGTGTATCTATGTTCTGTCCTTGAGATTCAGGAATGCCAAAAATATTCTGAGATTTAATAACTTAAAATTTCTGCATAATGCATAATGAAATGTATCACGTATAATCTTTCATTCTTTGGGTTACATGTTTTATTTACCTTTGCGTGCTCTGCATGTCTCATATATTCAACTTATATTTTAGTTAAAGTGATAACTTGTTACTCTAGACAACTTATATTTTTATATATTTATTACTTATATTTAAGTATATTAAAAATATATTTATTCTTATATTTATTACTGGCCTGTGTAAAAAGGTATTTACAAATTGATCCTGATTTAATGGACTTGGTGTCATTGTCAGGTGCCCATTTGTATTCTTTTAAGAGTATGCACATGTGCCTATTCATCTGTAGACCTTTAGTGCATCTTGATTCTTTCTTTTTAACACTTCTCAAGTAGGATTGGCTACAAAGAAACCTGTAAGTAGTGGCAGAAAACACTCCCTTGGTAAAGAATATTATGCGCCCGCACCTCTTCCACCTGGTGTGTCTGGTTTCTTGCCGTGGCGTACTGCAGAACGTGCAAAAAGACACAGGTAGGGTATTTTTATTTCCTATCTTTTAGGATAAAAATGGGATTCAAAATTCTTTATTTTGGAGCTTCTATTATGTGAGAGTTCTCTGCTTATGTCTGTAGGGTAAAAATGACTCATGTGGCTTCTGCCTCATGAATCCTTTAAGGAAGAAAAACAAAAAATAATCCTAAGTAGGGTTTCAAGTTATTAAGTGTCACAGCAAGCTGTATCCCTGTGGGAGTCCAGAGGAAACTGAAATTATCTCCAATTGTGCAGGTGAGAAAAGGTTTCATTTAAAGTATGTGCAGTTAAACCAAGTCCTATAGGGCAGAAATAGGAATTTGGATATTTAAGACTGGGGAAAGGGCATTGTAAAGCATAGGAAATTGTTCAATGCAAAATGATAGGAAGTGTTGATTAGACTTAATCTAACTCAGCCAACTGGCCTAACTCATTTTAGTGAATCAAACCAGATATAACTAGTTTTAGCCAGTTACCTAGGTGATAGCTATTCATAGTAATTTTTGTCAGAAAAGTCTTTTAAAAATGTTGTACTATAATTTTATGCTTAATAAATGAATTAGATTACTATAAATTATTTTCGAATGACTGACTTTTAGTATTCAAGAAATTGGAGATTAACAATTGCTTAAGAAAACAAAGAGGATTGAATTTAAATAGGACTGGAAATAGGTGCTATGTAAAATATCTGTTCAATTGCTCAGATTAAATTGAATATGTATAATCTTTGTTAGGCAACTGATGACTATACTTATTTCACAACTGGTAATGTGAATTATTATTGCATAAACTATAGTGCTGAGGCCCCAGTCTTTACACTTCCATTTAATAACTTCACAGTTTCATATCTTCTTGAGATACTTACTAATTTCAAGTCCCATCTTGGTCACAAGGAGTTGTGAATTAGAGAACAATTAATATCACCAGTTAAAGAAGTTAGATTAGAAATCTGAACCATCCTAAACATAAGAAGTACCTGCATCTTCAGAGTCTTATCCCAAAGCCGTTCTGCTAAATTGTTCAATTTTCTCCATAGCAGAGCTTTCCAGGCCCTTATTTGGAAGTGATTTATCTCTATGCACAGTTATGTATGGATAGTATACATAATACTAGCAAGTGTTATTACCTAGTGTTAACTGGTGGTGTATTTACATCAAAATATAACTTAATTTATCGATATCTTTTTAGGGGTTTCCCATTAATCAAAACACGTGATATATGTAATCAGTTGCAGGTACGTAGTTACCATGTTTATAATATGTAGGGGATTGGAATGGGAAGGGTGGAAGATCATTCTCTGTGCTCTTTAAATTGAATAGAGTCGTAAGAAACATTTCCCTCCCTGAAGTAAATTCTTTAAAAATTTTCTGGGTTCTCCCGGTGCCACAGTATAGGCGTGTGGATATGTCACACAATGGAGGCCTTGTGGTTTCATCTGTGTAGACAGGAAGTCATTTCTCTGGGTCCACAAATCAGCTGTTGCCTCCAGCAAAACAAATTTGACCACCATTTCTCACCCGACACATGGAGCTATCATAGTCAAGAATGTCCTTAAGTTTAAAAGAAATGTTCTTGGGGGATACATATTTTATATGTATATATATATTTCCAGATTCTAAAGCTAAAACAAAGCAACCAGTCCTAAAGCCTCTGCTTTCTCAGAGCTTTTCTTTCTCCCTTGTCAGGATCAAACACATTCCCTGTCATTCTGCATCATGGTATTAGAGCAAGTGAATTCTGTCAGAGTATCAGATTTTCCTTTTCAGTTGTTTTTAGAGACCGTAATTTCTCTGTAAAAGATAGCACTACTGAGATGAAGGAGCACCTGTGTGTCCGTACTGCCCCTCGCATAGCCAAAAGTAGGGGCGTGCATCTCATTCTACCGTCTAGGATTTTCAGGTACTGCAGGATTTATGCTTGTAGTTGATACTGCATTCTCATGACTTCTCTTCTGTACAGTTATGTATCCCGGCACTTTTCTTTTTGATCTGTGGACTTTTTATGGGATTGTGACACAGTCAATTTTGAAATATTTGGAAACGTATTGGACAACATTCCAGTGGCATTGAAACTTGACAGGAGAATTGCGTTGTTATTACAGTAGTTTTGGCTTAAGAATGAGGAAAAGATGAGGTTTTTGATGTCTCAGTTTTAGTTGTGTGCATGTATTTGGTTAATTTTTTTTTTAATTCTAGTTTTTATTTTGTAGAGACAGGGTCTTGCTATGTTGCTCAGGCTGGTCTCGAACTTCTGACCTTAAGCAGTACTCCTGCCTTGGCCTCCCATAGTGCTGGGATTACAGGCCATTCTAGTGTTTATTATTCACAATTTAAATTATTCTTCCAATTCTTTGTGAGGCCTCCACGGATGAATTTTTTCTCCTAAAAATCGTCCTGTCTTTAAGACTCTGTGTGTGATGGTAGAGAATAAATTTCTCATCTGCAGTTGATCTGAGAAAAAATGTTTATCCTGCCTCCTTGCTTGGTTTATGTGAAAAAAGTGTAATAAAATAATATGGGTTATTTTCGGAAAGATTTTATGTAAAAAAGAAAAAAAAAATATGGGCGATTCCAGTATTAATTATAAACCTTATATGAGAGAATTATTTCAGTGACATAGCAAGAATAAGTTAGTGTCTTTTTACTTTGTTATTGATTGTGTTAGACTAAGGAGTAGTGATAGACATTTATAGAGAATGACTTAACACTTCAGAAAGATCACTTTGATTAGATGTCCTTTAGTATTTGGTATTCGGTTTATATTATTATACAATCTTGTCCTCTTTTTTTAAGCAACCAGGTTTTCCTGTGACTGTGACAGTAGAGAGTCCTTCATCCTCTGAAGTTGAAGAGGTTGATGATTCTTCAGAGAGTGTTCATGAAGTGCCTGAGAAAACTAGTATAGAACAAGAAGCATTACAGGTACAAAGCTATCACTTTAAAGATATGGAGAAGATCATTTCAAACTCTAGTTAGTTTTTGGTGAAAGCTTGATTATGAACTGGACAGCTTGCATGGGAATTCTGTTTTCGCCTTCCTTCTATCTCATATCCCTTGAATGGTTCTTTATCTTAGAACAAGGTAAAAGGGAGGACGTCTGCACTCTAAGAAATAAAAATTGAAACATGTCATCAGTAATATATTTTCCTTTCCTTAGAATCATAGAATATTAATTAGATTTAGGGAAGGCCTTAATAATCATAAGATAAACTCAAAGAAATTAAGCACTGAATGAATGTAACCAGCTGATTCAGGGCTCTTTGGGAGGCCTTATCTTTTTGTGTGTGCTAGGAAGTCCACAATTAATTTTTAAAAATTAATACAATTTTCTTTTATATGAAACTTACAAATATAGAAGTAATTATCCTTTTTTTATATACTTACATGTAGCTTATAAACAACAGGAATGTATGTCTCACAGTTCTGGAGGCAGGAGAGTCCAAGATCAAGGCTCAGGCAGATTTGGTGTCTGGCGAGGGCCTGCTTTCTGGTTCATAGATGGCTTTTCACCATGTCCTCACATGGTGGAAGGGCAGTTATCTTATTTTTATGTGACTATGGAAATCACTTTTTGATTTTCAAAAAATGAAGCCTGATTTTCATTTTTTAAATTAAAATTAGTGATATTTATATAGAGAAATTTTAAGATAATTACAAAAATGATAGAATATTAGAGGGAAAAATCTATAGATAATGTAGAATTGTCCCTATTATAAATGAGCACCTTTTGTTTGTAGCACCTAAGTGGTTTATTACTAAGTTCCAGAGGAAAAACAAAATCCTAGAATGTCTGATTCATGTTCATTATTGTTTTAAATGTGTTGTATTTATTTTCTTCACCAGGGGATTAGGAAATTTTATTCTAAAAGTGATTATAGCCATTGGGGAGACCAAGAAGGTTAGGAAATACAACTTGGGAATTTCTGATTCAAGATGCACTGAGAATTCTCTTAGCTCTTTTCTATTTTAAGAACTCCATAAAACGATATTATCAAAATTTCTAACATACGTAAGCCTACAATAATCAAGATAATTGAAGAGATTTCAACATATTTTTGAAATAGAGATGACAGATGGAAATGAGTATGAAACCGATGCAGTAGAACAGAGGAAAACCATCGCCTAGAATATACACAGGGGAAGCCTACAGCTCAGAGGGTATCTAATCTAACTCCAGAAACAGCTCCATACACAGATATGCATATAGGAAAAAGGAAGGGAGCTAGAAATGTGACTAACATGGAGGGAGCTCCTTGACAGTTTGTATATGGAAGAGTTGACTCCTAGCCTTACCTTCACTCTCCTGAAATGAGATCATTTGGCTTTGAAAAACAGTAAAGTAACTGGGGAGAACTAGGGTAGATAGTGTGGATTTTGCACCCTAGAAAAGGGTAGCTGAGAATATCCTGCCATACTGGCTACCCACTTCTTCATGCATAACAGAAGCTAGTCATCAGCTCCCAGTGATCCTCTGCTCCCTTATTTTTTTTTTTTTTTTTTTTTTTTTTGAGATGGAGTCTCGCTCTGTCGCCCAGGCTGGAATGCAGTGGCGGGATCTCGGCTCACTGCAAGCTCCGCCTTCCGGGTTCACGCCATTCTCCTGCCTCAGCCTCCCAAGTAGCCTTATTCTTAAATAGAAAATAACCATGGTTCACCTGAGAGTTGAGTAAAACTCACAACTTGACAGGGAAAATAAAAGATGAAAAATATGTCCTGATAGGACCAGAGCTGATTAAAAGAACAAAAATACTTTAAGAAAAAAACTCTACTTAACATCCTTAGGTTTGTTAAGCACAAGTACAAAAGAAAGATACAGTGCCTGTAAAAAAGAAATAGGGTGTTGTTTAAAAAGGAATAGCAGAAAGCAAGGGTGGTCTCTTGGAAATTATAATGGTTGAAATAAATTCAGTAGGAATTAAGGAAATTTCTCAGTAGATAGAACAGAAAGGCAGGAATGGAAAATACAACAGAAATCATATGCTAGTGAGGTTGCATCTAGGAGGTCTAACATGTTACTGTAAGAAATCTCAGAGGACAGAAAAAAATGGATGGAAGGAAATTACAAAAAAAAAAACTATAAGAAAGTTTACCTTAGATAGACACATGTAAGTAGACAGTCTTCACTGTAAAATTTCAAGATACTGAGGAAAGAAAGAAATCCCAAGAGAAAAATACCGGTCACTTAAAAACCATAAAAACCAGACTTTATTATACTTCTCATCAGCTACCATGGATCCTGGAATTAGAAAGATACCTCCAAAGTTTTAAAATAATTGACAACCTGGAGATTCCCATCCAGCCAAACTGTCAATCTAAGTGGGGGCTGAATAGGACATTTTGGACCTCCTGCGCTATACTTTTTCTTGTTATTTGAAAACATAGTCCCGCAAAATGAGGGTATAAACCAAGAAGGAAGATAATAGGATATCAGGGATCAGTGGTTTCAGTGTGGAGAGCAGCGGGTCTGGATTTGAGAGGCTTCCATTGGTTGTGTGACTGAGAGCTTAAAAAATCCTTGAAGCATGTTACTATGTATTAGGCACTGTTAGAATGAGGGAGGGGGAAAGAGAGAGGAGAAAAGAGGGAAGGAGGGAATCAAACTCCAGAGGAGAAAGTTCTGTTGGCATGAACATAAAACAAATTAAACTATGGCAGATTTTTGAGCTACCACTGATGTACAAAAGGGAAAAAAATCCACTTGAGCTTGTCCGCCCTTTTCAGTGGCACAGCAGTCGGTGACCACCTATCTAATTTGTTGTACAAACCAGAACACTTTTCAATAGTGTAAGCAGGTGCTGTTAACACTAACATCAAGACAAGGGTTGTAAACTGGAACAGTCCAGGGCAACTTAAGATAGGCGGTCACTCTATACAAGGGCTGTGGCACTGAAACTGTATAGAAGGCGGTGTAACCTGTATATACACAAGAGTTACAATATAACTCTGCAGTAGGCAGTATTAATTTAATCGTAGTAATGGAAATACTGCCGTGGTCTGTAGCTTTGATTATCAATTTGCATGTGATAGCAAAAATAACTAGCTTGTATCAGATTTAGCACGTATTGGACACTGTTCTAAGTGTTTTGCTTATATTAATTCATTTGATCCTCAGAATAACCTGTGGTAGGTGTTACTATTAGTCCTACTTTTCAGAAAAGAAGCTAAATTTAAGTAAGCCCAAGCTGTACTTAAATTTAGAGTTGGATCAGGGATTTGAGCTTAAGCTTTCTGCCTGTTCTCTTAAACACTGATCTATCTGTCTCTCAAAAAACAAACAGCTCTGCATATAGAACAGAATATAAATATTAACTTTAACAGTGTAAAAGCTAAGTTTGGAAGGTGGACACAGGTGGAAAGAAGGGACAAAAGTATACATGTCCCTATTTTACAAAGCAGGGCATTGAGAGAATTTAGAGTTGATAAACAATTTAAATTTTTAAGTAATGTATATCACTAGAAGTTGAAGAGATCATGACCAATGGAAAAACTAATGGTGATAACAACTTTATTGAGAGGAGTGGCTATAAGTAAGTAAATAAGTAAGAATGAACCAAACTCTTACTTAGTAAAGCAGGAAGTTAGTAAATAATGTCTAAAATCCGGTCATGTAGTTACCTAATACGTTATTTAGAACTAGAGAAGGATTAAAAAGAAGAATGGTTGACTTAAACCTCACACACAAAAAAATCCAAGTAGCCCATAAGTATGGAAAAGTGTTCAGCCATATAGGTAATCAGAGAAAAATGAACTGAAATCAGTATGAGATGCAACTACACTCCTATCAGATTGGCAAAAAATAAAATTTTATAGTGGCAGGTATTGTAGATCTGGAGTGTAATAAGAATCTTCCACCCTGCTTACACCGGAAGTATAAGTGAGCACACCTACTTTGGAAAGCGTTTAGCATTGTCTATCAATGGAAAGTATATAAATACGTTGGGACCCAACAAGTCATCTGAGGGTATATGCACCAGAAAAACAGGTGCAAAAGGGTCCACGTGCATTATTTGTAATAGTCCAACCTGAAAACAACCCGATGTCCATTAAGAATTAAAAATTAGATTGCATTTGTACACTGAGAAAACTATAAAAGTAATAAAATTGAATGAACAAGAGCTACAGGCAACAACAGATGAATTGTAAGAACAATGTTGAAAGAAAGAAGATGCAGAAGTGTGCATTCACTATGATTCCCTTTGCATAAAGTTAGAAGTAGGCAAAACTAGATTGTTAGGGATGCATGCATATAAAGGAAATGATCATTAGGAAAATGAGGACGGTGTTTAATTCTGGGAGAAGGAGAGGGGCTTGTGATGAGTAGAAGATATGGGGGATTTCAGAGATGCTAGCTAGTTGTACTTGCAAACTTGGGTATATGGTTACATGAGTATTCCCTGATAGTGTGTTTTATGCACTTTTCAGTATGTATAGCATATTTTGTGATTTAAAAAACCTGCTTAAAGAAATGGTTGCCTCTGGGAAGCTGGATGTGTGAGTGAGGAGGAGATTAACTTTCATTTTAAGCTCTTCTCTACTAATTCTGTTCGTATGTTTATTCATTTTGCGTTGATCATATTTTGTACACCAGGCACTCTTCTCAGTTTTATATGTGTGTTAATTTACTCCTTTCAAGAGCCCTATGATACATGAATTTATCTCCATTTTATAGATGAGGAAATTAAGACCTAGAGTTACTGAACTTGCCCAAGGTTATACAGCTGATGGGTAGGGCCAGAACTTTGCCTCAGAGAATCTGAATTTCCAAAAAATAACCTAAAAGAGAAATTTAAGTACTAATTAGTAAGCAAAGAAATGCACATTTAAGGAAGACAGTGCACATTTAAGGAAGACAGTAACCTTTTATCTATTAGAGAAAAACACACATTCTGTCTTTAACACACACATAAATCTTATATTGGCAGGGATTTTCTTTATTCAGCAATTATTTATTGGTTGTCTGCTTTGTGGTACACATAAATGCTGGGGATAAACACTTAATAAAATATACTTCCTTCTCTTGAATATCTTGCACTTTAAGTGGGAAGGTAAGTCAACAGAGTAGAGGTGATATATCCAAGTGATAGACTGTTTCATTGCCAGTAGCAGTATAAAATCTTAGAAATCTTTTGGAAAGCAATTTGGATGTAAGTATTGCAGAGCCTTAAAAATGTTTATTTGCTTTGACCTAAAATTCCTTTTTTATTTATTGCAAGAAAATTATTCTAAATATGGGAGAACAAAACCTTCATGCTTAAAAGTGGTTATTTTATCTTATAATGTTGAAAGTTGGAAACAGTCTTGTTAGCCATAAAGGAATGATTACATGAACCAGTAAGCTGGCTCAGTAGAATATTTTATTTAGCCCACTAAAAAAGTCAAAGTTGGCCAGGTGCGGTGGCTCACGCCTGTAATCCCAGCACTTTGGGAGGCCAAGGCAGGTGGATCATGAGTTCAGGAGATCGAGACCATCCTGGCTAACATGGTGAAACCCTGTCTCTACTAAAAATACAAAAAATTAGCTGTGCGTGGTGGCGGACACCTGTAGTCCCAGCTACTCAGGAGGCTGAAGCAGGAGAATGGTGTGAACCTGGGAGGTGGAGCTTGCAGTGAGCCGAGATCAGGCCACTGTACTCCAGCCTAGGCGACAGAGCGAGACTCCATCTCAAAAAAAAAAAAAAAAAAAGTCAGAGTTATGAGTTCTCTGATTCAGTGTTAAATGGAAGAATGTCTAACATAAAATTGGATATACAGTCTTCCCTCAGCATACTCGGGTTATTCCATGACCCCATCCTCCAGCATATACCCAAATCCATGCAGGCATGCTCAGGCCCCACAGTTGACCTGTGGAACCAGGGTATATAAAAAGTCAGTCCTCCTTATGAACTTTTGCGTTGGAGAATACTTGTTTTTGTTTGTTTGTTTGTTTTGAGATGGAGTCTCGCTCTGTTGCCAGGCTGGAGTGCAGTGGCGCAATCTCAGCTCACTGCAACCTCTGCCTCCCGGGTTCAAGTGATTCTCCTGCCTCCGCCTCCCGAGTAGCTGGGATTACAGGTGCGCACCACCACACCCAGCTAATTTTTATATTTTTAGTAGAGACGGGGTTTCACCATGTTGGCCTCAATTTCCTGACCTTGTGATCTGCCTGCCTCGGCCTCCCAAAGTGCTGGGATTACAGGCATGAGCCACCGTGCTCAGCCAGAATACTGTATTTTTGATCTGCATTTGGTTGAAAAAAATCTGCATATAATGGGCCTGCATACTTCAAGCCCTTGATATTCAAGGGTTGTTGTACAGGATAACATTTGATATTTCTGGGGTTGTGTTCCAGAAAAAATATAAACTTTTCCATGGGTAGAAGGGAGAAAGGGGAGCAGCTGTCAGGGAGGAAAATTACTACAACACTTTATCATTAGTCGTTTTTAAGTAGTGGAATGTTAAGTGATTTTACTTTCTAATTGTTTCATTTCATATTTCCTTATTTTCTTTAAGGAGCATGAATTACTCTTTAAAGGAGTAATGAGGAGGGAACTTTCATAAATATGTAACATTATGTTCTCACTTCCTCCACTAGAGGGAGAAACAATTTCATGTAATTGTGCTTTGATGTGATTTTTAGAACTAGTTAGGAATGGAGGATTTTATTCTTCTTTCTCCAATTGTGATAAGTTTTTTGCTTATTTCCATGTTTGGTTAGAAGTTCTTTGATAACAGTTCTAAATATTAAAACCATTATATAAATAATAAGTAGAGGAATTTTGCAATTTCTTTTTCCTTTTTCCCATAAAAACTTGGTTGGCTTTAACTGATAATGAAACATTAAAGAATTTGTAGTTATTAGGGCATTTACTGATTTTTCAAATGTGTTCTGAGTATAAAAATATATGCCCTTTGAGAAAATTTTTGAAAATCGTGAAAAACATTGAGGGAAATAAAAACCACCTCTGCATGGTACACACACCTGGATATTTTGTAATTTGCCCTTTTATCTTAAAAAGATATCAAAATATTTTGTCACATCATTGAATGCTCTTCCACATCAGAGAATCTTACTTAGCTTATGGACCATCTCCCAAGAAAAACGACCATTCATTAACTCTGGTTAAGACCCATATCATTGTTTTTAGTGGCTCCATAGAGCATTTCATCATAGGGATGTGCTATTTTTTTTTTTTTTTTTACCAATCACAATTTGGAGGCTTTTAGTTGTAAACAGTCCTGTGACATTATGTTGGTAGATAAATCTTTGTCCACATGTTTGGTGATTTCCTTAAGGTAAATTCCCAGACATTGAATTGGTAGTATTTACTAAAGATTACTCCAGAAAGTGGCACCAATTTCCTTTTCTAATGTAAGTGTATGGTAGAGTTCCTTCCCTCAACACTCTGGAGGAATTGGAGAATCTCCATCATGTCTAATTCCTTTTGTATTTCAATCTTTACCAGAAAGAGCCCTGTCCCTTTTAATTGGTTACTTGACTTTTAATTTGCTGTTACATAATTCAGGTGTGTTAAGTGTGTTAATAGGGCTTCCTATTATAAGGGATCCACAAATAAGAATAGAATTTCTTTTTCATAGCCTTAATTTTTATTTGACTCAATAAATATATGTGTATGCCTTCTATGGTGAGCTGTCATAAATTTATTTTGGAAAGAGTGGAAATAAATCTGTAATGTGCGAATCTGATGTTTTTGGTAATTAATTTCCCTAGCATGGTATGATATTATACAAGCAGTAGGCTATAATCCTGATATCTGAGTTCACTTCTGGCTCTGTCCCTAAACACTTGGTGAGCTCAACAGCTGGAAGAGTTTTGGGGATCATATTGGGAATTAATTATAATATTTACTTTATTACTTAATACTAGGAAAAACTGGAGGAGTGCCTAAAGCAGTTAAAGGAAGAAAGAGTGATAAGGCTTAAGGTTGATAAACGAGTCAGTGAGGTAAATAAAAGTTTTCTTACCTTTTGAGAGTTTTTTGTTTTGGTTTTGGTTTAACTTTAAGTCATACATACACACACTTTATAAACTTTAAAATGAGAAAATATAGTGTATTGCAAATGGTCACAGTATGTTAATGTTTGTATTTACTTATATTTGGTGACCGTGTGATCTGTATTCCAAAAAGCATGTTTTTTAAAAATGTAAAAATTGTAGTTTGTTTTCTTTTCCTCTGTTTTTATATGACTGGAGCTTATTTTCTGTTCATGATGCATCAATTCAAGAATGCATTTATTAGGCTTATACTGTATATACAATTGCGTAAAAGATGGGGATGAGACTATCTACTGAAGGGGAATTAGGAAAATGAATAAATAAGGTAAAAGATAATGGAAAACCGGTAAGAATGCAATGAAAGATAAAAATCTATACCATGAGGACTAAATTAGGTGAATGTGCATAAGAGCAGGGCATAAACTAGAAAGTTCTACATAACTATAATTTATTATTACAAAGCAAGTTTAAGGAGGAATTTTTGAAAGTATATGCATTGGTTTGAAAGACAGTTAATCATTCAATAAAGGTTGAGCACCTGATTGTATAAGGCAAAAGGTGCTTTGTGAACACAGTGGCCTTTCTGAGAAATACTAGAGTTAGACTTATGTGTAGTATTAGATAAATAGATTTGGTGTACAGGAGAGTACATATTTTCAAGAAGCAAAGGGGCAATATTGGTAATTGTACAGTTAGTAAATTGGGTATGATTTAGGACTTTTAAATTTATATATTAAGTATTTTACTGGCAAAAATTAGTCCTTAACAGCCAAATTGTAAAATGCTTACTCTTTATTTCATTGTCTAATTTAAGGGAAACCTTAAACAGCTAATTTTTAAATATAGAATGATCCAGGTATGTATTTAAGCTGTTAGAAATGTGATCTTTTTGAAAGATAATTAATGAAATACTATTTATATTATTTATGTAGGAGGTTTTGTCAGTTATCTCCAGGTTTTGATTGTTATTTAATATGGTCTGTCTTTACTGGTAGAGAGTTAGATTAACTGCAAATTAATTACATTTTTAAAATGTTTTATTTTAGTTTCATAAAAACTATTTTGGTGATAATGAGAGAAAATCATGTCACACATTTTCAATCTTCTTTTATAGCTGGAACATGAAAATGCCCAGTTAAGAAATATAAATTTCTCTTTGTCTGAAGCCCTTCATGCACAGTCATTGACAAATATGATCCTGGATGATGAAGGTGTTTTGGGCAGCATTGAGAATTCTTTTCAGAAGTTTCATGCTTTCTTGGATCTCCTTAAAGATGCTGGGTTAGTTACTTTCTCCCTATGACATTCGTCCCTCCATGACTTTAATGGTGTTTTGCTGAGGAACTTGAGCAATTTTTATAGCTTTCTGAAGTCATATTTACTGTGTAATTATAAGTAATACACTTGATTTTTTAAATGTGGAATTAATTTTAAAAGAAATGCAAAATGACAAACCTGCCTTGGTTGAGGGCCCAATATGAAAGAGTAAACTTATCTGGCTTGGTGGTTTGCACCTGTAATCCCAGCTACTTGGGAGGCTGAGGCAGGAGGATCACTTGAGCCCAGAAATTCAAGGTTAGCCTGAGCAACATAGCAAGAGCCCATCTCTTAAAAAAAAAAAAAAAAAAAAGAGTAACTTGTAGATAGAGTAATTGGTAGCTGTGATTCTTGTTAAAGACCAAATTGAAGGTAGTTTTAATTGAAAGTATTCAGGAATGTATAGGAATTTTTCTTTTATTCACTTTGCTTGTTAAATAAGTTTGAATTAAAATTAAGTTTGAGATATTAAAATTGTTATTAATCTGCAGGGTAGATATAGATATAGATATGGATCAGTGGTCCTCAACCAAGAATGATTTTGCTGAACGAATATACTGAAAGAAAGAGTTGGAGATAGATAATTGATAGAGTTATGTTTTGTAGGTGAACGGTTTGGTGAGGAAAGGAACAAACATATTCTTGAGGACTGGAGGAAAGGTGGTATAGATGTGTGGGGATGAAGGTGAGAGGCAGTAGGTGTGTGGTAGAAATTGCAGCTTCTACTGAGACAGTATATAAAATACGGAATAAGTAAGGAAATGAAGTCAAGAGGTATCTAATACATTGTTGGGGGAAGAGACAGTGCTTAAAGGATTGGATGATATGATATGGTTTGTCTCAGAGAATAAATGTGGGAAGGTCTGAGAAATTGGGAGGGATGGGGGTGTAGTCTGGAGTAGGATAATGGGTTTTAAGATTTTAGAAGTATTTAATGATTGTAGGTTTGGGGAAATGTAAGCTGTTCTTATGTGCTTCTAGTAATCCTTGCCTTTTCCTCCTTTTCTTCTCTCGACCAGGCTTGGGCAGCTTGCCACAATGGCTGGGATAGATCAGTCAGATTTTCAATTACTAGGTCATCCCCAGATGACTTCTACTGTTAGTAATCCACCTAAAGAAGAAAAGAAGGCGCTTGAAGATGAAAAACCAGAACCGAAGCAGAATGCCCTAGGGCAAATGCAAAATATCCAGGTAAATGAATAGAACAGAACTTAGTGATTCTACAAGTGATTAGCAAAAAAGGGAATTACTAAGTCAGAGAGAAAAGAATAATGATCTGTGCACATGCTCAGGGACCAGAAGCATCTTTGGGGTCCTTTCCAAGACTGAGATTAGTAAGTTTGTGCCCATTTCCTTATATTGTATTGTTGTAAATAAAAAATAAGAAAGTTCTTTTGAAACTTTATGATTTAAAGTAGACTATCCTCAGTGAAGAAATGAAAGATTAGAGAAATGATTTTCAATTTTCAATTTTATAAATGTCTATTCTATTCATATTCCATCTAGGTTTCTATTTGTATGCAGTCAGCTTACAATGAAGGAACACTAATGAAGGTACAAGTACTGATATAGATAATTTTTCAGAATAAGTAATTCATATATAACAGGCAGTATATTATAGGCATCATCTAGTTATGGGAATGGGAGGGGCAAACCTGTCTGCCACAGGAGTCCCCTGCTGCTTTTCCTCTGGCCTTACTTGGAGCCCCCATCTGCCATCTCAGCCAGTCTCAGACTGGTCTTGGCAACTGACGACTTGAAAACTCAGTCTACTTATAAATTGGATACTGCTTACATGTGCATAGAGGATAGGAAAGATACTAATTTTCTTATAGAATAAGGTTCTTTTTTTTTTAATGAGGGAGACATAAATTAGTAATAATTACAGAAAACACAGAAGTCTGAAAATGTGCTGGACCTACTCCTGGCTATAGCTAAGTTAAGTTGGCAATCACTTGGCAAGATATAATTAGGGCAAAAATGACCTGGAAATCTTCTAAGATCACAGAATAACATTGACGTTTTGAACTCGATTTTTAAATGGATGGCTTTGTTTGTCACTAAATTTTTGTTTTGTTTTTCCTTCTAGTTTCAGAAAATTACAGGTGATGCTAGAATTCCTTTGCCTCTCGACTCCTTTCCTGTCCCAGTTTCTACTCCAGAGGGCTTAGGAACTTCCAGCAACAACCTAGGAGTCCCAGCTACTGAGCAGCGGCAGGAGTCTTTTGAAGGATTCATTGCTAGAATGTGTTCTCCTTCACCAGATGCGACTTCTGGAACTGGAAGTCAAAGAAAAGAAGAGGAGTTGTCCAGAAATAGCAGATCTTCTTCAGAGAAAAAGACCAAAACAGGTGAATATACCAAAAAACACTCTGATAAGCAACACCCTGGAAAGGACCTGCATTCCTGATCTGACTGTCCTGAAAACCAGAAAAGCAAAGAAACTAGGGAAACTAGTTCTTTGGTTAATGAACCAATTAAAAGTAGGTCTTTGAAAAAATACGTTTCTGTCAAGAAAGAAAATAGAATAGTGACTGTTTCATCCAAGACAAATAAAAGTAAATCCAGTCCACTAGAACATTCTGAAAGTGATACTCTTGGATGTGATTTTGAATTTCAAGAAAGCATCCATTCTCTATCACACCTTTCATATGACTAAATCTTTTGAAACTATGTTTTTACCTTTAAATTTTAATAAATTTTCTTATGTTTTTATTATGGCATATGGTGTCTTAAAATATAGGATTGGAAGCCACTAAAGGAAGATTTCTCTATACTTTTTATTATAGTGAAATTTTTGGTCTGTTTTTCCCTTTGATAGTTTACAACATTGATTCAGCAATTGTTTACTGAGGGGCTAGTATGTATAATATCATTCTGGGTGCTATGGCTTTCAGCAGTGAACAAAACAAAGCCTTTAATCTCAAGGAACTAACATTCTGTGGAGGGAGAAAACAGAACAACAAAGCAGAGTACGATGAATAGAAAGGGATGGGAGTGAATAAATGGAATAATTTTACCATTTGGTTAAATTTGGAAATAAATATATATCACATGGCCAGAAGCCATTGACATATTCTAATATATAACCAGAGCAGCAAACATGTCTAGATGCTTAAGCATGTTCATGGATTATAGCAACCCTATAAGATAGGGAACTATTAATATTATTATGTCCATTTTATAGATGAGGTGTCTAAGGAGACAGATTATGTGAATTGCCCAAAGTTGCACGGCTGTAAATAGGTGGTAGGGCTGGGATCTCAACCAGAACCCATACTTTAATGAGCTATCCTGTTTCACTGTTAAGAGAGGAACCACTTAAGGAAGATTCTGAGAAAAAAGCCAATGAACACTATAAGTAGAAAAGAGTGGGGCTATCAGAAAGCACACCTGGGTTGAATTTTTCAAAGGCAGAGTTAGTAAGAGTATGGATATAAATCTTTGGAGTAAATACCCCTCCCTGGTAAAATATGCATAGATAAGTCCTTTCCTACAACCAGACTATGACTTGAGAGATGAGATGAGAGAAAAGCTGGAGCGTCAGATTTCTTCTGGATGGTCTTGCCTGATTGTTATCAAAAGGGCTACTACAATACTACTGAGTTCATTAATCATGGATTGACTTATGGGAATGAAACAATGAACAAGATGTAATCTTGGCTTTTTAACAGTTGAGTGAAGGGGAGATACACAAGCAGATGTCGTAATACCGTATATTACATTCTATGGTGGAAATGCTGAGGGAGTTTAGTCAGTGTGGGGAAAAAGGAGGAGAGCAGTGGGGCCAAGAAAGGCCAACTAAAGAGACCAAAGGTCATGTTAATTTCTAAGCTAAGTCTTAAAAGTAATGAGTTACAGGCTGGTGAATAAGAAGGTGAAGGGGAAGGATACTCAGGGCAGAGGGAATAGCATGAGCAGAAGTACAGAGCCGTGAGTGTGAGTATGTGCGTTTGAGGAACCACAAACACAAGTAGTTGAGAGTTACCGAAATGTCATCAGGCACTAGCAGATGTCGCTCAAGGAGGCAGCTAGGGGAACAAGATCGAGTCTTATAATCCACGTTGCATGGAGCTGGTTCTTTTTCTTCAGTAAATAATGAGCTAGTAAAGAATGGAAGTTATATGCTCAGGCTTGCATTTTAGATCATTAGCTTTAGGCTGATACATTAAAGAAGTGTGGAGATCAGTTTTCCACACTTTTCTGAAGAGCATTTGTCTTTGATTTTTAAATGGGACTTATCCTCCCAATTCCTCTCCTACTGAAATAATTTTTAGACAAACATAAAGGAGACCCTCGCATAAATAGAATTAAGCAGGTTTCTTTTCTTTTTTTTTTTTTTTTTTTTGAGATGGAGTCTTGCTCTGTCGCCCAGGCTGGAGTGCAGTGGTGCGATCTCGGCTCACTGCAAGCTCCGCCTCAGCCTCCCCAGTAGCTGGGACTAGAGGTGCCCGCCACCATGCCCTGCTAATTTTTTGTATTTTTCGTAGAGACGGGGTTTCACCGTGTTAGCCAGGATGATCTTGATCTCCTGACCTCGTGATCCACCCACCTTGGCCTCCCAAAGTGCTGGGATTACAGGCGTGAGCTACCATGCCTGGCCGCAGGTTTCTTTACAGTAGTACTTCTCAAGGGTGCTAGAGGCTAATGTTCATTCTGAGTCTTCAAGACAGGCATATGGTATGCAGCCCTTCTCAAATATACTTGTTTATAGAATCCTTTTTTAATAGGAGTGCCTAACAACTGGTGCCACGAAATGCCAATTTAGTAACTTACGACTTAGCAAGAAGAGAAAGGGATCTAAAATAAGGTATAGATGAAGGGAGGGAGTAAGTTTTAATCTTATTTTGGCAATTAAATAAGATTTGGTTATGGGAAGTAAGGAAAAAAGAGGCAGTGGGTGGACTTGTGTTTCTGTGACTAAGGTTGGGTGGTGGTATCATTGAGGCTGAGAATATGGGATAAAGAACTGCTTTGGAAAGAAGAGTTTAGTTTGGAGCAGGTTGAACACATCACCTGCAGATTTCAGGAGGAAATGACTGGTAGATGATTGGATGTACATATGAAGACATGGAAATAAAGAATTTGAAAGTCATCAGCACATATAAGCAGTAGTTAAAATCATAAAGTTGATGAGAACACAGAATTGTGGGGACTGTCAAGGTTTAAGTGATAAGCAAAGAAAGGATTCTGAGAGAGACAAGTGATAAGAGTGTCAAGAAGGAAGAAGTAGAATACAGTGTCACATGGCAGAGAATAAGTGTCCACGGGATTTTGACAGTTAGGTCCCAGGTGACCTTAATGAGAGCAATTCACTGAATTGGTTGATGAAAATGCCAGATTGCAGTAAATTGAGGGGCAGGAATGCCCTGAGGGGGCAATGAAAACTAGGTATAGGACTACTCTTTGAAGGAGTTTGGATGATAAGAGGAAATGGAGTTAGCTGAAGAGGAATTTTTTAGACTAAGGACTTAAATGTTTGTAAGGTGAAAGGAAAGAACCAAGTAAAGAAGGAGAGGCTCATTTATGCAGCAGGATCTCAGACAAGCAGGGACATGAGATACTTTAATGTTCTTAAGACTAAAAGAAACAGATCTGAACAGATGGGGATGTACATATTTGAATTCTTGATGAACTTGAGATGACTCCCATACATGTAGTGCAAAATGGTTAGATAAGTAACTTAGAGAATCTGGGAAAGAAATATGGATTAGAAAATAAAATCAGGGATGGGGTCACATTGTAAAATATGTAAAAGTTATTGTAGAGTTGGGGGATCCTGGGAAGTGTGGACAGAGACAAAAATGGGAAGAGTTAGAAGTTAAATGAGTTTATACCTGATAACCCCAGTTTTCTTTAACCATGGATTTTTACAAGACCTACACACAATCACATAATTATAGTTTTAAAATTCTTCCATATTTTACATATATTTTATCAAACATTTAAAACCGTAACATTAAGAGTTATAAATGTGGATATTTTGCTGCTTAATATATACAATTTTAGCCCTGCAAGTAATTGTTAAACTTTCAATATACCTGAAATAATATCATTTAATTTTGAAATATGGTATTTTCATTTGGTTTAGAGAAAGGTACAAGTGTGTTCCTTTACTGAGAAATTACTATGCACCTTTACTGAGTACTTACCAGCACATATACAATCTGTATGCAAACAGGACCCTTTTCAGAAAACATTCAGATGTGATACTGTAGCAAAGAGCTTGTCATCCTGTCTTAAATTCACACATAATTACTAGTGGTCAAAAATCATCACTCTTGCTTGCCCATCCAGTTCTATATCCAATAATGAGTTCGTCCAATTTCAAATGGGTATTTACAGAATCTCTAATCTCAAGACAGTAACACTTGATTTTCAGAGGATCGGCATGATAGGAGATGATTGGTTTTTTGAAAAATTCTGATTATAAACTACATGCTGGAACATTAACATGGATGACTGAACACATTCTTTTATGCTTCTAGAATCCCATTGAAATGACTGGAGAAATATTAAAATAAAAATAATAGCAGAGTTGGAAAACCAGAAATTTGAACAGTGAAATTTCTGGAAGATAAGAAGCAGATGATTTAAGTACCAGTTAATTAAAGGATGGAACAGCTAAGCCATTCCACTCATCTTTGGAGCATCTGATTCTGGAGTTTGCCACCAGGCTAAGAAAGCAGCTATCTGAAGTGGGAGCTCTGACCCAAGAAATGCTGGGATCGGAGAATAAGGGAATTATCCAAAATGGCTCCGAAGAGGAACTGAAGTTAAGCTGCCCACATGATCTCTCTAACTATGATGACCTGCCACTTCCGTTTATAATCACCATATAAGTGCCTGTAATCATTTGTGTTCATTAAAAGTGAACCAGAATTCCCATTTGGATGAAAAAATAACACTTCCAACTTTAATCTTAGGCCCTCATTTATAAATATGGACAACCAAGAATCATCAAATTTGAAGAAAACCAGTAACATAAAAGGAGGCATGAAATTAAAATTAACCTGTTCAAGAAGATAGTTACTAGGAGAAACATGAAATTTTTAAATTAATGAATCAAAATCTTCAGCAATTCATAAAGATACTGTGTTCATAAAGAATAGGATGCCATGAAAAAAATATTTAGAGTTTCTGGAAATTAAAAATTTGATTATGAAACTGAAACACTCAGAAGATGGACTACACAGCAGAATGGATTCATTTGAAGCTTAAATTCATGAAATGGAAGGTATTAATTGGTCTTAGACGTTTCATCAGCAACTTAATTACTTAGAAAAAATCTTTCTCAGAGTAACTAAGCAAAATGAACAATGAACCCATTAACGTGTGGTTTTGTTTTTTGGGTTTTTTTTTTTTGAGTCAAGGTCTCACTCATGTCACCCAGGCTGGGGTGTAGTGATGGGATCACAGCTTATTGTAACCATGAACCATTGGGCTTAAATTATCTTCCCACCTCAGCCTCCCAAGTAGCTGCAATGTACCACCATGCCGAAGTTTTAAAAAATTATTGTAGAGTTGGGTTCTTTCTTTCTTTTCTTTTTTTCTTTTTTTCTTTTTTTTTTGAGACGGAGTCTCGCTCTATTGCCCAGGCTGGAGTGCAGTGGTACAATCTCAGCTCACTGCAACCTCCTCGATCTCAGCTCACTGCAACCGTGAAGTGATCTTCCTGCCTCAGCCCCCCTAGTAACTGGGATTACAGGCACACACCACCATGCCTGGCTAATTTTTGTATTTTTAGTAAAGACGGGGTTTCACCATGTTGGCCAGGCTGGTCTCGAACTCCTAACCTCAGGTGATTCACCCACCTCGGCCTCCCAAAGTGCTGGGATTACAGGCATGAGCCACTGCATCCGGCCAAGATGGGTTCTTTCTTAGGCTGGTCTTGAACTCCTGGCCTCAAATGATCCTCCCACCTTGGCCTCCCAAAGTGCTGAGACTACAGACCTGAGCCACTGTGCCCAGCCCCATGAAAGATGTTTAGATCAAATAAACTGATAAAGATATTGATAAAGATATGAGACAAACTACTTCAGCTTTGTGACCTGCAAATCCCCTTTTATAATCACCAGAGGTGCCTGTAGTCAGAAAAAGTCTAAATAAATACTAATGACATATGAAAACAAAGTCCAACCAAAGTTCTAGGTTTGAACATGAATGGAGGCATGGCAGGACACAGAAAGTGAAAGCTTGTCCTAGATATTGTCTTATTCATGGGAAGGATACAGGTAGTGTTTGATTCTAGGTATTGATTGAAAAAATATATTAAAATATATATAAAGTTAAGGGTATGTTAGTAAGGATAGGTTAGGTGATGTTGCATTAACAGCTCCCAAATTTTAATTACTTTCAACAACATAGGTTTATTTGTGCCCATGCAGTTTGCCTTTGGCAGATTGGCTAGAGGCCCCTATTCAACATCAACCTCAATCTGGAAGCGAGGCTGGTGGAACGTCACTATTTGGAACATTGCTGGTTGCAGTGTCCAAGGAAAGACAGTATGATGCAGCATATATTGTGACTTAAAGCTTCTGTCTAGATGTGACATATGTCACTTCTGTTCACATTTCTTTGGCCAAAGAAAGTCACATGGTTATGCCTGAGTTCAGCAGACCAGGGAAGTGCAGAATTGCCATTTGCCATGAGAAGAGAGGGAAGCAAATGTATGTCAACAACTTTAATAGCTACAAAACTACCTGGAAAGAGGGAATGGAATTTTTAGGTCCAACAAGACGGGAAAGAAAAAGAAACAAGCTACATAGAAATAAAAAATCCACAATATAGCAAGATCAAGTTTTTTACTCATAATAAACATGAACAGGTTAAATTCTGGAATCCTTAGGCTTGAGTAAAAACATGAAATCCCACTGTGTGCTATTTGCAAAATCTAAAACGCTGTCATAGATTATAAAGAGATGAACAAAAATATACCAGGCAGATGCTAAAGAGTAAATGTGGCTGTGTTAGCTGCAGACTAAATAGAACCCAAGGTGAAAATTGGTAAAGGGGACAAAAGCTTCTTTTGGCTGATAAGTACAGTGTTGCAGAAGATTTTTTAAAAAAATATATCTGCAATTTAAAAACTTGATGTTAGGCCGGGCGCAGCGGCTCACGCCTGTAATCCTAGCACTTTGGGAGGCCGAGGTGGGTGGATCACCTGAGGTCAGAAGTTCAAGACCAGCCTGGCCAACATGGCAAAACTCCGTCTCTACTAAAAATACAAAAAAAAAAAAAAAAAATTAGCTGGGTGTCATGGCGCATGCCTGTAATCCCAGCTACTCGGGAGGCTGAGGCAGGAGAATCGCTTGAACCTGGGAGGCGGAGTTTGCAGTGAGCTGAGATGGCACCGCTGCACTCCAGCCTGGGCCATAGAGGAGACTCCGTCTCAAACAAACAAAAACCTTCATCTTAAAATTATAGGGTAAGAATTTAGAAATACAAGGAAAAATGGCCAGCCAGTTATAACAAGAAGCTTTAAGACATCTCTTTTCAGAATCAGTGGATCGACTGCTGCACACACACTAGAATGGCTAACATTTTGAAATGCTGATAAATATGCAGAGCAACTGGAGTTCCTCACAGCTGGTAGGAATGCAAAATGACTCAGTCACTCAAAACAGTTTGGCAGATTCTTTAAATGCTAACATACACATACCATATGACCAAGCAGTCCCACTCCTGGGTATTTAGAGAGATGAAAACTTAGTTCACACAAAACCTGTGCGTGGATATTTATAGCAGCTCCATTCATAGTGACCAAGATGTCTTCCAACAGGTGAATGGATAGCGATGTATCCATATGGTGGCAAACATGCCACAATTCGGATGAATCTCAACATCATATGCTGAGTGAAAAAGCCAGTCTCGGAAGGCTACATTCTGTATGATTCCATTTATATGGCATTCTTGAAAAGACAAAACTATAGTGACAGAACAGATTGGAGATTGCCAGGTGTTGGGGTTGGGAGGAGTTGATTACAAAGAGGCTGTACAAGGGAGTTTGTTTGTTTGTTTGTTTTGGTGATGAACAGTTCTGTATCCTGATTGCGGTGGTGGTAACGTGAGTCTATACATATGTTAAAATTTATAGAACTGCATACTCTCAAAAAAATTAGTTTTACTCTATAATAATATTAGAGCTTAAAAAATTCATCCCTCTTGCCCATCAGTAGATCAGGATATGAAGGATACCATTGAACATAAATATTTTGTATCCATGATGAATACAAAGTATATTCTCCTGGAAAACCAATAGAACATTCATATAAATGATTCCTATGAAGGTAAAAAACTTACAAAATTCAAAGATCATACAGATCATGTGCTCTGTATAATGTAATAATAGTAACAAAAGGCCTGTCCACTTGGAAATTTTTAAATGATCTTCTAAATAACTCATTTAAAGGAGAAATCAAAATAAATTGCAAATTATTTAGAATTAATAAAAACTTCTCTAAAGCTGAGGAATTCTACCAAAGAGGTGTTAGAGGAAATTGTATAGATTTTGATTTACTTTCCAGGAAGAAAGAAGACAAAAGAGATGAATTAAACATTTAAAGCTAAGAAAGAGATAAACCAAAAGAAAGGTGAGGAATTGGTAAAAGCAGAAATGAATAAAATAGCAAATTTTGATCAGTGAAACACAGGTTTTTAAAAATGAAAGATAAACCTTTGTAAAATATGATAAAGAAAAAAAAGCAAGAAGTAATTAACAAAAATTGCCAGCATTAGGAATAATTTTAGAAGGATACCTACAACTAGAAGAGATATTTTTAATTATGAGCACTTTTATAATTTACTATAAATAATTGTGTAGTGTTAAACCAATAAATTTGAAAGACTAGATGAAATGTGACTGTTTAAAAATATGGATTGTAAAAATTGATAAAAAATAGAAAATGTAAATAAACGAAACATCTTAGGAGAAATTGAAAAAATAGGACAAGAACTTATTTTTAAAAAGAGGCCAGGTGCGGTGGCCCATGCCTGTAATACCAGTACTTTGGGAGGCCGAGGTGGGCGGATCACCTGAGATGAGGAGTTCAAGACCAGCCTGGCCAACATGGTGAAACCCCGTCTCTACTAAAAATACAAAAATTAGCCGGGCTTGGTGGCGGGCACTTGTAATCCCAACTACTCAGGAGTCTGAGGCATGAGTGTCGCTTGAACCTGGGAGGCAGAGGTTGCAGTGAGCTGAGGTCACACCGTTGCACTCTAGCCTGGGAGACAAGAGGGAAACTCTGTCTCCAAAAAAAAAAAAAAAAAAATACAGTTAGAAAAACTTTAAAGGGGCCAGGTGTGGTGGCTCATGTCTGTAATCCCAGCACTTTGGGACACCAAAGTGGGAACATTGCTGAGACCAGCAGTTTGAGACCAGCCTGGGCAAGACCTCATCTCTACAAAAATTAAAAAACAAAACAAAACAAAAAAACCCAAAACTTAGCCAGGCATGGTGGTGCGTGCATGTAGTCCCAGCCACTCAGGAGGCTGAAGTGGGAGGATCGCTTGAGGCCGGGATTCGAGGCTGCAGTGAGCTGTGATCATGCCACCACTGCTCTCTAGCCTGGGCAAGAGTGAGACTCCGACTCAAGAAGAGAAAAAGAAAAACCTTCCAGGGGCACATTTATTTGTAAACCATTCCAGAGGATAGAAAAGAGATGTAAGGCTCCCTAATTCATTCCATACGGTTAGCGTAATCCTTATAGCAAACTGCACAAATAAAACACAAGGAAAACTAAACCAAATTCAATTAATGTAGGTGCAAAAAATCCAAAATAAAACTAGCAGTTTGAATTCAGCATTGTAGCAAAAGATATATCATTTTCAAGGAAGATTTGTACCAAAACATGCAAGATTGAGTGAAGAGTAACTCACTGTAGCTCACTAAATTAACAGATTAAAGAAGTATAGTCATCTTCACAAGCTGAAAGAGTATGTGATAAATTCAACATCCTCTGGTATTCTTAACAATCTCGAAATAGAAGGAAACTTCCTTAGCTTAGCTTCTTGGCTTCATTAAATATACCTAACAGAAATCCACAGGAAACAAACTTGGTGAAAAGTTTTTGCTAAGATAAAAACGGTACTAAAAAGTACACATTTTGGGAAATGAGACAAGGCTCTCGTTATTTGTAAATATGGGGTCTTTTTTTTTTTGGACAAAAAACCCCCTGTGATGATCTACTGGCATGCTATTACAGCTAATAAAGCTGAATAAGGAGGCTGTGCACAACACCAACACACCGGTATGAAAAGTGTGTACACCAGCAATAACCAATTAGAAAATGTATGAGGAAATAGACTCTCATCCACAATAGCTGCGAGAAGTAAATATTATCTAGAAATAAGATTAACAAGAGAAATGTAAGGCCTATATAAATAAAAGGATAAATCTATGCTAGAGGGTATAAAAGAAACACAAAAATAGAGGTATGCCATGTATAAGACCCAACATAATAAATAGTTCTACCAAATTAATTTATAAATTCAAAGCAATTTCATATAACCACAGTAAAGCTTTTTAAATGGATGTAATAACCTGATTATAACATTAATCTGAAAGTCATCAGGCATAAAGCAATTTTGATTACATCTCAAAACAATCCATGGAGTTAGGGTAAATGTGCTGTTCACACAGGAATAATCACAGGTATAGAACCGAGAACCTAGGAACAGAGCAATGTATATATATATGTATTTAAAAAATGGCATCACAAGTCAGTAGAGAAGGGTTTGAACTATTCAGTAAATGATGTTGAGGTTATTTACTACTTTTTCTTATTTCATATCATGGATGAAAAAAATCAAGATGAATTAAACATGGAAATTAAAAATAACTAGAAGAAAATACTGGAAAAAAATTGTAATAAATGTGTAAGAAAGGCATTCCCAACCAAGACACAAAACCCAGTAGCCATGAAAAAAAAGATAGATTTGACTACATTTTTAAAAAGTAAAACCTTTCACTTTTTACAAAACTTTGATAAAATTAGATTTCATAAATAAAGGAGTGGGAAAATACATGTAATAGAACAGAAGATTTAAGATAATATAAAGAGCACCTACAAACAACAAAAATTGGACAAAGGCTATAAAAATATTTTATAAATAAGAAATACAGACTATAAACATAAACTTTCAACCTCGTAAGCAATCAGGAAAATTAAAGTTAAAATGAGATACTATTTTTCAATACATTGAAATGGCAGATTATTAAAGATTGGTGATAGTGCTGGAGATAATGTGAGGAAAGGAGTATTCTCAGTCATTGTAGAAATTGATACAGCTTTTGGATGGACAGTTTGACAGTGTGTATCAACATGTGAAATGTCTCCAGCCTTTGATCTAATGACTAATTTTAGGCATCCAGCCTGAAGAAATATTCACACAAGTGCCCAAAGAGTCAGATACAAGACTGTGTGAAGTGTTTTTTGAGATAATAAAAAACTAGAAACAGCATAAATGTACAGAAATGCAGAAATTGTTGAATTAGTACATACCAATTTCTGACATATAACACTCTGCAGCAGATAAAGACAATAGCTCTCTAGTGTGGACATGAAAATATTTCTAAGACATTGACAGGACGAAGAAGTTGCACAGTAACCACGCACTCCTGTTTACATTTGTATAGTTAAAACTTGTTTACCTATACGTAGCATATATGCGTGTGTGCACCCTAGAAAAGAGTCTGTGATAACACATATCAAGCTATTGACAGCGGTTTTGTCTGCTGAAGGAGGAAAAAAGGGGGGCTTCTCACATTTTACTCCATTTAATTCTAGGTTGTTTGGTTTAAAAAAAAAGTTTTTATGTACAACAGACAATTTTTAAAATTCCTTTTCATCATAGAAAATGAAAATGTGTACTCTGTTATCCTTTACGCTCTGTCCATTTTTTTCTTCAAAAATGTGTCTGACCTATTATCAATGTGAATGAAAATGAGCTTTGCTACATAACCTCTTTTCAGAGCTTTGTATTCCTGAAGTGTTGGAGTCGCCTACATGGCATAGTCAAATGTTTTTAACTTAACCACAACCCACAGTAAAAATGAAGCTTTCTGCAAAGTTAAAAGTAGTAGTCCTGGCCCCACCTTCCTTGTGTGCACGTATAATTAATGGAAAATTGCATCAAACAACTCTGATTGTACTTCTAGTGACTAATTCATGTTCTGTTCTATTCCTTGCCTTTAAAGAAAATTATGTTGGCAACTCACGAAGTATGTTTCACAATCCACTAATGGGTAATGTCCTACTGTTTGGAAACACTGGCTAGAGTGTTTCAAACATCTGCTCTGTTTACCCCTGACAAAACTGCTACTCGTGGGGCAATGCAAGTCTTTCCCACATTTGTTTTATTTTATGGCTAAAAGTCATTTCTGCATTTGCAAATTACTTCCAAAGCCTACCTTCCTTGAGCTCTTTAACTCTCTATAGTCTTCTGGTAATTTTCTTTAGATTTCCCTTTTCAGAACCCTTTTGTGACACTGAAAACCTGAGTTTTCAAACTGATACATCTACCTGAGAATTTTCACATATAATTTGGTCAAAAAGTTAAAAAATAAGAAGACTTTGCCCTGTGACTGAGGTGCTCAGAAGGTATGGCTGGCTGCTCACAAAGGCACATAGTGAGTGATAGGGGCTGAAAGGGCTCAGAGAATGCCCGAGTTCTCTTAGTACAGTTTGTACATTTTAAACCACTGTGAACTGAAAAAAAAAAAAAAGGCAACCTTGGTAGTTTAGAAATAGATAAGGACCCACTTATAGATTAAATAATAATTAGCTTGTTCCAGAGAGACCAGTGAAGATTAGTTGGTTTATTTAATGTGTTAGAAAGATGGTCCTCAAAGTCCTTGAAATGTGAAGGCGGCTTTTATCTCCTTAAGAAAACAAGAAAACTCCACAAAATCTTGAAAGCTAGATAATCCTAGCTTAAATGATAAAATTTGAGTAGAGTTTGAAAACACTAAAATCAGTTTGCCAAATAACCAGCTCTAATTTCTTTATACCAAAGCCAAACTTCACCTAAATCTTACCTAAGAATTGAGTTCCTTATTGTAACCAGATAGGAGACACTTTTGTATATTATTCCAAATATTGCAAACCTACAAGGAGTAAAAGGTGTTATTATTTTAAAGAAGAAGGAATGAGGCCTGAGAGGTATTGATTCACTTGGTTGAGGGCTTCAAGTAGCACAAGGCAAAAGCAGGATTTGTTGACTTCCAAACCTGTTTTCTTCCTTCACCATGTGGCCTTTGCATCTTTCCCACACAAATATTATTCCACAAATATTTATTGTCACCAACTATAATAAAAGAACAGAACTATGTATCAGAGAGGCTGCAGGAGTGAGTTCTACCCAGGTCCACACTGCTGCTCACAGTCAAGTAAACTGCAGGCCGTTTTTGTGATGCCTGGCTGGAACGGCAAGTGAGGCATGGTATTCATTGGCTGGGCGCGGTGGCTCACGCCTGTAATCCCAGCACTTTGGGAGGCCGAGGCGGGCAGATCACGAGGTCCGGAGATTGAGACCATCCTGGCTAACACGGCGAAAACCCGTCTCTGCTAAAAATACAAAAAAATTAGCCGGGCGTGGTGGCGGGCGCCTGTAATCCCAGCTACTCGGGAGGCTGAGGCAGGAGAATGGCGTGAACCCGGGAGGCAGAGCTTGCAGTGAGCCGAGATCATGCCACTGCACTCCAGCCTGGGTGACAGCGAGACTCTGTCTCAAAAAAAAAAAAAAAATGGTATTCATTTTCTCTTCTTTAGGGACACCTAGGCTTATATCACTTTCTACAGTTGCTCTCTTTTCCAATTCCAATTTAGTTGGTATAACAATTACAAGTTTAAATTGGCTAATGCCTCAAAATGTTTTGTTATGGCTTTCCATTCCATTCATTTTTGTTTTTGAAAAATTAAATATTTAAAAATATTAAATAACTTTTCGCTGAAATCAGTCTTTTTTTTTTTTTTTTTTGAGACAGTCTTGCTCTGTGGCCAGGCTGGAGTGCAGTGGCACGATCCTGGCTCACTGCAGCCTCCACCTCCTGGATTCAAGCGATTCTCCTGCCTCAGCCTCCTGAGTAGCTGGGACTACAGGTGCACATCACCACACCCAGCTAATTTTTGTATTTTTAGTAGAGATGGGGTTTCACCATGTTGGCCAGACTGGTCTCAATCTCTTGACCTTGTGATCTGCCTGCCTCAGACTCCCAGAGTGCTGGGATTACAGGCATGAGCCACTGTGCCCAGCCGGAAATCAGTTGTCTTATATGTGAAGTCCATAGTATTTAAGGCCTAGTGGTTGAATATAATAGACAAGCTACAGTGCGGTGTTTTCTCTCACTAATAAGAGTAGATTTGGGCCGGGCGCGGTGGCTCAAGCCTGTAATCCCAGCACTTTGGGAGGCCGAGGGGGACAGATCATGAGGTCAGGACATTGAGACCATCCTGGCTAACATGGTGAAACCCCGTCTCTACTAAAAATAGAAAAAATTAGCCAGCCGTGGTGGCGGGCACCACCATCAATTGCCTGTGATTTTGCCATGCTTTTCAAGTGATTGCTTTCTTAAAGAGGACCATGATGAAACTTTCCACAAATCTGAGTTAAATCATCTTCACAGTTTACAAAGGTTATAATCATTTAGGATTTCTCCATGTTTGTCATCAGGAAACTGTGATTTTTCTCTACCATAACAGGGTTCTTCCCCATCTGGCTATTCTATCTCACCTGTTCTCTCTAGAAGGAAAAGCCTCATGCCTTTGGCCTTAGTTGGAAAGCATTGGCCTTGCTGGTCCTTGGCCTCCTATATCTGTCATAGCTCTGCAGGCTGAAGCACTAGTGAGCCTCCTATCAAGAGAAACTCCCAGGGAAATGAGAAATAACTTCATTTCTCCAAGGACTTCACGGTCCCACGTGGACGAGGCAGGTGCTTGCTAGGGCTGGGGAAGTCTTACCTCAAAAGAGGCAGAGAAGCCTCTTGGGTTTACTTTTAATGGTTTTGAGAAGCAGCAGCTTCAGAGGAGAGCTACCCCAGCAGGAACACAGGCCTCAGCCAGCCCTGGACTTCTGCCAGGGTTGGGGAGGGCCCCACAGCAGCAGGACTGACTTCACAAGACTGGATTTCTCCCAGTTAAGTTCATAAGTCATGGACTCAGGACAGCTGCCCAAGATCTTGAGTGGCATTTTGGAGAGCCTGAAGCCAAGGTTCTTCTGCAGGGGACTGCAGCTGTGCAGAAGGAGTCAGAGTCTACCACCATTGCTAAATGAGCCCTCTGGCTGACCCCAAACCAAAAAAAAAAAAAATTGGACAGAATAAGTTTGGGACTTTTAATTTCTTTAGACCACAGTTTTCAAGAAAAATGCCTTTTTTTTTTAGACCTTAATACCTCCCTGAGAATTTAATAATGTGAAGTATTTCATATAGTTCAAATCAGGGCATTTTAATATTGCTGGCATTTATTATTTGGAGAAGTTTTATGCCTTCATTTGCGTTCACTGCATAATCTCCAGTGAGCTCTATTGAATGTCCTACCTGAGGAAATGTAAAATGAAGAACAGACTACGGAGTGAATTTCCAACCTATGGCATTTATGACCTTCAGTAAATGCAGCCAATGTTCTGTTCTTACCCATTTCAGAACCTTCAGGGTCCAATCACTGACCTCAGGAGGACTCCTGAAGGAGTCGTGATGATGGCCCGGAGCAGGCTTCCAGGTGAGGGGGAAGGCTCAGGGACACTCAGCACCCTTACCCAGGGGGAACAGCTGCATCTGGCTGTGCTGCGCCCTAGGGGTTAAGAAAGCCAAACGAAGCCAGCACACCAACCCTCCATGGCTCACACTTGGAATCTCAGCACTTTGGGAGGTTTAGGCATGTAGATTGCTTGTATCTAGGAGTTTGAGACCAGCCTAGGCAACATGGCAAGACCCTGTCTCTACAAAAAGTTTAAAAATGTACACGTGTACCTGTGTAACAAACCTGCACATTCTGCACGTGTCCCCGAACTTAAAGTAAATACAAATTTTAAAAATAATAATAAAAATTAGCCAGGCCTGGTGGTCCACGCCTGTAATCCTAGCTACTTGGGAGGCTGAGGTAGGAGGATCACTTGAGCCCGGGAGGTGGAGGTTGCAGTGAATGGTGATAGTACCATTGCATTCCAGCCTGGGCAACAGACCGAGACCATATCTCCAAAACAAAAACAAAAACAAAAACTAAGAAAGCCAAACATAAGCCAAACACTGGGGAGGCAAGGGAGAGGGACATTTCCCTCTCTCTTCAGATGTCAGCCTAAGTCCATAAAGATGAGTGTTGCCTTCCTCAGATGTTTTGGGGACTAAGCCTTCTTCTTTTCAGACTCCCTGTATCCTCGCAGGATGAAGGAGTGACTCATTCAGGCTGCTGAGATTGCTAAAGTCTCAATATGCAGACTGGCCTCCTTCCTCTGGTTCTCTTTTGGATCTTGCCTGTCCCCAAGTAGCATGCAGTCTTCCCTTTGGTCTTGTTCATTTTCTGTAGTTGATTCATGGGGGCCTTCTCTGCCTCTGTTGCAAGGCAGGACATAGCAGGCTTGTCACTGCCTTGTAAGTAAATTCCATTTGCTGGGGGAAGAGGAATGGGAAGACCAACCTGGATTTGGCTTCCAGTCACAGTCTCCAATCCACCTTAAAAAGGACTGAAGCTGCTATTACCATCTTTATTTGAGTCTATTGTGCTGCTGTGAACAGGTTTCAGTTGAATTCAGAACTTTAGAGGGGACCTTAAAGTCCCCTCTAAATTAGTATTAATTAGTACCCTAAACACTCAACATGGATCATCTTCCTTCACATGTCAAGAAATATGACAGTGACTGGGCATGGTGGCTCACTCCTGTAATCCCAGCACTTTGGGAAGCAGAGGCAGGTGGATCACTTGAGCCCAGGAGTTTGAGACCAGCCTGAGCAACATGGCAAAACCCCGTCTCTACAAAAAACACAAAAATTAGGAAGGTCTGGTGGCACACACCTATAGTCCCAGTGTGTCCGGAATTGGTTCCTTCTGGTGGGTTCTTGGCCTCGCTGACTTCAAGAATGAAGCCGCGGACCCTTGCGGTGAGTGTTACAGTTCTAAAAGATGATGTGTCCGGAGTTTGTCCCTTCAGCTGTTCAGATGTGTCTGGAGTTTCTTCCTTCCAGTGGGTTCGTGGTCTTGCTGACTTCAGGAATGAAGCTGCAGACCCTTGCAGTGAGTGTTACAGTTCTTAAAGATGGTGTGTCCAGAGTTTTTTCCTTCAGCTGTTCAGATGTGTCTGGAGTTTCTTCCTTCCCGTGGGTTCATGGTCTAGCTGACTTCAGGAGTCTCACTGACTTCAGGAGTGAAACCACAAAGCTTCGCAGTGAGTGTTACAACTCTTAAAGGTGGCTCACCCAGAGTTGTTTGTTCCTCCCGGTAGGTTCATGGTCTCGCTGACTTCAGGAATGAAGCCGCAGACCCTCGCAGTGAGTGTTACAGCTCTTAAAGATGGTGTGTCCGGAGTTTGTTCCTTCAGCTGTTCAGATGTGTCTGGAGTTTCTTCCTTCCAGTGGGTTCATGGTCTCGCTGACTTCAGGAGTCTCGCTGACTTCAGGAGTGAAGCCGCAGAGCTTTGCAGTGAGTGTTACAACTCTTAAAGGTGGCTCGTCCAGAGTTGTTTGTTCCTCCCGGTGGGTTTGTGGTCTCACTGACTTCAGGAATGAAACCGCAGACCCTCGCGGTGAGTGTTACAGCTCATAAAGGTAGTGCGGACCCAAAGAATGAGCAGCAGCAAGATTTATTATGAAGAGCGAAAGAACAAAACTTCCACAGTGTGGAAGGGGACCCAGGTGGGGTTGCTGCTGCTGGCTCCAGTGGCCAGCTTTTATTCTCTTATTTGGCCCTGCCAACGTCCTGCTGATTGGTCCATTTTACAGAGTGCTGATTGGTCCATTTTACAGAGTGCTAATTGGTGCATTTACAAACCTTTAGCTAGACACAGAGTGCTGATTGGTGCGTTTTTACAGAGTGCTGATTGGTGCATTTACAAACCTTTAGCTAGACACACAGTGCTGATTGGTGTGTTTTTACAGAGTGCTGATTGGTGTGTTTGCAAACCTTTAGCTAGACACAGAGCGCTGATTGGTGTGTTTACAATCCTTTAGCTAGACAGAAAAGTTCTCCAAGTCCCCACCCGACCCAGAAGCCTAGCCAGCTTCACCTCTCACCAGCTACTTGGGAGGTTGAGGTGGGAGGATCACCTGAGCCTGGGGAGGTCAAGGCTGCAGTGAGCTGTGTGTGATCGCACCACCTTGGCGACAGAGTGAGATGCTGACTCAAAAAAAGAAAAAAAAAGAAAAAGAAAAAGAAACATAACAATTAACTGTAGAGTTCCACCTCCACAGCATACCTTCTGTCATAGGAAAGACTGATTTTCTCAGTTCCAGTTTAAAATCCTGGGAAAGTGTCTTACATCTATTTGGATAGCTACTATTAACAAAACAAAACAGACAATAAATGTTAGCAACGGTATGAAGAAATTAGAATCCTTGTGCACTGTTGATGAGAGTGTAAAATGAGGTAGCCACTATGGGAAAAAGTATGAAGCTTCCTAAAAAACTAAAATAAAATAGAACAGGGTACGGTGGCTCATTCCTATAATTGTAGCACTTTGAGAGGATTACTTGAGGCCAGGAGTTTGAGACCAGCCTGAGTAACAAAGTGAGACCTTATGTCTATTTAAACTTCTTTAAATGCAAAAACAAACAAAAAATCAAAATAGAGCTACCATATGATTCAGTAATACCACTTTTAGGTATATATCCAAAAGAATTGAAAGCAGGGGCTCGAAGAGATATTTGTACACCCATGTCGATAGCAGCATTATTCACAAGAGCCCAAAGGTGTCCACTGATGGATGAATGGATTTTTAAAATGTGGTATATACAATACATACAATGAAATATTTTTCAGCCTTTAATAGGAAGGATGTTCTGACACATGCTACAACATGGATGAACCTTGAGGACCTTATGCTAAGTGAAAGAAGCCAGTCACAAAAAGACACATACTATATGATACCACTTATGGGAGGTACCTGGAGTAGTCAAATTCATAGAGACAGAAAGTAGAATGGTGGTTGCCAGGGGCTGGAGAAAGGAGAATGGAGAGGTGTTTAATGGGTTTCAGCTTTAATGTTTAATGAGTTTCAGCTTTGCAAGATGAACAAGTTCTAGAGATTGATTGAACAACAATGTGAATGTTCTTAACACAACGGATCTATACACTTGAAAAATGTTTAAAGTTGTAAATTTAATGTTAGGTGTTTATTACCACAATTAAAACAAAAATCTTGGGAAAGATTTTTGATGAACACCCCCTGGATCAGGAGATCCATCCTGAAGCAACCAATCGTGGCCAACAGGCAGTGAGCTCAGAACACAGGAGCCCGCATTCATGTGGAGGGAAGAGCATTGAATGTTCACTACTGCTGACCTTCATATAATTTGAAACTAGTGAGATGTGGGGAAGCTCGAATCCTGAGGCTGAAAAATATCTGTAACAATGCAATTCATAAATGGAAGTGAAGATTCATTGAGATTTCTGCAGAAGTAACAATTCTGTAGTTTTCTAACAAAAGAAAGAGGTGAAATATTTATTATTTTTGAGTTGTCCTAGTCAGAGATATAAAACTAATAAATCTCAGTAGTACAATCTGAGATGACAGGACAGGGAGTGCAGGAAAGATGGGCTTTTTGCTAAAGCTCTGGGATAGATAAAGAATTCTTGCATGGTAAATATTTCTCAATGAGGTATGGTCTTTTGAGTTCAGCCATTTGAGGTCATGTGCAATTCAGAGCAATAAGGATTCAGTGATTTTAAAATAAAAACTTCTTGCTTTTGTAATATTACCTAGCACTTTGGGATAAAATGTTAATCATTGATTTTCTGTTGAAACTCAGATTTCTGCTGGGCTAGTAACTCATTCTAAGTAGTCTTCCTGTGTGGATGATGAACTGGACTGTCTGGGAGACAGTGTATATCAGCAAAACACCTCAGGATTCAGATTATTGATGAAAATTGAGATGGAGTCACTGGGCAGAGCTGTGTAAAGGAGGAGGGAAGGGGAGGTACATACAGCATTTGCCTTCCCAGCCCTCTGTGGTTCTTCTGCCAAGAGCATCCCCTTTTGGGGTTGAACTGTTTCTACCTCACTTCAGTATTGTGGTTCAGTGGGTCCCAATCTGATTGCTCTGCTTTCCTGGGTACAGGATGGGTGTGTGACTCAAAGGCATTGAAATCCTTGAGAGATGATGTTTAACCTGGAAACAAGGGAAGAGAGTCCCTTCTTCTCTCACAGCAAAGATGATACAATCACTGGCCATGGTTATAGGCTTGAGGAGAATGCCAGTTTGAGTGGATAAAATGATGTGAAGAGAGAAGCAAAGTTAGAAAGGGAAGATATAGGCTGGGTAAAGTGGCTTAAGCCTGTAGTCCCTGCACTTTGGGAGGCCAAGGCGGGCGGATCACTGAAGTCAGGAGTTCAAGACTAACCTGGCCAACATGGTGAAACCCTGTCTCTACTAAAAATACAAAAATTAGCCAGGACAGTGGCGGGCGCCTGTAATCCCAGCTACTAGGGAGGCTGCGGCAGAAGAATCACTTGAACCCAGGAAGCGGAGGTTGCATTGAGCTGAGATTGCGCCACTGCACTCCAGCCTGAGCAACAGAGTAAGACCCTGTTTCAAAAAAAAAAAGAGAGAGAGAAAGAAAAGAGAAAAGAAAACAAAACCAAAGAAAGACATACACAGATGGTCAGGTGCAGTGGCATGTGCCTGTAATCTTTGCCAGTTGGAAGGCTGAGGTGGGAGGATTGCTTGAGTCCAGGAGTTCAAGGCCGCATTGTGCTGTGGTGATGCTACTGGACTCCAGCCTGAGCAACAGAGCAATACCCTGTCTCTAAACAAACAAACAAAACAGAAAGACATACAGAGATGCATACCTCACAGCATTTGGGTTTTCTGTTTGGGTTGACCTAGAAGTGCAGCCTTACTTACCCTTGTCCGCCCACCCTGAGGTTTGGTTTCAGGTTCCATGCATGGATCCATTTCTCTTCTGCCCAAGCTGGTTGGAGTTGGATATCTGTCACTTTCAATTAAAAGAGTCCAGGGGTACAGCTCAGGGCATCAGGCTCAGGCCACCCAGCATTCCTATAGGGTGGAGGAGACTAGGCTATTGCCTGCTTTTCATGAGAAAACAAGGAGTAGCACGAAAAGTATCTTGAACCCTAGACTAAGAGCAAACGAGAGAGATCTGGTTTCCACTCCCACCGTTAATGTGTGGTTAATCTTGGATGAGTTACTTTCTGGTTCTTCCCTTTCTACACTCCAAATTTCTGTGTATTTGAACATTTAAAAGTGATCATGTGGCCAGGCATGGTGGCTCACGCCTGTAATCCCAGCATTTTGGGAGGCCGAGGTGGTTGGATCACGAAATCAGGAGTTCGAGACCAGCCTGACCAAGATGGTGAAACCCTGTCTCTACTAAAAATACAAAAATTAGCCGGGCATGGTGGCACACGCCTGTAATCCCAGCTGCTCAGGAGGCTGAGGCAGGAGAATCATTTGAACCCAGGAGGCAGAGGTTGCAGTGAGCTGAGATCGCGCCACTGCACTCCAGCCTGGGCGACAGAGCAAGACTCCGTCTAAAAAAAAAAAAAAAAAAGAAAGTGATCATGTGTCACATTTGCCTCAGGAAACTTTAAAAGGGATAAAACAGTTATGGAACAACAAATGCTATTAACATTTTTCCTACATAAGGAGATCTAGAAAAACAAAGGCAAAGTATTTTAGTACCTGAAGAAACAGGTACTAGACAGTGTATAAACATGTCAAGTTCAACCAGTTAGAGAAGGAGAGAGACTCTTCCGTTCACTGGGTCTTCTACATAAACACATCTCAAGATTTTTATTGCAAACCAATAGCTTCTCCTCTGAGCCATACCCCTAGGATGGTTAGACATTTCCCTATGGCACTCAGCAATCGCAGAAACATCAAAGTCCAGGACAATGGCAACAACTAACTTGATGTTAGGCAATGAGAGGTAAGAATTAGCTGAGCATGAAAAGAGGAAACGTACAGAGAAAAATGGAAAACCTTAACCCAGGCTGCTTAAGAGACTCTGGATAAAATCTGGGGGTGGAGGGATAGAAGGGCATCACCAGCAAAAAGCCACAGGAGCACTCTTTGAGGCCCTTGTCTCCCGTTTGGAAAGGATGCAGCATTTTATTGAGGGAGCGGCAGCATCCCCAGGCAGCAGGGCAAGACAGGGCATGTCACACGCTTGTGCAACAGCTTTCTCGGCTCACACCCTTGACTTCTTAGATCCCATCTGATTGCTCAGGTTCAGCTTGTATTACTCGGAGCTTGCTCTCTTCTGGGACAATTTAAATTACTGACACCTTTACATCATTTTTAAAATAGGGCAGTGTGCCTAACAGAAAGAGTTGTATTCTTTGGAATGGAAATGCAGTGATTTGATGTTCTCTCCGTGGTTCAAAGCCCAGAACAGACTCCTGGTGATCCTGGACAAATCCTGGATCTGAGTTTTGGCTTTTCTTTCTATGAAATGGAAAAATACGTTACCAATAGGTTCCAGGACGTCCATGTATGAAGCCACAGGTGGAAGAACTGGCCCAGCCTCACAGCATCACTTTACCTCCTTGCACCATTTTTCTCATCAGAAAGTGAAGGAGTTGGCCTAAACTGAGATTTGTGAGTCAAATTGGATAATTCAATCACAAACACCCCAAAATGTATGTAAGACACACTGGAAATACTTCATATTTTCATACATGAAAATGACCCTGTGTTGTCTGGAAGAGAGTGGGTGCTCTTGACATTATTTGTCATAAGCACACTTGGTGATTTTCTTTGATCTCTAACCTTACAGTTTAGAATGCTTACAGAGTTCCTTTTGGCTCCTTAATTCCACATGATTAGTATACCTGATTAGGATTCATTAATCATCTTTGGCTGTCCAAGGAGGTTTATGCATGTTTAACGACTTGAGACACTGGGGCCAGCCTGGGGACACCAAGTCATTCTATGTTACCTAAGGGTTCCATTTTGGCGATGAAAGTTAAAGTATGCTGGGATATACAGAATCAGCATAAATGTTATTACTTTAAAAATTCTTTCATCTCACTCCTCAGTTCTGCAAACCTCCACCCAAATCCTTGGGCAGTCATCTGGAAATGGCTTTGTACTGATTTACAGGGCAATGTAATTTCTCCTTCCCACTGCCTCAGGACAATGCTGGGAGAGACTGGTTCTCAGAATGCATGGGTAGATGATTCTAAATGACATTCCAAGATTCCTTCCAGTTCTGTGAGTTTGAGAAACAAACATATGCTACCCTGTGGGCCTGGCTCTCTAACTAACTATTCTCCCTCCACAAAATACATCCCTTCAACAACCTGCAACTTGCCATTGTCTGCCATGAACTTTGAGTGGTTGTGCAAATTCAGATAAGTGTGACTGCATCTAGTGCAAGCTGAATGGAGGTGAATTATTTGGTGTATTCGTCCACTCTCGCACTGCTGAGAACTACCTGAGACTGGGTAATTTATAAAGAAAAGAGTTTTAGTTGATGCAGAGTTCCATGGGCTGTACAGGAGGCATGGCTGGGAGGCCTCAGGAAACTTATGATCATGGCAGAAGGCAAGGGGAAAACAAGCACGTCTTAATATGGCAAAGTGGTGGTGGGTGGTAGGGGGAAGTGCTGTACACTTTTAAACCATCAGATCTCATGAGAACTTACTCACTAGCACGAGAACAGCATGGGGGAAATCTGCCCCCATGATCCAATCACCTCCCACCAGGCCCCTCGCCCAATATTGGGAATTACAAATCAGCATGAGATTTAAGTGGGGACATAGAGCCAAACCATATCATTTGGTAAGCTTCCACATGCAGCTTCACTCAGCATTGAAGAAACTGAGCTAGAATCCTAATTGCATGGCGACATGTTAGGACTCGATGAGGCCTTCAGCCTTGGCAGAAATGACTTGTGGGAGGATGGGCCTGAAGAACCACAGGCTCTCAAAGGGTGCAGAGTGGCGTCCTAGGATCTTCAGGGGTTTTTGGTGGTCTTATGCCTATCCTCACCTCACTCTTTTAGAATTATCAACCCAGCAACAGACTGTTAGCATTTTCATTAATTTCCTTCTTCCTGCCCTGTACATTCACTCAAGAAATATTTATCAAGCACCTAATATGCTTGATGCTGGGGATACAGCAGTGAAAAAGGCAGGTGCAGTCTCAGCTTCTCTGGGAAGTTATGGTCTAGTGTGGAAATGGACAACAAACAAGTACTATTGCAGAGGCTGGTGAGTTTCCAGAGAAACAAGCAAGGGCTGAGCCAAGAGATGACCAAGAACCAGGCTAAGTATGGTCTTGTGGGCCCATTAGGAGTCTGATTGTTGTTCTAAATGTAACGGGAAGCTGTTAGAGGACTTTGAGCAGAGGAGCTACATGATCTACCTTACGTATGTTTTCAAAAGTTCACTGTGGTTGCAGTTTGGAGATTGGATTCTAAGTCAGTGATGTCAATGCAAGGAGTCCAGGCCCAGGAGTCTAGAAGAGATCATGGGAGCTTGGACGAGGCAGGCAGCATGGAGATAGAAGTCGATAGAGCACAGAAAAATTGTGAAGCAGAACAGATTGAATTTGAGAATGAGGAAAGATGAAACCTCCTTTGAAACTCTGCTGAAAGGGGTGCAGGATAATTAATAATAATAAGCAGTTTTCTGTCTCTAGGGGTGAAGACATCAACTTTGGAACAGACCTCTCCTTGTTTTAGCAGAATTATCACAATAGGTATAGTATATGTAACCTCATTCTTTCATTCAACAAATCTTCACTGTATTCAGTACAGTAACATGCTGTATAGGCTTAGGCTGTATCATATAGCCTAGGTGTGTGCAGGCTGTGCCATCTAGGTTTGTGTAAGCACACTCTATGATGTTCACACAACGATGAAATCGCCCAAGGATGCATTTCTCAAAACATATCCCTGTTGTTAAGCGATGCGTGACGGTACTTGTTGAATGAATGAATCTGAACACATCTGTTGATGTTCTGGTTTGGGACTATAATTTGTTGTCTAAGTTTGAGTAGAATTTGTGACTCCAAGGAGGTGGGCTTAAAAAAATTGTTTTTGGAGATAGTTAATTGTTGTGCTGATGAGAAGCAGCTTTTTCTTTCATTTTGATATTTCATATGAGGCGTATTCTTACGTCATTAAAAAGTCTTCACACACACCCTGCTTGGATATGCCTCAGATGCACACACCACAACATGCTGAGCCAGTCTTCCCTCCCCTCCAGCTCCCTCCCCTCAAGCCAGCTGCTCCCCTTGCCCCTGCCCAGTTCGTTTTGATGGTTACAGAAATGCCTCTCACCCCCAGCAGCTTTGAATTCTTGTTATTTTTAATTAATCTTTGCTGCCTTTCTATACAAGACATAAGCCAAACAATACAATTAAATGACAGTCCCTGCTTATCTCTGAGGCAGTGTGCGTGGTTCTTTGGAGCTGGCACTCAGTTTGAAGCATGAGAAAAAGAAGAGGAAAAAGCAAGACTTTTCACATCCTGAACTGGCTTCTGCTCCCGTCATCCCTGAATTTTCTCTCTCTGTGCTTTGCCTTAGTATTTCCTCTGGCCTCATAAAGAAAAGGAAAGAACAAAACAACCCACAGATTATTAACTCTACAAAAGTCGTTCTCAAACAGCCTGGATGGTTGTCTGAAATAGGCATGTGTTGACTTTGCACAGGTGGTGAAACGAGTGGTCTGTGGCTAGTTTTCAGGCTTCCATGTGGAACCCTTCTGTGAGGCAGCCCTCATGAAGAGTGCTGATCCCAAAAATGCACACGCGTATGAGCAGAGCCAGCGGGGCTGGGAGTGGAAAATACCAGTGTGTAAACACGTTAGAGATGGTGCCAGGAGTTGTGCCCCTTTCTCTAAAAAAAAAAAAAAAAAAAAGTTAAATAAATTCTGATGCTTTTTCCACTTTGAAATCTTTTAAGGATGTAAGAGGTAGAAGCAGTGTGCATCCCCTGTGTAATTCTGCCCACTAGTCCACAGAGAGCGTGCCTCTTAAATAACCTCTTTAGGGATTTCACTTGTGCGGAGCTTAAAGATCTTTTAAACATCTATACTAATCTTTAAAAATAAAGCAAAATGAGGCCAGGTGCAATGGCTCATGCCTGTAATCCCAGGACTTTGTTGGACCAAGGTGGGAGGATCACTTGAGGGCAGGAATTCGAGACCATCCTGGGCAACATAGCGAGACCCCTATCTCTACAAAAAAAAAATGAAGCACAATGGGTATACCTTGAAGACATTATGCTAAGTGAAATAAACCAGTCACACAAAAGGGCAAATTCTTATGATTCCACTTACAGGTGGTACTTAGAGTGGTCAAATTCATACAGACAGGAAGTAGAAGGGTAGTTGCTGGAGCTGGGGAGTGGCGGGAGTTATAGTTCAATGTGTACAGAGTTTCAGTGTGGGAAGATGAAAAGGTTCTGGTGGTGGATGGTGGTGACGATTGCACAAAAATATGACTGTACTTACTGCCACTTAACTGTACACTTGAAAATGGTAAATTTTATGTTATGCATATTTTGTCAATAAAAAAATGAAGCAAAGTAGGCAAGGAAATAAACTGAGGTAAAGAGAGTAGGATGGATATCTTTTCCTATCTGTTGGGGTCAGAATAAAGAAAGTAATAGGACTTTGACTTTTGGTTTCTTTTTGCTACATAAACTATGATTACTGCCTCTCTCCCACTTTTTAAAATTGTTGTTTGTTTTTGAGACAGGGTCTCACTCTGTCACCCAGGCTGGAGTCCAGTGGCGCAATCTTGGCTTATTGCAACCTCCGCCTCCCGGGATCAATCATTCTGTATGACTCCGCATACAAGAGGTACTTAGAGTGGTCGGATTCATAGAGACAGGAAGTAGAATGGTGGTTGCTGGAGCTGGGGGCAGCAATTCTCCTCCCTCAGCCTCCTGAGTAGCTGGGACTACGGGTGCGGGACACCATGCAAGGCTAATTTTTAATTTTTTTTTTTTTTTTTTTTAGTAGAGACGGGGTTTCACCATGTTGGCCAGACTGGTCTCAAACTTCGGACCTCAAGTGATCCGCCTGCCTAGGCTTCCCAAAGTGCTGGGATTATAGGCGTCAGCCACTGGGCCCAGCTTCCCTTCCTCACGTTCTCTGGGAATAATGATAAGGGAAAAGGATCTTTAGCTCCAACTACAAAAAGGGCAGCAGAAATAATCTTGTCTCATTCCAAATAGATTTTCTCCCCTGCTCATGTTGCCTACTTCTCTTCTCACTGCTCTCTAAACAGGATGGCTGGGTCTGATTGGCAATCGCAGCAGAGCCCAGCATCTTTCACATATAGAAGTACTCAATGAATAATACTTGTGAAAATTGAATTTCTGCCTTTTTACGAAATATGTATTTCATAAAGAAGCTTCTTTGTACTTGCTAAATGAGAATCTACTAAGAGGGAAGGATCCCTCCCACATGCAGGGGTTCCTCTGGACTGTCTTTTTTTTTTTTTTTTTTTTTGAGATGGAGTCTCACTCTGTCTCCCAGGCTAGAGTGCAGTGGCGCGATCTTGGCTCACTGCAAGCTCCGCCTCCCGGGTTCATGCCATTCTCCTGCCTCAGCCTCCCAAGTAGCTGGGACTACAGGCGCCCGCCACCATGCCCAGCTAATTTTTTGTATTTTTAGTAGAGACAGGGTTTCACCGTGTTAGCCAGGATGGTCTCGATCTCCTGACCTCATGATCTGCCTGCTTCCGCCTCCCAAAGTGCTAGGATTACAGGCGTGAGCCACCGTGCCCGGCCTGGACTGTCTTTATAGATCAGTGCAAAATAGGCAAGAAGGACAAAATAATATTTTGAGATTAAATTATGTTTCCTCCTTTGCTGCTGCTTTATTCAAGCACTTAGCTGAGGGTGTTCCTTGTTGAACTGGAGGAAATTTGGGGGCAGAACACTATAAACAGTCCTTCAGAGAGCTTGTTACCTGTAGGCTCAATAAGGCCTCAGATAAGCTGGAGTTTGCCCCTCAAAATATTGATCTGTACAGTGTTTTGCTGAAATTTACATTTGTAGATGTTTAAAAATGAGATGTCACATAAAAATCTGGGTTCCTGGGTTTTCTTTCAAAACGTGAAGACAGCTCAAGCAACTTCATTTGCCTGCTTGGCAACAACCAGCTGGATCTGAACTTCAGCTGTTGCATTTAGGATGGCATAATAATCAGGATAATGTGAGCTGCTGTAACAAATCGCCTCTCATATTTCAGTGACATAGCACAAAAGAAGCTGATTTCTCACTTACATATGACAAGTCTGGTGCAGGTGATTCAGGGACCTGGGGCTCCCTCTTTGCTGTGTCTCCACTGTCCTTAGGGGCCAGGGAGTTTTTTGTTTTCAGCCTGTGGAATGGGAAAAAGGAAGTGGAGAAGCACACCCATTTCTCAACCACCCTGGCCTGAAAGTGACACACATCCACTTGGCCCACATTCCACTGGGGGGACCCAGTCATGTGGCTCACCTAGATGCAAAGGGAGCTGGGAAACATGAAGCCGGTTTGAGCAGCCACTTCCTGCCATCAACCCTATCCCATGGATGGGGGAATCATAAATGTGCAGTGGCCGCGTGCACCTGTGCCACAAATGGACAGGTGAACTCAATTTGCCACAGTTCCCACTACTTGTTTCATATCCCTGAGTGGCCCCTGGAGGCATTTGAGTTTGTGGCTCTGGTTTAAGGTGTTTGTGGGCACAGTGTGAGGAAGAAACATGGAAAAGACAGATTTTCTCTAGACTGAAAAGGAGATTGCCCAGGGGCGGGAGGAAGACAAACAGAGGTCAGTGGGTCCTGAGGCTGACTGTATGTGTGACTTGTGTCCCTGAAATACCATCTTGGAAACTGCAGGACCCCCGGGAGGAATGGCTGCAGGGGATGTCTTAGCAGATGAGACAATAGCCACCGCCACCCCACCCCAAATTCCTGTGCCCCTAGTGGGATACAGAAGTAGTAGGTTGCTCATCAACCCAAGCAGCCACATCAGCTTGGGCAGTGGAAACAACTCAGCCATATCTTTTGGGAACAGAGGACCAAATGGATGTGCTGTCCCTTCTCCCAACCCACTACATGGGACTGTGTATAGCCCTGGTGTTAGGAACTAACTCCAGGAAGGATGAAGGCTGACTCCCTTAGTCTCCAGTAGATAAGCTGCTAGGGGCAGCTACTAATATATAATAACTGAGTTATTTACGTAAAATAATGGATATGTGATGCTTCTTGCATGCCTGAGTTTCTGGGCTGAGATTTATTCTGTCTTGAATGTCGCGGTTTTCTTAATGAAGTTGCTGAGGAACGCAGGGGCCTTGTTCATTTTGCCTTTTTCTGGAAACTTTGTCCTCCAATTCCCAGATCCAGAGCAGTGCCTCTGCTCTCAGCCCCATACCGCCCACATTCTCATTAGGAAAAGCAAACAAAAGCCAAAGTCCTGTCCAGTTACAAGCCTTCTCTAAACGGGGCAGTTGGACTGTATATATTCCTGGCGCATCAATTTTACTCAGACAGGGAAAATATTTTTACATTAAAAGAAACTAGGTTAAATTATGGTAGAGAATGCAAAATTCACAGTTTAAAAATGATGAAATTCCAGACTTCAAAGGAACTTCTTTCTTGCAGGGTAGGGGGAGGGTATTCTGTTTCAGAACCCCATGCGGGTCTCCACTGGAGTTCTTTTGAGAAGGACACTTCTGTGGAAAAGTTTGAGCAGCTCTGGCCCTGCGCCTGGCCTGGCTAGGGGCCACCTTCTTCTGGTTTGGGCTGCAGCGCCCTATGGGTATCGCGTTCTTGTTAATATCTCCTCACGTTTCTAAACTCACAGCTTGTCAGCGCGGGCGCAACCTGAGAGCTGTCGCAGGTTTCCAGCTCACTCGTTTCCCAAAGGAGGAAATGGAGAATCAGCGACTTTAAAGGACTTGCCTGGCGGGCATCCACGCTTCCCAGGCTATCGCTCCTCCCTGCGTCCTTGGCCACCTCCGTTCTTTAATCCTGCAGGAACTCAGGACCCACGTGCAAATACAAAGAACCGTATCCACCCACCCCCGGCCCTTCTTCATCCTGCGCTTCCAACCTTGGGGGGGTCCTCTCTCTCCACTGGGGTATCTGACGCCCGTGGGGGGTGCTTAGAAAAGTTTGGTAGATTAGTGACTGGTGGTTCTGGAACAAATACATCACAGCCCAAACTGGGGGCTGGTGGTGGAGAGGTGGGTGGATGGGGGCTACAAATCTGCTCGGCAACTGCCCTTTCAGCCAAGAGAGAGGAGCTGAGGTCCTCTGGGGTTGGAGGACTGGAACCGGCCAGATTGCGGGCTCAAGGGGCGAAGGCAGGTTGGCAGGGGCAGCCTCTTCCCGCCGCCCACAATCCTCGGGCGGGCGCGCAGCCGAGCCGGCTCGGCTGGCTGGCGCAATCTCGCGCGCTCCTTGCATTGATCAAAAATGGGGGTTGAAACAGTAAACGCGAGGAGGAGCAACTGCTTCGACTCGGCTCAGAAGCGCGACCAATGGGGATGTGAGCTCCTTCGCGCGAACCAATTAGCGCAGGGCCTGCGACAGCACGGGCCAATGGGGCGCCGACTCGGCGCAGGAACAAGGCGGGGGTTCGGGGCCGGCTGCAGACTCTCACCGCAGCGGCCAGGAACGCCAGCCGTTCACGCGTTCGGTCCTCCTTGGCTGACTCACCGCCCTGGCCGCCGCACCATGGACGCCCCCAGGCAGGTGGTCAACTTTGGGCCTGGTCCCGCCAAGCTGCCGCACTCAGTAAGTCCCCGCGAGCGGGCGCCGGGAGTGAGGTTCAGGCGGGAGCACGCACGCGGGTGGGTTTGCATCCCTGCGTGTGGCAGTCGGATTCCCGCTCCCTGCCTTGAGTCCCCTAGGCGCTTTGCATCAGCGTGCACAGCGGGATCAGCAGCTCCGGCAAGCGGGCTTCGGGAAGAATGCAGTTGGTGAGGAAGCTCGGCGAGGCGTGCCCGTGCAGCTGCCCCTGGCCCTGACTGCTGGTGCGAGGCAGTGCACGACTCAGCTGGCCGGGGCCTGCTGTCCCGCCGGTGCCACGCACCTGCAGACGCCCGGGCTGTGCCATCTCCTGGGCCGGTCCGGGGGCTGGGGCGGGGCGAAAAAGAAAAAGCTCTGATCTCTGCCTTCGCCTCGCGCAGCTGTGCGGCGAGCCCGGGCAGTGTGGAGCGGATGCATGAATGGACATAGTGTGAATGAGTGATGAACGGGAATGAACCGATGACAGGTTTTGCATATGCAGTGGATCACGTTAGCTGAAAGGGATTGCAAACTTAAAGGTCCGCGTGTGCGTGCCCCCCTACGCCTTACACCAGTGTTTGCTTTAGCCAGCACTTAGGAACACTGCTTTTCAGAAATGTAAATTTGAAAACCTTCAGTCCAGCTTTCCCCTCCTTGTCCCCCATAGAACCTACCCTTTCCTAAAGCCTTTCTCCCCACCCCCCTCCTTTTTTTAACCTGCTTGTCCCCTAAAGGCGTTCGAGTATTCTAACTCTGGTAGACTTTGGGCTGCTTAACCCAATTCCCTGTTCATTTCGTTCTGGAGTAAACCGAGTGATTGAATTCTCTCCCGGGCCACAATCAGATCTTGCTGGTGGAACTCACTCTCTGCCTTCCCAGGCCCCAGCCCGGCTCCTCCCCTCCCCCGCCAAACCCACCGTCCCCAGCCCCACCCGCAGTGAAGAAGGCAAAGTCTCCGATGTGCCTTGAGCCCATTGTCAGGCGGCTGCCGCCGCCGTTAGATTTTTATTTTTCTAACCAGGATAGAGCTGATAATATGTTGGAGCAGCATGAGGCATAGCCAAGTATTTTACAATTATCAATTGTTGAGCAGAGTAGAAATCTCCCTGGGACAGAGCCTCCTCTGTGTTGTGGTAAGAACAGAGAATCCAATTTTAAAGGGGAAAGGACTTCTTACTTTTCTAGGGGCAGCGCTCACAGTAGCTGAGAGGACAGGGCTTATTTTTTCTCAGTGGTTACAGTTCATTTTAGGCGAGATTCCCTGCTCCAGCTGTGGAGATGTTTCCTGTAGCCTCCTCCTGCACCCCCCATGTTTTGGAGTGTTCCCAACGTTTGTTCCCTATGTATTTCGTTATTAATTTATTACTATAATTGTAATGGCAATTGTCATCAGTAATACAATTATTTGTTATTAATTTTTCTGGGAGGATTTTTGCCCTTGGACTGCATGTAACCTGGGGGGCAGGAGGGTGAGGGGGCAGGCAGATGTTGCTTTTTATGTATTTCCTTGATTTAGTTGAATTGTAAATATTAGAGAAGCTTTCAAACTTCTTTTGACTGTAACCTACAGTGAAAAACATGTTTACAAAATGACAAAGTATACACATTCAATTGTAACAAAAATAAATGCCTTATGAAATGATGTGTAGCCTAATTACCTGTGACATACACTATTTTGTATTCTATCCTGCTCTAGTCTGTTCTGTTTCATTAAAAAAATTAGTCGTGAGCTGGGTGTGGTGGCGCACGCCTGTAATCCAAGCAACTCAGGAGGCTAAGGTGGGAGGATCTCTTGAGCCCAGGAGTTTGAGGCTGTAGTGAACTGTGATTGTCCCACTGCATTCCAGGCTGGGTGATAGAGCAAGACCCTGTCTCTTAACAAAAAAAAAAAAAAAAAAAAAAAAAAAATTGGTTATGATCCACAAAAGCAATGCATTCTTCAACTGGAAAAAAAAAAACCTACTGGATTAGGGAGGTGTGATTTTTCAGTAGGAGTCTTTAAAACTGTTTGTAATTATTTTGGTTATAAACTTTTATAGAACTATTTTCAATGAATGCTGTCTATAAGAAAGATACAGTCTCAGGAGCAAGTTCAAAGATTATTCACAGATGAATGTTTCTCTTTACTAAAAGAAAAGATTCACTCTATTTTATTTGATCAGCTGGTGCTAACAAGCATCCAACATTTCAGAAAACAATAACACATTCTTAGACCCAGTCGTCAAGGCAGTCTTTTTTTTAATCTAATTCTTTTTTTTTTTTTTTTTTGAGAGAAGTCAAGCTCTGTCACGAGGCTGGAGTGCAGTCGCTTGGTCTCGGCTCACTGAAACCTCCGCCTCCCGGGTTCCAGCGATTCTTCTGCCTCCGCCTCCTGAGTAACTGGGATTACAGGCACCCACCACCAAGCCCAGCTAATTTTTGTATTTTTAGTAGAGACGGGGTTTCACCATGTTGGCCAAGATGGTCTCAATCTCTTGACCTCATGATCTGCCCGCCTTGGCCTCCCAAAGTGCTGGGATTACAGGCGTGAGCCACCACGCCCGGCCTTGTCTAATTCTTTATTGTTAAAATACTGTTTTTTGAGACAAGTTGCAATCCAGTTTAGGTTATAGCTGTGTTTTAATGATGCCCTCCTTAGCAAGCATCTTAAAAAAAAAGGTGCCTCCTATCTGTAGACCTTCTCTGGCTGGTTGCTTTTGCACTTATTTTGTGTTCATTTTTAAAGCTTTTCTTTTTCTCTTTATTTTTTATTAAGGGAATCCTCACATACACAAAGATAAAAGTAGTGTAATGAACCTCCAAGGACCCATCTCTGAGACTCAACAATTATCAACATTGTGCCAGTCTTGTTGCAGCACCCTGGGACGAATCTTATTCACAGCAGGCTCTTCCTTCTTCCTGCCCACCCCACGCTTCCCAGTCTAGCACCTTAGACCAAAAGAGATCGGAAAATTGAGTTACCTGTATAATCTGGGCATAATTTTTTTATCGTTGTCCCTTTAACCCAGAACTTTATGCATTCTTTACTTTAGCTTTAGGAGAGTGGTGAATGAGATTTGTGAAGGGGACATTTTCTAGGGAATCGGTAAATTCGGGCCTTTGGAAAAAGTGTATCAACATCAGTCACATTGCCTAATTTCATGCTTACCTTGTGTGTAAGTTGCATAATCGCTGGCTTTGTGGACATGGGAAGGAAGGAGACTGGCTGTGGGTGGGGATGGAAGCCTGGGGACCTCACTGTAGACCCTTCCTTGTCCCCTCGTCAGGTTTGTATGTTCAGAGGGAAAGCAGTGCAGAACATATTTAAATAACCCTATTTTCCTTTATTTTTTTCTAGGTGTTGTTAGAGATACAAAAGGAATTATTAGACTACAAAGGAGTTGGCATTAGTGTTCTTGGTAAGATTTACTTTTGAATTCTGTGAATGTCCATGTTTCAAAGGAAGCTTTTTTTTTTTTTTTTTTTTTTAGAGGCAGGGTCCTGCTCTGTCACCCAGGCTGGAGTACAGTGGCGTGATCATAGTTCACTGCAGCCTCCAACTCCTGGGCTCAAGTGACCCTCCTGCCTCAGCATCCTGAGTAGCTAGGACTATAGGTACACATCACCACACCTGGCTAATTTTTTTTAAATGTTTAAAACATTTTTTAAAGATCCCATGAGATGGGATCTCACTTTGTTGCCCAGGCTGATCTGAAACTCGTGGCCTGAAGCCATCCTCCCACATTGGCCTCCCAAAGTTTTGGGATTACAGGCTTGAGCCACTGAGCCCTGGCCCAAAGGGAACTAATTTAAATGCATCAAATATAGAATTACAGGGCCTATAGGGTCTTCCTATAGGCCTTTATAGATACATTTTTAAACTTTAATAGCTTGGGTTGCATGTCTGATAGAAACCATTTTGAAAATAGCATAAATGCTGGTGAGAGGTTCTGACATCTCAGCTTACCCTGTCATAATTGGTTTTTGCTAATCATAGGATTTAGGATCAGAAGATACTGTATATTTGCATAACAGTGCCTCCAAACATTTATAATATTGCTTTACATTCAATTTACAGTTTTTATTATACTTAAATACAACCTCATTAAAGTTTAAAAGTACATAAGCCTTTTATGAAGACCTCGCACATTGATAATCTTATTAAGTTTCCCCTATATTTTTTGGGAAGAGGACCTCTGCATTCTAAAACTTATTTTCTTTTATTTTTGGCGGTTCTGAAGACTGCATGGTATTAAGAGACCATAGGGTTAACTATATTGCTTATTTCTGTTAAATTTTGCTCCTGTTGGTTTGGGACATATACTTAGATTTCTGTGAAGTGAGATCACAGCATGGAATTTTGTGCTCCAGACCTAAAGGGCAACTGTTGCACATGGATTCCTGTTTGTGAGAAAGAGATGGTAAGAAGAATCACAGAGAGCATCACGGAGTGATGAATTAATAAATAACTTGCTCAGTGAATGTACCACTTGAAAAATCCTTCTGCCATGACTATAAAGCTAAAATGTTTGCAATTTGAAAATCAGTTTGTATGGTCCCCTAAACTAAGTGAGCCTTGGCCCACAATTTGAATGCAGAATAACTGAAATTTCCCTGTATTGTTGTTTACTTGCAAATTTCGTAGGTATTTCTGTTCATTTGGTTTTGAGCTGGAATATTTGTTATTGTTGTTTATCTTTCCTTTCACAGAAATGAGTCACAGGTCATCAGATTTTGCCAAGATTATTAACAATACAGAGAATCTTGTGCGGGAATTGCTGTAAGTTTTAAAAAGACCAAATCATGTTACTTTTGTTAGATACTTCCTAAATCTGGATGTCTTCCAGTATTTTCTACACTCTATTGTTTGTTCAGAATATTTCATAATTTAAAATAATCCTTGTAAGATTCTCTCCAATTCACTATTAGTACCTAACGCTTTTTATTTGTTCCCCATCCCGTGTTTATATGTTTTTGTTTTTATTTTATGTGATATTTCCAAAGATTTGAAATCATTGTATCTAGGAATGATTTTTCAGCACTGTGGCAGTTAAACTGGTGTGAAAGAGATGTAAATGACACAGAAATGGTCATCTTTGTCAGCATAATTGACTATAAACTAGTTCAGGTGTTCTCGAAGTTTGAGTCTCATACGATCTGTCAGAGTCACCTGGTTAGGGGGAATATTAAAAAATTCAAGTGGGGCCGGGCAAGGTGGCTCATGCCTGTAATCCCAGCACTTTGGGAGGCCGAGGCGGGTGGATCGTGAGATCAGGAGATCAAGACCATGCTGGCTACCACGGTGAAACCCCATCTACTAAAAATACAAAAAAAGAAAAAATTAGCTGGGCATGGTGGCGCATACCTGTATTCCCAGCTATTCGGGAGGCTGAGGCAGGAGAATCGCTTGAACCAGGGAGGCGGAGTTTGCAGTGAGCCGAGACCGTGCCACTGCATTCCAGCTTAGGTGACAAAGCGAGACTCCGTCTCAAAAAAAAAAAAAAAAAAAAAAAAAAAATCAAGTGGTGGGCACCACTTAGTCCTGCTGAATCAGAATCTCTGGAGAGACTTTATTTTTAACAGGCTCTTTGGGTAATTGTAAGAGTTCTGAACTGTAGGAACTACTGCTTAGACGAAATCTCCTGGGTTATCTGTACTGCCTTTCCTATCCAGAGAATCCCTTATTCTTAAATAGATTGCTATTTAAAGGAGAGATTTTTATATATTATATAAACATGTTCACATAAACCTACGAATATAGCAAGTTTGAAAGCATACCATTTTTTTTCCTGCTCACAGAAATAATGCACATTTATGGTAGGAAAAACACTGTAGCTCACAACTAAACTGAAATTAACTTTAACCCCACTAATCAGGGATAATCACTAATATGTTAGGACCCATTCTTGCATTATTACATTAACAAAATTGGAATTATACTGATTATTTCAAGTTTTCTTTTTCAAATTGCTTGATAAAATGATTCAGATGGGGCAGGCTTGGTGATATTTCTGTGAGGAGCTGTAGACGCTAATTGCAATGTGAATGTTCAGAGCTGGTAGCCATCTGCTTGGCTTCTCTCGTCCATTGGCCTGCTGAGTATCATGTCACATTCATAGGACAATCCTGTCCTTCATGGAGTGGGTATTTGGAACATCAGCCTGGGAGAGATGACATTTGACCACATGGCTATGAACTTCCTCTGACTGGGGTCCCAGTTCAATTTAAGGGCCTATCTTTTCTTCTCCTAACCTGGTTCCCACCTTGTATACCTGTACCTAGACCTCGGCCTGGTTTCTTTCCATCTAATTCTTGGCCTTGTTAACTGCCCTGCATCTGAATAATGTGAACCTGGAACTCTGTCTTGGGTTATCAGTCTTCCCAGCTGCTAAGAACCTCATGGCCAGAGTCTCCTAAGACCTGCTGGTTGCTTGCTATCCTACTAAGCACTGAATATAGGCCATACATCTTTCAGGACAAGATATTTACACTCCTACCACCCCATTCCCCAAGACCCTGCCACATTGCCCTGCCCTTTATTAATTTACCTCTGTATCTTTGCTGGAGCTCTGTTCCCTGGCCATCTGGCTTCCGTACACCTATTCCCAGGCTCTGACCTTACTCAGTGGCTTGGGTCCAGTTTCCATGGCCTTGTCCTTTTGGAGCTGGGCTTATTTCTACTGCCTGTAGCCATTCTCATCATTATCTTACTTTTTCATCCTGGAGTCAAAGAATTTTGCTTTTTATTTTGATGTATAATAGATACATGATTTCATGGGTAGGCCTAAAACATTATCGAAACCCCCTGCCCAACATCCACCTGGTTCATAGCATGTTGCATAACACAGGATTATTGGTTGCAAGTTATAGGACCCCCAACTCACTGGCTTAAGTAAAAAAGAAATGTATTATCTCACCTAACAGATAAATGCAGGAGAATTTAGGTGCTTCTAAATGACTGCAGGAAGGTGATTTTCCCCCATCTTCTGGCTCTGCTTTCTTATGTGTTCTCTTCATTGGGTGGCCACCATTGGTTGCAGGATTAGCTCCTACAAGTTTCTTCTTTCCCTCAATAGAAACAGCTTTCCTTACCTAGAAGTTTGAGTAAAGGTCTCAGTACCAAATTCCATTGGCCAGCCTGGGGCAGGTACTCATCCCCTTGAGCCAGGGTTGACCACAGTTGAACCATGTCGACTGAGAGTGGCAGAGGGGTAATTTCCTAAAGGAACATCAGGCTGTTGTCACTAAGAAGAGGAGGAAGAGCTTCAGGTCAAACAGTAACCCTAGGCTTTCAACACAGTCTCCAGTAAATAGTTGTCCAAGGATTGCATAAATAAATGAGTGAATTAGGGAAGACAAAGTAGTATTGTAACATTACCATATTTCTTGTAGTAAATCCACCCAAGTTAAAGCACTTGGTAGAGCATCACTTGTTCTCAATCTTTGACCACATGAGTTTATGTATTGACTGTTACCTATGCTTCTGCCCAGAGCTGTTCCAGACAACTATAAGGTGATTTTTCTGCAAGGAGGTGGGTGCGGCCAGTTCAGTGCTGTCCCCTTAAACCTCATTGGCTTGAAAGCAGGAAGGTGTGCTGACTATGTGGTGACAGGAGCTTGGTCAGCTAAGGCCGCAGAAGAAGCCAAGAAGTTTGGGACTATAAATATCGTTCACCCTAAACTTGGGAGTTATACAAGTAAGTTCTGGGAGCTGAGCTGGGTGGTGACGTGCTCAATGGTGGGTTACCCCGACCCAGGGCAATCTGTAGTTTTCAATTATTTTCTCCCCTTGACAGTGTTAGTTCATTACCATTTAGATTGGGTGGCTGTACTAGCTAAGACTAGAGCCTATGCATACTCTTACTTTATTTTATTTTCTATTTTTTTTCTAGACAGAGTTTTGCTTTGTCACCCAGGCTGGAGTGCAGTGGTGCAATCTCAGCTCACTGCAACCTCCGCCTCCCAGGTTCAGGCGATTCTCCTGCCTCAGCCTCCCAAGTAGCTGGGATTACAGGTGCTGGCCACCACGCCTGGCTAATTTTTGTATTTTTAGTAGAGACAGAGTTTAACCATGTTGGCCAGGCTGCTTTTGAACTCCTGACCTCAGGTGATCCGCCTGCCTCGGCCTCCCAGAGTGCTGGGATTACAGGCGTGAGCCACTGTGCCTGGCCTATGCATACTCTTCTTGCAGAAGCTAGTCAGTAGTTAGTAGTAGTTTTTCAGCTAATTAGCTGAAAAAGTCCAGGGGCTGGTTTGGCTTTAGATATGGCTTGATCAGGGGCCCCAACAATGTCTCCAGGACCTGGTGGCTCCACAGGCAGAAAAAGCTGTCCCTTTCTTGAAAGGTGGCTGCAGCTGCTCCTGACCTTATATTCTCCCAAGTTTCAATGCCTTTATGGAGCATTCCCAGTAACGGTCTCATGTCCTGTGCCCCATTCTGAATCAGTCCCTGTGGCCATGCCTGAGTTGCATTCTACCTCTGGGCTGTAGGTTTCATTGGCTCCCCTGGAACTACGTGGGCTGAGAGTAGGTGAGGGCTGGGGTTCCAAGAAGAAACTACTAGTCCATCAATGGATGTAGGATAGATGGATACTGGGCGACAAGTAAAAACTCAGATATCTCCCATGCCTTTTGAAAAAATTTACTTTATTTTATTTTGTTGAGACAGAGTCTTTCTGTGTTGCCCGGGTTGGAGTACAGTGGCTCTTCACAGGCAGGATCATAGCACACTGTAGCCTCCAGCTCCTGGGCTCAAGTGATCCTCCCACCTTAGCCTCCTAAATATCTGGGACTATGGGCACATACCACCATGCCCACCTTCCCATGCCATTTTTGAAGATGATTTGTTCCCAGTAAAAGTCGAAAGGTTGGATCGCTCATCCTCTCAGGATGTTGATAACGATGGTAACAAAGGATGAGGCTGGGAGGTTGCTTTCACTCGTGCAATGCTTTGGAGTCAGTTAGTCTTTCCCTGCTAGGGGAGGCCTGTCAGTCTCCTGGTTGACTCCCATCTATGTAAGGAAAGAGGAGAGTGAAAAGTGCAAAGTCTCAAACTTGTCTTCTGTGATAGAAATTCCAGATCCAAGCACCTGGAACCTCAACCCAGATGCCTCCTACGTGTATTATTGCGCAAATGAGACGGTGCATGGTGTGGAGTTTGACTTTATACCCGATGTCAAGGGAGCAGTACTGGTTTGTGACATGTCCTCAAACTTCCTGTCCAAGCCAGTGGATGTTTCCAAGGTAGAGTATAAAAGGCAGGGTGAGGGGAACCCACTGACTCGGTGTCTGCAGGGACATTTTAATATATACAAGAGCGGGAAGAACCATGGGTGTTTGAGGCCTGCAGAACCCCTGAGCCAGTGCAGCTGCCAGTGAGCAGGCTGCCAGGTGCGAATTCCCAGCTGTTGCAGTGCCTGAGTCCTGCTGTTCCCAGCCTCGTGGTGATGTTTGCCTCACAGGGTCCCACTCGAGTCCTTGGGGAACTACCTGCTTTTGAGAGTGGTTCTTAGAAACGTGTTTGGTCAACAGACGGGGAGAGACTTGTCTTCAAGAGCAGATGCAGATTATCCCGAGCCCAGGGGACCTATGTGAGGGAGCTTCCCCTTGCCTGGTACCCACCTCCAAAAGCATCAACAGGATACCGTTTTATGAGTGGCTTGCCAAGGCAGGGCAGTGGGACTGGCGCTGTAGGTACATGCCCCAGGGTGCGATGCGGGTAGAGAATCTAAGAACAACAGTTGAACTGACTGAGTGGTATTCTGCCTTTTTAATTGGGATAAAATATAACAAATTTTACCATTTAATATAAAATATACCATTTTAACCATTTTTAAATATACTGGTCAGTGGCATTGAGAGCATTCACATTGTTGTGCAGGCATCACCACCATCCATCTCCAGAACTTTTACATCTTCTCAGATGAAATCTGTACATTAAACACTAACTCCCTCTCTCCCCACCGTCCAGCCCCTGGCAGCCTCCATTCTAGTTTCTGTCTCTGTGAATTTGACTACTCTAGGTATCTCCTAGAAGTGAATCATGTACTATTTGTCCTTTTGTGTCTGGCTTATTGCACTTAGCAGAATGTCTTCAAGGTTCTATTGCACTTAGCAGAATGTCTTCAAGGTTCGTCCATGTTGTACTGTGTGTCAGAGCTTCCTTTCTTTTTAAAGGCTGAATAATAATTGTTTAGATATACTGTATTTGGTTTATGGTCTGCTTTTTATTATCACCAGGCACTGGCAATTTTAAATAACTATAAATTACTTTCCCCCACCCCCAACTTCCTGCCAACGCTCAATTTTCCTAAGGGTTTCATGGAGAGAGGCATGGGAGAGGGTTCTGTATCTTGCACAACAGAATTACCTAAAGTACCTTTAAGCCTCTGTTTTCTATAATTTCTTCTCCCTCAGGCAGCTTGTCCCATCCCTTCTCTTTGTCATAACAGTCCCTTTCTCAGCACCTTCTGACTGTTCTTTTATACAAATGTAAATAGATTAAAAAATCTGTTTTGGCCAGGCGCAGTGGCTCAGGCCTGTAATCCCAGCACTTTGGGAGGCCGAGGAGGGTGGATCATGAGATCAGGAGTTCAAGACCAGCCTGGCCAACATGGTGAAACCCCGTCTTTACTAAAAATACAAAAATTCACTGGGCATGGTGGCACACGCTGTAATCCCAGCTACTCGGCAGGCTGAGGCAGGAAAATTGCTTGAACCCGGGAGGCAGAGGTTGCAGTGAGCCGAGATTGCGCCACTGCACTCCAGCCTGGGTGCCAGAGCAAGACTCCGTCTCAAAAGAAAAAAAAAATGTTTCTTCTCTTGGTAACCAGGGAGAGTTAGAGGCCCCACGTTAAAGACTCCTTTCTACTTTGGGGGTAGAAAGGAGGTGTGCAGAGCGAATGTGAATATGTGCCAGGACTTTGCAGTGATGGGCTTGGGTTAGCCCCATCCAGGTGAGGACCAGGCTGACGGATCATCCTCAGGCTTTGGAACTCTGAGTATGGGTTTGCTGTCCACATGGAGATTGCTTTAGAGCATGAACTGCTCCCTACACAGGATAGAGTCATTTCCTTAAAAAAATTGTGCTTCGGGAAGAGTTGGGAAGTTTGCATACATGTATGAAAAATGGCCAAATCCTTCTTAAGCAGCATGTCTTTCTCTTTTTAAGTTTGGTGTGATTTTTGCTGGTGCCCAGAAGAATGTTGGCTCTGCTGGGGTCACCGTGGTGATTGTCCGTGATGACCTGCTGGGGTTTGCCCTCCGAGAGTGCCCCTCGGTCCTGGAATACAAGGTGCAGGCTGGAAACAGCTCCTTGTACAACACGCCTCCATGTTTCAGGTAACTCTGGGAGTCAGTCTTGTGGACCCAGGGAGGGGTCTCACTATTTTTCATCAAAGCGGAGGTTACATTTTAAAATAAAACATGTAAGCCTGGGCGCGGTGGCTCACACCTGTAATCTTAGCAATTTGGGAGGCTGAGGTGGATGGACCACTTGAGGTCAGGAGCTAGAGACTAGCCTGACCAACATGGTGAAACCCTGTCTTTACCAAAAATACAAAATTATCCAGGCGTGGTGGCACATGCCTATAATCCCAGCTACTAAGGAGGCTGAGGCAGGAGAATCTCTTGAACCGGGGAGGTGGAGATTGCAGTGAGCCGAGATGGCACCATTGCACTCCAGCCTGGGTGACAGAGGGAGACTCCATCTCAAAATAAATAAATAAATAAGCAAACAAACAAACAAATAATAAGTAAAATAAAGTAAAGCATGTTTCCAGGAGCCGGTGATCAAATGCCCCAGATATCCTATCAGATTCTCTGCCCAGCTCACCTCTCCCTCTGCACCATCTCTTTACCATTTGATCAGCTTTTCCTCTTGTTCTTTTCTGGGGATGTTGTTTTTTGTTTGGTCTTGGTAATCCAGGATCCGGTGGTTCACCATTAACCCAAAAGCTCTCTATACATGAGGTGCTGTGGCCTGCATCTCAAACAGCCAGTGCAGCTTTGGAGAAGAACTTTCAAAAGCTGGGCCTCCCCTGCCTTCATTTCTTTCTCTGTCGGGCCTGCGGGAAGCTGGCTGCCTGACAGAACATACTGGCTTAAATACCTTTCTGGGTTTTGTTGTTGTTGTTTTTTGAGACGGAGTCTCGCTCTGTTGCCAGCCTGGAGTGCAGTGGCATGATCTCGGCTCACTGCAACCTCCACCTCCCAGGTTCAAGCGATTCTCCTGCCTCAGCCTCCCGAGTAGCTGGGATTACAGGTGCGTGCCACTACGCCCAGCTAATTTTTGTATTTTTAGTAGAGATGGAGTTTCACCATGTTGGTCAGGCTGCTCTTGAACTCCTGACCTCAGGTTATCCGCCGGCTTTGGCCTTCTAAAGCGTTGGGATTACAGGCATGAGCCACCACAACCGGCCAACATCTTTCTGTATTTTAGCCTAATCTGAAGGGGTCCTTTTAGCCTGGCTCTCATTCGCTGACTGGGGGCTGCGTTGCAGCACTTCAGGAAGAGCAGGGTTGCCCTGCCTCAGGATCCTATAACTCCCAAACTTGGGTATTTTGAGAAAATCTTCATGGCTCTTAAGATTTACAATTGCCTAAGAGAGTCTAGTATTTACTAGCTGTGTGACCTTAGGCAAGTCACTTAACATGTCTGTGTGGTAGGTTCTAGAAGTAATAATAGTACCCCTTTCACTGGGTTGCTGTGAAGATTAACATACATATAAATAAATCTGTGTATATATATAAAAATTTTAAATTTTGCACTGAGTACCTGGCACTTGGTGATTGATAAATATTAGCTGCTATGTTGTTATTGTTATTGTGAGTTCTCAGAGCCTCAGCAGGAGCAGACACAAGGGAAGAGCTGGAGTTTGTAGATTTATCTTTCTAGGGCCACTATGATGCAGAATGGTGATGCTTTATGTGTATGACCGTTTAATCCTCCCAACTACCCTAGTAGGTAGCCAGTGTTATGATCATGATTCCCATTTTGCAAGTGAGGAAGCCGAGGTCATATTTTAGGAAGTGGCCTGGCTGGGGTGTGAACCCAGGCCATCTGACTCTAGATCCTGGGTATGTACATTCTGCCATTAGTGCTCTCTCTTCACCAGCAAAAGGATGAGTGTGGATTTGCGTGTGTTTGCAGGATTCTGCCTTAGGAGAATAGTTCACTGTTGGAGTCCAGCTCTTCTCTCAACAGGATTTTCTTGTCTTGGTGGAAGTTCTCTTAAAGGAGCGTAGGAAAGAGGGGGCTCAGGCTGGTGCAGTTAGTGGTTCCATCTGGGCCAGGATTTTGTCAGAGCTTCCCCTCCTCCAGGTGCTGCTTAGGGAAAATGTCTTCTACATAATTTACTATGGAAAGGAAAGAATTTTTTTTTTTTTTGACAGAATCTTGCTCTGTTGCCCAGGCTGGAGTGCAGTGGCGTGATCTCAGCTCGCTGCAACCTCCGCCTCCCGGGTTCAAGCAATTCTGTCTCAGCCTCCCGAGTAGCTGGGAGTACAGACGCCTGCCACCATGCCTGGCTACTTTTCGTATTTTTAGTAGAGACGGGGTTCCACCATGTTGGCCAGGCTGCTCTCAAACTCCTGACCTCAGGTGATCCACCTGCCTCGGCCTCCCAGAGTGTTGGGATTACAGGCGTGAGCCACCGCCGGAATTTTTTTCAATGTTAGAATTCTGGTGAAAATTCTGCTGGGTTTCTGCTTGGTCACACGATGCAGAGCAGCAGCTCCTCACATTGTGTCTCCCACTTTCCTCAGGGGAGTGTTCTGGGATGCACTCTCCTGGTCACCTCTAAACCCTACTGTCTTTTACCTTGGTTGAAATGTTTCTAAAATGCATGGTAGGGATGGGAGTGGGGCTGAGTCTTACCTCCCACTCGCCTGTCTTACCTCTGGGGAAGCACCAGTGGTCACTGGCCAACTGGGACACAAGAACTGGGCAGGCTGAGCGGTGAGGGTGCAGCTGGGGACCTCAAGTGCTGGCCTCCGGGGGAAGGGGCCGAGATGTCAGGCTGCACATGGCAGGTAGAGGTACAGGAGGCTGTCCTTACCTGTTTGGAGATGGGGCCAGGGCCTGCCTTGCAGCTAGAGGAGGCTTTCAGAGGAGCCCAAGACCATCACCCATTTCAGAAGTGAGAAGGTGGGAGGGGGCAGGGAAAGAGTGCTGTTCCTGAACTGTCCCACAGCCTGTAGGCCAGCAAGTTGCGATCAGGGTACAGCTTGGGGCAGGGCAGACAGTCACTCTCTGGTACCTTCTTCAAGGGTTACCTTGAAGAGCATTTTTTTAAAAAGGAATGAACACGGCCGGGTGCGGTGGCTCACACCTGTAATCCCAGCACTTTGGGAGGCCGAGGCGAGTGGATCACAAGGTCAGGAAATCGAGACCAGCCAGACCAACATGGTGAAACCCCGTCTCTACTAAAAATACAAGAATTAGCCAGGCATGGTGGCGGGTGCCTGTAGTCCCAGCTACTCAGGAGGCTGAGGCAGGAGAATCCCTTGAACCTGGGAGGCAGAGGTTGCAGTGAGCCGAAATCACGCCAGTGCACTCCAGCCTGGGTGACAGAGTGAGACTGTCTGAAAACAAAAACAAAAACAAAAACAAAAACAAAACAAAAACCATGCAAGGTTAGAAAATCATTGCTCACCCAATGAGAACAAGCTGCAAATGGAGACATCAAGATGTGTGCAAAATCCCCTCCCCAGTCCGTGATGTGAGGCTGATGGGGTACCTGGAGCCCTTCAGAACTTTGTATCACATAGTAGAGTTCTTGAAAAGGCCTCACTTTTGAAAAGACGCCTTTTTTTTTTTTTCCCCACAGAGTCTAATGACCATAGGCCCTGGGAACTTTGATTTAATTGTGCTGGATAAAACTGCCTTCAAATCGTTGCTCCGTAGCCCTGAGTGATGAACTAGAGTGGAATAAAGAACACACTGCTGTTCTCTTTAACCCTTCAGTAGAACACACTAACCCCAATTAGTGCATAGAGAAAAAGATCCCTAAACTTCCCTTCTGACTGCACAAAATATTTTTTACTTACCATGACTAACTGAATACACAAGCATACGTTTGTTTTAGCTGCAGTATGAGGTGAAGTAACTAATAAAAATACAAAACAAATAGACCATTAATCTTAGGCCACCTGTTAAAAGAATGAGAACAGGCCAGGCGCAGTGGCTCATGTCTGTAATCCCAGCACTTTGGGAGGTCGAGGCAGGTGGATCACCTGAGGTCGGGAGTTCGAGACCACCCTGACCAACATGGACAAACCCCGTCTCTACTAAAAATACAAAAATTAGCCAGGCATGGTGGCACATGCCTGTAATCCAAGCTACTCGGGAGGCTGAAGCAGGAGAATCACTTGAATCCAGGGGGCAGAAGTTGCAGTGAGCCAAGATTGTGCCATTGCACTCCAGCCTGGGCAATAAGAGCAAAACTCCATCTCAAAAATAATAATAATAATAAATAAATAAAAGAATGGGAGCATGCAAATTAAGTTTGTGGGCCTGTTTGGAAGGCTTCACTGGTCCCAGACTACCTTCTCCCAGTGGGATGGGGATGCCTGGAATCCTGGAATTCACAGAGGGGTGTGTAGTGGAGCCAGTTTTGGGAGCTTTCCTCTGGGAAAAGTGCTCAACTCAGTGGCTACATTCACCGATTCCTGAGAAAACTGTGCCATAACATCAACTTCAGAACCTCATCTGCAGAGCTGGAGTCTTAGAACAGCCAGGGAGAGTTTTCCAGGGGACTTTCTGGTGTCCTTTTCTAAGCCCTGGTGCACAGGGACTATTTTGTATTGCTTTAAAAAATTTATAACAGTGATATACTCTTAGGCTGGGTGTGGTGGCTCACGCCTGTAATCCCAGCACTTCAGGAGGCCAAGGCGGGCAGATCACCTGAGGTCAGGAGTTCGAGACCAGCCTGGCCAACATGGTGAAACCCTGTCTCTACTAAAAATACAAAAATTACCCGGGCGTAGTGGCGTGCACCTGTAATCCCAGCTACTCTGGAAGCTGAGGCGGGAGATCACTTGAACCTGGGAGGCGGAAGTTGCAGTGAGCTGAGATCGTGCCACTGCACTCCAGCCGGGGTGACAGCAAAACTCTGCCTCAAAAAACAAACAAAGAAACAAAGAAACAAACAGTAACATACTCTTAGCAAAGACTTGCAGGTGGGCAGAGTCACCAGGGTAGCCACTGTTCACTGCTTGCTTTGTATCCTAACAGACTCTTAACTGGGCATATGCAAATATACAGAGTCATATATTTAATCATGCAAATGGAACTTGAACTTTACCATACAAATTGTTCTGTGAATTCTATTTTTCCACTCCACAATATACCATGGGCATTCTGCTATGTCAGCTCAAATGCCTATTTTTATTTTTTACTTTTAAATTTTATTTTTGTTAGAGACAGGGTCTTGCTCTGTTGTGCAGGCTGGAGTGCAGCAGTGTGATGATAGCTCTCAGAAACCGCAAACTCGTAGGCTCAAGTGATCCTCCCACCTCAGCCTCCTAAGTAGCTAGGACTACAGGCAAGTGCCACCATGCCTGGCTACATTAAAAAAAAAATTTATGGCGACAGGGTCTCAATATGTTGTCCAGGCTGGTCTCAAACTCCTGGCCTCAAGCTGTCCTCCCACACTGGCCGTCCAAAGTGTTGGGATTACAGGCATGAGCCACCACACCTGGCCCTTTTTTGTTTTAAAATATATATGGTGTCCTGTAGAATGGACATACCTCGATTTATTTAATCATTTAATAGGCAGAGTTAGGAACCCTATCCTGTGTGTTTGCAGGTGGCATTTTAGAAATGAAGGCATAAGTCTTAAAAATGTCACACTGGTAGTGGGAAGAATTGAGACCACTCTATAAGCTGTGTAAGCGTTTTAGAGCCCTTGTGTTTTCAAGATTTTAGACGGTATGGGAGTTGAAACATGAGTTAATAAAGAACTGGAAGCCACGAGGGTCCTGTGTTAAGTAGAGCCACAGGGGCTAGACATCAGTGCTCTGCAGAGGGCTGGGTGGGAGGGGAGGCAGGACCTCCTATCCTGTGTTAAGTAGAGTCACAGGGGCTAGACATCAGTGCTCTGCAGAGGGCTGGGTGGGAGGGGAGGCAGGACCTCTTATCCTGTGTTAAGTAGAGCCACAGGGGCTAGACATCAGTGCTCTGCAGAGGGCTGGGTGGGAGGGGAGGCAGGACCTCCTATCTTGTGTTAAGTAGAGTCACAGGGGCTAGACATCAGTGCTCTGCAGAGGGCTGGGTGGGAGGGGAGGCAGGACCTCCTATCCCAGGGATGTCTTCAGTCTTCAGGACAGCTTGCTTGCTTCTGAGTTGTCTGCCTCTTGTTTAGGCTTCATAGAGCCAAGTTATGGGTGCTGGCTCCAGGCAGCCCCTAAAAGTGGGTGAGCTTTCTGCTGGCCTTGCCTCCTCAGATCCCATTAAGAAAGCCAGAGATCATGGGCGGCGAGTGTGAGCACAGCAGTCAGCTAGGGGTTCAGGCGTCGGTACTGAGGTCTGGCTAGGACGGTGGACCTGACATGGGCCTTGCTGCACTTTGGATTTAGACAAACCAAATCCACAGTGCAGCAAGGGCCCATGTCAGCTTTGAAACCCTGGGCTAACACAGAGCTTCAGGCAAAAGGGAAGCTTGGTCACCTGGAAGTATTGTTGGTGACCTGGGCTCTGCTTGGATTCAATCACATGGCAGGGTGTGTTTCTGTGGTTCTGTGTGGAGGTGGGGGGTGAACAGGCTGCAGGTGTGGGAGAGGAGCAGTTGGAAGTGAAGTGGGAATTGCAGAGCATCTGATGAACAGAGGGCTGGGCAGCCTCGTGTCTGGAATGCACACCCACGTGCATGTGTGCTGTGTGCTGGACTTGGCCACTGTCACTGGTGTGTGGTGATAGCTCTGCAGTCCCACTCGCAGGGGAGCTAGTGGCTGGAGCCCTGCAGCCCCTGGCAAAGCAGAGGGCCTGCATACTTGTGGGAAGAGCTTGCATTCTTGGAGTCAGACAGGCTAGAGTTGGAGTCCTGGCTTTAAGCTGCTTGCCAGATGACTTGAGGCAAAGTTAACCTCTCTGAGCCTCAGTTTCCTCATCTGGAAAATGGGATGACGGTGGCTCTAACCCGAGGATTATTGTGATCAATAAAGATAGGCTGAGGCCACAGTAGACTTCAGGAAGTACTCATTCCCTTCTCTTACTTTCTCTCTTCTGTCTCTTTTGTCCCTCTGACTTCTTGGACGTTAGCCAGAGAGCTACCGCTGAGGCTGTGGATATTCTCAGGGGCTGTTTCCTCTTCCTCCCTGCCTTCCCTTTCTGCCAGCAGCCACTCTTGCTCTTTCTTCCCAGTGCTGTCTGGGGAGGTAGGCTGGGGAAGCTTCAGGAGAGGTTGTTGGATGTTTGTGGCTGCTGGCTGCTCCCTGCCTAAGGCCCCTCTGGGCAGCCCGGTGTTGGCTTTTGCCAACATGAGCTGGCATGAGCCACTGCACCCAGGCCTTGGGTCCCACTTGAGACAGTGAATGAGCCAGTTGGTATAGGGGGCTTCCCTGTGACAAGCTGCTGGCTGTTAGAGCATTTTCCAGACCCCATAATGTCCCCTCCTGTTAATAAAGGAGGAAGCAGCTGGGTATCCCCACCCTAGATCTTAGCTGAGCATTGACTCCCAGTAAATTTTTGCACAATTCCCATAGGGGATCTTTGATTCACACCTCTGGAGAGGGCATAGTTGGCAGCTGACCTCCAGACTCCCAGCTCAAGGGAGATGGTGTCTTCCCTGGGCGACCTCTCCTCCTGTGCCCTGAGCTTTTACTGAGTACACGTGGAGCCTTTAGCACCTTCTTAAGGAGAGGGGTTTTCAGACTGGGGAAAACCATGCACCGCTCCTCAGTGTTTCATATTTTCAGCTTAAGTTTGAAGGGACTACTGACTGCCATTTGTGTGGCCCACCTGCCACGTGCCAGGCCCTGTGCTAAGCGTTGGTCTGGCAGGAAGAAGTTGAAATACTTGGTTCAGAAAGGGATGGTCCTGAGCTGCGGGAAGGGCCCAGGTGCAGCTGGACTTCCTGGAACCAGGGACACAAATCCTCCTCCATCTGCTCTCCACTTCTGATCCTGGCTTCTCTCAGCGGGAATGTTGGCTTCATTTTCAGATGGGCCTTCTTCAGATGTTTCCTAGAAACATGATCCCCTAGGGCTCTCATCTCCTGTCTCACAGTTGCACTAATATTCTGCCGCTTTTTCTGCTCTCCCCACTCTTTCTCCCCACACCCAATTCAGAAAATCTCAGGGAAGGCCCTGATTGGCCCAGTTAGGTCCTATGCCGAACTCTGAGACCAGGGAGCCAAGGGGCCTTGCTGGACCTGCATACTGGCTGGAGGGTGGAGTTGGGAAGAGCAGGGTGGATAAAATGCCAGGTGTCCACCACAGGTAGGTGGATCTCCCGGTTCCAGATGGGAAAACCGAGGTGACTAATTCTGGGTAGTCTGTTAGTGAGTGGCTGCCCTACAATGGGAGTCAGGACTGGGAGGGGGAGCCCGTCCTTTTAACCCCTCGGCCACAGTGCTCTCTGCTGGCTGGAAGGCACTGTGCTAAGGATGTGGGTAGAAAAGATGAACAGCGTGGGCTTCTAGCCTTCCAAGACCACAGAGGCCAAACAACAGGCACACAGAAACTTAAAAGAGCAAGTGGAAAAAAACTATGCAGGTAATATGGGCAAGGCGCTCTGGGAGTTCAGGAAGTGAAGAGCTCGCTCTGGGTAGGGGTGGGATTGGGGTCTGCTGATGCCTTCTGGTGGAGATAAGGAAGTGTGTTCTGGCTCTCAAGAAGAGTTTACATTAGGGCTTAAGCTGGACAAGGAGGGACTGATATGATGTTTAGTGAAAAATCTGATTAAACCTTTTTCTGAATGGCCCTCAGGGATCTAGAATTGGGTTGACCCTAGTCCTTGCTTGATGACATGCTCTTGTTCACATGGGCCCTGCTTTTGTCTTGTGTATTTTCTTTCTTTATTTTTTTTGGAGACAGGATCTCGCTCTGTCACCCAGGCTAGAGTGCATTGGTGTGATCATAGCTCACTGCAGCCTCGAACCCCTGGGCTCAAGCATTCCTCCCTGCTCTGCCTCCCAAGTAGCTGGGACTATAGGCACATGCTATCACACCCAACTAATTTTTCAATTTTTATGGAGACGGGTCTTGCTATGTTGCCTAGGCTGCTTTCCAACTCCTGGCTTCAAGCGATCCTTCGGCCTCGGCCTTCCAAAGTGTTGGGATTACGGGCGTGAGCCACTGCATTTGACTATCTTGTCTATTTCAAATAATGTGTTTAAGTCTGTTTTAATGCACCTTCAACAGCAGTTTGCTTGAATATAGTTCTACTTTTGCAAAGATGAGCTAAACGGATTTTTTAAAAATCTTCATTTTAGCATCTACGTCATGGGCTTGGTTCTGGAGTGGATTAAAAACAATGGAGGTGCCGCGGCCATGGAGAAGCTTAGCTCCATCAAATCTCAAACAATTTATGAGATTATTGATAATTCTCAAGGATTCTACGTGTAAGTCAATGGATTTTATCTCCTATTTTGCCTCTTGTGAATTTAAAACTGTGTATATACTGTGTACCTTTGAAAAGTGGACATATTCACCTTTCTCTGAGACATTAAAATACTGGTGAGTGTGTGTGGTCCTGGGCCCCATGAGCAGGGGAGTGGGTGGTGAGTTCTTCCCTCCTGTACCTCACCCTGGGGCTCTCAGGCTTTGGGACCTGTGTCCCAGTGGGTGGTGATGTTTCTCACACCAAAGACATCGCCCTGGGGAAGAATCTCAGTTCACTCCCTGGGGTAGGTCCCGTCTACTCCCTCCTTTGTATATCTTCTGGGAAAAAAACAAATGTACTTTCTGAAATGTGTCAATTTAAGGACTCCTGTTAGCGATCTTTGGGACAAATACTCCTGTCCTCCTCTTCTGCGTTATTTCCCTTTTTAAGAAAATTCACTCCTTTCCTTATTATAAGACAGATGCTGTTATCCCAGAGTCTGTGAATGGAATTGGCTTTGGCATGGGCTGACTCCAGTTTAAATATTCCCATGAACAAATGATTAATGAGTATGTCTTAACCACTGCCCCTGCACCTGGGAATTCTGCAGAAAATGTCTGGGTCTTGTATTAGTTTCCTGGGGCTGGTGTAACAAAGTACTACAGACTTAGTGGCTCAAAACATCAGAAAACTGATTCTCACTCTTCTGGGGCCAGAAGTTCAAAATCAAAATGTCAGCAGGGTTTTGGTCCCTCCAGAGAGCCATGCCTTGCCTCCTTTAGATTCTAGTGGCTCAGGGTGGTCCTTGATTTGTGGCTGCATCACTCCAGCCTCCACATCTGTCTTCACATGGCCTTCTTTCTGCCGTGTCTTCCCTTCTGTCTCTTAAAAAGAGAGGTCTTTGGATTTAGGGCCTGTCCAGATAATCCAGGATCATCTCATCTCGAGATCCTTCACATAATGACATCTGCAAAGTCCTTTTTTTCCAAATAGGTCATATTCACAGATTCTGGGGGTTAGGACATGCGCATACCTTTTCAGGGTCACCATTCAATCCACAACAATAGGCCCTTCACCAAAATGCCAGATGGGAAGCACCTAGTGCGGTGCCTTGGATGCAGAGAAGTGTAACAGGTGGTATCTTCATTTGCTTTTCCCTTTCCCTTAAGGTGGTTACAGGTATACAAAGACCAGACTTCCTGCTGTGTACATGTATGTGCGCCTACACATATACATAAATGCTTAAACTCACCAAACTGAGAACCCCCTTCTTAGTGGCCATTGCTCTTTGGGGTTCAGTCTATAGTAACAAAAATATCTGCTTGATGGTAAGTTGGAAATTTGCCCTCTCTCAGATAATTCAGTGGCCACATGGGACCGACAAAACGATGCCTCTGTCCTAACTTAGGATTGTACTTTTTAGCCAAGACTTAACTAACACATCTCCATAACCACCCATGGGCGGGCAGTGCTGGTGTACTTTTTGGATGGCATGCTGCTGTCACCTTTGTTCTTGCAATGCTTGTTGCCTGTTTCTGTGAGCTCTTGACATGCAGTGGCCCTCCTCCAGCTGCAAGCCCAGGGGGAGTTAGGCTTGGCGGGATGCCTTGGCCTTTGGGCTCCTTTCCCAGGCACCATCTCAGGGAAGGGGTACACACTCTGCATTACTGCCTGTTCTCTGGTTCTGTGCAACAGAGAAGCAAGTGCAGGCTGGGGGCTCAGTGCTGGGGAAGCTTCCACACTAGACCTTGATGTGTGAGTTTGGAGGCCAGGATACCCTGCCTGTGCTCACTGAAGCCATTTAAAGTGCACGATCAGCAGTAGGTATCCAAAGATTTCATAGCCAAGGGCTAAAGAATGTGGCATGAGCCTGGAAAAGGGGGATACTCTTTGGTTGGAGTGAAGAGAGGGCTTTTGCATGAGCTTATTATGAGCCCTGGTCATGAGTGGAATTAGGCAGAGAAGAGGGCAGAAGTACTTTTAGAAAGGTTAGAATCATCCCCGCAAAGGCACTGAGGGAAGAGTGTACAGTGTGTTTGGGGAGCAGAACATGGGCTGCTTGAAGGGCATGGTTTATGCTGGGATTGGGAAGAAGGTCCGTGGAAGTGTGTGAGGGCGTGTTTAGTCCACCTATTTATTCATTCATTCATCTACTCACCCACCCATCCACCCACCTACCCATCTATCCATCCACTCATTCACTCATTCATTCATTCATCCATCTGTCTACCCATTCATCTATACATTCATCCACTCATCCACTCATCCATCCACCATTGACCCACCCATCCATCTATTCATCTACCACCTGCCTACCTATCCATCCATCTACCCACTCACTCATCCATCTATCCATCCATTACCCACCCATCCTTCCACCCACCTATTCACCCATCTACCCATTCACCCATCCACCCATCTATCCACCCGCCCATTCATTCACCCATCCACTCATCCAGACATCCATCTGTCCACCCATTCATCCATCCATCCATTCATCCATCCACTCACCTACCCATCCACTCATCCATCAATCTTCCATCCATCCATCTATCCATCCATCCATCCATCCATCTGCCCACCCATCCATCCATTCACCCACCCATCCACACACCCACCTATCTATCCATCTACCTACACACCCACCCATCCATCTATCCATCCATCACCCACCCATCTATTCATTCACCCTTCCACCTATCTACCCATCTATCTATCCATCCATCCATCCATCCACTCATTCATCCACCCGCCCACCCACTCATCTGTCCATTCACCCTTCCACCTATCCGCCCATCTATCTACCCACTTGTCCATCCATCCATCCATCCACTCATCCATTCTCCCACCCACCCATCCACCCACCCACCCATCCATCTATCCATCTGTCCATCCATCCAACCGTCCATCCATCCATAAAATGGCTCCTGAGGACCTGCTCTGTACACTAGCCTTGTTCTAGGCTCCTGGAAGACCGAGAAGAATAAATCATCTTCCCTGGCTCCCTAAAAAGTGCTGAGAACCTGAATGTGAGTAAAAGCACTTGGTGGGTATAGTGGACGGGAGACCAATTTTTCTATTAGCTTTTAGCTCTATACATTTCTCAGGAGATGTGTAGACATGATGTTAGAGGACAGAAAGAACGGTGATACCACTGGGAAAAAAATTAAGGGCATCAGGAACAAAATAAGAAAGCATAGAAGGAATTCTGGGACTCTCCTGAATCCCCCCCCGCCACGCCTAGGTCCTTTAACTCCAAGCACTAAACCTGGGCCTCTCCCAGAAGGCAGCCTGCCAAACTAATGTGGCAGGCAGGTCATCTCCTGGGCAGGTCATCTCCTGGGGAATCTGGTCATCCTTCACACCCAGAGCTCTTCACTCATTTCTGAACTGCCTTGACCCAGGACTTCCAGTCCTTTTAAGAATAAACCTCTTTCTAGGAACTCCCACCACCCCCTCAGTTGCCTGCCTGGAAAGCGTCATCCCAGGCACTTGGTGTTCTGTGGGACCTTGTTACTGGAGTAGAGAGGAGGCTGTACTCTGTCTCTCCTCTGTTTATAGCTGGAGACTCCCAGGCTGTGCCTGAACTCACTTAGATTTTCAGGAAATTCTTCTTTTCTTTGGAACTATGGAAATAGTTGAGCAACATGGCCCCATGGGAGGTGGCCACTTTTAAAGAGGAATACCTAGAATTAGAATTTGCAATTTACCACCACCTTTGCTCCTCATTTTTGTCTCTGAGAAGATGCACCCCCTCCCCACTTCCATGCCCCCTGACTCGTAAACCAGCTCCTTAACATAGTTCCAGGTTGTTTGCTGGGGGTTTCACCAGCCCTGCCAGTGACCTTGGCAGGGAATTCTGGGACTAGATAAGACAACCATCGAAGCCTCCAAGTTGATTCCATAGCCCAGTCACCCACACTGTGCTGACTGACCCCATGTTGAGCCCACGTGGGCCGTTTAGCACCTTGGGCTTAGAAGCCCCATTTTGCCACGGTGGTGCGTGTGACCTCGTGCAAATGACCTAACTGCTCTAAGCCACAGTTTTCTCATCTGTACAATGGAGGTAATGATACATACTTCTTAAAATTGTCAAGAGAATTAAAAGGAAATGCTTCTGAATCAAGAATATATAATATAAGGATTGAGAGCATTTTTACATTAAGGATTGAGGACTCTTGTGCTGGTTAATTTGTATAAAGTGCTAGAAACAGTGGTTGGCACACAGGAAGCATTCCTTGCATGTTAGCTCTTAATATCATTATTTGTGGTTATTGTTATATAAAGCAATTATGATATTCCTGACACACAGTGCTTATATAAGCTTATGTAATATAATTAATTATATAAGTATATAATATATATTAATTTTATTATATAAGGATGTCCAAGTGACAGATTCCATGTCTGGATCTGAGGTCACCTTTATCACCTTATGTGGGTACCAGGCCTTAGGAAAGAGAAGGAGGCACGTGATGGGTCTAGCGAAGACCCTAAAATAAAATGAAGCAGGCAGAGTCCTAGGCACCTTACACATGTGAATGCATTTTGTTGTCATCACAACCCTGTGAAGTAGACATTGAGCCTATGCAGCAGAAGCACAGATAGGACAAGGATGCAGCTGGAAAGTGGGACCAGCCAGGCTACGAACATGGGGGTGGAAGGCTCATTCCAGAACCTCTGCTGCTGTCTATGTCCAGGAGTGCAGAAGGCCTTAAACATACAACTCAAGCTATAAAGTAAAAGAATGACGTATTTAATTACATGAAAATTTTAAAATTTTATATGGCTTAAGACATCATAAACAGAATCAAAAATGACAGAATGAGAAAGATTTTGTAGTATATTAAACATAAAGGTTACTATCCTTAATTTAGGCAAGAACCCACAGATGAATGAAAAAGGATAAGGAAATAAAAGTGGGGGTGTGGTGGTTGCTAACAGTATGAGGAAACAACTCAGAAGAAATGCAAGCTGCCTCATAGACAAATGGAAAGATGCCACCTTCATTAGTTCCTTAGGAAATGCAGATTAAACCCATGAGATATGTTTTGCCTTTCATCTGCATACATTAAAAGGATTGATAACATCTGGTGCCAGCAAGGGCATGCACTTTTGGTGAGAGTATAAATCTGGACAAATTTGGAGCAAAGATTGCAGCGCTCATTATAATTCAAAACTTACATGGGCTTTGACCAAGGATTTTGATGTCTACAGATTTACCCTTCCCCAGCACTCTGCCTGGGTACAGTGGTGTGCACAAAATTAGGGACCAGCAAGTCCAATGTAAGATGTAATGGTGGAAATATGCAGTTGTGCCCATCAGTAGGGGTCTGATGAAAACAATGAGGATCTGTGGGTAATATGGAATGACTGCATTGAGAAGGATGAAGCGGGTCTCTTAGCAGACATGGGAAGATGACTGTGTTATGTCATCAGACCAAAAGGAGCAAGAGCAAGTGTAGGAAAAGACAAATCTATTAGTCTTTAAAAACTACAACAAGGCCAGGGACAGTGGCTGATGCTTGTAATCCTAGCACTTTGGGAGGCCAAGGTGGGAGAATTGTTTGACCCCAAGGAGTTTGAGACCAGCCTGGGCAACATAGTGAGACCTCGTCTCTACAAATAATAATAATAATAAAAAATTAGCCGGGTGTGGTGGTACATGCCTGTAGTGCCAGCTGCTTGGGAAGCTGAGGCGGGAGGATCGCTTGATCCCAGGAGGTCAAGGCTGCAGTAAGCTGAGATTGGACCACTGCACTCCAGCCTGGGTGACAGAGTGAGACCCTGTCTCAAACAAAAACAAAAACAAAACTACAAGAGTTATATATACATACATATTTACACATAGACACACATACATGTATACATGCATATGCACACAGACGTACATGTGTATATCTAAAATGATCTTCAGGAATGCACAGCAGACCATTAGGGTAGCCACCTCTTGTGGGAAGAGGGGTGGCAGATCTTCATATTTTTATTCTAGATTTTCATAATCATGTACAAATTTAAAATTAATTTTTTGTTGACAAAACCAGGCAGTAAGGAGAGGCCTACATAGGGTTGCATTTGGTAGGCTTCTCTTCACATACTCTTCTTTCTCATTCCCTGTGTATCTGACACATCCTTTCAGAGGGGCCTGACTGTGGAGTGATGTTTCTTCACTGCCTGCTCATCTCCTGTGACTTTCTTGCGTTCCCTTCTGAGCCTTACCACCTTCGTGGGATGGGTGTCCCTGGCTGAAGGTGTACCTCTGCCATGTTCCCCTCCTCCAGTACCTTGGAAAGTCCCGGTGTGTCCCTGAGCAGCGTGTCTCCGAGGGGACTGTCTGGAACTCTCATCCCCACAATAGGAAGGGTTTTTCAGTCATGGGGGAACACTGCGTTCCTGTCTGACCTCCTGGGGTTCCTCATTTACGTGGTCGGTGAGCTGTTGAGAGGCTTCAGGAAGTCAGGAGTGAGGAGGTCTGCCTAGCTCTGTGAATGCAGCTTTCCTAAGTTTCTCTGGCCATGGAACCACTTTCCCAGAATGCCTGTTGACATCTTCGTGCTCCACCAAGATGTTGGGAAGTGCGGCTCTTTCCCTGGTTCCCACTTGGACTTTCTCCTTAAATCTTTGCAGCCCTGGGATTTCCAGCTGGTTCCATGCCCATCCATAGCCCACATAGCCTCTCAGTCTGCCTTGGCCCCTTCTCCTACCTCGGCCCTCAACCCATTCAAACAACAGACCTGGTCACCTCTGAAATTTGGTGTTAACTCCAGGGATTGATTGCTCACTGGGGAGCAGGGGCTAGATCCAGCCCACAGTGGTGCTTGACGGGGTCACCCATGTTTAAAAACACAACTTGAGCCAATATTGGGCTCTTGGAAGATACTTAGAGATCTGGTTTCTTATTCCATAATCCATGTGCCTGTGAAAATGGGAAAAAGAAACTTTGACAGGGATAGCCATATGTTTCAGGAAAAAAAAAAGGGAGAGCCTCTTTTTCAGACTAGTCCTCCACGTTTAAAATGTGAGAGAGCTTGTTTGCACCTTCCACACCGGCCCGTCCTACTCATTTATGTGAGTGGTGCGGGGACATGCTGGCTTAGAGTTTGCCGCCCATGCTTGAAGCTCCTCGGTGCCGGCACCTTGGTACAGGCCCTAGTTCTTTTGACCTAGAAAGCTTTTTTTTTGTTTGTTTCCAGCCATTTCCTTTTTTTAATTTACAGTTTGCGTTCAGTGCAAACCCATAGCATGAGACATTACTATGAATCAAAATGTAAATACACAAACACAATATAGAATCCAAAACAGAGGTGCAGCTTTCAGGAATGAAGCAGAAGACAGGTTCATTCACATGCACAGTAGCTTCAGGGCTGTGTGATCTGGTTGTTCCCATGTAGCTTCCTAAAGATGGAAAAAAATGATTTTGGTCATCAAGACTACTGTGGCCATATTAGATACTGGAACCGTAGAAAGTTCTTCATAAGAGCTTTCCAGCAGGTCTGTGCGTTCCCAGTTTCTTCACCCCCCAGTCTCTCCTCTGTGTGCTGTAATTATTTTTCTAAAACACAGACCGCATTTTGTTGTGGATTACTCCTCATTGCTCAAGGATCCAGTCCAGTTCCCAGCAGGGCACTCCACAGCCCCGGCCCTGTAGGTCTTCCAGCCACCCCAGCCAGGAAGCCAGTGCTCCAGTTAAGTCAGCAGACTTGCCGGAAGCCTTTGTGCCTTTGCAGATGCAGCTGTCTGCCAGATGCCCTTTCTTCTCATCTGTTGGAACCATGCCTTGTCCCCTCCCCTGAAACCTGTCAACCTTGCCGCTGCTGAATTCCTTATCTGGCTTCTCTGCCTTTGCAGCCCTTGGCTGTTACAGCACTTCCTACGTATAATTGTGATTCCCTCCGGAGCCATCTCTCTGTAGATTGGAAGCAGTTAATTTCCCTTAATCTTTTTTTCTCCCCCCAGCCCCATACTAGAGACACTCTCCCATGGGTAGTGCATAAATATTTGTTGCATGACAATTTAGTCTTTAATTTCTCACTTTTATGACATTATTGCTTTGTGATATCTTCTACTTTCATGATAGGATGGGTAAATTGCAGGGAGAGGAACTGTAAATACGGATGCTTAATTCTTCCTGCTTTCAATTTTTTTCTGTTAAGTTAAATGTGCTTTTTGTTGCTCCACCTCTCTGATTGGAGCCTCACATTGGGAGCCTGAGGCAGTGGAATATCAAAAGAGGGTAGCCGTTGAATGTTTATTTTCAATGTCAGCCGTGAAACCTACCACTTCGAATAGTGGGGCCTGGAATTCAGGCTCAAAGTCTTTTCCCCATATTTGTTTCCCCCTTTGGCCTCTCTTTTGCTTGAAGCTGTGTACTAGACTCTCATTAACTTTAACAAGAATTACAGATGTGCCCTCAGGGGGCCTCTCACACTGCCTTTATTTGCTGTAATTTTAATGAATTCCACCCGTAGAAGTGTAAGAATAAAAGAGGATATACTTGAGCAAAGGGAAAGAGAGGGTTATTACACATTGTACCTTTTTTTAAAAAAATTGCAGAGTAATGTCAGCTATTCTTCCATTTGTCTCCTTTGGTTGCCAGTGAAAAATAATTTTGGCTGCTTATTTTCCAAAGCAGAAACTGAAGTCAAACACGAACCTTTCCTAGACAAAAATTCACTCATAATCATTTTTGAGAGTCGATATGTACCTTATGCAAAGTGCTGGGAATAAAAAGATGAATTTATTCCCATAAATATGTACACCTACTATGTACCCAGAAAAATTTAAAATAAAAATTTTTAAAAAGATAGATGTATTAACAGGTACTTATATAGCATTTAATATGTTGCAGACATAGTTTTAAATTGTGTCAGTTATTTGTTTCTGCATCATAGAACACCTTAAAACTTAAGTGACTGAAAACAACCACCATTCACTTGCTCGTAGTTTTTTGGGTCAGCAGGTTGGGCTGAGCTCAGCTAGGGGGTTCTTCTGCTGGTCTTGGGATGCCTCATTCTACTGAAGTCGTCATCTGGTTATTCATTTGGAGCCAGATGGTCTACAGTGGTTTCACATATCTGGCAGTTGGTGCTGGCTGTTGGCTGGGACACTTATCTCCAGCACTCTAGCTCAAACATGCTTAAGTGACAGCAATATATATATATATATATATATTTTTTTTTTTTTTTTTTGAGACAGAGTCTTGCTCTGTTGCCCAGGCTAGAGTGCTGTGGCACAATCTTGGCTCACTGCAATCTCCACCTCCCGAGTTCAAGCAATTCTCCTGCCTCAGCCTCCTGAGTAGCTGGGATTACAGGTGTGTGCCAGCACGCCCAGCTAATTTTTGTATTTTTTTTTTTCAGTCGAGATGGGGTTTCACCATGTTAATCAGGCTGATCTCAAACTCCTGACCTCGTGATCCACCTGCCTCGGCTTCCCAAAGTGCTGGGATTATAGGTGTGAGCCACCGCGCTTGGCCATGACAGCAATATTTTAAGAGAGCGGGAGGAGAGGCTGTAAGGTCTTTTGAGACCTAGGCTTGGAAGGTGCAAAGAGTCTGTTGTAAACTCTTGGCCAAAGCCAGTCAAAAGGCCAGCCCAGATTCAAAAGATGGAAAACTAGATTCCACCTCTTCTTATTTTTAAATGGGCCACAAAAATTCTCTATAAAGACTGACTTATTTAATGCTTACAACAACTTGAGGTGGTTGAGGTAGGTTCCTCTATTATTCCCACTGTTCAGATGAGGAAGGTGAGGCATAGCAGAGAGGTTAAGTAACTTGCTCAGGGTCACACAGCTTGGGGCAATACACCATGGTAAGTCCTTTGGAAGTTGCTGCTCATTATTTTTGCCTTACAGCCACTATAGGACCAACTTATTATTTCTCTGCAGCCTTGCAGAGAAAGAGGTCACTCACATTTGCCGTGCAGCTGCCATGTGTTGGAAGCTTCATATATGTAGTACCACTAAACCGTCACAACTAGTCTGAAATGGAGATATTATTATTCCCAGTATTCAGGTGAGGAAACTGAGGCTGATGGAAATTAAGTACAAGTCATACAAGGGGATGATAACCCACTGTTCCATATGCAAGAGTTTGTTTTCCCTAAGTAAACAATAAATGTGCTGGGGCAGATTTTTTGTTTTTTGTTTTTTAAAAAATCTTCTGCTTGCATCTAGGAAGTGTTAAGAAAAAAAAATCTGTTGATTTGTTTATGACAACCCATACATTTCAGAAAAGTAGCTGGAATAATAAACATGTTTTTCAGTTGTCCAGTGGAGCCCCAAAATAGAAGCAAGATGAATATTCCATTCCGCATTGGCAATGCCAAAGGAGATGATGCTTTAGAAAAAAGATTTCTTGATAAAGCTCTTGAACTCAATATGTTGTCCTTGAAAGGGCATAGGTGAGTACATCTGCAATGCACGAGCTTGGCAAAGAATTAGCTTAGTTTTTCAAATGCAGAATAAAACAAATCTATAGGAGCCTGCTTAGCTTGGAGTAGCAGTTATGTAATTTGTTGGGCCAACCCAGCTGTTATAAGGATGTGCCTTCTTCCTGTTGTTTATGGAACCCTTTGCATAATTCCCCAGCTGAGAGTATAATGGAGCTCCATCTTCCATGAGGGTTTTGGCAAAATTACCTTTGAAAATCTCTTACACTGCTCGTATAGCACAGAGGTTGCCATTCCATCTCTGATGAGGCCAGCACCACTCTGTTCTGGAGGTAGAGAATCATTATTATTCCAACTGAACATCAAATTAGTAGCTAGTCTTGCATGCTCTATGAAAAATAAATGTCCTCACATGAGAATAGCAGCAGGGAATGTCCTCACATGAGAATAGCCCAGCCCCGATCTTGCTGGCACTGTCACGACAGGCTCATGAATGTTGAACAGAATCGCTATCTTCTTCCAACTTACCTTTTCTTCCCCACATCTTGCTTGCTTTCTTTGCCAAGAGTGAATAGTTCGAATGACTCTAAATGTGAGCATGGTGAACCTTCACAGCTTAAGGGAGAATTTTCTGATGACTGAGACGTGTGAAGCTCTGTGCCAGGTGTCGGGAGTTTTTAGGTAGGAGACCGGAAATGATGGTCTCAGGTGCTGCAACTCTCAGGAGCCAGTGGCTAGAAAAAGGTGTTTTGATGCGAAATTAGACGTTTTTGTTCTCAATGCCTGGATCTTTGGTCATTCTAGGTCTGTGGGAGGCATCCGGGCCTCTCTGTATAATGCTGTCACAATTGAAGACGTTCAGAAGCTGGCCGCCTTCATGAAAAAATTTTTGGAGATGCATCAGCTATGAACACATCCTAACCAGGATATACTCTGTTCTTGAACAACATACAAAGTTTAAAGTAACTTGGGGATGGCTACAAAAAGTTAACACAGTATTTTTCTCAAATGAACATGTTTATTGCAGATTCTTCTTTTTTGAAAGAACAACAGCAAAACATCCACAACTCTGTAAAGCTGGTGGGACCTAATGTCACCTTAATTCTGACTTGAACTGGAAGCATTTTAAGAAATCTTGTTGCTTTTCTAACAAATTCCCGCGTATTTTGCCTTTGCTGCTACTTTTTCTAGTTAGATTTCAAACTTGCCTGTGGACTTAATAATGCAAGTTGCGATTAATTATTTCTGGAGTCATGGGAACACACAGCACAGAGGGTAGGGGGGCCCTCTAGGTGCTGAATCTACACATCTGTGGGGTCTCCTGGGTTCAGCGGCTGTTGATTCAAGGTCAACATTGACCATTGGAGGAGTGGTTTAAGAGTGCCAGGCGAAGGGCAAACTGTAGATCGATCTTTATGCTGTTATTACAGGAGAAGTGACATACTTTATATATGTTTATATTAGCAAGGTCTGTTTTTAATACCATATACTTTATATTTCTATACATTTATATTTCTAATAATACAGTTATCACTGATATATGTAGACACTTTTAGAATTTATTAAATCCTTGACCTTGTGCATTATAGCATTCCATTAGCAAGAGTTGTACCCCCTCCCCAGTCTTCGCCTTCCTCTTTTTAAGCTGTTTTATGAAAAAGACCTAGAAGTTCTTGATTCATTTTTACCATTCTTTCCATAGGTAGAAGAGAAAGTTGATTGGTTGGTTGTTTTTCAATTATGCCATTAAACTAAACATTTCTGTTAAATTACCCTATCCTTTGTTCTCTACTGTTTTCTTTGTAATGTATGACTACGAGAGTGATACTTTGCTGAAAAGTCTTTCCCCTATTGTTTATCTATTGTCAGTATTTTATGTTGAATATGTAAAGAACATTAAAGTCCTAAAACATCTAAGCCCTTGTCAATGAATTTCTCTACCTGCTTTTTAGACAAATTGTTCTTTATGATGGGAAAGCTTGAGGTCTAAAAATAGCACCTGCTAAGGGTAATTTAGTTCAACCAAAGATCTAAGACTTAATTCTTGTGCATCCATTTAAAAAAATTCAACACGGTGTGGGAGCTTTCCATTTGCTTTTGGAATGGGCATTATCAGCAAACCACCTTCCATTGCAGCTGAAGGTGTAAAGTTCTTTTTTTTTAGATGGAGGCTCGCTTTGTCGCCCAGGCTGGAGAGTGTGGTGGCGCAATCTCGACTCACTGAAACCTCCCCTCCCAGGTTCAAGCAATTCTCCTGCCTCAGCCTCCCGTGTAGCTGGGACTACAGGTGCCAGCCACCATGCATGGCTAATTTTTGTATTTTTAGTAGAGACGGGGTTTCACCATGTTGGTCAGGCTGGTCTCGAACTCCCGACCTTAGGTGATCCGCCCACCTCAGCCTCCCAAAGTGCTGGGATTACAGGCGTGAGCCACCGTGCCCAGCTCTGAAGGTGTAAAGTTCTATGAGCTTTGTCCCATTTGCCCCAGAAACATGCCACTAGGACTGTTTTGAGCTATCTTCCTGGTTTATTTGATTGCATAATGAGGACTCCACCAGTGTCTTGTCCCATCTCTGCACTGGTTAGTTGGCTCCCCTGTTCAGGTCACAGGCTCCAAGGCTTGGTTCTGTCATCTGTAACAGGAGGGTTGAAATAACTCCCCCACCACTTACCTTAAGGATGTTTAAAAGTTTAAAACAAGGGCTCGATGCAGGATGTGAATAATAACCACAATGAAGTTTTAAGTAGCAAAAGCCAGGCAGTCCATGGATTCCAACTAAGTGTTCACACATAAAAGTCATGCTCAGAGTCAGCCTCCCCTCCTTCCTCACCCTTTCATATGTGGTTGCACATCCCTGTCATCTGTATCAGACCTGTGCTTCTCAAATATCTGCTAATTTTCATTCCATTGCCATGTCAGCTCTGCTATGTCAGCCCTCAGTGGATTATTCAGCAGTCTCTTCTCTGCCCCCATATTCCCCTCCCACCACAGCCAGTTGAACTATGACTTCCCCTTGTGCTCTTTGTTGATGCATACAAAGTCCAGTACTCCCAGCCTGGCAGTCAGGACTTTGTAGCATGGGACATGGCCTCTTGCACCTCTCCTGCATTTGTGATTCTTGGAAAGTGGCATGCATTTGCCCACACTATGACATAAGCCTGGAGTTTCTGTGCCCACTCAGGAAGACCAGATGACACCCGCCAACCTCTTCCTAAACTCATTTGTGTCCTTTCCATTGGGACAATGTTCTTTTCCTTTGTTTTCACCAGGGGGATCCTTTTCTCCCATTATACCATCTCTGTTTTGTTCTTTACTATGCCAAGGTGGCTGCATATGTGCCTTCCCCATACAGCAGCATGGAAAGAACGATGGTTCTCTACCTCAAGCACCTAGTGTCCTGCCTTGCCCTTCGAGGTGCCCAGTGAAGTCTGTTCTTTTTAGACACAGGGTCTCGCTTTGTCACCCAGACTGGAGTACAGTGGCGTGATACTAGCTCACTGCAGCTTCGACCTCCTAGGCTGAAGTTATCCTCCTGCCTCAGCCTCCCCAGTAGCTAGGACTACAGGTGTATGTTACTGTGCCTGGCTAACTTTTTAAATTTTTTTGTAGAGACAGGGTCTCGCTATGTTGCCCAGACTAGTCTTGAATTCCTGGCTGCAAGTGATCCTTTTGTCTTGGCCTCCCAAAGTGCTGGGATTGCAGGCAAGAGCCACTGCGTCTGGCTGAATGAAAAATCTTAATGTAGGTCACGTTGGTCTTTCTGAGTACCATAAACTGAGCTTGGAGTAAAGGCAGAGAGGTATGATCTGTCACATAACATGGACCTTTTGTTTTTTTTGATGGAGTCTGTCTCTGTTGTGCAGGCTAGAGTACAGTGGTGTGATCTTGGCTCACTGCAACCTCTGCCTCCTAGGCTCAAGTGATTCTCCTGCCTCAGCCTCCCAAGTAGCTAGGATTACAGGCACTTGCCACCACGCCTGGCTAACTTTTATATTTCTAGTAGAGACAGGGTTTTACCATGTTGGCCAGGCTGGTCTCGAACTCCTGACCTCAAGTGATCCACCTGCCTTGTGCTCCCAAAGTGCTGTGATTACAGGCATGAGCCACCACCACATACGTGGACTTTTAATATATATATTTTTTCAAGAGCTTAGTATCCAATTTCGTTTTCTACTAAAATGGTCAAATATGATTCTGTGGTTGAATGAGGAAATTTAGTGTCTTGTGAGTTCCCCCAGAACCATCTTTATAAATCTGAAAGCTTTTGGAAAATGGTTAACTACCACATACGGACAAGGGGTAATCACTGGTGTCTGGCCAAACAGGGAGGTTCTGGAATAGATATTGCTGGAAAATATTCATCAGAGCAAAAAACTTGACCTTTGTATGTCTCGAGGGAATGAACTGATGCCAACCTGCTGATCACGCAGAGAGGGGTGAAAAGGGGAGATAAAGATACAGGCTTCTGGGTCAGCAAGCTGCAGGAGTCAGAACTGGTTGGTCTTTCCTTGAAGATTAAAATGGAAAGCAAGGTAGATTGACAGGTGTCTTTGCAGCCTTGCAGAGGCTGGGAGAGGGGCTGCCTCATATTCCTTTGGAGCCTCTAAATTGTACTTCTTCCCCAAATGGAACTTGGAACTTTTTTTTTTCTTTTAAAATTGGTTAAGGCCGGGTGCAGTGGCCCATGCCTGTAATCCCAGCACTTTGGGAGGCTGAGGTGGGCGGATCACCTGAGGTCAGGAGTTCGAGACCAGCCTGACCAACATGGTGAAACCCCGTCTCTACTAAAAATACAAAATCAGTTGGGTGTGGTGGCACATGCCTATAATCCCAGCTACTCAGGAGGCTGAGACAGGAGAATCACTTGAACTTGGGAGGCAGAGGTTGCAGTGAGTCAAGATTGTGCCATTACACTCTAGCCTGAGCAACAAGAGCAAAACTCTGTCTCAAAAAAAATAAATTAATTAAATAAAATACAATTATTTACAACATGTAATCATTATAATGCCATACAACCAAGAAAAACCAAATTTTTTTCTTGTGTTCCTTGTGTTTACCTCTATGCCCTGCTTTGTCTCCAATACTACAATTCTGTTCTTTGCATGAGAAATAAAATCATGTTCTGTCCCTAAGGCCTAAATCCCCTGCTAGAGCCCATTGATTGAAATGCCTAATGCTGTCTCATCATAACTTACCTGAAGCTGGCAGGTTTGGCATGCACTTAAGTGAATTATGTGAGGTAACAAAGAAGTAGTCCCTCCTCCCTCCTCTTAGAGCTGAAGGGGCTCTACAAGCTGAAGACACATAAAAATGGACAAAACATTAGATGTTGTCCAATTCTACCAAAGGCATTATCAGGTCTGGCCTTGCCCTCCATGATTAATGTTTGTTGTATCACGTTCTTTGGAAGGAAAATAAAACGAGGAAGAATTTTTTCACATTTGATGGGAATGAGTATAATTAAAAAGTGAAATGCTACTGAGTCTGCTAAGAAATCGATCATTTTAATTGGAAGGAAGATTCCTGGTTTCTGTCAGTAATTGGGCTCTTGGTAATTTAAAGATGGAATTCCTGACAGTTTGTGATAAATTGGCTTCTTTTGGGCTAAAGAAGGTAAGAAGTTCTAATTACCCCTGGATTATTATTCCAGAGTGGACAGAATCTTGGTCTTGATCCTGATCAAAGAGATTGGAAGAGAGATAGAAAAGCTAGCAATGAGCAAAGGCTTATTGAATTTATTTTAAGAAGCTAAAGAATAAAATTGTTCATTTGATGTGACAGAAATAAGAGCTTGTGGTATCTGAAATCCTAGAGATGTCGATTGGATTTTCTAAGAAAATAGGAAATAAGGCATATTAGAAGAAGTTTATGTTTGCAAAAGTTAGGTTATGCAGAAAGCTCTGCTTATTTGTTAGCACACACGAGAATATTAACAAACTTAGACCTCACTTAGGGACAAGTATGGAATTTGTGCTTTGAGTGTTTAAACATATAAGAAATCTGCATTAGGTTTAAGGAAGTGTAAAATGTTTTAGTCTAGTGACAAAATAAGTTAATAGGAATATAGGCAGGGCCCTGATTAATGTATCCACTGACCCTGTCTCTGTGGGTAGCCTGCCTTTGTTTCTATATATATTGCCTAAGAATACCTGAACCTGGGAGGTGTTCCAAGATGGCCTAATGGGGACAGCTCTGGTCTGCTGCTCCCGGTATGATTGACGCAGAAGACGGGTGATTTCTGCATTTCCAACTGAGGTACTTGGTTCATCTCATTGGGACTGGTTGGACATGGGTGCAGCCCATGGAGGGCGAGCTGAAGCAGGGCGGGGCGTCACCTCACCCGGGAAGTGCAAGAGGTCAGGGGATTTCCCTTTCCTAGCCAAGGGAAGCCATGACAGACTACCTGGGAAAATGAGACACTCCCCACCCAAATACTGCACTTTTCCCAAGGTCTTAGCAACCAGCAGACAAAGTGATTCTCTCCCATGCCTGGCTCAGTGGGTCCCATGCCCACAGAGCCTTGCTCACTGCTAGCGCAGCAGTCTGAGATCAATCTGTGAGGCGGCAGCCTGGCTAGGGGAGGGGCGTCCACCATTGCTGAGGCTTGAGTAGGTAAAAATGTGGCCAGGAAGCTCAAACTGGGCGGAGATCACCGCAGCTCAACAAGGCCTACTGCCTCTAGACTCCACCTCCATGGGCAGGGCATAGCTGAACAAAAGGCAGCAGACAACTTCTGCAGACTTAAACATCCCTGTCTGACAGCTCTAAAGAGAGCAGTGGCTCTCCCAGCACAGCATTTGAGCTCTGAGAACAGACAGACTGCCTCCTCAAGTGGGTCCCTGAACCCTGTGTAGCCTAACAGGGAGATACCTCCCAGTAGGGAACAACAGACACCTCATATAGGTGGCTCCCCCTCTGGGATGAAGCTTCCAGAGGAAGGATCAGGCAGCAATATTTGCTCTCTGCAATATTTGCTGTTCTGCAGCCTCCGCTGGTGATACCCAGGCAAACAGGGTCTGGAGTGGAACTCAAGCAAACTCCAACAGACCTGCAGCTGAGGGACCTGACTGTTAGAAGGAAAACTAACAAACAGAAAGGAATAGCATCAACATCAACAAAAAGGTCATCTGCACCAAAAACCGATCTGTAGGTCACCAACATCAAAGACCAAAGGTAGATAAAAATCACAAAGATGGGGAGAAATCAAGCAGAAAAGCTGAAAATTCTAAAAATCAGAGCACCACTTCTCCTCCAAAGGATCGCAGCTCCTTGCCAGCAACGGAACAAAGCTGGATGGAGAATGAATTTGACGAGTTGACAGAAGTAGGTCAGAAGGTCGGTAAATTACAAACTTCTCTGAGCTAAAGGAGGATGTTTGAACCCATTGCAAGGAAGCTAAAAACCTTGAAAAAAGATTAGATGAAATGGCTAACTGGAATAAACAATGTAGAGAAGACCTTAAATGATCTGATGGAGCTGAAAACCATGGCATGAGAACTTCGTGATGCATGCAAAAGCTTCAATAGCTGATTGGATCAGGTGGAAGAAAGGATATCAGTGACTGAAGATCAAATTAATGAAATAAAGTGAGAAGACAAGGTTAGAGAAAAAAGAGTAAAAAGAAACGAACGAAGCCTCCAAGAAATATTGGACTATGTGAAAATACCAAATCTACGTTTGATTGGTGTACCTGAAATTGATGGGGAGAATGGAACCAAGTTGGAAGACACTCTTCAGGATATTATGCAGGAAAACTTCCCCAAGCTAGCAAGGCAGGACAACATTCAAATTCAGGAAATACAGAGAACACCAGAAAGATACTCCTCGAGAAGAGCAACCCCAAGACACATAATTATCAGATTCACTAAGGTTGAAATGAAGGAAAAAGTGTTAAGGGCAGCCAGAGAGAAAGGTCAAGTTACCTACAAAGAGAAGCCCATTAGACTAACTGCGGATATCTCAGCAGAAACCCTACAAGCCAGAAGAGAGTGGGTACCAATATTCAACATTTTTTTTTTTGTTTTTTTTTTTTGAGACGGAGTCTCGCTCTGTCACCCAGGCTGGAGTACGGTGGCGTGATCTCTGCTCACTGCAAGCTCCGCCTCCCAGGTTCACACCAGTCTCCTGCCTCAGCCTCCCAAGTAGCTGGGACTACAGGTGCCTGCCACCATGCCCAGCTAATTTTTTTTTTTTTTTTGTATTTTTTAGTAGAGACGGGGTTTCACCGTGTTTGCTAGGATGGTCTCGATCTCCTGACCTCATGATCTGCCCGCCTCAGCCTCCCAAACTGCTGGGATTACAGGCGTGAGCCACTGCGCCCAGCTCAACATTCTTAAAAAAAATAATTTTGAACCCAGAATTTCATATCCCGCCAAACTAAGTTCATAAGTGAAGGAGAAATAAAATCCTATACAGACAAGCAAATGCTGAGAGATTTTGTCACCACCAGGCCTACCTTACAGGAGCTCCTGAAGGAAGGACTAACCATGGAAAGAAACAGGTGGTACCAGCCACTGCAAAAACATGCCAAATTGTAAAGACCATCAATGCTATGAAGAAACCTCATCAATTAATGGGCAAAATAACCAGTGAACATCATAATGACAGGATCAAATTCACAAATAACAATATTAACTTTAAATGTAACTCGGCTAAATGCCCCAATTAAAAGACACAGACTGGCAAATTGGATAAAGAGTCAAGACCCATCTCATGTGCAAAGACGCACATAGGCTCAAAAATAAAGGGATGGAGGAAGACCTACCAAGCAAATGGAAAGCAAAAAGAAGCAGGTTGCAATCCTAGTCTCTGATAAAACAGACTTTAAACCAACAAAGATCAAAAGAGACAAAGAAGGCCATTACATAATGGTAAAGGGATCAATTCAACAAGAAGAGCTAACTATCATAAATATATATATACCCAATACAGGAGCACCCAGATTCTTAAAGCAAGTCCTTAGGGAACTACACAAAGACTTAGAATCCAACACAATAATAATGGGAGACTTTAACACCCCACTGTCAATATTAGACAGATCAGCGAGACAGAAGGTTAACAAAGATATTCAGGACCTGAACTCAGCTCTGCAACAAGCAGACCTAACAGACATCTATAGAGTTCCCCTCTCCAAATCAACAGAATATACATTCTTCTCAGCACCACATTGCACTTATTCTAAAATTGACCACATAATTGGAAGTAAAGCACTCATCAGCAAATGTAAAAGAACAGAAATGACAACAAACTGTCCCTCAGACCACAGTGCAATCAAATTAGAACTCAGGATTAAGAAACTCACTAAAAACCGCACAACTACATGGAAACTGAAAAACTTACTCCTGAATGACTACTGGGTAAATAACGAAATGAAGGCAGAAATAAAGGTGTCCTTTGAAACCAATGAGAACAAAGACACAACGTACCAGAATCTCTGGGACACATTTAAAGCAGTGTGTAGAGGGAAATTTATAGCACTAAATGCCCACAAGAGAAAGCAGGAAAGATCTGAAATCAACACCTTAACATCACAATTAAAAGAACTAGAGAAGCAAGAGCAAACAAATTCAAAAGATAGCAGAAGGCAAGAAATAACTAAAATCAGAGCAGAACTGAAGGAGATAGAGACACAAAAAGCCCTTCAAAAAAATCAATGAATCCAGGAGCTGGTTTTTGAAAAGATCAACAAAACTGATAGACAGCTAGCAAGATTAATAAGGAAGAAAAGAGAGAAGAATCAAATAGATGCAGTAAAAAATGATAAAGGGCATATCACCACCGATCCCACAGAAATACAAACTACCATCAGAGAATACTATAAACACCTCTACGCAAATAAACTAGAAAATCTAGAAGAAATGGATAAATTCCTGGACACATATACTCTCCCAAGACTAAACCAGGAAGAAGTTGAATCTCTGAATAGAGGAATAACAGGCTGAAACTGAGGCAATAATTAATAGCCTACCAACCAAAAAAAGTCCAGGGCTAGATGGATTCACAGCTGAATTCTACCAGAGGTACAAAGAGGAGCTGGTACTATTCCTTCTGAAACTATTCCAATCAAGAGTAAAAGAGGGAATCCTCCCTAACTCATTTTATGAGGCCAACATCATCCTGATACCAAAGCCTACCTAGAGACACAACAACAAAAAAAAAAGAGGGAATTTTAGACCAATATCCCTGATGACCATCAATGCAAAAATCCTCAATAAAATACTGGTAAACTGAATCCAGCAGCACATCAAAAGGCTTATCGATGACGATCAAGTTGGCTTCATCCCTGGAATGCAAGGCTGGTTCAACACATGCAAATCAATAAACGTAATCCATCACATAAACAGAACCAATGACAAAAACCACATAATTATCTCACTAGAGGCAGAAAAGGGCTTTGCCAAAATTCAACAGCTTTTCATGCTAAAAACTCTCAATAAATTAGGTATTGATGGAACATGTCTCAAAATAATAAGAGCTATTTATGACAAGCCCACAGCCAATATCATACTGAATGGGCAAGGGGAAGCATTCCCTTTGAAAACTGGCACAAGACAAGGATGCCTTCTCTCACCACTCCTATTCAATCTAGTGTTGGAAGTTCTGGCCAGGGCAATCAGGTAAGAGAAAGAAATAAAGGATATTCAATTAGGAAATGAGGAAGTCAAATTGTCCCTGTTTGCAGATGACATGACTGTATATTTAGAAAACCCCATTGTCTCAGCCCAAAATCTCCTTAAGCTGATAAGCAACTTCAGCAGTCTCAAGATAGAAAATCAATGTGCAAAAATCACAAGCATTCCTATACACCATTAACAGACAGAGAGCCAAATCATGAGTGAACTCCCATTCACAATTACTACAAAGAAAATAAAATACCTAGGAATCCAACTTACAAGGGATGTGAAGGACCTCTTCAAGGAGAACTACAAACCACTGCTCAATGAAATAAAAGAGGACACAAACAAATAGAAGAATATTCCATGCTCATGGATAGGAAGAATCGATATCATGAAAATGGCCATACTGCCCAAAGTAATTTATAGATTCAATGCCATCCCCATCAAGATACCAATGACTTTCTTCACAGAATTGGAAAAATCTACTTTAAAATTCATATGGAACCAAAAAAGATCCCGCATTGCCGAGACAATCCTAAGCAAAAAGAACAAAGCTGGAGGCATCATACTACCTGACTTCAAACTATACTACAAGGCTACAGTAACCAAAACAGCATGGTACTGGTACCAAAACAGATATATAGACCAATGGAACAGAACAGAGGTCTCAGAAATAATGCCACACGTCTACAATCATCTGATCTTTGACAAACCTGACAAAAACAAGCAATGGGGAAACGATTCTCTATTTAATAAATGTTGCTGGGAAAACTGGCTAGCCATATGTAGAAAGCTGAAACTGGATCCCTTCCTTACACATTATACAAAAATTAATTCAAGATGGATTAAAGACTTAAACGTTAGACCTAAAACCATAAAAACCCTAGAAGAAAACCTAGGCAATACCATTCAGGACATAGGCATGGGAAAAGACTTTATGACTAAAACACCAAAAGCAATGGCAACAAAAACCAAAATAGACAAATGGTATCTAATTAAACTAAAGAGTTTCTGCACAGCAAAAGAAACTACCATCAGAGTGAACAGGCAACCTACAGAATGGGAGAAAATTTTTGCAATCTACTCATCTGACAAAGGGCTAATATCCAGAATCTACAAAGAACTCAGACAAATTTACAAGAAAAAAACAAACAACCCCATCAAAAAGTGGGCAAAGGATATGAACAGACACTTTTCAAAAGAAGACATCTATGTAGCCAACAGACACATGAAAAATGCTCATCATCACTGGTCATCAGAGAAATGCAAATCAAAACCACAATGAGATACCATCTCACGCTAGTAGAATGGCAATCATTAAAAAGTCAGGAAACAACAGGTGCTGGAGAGGATGTGGAGAAATAAGAATGCTTTTACACTGTTGGTGGGAGTGTAAATTAGTTCAACCATTGTGGAAGACAGTGTGGCAATTCCTCAAGGATCTAGAACTAGAATTACCATTTGACCCAGCGATCCCATTACTGGGTATATACCCAAGTGACTATAAATCATGCTACTATAAAGACACATGCACATGTATGTTTACTGCAGCACTATTCACAATAGCAAAGACTTGGAACCAACCCAAATGTTCATCAATGATAGACTGGATAAAGAAAATGTGGCACTTATACACCATGAATTACTATGTAGCCATAAAAAAGGATGAGTTCATGTACTTTGCAGGGACGTGGATGAAGCTGGAAACTGTCATTCTCAGCAATCTATCACAAGGACAGAAAACCAAACACCGCATGTTCTCACTCCTAGGTGGGAATTGAACAATGAGATCACTTGGACACATAGTGGGGAACATCACACACCAGGGCCTGTCATGGGGTGGGAGGCTGGGGGAGGGATAGCATTATGAGAAATACCTAATGAAAATGATGAGTCGATGAGTGCAGGAAACCAACATGGCACATGTATACCTATGTATCAAACCTGCACGTTGTGAACATGTACCCTAGAACTTAAAGTATAATAATTTAAAAAAATTGTTTTTTAAAAAAGAATACCTTAACCTGAGGAATAGGTTGGATTTTAGGTTGATGCACTGGGTTATCAACTTATGCACTCGGTTATCAACTTATTTTGAATGGTGTGTATATTACATATTTGCAGCTATCTATCTGTATCTCTATATGTTATACAGATAAAATTTCAAACTTAGAGAAAATTTGCAAGATTAGTGCAAATACCTCTTATTCTTTACTTCACCCATATTCACCAATTATTAACATTTAGCTTCACTGCCTTTGGCATTTACTCTTTTCATATATACATATTTTTTTCCTGAACTGTTTAAGGATAAGTTGAAGACATTGTGCCCTTTTATCTCTAAATAGTGTTTATTTCCTAAGAACAAGGACATTCTCCTACATAATTACAGCACAATTATCTAAATCAGAAATTTAACATTGATACATTTAACTAATCTACAGGCCATATTCAAAGTTAGCCAATTATCCCAGTAACATCTTTTGTAGCTATTTTGTGAGCTCAGTATGCAGTTCACAGTCATGCATTGCACTTACCTCTCATGTCTCTTAATCTAAATATGAACTAGTTCATCGGCTTCTTCACTCTTCATTTTATTGACGATTTTTGAAACGTATAGGCCAGGCTGGGCACAGTGGCTCACGCCTGTAATCCCAGCATCCCAGCACTTTGGGAGGCCAAGGTGGGAGGATTCCTTAAGCCCAGGAGTTTGAGACTGGCTTGGGCAACATAATGAGATCCCATCTCTCCAAAAAAAAAAAAAAAAAAAAAAAAAAAAAAAAAAAAATTAGCTGGGCTTAGGGGTGCTGTGTGCCCATAGTCCCAGCTACTCTGGAGGCTGAGGTTGGAGGATCACTTGAGCCCAGGAGGTTGGGGCTGCATATTGCTCCACTGCACTCCAGCCTGGGTGACAGAGTGAGACTCTGTCTTAAAAAAAAAAAAAAGAAAAAGAAAGAAAAGAAAAAAAGAAGAAAAGAAAAGAAAGTATAGGCAAGTTGTGGCATCTCTCAGTTCGGGTTTGTTCAAATTTAGTTCTTCATGACTGTTTCAGGTTAAGCATTTTTGGCAGGGTTACCATGGAAGTGATACTGTGTCCTCCTCAGTGCATCCTGGGAGGAGGCACCTGATGTTGGTTCGTCTTATCGGTGATATAGTCGCTGGTGTCTTGGTTCATGTGGTGTCCACGAGGTTTCTCCACTATCAAGCTATTACTTGTCTCTTTGTAGTTAATAAGTGATTATAAGGAGATGTTTTAAGACTCTAAATATCCTGAGAGTCACCAAACAAATTGCATAGACGTTCCACAAAAAGGATAATACAAGAGGAATTATTTGATGGGAAAGGTGAAGTGATTTATTACTGCTTTTCTACCAGTATTTCTTGCAACCTATTCTTCCTCCTCCCAAAAAAAAACACCTTAAAGTATAAGCAAAAGTGTGCAAAAGATACACTGGGAAGTCAAAAATCAGTAGTAGTAGGACATATATTCCAGCAACCCTGAGAGTAACAAATGCATTTGAGAATATAAATAGTCTGGGCAAGTGTGCTTTTTGGTGAACCAGGAAAGGAGGAAAAGAATTCCCTGATCAAAATATAGGGACTCAACTTGTAGAATTTTCATTCCCCGTCTGGTCAAGTTTGTTTATCTCTCAGTATTTTCAGAAGTGCAGCCCTTTGGCAACAAATACCTTTAATCGAATAGCCAGATCATGAGCCATACAGCCTGATTATACTTTGAAAGATATCATATAACAGCCTAAAGTTAAAGCTGCCTCTGATGGCTCTGGCTCAGCAGAATAGTCCCCAATAGAATAATAAAATCTTGGCTTCCATCTAGCCGGGTAAAAAGCCCAAGGCATCTTAAATGCCTGAGAAACGAGACTTGAAGTTGAAATCTAAGAATTTACAGGTCATTTGGGGGGAGAAAAAAAAAAGATTATCTTATCCAGCAGAGTGAACATCAGATAGAGCCGAATCATTCCTTTCTGCTCCCTTCCCCAAGTTTAAAAGCCTAGTTTCTTGAGGTTGAAAGTCCAGGGCTGAAGCAGAAATATATTCAGGAGTTATTGGGAAACGACAGGTGAGCAGGTTAATCTCAGGTAGCAAACATTCTGCTATAAAATACACAGGGAAACACTTTAGGATTTCAGATGCATTTAAATCTAGGGCAATGTTACACACTTTCTAAGGAAATAGGTTCAAATTAAGGCTTCAGCTGTCACCCCCTCTATTAAGCCACCCCAAATTCTCCCGGCTGCACATTATACAACAGATACAGTAGTTACTCAGCATCTTCCACGAGCAGGGTTCTTGTGGATACAGGGACAAACAAAACAATGAATGTTTTGTATCAATTAGGATTTGATGTTCACAATAAATAGAAAACTTGATCCAAACTACCAAAAGCCAAAAAAGAAGAAAAATTGTTGATTGATATAATCTGCTCTTGCAGTCAACGATCCAGTCCCACAAGAGCAAGAACTCACTCTCTAGAGAGACTGAATTAATCCCTCATGAGGGTGGATCCTTCAAGCCTCAAATGCCTCTTTTCCAGTTTGTCCCTGGATCTAAACAAACAAACAAACAAACAAACAAACCAAAAAGATCCCACCACCTCTCAACACGTTTACATTGGCAATTAAATTTCAGCATGAATTTTGCAAAGACACACGATATCTAAATCAGAACTCAGGGCCAGCCCCAGGTATGGTTCGCTCCAAAGGGCCTGCTTTTTTAGGGCTCAGTGACTTTGCCCTTCTTCATGTCTTGTTTTATTCTAATCACAGGGCACAGACATTCCTGACATTGCCTCTTCATATGAGGTTGCCCAGGTGACAAAAACGGGTATCTCAGCCTCCCCAGTGATGGTGTCAAGGCTTGTTCTGATTGGACCATCTTAGGTCAGATTCTCATTTCTAAACCAATGAGGAAGGGCTATGCTAATTGGCAGAAATAAAAATCAGGGCCCACCTTGGAGCTGGGTGTGGAGTCAAGCACACCTAAACCAAATGGAAGCCTGGGTAGTTCGCCAAATAAACTCTGCTTTCTTTTGCCCTCTTAGAGCTTACAGCCTAGCTGGAGAGCCAGACATTAACAAGTAAACAATTGGATGTAAAATATGAAGTGAAGCAACACAGAGCTGTGAGACTGTATGTCAGAGGGGCACCATCCAAACTGGGATGTGGGAGGTAACATCTGAGCTCAGATCTGAATGGTAGAGCAGGAGTTAATTTTTTTGAAAAGCGATTAAGGAGAGATGAGCAATTTGGGCATCTTTGAAAGGACATTTTTCATTTGACTTTCTCTTAAGAGAGTTGGTATGTGATACTCAAAATGTACAAGCAATATGGTACCCTCCAGAGGCTGACGTTCTTGCAAGTGGCCACAGGAAGAAGCACTCTCATATATTGTTGATGGGAATACAAAAAGGTATAACTCCGATGAAAGGCAATTTGGCAATATCTTTTTTTTAAATTTTATTATTATTATACTTTAAGTTTTAGGGTACATGTGCATAATGTGCAGGTTAGTTACATATGTATACATGTGCCATGTTGGTGTGCTGCACCCAGTAACTCGTCATTTAGCATTAGGTATATCTCCTAATGCTATCCCTCCCCCCTCCCCCCACCCCACAACAGTCCCTGATGTGTGATGTTCCCCTTCCTTTGTTCATGTGTTCTCATTATTCAATTCCCACCTATGAGTGAGAACATGCAGTGTTTGGTTTTTTGTCCTTGTGATAGTTTGCTGAGAATGATGGTTTCCAGTTTCATCCATGTCCCTACAAAGGACATGAACTCATCCTTTTTTATGGCTGCATAGTATTCCATGGTGTATATGTGCCACATTTTCTTAATCCAGTCTATCGTTGTTGGACATTTAGGTTGGTTCCAAGTCTTTGCTATTGTGAATAGTGCCACTATAAACATATGTGTGCATGTGTCTTTATAGCAGCATGATTTATAATCCTTTGGGTATATACCCAGTAATGGGATGGCTGGGTCAAATGGTATTTCTACTTCTAGATCCTTGAGGAATCACCACACTGTCTTCCACAATGGTTGAACTAGTTTACAGTCCCACCAACAGTGTAAAAGTGTTCCTATTTCTCCACATCCTCTCCAGCACCTGTTGTTTCCTGACTTTTTAATGATTGCCATTCTAACTGGTGTGAGATGGTATCTCATTGTGGTTTGGATTTGCATTTCTCTGGTGGCTAGTGATGATGAGCATTTTTTCATATGTTTTTTGGCTGCATAAATGTCTTCTTTTGAGAAGTGTCTGTTCATATCCTTTGCCCACTTTTTGATGGGGTTGTTTGTTTTTTTCTTGTAAATTTGTTGGAGTTCATTGTAGATTCTGGATATTAGCCCTTTGTCAGATGAGTAGATTGCAAAAATTTTCTCCCATTCTGTAGGTTGCCTGTTCACTCTGATGGTAGTTTCTTTTGCTGTGCAGAAGAAGCTCTTTAGTTTAATTAGATCTCATTTGTCAATTTTGGCTTTTATTGCCATTGCTTTTGGTGTTTTAGACATGAAGTCCTTGCCCATGTCTATGTCCTGAATGGTACCGCCTAGGTTTTCTTCTAGGGTTTTTATGGTTTTAGGTCTAACGTTTAAGTCTTTAATCCATCTTGAATTAATTTTTGTATAAGGTGTAAGGAAGGGATCCAGTTTCAGCTTTCTACATATGGCTAGCTAGTTTTCCCAGCACGATTTATTAAACAGAGAATCCTTTCCCCATTGCTTGTTTTTGTCAGGTTTGTCAAAGATCAGATAGTTGTAGATATGCAGCATTATTTCTGAGGGCTCTGTTCTGTTCCATTGGTCTATATCTCTGTTTTGGTACCAGTAATTTGGCAATATCTTAACAAATATATGTGTATTTAACATTTGACCTGGCAACCCCATGTCTAGGAACTTATCCTGAAGACATAATTCTAACAATATGAAAATACATATGCACAAAAAGTTATTTGACTGCACCATTATTGATACTTGCCACACATTAGAAACTACCCAAAATGCTCAAACAGAGGAAATGGTTCAACAAACTATGGTACATTCACAAAATGAAATATTAACACCTTGCAACTGTAAGATGGTCCATTCACTGGAATAGGGGACACAGGAAGAAGTGGGTATTGTGCATCATTCGCCTGTTTGATTCAGATGCACTTCCTGGCTTTCCACTGCTCTGTTCAGTGTCACAGGGGGCTGGCCCTGAAAATGTCACCTTCCAGAGCTCTTTGTCAACTCTTCCAGGTAGGTTCAGCCAATGGAAAGCATTGGCAGGAGGCTGGAGAACAGGAGCAAGAGAGAAGCCAGAGTGTTTCTTCCTCTCTGTCTACTCAGGCTGTTCCAGTAGCTGCAGCTGTGGCAGGGCTACTGGCTGCTCTGTCTCTGGAGTCCCTACCCTCACCGGGCAGCTCTGTGCTAAGGCTGTGGCCACACCATCTCCTTCATTCACCCCCAGCCATGGGGTGGCTGTGGCTTCCAGCTGTTGTGACTCTTTGGGCTGTTTTGACCTCCCGTTTGGCCTTTTGGCTTTTCCATCATCAGGTGAAATATGCTTCGTTGAATGACCTTTCGTGGGCTGTTTTTCTGACCAAACATTGACTAATGTGGGTGAGTTAAGTTTCAAGTGTCCATATGAGACATTCAAAGGGAGATATTTCACAGGAAGTCATATATAGAGGTCTAAAGCTGTGGAGAGTGGTCTTGGAGGGAGACAGATTTCAGCCAGGGGAGTCGGAGGAATCCTCCAGGAAGACAGCCAAGGAAGAGAGCAGAGGACCTGACACAGAACCCGAGAAACACCAAAAGGAAAGAGAAGCTCAGAAGAAGACCGAGAGGGCATGGTGTGAGGGAGAAAACCATTAGGAGGGTGGTGGCACAGAAACCCAGGAAAGAGCTATTTTCAAGCTAGAGGCATCATTTAAGAGGTTCAACTCTGCTTGGAGGTCACAAAAGATAAGGATTGAGACATAGTGCTTTGGATTTGTCAACAAACAAATCATCACGGGCTTCAAGGAGAGCAGTTCCTGTAGAATATTGGGGCAGAAACCAGACTGCAGTGGACTGAAGGGGAGAGGGGAGGGGAGCAACAGGAGGCAGGTGGAGAAACCCAGTGGTGGAGGGAAATACTAGAGTACTGGACAGAGGGACGCCAAGGACAGAGGAGAGGGAGGGCATTTCCTGCAGGGTAGAGCCTGTGGCTATTTCAATGTGGGCGGGAAGGAGTCGAGTCAGTAGAGAAGGAAAGTGTAGGATGTAGGAAGAGAAGATGGCCTGCTGAGCCCACGGGACACTGGGCTCATGTCTTCTCTAGGATGTCACTAAGTGGACATTCCCTTTCTCTAGTTTTCCACAGGCTCTCTGGAGGGTGCCCCTTGACTCCTTGGGTCGGCAGCCCTTGATTCATTTGCCTTTCTTTCTCTTCTCTTTCAGTACATCGAAGTCATATGCTATGGGAAGGTTAGATTCTTTTGCAGAAAAATTAATTAGTATTATTATATTTTTTCAGAAACGGGGTTTTGCTATATTGTTCAAGCTGGTCTTGAGCTTGTGAGCTCAAGAGACCCTCTTGCTTTGGCTTCCCGAGTAGCTGGGACTATAGGCACGTGCCACAGTGCCCAGTGATAAATTTTTTTTAATTGACAAATAATAATTGTACATATTCATGGGGTACATGGTGATATTTTGGTACATATGATGTCCAGTGATCAGATCAGGGTAATTAGCATATCCATCATCTCAAACATTTATCATTTCTTTGTGCTGGGACCGTTCAATATTCTTCTGGCTATTTGAAACTATATATCATCCTTAACTATAGTCATCCTACACTAGTATTGAACATTAGGACTTATGCTTCCTGTCTAGCTGTAATTTTGTAGCCTTTAACAAATCTCTCCTTATCCTTCCCTTCCCACTATGGGAAGGTTAGGCTCTTGAATCAGTACATCAGACCAAAAAAATTCCATTGATAATGGTTAATTATTTTTGAAAAATTCCCTAGGCCTATACCATTTGGGAGACCTACATGATTGTTTCTCAAAGAGCCGAAGTAGTCCATTTTTCTCCTCTCATTAGGAGAGATTGCTGTTTCTTTGAGAACCAGATGAAGGGGTCGCTTGCCCTTAGGAATATTTTTGCTTGTGTAGAGCAGGCAAAACTCTACCTGTATACTCTTAGGGTCATGGCTGGGCTTGAGAACTAAATTGACATAAGACAGAAGAACAGGAGAAAAGCATTTCAGTTTTATGTGACATGGGAGCCCTTACAAAGAAATGAGGCCCCAAAGAAGTGGCAAAACCAACATGCTTTTATATTAGGTTGAACAAAGAGAGGCAGTTATAGAAAAGTAACTAAATTATATGGGGAGGCCAAAAGAAGATAAGAATTATTTGAACAAGGTCTGTGCGTACAGAAATCTCCTGGCCATGGCTCCCCATCGAAGAATGTTTCTTTTCCCGTGGCACATCTTTCACGCTTGAGTTTTTATCTTCTGTTTTTAGGAAGAAATGGGAAGATTAGGATGTTCTTCTTGCATCTGCTATTTTTAAAGTACCTTTTGCTCAAAATAATTCTTATACCAGTGTGGTATATTTTGGGATGCATATTCTGTCAACCTTCACTTGAAAAATGCAAAAAGCAAGATGCTTCTGGAATGAGAGGCTCCCGAGGACCGGGACTTCTTGAGAGAACAGCAGATTGACACTCCCCATTTCCCTCTGACTCTATGCTCTGAACTCATTGAGCAGATTGGTGAGTGAAATCATGGACATGGTTTCAATGATCATTTTCTCTCTTTTTAATTCAGAACAAATTTAATTGAGTTTATATAAGATATATAAATTAAATATCCATATTATGGGGCTTGTCTGTATCCTCATGATCGCCCTTCTCTTGTTCTTTTCCTACGTCCACCTCCTCTGGGCCTTCAGAACTCAACCCCATGTCATCAGTCCACCCAGCTGCTCCACGGAACGTGTCTTCCTCCTTCTCATCTGGTTGTTGGTGACAACCTTTTTTTCTCCCTGACTTGTGGTGGTCTCATCCCTCCCTGGTGGCTGTAAGCCCAGGGAGATGGACTTTGAGCAAGTGGCTGTCAACTCCATGGATAGGTGGAAGTGATGAGGACACCCAAGTGAGCCAACCCTGAGTCATTTATACTGATGGGCATCATGGAGGATGGAAAAATTAACAGCCACACAGAGCCTCAGAGGTGTAGAGACACATATGCTGGGATCCACATGTTACACACCCAACCTTGCCCTTTGCGGTTCTCTGTTTTGATTCCAGTCAGCTTTCTGTCCTTTCATTTCTTAGGAAGGTCAGTACCAGCCCAGGGATAGTCCCCTGATTCTTCCTACTGCCAAGCCCTAGTTAAACTTCATATCCACTTCCTTGGGTTGCCCTGTCAATCAGTTTAACATGGGGAGTGACTTCCTGCCCTAGGCTACCTTTCTGGCATCCTTCTTTATTGATGATCTTAATGCTGTGTTTTCTTCCAAATATGTACAACTCATATAATGCATGTGTGATCAAAATTATACAAAGAACTAAACATATACTTCCCATTATATTCTAGAGGCACCAGTTGGTGTTAAATTAGCTTGTTTCTTCACTGCTCTTATTCTTTGGACTCTTTTTTCATCCAAGTCTGTTTTTCTTCAGATGATTGTCTGAAGAAAATTTATATATATTTATATAATATACATAATTACTATAAATATATAAAAGTATATATTTATATAAATATAGAAAAATTTTTTGAGTTTGGTTAGATCATTATATTTTACCCTCAATTTCAATTTACCATTACTCTCTAATAATCATTGAAGTGCTATTTTTGATATGTTCATACAGGGATTCACAATAACAAAAATGCTTTTGAAAAATAGTCTGTTTGCAGAGGAGCTCATACAGCATATTCACATACAAGAGTGAATTCTTTTTGTTTGTTTGTTTGTTTTTGAGACAGAGTCTCACTCTGTCACCCAGGCTGGAGTGCAGTGGCGCGATCTTGGCTCACTGCAACCTCCGCCTCCCGGGTAGCTGGGACTACAGGTGCCCGCCACCACGCTGGGCTAATTTTTTGTATTTTTAGTAGAGACAGAGTTTCACCGTGTTAGTCAGGATGGTCTTGATCTCCTGACCTCATGATCCGCCTGCCTCAGCCTCCCAAAGTGCTGGGATTACAGGCGTGAGCCACCGCGCCCGGCCACAAGAGTGAATTCTTAATTCTTTCCCAAAACCTAGCTGATCCTGGCTGGAATTGCTTCTGCATCTGTGGGGTAAGCTAGGGGTTGGCTGTCAGCGCAGCTCATGGGGCTGATGAGCCACATGTCTCTCATCATCCAGCAGGTCGCAGGGGCTTGTGCTTGTGGCTGCAGCAGGGCTCCAGGTGGGAGAGTAGCAGATGCAAGTCTTCCAAAGGCCTAGGCTCCCAAGTGGCCCACCATCATTTCTGCTACATTCTTTTTTTTTTTCTTTCTTTTTTGAGACAGGATCTCGCTGTCACCCAGGCTAGAGTGAAATGGTGTGATCTCAGCTCACTGTAGCCTCGACCTCCCCGGCTCAAACGATCCTTCCACCTCAGCATCCCAAGTAGCTGGGACTATAGGTGCGTGCCACCATGCCCTGCTATTTTTTTGTTGTTGTTGTATTTTTTCTAGATATGGGGTTTTGTCATGCTGCCCAGGCTGGTCTTGACCTCTTGGGCTCAAGCCAGCTGCCCGCCTCAGCCTCCCAAAATGCTGGGACTACAGGTGTAAGCCACTGCACCTGGCCATTTCTGTTGCATTCTATTGGCCAAAGCAAGTCAGAGTCAACCCAGATTCACAGGATGGGGAAACAGACTCCACCTCTTGATGGGAGAAGCTGTAAAGTCACATTGCTAAGGGGGAGGATATAAGGAGGAGACTAGTTGGAACCATTTTTGCAATTTTGGAAGATAACTGCTATCTTATTCAAGGAGGTTACACAACCTCTCACTTTTCAAACATCCCAGATTTCTATAAATCTCCATCTCTGGCTTGGTGGCCCCTAAGAATTCTCAATCCATTTTGGTGAGGGGACATTTAGTGATGAGTGTTGTCTTGCTACATGAGTAGTTCTATTATTGGCATTCCCTTGCTACTCATCCATTATTTATAATGCTTTCCTGTATGTATGTGCAATTATATTTCTGTGTATATTTTGAGAAATAAATTGCACTGGTCCCTTTTCTTTCTCACCCCCTAGAGATGTTATAGAGACAGTAAAAGTGTCCAAATTTGTGAGAAATTGGAATAATCAAGCATTACCTGGATGGAATGCTATTAATGATAGCGATTCACGCTAGAGTCCCTTTCATCTGAGACACTCAGGATCTGTTAAGAGATTAAAAGTACTAAAAGACACCGATCTAGAGAATTTTCATTATCTTGTGCTCTGAAAACTCAGAAGTTCATTGGTTTGAATGGGCCCGAAAATACATTTTTATTACTAGGGGCATAGAAGCCTCTAGCAGCATTCTTAATAAAGCAAGGTGAGTTATAAGCAATCCTTGGATGAAGGGTAAATGTACCACACTCCATTTTAAGAAAAATACAATATAAAAGCCTTAGCATGGAAGAAAATCTTTATATGATCTTTTAAGAAAACTCAAGAAAAATAGAGACATGACACAATATTAAATTTAAAGCCAGGGACTTAGAAGCAAAGAAAAGCAAAGACAGTCTGATTAAGGTTGTTGCATTGTTCTGGCATTTTTTATGTCTCTGCCGTTTCTCTGGCCTTTTTAGATCATAAGCTTTTAGGGCACATGGAACAACTCCATCTTGATATAGTACTGAGCAAACGCACCAAGAGGTTCTCAATAAATGGGCATTAAATCCTAAGTCCAGAAGGGACCTTGAGATGCCCTCTGTTCACTCCCTACTACACCTGGTGGTACTGTGTTTTAAGCAACCCAGAAAAACAGATTCCTTTTTCTTTAAGTCTCCAAATTCAGAGACTCCACAATATGAATTCATTTCTCACCTTTGCCTTGTGCTCTTTTTTAATGTCAGTTTTTTTATTGTGGTAAAAAACACATAACAAACTTTACCATCGTAACTATTTTTAAGTGTCTAGAATGGTAGGGTTAACTATACACACAGTGCTGTACTACAGATCTCTAGAACTTTTTCATCTTGCTAAACTGAAACTCTACGCCCATTGAACAACCACCATCCTTCTTCCTTCCCTCCCAACCCCTGACAACCACCACCTTACTTCCTGTTTCTAAGAGTTTGACTGTGTTAGGTACTTCATATGCAGTATTTGTTTTTTTATGATCTGCTTATTTCACTTAGCAAAATGTCCTCAAGATTCATCCATGTTGTTGCATGTGATAGAATTTTCTTCCTTTTAAAGGCAAAATAATATTCCATTGTATGTATAGACCCCATTTTGTTTATCCATTCATCCATCAATAATATTTGGGTTGCTTCCACATCTTGGCTATTATGAATAATGCTGCTGTGAACATGGGTGTACCATGTCTCTTCAAAACCCTGTTTTTAACTGTTTTGGATATATTCCAGAAGTGGGATTTTTGGATCATATAGTAATTCTATTTTTAATTTTCCTAGGAATGTTCATACTGTTTTCTATATCAATTGCACCATTTTACATTCCCACTAATAGTTCACAAGGGTTCCAGTTTTTGTGCATCCTCTCCAACACCTGTTGTTTTCTGTTTCTTTTTTTTTTTTTGTAGTGGTTTTACTAATTGGTGTAAAGTTATATCTCATTGTGGTTTACCTTTGCATTTCCTGGATTGTTAGGGATATTTAGCATTTTTTCATATGCTTGCTGTTCATTTGTATATTTTATTTGGAAAAATATCTATGTAAGTTGTTTGTTCATTGTTAAATTGTTTTTTTTTTTTAATTTTTATTTTTGAGACAGAGTTTCATTCTTGTTGCTCAGGCTGGAGTGCAGTGGCATGATCTTAGCTCACTGCAACCTCCACCTCCCAGGTTCAAGCAATTCTCCTGCCTCAGCCTCCCGAGTAGCTGGGATTACAGGCATGTGCCACCACATGCCCACCTAAGTTTTCTATTTTCAGTAGAGATGGGGTTTCACCATGTTGGCCAGGCTAGTCTCGAACTCCTGACCTCAGGTGATCCACCTGCCTCGGCCTCCCAAAGTGTTGAGATTACAGGCGTGAACCACCACACCCAGCCAGGTTATTTTTGTTGTTGTTGCTCAGTTATAGTTTAAATAATCTGGATATTAATTCAGTTATTTACCATATTATATGGTCTGCAAATATTTCTTACCATTTTGTACTGCCTTTTTGCTGTTTATTTTGATGGGCAGAAATGTTAAAGTTTATGTAATCACATTTATCTATTTTGTTTTTGTTGCCTGTGCTTTTGGTGTTGTATACAAAAAATTATGCCAAACCAAATCCAATGTCATGAATCCTTTCCCCTATGTTTTCTTCTAGAAGTTTTATAGTTTCACATCTTATACTTAGGACTTTAATTTTTTTTTTTTGAGACGGAATCTCACTCTGTCGCCCAGGCTGGAGGGCAGTGGCACAATCTCAGCTCACTACAACCTCTGCCTCCCAGGGTTCAAGCGATTCTCCTGCCTCATCCACCTGAGCAGCTGGGATTACAGGAACCCGCCACCATGCCTGGCTAATTTTTGTATTTTTAGTAGAGACACGGTTTCACCATATTTGCCAGGCTGGTCTCGAACTCCTGACCTTGTGATCTGCCCGCCTCGACCTCCCAAAGTGCTGGGATTACAGGCGTGAGGCACTGCTCCTGGCCAGGACTTTAATTTTCAGTTAATTTTTGCATATGGTATAATATAAGGGTCCAATTTCATTCTTTTGCATGGGAATATTCCATTTTTACAACACCATTTGTTGAAGAGACTATCCTTTCTGTGTTTTGTAGTTTGGCACCATTGTGGAAGATCATTTGACCATATATGTGAGGGCTTATTTTTGGATTCTTTATTCTGTTCCATTGGTCTATGTGTTTGTCCTTATTCCAGTACCATACTATTTTGATTACCATAGATTTGTAATATGTTTTGAAATCATGAAATGTCTGGCCTCTAGGTTGTTTTTCTTTCTCAAGATTGTTTTGGTTATTCAGGGTTCTTTGGGATTTCATATGAATTTTAAAAATATTCCCCCTATTTCTGCCAAAAAAAAAATGCCATTGAGGTTTTCTTAGGAGTTGTGTTAGATCTACAGGTTGCTTTGGGTAATATGGATATTTTAACAATATTAAGTCTTTCAATCCGTGAACATGGGATGTTTTCCACTTATTTGTGTCTTCTTTAATTTCACTCAGCTTTGTTTTGTAGTTTTTAGAATACAAGTGTTTTGTCTCCTTGGTTAATCCTAGGTATTTTGTTCTTTTTGATGTAATTATAGATGGCTTTATTTTCTTAATTTCCTTTTTCAGATTGTTCATTGTTAGTGTATAGAAATGCAACTGATTTTTGTGTGTTGATTTTGCATTCTGACCCCAGGAGTAGAAAATGTCTGCAATGTGAATACTATAATCCATTTGCTTCATGAGCATTGGCCTGTACCACAAAGTCAAGGTAAGCAGAAGAGCTCTGTAGGCCTTGACTCCAGCTCCAGGCTGCTAGAATTAGAGGTAGATGATCTGGGTTTAAAAACTGATTCTCCCAGTTGCTAGCTGTGTGATCTTGGGTAAGTTATTTAACCTCTCTGTGCCTCTCTCTCCATCAGCAGCATGGGCATAATAATAGACCTTCCCCCAGGAGGCTGGATTATTGGAATTAAATGAGATAATAGATACATGCCTGTAGCAGCACCAGAACAAAGTAAGCATGCAGTGTATGTCATCTCAGCTCTTATTTTTATTAGGAGACAGGTATTGTTAGAAGATACAGTGTAAACAGGACTAAATATACTCTAAAACAAAAGCTCCTACAAAAATGTCAGTCTCCTTTCTTCCTGAAGCTTGCACAAACAGGAAGGGAATGGCTAGAGTAAATAACCCCACACTAGGGACCTCTTGCCTCCAGCAAACAGGGTCTAAGAATTACTACAAGGGCAGGTATGTCAGTCCCTGTCACCCTAGGCTTCCCTTTGATTTCTCTCCCTTATCCTCTGTGGGTGGATTTCCCTTTTATTGCAGGAAGAGAGAAGGAACTTGCATTAAAACTAAATCTATGCTTACTTGGAAACTTCATGACTTTTTAAGTTGAAAAAATTCCTGACCAAGAGAAAGGAGCCAATTCAGGATAGGCTTTAATTGGCTATTAGAGCACTTACTGGGTGGTGGAAATCACTCGGCCTTTGGCTTCAGGCCGTGTGGGGCACCCATGGCAGGCATTAATAGCCCATTAACGCACACCCTGTCACTGCTTTATTTCCTAATTAATACTGCCTGCTTTAGGGATAGCAGAACACAGCTATAAAATTGTTTTATCTATTGCTTCAGCAATGAGGGAGAAAAAAATGTTATTAGCATCTCATGCCTGTCACACATTTGTGGCTGGACTAGAAAATCAGAAGGATCAGTATGGGATTTATTTTCTGAATCTTCACCCCAGAGTGGAGAAAGGTCAATCCCAAACCAAACCCCAAGGAGGCTTGAATTTTGATGGTATTGTCAGCTCTTGGGTTTCCTTTAGCATCTTAGAAATTTGTGAAGCAGAAAGAAATGATCAAAGGCAGGGCAGATTAGCCTCATTCTCCTTTCAGGCTTGAGGAGAGAGAGAAGGGGAGGACTGCCGCGTACAACTGGGCAGGTTGTGCACTGTGCAAGGGCCGGGGGCGGCGGGGGGTGCCTCTAAGACAGCCCAATTTATACCATAGATATAGAATGTTTACGTATCTTGCCAGGTGTGGTGGTTCATGCCTGTAATCCCAGCACTTTGGGAGGCCAAGGCAGGTGGATTGCTTGAGCTCAGGAGTTTGAGACCAGCCTGGGCAACATGAAGAAAACCTGTCTCTTCAAAAAATACAAAAATTAGCCGGGCATGGTGGTGTGTGCCTGTGGTCCCAACTACTCTGGAGGCTGAGGTGGGAGGATCGCTTGAACCTGGGATGCAGAGGTTGCAGTGAGTGGAGATCATGCCACTGCACTCCAGCCTGGGTGACAGAACAAGATCCTGTCTCAAGAAAACAACAAGGAATGTTTACACATCTTATAACTTTCTGACGGATGGAAATAAATGTCTTAAAGTAGTATTTTTTCTTCTGTTTCTCTTATACTGTAGAAGAGTGTTTCTCAACAGGAGTTATTTTGTCCCCTAGGGGATATTTGGCCATGTCTAGAGACATTTTTGGTGTCACAAGTAGGCAATGTGCTTCTTGCATCTAGTTGGTAGAGGCTGAGGATGCTATGAAGCATCCTACAGTGTTCATGGCAACCTCCCACGACAAAGAATTACCCAGCGCACAATGACACTAGTGCTGAGGTGGAGAAGCTCTGGTCCAGAGGATAAAGGCAAGGTTCTCTGTGTCTCAGTCTGACATCTCTTCTCTGCTTGTCCTGGATAAATGACTGCTGGAGAGGATGTGAACCATTTCTGACATTATGCCCTAGCAGCCCATGGCGCACCCTAGGTGCCTGCAGGGGCCAACACGCTCAGAGGAACATAAGGCCACCTGACAGCAGGCCCATGTCCCTGGCAGGGCGGAGGATCAGGGTGGCAGCCATCCTGGGAAAAGCCTTCCTGTCCTGGGGACCTCAGTTCATCAGGCTCAGGTGTCTCTTCTTTTCATCCTGTGGCCTCTGAGATGAACCGGCTTTCCTTGTCTTTCCAAACCTTCCCAACTTGTGATTCCTTGACTCTGAAGAGCGGGACAGAGTATCCTCAGATTTGCCTTCCACATTGCCTCCAAGACCCGTTTTGGAAGGTTTTGTGGATGATCAATTGGGGGATGGGGCAGTAATTTTGAGACACAACAGAGAATTCTCCAGCTGGTGACTGGGTTTCAATCCCAGCTTTTCCACTTGCCAGATGCATGGCCCGTTCACTGAACCTCTCTGTGCCTCAGTTTTCTCATCTGTAAAATGGGGTTGATTACAATAGTGCCCATGTCATAGGGTTTTGGTGAGGATTGAGTTAATACATGTGATGTATCCGGAGCAGCTTTTGGCATGTAGTAAACACCACATAGGTGTTAGCTAATCTAGGCTTCCTTTCACATTCATATTTTGGGTACTCTTGATGGCAGTGGCAAGCCATCCAAAGCGGCCACTACCATCACGTTGGCTGCAGCAGGGAGGCACAGGCAGTGACGGCAAGAGTGGCTGTGGGAGCAGCGTGGTCGAGCGTGGAGGGGTGGGCAGAGAGGGGCCCCGAGGTGGAGCTGGGCCCAGAACAGTGCTGCACTCCACCGAGCCCGTAGGAGCCAGGAGCAGGCAGGAGCCCCACCCTCCCAGGTGCAGCTGCAGCCACCCAAGTCGCGGCTGTGGACCCAGGCATCTCTGCACTCTCGAAGGTCTGGAAAGGGCCCCCGTTTCCCCCAACAGGCTCGGAGTTGTCTGCTCCCCGTGCCTGGCCCCTCCCCACTCCTGCTGCCTGCTCCAATCTCAGAGCAAGGCTGGGCCCAAGACTGGGCACTGTTGCAGCCTGACCGGGTGTGCACAGTATTGGGGCAGCGCTGACACGCCAGCCCCCTGCCATCTTGGCCCCCTCCATGGGCAGACTTTGGGCACCAACTAGCATGGGAGGAAGGCCTAGCAAGGGCTGAGGGCAGTTTGGTGTGGGCCTGTAGGCCCCCCTTGGCACGAACAGCCTGGGCGCCATGAACGGTGGCGGGAGGCAAATGGCTCCTGAGTGGAACGGGGCGGGTCCCCAGGGAAGTCCCACCTTTAGGCTGGGGAGTGCCTGAAGCCTGGAGGCCTGGCTGCTGGTCCCGCGGGAACTTGTGGTGCTTTCCCCAGGCACGCCCATGGCCTCCCATGGACCAATCAGCACACACTTCCTCCCCTCTGAGGCCCATGAAAAGCCCCAGACGCAGTCAGACCAGAAGAGACGTTGGGCCAACCAGCTGCGGAGGGAAGGTATCTACCCCAGGGTCTTCTCTCTGTTGAGTGCTGAAGAGATGACGGGATGACCTGCCTGCAGAGAGGAGCTACCGTCTCTGCTGAGAGCTGAATACTTGTCTGGACACCCTGGCTACAGAGAAGAACTACCCACTGCAGGTCTCCTCTGAGCTGCTCTATCATTCAATAAAGCTCCTCTTCGTCTTGCTCATCCTCACTTGTCTTTCTGAGGAGAATACCTCATTCTTCCTGGATGCAGGACAAGAACTTGGGACCCGCCGAAAGGCAGGGATGCAAGAGCTGTAACACAAACAAGGCTGAAATACACCCCTTGTTCACCACATTGAGGGTGACAAGGAGAGAAGAGAGAACGAGAGAAGAGCTGCGGCTTTTCGAGGAGCCCAGACCCAGGAGCTTCTTGAGCCAGGGATGTGACACTCTCTTTAAGGCTCTGCGGTTCCTGGAGTCTTCAAGCTTCTGGGTGCCACCATGTTCCCTGGTGTCAGCTGGGAACTGCTTGTGGTACGCCTGGTCCGGCCGCAGCTTCGCAGGGAGCTGGCGCTTGTGCCAGTGCCTGGAGCTGCCCGCCCTGCTGCAGCCGGTATGCCTGGCTGTGCACAGTGGCCCAGACCCCAAGCATGCTCACACACCCCTCGCCACTTTGCGTTCGGCTCACCTTTGGCAGGCATGGGATCCAGGCCAGTAGCGTGAGCTGAGTGCGCCTGCCAGGCTGAGTGGGCGGAACAAGCCCAGCAGGTCAGAGCAAAACTAGGGCAAAGGCACCACTGGCCACAGAGGTTACCAGCTGGCAAAGCGACACGGTAAGGATCCCATAACAATGTTTTCAGTTAGCTGTGACTGCCATAACAAAATATGGCAGAGCCCAGCAACCAGAGAGCTTAAACAACAGAAATTTATTTTCTCATGGTCTGGGTCTGGAAGTCCAAGATTAAGGTGCTAGCAGGTTTGCTTTCTTCTGAGGCCCCCCTTCTTGGCTTGCAGATGCCACCTTCTCACTGTGTGGACATCGTTGTCCCTCTGTGTGTGCCTGTGTCTGGTGTCTCTTGGTGTTTCCAAATTTCCTCTTCTTAGAAGGACACCAGTCAAACTGGATTAGGGCCCACCCTAGTGGGCTTGTTTTAACTTAATTACCTCTTTGAAGAAACCCCATCTCTACAAAAAATACAGAAATAGCCAGGCGTGGTGGCACATGCCTGTAGTCCCAGCTACTTGGGAGGCTTGAATCCAGGAGGTGGAGGTTGCAGTGAGTCGAGATCATGCCATTATACTCCAGCCTGGATGACAAGAGTGAAACTCTGTCTCAGAAAAAAAGAGAAAGTTTACAAATTTGTGTTGGGCTACATTCAAAGCTATCTTGGACCACATGTGGCCCATGGGCTGCTGGTTGGAGAAGCCCACTCTAGTCCCTGGACCATACAGCAGGAAAATGTTGAACAATACAAGCCTGATCTGTAAGAGCTTAGAGTCGGGGGAGGGCAAGAGACAAATAAATAATTCTATCTTCGTACTTCTATGAGTAAGGCAGTGCCTGGTGTTTGTGGTTCTCAAAGCATGGTCCAGCATGGAGCTGCAGCAGGAGACTTACCGAGAGTCTTATTAGAAATGCACATTCTCAGGCCACATCCCTGATCCATTGAATCTAAAAGTCTGAGACTGGGGAAGGGTCTGCGATCGTGTTTTAAGAAGCAGTGTAGGCTGTTCTGATGCTTGATGGAGTTTAAGAATGATTGCTGGAGATGAGAATGGGTCAGATGCGGTGTCTGGCAGGTAACAGATGGGTACGTGGGCTCAAGAGTTAGAAAACTGTAGATTCCTATCTCAAGCCAGAGAGACCTGAGTTCCAATCCCTGCTCCATTCCTGATACCAACCTAAATAACAGGGAGAGCCTGTCTAAAAGAAAATGATGTCTATATGGGCATCGAAAAATTAATTACAATTAGAAATTAATTTTTTCACAGTTCCAGAGGCTGGAAGTCCAAGATCAAAGTTTTGGCAGGTTTGGTTTCTCCTGGGTCCTCTCTCCTTGGCTTGCAGATGCCACCTTCTCACTGTGTCCCCACATGCCTTTTTCTCTGTGCTCACACATCCCTGGTGTCTCCTCTTCTTTATAAGGACACTAGTTGGATTGGATTAGATCCCACCCTTTTGGCCTTATTTTCACTTAATTACCTCTTTAAAGGCACCATCACCAATACAGTCACACTCTGAGGTGCTGGGAGTTAGGGCTTCAACAGATGAATTTTGGGGGGGACACAATTCAGTTTATAACACTGGGAAATAATCTAACATAGGCTGGACGTGGTGGCTCATGCCTGTAATCCCAGCACTTTGGAAGGCCAAGGCAGGTGGATCACTTGAGGTTGGGAGTTCGAGACCAGCCTGGCCAACATGGCAAAACCCCCTCTCTATAAAAAAAATACAAAAATTAGCCAGGCGTGGTGGTGTCTGCCTATAATCTCAGCTACTTGGGAGGCTGAGGCAGGAGAATAGCTTGAACCCGGGAGGCAGAGGTTGCGGTGAGCCGAGATTGCACCATTGCATTCGAGCCTGGATGGCAGAGCGAGACTCTGTCTCAAAAAAAAAAAAAAAAAAAAAAAGAACCTAACATAGGCTGTGTTTAACTGTGATACCAGGTGAAATGAGAACCACAATCTCAGGCATAAAGCCCTTCTCCTTCTCCATCAGATTCAAGGTAAGAGCTCAGGCCCAGTTTTGCATCTACCTTATTTATGTTCCCATGTCAATAAACAGTAGGTGTTTCCCTTCCTTCACTTTCCTTTTCTAGCTATTGAGGGGCAGGTTAGAGCCACACTCTGACAGTGATCATGTATCTTAGATTTTTGTGGACAATCATGATTTTAAACATTTTTGTCTGGTGGTCCACCTAAGAGCATGTCATTTTCATACAACAGGCTCCCAAATTAGGTTTAGAAATTATGGCCACAGTGCCTACTGCACTTAAGATGCAACTTGGAGGGGTGGGGAGGGAGTGGCAGGTGACAGGAGGTAAAGCCAGCCGTCAGAGAAGGAGCAGAGAAAATCTGTAACTCTAGAACAAGTCCTGGGATATAATAGTTTACTGTAGCAGCAAGCACTAGTCTCTAGTTTACTGATAACTCTATTCCTCAAAGAGTCTACTAGAAGGAACACTGAATTCACAATTTTCTAGCTGTAAAATGGACATTTTAATACCTGTTTGTTTTCTTTGAAGGTTATTTCAAGAACTAATGCTAATACCAATAAAGCCCTTTATTTATTTAAAAATGAACTAAAGTAACTTGGAAAGTATTACTTTTGCTCTTAACCACTCTTCATAGCTACCAAGCAGCAGCTCTATTTACACTGAATCCTGGAAGTATGAAATGATCCTGTTTATACCCACAAAATATTCTTGTGCAAAGTGTGCAAACGATTAGGGTCCAGCGCTCAGGCCTCGTCCGGGAGCCACTGCATGATGGGCTCAAATCAATACACATTACAGCATCCTCAAGGGTCTTTGGCAAAAGCCTATAAATTACTTTGCTGAAGGCATTTGTTAATTGAACAGCAGACCCTGAGTGGCAGGAACAATGCAATTGTGAGCTGGGAAAAGCCCCTCCGAAAATCAACAGATGCAAGCGAACCAGTCTCAACGGTGAGGGCTGATTATGATGTGGCTTCTATTTTGGACAATAACCTCTGTTTATGATAGCCTCCCGGTCATTAAAAATCTCTGCTGTAAGAGAAAACTGAGGCCAGGCGCAGTGGCTCACGCCTGTAATCCCAGCACTTTGGGAGGCCGAGGCAGGCGGATCACGAGCTCAGGAGATCGAGAGCATCATGGTTAATACGGTGAAACCCTGTCTCTGCTAAAAAAAAAAAAAAAAAAAAAAAAAAAAAAAAAAAAAAAAAATTAGCCAGTCGTGGTGGCGGGCGCCTGTAGTCCCAGCTACTTGGGAGGCTGAGGCAGGAGAATGGCATGAACCCGGGAGGCGGAGCTTGTAGTAAGCCAAGATCACGCCATTGCACTCCAGCCTGGGAGACAGAGCAAAAAAAAAAGAAAAAAAGAAAACTGAGCTATTAACTTCTTCAGAAAAAAACAGGGGGAAGAGTGGTCATTTCTTTTATAAGCAGAAGGGAAGGTGCTGCTCAATAAAGATCAATTAAACATCTCTGTTAAAAGGCTGCTTGGGAGCGGGTGCCAATAGAAACTCCTCCATATTAAGCCCATGTTCCTACATTCCTCCAGCCTTCCCCATCTCTGTTATTTTGCTCTGGGGAAAATTTTAAGGGGACACTGGCTATTGTAATTATATAAGGTGACAGTGGCTCTCACGTCTATGGCTGAATGATCTTTGATGTTGAATGACTTCTCATGCATTCAGTAAGGGCATCCCCAGACAACAACAGGCAAATCAAATGCTTTTCTGGACTCAACTGAACATCAGCCATCTTCATGAGAGAGTTAAAAAAAAAAAAAAGCAGCCAGGTGCTGTGGCTCATGCCTGTAATCCCAGCACTTTGGGAGGCTGAGGCGGGTGGATCATGAGGTCAGGAGATCGAGACCATCCTGGCTAACACGGTGAAACCCTGTCTCTACTAAAAAATACAAAAAATTAGCCGGGTGTGGTGGCGGGCTCCTGTCGTCCCAGCTACTCGGGAGGCTGAGGCGGAAGAATGGCATGAACCCAGGAGGCGGAGCTTGCAAAGAGCTGAGATCGTGCCACTGCACTCCAGCCTGGGCGACAGAGCGAGACTCTGTCTCAAAAAACAAACAAACAAACAAACAAACAAAAAAACCCAGAAAAAACACAATAATAGGTACCCCAAAAGATTACATGGTGGTCAGAGCTACTAAATCCTGGGATGCAGGAGTAGCTTGAGGGGCCCTGGGTGGTTCATTGTGTAAAGAGCATAGTTCAAAGCTCCCTGTAATCCCCACCATTTTCCACTTGAAGCTTCATCGTAGTCCTTTAAAATACTGTATGTTTCTATTATGTTTATACTGTGTCCTTATCATGTAAGCTGGAACTCTTGTTCAGAATTAACTGCCCTGTTTTCTGAGCTCTGGTACAGTCTTCTTATATTTCAATTATCATACTTCCTAAAAGTTAATTTTTCAAATATCTGTATCTTGTCCAAGATGTAAACTCCTTTTTTATCTTTTCATACTCTCTCATCCATTCATCCCGAGATTTGGTTTGAGTCTTTGCATATCACAAGTGTATTGAAATAAGCTTGCAAGTATCACAGTCTGCATCTTGACAGTCACATTCGTAAGAGGAGGGCTTGCACTCCGGCTGGAGTTACGTGAGAATCCACGTCCAACGAATGAATATGGCTTTAAGGGGGACACTTCCATTTTCGCTTAAAACCAGAAATTGTTGAACTTAATTATCACCAGCAGTAATTCAGACATCAAAGCTCTAGGCCTCTCTGTATTAGTTTTCCGTTGCTATGTATCAGAAATGTAGCAGTTTACTGCAATAAAAATTTATGAGCTCACAATTTTTATAGGTCAGAAGAATAGGCATGGTGTGGCTGAATTTTCTGCTGTGCTCCGTGACTCACTGGGCTGATGTCAAGGTATTGGCCAGGGCTCTGGATCTCATCTGGGGCTTGGAATCTTCTTCCAAGCTCAGTAGCTGTTGGCAGAACTCATTTCCTTATGGTTGCAGGACTAGAAGCCGTTTCTTGCTGGCTGTCAGCTGGGGTGCTCTCAGTTCCTAGAAGCCACCCACCTTCCTTGCCCCACAGACCCCTTCATCTCTAAGCCAGCAATGGACACTCTCCCCTCTACTTTGGCCCCTCCTTCCACTGTGATTCTCTCTGACTGGCCTGTCTCTGACCCCTAACTCAGGTTTCAAGGGCTCCGTTGATTCCATCAAGCCTATGAGGATAATTGCTCTACCTTAAGGTCAACTGATTTGGGACCTTAATTACATCTGTAAAATCCTTTCAGAGTAGCACCTAAATCAGTGTGGTTAAATAATTTGAAGAAGTGTGTCTACACCGGGATATGCCAATCTTGGAGGCCATCTTAGAATTCTGCCTAACACATTCACCAATATGACAAGTTGCAAGCTTTGCTTACCTGTCTGTGCTGGACCTACCAAGTCTTCTCCCTGTGTCTTGTAGTTATGTAGACAGAGGAGATCAGCAACCTCCATCTGACATTAAAAGTGCTGCTTCTTGAAGAGGGAGGGAAGATATAGCTCTGACTTTATCCTTCAACATGAGTGATGTTTCATGGCGTTTGGAAGATGCCCTTGTAAGTCAGTTGCCTGTTAAGACACAACCTTAGTGAGTTGACCACTAGTGAGCATTAAAGGCTTTTTAAAAATGGTATTATGGGCCGGGCGTGGTGGCTCATGCCTGTAATCCTAGCACTTTGGGAGGCCGAGGCGGACAGATCACCTGAAGTCGGGAGTTTGAAACTAGCCCAGCTAACGTGGTGAAACCCCTCCTCTACTAAATATATATATATATGTATATAAAATTAGCCAGGCATGGTTGCGGGCGCCTATAATCCCAGCTACTTGGGAGGCTGAGACAGGAGAATCGCTTGAACCCGGGAGGCAAAGGTTGCAGTGAGCTGAGATTGTACCACTGCACTCCAGCCTGGGCAACAAGAGCAAAACTCTGTCTCAAAAAAAAAATGGTATTAAAAAGGTATTATGAATGGTCTAAGATAGGGGTCAGCAAACTACAGCCAGCCACCTGGTGTTTTTTTTTTTTTTTTTTTTTTAGACGGAGTCTTGCCTCACTCTGTCACCAGGCTGGTGTGCAGTGTGACCTCGGCTCACTGCAGCCTCTGACTCCCTGGTTCAAGCGATTCTCCTGCCTCAGCCTCCTGAGTAGCTGGGATTACAGGCGTGTGCCACCACACTCAGCTAATTTTTGTACTTTTAGTAGAGACGAAGTTTCACCATGTTAGCCAGGATGGTCTCAATCTCCTGACCTCGTGATCCGCCTGCCTCGGCCTCCCAAAGTGTTGGGATTACAGGCGTGAGCCACTGCGCCTGGGAGCCACCTGTTTTTATAAGTAAAATATTGGATAACAATCATGCCTATTCATTTGCAAATGATCTCTGGCTGCTCGTGTGGCACTACTACCAGGTTGAGTACTGAACTCAACTCTCTGACAACAGAAAAATACTCTCTAGCCCTTTACGCTGGTGACTCGTGGTCTAAGACCATTCCCACAGTTGCCTGATGATAAGTATCACCTGGATCATTTGTTAACAAGACAATTTCTGGGCCCAGTGTAGACCCACTGATTCAGAATCTCTGGGGCGAGGGAGAGGGGTGGGGGTGGGAAGCTGTGCTGAGCAAGCTTCGCAGGTGATTCTCATCACCACGGAAGGAGTGGTCTCAGGTGTGCCTTCCTGCCAGGTGAGGGAGAGCCTTTAAAAGAGGAGTAGAGCTCCTCTACTCCTCTTTTAAAAAGAGCACAGACTTTTTTTTTTTTTTTTTTTTCTCTTCTCCTTCTCACTGTCTGGGTCTGCTTCTCAGCACTGCCTTGTGAACGATCACCATCTCAGGTAAGTTACATTTAATCCTCGGTTTATTTACCTCAGAAATGAGGATAATGATGTTTAATTGTTAGCATGCACATATATGCAGAGGGCCTAATACAAGGTCAGTGCTTAATATTGGCAACCCTCAGTAAGAGGAGAAGCACAGTATACACATCAGATGATCCGAAGGCAGCAACCACTCATGGATAAGATGAGCCAGGCTAAGTCTTTACAACAATACTCCACGGTGCATAAGCAGCTCTGTCAAAAAGAAAAACTTCCTATAAAGCAATCTTATTACAGAGTGCTTCCAGGACAGCAGAAAGCCCCTTAGAAACTCAAAATTCCCTGCAGACCACTGAATATTGCAAGAGGTCATAACTGATTAGGATATAACTGAGTTTGCAAAGGAATACTTAATTTTGTGATTGAGAACCCTGGTACTTAGCAGGAAACCTTTTCTTCCCCCCTATTTCTGAGGTTAATGCTTTTAGAAATCACTGCCTGATGAGATCATGCAAATTCAGCCATCTGTATAGCTGTTGAAAGAAAGTTTTTAGATAAATTGCTATGCCTTTGCCACATAAATCCTCATAAGATACAGGACTCCAATAATACTTCAAGTTACAAGGGAGTTTCATATTTTACTAAAAGGGGGAAAAATCAATCTTGAATCTCTTAGTCCAGTGACCAAAGAATCACTTCATTGATTTTGTTCAGCTACTCAGGTGGGTGTACAATTTATCCTGATCTGATCTTATCTGATTTAAAGTTTACTTTTTCTGGGAAGTATTAATTTGAGTGTTATATGGATAGTACTGTAATACCAGACCCTCTTTACGGCCACTTTGCACAGCTTATATAAACATCCCAGGATAGAGTTTCGTTTTAATGTTTTCTCAAATTTAGAATTTGTGTTGGCTGCAAGTTATTCCCCTTTTCAACAGAAGAGGGAGGCAGAGGCTTGTCTAATAACTAAATAAATAAAATACAATAAAAAATAGTGTACCTAAGAACCAGGCTAGAGGGAAAGGGATCTGTACTCTTTTTAGGGAATCAGGTAAACAAGAACAGGATGAATTCTGCCAAGCATGATTTAGATTTTAAGAAAAAAAAATTGGAAATTGAGTGTTTTGCTGATTTAATATTTCAATTTCAGTTTCTAAAAAAGTACCAGCTGGTATTATGCTCACTGCCTGGGCAACAAGATCATTAGAAGCCCAAACCTCAGTCTCATGCAATATACCCACATAACAAACCTGCACATGTACCCCATGAATCTAAACTAAAAACCGAAATATGTAGTGTGAATCCTATTTAGTGAAAAGCAAAACATAGACGATAACACACTGATAAATTAACAGCAATTATTTCTGTGTAGTATTTTTGGTTAAGTATTTTCTATATAATTTTCAATAGTTTCCAAATCTATGAGAATAAGCATGTATTCTTTTACAACCAAAATAAACTCTGCAGAGGGCAGGGGGAGGGATATTCACTTTTATGAAATGCAATGTTGGGATCTTGCTAATACCCTAAAACATAGCGGGATGGACACAGGGTACTTCAGGGTCTGATAACTCCCTAAGCAAACTGCTGGGCAGCAGGCCACCTGGCTGACTCTGGGCTAGCTGCTACAGTATTTCTTTGCTGTCATTCCAGGGGAAAAGCTAGAGATGCTGACCGCAATTAGCTGCATGAGTTCCTGCTGGGATTGTCTGACTCTAGGAGATTCTCTTAGACTAATGTCTCCTGGGCAGATGCCCCACCCCAACTCCCAAAGAGTTCCTGTGGTTCACACCTGGTGCCATTCAGCCGCCAGGCCCTGCTTAGTAAGCCCCCTAGAAAGGCTGCAGTTAATTAAAAATTCAGAGGGGCTGCGCCTACCTAGCCTACCTAGTGAGGCAGCCGTTGGGGCTAGAACTTTATCACCTGTGGGCTTCTGTATCCTATAGTTTCCAAGGGGAGGGTGGGGAGGGAAGATGCAGGTCCTTATTTGATGGGAGAGGTGAATATTTGGGTTTTGGGCTTGTTTCACTTCAGAGATTCACCCATTCAGACACATAAGAGAATATAAGTTTTATTTTTTATGTTTTGTCCCTGGCATCAGAAAACTCTAGGAGATAGAGGCATTGGAGTCAGCTGAACTGGGCTGAGTTTGATGCCACTTGCCAGCAGTGTGACCTTGGGATTTCTGGTCTTTCATCTGTAGAATGGAAATTATAATACCAGTCTTGTCATCCTCAGAGATTATTGTGAATAGCCAGTGAAATATGCGTATGAAAGTGTTTTTGAAATGACAAAGTACTGTGTATAATGTGTGTAGGGGATGGTGTCCCAGATTGAAGTTAAATGAGATCCAGGACTGTGATAGGTCACAAGAAGAGGGGAGGCAGGGCCAGGACTACCATGGAGCAAGCAGGGTGGCCAGGGTGCAAAATTTGAGGAGGCACTTCCTTACAGGGGTGGTCATATGCCTCCTCTGAGTGGGCAAGACCCTGAGAGTGAGGGTCTTGTTAAATTTATCTCACCCACCCTACTCCTGGTCCTGAGTGTAAGTAAAATCTGTGCCTATTAAAATTACAAATGCAATATATGTTCATTGTAGCAAAGCCCACTATACCTAATTTTGCAGAGGTGTGATCACTTGGGCAGTATCTTAGGCCGCCCTCCTTGCATTTTTTTGTTTTGTTTTGTTTTGAGACTGAGTCTTTCTCTGTCGCCCAGGCTGGAGTGCAGTGGCGCAATCTCGGCTCACTGCAACCTTTGCCGTCCGGATTCAAGCGATTCTCCTGCCTCAGCCTCCTAAGTAGCTGGGATCAGCGGCATGCACCACCATGCCCCGCAAATTTTGTATTTTTAGTAGGAATGGGGTTTCATTCACGATGTTGGTCAGGCTGATATTGAACTCTTGACCTCAGATGATCAACCCACCTCAGCCTCCCAAAGTGCTGAGATTACAGGCATGAGCCACCACGCCCAGCCTTCCTTGCATTTTTTATCCATTTGCAATGTTAAGCTAGGCTTCTTGCTCTCACTTAATGGGCAGCACAGAAACATGCAAAAGAAACACAAATCTGATCACAAGACCTCTGTGGGTGTTCTAGATCTTTGTTATAGATTTACTTGCGGACTCTGAAAGGATCACACGGTGCATGACACAGCAAAATTTACTTAAACCCTACTTTACCCAGCTTTCTCTTCCCTGGGCCGAGTCTTGTGGCAGTTGCTCCAAGATCTCCATTTCCTCTCCTTGTAAACGCTCTTAGGTACCTCTTTTTCTCTACCTCCTAGCTAGACGCTACCCTTCATCCACTAGCTCCTCTTTCATGTTGTTACGTGTAAAACCATCTGGCCAGTCCAGGACTCTAACACTTGTTATTATTATCTCCCAAATCACTTCTTGAGGGATCCAAGTGGTAAGGAAACACTTCTCTTTAGGGATGGGGAAGAAAGGAGAAAGGTTGTCAATACTTCGGTAGGTTTTGTTCTGGACATGAACACGTAGCTATGTATATCTACCTCACCGATTTTTAAAAATGGGGCCACACTAGGCCAGGTGCAGTGGCTCATGCCTGTAATCCCAGCACTTTGGGAGCCCGAGGCGGGCAGATCACCTGAGGTCGGGAGTTCGAGACCAGCCTGGTCAACATGGGGTAACCCCGTCTCTACTAAAAATACACAAATTATCTGGGCATGGTGGTGCGTGCCTGTAATCCCAGCTACTTGGGAGGCTGAGGCAGGAGAATCACTGGAACCTGGGAGGCGGAGGTTGCAGGGAGCTGAGATTTCACCACTGCAGTCCAGCCTGGGTGACAGAGTGAGGCTGCGTCTCAAAAAAAAAAAAAAAAAAAAAAAAATTGGGCCACACGAAACCTAATGTCTTCTGATTTGCTTGTTCCATTTAACAATGCATCTTAGAGATCTTCTGTAGCAATATTTACAAGCCAACCTCATTGTTCTTAACAGCTGCCTATATTCTGGAGTTATTTTAACCATTTCTGTACCAGGAGATGTTTCTGTTGTTTCTTGTTTTTCACTCTTGCAAATAATCTGCAGTGAAAATCCTCCTACACTTTGTTTCCTTGCTCACTTAGTTTAATTTGCTAGGTGAAAGAGGATGCAAATTTTAACAGCAGATTATGGGAGGGGCGATTGGGAGCATAGCATGGGATTGATCTGTCCCTGGTATTTTTCTTCCTGACCCATCTCCACTGGATTCATGTTGAAAAACCGTTTTCATTTATGGCTGAGGGGTTGTAAGTAAAAACTGGGGGAGCTATTTTTCTAAAAAAAAAAAAAATCCTCAGTAATATATTGTAGCACAAATATTACTTGGGAGTAATAGCTCAGAAGAGGAATGAGGAGTTTCTGCCTATTACGCCAAGTAAACCATCCTGTAACTTTAGCCAAGCTGGGGTCCCAGGTCTGGGAGTGTGTGATGAAGTCGTGCAGACACAGCGCCACCCAGTGGCTGTCTGGTGAGGACGGGATTGTTTGCAGGGATGAGTGCAAAATCCCTGGGAACTCCTAGAGATGCCGGAGAGGGCATTTTACTGGAGGCTGAGGTCCTGCTTGAGCAGCAGGGAAGATTGGAGCCAGTGACATTTGGGTTATTGATGAAGTGACTTCATATGTAGCCATAGGCTTGTGCCTGAGGCAACTCAGGTTACTGTTGCTTTTGAATGCATTTGCATTTTATGTCTCACACAGTATCTACGTCTATTGGAACAAAATAGTGGCACTGTATGGGAGCGAGTTCTTCCTTGCTCTCTAGGCAGTGCTTATATGACTTCAGAGACCTCTGCCATAACTCTGTGGTCCATAAATTGGGAACGACTGAGATGGGATATTGAAAAGCTGAGTGCAAATGAAATCATTAACTCAATGTCAGGGGGAGCATGCTTTTGAAAGGAATCCTACAGTGAATTCTCATCATGCTGAAGGAACTCCCTGTCGCTCATACTCAAGATCCTAGAATGCCTCCCCGATGTAACAAATCAACTTCACAGGCAGCTTGTTATCCTTTCTTCCACTTGAAGGTCCCACCCTATAAGAGCTCTATTTCCTACAGCTCTGGATTAGGACAGGTGCGGTCTGTCATTGCTATCGGGCCAACTCTATGCTTATTTCTGCTTCTCTTAGTTTCTGTTTTTCTACCTCTGTGAAATGCCGCCTGTGACCCTTTAGTAACTCAAAGCCTACCATATTTCCATGCCCTTGTTAAAGTCCTTCTTAAGGCTCCCAGAAGTCCTCTCAGCCAACTTGGTCCGAAGTGACCTTTCCTTCTGCAAACTCCTCATTCTTTGACCTTTGGTATCATAAGTTTGGCATGTTACTTGTCTTCTCAGCTAGACTCTAAATTCTCTGAAGTCAGTGATGTTTAATGTCATCATAGCTCCTTGAAGCAAGGTGCTAGACACAAAAGAGTGAAATAGTATTTAACTTATTGTGTAACAAAGAATAGCAAACCTGAGTGATTTTTCTGGTAAACTTGGCTCTTCATCTATTGGATCTGCTGCAAGTACATTTTAAAAATCTTTATTGTCTCTCTCTTTAATCCACCCATTCATTCATATATACGAAGTGCTATTTACATGCCAGGCACATCCCTATTTGGCAGAGAGTGGAGAAAAAACCTTGATATTTTTATAACTGTGACAAATGGGCAGCCTGTGCTCTGTGGACAGGGAGGGCCCTGACGACCCACCAGCAGTGGCTTTGAAGATGTCTGTTTCTCCAGTTGCGTTTGTCCTCTATGTTCTTACCTGTGCCCTGTAGATCTGCGTTAAATGCTTGTAAGAGGCTGGACAAAGCTATGGGGCATGGACTTTCACTACTTTCACTTTCAATGGAGATGTGTTCCTGTGAAAAGCTTGCCCATCGCTGTAGAAAATCGAGCCAGTTGCTCATAAAAGCTGAGCTAGTCTGCCTGGAAGAGGGATTGAAAACCCAGACCACCTTGATTGTGTGTCTATATTCTCGCCCTAGAGCACTGCTTGGGAAGTATCTGTTGAACGAGTGGTGTTCATACTTCTATTGGTGGCGACCATGCTTACTCCGCTTTTGGTTGACTTTTTCTACGTGAACAATATTTTGCTAGCCTCTGGGTTAAGAGTAGTTATTTAATGCACACAGACCAATAGGCAACCGCTAAATGGTAGAAGTTTAGGGGATGTACTATCTTGGGAGGATTTATACCAATTACTCAACTGCCTGAATACCAAGTTCCTTCCTATTAGCTTTATAATAAGATAAACTAGTTCTCACATTTATCCCAAGAAGACAGGCTTATCCATATCATCTATATTTTAGCAGGCAGTACCAAACTTCAAGCCTCCAACACATTTTAAATCTTGCCATGTTGTATATTTTAAGTATCATTAAAAAGCCACTTTCTTACTTTAAAAATATGTGTGCAATATATTTTATGAAACCTATAGCAAGTCTATGAAAAATTGATTATTTTTTCCATAGGGATATGTTCAAATGATTTTCATTCTGCTCACCAAATGAAAAATCTAGCTCACATTATGTCCTTTATCTTATTTACTCCCTCTCCTGTGTATATAATCACCATGTTCCCAAACAAAGAGAAATGGGTTACTGTGTTTGGGTAGCCAAATAATTTCCTGTATTGGGCAAAGGAGTTGATGCAGATCTAAACTAGGAAGCATGCATTTCCCTTTCAGATGCCTTATTTTCCTATTCTGTACCCTCTTCCGGCCAACTCTACGTGGGCTGGGTCAGAGTATGCGATGGGGGTGCTGTAGTGAGTGGCAGGCAACTGTGGCTGCTGGTGGAGCGAACACATGATGGAAACATCAGTCACTGCAGGACTCCAGGAAGATGCAAGGAGCTTCACAGACAAAGATAAGAATTGTTCTGTGCTTTAGTCAGGATTATTTCTTAAAAACGTGTGCCAGGGCACAGTGGCTCATGCCTGTAATCCCAGCACTTTGGAAAGCCGGGGCAGGCAGATTGCTTGAGGCCAGGAGTTTGAGACCCGCATGGGCAACATGGTGAAACCCCAACTCTACTAAAATTACAAAAATTAGTGCGGTGATGCCCTGTAATCCCAGCTACTTGGGAGGCTGAGGCAGGAGAATCGCTTGAACCTGGGAGGCAGGTTGCAGTGAGCCGAGTTTGCACCATTGCACTCCAGCCTGGGCAACAAAATGAGACTCTGTGTTCCCATTTACCTTCTGTGGTGCTCCTTCCTACAGGCTGATCATGGCTGAGGTTGTCTTCCCTAGTATCCACTTTCTCCCTGTTCCTTGGGGTCAGAACCATGGCAGGAGGTATCACCAACAGCTCCTCTGTACCTGAGTCTCTTCCCAACTGTTCCCCACCAACTCTTCCATCCGAGAGTCCCGGGTACTTGTAAAACCCTCAGGACAGACAGAGGGTAGGGGAATTGGGCAGCTTGTCAGAGTGACAGTGAGATGAAGATCAAGTCTCACCCATAGCTAAGGTAGGAATCAAAAGAGCCTTTGGAGCTGGGGTACCAGTTGAGTGCACCACCTTTGTTTCACAAATGAGGATGAGACAGGCAATGAACAGAGGCTCAAGAGACAGTTGTGATAATTTCTGAGTACAGGGGAATAGGAGAGTCTAGGGAAATGGGATTTAGCAGGCAACGGGAGCAGGAAATTGGACATCGTGATGTCTGGCGTGCCAGTGCCTGACCCAGTAAGCCGAAGAGTGGAGTCAGATGTGACTGGAGTGGAGGATTCAGGGGGTCACTTAAGCTGGGGCCACATTGTGGAAGATCTCAAGAACCATGATGGGGAGTTATAAATGATCTATGCATGGAGGGGCCCCGCGGGTTTTTGAGATTGAGATTTTTGAAGGCATGATCTGATCTGAGGCTTTGGAATCACCATAAAAAGAATTTAGAGGTTGTCCTGTGTTGTGGTTTTAAACGTGTACTCTGAGGAACCGCCTTAGGGGCTGCTCTTGTGGAGGTGGTGAAAGGATCTGGGAAAAGCCAAGAGGCTAGGATCTTGGGCCCCTGCTTGCGCTAAATCAGGCAGCCCTGCCCCTGTTTTTCTTATCGAGCTGCCAGGTAAAATTTCTTCTTTTTCTTGTGATAAAGAACATAGAAGGTAAAATTTACCATCTTAACCACTTTTAGTTGTACAGTTCAGTAAAGCATATTCACATTGCTGTGAAACAGATCTCTAGAACTATTCCACTTGCAAAACAAACTCTATACCCTTTGAATAACCACTCCCCGTTCGACCCTTCCATCCCAAACCCCTGGTAAACCACCTTCCTCTTTTGTGTTTTTATGAATTTGGTCGGTCATGTAAGATTTATTTTGAAAAACAGTGCTAGAGCTGAGATGGTTGGAAAGCCATTGATCGATCATCCTACCCCGCTTTCTCCTGGCTTTGACAAAGAGAAGGCTGAGGTCCCGGAAGCCAAAGTGGCCACCTTGTGATGAAGACGTCATGCACACAGATACTTAAACCAGGGTGCCAGGAATCTAGGTTCTGTGTCTACAGTTTTGTAGACTAGGTTCTGCTGCTGTGTGTGTGATAGTCGTCAAGCAGCCGATTTAACTTGGTGCCTCGGTTTTCTTATCTGTTAAAGGATGTGACAGTAACAGCATCTCCCTGATAGACTTGTTGTGAGGATTAAGCCAGGTAATGTAAATAAAGCACTTTCAACCGGGCCTGGCACTTATATAAGTGTTTGCTGTTATTAAGTGACTTCCTGGCACAGCATGGCTCCTTATGAAGAAAGCTGTTCCTATGGACCTATAACCAGTGCCTGTGCTGCATGCTCTGTCTCCTGAGTCTTTCACCTAACACTGAATAGATGGCTTTGACTCAACCTGCCTGCCTTCTACATAGCCCTGTTTCTCATCTGGGGCATGCCACTGATGTCAAAGGATGCTCCATCAAGACCTTAATTTTCAAGGGGAAAGTGGTAGAGGACACATCACATAGCACAGGAGGAATGGACATCCTGTGACATTAATCTGAAAAGTAGTTATGGAACGCTTTAGATAAGGCAGTGGCTTAGGTGCTGAGGATACTGAATGAACAGACCAGGCAAAAGTCCCACTGTCATAGAGCCTGCATTCTAGCAGGGCAAAGCTTTGCAATGCAGACCTTTCAATAAATGAAATGCTTTTCTTGGACTCGTATGCCCCAGGAAGATGAAAAGTTTGCATAAAAATGCTCAGATTTGGAAATGGAACACTTTAGACTTATTGCTATAGTGCCTCTGAAAAGTGGTTTGTAAAAATAGATACTAAAAATGATGCAGACATACTGGTGCTCTTAGGTTGAGACAATTTTTCAGGTACAAAGTTTCCAAATCGATTTATCTCAAGTTCTGATTCAAGGGTTGTGTATATAGTACAGTTTGTCATCTTTAGAACTTGGTGAGGACAGCATTAGGCTTGTTTTACTTGTGCTTCAATCAGATGTCAGGAGGAATGTGGGATTCCACCTGCCGATGCCTCTCCGGGGCTTCATCCTTTCCTCCTCAATATGAGCAGATGACATTCAGATACCCAGCAGCAGAAGCAGAGACGGTGTGGGGACTAGTTTTGTTGGGGAAGAAAATAGGAATTGCCATTAGACTAGGATGAACTGAAGCTCACCTGTCACAGGGTGGGGACTATTCTGTGAGGAAAGAAAGAAAAGAATGGTCACACAGAGCACTCAGCTGCTTGTGAGTCCCCTATGCCATGTGCACTGCAGCCATTGCTATAAAGCACAGCACTTCCTTCCTTGGATCCTACAAATGCTTCATTTGTAGACACTTCCCAACACCGTGCTTCCAGGTGCCACTGCCAGTCAAGGCTGGTGGGTGATGTGCATCTCATGGACCATCAGGAGCTACTGGTGGCCATTAAAGTCATTAGACACATGGGAGCTATGACTCAGAGACCCATACAGCCTATCATTACCCCCACTTCTTTCTCATGAAGTCTCCCCTATTTTGTTGAGGTAGGGGTGGAGATCCCTTGACCTTAGGGAATAAGGGCTCTTTTTCAGCCCTAGGGGATGGCTTAGGGAGGTCTAGGCCAGTTGTAGTAGTCCCATTTCCTTTTGCCAGCCTTTTGTGCAGCTCTAAGTGGCTACATGACACTGGCTGCTGAGTCCCTTGGCAGTTTCTGGGAAAGACTTCTTTTTCTGTTTCTTTTTTTTTTTATTATTATTTTGAGACAGGGTCTCACTCTATCACACAGGCAGGAGTGCAGTGGTGTGATCTCAGTTCACTGTGCAACCTGCATCTCCCGGGCTTAAAGAATCCTCTCACCTCAGCCTTCTGAGTAGCTGAGACTACATATGTGTGCCACCATACCAGGCTAATTTTTGTATTTTTAGTAGAGACGGGGTTTTTGCCATGTTACCCAGGCTGGTCTCAAACTCCTGAGCACCTCCTTGCCTTGGCATCCCAAAGTGCTGGGATTACAGGTGTGAGCAACCATATCCAGCTGACTTTTTAATTTCTCAGATAAAAAGGCATAAAAGTTATTTTTTGAGGAGAAAGCTTTTTGCCCACCCTTTTCTTCTAGTGTAGCACACTGTTACAATGATACAATGCCCGGAGCAGTAGCAGCCGGTTTGCAAACCTGAGTTATCAAAAAAAGAAAATTGGACAGAAGCTAGTTGGATCCCTGAGACTAGATTATCACTGCATCTGGGCTGCTTTCTCCCAGATTTCCTGTTACATGAGACAATTGGGGATGTCTTTGTCATGCCAGTCAGGCTCTCTGTCACTGGAGACTGAGAGGATTCTAAAACTGATAGAGCAATTTTAGTCCTTGTCTTTTTTTTTTTTTTTGAGATGGGTTCCCACTCTGTCACTGAGGCAGCAGTGCAGTGGTACCATCATAGCTCACTGTAGCCTCAACCTCCTGGGCTCAAGTGATCCTCCTGCCTCAGCTTCCCAAGTAGCTGGGACCATAGACGTGCAACCATGCCTGGCTATGTTTTACAATTACTTTTTTTTTTTTTTTTCTGTAGAGATAGGGTTTCACTATGTTGCCCGGGCTGGTTTCAAACTCCTGGCCGATCCTCCTGTCTCAGCCTCCCAAAATGCTGGAATTACAGGCATGAGCCACCACTTCTGGCCAGTCTTTGTCTTTGAGGTGGGATGCCCACATAGCATATGGGTTTCCATAATGGTGGCTACTATGTAACCAAGAGACTATGTAGCCTAATGTCCCAAATTGCTATGATTCTGACTTGGGCTCATCAAACTTTAGTTTTGGAGGGAAAAGAAACCATCAGAGAACATCGAATCCTGGGTTTCCCAAGGTGGATTCTGTTGAATTACAGACATAAAAGATACTTGCACCCAAAAGCGTTCCACAGCCAAGTAGGTTTGAGAACACTTCCTACCACATCCCCTTCTCAGAAGAGACTAGGTTCTGTGTCTACAGTTTTGTCTATTCTTCCACAGCCCATGCTCAGGACCTCCTCCTTTCTTGTTTGGACCTGCGCTGTAGCCTTACTTCTGGCATTGCTGCATCCCTTTATTCCCTATGCTCTTTGACTACTAATCTCTCTCGTTGCCTTCATTCACTCACAGCTGAGCACTTGGTAGGTGCTATGCACCGTTGCAGTTGCTGGAGACATGACAAAAAACAAAACAGGAGATATCCACCCTCATGGAGCTTACATTTCAGTCAAGACAGGTACGCATGGCCAGATGCCATGGCTCATGCCTATAATCCCGGCACTTCGGGAGGATGAGGTGGATGGATCTCCTGAGCCCAGGAATTCAAGACCAGCCTTGGCAACATGGAGAAACCCTATCTCTACAAAAAAAAATACAAAATTAGCCAGATGTGGTGGTGTATGCCTGTAGTCCCAGCTAGGAGGCCGAGGCATGAGGATCACTTGGGCCTGAGAGGTTGAGGCTGTAGTAAGCCATGGATGCACAACTGCACTGCAACCTGGGCAAGACCCTGTCAAAAAAAACAAAACAAAAAAAAACAAAAAACAAAAAACAACTATGTAGTAAAGAACTACAAAGAAAAACATGTAGTATATTAGAGAATAAGAATTTGGAGAAAAATCAACCAGGGAAAAGAGAGGAGGTTCAATTTGGAATAGAATTGCCAGGTAAGGCCTGCTGCAAAAGTGACATTTGGGTAGAAGCCTAAGCGGGTGAAGGTATCTGAGGAAAAGTGCCTCAGGGAGAGAGAGAACAGCGTGTATAGGGGCTCTGAGATGGGAGAGGGCCTGTGTTTGAGGAAGGGTAAGGAGTGAGAATGACTGGAGTGAGAGTCATTCTCAGAGTTGTGGGGGCCATGGTCAGCTGAGCTGTGGGCATCAGTCATGTGATGCTCTCTAGACCACTGCAGGGCTGTGGCTATGCCTTGAATGAGATGGGACCCCTTAGAGAAGTTTGGAGAGGGTGAGTGATGGAGCAGACCTGTATTTTAAAAGGCTCCATCTGCTTGCTGGAGATGGATAAGAATAGACTGGGGGTGGGGAAGGAAGGGAAGGGAGGAGATCCATTAGTAGGTTGCTGCCATAATCGAGGTGAGAGGTGATGGCTTGGACCAGGGTGGAGGGGAGAAGTGAGAACTAATTGAATTTGGGCATATTTTGAAAGTGCAGCAGGATGACATGACAAATTACTTACAGTTATGTGAGAAAGAGTAGAATCAGGGTGACTCTAGGTTTCGGTTTTTAACCAGTTTGATGGATGGAGTTGGCATTTCCTAAGATGGGGAAGAATGTGGGAAGAACAAGTTTGGGGCAGGGCATGGGAAGAGGTCAGTCTCGGACAAGTTAAGTTTGAGATGTCTGTTAGATGTGCGAGGGCAAATGTTAAGAATCAGTTGCATGTAGGCTGGGTGCAGTGGCTCACACCTGTAATCACAGCACTTTGGGAGGCTGAGGCGGGCAGATCACGAGGTCAGGAGATTGAGACCATCCTGGCTAACGCGGTGAAAACCCAACTCTACTAAAAATACAAAAAAAAAAAAATTAGCTGGGTGTGGTGGCGGGTGCCTGTAGTCCCAGCTACTTGGGAGGCTGAGGCAGGAGAATGGCGTGAACCTGGGAGGCAGAGATTGTAGTGAGCTGAGATCGCACCACTGCACTCCAGCCTGGGCGACAGAGCGAGACTCTGTCTCAAAAAAAAAAAGAAAAAAGAAAAAGAAAAAGAAAAAAAAAATCGGTTGCATGTGATCTGTTGAAATGTATGTCCACAGTTCAGGAACAAGGTGCAGGCTGCAGATAGGTAAGTGGAGGTGGTCAGCACATATGTTGTACTTAATGCAGTGAGAGCGGATGAGAACACCTAGGAGTGAGTGTAGGTGGAAAAGAGAATAGGTGTAAGGTCTGAGTCTGGGGTGCTTCAACATTCACAGGTTGGAGAAATGAGTAGGAGGCTGAGAAGGGGCAGCCAGAGGGAAGAAGAGTCGGAAGTGCTGGAAGCTGAAGGAAAAGGGCTTTCCAGGAGGAAAGAGTGATCGCTGGGTTACGTGCTGCTTATTGGTCGAGTGGCATGGAAACAAAGATGTGATCATTGGATTCGTCAGGTCAGGTCACTGAAGGGGTTGACAGGACAGTTTTGGTGGGGGTTGGGGGCAACAGTCAGAATGGAGAAGAGAAGTTTTGGAAGGAATATTGGTACAGAGGGCAACAGAATGAGGAGAGAGCCGAAAGGAAATGCAAGGTCCAAGAAGGGAGAGTATTTTGTCAAAGCAAAAAATTGCACCTGACAGCCGGGTGCGGTGGCTCACGCCTGTAATCCTAGCACTTTGGGAGGCAGAGGCGGGCAGATCACTTGAGGTCAGGAGTTCAAGACCATCCTGGCCAACGTGATGAAATCTCGTCTCTACTAAAAATACAAAAATTAGCCAGAAATCGCTTGAACCTAGAAGGCAGAGGTTGCAGTGAGCTGAGATCATGCCACTGCACTCCATCCTGGGCAACAGAGTGAGACTCTGTCTCAAAAAAAAAAAAAAAAAAAAAAAAAAAAAAAAAAAAAAAAAAAAAAAAAAAACATAAAAAAACTCTACCTGACAAAGTTAAACAGGCATGGAAGATTTTATTTAAGGCTGTTGCGCTAGGGAAGAGAGGTCTGAACTCAACTCTGCTGAAGCAGGGGGTGGTAGGGTTTTTAAGGGCTGGGGTGAGTGAGTGAGAGATAATAGGCCATTTGTGTTTGCAAATTGGCTTTCCCCAAAGGAAAAGTAAACTCCTCCATCTTTAGGACAAGAAATAGTTTGAGGACTTGGATCAAGGTGCCCAATGAAGTTAGGTTCCTACCTTCCCACAGAAACAGGGAAATAGGTGTGCTATCTCCTTTGATGATTTAATTTCTTTTTTCTTTTCTTTTTTTTAAAAATATTCTCAAATGTAAAACTTTTAATTTAAAAGTAAACTTTAATGTCAATGATGATGTCATTTCAAAGAGATGGTTCCTGGGCCCTTGAGAAAGACATTCTTGGATCGTAAAAACCAGCAAGAGGCTTTCGAAAAGATTTGTGTAGGTTTATGTACACTTCAAATGGGCAGAGAAAAAATTGACAGTTACAAGTTTTCTTTAAAAATGGGCTGGGCGCAGTGGCTCATGCCTGTAATTCCAGCACTTTGGGAGGCCAAGGCGAGTGGATCACCTGAGGCCAGCAGTTCGTGACCAGCCTGACCAACATGGTGAAGCCCTGTCTCTACTAAAAATACAAAAATAGCGGGCATGGTGGCACACACCTGTTATCCCAGCTACTCGGGAGACTGACACAGGAGAATTGCTTGAACCTGGGAGGTGGAGGTTGCAGTGAGCCGAGATTGCACCATTGCAATCCAGCCTGGGCAACAAGAGTGAAACTCCATCTCAGGAAAAAATAAAATAAAAAAAGAAGAAAAACAAATGCTCTAAAAAATGTTTAGTAATTAGTTGTATCTGATCTGTTGTAATGCATGTCTACAGTTAGGAACTGTGAGGGACCAGAGTCAGGAAGAAGCTTGTGTAAAGTTTAGTTAAGCTGAGGGGAGTGTTAAGGCCATCTTGATTATTTATAAAACAGGTACCATCTTTATTTAAAATTTCTGATGTCTGTGGGGTAATCATGACTCTTTCCCAGCAGCCTCCTTTTGGCTGTGCCTTAACCATCGTCTGAAGCGTTGCCCCCATCTTTCTTCAGCTGTTCCTTCCTCTTCGATTTCCTTTCAGTCTCCACCCCTCATCCCAACACAGCTTTCTTCTCATCTTCTCTGTGGGACTCTGCCTGACATTTACCTCCCATAGAATCAATGGCTGCCTCCTCTGTGGGCCCCTAGAGTCTATACTTCTTTTATGGCACTGTCTCAGTTTTTATGGGCTTCAGTTGATTGAGTTCCTCAAGGGCATAAGCGTATCTTATTCATCTTAGTGGTTCTACCTGAAGAGTGATGTTGGGCTCCTGGTAATCACATGGGATAGGGTATCACGTATATAATCTTGGTAAATTAGAGGATCTGTCATTCTTTCCTCCTAAAGTATAGATCTGATCAACTGGGAAAAAGCATAGAGTATTTTCTTTATAATATTTGGCAGGCTATGCACTAGTGTTTATACTGAGTAAAGGTCTTACAGCAGTTTCCACTGCCTAAGAAGTATGTGTGGCATAAATGGGAATAATTGCCCATGTTTCTGCTTAATGGCAAGAAGTTGATTTTGAGTATGTAAGCCCTACTAGGAATATATTTAATAATTCTGCCACTGTGTAATATACTTGTTGAGCTCTCATCTGACTATGAGGCCTCACTCACCATATGACTTCTGAGTAAAGCAGTTCATAAGCCATTCCTATTTTAGATTGTATGGAGATACTTATGGAGAGTCAGCACCAGTCAGCTTCTATTCCCAAACTGCATGAAATGAAGAGAACTACAGATTGACAAGTTGGTTTAATATCAACTTAAGAGAGGACTTCAACTACCAAGTGGCTGGATGGATTAAGTAATATAGTATTTCAGAGGCTTAATGGGTTTTGGTTTTGCAGAAGGTTTCATGGGGTATGAGGCTTTAGGGTTCAACTTTGGAGCCAACAAAAAGAGCTGATACTTTTACCTGTAATTGTGCTGGGGGGCTCCCTCTGATTATAGCTTTAGACCTTTGAATGGGGCTGGAGAAGGGAAAAAAGACTTTAGAATTAGCAGAAGAAAATGAACATGAAGACAAAAACCAATAAGTGGTCACGGAGCTGCCAAGAGTGAAGGCAGTAACGAGGCAGAATTAGTTCTTACTGACAACTTGAAATTGCCTGGAACATTATAAAAATCAATCAGTCTGTTAAAAGCAGACTCACAGTGACCACTGGATGGTGTGATGTTTGCAATTTGTCTGGACACAAATTTAGAGAAGCCAGCAGAGATGTAGCCTAATACCTAGCTTCTGGCTGGCACAAAGCTTTTGAAGAGAAGTCTCAAAATTAGCTTCAACCAGGGTTATTTTTCTCCAGCAATCTTAAAGTCAGTAGAACTGAAATTAGTTGATTACTCATTTCTCCAACTCTAATAGCTATTGTCATTTTTCTGTAATTACAGTGTACTATAAAAATATGTATTTTAATGTTCCTTTTTGGGTTGAATATTCCTTTATGGATTATCTTTCTCTCCTATTGTTGTAACCCTCAAAATTTTGAGTTTGAATAAAGAAAAACACTAAACTACTGAATTCATTCTTTGAACAGAAGTGATGGGTGCAGAACAACATATAGAAGCTTGTCAAGGAGTATTTCTGCCTCTCCAGAAAGAGGCAGATGCACAAACCTGCAATTAAAACAGGACAGAATAGGTGCAGAGTGAAATATGTCTGATCATATTGGGGCAATAATCAAGTCTTGGCATGGCAGGAATTGTCTCGTTCGTTAACTGTATCCCCAGAGCCTGTCACATAGATGGAGCTTTGTCAAATGGTTTTAATAAAAAAGCTCCCAAGTAGGTAGATGGGTTGAAGAAAGGGATTTCTAGACATGGGGAAAAGCAAGTGCAAAGTCTCAAGTGTATGAACCAGACTTCAGGTATTACATGATGACTGGGTTGGTAAGGGATGCAGGTGGTCAATGTGCCAGTTGAGATGGTTTCAGACTTTTAGGCCAAAAGTCAAAGGGAGCCCTCTGAAGGTTGGGTGCAGGTTTCTGCACACAGCAGGTACTCTCAAGTGTTTACCACCTGACCAAATGAGCAAATGGAAGGACTTCAAGCCAGGGAGTACCCTGGTTAGACTGACATCTTAGATTTCTCCTGCCACTGTGGGAAATGGTCTGGAAGGGGGGTTAGTCTGGAATAGGATTCTCAACTGGAGGTATTTTCCTTCCCAAGGGACATTTGGCAATGTCTGGAGATTTTAGGTTGTTACAACTTGGAGGTTTTTACTGGCATCTAGTGTGTAGAAGCCAAGGATGCTGGTGAACATCTCATAAAGCACAGGACAGCCCCCTTCACGCATCAAAAAATTAGTACAATGAAAAAGACATTAGCAAGTACACAATGTTGCAAGTGTACTTAAACTGCTACTGAAATGGACAGAGAAAAGGTAGTTTCTTCAGTCTGCCTAGAACTGATCTGATATTCAAGAGTTGCCACTTACTGATGAGAAGGAAAAAATTTAATGATATTTAGTTTAATGCAGTTTAGAACTTAGTATGATCTAATAATTGTAAAAGGCCCCTTCAGAGGGCGATCTGTATTTTGGGAATAATGGTACAGGCTTTTTTATGGCAATACTCTCTCCTCCCCACCTTGATCTTCTCCAAGTTAATGTCTGAGTTTATGGGTGGAGGCAGAGGGTGGCTCATGGAACCTTGTATGACCTCGTGGAGTCTGAAAAGTTCTTTGAGAAGCCTGAAAACTTCATTTATTTGAAGAGCTCAGGGGCCACTCTTGGGTGGAAGGAACTGACATTCTATGTTTTTCAACCCAGAGTGACTCAGCAATATTATTTTTAGGTTTACATATTTGGGTTCTCTGTAAGATTTTTTGAGAAGAGGCTCGTTCTGCTAAACATACTTGAATCCACTGATCTGAAATGCCTTCAGGGCCGCCTACACTGGAATGTGAATTATAGGCTTAGATCAGTGTCCTGTGACACATAAGGCATTTTTATGGGTATCATGATATTTGTTTCTAGGTTTTGATGCTGACAATTGAGCTGCCCAAACCTTTTAGTCATGTCCAATTTTGTCATAGATGTGAATAAAATCTTTCTATCATGGTCAATATGTTCCTTACAAATGCAGCAATTTCTCATTGAAAACTGTTCTCTTAAGGGAACATAATAGATTTCATGGCTCCTAGTGAAAAGGGAAGGTGCTAACTAGCCATGTGGCTCAAAGTACACCATTATAGTAACCACTACTTCCTTTTAAGGTCTTACAGCCTTAAAATTCCCTTTTAATACTAATAAAAAGAAATTTTCACACTTGTTCTATGAACAAAGTTTCTTTAGTAATTCTGATGGTATTGCTTGAGTCTTTTCAGTCTAATAACTTTTCCCTCTTCTCCTGTTTCACCCATGAGGTTAGAGTACTATTAGATATGAGAAGGGTAGAACAGGGCTGAAAAGGGCTTGTGATATAAAGCACTAATAATAATAATGCCAATTATTATGAGTATAATAGCCACCAATACTTACTGAGTACTTATTATGATCTAAATTTTGCCCCAAGCATTTCCCACTTATTAATTCTAATCCTCATCACAACACTGTAAGTGCTCAGACTGGAAACTGAGGCATTAAGAGGTTAAGCATCTATTAAAGGTCAACTTGGCTGGGCCTAATTCAAACACAGGTGATCTGGTTCCCAAGTCCAAGTTCTTAACCAGCATGCCTCATGAAGAATGTCGTTCTGTGTGTCAGTGTTAGGTTTTCCTGGCTGTGGACTGATTGTTCTCTCTGCTTTAATGCTTTCTGCGTTAGGATCATCCATCTGCCTGCATCAGAAAAGCAGCTCATATCATCAGTGTACTCAAGCAAAGCTTTGGAACACTGAGATCCTTAAAAAGCAAGGCAAAGTATAGCCAGGCAGAGAGGTATATTTTGTGGGGGGTTTTGTGAAACTTCCTCTAGTACAGAATGTGTGGTAAGCTCCAGAATTCTTCCCATTTCTGGTCATCACTTTGTCATGGACTGTCTACTCTGGATTTGTGTGGCTCAGGGATGTGGGTCCAGCGGTGCATTTACACACTCATTTAGCAAACACAGAGTCTGTGATGGGCATAGCACCATACCGGCAGTTAGACACAGGCTTACTTCTTTGTGAAGAACTTATAATAAATTTGATAAGGAAGATGCACAGTTATTAAGCACTAGATTTTTACTAGGTACTGTGCTTGGCATCTTATTTTGCCCCTCATTTGATTGTTCCAATACCTCTGGGAGGTTGGAATTATCCCCCATTTGATGGATGGAAAACTGGATTGCAGAGGGACCCAAGAAATTTGCTTAAAGTCACACAGTTAACAAAGGACAAGGCCAGGGATCAAACCCTGGAGTAAATTTAAGAAAAAACGGTCAATTGTAATAAGATTTGCTTATTATGGTGGATCTCTCAGAATCCAAAGAAATGAAGGGCCAGTTAGTGCTGGAGAGCGGTGGTTTTCAAACCACTTTCCATGAAAAATTAGTTCCAAAGGATGTTCCTTCAGAGAAAAACCAAATACATAGTTCTATAGTCAAATTAACGGTAGGAGACATATCCCATTTTCTTCTTAGTGATTCACAATGTTCATTAGCATGTTGAGTCCCCCCTGCTGCAGAAATTCTGCAGAAGGAAAGTTTTTAGACTTTGTTTAATTCATCCAGTGCTTCTGAATTTGCTGAGCAATGGTGATCAGTAGAACACTAGCTTGGGAAATTGTGCTTTGAAGGAACAAAGCCTTAGGAGAGGCAAGGTTATGGATAACCTGCCACTGAATAAAGTATCATTTCATTTGTGACTGGAGCCCCTTCGGGCTATCTTGATTACTGAGACAGAAGGGATCCAAGGCATGTAGTGTCAGCTTCCCTCTGCTTGAAGTGATTCTATCTGTAAAGTCACATTTGCTGCCTTAAAAAAAAAAAGCTTTAATTTTTTGTTACTTAATTCATAAATCATAAAATGCCCCTTGAAAGTATACAATTCAGTGGTTTTTTTAGTACATTCAAAAGGTTATACAGCCATCACACTAATTCCAGAGCATTTGCATTACCCTCAAAAGAAACCCCATACCTATCAGCAGGCTTCATTCCACTTAATGGCAACCGTGAATCTACTTTCTGTCTCAGAATTTTCCTCTTTTCGACATCTCATATAAACAGAGTCACACAATATGTGGCTCTTAAAATGTCTAGCTTCTTTCACTTAGTGTAATGTTTTCAAGGTTTATCTACGTGGTAGTACATGTGAGTACTTCATTCCTTTTTATGGCTGAGTAATGTTCCATTGTATGTGTATACCATGTGGCAATTGCAGTTTTGGAAAGCCAAGTTATATTAAGAAAGGACCAGTCTTATCCCTGACTGGGAAAGCATGTGAAGTGGACGACTGTGGTTTGTTGTGTGCCCTCTCTCTCACTTGAAGGCCCTATGGTTTTCGTTGAGTAACCTGATTCTCACGAAGAGCAGGTGAGTCTGGCCTGGCCCGGCCCATCAGAGGTTTGGTTCCAGTTCAGGCATGTGAGCCAAGCTAGAGTGTTGTTGGCTTCATCAGAAAAGAGGCCTGTTCCCTCGCTGGGGTCACTGCAATGCTAGTGTGCTAAGCTTTTGCCACCACTTGCAGAGAAGCTGCCTGAGAACAGACATGACATAAAGGAATGCAGAGGTATTTGCAAACCTACCTAAAACAGTTTGATCAACTAAAACCCATGAGTTGTTTTTGATTAATAATTGTTGCCACTGAAAGGTTTAAGGTGGATAAGGTTAACTACGCTAACGTTGCTACTGGATTATAATAAGAGCAAGTCTCAAACAAATTCTATCATATAGGCAGACAGTTAATAAATATTTTATTTCAAGCAAGAGCCAGTTAAACAAATTTGTTTTATTAGCTTTATGAATTTCAAAATCTCTATTCTTTTAGGTCTGCAATAGAGTCTGACTTCACTTTTTTGATCTTTGCTGACAAATTACACTTCCATCTTCATTCTTTTCCTCCCGCCCTACATGTGAGCAAGCTGATGAGAAGGCCTGGGTGCTCCCTGCTTTGTTGGGGAGGGAGATTCAAATCACATGAGCCTCTTTGTGTGAACTCTCTCCCTGGCAGCAGTCCCTAATCACAATAAAAACCCAGGCCAGTCTCCTTTCTTTTTTTGTGATGATTGATTTTATATCAACTTGATTGGGCTAAGGAAGTCCAGGTGGCCAATAAAACATTTGTGAGTGTTTGTGAGGGTGTTCCTGGGGGAGATTATCAATTGAAACAATAGCTGAATAAATAAAATCTCATCAATATAGGTGGCCATTATCTAATCCATTAAGAGCCTAAATAGAACAAAAAGGCAACTGAAGGGTGAATTCTCTCTTCTTGGTCTGGGAAGTCTATCTTCCCTTGCTCTCAGATGTGGACTACTGGTTCTCAGGCCTCTGACCTCAGAGACTGGGAGCTACACCATTGGCTCCTCTGATTCTCAGGCCTTTGGACTTGGACTGCATTGCATCACTAGCTTTGCTGGCTCTCCAGCTTGTAGAATGCATATCCTGAGACTTCTTGGCTTTTATAATCATGTGAGCCAATTCCCATGATAAACCTCCTCTCTTATCTCTATATATCCTGTTGGTTCTGTTTTTCTGGAGATCCCTGGCTAATACAGACTTTGGTATTGACAGTGGTTCTAGAGGAACATAATTTTAAGGATGAGAGTTCTGAATTGGTTGTGTGGTTTCTGAAATTGTCTCTCTAACGTGATTCAACTTAAATATGTTAGTGACTATTTTCAGAAATAAAAAGAGCACTGATAGTCCATGGCATGAACTGTTTATAGAGACATGCAAAACATCTACATTGGGTACTCCTAATCAACCACTTATAAGAAGCAAGGAGCTAAGTAACTCTGTATATGATACTCTTGAACATTTTTGGAAAAGTAAGGAATATAATGACATTGACTGTTTTCTCCTAACATTACTGGGCAAAGTGGTGAAAGAGAAGGATAAGCTTAAGGATTTGAATTTTTAGCACATATGCCACATAAATGACCTAAGGTCTGAGGGGAAAGCCTTGTTTCCTGGAGCTGTGGGGCTGAAATTGCCAAAAACCAAATGTAGGACCTTATCCTGTGACTGGCTGAATTACAGTGCAAGTTGAACTCCCAGCTTAGCAGGGTGACTACTGTTAAAGCGAGGTCATTGATTGGGCTTCTGTAAGTTAGGATAGGGAAATGTGGGAAGACTCTGTTGAAGCTGGGGGACATTGAGCCCCTCAATTCTGATGAGTCTTTTTTTTTGCCAGTAACAGTAGCCTCCTGCCTTCAGGGATTAACACAGCATTACCTGAGGAAATAGTAGTAATGGCTTCCTCTCAGACAGTTGCCATGCAAGAGGGTGCTAATTCTCCTCAGGACTTTCCCTGCTGGCCCCGTTGGCTTTAGATCTTTAACTAGACTCAATTAGACTTTTGTTCATTTGACCTGAAATTTTTCTGCTTATAGAGATCTCTTGAGAACTTATAGACTCAAGTTCCAGCAGTCACCTAAAGATAAGGTACAAAGTATGACCCATGAGGAGGTATACTGTACTCCAAAAGAACTAGGTTTTCTAATTTATATAAGCATAAATAATTTCTAATTTATGGCATGTGTGAAAATGAATATTAAGTGCGTGGGATATGGTGGAAGGAACATAAAGTTGGATCAGGATGAATTTATTGATGTGGGCCCACTAAGCAGAGACTTTGAATTTAATGTTACAGCTTGGGGAGCTAGAAAGGGCTCCGTTTGGCTGAAACATGGATCAAAAATTGGCCCACTGTGAGCTAATTGGATAATGTCCAATCTCTCTTGGTTTAATGTAGAGGAGGGGATTAAAAGGCTTGGGGAGATTAAAATGTTAGAGTAGATTTGTCATTTAAGACCTACCCACACTGGGAGGGTCCAGAAGATATAACTTTCACCAATACTTTGAGAAATTAATTTGTGACGGGAGCCCAAGTATCACTGAAGAGCCTTGTGATCACTCTTTTCTGCAGGCCAGACTTTACCGGGGGAACTACAGTCATTCACTTGGAAAGCTTAATACAGTGGGAGTGATTGGATCCTGGAGTGGCAGGGGCCAGCTGGTGACACACAACCACCAAAGGCAAAGTAGGTATAGTTACCAAAATGGACAGCGGAGTCAAAGTAGCATTCAGAGTAGTCCAATGTACACATATCTATGGCATGGCTAGTTAATAATCATGGTGTTCTTAGAAGTGAAATACATAGGAAGCCTATTACATTCTTGATCTCTATAAGCAGAAAAATTTCAGGTCAAATCAACAAAAGTCTAACTTGAATAATTAAAACAGTCATGGTCCTTCAGTAAATTCTAGGACTTGAACAAGTTTATAGACCCAGAACCCCTTGAATGAAGGAGAGACTGTGCCTACTTGAGGAAGGACCCTGACACACTATTGAAAACTCATACTGGTAATTACTCTCCCAGCCTTCCCCGGAAGGACTTGTGGCCTTTTACCATGGTAACTATGCACTGGGGAAAAAAACATAATTAGAACTTTTGGGGAATACTGGCCACAGTCTCTGAAATGACATTGATTCTAGGAGACCCAAAACCTTACTGTGGTCCTTTTATCATATGAAGACATGGTGAGCAGGCATTGTCTATGAACCAAAAAGCTGGTCCTTATCAGATACTAAGTCTGCCAGTGCCTTGATCTTGGACTTCCCAGCCTCCAGAACTGTGAGTAATAAATTTGTTGTTTATAAACCTCCCTGTTTATGGTATTTTTGCCATAGCAGCCTGTACAGGCTGAGATACTGTCTTTTCAAGCAGGTTCAAACAAGCCTGAGAGGCCTGCCCTGCTCTCCCTAGGGAACTCAATTATGGGTGGGTAGGGATGTGTGCTTGAGAGCATCATCAGTCTCCATATCTGAACCAAACTTTGGGTGTGGGTTTGTCCTGTGTCTGCAGAGTGGCCACATCAGTGTCTTTGCATGAAAGTTTCACTCGAGACAGAGATGATGGTATCCCAGAGGCAATTTCTTTTACCTTAAGGTTAGCATGATACAACCAGAAATCCTCCAAACACATGGCTTGACACGTGATTGGTTAAAGATTAAGCACTGGAGACCAGCGCTAGGGGTAAAAGCTGTAGGTCTTGAGGAAATGATATACACAGTTCTTGCAAGAGGGAAGAGCCTCTCAAAACTACTTTGGCCAACCCACATATCTTGAATAGCCTTAATTTTACCATTGAGAACCCATTCCTAACACCCATCATGCTACTTAACCAGCTAGCATTTTCTTAACACCTAAGGCTTTGCCAATTAACATAGTGATGATGGAGATATGGATAATAGAAGTATATAGAGTTATTGCCAGGGCTGGGCACGGTGGCTCATGCCTGTAATCCCAGCACTTTGGGAGGCCGAGGCAGGCAGATTGCCTGAGCTCAGGAGTTTGTGACCAGCCCAGGCAACACAGTGAAACCCCATTTCTACTAAAATACAAAAAATTAGCCGGGTGTAGTGGCGTGTGCCTCTAGTCCCAGCTACTTGGGAGGCTGAGGCAGGAGAATTGCTGGAACCTGGGAGACAGAGGTCGCAGTGAGCCGAGATCATGCCACTGGACTCCAGCCTGGGTGACAGAGTAAGACTCCATCTCAAAAAAAAAAAAAAAAAAAAGTTAATGCCTCTGGCAGCTTCCCTTTCTTATATAAGTGTCTATTAGAGCTACAACTTCTTTCTAGAATTGAAGCTTAATCAACATATGCATAATATTATGCTAAAACTCTTGAAAATTAAAGATCTTATAACACCTGCCTTCTGTAAAGAACCTGGATCCAGCTATACCTGATGCTAGACCTTTATGTGAACTTTTCAGTTCTACAATTCAATCAATTTCTTTTGTTTTCACTTATGCTAGTATAAGTTGGGTTCCTGTCAGTTAAGTCGTGAAATATTTCTGAACAAAATAGAGTGCCAGAAATGTAGACTAGCTGCTCAGCAAGCCTGTACTTGTCCCTCCTACTCTGTTCAATTAAATGATCTGATATTTGTATAATTTAATATTAAGGAAGACAGTAAAACCTCTTTCAGTATCCTAATTTAGGTCTAGTCCTTGCAGCCAGAAAATGCAAATCACATCTGCTTCAATTTAAGTATTGTTTTAAATTTCTAAGCTACCTTAGTGAAATCATCTTTCAGCTTTATTTCCCCCAAGCTAAACTTCATGGGTGGGCACTTTCTTGAACAGCCTTCCTAGAAGGTTTAAGCATTGGGACAAAAATGGAAAGCTTTGCTCAGCTTTAGACCACATGCTAGCAGCACAGTGGGTACTAGGATCTTTGAAAATGAAAATCATCACAAAAGAATGATACTTGTTTGTTTGCTTTATGCAAATCAGCATTTCCAGAGGACTCCAACATTTTAAAATCCAACTGAGGTTAAAAGCAACCAAAGTGCTTTGCCTGATAAATCTCTATCACTGCTCCAGGATGAAAACATGGTATTTTCCATTGGCTCTCTGCCGTTTTTGCCTCTTTAGGCTATTCAGACAGTGTTTATGGAGAGGAAGAAGAGCCGGAGTAGTTCAAAAGCCTCTAGACAAGGGAGTGTTTAGGCCCACTGGAATTTGCAGATGACCATTTCTGCAGTCACCCCCTTCAGATACCTAAATGCAAGGCACTGCATTCTGCACAGATGAGGAGATGGAGCCTGAGACAGATGTGTGTCATTGGACCTTACCCTCTAGTGGGAAGATGAACAATAAGTGAGAAATGGAATACATGAATAGAATGACTTTTAAAATGAGTAGTAAGTGCTACAAAGCACACTTACAGTGTTGTGTGTTGCAGGACAGGCAGGGGAAGATGAACAATAAGTGAGAAATGGGATACATGAATAGAATGACTTTTAAAATGAGTAGTAAGTGCTACAAAGCATACTTACAGTGTTGTGTGTTGCAGGACAGGCAGGGGAAGATGAACAATAAGTGAGAAATGGGATACATGAATAGAATGACTTTTAAAATGAGTAGTAAGTGCTACAAAGCACACTTACAGTGTTGTGTGTTGCAGGACAGGCAGGGGAAGATGAACAATAAGTGAGAAATGGGATACATGAATAGAATGACTTTTAAAATGAGTAGTAAGTGCTACAAAGCACACTTACAGTGTTGTGTGTTGCAGGACAGGAAGAGGAAGATGACTGCTAGACCTGGTGGGAGTAACAGGGTTGACAGATTTTAGGGAGTGGGGAGTAGTGTTTCTATTGAGATCCACCAGGTGGGGCCTCTAGATGCATAACTAAGGGGGCTAGGTATCCATTTGCTTGTGCACTTGAATTGTTTCTTCTAACAAGCAGCCCAAGTTCTACTTTGAGTATAGTAGATATGAGAATTGTTATGTAATTGTTCATTTAATACGGGATTGGGGGACGGGAGTGACAGGACATGGAAAGACCATTTTTCAAACCTTGTATTGTGTACTAAGCACTCACACCTCTCTTGTCTCCTCCCTCCCCCTAGTGCAGGGTGGAATATTTATCTGAAATTTCCTTATCTGCCTTAAACTAGACCCCCTTGAAAGGACACAATTGCCTTCCATTCCCTCCCTGAAATTTCATTATCCATCTCAGGTAGAACTGAGGAATGAAGCCACACCTAGACAGACTTTGTCACAAGACGTTGTCTGCTCTCCGTTCATTCAAATTCCAAAGAGAATCATTTATAAGATAATATCTGCCTCCTGGGTCTATTCATTCGCCCTAAAAATGTGCTTCTCCTCTAAAGTTGCCTATAGGTGCCTACTTCCCTCTCCCCTGTGAAGAGGGTATTTAAGCCTGCATTTGGCCCTTCTTAGGGTCTCTGTTTTTTTGTGTGTGTGAGAGAGTCTCACTCTGTTGCCCAGGCTGGAGTGCAGTGGCATGATCTCGGCTCACTGCAACCTCCACCTCCCAGGTTCAAGCGATTCTCCTGTCTCAGCCTCCCGAGTAGCTGGGACTACAGGTGCACACCACCACGTCTGGCTAATTTTTGTATTTTTAGTAGAGATGGGGTTTCACCATGTTGGCCAGGCAGGTCTCAAACTCCTGACCTCAGGTGATCCGTCTGCCTCAGTCTCCCAAAATGCTGAGATTACAGGCATGAGCCACTGTGCCAGGCCAGGGTATCATATTTTGTATGGCTACCATGCTTATGCACATAATACATTTGTATGCCTTTTCTCCTGCTAAGTTGTTTGTTGTCAGTTCACTCCAGCAAAACTTCAGAGAAAGTGGAAGGGAAGATTTTCTGCCCTGACAGCAACATAGGTAAGAATGAATAAAGCTGGAACCTGCCCTCAACTGGGTCAGAAGTTTGTTGGTGGAGAAGTGGGAGACCAAAACATGCCTCCCCAAAATATAAAGGATTATCAAGTTGAAGATAATTAAACAGATGCAGGACAACTCTCTGTCCTTCTATTTGCATAGAAGCAGGACATAAATTTACAAAGACCAAAGGTATCCTGCCCCCCTCTCTACCAGGGAGAACAAATGTTAACCACTGAGGACAGCTTTTAGACCCACCATTGGCCTGGAGATGATACAAGAGAAACATGTAATAGCAAGCTTTACTAACTAGCTGTTATTTGCCAGTTATTTGTCTTTCCCTGTGCTGCTGCCCAGAGACACTCAAATTACTGTTAATGGAAAAGTCAAATTTTGTAATATATTTTAAAGAGGTTTTTTGAGCACTGATATGAGTGACCACGGACTGGAGAAAACACAAACCCAAGAAGCCTTGAGTAAGTGGTCCTGAGGTGGGTAGATCAGTTTGGTTTTACACAATGTAGGTAGGCAGGAGTTACAGGCAAAGACACAAATCAATACATGGGAGGTATACACTGGTTCAGCCCGAAAAGGTGGGAATCTCAAAGTGGGGGCTTGCAAGTCATAGGTAGGTTTTAGGGATGTAGTTGAAAATTGGTTGAGAAGAGAGTCAAACTATCATCAGTAGAAAGAATTCTTGAATTAAGATAAAGGGGTTGTGGAGGCCATGGTTCTTGTTATGTAGATGAAGCCTTTTAGGTCACAGACCTCAGAGAATAGATTGTAAATGTCTCTTTTCAGACTTTTAAAGGCATCAGACTCTTAATCTCTCCTAGATCCTAGAAAGGCCTAGAAGAAAAGGCCTGGCTGCAATAATGGAGATTCACTGTAGGTGTAAAATTTCCCCGCAAAAGATGGCTTTGTAGGGCCATTTCAAAATATGTTAAAGAAATATATTTTGAGGTAAAAAATTCTTATTTCCTTCAGAGTCTGCTGTCATGTGACAGATCTGTCATGCTATATCAGGTTAGAAAGTAAGCCACATATCAGGTTAAAAAAGCCTTTTAATGAGATTTTATGGTTTGTAGGGTATGACTTCACCCCTTGCCTTGTGTGGCCTTAGGTCTTGTTTGTAATTTGGCATCTTATTACTACAGAGTCTGTTTTGTCAGTCCTATGATCTCTATTTTAACATTTGTGAAAGAGAAATATCTTGGTCCCCTTCATGCTGGGAACTGCTCAGGGCAAATCTGCCACCCCTTCTATTCAAAGTCATCCCTCTGCTCACTGAGATAGATGCATATTGCCTCCTTTGGAAAGGCTAATCAGAAACTCAAAAGAATGCAACCATTTGTCTCTCGCCTATCCTTGACCTGGAAGCCCCTCTCTGCTTTGAGTCTTCCTGCCTTTGCTTCAAGTTGTCCCGCCTTTCCAGACCTAACCAATAGACTTCTTATACTATATTGATTGATGTCTCATGCCTCCCTAAAATGTATAAAACTAAGTTATGCCCTGACCACCTTGAGTACATGTCCTCAGGACTTTCTGAGGCTGTGTCACAGGTGTGTATCCTCAACCTGGGCAAAATAAACTTTCTAAATTAACTGAGAACTGTCTCAGATTTTCAGGGTTCACACGTTCATGCTGGTCAGTTGTGCCTAAACTCCAAAAGGGATGGGATATCATGAAGCATGTCCTACTTCTTCCCGACGTGGCCAGAAATTCAGTTTTTCAGGTTTCTCTGGGGTCCTCTTGGTCAAGAGATGATCTGTTCTGTTGTTTGGAAGTGCTCAGGGTTTTATTTTTGGTTTATAGTACTTTTCCTTTGTCTTGTTACTTCAGCAAAGAACAGTTTTTAGAGAAGTGATAAAAGTCGGAATTCAAAGACACCTCTTTGAGAACTACTCATCCTCTGGATGTCTCCCATGTATATGTTAATAAACATATGTTTATTTTTCTCTTGTTAATCTGTATTTTGACACAGAGATTCATTCTTTCTACAAACCTGTGGGGTTGTTATTACTCCCCTACAATTTTTAAGTAGAGAAGAGTCACACAGGGTTGCATTTGGAGCACTCAGATTTGTGGCTGACTCTATCTTGCTTCTAGCCTCATGGGCTGTCTGTCTTTATTGACTTCTGGGCATAGGCCAAGCTAGCCATGGAGGAGATTTAGTTTATAGTTTAACTTGACAGCAAGCATAATAGTCCCTCCCTAAAACTAACTGCCTCCTTGCTCAGAGATCAAAAACTAATGAGAAGCCCTGAGATTAGGATGATGACAGTGTCCTGGATTCTGCTAAAATGTAGGCATAGTTTCTATAATCCCTTACTGCTCAGGAGTCATGGGGTCAGAGTTGCAAGATTTGTGACTTCCCCAGTTGCACCTATAGATAACATCAGTATTGTAGAACCTAAGATTGGTCTTTCATGATGCTTTTCAGACTGAGCCCACCTGGACTCATGAACCATGACTCAACTAGTCCTGTGGACCCCCGCCCAAAGGTGGACTCAGTGCACAAGGATTGTTTGCTACACCCCTATGATTGCATCCCCAACCAATCAGCAGCACCCATTCTCTAGTCCCCTGCCCACTAAACTATCCTCAGAAAACCCTAACCTCTGAGCCTTTGGGGAGACTGATTTAAGTCATAACTCCATCTTCTGTGTGACCAGCCTCACGTTAATTAAACTCTTCCTTTACTACAATACCACAGTCTCAATGAACTGGTTTTGTCTGTGCAGCAGACAGGGAGAAACCATCTGGCAATTATAGGGTCAGCAGAAAGGAATGTTATCTCTTGTGAGTTTGACTTTCTCCAGGCCCCTCAGGAAGAAACTTAGAACAATGAACTGTGGCCAGAGTACAGTCCCCAGCTCCCCCTTATTTGAGGTCTATGTGCTAGTGGATATGTTTGGGCGGTGTCGGAGTTTCTGAAAAATAACTCAGACATATGTTAAGATGTTGTTTTTACTTTCTGTAGGGGAATCGAACATCTCCTGACTCTAAATTTCTTGGCTATTGTTTTAGTCTACTATTACCTTCTTGCTTATCAAGTTGTTTATTTATTTCTCAGGGCTAGCTAGGTACCTGGAATTTCCCTTGAAGGAACTCAAGACTTCCCTATATTTCCATGTTTGGGGGGTTGGGTAGCAGGCCTTTAAGAGGGGCTCCTTGCTCTGTCTCAAATCCAAGAAACCAGTCCCATAGCCATTGAGATCTTGTTCCAGATGAAACAAGGAGCTGAGACTGAGTTAGGTCACCTTGTAACTGGATTTATTCAGGCTCTGGAAGGGCCTTAGTAGGAAGAACTGTTTGAAGGTTTAAAGAAAGACAGTATGGCCAGGCTTGGAAGTCTGGGAAGGGGCACCCCGTGTCCTGTATATGCTTGAGTTGACTTTACTGAACCTGACCAGATAAACCTTTTCATGAGTTTCCTCCCCCGGTAGTAATTACAGATTTCCATGAGCTGGCCTGCTCACTCTCACTGTGCAAGCATTTTCAAGGTCAGAGGTGAGGCCTACATTCAGGGAGCACTGACCCAGCTTGGAGCTAATTGGCCTGAAATGGTAGTTAGTGGGATTAGAGGGGAAGGGAGGGTGGCTGGCTTCAATTTTTAGCACATCATCACCCCTCCTCTCTACACTTGGTTTCTTGCTCATGAACATATGTAGACTTTCTAAAAGTGTTGGAGAACTTTTGATGGGAAGAGCAAAAACAGTGCCATTGATTGTTAGCCATTTGGATGATTCTATTTTTAGCAAGCAGGGAGAGCAGATTTGAGATTGAATGTCACCAGAGACCAAGTCTGCATGTCTCCTTAACCTCATTTGAGAGCAGTGGTTTTGAAACTACTTTAGAAACAGAACTTTTTTATTCCTTGTAACTGTTTCACATACTGAGCTTTTGTGTGAAAAACGGTGCTCTTGCTGTTTGGGGGTGGGGAGGGTCATGATCACGATCCACTTCTACATGGGGCCCCCTCTCTACCCATAAGTACTGTGTGGAACCATGGAGCACTGTTCTTGAGAAGCCATTTGGAAACCAACGTTTTGGTATATAAAAAAGATACACCAACTTATGTCCCATACAGATGGCAACTGTTAGCAAATCATGTACTCCGGAAAGCTATCCGTGTTGTCTTCATATCCTAATCAAGTAAAATTGGAAAAAACAGATAAAATACAAAACATAGACCGCTGTGCAAATGCTCAACAACTTGGATTTTAACATATACATAAGCTGTAAATTGAGTATGTTAAATCATGAGGAAGCACAAGTTCTTTGGAAGATAGGGATGTCTCTGCAGCCGGTCTAATTCATGGCTTCCTGTTGGGGAGAGGCTGGTAGCTTATGCTTTGGCTCTGCCTGCCTTGCTTTCTTTTACAATTATCTTCGTGGAAGCAAAGCAGCCACAAATGAACTTCAGGTAAGCTGGCGAGTACTCCAGCAGCCTTTCAGGGTGAGTCAGTCTGCGTCTTCAAGGCAGCAATTTGGAGACTGTAATGGGAAATCTGTTTGTTTTCTTCTTCCCACTCCCCAGCCCTGAGCCTCCCCTCAGAGATGGAGAATTAGTTAAAAAAAACAAATGAAGGAAATTCCCCTAAGAACCTTCCCGGGGAACAACAAAAACATCCATTGTAAACAGCAGGTTTGTCTTCTGACAGGTTTTGTTTGCAAATGATAACAATTACAGGTAATTTTTCATTTCAATTGGAGGAGCAGGTATTAAAAGAGAGGGTTGGGGAGAGAAAGAATGAGAGCAGTGAGATCTCCCAAGTGCCTTATTCACTCCCAGGTCTACAACCTAACACGAGTGTGGAGGGCTAGGTAGCGGCTCCTCATTCCATTAAGTGAGATCTAATTGTGGCTGCTCGGTCTGTTGGCAGATGCAGTTCCTACATAAAAACAGCCCAGAGACAGAGCTGCGTGATTAATGCCTCCAGCTGTCATATGCCCCATTATCTGTGCATTTGCATAACTGAATGGTTTAGGACAGGGGAGAGAGGATGCTTAATTTAATGTTTAGCAGGCCCTTGATAGCTGAATAATTTAAGAACTGTCAAGGGGGGTCAGTCCTACAGCGATTCAGCAAGACAGCTATGATTTCTGCATATCGTTAAAATTCTTACTTAGGAGAATTTTTTTTATTTTTATTTTTTTAAGGATAAAGAAAAGAACAACAATGCCGGAAAGCAAGCACTGATTTTTCTCCATTTAACCATTTCCTCCCAGAGGCAAATGGAAATTTGCTTTTGAGAGCAGTTAGATGTCTGAAGATACCTGGGAGGGAAAGTTTAAGCCTAACCCTTTCCTTCTCTTTCTTCCCCTCTGGATCCCAGGAATCTCTTCCCTCCCATTCTGATTTTGTATTCTCTTATTCTCTTTGTCCCCTCAACCATCTCACTCTTTATGCCATTTTATGACCCATTTACAATCCTCTCCTCATTCTACCTCCAACCTGTCATTTAGCTGAAAGGCAGTTGGGGGACGGACTGTGCAGGGGGTGGAGCACAATTTGCTTAAAATCAACTAACAGCCCAACCTGCTTTCAATAGGAAACACTGTCAGTTTCATTAGTTGCTAATGAATATTATTAAACTAATCTGTCATTTGTTTTCTAATTATGTGTCACCAGGCATCACAGTGGCAGCTGAGGTGACTGCTGGTGAGTAATTTCCCCACTTGCATCCCTTTTTTGAAATTCAGAATAAGAACAGCCAGGGATGATTAGCAATAATTTGATCCTGAGTAAATCCCCCACACCCCATCCCAGCCTTTCAGTAATAATTTTTCTCCCACACATTAATAAGAGCCAAGATCTTTCTCACCACCTGCTTTGATAGTCCACCCCCATGGCGAGACCCTGGCCCCTGTGAAACTTGGGAAAGCCTCATTTCTGGAGTCTCCAGGTCGACCCAGAACACAACTTCCTATCATTTTCCATCACAATTCTGTGAGTCTGGAATTTGGGCTGGACTCCACTGCTCCACGTTGCAGGGACTGGGTTGCTCAGTGGTGCTCATCTGGTCTGGAGGGTCCAGCTTGGTTTTGCTCACATGCCCAGTGCCTCTATGGGCTAGCTGGACTGCATGGCTCTGTGGGGGCTCTTCTTCCCCTCTGTGTTCTTTTTGGCAGTGTAGGTGACCTTCTAACATGACTGCTCGGGCTCTAAGAGTGGATTTTCCAAAGACCAGGAGTAGAAGCTGCCAGTGTCTAAAGACCTGGCTCCCATGGCATCATTTCATTTCCCCCATACTCTATTAAACAATGCAGAGTCCACCCAGGCTCAAGAGGTGGAGTAGACGCTTGCAAATGGGCGGGTGTCAGAGCCTGTGGCCATTTGTAATCAACTTCTGTGTCACCAAATGATCCATCACCAGTTCCCTGTCATAGTCCTCTGGACTTCTCTTTTCCCACCCCCACCTGATCCAGTCAGTTGGTTTCTCACCAACAATCTGAGTTCCCCACTACTTGGACCTTCTGCCAGAATTCTCCTGCAAATCCCCAAACATGAGCAATCTCTGCCTCTCCTTTCATCTTTATTTGAGCTGCTGAGTGCAGCCCAGAAAAATTGCACATCCCCAGAGTGGCCCCACTACAAACAAATGAGTTCAGATCTCAACTGCATCCTCAAAGCTGCCTGGTCAGCTTTCTCTGTGTTTGAGTTCTCTCCAATTTCTGGTGATAGTTATTAGACATATTTATTCCCTTCTGGAGTGCCCAACCTAGCTTTTCCCCTCAAAGGACTTTATTTGATCTAATTCTTAGCAGATGGCCTTGCCTTCTTCTCAGAGGCATGAACATCTTCTGTAATGCGCACACACCTTCAAATCCCTCTTTGTGTAGAGATGTCTTTCTCTCTTTTTAGGTAAGTCCCTTCCACCAACTACATCCTTCATTTCCACTAACTTGTCCTAGAGGACTTACTACTATTAATCACTCCTTCTCTGCGTCCATTCTCTTAGCTGACAAACATGCTCAATCTTGTTATTGAAATAATAACAGTGCTATGATTCTTGAAAGAGTTGTCTGCTTGACTCCCCTGCTTGTTGCAATCAGATTCTTGGACCTTCCTAACATTGCCTTGGCAAAGGTTACCAGAAGCTCCTGATCACTCTATCCAAGGGCCAGTACTCAGCTCTTACCTTGCTTGGCTTTTTTGTACCATTGACTATTCCTTCTCTCTTAAATGGTCTCTTTCTCTCTCTTTAGCTGCTGTTATTCTATCATCTCTTATGTCTTAGTCAATTTGCACTGCTATACAAAATACCATAAACTGGGTAGCTTATAAGTAACTGAAATTTATCTCTTACAGCTCTGGAGGCTGAGAAGTCAAAGATTAAGGCACTAGCACTCTGGTGAGGGCCAGATCATAGATGCTGTCTTCTTAATCCATCCTCATATGGTGGAAAGAGCAAACAAAACTCCCTCAAGCCTCTTTTATAAGGACAATAATCTCATTCATGAGGACTCTACCCTTATGACTCTATCACCTCCCATAGGCTTTACTATTTAATACCACCTTGGGGGTTAGGTTTCAGCATATGAATTTTAGGGAGACACAAACATTCTGATCACATCTTACTTCTTTTATCTCTATTTGAGATGGAGCAGGGATCCATCCCTCTTAGGGGCTTGCCAGGCTTCCCAAGCACGGAAGTAAAGGAAAACCTTGAGTTCCTTCAAGGGAAATTCCAGTTACCTAGCAAGCCCTGAGAAGTAAATGAGCAACCTGAGAAGCAAGAAGTTTTTCAGAAACCCAGACCCCCACCAAATGAATCCACTGGCACATAGACCTCAGACAAGGGAAAACTGAGGGCTGACCTGACTTCTGATCACCATTCTTTATTCTAAATTTCTTTCTGAGGGTCCTGGGAAAGTCATGCCCACAGTCCAGATAATAATACAGTTTTTTTTTTCTGCTGACTCCACATTTTTAGACAAAGCTTCACTTAATTACAAATCAGAGTCTTTGAATCCACCTATCACCTGTACATCTCTGCTTCATGATAGCCTGCCTTGTTAGGCCAAACCAGTGTGTAACCCTCATATGTTGATTTATGATTTTGTCTGTAACTTCTGCTTTCCTGAAATTTACCCCTGCCCTTAGACCATTATCTGGTCTAAAATGTCAATAGTGCTGAGTTTGATAGACTCTGCTTTAGATCAGTTTTCATACTACTATTCTTTTGTACTTACCTCTTACGTATCTTCCACATGGCATTTTGTTTATTTGAACCCTGCACTTCCATGTTTAGACTATGTGAACTAAAGGACAGAATTTTATTTTCTTTTCTATTCTGTAAGCCATCACTGAAGCTGCCCACTGCTTTCTTGGTGCCTTGCAAATTCTCCTTTTTCTCTCTGCAAAACCTTGGTGTGGATGTTTGGCTTTACTGTGCCAGTTAAGTGGATCCCAGTTGGGTTTGGTAACATGTTTCTTTTCAGAATTATTTTGGAGTTTTTCTTTTTCCCTGACCTCTCCCTTTCCCAAATGTTAATAATGTTCCCCTGAAATCTGTTTTCTCTTCTCCTTCCATGATGTAATTCATGGATGTGTCAGTTGCTGCCTCTTGTGGAGACTCTCAAACAGATCTAGCCCCAGTCTCTGCTAACAAGTTTATATGCACACATAGACATATATGTACATACACACATATGTTTACACACATGTAAGGTTACCCAGTAGATATCTTTACCTGGATGTCTTACAGGCAGCTGAAACTTCACATATCTAAGGGATGACCTACTTTTCAGCCAGCTCCATTTACTCCTGTTTCCAGCCTGCAATCTGCAATTCTTGCATTCTTCCTTTTCTTTGCCTTCCATGTTCACTTAATCACTAAATTCTATTGATTTCCTCTCCTTAAGTATCTCTCATCTTGCCTTCATGGCCTTCATATTGATCCTCATTATCTGATCATAATGATGGCAACTAGTTAGGAAACTGGGTTTCCCTTATTTTAATCTCCTCTGCTCTTACTCTGTTATTTCAATAGCCACTAGAGAAGTGCCTCCAAAATGCTTATTTGAATAAATCATTGCCCTATTCAAAATCCTTCAATGACTTTCCATTGCCTAAAGATTAAAGTTTAAACTTTTATTCTGGTGTATTACATACTTTCTGCCTTCAAGATTCATAGCCCTCGCACTCCCCCTCATCCTCCTCACACTCTAGGCTCCAGCTCCATTGCTTTCTTATGCCTTCATACCTTTGCATATAATTTCTCTGCCTAGAATCCCTATCTTTCTCTTTTGTTAGGCAATTCCTACATATATATTAATTCTCAGCTTAAGTTTCTTCAAGATACTTTAGATCTTGCTCCTTGGGAGACATTTGGCAATGTCTGGAGAAATTTCTGGTTGTCACAAGTTGGGGGTGCTAATGGCCAGGGATGGTTCTAAACATCCTTCAGTGTCCAGGACAGCACCTCACAACAAAGAATTATCTGGTCTAAAATTCCAGTAGTGCTGACTTTGATAAACTCTGCTTTAGATCAGTTTTCACACTACTATTCTTTTGTACTTATCTCTTACATATCTTCCACATGGCATTTTATTTATTTGAACCATATATTTGCCTCTTTAGATTATGTGAACTAAAGGACAGGAGTTTATTTTCTTGCTTATAGAACATCTTAAGAATTATTTATTAAAAATGACTTTGGTTGATGTCACTCCTAAATTTCTTTTGTCTACCATATTGGTTGTTCATGAAGCCATTATCAATCACTTATACTTTACAGTGGATGAGGCTTGTTTGGTTTCTTGACAATAGATTGGTTGGTAAAGGAAGGTAGCTTAAGACGATGATAGGATGCTAAAGAAGCACTAAAGTTGTTGCTTGTTTCATGAGCTTCTGTTCCTGCTTCCTTGGATGTTTGGATTGTCTCTTTTCTTCTATTTAGTCCCAAACACTTTTCAGAACATCTCCAGGCAGCTTTTATTTAGCTTGGTTTGCCAGTGCTGCTGCTGCTTTTTATTTTTTCAGCTCTGCCACCCAGGTTGGAGTGCAGTAGTGTAATCATGGCTCACTGCAGCCTCAAACTCCCAAGCTCAAGCAATCCTCCCACCTTGGCCCCTCAAGTAGCTGGGACTACAGGCATGCATCACCATGCCCAGCTAATTTTTTTAAAAAATTTTTTATGGAGATGGGATCTCACAAAGTTGCCCAGTCTGGTCTTGAACTCCAGGACTCAAGTGATCCTCCCGCCTTGGCCTCCCAAAGTGCTGGGATTATAGGCATGAGCTACCATGCCTAGCGGTTTCCTAAGATTTCTAACAGTAGAAATCTGAGGAAAAGATGTGCTCTTTGTTGGCTCTTGGCCCCTTTCCTGTCCTTTTGTTTTCTTCTGTGTGTTCCTGGGGGTGGGTTTGGGGTAGAGGTTAGAAGTCTGCAAACTATATTTCTGAAACATTCTTGCCAGATAGCTTCTAGCTATCTTCTGCAAATGGGAGGCACTGGCAGGAGATTAGGAGGAAGGAGGAAGATATTTTCGGTGCTTCTAGAAGTAAGTGCAGCAGAGGCAGCAGTGATGGAAGGCAAGTCTTGACTCCCAGCTTCCTGCCCAGGGAGTACATGCCCTAGAAGCCTCAGCCACCAAGCACCTGTGGACTTTGGCTCCAGCAGCAACAATGACTACTTTGGGCAACTTTAGGCTCCAGACGTCCTGCAAAAGCAACCATGGCTGTGGTTCCAACAGCACCAGCAATGGGTGCTTTCCAACCTCAGTGGCATAGAGATCATGGATTCTAAGTTACACGTTCCCTTTTGTTGCTCCAGTTCTGGGTATGGGAGCAGCTTCTTGCAATTGCTAGCTTCTGGCTAAGTTCACCTTTTTCCTTTTTCATCTGCCTGCTCTTCCCAGATTTTTCTACTTCCTTTTTTTTTTTTTTTTTTTGAGATGGAGTCTCACTCTGTCACCCAGGATGAAGTGCAGTGGCATGATCTCAGCTCACTGCAACCTCCGCCTCCCAGGTTCAAGCAATTCTCCTGCCTCAGCCTCCTGAGTAGCTGGGATTACAGGTGTATTTTGTATTTTTAGTAGAGACGGGGTTTCACCCTGTTGGCTAGGCTGGTATTGAACTCCTGACCTCAGGTGATCTGCCCACCTGGGCCTCCCAAAGTGCTGGGATTACAGGCGTGAGCCACCGCACCTGACCAGATTTTTCTGTTTCCTGTATCAAATTCCTTCTGTTTGAAATACGTAGAATGGCTTCTGTTTTCCTGATAATATACTGAACGATCTGGCATTGCTATGGCACATTCTCTTTCCCAGGAATTTTTATGAGTTATTGAGGCTTATATTACCTTCCTGGAGATTAGGGTATAAATGCTAATAAATATGGTATTTTAATTCTAATACAAAGGAGAGAAAAGCAGTTGCTTATAGAGGTAAGAGTTTATAATTTTTCTGATTCAGAAGGCATTTGGGATTCAATGAAAGATTCCCACCTCACCCCCTTAAATCTTTATAGCCTTCTTCCATTGAATGAATTGATAGGTTTGATCTAATTTTCTGTTCTCTAGAATTATAAGCAAGTCCTGATTTTTTTTCTTTCTAATTGAGGCAATACGTTTCTGAGATACAACAACTCCAAATGTCAGCCACAGAGGTACCTGGTTGCTTTGACAATCTTGCATGTTATATTAGCGTGAAATAATTATGCAGGAGCCAGAATAGCCTCACTTGTTCCATCACATAATCATCCACCAAGCAGGCATCTTTCCTGAGAAGCTATTTAAAACCTTCTGATGCCTTCTTATCATAATTAGAAGAAAATCCAAACTATTTACCCTAGCTTACTTTAGCCGCTGTTGTTGGTTCTGCTTGCCAGCCCCCGACCCATCCCCTACCATCTTACTCACTCTGCTTTAGTCATACTGGTGGCTTTTCTGGTATTTAAATACTAAAAGCTTGTACCTGACTCTCAGTTTATGTACTTGCTGCCCAGGACCCTCTCCCACTACATGGTTAACTCCTTTTTTCCTTTGTGTGTGTGTGTGGTTTTTTTTTTTTTTTTTTTTGAGATGGAGTGTCGCTCTGTTGCCCAGGTTGGAGTGCAATGGCGTGATCTCGGCTCACTGCAACCTCTGCCTCCCAGGTTCAAGCGATTTTCCTGCCTCAGCCTCCTGAATAGCTGGGATTACAGGCATGCACCACCATGCCCAGCTAAGTTTTGGATTTTTAGTAGAGATGGGGTTTCACCATGTTGGTCAGGCTGGTCTCAAACTCCTGACCTTGTGATCTGCCCACCTCAGTCTCCCAAAGTGCTGGGATTGGTTAACCCCTTTTTAACATCCAGTTCTTAGATGTAACATTACTTCTTCAAAGATGATTTTTTTTTGAGACGGAGTCTTGCTCTATCTCCCAGGCTGGAGTGCAGTGGCGTGATCTCGGCTCACTGCAAGCTCTGCTTCCCGGGTTCATGCCATTTTCCTGCCTCAGCCTCCCATGTAGCTGGGACCACAGGCGCCCACCACCATGCCCGGCTAATTTTTTGTATTTTTAGTAGAGACGGAGTTTCACTGTGTTAGCCAGGATGGTCTCCATCTCCTGACCTCGTGATCCACCTGCCTTGGCCTCCCAAAGTGCTGGGATTACAGGCGTGAGCCACCGTGCCTGGCCTTAAAGATGATTTCTTAAATGAATCTACATGAAGTTGCTCCCCACCCCAAGTCATTCTCCATTCTGTAATTCTCTTTAACAAGTAATAGTTCATATTGCCACATGATTTGAAATATATCATCTATTAGTTTACTTGTTGTTTATCTGCCTCTCACCACTAAAATGTAACTTCGACAGAAGCAGAGAATTTCTCCTTTCATCGCAGTTTTATATCCTAAGTATATCCTGAGTTAAGATATTCCCTGCAACAGGTGCCTGCAATAGGTACTTGTTGAATGACTTAATTAACTGTGTCCACTATGCTGGCTACTCAATTTGGCAAGTGTTTATTGTATATCCACTCTGTGCATGGTCCTGTGGTAAGGGACAAAGAGAAGTCAGCCACGATGCTTTTCTACACACTAGTGGAGTTCAATGTTGGGAGAATGGGCTGTGTCAATAGCTACAATCCCAGCCCCCCACAATAATTAATTTATACTGAGCACTCAGGATGTGCTGGTTACTTTGCTAAGTGTCTTCAGACTTTATCTCATTGAATCCTTTCCACACATCATAACATAGGTGTTAGTAAACCCAATTTACAGATGAGAAAACTAAAACTTAGAGTGTTAGTAACTACTCTAAATCACACAGATATCAAATGACAGCCCAATATTGAATTTGAGTCTGAATCTAAAGCTGTTATTGTAACTTCTTCACAACACGTGTTTTTAAACACTTTATTTTGCTTTGCAGGATACTTGTTATATAAAAGAGGTGGGTTCAGAATGGAGCAATCAAAGGGTCGGAGTTAAAAAACCTAGGCCAGATTAAGACAGAAGATCCCATATAATATTTCTTAACATCCTTTGGATAAGTTTCCTAATGTAGATTTTAACTGAAGCCACAAAAAAAACCACAAAGTCAAAAAATGTAGTCCTTTCTGGCACCCTTTAAATAAAACCACAGTCTTATTGCAACAAAATCAACATCTAGGCTTTAGTTCTGACTTGAAATGTAACAAATACCCCTGCAACTATGCATTACATTTTCAGTAAAAATTTTGGTGGTGACTTGGAAAACAATGATTCTTTAAATAACTTCCCTAATTTCAAAGAGAGGTAGATGAGGGAAAGGGAATGCTATTTTCTATTGTAAGGCAATGAGATTTGTTAGCTAAACAAAGACTTGTCAAAAGTCAAGGGTGATCAGCACCCTTGACTTTGTTGCTAATTCAGAGCTGCATCCCATTCCCGAGCTTTTAGAAAAGGGTAATAAGGAAAAGAGAGAGGTAAGTGGGGGTATTTCTAGGAGGTGAAGACAGTCTGATAAAATTTATACAGTAGTCTAAAAATGAGTCTTTCCCACAATGCCTAAAAAGATTCTTTCCCTTTTATCTCACCTTTGGCCTTTTATCAATTAGCAATCCATTCTTATTATCGACTGTCCACTTTGAAATGGAGACTAGCTTTAGAATGGCTGTTAGTCATTCAACCTTGGGGCTCAATTAGTTATTAGAATGCTTCCCTCCTGGAGATTTAATAATGAAAGGGAATTTTGGAGAAGTGCATTGGAGGGCAGTGAAGTTTTATGCTGTTAGGTACTGTAGGAGTGTGCTGGTTGGCTGGGCTTCAGATATAAGGTTGTGACACAAGTGGAACTCAGGCACAGAGCCACCCAAGATGAATCAGTTTCTACGCTCAGAGAAGTAGAGGTGACTGAACCCTGTGGGGCATGTGGCGGCAGCTCTTGACATCTTGTTTGCACATTTCACAAGCAATATCCTTTATCTTTGTGTACTAGCATTGGCCAAACCCTGCCTCACTCTTGGCTTTCATTTTCCTTTTGACCCATTTTGATTGTACTACTGGGAAATTATTGGCCAAAGTGGGGAGGATCTTAGATACTGCTAGGGAGATATCCTTGGGATTTTTCTGATTTCTCTTGTGCAGCCACTCAACCCTGGCCAGATTTACTCCTTGGGGTGAGCAAAGGAGTAGAGAAGGAAGAGAGAGCCACAGAGGAGAGGTCACATGCAAATATCCCTGTAAGAGATAGCTTATAAGTATGATACCTACAGAGGAGAGGCCGCGTGTAAATATCAAACTTACAGAGTGACTCTACAATATTCTTGCATTGTCTATTTGTCCGTGATTCTAGGATGAATGTGCGTAGGGATGAGGGTAAATCTGCTTTTATTTCAGGGGAGAGAGGGAGAGGGAACATCTAGCTTTCACCAAATTTTTGTGGGAAACAGATCTGCTTCACTCTACTGGAAACTGTCAACTTTAAACAAACTCTAGGAAGCCTCTTTGTAATGGCAGAATAAATCTACCCTTACATTTCTCCTGAAATAACAAGGAGATGAAATACGAAGAAAAAACCTTGCACTCACTAACATAAATCAGCCCTGTTGCTGCAATCAGCGCATATGGTATGGTAACATTGCCCACTGCTCTGAGACCTGTTAATGGAAGACCATATGTGCTTCTGCAAGATCAAAACACAACGGGCCTGGTTTAAGACTCTGTGGTGGCTCTGACTCCGAACTTGTGTTTATTGGTTTGTGTTTCTGCTTTAGCGCTATCCTCCCCACCATAGTCTCTCCCAGTCCCTTACTTTTTTCTTTCCTTTCCTTCAGGAGTTCAGGGGGCCGGATAACTTAAAAACTTGTGTTTGGACTTTGCAGAGTTCCTATAGTAGGCAGAGGCCATGACAGAGACACATTACAGGTGTCTGGAATATGAGGCATTATTGATGGTGCCTCCAGAACAGAGCAATTCCTTTCTGCCTGCAGACTTGCCTTTTGGAATGTACTAATTACAAGAGGTTAGAGATTTGGGTTAAAGCAAGGATGAAAAGCGATTTTATTTGGTTTTCTCCCCTCTACCCTTTTATTTAAACAAACGAATATAGGCTTTTAAAAAAGTGAGAGGGCCCAGTATTCACTTTCCCTATGTAAAGTGAGTGAATGAATCAGACTGCTCAGTTTTTTTTTTATTATTATTATTGTGGGTATAAGCATAAATGAAAACCAAATAAGTTACTAATAGGACTGAATGCACAGCACATCTTTCTTGGAGCTCAAGAACCTTGTGAACATAAATGCATTTATCTTTGGGATGACTCTTTGAGAATGGTGTCTGGTTAACATAATACCCTCTAATTTGTTATGGCCTATGCTTAGCTTCTTTCTCTTGTTCACAGGAGATCCCAGATAGCTCTGAACAAGCTCATGATGAATGCCAGACCTCCTGTGAGACAAAGCTTTGTAATGGGGGATAAATAAACCACACACACTTACTATTGACATAAAATGTAGTTATTTTCCTTTGAATAAAAAATACGCTGTTTGTCACAATAAAGGAAGCTCTAATATAGTTATGTTATTTTCTGAATCCTTGTTTAGAGCATCTACCAGGACCCGTCTGTATAGACCATGTGATGTCTCATTATCAGTCTGTGTGACAAAGCTTTCATCCTGAGGTCCTGTGTATCCATATGTATTTTTTTCCTTGATAATTAATCCTATGCCATTTTAGTGCATGGAATCCTTTGCTTTAAAATCAGCACTTCCCTTGGATTCCAAGTTGGCTTAAAAGTTGCAACTGCCCTGAAAATCATGTACTATGTTTAGAAAAATTTTCAGTAGTGGTGTGTGAGGTCATTTATTCCCCCTCTAGAAGGGGATGATCACTGTCCGTGGTGATCTCATGTGGTAGGATAAATACCAACTGTTTTAGATGTGTGATATTGAGAGGCGGTATCATTCAGGGCAACGGTTTGTAAATCTGGGTGATCATCAGGACGAATTGGAGGAGGAGGAGGTTTCTAACCTCACCAGGCTTCCCTATCTGAGGACTCTGACTGAGAGATCTGGGGTAGGGTCTAGGGATCTTTCTAATAAAGCTTCCATAGGCAATTCTGATGATCAGTGGAGTTGGGAATCATTGACTATAAAATCTTTGTCCTGAGTGTCAGTTCAGGTTTTGTCATATATTCATTCAATCAACCATCTAGTCAGCCAACTGCGATTTTGTGCCAGGCACTGGGCTGAGTGCAGGAGTACAGAGGTTAACAAGACAGCGTGCAGCCTCAACCATTTAATGGCTCTTGGCTCCATTTCCTGACCTTTAAATAGGGGTTGGATGAGATTTCAGGTCCCACTCAGCTCTAGCAGTCAATGGTATTTAAGAAACTGAGCTCCTGACCTCCTAAAGTGCCTTTCAACTTCTTTGCAGTTCTTTTTGCCAAGCTGACATACTCCCATTCCAGTTTTCTACCTTGCCTTAGGCTTATCCCTCAAACAAGTCTTCAGGGCTTACTGTCAGCCTGATTGAAATGTTAAACATGTGTTCTTCTCTCTCTTTCCAGGGCTATTGGGTGAGCAGTTAACCAACTCTTCATCAGGCTGTGTATTTTTCTATTCACCATGATAGTGAGAGGTGACAGCGTGCTGGCAGCCCTCACAGCCCTCGCTCGCTCTCCGTGCCTCCTCTGCCTGGGCTCCCACTTTGGCGGCACCTGAGGAGCCCTTCAGCCCGCCGCTGCATGGTGGGAGCCCCTTTCTGGGCTGGCCAAGGTCGGAGCCGGCTCCCTCAGCTTGCAGGGAGGTGTGGAGGGAGAGGTGCAAGTGGGAACTGGGGCTGCGCATGAGGCTTGCCAGCCAACTGGAGTTCTGGGTGGGCGTTGGCTTAGCGGGCCCCGCACTGGGAGTGGCCGGCCGGCCCTGCCGGCCCGGGCAGTGAGGGGCTTAGCACCTGGGCCAAAGGCTGCGGAGGGTGTACTGGGTACCCCAGCAGTGCCGGCTCACAGGCGCTGTGCTCAATTTCTTGCCTGGCCTTAGCTGCCTCCCCGTGGGGCAGGGCTCGGGACCTGCAGCCCACCATGCCTGAGCCTCTCCGGCTCCGTGGGCTCCTGTGCAGCCCGAGCCTCCCCGATGAGTGCCACCACCTGCTCCACGGCGCCCAGTCCCATTGACCACCCAAGGGCTGAGAAGTGCGGGCGCAGGGCGAGGGACTGGCAGGCAGCTCCACCTGCAGCCCCAGTGCGGGATCCACTGGGTGAAGCCAGCTGGGCTCCTGACTCTGGTGGGAACTTGGAGAACCTTTATGTCTAGCTAAGGGATTGTAAATACACCAATCAGCACTTTGTGTCTAGCTCAAGGTTTATAAACACACCAATAAGCACCCTGTGTCTAGCTCAGGGTTTGTGAATGCACCAGTGGGCACTCTGTATCCAGCTACCCTGGTGGGGACTTGGAGAACCTTTATGTCTAGCTGAGGGATTGTAAATACACCAATCAGCACTCTGTATCTAGCTCAAGGTTTGTAAACACACCAATCAGCACCCTGTGTCTAGCTCAGGGTTTGTGAATGCACCAATCAACACTCTGTATCTAGCTACTCTGGTAGGGACTTGGAGAACCTTTGTGTGGACACTATGTATCTAGCTAATTTAGTGGGGAGGTGGAGAACCTTTGTGTCTAGCTCAGGGATTGTAAACACACCAGTCAGAGCCCTGTCAAAACAGACCACTGAACTCTCTGCAAAATGGACCAATCAGCAGGATGTGGGTGGGGCCAGATAAGAGAATAAAAGCAGGCTGCCCAAGCCAGCCGTAGAAACCCGCACGGGTCCCCTTCCACACTGTGGAAGCTTTGTTCTTTCGCTCTTTGTAATAAATCTTGCTGCTGCTCACTCTTTGGGTCCACACTGCCTTTAAGAGCTGTAACACTCACCACGAAGGTCTGCAGCTTCACTCCTGAGCCAGCGAGACCACGAACCCACCAGAAAGAAGAAACTCCGAACACATCTGAACATCAGAAGGAACAAACTCCGGACATGCCGCCTTTAAGAACTATAACACTCACCGCAAGCGTCCGCGGCTTCATTCTTGAAGTTAGTGAGACCAAGAACCCACCAATTCCGGACACAATAGTATGAAAAGCAGCTGCTTACCCTGGACAGAGTTTCAAAAAGGTGGCTTCCAACCCATTTCCATGTTACATGGAAAAGCTCTTGTTTTTCTCCTCATCTGTTGCCATCAGAGGCCCAGTGGAAACTCAAGGTAAAGCTTCACAGACAGGCAAATCTGGGCCTCTCAAACCAGAGGGGACTGAACTGAGGGTGAAGGGCACATTTTCTCAGCTTTTCAAGGGGATGGGATTAGGGGTGGGATGAAGGAGAGAATGTGGGCAGAGACTCAGTCTGACTTCAATACAGAACAAAACATAAAACAATGTACCACTTTAAAGTTAAGGAGTTTTTGGAATTCTCTAGATCTTATTCTGAGATGGAAGCAGAATGGAATTTAAACAGCATCCTTTTCTTCCCGCTTTTGAGACAGTCTCACTCTGTCACCGGGGCTGGAGTGCAGTGGTGCAATCATGGCTCACTGCAGCCTGGATTTCCTGGGCTCAAGCAATCCTTCCACCTCAGCCTCCCAAGTAACTGGAACCACAGGTATGTGTCACCACACGGGGCTAATTTTTTTTAAAATTTTTTATTTTTAGTGGAGACGAGGTCTCTATGTGCCCTAGGCTGGTCTCAAGCTCCTTAGCTCAAGGGATCCTCCTGCCTCAGCCTCTCAAAGTGCTGAGATTACAGGCATGGGCCAGCACATGCAACCTAAAGAACACATTTTTCTTTCAGAGTCTTCTTATGACCCAGGAAAATGACTGTTTATTAATCAGGTCACAGTAAAGCTGATGCCACTTCTCGTAATCAAGAAGACTGTCTCTCAATCATGAGATGGAACAGAAAACCCCTTTTTAGGGGCCTGTGGACTCCACACTTGGAAATAAAGGACAATTCTGAGGTCCTTCAAAGGAAATTCCAGGCACCTGGCTAGCCCCAGAAGTAAATAAGTAATTTGTTAAACCAGAAGGGAAGAGTAGCCTAAAGCAACAGCCAAGGAAGTTAGAGTTCCAGAGATATTTGCCTTCCTGATAGAAACTAAAGACAACATCTTAACACATGTCCCTGAGTTGTCTTTCAGAGATCCCCACTGAGGACCCCAACAAACTGATCTACCTGCGCATAGACTTCAGATAAAAGGGAATTGAAGACTGAACTTTGACCATGTTTTTTATTCTAAATTTCTTCCTGAAGGGTTTGGAGAAAGTCATCGTCCCCATATAGCCAATTAACATTTTTCTGCGAACCCCAAATTTTAAAACCAAGTTTCTTTTCCTTAACCAATTGCAAACCAGCAAAGCTTTGAATCTGCCTACTACCAATAAGCCTGCGCTTCGGGATAATCTGCCTCTTTAGGCCTAAACCAATGTGTCATCTCCGTGTGTTGATTTAGAATATTGCCTGTAGCTTCTGCTTTTAAAAACACTTGCCTGAAAGCCATCGGTGAGGCCAGGATTTGAGCATTTAGCTGCTTAGTCCTCCTTGCTTGGCACCCGGCAAATAAACATTTTTCTTTCTATTGCCGTAAAACCTTAGTGTGTGTGTATATATATATGTGTGTATATATATACATATATATATATAGTGTGTATATATACACATATATATAGTGTGTGTATATATACACATATATATAGTGTGTATATATATACATATATATAGTGTGTGTATATATATACATATATATAGTGTGTGTATATATATACATATATACACATACTATATGTGTATATATGTATATATGTGTATATATGTATATATGTGTATATATGTATATATGTGTATATATGTATATATGTGTATATATGTATATATGTGTATATATGTATATATGTGTATATATGTGTATATATGTGTATATATATGTGTATATGTGTATATATATGTGTATATGTGTATATATATGTGTGTATATATGTATGTATATATGTGTGTGTGCATATATATATATATGTAGATTTATCACACAGGGTGAGTAGACCGGACTACAGCTTGGTTCTATAACACATGAGGGTCTAAATATTTTCATCGCTTATTAAAGTAAAACTTAAAGGTCTCTGTATCGACCTAAAACCAGCATCTTGTGGTTCTTCCCTGTGGAAGGAGAAGAGGTAGATCAAAGAACTCATTATTTGAGTTTCCAGGGTTGCCCATTCAGGTAGTTCTGGAAAATAGTGCTTAACATGTCACGAAGGGCTGGGCGCGGTGGCTCACACCTGTAATCCCAGCACTTTGGGAGGCTAAGGTGGGCAAATCACCTGAGGTTAGTTCACGACCAGACTGGCCAACATAGTGCAACCCTGTCTCTACTAAAAATACAAAAATTAGCCAGGCATGGTGGTGCATGCCTGTGGTCCCCACTACTTTGGAGGCTGAGGCAGAAGAATCACTTGAACCTGGGAGGCGGAAATTGCAGTGAGCCGAGATCGCGCCACTGCACTCCAGTTTGGAGTTTCCTCCAGACCTATCTGCCTGGGCGACAGAGTGAGACTCCATCTCAAAACAAGACAAACAAAAAAACATGTTAGTGAGGCAGATGGTAAACATGTCAGTGATGTAGATGGTAAACATGTCAGTGTCGCAGATAGTAGAGACAATGGCAACTGGAGAATTCAGGCCTGGTCTCAAGGGCAAGGCTGGTGCTTAGCCCCAGTGATGTGGCTTTTTGGAAATGAGGACCCAGTGTTGCCAGTTCTTATGAGTTTTTTCAAAAGAAAGAGATCTAGATTTTTTTTTTTTTTTTGAGATGGAGTCTCGCCCTGTTGCCCAGGCTGGAGTGCAATGGTGCGATCTTGGCTCACTGCAACCTCTGCCTCCCGGGTTCAAACAATTCTGCTGCCTCAGCCTCCTGAGTAGCTGGGATTACAGGCGTGCCCCACCATGCCTGGCTAATTTTTGTATTTTTAGTAGAGATGGGGTTTTACCATGTTGGCCAGGCTGGTCTTGAACTCCTGACCTTGTGACCGCTCAGCTCAGCTTCCCAAAGTGTTGATTACAGGCGTGAGCTACTGCGCCTGGCTGATCTAGATTTTTAGGTTGGCAAGCAATTCAAATTAGGTATGCACACAGACCCCAACCACATTGCTGGGCAGCTCGATGGCAACCCTCTTTCCCTGTTTGTTACTATTGTGAAGGAATCTTGCTAGCCTTTTGATTGGAAGTAAGCTGAGGCACACACACACAGAACCCCAACAAGAGTTCAATCTATTCTTCATTATGGTATAACCCAAATGACAGACACTTTCAAATGAAAAGTAGGGCAGAGCATCTGGTCTAGCTAACATACCAACATCTGGCGTGGGAGTGTAGGATCTGAATGGCCAGGCCTTTAGCAGGATTGCTGTCTGTGGCTTTCCAGCTGGGCAGCGTGGTGTATGGTGGAACTGCACATCCAACCATGATGCTTTGGTATCAGGGCGTCTCCACATGGAGGCTCCTGCAGCCAGTGGTGGGTGTTCATCATAGACACACCTTCTCTTTCTCATGGTCTATGACCTTTAACCTCAGAGGTGGTTCCTTTGAATACTTTCCCTTCCCCTGACGTTACCACTTCCTTTCAGTTTCTAAGCTTTGGCTTTCCCCCAGATTCCTCCACCTTTTGGTCTACAAAAGATGTGTATATAGATACACACACACACACACACACACACACACACACACACACACATATACATATTTTTTGAGACAGTTTCACTCTTGTTACCCAGGCTGGAGTGCAATGGCACAGTCTTGGCTCACTGCAACCTCTGCCTCCCTGGTTCAAGTGATTCTCCTGCCTCAGCCTCCCAAGTAGCTGGGATTACAGGTGCCTGCCACCATGCCCAGCTAATCTTTGTATTTTTAGTAGAGATGGGGTTTCACCATGAGACATATCTCTCATAATTGTATAACTTTTAAGTCTTATTTTGCTAAGAGAGCACCTATATTTTTCCTGATCTCAAGTTGTATTACAGAATCAGTTGTGGTCCTGGCAGAATCAAATGTTATACCATAAATGGATAATTTGTAGTGAATTTAATAAAGAGATTGGCCAGGCTGGTCTCAAACTCCTGACCTCAGGTGATCTGCCTGCCTCTGCCTCCCAAAGTGCTGGGATTACAGGCATAAGCCACCATGCCCAGCCCAAAGTTGTATATAAATCAGTTTTCTGTCCCCCATATTCATTTTCTGTCCTCCATACTCATTTTCACTTCTAGGTAGGAGGAAATAGAATCATGAGGAGGATGGAGGGGAGAAAAGAAGTCAAGGTAGCTTTTAACTGGAAAAGTGACTTAATTTTTTTTTTCTCTAATTTTTTTTTCTCTTTTTGGTTTCTATGGTGATCTAAATAATAATTAGATGTCTCTACTGTAAGACTTAATACCTTGTCACTGTGTCAGCCTGAGACATATCTCTCAAAATTGTATAACTTTTAGGTCTTATTTTGCTAAAAGAGCACCTGTATTTTTCCTGATCTCAAGTTGTGTTACAGAATCAGTTGTGGTCCTCGCAGAATCAAAAGTTATATCATAAATGGATAATTTGTAGTGAATTTAATAAAGAGATTATTTATGTAGGTGTAGAGCAGAATCGCAAGTGATTGTGCAGTATGCTAGAGCTACAGAGAGTGCAGTGACGTGGGAGTCTGTTACTACCCCCAGGGCTGAAGGGGCGAGTGGAGATAGTGGCTCCTGGAATCTGGATATAGGCTAGGCTGTATGGAACAGGTGGATGACAGGAGGCAGCCAGCCTGTGGTCACTTTCCGGGGAGAAGTCATTGGAATAAATACCCTGACTTTGTCTCTCTTTCTGTTATCTGGCTTTTGCATTGATCAAACTCAACTGGAAGGCTGTCAATGGAGTCCATAATAGTCAGCAGGGTGGAGAAAGTGGAGAATGGATTTACAGTGGAAAATAGAAGTTATATAGCACAACATTTGAAGTTATAAGATGCCAGTTTGATCTGAATTGTTCAGTCAAGTATAATTGCTAGCATTTGCATGCTGTCATGTTCAAACTGAAACTTTCAACAGAAGCATTTGAATAAACACTATTAATGGAACGACACCTTGTAAAAGATTAAGAATTCATAAAATTCAATATTTATTGAATCCCTACTATGTCCCTAGTATTGTGGTCATCTTATCTGTGGACTATATTAATGCTACTGTAATAGAGGGCAAGATTAAATAATTTTTATGTTGGGGTCAGCTGGAGCTATCTTTCATTTGTAAACTCATTTGGGTAAAAGATTGTACACTTTTGGCCAGGCGTGGTGGCTCACGTCTGTAATCCCAGCACTTTGGGAGGCGGAGACAGGTGGATCATGAGGTCAGGAGATTGAGACCATCCTGGCTAACACAGTGAAACCCCATCTCTACTAAAAATACAAAAAATTAGCTGGGCGTGGTAGCACATGCCTGTAATCCCAGCTACTCAGGAGGCTGAGGCAGGAGAGTCACTTGAACCTGGGAGGCAGAGGTTGCAGTGAGCCAAGATTGCGCCACTGCACTCCAGCCTGGGTGACAGAGCCGGACTCTGTCTCAAAAAAAAAAAAAAAAAAAAGATTGTCCACTTGCCATTCAAGTATTGTAGAGAGTGATTCTTTTGTACCAAGCAATGTTTGTACTGCTACATTCTGTAGGAGGATGGTTTCCAGGAGCAGATAAATTAATCTTTTTAACAGTTCAATTACAGTTGTGTAAGTTTTTGTTTTTAGAACAAACAATAATAAAACATTTGTTGTTTTCTCTTTGCAAAATGGAGATTAAATGAGATAATGCATATGCCTGATCCTCTGTAAAGCCTTAATGAATGTAATCCAATTTTCAAATAAAAGAGAAAACCCACCAATCTCCCTGCTTTCAAAATTCAATCTGCTTTTGTGTTTCCTTACTCACTTTTAGAATTTATTCTTACGCGTTTGTAATTTCTACAAACAAGGAGATTTTATTTGCATGTGAAAGAAACCCAAACTTTAAGTGAGATTAGGTGTGATATCTTTAGGGCATGGTTTCTGTTTCCCTGGGAGCTTGCCCTTCTCTAGAAGGCTCTATCTTCAGGCTGGTGTTCTTCAGAGGATATAAATGGCTGTTCCTGTTTCAGGCTTCACACCATCATACAACCTACATACAAGATGTCATAGGCACCTTGGGCTGTAATAACAAAATACCACAGACTGGGTGGTTTAAACAACTGGAGTTTATTTCTCAGAGTTCTGGAGGCTGGAAGTCCAAGATCAGGGTGCTAGCAGGGTCGACGTCTGGCGAGGGCTCTCTTTTTGTTGCAGATGGCACCTTGCTATGCCCTCAAATGGTCTTTCCTTGGTGCATGTGAGTGAAGGAGAGAGGAAGCAAACTCTGCTATAAAGGGCACTAATCCCATCATGGGGACCCTACCATCATGGGGACCCTACCCTCATGACCTCTTCTAAACCTGATTAACTCCAAAAGTCCCCATCTCCAAAATACCACCATGAATTTTGGAGGGATACAATTCAGTTTGTAGCACTGAACTTTCCAGAGATCTTTTCCCCAAACTATCAAACAAAAGCTCTGCTTTCATGTTGACTGGACTAACTGAAACCAGTCATCGTAGCCAGGGATTGCCATGAACTGATTAACAGCGTTTTTGCCCACAGCTAACAGAATCACTATAGCAAGGGGTTAGGGGTTGGGGGATGGGGGATGAGCTGATGCAATTTGGCTTATATTGGGGCTGGGGGAAATTCTTCCCAAGCAATATTCCTTGCTAAACAGTGGGGGAGTGATGGGAAGAAAGTTATCTACAGTGTCCACTATTTTTAAGTTACCTGTTGCCATATCATTAGATTTTCAGCTTCTTTTCAGTGTTTGAGGAACCGAACTGAACTTCAACTAAACTGAATTTCAAATTTTCTCATGAAAGTGCATTAATGTTGGGGTCTCAGAATTTTTGTCTGACATGCTCAGCAGTGAGTGCTGCTTAATGGACAAAAGCTTACTACCAAAGCTAAATGTTCTAGAGAATCGATATTACTACAACTGTGGAGCCCTTGTTTCCATACAAGTCTCTTCATAAAGTAATTCATGAATTTTAAGCTGCTTTTTCCAGTCCACATTGTTCTAGAGAATGATAGAACAGGTTAGTAGGTCACTGCCAAAGTTCAAGTCTGTAACCTTTTGTCTCCTTCTAGAAGCAGTGGAACTTATTCATTTATGAGTTCTTAAATAATTACGTCATTAGGGGTGGGTTTGTCACAATTAAGATTGATATTTGCTTGTGTTGAGGAAACTGGATTTTAATCCCAAAATTTCTGTTTTTGTCCTTCCATTTTCAATATTCCATTATTTCACATAATTATCCAAACAATGTATTTAAACTGAACCCTTTCTATGTGATCAATATTATGCTAGGTATGCTGGGGAATAAAACTGATGTAGGAGAGATGGCTCTAAGAAGTACTCTGAACCGGGTGTGGTAGCTGAAGCCTGTAATCCCAGCATTTTGGGAGGCTGAGGCAGCTGGATCACCTGAGGTCAGGAGTTTGAGACCAGCCTGGTCAACATGGGGAAACCCTGTCTCTACTAAAAATACAAAAATTAGGCATGGTGGCACGTGCCTGTCATCCCAGCTACTTGGGAGGCTAAGGCAGGAGAATTGCTTGAACCCAGGAGGCAGAGGTTGCAGTGAGCTGAAATCATGCCACTGCACTCCAGCCTGGGCAACAGAGTGAGACTGTCTCAAAAAAGAAAAAAAAAGAAAAAAAAGAAATATTCTCTTGATGGAGGAATGAGACTAATCACATAGGATGGGTTTGTTTTGTAAGCATTTCTAAGTGTGTCATAGAAGAAGATTGGAGCAATGGAAATTGAGAGGAAGAAAGACCCCAGTGTGTTGAACTTTCTTGGGGGCTCTTTGGTGGAGGTGGTACTTAAATTGGGCTCTAATGGATATGTAAGATCTGTATAGGAAGAGGAGTTGGGGGAAGAGCATTTGCAAAAGCGTGGGAATAAACGCTGGTGTGGTCAGTTGGGGAATCCCTGAATGATCAAATCAGAGTGACAATCGTGCATGGGAGAGAAGTGGCAAAGGAGGATGGATGGGATTTTGTTCTCTACTGGATTTTCTCCAACCTCCCATATTTATCTTTTTTCTTTTATTATACTTTAAGTTTTAGGGTGCATGTGCCCAACGTGCAGGTTAGTTACATGTGTATACATGTGCCATGTTGGTGTGCTGCACCCATTAACTCGTCATTTAACATTAGGTATATCTCCTAATGCTATCCCTCCCCACCCCACCCCACAACAGGCCCCGGTGTGTGATGTTCCCCTTCCTGTGTCCATGTGTTCTCATTGTTCAATTCCCACCTATGAGTGAAAACATGTGGTGTTTCGTTTTTTGTCCTTGCGATAGTTTGCTGAGAATGATGGTTTCCAGCTTCATCCATGTCCCTACAAAGGACATGAACTCATCATTTTTTATGGCTGCATAGTATTCCATGGTGTATATGTGCCACATTTTCTTAATCCAGTCAATCATTGTTGGACATTTGGCTTGGTTCCAAGTCTTTGTTATTGTGAATAGTGCCACAATAAACATACGTGTGCATGTGTCTTTATAGCAGCATGATTTATAATCCTTTGGGTACATACCCAGTAATGTGATTGCTGGGTCAAATGGTATTTCTAGTTCAAGATCCCTGAGGAATTGCCACACTGACTTTCACAATGGTTGAACTAGTTTACAGTCCCACCAACAGTGTAAAAGTGTTCCTATTTCTCCACATCCTCTCCAGCACCTGTTATTTATCTTTTTTTTTGTTTGTGTTTTCAATTACTAAAAAGAGGTAACAATATGTGAGACATCAAGAAGTTTGGAATTATTTTAGAGTGTTTGCACACAATGGACATAGCCTTCTGTAACTGTCTCATCAGTGACAGCCCACTTTGAGTTTTTGTTTGTTTATTCCTTAGGGCATTTATGTATGTGGTTAGAGGCACAGCTAACCCCTTTCTTTTCTAGTGGAAGGCTTTGTCCTTTGCTGAAGTTCAGCCCCAAGTCTGACTAAAAAAGCATGAAAACTATAGGCCAGAAAGAGAAGGCAATTAAAACCAGGAATGAAAATACAGGAGGGGAAGGTGAGTGGATTCTGAAACTGTGACAAGTTAAGGAATTAAAACACAATTCCGTAAATTCTAAAGCAGACTCATAGTTTTGTGTCAAAATAGATCTTTTCATGGTCAGTATTCAGGAGGAGTTAAACTTTGAAAATATTAAGACCTGGTATATTGATTTGATTCTTCCAATTGAATTTCCTTAAAGCATAATAAAGTATTATATACATAAGTATGTATATGTGTAGATATTTTCTAACATTGTTAGGAAATGTGAATATTTACTGAAGAATCATCTTCATGCTTACTGATTGAAATTTTAGATTTAGATATATGTTTCTATTAACTTCTGGGGCTATATATTTATAATCACATCTTGAAAGAATTTCTTTTTCTTTTTCTTTTTTTTTAAGACAGAGTCTCACTCTGTTGCCCAGGCTGGAGTGCAGTGGCGCGATCTCAGCTCACTGCAACCTCCGCCTCCTGAGTTCAAGTGATTCTTCTGCCTCAGCCTCCCAGGTAGCTGGGATTAGAGGCGTGTGTCACCATGCCTGGCTAATTTTGGTATCTTTAGTAAAGACAGGATTTCACCATGTTGGTTAGGGTGGTCTTGAACTTCTGACCTCAAGTGATCCATCCACCTCAGCCTCCCGAAGTGCTGGGAGTACAGGTATGAGCCACTGCTCCTGGCCAGCTTGAAAGAATTTCTTAAAAGTGGCAACACATGTGTTGACATATTCAGGCATGTCATGATCACTCTGTTTCAATATTATTGCTATGGGTTCTTTAATTTACCATCAGATGGGACAGTAAGTCAGGTTACATTCTAAACAAAAAATAAAAATTTTCTGAAATTTCTATCGAAGTTCTATAAAGATTTGCATTTGGATAGTCATTGGAAGTGAAATATTTTGTGGGGAAAAGTGGCTCATTCTCACACCTGATAAAATAGGTAATGGTTCTTAGCCGTTTTTTTTTTTTTTGAATCAAAGTCTCATTCTGTCACCCAGGCTGGAGTGCAGTGGCATGATTTCAGCTCACTGCAACCTCCACCTCCAGGGCTCAAGCCATCCCTCAGCCTCCAGAGCAGCTGGGACTACAGATGCACACCAACATGCCTGGCTAATTTGCATATTTTTGTAGAGATGGGGTTTTGCCATGTTGCCCAGGTTGGTCTTGAACTCCTGGCCTCAAGTGATCCACCTGCCTTGGCCTCCCAAAGTGCTGGGATTACAGGCATGAACTGCTGTTCTTAGCATTTATAATAGGCAAAGTTTTCCATATTCCTTGTAATTGTGATATTCTCCATTTACATAGATGTAATTCAGTTAAGAGAACTGCTAGTTTATGCATTTGTGTGTGTGTGTGCATGTGTGTGTGTGTGTGTGTGTGTGTGTGTGTGTGTGTATGTATTTTTTAACCCCGGAGATACTTCTCCTTGTATAGTTAAATTGTTGAATGTTATTTTGGGAGATGATGCCTTAGGTCTTTTCTCGAAGGTGACTTCTTTTCCTTCTAATCCTCAAATTTTTCTCTCAACTCCAGTCCTTAAGATTCTCTTGTTTTCTCTCTTCTCTCCTTCTCCTGATTCAGCTTTATATTATATAGATCAGCTTTGGCTTCTTTATTTTTTTCTCTTATGTATTCCACAGTAGCAATATGGTGGTTCTGATGCAAGTTTTGATGTCAAGCCTTGGTTTTAATTCTGCTTCCATCATTTAGTTGCTGTGTGATCTTGGACGAGTTACTGAACCTTGCTGTGTTTCTTCATCAATGAAGTGGAATCATCATGGACTCCATCTCATCAGATTGTTTTGAAGAGTAAGTGAGATAATGGACACACAGTGCCCAGCACAGAGCCTGACCTAGAGTATGCCCTTGCGTGAGTCAAGGTAGGCTAGTTGTGTCGTTATGACAATCAATGCAGGGTTTAAGTATCTTTAAAACATAAACATTTATTTATTTATTTTTACCTAATGTTGGCCGTCAGTCTGGGAGATTCCTCCAAGGAGTGGCTCAATGATAAAGGCTGCTTCGACCTCATGGCACCCCGTCTCAATACATACATCTGTGGTTGTGATGTAGGTGGGACAGATGGAGGGTCTCACTGATAGTGAGTGCTTTGGCCTGGAAACGACTCACATCACTGCCACTCACAGCCAATTGGCCAGAAATAGTCATATGATCCCAAAGCAAAAAAAAAAAAAAAAAAAAAAACCTCAAAAAAAAAAAAGCAACACAGAACTATAATCTTTCCAGGTGCCCAGAACTGGGTGAGCCCAGCGTTCCATGTAGCTGAACTACACAGCACTCTATGCAGCCATATATCAGGAAAGTGCCCTCCAAGAAGTTGGCTGATGTGGAAGCCACACAAGTTTGGTGAAGTCCTCAGTCCCCTAAAAATACTTTACATTTTTAATTAGTCTTCAGAATTCTAGTATTCCTTATGTCCTGGACAGTTTAAAATAATGTCCCTAATTTACAGGAAAGCTACCATTTCCTAGAAAATGCGTAAGGCTATTCCTAGGATTTTGAGAGATTTGGTGCTGGTAATGAGGATGGGGATGTGACAATTATTTTTCTAAATTCCATCTAAGGTGGTTCATGTAGATCTGGTATTTTGATCTTTCCCTGATGCTATTTTTTCCATAGGGTGGATTGGTGTCCCTGTGGATGGGGAGTGAGGCTAGGAAAGGCAGCTCAGCGCATCTTTGGGCCTGTGAGCTGTGAGAAGTTCCTGCTCCCTGACAGTTGAATCAATTCTCTGTCACGTAAAAACTAATAAAGAAAGAATGACAAAGCAGCTTATGGAAATGGAGCCACACTTCATGTTCCAACAGGGTTAGTACCAGCTGTTAGCCATGCATCACTTCTGGGCCCTTCCCAGTGACCTTCATTTATTAGGTGTCACTAATATTCCTCTTCATCAGGGAACAAGTAGACTCCTTCTGGTGTGAAAGCAAAGGGAACGGCAGATCTTTGAAATGTTGAGCCTGTTTGGTGCCTAGTGGAGAAGCCTCTTTGGCCATGCTGATTTTGGAGGAAGGGTATAAAGACTGTGAATATTCCTTACCAGCTAAGGGGAATGCAAGATGGAACAGGGAGTGTTGCAATGGAATTGTAATGGAAACTGAGATACCTTGATTTTCATATCAACTCCTATAATAACTTACGTGAGAATTTGGACAGACCACTTTATTTCATTAGATTTTTTTTCATTAAAAAAGAATCAATGTTATTCTGCCTAATTTGGAGGGTTAATAGGAAAAGCAATTTATGTGGGAAGTATGCAGGCCCTTAAAAAGCATGAAGGTCATGGAAATGGATATTTTTCTCTTTACAAAGTAATACAATTTGTTATACAATTTTGGAAAATATAAACACAAGTAAAAGTTTAACGTGAAAATCATGAAAACCAAACAAAATGCCACCACATAGAGGTAACTGCTATTAACAAATGAGTGTATAGCCTTCTAAGAGTTTTTTTAAAAAAAATACATAATAATTGTATATATTTATGGGGTACATGTGATATGGTGATACATGTATACAGTGTGATCATATTAAGGTATTTAGGATATCGATCACCGCAAACATTTATCATTTCTTTGTGTTGGGAACATTTCAAGTCTTCTAGTTATTTATTTATTTATTAATTTTTGAGACGGTCTTGCTCTGTCGCCCAGGCTGGAGTGTAATGGTGTGATCTCAGCTCACTGCAACCTCCGCCTCATGAGTTCAAATGATTCTCCTGCCTCAGCCTCCTGCGTAGCTGGGACTACAGGTGTGCGCCACCATGCCCAGCTAATTTTTGTATTTTTAGTAGAGACAGGGTTTCACTATGTTGTCCAGGCTTGTCTCAAACTCCTGACTTCAGGTAATCCTCCCTCCTTGGCCTCCCAAAGTGCTGGGATTACAGGCACGAGCCGCTGTGCCCAGCCTCTTCTAGTTATTTTGAAATATACGATAAATTATTCCCTATAGTCACACTACTGTGCTATTGAAAACTAAAACTTATTCCTTCTATCGAACTGTGTAGTTGTAGTCATTCACCAACCTCTCTTCATCCCTGCCCCTACCCTTCCCAGCCTCTGGTAACTATCATTGTAATCTCTACCTCCATTAGGCCTACTCTTTTAGCTCCCAAATGTGAGTGAGAACATGTGATATCTATCTTTTTCTGCCTGGCTTATTTCACTTAACATAATGACCTCCAGTTCCATCCTTGTTGCTGCAAATGACAGGATCCATTTGCCTTAGCCTTCTAGTATGAATTCTGCCTGACTAGTATTTCATTGTTTATATATGCTACAATTTCTTTATCCATTTATCCATTGATGGACACTGAGACGGAGTTGATAGCTTGGCTGTTGTAAATAGTACTGCAATAAACACGGGAGTGCAGGAATCCCTTTGATATACTGATTTCTTTTCCTTTGTATAAATGCCAAGAAATGGGATAGCCTCTATATAATTTTCTATAATAGATGTACTAATTTACATTCCCCCCAACAATGTGTAAGAGTTTCCTTTTCTCTGCATCCTCACCAGAGTTTTTTTTTTTTTTTTTAAGGAGACAGGGTCTCACTATGTTACCTAGGCTGGTTTCAAACTCGTGGGCTCAAGTGATCCATTTGTCTTAGCCTCAACCAGCATTTTTTATTGTCTTTTTGATAATAGCCATTCTAACTGGGGTGAAATGATATCTCATTGTGGTTTTGATGTGCATTTCTCTGATTCCTGATGGTTTTTTCATATACCTATTGGTCATTTTTTTTTCTTTTTGCTTTTTTTTTGAGATGGTCTGTCACCCAGGTTAGAGTCTTTTTGCTTTCTTTTTTTTGCTTTTGCTTTCTTTTTGCTTTTTTTTTGAGATGGTCTGTCACCCAGGCTAGAGTGCAATGGTGAAATCTTGGCTCGCTGCAACCTCCACCTCCTGGGCTCAAACCATCCTCCCATCTCAGCCTCCTGGGTAGCTGGGAGTACAGGTGCATGCCATCACACCCGGCTAATTTTTGTATTTTTTGTGGAGACAGGTTTTGCCATGTTACCCAGGCAGGCTGGTCTCGGACTCCTGGCCTCAAGTGATCCTCCCACCTTGGCCTCTCAAAGTGCTAGGATTACAGGCATTAGCCACTGAACCTGGCCATTTCTGTGTTTTCTTTTGAGAAATGTCTATTCAGATTCTTTGACTACTTTTAAATGGGATTATTTATGCTTTTTTTTTTCTGTTGAGTTGTTTCAGTTTCCTCCATATTCATGGCATTAGTCCCTTGTGGGATAAACAGTTTGCAAATATTCATTCCCATTCTACAGGTTGTCTCTTTACCCTGTTAGTTGTCTCCTTTGCTGTGCAGAAGCTTCTTAGTTTAATATAGTCCCATTTGTCTATTTTTGTTTTTGTTGCCTGTGCTTTTTTGAGGTCTTAGCCGTAGTATCTCTGCCTAGACCAATGTCCTGGAGTGTTTCCCCTGTGTTTTTTCTAGTAGTTTTATAGTTTTGAGTCTTACATTTAAGTCTTTTGAGTTGATTTTTATATATGGTGAGAGATAGATGTCTAGTTTTATTCTTGTGCAAATGAATATGCTGTATTCCCAGCACCATTTATTGAAGAAGGTATCCTTTTCCCAGTGTATATTCTTCCTGCCTTTGTCCAAAAGGCTGTAAATATGTGGATTTATTTCTGAATTCTCTATTTTGTTTCATTGATCTGTGTATCTGTTTTATACCGATATTATGCTATTTTGGTTATTATAGCTCTGTAGTATATTTTGAAGTCAGGTAGTGTGATTCCTCCAGCTTTGTTCTTTTTGCTTAATATTGCTTTGGCTTTGCAGGGTCTTTTGTGGTTCCAAATAAGTTTTATGATTGGATTTTCTATTTCTGTGAAGAATCTAATTGGTATTTTGATAAGGATTGCCATTGAATCTGTCAACTGCTTTGAGTATGGTCATTTTAATAATATTAATTCTTCTAATTCATGAGCATGGGCTGCCTTTCCATTTGTTTGTGTTCACTTTCTTTCATTGGTGTTTTGTAATTTTCATTGTAGAGGTCTTTCACCTTAGCTAAATTTATTCCTAGGCATTTTGTTTTTCTTATAGTTATTATCTGATTGCTTTCTTTATTTCTTTTCCAGCTAGTTGATAATTGGTGTATAGAAACACTACTAAATTTTGTATGCTGATATTGTATCCTGAAATTTTACTGAATTAGCTTATCAGATCTAAGAGTTTTTCAGTGCAGTCTTTAGGTTTTTCTATATATAAGCTCATATATCATCAGCAAACAGGAACAATTTGACTTTTTTTTTTCCAATTTGGATGTCTTTTATTTCTTTTGCCTGATTGCTCTGGCTGGGACTTCCAGTACTATTTGGAATACGAGTGGTGAAAACTAGGCATCCTTGTCTTATTCCAGTCCTTACAGGAAAGGCATTCAGCTTTTCCCCATTCGGTATGATACTAGCTATAGGTTTGTCATATTTGATCTGTATTATGTTGAAGTATGTTCCTTCTATACCTAATCTGTTGAGAATTTCTTATGAAATGATGTTGAGTTTTATCAAATGTTTTATCTACATCTATTGAGATGATCATATGGTTTTTGTCCCTTATTGAATTGATGTGATGTATCACATTTGTTGATTTGCTTATGTTGGCGCATTGTTGTATACCTGGATATATCTCACTTGATCATGGTATATTATCTTTTTGATGTGTTGCTGGATTTAGTTTTTTAGTATTTTGTTGAGGATTTTTGCATATATGTTCATCAGGGATATTGGCCTGTAGTTTTCTTTTTCTGTATGTAGTGTCTTTGGTTTTGGTATCAGGATAATTCTGGCCTCATAGATTGAGTTAGGAAGAATTCATTCCTTGCAACTTTTTGGAGTAGTTTGTGAAAAATTGGTATTAGCTTTTTTCTATAAGCTTGGTAGAATTCAGCAAAGCCATCTGGTCCTGGGCTTTTCTTTGTTGGGAGACTTTATTCAGTCTCATTACCTGTTATTGGTCGATTCAGGCTTTCTATTTCTTTTGGTTCAATCTTAGTTAGGTTGTATGTGTCCAGGAATTTATCTTTGTCCTGTAGGTTTTCCAATTTGTTAGAATATAGTTGTTCATAATAGTCTCTGTTGATCCTTTGTATTTCTGTGATGTCAGTTGTTATGCCTCCTTTTTCATTTCCAATTTTATTTATTTAGGTCTTCCCCCCCTTTTTTTTGATTAGTCTAGCTAGAGTTTATCAATTTTGATTGTGTTTTCAAAAAACAACTTGCCATTTCATTGACTCTTATTTTTTATTAGCCTCTATATTTTGTTTAGTTCTGCTCAGGTCTTTATTTCTATCTTCTACTATTTTTTCGGTTTAGTTTGTTTTTGCTTTCTATTTCCTTGAGGTACACAATTAGGTTGATTATTTAAAATCTTCTTTCTGATGTAGATATTTATTGCTATAATCTTCCCTCTTAGCACTGCTTTTGCTGCATTTCATAAGTTTAGGTATGTTGTGTTTCTATTTTCATTTGTTTCAATAATTTTTAAATTTCCTTCTTAATTTCTTCATTGACTTAGTGGTCATTCAGGAACATGCTGTTTAATTTCCATATATTTGTATAGTTTCCAAAGTTCCTCTCGTTATTGATTTCTAGTTTTTTTTTTTTTTTTTTGAGATGCAGTTTCACTCTTTGTTGCCCAGACTGGAGTGCAGTGGCATGATCTTGGCTCACTTCAACCTCCGCCTCCTGGGTTCAAGTGATTCTCCTGTCTCAGCCTCCTGAGTAGCTGGGATTACAGGTGCACACCACCATGCCCGGCTAATTTTTGTATTTTTAGTAGAGATGGAGTTTTACTATGTTCGCCAGGCTGGTCTTGAACTCCTGACCTCAAGTGATCCACCTGCTTCGGGCTCCCAAAGTGCTGGGATTACAGGCGTAAGTCACCATGCCCGGCCTGATTTCTAGTTTTATTTATACTGAGAAGACCTTTGATATGATTTTAATTTAAAAAAATTTGTTGATACTTGTTTTGTGGCTTAACGTACAGTCTATCCTGGAGAATGCTCCATCTGCTGATGAGAAGAATGTGCATTCTACAGCTGTTGAAATGTTCTATAAATGTCTGTTAGGTGTATTTGGTGTGTAGTGTAGATTAAAGCCAATGTTTCTTTGTTGATTTTCTGTCTAGATTATTTGTCCAACGCTGAAAGTGGGATGTTGAACTTTTCAACTTTATTGTCATGTGGTCTGTCTCTTTATCTCTAATAACATTTGCCTTATATATCTGGTACTCTGGTGTTAGGTACATATATTTATAATTGTTTATATTCTCGCTGAATTGATAACTTTATCATTATGTAATCACCTTCTTTGTCTCTTTTTATGTTTTTTGACTTAGTCTATTTAGTTTGATAGAAATATAGCTACTCTTGAATGCTTTTGGTTTCTGTTTGCATGGAATACTTTTTTCCATTCTTTCACTTTCAGTCTACGTGTCTTTACAGGTGAAGTAAGTTTCTAGTAGGCAGTATATAATTGAGTCTTTTTTTTTTTAAATCCATTCAGTTAGTATATATCTTTTCAATTGGTGAATTTAATTATTTTACAGTCAAGGTTGTTATTGATAGGGGTGAAGACTTATTCCTATTATTTTGTTCATTGTTTTCTTGTGTTTTGATAGTCTTTGTTCCTCTCTTCCTCTTTTATCATTTACATTTACAATTTGGTTGATTTTTTTTGTAGTGATAAAGTTTGACTCTTTCCTTTTTCTTGTTCATGTATCTGCTCTACCAGTGAATTTTATTCTTTTGTGTGTTTTTATGATGGTAAATATTGCCTTTTTATTTCCAGATGTAGGACTCTTCAGCATTTCTTGTAGGTCCATTCTAGTGGTAATGAATTCCCTCAGTTTTTGCTTGTCTAGGAAAGACTTTATTTCTCCTTCATTTTTGAAGGATAGCCTTGCTGGGTGTACTATTTTTGGTTGACAGTTGTTTTCTTTCAGCACATTGACTATATTATCCCATTTTCTCATGGCCTGTAAGGTTTCTGTTGAGAAATCTGCTGTTAGTCTGATGGAGATTCCTTTAATGTCACTTGACACTTTACTCTTTCTGTTTTTAGGATTCTCTTTAACTTTTGACGGTTTGACTATAATGTGCCTTGTAGAAGATCTTTTTGGGATTAATCTATTTGGGGATCTGCGAGTGTTTTTGAATCTAGATGTCTATATCTCTTGCAAGACTTGACAAGTTTTCAGATATTATTTTATTAAATAGATTTTTTATGTCTTTTCTCACTTCTCCTTCTGGAATCCTAAAGTTCACGTATTTGATGCTTTATGGTATCCCATATGATCCCCTTGAATTCTCTTTTACCTTTCTTTTTTGTGCATGTTCCCACTGGCTTGGTTGGGCTTTTACTGACAGTGGTAGGTACCTGGGGCTCCTTTTAGAAAAACTGTACTTGGGCTACTGGAATTTGCCCGAACACCCAGGAGACTAAAGTGCCTAGAAATCATTCTGGTGCAGCCCTTGGCCTAAGACAGGCAGAGAAAGGAATAAGGAAGCCCAGCTCTCTTGCTCTAACTATGAGGCATAACTAACACTTGAGTGTCCCCCTGAGAGCAAGAATAAGGATGAAGCTCCCTCTGTGTGACCTGCCTGGCATGCACCCTTGCTTGGCTTCCCCCTTTTCTGTCCTGCTTCCTCCAGTCACTTGCCAGCCTCCTGGAGAAGCATGTATTTAATAAACCACATGTACACAGTATGGACTGAATGTTTGTTTCCCCCGCAAAATTCCTATGTTGAAAGCCAATTGTCAGTGTGATGGTATTTGGAAGTGGGGCCTTTGAGAGGTGATGAGATTTGAGCCATTGTGATGGGATTAGTGCCCTTATAAGAAGAGGCCAAGGAGCCCTCTTCCCCCCTTTTACCAGGTGAGGATGCAATGTTAAAATGGCAATCTGGAACCTAGAAGAGGGCCCTCACCAGAACCTGACCATGTAGGCACAGGTGGGCGCACTGATACGGGACTTTCAGACCTATGAGAAATAAATTTCTATTGTTTATAAGCCACCCAGTTTATGGTACTTTGTTCTAGCAGCCTGATCTGACTAAGGCAGTATACAAATGCTTATCTCAGTGTCTGCTCCTGGAAAGTGTAATTGAAGCCAGTTTGTGAACACCATTCAGATTTCTGATTGGATTATCTTTTAGTTTAAGTGATGAAGAGCTACAATAATGGCTAGGTAGTTGGGACATTTCAATGGTCTGGCTAATATCATTGGATCTCAGGCACCTCAGTAATGAGATTACAGAGAAAGGGCCTTTAGTGCTTCTGATGGTGGTTTGCTGAATGCACTTCTGTGCAATTTTGAAACTGGCTTTGGGTTGCTGAATGAACGTTGCATGGTCTATTTTTTTTCTGAAGTCCAAATCCACCTCATTTAATTTCATCCCAATTCTTCTAGTTATAGTCCCTTGCAGAATCCTAAAAACTCTTTATACTTGGTACAACAATTCTCATATAATAAAAAGAACAGACTGTTCTTGCATAGGAATATGCATGGGTCACCCTGCAGGAGGGAGGGGAGAGAGGATAATGGCATATTAAGCTCTGCAACTGAGAGGTGAAGCCAGCTGGGCTTCTGGGTCCGGTGGGGACTTGAAGAACTTTTCTGTCTGGCTAAAGGATTGTAAACGCACCAATCAGTGCTCTGTGTCTAGCTAAAGGTTTGTAAACACGCCAATCAGCACTCTGTAAAAACGCACCAATCAGCACTCTGTGTCTAGCTAAAGGTTTGTAAACACACCAATCAGCACTCTGTAAAAACGCACCAATCAGCATTCTGTGTCTAGCTAAAGGTTTGTAAATGCACCAATTAGCACTCTGTGCCTAGCTAAAATTGTAAGTGGACGAATCAGCACTCTGTAAAATGGACCAATCAGCACTCTGTAAAATGGACCAATCAGCAGGACATGGGCGGGGCCAAATAAGGGAATAAAAGCTGGCCACCCCAGCCAGCAGGGGCAACCTGCTGGGGTCCCCTTCCACATTGTGGAAGCTTAGTTCTTTCACTCTTCACAATAAATTTTGCTGCTGCTCACTCTTTGGGTCCACACTATCTTAATGAGCTGTAACACTCACCACGAGGGTCTGCGGCTTCATTCTTGAAGTCAGTCAGACCACGAACCCACTAGAAGGAAGAAACAACTCCGGATGCACCACCTTTAAGAGCTGTAACACTCACTGCGAAGGTCTGCGGCTTCACTCCTGAAGTCAATGAGATCACAAACCCACTGGAAGGAAGAAACTCTGGACACATCTGAACATCGGAGGGAACAAACTCCGGACACACCATCTTTAAGAACTGTAACACTCACTGTGAGGGTCCGTGGCTTCATGCTTGAAGTCAGTAAGACCAAGAACCCACCGGAAGGAACCAATTCCAGACACACAAGGAGGCTGCTCTGTTCTGGGAGGCACTTCTATCCCTCCATGCCTTTGGGTTGGTAATATTAAAATTTTCTTTGATTTTTCTTTATCTTTCATAAATATTTTGCATTTGGCTTTCCAGAGTCATTCTCATTTGTTCTTTGTCTTGCTTTTCCATCATGACTACCTTAGTTCAAGCTTTTACCATGTGTTCTACACTTAAATGTGCCCTCTCCTCATCTCAAATTCATATGTTGAAGTCCTAACCCCCAATGTCACTGTATTTGGAAATAGAGCCTGTATTTGGGGTAATAAATGTTCAATGAGGTCATAAAAGTGGGACCCTCATTCTATAAAACTGATGTGCTTATAAGAAGAGGAAGAGACACCAGTGAACTCTCTGTGATCTTTCACAATCACATTTCCAACTTTCACATTGCCGTTTGAGGATGCAGCAAAAAGGTGGCAGTTTGTTGGCCAAAAGGAGAGGCCTCAGAAGAAACCAACCCTGTTGGGACATTTATCTTGAACTTTGAGCATCCAGGCTATGAGAAAATACATTTCTATTGTTTAAACCGTCCAGTCTCTAGTATTGTATTGTGGCAGCTCAGTAGATTAAGACACCATCATACATTGGGTTATCCCCTCCTCCTAGTAGTCCCTTAATTAGTATGCTTGTCTCTAATTTATTCTGTTTCAATTAATTTCTTAAGGCATCACATCTTACTTTGCAATGAAATAAACTCTTCTGTAGTATATTACTGCCTCAGAATAAAGCTTAAATGCCAGAGCCAGACATTCAAGATCCCTGTAATTCCCCCACCCAAGCCTCCTTTAAAACATTTTCTCTTTCTACTTCTTGATTCAAACTCCATGCTTCACACTCTGCCCTGTCCCCCAAATATAATAGGCCCAGCTGGAATATTCTCATTTCCTTGCAGACTATCCAAATCCCACCTGTTCTTTAGGTTCATCCTAAGTCTCACTTCACCCATGAAGCCCCTCTCATCTTTCTGGTCACCTTCTAAGATGCTCTTGCACTTTTTTGTCTTTACTACTGGTATTTACACTTAATCAGTGTTTGGATTTAAGTGTTTCATGTATCTTCCTAGTTAGACACAGAGACTGTACTGCTTTTAGTGATAACCCCAGTGCTTGACACATACGGAGTAGACACAATAATATGGGTGAATGAATGAGTGAACAAAGCTGCAAACAGGGCAGGAGTAGTGCAACTTACACAGACTGAGTTGGGTTTAGGGTAGTACTGAACATAGAGTAGGTAGCTAATAGCTTCAAGAATGTTATGATTTAGTTGCTACGTAAACCAAACTGGAGTTGCTTAAATCTTTGGCTTGTGTCACTTTGTGCCTAGATTCTCCCTATTTGATGAGCTATCTAATAAATGGTGAGAAAAATTGCTTATGCATTGGTATGGATCTCCCGCCGACCACCTATAAGTCCTAGTTTTCTTCTTTTGCTATTGCCACTGCAAAGTAGAGTCACCACTTTGCACAAACTTTACAGAGAGGTAGTGACCAAAGCCACTCGTGCCTAGAGTCTCAAGTAGGTGAGAATCTCACCCTAAGTCTAGCGTAATGCTGTAATAACTTTGGGGCCTAACTTGACAATAAAGACATCATGTGACTTTACTTTTGTGTGTGTGTGCGTGCATGTTTGTGTGCATATGTTTAAGCCTGTACATATAAGTCTGTGTTCTTTGTGTAAAGGCCCATTCATTTACAGAAAAAAGAGCCTGCTCCAGATTTCCCCTCTGGAACTAGGAAATTTGTCCTTAATGAGACGAACACAGGTTATATATAAGACTGATATGCAGGAGGAATGGAGCACAGCAGCCTTCCTAGAAGCGCGTTACACATCATAGACTGTTAGGGGTGGGAGAAACCTTAAAATCAAGTGTTGGGTTTCCCAAACTGCAGTCATTTATCACATCAACCATTTTAAAATCTTTTTTTTTTTTTTTTCTGAGATGGAGTCTCACTCTGTCACCCAGGCTGGAGTGCAGTGGTGCCATCTCTGCTCACTGCAACCTCCGCCTCCTGGGTTCAAGCAATTCCCTGCCTCAGCCTCCCGAGCAGCTGGGATTACAGGTGCCCGCCACCATGCCCAGCTAATTTTTTGTATTTTTAGTAGAGACTGGGTTTCACCATCTTGGCCAGGCTGGTCTTGAACTCCTGACCTTGTGATCCACCTGCCTTGGCCTCCCAAAGTGCTGGGTTTACAGGTGTGAGCCACTGCGCTGGGTCCATTCACAATTCATCAGAAGTGATGGTCTGATGCATTGTTAAGGTCTTTCCAGCAATGCACATGAAAGTTCAGTATATAAAAATCCACCCTGACAATCCATTTCATCCGTGTCATTGATTCTTCTGGACAGCTTGGGAAAAAGGGACAATTTCTGCAGGTTTGAAACCTTCACAGCATGTGCAAGCACCGGGGTCTTGCCTTGCTTGTGTGTGATGTGATCATCATGGTACCACCCACTTTAGCCCTGCGGTAGCAATAATATCCAACAAATCATGGGGCTGATGATGGGCTACTTATGTATGTATTTTTATGTTTGGTAGAAAAATATTAAAGCATTTATCTTTGTTCCACCTTTTGTGTAATTTCCATAGTGGTACAAACACCATACTTTAGGAAACATTGATGTAGTCCAACTCTCTTATTTGAGGAGGAGAAATTAAAGGTCTGGAGAGGTGAAATCTCTTTGCCGAAAGTCATTCAAATATTTAATGGCAGAATGTTGGAGTTCCTGACTACCAGTGTGGTGTATTGCCCCCTAAATCACGCTCATTTAATCAGTTAATCTCTTAGGACAGGCATGAAACAAATGTTGGTGATCTCTTGGCAATGCTAGCCCCATGGTGAAATGGAGATCTGTGATTGGCTCTATTGTCAAGAACTCTTAAGAAATTAGAGTCTAGAAAAGACAGTTGTGCAAACAAAAACTTACTGAGCTAGAAGGGAGCCCAGGGTCATCCAGATCAATCCTGGGCTGAATCCTGCAAGGTCTAGGGATGGCCCCTGTGGGACCTCTTTGCAGGGCCAGAAGTCAAGGTACAAGAGGGAATTGGCAAGCAGGCAGGGTTGGGGGCCTCTTGCCCTCATTTCAGTCACAGCTGCACTGCTTTCATGTGTTCTATGTGTTATTTTCATGTAAAGTAGCATCGAAAATATTTTCAGGACTAATGTTGGAAATGCACTGTGCCTGTCCATTTTCATCTCATAAATAACATTGAGACTCCAAAGGTATCATGATTTTCTAATTAACAACAGAGATGACCTTCCTTTCCCAGAATTTCTATATCATAAAAAAGCAAGAGGCTAGAGTGTCCATGAACGTGGGCTTTGTGATTATGCAAATTTGAACCTGAATCCTAGCATGGCTCAAATGGAATTTTTCTTCAGTTAGGAATTTAATAATGCTTCTTTCTCCAAATTGGGCAAACTATTTCTCCAAGTATTTGGGGGGTACTTGATGCTGGAAGCGTCATTTGTGTTACCATAGGAAGTTAGGGAGAAGTGGCTTCCTTAGTTTACCCTACCCCAGACATGTCATTGGAGGAAGGGGGTAAAAAAGGGAAGGCTACATGAAGGAAGAGGGAGAACACAAAGGTGGCAGGGAACATGCCTAAAAGCCTTCCATGTGACTTCAGCTGCACTTCTGCAGAATTTTTTGGAAAGTAGAAAGGCGGTTGGCAGGGGAGGTGGGATGGGGAATAAAGAGTTATTGGTCAGTGGGTACGGCGGTTCAGTTTTGCAGGATGAAAAAGTCCTGAAGATGGGTCGCACAACAATGTGAATGCACTTAGCACTACTGAGCTGTACATTTAAAAATGGTTAAGACCGGGCGCGGTGGCTCACGCCTGTAATCCCAGCACTTTGGGAGGCCGAGGCGGGTGGATTACGAGGTCAGGAGATTGAGACCATCCTGGCTAACACGGTGAAACCCGTCTCTACTAAAAATACAAACAAACAAAAAAAAAATAGCCAGGCGTGGTGGCGGGTGCCTGTAGTCCCAGCTACTCCGGAGGCTGAGGCAGGGGAATGGCGTGAACCCGGGAGGCGGAGCTTGCGGTGAGCCGAGATCGCGCCACTGCACTCCAGCCTGGGCAAAAGAGCAAGACTGTGTCTCAAAAAAAAAAAAAAAAGGTTAAGATGTACATTTTATGTTTTGTGCATTTTGCTACAATTAAAGAAACAAGCCTCCAGGAGGCACAGTGAGTGTTTTTGTCATTCACACTTTAGAGCGGATTCATGGTTAGCTTGCTGTTCCCCAGTCCACTAGCAGAACTGAGGCGGATGGAAACTTTCGTGATAGAGCTTCTGACACAAAGTAGCCTGGTCCATTTGCTCAGTTATTCAACAAATATTTGAGTGCCTCCCTGGGGTCAGGCACTATAGTTAGTCCTAGCTATACTAGTGAAAACAAAGTATACGAAGATCCTGCCCTTGCAATCTGGGAGTGAGGGGTGGGGTGGGGTAAAGTCTCAGAAATAAAATAACTAAAGCTCTCAGCATATTACAAGATGATAAGTGTGGTGGAAAAATAAAGCATGAAGGAGGAAGATGGCGTGCCTCCAACGAGAAGGGGACATCTGGGCAGATTTGAGGGATCAGCCCCAGAAGATATGGAGAGGAAAAACATTCTAAGCAAGGGTAGAATAAGTGAGAAGACTGTGAGGTAGGTGAAGAATGGAAGATGAGGCCAGGAGAAGCAGGGGTGTGTTGTGGGGAGGAAGATTGAGGAAGGAAGGAAGGAAGGGAGAGAGTGAAAAGAAGGGTTTTTGCTTTTACTTGGAGCAAGATGGGAGCATTTGAGGGGTTTTGAGTTTGGAAGTGACATGATAGGACTTGAGATTTTCAGGATCATGGTGACGACTGCACTGAGAATGTACTGAATGGGAGTGAGGGCAAGGCAGAGAGATGAGCTTAGACAGGGTGCAGAGAAGGGCTGGCCGGTGGGACCCGGGGCTGTTCTGTGTTGATCTGTGCAAGGCAACAGGGGTAGGGTTTAGTTTTAGTGTGTCCACCTTTAATTCTCCAGGTGCCCTCTAACTCCCCTTCTGAAACCCTCTGTCTTCCCCCATCTTCTCCTGTAGCTGGAGGTTAAGTACATCCTTGAGGATGTCCCAGAGAGTTGATGGCTATGCCTTGGAATGGTCCTGATTCACAGCCCTTTGGCTTTAACTAGGTTTGTAGAAGCTCCTGTCCCAGGCATTCACCTCCCTCGGGATAAGAATCATCAGTCACCAGGGAGAAAATGGATATCTTGAAGCTGTGGGCTCTTAACTCCTTTAAAGCCGCAGGACAAATGATTTAACTGAACACTTGTCATGCAGGGAGGAACAGTAATCTTAGAAAAGGGAAGAAAAGTCTTCAAAATTCAGAATCTGGGGAAATTGCAGAGAAGGCAGCTTTATTCTTCTTGGGTGTGTGTCCATTGTGGAAGGAGTAGGGAGGCACAACCACAAATCTTGGATGGCCCTGGCATACCGAGGGCAGGTTTCCCTTGACAGCACTTTATTTCCAGAATTGTAACAAGGCCCAGTGTTGAAAAGGGGAAGAAAAGTGTGGCAGTCAACAATAATTATGGTCATCTGATAATCATCAGTTATGGATGTGGGGAAGGGAGAATTCTGAAATCCTTTAACTAACTAAAAGTAAAACATCACCTCTGTCTAGACCGGGATTTCTCAATTTCAGTAGTGTTGACATTTTGGGCCAGACAATTCTTTGTGGTGAGGGCTATTCTGTGCATTGTAGGATGTTATGCAGCATCCCTGGCCTCTGCATCCTGGATGCCAGCAGCACCTCCCCAGTAGTGACAACTAAAAATGTCCCCAGACATTGCCAAGTGTCCCCTGAGGAACAGAGTTGCCCCTGGCTGAGAACTGCTCACCTAGACTTAGGCAGGGGCATTGGGTGCAGTCAGGATTGTTTTACTTCATGTCCTCTCTGGCTGATGAAATCAATAGAGTTAACACTAATAGTGGTTTATTCTTGGTCACTGGGATAGCACGGCATGTGCTGTTCTATTTTGAGAGAACAATTTTCCTGTGTTTTATGTAATAAGGGCCTTGTGATGCATGGATTCTGGGCATCCCAACATATAAGTGTGCCTGTAAGGCAAAGAAACTAAAAACAAGGCACGCTCTGATTGCCAAGGAGGGGCCATGTTTTCTTTCGCGTCTCTCTCCTGGACCCATGCAATAATTAGTCAAAGTAAAATGAATATTAGCTCATGCTTAACTGCCTTTACCGCGCACTTGCCAGCGCTGACCCAGTAGTGCTAAACCAATTATTTTTTGAACTTTATGGCTTTAAATAATCCTTTGCTCTAAAATTCCCTATACCCCTCAGCTACTTAACCACAGGCCCCTCTGCCCTAAATCCTTTTCTTATACTTTGTAGCTTTTTAAGCAAGGAACCTCTTTAAGAAGACATAATCCCTTCTCTGTAGAAAACATGAAAGACCTTGAACAAATCAAGATTTCTCCATGGAGAATTCAGCTAATCCTGTGCTTAGCTCCTAACAAGGAAATCCATCTCTCCACCAAGCACGCCATTACCCGGACTAATGCCTGACTTGAATAACAAGCAAATTATTGTGCTTTTAATTGTACCCTGCTCGGTCACAAAGCACATCTGAGACAGGAATGTGCCGAGCTCTTCCAGGAGAAACAGGTCATGCTTCTAATCCTCCTTTTCTGTCGCCTTCCCCTCCCCCCTTTCAATCCTTTTTCTTCCCAGCGGCACACACAAAAAAAATTAAAAAAGACAGCTAAATTATGTTTAAAATGGAAGAGTCTAAAAGAAAAAAGGTGGTAAATACTGACTTGGGAGAGGATGAATTATCTAGTCTCTGCAGTGTGGCTCATTTGAGGACAATCAATGTTATCATAACCCCATTACTGCAGGGCAATCTTTGTTACCCTAAACCAGGCTTCCTCAACCTCAGCAGGATTGACATTTTGGGCTGAATAATTCTTTGCGGTGGGGGGACTTTCCCGGGCATTGGACAATATTTATTGGCCTCCCAAGTTGTGACAACCTAAAATGTACCAAGACATTTCCAAATGTCTCCGGGGAGGAGGCGGGGGGGGCAAAATCGCCCGTGGTAGAGAACTATTGACCGAATCCCACCCATACTGCGATGTATTTGTTCCCCCACTGCTATCCTTCCTGTTCACAAACCCCAGGCAAATCATGGTTCTCGTTGTAAACCAGGGAGAGACAAATGTGTTGTTTCTGTAAGTAGAATGAGTGGAAAGAAAAAAGACATGAAAGCATATGTTGTTAGGGGGTGGAGAATGAGCACCCCCTCAGCACCCAGTATTAGGATTTGGGGGGGCTCTGACTTCCATTGGGAAGTGGCTGTGCCCCTGGGTGTGAGCAAGCCAGCTTTTGAACGCCTGTATTTCACGCACTTCAGAAATAGGCTTGCTATGGTGAGACACGGGTGATGATGATGGAGAGGCTGCTGAGATAAAGGAGCCACTTGCCTGGAGGTACTGACACTCTCAGTCCTCTGTTTAGACTTGAGCGCGGGAGAACTGCCCCACCTCACTCAGACCATGCCAACAGTCCTGTTTTGGACCAGAAAATCAGTACCGAGGCGAGCTACCCAGAAAAGAGACGTTATGCAAGCCTTGAATTGCACTTTCATTACAGCTATTGAGGCAAACATTTCCTCGCTCCCGGAGATTGAAAGAATCCACCCTATTTTTAGTAACTTACTAGAAACATAATTGCTTGTCCTCACTGACCAGAAGAAAACGCAGGGAACGAACACGTTGCAGTTATCCCCGGTGTCCACTAGATGGCGGTGTACGTCTTCCTGAGAAGCCCGGCCTGGCTGCCGCTCGCAACAACTCCTTGGGTTAAGGAAGACAAGTGCCACTCGTCCTTTGGGAGACAGCCGGGTCCTCTCATTGTTGGCACAAACAGCTCCAAACAATTGCACTGACCACACAGCTCTAAGCCACATTCCAGGGCGCTGCCGTCTGCTCAGGAGTGAATGCTGGGAAAATGAACCAAGCTGCTAATTTGCTTGATTGGGGGAAAAATAAGATCTCCAGTAACAATGGGCGTAATTTATTTTTCCAACAAGAATAGGGGCAATGCCATTTCATCCCCCCTCCCAATTGCTACCATAAATGAAAGCAATCACCTAATTAGTCCTGAATTACTAACTGGCAGGGTAATGGATCTGCTGAAAATTAAGCTGAAGTGGAGAATTTGGAGAGGGGGATGTGATTTCGTGGGCAGGAGGGGTGGGAAGGGAAGGGAGGTGAAGGCGTGGAGCCCATTGTAGGGCCCTGGGCCCCTGCGGTCTGGGGGTTATGCTGGCCCTGACCCTAGGAGAACAAGGGGCTCAGTGAGTCTCTGGGCCATTCATTTTGTGCAGGAGAATGACTTTCTAAACCCTAAACCGAGGAAAAAGCATCTGCTGGGGAAGACATGCCCCTGAGTTCCTTTTAAAGTGTTACAGATGTAGATGAATTGGCTTAGGAAAGAGAACACAGCCCTGTGGGGCCTGGCCACCCCGCTGATGGGGCCGGACAGGCGGACCCCACAGGGAGACTCTTGAATGCCTTCTCTCCTGAAACACAATGAGGGAAATTACAGCAAATCTGAGACTGAGTTTGGATTTTAGTGCTTAAGAAATACCCAAAGGGAATGAAATAAATGCCTAGTTACAGATTTTGTGTTTTTGCATGCATCCTTAGTCTTCGCCCCTTCCTCAATGGAAATAATGAAGCATCCCCACACCCTGTGGCAGGCCCTCTCCTGGAGAAAAGCAGAACAATAGGAGAGTAGGTAAGGGCTGAGATCTTCCACACAAAGGCTCCACAAATTGAAGGACTAATTTATTTGTTCAGAGATGCCTTCTTGTTTTTTAGTTAGATATCACTTTAATTGAAATACTTTACTAATGCGATTTATCACAACTGTAAACTGTCAGTTTCCACAGCTGTTGCCTTTTTCAAGCAATCTGGCAAATGTGTGTGGGTAAAAACACAAAGAAGGTTGAGGAGGAGTGGGCTCAGGCTGTCTCTTCCCCACTCAGCTGGTCCACAGGCCCCTCACCTCCGCCAAAAACATATGCTCTTCTTCCTTAGAGGGACCCACTTCAATTCTAGCGCACATCTGTTGTCTTGGCTTCTAAACATCCATCCCCCCTCTCCTTGGAGGAGTACCTGGTTTTCTTTTGGGGACCTATCCTTTTCCCCATATCAGCCCATGTGGCTTAGATGAGGTGACCCTACTTTCCTGCTGTGGGGTGGGTGCGTATCCCAGCTCTGGCCTAAAGGTACCCTCTTCCGCCTCTCTTGGCTGTGTTGATTGGCTCTTAAGAGTTGCCAGAATTAGCAAAACATCAACAGCAAAAACAAACCAAAATACTCAGTTAAATTTCAGATAAGCAACTATGATTTTTTTTTACTACTATTATGTTTATTACTATTATTAATGTCTTTTGCATGGAGAATACTTATATTAAAAACAATGTATTGTTTATCTGAAATTCAAATTTAGAGAGGCATCCTGTATTTTATCTGGCAACGCCATTGGTTCCAAGAAAGGGACGTGACCAAAAGTGGTCAATTCATATTCAGCTCAGGACTTTTATTGGAGTTTTGGGGAAAGAAGTATTTAAAAAGAAATCTGTTGGGGTTGCTAAACTGGTAGGTTATGTGCTTACAACTGTTGGTGATGATCTTTGCTACTTTGTGGGAACAGCTGCCTGAAATGGGAGCCAAGGCCACAAAGATCAGACCTGTTTCATTGGAGCAGGTGGATCCAGCTGTTCCTGAAGCTGGCCCTGTGGTTGGTGGAGATCAGGGTCCCAATGGCCAGGTGGGATCACAATTTTCTACCTCTTGAGCCTGGAAAGTAGAAACATCAGCACCAGAATATGCCCACTGAGCACTGGCTTCTATTTAATCAAAAGAGTGGTAAATGGATATTGAGCAGCAAAAATAACTGATGTCCAGTACACCCTATATTGTTTTCTAATTGTTTTGTCACATGTAACATCAGCCCTTTTACGAGACAGCGTGGTTGTGAGAGGTGACAACGAGGGGCGGCCCTCGTTCGCTCTCAGCACCTCTTCGGCCTCGGCGTCCGCTCTGGCCATGCTCGAGGAGCCCTTCAGCCCGCCACTGCGCTGTGGGGGCCCCTCTCCGGGCTGGTCGAGGCCGGGAGCCAGCTCCCTCTGGTTGCGGGAAGGTGTGGAGGGAGAGGTGCGGGCGGGAACCGGGGCTGCGCGCGGTGCTAGCAGGCCAGCGCGAGTTCCGAGTGGGTGTGGGCTCTGTGGGCCCCGCACTGGGAGCGGCTGGCCGGCCGGCGCCACCGCCCCGGGGCAGTGAGAGGCTTAGCACCTGGGCCAGCAGCTGCGAGAGTGCGCCGGGTTCCCCAGCAGTGCCGGCCCACTGGTGCTGCGCTCAAATTCTCGCCAGCCCTCAGCTGCCTCCCCGCGGGGCAGGGCTTGGGACCTGCAGCCCCCATGCCCTAGCCTCCCCACCCCCAACGTGGGCTCCTGCGCAGCCTGAGCCTCCCCGAGGAGCGCCACCGCCTGCTCTGTGGCACCCAGTCCCATTGACTGCCCAAGGGCTGAGGAGTGCGGGTGCATGGCGTGGGACTGGCGGGCAGCTCTGTCGGCACCCCGATGCCAGATCCACTAGATGAAGCCAGCAGAGCTCCTGAGTCTAGTGGGGACTTGGAGAACCTTTATGTCTAGCTAAGGGATTGTAAATACACCAATCAGCACTCTGTGTCTAGCTCAAGGTTTGTAAATGCACCAATCAGCATTCCGTATCTAGCTAATCTGGTGGGGACTTGGAGAACTTTTGTGTCTAGCTCAGGGACTGTAAACGCACCACTCAGCACCCTGTCAAAACGGACCAATCAGCTCTCTGTAAAACAGACCGATCAGCTCTCTGTAAAATGGACCAATCAGCAGGATGTGGGTGGGACCAGATAAGGGAATAAAAGCAGGCTGCCTGAAGCAGCACTGGCAACCTGCTCGGGTTACCTTCCACCGTGTGGAAGCTTAGTTGTTTTGCTGTTTGCAATAAATGTTGCTGCTGCTCACTCTTTGGGTCCGCACTGTCTTTATGAGTTGTAACACTCACCATGAAGGTCTGCAGCTTCACTCCTGAGGCCAGCGACACCACGAACCCACCGGGAGGAATGAACAACTCCGGACGGGAGGAACGGAGAACTCCAGACGCGCTGCCTGAAGAGCTGTAACACTCACCGCGAAGGTCTGCAGCTTCATTCCTGAAGCCAGGGAGACCACAAATCCATCAGAAGAAAAAAAACGCTGAACATGTCCGAACATCAGAAGGAACAAACTCCAGACACGCCATCTTTAAGAACTGTAACACTCATTCACTGTGAGGGTCCCCGGCTTCATTCTTGAAGTCAGTGAGACCAAGAACCCACCAATTCCAGACACAGTTGGAATCAGGGTCTGCTATATTTGTGTTTGGAACTGGAGACCTGAACTTCAAATCTGCCTCTGGCTGAGTGGCTTTGTAGTCATGGTGACCTCTACAAACCTGAGATTCTCATTCTGAAAACTAAGGACAGGGGTACTTTTCTCTAGAGGCTGGGAGTGAGGAATCTGTGACAAAGTATGTAAGCACCTGTCACAGGGCCTGATATGGAGTAGGTGTCCCACAGAGGTCTTTCCCCGTCTGAGAGAGGATGTGCTTAACTTCATAACTTAAGGAGAGTGGTAATTAAAGTCTGAGGATATTGCTAGCACCATAGCGGCCCTATCATCGCCAGGCATCAGGTGACTGTGTATGCTGGATGGCTTTCATGCATTGTCGTGTACACCTTCTCATTTCATTTTGGCACAGAATCTCCTCTTTCTTTACATTGTTTTTCTTCTTATGCTGCTTTCAGGACGGGAGCTTTGCTTTGTGTTGATACACGCAGCGAATCCGTCAAAACTTGATTGTTGTATTTTCTGTGTCTCAGTGACATTTACCGAATTATTTGGTTATTTGAGACCAACAAACCATTTCTCTCCTACGTTAACATTAGTCGATTTGACTCAAAGGAATAAAGTGAAGGCAAGAGCACTATCTCACAGTGACAACGTTGTGCTCCATTTTACTGGGATTTTCCAGAGCTTAACGAGGTAGGTTTGGAACATCTAATCAGGGAAGAGGTTAGTCTGGAACTTGCCATTTAGAGTTGGAAGGAGTTGAAGTTTTGCCCCAGTGAGTCAGTGACAGGACTAGAATTCAGGCCTGGCCCACAAGCCCATGCGTCAGGCTGCCGGAGTCTCCGCCAAGCCTGCAGCACACACATCCTCTGGGACCTTTCAAAGATGTTTCAGTTGGTTGGGCTGCTTTGTTTTGAAGCTCTCAGGGATGGACGTTAAATGCAGATGAGTGTTGTCTCCAGTGGGGAGGAAAGCTGGCGAAGGGAAGAAGGTTCTCTGAGGTTCTCTCAGAACGTGCTGTGGGGCTGCAGTGTGGAGAGGGCTGAGATGAACTTTAGACAAATGTTCATGGGGGATATGTTTGTCCCCTCCTTGTGTGAAACAGCAAAGCTACCAATCCTCAGGGAATAAAGAGGTAAGAAACAGTCACCTTTCAAAGAGTTGGAAATGCAGTATCCTCCTCCTCATCTCTCCTGCCTCCCCTTCCCCCCGTCTTTATTTTTGTAGAAGGATTCATCAATTAAGGAGGTCTATTCTCTCTCACCACCACCTCTCCTCTTGCTCTGTTTGGCTCAGGCAGGGAAGGGGAGAAGCAGCACAGTCTAGTGAGAGGACACAAGCTCTTCAGAGTCCTGAATCAGTTTTCTAGCTATGCATCTGGGTAAGATTCTTAACCCATTTCCTTATCCGTAAGATGGGCACACATATGTCCATTTTCTGTCTTTTCTTTTTTTTTTTTTCTTTTTTTGAGATGGAGTCTCACTCTGTCACCCAGGCTGGAGTGCAGGGGTGTGATCTCGGCTTACTGCAACCTTTGCCACCCGAGTTCAAGTGATTCTCCTGCCTCAGCCTCCTGAGTAGCTGGGATTACGGGCACCTGCCACCACGCCTGGCGAAGTTTTTGTATTTTTATTAGAGACAGTTTCACCATCTTGGCCAGGCTGGCCTTCAACTTCTGACCTCATGATCCACCCGCCTCGGCCTCCCAAAGTGCTAGGATTATAGGCGTGAGCCACTGCGCCCGGTCACATGTCTACTTTCTAGGGCTCTGGTTGGGATTAAATTCATATATAATGATGAAATATGTTAATCTACCAGTATATAATAGTTGCTCAATAAATAGTAAGTTCATTATCATTGTCTCAGGAAGGCTACAGAGGGGTGGCATGAAAAATGTTAATGTGGAAGAGTGTTTAGATGCAGGTGATAGCAATGGCTGACGCTACAGCAATGACTGCATTAGTAGCAATACTTTAGGTTTAACTAATTTAAGCCTCCTCTTTACAGATGTGAAAACCAAGGCACAGAAAGATTAAGCGATTTGCCCAAGGCTACACAGCTTGTAGTACAGAGCCTGTGTGCAAATCATTGAGGCTCTTCAGTGTAAGCCATGTGCTCTAGGGGCAGCGTGACATGTGGCTGGCTGTGAAAGTCACCCTGGCAAGGCACATGTGGTATCAGAAAGAGGAAAGGAGAGTTGCTGGAAACAAAGGTATACTCTGGTCTTTGGACTGAGCCATTGCTTCAGTCTAATTAGAATCTATTAAGTGAGCTGAGGTCAGCTGCAGGTGACTGGCAGGTGGCGTGAAAGGCCACGAGAGGTGACTTTCAGAGGCTAGAAAAGGCTTGGCCTTGTGACTCGCTTTGGTAATGAAATGTGGATGGAAGTGCAATGTGTGCCACTTTTAGGAGTCTGTGAAAAGTTTTCCGTGATTGCTTTTCCTCTGCCTTTTGGATTATGGAAGCCTGTGTCAAGATTGTGCTGCTGTTAACGGTGGTCCAGAAGTGCCTACAATGGACAGAGCCATCTTGCAGACCCAAAATGTAAATGTAGCATGGAACCAAAAAATAACCTTTTTTTTTTTTTTTTTTTTTTTTTAAGGTAGAGTCTCACTCTGTCACCAGGCTGGAGTGCAGTGGTGCAATCTTGGCTCACTGCAACCTCTGTCTCCTGGGTTCAAGCGATTCTCCTGCCTCAATCTCCTGAGTAGCTGGGACTACAGGTGCACGCCACTACACCCAGCTAATTTTTGTATTTTTAGTAGAGACAGGGTTTCACCATGTTGGCAAGGATGGTCTGTATCTCTTGACCTCGTGATCTGCCCGCCTCTTTGTTGGTTTTTAGGCCATGGAGAGATGCAGTTTACTTGTTATTGCAGCACAGCCTTACTGGTCCTGCCTGATATGTTCCTTATGTAATGACATATCCCTGCTATCCAAAAGGAAGATCTAGCCCCAAGTTCTTGCTGTACCCTAATAAATAATACACACTTGTTCATTTCACATTTATATTATTGGGAAGGGCTGCTCAAGCATTCAAAAAAGACCTGCCTGATGGGGTGTAGTGGCTCACATCTATAATCCAAGCACTTTGGGAGGCCAAGGTGGGAGGATCGCTTGAACTCAGGAGTTTGAGACCAGCTTGGGCAACATAGTGAAACCCTGTCTCTACAAAAAATTTAAAAAAATTAACCAGGTGTAGTGGCTGGCAGCTATAGTCCCAGCTACTTGGGAGGCTGATGTGGGAGGATTGCTTTAGTCCAGGAGTTTGAGGTGGCAGTGAGCCATGATCACATCACTCCCCTATTGCCTGTGCCACAGAGCCCTGTCTCTTCAAAAGAAAGAAAAAGCCCTGCCTGAGGGCAACTTTCTGTTTCTACCTAGAAATTTCTCTTCTTAAGCAATTTTGATACATCTTACTACTTTCCCACACTTTCAACTTTGTGAGAAAGTATATAATGTATTTCCTGAGTTTGTAAAGAACTTCAAGAGGTGATAGTTGTGCTAAATCTTAAAACATATAAAAAATTGGCTGAGTGGATTAATATTCTGTTGCCACTGCAATGATGTAGCTTTTTCATTTTATTGAGAGAAGATAAATACACTCATCAAACATCTCCTGGAGGATAATTATCATTGTCTTATGGATTTTTTTTCTATTGTCTTTTGCTTTCTGTCTTTTTTTTTTTTTTTTTTTGAGACAGGGTCTTGCACTGTTGCTCAGGCTGGAGTGCAGTGGCATGATCATAGCTCACTGTAACTATGACTTCGCCTGGGCTCAAGAGATCCTCCCACCTCAGCCTCTGGAGTAGCTGGGACCACAGGCATGTACCACCATGCCTGGCTAACTTTTACAATTATTTGTAGAGACAGGGTGTATTACTCCGTTCTCACACTGCTATAAGAACATACCCAAGACAGGGTAATTATAAAGGAAAGGGGTTTGGTTGACTCACAGTTCAGCATGGCTGAGGAGGCCTCAGGAAACTTAAAATTATGGTGGAAGGGGAAGCAAACACATCCTTCTTCACAGGGCGGCAGGAAGGAGAAGAATGAGAGCTGAGCAAGGGGGGAAGCCCCCTTATAAAACCATCAGATCTCGTGAGAACTTACTATCACAAGAATAGCATGGGGGAAACTGCTCCCATGATTCAATTACCTCCCACTGGGTCCCTCCCACCACATGTGGGGATCATGAGTACTACCATTCAATATGAGATTTGGGAGGGGACACAGCCAAACCATATCACAGAGTCTCACTATGTTGCCCAGGCTGGTCTCAAACTCCTGGGCTCAAGCGCTTCTCCCACCTTGGCCTCCCAAAATGCTGGATTATAGGCATGAACCTCCATGCCTGGTGTCTTTTGCTCTCTCAAGTAAAAGTACTGTCCCATTTGTTAATGAGTTTAATGTGTTCAGCAGTAAAGAGTGCTAAATCTCATCTCATCTTAGGACACCGATTTTATAGAGAAGGGATCCACAGTAGGGGCTGGCGAACTATGGTCTGTGGACCAAATCTGGCTCACCACCAACTTTTTGAAGTTCAAGTTTCATTTGAACACAGCCACGCCGTTCATTTATGTATTGTCTATGGCTGCTTTGTGCTACAATGACAGCACTGAGTATTCGTAGTAGAGATAGCGTGACCCACAAAGCCTCCACTATTTACTATCTGGCTCCTTAAGAAAAAGCTTACTGACTCCTCACGTAGAGCAGAGAGTGGCCAAGACCTTGTCCAACGTCACAAAATATTCCTAAGTGGCAATGTTGTGTCTTACAATTCTTCATTTTTTGGGGGTGATTTTTGTTTTCTTTTTGCTCACCATTGCCTTCCTTATTCCAATTATTGTAAAGGAGGCCACACCCACCCCAATCCCAGCAGAGAAGTAGACTTTGAGTAAAACTTCCACACCATAAAAATAAAGGTGAGCTACAGTATTGGCAAGGCATGGGAAAGCTGGAAGCTCCAGGGAATACGGGAATGTAATAATCATGTGAGTGAAGAATATATATCTCATCCCCTAGGTTTCTTAGGTGCAAATGATAACTTTTGAGCATTGACAACACAGGGTCGTCATGGTTTTGCGATTTTGAATTGTGGGGTATTCATTTTCTATGGTTTTGCGATTTTGAATTGTGGGGTATTCATTTTCTATCTTTTACTCTGGGGTACAATTAGCCCCATTTCATAGAAAAAAATCCCAGCTCTTCGTTTATAGAACTTCCCCCCATTTCTCAAGAAGCTCAAGGTCATCAGAAAATTAGAGATTTTAAGCTTTACAAATACCTACAATGAAACCATACACATTCACAGCTGAAGGTTAAGACATCAAACCTCAGGAGGTATCCTGGGTTTTGAAAGTGACATGTGCCTTCCAGATCTGCTTGCATTTTTTTTTCCCAGAAGCATATTGGGGGATTTAATTCCAGCATATTTTATAGGTGCTTGCACAGCCAGAGATTGCTTTATTTCATTGCATAAATAACAAAGATCTTCTGTACATTCCTTTATTTCTCCCTTTGAGCTACAAGAATTGCAGCAGGCCTAAGATTCGCACACATATACTTGACATAAATGTGTATCGAAGATGGGGGAATAATAAGGACTAGCTTTTATAGACCTCTCTCATTAAAACTCACCTTCAAAAAACACTCCTGCTCTTTCCTTATAATCAAATGACACCTCATAACCAGCTAACCATTTTTAATATTCCTCAGACTCTACTGAACTATGCTGGAGCTCAGACACTGTCTAGCTAGTCAGGGAGAAGAGTCTACCATCATATTTAAAAGCAGTTATTGGGACAGGTTTTACAGGCAGTGGGCTAGGACAATTCAGAAACAATTGCTTATGTGATAGTTGGAGGATTTGTCCCTGTCAAACAGTTAATATTGCTTTAATACATGAAGTAGGCTGTATAAGACGGCAATAATGAAAAATGTCAGGAAAGACAATATCAATTGTTATTCAACATCCACATCAAAGATTACTTTTTTGTCAGTAGCTTTCAGAAAATGTATTTTCCATCAGATCTGATTGCGTTCCTCTTTGAAGTGCTCCATCCTCCCGGTAGATTTAATGTGACATCTAGGCACTTTTAGTCCCTGGGCCTCTGAGGCGATTCAGAGAGGCACAACAAGCCATCACAGGTTTATCCTCAAAGGCCGACACTGTCTGTCTGATTTATTGTAACTTTAAGAATCATCTCCAGCAAAGCATGAGCCTTGCTACCCATCCACAGTGCCAGACTTTTATCAGTTCATTTGTATGCAGCCGGTACCGCTTGCAACCTAGAGCCCTATAGCCACTCATGGAAAATGCATTACCTGCGACTAATCCTTTTTATCTTTAAAGTCTGTATTTTTTATGTATAAGTCACTTTGGGTTATCATAAAATATACATAATTCTCCCCCCCCTTAAAAAAAGACAAAATGGAAAGAGAATATGTAATAAGTTATGAGCGTGTGGTGTCCTTATCAGCAAGGATTCTAAATAAACAGCTCTCTTTATGGAAACATCGAGGGATATAAAGCTGTGATTACTTTCAATGGGAAATAGGAATGTTCCCAGTGTTTTGTTTCTTTTAGGTTTCAAAGTGAAACAGTAAGATTAATCATCGGAAATATGCCTGTGTGTGCTTCCACTTGCCAGTGTGTTCGCTTGGGGGTGGGGGCTGGGGGTGCCGGGAGAGTAAGCGGGGCGGGGGTAGAGGCTAATGGTTGTCTGGTCCATTTCACAGGTTTCCCAAATTGCTTCACTCCACAAACGTTTTCCAAGCCATTTGTGAATGGCCTTAATTAAGAAGACTGGAAATGTGTCTCCTGTCTCCTTCACAGGCCCCACCCCAATGCCGTTCTGGGGTCCGAACCTTAGGGGCTATTGAAATGCCTGTCCCCAATATCGTAAGTGCTGTTTGCCGTTTTGTGTTGCTCTGTGATTGTTTCAGATATTCAAACTCCGCTAGGTTTTGAATCTTTACAAGCACGGGAAATTCTCTTCTACTTTAAACAAAATATAGGAGGTCATGCCCCGATCGGGGGCCAGCAAACCTGCCCACAGACCAAATCCTGCCAGGGCCTGTTTTTGTTCGTGAAGGTTTATTGGAGCCCAGACAATTTGTTGAAATAGTGTCTGTGGCTGCTTCCACACCACAGCAGCGGAGTTCGTGGCTGCCATAGACTATGGTCCACAAAGCCAAAAATATTTACTATCAGGCCCTTTACAGAAACATTTTTTGACCCCTGCCCTGGAACCATATGTAGAATTTTAAATTAATTAAGCTGATTAACCCAATGTACAATGTACTTGACCTAGGGGTAAAAAAGTTCTTTTGGGGATAGAGGAAATGGTCTGGAAAGATGTACCACAAACTGTTGACAAAAACTTCTAAGTGGGAATTGAGTTGAGAATTGAAGAGAAGCTTTTTACTGTTTTATACTTCTGGTGTTTATGAAATAATATGGCAGACGTTTTTAGAATTTGTTTTGTTTTCAGGGATGCTGTCCTCCCTTGGGCTAGGCCCTACTCTCTGCTACAATGGGACAACAGTTTTCGGGACGTTGAGAGAGAGTACCAATCACTAGGGTTTTACTGTCCCTTTGTTTTTTAAAAACCCAGGCTGGGTGCGGTGGCTCACGCTTGTAATCCCAGCACTTTGTGAGGCTGAGGTGGGTGGACGGCTTGAGGCCAGGAGTTTGAGACCGGCCTGATCAACATGGTGAAACCCCGTTGCTAATAAAAATACAAAAAAATTAGCCAGGCATGGTGGCGTGTACCTGTAATCCCAGCTACTAGCGAGGCTGAGGCACAAGAATAGCTTGAACCTGGGAGGCAGAGGTTGCAGTGAGCCAGGATCACACCACAGCATTCCAGCCTGGGGGACAGAGTAAAACTCCGTCTTAAAAAAACAACACCACACACAAAAAAACAAAAAAAACCCAGTGCTCAGCCATATTAAGATATTATCTGCATTGCTTTGAGCCCTCAGCCTAGGGTAGGGCTTCCTTATTGTCTAAACAATGCTGGACCCCCAAACTGGCATGCTTTAAAGGTGGGAGAGGCAGACCAAGGGGGTGTGCTTGCAAGCCACAGCCAAGCTCTGGGGGGCTTGTGGGGAGATTGCAAAAAAAGAGGGTAGGTGGTCACTGGGGCAGAAATTGTGAGCATACCTCCCACTACTTTTAGGAGTCTGGGGGATCCATTTCTTTCTTCTTTAATTGAAACAAAAGCAAAGAAGTGTGATCTTTAGGTGAAAAGGAATTTTGAACTAGAAAATCTGCAGTCATTACATGCCCCCTCCTTTATTTTTACATGCAAATCATCTTTGGGGAAAGGATCTCAGGGATCTTGTTGGAACTTGCTTGAAAACAATAGGCTGAGTCTATTAGCACCCTGTTCTTCACAAGAAAAGAAAAAGAATCATTTTGAAGTAGTGTCAGAAGATGTTAAGATTTTATGAGGGCTTCGCATAACACTCGTCTGTATCACTTTCCAATGGAAAAAAATCAGATTTATTCTCACAGATGTTGCTGACACGTTAGCATCTTAGAAAATCATTTTGCAACAACCCATCTAAACTCCTCACTCAGTACAATGTGGAAACTCACTTGGCCTTTTCTTTTCCTCTCCCTGTAGCCACACCATGCCTCCTGACATTTCCTGCACCTGGTATATGTTTATGCCGGGCCTTTGTTTGTGGAACATTCCTACCTGGAACATTCTCCATCCTCTGCTTCCTCTCAGGCCTTGTTCACCTAGAAACTCCAACTCACCTTTCATGGCCTAGTACACTTGTCCCTTCTTCTGTGATGTTCTCCATGATTTCTCCCCCATTCTTGCCCACAGCTTCCCTGCAGTTGCCCCCAGCATTTGGATAGGCTCTATCATAGAATTTCTCGAATCATGTGCCCATTGTACTTACATTAGCTCCTTGAGGGTGGGCACTGTGGCTTATCTGACCCCTGTATTCCCTGTAGTTTGGGCAGTGATTTGCAGAAATAGGCATTTAATAAACACTTGCCAAAAAAAAAAAAAAGCAGGACTAAGATTTTAGAGCAAAAAGAAAGGTTTGAGAATGTCTCATCTAAGCCCCCTATTTTGTAGGTAAAGCCTGAGGCATAAAGAAATGAGGGCTAGGCACAGTGGGTCATGCCTGTAATCCCAGCACTTCGGGAGGCTGAGGCAGGTGGATCAGGAGGTCAAGAGATCAAGACCATACTGGCCAACATGGTGAAACCCTGTCTCTTCTAAAAATATAAAAATTAGCTGGGTGTGGTGGCATGTGCCTGTAATCCCAGCTACTCGGGAGGCTGAGGCAGGAGAATCGCTTGAACCTGGGAGGCGTAGGTTGTAGTGAGCCCAGATCATGCCACTGCACTGCAGCCTGGCAACAGAGCAAGATTCCATCTCAAAAAAATAAAGAACAAAAAACAAGAAGTTGTCTGAATTAGGCATTCCCTTTTGGACCCCTCCAGGGCTTTGTTCAGCGCATCGCATCCTCTCCTAGGTTGGGGTTGACTCCTGCAGAGCTGGCTTCAAGGGGCGAGAAGAGGAGGGGAAGGTCCTGAAAAGTTGTATTTGTCTTCACCCCTTCTTACCACAGAGAAGGAAAAACAAAAACAAAGGCCAGCAACTTAAAACCTTCTGCCTGGCTCCTGCTCAGGAGTTGGATTTCCATAGTGGATGGATGGTGAAGACAGCGCTGCCCAGGGTGGAGGCTGCAGAAGTCCAAACCCTGTCTCCTGCCCCCATCCCTTTCCTCACAGTGCCAGGGCAGGGCAGGGGGCCCCCAGAAGCAGGTGCCGAGGCTTCTCATTTTCTCATGTTCAGAGAAACTCCATGGACTAGAGCCTTCCCTTAGTTTATCATTTTGTTCAGATAAGGATGTGGACAAGAATCAGAACTGGAGTCAGGGAAGGAGGCCAGGATGCAGAGACATGGACAGAGGAGTGACGAGTGAGGGAGTCGAAGGCATAAATGGAGATGCTTCTGCCATGGTTGCCATCATTTACTCTGAGGTTAACAGGAGAGAGAGAGGTGTCTCCATCTAGAAAGGTCTTAGAGATTTTCAGAGGAGGCATGATCTCTATCTGTCTCTGTGTGCAGGTGTATGTGTGTATGACATAGCTTGGTCCCTTTGACAGATGAAAATGCCTAGACTCAGGGTCCTGCTGCATCCTGGGCTGGGTGTGCTTTTCCAGCTCACGGAAGGGATCACATCACACTTAGGTCTGAGAGTGGGGACCTGCAGGAAGGAGACACAGGGTGTAAGAGCTGGATGGTGAGGCTGGAGGCATAGGAGGGCAAAGATGAGGCATAGGAGCCCTAGATGAGGGAGATGAAGCAGGGCGCCAGGCGGACTTTGTCCTGATCTCACGGCAGCTGGCCAGGGACCAGCGCAGGTGCGGTTTCTCAAATGCAGTGTGTAAGGTTGCTGAGCATTGAGCAGCATCCAGACCCCTGTTGATGTAGGAAAACAGGGGATATGGTGAAACTCCAGACCTGGTGACCCTCGGTCCAGCTGGAGCTTTGCCCCAAGCAGCTTCAGGGGCCTGGGAAAGTTTCTTTACCTCTCTGGCCTCTATTTCCTTATCTGTAGGAAGAAAAAGTTGGGCTAGATGATTTCTGAAGTCTTTTCCAGTTTAATAAGGAGTCTATAACTTTTGCTCAGATTTTAAAGGAATTAGACCAAGTATTACTATTTGGAGGTAATTTTGGGCAGTGTTTAGCATTGGGCATATGAAGTAACTTTTTTATTCCAGTTTCTGTGCCTGAGTGGATGGATCCTCTTATTTATCTGAAAGAAGGCAATCAAACTCTTGAGAAAATTTTTGAAGAGCAGATTTTATTTCCCTTGCTATGACCCTTAAATACTGCACTTGTTACATCTGAGTGCTAATTACTAGAGATTAATTAGTCAGCATGAAAGTACTTCTCCGGCAGCCCCCCAATTACTGAACTGTACTTGATATGTGCTACCTGCAGGCTCTCCGCAGCAATCCTGAGAAGTGACACTTGTTGGAGGCCATAGGCAAGCCTTTCACAATTCTCTAGTCCCATTTTTTAGAAGAACAGCTGTCAAAGGTGGATGGCCTGAAAATAATTAAATACAAAATATAGCTCATGCCAAAATGGAGGTAGCCTGGCTAACGATCTCAAGGGCCCTGGCCATTTCCAGGTGATTAAAAGTGGTTGATGGGAGATGCTTCTCTTGGGTCTGCTTCTGGCTCTGTTAGAGCCCTGTGGCCTGAACCTGGGTGATCCAATCCCTGCCATTTCTCTCTGCTTCTGTCTGGGCCCCTCAGAAGATACCTTCAGTAGGGATATTGTGAGGTTTAATCAATTATTATTTAAGGGCAGAAACATCCTTGGATGAAAGGCGTGAAGATAAAAGCAAAGTCCAGCTGTATTATTATCACTTTCCTATGCTCTTCTTTCTTCTATTAGTGTCATGGGAATATGGCTGAACGGTGCTTTGGTGCACTTTGCAAAATAGAAAAAAATAAGTAGGGAAATTATATTTTTAAAACCAAGTGCCCATTCTTCTTTGTAAATGGTACACAGTAGATTGGCCAGCATTATATCTCATTTATCTCTCCGTATTGGGTTGTCTTCTATGTCTAATTTTCTCTTATTAATGAATCTCCCCTTTTGTCCTGTACAAATCTAGGTGGATGACATTTATACAAGGTAATCATTTCCGTGCATTACCAAAAAGATAATTTATTGGTGCTTATCCAGCAAAAGTAAGCATATCTGTCACCGAAATCTGACCTAGAATAGACTGCTGTTTTCTTTGCAGAATTATTTGCTGATCAGTTTTTTCCAGTCTTTAGATTTGTGGTTTAGCAGGGAAAGACCTACATATCTCTGAATTTTGAAAAGAATGGCCACGTTGGCAAGGTGCTAACCTCCACTAATGTACATCTTCCCAGTGAAGAAAGCCTATCCCAGACCACGTTTTCAGCCATAAGTATTTTAAAAGGAAACCAACTGTACAGTTAAACATGGAGGGGTCTAATGAGGCTCCTCTTTACTAGTTCTGAAATGACTTTTCTGGCATTAATGCCTTAAATTTGGACTAACTTTAATATGTAATTCTAAGGCTGTGTAAGCGCTTGAATGGGTATGAATAATAGTATGCAAGAAACATATATTTCTTATTTTTTTCTGAAGTTCAACTTGTACAGTCATATACCGCTTAACAATGGGGATATATTCTAAGAAATGTGTCATTAGGTGTTTTTTTTCATGTGAACATCAGAATGTACTTACACAAACCTAGATAGTATATTTTTATTTATATACATTTTTTTCATATGGCAAATCAAATATCCCAGCATCATTACTGAATATCAGTCATTTCTCCTACTTGATCACCAACGTCAATATCAACTGCCTAAGTCAGGTTTCAATATATGCTCCATTACAATCTTATTTGACCACTGTTGTATACTCGGTCTGCCAGTGACCCAAATGTTATTATGTGACACATGACTGTGTTACTCTGGCATGACAAAAAATTTGTCTCAGTCAATTCCACTTGTTCCCTGACTTCTCCTTTGTCCAGAATTGTGACTAAGTCTCAGGGGTTGGTGATGCTCGCATAAACTTAAAAGGGGTGGAAAAAGCCATTTCATACAAATGGACACCAAAAGTGAGCAGGAGTAGCTATTTTTATATCAGACAAAACAAACTTTAAAGCAATAGCAGTTAAAAAAATACAAAGAGGGACATTATATAATGGTAAAAGGCCTTGCCCAACAGCAAAATATCACAATCGTAAATATATAGGCACCTAACACTGAAGCTTCCAAATTTATAAAACAATTACTAATAGACCTAATAAATGAGATAGACAGCAACAGAATAATAGTGGGGGACTTCAGTACTCCACTGACAGCACTAGACAGGTTATCAAGACAGAAAGTCAACAAAGAAACAATGGACTTAAACTATACCTTGGAACAAATGAACTTAACAGATATATGCAGAACATTCCATCTAATAAATGCAGAATACACATTCTGTTCAACAGCACATGGAACTTTCTCCAAGGTAGACCATATGATAGGCCACAAAATGAGCCTTAATAAATTTAAGAAAATTGAAATTTTATCACTCTCTTAGACCACAGTGGAATAAAACTGGAAATCAACCCCAAAAGGAACCTTCAAAACCGTGCAAATACATGGAAATTAAATAACCTGCTCCTGAATGATCATTGGGTCAAAAATGAAATCAAAATGGAAATTTAAAAATTTTTCAAACTGAGCAACAATAGTGACACAGCCTATCAAAACCTCTGGGATACAGCAAAGGCGGTGCTAATAGGAAAGTTCATAGCCCTAGATGCCTACATCAAAAAGACTGAAAGAGCACAAACTGACAATCTAAGGTCACACTGCAAGGAACTAGAGAAACAAGAACAAACAAAACCCAATCCCAGCAGAAGAAAGGAAATAAGCAAGATCAGATTAGACCTAAATGAAATTGAAACAATAAAAATTACAAAATATAAACAAAAAGCTGGTTCTTCGAAAAGATAAACAAAATTGATAGACCATTAGCAAGATTAACCAAGGAAAGAAGCTAGAAAATCCAAATAACCTCAATGAGATGCAAAACGGGAAATATTACAAATGATACCACAGAGATACAAAAGATCATTCAAGGCTACTATGAACACCTTTATGTGCATAAGTAAGAAAGCCTAGAAGAGATGGATAAATTCCTGGAAAAATACAACTCTCCTAGCTTAAATCAGGAAGAATTAGATACCCTGAACAGACCAATAACAAGCAGCGAGATTGAAATGGTAATTAAAAAATTACTAACAAAAGTCCAGGACCAGATGGATTCACATCAGAATTCTACCAGTCAAAGAATTGGTACCAATCCTATTGACACTATTCCACAAGATAAAGAGAGAACCTTCACTAATTCATTCTATGAAGCCAGTATCACCCTGATACCAAAACCAGAAAAGGACCTAACTGAAAAGGAAAACTACAGACCAATATCCCTAATGAACATAGATGCTAAAATCCTTAACAAAATACTTGCTAACTGACTCCAACAACATATCAAAAAGATAATCCTCCACGATAAAGTGGGTTTCATGCCAGGGATGGTTTAACATATGCAAGTCAATCAATGTGATACACCACATAGACAGAATTAAAAACAAAAATCACATGATCATCTCGGTAGATAAAGAAAAACCATTCGACAAAATCCAGCATTCCTTTATAATTAAAACGCTCATCAAAATCAGCATACCAGGGACATACTTCAATGTCATAAAAGCCATCTATGACAAACCCACAGCCAACGTAATACTGAATGGGGAAAAGTTGAAAGCATGCCCTCTGAGAACTGGAACAAGAGAAGGATGCCCACTCTCACCACTCCTCTTTGGCACAGTACTGGAAGTCCTAGCTAGAGCAATCAGACAAGAGAAAGAAATGGCATCCAAATTAGTAAAGAGGAAGTCAAGCTGTCACTGTTTGCTGATGATATGATTGCTCACCTCAAAAACCCTAAAGACCCCTTCAGAAAACTCCTGGAACTGATAAAAGAATTCAGCAAAGTTTCTGAACACAAGATTAAAGCACACAAATAAGTAGCTCTTCTATACACCAAGAACAACCAAACAGAATCAAATCAAGAACTCAAACCCTTTCACAATAGCTGCCATAAAATAAAAAAATATAACTTAGGAATATACCTAACCAAGGAGGTGAAAGACTTCTATGAGGAAAACTACAAAACACTGCTTAAAGAAATCATAGGTGACACAAACAAATGGAAACACACCCCATGCTCATGGATAGATAGAATCAATACTGTCAAAATGACCATACTGCCAAAAGCAATCTACAAATTCAATGCAATCCTCATCAAAATACCACCACCATTCTTCACAGAATTAGAAAAAACAATTCTGAAATTTATATGGAACCAAAAAAGAGCACACATAGCCAAAGCAAGACTAAGCAAAAATAACAAATCTAGAGACATCATGCTACCTGATTTCAAACTATAAGTCCACAATCACCAAAACAGCGTGGTACATGTATAAAAATAGGCACATGGACCAATAGAACAGAATAGACAACCCAGAAATCCAAATACGTACAGCCAACTGATCTTTGACAAAACAAAATAAGTGGGGAAAGGACACCCTTTTCAACAAATGGTGCTGGGATAATTGGCTAGCCACATGTAGGATAATGAAACTGGATCCTCATCTCTCACCTTTTACAAAAATCAACTCAAGATAGATTAATGACTTAAATCTAAGATCTGAAACTATAAAAATTCTAGAAAATAACATTGGAAAAACCCTTCTAGACATTGGCCTAGGCAAGGATTTCATGACTAAGAACCCAAAAGCAAATGCAATAAAAGCAAAGATAAATAGCCGGGACTTAATTAAACTAAAGAGCTTCTGCACAGCAAAAGGAACAGTCAGCAGAGTAAACAGACAACCCAAAGGGTGGGAGAAAATCTTCACAAGCTATACATCTGACAAAGGACTAATACCCAGAATCTACAACAAACTCAAATCCTCAAGAAAAAAAACAATCCCATCAAAAAGTGGGCTAAGGACATGAATAGACAGTTCTCAAAAGAGGATATAAAAATGGCCGACAAACATATGAAAAAATGCTCAACATCACTAATGATCAGGGAAATGCAAATCAAAACCACAAATGATACCATCCTACTCCTGCAAGAATGGTCATAATCAAAAAATAAAAAACAGTAGATGTTGGTGTGTATGTAGTGATCAGGGAACACTTCTACACTGGTGATGGGAATGTAAACTAGTACAACCACAATGGAAAACAGTGTGGAGATTCCTTAAATAACTAAACGTAGAACTACCATTTGATCCAGTAATCCCACTATTGGGTATCTACCCAGAGGAAAATAAGTCATTTTATGAAAAAGATACTTGCACGTGCATGTTTATAGCAGCACAGTTCGCAACTGCAAAATCGTGGAACCAACCCAAATGCCCATCAATCAACGAGTGGACAAAGAAACTGTGGTATATATATGTATATATGATGGAATACTACTCAGCCATAAAAGGGAATGAATTAATGGCATTTGCAGTGACCTCGCTGAGATTGGAGACTATTATTCTAAGTGAAGTAACTCAGGAATGGAAAACCATCATCACATGTTCTCACTGATATGTAGAAGCTAAACTATGAGGATGCAAAGGCATAAGAATGATACAATGGGCTTTGGGGACTTGTGGGGAGGGTTGGGAGAAGGGAAAGGGTAAAAAACCATAGATAGGCTACAGTGTATAATGCTCGGGTGATTAGTGCACCAAAATCTCATAAGTCACTAAAGAACTTACTCATGTAACCAAACACCACCTATACCCCAATAACCTATGGAAAAAAATAAAAACAGTAGTTGTTTAAAAAAATAGAAGTTTTGATTTTAGTATATCATTGACTGTACAAGGCATCACTTTAGTAGAAGATGTTAGGGTTGAAAATTACAATAAACTAGAAAACCCCATTGTCTCAGCCCAAAATCTCCTTAAGCTGAAAAGCAACTTCAGCAAAGTCTCAGGATATAAAATCAATGTGCAAAAATCACAAGCATTCCTATACACCAATAATAGAGAGCCAAATCATGAGTGAACTCCCATTCACAATTGCTACGAAGAGAATAAAATACCTAGGAATCCAACTTACAAGGGATGTGACAGACCCCTTCAAGGAGAACTACAAACCACTGCTCAAGAAAATAAGAGATGACACAAACAAATGGAAAAACATTCCATGCTCACGGAAAGGAAGAATCCATATGGTGAAAATGGCCACACTGCCCAAAGTAATTTATAGATTTAATGCTATCTCATAAAGCTACCATTGACTTTCTTCACAGAATTAGAAAAAACTACTTTAAATTTCATATGGAACCAAAAAAGAGCCCAAATAGCCAAGACAATCCTAAGCAAAAAGAACAAAGCTGGAGGCATCACGCTACCTGACTTCAAACTATACTACAAGGCTACAGTAACCAAAACAGCATGGTACAGGTACCAAAACAGAGATATAGACCAATGGAACAGAACAGAGGCCTCGGAAATAACACCACACATTTACAACCATTTGATCTTTGACAAACCTGACAAAAACAAGCAATGGGGAACGGATTCCTTATTTAATATATGGTATTGAGTAAACTGGCTAGCCATATGCAGAAAACTGAAACTGGACCCCTTCCTTATACCTTATGCAAAAAGTAATTCAAGATGGATTAAAGACTTAAACCTAAGACCTGAAACCATAAAAACCCTATAAGAAAACCTAGGCAATACCATTCAGGACATAGGCATGGGCAAAGACTTCATGACTAAAACACCAAAAGCAATGGCAACAAAAGCCAGAATTGACAAATGGGATCTAATTAAAGAGCTTCTGCACAGCAAAAGAAACTATCATCAGAGTGAACAGGCAACCTACAAAATGGAAGAAAATTTTTGCAATCTATCTGTCTGACAAAGGGTTAATATCCATAATCTGTAAGGAACTTAAATTTACAAGAAAAAACCCTATCAAAAAGTGGGCAAAGGATATGAACAGGCACTTCTCAAAAGAAGACATTTATGCAGCCAACAAATATGTGAAAAAAAGCTCATCATCACTGGTAATTAGAGAAATGCAAATCAAAACTACGAGATACCATCTCACACCAGTTAGAATGGCAATCATTAAAAAGTCAGGAAACAACAGATGCTGGAGAGGATGTGGAGAAATAGGAATGCTTTTACACTGTTGGTGGGAGTGTAAATTAGTTTAACCATTGTGGAATACAGTGTGGTGATTCCTCAATAATCTAGAGCCAAAAGTACCATTTGACCCAGCAATCCAGTTACTGGGTATATACCCAAAGGATTATAAATCATGCTTCTATAAAGACACATGCATATGTATGTTTATTGCAGCACTGTTCACAATAGCAAAGACCTGGAACCAACCCAAATGCCCATCAATGATAGACTAGATAAAGAAAATGTGGCACATATACACCATGGAATACTATGCAGCCATAAAAAAGGATGAGTTCATGTCCTTTGTAGGGACACGGATGAAGCTGGAAACCATCATTCTCAGCTAACTAACACAAGAGTAAACCAAACACTGCATGTTCTCACTCATAAGTGGGAGTTGAACAGGGAGGGGAACATCACACCAGGGCCTGTCGGGGTGTGGGTTGGATAGCATTAGGAGAAATACCTGATGTAGATGATGGGTTGATGGGTGCAGCAAGCTGCCATGGCATGTACGTACCTATATAACAAAAAAAAAAAAAAAGGCCCAAGGGAGCTCATGTGCTCCTTCCACCAGGTGAAGACACAATGAGAAGGTGCCATCTATGAACCAGAAAATGGACCCTAACTTGACACTGAATCTCCTGGAGCCTTGATCTTGGACTTTCCAGCCTCTAGGACTGTGAGAAATAAATTTCTGTTGTTTATAAACCAAAAAAAAAATTACAATAAACTTACATCTCAATTAGAAGGTTCATTTGCATTTCCAAAGTATACATTACCATGAAGCCAGTGAATCTTAAACTTCAGGGCACTTCACTTATGTGTGCTCCTTCAAAAGCCCCGTATCTAATTTTGTATCCATAATGTTGTATACTTAAAAAAAAAAAAGACATTTTCTATGTTGTATAAACACCAGGACCCAAAACTTGGGTCAATTTCTGGTAATACATGAGAAATCATTTTATAGAACAGAGTTTAACAGATGCTTATTAGCCATTCACAATGTTCTAGGTATTGTGACAAACACAAAGATGGCCACAATATAATCATTGCTGTTAAGGAGCTGACAATATATTAGAGACACCAATGACAGCAGCAGGAAAGTGAAGAAAGACATTGCTTGGGGGAAATCTATAGGATTTGGAAACATTCGAGTGAATCCAGTGATATGAACCCTAAGAGGAAGAGAATGCTGGGGCCGTATGACATGGGAACACAGGAGAAGGGGAACGGTGGGGTTGGAGAGTTAATTGAGGAAAGACGATGCATTTAATTTGGACATGCCAAATTATCTACCAATATAGCTATCAAGCAGATGAAAATGTTATGTCTAAGGTTCTGGGGCCTATTTTGGGGTACAGATAGAGATTTGGGCATCATTAGAGGTTTGAGGCAATGGAAATGGATGAACTTATGGAAAGGGATTGCAGAAAGAAGAAGGCAGTTGAATCCAGGCTGGGTGTGGCTACTATTTAATACAAAATGTGGAAGTATATTGAACCTGGATGTTGAATTTGACCATGATGATGACAGGAGACAGGCTGAGACAAAGACTCTGATCCAGATGCCAAAGTGTGGAGTGGCATGGAGAGGTAGCCAGGAAGCAGGAAGTAGGTAACAGGTAACTGAGAAAAGAAAGAGTGATTGAATGGGTGAATGCCCTGAGCTTTCAGAAAGGAGATGTTATTGAGATAAGTCAGGGGTGACGCCAGACAGAAGAATGCTGAGGCTTAAGAATGAAGGAAAATTGAAGCAAGAAGCTTCTCTGAGAATTAGACTGAAAGGCTTTGTTTACATTGAGGGACTAGCTAGGTTGCTTAGAGATAGCTGTGATATAAAAAGTAAAAATAATCAGTTAACGGTGGTTGGCATTTCAGTAGACTTGCTAAGCTAAGTATCCTAGTAGCTGACACAGCCTAACTTTAAGGGGAGAGGATGGCAAGCTCAGATTCTGCATTTGTTTAATGGTTTCATAAGTTCCCTAATGCCTAACCCAGTGCTAGAACCATAATGGATATTTAGCAAATATCTAATTTTTATGTTTTTAAGATATCTGAATCTTCACTTCTATAGACTAATCAAAATCCTATTTTTAAATTTCAAATGATGCCCCAAACCCAAATAAAAAATATGACAAACATATTTCATTATCTGTTATAGCTAGACATATGGTTATTAAAATAATATAGGTTTCTTTGGGGTGTAGACTGCATTTTATTACCTTTATATTTGCAACATCTCACATGATGCTTAATACATATTAAGCATTTCATGAATATGTGAATGAACTGGTGTAAATTATAATTTGAATTTTAAATGAATTTAAATATCTGCTAGTTCTTTAATGAAAATACTTTTCTAGGGTCAATAACATAGATTTTAACAGTAGAAGTAAATCTGTTATGTCAGTATTCAACCTTACTTGATGGTTTACTGCAGTAGTCCCCAACCTTTTTGGCACCAGGGACCCGTTTTGTGGAAGACAATTTTTCCACAGAGTAGGGAGGTGGGGGATGTTGGTTTTGGGATGATTCAAGTGCATTGCACTTATTGTGCCCTTTATTTCTATTATTATTACATTATAATATATAATGAAATAATTATACAACTCACCATAATATAGAATCAGTGGGAACCCTGAGCTTGTTTTCTTGCAACTAGACAACCTCATCTGGGTGTTCTGGGAGACAGTGACAGATCATCAGGCATTAGATTCTCATAAGGAGCATGCAACCTAGATCCCTCACGTGCACAGTTCACAACAGGGTTTGTGTTCCTATGAGAATCTAATGCTGTCACTGATCTGACAGGAGGCAGAGCTCAGGTGGTAATGTGAGCCATGAGGAGCAGCTGTAAATACAAATGAAGCTTCGCTTGCTTGCCTGCCACTCACCTCCTGCTGTGCAGCCTAGTTTCTAACAGGCCATGGACTGGTGTCCCATGGACTGGGGCTTGGGGACCCCTGGTTTACTCTATTATTACCATAAGGATGTCACCCCTCACCTATGTCTGCTGGAGACACTGATGTATTTCCGTAGTAGAGTTCAGGGTTCTTCATTAATTCATTATTTAAGGTTATTTGTTTCCATTTTATTCATCTGAAATCATGGCTACAGCAATGAAGTAAACAGACATTTGAGGCTTCATACTCAGATTGCTGTGAGAATCATCCTCTTGGGACCCCTGTTTCCTGTAATCTGTAAAATGAGGATAATTAATTTATAGTAGTGTTGGTGTGAAGATTAGATAACATTTAGAAAGGGCTACCATTGTACCAGGAATAATGGACGTGAAATACATGTCTCTTTTCTTTCTTCTCTCAGAGGCTTAATGAACACCTGGAGAAAAACCCAAAGATCACCGTAATAGAGGCTGACAGATTGTGTAAATGAGACATCAAGAATCTCTCTACTATGTAGCATTTCTCAATGTTCCCCTTGCTAGGGTCTTTGCAAGAAATGTCTTCCCAAATTTGGTGCTCTTTTACATGTTAATTCTCTGTTTTATCTTATGGTTGAAGTTCGTTTTCTTTGCCCTAAATTTCTCTAACTTAATAGATGTTTTTTGGTATTGTTTCTTCTGTTGATTACCTTGAGTCCTTCCTGGAATGAGGTAGAGGATAAACAAGGTTGTTATTCAGTGCTTATATTGCATTAGATGTTAAGTATTTTGAGTATCAGTCCTCACAGTGATCACTGGATATCGGTAGGAGGAGGTAACTGTCTTATTTTATAGATGAGAAATTGAGACATAGAAGGAAAGTGACTTGACCAAGGTCACAGGGCTATGGTGTTGCTGGGACTCAAGCTCCACCTCCTTACTTCTGTCCTCTGCTCTTGCTGCCAAAGCCCACTTGCCTCTGAAGGGCAGGATATTCATTACAATCCCCCCTGAAGAAACTTCTGGAACGTTTAGCATTTCTTTAGAGAATTTACTTGTAACCTATCCAGTCAAGAATCCATTTATCGTGGAGAATGTGGTTGATTACATGGAAAATCCAGAATTTTGTTGTTGTTGTTTTTTGTTTTTGAGATGGAGTCTTGCTCTGTTGCCCAGGCTGGGGTACAGTGGTGTGATCTCAGCTCACTGCAACCTCCGCTTCCCAGGTTCAAGCAGTTCTTCTGTTTCAGCCTCCTGAGTAGCTGGGACTATAGGTGCAACACCACTGCACCTGGCTAGCTTTTGTATTTTTAGTAGAGACGGGGTTTCGCCATGTTAGCCAGGCTGGTCTCAAACTCCTAACCTCAGGTGATCCACCTGCCTCCGCCTCCCAAATTCCTGGGATTACAGGCATGAGCCAACATGCCCGGCCTAGAAAATCTAGAACTTTTGATCTGAAAGAACATTTACTTTCTAGATTTTGCTGGAGAACACAGGGATTATTGTTTTGCTATGTGGTTTTTTTAAAAAAATTATTTAAGATTTTAACTGTCTCTACCAGTTTTTCATTTTCTCTGTACAAAGTATGTATGTCTTAGGGCATGCTTCTCCTAAAAGAAAACTTTAATTTTTTCATCATGGCCACAGTTTATGCCCGTATCCCTTCTGAAGTGCTACATTTCAGTGTCAAAGATTAACCTGAATTACATGGTGAATACAAGGTCACTGCTTAATTTTTGAAAGAGTCAGATGATAGCAATGATATATTTACATGAAAAATGAAATAGCTATCTATCATTTATCTAATCTAACCCATCTGTCATCTACCTGTCAATATCTTTGATGTTATGTGTGAATGGCGAATTGGAAAAGGCCAGTCCTTTACTGTAGGTTCTTCCTATATTGATATATTTTTGGGTTATAAATAATATTTGCAGAATCATATTCAATTGGGATAAGTTTAAGGTAACTTAGTCAATTTATCTTGATTTGATATTGCTTACAATTTAGAGATAAATGCAGATTTCACTTTAACAAGGCATAGTCCCTACATTTTAAAACAAATTTATTTTGGTGCTTTTCAGGTGGACTTTGTGTTAGCAGTAAGGAAAGTGAATGAAGACTGGACTATTTACCAGTGATAACTGAAGCATGTCCTGTGTACTACAGTGCAGATAAAATGTTATAGGAATTTTTTTGTTTTTGCTTTACTGTATTCAGAGAACCATCACCTCTTCCCAAAAGAAGAGGTACTTAAGGAGATTGATAGATCTCCACCTAAAATGTTTTCATTAGCAAACACACACTTCACTGTTTCAGTAAATGCGAATACAAATTTAGAGACAAAGCAAGAGTTTGAGAACTTAATTTAAGCGTGTCATTGATGGCTAATGGAAGAACCTGTGCGCTGAGTTAAACCTGTGCTGATTCCTGCAGATAAGACTGTGCTGGTCATCGACGTTGGGTGTCTTTTCCAACTGGCTGCTGCATCTGCCCGATTCACCACTATCCACACCACTCTGGCTGATAAATATTGTGAGTGTCAACCCTGGTTACACTTAGTGAGGCTAAAATCCTTGCGTGGCCACCTAGTAGCTGTTTGACTGTGTGTTTATTAAGTAACCTCCCTGAGCTTTAGTTTACCTCTCAGTAAAATAGGAAAATAATAGTAAAATAATGGTGCTGTTGGGAAGATGGAATTAGAGATTGTGTATAGAATATTTATCATCTTCCCTGGCCAATAGTAGGTGCTTGTTAAATGTCAGTCCTCATCTTCCATTTTCTTTGTTCTCCTGACCTTGTCAGGAATCTCTGCTTTCTTGACTCAAGAATCACAGAATGATGAGACCTTAGAGACTGAAGGAAATGCTGGGACCATCAGATCCAACAATCCCTTAGGTTCAGGGATCTATCTTATTGGCAAAACTTTGACTATAATCTAGACAACTATCCTGGGCTACCTCTTCTGTTTGTATGTGTTATAATTCAAGATGCATACTTGCTTTGTGTATACTTTGTCCTGTATTTGTTTGGATATTTAATGCATCATTAACCTGGTTGGTCAGCTTCCAAATTTCTGCCACTATTAGATAAGGAAAAATGGAATGAGAGATAGTGGAAGGATCAAAGTAAATTCATCCTGGTTCCTGGGGAGAACCTTCAAAATTTATGTCCTACAGAGAGAAGATCAGTAGCATTGTTTCAAATGACAGTACAGTTTAAAAAAATTCTTTTCATTATACATCATTCCAAGAAGGACCTTTTTGTTCTACAGCTAATTTTTATGATGGGGAAAGTGTTTCTTTTTTGAGTTTCAGTGGCTAGATGACATGGCAACTGCTTGGCAACACATATTGCAAAGCTTGAATTATTCTTTTCCCATTCTTATTTAGTACATTATAGAACAAAGCTAAATAAATGAATCCAGTGACCTTAAATCTACGTACAAAACCTTTATAGTTTGATAAAGCCTAATTTTAGTATTTGTCTTATAATAAGCTGTGTAAAAATTTTATCATGAAATCCAAAGCCATCAAAAATAGACTGTAGATTCATGCCAGGATTAGATTTGTTTATGTAAATCCAAAATATTTAGTGTCAAGTGGTACTAAATACGCAGGTTCATTGAGAAAAGTGTGACAAATACTTGGATTTTAGTAATTTCATTTGTATGTATGTGTATATGTGTTTTAGTTTTAAAATATGATTCTGCCCAATTTAAGTTAAAATGTATGCTAGACTTTGCTATTTCTGTGCACATGTCCCTCTACTGCTACAGCTGTCTCCCTACCTCTTCCACAAAGTCACTCTTTCACATCTATCTGGAGACCATCTTGTTCTCTAAAATCCCCTGCAAGAACTGGACCATTGCATCCCCACCTGTCATATGCACGACATTTACTTTCTGGGCTGTTCATGACATATTGCAATAGGTGGTGGTTTCTATTTCTTATTGATCTCTGGTTATTCAACTTAGGAAATATTTTTCTCATTTCCTTCAACAAAACAGAACTATAAACTTTCTGGGGAAAGGAGCTATATGGTCTATTCCTGCACTACCCAGCATGGGTGTGCCCCATACTTGTTGATTGCAGCAATCTTGTCCACATCCCCAGTAGGAACCAAATAACCATGGAGGTATTTAGAGAATCATCTGCCTATTACTTTAGGATTTGTGTTTAGCTGCTTTATTGGGGTGGAGGGGATTTATTCCTTTTTACCTATCTCTTTATCTTGCTTTATCAAATCCAGATCCTCATGGTTCGTTTGCCTTGCTGTGTCTCCCATGTCCATCTCAGGTCTCCTGTAAGAGGATAGGTTGGACCACCAAAGCCAGAGGTAGCAGCAGCATTGTCAGAAATACACAGGAAGTCTGTTCCTTGTCCTAATCCAGATACGCATCAGCAAACACGGACTTAGCAGGAAGTCAAGCTTTCAAGTAAAGCCAGTGAAGCACTGAGGGGAAGCATCAGAAATACACCCCAAATTGACTTGGCGTCTGTCGCCTGGGACTGCCTGGGCTGTGAATGGAAAACTCTTGTAGATTAAAGGAGGGGAGCACAGGCAGTGGGTGTATTTCATACTTACTATCCTTTTCAGAATCCCTGCGAAATGGTTGACCTTAGAGGGGACTCTCGATGATTACACCTAAGTCTTTTCAACCTGTTGTTCCTATTTACACTTGTGCTTTATGGATTCCTTCAGGGAGAAGCGTTTTAAAGGAATACAGAAAGCTTTCCACCCCAGAGACACTCAAAGGTGGCAGCTTAGGCAGATAGCTTTCATTTCTCTGTTTGTGATTTTCCTTCCAGGATAAAATATTTCTTCTTCCCCTAAGCGTCTGGATTTTGTGATCTGGGACATGCTCGGATTTAACAGTTTGAACTTTTAAAAATAATAATTATTTGAGGATATTCTGCTCTTTTATCTGTGGGAAGACTGGGGAATCTGGAGTTACTTCTGTAGCTTTTTAAAAGCTTAGCTTTCTCGAAGTGCTGTTTTTTTAAACTATCATAAGTCAAATTTATCATGGGGATAAAGTAATAAAGACAAATATTCAACCAATAATGAAAAGCTAAATAAACGGGTATGTTTAAGCTCTATTATATGCAGGGGAGTACATTAAGGCAGATCTAAGAGACACTTTAATGGATTTAACATTAGCAATCAGACCTGGACTTGGTATAAATCAAACACCATCGCATTTCAGTCTAATGCACACCCACTCATTCATTAGCACCATTCAACGCAGATTATAAATATTAGCCAAGAAACCTTCAGTTCTGGAGATTCTTTCCACAGACACAGCAATAATAGAACAATAATGATGACAATTTTATTTTTATGAATCGCTATGGCTTACTTTTATTGATTTGCTCTTGGGCCTGGAGAAAGCTTCCTCAGCCAGTATACAACAGGAAGTGGTTCTAGCATTATCAGATAGGCCATAAAGAGATAAATAAAATAAAGGGGGGTAGGAATGATGGTGGGACTCGGCAAGCTGCTGATATAAGCAAGAATTACTCCCCTCACTCCCAACAATAGAACAACTTAAATTACCTCCCTTCTCCCTCCCTGCTCCTCTCTTCCAATTCAGTGAAAGGAAAATACTCCCAGGCTGTAAATGTGCATTAACTTCGGAGCTGAACATTTTGGGGTTCTTGGTAGCAGCTAGAGGGAAATGAATAAGATGGGAATAAATGAGCTTGCTTAGGCATTGCATAAAAGGAGGGTGAAACCCCACAGGAATATGGCCTTTCACTGCCTGCTTTGATGATGTGCAGCTTCTTAGTAACAAAGGCAGTGTAGCCTTCTGAAAATACTCCATCCATGATTATGAAAAGGAGCAGGTCTCTGGCTGCCTATTCCTTCTCCAGAGCACATGATGTCCTGACATTTTCCGTGCACTTTCCCTGCCTTTTATCTCTCAGAGGCAATGAATTGAACATCCTGGGGTATCAGTAAGAAGGAAACACTTCTATGGATCTGCACATGTGTTTCCACAGCTGCCATTGTGTTTTTCCCCTTTGCGGTGACAGATTTCAGAGGTTTTGTTTCACACTTATTCCCTCCTATCCCCAGTGACAAACTGGACTTGTACCTCTGTTTATTCACTGCATTGAGATCTCACCATGTCTCTTAGTGAAAGGAACAAGAGCAAATGCATCTTTGAGGGTCTATGAGTCTTCTGCAAATTCCATACAGTGAAGCAGACTGGCAGGTTTGGTCATGACAGGGGCAGTGGTAAGAGAAATTCTGTCTTTTGGCAGTTACTCTTCCATTCTCAGTGGACTTTTCTTTCCTGGGCAAAAATTTCTGGGTCAGTTTATAATGGAGGTGTGGACAAGCTGATGCCTAAGAGCTTGTTTCTAAGCTCTTGTTCAGCTTGTACATTTGCTGTTTCTATGACTCATCCATATCCCCATGGAAGAATGGGATGTTGAGCTACCCCCATAGTTAGGGAAACAACCCTGAGCAGCATAAGCATAGGAATAGCTGCTGGCACAACCCCACATTCTAGTTCATTCTGCATGTCACCTTTTTGATTACATCTTTAAGGCAAGCCTGCCTGAATGCTTTAATTCTACCCTTTCCCCAGAAAGTAAGTTCTTTTGACTTTAAAGTTAATTAAACTATAGCTATAACTTAATGCTTAATAAATTAATGGTTTTCAAAATGTTTTAAAGAATTCTGAGTGATTTGGTAACCTGATGAGCTATCATATAACAACTGGAAAAGATCTCAGATCTAATAACATCAAAAATCCACAAAAGTTCAGCATCATATTTTGTGGTTATTGGAGAAAAGGAAGGAAGGTACATTATTGGCTTGAGTTTAGATGGGGGGATCTTGTGTCTCTGAAGGAAAAAAAAATCACTCTGTAAACCAAAAATATCTCAGCAACTGCAACTTGTGTCGAGCTTAACCACAATTCCATGGTGGTTTTCAAGCTCTTTGATGCACACAAGTTCAATGAGCTCATTGGTTTCTAAAAGTATTAAAGGGAATAATTGTAAACGTGACCAGTCCCAGGAGGGCGACTGAGAAAGTGGTTGCTGGAGATTCCTGATGGAAAGAACAGAAATTCCGGAAATGGATGATGGTGCCCCCCCGACCCCAAGAGTGTTTATAAAACATGAAGAAGAGCCAGGCACTACTCATTTATTAAAAAAGTAACTCATTTAAAAATACTTATTCTGTGCCTACTATGAGCCAGGTGCTCTACTAGGTACCGAATAAATGACAATGAGACAGACATACCTGCTGCCCTCAAAGATCTTATTCTAGTAGAGGGAGACAATTAAATTAATTAAGTAATTTTAGGTAGCAATAATTGGTAGAACATTATGTAATAGGGATGTGGAAGAGACCAAATGGGAAAGGTGATTTTTATTAAAGGCCTTATAATTCCAAGTAATAAATATAGGTTTTCTTCTGAGAGACCAGTATCATTATCTTATTTACAATTCACAAAGATAACTGTGGCTGCTCTATGGGAAATCTGCCAAAGTTTAATAAATCTGTGGAATAGCTAATTACTGATTGATGGGAGACTGAGAGTCTCCCATTCTTGATGGCAAATGGATCTCTAGTTGCTCTGAAGTTCCAGGAAGTAAGCTAACTGGGAGCACAGATGATGTTTTCCTTTCTTCTGGTTGTCAGTAGTGTCTTTGGGAGAAAAAGACCAGTTACAGAAATGCAGTTTAACAGCTCAGTTTAATTTTCTGCATAGTGCTTTCAGTGATCAAATAAGGGGTTCCAGGAAAGAGTGTCAAAAACTCTGCGTATTTAGGAATTTGCTTTTGACCCTGGCAGGATAAAGGGGGCAACTGTGCAAATGTGGCAGTAGTTAATTGCAAGGTCTAGTGAAGATTCTAATAATTAGCATGGTGCCTAATGCACGTAGGTGTTTGGTAAACATTTGCTAGATGGGTAAAGCCAGGATTATTAACCAAACACCGAAGTTTATTGAAAGACAAGGTAGAATTGGAAATAAGTTCACAAACATTGAGAAAGGCTAGGAAACTCCTCAAATGAGACAGGTCCTGGTCTGATAATTATGGCCCCCTTTGATTCACTGGAAATGTGTGTGTGTTTGTATGTGTGTGCATGCATGCACATGTGTATGTTACTGGTAGAAGAATTCTAGGTACCCAGGAGACCTGGACAGAAGTTATTAGGCACATAGGCCTCCCCACAAAGGCAGCATGCCTAGATTTGGAAAGCCATCAGCACTAATTGCTGTCTAAACATGAGAGGTGTTACTTGACCTCGTGGTGCTCCAGTCTACCAATGTAGTCCTTGTCTGGTAATGTGGAATCTCTGATGTCATTCTGGTCTGCATTCCATTGCATTCTACCTAGAAGCACCAAAGCAGTCAACAGGATCAAAGAATATAAGTGAGAGCGGATAACATGAATGCCTTAATCTCTGAGTTATTGGATTATAATATTTGTGGTGTTCCGACAGGAGCTGAGCAGTCAGTGAGAAGTCCAGGGATCTTTCTTTCCCTTCTCCAGACCAAATCTGGCAGCAGAACCAATTTCTTCTTCAAGTGGCAAGTGCCTCTCCATGAAAGGGTGCTATAATCTTACAACTTCATTTCCCAAATTTCCTTGGTTGAATGTATGCGTCTCCTATGTTATTGTAAGGTGGAGAATTGAATGTTGATTTCATAAATTTGATAGGGACTTTTGAAAAAAACTGCCATGCAATTAATTTTCTTCACTCATTATGTATATGACAGTGTCTCCGCTGGGCTCAGATGACAATGCGCAGAGTAGGAGAGAGGGCTGTTCTCCCTCTGACTCCACCTCAGATTCCAAGGCTTGAGGGAAGGCACCAGAATAAAACAACTCTCTGCAGACCGATGTTTTCATGTGAGACATCAACTGCAGTGGTGGTGGCCAGGTGCTGCCTTTAAATAGCTGTGGACAGAGGATTTCCAGAAGGAAGGTGGAATGGAAAAAAATACAGACAGACTTGGTCCCAATGACATGGCACAGCAACCCTAGAAGAGGGAGAAATTTGAGGACTGCAAGTGGAAAAGCAGGGCTGAATGTGAAGAGGGGTTACAGAGAGCGGGGAAACAGGAAGATGAATGAGGAGGCCAGAAACCAGTGGGGGGTTGCACAGAAGTTCAGACAAACTAGTGCAAGAAGGACAGGGCTGAGATCTTGGATGCCTAGTGGTCCACAAGGCCTGATTTTATAATATCTGAGGTTGCTGAGTGTTATGCTGAGGTCTTAGGGCACATGGTAGGCAAGAATTCCATGATAAGCTTATTGTATGGAGTTTTATAGCTGATAGGGACCCTAGTGAAAAGGAACATAACAAATGAGGAAACTATGGTATACAGCTTCAGTATGAGCCCAGGTGCCCAGGTCAGAACCGTTCCATTTCCCCCCAAAGTCCTCAAATGCTTTGGTTCCAAGTGACCATTGCACTGTGGAGAATCTTAGTATGGAAAGTAGCTTGGCCTCTCAGACATGCATGAGCACACATCTCAGAACCTTCATTTTAAAAATAACTTTATTTTACTGTGGTAAGAACACTGAACTTGAGAGCTACCCTGCTAAGAAAATGTTAAGTATATAATACAGTGTTACTAACCATGTATATATATATATATATATATATATATATACACACACACACACACACACACACACACACACAATGTTGTACTGCAGATCTCTAGAACTTATTCATGTTGCATAACTACAAATTTATGCCCCTTGATTAGAAACTCATTTCCCTCTCCCACATAGCTCCTGGCAACCACAATTTCTCTCTTTGATTTTATGAATTTGACTATTTTAGAACTTTCTTTTTGTGTCAAAATTAAAATTATGTTAGTCCATTTTCATGCTGCTGATAAAGATATCCCAGAGACTGGGTAATTTATAGAGAAAAAGAGGTTTAATGGACTCACAGTTCCATGTGGCTCGGGAGGCCTCACAATCATGGTGGAAGGTGAAAGGCATGTCTTACATGGCAGCAGACAAGAAAGAATGGGAACCAAGGGAAAGGGGAAACCCCTTATAAAACCATCAGATCTCGTGAGACTTATTTACTACCATGAGAACAGTATGGGGGAAACCACCCCTATGATTCCATTATTTCCCAGCAAGTCCTTTCCACAACATGTGGGAATTATGGGAGCTGTAATTCAAGATGAGATTTGGGTGGGGACACAGCCAAACTGTATCAAATTGCCTTATAGGAAAAGAATATCAGGAATTAGGATTATTGACATCAATAGGCCCCAAGGCAACCTTCTGGAGGGCCATAGAATAATAAGGAATTAGATAGTGGCTATATCCTTTTCTTGTCAGCAGTGTGTATTTACACGATCTTGGCATTGCGTAACTGTGTTTTTCTTTTTAAACAAAATAAAAATATCAGAGGAGTTCTGCAGTAAATAGAAAATTGTCTTAAATGACATAAAAATTAAGAACATTTAACAAAATCTTCACAACAGAGGGAAGGCAAGCAACAGACCTTCTACAGTCAGTGGCTCAGTGTTAATGACACTGAAGTTAGGGTGTCTTCCCTGTCAGTCTGATTTCTTCATGGTGGCAAAATGGCTGCAGTAGGGCCAGATGTCACATCCAGAATTCTTTTCCAGTGTGTCTCTTTATAGGAGTTAGAAAAATCTTGCTCAGACACTTTGCCCAATCAAAAATACTAGTCAGCTATTGCCACAATAATGCTGAGTTATAAAATATCCCCAAATTTGTCCCTTATAGAAAAAGCATATATTCTCAAGCTCATAAGTCTGGGTTGACTGTGCTTTGGCTGTTGTAGGCTGAGAAGCTGTGCCTTAGTCTTCAGGGGCTTCTGGGAATAGCTACAGACTGCAGGTTGGGTTCAAGTCAGCTTCAGGTGTGTTTGTTCTGGTGCATGGGCTCTTGGGCAGCAATTACTGTAGACATCTCTTTTGATGGGGAATCAATAGAGAGCAAGAGCAAGTCATATTAAGTCCTGTGACCCCCTAACCCCCATTTCCTAACATCCCATTGGCCAAAACAAGTTACATGGCCAAACCAAACACAAGTTAGGTAGAGAAGTAAACTCCACTCACAGTGGGAAGAGGAGGGCGGTGAATGTTTATTGAACAATAATTCATCTGTTACTCTCTCTTCTCCAGCATGACCTGTAGGCAACCTAGTGGTAATTGCTAGGCACAGCACTCCATTAATAGCATTCATTAATTATGACAGGGACTCAAAAGAAATAGAAGCACAGGCACAGAACCTCAGTGTTAGCTGGTGTTCATTACCTAACTCACGGAAGGACAGGAAATGTTCAGAAGTGGAAATCCTCAGGGTCTGCTTGATTCCTGTTCTAGTTCCCCACTGATCTGGCTGCAGTCCCAAGACTCTGTCTCTATCTCCATATCTTCTCTGGCCTTCTTTTCTCTTGGGCTCCATTCCTCTGTCACTTTCCACCTTCCTTTTGGGTCCTTGTGTGCCCTTGACTCTAGAGTGATGACCAAAGGAGTGATCCTGGGAGGAAAAGGTGCCAGGGAGATATGTGTAATACTTGTAGTTAATGATAGCTAACATTCTCAGTGCTTTTTAAATGCCAAGAACAGTGCTAATGGTTTTATCTGTATTACCTGTCATTCTCACAATGACCTAGTGAGGTGGCTGCTATTACAACTCCCATTTTCCATAGGAGGACATTGAGGTTCAAAAATGTGAAAGTGTTCAAGTTTACAAAACTAGCAAGAGGCAGAATTGGGATCAAAACCCAGGTGCATCTGACTCCAAAGTTATTCCCTTAACTACTATGCAATTTTTCCTATTAAGGATTTATAATTAAAAAGCACATTAAAATAGAATCATTGGAGATAGGAAAAATAATTTTTTTCCTGTATTGAAAATCAATTATAAAGTTTTGTGGTATCATATCCCTTTATCCCCAATATGGATCTAGCAGAAGCCTGTAAGTGAAAATAACAATGTCAAAAGTATTATTTTTATGGAGTTGTTAATTGTTTTATAGAGCAAACTCATAAAAGTCACAGGCCACAAAACATAATTACAAACTGCACTCGACATCAATTACAGGAAATATTGATTTCTTTAACTCACATCTTATCCAGAGCTATAAATTATGGGAAATAGGGGAATGTGTGTACAACTCCTGTCTGGATGTCTAATCATATACCACTTCCAAATGCGTTCATTATTGGGGTAGTGTTGAGGATGGACTACACTACATTACATGACCCTTTCTTTATAAGGATTCATGGGAATATGTTTTTTTTTTCTTTCAGATCTCATTCCTTGAAATATTGTACATCTCTTACTTGTTTTTGTCTTACACGATCTATGATTCCTGTAACCTTTGTTTTCTTAAAGTGTCTTTCAGGGATCCATGGTGGGTCCCTGAGACAAGTTCAGGGAGTCTTGGAGGTAAAATCTATGTTCCTAATATGAGAGCTATTCGGCTTTTGCATTCCCATTATCTTGTGAGTGTATGGTGGAGTTTTCTGGAAGCTGCTGAATATGTGGTATCACAACACGTTGAATGCAGAAGCAGACACAAGAATACAGTTGTTTTCTGTTTAGCCAGATATTAACAAGATTTGCAAAAATGTGAAACAATGACAATCTTCTAATGTTTTTGGGGGGAGAAATCTAGTTATTTTCCATAAAATGTTATTTATATTAACATGTAATAGGTCTATTGCTATTTTCAAGATCAATTCATAACTATTTTTAAAATTTCTCAGTTTTGATTGCTAATAAGATAAATGTCAGTAGATATAACCCACATAAACAGCTCTTTGAGGCCCTCAATAAGTTTTAAAAATGTAAATAGATCCCGAGGCCAAAAAGTTTGAGAACTATTGCTGTAACCAACTGTGTTTTTTTTTCCTTTGTTTTGGAAGCTAGAAAGCCCAGACCAGATTTGTAGTCCACCTCCAGCATTTGTCTAAGATCCCAAGACATAGAATTTATGGACTAATATTTCCCCATGCAGTCTTTTGTTTTTAACCCTTATTTTTCTTTCTAAATGATTTTATATTCTATTTTTAAAGCTTCTCTGTTTTATTTTAAAATGCTTTATCATAAGATTCATGTAAGTTATTATGGGTCACTGGAAATTAAACAGTTGGTAGAAAGAATGGGTTGCCCTCTTGGAGCGTGGTATAGAAATGCAATATTAAAGATTTTCAAATAAATGTGCTCTTAAATTCAAATGCTGCTTCTTACAGAGTGCAGGCGGCATCTTCTTGGTTATTGTTGAAACCATTGCCACTATATCTAAATGAATGGTACTTTCGTCCTGGAGTCTCTTCAATCTCTATTCTCTAAATTATGCATATCCTTTTAGGTACAGCCTCTCCCACTCACTCTGCCCGTTTCTCCTCCCTGAGCCTAGTAGAGTTTTTTTTTCCTTTTCTTTTCTTCTACTTTGCATTTATGTTCTCTATGACCTATTCTTAAAACATATTTTCTAATGCATTTCTTGAGTTCAGAATAAAAGGCTGGTACTTTCAGCGTTACTTCATCTTCATTATTAGCCTCTTACAACTCTCTCTGATTTAAGGTTATTGTATGATACTTGAGCTCTCTGCTAATGTACATTACATTGGCACTGTAATCAGTGCACATTTCAAGGGCTTCAGTCAACAGTAGTACCCGAAGCTTTGAATTCAAAAAATGTATAAAATTATTTTTGCAAATTTGTATCTAAATAGAGAAGGGGATTAGATTGGTCTAAAGCATGCAATAAGGCATACCTTTCAACTTTTCATTGTATATAATGTACAGATGATTAATTTTTTTTGAGCTTTAGTTGATCAACTATTGTTGTAGTTTTGATAAACACTCTAATATTTTCTTTCTGGTTGAACTTGAGAATAACTTATGTCTCTCTCTCATAGCTGAACTCAGTCGTAAACCTGTGATGGGGAAAATAAAACTATGGTAATGTTTGATCATTGTGGCATTATCTCCAACGAATGGGTAGTTTCTTTTGGTAAAGCTTTCTGATATCTTTGTATGGGTTAGGGGTTAGTTAGAGTTGAATTCAGGAGAGCTGAGAATGAGATCAAATAAATTATCCTGAGGATATCCATTAAATTGAAAACTCTCTTGTTTTCTAAATGACGAGTTTCTCTCATTTATCTAAACGTGTCTTGATGGCACATAGATGATATGGTGGCTATTTTTTTTTAACCACAAAACTCAGTGACATGGACCACCCACAGTAAATTCAGAGTAGAGGCCTCTCATGAGGACATATTTGTACAGACATAATAAGTCATAATGTGATGAAAAGTAAAGTCAAAGTTCTCTCACAAACAATAAATAACTGCATTATTTTAAGTTTCCTAACTACAGCTATTAAGCAGTTCTTAGAAAATGATTTCTTGACTTACTACTTACAAAATCTGTTGGAGAAGAGCTTTCTACCAGGGTATTCTTACGGAATGGAGGAAAAAAATAAAAAACCAAAAAGTGTCAGCCTGGTCCCTAAGGTCTTCCATAATCTGCTCTTGCACTTATATCCCTAACTTTCTTTCTTCCTTTCCGTTTCCTTTTTCTTCTTCTTCTTTTTTTTTGACAGAGTCTTGCTCTGCTGCCCAGGATGGAGTACAGGGCACAATGTCAGCTCACCACAACTCCTACGTCCCGGGTTCAAGTGATTCTCCTGCCTCAGCCTCCCAAGTAGCTGGGACTACAGGCGCCTGCCATCATGCCCAGCTAATTTTTGTATTTTTAGTAGAGATGGGGTATCACCATGTTGGCCAGGCTAGTCTCGAACTCCTGACCTCAAGTGATCCACCCACCTTGGCCTCCCAAAGTGCTGGGATTACAGGCGTGAGCCACCATGCCTGCACTCACAAGGTTGTGCAGCCATCACTTCTGTCTTGTTTCAAAACATTTTCATCATCGCCAAAGACGACCCCATGCCATTTTGTAGTCACTGTGCCTCATTCTCTCCTCTCTCCAGTCCCTATTTACTACCCATCTGCTTTCTGTCTCTATGAATTTTACCTATTCTGGATATTTAATGAAAATGAAATTGTGTAATATGTGACTTTGTGTATGGCTTCTTTCACTTATCATAATGCCTTTGAGGTTCAACCATACCATGACATGTGTCAGCATGTCATTCCTTTGACATCTGTCCATTTTATCTCATTTATTTTAGATTCCTTTATTAGGTGCATGCACATTTAAGATTGCTATGTCTTCCTTATGAATAGATCCTTTTATTATTAAAAATAATCCTGCTTTTTCTCATAATGCTTCTTATCAAGTACTTCTTTTAAACTGTGTCTCTTGTAGAGAGAGGAGAGTAGAGTTTTTAATGGTTACTTTACATAGATGGGATAGACTCCCCACTGCCATTCCTATTAGGTTTTCATGTCAAGACTCACAATGCCACACATGCACCAAGAGGGTGTGTGAAAAGGTTTATAACCACATGATGAGGCTTTCTGGGGAGGGCAGGGCTGGCACCCAAACTAGCAAAACAAATGGCTTGAGAATTAGGGAAAAAAAAAAAAGACTGCCTTGACTTTTATTGTGATTAGAAGGTGAAGCTGGGATGAAGGTTCCTGTGCATGAACTGGGGACTGTATGGTTTGAACTTTTCACCAGTGCCAAAGGAAGGAGCACTTGGCTTTCTTATCAGCTTGCCCAGATGTGGGTTAGGAGGGGAATGAAAAGTGGCAGAGCTTGAAAGCTGCCAGCAGTCAAACATAAAATATGGTGTCAGACTCTTTATTACATAAATATTACCTTTTAATAAATTCAGCATGACAGTCTTTGGCCTTTAATTTAAATATTTCATTCACTTACCCTTGATTTTAGCATTTCCTTTTGATTCTTTCTTAGAGTTTCCATTGTTCTGTTTACATTAGCCATCTATTCTTGCATGCTGTTTACTCCTTCCAGTAAAGCCCTTAGAATATTACAAGCATACCTCAAAGATATTGAGGGTTTAGTTCCAGACCACTGCAATAAATTAAATATCACAATAAAGAAAGTCACACGAATTTTTTTAAGTGCATGTAAAATTTATGTTTACACTGTACTGTAGTCTATTAAGTGTGCAATAGCATTATTCTAAAAACAATGCAAACACTTTAATCAAAAATACTTTATTGCTAAAAAATGCTAACGGTCATTTGAACATTCAGCGAGTCACAATCTTTTTGCTACTGAAGGGTCTTGCCTCAATATTAATGGCTGCGGACTGACTAGAGTGGTGGTTATTGAAGGCTGGGTGGCTGTGGCAATTTCTTAAAATAAGACAGACGTGAAGTTTGCCCCATTGATTTGACTCCTCCTTTTACAAAAGATTTTTCTGTGGCATGCCATGCTGTTCGGTCCCATTTTACCCAGAGTAGAACTTCTTTCAAAATTAGAGTTTATCCTCTCAATCCCTGCTGCTGCTTTATCAACTTAGTAAGTTTATGTAATATTCTAAATTATCTGTGGTCATTTCAGTGATGTTCACAGCATCTTCAGGAATAGATTCTATCTCAGGCAGTCACATTCTTTGCTCATCCATAAGAAGGCAACTCCTCATCCATTCAAATTTTATGATATTGCAGCAATTCAGTCACATCTTCAGGCTCTACTTTTAATTCTAGTTCTCTTTTGTTGCCTCTACCACTCTTCAGTTATTTCCTCCACTGAAGTCTTGAACCCTTTTACCTCATTCATGAGGGTTGGAATCAACTTCTTCCAAACTCCGATTAATGTCGATATTTTGACTTCTTCCTATGAATCACCAACATTCTTAATGGCATCTAGAATGGTGACTCCTTTCCAGAAGGTTTTCAATTTACTTTGCCCAGATCCATCAGAGGAATCACTACGTATGGCAGCTATAGCCTTACAAAATGTATCCTTTAAATAATAAGGCCTTAAGCTAGACATTACTTCTACAGTGCTGATAGATTTGCTTGACTCAGGGTTACCACAAACCTTCCATTTGTAAAAAAAAATAAAAATAAAAAAATAAAAAAAAATACAGTATCTGTGAAGTGCAATAAAATGAAGAATGTCTGCAATGACAGTTATTTTGAATTCCTGGTCTAATAATTCCAAAACCTCTGCCATATATTATCTGAGTCTTGTTCTTGATGCTTTAACAAAAAATCTTGTCAGACCATGGTTTTGCCTTTTAGTATGCCTTGTAATTTTTTGTTGAAAGCTGGACATGATGTGCTGGGTAACAAGAACTGAGCATCAGGCCTCAAATGTGAGGGTTTGTTTGTTTATCTGGCTATGAGTTAGACTGTTTACTGTTTGCTGTAGCAGTGGTATCAGAGGCTAAAATTTCCTCTAGTGTGCTTGTTTTTGTCTACCCTGTTGTCTTTTTGTGTCCCTACAGACTCTTTGAATAGAGTATGAGAATTGCAGTTCTTTTAGCTTTACTCCTCTCCTATTATGTAGCAGTCATATTGATGCAGTGGTAAGGTATGGGAAGAGGGGAAGTGTACTATTGTCCTATGCTTGGATATTTTCTTTTCCTCACATTGGGAGCGTGTTATTCTCCTGCCTCCAGATCATTTAGGCTTTGGTAAAACCTCGGCCAATTTGGCTATAACAAAATAGATTTCCTTGAGGGCAGGATTGGTTAGGGGGAACAGAAAGCTCTGGGTATTATTTCAAAATGATTTATTTTCTCCTCCTCTTGCCTGAAGCACAAGGAGAGTTCTCGTCGATTTTCACAGTGAGAACCTGGTAGGTAAAACTCATTTAAGCATGGGATCCTGTGTTCGTCCAGACCCTTGGAGTTTTAAATTCTCAGGCTGGTTCAACCTGAGTTAATTTGTCAATTATGGTTTAAAGTGTTCCTATGGATGTTGGCTTCAGCTGCAGGCTCCTGTATCCACCTCCCTCTCTAGTTTTCGAGATGGCAGTTTGTTTCATGACCTCTATGAAGAGCTGCTATCTATCTATCTATCTATCTATCTATCTATCTATCTATCTATATACCTATCTACCTATCTATGAGAGGAGTCTTGCTTTGTTGCTCAGGCTGGAGTGCAGTGGTATGATCATAGCTCACGTAGTCTCGAACTTCCAGGCTTAAGCAGTCTTCCCTTCTCAGCCTCCTGAGTAGCTGACACTACAGGTGCCTACCACCATGCATGGCTAATTTCTTGTATTTTATTTTTTTAGAGACAGGGTCTCACTATGTTGCCCAGGCTGGTCTTGAACTCTTGGCTTCAAGTGACCCTCCCATCTTGGCCTATCAAAGAGCTGGGATTACAGGCATAAGCCATTGCACCTGGCTTCATCTTTTTTGTTGTTGTTGTGAGGAGGATAGGAGTGATAACTACCAAGCTCTTTACATGTTGGACTAGAAACTGTTCTCTTACTTTTAATGTAATTATCGATGTTGTAGAATTCAGGTCTATCATTTTATAATTATCTAATTGTTGATATGGCTGGATATAGAGTGACTATTAATTTTCTATTTGTTTTATTATTATTATTTTTTTGTTTCTCCGTCTTCCTTTCCTGCTTTCTTTTAGGTTAATCATATATTTAACTTTCCATTTTATTTCTTCTGGCATGTAAGCTATTTTATATGTCTAATTTTTGTAGCTATTCTACGTATTATAGTATGTAATATATATATTTTTTTGAGATGGAGTTTTGCTCTTGTTGCCCAGGCTGGAGTGCAATGGTGTAATCTCGGCTCACTGCAACCTTCACCTCCCGAGTTCAAGTGCTCCTCCTGCGTCAGCCTCCTGAGTAGCTGGAACTATAGGCGCCCACCACCATGCCTGGCTAATTTTTGTATTTTTAGTAGATATGGGGTTTCTCTATGTTGGTCAGGCTCTTCTCGAACTCCCAACTTCAGGTGATCCACCCGCCTTGGCCTCCCAAAGTGCTGGGATTGCAGGTGTGAGCCACTGCACCTGGCCAGTATGCAATATTCTTAACTTAATACAGAGTGAATATTGTACCATTTTTTGTAAAATATATGAACCTATACAAGAGTATAATTTCATTTATCCCAACCTTTGTCATATAACTGTAATTTTTTTCTAAAATATGTGTATATTTGTATTTTATAAAATATAAAAATATTTTAAAATAATAAAAAAACGTATCTGTGTTCTAAAGCCTATAAAGCCTACAACAATATGTTATTATTTGCTTTAACTTGACACTTGCCTTTTAAAGAAATTTTAAAAAGAAAAATAATCATTTATAATTATTCTCATATTTATCATTCTTAATGTTCTTTATTCCTATAGACATGAGTTTCCATTTGCTTTCATTTCTCTTTAGTCCAAAGAATTTCCTTATTGTTTCTTAAAATTCATGATTGCTGATCATGAATGTAGTTATCATGTTTTCATTTTTGAAAAATGTTTTCACTTGATATAGATGTCTGGGTTGGTACATCCACCTGCCCCTTCTCCTTTATTTTGCAGTAAAAAAATATTGTTCTTCTGGCCTCTACTATTATTAATGACAACTTAATCTTCATTTTTATTGTCATTTTCCTGTATTTAATGTGTCTTTCCCCCTCTCACCAAATGCTGTTAAGATTTTTTTTTTTTTTTTTTACCTTTAGTTTAAAAGTTTATGATGTTTCTAGATATGGGTTTGTTTTAAAAATTTTGCTTGGGATTACATATTCTCTTGGAACAGTAAGTTAATTTTTTTAACCATATTTGAGAAAGTTTTTAGTGATAATTTCTTCAAGTATTTTTTCTTCCTCATTTCCTCTCCTATGCTTCTGAGACTGTAATTATTTGTGTTTGATAACTTAATATTGCCCCATAGGCCACTGTAGCTTTATTTTGCTGTTCTGAATCTCTATTCTCTCTATTCTTCATGTTGAATTACTTTTACTGACTATTATTTTAAGTTCACTGGCTTTTATTTTTTCTGCAGCCTATGTGGCCCCTTTTTCTGCTGTTACGCCCTTTCAGTGAATTTTAAAATTTCAGCCGTTCCCCCTTTTTCAGTTCTAGTGTTTCCCTTTGGTTCTTTTTTATATCTTCTATCTCCCAGTTGATCTTCTTATTTGTATAGCCATTCTGACAAGTTTTTCCTTTAAGTCCTTGACAGTGTTAAAGCAGGTGCTTTAAAGTCCTTGTTTTCTAATTCCAACCTTTAGGTCATCTCAGGATCAATTTCTATTGACTATCTTTTCTCTTGATAGTGGGTCACATTCTCCTGACTCTTTGCATGTCTACTGTTTCTTTACTATATACTGGACATTATGGATGATGTATTGTAAAATCTCTGGATGTTTTTATCTTCCAGTGAAGAGTATTGGTTTTTGTTTACCTAGGTGATTAAATGACTGGCTGATCTCCTTGGAAGCTTGGTGTTATTAAGGTGGGTCTGTTGATTTTGCCCTTAGTATTACTAGGGTAAATTCCTTAATTCAGAGACAAACATTTTCATCCTAAAATATGCCCTTCTGGGGTTTTAGTGGAAAACCAAAGATGTTTACCCAAACCCTCTTACTTTGGAAACACCTAAACTTCAGATTCTTCCTACTGTGCAGTGGGCAGCACCAGGTATTTCTGCTCTACTCTTTTAGCGTTTTAGCTGTTGCTCTCTGCTGGGTTTCTTGTGTCTTTGTGTGTGTGTGTGTGTGTGCAAAAGTCATGTAAAAATCAGACAAAGATTTGAGGGGAGTTTACATGCAAATTTTGGGGATCCTTCCTTTACTTGAATTTCCTTTCTTTATCGCCAGCCACTCTGGTGGCTGTGAACTCTGTCCTCAGATACTTCAAGCTGTTAAGGCTATAATTCTGCTTGAATTCTATTTGTCTAACATCCCTTGGACTGGGAAGTTCTCTTAAAAGAAAAGCTATCAAAGTGATGTTCACACCCAGTTCAGTTCCCTTTTTTCCAAGGTCTACTACCTTTCAATTTATGCATTTTTTTTTTATTCTCTTGTGCCTTTAAATAGTTCTTTTCTTTAAAAAAATTAATCCTGAGATTATAATTCTTAGCTGTGAGAAGTTTATTTTAATAAAAGCTATTCCTGCATTACTGAAAATGCAAACTCTCCATATTTGTTTCCCAATAAGTATCTCTGATTGGAGATGAGGTTTTATGCAGACAAAAGGAGAAAAATTAGTTTGGTTGTTGGGCTGAGTGTATAAGACCTTAAAGGCCAGGCAATGGCTATTTTACATGATGGAGTAGACAACAGGGAAAGAGTCATGGCTGAATTATAGATAGCTTTTGTTTTTAAATATTAGAATGATGCTGACATTTATTATAATTCATGGAAGGACTTGACATGTATTCAAATGAATTGGTATGGTATTTCCATCATTTACATGAAGCAAATGTCAGAACAGAAGTAAGACCCTCAATTTATCCTTGTAATTATAAGTCCTTCCCTCCTGTTTTCTCCCTGCTCTGTCATTACCCACTCCCTTTCCCTCTGTCCTCTTCTTCCTTCTCTTCTCTTCCTCATTTTCTTATTCTCTTTTTGATTTTCTTAAAGTTTGTGATTAATATGTGATGATGGTACCAGAGCTATTAAAATATATCTCAAGAATTCAAATTTAGTCTTCCAAAAGAGTCCAATATTCTGTACTTTAGTAAAAACATTTATTTTTATTTTTTTAAAGTTCACTATTCCCAGTGCTTAGCCAAATGCCTTGCAATTGTAGAAACATGGAAGGAAATTAAATATAAAACCAGGTAAATTATTAAATTGTAATGTATCAACTAAAAAACATTGAGATGCTTTTATAATTATAATTGGCAACTATATAAAGAAGTTTTGATTAAAGCTTGATATAAAATTTTAAATATACTATATGCAGACTGTGAAAACTTTTTAGGCAAGACAGAGATTGGGAAGAAATACATAAAATAGGACAATAGGACCATGAAAGCTTATTTTCATAATATTTGAGGGAACTCAATTCTATTTTAGAATTCTTTTTTGTTAGAGCGACTTCAGTAGGAATAGATAGGGGCAATATTCTAGGTTTTCCATAGAAACATCAAGTATATGGAGTTGTAAATGTTCCAGGATTAAGAAGATTATACTTTCTGGCCTATATTTTTCTCTTTTTAAATCTATTAGCCAGGGTCTCTTGGTGACAAGCTCTTTCTCCTAGGTAGTGGAAAGCATGTGCCTCTTCCCTGTCTAATACATGGGGCTGGTGTGATTCTGGGTGCTTAGTTGCTGACCTAGTGAAACCGGACATTCCGGAGGCAGTCGAGCATCAAGATGTGTTGTCAGGTCTGAATCCTTCTGTGTTTTTGGATGGAGAATCACAAGATGTTAAGAGCATACCAGGAAAAGATGGGAAGCAACCTCAGGATGGGGTGGGAGTAAAGTTTGCATCAGCTAGGTGTTTTACTCTGCTGGCCCTGATGATGATCCTCCTCACTCATGCTTACGATGCAGTGCTGGGTGGAGGATGAGATGAGAAGAGGGTGATGAGCTGTTATTAGGTCCTTGTAGTGTCTATAACTTTTGGTAAAAAAATGTTTATAATGGTCGCAGGCATGTGGTATCATAATGCCTATAACTAATGTTATAAAATTTTTTGTCCAAACCAGGACACTTTTGAAAACCAAGCAGAAGTGCTATTAGCTGTGATAACAGACACAAACTGAGAAATCCCAGGTAAACGGAAGCACAAGATCAACCTCTCTGTAAACCATTTGAGTTTTTGACTGCAGTAGGATGATAAAAACTTCCAAGTTGGTCTTTATCTTCCTGTGACCACAGGTCCCCAGAAGGCCATGAATGCAGGAATAGTGTTTTGTCCCAGATGATACTTTCTAATAGCTGTGACTTTCTGGGCCTTTGGATCACTGAGGATTTTGAGCAGGAGCTGGCATGATTAACATGATATTTCAGGCCGAGATGTCTGGCAGAAGAATGTAGGATGGATTAGAAGGATAAGAATTATGAGTCAGGGAGGTTGTTGCCGCAATTCAGTTATTTTGTGCAAGCAGCTAAAAAGTCCAGTTATCAGAGCATCCTTTGTTGGGGGAGAGCAATAGGATGATAATTCTTATACTCTTCCATTGTGTGGCACCCCCTAATTTGGAAAACAGTTTGCCTTTTAAACAATGCTTTTCTTTAATGGTACAGATTCCTTAATCATTTAGAACAATTCTTCCTACAGTGTGATCTGCTGGCCTCTAGCAGCTTGAGAAGGCTCTTCAAGTGACCTAAGAGCTAGAATTGTGTATGTAGGTTTATTGCTAAAAGCCTGTCAATGTCACTGCCTTCACTTCTGGTGTGAAATGATAATTGAGTTTTAAGTGCTAATAAAATGTAGACCAAGTATTTGTGTTTCATTCAAAGTGTTCCTTTTGTTATACAAATCCTGATAAATGTTTTCATGGTTGTTTTTGCAGGCAGGTGTTCAGGGTAATCATTTTCCGTGGTGATATAGGTCAATAAATATTACTCTAATGAGAAAATCAGAGCCTATTGCCTCGCAATTTGGAGACAAATAAAGGTCTTAACCATTATGTTTGTTTTGTATGAATATATGACTAATGCTGCTTTTAAGGTTCTTGCAATCTTTAGACCAATTGTGATATTAAACTAGCAAGTTAATATCAACCAAGTTCTTTATATATTCATAATATTTTTAGATGCCTATGTTACATTCTGACACTATCTCTTGCTAGCTGTGTCATTTCAGTTATGATTTGGCCTCTTGGGGACTCAATTTCATCATTATCAGTAAAATGACTCATCTGGCTACTAAAATCCTATGACTTTATTACTTGATTTGGGGATCATACCCACAGATGTGACAATGGATGCCACAGGCCTGGATGAATTGCCGCAAGAGGATGAGAACTAAGAAAAGTCTTCCTATCACTTAGAGAAAACATGATATAATAATTGTGGTGACCTTATCATCAGACCCAAAATTCAGAGCCCAGAGACTAACAGGCATCAGTACTCTTAGAGCAAAGATGGAACCAAACATTTTAAAAATTAGGGTTTTTCTGGAAAATCCACACACATAATTGCTATAGGCATGGAAAGTCCATTCAACTGGTGGAAGAAACAGGCTGTAGTCCCCGGTCTGTCTCATGAACTCCCAGAGCTTTACAGTTCTCATTTGAAATAGAGGGAATTGAAACATGCCTATCAAGTTCCCCTCTTGTCCCTAAGAAAATGACTCTAAACTTTCCTGAAAGAATGGAATTTTATTTAGAGTTGTCTATATTCCTAACACTGTCCGAGAGAAGGTGTGTGTTCAGGGTAGGAAAATACATTAAAGAAAAGATAATGACCAGATAGAGACAAACTGAATCTTTTTATGCTTCTTGCCTGAGTTAGCTGAGAGGTTGACTAGATAAAAAGAACTCTGATGCCTTTGCTATCTCATCGGACTCTGGTTTGGGAAATTCATCCCAGATTAGTGTATCACCTGCTATCTTACTAATTATAGATCAAGGCAGTACCAATGCTTAAGCTCATTAGAGGAGATTTGAGGGAAAGAAAAATGAATATAATCCATCTAGTCATCCAAAATGATTTATAAATAATACTGAGGAAGGTACCAGAAGTAAAAATGTCCCACAAAGTCCCAACATTCACCTCATGATCTGGTAAGTGAAGCCCTTTACTTTCCGATGAACAGATCCTGCCGATTCACTTTGCCACGCACCTCTCCTCTCTCCCGAGCTCTTTTGTACTTAAGACCCTTCAAGACCCAAATCAAGTGAATGTTTTTTTCTTTTTCATAATGCAATTATGGACTCTGCTAATTAGCTTCTTGCCTCAGAGAATCAGTGTGGAAATTAAATGAGAAAAAGACATACATCAGTTCTCATCATTCTTGGCGGTTATGTTCTCTGATATTACTACAAACACTGAATTAGCAAGTACTGAACCCACTGCTCCTAGAGGAAATGCAGAGTTAGGTTCCTGTGGGCCTCTGGTTACAACACTTTTGACAACCAATCAATTCATAACCTTGTTTTATGTGGGTTTGTTTAAAAACACCTTATTTAATATGTGGTGTCAATTCATTAATGTTAAACTCACAGCTAGCAGTGCTGTAACTGAGTGCTGTAACTCATGCCTGAAAGAAGCTTATCTAACATATGCATTTTCTCCATAAGGCACATCACAGCCTCCTTATGCTTAGGAACATTAGACAGCACTTCAGCACTATGCTTAGGGGTCATTTTTTTTTTTTTTTTTTTTGAGACAGAGTCTCGTTCTGTTGCCCAGGCTGGAGTGCAGTGGTGCGAACTCGGCTCACTGCAATCTCTGTCCCCCAGATTCAAGTGATTCTCCTGTGTCAGCCTCCAAAGTAGCTGGGATTACAGGCACACCTAGGGGCCATTTTAAGCAGCAAAATCACCAACAAAAAGCATGAAAATACAAAAAACGTATCCCTAAAACAGACTGTGAAAAATACTCATTTACTGCACAAGAGGTGAAACAAGAAGGCAGGGTGTCACTTTATTCAGCCTCAGTGAAGAATGTGCTCATTGGGTGACTTAAATTTTTTGTCACTCTGTGCATATCTGTGGGTATAGCCCCAAATCAAGTAATAAAGTCATAGGGTTTTAGTAGTGCTGCAAGTATTGATTTTGGGGTTACAAATAAATTATAGTGAGTAGGTCAACTCCCAAATATGGACTCTGTGAATAATGGGGATCAAGTGTACTAATTAAGAATAAAGACTGTACATACAAATTTACACTTAATTGGGCATTCAGTGTCACTAGTAGAGGATTAAAACAGACAAAAAGAAACCAACATTTTGTTGTTGTTGTTTTTTGAGGGAGGTTCTCACTCTATTACTGAGGCTGGAGTGCAGTGGCACAATCACAACTCACTGCAGCCTCAGCCTCCTGGGCTCAAGTGATCCTCCAGCCTCAGCCTCCCACACACCACCACGTCTGGCTAACTTTTAAAATTTTTTGTAGACATGGGGGTCTCACTATGTTTTAGGCCGGTTTTGAACTTGGGCTCAAGTCATCCTCCTGCCTTGGCCTCCCAAAGTGCTGCAATTACATGCATGAGCCACTGTGCCTGGCCAACATTTATTAATTACCTACCAAGTACCAGATACCATGCTAGGTATTTTCATATGTTTATTTTTTACATTAATCTTGCAGTTAAGAAAATAGAAACTCAGACTAAATAAGTTGACCAAATTTACATAGCTAATAAATCCACAGTTGGGTTTCAGGGTCAATATTTACAACTCAAAGCCCATCTCTTTAATTTGGACAAACTCAGGTTGTTCCTATCACTTTCTTGCATATGCTTAGGTTGGATAGGGGATGGAGAGAACAGAAGAGGAAGAAACCTGGGGTTTAACAAAGTTGTCAGGATCCCTGAGTCTGACAACTTGCAGAAGGAAGAGTAAGTTAAATAGCACATCACCGTAATAGCATGAAAAGTATGCAAGCTCACTGATATGGTTTGGCTCTGAATCCCTACCCAAATCTCATCCTGATTTGTAATCCCCATAATCCCTATGTGTCGAGGGAGGGACCTGGTGGAAGGTGATTGAATCATGGGGGTGTGGTTTCCCCTATGCTGTTCTTGTGATAGTAGTTCTCAGGATATCTGACAGTTTTATAAGTGTTTGACAGTTCCTCCTTCACGTGCTCCCTCTTGCCTGCCACCATGTAAGGCATGCATGCTTCCCCTCCGCCATAGTTGTAAGTTTCCTGAGGCCTCCCTAGCCATGTGGAACTGTGAGTCAATTAACACCCAAGTCTGGGGACCTGGAGGGACTTTCCTCAGGTACAGCCAAAAAGGGAGGAAAGGACAGCAAGAATCTTGACCTCCTGTAGCCAAAAGAGAGTAAAGGACAGCAAGAATCTTGACCTCCTGTAGTAGCCCAAGGATGGGCAAAGTTATTTCTTAAAGGAGCTATGGGGTAACTTCCCTGTGATTTCTTCACACTGTGCCTCTCTCTGTCCTTTGAGCCCTCTCCTCTTTCTGCAGGTTGAACTAGGTCTTCAGGTTCCCACTGGGAGTATAGGCCTGAGGAAAGAGGGGTATGTTGACCACATTGTGTATTTTTATGAGAGCATGTCTTATCTCAACAGCGAAATTGTAAGGTTGCTAAAGTTAGGGGTCATGTGTTGTGTTTTTGTAGCTTTTATAATACTTAGCACAGTGTTAAGCATAGAGAAGATACTGTATTAAGTAACACTAAGGTTGATTGCTTTAGTTTCTTGGTGGAGCTTTTATGACTGTGAAATAGGTGTGATTTGGGAGTTTATGTCATCGATTTTCCAAAGTGAGGACACTGTCTTCTTTTGCCACCTCTTAACAGCCTGTCTCCTTCAGCACTCTCAAATTTGTCCGGGTGTGTTTTCCCCTTTCTGCCTCTCTGCCTCCTTCCTCTTGCTGGCATTGATTGTGTCTCCCTGTAACATTGAGTAAGTCCTCTTGTCAGTTGATGCTGTCCTTGAACTGAACAAAACCCTCATGAGCAGGCCATGAGTTGAGTCTCTTACCTCTGTCTCCAGAGGAGTTGATCTCTCCTGACAAGGTTTTGTCTGGTTTTAGTGGAGCAGTTAGTGACAGCCCATGCATGTAGCAGCGTGTGACCCAGCTCCTTGCCTCAAACTATGTAGTCGTCAGAACTGTCACACAGTCACAACAAGTTAATTCTACCCCAGCAGAAGGGCAGACTGTAATGATACAGGGCCTCTGGAGAAGGTGCTGTCAAGCAGGGTAGCTGCCACCACCACCCCAGCTGCTGGGCTCGGTGGGCTAAGATGCCTGCTGACAGGTTGCATGTCATTCCCAGAAACCAGACAGAAACCAGCTTGGTGATTTTCTCTGGGTTTCTGGATGCTCCTGGTACTGCTGGCTGTAATCTGAGAGTGACAGTTTCAATAGGGACCAATCGAAGCCTTAAAAAACCTGTCTTTTCATGGCAGTGGCAGACAATTGCTCTTGACCCTTCTCTCTTGGTTCTTTTTCTTCCCATTGCAGCTAATGAGAATGCTGATTGAGCTGGGGCACATTTGTGGGTTTCCCTGGAGACAGTGGCTGATGAGCTGTTGGTCTCATTAAGGGGCATTTTCTCTTCATGTTCTTTAAGAATTCCTTGGTTTCTCCTATGTTGGGGGACAGCCATAGGGTTCATGGAGGTAGGAGAATTAAGAGTTCATCCAGTGGATGAAGAGAGAGCAAGTGTTTCTGTGTGTGGGCTTTTGGGATATGAAGGAGAGATGCTGTCAGATACATAGAGTGGGGACCCTAGAAGTTTAAGATCATTCAGTAACAAGATGCGAACACTAAATTAGCTTAGTAGAAAGACCCAGATTTTTATTTAAGGCAGAATTTACTTTTTAGATTAGGAGTTAATGGTGGAAGTGATTTTCCTTTCTCTTTTCTTCTTCTTCTTTTTTTTTTTTTTTTTTTTTTTTTTTTTTTTTTTAGAGAGAGGAGACCAAGGAGAACCACAGAGGACTTTGCTTGTAATTAAATAGTGAAGTGGTTAAAAAAAAAAAAAACAATTGTTTTTTTTTTTCTTCGAATGGTATATGTGGCACTTGGGGCATGTGTGATTCATGTTAGTATATTTTTTCTTTTTCTTTTGAGTTGCTGCAATGTAATTGTCTCCTGAACTGATTTTAGGAATTGGTGAGCTAAGCACAGTTTTATTCAGAAATGAAGTATTGTCTTGTTGAAGACCCACTGCCAGATTTAGTGACTCAACCCAGTGCTGATGTAAAGCAACTCAGGACATATCAGCAAAATTCTACAGAAGTCATTCTGGTTGGTCTAGTGAAACAAGTGTAGGAAACAGTATATCCTGCTGTTCTTACTAGTTTTTTTTTTTTTTTTTTTTTTTTCTGAAAGAGAAGATACTAGGCCAGGCGCGGTGGCTCATGCCTGTAATCCCAGCACTTTGGGAGGCTGAGGCAGGCGGATCACAAGGTCAGGAGATCGAGACCATCCTGGCTAACACGGTGAAACCCCGTCTCTACTGAAAATACAAAAAATTAGCCGGGCTTGGTGGTGGGCGCCTATAATCCCAGCTACTCGGGAGGCTGAGGCAGGAGAATGGCATGAACCCGGGAGGCGGAGCTTGTAGTGAGCCAAGATCGCGCCACCGCACTCCATCCTGGGTGACTAGAGCAAGACTCCATCTCAAAAAAAAAAAAAAAGAAAATACTAAAGAGAGATGCTCTAAAAGAAATTCATAGTATAATCCTAAATAATACCATTGAGGAAGAAAACCATGAGGCAGCTGATGAACCAATGGTGACTGATGGAATTATTTCCTAAAAACAAATCTGATCAGATCACATTATTGTATGTGTCATGACTTTAATGTCCTGTTCTCTCTTCCATGCCTTTCACGTATATTCTTTGCATGTCACACTCTATGCATCCTTTAAGATTCAGAACAAAAGACCTCTCTTATATGAAGCATTCTCCAGGAGAGGTCTTGGGGCTTTGAAAACATGTGTTTATATGTCTTTAGTACATTTATAGGGCAAAATTTAAATATATTAAATAGATTAAATGCTTCTTTATATTCCTATCTTTTCCACTAGACTATGACTCATTGAAGTTAAGAGCCATGTATTATTCGTCATTTTATCTGCAGTGCCCAGAAAATGTCTAGCACAAAATAGATGCTAAATTGATGGTGGAAGGTTGAATGAAGGGTACTCTTTGATGAACTCTGGAGTGAGAAAAAAATGTGAACAGATGAAAGGTCAAATTTAATCAGGTAAATTTAAAAGGGTTGATACTTGCAATAAAATGTTTAAATGTAATGGAATGAACTCTTAAGAATACTATTAACATTGAGTTCAGATATTTGAAGAATGTATAGATAATTAAAAAATTAAAAGCACTTTAAAAAGCTATTATTAACCCAATGATTGGGACAGATGGCATAACGTTAGCACAAGGCAAGGAGCTAGAAGAACTATTAGAACCTTGCTTCCGTGTTTTCTACCAGGGAGTGTGATCTACAAAGACATACTTAAGAGGAAATATAAGATTATAGGAGAGACCTGGGCTGCTTGCAGGAAATTCAAGTCTCTGCCAGAAGAGACACAGTCTAGGGTTTTGAAATTAGTAGGTGATTATAGAAGCATTTGGAAAAGAGAGGTCACAGGCTTGCTGAGTCTTCCTCATGTTCTGTTTTCCAAACCAATCCAATTTTCTCTATTCCTACTGCCACCACTGTTAGTCTGTATGTCCCAATGAATCATTCATTTCCCAGATTTCTGAATAGCTGAAGTCTTCTCTCTGTCTCTAGAGTTGAATTTTCCTATGTATTCACACGGAAGCCAAAGTGATGCAAATTTGATCATCTTACTCCCTTGTCCAAACCAATGCAGGGATTTTTCATTTCACTCTTTACTGTGGCTATTTGCCTGGACTCACGTGAGCCTCTCCAGCCTTAACCCTTACTCACTCTTTTCCTTCCACCTTCCTCTTTCTTTCCTAGAGGCTTCATCTTTACTGAACTCTGCCCAGCCTTTCATGCATGCATTTTTCCTGCTCTTCTGTTGAGCCTTTTCACATATATTAATTAATTAAAAAAAATCTATTCACTCAGCCTGGCCCTATATTAAACTTTGGGGGATACAAAGGATAAGCCCAGAAGGAATCTCAGTCCTTATGGGAAGATGATTATTAAATGATCATTAAATGATCAAATCAATGATATTAGAACAAGAATAGGGAGAAATATAATGCTACGAGAGCTTAATGACCTTGTCAACTAGGTTAAAAAAAGTCTCTGGTAAAGTGATGGGGATGATCAGCATTAGCTAGAAGAAGGAGGAAGAAGGTTATTCCTAACCAAAAAACCCCCAAGATTTACAAAGTCCTATTCAGCAAGGTAACCTTATAATAATGAAGAACTGGAAGAAAATCAGTGTGGCTGGAATGAATAGGAGGCAAGTCAGATCATGCAAGGCTTTGTGGGCTATGGTAAGGACTGTGTATCTCTGTATTAAAGGAAGTTCAGAGTCACAGACACATTTTAGGCAGAGTTAGTAGAATAGAATATTTCAAGATCATTCTGTTTGCAGTGGGAATTGGCAGAGGGAGGCTGAAAGTATTTGGGTAAAGCATTTGGCAGGGCTGTTGTAGTAATCCAGGCAATGGATGGTCTGGTTTGGATTAGGGTGGCTGTGGAGGATGTAGAGAGTTGTAGGTTGATTTGAGAGATATTTGGGAGATAAAGTTGGTAGGACTTGGTGGTGGATTAAGATAGGAGACATGAGAAGAAAAGGGCATGCGAAAGAAAACTCCCAGGAGTCTGGCTGGATAACTGGATGGCTGGTGGGGACAGTCAATGAAGAGGAAACTGTGAAAGAAGACCAGATTTGTTGATGAGTTTGATGTTGCACAGATAATCTGAGGAGCTTTTGATCTGTACAAGAGGAGAGGTCAAACAGTCAGTAAGAACCACCGTTCTGGAGCTCAGCGGAGAACGTCCATGCTGGAGACATAAAAACCTGTAAGAAATCTTGTATAAGTTATAATTGAAGCTATGGACTTTGAAAGAACATAAGTATAAAGAAGAGAGAGCATAGGCTCAAGCCTTTAGGAAAGTTAACATTGAATGGGGGAGTAGAGGATGGAATTATAAAAAGCACAGAAAGTTAAAGTACCGAGAGGACAAGTAGTATACTGTGATGTCACAGAAGCTAAGAGAAATGAGGGTTTCAAGAAAGAATTCATGCCAGACAGATGTGAGAGGTCAATGAACATGACACCGCTAGAAAGTATCTCTCAGATTTGGTGGCCAGAAGGTCATTGCTCTGAACAGGAGGAGAGCTTTAGGTCACAACTGGAGGGAAAGAAGGTGTGAACAGCTGTGCTCTCTGACTAAAATACTGTTCCCCTTTCTCCTTACCTGACTGAATATCCCCTCACCCTTCAGATCTTGACTGAAACACCTCTTATTCCAGGAAGCCTCCCATGATGACTCTTTCCACTTTATCTTTCTACAAGACTGGTTGGGTGCTTTTAAAATGTGCTTCCAAAACATTGAACTTGCCCATATTAGCACAAATCATTATATTTTATGCTATTTCTTTGCTCATTGCCTATTTTTTCTGCCAGACTCTCAGATCTGAGAGAGTAAGAATCACATTTATCTAACACCCCCATTGCCTAGCAAAGTGCCATATGCAAAGTGGGTGCTTAATACGTATTTATTAACTGAATACGTTAAATACTGCTGATTTTTCAAATTAGAGTAAAAAAGCATGGGTGAATGAGTTTTATGGAGATATTTCTCAAATTATAAAACAGATTTTAAACATAATTTATGATTATTTATATGAGAAACTGATTATTACTGTGGGCTAGTTTGGGGTCCTGGAGAACTGGTCACTTCAAGCTAATTGAAGAATACTTTTTTTTTTGGAGACAGAGTCTCGCTCAGTCGCTGGAGTGCGGTGGCTCACTGCAACCTCTGCCTTCCAGGTTCAAGTGATTCTCATGCCTCAGCTTCCCAAGTAGCTGGGATTACAGGTGTGCACCACCACACCCAGCTAATTTTTTGTATTTTTTTTTTTTTTAAGTAGAGACGGAGTTTTGATATGTTGGCCAGGCTGGTCTCGAACTCCTGGCCTCAAGTGATCCACCCGCCTTGGTCTCCCAAAGTGTTAGGATTACAGGCATGAGCCACGGTGCCCGGCCAAGAGTTTTGAGACAGAGTCTTGCTCTGTTGCCCAGGCTGGAGTGCAGTGGCACAATCTAGGCTCACCACAACCTCTGCCACCCGGGCTCAAGTGATTCTCCTGCCTCAGCCTCCTGAGTAGCTGGGACCACAGGCACGCGCCGTCGTGCCTGGCTAATTTTTTTTATTTTTAGTGGAGATGGGGTTTCACTATGTTGGCCAGGCTGGTCTCAAACTCCTTTCCTCATGATCTGCCTGCCTCAGCCTCCCAAAGTGCTGGGATTACAGGTGTGAGCCACCATGCCTGGCCAGAATACTTCTTTTAATAGACAAAAGGAAGCTTCCAGATCATAGGAATGTTGTGGACATAGCATACTTGGGTTTTAGCAGTCACTCACGATATCCATGCAGACAATATGGTTTAATACCAATTTTGGGAAAAGTGTTCTGATCTTCTCTTTGTCCTGTCTTGATTTGAGCTAAGGTAAGGGGTCTACAGTCTCTGATATGAAAGCCTTGGAGTCAGATTTGTTTCAAAACTTAGTGTTTTTGGATGTTATAATGGTAACACAGAAAAACACTGATGTATGTATTCCCTTCACTTTATCATATCAACTTGCTGAATTTCTTGAAAAGAGTGACAATAATGACATAGTTGTTTTGTATCTCACTTTAGAGTTCCACAAGCACTACATTTTATCCTCACATCAGCTCTGTGAGGTAGGCGAGCTCTCCATTTTATGGATTGGGGACGCTAAGGCTTTGAGATATAATCTACTAAGCCATATTTTTAAAGCAGATTTGTAAACTCAAGTCAAATGTTTTTTATCTAGCTCCAGATAGCCTTCTCAGTTCTGAGGCTACGTGTCTCAGGAGCTTACGTAACTTCTGTGTTACTGTGTATCTGTCTAAAAATTGACACATGGTCTTAGGTTATTTAATGGCAAAAATTATGTTTTATTCATTTTCGTACCCCCACAGGTTCTAAAACGTAATAGATACACAATATTTCCTGAATGAATAAACCTAATTATGTCAAAATTTCTTCATCAACAAAATGAAAGAGACTAGGATCCCAAAGAACTTTTGTTATGTTAACCATATTAGAAATTAAAACTGAGGACCAGCCACGGTGGCTCACGCCTGTAATCCCAGCACTTTGGGAGGCCGAGGTGGGTGGATCACCTGTGGTCAGAAGTTTGAGACCAGGTTGGCCAACATGGCAAAACCCCGTCTCTACTAAAAATATAAAAATTAGCTGGGTTTGGTGGAACGCACCTGTAATCCCAGCTACTTGGGAGGCTGAGGCAGGGGAATCGCTTGAACCTGGGAAGCAGAGGTTGCAGTGAGCTGAGATCGTGCCATTGCACTCCAGCCTGGGTGAAAAGAGTGAAACTCCGTCTCAAAAAAAACCAAACAAATAAACAAACAAAAAATACACTGAGAAACTAAAAGGAATTTTTGGTTTATTGAAAAAATAATAACATATTCACCATATGTTAATATGTAACATAATTTATAAAATATAACTATATTTTCCAAAATAAAAATACGTAAGTGAGAAGAGTGATATTATTTTAGATATTTGCAAATCTCTTTCAGGTCTGGCTTAACAGATGATAGCTGGATTTTCGTATCTGCTTCCACTTTCCATCATCTATTGTTCTATGTTATTTTTGTTGAAGTATATGAAGAAAATCAGGCCTCACACAGTTATGTAGTTGGAAAAGGGAGAAATATTTTAGCGGTATTTTCATATAATTTTTTGTGGACATTATTTTTGGATACTATACTAGAACTTGAACAATGGTAGTTTCTTTAAAGTTAGTTGATATGTGGAATCTGAAATCATACTAATAAAATTTTCTTCCTCTGTGACAATAAAATCCATTAGTCTGTCATTTTTTCACTTTGGATGAATCTTTTTCCCATGTGTAATTTTGCAGCATTATGTATTGTTCATTTGGAAAATACTGTTTTCCTGAGTTATGCAGAGTTTCCAAATTACTGACACAGTTCACTGTAGAAAAAACAAAACAAATGGCTGGGCGGGGTGGCTCATGCCTATAATTCCAGCACTTTGGGAGGCTGAGGTGGGCAGATTGCCTGAGGTCAGGAGTTCGAGACTAAGCCTGGCCAACATGTTGAAATACTGTCTCTACTAAAAATGCAAAAATTAGCCAGGCATGGTGGCATGTGCCTGTAATCCCAGCTACTGGAGGCTGAGGCAGGAGTATTGCTTGAACCCGGGAGGCAGAGGTTGCAGCAAGCCGAGATTGAGCCGCTGCACTCCAGCCTGGGTGACAGAGCGAGACACTGTCAAAAAAAAAAAAAAAAAAATTCACATTCATTAATATCATCACCAGTTTTATCAGAAGTCTTTAAGTGTTGGGAAGTTGTTAAGCTCATAGTGGAGTATCCAAAATTTCTAAAATTTGAATTTTTAGTTGAAAGCTCATATTTCATCATATAAATAACAATAATGACAGCAATAAATACTGTCATGTGTTTCACTAGCAGTGACTAGCTTGCTTCATTCATTTTTCATAAAATGTCTGCCAGTACCCAAGTTTGAATAACTATGGTATGACTGTCAGCCATTCTTTCAAGTAAAAGTGTTGTTTCATGAAAAAATTGGCTAGTGCAGATTTCCATTCGAACAATTTCACATATGCTTTTCTTTGAGACAGTCATCATAGTTGGGTATGCATCAAAAGTGCTTTATGTATACCTCCCATTTTGTCATATAGAATATTAAAAAGATGTGTACTCAAGAGTTCATACTTAAAAAATATAATTTTTACTGCATCATCAAGGATTCTTAAGTAAAACTTCTCTAATTCCCACATCCCTCTTTTAACCGTAAGTTCATACCTTAAATTATGCTAAAAGGTCAGGCATCGATCTTGCACCATTGGTGGAAATGTCAACATAGTAGACAAGGCAAATAACAGCCTAGTATTATTACAAAAATGTTCTTTACCTCTTTAGTCTCCTGAAAGCATCTCAGAGACTTCTAGATATCTGCAGATCACACTTGGAGTACTCCTGGTATAATAGTCAGTCTATAAGTATTGTATTGCGTTACCTACCTCTAGTGGTGATACTGGGAGAGAAAATGTAATTGATCAAACTGGGTCAAACCTCACTTTATCATGCAGGACTGATGATGTAACTGGGATGCACCAATCCAATGAGCAAACAAGCTCAATTCATTTGCATCTGTCTCTTTTATCTGTTTTGTTAAATTTCACTGGTATTTGTACATCAACCCAAAGTTGCATTGCGAGCAAGATTGCTAGGTGTTCCTGAAATCCACTGCTTCTTTTTCTTAGCCTCTCTTGCATCAGATATGCCCATTGAACTGTGCCAACAACAATGTTAGTGGAAGGGCTGAGTGTTACTACTTGGCCCATCCCACTGAAATCCTCCATGCATGCTAGTCTGTGTTCTTTAGTCCCCACTGATGGGATGGGGATCAGAATAAAGACCAATGAGATGGTGGAAGAAGCCTTGGAATGACCATGTGGAGGAGGGCTGACAGCATTCAGAATGTCTGAACACTGGTCCAGGGGCAAGTGAGCAAGAAATAAATTTCTATTGTTTTGAGCATCAGATGTTTAGGTCTATTTGTTATAGCAATTAGCCTACCTCACCACTGACTTGAATAATGACCCTTTAATTAGAATTCACAGTGATTCATATTCCTCAATTACACGTAAATTAAAACTGTTCTAAAGGCTAACATCATTAATGATTTCTTTTTACAGAGATATTCTGAAAAAGGACATCTCTTTCCAAATTTATGGCAGATTCTCTTTTTATCCTCTCTGCAAAGAATCTATTTTTAAATTAATGGGTAATGCAAGGTATAATGAGGAACAAATATTTGTCCCTTAAATATTTGGGGGAATATTGCATTGCATTATTACTTCACATATGTTCCAACCCTTAAGTGACTAGCCTGGGATACTCATGGGTGTAGACAGGGAATTAAGCAGGAAATTGGAAATGTATTCCATGAAAGATACAATGAGAAAAGTAATTGAAGATAAAGTATTATAAATAGGATGACTCAGAAACTTGAAAAGTGCTTTCAAATAATGGATATAGTTTTCAAGGGGGAAGTAATTGAGTAGATTCCGAATTTAAAACCTTTGGGGAATTGGTTCTTCTCCTAATTACTTATCCTTCTCCCTGGTTTGTGAATATGAAGCTAATTCTCCCTAGTGTCAGTTGGATAGAGATGCAATTACAAAAATAATGGATGTGATCCAGGACATCATTAACCTTTTTTTTTTTTTTTACTTTGCTCTTATCTGTATTCAATGCAAGTCAGCATTCTGAGCAAATAACTGAACTACTTTCATAAACATTGTGTATCATAGCATATGCTACGTGATCACATTCAATGACATTGCTTCCACGGATTCCACAACAATCATTTCCTATCTTAGCTGTCTGCAGTGATCCAGTTTCTGACAATTTCATCTTTTTTTTTTTTTTTTTTCTTTTTTAGAGACAAAGTCTTGCTCTGTCGCCCAGGCTGGAGTGCGGTGGCGCTATCTCCACTGACTGCAAGCTCTGCCTCCTGGGTTCACGCCATTCTCCTGTCTCAGCCTCCCGAGTAGCTGGGACTACGCCCACCACCACGCCTGGCTAATTTTTTTGTACTTTTAGTAGAGATGGGGTTTCACCGTGTTAGCCAGGATGGTCTGGATCTCCTGACCTCGTGATCCTCCCGCCTCGGCTTCCCAAAGTGCTGGGATTACAGGCGTGAGCCACCGTGCCCGGCCCAATTTCACCGTTTTTAAAGACATCTGAGCTGAGTTTCCATTAGGCTGATTTTTAAAAACAGTCTAAGTATACTTTGACATTAATTCAACAAACATTCACTGAGTATGTACCATGTGCTAGGCACTGGTGATACAAAGATATATAAGTACCTCTTATTTTATAGGAGTGCCCAATCCTGAGGGGGGCTAACATATTGTAATAGTCAACCAGACGAGGTTGACTATTATTGACAAAAATAGACAACCCTTCCAAATCTCAGTGGCTTAACATGACCAACATTTATTTCATGTTCATACTTTACATCCAAGAAAAGTCAGTGATGGGGCTTTGTCCCTTAGGTACCCGGGGACTCAGGCTTTTGGAAGCTTCATCTACAATGTAATGCCACCTTTCCCCTGCACCTGGGAAAAGGACCACAGCCAATTGCACACTTACTTTCAAAGCTCTGCCCAGAAGAGACACGTGTCATTTCTGCTTGCATTTTATTGGCTTAAGCAAGTCAAAAGACTACATCCAAGGGAGCACAGAGCGCCCAATCCTAAAATGTGCCCAGAGGGAAGGAGAAATAGGATGTTTGTGGGCAATCATATGACCACATATATAAATAGACAGCTGCAATGCAGAGAAGGGAATAGACAATCTCAGTACTAGAAGATATGATGATACAACAGTAAATGTTACAATGAAGGTTTGCACAGGATACTGATCAACACTGAGGTAGACTGAGCCTCAGGTTGGAGAAATGGATCACGGTGAGCATCAGCTTAACAATTTCTTCCCTAACCAAGCTTCTGTGAAGCCTTGGACTTGCTCAGGTCTTCCTTGTATCTTCTCATTGCATCCTACTGCCCTCCTTCACAGTGCTTTTATTAGCGTCTATCTTTCCTGACAGATTATAATCTCCCTGAGAGCAGGGACTGTGTCTGACCTCTATATAGCTGTGTCCAAGAAATGTTTGTGTAATCATAGTATCCCTTGGCTCATAGAAGGCACCCAAGAACTCTTTGTGAATGAAAGCATGAGGAGGAGCTGAATTTTGGTTAGTAAGTTCAAGTTAGCCCAAGGAAGAAGGAAGAGAGAGCACTGCACACTAGGGTCATCATGCACAGAGGCACAGGCACATTAGAGGCAAGGCCATTTTGGAAAAGGAAAGGGCAAAACTTGTGGTTCGCTTGCTCCCTAGGAGAGGAATTCTTACTCATGCATAGCTTAATTGTCATTTTAAGCAAAAGTGAGCCAGTGTTCCACTTCTAAAGCTCTCTGGGCTTCTAACCCCCCTTTTCTCTTGCCTTGCTGCTTTGATGAGCCGAGACCACCAGCTGGGCCAGGCTTCGATACTGTGGATAAATGTCTATGAGGGGCGACAACCAGGCCACCAACCTCATTTTCACTTGTGATTCAAGCCCAAACTTTAACCTTTCTCCAGAGGAGTAGATAATGCATTAACACTTCAAACCACTCCACCAGCTCCCAGGGCACGGTGGTATCTGCTGTCTCCTAGGTCTGAGTGCATCTCCCATTTGCTTCTGATAATCACAGCCTGGGAAATTATTTCAAACTGGAAAAAAGGGCTGTGGAGGGAGAGATGAGGAAGTGCCTCTCATGGAAACGGAACTGTTTTCCCCGGGTTCACCTTGCTTAGGTATGTCTCGCTTTAGATCATAAGGCAATTGGATTTGGATTCCTTCTACCCCTGGAACCTACCACATTATTAGTCTGTCACTGATGAATAAATTTCTGTGCAGTTTTGCTGGGGTTTAGCAGCAGCATTTTTCCAGGGTAGGAGACAGATTCTTGGTCAGATCTCTTAAATGGAAGCTTAGCGTTTGTGCAGAAAAAACTGATTGGGGAATGTTCACTTACATCAGAACTGAACTGATCAAACCAGAGCAGATGGCAGGTCTTATCTCTGCCCCTTGAGCACTTGCCCTGGCTAACTCACAAAGACTGTCTCCAGCTCAAAGAAGCAGTCTGGGATGCTACTGAATATTTTATCTGACATGAGGATGAAGGTTTTTTTTTTTTTTTAACAACATATAATGATTAAATTAAATGACTCCCTGCATATATATTATATTCATTACTGCACACTTACTTTCTCAAAATGAAAAAGAGAGTAATAACAACTCCGGACCCTTTAAATCTGCCCATCTGGGATACAAGTAGCTTATTCCTGCACTTGTCATTCCAAGTCACATGTGGCTATTTAAATTAAAATTAAAATAAAATATTTTTAAAAGTTTACTTCCTTATTTAAACTAATCACATTGAAGTGCTCAATAACCACGTGTTGGCTAGTGGCTGCCATTTTGGGCATTTCTATCATTCCAGAACATTCTGTCAGGCAGCACTGGCTTAGACCATTGTTCTCCAGAGTGAGATGAGAGTAACCCAAAATGTCTGTAAGACAGTGCCTTGTGGGGAGAGGGGACATATCAGAACTTCTAATTATCTAGTTCCAGGAAGTAGACTTTGAGATAGAGCTTAATAAGCGAGGAATTTATTAGGAATCATCATCAGGATCAACACCTGTAGAGGAGTGCAATTGGAGTGCATAGAGGAAGGACTGGCGGAGAAAGGAGGGAGATGTTGGCTGTGGTGCAGTTACAGTAAACACCTCCATTGACTCACAGAAAGCTCTGAAGCAGGGAAAGCTTTTCAGAGTTCTCCTGAGCCCTCAAGTTCTAAGAGGGCACCAGCACTTCATACTCCTGCAAGTGGCCACTGGGATAGGGTTTGATCTTGGGCAAGGAGGTTTTCTCTAGCAGCTGAGGGAACAAGCCTTTTGGTCCTGAAGGAGGGATCCAAGTGATGCATCAGATTGTCTGTGGCATTTGGTGTCCTTGTATTTGTTTTACAATGTTCAAAATTTATTAATACAGTGGTAGATGAATTTACTTTATAAATGAACATAGGTTCATATAATGAGACTTGGGCTAAATGTAATTTACTAATCCGAATGCAAAAATAAAAAGCTTGGAAATCGTCTGGTCTAGACTCTGGATTGAAACCTAGATTTTATGTTGGAATGGCTAAAATACTCTTTGCAAACTGGTGGCCACTAGTCCAATCCAGCAACAGACTAGTTTGTTCAGAACAGCCAGCTAGGCAGCCTACCTGCCTGCCTGCCTGCCTTCTTTCCTTCCTTCCTTCCTTCCTTATTTCCTTCTTTCCTTCCTTATTTCCTTCCTTCCTTCCTTCCTTTCTTCCAAAGTCATATGCAAATGACTTTAGGCTATGGCCTGATCCAGATGACTATAGGCCATACTGTCATCTTAAGCTCAGGAATTTCACACATTTTCATGGCCTATTTGAACCCTGAAGGTCTTTAAGTTTATAACCCTTCATCTGCACAGTAACAGAGAGAGCGTCTGATGCTAAATGCAGTAGAGAAAAATGAAAAACATAATAAGAAAGGTGGAAGAAACTCAAGACCAAGGAATGAGAACAAATGGGAGTAAACTGTGAAGTGGAACTAGCCACTGCTTTAAGAAATTATATACAATCACTCTTCTTGGTGGGTCAAGAGGGAAGCTGAAAAAACCAACAAACAAAAACTCCCAGAGTATTGAAGACCCAGCCCCATTTCCTATGAAAAACAAGAGAACTAATATTTATTCAGCATCCATTTGTAATATATAGTAGGCACTTCAGTGGGTAGTTCCCGAATATAAATGTAATTTAATTTTTCTAAGTTCCCACTGGTACGAATTGATTATCTCCTCCCTCCAATCCAAATATTGAAATTCTGGTTCCCATTGTGATAGTGTTAGGAGGTGGGGCCTTTGGGAGGTGATTTGTTCATGAGGATGGAGCCCTCATGAATGAGATGAGTGCCCTTATTAAAGGGACCACAGAGAGCTATCTTGCTCTTTTCCCATCATGTGAGGATATGAGAACTCAGCTATCTGGAACCTGGAAGAGAGCCCCTCACCAGAATCCAGCCATAGTATTACTCTGATCTTGGACATCTCAGCCTACAGAACTGTGGGAAATGACTGTTTGTTGTTAAGCCACCCAATCTATGTATTTTATTATAGCTACCTGAGCTAAGATGCCCCCTGAGCTAGGTGTGAATATCATAGGATAGGAAAGATGGCTCCACGAGTGACAAGGAGATGGTAGTGAGACTTGTGGCAGAGAAGCCTTGTAATTTATTTATTTTTCCCTTGGAAACCTGTACTTCCAACTTGGCTCTCAGAGATTTTTGTGCAGAGAGATTCATAAGCCTGGAGCCACAAATTCAGGTGCCTGCCAGAGTCTGGCAAGAAATAGAAATGGGTGAAGCCAGTACAAAATCAGACAATAAGAGGCGGAGACTGTGGCGATGTGGAGAGTCCATGCTCCCCCTTCAGGAGGCAGCTGCTGTGGCCAGAGGACTGTAGGGCTAGTGTTAACCAAATGTCTCAGTTTTCAAGAGATGTTGGGTACCTAGTTGAATGTTGGAGACATAGGCAAAGCCTCTGGGTATTTACACATCAACATTCAATTAAAAAATGTTATGGGTCAGAAGACACACACATCTGGGGCTGCAAGCCAATTTCTGAGACAGAAGGGCCTTGATTTGAGAAGATTCATGGCATTGTTAGAGAGCAGGCATCGTGTTGATAGGGACCACTGCCCAGCTTTAGAAAGGCAGAAGCTCTGATGTGAGGACTTGAGGAGCCATTCATACTCTCCTGCCTCTCAGAGGATGCTCACCCTGAGGACATCTGTTCAGAACCTGACCTGGGCTTGTTAAATACTGGAGAGCTGGTTAGCAGGGCAACTCTGGGCAGGGGACGCCTGAGCCCCTCACCTCCAAAGTGAACAGAAGCTCGTATACGTGGAGCTCCTATTTCCACAGATATTTCCTGGTGCTGCTTCAGCTCATTTTAGACCAGACTCACTTCAACTTTCAAATACAGCCCTTGATATACTTCTGTAGACTCTTTGGCTATCACTGAGTATCACTCCAGACCTGCAAACTAATTCTAGAAATGTCACTGTTGTTACAATGTATTAGCACAGTACATTTAGTCATTAGCAATTAATAAACTGTTTAACCCTTGGCTTGAAAGGGGAAGAAAACAGGAAGAGGTGAATCAAAAGGTGAAGACACCCACTTCCGGCTCCCTGTTTATGATGGTGGCTTTGTACCATCATCACTCTGGCCTGAAAGTTTTTATTCAACCTCTTTCCTTCCCACAGAAGAGGACACAAAATAATTGAGCAGGTACAACCCACAGCCCGCAGCCCTAGAAATGTGCCACAGAACAACACAGAATAACTGTTGGGTGGTAATTGTTTGCTTGTTTGTTCTTTTGAGCAAGGTGGGTAGAGATGAGGGCAAGGTTCTGCAGTAACAGTCTAGAATTTGTTCTCTTGGGACAACAAGAACCTGGGAGAATTTCAGAACCCATTAATTGCCAAAATGTATCCATTCAACCATCTACCCATCTATCCATCCATCCATCCATCCATCCATCCATCCATCCATCCATCCATCCAATATTTATGGTGTTCTTGCTATAAGACAAAATAATGAATCTACCAGGATGAGGCTATCATGCTGAAAAGCAGCCCATTCACAGCCTAACTAATCACTTCTGCACCCCACTTGGTTTCAGGGACATCTTCCTTTTTGACACCCCCCACCTTTCCCCAACCTGTCTCTGTTCTGGGTCTGGGCCAGTCTGTTTATCCAGTGCCTTACTCACTCTGTGAGTGCCCCTCCAGTGTCACGTGGGATGCCTAAAGAGGGCTCTGATATTAGCTTGCTGTGCCTTGTCAGTTCAAATCAAGTCACGGCAGCTCAAGCCCACCCCGCAGGCAAGTTCTTGACAGCTCTCCTTGTCAGCTGACCGCTGAAAGGCAGCAGCAGTGAGTGGAAACCAGTTAATTAGCAGTGATGACTTCCAGATTGGGATTTTTTGTTTAATGCTTAGTTAACTTCACAGTAATTGAATTTAGACTTGGCTTACGGATACTGGGGTGAAAGGTTCTGGATGGAGCCCCAGGACTCTCTAGCAGGAGAATGAAAAAGGCTATTGTTCCAAGGCTTGTCTGGCCTCTGCTCATGAACCCCACGAATATTTGCAGGCCTGCAATTTCCCACAGGGAGATTTGAGGTGCAGGTAAGGGAAACAGAAATGCTGCAGTTCCTGCCCCGTCATGATTGATGTCAGATTTGGTGGAATCTGTATATCTGCACAAAGAGGAACGGGCTTCTTTTGAGTGATTTCTATGTGCCTGTCACAAGGGTGGGCTCTTCACATATATTCTCTCATTTCTTCTCACACCATACTAGTGAGGTCAGTGCTATTATTTTCATTGTTCGGGAGGGTGATGTTCAGAGGTGTTGAGTAACTAACTGACATCACACAGTAAGAAGCAGGTCCAGGATTTGAAGTTGGGTGCTTCTGACTCCTAAATCAGACTCCCTCAATTGTTGCTTTGGAAGAAGGCAAAGCTAGAGAACTTTTCTGTCTCTTATATGGAAAGTGATGCTGAGAGTTTTAACTTCAGCAAGGATTGCTACCAACAGTGAGGATGGGTCTTGGGTAATGCTTTTCCTGGCCAGTCCCATTCTTTCCCTTGTGCAAGATGGTGTTCATTCAATGAAGACAATGTGCTCATATTTCTTGTTTGGAGGTTTTATATTCTGATTGTCAATATATCCAATGTATTAATTAGGAAATTTTTAGTTGTCACCAGCAGAAACCAAGCCAAAAATAGCTTGGGTATAAAATGAATGATTCTGTTCATATGGCTGGGAAAAATACCAAAGTGGCACACAAACGTGAAAGATTCACTCAGAATAATTTGGTCATGGGGCCTGGAGCCATGGACATGAAGCCTAGCTGTGTGGTGTCTCTCATCTGTGCTAGGATCTGACTTGATGTATTGCTATGGACTGAACATTTGTGTCCTCCCTGCTCCCAATTCATATGCTAAAGCTCTATCCCCTAGGGTGACTGTATTTGGGGATGGGGTCACTAAGGAAGTAATTAAGGTTAAATGAGGTCACAAGGGTGGGGCCTTGATCCATAGGATTAGTGTTCTTATAAGAAGAGACACCAGAGAGGTTTCTTTCTTACAAGGAGATCAGGTAAGATCTCAGAGAGACAGCAGTTGCCTATAAGCCAGAGAAGAGGCCTCAGAATTAAATCTACCTTGCTGGCACCTTGACATTGGACTTACCAGCCTCCAGAACTATGAGAAATAAATCTCTGTTGATTAAGCAATCTAGCCTCTAGTATTTTTTTGTAGCAGCCCAAGCACACCAATATATATGTTTTGGCTCCTTTTCCTGTTCTGCAGATAACCTTCCTCCATGTGGTCAGGAGAGATGGTCACTGGAGCTCCAGGCTACAATGGTCCCGTTTAATAACTTAGATGGAAACAGTTCATTATCTTCAGATTGTTTATACAGTGAGGATCATGCTAATATCACACACCCACATCCCACACCAATCGCTGATGATGTAGGGGAAGGAATGGAGGATAGAGTATGATTGGTCATGCCTGTTACCAGAAAAAAGAGGGTAAGAAAAGTTCCAGAATGAACCAAGAAGAGGTAAAGTCAGTAATGACAGTGCAGCACACCTAGGGAGAAACACCATTTTGTGCCATTACAGAGGAGACCCCAGAACCTGGTATAGTGACTGGTAATTCTAATGACTGCCTTTCTAGTTGATTGACTGAAGGAAGCCCCAAGTTGAACTCTTTTCATGTTGTGTTTCACTGTGCAGCTTCTTCAAAGGGTAATAGTTAATCACTTTTTAAATTTGTGTTTGAATGAGTCTTGGTGGGATTACATGTAAGAACAGGGTTTTGACTTTCTAACAGATGCTGAGCTGGAAAGAATTATGGAAGTGACTCAGCGTGGACACAATAGGGGGAAACTTGTTGAGCTTGCCCAAGAAAAGTTCCCTCCTCTGTCCTAAGGTGCAGTGCATATCCCAGGATATTGGTTATGCTAAGAATCTCCTTGCAGAATGGTCCTGCCCTCCTGGGGAAGGATGAGCAGGCCCTCTCTGATAGGAGAATGAGATGGGAAAAATCTGAAAGCCTTTTATGTCCGAACAGATCGAATCCGAAAGCCCAAATGGAGCAACACCCAAATTCCAAAATTGTCCTTGCTACATTGAAATAGGATTATAAACACCTAATGAAAACATTTAATTGACAAATACTGTATGAGTGACTTCTTTGTGTACCATGCCATTTATGTTTAAAAAAAGATGTTAGCTAATATTTTTATAATTGTTGTTGACTGGAGAAGCTGATTACATGGAGCTCTTGTTGATTTGCCTAAGCACCCATAATCCAAGGATGTTAGTAGCATTGCTGGAAAGAACTTGAAACAGTCTTGCCAGTGACTTTTAGCAGTAGCTAGGTCTTCCAAATTCTCTCTCTCTCTTTTTTTTTTTTAAAACTTAGGAAAGAGGTACTGTAGTTGGAATGCAGTATCTAGAATCAAATAATCTGTGGTGGGTTTTTGTATTCTAGCATATTAGTGATATGATTTTGGGAAACTCATCAGGTCTCTGAATCTCAGCTTTCCTATCTGTAAACTAGGAGCAATAAGAAGTTCTATGTCTACTGGTTACGGTTATTTTGAGCAGGGACTTAAAGTCAGTACTTCTGATTAAGAAAATGAGAACTTCAAAGCTTTTCTCCTCCTCCTTCACTTTTCCCTTCTTGTCCTCTTTTTTCTTTCATTATGGGGTCAAGGAAGACGAATTGTACAAAAAGTGTTTCTAGGACATCTCAGCTATTAGAATTGGCACATGATTTGCACTATGTGATAACAGAGCAGTGATATTGTCACGGTTTCCAGTGCACGTGACTTTCACCTGTGTGTAGTAAAAGGCAACCTACGATATTTATTTTTCTAAGGTAAATATTAGTTCTTTTGAGACAACATGTTTTGAGTTTGTGACTCTGTCTTGTGGGTTTTATAATTTGAGACTGTCATTTTCATTGTTTAGTTAATAACTTATAAAGGGCATCATTATGAAAGAGTCAAATCCTATGATTATAAGTTATACTAAAGGGAAGAGAGCTTCAATTCTCATTGAGGGACAGTGGCCATGACTTGGATAGGGCCTGCAGTGACCATCGCTGTTAGCACTGGGGTGCCACATCAGTAGGGTGTTCATATAATGTATCAGGAACTGTCCAAGGCAAATCAGGACACAGTTAATCATTTTTATGATCTTCTTCAGACTTCACATCTATGGAATGGACACAAGCCTCTTTCTCTTGAGTTTTAAGAATCTGTAAATTTAAAAGTTCCAAGTTCCTCAAGAAAAAATTACAATGTAAGGCCAGTCTAATTAGGTATTAACTCTTTTTCCTCCAATATTTGAAGTTTTAGAAATCCTTCTGATGGTGCTTCTTTTGATTTGTTAGAGCATCTTTTCATTTCATGGATTCAATAGGTTCTCTTATCTCTTTAAGGATACTGATGACAGTTTTTAAACTTTATTTTTCCCTGCAAAGTCTACCTTCCTCTATATTATTTTTGTTTATTTATTTTAACCTTTTTTTTCCATTTTAAAGATTATTTTTGATACCTGGTAATTCTTGGCTGCTTGCTCATGATGGGGCTGAAAAGTAAATCAGAGGCTCCAAGCAGGTGGGGAATGGAACTTAACTGACTGAGCATCACACAAGTGGTTATCCAGTGGATTGTTTACTGTGGACCCCCGATGTCATTTTCTTTAGGTCTTTCCTGTGGGTAGGTCATGTTCCCAAAGAATTATCTCCTAATCCCCTGTCTGGCTGCCAGATAAGGGTCTGGCTGTCAATTTTCCTGGGGATTGATACTGGGAAGGAGGCAGGGGGCTCAGTGTTACATCATATCGTAAATAATTTACAAATATCTGGTACAGTACTTGGGCCCTTAACCATACTGACCTCAACCCCAGTCCAGAGACCTTTCATTGTATGCAGTGAATAAGCTTGGGGACCTTTGCGAGGTCAGTGAAAAGCAGTTACCCATTGGTATGGAGAGGAAGCGGAAGATCTAGAATCTAAATGATTATCAAACAGGTTTCACACAGTCCTTTTCCTTATAGCCTTCCAGACTCCCAGCCTCTAGTTCCAGAAGTAGGTGGTGCTACTTGTTCCTTAGATTTTTAAGGTTTTGGCAGTATAATTTGGCTTTTGGAAGGGAGCAAAATTGAATGTATCTTCAATCTGCCCTCTTAACCCAGAACACTGTATCATGTGATTTAATTCTTGCTTTTATTTCTTTGGACATATTAAACATTCAATATAAATTATAGTTGACAATTCTAATATCTAGCCTTTTGGATATGCTTTTGTTGATTGTTGTTTCTGTTTACTCTTATTGACGGCATCTTTTTAACTGTGAGTTTTTCAGACTTCATTGTGAGTTCATGTTACTTGGAACCTTGAAGCTGCTTTGATAGGTACTTCTTCCAGGGACCTAGGGGTACTCTCACCTTGGGTCTGCTTTAAGTTCTCAATTTCTGATTCTTTTGGATACCTAAGAAGTGTGAGGGCTGGCCCATGGTTACAAATTCCTGGCTGGAATTTGTAACTAACCCTTTTCTAGTGCATGTGGCCCTTTGGAGATATAGCTTCCTAAAGGGGGCCCTAGTTCACTTCTATACCTGGGAATAGCCCTCAGGTTATGCCTTCTGCTCCAAAAATGTGAAGTTTCTAGAAACAAAGCTCTCATTCTTGAGACTAGAATCTGGCATCAGGACTAAGCTCACCCTTGAGATAGATTGATCTGCAGGGCTAGCTTATCTTGCTAGATGCCTGCTCTTGCTTTATCTCTGGCTTCAGAGGATCACCCCTACGTTCATACATGCTCACTTAGGCACGTAAGAGTTTATAAGAACTGAGGTTGGGTATGGTGGCTCACGCCTGTAATCTCAACACTTTGGGAGGCCAAAGTGGGAGGATTCCTTGAGCCCAGAAGTTCAAGACCTTTGTGGGCAACATATGGAGATTCTGTCTCTACAAAAGAAAAAAATTAGCCCAGTGTAATAGCACGTCTATAGTGCCAGCTACTTGGTAGGCTGAGGTGGGAGCATCACTTGAACCTGGGAGGTCAAGACTGCGGGAGCTGTGATTGTGGCACTGCACTCCAACCTTGGTGGGAGAGTGAGATCCTGTCTCAAAAAAATAAAATAAAAGAATTGAGTACCTGTTTTCTTTCTGCTCTTCTACATTGTCAAGTGAATTAAACAGAGAAAGTTGGCTTTGCCTGATGGCTCTGCCCACTGCTACCAAGGCGTCCAGGTTTGAGGTCAGCTATGGGCAATTTGCCAAGAAAATCTCCCCACACCCATCCATACCCACTGCACCCTGCTGCAGACTCTACGTTTCTCTCCTGCTTAGAAACCTTCTGGGGCTCTCCCTTCCTCTTCATTGCTCTCTATTCTCCATCCTGGCTGCTCTTTTAACAGGTCTTACCTTTGCTCTTCTGTTCTTGCAGTGCCCTCTGCTTAGAACACTGTCACTTGCCCAATACCCAGAGCCCCTTGGTCCCAATCGCCCCCTATCATTCCCTCTTTGATCCTGTTCATGAGGGGTCCTCTACTTGGCATGTCTTTACTTTACCTTCCCCATATGGCTAGTCTTCACTTTACCTGCCCCATATAATAACCTCAGTCGTATTTATGGCTTGATTCTAAAACCACCTTCTCCTTGCAGCAAACCTTGATCTTCCTTACCAAAGGCAAGCTCTCCCACAACACATACTTTAAATTCCACTAACAGCTTTGTACCACTTCTCAGTGATTATTTTTGCATATATCTCTTCAGCTTCCACCTGCTGGAGGTAAAAAAAAAAATTGTACAAGGGAGATCGACAAAAGTGTATTTTCTCTAAAATACTTAGAGGAATTAGTTATGTTGAGATTCATAAATATTTAATTTATATAAAACATGTCTTTCCTGTTTAAATTTCTTTTTAGCGTTTTAAAGTGTTTTTGGTGTGTGGTTTTCAGGATATCTCACAAGAAACAGGCAACTCAATATCCATTTTATATTGTTTCAATTCCTTTGAAACTTTTAAAATATATGATATATGTGTGCATATATATATATACACACACAGTATGTGTAGATATATACATATATGTATATATATGTAATACTACACAGAAACAATAACATCATTTATTTTAAAAATGTATACATAGTAAAATGTGCAAATCTCAATGTAAAGCCTTCTGAATTTTATATGTGGATATATCCATCTAACCACCACTTAGATGAAGATGAGAAATTTTCATCACTTCAGAACATTCCCATATGCTTTTTCCTATCAATAGTCTCTTCCCTCCCTACCCAAGGTAATGACTTACATTGAATATATTCAACGTAAGGATTTTTAAAAAATCTAGTCTCAGCATCACTTTCTGTGAATTGGTGAGTTTATTCTGTTTACTTTTATTGCAAATACTGATAGAATTTTGATATATTCTACCATTCTATTTTGTGTTCTCTATTTAAAATACGTTTGCTTTGTTTATTTTTAAATTTTTTCCTCCCTTAGGTTGTATTAATCAAATTTAGATTATTTGCTATTTGGGAGTTATATGTACCATTTCATTCTTCTGATGAAAAAATTCTTCTATACATACTTGACTTAATGAAGCTCAAAATTCATCAGTGTCTCTATTTTTCCTTTGAAAACTATAGGCCCTTAGAATAATTTAATTCCAGTATTTTCCCTGTATTATTTGATATTATTTATATCTAGTTTTACTTTATTTAAAAAGGAACTTCCTAGGTTCCTCAGAAAACTAAAAATAAAACTACCATACGACCAAGCAGTCCCACTGCTGGACAATCCAAAAGAAAGAAAATCAGTATTTCCAAGAGATATTTGCACTCCCATGTTTATAGTAGCACAATTCACAGTAGGCAAGATACAGAATCAACCTAAGTGCCCATCAATGGACGCAGAGATAAGAAAATGTGGAATATACACACAATGGAATATTATTCATCCATAAAAAGAATACAATTCTGTCATTTGCAGCAACACAGATGGACCTGGAGATTATTATATTAAGTGAAATAAGTCAGGCACTGAAAGACAAATATCACATGTTCTCTCTCAGTCATAAGTTGGGGCTAAAAAAGTGGATCTTATGGAGGCAGAGAGTAGAATGATGGTTAATAGAATCTAAGAATGGAAGAGGGGTGAGGGAATCATGGGAAGTTGGTTAAGGAGTACAAAAATACAGTTAGAAGGAATAAATTCTAATATTTGATAATACACTAGGAAAATTAGTTAATAATAATTAATTATATATTTTAAAATAGCAAGAAGAATTATAATATTCCCAACACAAAGAAAAGGTGAATATTTGATGTGATGGATATCCCAATTACCATGATTTGATTATTACACACTGTATACAGGTACCAAAATATCATATATACCCTAAAGATATGTGTAACCATTTTATATCAATGAAAAAGGAAACTCCTTGAATTAGTCAATATTATTAATAGTTAACCTAAATTCATACTTTTTTCCTAACTTCTTTACCATTTCCTTGTTCATCATTGCTTCTCACATCCCACTCTAAATGTTTAGTTTCAGTTTTCTTCTTACTCATGTGCATCCTTTCATACTTCTCTCAGAAGACATCTATGGATATAAACTTTCCCATATATTTTGAATAAAAAGTTTTTGTTTTACTTTATTCAAAGGAGAGTTTAGACTTCTAAACGGACAGTGCTTTTTCTCAGGGCTGGGCTAGTGAGAGGAGTATTTATTTATTGTAAAAATCCTAATTTCACAGATGGAGCAGCTTTTCAAGACTCACAGCATTTCAAGGTGATTGTTTCCAGCTCTGGTTAAAATGCATTTAAAGCCATGCTTTTGTCTCTGTGGTGGCCTTAAACAAACAAACAAACTGGCTGTTAGCCTGAGGGCACACATCTTGTCCAGTAGCTCTGTGGGCCACCATAATTCTGTCTTACTTATTTTAGCTTTGAAGATAGCTTTTTTACATTGTGTGAGAAGTGTCTTGCCATGCCCTCATCAACTAGCCTCACCATTCCCTGTTGGTTTATTCTCCTTTTTACTTCACCTGCCCAGCCCCCAAAGGCATTTTAGTTTGTAATGAGCACCACTGGGTATGCCTTCATATACAGAAATACAGGCATTTGGTGATATGTGATTTGCTCATTCAGTTCTCTATCTTTTTGGCACTTACTCTGTGCAAGTCACTATACAGATGTTAGGGATAAGGCAGTGAACAAGAGAGACCCAAATCCCTAATCTTGTATAGTTTGCATTCAAGTTGTATGGAACATACAGTAAGCAGATACATACTTAAGATACATTGTGTTTCAGTCAGTGATGACTACTAAGGAAAACACTAAATCAGGAAAGTGGGATAGAAAGTGCTGACGGGGGTTGGTTGCTATTGTAATAAGTCATCAGGGGAGGCCTTACTGACAGAGGAACATTGGAACAGAGACCTAAAGTGGGAAGCGAACATACCTTGCAAGGACTTGAGGGAGCACCCTCATGGCAGAGGCAACACTAAGTTCAAAGGCTCCAAGGCAGGACCGTGAATGCCAAAATATCTGGAATCAGTGCCAGAGTGAATGGCTGCACATGAGGTCAGAAAGGGGAGCCAAGTCAGGCTGGAAGAAGCTACTGCAAGGCAAAGTGGAAGAAGTATTGGTGCTTCAACATAGGAAAATACACTCTCATGAATTATTTAATAATTCAAATCAAAATTAAGTTTTGTTTGAATCATCAGTAAAACCAGAAAAATACAGTCTTAAAAGATAAAGATCACAGGTGTCTTTTTTTTTTTTTTTTTTTTTTTTTTTTTTTCCCGTGACGGAGTCTCACTCTGTTGTCAGGCTGGAGTGCAGTGGTGCGATCTCAGCTCACTGCAACCTCCACCTCCTGGGTTCAAGCGATTCTCCTGCCTCAGCCTCCCAAGTAGCTGGGACTACAGGTGCATGCCACCACGCTCAGCTAATTTTTATATTTTTAGTAGAGATGCGGTTTCACCATGTTGGCCAGGATGGTCATGATCTCTTGACCTCATGGTCTGCCTGCCTCAGCCTCCTAAAGTGCTGGGATTACAGGCGTGAGCCACGGTGCCTGGCCACATGTGTCTTTATTTAATCTGAACCACTGGATAATTTGAAAAATTGAATAAAAAGGAACTTGAGAGAATTGGTCTTTCTACATCTTATGAAGAGCAACTTGAATAAGTTTATTATAGAGCAGTTTTATTTCATGAGACTGTTGATATGTGGCCCTAAGTGTCTATTATGTTTTATTTCTTTCACTCAACAGGAGAGCTGATTTTCTTGGTGCACTGGCAGCCAAGATTTAATTAATTATTTTTACAATGTACATATAATAATATAATAATTGTTTTACATATTATATTCTGTTATTGTCAGTTACAGTACTAGAGCTCATTCTATTATTTCCTTATAATAGTTGTTCTCTTTTCCACGTCAAACTCTTCTTGGGATTTGAATGTGAAGACCCAGGGAATCTCAGTGATGAGAATTTCTCCTCATTGTTATTATTGATGATATTAATAATGATTTCTAATTATCTCTTATTTAACTGCTATGTAGTAGGTGCTTAACAGAGCATTAAATGCACACACACACAAACATGTACACATACTCCTTATTATTAGAATGGATGAGTAAAAGAATTGGTTTGAATTTACTCTATCATTAGTAAATCCCTGGGCACACATAATGAAAATAAGAAGAAAAAATATGAACTAGTTTAAATAAACCATATGCCAGGTTGGCAAAATCAATCAAAAATGCTTGTTCATTTTTCGTATTTATCTGCTTGGAGAATTGAGAAATATTCACTCTTATTCGTATATTTTTCAAGGTCTTGTTTAGTGCCACTATTTTCTGAAGCTCATCTTAGAAAAGAGCCGGTCAGGACAATTCTGTTCCTTTAAAGTCTTCCCTACCACTGTTGCTGAGAAGAAATGTCAGTGCATCTAATTGGTGCCCAGAAGAAAAAGAGCCTTTAGCAAAGTACAAGTATAACAGTGAAAGCATAAAGAGAACTATGAACTAGTTTCAAAGAAACCATCTATTTCTGCCTGATTCAATTCAGTTAAAATTTATTGAACACCTGCTATGGAGTAATTATAATTTAAATATGGACTAATTCTCAAGTATCTTAAAGCCTTGTTTATTAAACAAGATCTGATTCAAGAAAAAGGAGCAATATAAAACAATGTAAAGTCAGCTGATGACCATGAATGCAAGAGGTTCTAGGTGCCATCAGAAGGGAGATGGCACCTTTATGGGTAGGAGTGCTTGGGGAAACTGAGGGAGGATGTCAACAGGACTCACTGGATGGATGGCATTTTGAAGGCAGAGGGGAAGGAAGGAACAGTCCAACTGAGAGTAAAAATATAAAAAGATTCACAGGTAGGAATGGGCATCATATATTCTGGCAGCATGAAGGAAACCAACGTGGTTGAAGTAAAAGTTCAGGTAATTGAAGGAGGGTGAGGAGATGAAAGTAAGTTTGGCTAGGATACAATTTGAGGAGAGATTTGAATCAAATTGAGGAATTTTGATTTTTGTTAGAAAAAAAAATATTTGAAAAGATTTCAGTGAAAATGGTAGAGTAAGAACTTCCAAAAATTCTCTCCTCCATATAAGCAATGAGAAACCTAGAAAAAATTGCCATATTTAGCTTTCAGAACTCTGGAAATTAACCAAAAGCTTACAGCAACCTAGAGAGCATTTATTCAAGACAATTGGGTGAATCTCAGTAAGAACAGTGATCTTCATGGCATCTTAACTTCCCTTATTCCTATTCACGTCTTTTCAGCTCTGTGGTGGCATTGAAAGAGAGTATCCCACAATCAAGATTAAAACCAGCAGCCTGACAACCACCAGAAGAGACAGAATGGGACTGGACTTCCTCCAAAGCCTCATTCCTGGGGAATTGTTGTTATTTGACTTGTCTGGTGGGTCCCTGGACCTACTTGCAAGGCGTCTTTTATTTGTTTTAACTCAGAGCTCATCCAGTGAAAAAAAATCTTTCTCCAAGGGCATTTATCAAAACTATTTAGAGGCAGTTGTTCTACTTTGACACTGCCTGAGGTGGAGATAGCAGTTGGGGCAAACAATAGGCTAGAGAGTGAGATATCCATAGGGGCTTTGAAATCCTCTGATATATTCCTGGGAATCTATAAGTCCACATACAGATGTAGGCTGTGTGCATGCCAGGAGATTTACACATGATCAGTAAAGACCTGAGAAGTCCGTAAATTCTCACTGCTGGATGACCCTGAGGCTCTGTGTAGGCAGGAAATGAAGGCTAAGGCAGAGTTGTCAATTGTCTGGCTGCATAAAGAAGGCACACTCCAACACAAAGAGTCTTTCAGCCAAGCCTGGAAGACTTATTGGTTACAGGTGTATAAAAAAAAAATCTCTGTCCAGTAATTAGCTTACCAATAAGTTAATTGATCAGAGATATCAGTGGCCACACATGACAGAGAATACAGACTTAACATAATTAGTTCATGACAAGTCACCAAACAGAAACAACAAAAAACAAAATCAAACCATGGGGAGAGTGGTTGAATCAGATATCCAGAACAACCACATTATATAATTTAAAATATAAATTTTCAGAAAAAAATTTAGAGACAGGCAAATAAATAAGAAAGTATAGTCTGTACAAATGAAAAAAATAATCAACAGAAAGTGTCCTTGAGGAAGCCCAGATACTGGATTTATTTAACAAAGACTTTAAATTAGATACTTAAAATATGTTTAAAGAGCTAAAGGAAACTGTCTAAAAAGCTAAAAAAGCATAAGAATAATGTCTTAATAAATAGAGAGTGACAATAAAGAAATATACATTATGTATAAAAAAACTAAATAGAAATTCTAGAGTTGAAAAGTCAAAATAACCGTATAAAATAATTCACATGATTTAAAAGCAAATTTGAGAGAAAATGGCTTCAAGATGACTGACCAGACTTGGTACTCACCTCTTCCACAGAGAGGAACCAAAATAGCAAGTAGATAATCACACTTTGAATAGATTATCTAAGAAAGGACACTGGAATTCAACAGAGAAATGATGGGCAACACTGAAAGCAAAGGAGAGGGAAGTGAGGTAGCATGTTTGGCCAGGATTGGCTGCGAGTCTGTAGAAGCTCCCTAATTTGGGGAAAGGGTAAATGAGAGACCCCCAGAGGTCGACATTCCTGCCACAAACTCCTATAATCTTAGTCACCGGAGAGCCCCTAGGCCCTAGAGGACCTGAAGACTAACATAGGGAGCTGCCTGAAGACCACATGAAGGCATTGGTCTAGAGAGAGAGAGCTCACACTGGGTTTCACAAATCCCTAGTCCTAAGAAGATGCATCATGATGCCATTCTGAGAGCCCAGCCCCACCTGACTGTCCTGCCCTTGGGCTCAACAGCTTCTATATCTCCACATTCCTGGATCCCCATTGCCCATAGCCACTGCTGTTGAGGGGAGTGAATGGAAGCTATGGGCAGCAACACGCCTTGCCCTCCTCCCAACGGAGAGGCAGCTATGTATTTCCACATGCCCTGAGGACAAATTCCACTGTCCACAACTGCGGTTGCTCTTGGCTGCTGTGGGCTGAGGTGTAAGAGAAACTTGAGCCACTCAGCTACCTGCTTACAGCTGCTCCCACTAAAAGCAAGCTTGTCATCTTCTGTGTCAGGCCTGAAGTGCACCTGCTACTGCCCTACCTGAGCATTCTGCCGGTGGCCTGGGGATCACCCCACCCCTCCTGCCACACAACTCTGGGGGGTCTGAGGGCGGGTCCACTGGACCTGCTCCACATTCCCAGTACCTGACTACATTGTCTGGGTGCCTGGAGCTTGCCCAGCTGAGTCCACCAATGTTGGCACTTGAGCATTCCTCCCAGGGTCTGAGATTGGGCCCGTTCACCCTACTGATGCCACCACAGCTGGCATCCATGTGCATGCACCACATGTGGGTCTGGGGACTGGCCCATCCAGCCCATTGCAGCCATCACCAACACCAGTGCAAACAGTTTGGGTCCCAGAGGGTTGTCCTACTCCCACCATTGTTACTTCCATTGCTTATGCCACACCTACTGCCCAGGAGATTGAGAGCTCAACTACCTGCCTGGCCAATTGCTGCCATTCCCAGCATGCAAGCAAGTCTCCTGGAGGCCCAAGAATCAGCCTACCTGAACCTGCTAACACTGTTGCCAGTATACACTGCCCGAGGGCCCAGGGACAGGCACACTTAGTTGACAAGGAACACAAGGATTCTCTAATAAGAGATCCAAATCAGAAAGAATTTTTAAAAATTACAGAAAAAGAATTTAGTTTGACACTAAATAAGCTCAATGAGATAAGAGGATATCGAAAAGCAATACAAAGAAATTAGAAGAACAAATCAGGATATGAATGAGAAATTTATCAAAGAAATAGATATTACAAAAGAGAACCAAACAGAAAATCTGAAGAATCTGTTGAATGAAATACAAAATACCTTCAAAAGCTTTAACAGTAGAATATAGCAGGCAGAAGAAAGACTCTCAAAACTTGAAGACAAGTCTTTTGAAATAACCCAGTCAGACAAAAATAAAAAAGAATGAAAAAGCCTTATGACATATGGGACACCATAAAGCAATCAAATATTCAAATTTTTGATGTCTTAGAAGGCAAAGAGAAAATGAAAGAGAAAACATATTTAACAGAATAGTAGATGAAGACTTCTCAAGTTCACCAAGAAATTTAGATATCTAGATTCAGGAGGCGCAAAGAAAACCAAATAGATACAATTCAATGTCTTCTCCACAGCACATGGCAGTCAAACTGTCAAAAGTCAAAGACAATGGAAAAACTCTAAAACCAGCAAGAGAAAGTCATCTAGTCACTTATAAAAACCTCCCTCCCGACTAACAGCAGATTTCTCAGCAGAAACCTTACAGACCAGGAGAGAATGGGATGATAGGTTCAAAGTGTGAAAGAAAAAGAGTGTCGGCCAAGGATACTATAGCCAGAAAAGTTATACTTCTTAAACGAAGAAGAAATAAAGTCTTTTCAAGACAAGCAAAAGCTGAGGGAATTCATCAACACTTGAACAATCCTACGAGAAATGCATAAGGGAGTCCTACACCCAGAAGAGAAAGAACAAAAACTACCATCATGAAAACACATCAAAATATAAGAACCACCGGTAGAGCAAACACAGAAACATGAAAGAGAAAAAGATAAAGGAGCAGAAAGAATACTTGAAGAAATAATGGCCAAAACTTCCCAAATGTGATAAAAACCACTAATCTATAGATCCAAGAATATCAATGACATCATATAGGATAAACTAAAAAAGAGCCACTTCTAGAAATAAAATAATTAAACTGCTGATAGCCAAAACAAACAGAAAATCTTTAAAGCAGCAAAGTAGAAGCTGCATTGCAAATGATGCCTAATAGATTAACAGCCAATTTCTCATCAGGATCCATGGAAGCCAGAGGCAATGGGATGACATATTCAAAGTACTGAATGAAAACAACTGTCAATCAAGAGTGTATGTCCAGCAAAACTAACTTTAAAGATGAAGGAAAAATTAAGACTGTCAGATAAACAAAAACTGAAAGAATGTGTCACTAGCAAATCTCTTGTGTAAGATATAGTAAAGGAAGTCCTTCAGGCTAAAATTAAAGGATATTAGTAACTTGGATCTGCATGAATAAATGGAAAGCATTGGTATGTTGGAATATAAAAGACAGATAAATATATATTTTATTTGTAAGCTTTTTCTCCCATGTGATTTATGGGAAACTGCATAGAGTAATAATTATAAATCTGCATTTTGAAAATATGTGCAATGTATAAAGATGCCATTTGTGTGACAATAACACCACAAAGAAAAGATGATACAGCTATATAGAATCAAGTTTTTTGTATACTATTAAAACTAAGTTCATATTAATTTAAACTAGATTATTATAAATTCAGATGTTAATTGTACTCTCCAGTGGAACTACTAGGAAAGTAATTGAAAAAAAAAGTGTCTCTTGCCACTTCTACTCAAAATTTGACTGGAGGTGTTAGCCAGGAGAGTTGGGTAAGGAAATAAAAAATAAAAGACATCAAGATTGGGAAGAAAGAAATAAAACTCTATTCACAGATGATGTGATTTTTTTTTTTTTGTAGAGAATTCTAAGAAATTCACAAAAAATTTTAAAGCTATAAAAATGAGTTATAAGATTGCAGAATGAAGTATCAACATACAAAAATTAATTGTATTTTTGTATATTCATGAGTAATCCAAAAAGCAAATAAAACAATTTTATTTAAAAAGCACAAAAGAATAAAGTATTTAGAAATAAGTTTGACAAAAGAAGTGTGAAACTTGTATACTGAAAACTAAAAACAGTGTTGAAAGAAAGTTTTAGAAATCTTCAAATTGATGGAAAGGCATCCTGTGTTCATAGATTGGAACACTTAATATGGTCATTGACACTAATCCAACATTGACAGACAAAGAGAATCTCTTTCAAAATTGCAGCATAATTTTTTTTGAATTGACAAGTTGATTTTGACATCCATTTGGAAATTCAAGGGGCCTGAAGAGCCAAAACAATCTTCAAAATGATTGGAGGACTTACACTACCAAATTTCAAAAGTTACTACAAAGCCTTATACTTAAGACTGTATCATACTAGCATAATGATAGGCATGTAGATTAATGAAATAAAATTCAGCATCCAGAAATAAACCCATGTATTTATGGACAAATGATTTTCTACAAGAGTACCAGGACAATTTAGTTGGGGGAAAGAATAGTCTTTGCAACATGTTACTGGGATAGTAGAGGTCCATATGTAAAAAAAAAATGAAGTTGGACCCCTAACTCATACCATATATAAAAATTAACTCAAAATAGATCAAAAACTTAAATGTAAGAGCTAAAACTATAAAGTTCTTAGGATAATACATAACTATAACTCATCATGACCTTTGATCATACAATTACCTTGGATCAGGCAATGGTTTCCTAGATATGATACATAAATCGAAACAATTAGTGAAGAATAATACATAAGATTTCATAAAAATTAAAAACGTATTTGTTTTAAAGAGCATTATTAAAAGAGTGAAATGACAGTTAACATAATGGGAGAAAATATTTGCAAATTATAAATATTATAAAGAGGTAGTATCAAGAATATTTAAAGAATTCTTACGACTAAATAATATGAAGACAACCTAATCAAAAATGGGCAAAAGGGTTGGGCATGGTGGCTTATACCTGTAATCCCAGCACTTTGGGAGGTCAAGGTGAGAGGATTTCTTGAGGCCGGGAATTCAAGACCAGGCTAGAAAACGTAGTGAGACCCCACCTCTACAAAAAAATTAAACAAAAATTTAGCCAGGCATAGTAGTGTGCAGCACTGTAGTCCCAGTTACTTGGCAGGCTGAGGTGAGAGGATTGCTTGAGCCTGGGAGGCTGACACTGCAGAGAGCTGTGATCTCACCATTGCACTCCAGCCTGGGCAACAGAGCAAGACCCCATCTCTAAGAAAAAAAAAAGAAAAGGAAAAAAAGCGTCAAAAATTTTAATTAAAGATTTCTTCTGTGAAAGGAAAATAAATCTTGAGGCCCCCAAATCGCTAAGCTAAAGGGAAAAGTCAAGCTGGGAACAGCTTAGGACCAACCTGACTCCCATTCTATTCAGGCACTCCTCTGCTCACTGAGATAAATACATATCTGATTGCCTCATTTGGAGAGGCTAATCAAAAAACTCAAAAGAATGCAACCATTTGTCTGTTATCTACCTATGACCTGGAAGCCCCCTCCCCGCTTTGAGTCTTCCTGTCTTTGCTTCAAGGTGTCTTGCCTTTCCAGACCAAATCAATGTTCATCTTGCATATTTGATTGATGTCTCATGTCTCACTGGAATGTATAAAACCAATCTGTGCTCTGAGCACCTTGGGCACGTGTAGTCAGGACCTCCTGAGGCTGTGTTGTGGGCACACATCCTCAACCTTGGCAAAATAAACTTTCTAAATTAACTGAGACCCGTCTCAGATTTTCGGGGTTCACACTTCAAAGAAGATACACAAATGATCAATAATCATCAATAATGTTCAACATCATTAGGCAATAAGGAAGTACAAATCAAAATCACAGTGAGACACTACTTTATACCCAGTAGGATGCCATAATACAAAAGATGGACAATAACAAGCATGGGCAAGGGTGTGGAGAAGCTGGAACCTTCATACGTTGCTGTTAAGAATGTAAAATGGTGTAATTTGAAAAACAGTTTGACACTTCCTCAAATAGTTAAAAATGGAGTTACCGTGTTACCCAACAAATCCACTCCAAGGTAATGCTCATCAAAGATGAAAACATACGTTCACACAATAGCAGAATTATTCATAATAGCCAAAAAGTAAGTACAACCTAAATCTCAAATGTCCATCAACCGATAAATGGGTAAACAAAATGTGATATACCATACTGTAAAATAATATTCAGTTATAAAAATGAAGAAAGTACTTACACATGGTACAGCACAGTTGAACCCTGAAAATATGCTACATGATGGACGCAAGGCAGAAAAGACCACATACTATAGGATTCCATTCATATGAAATGTCCAGAAGGGGCAAATAATAGAATAAAGATTAGTGGTTGTCAGGGCCTTGGGGAGAGGGTAATGGGAGTGACTACTAAATGGTATGGAGTTTTGGGGATCAAGTTTCAAGTTTTGGTGGGGACAAACAAACCATATTCACACCGTGGCAAGTCAGGAGGACCCCAATTAGGAAAAGGTTATTGCATCTTGCCAAAAGAGCACTGCGTCAGGAGTCCACAGTATTTCAAGTTATTTTATGAGAATTTCTGTTCGTAAGCATTTAGTACTTAGCAGTGCTCAGCTATGGAATATGTTGAATACTTTTTTATTGAAGTTGACGCTAAAAGGCGCATGCTGTAATCTCTAGGTTTGGGTGTGTGGGTCACTTTGTATACTCCAACTCAGAGCATAAATTTCCTCTTCTATAAAATAGATTCTTTATGGTGAGAAGCAAATTACATCATGTATAAGAATATTATTTTTATAAAGCCTAATTTATGCAAGGTAGTGCCAATAGTAAGCATAACAATAACAAAAATAAAAATAATAGAGGAGACTATGTATCCATAGCTCCAGTACTAGTGGATTGACTTATCATTGAAAAATTTTTTTGCAGGACAAAGCCTACGATTTTTTCCAATCACAATTTTGCCGAGTTGACTTTAAATATATTGTAATGTATATATTATATGTTAGATAATATACATTTTAAAAAACAGATTGGATATTATAAATATGTTGGTTATTATCCAATGTATGTTGCATGTTGGCTATTATAGAATTTCCTATATATATGTTTATATATCATATACTTATGTGTATTTATAAATGTGTGTCCATGCATACACACATACGCATATGTATATATGACATAAAACTAAGATAACAAGCATGTTGCTTCAATTTGGTTCAGGGTCTTATCTTACCCAATACTACTTAAAAAATGCTTACATTTTGAATGTGTTTCTGATTTTTATGTGAAAATATAAAAAGCCCCTCTAAGAATAGAAAGCCAGTTCAGGAATGAAACTTCCTCTCTTGCTTAGAGGGCTGTGTTTTCCTATGCAAATGTAGCAAAGCCCAGAAATTAGCAATGACTGCTAAATTAACACAGTTGAGGAGCTTGGCTGGTTCTAATAGGCAGTCAAATGGTCTTGTTACATTGTAATGGTGCCAAGCTAATTGAAGTGATTACTGTTGCTCATGAGCAGCCTTTTTGAAGTAGAAGTCTTTTAAATTATCCATAGACGTTAAATGTCAGACACTATTGTGTAATTATACTTTGTAAATGCTGAATGTCATAAGGCATCACAGGTAATTGAGGTTTACAGAGAAGAGCTTTTTCTAAACCTAATTGGGCATCAACTCTTTGTCACTTTTTCTAAATCTAATTGGGCATCAACTTTTTGTACCAGGGGACACTCCAATGCCTCACAGGCTTCCTTTATTCCCCACCTTCTCCCTGCTAGACTTACTCCTGGGGCCCCACATGTCATGACGGTTCCAAATCATTGAGCTTAAAAACCTCTCTGTCTGTATCATCCTTTGGAATCTTCTGGGACTGTTACACTGGTTTGGGATATCACAAGCTGAAGCTCTCTGGAAACCTGATGTGGCTAAGTGATGGCAGAATGGGGCCATCGGAATGGAATATCAGGTCCTTTAAGATCTTAGAGTGATCCTAGAATATTCTGCACGTTCTGGGATTTGCATCTCTGTGTTGTTGTTGTTGTTGTGTGTGTGTGATTTTGAAAAGTATCTGTTCGTGATATTAAAAGTTGAGGTTTTCATGGTCCTAAAGTAGCCATCTGTGGTTTGTTCCATTGTTTTTATTTCTTAAGTCATATTGGAATATACATCTGGTTTCCAATTTGAAAAGAATTCTAGGCCAGGCACAGTGGCTCATGCCTGTAATCCCAGCACTTTAGGAGGCCAAGGCAGGCAGATCACATCACAAAGTCAAGAGTTCGAGACCAGCCTGGCCAATATGGTGAAAGCCCATCTCTACTAAAAATATAAAAATTAGCTGGGCGTGGTGGCAGGCACCTATAGTCCCAGCTACTCAGGAGGCTGAGGCAAGAGAATCGTCTGAACCCGGGAGGTAGAGGTTGCAGTGAGCCCAGATGGCACCATTGCACTCTAGGCTGGGCGACAGAGCAAGACTCAGTCTCAAAAATAAAAAATAAAAAAAAATAAAAATAATTCTAAAAAGATTTTTTTTTTGCTTTTATGACAGTAATGCTAATCTTAAGCCATACTTCAGAACCTTCAGATGTCTTGCCTGTGTGAGCCGTGCACTGAGAGGGACCAAACAGCCAGATTGAACTTTTAATACAGACCTCAAGATGTCTTGGACTGTGAATCCTCCAGCTTGGCTTGCTGGGAAGATAGACTCGATTTTTGAAATTGTGGCTCGCAGGAAATATACAAAAAGGCATTCTTATTACATAATTCTTAATACATGTATTCAATTGGTCACCAAATTTTATTAAACTGTTATTATCTCACTGTGATTTCATGACAGGGCCCTCATTGTGTGCTTTCAGCAGGTAGCAATTTATGAAAGTCCTAGCTTATTTGTAAAGGTATCTTCATCTGTGTGTGTGTTTTTTTTTAAAGCATTCATTATTCTATATGATAAATTGAGTTCTGATTAAAATGTTTCTTCACACACAAGGAGACTATGGGAGAAATGTCAGTTCATGTAGAAAAAAATATGCGTATGTTTTCAATACTGTGAAAAAGGAGCTGGGTAGTCTAAGTATATTTCAGCAAGACTGCTGATTTCCAAAGATGGATGCAGAGGTGTTCACATAGATAGTCTTAATGGCCAGGCCCTGTTAGAGCCTTCAAAGATGTGTTCTCATTCCTTGATTATGTTTTCTTTTTCATTGTGATATTGAAAAGGCAAATTAAATGAGTATTTTTTACATATTACGAGTAGTATACAGATACTTGTCAGAAAGAACACTAAGCAGCAAGTGTAGTTTGTCTGGCATCACTTTTGAAGGTGGCTTTTATGATGTGCCTGTCAGAGAAGAATAAGGTTCAAGGATGTTATTAAAGTTGTTAAAAGTTTAAAGCACTAATATGCAAGATGCCACATAAAATGTTGAATTAGACATGGTTTTTGCACCGTGAGCTCATGTATTTCCTCTCATTTTGCTTCTCTCCTGAACAAATTATACTGTTCTTGATAAAATTCTTACCCCTGTGGCTTGGAAATCTTGCCTTTGTTATCAGTTCATGTTGCCATTGCCCCAGGTATAACAGAGTATCTTAAATTCATGAGGAGAGTATCATTCTTATTGATATGATATTGATGGTTAAGATATATAGGACTCATGGTTAGCCACAGATCTGAAGAATTATTCAGTTCTTTATACTTCTCTAGAAATACTCAAAAATAAGCAACAAAGTTTTGGGCTCTCTTTTGTGCAAACACTTTGAATGAATGACAGCTCTGTTGGACTCTGGCCATCCAGCAAAGCCACACATCAGCAAGTGACCACCAATGGTTGGTCGTCATGCTCCAAGGGCAGGGTTAGTCTTCTTAAGGTCAGGTTATTGCTGGCTTTATGGGTTGTCCATCAGTGCTGCTCATCACTTATTTCCAGCCCTTTGTCCTTAGGCAGAAAGTGGGCTGTGTTTCCTTGTGGTTGAGTTAGGGCCACTTTACTAATTTTGACCAAGGAGTTATGAGTAGAAATATTATGTATCATTTTCATATTGGAGCATTTAGTTGCCTATGTGTGAACTCTTCAGAGCTTTGTTCTGTTTATGTGACTGGCAATATTCGGGATGATTATTGTTCTATCAGCAAGAGAGAAGAGACCTCAGTCAGCCCCCAGCTGACTCTTAGGATATGTTGGATAAATAAGAGATAACATTTGTTATTATTGGGCTTCTTATGGCAACATAACTTAGCCTATCTGGTCAATACACGATAGCTAGGCCAGTCATTCACGTAGGGCCTATATCAGTGGTTACAGATGTCAGTGCACATGACACCCAAGATGAGTGACTGAGGCAGGCAGGACATAAGAAAAAAAAAAGACTGACTTGCTTTGTTTGCATGTCAAACATACAAGCATATTCCTTGCCTTTACAAAGGCATTATTCTAATTGTTTTTACTGAGCAGTCTTTTTGGTATATCTTTTGATTTTTCTCCTTTGGTAGAACAATAGTCCCAGCAGCTGTTTTCCTACTAGCTGTAAAACAGCAGTCAAGCATGATGATGAATGGCTATTGACACTCACTTTCAGAGTTGGGGACACCATAGGAAGGGTGATGACTATGGCAAATTGGACTACACAAGTCCTGCCTAAAGGAGGCAACTGGTTTTACTTAGTCCAGGGTCATTTCTGACCTACAAGAATGTGAGCAGAGGATTCCCAGGTTTTATGATTTTCTAGGAGAAGCTTGAAGTTAAGATTTTATGTGAAATGTTCTAATATTGAAATAATGGTCAATTTTTAAAATCATTCTGAGGACAAATAAAATATATCACAATACTGGCAGTTTATAGGCTTTGGCCAAGTGCCCTGCACCCTGTAATTCCCAAGCTAATATCCAAGTGCCCCATAGCCTGTGATACGCTAATAATAATAATAAAACTTCATGTAAAGAGGTTACATCTTTTTTTTTTTTTTTTGAGATGGAGTCTCACTCTGTCACCAGGCTAGAGTGCAGTGGCATGATCTCAGCTCACTGTAACCTCCACTTCCCGGGTTCAAGCAATTCTTCTGACTCAGCCTCCCGAGTAGCTGGGACTACAGGCGCACGCTGCCACGCCCATCTAATTTTTGTATTTATAGTAGAGACGGGGTTTCACCATGTTGGCCAGGATGGTCTCGATCTCTTGACCTCATGATCCGCCTGCCTCAGCCTCCCAAAGTGCTGGGATTACAGGTGTGAGCCACTGTGTGGCAAAGAGTTTACATCTTACAAATAGGACAAACGTATGTCAATTGGCAATGTAATAATAACAGAATAATCACAAGCTACTAGCAGATATCTGTTGATTACCCACTACCTGTTCAACACCTTGCTAGCAGCCATGAGGAATACTGAAAAAATACAGAGAATGGGCCCTGACTTTGTGAACTCATGATCTAGTTGGGCAAAATAATCAAAAGAAACAATAACAACATAGGAAACAAAAGCAACAATATAAGAAACAAATGAAAAGAGACAATAACAATATAAGAAACAAATGAAAAGAAACAATAATACTATATGAAATGAAATATAAAAATTAAAAGAAAAAATATAAGTAAAAAAGAAACAAAAGTATGTTAGTCAGGGTTCTCTGGAGAAATAGAGCCAATCAGATGGAGATATGTGTGGATACCTATCCGATAGGATAGATAGATATAGATTTAATAAGCTATATGTACGGAGGCTGAGAAGTCCCATGATCTGCTGTTTGCAAGCTTGAAATGCAGGAAATTTGGTGGTGTAGTTTGGGGCCTCAGAGCTGGAGAGTCAATCGTGTAGATTCCAGTCCTGGTTTAAGGGCCTGAGAATCAGGAGCACCAATGGCAGGAGAAGATCAATGTCCCAGCTCAACATCAGAGAGTAAATTCAAGCTTCTTCACCTTTTTGTTTTATTCAGGCCTTCTACGAATTGCATGAGGCCCACACACACAAGGGAAGGCCATCTGCTTTATTCAGTCCACTGATTCAAATGCTAATCTCTTCCAGAAATACCCTCACAGGTGTATCCAGAAACAATGTTTGGCCAGCGATCTGGGTGTCCCACGGTCCGGTTGATAGGGTTCGGATCGTGTCCCTGCCTAAATCTGATGTCAAATGATAATTCCCAATGTTGGAGGTGAGGCCTGGTGGGAGGTAGGAGGCGATTGGATCATGGCGGTGGTTTCTAATCGTTTGGCACCATCCCCCTAGTGCTGGTCTCATGATAGAGTTCTCTTGAGATGGGGTTGTTTAAAAGTGTGTAGCGCCTTCCCCTCAACCATCCCTTCTTCCTGCTCTGGCCATGTGAAGATGCCTGCTCCGCTTTGCCTTCTGCCATGAATAAAAGCTCCCTGAGGCCTCCCCAGCCATGCCTCCTGGACAGCCTGTGGAACCATGAGCCAATTAAACTGCTTTTCTTTATAATTTACCCAGTCTCGGGTATTTATTTATCGAAATGCAAAAATGAACTAATATGCCAGTCAAGCTGACATATAAAATTAACCATCACAGCAACTATATTAGAATAAATAGCTAATGGCCAAGCTGTGCACTAAGGACAGAAGTGTAATTAGAGGGCAAAAGAGGGAGAAGAGTGAAAGCACAACAGTCACATAGGCTTGAGGAAGAGGTGGGAACTGAGCAGAAAGTTGAGGAATTGATGAAATAACTTGTTGGGTAGAGAAGAGAGGATATTCCACGTGAAGATGACAACATGTGAGGGGAACAGAACATGGAGGGCTGCTTGACTAAAGTAGAGGGTGTCGGGGAGGTAGGAGGAGAGTGACTGGAGAGAGTTTAGCGCAAGGTACTGTATTAAGAAGGACTGGCCTGGTGCGGTGGCTCATGCCTATAATCCCAGCACTTTGGGAGGCCAAGGTGGGAGGATCACTTAAGGTCAGGAGTTCGAGACCAGCCTGGCCAACATGGCGAAACCCTGTCTCTACTAAAAATACAAAAATTAGCCAGGCATGGTGGCAGGCATTTGTAATCCCAGTTACTCAGGAGGCTGAGACAGGAGAATTGCTTGAACCTGGGAGGCAGAGGTTGCAGTGAGCTGAGAGTGTACCACTGTAGTCCGGCCTGGGTGACAGAGCAAGGCTCTGTCACACACACACACACACACATACACACACACACACACACACACACACACACACACACAAAGCAAATAAAAAATAATAAAAAGAAGGACCTATAAAGTCAGGTGGTGAACTGACTATCAATGCCATTAGAAGCAGAGGCTCATTACTGCAACCAGGAGATTAAGAGGAGACTAGAGACTAGAGCAGAGCCCAGCTGTGTACCTAATTAGCACTAGCCATGTGGCCTGGGACAAGTTCATTAACATCTGTTATCACCAATTTTTATATATGTAAGATGAACTGCATCAGTGTTGGATTCACTTATAAAGCTTATTAAAAATATAGATGCAGGCCGGGTGCTGTGGCTCATGCCTGTAATCTCAGCACTTTGGGAGGCTGAGGCGGGCAGATCACGAGGTCAGGAGATAGAGACCATCCTGGCTAACACGGTGAAACCTCGTCTCTACTAAAAATACAAAAAATTAGCCAGGCGTGGTGGTGGGTGCCTGTAGTCTCAGCTACTCGGGAGGCTGAGGCAGGAGAATGGCATGAACCTGGAGGCAGAGCTTGAAGTGAGCCGCGACTGGGCCACTGCACTCCAACCTGGGTGACAGAACAAGACTCTGTCTCAGAAAAAAAAAAATGCAGATGCTGGGGCACTCAGCACCCCAACTTCCTGAGAATGGGGATTCTGAGTGAGCTCTACAGGGGATTTTTTTAAATGTAATGTTAGATTCTGGGTACATGCACAGGTTTATTACTGGGATATATTGTGTGATGCTGAGGTTTGGGTTTCTACTAAACCTGTCATCCAAATAGTAAACATAGTACCCAGTAGTCAGTTTTTCAGTCTACAGGGGATTCTGATGCATGCTCATGTTGGAAACACTGAGCTGAGAGATTATGGATTGGTGAGATAGGGAGTCCCGGAGCTCATCAAACTGATGAGTAAGATAAATGAGGGCCGGAGGGGGATTTGTCCTGTATTAACAAGCAGGTTGGATTAGAGGAAAAAACAACCAATCTGATTGCTGACATGCCCCCTCCCCAATCCAAGCCAGTGTTAAAGAAAAAATTATTCACGACACTTGTTAAAGATAATAAGAATGGCTTTATTCCCAGGGGGAGGGGAGCCTGGCCATAGGTACAGGGACCACTGCAATGGAGTCTTGCAGTGAGGGAGAGAGATGGCACTGAACTCCAACTCTAACAAAAAGAAGTGGGGATTTATAACCAAGCAGCACGGTGGGTGTCAGCGCATGGAAAATTACTAAGAGGAAAAACCTCAAAGATAAAGTGTTTCTGGCTAAAGTGACTTGCTAGGTTTATTACTGAAGGCAGGGTGATAGCATATCCAGGGTGGTCAGATATGAAAGCCCCGGGGGGATTTTCCCTAAACTGACTGATCAGAATTCTTGCTCAAACTGGATCCTGCAAGGATGGGAAGGGAAACCCAATGTCAGACCTCATCAAGCAAAGGATTCAGAGGAAGCTGACTAAAGTTTTGGTCAGGGAGAGAATCCTTGTCACCGGAGTACCCTATTTTTTGTCTCCTTAATGTGACTCACCTGAAGATCTTAATTTGGGGCCACCCTGAGAGGGCATTTTTGTCTATTCATGAGGCATATCACATATTTATTGTCTGTATGAAGGAGGTGTTAATTTGGCTTTAAGGTCTTATTGTCATCTTTACTTATCTCACATGTTTTCTAGGTTTCTGGTCTTCGATGTCTCAGTTGTGGTACATATGGAGACAAAAAAAAATCAAGCCATGATTCATAGATGATAATCATATCCCAGATTTAGAACTAAATTCTGAGTTGATTCTCTCTCATTCTTCTTCCACTATACCATCCCTTTCAGCATTCCTGGTCTTAGAGGCAACTGTGTTTGTGTCCTTGACTGGGACATATTCCAACATGTTGTCAGAGAGATATTTCAGTCTCGCTTGCCTAAAGAAGTCCCATGCATGACTGCTAAAATATCAAGCATCAAAATTACATCTGATGGCTGCACAATCCCTAAAAGGCAGAAGGAAAGACTTTGCCTAAGGCAGAATGCACTAATCTGTTGTATTAGCAAGTTGCCAGAGGAGTCCAAATCAGTGTTTACTTTTGTCGAAGCAGGAATAAGGTAAAACACGCAGGAGAAGTTTCTAGTGTGGAGAAATTAGTGCTAAATTAAGATGCAAGCTACATATCCTAAGGATGGAAAACAATTTAGGGAAATGAAGCAATTGGTAAATATTATTTGTTACATTGATAAATAGGATTTGGCAGCCATTCCAAGTTTGCATTTAATTTGTGGCCAAAACCGCCTTTTGATTTGACAAAGTAATTTTATGTGTACTGCTGTGGATTGAATGTTTGTGTCTCCCCAGAATTCATATGTTGAAACCTAATTCTCAATGTAATAGTATTAGAAGGTGAGGCCTTTGGGAGGCAGTTAGGTCATGAGAGCAGGTGGAGCTGCCATGAACAGGATTAGTAACCTTGTAAGGTCCTGGGGAGATCAACAGTTCTCCCCTTCTACCATGTGAAGAGACAGCTAGAAGGTGCTATCTATAAACTGGAGAGTGGGCCCTCAAGAATCTGCTGGCACCCTGACCTTGGACTTTCCATCCCCTAGAACTGAGAAATAAATTTCTAGTTTTATAAGCCACCCAGTTTATGGTATTTGTTAAAGTAGCCCAAATGGACTAAGACATGTGCTAGTGGATATAGTTTCCAAAGTGGGCAACTGGTGGTGCACATTTGTGGAACATTGAGGAATATCATGGTACAGTGATGCAGTGGCCCCTCAGGAAGCTAATTTCTATTTTTAGACATGTGGGCATAAAAATATGATAGGAGTTCTGAAATAACCAGGAATTCAGATTTCTTATGGTGAGCTATTTCTTCCGTGATCTTTCCCTATACCCATATGTCAAATCATGCTAAGGGTGAGGAAAGAATGATGATAAATATATCATTGCAAATTGAGTGAAGCCAACATTTTTAAACAACATTATTATTATTTTTTTTAAGACCTGCTTTGTGTGAGGCAAAGTGCTAGATTTTCTGGGAGAAACAGAAAAAGGTTAAGGTGAGGTTGAGAAATATATCCAACTAACAAGAAAAAAAAAAGACAAGATTTGGGCCCTCAGAAAACTTGCATTTTGGTCTTTCAGATCACTTTTTTAAATCTAGCCATGCATGAGTTAATTTTTAGAATCCTGGGTTAAGGAACTCATGGGTAAAATAATGAGATGGGTGACAACATGGGCTGGGCATGTAGTGAGGAGAGGCCTGGCCATACTCAGGGGTGTTGTTCTCACTCCAGGCCCATGCCTGACACATAGTCCCTTATGAGAAATCCAGCCAAAGCTAATCTCTCTGAGTCTCTTCATCACAAAATATGTGGAATAGAAAATATGAGATATCATCTCACACCAGTTAGAATGGCAATCATTAAAAAGTCAGGAAACAACAGGTGCTGGAGAGGATGTGGAGAAATAGGAACACTTTTACACTGTTGGTGGGACTGTAAACTAGTTCAACCATTGTGGAAGTCAGTGTGGCGATTCCTCAGGGATCTAGAACTAGAGATACCATTTGACCCAGCCATCCCATTACTGGGTATATACCCAAAGGATTATAAATCATGCTGCTATAAAGACACATGCACACGTATGTTTATTGCGGCATTATTCACGATAGCAAAGACTTGGAACCAACCCAAATGTCCAACAATGATAGACTGGATTAAGAAAATGTGGCACATATACACCATGGAATACTATGCAGCCATAAAAAATGATGAGTTCATATCCTTTGTAGGGACATGGATGAAATTGGAAATCATCATTCTCAGTAAACTATCGCAAGAACAAAAAACCAAACACCGTATATTCTCACTCATAGGTGGGAATTGAACAATGAGATCACCTGGACACATGAAGGGGAATACCACACTGTGGGGACTGTGGTGGGGTGGGGGGAGGGGGGAGGGATAGCATTGGGAGATATACCTAATGCTAGATGACAAGTTAGTGGGTGCAGCGCACCAGCATGGCACATGTATACATATGTAACTAACCTGCACAATGTGCACATGTACCCTAAAACTTAAAGTATAATAAAAAAAAAAAAAGAAAAAAAAAAAAGAAAATATGGTCTTTCAGGTTCCTTCCTGTTTTAGAATGTATGTAGCCTAAGGGCTTGGAGGGTCTGATGGCCTCACAGGAGCATTGAATGTGAGAGCTGGAAAGAGCCAGACCAATCCATCCCTTTTATAGAATATGTCTCTTATTGTGTTAGGCCTTTTTATGTCCCCATAAAGCAGGGGTTTCCAAACTTTTGGCTTCCCTGGGCCACACTAGAAGAAGAATAATTGTCTTGGGCCACACATAAAATACACTAATACTAATGATAGCCAATGAGCCACAAAAAAATTCACAAAAAAAACTCATAATGTTTTAAGAAAGTTTACAAATTTGTGTTGGGCCTCATTCAAAGCTGTCCTGGGCCACATGAGGCCCATGGGCCATGGGTTGGGCAAACTTGCCATAAAGGAATACCTGAGGCTGGGTAATTTATAAAGAAACCAGCCCTAACTCAAGGAAAGACTATCTACTATAATGCTCTGGGTGAGTGACATTGAATTGAAATTAAGGGATTTGTAAAAAGAGATCAAGTGAAGATCAAAAGACTCAAGAAAGTATTTCTTAAGTAAAAAAATCCCAATTTATAATTCCCATTATTCATTATCCAATAATTTCTACTTCTAGTTAGACTTCCTTGGTATTTCTTATAACACTTTTTATTATTCAAGCATTTGAAGAAGAATTAGGATTCCAGCATTCAGTAGTCACTTAGTATAATGTAAAAATGATGCAAAACGCAGTCTTCCTTAAAGTAAAATTTCAGAGTAGGCATGAACCCATGATATGTTGATTAGAGGATGGAGCTGTTATCGGGTCAAACTCCAATTACATTGAGAGTTCCATCTAATTACAGTAGTCCCTCTTCTCTGCAGTTTTGTTTTTGTTGCTTTCAGTTACCTGAGGTCAACCTTGATCTGAAGGTATTAAATGGAAAATTTCAGAAATAAACAATTCATAAGTTTTAAACCCTACCTCACAATGCCTATGTCATTCACCTTACTTCATGTCATCATGTAGGCATTTTATCACCTCACATCATCACAGGAAGAAGCGTGAGTACAGTACTATAAGATATTTAGAGAGAAAGAGACCACATTCACATAACTTTTATTACAGTACATTGTTATAATTATTCTATTTTATTACTAGTTATTGTTAATTTCTTACTGTGCCTAATTTATAAATTAAGCTTTATCATAGGTATGTATGTATAAGTAAAAACATAACATAGAATATATGGGGTTCAGTATTATGTGAGGTTTCAGACATCTCTTGGGGATCTTGGAACATATGCCGCATGGATAAAGGGAGACTACTGTATCAGGAAACTGAAGAAGTTCTCCCATCTTCAGACAAGGATCATGGACCATACATAATGGCCCCTGGAAATAATATTGATAAATGATTTTCAGAATGCATCCTAAATGTCTTGGTGTGTTTTGATTACTAAAAGACATAGGCAAAAATGTGGAGAAGTTCTCATAAACTTGACTTAATGGGCAAACTAATAGATATATCTAGTTTCATCTTCTAGAACTGGGTGCGTTTGCTCAATGTTTTTGTTTTTAATTAAAAGAAGATAGATAAGCACTGCACTGATGAAAACTTACTTCAATGAATATATATTGAAAACCCACTGTGTGCTCAGCTAGGAGCTGTGGAAGGAATAAAAATAGCGTATGACAAAAGTTTCCTGATTTCAAAGGGCTTATTGTCTTTCAACTCTTCATACTCTAAAAAACAGAAAACATAACAATTGAACTTAGGACAAGTGTATTATTTCTACAGGACAGTATTTTAAGTTTGCAAAGGACTTTTACATCTACTGTCTCCTTTGATTCTTTTAATAACCTCATGAGGTGGTTGATATTATTATTTTATGAATGCAGAAATGGAGGTTCTGAAATGTTGAGTGATAGTCAAGGCCACTCAGCCAGAACCTCCCATCTTCTGCCTCCCAATTAATGTTTTCCCGCCTGGCATGCTCCCATTCTGGTCACAGATTCCTCTGGTTGAGGTGGGTAAAGTCAGTACTACATTGTCACCATTGTTTGGTTGGAGCTTATGTCTGGTACCACATACCCCGTGAATAGCATGGCTATTAGTTGTGGTTTAGGTTTATGATCTGGGAGACCTCTCTTGAAGGATATGTGAGAAATACTGCCAGGTTTCATTCTTAAAAACTTGTGGCCTTATTATGTTGAAAGTCCCTGCTGAAATTATATTGAAAGTACCTTTTGTGCTGAATTTTATCCCTGCCAAATTAATACATTGAAGTCCTAACTCCCAGTTCCTCAGAATGTTAAGGGTCTTTAAAGGGTGATTAAGTTAAAATTAGGTCAGTGGGGTGGATCCTAATCCAATCTGACTGATGTTCTTATAAGAAGAGGAGGTTAGGACACAGACACAACAGAAGAAAAATGATGTGAAGACACAGGGAGAGGGTGACCATCTACAAGCCAAGGAAAGAGGCTGATATGGTTTGGCTGTGCCCCCACCCAAATCTCATCTTGAATTGTAGCTCCCACAATCCCTAAGTGTGGTAGGAGGGACCTGGTGGGAGGTAATTGAATCATGAGGGCAGGTTTTCCTGTGCTGTTCTCGTGATAGTGAATAAGTCTCATGAGACCTGATGGTTTGATAAAGGGCAGTTCCCCTGCACACACGCTCTTGTCTGCCACAATGTAAGATATGCCTTTGCTCCTCCTTCACCTTCCACCATGATTGTGGCCTCGCCAGCCATGTGGAACTGTGAGTCCATTAAATCTCTTTCCTTTATAAATTACCCAGTCTCTTGTATGTCCTTATAGCAGGGTGAGGACAGACTAATATAGAGGCCTCAGAAGAAACAACCCTGTCAACACCTTGACCTTGGACTTCCAGCCTCCAGAACCATGAGAAAATACATTTCTGTTGCTTTCACCATTCAGTCTGTTGTGCTTTATTATGGCAGCCTTAAGGAACTAATACATCACCAGAAGTATTTTAGATGGATTATTCTTAATATTTACTATGGGTATCACTCAGAGTTTTGTCTTTAAATGGAACTGAGCTTTGGTAGCTTGAATAGGGGGCTTTACTGAAACACATACTTACAGAGATGTGAGCAGAGACAAAGAAACCAGAGGCTGGCCACTGTGGAAGCTGTTCCTATGCCTGGGGGTGAGGGGGAAAGGGGAGGAAATAGGTTTCCAGAGCCCAGTGAGAACAGGAGCTGTGGCAAGGGACCATCTGGTGGGAGCTTTAGTTAGGGAAAGACAGGACTGCTGTCCCAGAAGGGTTGCAGAAACAGGGATGGAGTGGCGAAGAAATATCCTAGCATCTCTCAACTCTTGCCTTCCAGTCTCTTGGTGGAGACTTCCACTGGCCCAGTCCAACAGGAAGTTAGAAAGGAGGGGAGCATGGGTGATGGTGTCTGCTTCCAAAGATACCAAGGAGGACTGAGTAGGGTGGAAAATAGATAGGGGTAGAAATAGAGAATAACCTTGCAAAAGAAAATAATCGGCATTATCTCTATGCAACAGAGTGGAGAAACGTAGGGGCTGGGGTTAATGATTTATCCAAGGTCAGCAGCAAAGCTAGTACCAAACTGAAAATTACACTGCATCTTTCCTTTGGGGTGACTTATGATTTTCCTGTATTTTAAAAAATTATTATGAGGGAAGGCTTTCCATGAAAAGAAACATTTTATTTTTAGGAGCTGAAAGAGAAATCAGCTTTTCCAAATATCTCAATTTCAACTTGAGGAAACTGAGGCACAGAGAGATAAAGCAGCTTACCCGTGGCTTCCCAGCAGGTCCGCGGGAAAGCTGAGCTTGAATCCTGAGTGCCCACCCACTTGGTCAGTCCATTTTTCACTAAACTTCCAGTTGGGATGTTGAGGCATAGTAGAATATTTCAAATACAATAGCGTATTTTAAAACTTTGATTGAGAAAGTTCTCTAGGAGTGTATTGAGAAAGCAAAGGAAGAAAAGTGAGAACCAAGATTTGTTATATTTTTAGACATGAATAAAGATAGAAAGGCTGTGTGATTCAGAAGCAGGCACATGGCCTGCTTTTCATTCAGCTGTGGTCAGTTTGCAGCTAATCCAGGAGGCATCTCCAGGATGACCTGGGAGGTAAACCACAGTCACCGAGGCCAAGTCTCCTGGCAACTGTGCAGCTCCACTCTGCACCCTTGGTTTATCCTTCCTGTTTCCTCACTTATCAAATATTTATTGTCAACAACGGGCAGTTCTGTTTGCACACAGTGTGATGGGGTAATGAGATAGTTAGGTTTCCTCCTGTTATTGATGGGGAGTGCTGATGGCATGAATAATTTCCTCTTTTTATAAATGGGAATTTAATTATTGATGCCTTGTTTAGGCAGTGACAAAGGTGTTGCCAACAAACACTGCAGTTGGAGGCCTTGGCAGGCATGAGGCTGCCAGGCTGCAGTCTAAGGTTGGTGGGGGTCATGAAATAAACTTGCTTTTAATTGTTTAGGAGAGACAGCAAGTGTCTTTACCATATATATATAGGCACAGTATATATACATATACATATATCGATGTGTGTGTGTGTATATAAAACCTCTAAAACTAAATCCTAACAAGATGTAAGCTAATCAAACCAGTGAGAAACTAGTTCTTTCATACTTGCATAGGACATTAATTGAATGTTTAGCATTGCCGGTGGAATGTTTATTCATATAGCAAGGGTTTTTGTGGACTGACAACTTACTTTAGCTCTTAAGTAAAGAGAAAAAGAACAAAAGGTCTCTAACTTAGTATTTTAATTTTTATGACTTCCTTCAAAGGGATTCAAGGCTCCCTGAATCCTGTCCCTGTAACCCACCCCAACCTTCCCAATGTCAAAAGAAAATAAAAGCAAAACATTACAACAACATATTTCTCAAGGAAGTTTTCAGTACTACTCTTTTTTTTTTCTTGAAAACCCAATTAATGTCTGTGTCTTATACTTTTCCTCTTCTTGGGGAAACCGAGTGAGGAGTCAGAGCTCATATGTCTCTCCCCATGGTGGCATGAAATGTAAGGTGGATTTCACAGGACTCAAGTTGAGTCAGGGAATCTTTAAGGGGGAGAAAAATGTCCTGGGCCTCTGAAGGTAAGAATATAGTATAATAAGCGTCTCAGACTGAATGCATGCGTGAATCACTTGGGGATTTTGTTAGAGTAAAAATTCTGATTCTGCACATCTGGGGTGGGGCCTGAGATTCCGCATTTCTGACAAACCCCCAGGTGAGGCTGGCACTGCTGGTCTGTGAACCACACTTTGAGTGGAAAGGATTATTGGTCCAGACAGCAAATCCTAGACATTCTGAATGTTTAAGGTAGGTAAACAGTAGTGATGTTTTTATAATTTTGTTGATTCTTTACACTTTTTTTAAAAATCAGGATGAGAAAATTTCTTGCCAACTTGCCTCAGACAACTTTTTGCTGCATAAACTTCATTAAAATTTTTTGTTTCCCAAATTCTCTGATGACACTGAATCTAGATTTAAAGTGGCTGAGACAGTTGGCCTTGGGATAACTTTTTCCAAAACTTTTATGATTGGAAACAACCTTAAAAAGTGTAGTCAGGACTCTCAATTGTAGGAAAGGATGTTAAGCACTCAGCCTACTCCTGGTATTAGGTTAGCACACCCTTCCCAGCTTGAATCTTTGCCTCTTCGTTTGAAGCCTCTTCCTTTCTCCTTTCAACTCTTCAGCCAACTTTTAACTGTCAGAAGTTCAGGACAAAATTTGTTTTTTTGTTTTTTTTTTTTCTCCAAGTGATGGTCCATTTTATCTTCATCAGCATTGTCCATTTTTCAGAATAAACCCTGTTCATTTTCCCCAAATTTGTTTCCTCTTCCTCTAGTGTTAAGTATATCCCTTTAAATAGCTAAGTGCTTTTTTCTGTAAGGCATTTGGGTCAATTATTGAGGGTAAATGAGAAGAAACAAAGAAAAGTTGAGAGGGAAAAAAGTCAATATTGGATTATCCTGGCGGTAACAAGATATAAAATTGCTGGAGAGTGAACTGTGCATGGTGTATGTATATAGATGTAGGTAAATGACAAAGAAATTATACAGAGACATGAGCACCACCCACTGCACTGAATCATTCCTCATACCAGTGCACAGTGCAGGAAGGTGACAAGCCTCTTGGAATAAGTCAGCCGTTCCTCTTGGGGGCTCCCCCCAAAACAGAGCAGAATAAAACAAAAAGTGTAAGGCTGCTTTGGAGGAACTCTAATAGGGATCTAATTCTCATTTCCCCCCTGATGAAGTGACGCAGGCCTATGCTGCCAAACGACCAGCGGAGGTGACCTCCCTCGGCAGCCGCTGACAGCCTAAGGCCTTCCTGAAGGATCATAGGGACCGAGAGGTGAATGATCTTCCCAATCAAGTGCTGAAAGATCAATAATAATTATTGTTTTGTTTTTTTTTTGAAAAAAGAGGAAGAGAGTGGATGGGTGTGCGAAAAGAGGGAGAAAGAGAGCTCAGACCAATTATTTTTCTACAAAATACTTTATGTGACAACAGCGGCAGCCCCCAAAGGGCAGTGTGTAACAACAGAGCCTAATTAGGATGATTTCAGTGTAATCATTAACTCGCATCTAACACCTACGAGAGTATTTCTGTTTAAACTAAAACATGACCTGCATGGTGGAGAGGCCTTGTAAACTGTCTCTGAAATAAAATATGTGACAGGAAAGGTCAGAGCAGCTCTCATTTGAATTTCAAGTAGGGAGCCGGCACTGCGGTGGCCGGTGCAGTGAGCCTGACGACTCCACTTTCTAGGCCTTCCTGCCAGCAGTAGCAGTTGGAGAAATCCTCTAGGACTAATTACTAGGATTGCAAAACAAGGATTTTTCTTCTCCTGCCTCTGTCCACTTTCCCTTCCTCTCTTCCAACCTGGGTGGAAAAGCAAGGGTCTCTAATGATGTTTGGGGAAAGAGGTGATTTCCTTTGTTGTTGCTATGAGACTGAAGGTCACCGCTGAGTGGCCTGCTCCGCCTGAGCCAGTCACCTGCTGGCTGGCCCCTGGGCCAGACCAAGCCTAGTCTGGCCTTCCTAGCATGTCCTCCTGCCAGCCAAGCCGGGGAGGCCTTGCTAATAAACTCTCTTCCCAGCAAGAGTGATGCTAAGGCATTGCCTTCCGCTGGGCTGCGTAAAAGCAGCTATCAAATCAGCAAGATGCGACTTGATATGCAGGTCTCCAGTGAAATTTAAGAACGCGAACTGTAAAACGTTGAGGGAAAAGGAAGCATGAAAACATTTTTAAGGAAAGCATTTAAAAAGTCAGAGACAGACATAATAATAAAAAAATGTTGGCAGGGAAGGTTTTATTTATTCATTTTGAAACATTGCAAAGAGCTCTGTTAGCAGCATTTACCTGCCTCTTTTTTTTTTTTAAGACAGCCCCGAAAGCAAGTGAGTTGAATTCATTTCCTTTTTCCTTCTGTGACTTTTTAAAGCATTATATACACTAAGATCTTTTTTGCACTTCTGGGAATTTATAAAGCTATAACATTTAGTACATAAGCCTGACTTGGCTAAACCCGCTTCATTTCTCTTCTCCCTCCCCGAGCCCTTTCCTTTCTCTTCCTCCCCAGCCTTTCATGCAGAGCCTTTCTTTGTCATGCATACTAATTGGTCCTTTCCCTCAGTCCCTTTGTAATGTTTTTAAAATGTTTTTTTTTTTTCAAATCTTTTCCCTCTTTTCCCTTAATTCAAACAACAAAAAAGAATGAGAAAATTAAAAATGTACTTGACAACAGTGGAATAAAACAGCCTTGACAAAACCACAGACACAAGAAATAGAGGCAGTTGTCTTGTTACTTTTTGACGCTGTTCAAGCCAGTAAGGTAACTGGAGTCAGTACAGTTAATGAAAACTTATTCACTGTACACTTGTTAAAGATGGCGAGATGTATTTTCTTCAAGCCTGTGGCAGCGCAGGGGAGACTACTGCAATCGAGGAGTGACTGAGCTCAACTCTGAACACAGCAAAGATAGCTGGGGCTTTAGAAACAGAGTGAAGGGCTCAGTACATGGAAAATTACTAACAGGAGCTGCCATGGGTAGGGGGATTTTTGCCAAGCTGACTTAGAAGAATTGCTGAACACAGGCAGAGGTGGAGGCTTTGTCCGGAGGGCTCAGAGGAACCTAACAAAAGTTTGGTAAAAGAGGGAGTCTTTGTCAGTACTTACTTCTTGGTGTCTTCCACTAAGTTGGTCAGCCAGCGTATTCTCCTGCTACCAACTTTGACACAATGGTGGACAAAATTATATGGAACTGGACTGATTTGCACCATAGACTCCTATTGAAATTCCTAAACAAATCTCTCTAATTCCTGTAAGAAACAGATTTATGCTGCTGCTGATAACCATAAAGAAAAGTGATTCCAGGACATCTGTTTAACTCTAAGTTTTACAACCTCAGCTGACTTCGATTTCTATCCCCATAGCACGAGAATGATCCTCTGCCTTTGCAGTTGGAAAATAAAGTTCAAATGCTGACTTTGCAAACATCTGGGATATTCGATGTGATTAACCTATTAGCTTAGCAGACTTTGAGAGGGTCCAAGTCGGAAAATACTGTTTTTAAATTTTTCTCCAGGCCGGGCATGGTGGCTCATATGTGTAATCCTGCATTTTGGGAGGCTGAGGTGGGCAGATCCCTTGAGGTCAGGAGTTCAAGACCAGCCTGGCCAACATGGTGAAATCCCATCTCTACTAAAAATACAAAAATTAGCCAGGCGTGGTGGCAAGCGCCTGTAATCCCAGCTGTTTGGGAGGCTGTTACAGGAGAATCACTTGAGCCCAGGAGGTAGAGGTTTCAGTGAGCAGATTGCGCCACCGCCCTCCAGGCTGGGCAACAGAGTGAGACTCTGTCTCAAAAAAAAAATTTTTTTTATCACAATACCACCTTCATTCAAGCTATGATGAACCCCACTTTCCTACCGTAGAATCCCAAAGCTTTTCAGTTGTTGACAACTGTTCAGTAATCGTAATTTATGTTGATAATTAAAGCTCATTTTTAGCCATTAAAATTTTTTAGTTCAATCCATTTTATGTTTTTAGTTCAGTCCATTCTAAAACTTGAAGCTCACTTATAATTGGAAGCTTTCTTCTTCCTCCCCATCCTTTCTCCCCATCCCTACCAGCCCAGGTTCAGCGCAGCCCTGTAGTGAGGAGGTAGGCATTTGTATTAGCCTGTTCTCACACTGCTATAAAGAGATACCTGAGACTGGGTAATTTATAAAGCAAAGAGGTTTAATTGACTCACAGTTCCACATGGCTAGGGAGGCCGCAGGAAACTTACAATCATGACAATAGGGGAAGCAGGCACATCTTACATGGTGGCAGGTGAGAAAGAGAGAGAGAGTAGTGGGAAGATCCCCTTATAAAACCATCAGATCTTAGGAGAACTCACTCACTATCACTAGAACAGCATGGGGAAAACTGCCCCCATGATCCAGTCACCTCTCACCAGGTCCCTCCCTCGACATGAGGGGATTACAATTTGAGATGAGATTTGGGTGGGGACACAGAGACAAACCATGTTAGCATGGTTTCCTATATCCTCTACATTCTTTGTTCTTTGTCCCTCCCTATCTTCTGGGCCCTCTAGAGTTGGGGCAGGGGGAGCAAAATGCAGACGAAAAGAGGCAAAAGTCTCTAGCTAGCTGGTGCTATTTGCAGTTTTCCTTGGCCAACATGCACAACTCTCAGGTCCTCCATGCCATCCCTGGGTCCTTCAGAGGTACCTCACAGGGACCCCTGTGGTATACAAAATCCTCATGCTGTTCTGCTGTTCTCTTAAATCCCTCCTCAAGTCTTGCCTGTGGTGGGCTACCCCACAGCCTCTTAGTGCTGAGGTCTTCTTGCCCTGGCAGGAAGCTCTTTTGAATTCCACAAGGACAAATAGGACCAAGTCCCCTTCTTAGTCTGTACTGGGCCCATGGGAGCCCACATATACTTGCCATGCCACATGCTAGGAGGACAAGCTGGAACCCTACTGTATTCAGAAGTGTATGAATTTCTGGGCTTGAGGCAGCAACAACACTGAGGTTTGGTAAGCCCACATACTCCAAGGAAGAAATATCTAGCTTTTCCTAACATTCTCGAAATGCATCCTATTCATGTTTGTGACTGCACCAGGGCAGACTGATGAGTTTGTTTGACTTGACCTCCAGCCAAGGACTAGAACCTCAGTCCCCTCATCCTGTAGAAATCCCATTTGGGTGGATGACTCTTGCACCTGTTCTCCTTCTCAACAAGCCTCAGACTCTGCTTACACAGGTTGAATGGGATGGTGGGATCCAAGCACAGGTGTGGCCACCTCTTAGCAAAACCTGCAGGAATAGGTCTAGCAGCTCCTCTTGAGAACAAGGTGGGGTACCCACAGCCTATTGTACTTAGCTTTACCAGCCTTCTGAGACAATAAAGAAAACACAAAATAATCTTTCTACATAGAAAAGCTGAGTAACTTTTCTGATTCTCAGGTCTTTCCTTTGCAAAATGAGAGTAAATAAAATTCTGTGCTTGCTTCGGCAGCACATATACTAAAATTGGAATGAGAGTAAATGAAATTCTCTTGTTAGTGTTGTTGCAAAGACAAGATGATGTATATGAAGGTACCTGACATATTTAATCTCTCTTTCAACTGTTCCTCCATTATTCTTCTTCATTCTTCTTTGTTTACTTTTCCCACTGCTTCTCCTGGGTCCCTAGGTTGATACGCTAGGGAAGGATCCTATGGAAGTATTGGAGTCTTAAATTAGAATTTCTTACAACAAAAAGACAGAGCCTACTTCATTGAATGAAGGCTTAATGGGAAAATCTGGAACTTGGAGATTACCAGGGCCTCTGAGGTGTGAGAGCATCTTGCACAGAAGGCAAAACTTTGTTTAGTAGAAATCTCCTGCTGAGGAGATGCTCTACACCCCAGCTTTGCACGTGTGGTGCAAATGGATTCCCCGGCAAACAGGAGAATGCCCTGGCACCGCCACTCCCATGCAAGCATAGGTGCCACTAAATGCATGCTGCCTTAGCACTTTGTTCCTTAGTGAGTTCCCAAGTTATAGGTTGCAGGAGGTAGGGGAGGCACTTCAGGGAGCAGAAGTCACGAGTCGCCTTGGTGCTGTGCTTCCCTGCTGGCTTGTGGTGTTCATGATGGATGATAGTTTGGGGTGTAATATCTGCTGTGATGGATCACAGAGGAGTATGAAAATTCATAAGGAAGCATTAGGTTGTATTTCACAGGACTCCGTCTCTATGACTGTGTGTGTGTGTGTGTGTGTGTGTGTGTGTGTGTGTTTTCTTTCTGTAACCCAATTAGCTCTCTTGGTGATTACATAGAGCTGCCATTTTGACAATTTATTGTTTTCTGCCTGCTCCATTTTTCCATGCATGTGTCGAGGGAGATAGCTATTTGTCCTTTGATGCATGGATGGTTGGCCAAGAACCCCTCTCTTTGCCCTTGGATCTTGCCTCTCCTTCTTCTGGCTGCAGCCTCAGCTGCCCGAGGGAGTATGTGTTAGTGAGAGTGTTTGGCTGGAGGGCTCTGTCTCCACCCACTACTGCCCGTGCCACTCTTGGAAGTTTTCTGATTCCCAAGATACTGAATGCAAACTCTATGGAGTAGTGCTATTCCCTGAACCTTCCAGAATGAGCAAGAGGGCAAGGTCAGGGCACAGATACTTTTGGAGAGTTTGTTTTTTCTCAGAAAACAAACTGTCCACAAATTATGAACACTTAACAAAGATGTTTTTCTTGTGAAAGTTAAACAACATCACATACTTAAAAGCAGCATCCATTTTGTTTCAAATATTGTAGTATACTAGCCTGAGCATATTCTGGCAGCTACTCCTTTCTTTCTTTTTCTTCTCTCTCTCTCTGTTTTTTTAATTTAAAGGGGCACCCTGCTGTGGTAGGGAAAAGCCACAGAATCAGAAGATGCAACTTAAGTCCAAGTTCTGCTCTGTTTCATTATATATAACTATGGCTGAAAATTTATTCTACCCCAACAAAAAGTGAAGTGTGACAGGAAGGCTGCTGCCCCAATATAAAGTCTCTGTGGTTAGAGCTATCAGGACAAGTTCTCCCCAGACCATGGAGAAGCTGTAGAGAGTTAAGATCCCTGGAGCTCTGTGGCTTGTGTCTGCAGCGACTTGTCCTAGTAATAGGTTGGTGCAAAAGTAATGGCAAAATCCACAATTACTTTTGCACCAACCTAATATTTTATGCTTGTAGAGAACAGAATAATTTGATCTGGCCATGCTTGTTAGAGGTGACCAACTTTATGGTAACCATGAAGAAACCTCTTACTTCTCATCTTAGATGAATTGTAGCTTAGCTGCACCTCCAAATGCTCTCTCTTCATCTTCAGTGGAATCTTATACTTGGCTAGCTCCTGGGAACAACTGCCTTGAATTTCCTACTATCTCAGCAGCTGTGAAGTAAAAGATGTAGTTAATTGGTAGGTACCTGGCAGAACTTCCAGCAATACTTAGCTTTGCTGAAGAAAAGCTTGCTCAGAACATTTGGATAATAAGTAGGCAATATTTGGTGGCTGTAATACTATAATACTGAAAGGAGCAAGGTACCTTTGCTTGGCGATTCTCTAATTTTTATCGTCTAAAATTTAGAACTTTCAGTCTTTACAACATAAGACACCGCCATTTTCCCAACAGGTCACTCGGAGTGCTTTGGATCTACTGATATCTGAAGGGGCTCCTGCCAGAAAGATCCTATTGCTTTGTGTGACAGGAGAAGTAAAATCACTTAAGATACCACTTTAACTTCTTTTTCATTTTCTGAGCTCCCCTTGACTCCAGGCAGGGTTCTGTGTAAAAAGCAAAGGTGGAGAAAGCCCTCTTGGCTTAAGTTTGTTGTTTCCTGCCAGTCCTGTGCCAGGCAGCAAGAACATGTTGATTGATGTACGTATGCTGATGACAGCTTGCAGGACGCATTCCAGGGAGTTTCATATAATGAAAAACGAAGACAAAAAAAAAAAAAAAAAAAACAACTCAAAATAGAATTGTCAGCATATACTGTTAAATGACTGCTTGGGTCATTAGAAAAGCTTTTTATAGACATTGTTGCCTTCTCTAATAGGTTTATTAAGTGATATGGTTTGGCCCTGTGTCCCTAACCAAATCTCATCTCGAATTGTAATCCCCAGGTGTTGAGGGAAGGACCTGGTGGGAGGTGACTGGATTATGGGGGTCGTTTCCCCCATGCTGATCTTGTGATAGTGGAGTCCTTATGAGATCTGGTAGTTTGATAAGTGTCTGGCATTTCCCCTGCACTCTTTGTCTCACTTGCACCATGTAAGACGTGCCTTGCCACTCCTTTGTCTTCCACTATGATTGTAAGTTTCCTGAAGCCTCACTAGCCATGCAGAACTGTGAGTGCATTAAGCCTCTTTGCTTTATAAATTACCCAGTCTCGGGTAGTATCTTTATAGAAGTGTGAAAACGGACTAATAAGAGTTAACAAAGATAACAATAGGTAGTATTTACCAAGGGCCCACTCTTACAGATGAGTTACTGATGTAATATCATTTAATTTTTGCAGAAATCCTGAAGCAAGTGTTTATTCTCATTTGATAGATAAGGAAACTGAGAGTCAGTAGCTAAGTAAGTTGCCAGGGTCCCTCAGCCCCTGTGGTAGGCAGAATAATGCCCCCCACCCCCACAAAGATGTCTGTGTCCTAAGCTCCAGAACCTGTGAATATGTTGGGTTACATGGAAAAGGCAGTTTGCAGACGGAATTAAGGAGGAAACAGCTGACCTCAAAAAGTGGGAGATGATCCTGGCTCATCCAGGTGAGCCCAATGTAATCACAAGTGTCCTTAAAAAGTGGAAGCAGGAGGGAAGAGGAGAGTCAATGTTAAAGGAATGTGATGTGAGGAAACTCTACTGGCCATTGCTGGCTTGGCTTTGTGGAAGAAAGCAGGCCACGAGTTGAGGAATGTGGGCAGCCTCAAGAAGCTGGAAAAGCAAGGAAACACTTTCTTCCCCAGAGTCTCAACAAGGAACAAGTCACAAGGCCCTGCTAACGCCCCAGGAGACCTGCATCAGCCTTCTGACTCTAACATAATATATTTGGTTGTCTTAAGCCACTAAATATGGGCTGATTTGTTACAGCAGCCATTGGGGGTTTTAAGGGGCAGATGGAGTTAAAAACAGAATCCGAAGTTCATCCTCTCTTCACTATGCAAAGTGACCTCTACATTGCTTGACATATAAAAATAGAATCAGAAAAACTCTACCTAACCTCCTTAGCTATTTTCTCTCCCCGCCTTTTCCTCTTTTTCTCTTATGCTCCATTCACGTGCTTCCTTCCTCTTTCCCTTTTCCTAAATTAACAGGTTCTTGCTGTAAAAGAAATTGATTCTTCACTTCGAAGTAGGTCATTATAACAAAGGTTTTAAATCATTTGGTCCTCCCATTTGTGAAATATAGACTTCACTTTAATCTTCTGTGCACTACTAGCAGTAAAAAAAAAAACGGCCCATAACTTGTGAAAAATGGGATTTTTCCCCACCATCAGTCATCTGGACAGATATGTAAGTTTTTCACTCCCTTTTCACCCTTTGACTCACACCTGGAAGCCAGAAAGACCAGCGTTCATCCACACAGGCAGTGTTTCCTCATTCTGCTCACACTTGTGGGACCAAATTTAGAAACTTAATGAAGAATAGGGTCCTAGTCGCCAAATTGGTAGGACCCCCTGGTTCCTTCCTTCCCATTATTTCTTCCAGTCTCCAGTTGCCTTAGAGCTCTTCATATGTAAGTAACTCTTCTTATTTCTCAGAACTACTAAGTTTATTTTGAAAGCTCAGCTAAGCTTGTTTGGTTGGTAAAGTTAAATAGTCAGATTTTGTACTCTGTTTCCATTTTCACCCCTGGATGCATAAGAGAGGCTCACAGATTCTCTGGAATGGCTTCTTCAGATCACCTAAGCAAATAGGGTGGGCCTACTTTCATTCAGGAGTCACATTAGATTGGACTGTTATAGGCCGGGCACTGTGGCTCACGCCTGTAATTCCAGCACTTTGAGAGGCCAAGGCAGGCAGATCACAAGGTCAGGAGATGGAGACCATCCCAGCTAACATGGTGAAACCTCGTCTCTACTAAAAATACAAAAAAATTAGCTGGGTGCGGTGGCGGGCGCCTGTAGTCCCAGCTACTCGGGAGGCTGAGACAGGAGAATGGCATGAACCCGGGAAGCAGAGCTTGCAGCGAGCTGAGATTGCGCCATTGCACTCCAGCCTGGAAGACAGAGTGAGACTCCATCTCAGAAAAAAAAAAAAAAAATTGGACCGTTATAAAGGGAGCAAGACTCTACTGTTGAACTCCAAGATCTCAGGGTGTAATTTTGCTTACAAAATTAGGGCCTTTTTCAATAATCACATTATACTGTAACATCTTTTTCTTTCTCTATCTTCCTTCCCAGAAAGGTGGAGACATAATCTTTAGGAATGCAGGAACCATGTCACATGTTTACTATGAATTCCTAGCTCCTAGCACAGGGTACTTGACACGTAACTTCATATAAACTTTGAGACCTGGTAGGCCTGGGTTCCAATCTTTGTTCTGCTACTTGCCTACTGTGTGCCCCTTGTTTAGTTACTTGGTCTCTTTGATCTGTAGTTGGTCATCTGTAAATTGGGGTGTGGAAATCTACAGTGCTATGGTAATTAAATGAGACAATAAATTTGAAGCATCTAGCAAAGCCTTAGAATTGCACACAGTGAGTACACAATTTAAAAACACAGTGGTTAAAAATGTGGAACCACATTGCCCAGGTTTGAATTCTAGTGTTCTCACTTGCCATGAAAGTTACTGAATCTCACTAGACTTCAGTTTCCTCATGTATAAAATGGGTGTAATAATAGCACTTAGTCTCAGAAGGTTGTTGGATGGATTAAATGAGTTGCCAGGCACAGTGGCTCATGACTGCAGTTTTGGCTACTCCAGTGGCTGAGATGGGAGGATCTCTTGAGCCTGGGAGCTTGAGGCTGCAGTGAGCTGTGACTGTGCAACTGCACATCAGCCTGGGTGACAGAGCAAAACCCCAACTCTTAAAAAATGAGTTAACATGCATAAGGGTGCCTACATCAGGGACTTACACGTAGTAAGTATTCATTGATTGTTATTTATTAGCAGTAATAAATAACACATTATAGAATAATGTCACGTTCTTCTGACATTCATCCCATTTTATTTGATTTGCTCTCTTTTTTGGACCTTATAATAATAATACATGGAAGGGTAAAGTAGTTGGTTCTAAGGATTATTCCAAAATCCTCTGCTCTAAAATGTTGTGACTTATGTGAGCAAAGATGCAAAGCCGATTCTCCATCCTCATATTTTCTTGGGGCCCAAAGGGAGGGAAACTGTAATTTTGAAAAACCGTGTCCCAGAGCTAATAGAGGTAAGACTTCCTGTGGCAGAAAAAGTAATTTTCCCCCCTCCCTGGATTAGACCCAACGTTTGTAACAAATATAACTGCTGTAGGCTTTACACTTAACAACAACAACAACATCTTTGTTTAAAAATTATATATACATATGTTTAGTTTTCTAAATAACGGCACTGCAATATGGTGCGTTGGAAATTACAGCCAGCTCTTGATTTCTTTTCATTGCAAAGAAAAATTTTGCATAACCTAAAACTGTGCTTGCATTGGAGACTGGGATTGTTAGAAATTTCATTGTTGATTGTATCTACGTGATGTTCCTTCTGAAGTTCTATTTTCTTTGTAATGCTCTGAGTAACCTCTTTCATTCAAAGGTCACATTTGGGTTGATAAAATAAAGCCAACCTTCAAGTCTGCCCTTTCACATAGAAGCCAAGATGTCTCCCTTTCCTGTAAACTTCCTTCTTCCATTAATATCACAGCATGTCTGAAGGTTTAAAACAAAGCTATATTTGAGTTATCCAATCACAAAAAGCACATGAAAAATGTGTGTGTGCGTGAAAAACACACCCTTTCACATGCTCTACTAACTCTGAAACATCTAGATGAAATTTGAGCTGAGAACAAGCATGAGGAATTACAGAACAAGTGGTCATTGTTTTCAGCAAATCAGAAGTGCCTGGAATCAGTGTACCCTTGAGCAACACAATGCTCTACTCCTCAAGGGCCAGAGAGCTGGATTTTTCACAGTGGCTTTCCACTTGACTCAGAGTTCCATATCTGAAAGCTCCCCAGGTGGGTGGAAGGTTTTCAGTGAACATGGGTGGAGTACAGAGAAGGCACTTTTTGAATGGGAGCAAGCTATAAAATTAGGTTGATGAAGTTCAATGACTGAACTTGTGGTGGCTTCTCTACAGGCCAAGGCCATAGAAATATAGTGTTTGTACTCAGGCAGTCATATGACGTGGTGCCTGAGCTCATGGCCTTATAGCTCATAAAGCGTTAGAGTGAGAAGGAACTTACAGACCATGAGTCCAACCCTCATTTACACATAAGTAGACCCAAGGTCACTCCTGCTGTGTTTGTTGTTCACATTTATTGTTTAGAGCTGGTCTCTGGCAGGAGCTCGGGGGTCCTCTCTTCTCCTTCCGCCCTGCTCTACTTCTGAAGATGAGTCAGGACATAGCTTCAGTCACTCCAACTCTAGGGAGGAAGAGATGGCGACGGCCAAGTTCTAGGACACTGAAGTGTTCACAGCACTAGATGAGGGACTGCCTTTGCATTTCCCACTCTTAGAAGCTGTTCTCTTCATTCCAGAAGCCTGGGGAAATGAGAGGGCCTGTTTCCCCAAAAGCCTTCCGGAAATTGCTGTCCAACTGGGAGAGACCAGACACAACTGCTTATACCAATTTCCTTCTGTACAACAAAAGCCAGAGAATTCTTGTTTATTTGTTGCCCCAGAAGGGTGTGTGTGTGTGTGTGTCTGTGTGTGTGTGTGTGTGTGTGTGTGTGTGTGTGTGTGTATTGAGGGGAATTGGCATTAAGCCCTGCCTCTCTTTAGCTAGGGCTATGTCTGAAATTTAAGTTTTGGTTTTGGAGGAAAGGAGGTGTAACACTCTTTTCTAGTGTTTTCTATAGTTTGGTGCTAGACCACTTAGAGCTATAGAGGCTAAACTGAAAAGTCCATCTGTATATTTAAATCTACTTCTCTAGAGTTCCACATTAAGGTCTGAGAGCCCAGCCTGTGATCCAGCTCCAAGCCAGACCAATCTCAGCCTCAGTCTCCCTGCTAGCCGCAGTCCTGGCTGGTAATAAGATGCGAACTTGCTTTGTCTTTGTGCAGCTTTTTGCTTCTGTGACCTTGTGGGGAGGACTGACTGATGGAGGGAGAGTGATAGTAAGATTGGATCAGGCAGTTAAGAGCCTTGTTCTGTGTTCGTATTCTCCATCGCTATCAGTTAACACCCCATTTTGGTATTACCTACATCAAAAGTGCTGGTTGGTCCTTTTGAATTATAATGTTAGCAAAACCATAGAACACTTGTATGGCAGGCACCATTTTGAGAGGTCTACCTATAAGAATTCATTTAATCCTTACAACCAACCTTTGATGTAGGTATTGTTGTAATTTCCATCTATAGCTGAGGACATTGAAGCACAGAGGGGTTGTATCATTTATTTTTCCAAATGACACACCTAGTAGGTAGAGGAGTTGGGGTTCAAACCCAGGCAGTCTGACTCAGATAACACACTGGTAATCACCATAAACATTACCTGTGTAGGGAAGTAAGCTGGATCGTAGCCAGCTAGCTTGGTAGAGGGTACCTCACAAATGCTTACTTTTTTTGCTTTTTTGGAGACAGAGTCTCACTCTGTCACCCAGGCTGGAGTGCAGTGGCATGATCTCAGCTCACTGCAACCTCCACCTCCTGATCTCAGGCAATTCTTCTGCCTCAGCCTCCTGAGTAGCTGAGACTACAGGCATGCTCTATCACGCCTGGCTAATTTCTGTATTTTTCAGTTGAGATGGGGTTTCACCACGCTGGCCAGGCTGGTTTCAAACTCCTGACTTCAGGCAATCCACCCACTTAGGCCTCCCAAAGTGCTGGGATTACAGGTGTGAGCCACTGCACCCGGCCTGCACTGCAAATGCTTACTTTTGATAGTGGCGATTATGTGTTTGTATTTGATGGCTAAGAGAGCTTATGTGACAGTCCAAAAGAGGTATAGCAAATCTGTTGGGAATTGGGCAGCTGTCAGTTCATAGCAGGTAAGGGAGCACACAGATGTACTTGAGCACATGGATATACTTGAGGTGGAACTAACTGTACACTGATAAAAGAGATATAAGAAGGAGAGAGGAGGGAGCATGGCAGGACTCAGTAGCTGCTTAGGCTTTACAGAGGTACACATACCTGCCTTTAGTTTAGTAGATGGAATACCTTGCCTCGAGAACAAAGGGATCCAACCCAATGACAGAGCCAGAAGGCTCAGGATGAAGGAGGACTTTGGAGACAATCCAAACTGGTGTGGGGGCTGCCTGGAGCAGTTCACAGCTCAATTTTGCCTATTAAAAATGCTTTATTAGTTACCAATTAAACAATCCAGAGAACACACACAAACTACATTTTTCCAGGTTGTCTCGAAAGATGGAAAGATCTGGCAATGCTGGGTATCCATTCTCACTGGTCAACAATCGTCTTCACTGGGTTGCAGCTCCTCTCTTTAGATGAGGGATTAAAGTGACAGTAGGATTGGATTGGACAGTTAAGAGCCTTGTTCTGTGTTCAAATTCTCCATCACCCTACCATTTCCTGTCACCACTCACTCACATGACCTGCCTGTCCCTGCCAGCACTTGAGTAGGCAACCCTTACCTCACCTTATAAATGCATAAATAGAGGACTTTTGTGGTGAGTAGTGGGAGCTAACCCAGCTTTCACTTTGGAATTCCTGTGTGAACATCTCCCCAGTCATTTTGACTCTTGGGATACATAATTTCTTATGCCATAAAGGAGCTACATGTGGCTATGACTTGGACCATCTGGGCTTTGGGTGATGTGGCTTACTGATGTTACACTGACCCCCTGCGATTGTGAATGGGCTGGTGAGATTGGTTTAACAGCAAAAGCACCAGGTATGAGAGTTTTTTGATCCTCTTTATCTTTCATGAAGCCATTTTGTTGCTGTGGCTGAGGCTTTGAACCTTGAAACACCAGGATGGGCATTAATATGGGAGAATCTCCAGAGGGAAATAAGACTGTCCTCAAGAACAGTGTGGCCACAGCCTCTGTCATTCTTTCCAATACTCTTCCCAAGATCATCCAACCATGACTGGATAATTCCCAGGAAATCCTTTGACTCTTCGGCTGAAATCTCACTGTTATTCCTAAAGCTCTTGCAAATGTACATTCTATTTTGTCTTTCCCATGCTGCTGCCCATTTCTAAACTCAAACCCTTTCATTTGTAGCTTAATGGCCTCTGTCACTACCACTTAAGAAAATGTGAATTTCTTTTCTTTCTGCCTAGGCTGGAGTCAAACTTTTGGACTCAAGCAATCCTCCTGCCTCAGCCTGCTAAATGGCTGGGACTACAGGCACGCACCACCGTGCCCAGCAAAATCTGAATTTCTTGATCCCCAACTCCTAATTTGATAAGGATAGGCAATTTTCTTTGGCCAAATTGCAAAATAAACGTATTTCCTCTGGAAGCTTTTTAGAGTCAAACAGATCTGAATTTGCTCTCCACTCTGCCACTTTAAAAACCTTCAAACTAGTTACTGAGCCTTTCTGATTCTGATTGGCAAGATCTGAGAGATGGGAGTAATTTTCATCTTGCAGACTAGCTCTAGGAATGAATGTTATTAGGAACGTAAAGTGTCTACTACAGTTCCAGGCGCATCAGCAGGGTTCACAGATTTTAGTTCACTGCCTCTGTCATGGCCTTTTGGAGCTGATGGGGCGTAGCTTATTATGAATTGGACAGTTTATAGGTACGGTGAAGATTTCTTTGGGAAACCAGGAGAATGGGTACCTGAGAGGAACAAAACACTTAGGGCAAGTGTTGGTCCAGCGTTTGCAGACAGGTACGGGGGCGTGGAGGAATTCCGAGTGGAGGGAAACAACAAGACGGAACTTTTACTGGTAGTAAAGGAAAGCAAAGAATACTTTTTCTTCCTTTAGTCCTCCAAAGGGCACTGACTTCCTTTTCATAGTGGACACTCAATAAATGCTGTTGACTGACAGACCACAGAACGTTATAGAAGGTTTACAGGGCAGGGAATATAATATTAATATCCATGTGATGTTTTTACGTTTTAATTTTGGTGGAAGAAGGCTGAAGCCTGGGGCAAAAGCTAGTATTTTCATTTGTTTCACCTGAAGTTATATTGGCAGGGGCCCTCAGGGTAAAGAAGAAAAGGATTAGGTTTGGGAGTGGGAAAGGGTATGAAGAAGCTGTAATAAAATATATAAGTGCAAGAGCTTGAGGAATAAACACAGATGAATTTCAGTCAGAGAAGAGAAGGATCCGGCATAAAGACGTTTTGAGGGGAAAAAAAAATACACCCGTAGGGTAGGCTTTGCTGAATAAAAAAGATAATGTGAGAAAAGTAATGAAAAACTTTTCATATCAAGTAGCTCCCTAAGAGGTGTGCAGATATTGTTGTTTTACGTTGATTGAGGCCCCACCATGTACAGGGCTGGTATCTGCGTGAAAATCTAATGTATGAAAATACATTCGAGGGAAAAGATAAACCTAACATGCGTGGAGGCAAAGGTGAATTTTGCTGTGGCAGGTGGACATGTGTAAGAAGTGAGTAAGTGAGTGATTATTTGAGTGGTAAGGTCTTAAGCTTGGTATTTACACCATCATAATCATGACTCCTCTAAAGCAAACAAGAGAGCAGAGCTCTCAGGAAAGAAATTTGCATTTCTCATGATGGGAGTTTAATTTGTAGCATGAACATACACTGAAAATATCCTCATCTCTTGTTTGTCAGAAATGTCTCAGGAAGAGCCCCGATAAAGATACCAATATATTCTTAAAGAGTAAATTTATTTAGGGTTCCTTTGCCACCATCTGAACTCTGTTAATGATCTTATCTCTGACACAATTATTAAGGCTAAACTCTGATAACTGTCTAAGGTCAGAAATCACAAGTACATTTTCCCCCAGTATTAAATGACACCTGATGATGACAGCCGTGAGTTAGACTGCTGAAATGAAAAGAAACTCACTAACCTTGACACTGTGATCTGAATATTGGTGAATGTTAGTTACACCACTGTCAAAGCCAAGAGATATTAGGGAATGAGGGACTGCTAAAAAACAAAAGGGCGGCCGGGCGCGGGGGCTCACATCTGTAATCCCGGCACTTTGGGAGGCTGAGGCAGGTGGATCACGAGGTCAGGAGTTTGAGATCAGCCTGGCCAACATGGTGAAACCCCGTCTCTACTAAAACTACAAAATTAGCTGGGTGTGGTGGCCCACTCCTCTAATCCCAGCTACTTGAGAGGCTGAGGCAGGGGAATCACTTGAACTCGGGAGGAGGAGGATGCAGTGAGCAGTCATTGTGCCATTGCACTCCAGCCTGGGCAAAAAGAGTGAAACTCCATCTCAAAAAACCCAAAAAACAAAAAACTCCAAAAAACAAAAAACCCCAAAAAACAAAAGGGCTACTCCTGGAGTTCTGAAACTTCTAGTAGGAAAGGATTTCCCATAAACCCTCCTAGTTCAGCCCACACTCCTGGTGCTGGTGCCAGCATTCCTTCCACAACATCTCCTGCTGAAGCCTGTTTCCTCAGTGAGTATTGGGCTGGTCTAATTATTACAAACTTATTTATTTATTTATGCATTTATTTTGGAATGATTTGAAATCTACTTATCAACTCTGTATCTAACTTCCAGAATATTCCAGACTACATCTACTTCATATGTTTACAGATAGTTGAAGATCATATTATTACTATTATTTTTATTTGTAAAAGAAACCTTATTTTCTTTAGCAATTTGCTCAATTCTTGTTACTCTCTGCACCCTTGTATAAGTCAGGATTGACTGGGCTTTGCTGGGGTAACAACCCTATTACCAATGTTACTCGAAATTTTATTTCCTTAATACAATTTGGGTAGTTTTCCTGTATTTTTGAGGGCTAAGATATGCAAGGTGAGGCAAAAGTCTCTATGGAGCAAAAGAATGAAGTCATGTGTTCAGTTGGTGTAAAATTATTTTCTTCTTCTATTTCCTCTGAAATGGAAGATTTTACTGAATATTGATTTTCACCTTCCTCTCTAATAACACTGTTAGTTTGCATTTGCATAATGTGTTGTACTTTTCACATCTACTGAAACTTTTGCCTTTGCTGTCTCCTCTGCCTGAAAGATTCTTTCCTTGCATAGCTGCATGGCTTCCTCCCTCATGATGACTTCCAGTTCATTCCTTAAATCTCATCTTCTCTGTCACGTCTTCTTCCAGCACTCTGTCTGACCTGGCAAAACACACAAGCAACACTCTTCAAATAACTTCTGCTAGACACTCCTATTTCTTGTGTGAAACGCTTATCACTAACATAGTCAATGTGTTGATTTCTATACCGTGTTTATTCTCTGTCCCTTTCCATTTAGATTAAGTTCCATGAGGGGCGGGTTTTGTTTCTTAGTCACTGTTGTATTCTCAGTTCCTGGAACCGTGCCTGGCACATATAAGTTCTGCACAAAGGTTGAGTGAATTTATGTGATTGTTTAACTGATATTTTTGTGGTCAAGTAAGATGGCAAGTGGCAGCAGAGGCCCTTTTCTGGTGGGTTCTTGTTTATTGTGGCCTTCTGAAGGGAGAAGGCCTCATTTCATTGGGATGTTTGGTCCTATATAAGAAGACTTAGCTCATCTCTTTATCTGTTGCTGTGGCTGAAATATTTATATAGGCTCAGATATGGGCACTGAGTCATCCCAACCACTCAGCCTCCTTGTGTCTCCACTCTCTGGATATCCACTATCTGTCACCCTCCTGGAGAATGAGAGTAGGGGAAGATGGAAATACCACAGGAGACACCTCCTGAAGTACTCTCATACTTCGGGGGTGTCTAGGCGTGGACATTTTATAAATTATACTTCTGAAGGATTCTTAGTTATCCAAGTTGAAAAACAATAAGATAATACTACCTATATAGACAAAGAAGTGTTGGTGCTTGTCTCAGGGGTGCCCAGCTGATTAAACTTGGCGCACACAGGGCAGAGTTGGAAGCAAGAGTGAGCATGATGAAGATTCTGGAGTCTTCCAAAAACCTGATGAGAAATTCAACATGATGGATACTTTGCCTCACTCAGAAGAATAGAAGTTGACTTTGTGATGGCCATTATTAACCAAGATATTCAGGCTGACACTCTGAGCAACTACTCTTGTGTCACTGGGCTCATTTAATTGGGGGGTGGAGAGATGAGAGAAAAGAGTTAGGCAAAGAGCAAGAGGTAGCACCATGCGTTAGTTTCCTGGGGCTGCAGTAACAAACTGCCACAAATGGGATGGCTTAAAACAGCAGAGATTTATTGTCTCACAGTTCTGGAGACTGAAAGTCTGAGATCAAGGTGTCACATGGTTAGTTCCTTCTGAGGGCTGTGAAGAAGGATCTGCTCCATGCCTCTCTGCATTATCTAAGGCTGGGTAATTTATAAAGAAAAGAGTTTTATCTGTAATCCCAGCACTTTGGGAGGCCGAGGCGGGTGGATCACGAGGTCAGGAGATCGAGACCATCCTGGCTAACACGGTGAAACCCCATCTCCACTAAAAATAAAAAAAAATTAGCTGGGCATGGTGGTGGGTTCCTGTAGTCCCAGCTACTTGGGAGGCTGAAGCAGGAGAATGGTGTGAACCCGGGAGGTGGAGCTTGCAGTGAGCCGAGATCACACCACTGCACTCACTCCAGCCTGGGCGACAGAGCGAGACTCCCTCTCAAACAAAAAAAAAAAAAAAAAAAAAAGAGTTTTATTTGCCTCATGGTTCCGCAAGCTGTATAAGCATGGCATCTGCTTAGCTTCTGGTGAAGTCTCAGAGCGCTTTTACTTATGGCAGAAGGCATAGTGGGAGCAGGCACATCACATGGCAAGAGAGGACTAAGAGAGAGAGGAGGTGCCAGGCTCTCTAACAACCAGCTCTTGCATGAATTCATTGCTATAGGCAGGACATCAAGTCATTCATGAGGGATCAGCTCCCATGACCCATACAGCTCTCATCATGCCCCACCTCCAGCATAGGGGACCACATTTCAAATAGATTTGGAGGGGATAAACATCCAAAATCTATCACTCTCCCTCTCTCCCAGCCTCTGGTTGTTTGCTGGAATCTTTGGTGTCTCTGGCTTCTGCTGTATCACCCGATCTCTTTCTTTACCTTGACATGGTGTTCTCCCTATGTGCTCGACTGTGTCCAAATCTTCCCTTTAAATAAGCACACCAGATGTATTGTATCATGGGACCACCCTACTCCAGTATGACCTCATTTTAACTACTGACACCTGCAACTACCTGATTTCCAAAGAAGGCCATGTTTTTGAGGTACTGGGAGTTAGGACTTCAACATATGGATTTTGGGGACACACTTCTAGCCATAACATACATTTCAGGCAGTTGGTGACACTGGGGGTGTTTTAGATGTGGGTGAAGGGATTCTCAGTTTCTTTCAGCTCTCAGGCAAAGCACACTTGATACGCCAATTTGTGCATTGCTGAATTATGTAATTCACAATATGCTAAAATACAGTATGTAGAAATTTGTTATTATTTATCCCTGTGAAAACATTTCCATAATAATTCATTCTTAAAATATGCAATTGTCTTTCTCGTCACAGTGCTGCCTGGCTAAAACGTCTCGATCAAGCCCGCATGTCCTTATTATAGGGAGTCCTGCAAACTTTCCATGTTGTAATTGGCTTATTTTGGAGAATAAGTTGATGAACATCTTTTTTTCCCCTCTATTAGTATCAGATAGTATCAGAAGCAATGGTTGTTCATTGTTTTTCGTTTATTTATGTATCGTTTATATACTCACTCAACAAACCTTTACTGAGTCCCTGCTTCAAAGGAAAGACAAATCAGACCCTGTTCCCTTGGACCACCAGGTGCGTGGAGCCAGACACGCATGTTTACATTTCAGTAAAGTGCAAGGCACTAAGAAAAAAGTCTGGGCAGTTTTCAAGAGGAAGAAGTCTTCCTGATTGCTCTGAAATCTCACTCTACCCTCAACTAGGGACTCAAAAGTTTTCACTGGAAGGTACGGATTCTGCTGTTGTCTGCAATCTTCTCCTCTCTAGGATTCCAGGAAACCACAGAATGAAGGTTAGGACCCTTGGTTTTAGACACTAACTTGGAGCTTTCCACATAAGCCTTTGAGCTCTCCTGGGAAATCATGATCTAATGGGCTACAGACCCACTTTGTATGTGTGAAAAATTCCTCAATAGAAGATACCATGACAGATAAGTGAAAATCATGGTTCTAAACTGTTTACATTCAACAGATAGAGGCCAGTGTACCATGAAGCATCATGAGGCCAGATTCATTTAGTGCAAAGGATGGCACTGTTCAAGAGGAAAATATCAGCTGGGCGCAGTGGCTCACGCCTGTAATCCCAGCACTTTGGGAGGCTGAGACAGGTGGATCACCTGAGGTCAGGAGTTCGAGACCAGCCTGGCCAACATGGGGAAACCTCTTCTCTACTAGAAATATAAAAAATTAGCCAGACGTGGTGGTGTGTGCCTGTAGTCCCAGCTGCTTGGAAGGCTGGGGCAGTAGAATTGCTTGAACTCAGAAAGCGGAGGTTACAATGAGCCATCGTACCACTGCACTCCAGCTTGGGTGGCAGAGTGAAACTCTGTCTCAAAAAAAAAAAAAATAGAATATCTAGGCTTAATTCAATTCATCCTACTCCTTATTTGGGCAAAGGAAAGAAAGGGTGGGAACTGTTCACAGGACAGCCCCTGAGACAGTAGCAACATGAGGGAGAGGAAGGCAATGCTCTTTGTAAGTCTTTTTTTACAAATGCCAATGCTCCCAGATATATGTTCATCTGAAGTCATTAGCATCAGCTGACAGTTTAATTAGCAGTTAATATTTTAGCAGAAATAAACTGATGGAGTGTGAGAGGGGAATGAGGAGCACAGCGGGTTGTGAGGGTGGTGATAGTGCCAGGAAAGGCACCTTGAAGGAGAGGAGTGGAGAGGCTAAGGAGAAGGGGGTCTTACTGGGAGATGCTGTTGTTGTTTTTAATTCTGCTGCTCAAAATGTTTGTCATGTTACGGGATTGCTAAAATTTGATCTTATGTCTCCTTTTAAGGAAGTAGAACAGAAGGACTTGATATAAATTTGAGGGTGATGAGAATGTAATCTTCTCAATTATTGCAGGAGCACCTGCTCGCTTTATTACCAGAAAGTCCAGCATTTTCCTCTCCTATAAGTTTGTACAAGAGCTGCAGCAGCTGGCTCAGTTCAATAAGTAGAGGTGGTGGGTGATCATTTGACCCCCCAACTCACTCCCGATGTGGAAGGAGCTGGATGGAGTCTATGTGGCAAGCCTACTATGACCATTGCTTCTTGCTGCCACATGATGTCACTGCTGGGGTCGAGTCCTGCACAATGTTGTTTGCCAGCCCATCATGCCCTGGAGATGGCTCCGTCACCAAGGCTACGTCTCATTCCTGTGTCTAGCAATGATCATGATGGAGGTTGTTGGCAGATGGATTATGGAGTTACCCTTTTTATTGGGTAAAAGGAAAAAAAAGCTGAGGGGGTTAGGCAAGAATTTGTGGTTTCATACCTAGCACATTTGATAGAGAAGGCTGCTGGAGGGACAAGTACTAACAACAGCAGAAACGGGCCATAAATTAAATTATCTATGGGTTCAGGTTGGAGTGTGTCTCTGAATTATTCACTGGGGTGACACAGGAGCTTATATATATATAAGCTCCTGTATTTTATGTATCTATATCTATATCTTTATCTATATATATTCTTGAGATGGAGTCTCCCTCTGTTGCCCAGGCTGGAGTGCAATGGTGCAATCTTGTCTCACTGCAGCCTCTACCTCCCGGGTTCAAGCAGTTCTCCCACCTCAGCCTCCCGAGTAGCTGGGATTACAGGCACCCACCATCATGCCCGGCTAATTTTTGTATTTTTGTAGAGATGGGGTTTCACCATGTTGTCCAGGCTGGTCTTGAACTCCTGACCTCAGGTGATCCACCCACCTCGGCCTCCCAAAGTGCTAGGATTACAGGTGTGAGCCACCGTGCCCAGCCAGCTATATCTATATCTATACATATGTATATGGATCCAAACTCCTGTTGTCCTGTGCAACTGCAATCCTATAAGGGTAAGGAAGATGTGATGGATACAGGAGAAAGAAGGGAGTTTATCTGGGTGGGGTATGAGGCCAGCAGAGCCAGGAAAGTTGGCCATCCTGTATAGTATCCTATTGTCTGCCCCCTTGATTTTGATGCATTAAATGGCCACTAAAATATGACCGAAGCAGTTTGAAAAATGTCTCCATCTCTATGTTAGTAGAATAACCCAAGGAAAAATCTGATACCCTTAGAGGGAGCAACTGGTCTCACCATAAAATATATGCCCTGGTCTTCATCCCCAAGAACCACGGACCACACATATATTTTTTCTTCCTAGCTTTGCTTGTTCTTAGAAAAGGGTCTAATAAACACATTCACAGCAAAGTGTAAACAGCTGAAGAAACTCAGTGTCTTACCTAATTTAGGAACATCAAGTTAAGGGCAGCTGGCCCTGTAAGCAAAATAAATCATCTTATTAATTTTGGAATTTTAGGTAATCATGAGATCATTGTGCTGTGTTAAGTTCTTCTCAAGGGAGCTTGACTGGAGAATTGGGGCTTTCTGTAATAATGCCCTTCAATTTCTCTCTGCTGAGAACCCACAATGAAATCTGCAGCCCAGTTTTTCAGAACTGATCACGTGAAGAGTGGCTGCAAGTCTTTAAAGCAATTTTTCAAAATCTGCCGCTCCATACTTGTATTCATGTTGTTTAAATCTTGGTTTCACTGAATTTCCGTTCTTTCCCAAATAGTATTCTCAGCACTGGAGGCTACAAATTAGATAAGTAGAAATGGCTTGTTGGGCAAGTTCACATTGGGTAGAATCTTAAAACTTTGTCCTTCAAATAGAAACATTAGTTTCCGGTATGAATCAGAAAATAAGTTGTTAAATATGTGTTACAGAGGTTATGATCTGCTTTACCCAAGACCTGCACTTATCTTTAGTAGAAATCACACTTCTCTGAGACTCTACCTCTGCAAATTTTACCCCTTACAAAAGTTATTTATTTTAAATAAATCTTTTGCATATCAACTTTCCATCTTCTCTGGCTTCATTTTCTCCTGATTACTTATATCCTATTTTTTTTCCTATATATATATTTTAAGTGCCTTGACTTTAGGTATTTACCCCAAAGGAATCTCCTGATGTCGTTCCCTGGTCCTTCCATTACCACCCTCAAGGAGTTCACCAAAGGGCATAAGATGTTCTTTCATGATGCATTCGTGACAATCCTAGTTTCTAGTAGCTAAAAAGTATCAGTAAATAGACTGTGCTTCAGCCATCTCTCAGTGGAATTTTAAAAAATGTTATCATGACAATAAGCTCGTGAGTGGGATGATGCTTTGTCACAAGGGAAGTGCTAGCTACAGAGAGTGAGGGGAGCAAGGGCTCCAGTCTTTGGCCCCGGCTAGGTTCTATGCATGTGCCCAAGGACGGGCGTCATCTGTGCAGTGCTAAGTGTTGACCTGTATGCAGATTCACTGCTGCAATCAGCTGGGCTTTGTGCTCTGCCCAAGAGCCACTTTGGCCTGTCTGAAGGAGGCAGCTGTTGTAAATTATAAGTGCAGATCCAGGGGATAATTCTTGGCTTTCAACATGCTGTGAAGGTTTCAGCAATTAATTTCTTCTGTTCTTCTTACAGCCAAGGATTCTCCTCCACGTCATTCATCTCTTCAGGCAAAAGCCATTGGTGGCTTCTGAGTTACTTTCTCATTAGGTTTATGATAGGAATTACCTGAGTGTGGATGGCTTGCTCTTGTAGTTCATTTTGCAGATGAATTCTGACTAGGTAAGGTCTCAGCAGTAACTTAATCAGTCTTAAGCTCCCAAGGCATAGAGTTCAGCATGGTATTTCCATTTGACCCACAAGTACCAGCTTGGCATTTTCAAATCCAGATGCTGATGCTCAAATCCAACTTGCTGATGCTCTAACCTCCTGAAGTGGCTGGCTTCCCTGTGTGCACTTGGCAACGCTCAAGTAACTTCACTAGAAGGCCAAACCTGGGCTTTTGTTTCCAACATCTTTCTGATACGTTAATGGGAAGGCAAAAACAAAACAAAACAAACAAACACACACCACCTTTTCCCACTGGGAGATGTAACACTTTAACAAAATAGAGTCTGAAAGAGCCCTGGGTCTAGCAAGCCTCCGGGGAGAGGCTGTGAGGGCAGAGGGTGGACTCCGTCCCTCAGGGTTCTTGTCTAAATCTTAGGCGCTCACAGAGAACTCCGAGGACCAAGATGGAGTCTCTGCAGGATCCACGTAGCATGGCTCTCCTGATCGTGTATTTGTTTTCGTTTTTGTATGTAAGCAGGGCTGATAAATTCATGGCATGAATAGTGATTCAGCCCTCCTCTTTTCCCAGATTAGCAGCGTTCCTTCATTAGTGTCTTTGCCAGGCCCACACAGCTGCCACATCAGTGGGCGAAGGAACAGGAAGGCCACAGTCTTTTGGAAACAACTAGAGTAGGGTCAGTGTGGGATGGGGAAGAGGAGCTGTGTTCAGATGGTCAGTGTTGCTTGGTTCTTAGGAGGCCAGTGTGGAGGTCTTGTGTCCCCTGGGCATGGAAGCCAAAGTTTTCCAGCTCCCAGAGAGGCATAATTATGAAGTGCTGGCTTGGGAGGATTTCAGGAAGTGGGCCACATTGATCTTGAGTGTTCTTAGTTTTCTTTGTGATTAGGAAGTCACATTATAATGGATCATCCACTCTTAGCACACTCCGTGGCACACAGTAGACACTTAATATTTGATGGGGGAAGGAGTGGATGGATGACAAGTGCTCAGCACCCCTCATGGTGGTACCCTCCTTTTGTGATTCTACTCACTCTGATTTTCTCCCTTCTTTGGACTCCATAGCAAAATTGCCCTGCTTGCTGTTCTGTTGATGCTGTAGTGGCCAGCTCATTGGAACAGAATGTGAACAACTCATGCTGTCTGAGCTGTAATAGTAGATAATGAATAATTTAATGTGCTACCCTCAAATGGTTGTCCACATTTTAATAGGTGACAGGTAACTGGAGACAGAGTAAATAAGGCAGAACTTCACGTCGATCCCAGGGTGCCATTTTCATCAGGAGGGGGTCAAAAACGAAAGATGTCAAAAATGAAAAATTGCTAATGAAATTCTGTGATTTTCCTTAAACAGTGTCACCTAGTGAACTTCCACTTCTTGTTTGGCATGATTTTCTTCCTGAATAGATTCATAGATGACCTGGAAAAGGCTGTGGACCTGTGAAGTGACTGAGTCACTCTGAGGGAGTGTCTTTATATCTCAGTGCAGGACAAGAGTTGAGATCTTCGAAATCCTAGCCTGGCCTCGGGCTGTGTTTGGAACCAGAAAGAGCAGGGTCTGGAACTGAGGAACAGATAGGATCACTGCATACATTCCAGAATGTTTTCAATCAAATAAAATGTGTATGGGCCTGATGAGTCTTGGAAATAATTTACAGCTCTGATAGCCTCCCTTTATGGAAGGCACATGTTGAACACGAAGTCATAACCATCAGTTCTTCAGAGGGAGGGAATGAAGAGGCCAGTTCCCTCGTGGCAGGTGTGGAGGGGCTGAGCTCTGGCTAAGACAACTTGCCCAAGGTCACCCAGCAAATAGCCAAATTGTGCCTTCCCATTCCTAGCCCAGCTTACCATTGTTCTAGACACCCATTATCCCAATTCAAAAGCAGAGCTGCCTCTGAGTCAGTCTCCTCACTAGGGCTGTGGGGAATGTGGGTGTCAGCACTCTGGGGTTGCAGAGGCGAGGAAACAATACCAGATATTTTGTAGCAGGTATGTGCTGAGTGTTCTTCTCTCACTCTCTGCATTTGGAGCATTCAGCATATAATCCTACAATTAGCTCATTAAAAAATATAAAAACTACTTGCGGGTCACCTTTAAAACAAAGAGAGAAGCAATTTTGAATTTAGCAATTTTTCATTTTTGACATCTAGCACCACCTCAAGCTCTGCAGTTACAAATAAGCTGATGGGGAACGGGTCCTTTTATGCACATTTGAAGAGAAAAGGGTTATACATTATGAATAGAACAAGGATAAAGGAATTGGCTGTGTAGTGCAAGATATTTTGAGTACATTAATCAGCGCATCTCTTTTACAGCGAGAATCATTTTTAAAAATAGGTATTAAACAGAATGCAAATAATCTGTATGAGGCAAGTCTGCTTGATACGCGATGGATGTATGAGGGCAGAGGGAGGATGAGGAAACACAGGGAGCAAGGGATTTAAGAGCGTAAAATAACGCTAAGGGAAGAAATGGCGTTTGGAAGAAGCATCAAGATGATATTGAATCCTACTTATATAGCTGCAGTGCTTCGTGCATTGCTTCATTTACTCACTCCATGAGCAATAATTAGGGCCTGCCCTGTGCCAGCCCTGACTCTGCAGAACTTACATTCCAGGGGAGAAGACAGACACCTATTCAGATGGTTTCAACAGGACTTGCTATAATATATGGAAGCCACCTCTGTTAGGAATGCTTTCCTTTATAAGTAACAGAAAACACTAAATTATAGCATAAATCAATAGAGTTATGTATTTCTAACACAGTAGGAAGTCTGGAAGCAGGCAGCTGCTAGTATGGGTTTAAGGCCTCAATGACATGAGATCTGGTATCTCTGTGATTTTCTTGGACTCTCCCCCAGTGTTTCAAGATGGCAGCCATAGCTTTAGAGTCAGATCCACTTTCGGGGTGGAGGAGGGGAAATGCCAGGGATGACCGGATTGGCTTGTTCATCAAGGAAGTAAGAGCCATTCTATGAGCTTCAAGGCAGACTTTCAGTGACATAAGCCCAAGCCATGTCAAATGCCACCCCCTTCTCCCCATCAGCTGCAAGAGGAACCACAAAATGAGAGTGTAGCGTTTCCAGACCCCCGCTTCTCTTTTCTAAACCTTGCTTTCTACACCAGGAGGCTGACAGAGAAAAGACATCAACGGGTCTGCTTGCTCTTGGGTTTGGGCAACGGGGAACAGTGGACAGATGCAGAGAAAGAGGAGAACAAGGGTGGGGTTTTGGTTGGTTGTTTACTTCCCTTGTTCTCTCCCTTGTGGCAGCAGCAGGCTGCATTTGGAAGCTTCTGACATGTGGTCCTCTCCTTCTGGGCCAGCAGTGGCCAGCTCCCCTTTCCCTTGTGGGCCTAGAGACACCCTGCTGTCTCTGGCTCCCTGGGTGCTGCAATACCCATTAGGCTTTTTTTTTTTTTTGAGACGGAGTCTAGCTCTGTTGTCCAGGCTGGAGTGCAGTGGCACTATTTCGGCTCACTGCAAGCTCCGCCTCCCCGGTTCACGCCATTCTCCTGCCTCAGCCTCCCAAGTAGCTGGGACTATAGGGGCCTGCCAACACGCCCGGCTAATTTTTTTGTATTTTTAGTAGAGATGGGGTTTCACTGTGTTAGCCAGGATGGTCTCAATCTCCTGACCTCGTGATCCGTCCACCTTGGCCTCCCAAAGTCCTGGGATTACAGGCGTGAGCCACCACGCTGGCTTTCTCTGCTGCCACTTCTTTGTAAATAGTCTCTTTATGAAGCTCTTCTCAAATGACCTAATCTGAATGTACCATCTATTTCTGTTGGAGACTCTAACTGATAAAATAGTGGGGTTGAGGAACAGGATTCTCTTAGCCAACCAACATTGTCTGTTAGAGGTGCCAAATTCCCTGGGTGGGCAAAGCAGGTGGAGGGTGTCACAGAAGGGTTCACAGAGGAGCTGATATTTGAGGTAGATCTCAAAGAAGATGTAGGATTTCACCAGGTAGAAAAGGGGTCAGAGGTGGAAGGGATGTAGAAACTTCTAGAAAGAGGAATTAACACATGAAAGACTGTGGAGATGTGAGAGAGTGTGGAAGAGTGGAGAGAGGCCCATGAAGTGTGCATGGAGCATGCATCGTGAGAGTTAGCCTTTGGAGTTTTATCGTAAGGGAGATATAGGGTTTCCTTAAATGATTTAAGAAAGGTGTGGCTTAAATTGTGTGTGTGTGCGTGTGTGTGCGTGTGTGTGTGTGTGTGTGTGTTTGGAGACAGAGTCTCACTCTGTCACCCAGGCTGGAGTGCAGTGGCATGATTTCGGCTTACTGCAACCTCTCCCTCCCGGGTTCAAGCTATTCTTGTGCCTCAGCCTCCTGAGTAGCTGGGATTACAGGCGCATGCCATCATACCCAGCTAATTTTTGTATTTTCAGTAGAGACAGGGTTTTGCTATGTTGGCCAGACTGGTCTCGAAATCCTGACCTCAAGTGATCCGCCCACCTTGGCTTCCCAAAGTGCTGGGATTACAGACATGAGCCACCGTGCCTGGCCTTAAATTATGTTTTACAAAGATGATTCTGGCAACACCATGGAGGATTATTGGAGTAGCTTGAGAAACCATCTGGGAGAAACTTTAGAAAGTTTTGACAATTTTTCTCCATCAGACAATAAAATCCTTAACTAAAAACAGCTTTCCATGATGATCTTCTCCAGCAAAATGACCCTTTCCCCCAAAACAGTCACCATATACCCTATTATATTCTGCATTACAGAGTATTGTAGTATTGTTATACTATATTATTATAACACAATAGAGTACAATAACTCACTACATTATTGACTTTTCTACTTCTCTATTAAAACTCCATGGGGACAGGGACCATGTCTCCAATAATCCTTGTATTCTCAGCACATAGCATGGGGCCTGGCACACATTAAAAATTCATTAACAGTTTATTGGATTGAATGTATGGATTAGAATTGTCATCTCCTGGTAAAGCAAACCCATTTTACATGCAAAGTGATTACCTGTGGGGACTATAGCACAGCTTGATTCTCACTATAGCAGTTATCTTTCTGATTGAAAGAAAGAAAAGAGGAAGGGAAGGAGGAAGGGAGGGAAGAAAGAGAGGAAGGGAGGGAAGGGAGAAAGGGAGGGAAGGGAGGAAGGGAGGGAAGGGAGGAAGGGAGGGAGGGTGCGTATACCTGGTTTACCAAATGATGTGGATGAGAAAGGCAGTGATAGGGAGCTGAATAGGTTCCTGTGTAGACCTTTACTACACATGATTCCAAAAAATCCCAAACTAAAAGGAACAGAAGTCAAATTTTACTTTGGTTCGGTGAAACTGAAGGGGCCAAAATAGGCCAGGTAAAAACTATGGGTGACTTAGTTGCTTGCACACAGGCTGGATTATTCCTGCATGGGCTAGGGATTGCTGCCCGGAAGAAGTCCTTTCTGAAACCACAGGAAAGGAAGGGTAACAGAACAGAAAGGAACCACAGGAAAGGCTGCACCTCGTCTTGAGCCATGCCTGCCAGTCATCTGTAAGAGTTGCTGTTGGATAGCAACAAGTATCCGTTTTCCTTCAGTGATCTGGTAGGGGATGAAAGGCCCTCCTCTAACTCATTACCTTGATAATGTTGAAAAAGAAAATCTGATCAAATGTGGCCCTAGGAAAAAGTTAAGTAGGGAGAGAAATGAAACAAATTTTGGAGAGTAACTTGAGAACAGTTTTTGGTAATTGTGAGAAATGCATCCACAGATCATGAAACTTAGCATGCCAATAAAAACTTAACTCACTTGAACATCTACCAGAAAAAGGATCAAACAGTTAAAACTGCCTTTAAATCATGTCTTTAATACTTGTAAAGTTGTGTGGCTGTGATAGGGTCTTGGGAGTTCAAAAGAGAGTTTTTCAATAATTTTGAGTATCTACTATAAGCCAGGCACTTGACATATTATCTAATTCCTACAAAACACAGAGGCACATATTATTATACTCTTCGTATAGATGATGAAACTGTGGCTTATAAAGATTAAGTAACCTGTCCTAGGTCACACAGAAAGTGATGGAGCTGGGATTTGGTCTCACTTTTTGTCTGCTTTCAGTGACTGTGAACTTGGCCTGATACTTTGATGCTTTCTATGCAACTTTCATGGTATTTGTATTTTCTGCATTTCCCCCCATTTACCCATATTCTGTTACTCATGTGATTGCAGATGTTTGATTCTGTGAGGGGTTAGGTTTTATTCCCAATGAGAGCTTTGGTTGTGATGTTGCATCTTGAATTTTAAACTTTCCTTAAAGGAGAAAAATTGAGATAATTAAGACTTGTGAATTATTTGAAATGACACATGATTTTTCTTTCTCTGAGGCTTTTGGTATAGTTTAGATGATTTATTGTGTATTTGTCCTTGGAAGTATTTGTTTCAGGAATAAGTTACCGTTGTTACCTGGCCTGTGGTTTCATTCACCTCTTTTTGCTCTTCATGAAAAACATATGACTCATCTTGGGATTGCTGGAATTGGAGGGTAAGTAAAAACCCCACGAGGTCCTGGTAAGAGCAGCTGGTTCTTTGATGTTTATCAGGAGTGGACTCGGAGCCTAGAGAAGTGTACATGTGCTCATCAGCAATCAGACAGGAGTTTCTTATTTCTTTTGGGTGCTGAAATGCAGGATTTCTTGCTGATGATAATAAATGTGGAGTGCACCATCTCAGGCAGCCAGCCTCTACAGCTTGCATTGCTGGGCTCTTCATGGTATGATCCAAAGCTTCTTGGGAGAACAGGGGCCTCCGGCCCTAGTGAAGCAACGGACTTCTATGCTTTACCTTGGAAAACTCCTTCTGTTTGTGCTGTGGTCTATAGACAGTTTCCAGCCTATTGTTGGAGGTAACATCTTACATAGCACCCCCTTTGCCTGTCTTTTGGCACAGACTCCTATGTCCCCAATGCACCTTTGCCATTGTCTTCAACCTGAAACCTGAGTGCTAAGGTGGAATTCAGGTTGTCAGAAATCCTTAACCAAAGGCTTAGGGGAATTTCTTCTGAAGGCTGGGTGTATAGCTGTTGCAGTATTAATTTTGTTGGGTGATTTATTCTGCAGTACTTGGTACTTTCTTTGGTTATGGGGCTTATTGTATTACTTTAACATTGCTTGTGCAATGTAGTGTGGTGGTAGCTAGAATTTGGCAAGAAATTGATAAACGTGTGCCGAATAAATGTCCCCCTTGTACAAGTCATTTTTTTTTCCTTCCTTTGTCTCCTTATTTGTTAAATGTAGTAGAGGAGATCTTGTATGTCATCCCTACCGCCAGGTTAGGCATGAAGCAGGTGGAAGACACATATAGCACAGTGGCTTACTATTTCCAAGCCCTCATGTGGCTGATTTCTAGTTATGGCATTCAACTTTGTCAATAGTCCCATGTGGTAGGTTTTTATTATCCTCTTTTGTGCTTCCCAAATTTGGAAAAAGCTTTGCTGCACATAGCTTTGTGTCAGCAAGACTTTGGGGACAAATGCCAGCTGGACCAACAAAGGGCCAACAGGATTAGTTAGCATGTATGTGAAGTGGAGCCAGGAATTCAGTGGAATGGGGAACAGAGGTGAGTAGGATAAATGTAAGTCTGCCCTCCACTCCATCCCCAAACTTCCAGTGACTGTCAAGAGATAGTGAGTTTCTCATATTATATAAATGGTGATTTGCTAAAATCTTTTTTTTTTTCTTTTTGAGCTTTTCTTTAAAACTTTTTTACTGAAAAATAAAGAACAGGGCAGCTCCCAAAGGGGACCTGTATTGGAGTGGAGGAGGGGCGGTTCCAGAAGGAGAGGGGCAACTAACCAGGCAGATAAACTATCAGTGCCTTCCGCCAGCCCATGTGCCTTTAGAAATGAAGAACCTGGCTCCCTACCCTCTCACTGCTTGAAAGCCCCATCCACCTGAATAAGGCCCATCCCACTGGCCAGAGTAGTGACTCGGGAGCACCACCACCTTCGAGGGCTACCTGTGCCTATTTGATTTCTTGTATACAATAATCTATGTGATTCTGCAGATGACTCTAAAAAAGTTTTTTTTTACTTTTAATTTTTTGGGTACATAGTAGGTATATATATTTATGGGGTACATGAGATGTTTTGATACAGGCATACAATGCATAATAATCACATAATGAAGAATGGGTTATCCATCCCCTCAAGCATTTATCCATTGAGCTGCAAATAATCCAATTATATTCTTCGTTTAAAAGTGTAAAGTTAAGTTATTATTGATTATCTTGACTATAGTCACCCTGTTGTGCTATCAAATAGTAGATCTTGTTTACTCTTTCTATTTTTTTTTGTACCTATTAACCATCCCTACCTCTTTGCAAGGCCCCCACTACCCTTCCCAGCCTCTGAAAACCATCTTGCTAAAATATTAAAAAATAAGATGACTGCTAAAAGCTCAAGCAAATTCAGGCAGCTGACATTCGGGTTATAACTAACGTCAATCAGAGAATAAGGCATTACTGTAACTCCAAAGGCATTTTCTTTCAGGCATGGACAAAGCAACTGAGCAAGCAGGCATGCACAGGTGTGACTGTGACACACGCTACACTATTTTCTTATACGGCTCATGAAAATCTTTTCCAATGTTCTCGTGTCACATCCAAAACAACTGTTGTCTTTGGCAAGCCCTGGTTTCTTTTTTGCTATTTAGTTTCTTTTGGTTTGACGGAGAGGAAAAAAATTCAGAGAGGGATGGTGTGCAACTTCCAGAACCAAAAAGAAACCAAACACCATGTGTAAGTAAATGATGGTTTGAAGAACTGGAAGACTGGAAGCTAAATAAATAGAAGGAATGTGCCTATTACAAGCTCCAGTTTAACAAAAACTGTTGCCTTAGGGAAAAAAATCCAATCACCTTCCTAATTATCCTAAGTCTTTTTGAGTGAAACATACTATTCACATCAGGGGGCCTGTTACTTAACCTTCATCCCCCTTTATTCACCCGGCCTCCTAATCCTGGATTAAATTTCAAATTGATAAAATGCTTTTGCTAGCCACATTAGTGCAATAAACACAGAACTGTCTGCCATCAGGAGATACTTATATTCTTTTAGAAAAACAAGCAGGAAATGATGAAAACCATTTGGAAACTGAAGGGAAAAAAGAAATAAATAAAAATAATAAAAATGTATTACTGCAGGCGATCTGTGAACTGGGGTGTTGGGGGGAGGGGGTGGGTAACAAAAGATTTCTGGCTTTGATTCATACCTTCAGAGAGGTTTCCTTAATGACTGCTCTTTTGTGTCGCCAAAGCCATGCTCATTTATCAGTCTGTGGTTTAATTCAAACCTATCAGGATGAAAATTCAAGGAGGATGAAGGTTAAGTGACAGACATCCCGACTTGGAAACTACAGAGTTGATAAATGTCTGCAAAACTTAACGGTAAAGGCTGAGAGGGAAAAATCTCTCTCCAGGAGGCACTAGAAACAAAGAGGTTATTTGAGTGGGGGTTTGTGGAGGTAGGAGAATCTGATTGAAACACAAGGAACACGTTTTATTTTAACAATGCATTTAATTAATGGTGAGTCAGAGGAAAATTCTGGACTGTGTCTCTCTTATATATCAATGCTGGTAAATTTGAGGTGGTAAGTATAGTGTAGCAAAAAAGCAAAGACATTAATCATGGGAAAACAGGTTTTAACAAAAGAGTTAGTAAGATGTCTTTAGCAGTGTTGTTTGGCCAGTCACTTTGTTCTCATTTGTACCTTTTCTTTTCTGACCTCAGGATGCTCGGTGGGCCTCACCGAGCATCTCCCTTTCTCAAATGTATGCATTCTCTCCTCTCCAAAGTGCCCCTTGTCTAGTTAAGCTGGTTGATCTTGCCACATAGTACAATGTCTGGCATGTAGTAGTGAGGCAGGAGAATAGGGTCTAGAGGCAGGGAACCTAAGGCTGATTCACGGTGACTTCCTAGCACTAAATCAAAAGGAAAACCCCAACTTTCTACGCCCAAGTAACAAAAGGACCAGAGGCTACTCCCTTTGCAACCTCCCCCCTTTTCTGAGTGGTAGATGAAAAATTGAAAGTACCTCTGATTCGTCCCCCACCACAACCAATCAGACTGATTGCAGGCCAAGTCTTTGTTTGCATAGGAATGTAACTTCATAACTTCACTTCAGCTACAACTAATCAGATGTTTGCATAGGGTGTAACTTTGTAACTTTGCTTTAGCCTATGATTGGTCCCCTCCTACAGTCAATTAGACTGATGGTGGGCCACTACTTCATTTACATAGGGTGTACACCAGGTAACCAATGGGAAACCTCTAGAGGGTATTTAAACCCCAGAAAATTCTGTAACTGGGCCCTTGAGCTGCTGCTTGCGGGCTCCCACCATGTGGAGTGTACTTTCTTTTTCTATACATCTCCGCTTTTGTTGCTTAATTCTTTCTTTGCTTTGCTGTGTATTTTGTCCAATTCTTTGTTCAAAATGCCAAGAACCTGGACAGCTTGCAGTCAACACCCTCTACCAGTAACAGTAGGTGCTCAATAAATGTTTGTTTAATTGAGTCAAATTGTATTTGGAGCTGCCTTTGGTATGTTGCACATCCAAGAGACCTCTTTTACCATCCCTGTCTACTAAACTTGGTGTGGCAGTTAAGAGCTTGACTCTGGAATCAAACTAGTGTGATCTCAGCTAAGTTACTTAACCTTTCTGGCTCTATTTTCTCCATTTGTAAAGTGAGGTTACAACACTGCCTACCTTATAAGGTTGTTATGAAGATAAATTGAGTTCATATGTATAAAAGTTCTTAGAAAGAAGAGAAAATGGCTATTCTGAGAGAAATGGCATGTGTAGATGAACATTTTCAGTACTGTAAAAGAATCAAAATCTGTAAATTCCTTAAAAGGTAAAAGTTACAAGTGCCTGTGGAAATTAGAAAAATGAAGAATTTGGCATGAGTGACAACTCTTTTCTCTACCCTCCATGTCCTCTTATGTCCTCTTTTCTGGAATAAAAGCAATTTCAGAAAATACGCCAAAACCATACTGAAGAGTAATTAGTACTTAACATTTAAAGTTTATCTCCAAAAAGTACATCTGCTGGGTCTAGCACATCGCCTATGCATGATGACTGCTCCCTCAGCAATACACATACAAAGAAAGTGACTTTCTGCTTCTAAATGAATGGTAATAATGATAAATCATGAGGAGGTTTTTACGGCTAGTTCCTTTTTAGGTTCAATAGTGACATTTCGCTTTTATCTAATTCTTGGATTGACTTCTGGTTTGGCTCACATTATTCTAGTGGATTCTCTCATTCTTCTCTTCTCCTAATTAAAGACTATCTTAACTAAGGCAAAGACTAGACTTTGAATCAGGGTGGCATTTTGGCATCAAAAGAATGAAAACCAAGCTTTTCATTGCTAACATAATCCATTTTTTACTGAGTGGGTAATTGTTTGGGGCCATTACTACTTCCTGTCCTACAAGGGAAACTTGAAAGACAAATCTTTGGGAGAAAACCACATGTGGATAAAGTAGAGCAAGATGCTGTGATAATAGTTTGGTGGAAGTGGTCACTGGGGAGAAAGAATTGGAACAGCTACTCTGGCATGAGTCTCTCTGCAGACTCTTGGAGCCAGTGCTCTGCTACGTGTTGGGCTGTCTCCGCGGCATGCTGTCACTTGAGAGTGGCATTGTGGAACCTCTTTTGCCTTGGGTGGAGGATTAAAGGATGTCCCCACCTACTCCTTTCTCATGGGATCCCTGGAGGTGGGGCAACCCTGCAGACCTCATCTGGACAAAAGAGGGAGTGTCCTACTGAACATTAGTGAAAGGAATTAGTGTTCTGCAACCTGTCACTCTACCTTCAGTGACCTCCCTAACAAGGGCCTGCCAATATCCAGGCAAGGAAGTATGCCTTTTGAAATGTCCTCTTTCCCTTTGCTCTGTCATGAGAATCTATGCCTGTAAGTAGTTTGTCAGGAACAAAATTTCCTACAATGATTATCCAATATTCTCTTTTCATTTCCTTCACAAGCTTTATATTACTGTCTTGTATTCACTTCAGAATCTTAGTATTTAGCTTATTTAGAGAGATAAACAAATATTATGATGATGACAACAGCCAATAAACAAATGGTAAAAACAGCAGAGGCCTAAGTACAAGAATTAATTAACAAGAAACAGGCAACAGGCCCAGCTGTCTTGAGCAATTCTGAAGGCATAACTTGAAACATGGAAGATGTTCAAAGGACGACTTAAGTGCAGGAAAAAACAGCACGTGCTGTTCACATGTACACTACAGATGTGAGCTTTGTCAGCAGCTTCTCTCTCTTTTTACGGTAAATCTGGTGTTCGTATTACAAGATCACATCAATTATGTCAAATTTAAAAATGCCACGTGACCTAAGAGAGCTAGAGGGAGAAGTTCCACTGGTAAAGGCATTGAGGATAATTTTGTTAGCTTAATCTTAGCATCATGTGATGTTTTGTTCTGCTGTGCAGTTGTGAGGCTAAACCTATTTGTGCTTTTGTATAACACATGGTGTTATATTGAGACTTTTCCTATTTGCAAAGAAACTCCCTTCACCTCCCAATTAAGAAATAACAAAGGATGTATATTGAATGGAAACCATTTATAAGTAGTATGATCATATAGTTGTTCACACCACGTCACTTTTGAAAATGAAAGAAGATGCTGTTAATAATTTTGCTGAGACAATAGGCAGAAATGAAAACTGTCGCAGGAAAGTCAGAATGTATAGTTCCTTGAATTATAAGGCCAGAGTAGAGAGGCTAGATTTGCATCAATCTTCAGAAGATAACAAAGGTTATCAGATTTCAACTTCATAGCTTAGTGTATTTTGGGAGAGATGACTTCATTCACAGTACAGTCAATTTTATTATATTTAGTCAGTTAAGAATGAGTAGTTAATGATATATTTCTGTCCACTGCAAACTTTTCCTCGGTTCCTTACAAAAATAGTTAACAAATTATTTATTTTTAAAATTGACAAAAAATAAAAAATCCTTTTTTTTCCTTATCCTCTTGTGTCTATACACTTGATTTTATTTTCCTTCAACATTTGTTCCTCTTAATAGAGAGTACCAGAATATAAGAGTTATTTTCCTTCTAGCTCTCCAGCATACCTGACTGATAGTGGCCGAGTGTCTCACTGCAGTAGGCATGGGGCTTGCAGTCAGAGCCTCTAGAATGATATCCTATGCCTTCCAAAAGTTACAGCAGCTGATTTCTGTGGAGGTGAAAACCTACAGTGCTCTTTTTTGTTCAACCATCCATCCAGTTGTTCACCAATAAATGGGGGCAGGAAATCTCCTTTTTAGGTCCCCGAGAGCAATGCATATGGTCACAAAGCTTTGGCTTCTCTTTCATCTCACCGAATGCTGAATCCAAGCCATCAGCACATGATGACCTTCCACAGTTCAGGGAAACATCACTTGGTTAGGCTGAGACCCAATCTGTGCAATCCACTTAATGAAGAAGTAGAAAACTTCCCTCGATGCTGAATAGGTTCAGTTTGACCTCTCTATCTTGAACTTTGGTCTCTTTCATTATTTCAAATGTAGACAACGTGGTCGATGGCACACAATTGCTGACCATCTTACAAATTGAGAGACATATGGCCTCTGAAGCATCGTGGAAGGACTACTCAGGATGACAGATAATTTTCTGTTGGCTACTCTTGTCCCAGAGCAATTTGATAGTGCTGACTTTTTGGTGCACCTGGAAATACTTCTCATCTAAACTTCAACCCTAACTAACCTCGTGCCCAATGCTGTACCTTGAGACTTCTAGGGCTTCATCTCCAAGGGCCACCTTTTCAAAGAAGCTGTCCTCTTGGCTGGAGAGAGGAAATTCTGTGACTTTCTTTTTAGACTTTCTGAAAGCTAAAAACAGCAAAGGAACATTCAAACTTAGACATAAATAATTCAACACAGATTTTCCTTGAGTTTCATAACCAATATTAGTTTCTTTCTCTTTCTTGTCACTGCTCCCATGTCCTTTACTGGGAGGAATAACCTTCCCCTTATACCTGCCATCGACTTGATCTGGTAGAATATTTGGGGCAGCAGCAAATAAAAATTGATGATAACCTCACTGGCTACAACCTTTTGTGGCCTCCTAAAATGCTTATAGGATTCTCCTTCCATTTTATGTTATGTGTCATCAGGTTTGATTTTTTTCTAATTTTTTTTTAAATGATGGTTTATTACAGTGTGTTACTGGGAACATTTCCCTCCCAAAGAAAAAGCATGGTTGTAATAAAGAAGGACTGACACAACTTTTGTGAAGGCTTTTCTGCATTAGTGCTGGGCCTCAGCCATCAGATCTCTGCCAGTTCTTTCTTTGTGGCATTAGTAATGTGGGTAACCAAATATATTCCCTCTCGCATTTTGAGTTTCTTTTTATAGTTAACAGATTAATGAAATATAAATAATTATAAAAATGTGGGTATGAACTCTTTCCTTTTATAGATTACCTGTCAACTCAAACATCATTAAGAAATTCTGCATGACTCAGTGAGAAAGATTTTGAACTAATTCTTTAAAAGGAAGGTACACTTTTCTTGGAAGGGGAGACTATCATTCTATGTATTTTCTATTTCATAGACATCAGAGTTTCCTAATTTTTTCTTTTTTCCTTAATTCCCTTCTTCTTTTCTTTTCCTCCTCTTTTTGTCTTCTTCCTCTTTTCCCTCCTTGATTTTCATAATTACTGACGTCCTGTTCTGTGCCAGAAATTCTACTTAGTGCAACAAGAGGATGGGGTGTGAATACAAGGATGAGAAGTCTACAGTGCTGCCAGTAAGGAGTTGTCAAGAGAGTAAGTGAAAAACAGCAATGCAGTTGTGTCAAATGCAATCCTAGAAGCTGTGCAGGGCACGACAGGTGCTCAGAGCAAGGGTTGGGTGGGAAGAGCAGGGCAAACTTTGTCCCACATTGGGGATGTTTTTACTGAGAAGGTGACTTTTGAGATGGATTTTGATCGAAGAGTAGGAGCTACCAAAAGTTGAGAGACAGAGTTAAAGAAGAGGAAGACATCACGGCCAACTGACGCAGCAAGAGAAAATGTTGCTGAGTAAGAGGGACATAACATTTAAGAAGAGGCAACTTGGAATGCTGAGGGTATTTCCAGTGAAAGGAGGAGCAGGGGCAAAGGACTGTTTTTTGGATTGAGGGGTACACTAACAGTTATTTTAAGTCATTGCTGATGCTTGTAACAATTAGGAAAAGTTTCTATACTTATAAATGTTTCATTCAAGGGGGAATTGAGACTTGAAGCCAAAGTCTTGGAGCTATTAAATGGCAGAGTCAGGACTCAGTGTTTCATAAGACTGACTCCCTAACCAATCCTCACCTTCTACACCAGTACAACAGGAAGTAGGGACCCGGAGGGCCAAGAACAGACCTTTAAAAAATCACTTATTGCACCAGGTGGCAAACTGACTCCAAATCACCATGACACAGAGCTCTAGGAACTCACTATTTCCAAAGAAACTCAGAACTAATAGATCACCAACTTTGCAGCCTCATCTCCCTGGCTTGCATAAGATACCTCTAGCTTTATTTGGCATGTGCTAGACAAGGAAGACAGGTAGAATTTTCTGAGGCCATTTGAATGCTGTTAGTAGATCTTGTCAGGGCTGAGTAGCTGATGCTGGGGTGAAAAATAACTTCCAAATATTAATTTGTTAACACACAAAACATTTCCTTATCACTCATGCACATGTCCACCAGGGGCTGGAGGAGTGCCTTCCTCCATACAGTTGTCAATCAAGGGCTCAGGTGGAGAGAGATCACACCACCATTTTAGGACACTGACTTTTCAACACAGCGTGTTGGGATTTGCTTCAGCAAGACAAGGATGTGCTGGGAGGTGAGTGTGGGCACGTAAATGCTTTGGCCTGGAAGTGATGCACATCACTTCTGCTCACATTTTGTCATATAAAACCAGTCATATGGTCACACAACTTCAAAGGAATGAGGGATTGTAATCCTCAATGTACAGGGAAGGAAGAGATTGGCATGTATGAGGGATGTCTGCCACAGGGGTCTAGAAATGTATACTCCAATATATTTTCTCTAAGACTTTAAGGTATAATCAAAATTCAATGCTAGATGCCTCTAGAGCCGTCACTGCTCCTGTTTCTATTTGTTTTTTGCACTGTTTAATACAGTAGCCACATGTAGCTTTTAAAATAAGAACAAAATAAAACATTTAGTTCTTCAGTTGCACTGCATTTCAAGTCCTCCGTAGCCACAAATGGCTAGATGCTACCATTATGGAAAGTACAGATGTAAAAGAATTCTATCATTGCCAAAAGCTCTGTTGGACACTGATGTCTAGACCGGGGGTCAGCAAACTTTTCTGTAAAAGGCCAAATGGCAAATATTTTAGACTTTGCAGGACAAACAGTCTCTGTTATAGCTACTCAACTCTGTAGTTGTAGTGTGAAAGCATTCATGGGCAATGTATAAGCAAATAAGCATAGTTGTGTTCTAATAAAATTTTGTTTAAAATGCAGGTAGCAGGTGGGATTTGGCCCATGGGCCATTTGTTTCCCAAGCCCTGGTCTAGATCAATGGTCTCCAGAGGGATGACAGCCATTTTTACAAGACCATTCAATGAATATGGTAGGAAAACATCAGAACTTCAGTTTATATTTACATTATGAAAAAGAATCCAGTAATCTCTACTTGTCTCCATGATCCCAGTTGGCATTGGTTCCTTCTGTCTGGGTCCATTTGTTGGCTGGTCACATGTGACATATGTTAGTTGAGAGTTCCACAACCCAGGGTTGTGTACTGCGGTGGTCATAGGCATTTTTTTCCCTTTTCCTAATGCATTGTGACATAATATAGCCTATATAGCCTAGTTTTGTAATTTTATAAATTAAATTACCTATAATAATAGGTTTCTGTTGAATAAACTAACCCTCCATGTGATTAAAACTTTTTCTGAGCGACATGACTGAGTATTGTGCTATCGTCTCTTGCCTCACTCTGCCCTGTGACTCAGGGCTTGGGTCTCCACAAGCCACAGTTCTGCCTTGTCACTTGGTTCCCTATGTCGAATTCTGTCAACCTGAAAGGTAGGAGAAGAGAGCAAGAGTTTGTTCCTTCCTACTTGTCGGCTGCTTTTGCTGTTGTCACCCCAGTTGGTTCCAAAAGCCGTTGGTTCCAGTTCTCAGCTTCTTTCCACACTCAGAAACTCCAATGTGGCAGCTCCAGCCAGGCTGTGCTCCCTCCTTGGAGGTCTGAGCCCTACCCTGTGGGCTCCTCCTTTGAGCACCTGAGGAAACAGCACCAATACCTCTTCAGGGATCTGGGTCCCAAGACACCCAGCCTCCCCCAGGCTTTGGGGTCTGTTAACCCCGACTTCTTCCCTTTGATTTCCTGCCCTGGGAGTGGAAGCTGCTTCCTAAGTTAATGTGGTCTCTGAGACCACAGCGTCCCCTTTCCCCTTTTAAGTCCTAAATGCCTCTTGAGCCAATTTCCTTTATTAAATTATCTGTCAAAATAACTAGAGTGGTTTGTTTGTTGCTTGGGCCCCACCTTATACAGACACTATAAAATACAGGTTAATCATGTAAACATCAGGTAACAAGAAAAGGGTGGTGCTGACAATATGAAAACCACAATGATCTAATCATAGAAGTAATATGTTGAAAAAGGAAGCTTGGAAAATCACTACTGTTAAGGATAAATCTCACCTCTGGTTTATATTGTGCTTTGGATATGAATTAATGACAATAAGAAGATGAAACAATTACCAAGACAATTAAAAACAAAGCAACCAAAACATAAGGAAAAACCTGTAGCATGTTCAAGGATATTTAAAATCATGAGTTATTCAATCTTTTACTAAAATTTACTGAACTTCATCTTAAATGTTTAGAAGCAACTTTTGAGGTTTAAAGGATAGCCTTCTGAGTGCAGGCAGCATTTTTCAATTTGGTTTAATGCAATACCCTAAGAACTTAGAAAAGTATGTGGCATGTAGTAGACAATCAATGTATGTATTAAATGAATAAATAACATAGTAATGAACAGTGAAAAACAATAATTTTACATGCCAGTGGGAAATACCTTATTCTTATAGTTATGGTGAAAATGGCTAACACTGTGTTTGGCAAACAATATGGCAATAAACTAAAATGCATTCCTTTGCCAGCAAATGCTATTGGAAAGCTCAGAGAAAACACGGCTGATCATTTGAAGAAACAAGTATTAGAGTAAACATAGAACGTTTACTATATAGCTGCCTCAAGGTACAGCTGGCTTGATCATGTCTCAGTTTATAGTATTTATTAGGCTTTGTTTCATTAAAGAACATAAAAAAAAACTACTCTGCGACCCAAAAAAGAAGGAAGTATCAAATAAGATGCTTTTTGTAGATTAACTGACTTCTTTAAAACAATTTTCTGGAAAGGCTGGGTGAGTATAGCTGCTTTGACTGGAATTTTAAAAAGAAAGGATTCTGGAAGTAAAATCACAGAGTAAGAATCATGAGGGCAATTCATTTCCTGCAAAATGCATAAGCAGAAATATTGCAGGGAAGAAGTTGAAGCTGAATATAACCAAAGTGCTACATGGTTCATTGATGTGGTTAATTTTTTTCTTTTTAAAATAAGACTTTGAAATATTGCATCTTTACAGTGTTTGTAATGAGATGAAGAGTGGCCATGAAAATAGTTTTAACCACATGTAAGTTTGTTCTTGATCATGTGGCAAATTATTTAAAAGAGAAGTAAACCCGAAAGATAAGTTACACTTTATTGTTTTACAAACACAGAAATGCTCCAAATTTGCTGACCTTTCATATGATAACAATTGGTTTTCTTTAGTACATTCCCTAGAAGATATTTTAAAAACATACACTTTTAATTAGTCTATTCAACATAAGGGTGATATTTTAGTTGTGAATGAGAAAGCAATTGTTTTTCAAAAGATACTCATGTTATGGAAAGAGCATTTTGAAAAATGGCATTTGGAAAGGTTATAATTGCTATGTGATTTTGTTGAGGAAAATGGTCTGAGATTCTATCAACATAACATTTGAAAAATATTCTGACTCTTTGAATCATATTACTGATGCTCAAAACAATTTTTTAAACTAAGACTGTTACACTTGCTAATTAATTTGTAGAAACAAATGCCTGCATTTAGGGAATACATAAATTTGCCAGCTAAATATCCACACAACCTTTGCCTAATTGAAGGATGAAGACTGAAAGATATGTCAGATTTTAGCAAGTGTGGGTAGTTTTTCCATTTTGATCTACATACCTTTCTGAGGTAGGTTTTTTATGTCAGACAGCTAAATATTGACATGAGCTTGAGTTTAAATTCAGATATTCTAATTGTATCTCAAAGTGTTAAATCTGGATTTTCATAGATAATGAAGCATTTTAATCACCTTGCTCTCACTAAAAAATTATGTTATATTTTAGTGAGATTAAATGGATTAAATGTAGTTTTGTATTATGAAAATAATATATTGAAATATTAATGAAATATTAAAACAGTAGTTTATATTAGATGTCAATAAATTGAAGATACATATAGTAACTTCTAGGGGAAACTCTGAAATATTAGAATACATATTTAGCAAGCAAATTAGGACAAAAATATAGAATAATATGTAATATGTAGTCAACTGGAAATAAGGCAAGAAGAAAAGAAAGAGGATCACAAAGCAAGAGAAACAGGCAGAAAAATAGTAAGATGGGTAGACTTAAACCCAAATACATCGATAATTTTATTAAATGTATACAGAGAAATACTTCCATGTTGACTGGTTGGATTAAATGCAAAACACAAACATGCTACTCAAAATATAAGGAAACAAAAAGAATGGACACAAAAATCAGAAAATTCTAAATTTGTATGCTATGCATTAAATTTGCATGCAAAGTATTGTCTCTGTGTCACCATCTTTCAGTATTTCTGTGTGTGTCTCTGCTTCTATTTATCTCTCTCTCTCTCTCCCTCTCTCTCTCTGTCTGTCTATCATCTATCTACCAAAGAGAAATCCTCAAGCATATTAGGAAATTTTAACAGACTTCTTTCAGTAACTGAAAAAGTAAAAAGGCAAACGTCAATAAGGATATAGAAGATTTATACAATGTCTAACAAATATGATGCAATACTCACATATAGAATCCTATACTTACAAATGACTGTGCATTTTATTCATGTGCACTTGGTTCACTTACAGAGCTATAAATCAAGTCTCAACAAATTGCAAACAATTTAAAATGTTTAAATTCCACAGTAGAATTAAACTAGAAATTAATAAAAAGATAGCTAGAAAAATACCTGTATATTAAACACTTCTAAATTATCATGGATCAAAAAGGAAATCACAGTGTAAACTAGAAAATATTTTAAAATGAATGATAATAAAAATGACATATCAGAACTTGTGGAATACAGGTAAAGCCATGTGTAGAGAGAACGTACAGTCTTAAATGCCTGTATTAGAATAAAAAAATGGCTACATATAAATTATGTAAGAGTATTCTCTCAAGATCTCAGCAAAAGAATGGCAAGTTAAACTAAAATTTACAGAGGGGAGAAAATAATAAAGGCAAATTTAGAAATAAATGAAATAGGAAATTAATAAATAGAGTAGATCACAAAGCCAATTTTTTCTAGGAGACTAATAAAGTTTATAAGTTCTGACAAGTTTTCCAACCATCAAAAGGCGAGACAATATCAGGAATTATAAATGGTGCATCATCATACAACTTAATGCAGTACATTTGAAAATTGTGATGTAACAGAAAAATCTGTTGAAAAACACTACCTACCAAAACTGACACTAGAGGAAATAGAAAGTTCTGCATAATCCTTATAAAACATTGAAAAAATATGGAAGACCCAAATAAATAGAAGAATATATTGTGTTCATGGATTGGGAGACTCATTATTGTGAAGACACAACTTTCTCAGAGTTGATCTATAGATTCAAGACTATATGTATCAAAACCCAGCATTTTTTTTCTTTTTAATGTGTACTTGTATATAAATTAAAAAACTGAATTCTAAAATTCTTTTGGCAATACAAAGGACCAAGAACAGCAAAGACAATCTTGAGTACAGTTGGATGATTTTACCTTATATAAAGATTTATAATAAACCTACAGTAATCAAAACAGTATGATATTGGCATACAGATATATAATATTCTAATGGATTAGAGTCCAGGATCAGACTCATGAATAAATGTAGACTTTACTTATTCAAAGTTTACACTTCAGGTCTGTGGAGAAAGAACACTTTTATATTTAATAAATGATGCTTTCTTGATTATATGTCCGTATGAAAAATAGAAGCCTAACTGCTACCTCATACCAATACAAAAATCAATCCGGGTGGATAGTAGACATAATGATAAAATGATAGAGTTCCTAGAAGGTAATTTAGGAGAAAAACGTTATGACCTGGGAGTAGGCAAAGATGTTTAAACAAGGCATGAAAAACATGGACTCCAAAGGAAAAGATTGTTAAATTTGTCCATATCAATAGTAAGAATTTCATTGTATAAAAATTCCCTATTTAGAGACTGAAAAACAGAAGTTTCAATTTGAGAGGAGGTATTTGGAACATGGAGAACTGAAAAAGGGCATGTATAATAAATTCCTATGTCAATAAGGAAAAGAGAGCCCACTGGAAAAAGAAGTGAGAGAACTGTGGCTCTTCACAAAAGATGATGAAAGATAAAGATGTGGAAAGGTGCTGAATCTCATTAGTAAATAGGAAAATGCAATTTAAAATCACAATATTTAAAATATTGTGAATATTTTAAAATCACAACCATGAGGAAGGCTAAATGTAGAGTTTAATACTAACGAGTTGGTGAGGACATAGATAGAGCAGTTAGAACTCTCACAGTTGTTGGTAAGAGTGGAAGTTAGTCAACCACTCTGGAAATTGACAATATCTACTATATATGCCTACCCTGTGACCTTGCGATTTCATTCCTAGGAATATATCCAACACAAATGCATACATATGTTCCTAACAAGATATATAAAATAAATGTTCATAGCAACACTTTTTTTTTTGTAGTAGAAACTGGAAAGGACCCAAATGTTCATCAATGGTGGGATAAATCTATTGTGATATGCTCATTTAATGAAATGCTATACAATAATGAAAATGAATGAAATATTGCTGCATGCAACATGGATTGATCACACAAACTTAAGGTTTTGCAAAAAAAGCTGGACTTAAAGAATAGGTACTGTATACTCAGAAACAGCTGAAATGAATCTATGATATTTGGTGTCAGAATATTTGTTATCTTGGAAAAAGAAGATACAGAGGTTTCAATGGGACAAGAGTAGGATTTCTGGGGGGCAGGAGGTGTTACTGTACTTCTTGACCTGGGTGGTCACTATATGGCTGTGTCCAGTTTCTGATAATTAATCAAAGTATACACTCATGATTTGTGCATTATTTTCTATGTATTTTATTCTTTAAAATGTTAATATCAAAGGAGAGAAAAGAGAGAACACTAGGCTGTAGAGTGGGCATGTGAATTCTTTTTTGTTCTTGTTCTTCTCACTAAACAATCCTTGCTTAGTTTGTTCCAGTTATCAGATGTGGATTTGGGTTCTTGGGAAAATGCTATGTATTAGTGATGGTGGTCGGGGGTGTCTTCTTGGGCTTGATGGATCTATGGCTCCTGGTGGGAGTTCTGGTGAGAGGTTGGGGGCCAGGAGTGCCTGTAGAAAGGAGTTAAGCCTTACTTGGGGGCTGATCTTTGAGAAGCTGCACTGGGTTCTGGTAGGTGCTGCAGTTTGAATATTTGTCCCCTTTTCAACATCATGTTGAAATTTAACTGCCATTTTAACAATATTGAGGTGAGGCCATTAAGAGGTGTTTAGGCCATGAGAGCTCCACCCTCATGGGTGGGATTGTTATTATTACAAAAGGGCAAGTTCAGCCCTTTTTAATTCTCTCTTGCCTTCTTGCCTTCTGCCATGTGATGACACAGCAAGAAGGCCCTCACCAGATGCTAGGTGCATAGACGTTGTACTTTCCAGCCTCCAGAATTGTGAGCCAATACATTTCTGTTCATTATAAATTACCCAGTCTCAAGTATTCTGTTATAGCAGCACAAAACAGATGAAAACAGTAGGGTTGCCTAAAGATATGGCAGAGGGCTCTGGGAGGTAGTGGTAGGTGCAGCAATCATTGCACTATTTATAATTCTCTTGTTCAGAAGTTTTTAGATCAGTTAAACATAGGATGTTATTTAAGAAGAGGAAAACAGCTTGCCTATAAAACTTGCCGAAGAAATCAAAGAAAGATGTAAAATTCTTGACAAGCTTAGCCTTATTTAAAAAAGAAAAGAGTATAAAGGACCAGAATCATCGTTAACTGATGCCAGCCTCGAGAGAGAGCCATCAAAAGTTCCAAGTCTGGAGGAAGCTTATGGAAACCTAGATACAATCAACTTTGTACTTAAGCATGAAATAACTTCTCTTGAAAAATAACTGAAATAAAAGAGAAATCCAAATGCTCAGAAAAAGATGAGTTGATGGATGACATTATAAGCATGAAGGAGACATAAAAGTCCATGAGTGCTTTTTCCAAATAGCACATTCACTAGCCAGCATTTTGCCTCTGGTTCCTCATAAGTAAATGAGCTGGTCTCCTGAAAGGAAGGCTTCTCTCTCCTCCGTTCAGGCTTTTATCTTTGCTTCCAGGATATGTTTACTTATCTCCCACTCCACCATGAGGTCTAGTAGGGACAGTGGATCCAAGGACACTGTTCATGGGGAGGGGATTGTTTGGAATCCCCTCCTCCCAGAATACGTGTGGATCCTGCTTTTCCCACACTCCAAGGTTGCTTTTCCCCAACAACTTCCTTGGCGCACCTTCACCAGCCAAAGCAACGAGACATGACCATCCAGAAGGAAGCTTTTCTCCATGTTCTTCCCCATTGCCTAGATTTCTTTCTACCAAGATAATCTCAATTTAGAAATGAATTACCGGCAGCATTAATCTAATCTTCAAATAAACCAATTACTGAACACCAGAACCCCAGCAAGAAACCCAAGACATTTTTTTTCCCTTGTTTCAAAGGGAATTTTGAATGGCTCTGTTTCATTATTGGTTTAAGCAACTGCTGTTGCCCAAGTGATTCTTTTGTCTAAACCAGAAACTCTAGAATTTTCAAGATAAATATGTTTTGTAAATATGCTTTATATGTGAATCTTATGAGTAGGTTTTTGTATACTCTCTATTGCATGAACATTTTCTTTTAATATATTCAGTTCTTTGTAACATAAACATTCACTGAAGCATAAAATGAGCAATTCAATAGGTATTTTAAACCGTAAAGCCTATTTTTGTATGCCAAGAGCTATGTTTAACAAAGTTCTAATAGGAATATGAAAGAAAATTATTACTTTAAAAAATAACTCTATATATATCTTGAAGGCACATACATATACTTATATATGTAGAGGGAGAGAGAGAGAAAGGGAGAGAGGCTAAGTGTGAAGTGTGAAAGCTAAAGAGGGTTAGGGACCTTGGTCTATATATCTCATGAAGGCTTCCTTAGAGACAAAAGAGTTTTCTGGTCACATGAGTGATGTGCTGGAACCAGCTCACACTAGATAACAAATGCTGATTGTTAAATGTTCAAGAATTCATTAAGCTGGTAGTTATTACACAGCTGTTGTTAAATAATAAATTATGTAAACTTACAATTAAATAAGTCATATTTAAAACAAAGGTGATAAAATTTCAAAACTTATTTCTTCCTTTTTATCTTACTACATCTTGTAACTATGCCCCGAAGTTATTTATTAATATTATATCTATTAATATTATATCTAATATTATATCTATGTGATAGAAACACTATATAATAGTGTGCTGCTGTAAATCTTGGTTCAGCCCTGCTTCCAGTGACATCATGTTGATAGTCTGAAATTGAGCATGGTGAGAATATTTACATCGTAGAAATTAGAAGACATTATAAATTGGGGATGGGATTTATTGTTTTGCTGATTGTCCAGACTGAAGAATGTATTGAAGGAAATGTTAATAATGCAAATTAAACTTAATAACTTCTTGCTTATGTAGCCATTACATTGTACAAAACACAAAAAATTGAGAAAATATAGTTTCCCAGTGTTCAAAACTACTGCCTGATTTAACAAGGAAATTGCTCAACAATGTTCTGACATATGTCTTTGTTGTTTCACTTTTGTGTTACTCATTAAAATAGGCAAACATATCAGCCAACATTTATGTTAGAGATACACCTGTTTATTAATTTGCAACCATAAATTGGCTACAGCTATGAGTCAGGCAAAAAACCTAGAACGTATTCTGGGAGAATTCATTGGCCATATGAAATTTATAACAGTGTTGTATATTTTATAGTATTTGTTAATTGTGTGCTAATACCATTTATGTGAAAAACATTTATGACAAAGTTATGTATGTATGTGTATATTTGCATGTATTTTCCACCCACAGAACTGGTTGTTAAAAGTTTACCAGCCCACCACTTGTTATACATGATTTCTGATTATTTATGCAACATAATCAGAACTGCATTCTGTTCTCTCCTTTCTGACACTGTTTCCTAAAAGCGTAACTGTTGTGTCTTGAAGTGCCTTGTTCTAAACATAGAATATATTTCCTGCATAGCACAGACTTTCTTGGAAATTCACAGGAAACATTAAAAGCTCTGAGAAGTCCTTCAGTAGAGAAGCCAGTTTAGCATCATATTAGCATAGTGTTTCCAAAACTTTTGTTTTAACCAATTAATCTTTTCTCTTTCTCTGTGAATATTGATTTCACAGTTTAGGAAATGCTGCTTTAGAGATTGATTAACCAGTTTCATTTGAATGCTATATCTTTTATGACAAGGTCAGTAGCTTCAAATATAGTCCACTATTTACCTTGATTTTATGATTAATCAGTCCATGGTTAAAGGCGTCTTTTTGAGTAAGTGCTCAAAATCTTATTTTCTTACCTGAAAGCAAATATATAATGATGGGTTACAGATAAATCAATTCAATGACTAAATTCATTGGAATGGCTCAGATTGTCTTTGGGAATTCTGTTGATAACACCTGTACTTAACTTGTTTAGTGATTTCAATTCTTTGGACCCTGAATTTTCCTAGTATAAAACAGTTATCTCCCAAGAGCTATTAGGCTTATGATGAGGAATGGAAACATCTCTATGAAGGAACAATACTCACACTCATTGCTTAATTTTCAGAAATATCACCTGTGTGACTTTCATCGTTGTGGAGGCATTTAACAATTTCTCAAAGGACACGTGGAGAAATAATATGAAAGTTATGTTTACTGGTTGTTTTTGCAACATAACTGGAATTGCCTTTCAATTTCTACCTTCTGCAATAAATATTCAGCAAATACTGTAGTGTCTGGAGGATCTTGTTCTTAACACATATTGCTATCATGTTAACAACTAAGCTCTAATAGTATATGTAAAACCTTGAGATGGAAAAGGATCTTAACATTTGATCCCATCCTAACCCAAACAATATCCTCAACTCTGGATGCCTGGAATGATCCATGTGACAGAGAACTACCCAGGGACTGAGGAAGCCAATCTATTTTGTACCATATCCAACTGTTAGAAAGTTTTCCCTTACATTGGCTCATAATCCATCTCTTTACAACTTCCACTCACTGGTCATAGGACTCCCATCCAAGGCTGCATCAAAAGAAATTTTATTCCTCTTCTTGTTGACTCCTACACAGGAATTCTGTAGCATTTCAAAGGGCCAGTATTTAATTCTCCTCACTTCTTTTTCTTTTCAGCCCAATGTCATAAATTGTCTTTGTATTTCCTCATATGACTTCTTGCCAAACTATAGATCTAATCTGCATGCATTTCAGTTTGTGAGCATCACCCCTTAGTCCTCAGGACTGAATTGGTGAATTACAGAAGATCACTTGCTTCCTTATTTGAGACACTGAAATACTTCTGCTAACTTCATGTTAAAATATATTAAACCACTGGGCTTATAGCTGAGTTTTAGCTGTGTGTAGTGGCTGTTGATTGAGACACATCTTCCCCATCCTATCCTTTTATGGTCTTACTAATTTCTGTCTGAACATATTTGGTCCATCACTCATGTCCATTACTCAGCTTTGAGAATTTTCAAGTTAGTATTTATTTTTTCAGTTTCATTTCATGTACAGATTGGATCAGACTGACATTAATGCCTTCCCGCAAGTCATTAATCAAAATGTTGAACCTGAAAAGCTGTAACGGCATTGATTTTTTATTTTATATTAAAGTTTAACAATATGATCACAGGGATTTTGCAGTCATTGGTTTTCATTCTGTTTTTATAAGATTATATTAGAATTGTGTTAATAATTGTAGTGGTTTATGTATTTTAGATTCTTAATAACTATTCAATGTAATACCTCAAAATTCTAATTACTCATTAGGTGTTATAGTTTAAATATTGGACCTCTAAAAACAAATGAAAATGAGTAAGTCTAATATTAATTAACAAGGATTTCAAGAAGCATAATAGTTTAGAATTCAAATTTTTCAAATAAAGAAGAATACTGAGTGAAATTTACAGTATCCTTACCAGGCTCTTGATCTTTTTTTGGTGAAAATCTGAGTTTGTAAACAACCTTGATGGCTCTCATGATAAAAAAGATGACAATTCCTTGAGTTTATCCAGTGATTTAGGTGGAGAGGACTTGGCAAAAGACTTAATCACAATTATGCTGAATAGTTGGGATAAAATGAATGGTGAGAAATACAGAATGCAATTGTTCAAAGTTTTCACTTTTCAAAATAGAATGAAAATTCCTAGCACGTAAAGTGCAAGAAGCAGGTTGACTGATTAAGACTCTTTAATATGTTTTGTCTTACCCTTTGAAGCATAGGATCTGCCCAAATTTTAGGATGGAGACTTAGTTTTTTTTATAGTAGTGATAAGTGAATCAGATTACATTGCTTCCCTACTTAAATCCTCCATTGACCACTTATTTTAGTAAGCAAGAAATATACGCTCCTTATCCTAACTTTCAAGAGTTAACATGATCTCCCCTTTTTCTCCTCTCCAGCTTCATTTTTGTCCCTCTGTCTCAAACAAGATGAGTCCATCTTGCTTGAAGACTTTGCACCAGCTGTCAGCAAAGATCTCTCTGTAAACTCTAAGGTCTAGAGCTTTGAATGATCCCTTTGTTCTTACAGTTCAGGTGCCAGCTCCAAAATCACCTTCTCAGAGAAATCCGTCCTGACCACTCTATCAAAATAATCCCTCTTTCCTCTTCACTTGTTCTTTTTTATGCTAACATTTTTTTTCATGGCTCTTATCACTACTGGAAACCGTTTTATTTATTTACATGATTGTTGTTTGGCTGCCAACCATATAAGCTCCATGAGGCCAAGGACTTTTGTCTTATTTATTAGCCCTTATGCCTAGAAAATGCCTGGCACCTAGTAGGCACACAACAAATATTTCTTAAATGAATGAATTATTTAATTCTTATATTGCAATGGAATCAATGCCCATTCCTTGTTATTATCCAGATTCCTTTATATCAGAAGCCTACATAGGGCAATAATAAATAGTCAGAAGAAAAACCAGTCTTCAGTAACATTCCTTTGCTGGTGAAAATCTTCCTAAATTACTGCAGGACAAAGCTAGAGAAACTCAAAGGCAAGAGAAGGCTCACACTGAGGGGCTGCCCTTGATTGCTTATATTGCACCATTTTATTTCTTATTGCTTCTTGATTGATCCTACAGACAAAAAGGTTGCTATGGCGTAGAGGCTCAGACTGCAGAAACAAGAAGAAAAAGAACTGGAATCAAAAATTATATTCTCACAGAGGCTTTGAATGTGCACGTAATCAGTAATTTTATAGAAACAAACCGTGTGCTATGGTCTGATTAGTATGAATAGAAGGAAGCCAGGTACTATTTTCAAGACAATGGAATAATGACCCCAAAGGCATTTTGAAAAGATCTGGGGGCTCCATGCCCATCTCAGGCCTAGAGAGCTGGGGATTTGAGGGTAGGATGGTTTAAAGGGAGGGGCTCAGAGTGCTTGTAGAAACTTAAGGCTCACTACTCAGGGTTGCATTGGGTCTCTGCTCCCCAATTTCCAGCATAGTGCTCCCCAGCTGCCCCAGCTATGGCTCAAGTGGGTCCAGGTGTGGCTTGGATCACCACTCCAGAAGGCACAAGCAGTGAGCCTTGGAGGCACCCATGTGGTGCTAATTCTGTAGGCATGCAGAGTGCAAAAGCTGTGGAGGCATGGCCTCCTCTACCTAGCTTTCAAAGGATATCTCAGACAGCCTTACGGCCCAGGCATGGGTGAAGCTGCCGCAGAGTCCCCACTAGGACAGTGCCTAGTAGAGCCATGAAAGCTGGCTGCTCCTGTTACTCTGGAGCTGTAGTGCCACTGGAATGCAACGAGTGTCAGCCTGAGAGAGCCACAGGCATGTGATTTCAATGTGTTAGAGCTAAAATATGGCCTGCACCCAGCAAAGCCATGGAAGTGGGGCTGGGACCTTGGGGACGAAACCTCTGCCCCAGTGTGTCCAGAAGGTGAGATGGATTCAAAGAACATTATTCTCAAGCCTTAAGATTTAATGTTGCTTGCCCTGCTGGGTTTTGGGCTTGCTTAGGAAGTTAGTCCTTTCTTCTTCCTCTTTTTTAAAATTTCTCCCTTTGGAACAGGAATGTCTATGCTGTGCTTGTCCCACTGTTGTAATTTGAGAGCACATAACTTTCTGATTTCACATGCTAACAACTGGAGGAAAATTTGATGCAGAAATGAGTAAAGACGTTTGGGGCTATTGGGAAGAAATGATACTTGAGAAAGACATGACTTTTTGAGGGCAGGAGCAGAATGCTGTGGTCTAAATGTGTTCCCCAAAATTCTATGTGCTGGGAACTTAATTGTTGGGAAATGGGGCCTTTTGGGAGGCGTTGAGGTCCTAAGGGCTTCATTTTCATGAATGGATTCATGCTGCTGTAAATAGGGCTTGCAGGAGTGGGTTCACTCTCTCTTGCCCTTTCATCTTCTGCTATGTGAGGATGCAGTGAGAAAGCCCGCACAAGATGCCAGCATCTTGATCTTGGACTTTCCAGCCTCCAGAACTGAGAGAAATAAATTTCTTTTCTTTATAAATTACCCGGTCTCAGTTATTCTATCATAGCAGCACAAAATGGACTAAAACACTGACTCTCAGAAGATGACTTTCTCGCCCATTTGAAGAGAAATTAGAGGTCATTAGACAGGAGTTTCTTCAATATTCCACATTGAAGCCTATAAATTAAACTCCACAATTTTCTTTTCTTCCTTCTTTCCTGATGAAAAATGTCTGCTACTTCTATTTGAGGATAATCCTTTTATCTGAGTTCTGGATCACACCCCATACAACTTTTGAAGAGATTTCGGTCCATTGACTACTCCTCCTCTCTCCTGTATTTGCCACCACTTCATCTCAATTTTTATTTTTTTCTCCAACATTTCAACCTACTCGTGATATGTTTATCTTTCCTTTAAAGCACATTCCTTGAAATCTTTCTTCCCTGCCCCCTTTTTGTTCAGCTCTCTCTTTTTACATCCCACTTGTAGCTATACTTTCTAAAAGCATTGTCTACACTTCGGTCTCTGTTTCATCCACCCACTTCTCAACCTACTGCAGTCCAGTTTTTGTCCCAGTGCTCTGACTAATGTTTCTAATAGCCTCCTTGCTAAATCTAATGATGCTTCTTAATCTTTATTTTTCTTACTTTCTTGGCAGCATTATCTATATCGTTTTTTTGGAAATTAAAAAAAAATTAGCCTCCATAACATTGTAGTCTTTTAGTTTTTCTCTGACTTTTATGGCTATCCCAGGTTCTTGTTTCTTCTATCCCTAAAATGTTTATACATCACAGGGATTCTGTTCTGGGTTATCATCTTTGCTTACTCTATGTACTCTCCTTAGGCGATTGCATTTACAGCCTTAGCTCTACTTTCAGCTACATATTGATGATTCCTAAATTCAAACCTATATATTCTAGTCAGACTGCTCCTGAGAATCAAATTTACATATCTACCTACCTACCTGACGTATCTGTTTGGCTGTTAAAATAAGAAATTGCTTGTCTTCTTCAGAAAACCAGAATCTTTTTATATTCTCTATTTCAGTGAATGGGACAATTACCTATTGAGTCAGCTAAAACTCAAGTCAGGAAATTATCTTTGAGTTCTTCCTATCCCTGACCTCAGCATCCACTCAATCTCTATGTCCTGTTGAGTCAAACTCCTCAATTTCCTGGACATCTAGCTACCATCTCTATTTCCATTCCCACCACCCTAAGTCAAGCCATTATCATATCTGGAATGGATTATTGAAACAGTTGTCTTGCTGGTTTCCCATCACTAGTCTAATGCCTTCTATCTTCCATGTTGACATCATAGCAGTCTTTCTAAAACATTTTTCTTTACAAAATATTTTCAATGGTTTCCCTTTGGCTTTAACATGTTTAAAAAGACCTGTGTGATTCATTTTCTGCGTACTTTTGTCTTCTCTCATGAAATTCCATCTCGTGCTTTATAGTCTTACCAGGAAGAGTTTCTTTCAGCTTTTTAAAGGTACCAATGCTACCACTACCACCCCCAGCTTTACTAAGGCAGCAATATCTCTCGGGCTTATCTCAGAGTTTCCACTGGGAATAAGTATCTATTAGAGTAGTAGGTTGCAAGAAAGAGCAACAGACTCTGGCTTATCATACTGAGAAAAAATTGTTTGGAAGGACACAGGGTAGAACAAAGAAACAAAAAGCTAAAAACTCAGGACTTGGGAGAGATAGAAATGAGGCTGCTTCAGGAATTGAGGAGGTAGGACCTAACATATGTCTCTTCAAGTTTCTGCCATTGGAAGAACTCTAGCCGTTTTCGATCTTGGATTGTACTACTCAGGATTGATATTTCTTGGAGAAAATGCCTCATAGTTGGTGTAGCTTGGGTCACAGATCCACTCCATAAGCAGAGGGCTGCTCTCGGCAGTTAATGGGAGGAGTTTCCCAACTGCCATGAAATAAGAGAGTTTTCAAGGATAAATTAGGGGCTATGGCTCAAAGAGAGAGAAAAAGATGCTGGGCAGGCAAAAATAGTAGATGGCTACCATAGAAGCGATTTCAGACCCCTCAAATTTGAATTAGCGGACTTCCCATGCACTGCTATAATTGTCATCTGTTTTTTTCCTTTTTGTAGCACTCAACGCAATTCTTACTTGTTTGTCCCCATTGGATGGTTAACTTCGTTAGCACATGACTGGCACTTGGCAGGTAATCAAACATGTATTTCCTGTAGGACAGGAAGAATATATAGACTTAAGCCCATTATGAAACATGCTCCGAAAGGCTTTTGAGGCTAGTGGCTTATGTGATGCAATTAAAAAAAAAGAAATGGGAAGTTTTTATAAGAGCATCAATGCCAAATAAGTACAAATCCATATGAACATAATATTGTGTAGAATCTAAACTTTTTAAAGGTAGAGGAAGTATTTTCTATTTTTATATCTCATATAATGCTTAATATAAAATTTACACAAAGAAGTCTCTGAATAGGCATTTATAACATTAAGGATCTTCATTAAAATTTCTTTTGTATTTCAGTAATAATATGTTAATCTTAAGAATATCCTAATGCTTTCTCTCTTTCTTTTTTCTTTGTGTGTATGCGCTGTTGCAGTTTTTAATACCACTAATGACTTTGAAATGGGACATTGACTCAGAATTAGTGACAATCAAGTGTTAATGGTCCTTGCCTTTGCAGCCTATCAGCAACTCATCTCAGCTGATCATTAGTTCCCAGAAAATAAGCTGGATCAGGCTTTCCCAAGATGTGGCCATTTACAAAAGATTCCTGATTGTCATTGGAACCGCTCACTTATCTTTCCTTGCTTTTTCTATTTTTATGTCCACTCGGCTTATGCTTTTGATCAAAAGGACTGATCTATGCCAAATACAGTAGGTCGGTGAGAAGAATTTTTAAAAAAGGGAAAAGAAATAGAACAAAATATTCATCCTGAATTCACACACACCATAATAAAATCACGGAGCATAATTGCCAGACACCACCATAGAGATTATCTAATTGAACTTCTTCACTTCTCATTTTATAAATGAGGAAACTGAGGCCTGGGAGGCTAAGTGACTTTCCCAAGGTTCACAAAAGAGAAAACAAACCATACCTAAACAACACTCTTTATTTCTCTAAACATTTCTGAGTTCTTTCTGTCACTGGGCATCTCATCACAGACTCATCATGATGAATCAATTTGCCAAAAAATGTGATAGAGAAATCAATCAAAATTTCATTGCAGAAATTACTGGTACACTTTCTACTTCTTAATATGTGATGCTCTGAAGATTGACATCTTCAAAAGACAATAGAAAAAATAAAACAGACAAAATAATTGTAAATGACCAGTGGGATCAACCCATAGGCACGTATTTCTCCTGGTAAGTATTTTGTGAACCTAATTATGATCCATCTAACCAGGGTTTAGCAGGTAGTCAGTTATAGAGATGCTCAGTTCCTTCTTGTTCGCTGGATTTAAGCAGTGTTTGGCGTGTGCTGATTTATAATGCACCATTTCTGCATCTGTTTGCCCTCAGCTTTATTCCATGCTCTTTCCTGCTCTGTCCTGCATTGTATTGGATGGACCACTTTTAGACGACTTTTTCTAGGGTTCCTTGTTATCTGACAGGGTTTGCAGGAGCTGGCTCTTTTCAATGTGTGAGAGCCAGTTGACAAATATTCAGAGATCCTGTGAACTGGTTGTTCACACTGGTTAATATCACCATTAAAATTAAGTTATCTAAACTTACGTTAAATAAGTTATTGTATACTAAAAAGCAATGGTAATATCTATTCCAAATGTATCATTTCCTAATTATTTTGCTACCCTTCTTTTGACTGTCTGCGCTCTAGAGGTTATGGTATATCTGTATTTATGGGAAACACTACATAACAGTGTGCCATCATTGTGCATCTCTCCTCAACTTCACATTCATGGAGCATACAAGCAGTAGCTTGAAATTTGCCAAGTGAGAGTATTCATGCTATGGAAATCAGCAAATGCTACGAATCAGGGCTTGTTTTTCTTGGAGAGTCACTAGTTAACATGCTGTTTTCCAGCAGTATTTAGCCAGTGGGAAGCACTGAAGAGAGCTCAGAGGATTGGTGGAAGGAAGAAGTCATGGTTTTTCATCTTTTCTTCTGTGGCCTTGGGAATATCTCTTCCCTTGCCTCCTCCAGTTGTCCCTCTATTGAAGGGGTGGTGGCCAGGCGCGGTGGCTCACTCCTGTAATCCCAGCACTTTAGGAGGCCAAGGCGGGCGGATCACAAGGTCAGGAGTTAGAGACCAGCCTGGCCAACATGGTGAAACCCCGTCTCTACTAAAAACACAACAATTAGCCAGGAGTGGTGGCAGGTGCCTGTAATCCCAGCTACTTAGGAGGCTGAGGCAGGAGAATCGCTTGAACCCAGGAGGCAGAGGTTGTAGTGAGCTGAGATCATGCCACTGTACTCCAGCCTGGGCAACAGAGCGAGACTCTGTCTTAAAAATAAATAAATAAATAATAAAAATAAAAAAGAAGGGGTGGTATTGGCTTCCTGTTGTTGCTAATCTCTGGGTTGCTTCACTGTTTGACATTTGTCACTGAGCTTCTCAGTTCTTCTATCACCAGTGTCACCAATTCTCTGTACTAAATTCTTTCTGCTTTACATATTTGAATGCTTTTTCCCCCATTTAGACCTTATCTGATACATATAGCAAATTTATTTACACAGGTGTCTTTTGTTTTCGGTAGCACTTTTAATGTCAGAGCTTACAAAATTTAAAATAATATGATGTGTTAGCGATAGAAAGCCCTCTCTTTATTCAGAAGAAGAATTAAAGTGCCAGAAAGCGTAAGCAATTTGTTATAGTAGGTTGGTGAAAAGCAATAATGCTTTCCCAGCATATACTGGGATTTTTGACCCACACATTAATATTTTGAGCTAGAAATAATATAGAATTTATTAGAACTACTGAATGCCCTCAGTACTTTTTTGATATCTGAGTTTCGACTTGATAGCTCATATTCTGCCTTTGTTTAGGTATTTTTTTTTGTTTATGATGCCATGGTGGCCAAATCATGTCTACAATGAGAAATTTTAAAATATTGAATAGATTTTTGAAAATTGAACTGGCAGTCAGCTGGCTGTCTTACTGTCTTATAAAAATAACACCCCTGGATGTCGGCTGCAGTGGCTCATGCCTGTAATTCCAGTATCTTGGAAGGCCGAGGTAGGAAGATATCTGGAAGCCAGTTGTTTGAGACCAGCCTGGGCAATATAGCGAGACCTTGTCTCTACAAAACATTTAAAGATTATCCAGGCACAGCAGTGCGCCTGAGCTGAGCCTAGCTACCCAGGAGGCTGAGGTGGAAGGATCACTTGAGCCAGGAGTTCAAGGGTACGTGTGAGCCGTGATCACACCGCTGCACTCCAGTCTGTGTGACAGAGCAAGAGCCTGAATTAAAAAAAAAAAAAAAGCCTATTGGATATATAGCTGCTGTGTCTGGGTTCTGTCTCTCTGTTTATGAAGGTCCATTAACTTATTTCATAGTCAAAATCCACATGATTCTCTGGGACACAGGGAAGAAAGATACTAAGGAGGGGTAGTTTCTTCTTTTCCTATGGTTTTGTAGAATATAGAGAAAGTGGATTTTACTTAGTAAATGACTGAATGGTTTCATATATCATCTCATAGAAAAACATTAATTTTTAAATTCTGCTGAAGTGGCTTAGATTATAAACACTGCTCTTGTTACTTCATATCTTGCAAGTCTCCTTTAGTGCTCTGTTATTAAAATATTGTGAAAGAGAAAGAGCGCTGATTAAACGTGCCTACATGGATACATTTACATTAATGCATGATGATTAATTATAAGTTAATATGCTCATTCACAAAAATATTTTAAGGTGGCATAATGATAAGGCTGCATTGATAACCTTGCACAGCCCCTTATTAACTTTATCAAAAGCCAGATATGAGGTGACGTTAACACATTTTGGAGTGGCATGCCAGCAAGCCAACTGGCTTTCCGTGAGTGTCATACTCACTTTGGACCACAAGATGCCGCTCAATAATCCGTTATGATTTAGGTCTTTTGTTACAAGCCAAATGACATTTCCATTTATTTTACATGCTCTCCAATTACATATTAAAACTTATAGTGGGTGGGTTGTGGGGAGGAGACCCTGACTCTGAAAGCACTTTTTAACTTGGATGTGGGAAATCTATGAATAATTTATTTAAGGTATACAGATGCAGGCTGAGAATTCAGACAACATAGAATTGTGGCATCCTCAGCTTCTGTGCGTGTGTGTACTTGTCTACTCTTGCCCTGCTGTCTACCCAGCCCTTTTTGTATAGTCACCAGCACCATCTGCCCCCGAATGAAATAATTTCCTGCTGGTTCTCGCTAGCAACTCACAAAACAACCTATTTTTGTAACTATTCAAAATGTCAAAGGATTACCTTAAAATAAAAACACATAATCAGCTTTCTATTTTTCAGGCAGCAATTAAGTAGTCACAACATGGCAGTCCATAGATGAAAGCTCCAGAAATAATTGTTTCCAAAGGTAATCACTGGAAGAAGATAATTTTATTTCCCAAGTCCTTGTCTTAGGCTTAAAAAACAATTCAGCCTGAAGATTCAGATGGCTTTGGTCTTTAACTTTCCCATCAAATTTGCCCTACATTTAAATTTATATGTTTTAATTTTTTTGAGATAAGATGGAAGCAAGTCTTCCCCACAAATACTTTTTTATGACCAGTGTCTAAACACGAGCCAAGGTGGTCACATTATGGAAACACATTCCTTGGAAATTTGAGGGGCCAGGCTTTAGAGAAGAAGCAGCTACATAAGGAAATCTCTTCCATAAACGTCATGTAGGAAAGTTACTTTGCCTTTTTCTGGTGTTAATTTGGCAGCAATAGAGCTGATCTGCCTCCTAGATAAAATAGACTACCTAGGTGGTATGATTTCCAGGTTGTCAAGAAATAGCCCTCAACATAGTCTCTTCTTAACTGTCACTTCCATTTTAGTGTGTTGGTTTTCAGATACTTTAGTCTATCTGGCTGAGCACAGGATTTTAAGAGATGGAGACTGATGATCAGAACAAACAAACATATGAGAGACTCTGTATGATGGTGAGAGGAGAGAGAGTAAGCAGCAGAAATGGGAGGAGAATGACCAAGACGTGGAAAGAAAGAGATGCTCTAGGAAAAGCCCCACCTAGTGCATTGTCTCAGTCCATTCTTAGGATGGGATCAACTTGGTGGTGTGAGCATTTAGTTTAGACAATAAAAAATGGACTCTCAAAAAACTGAAAATAGAATTACCATATGATCCAGCATTCCCACTGCTGGTCATATATCCAAAAGAAAGAAAATCCTTATATCTAAGAGATATCATCTGCACTCCCATGCTTATGACAGCACTATACACAATAGCCAAAATTTGGAAGCAACCTAAGTGTCCATCAATGGATAAATGGATAAAGATAATGTGGTACATATACATAATGGAATATTATTCAGCTATAAACAAGAGTGAAATCCTGTCATTTGCAGCAACACAGATGGTCCTTATGTTAAGGACAATAAACCAGGCACAGCAAAACAAATACTGCATGTTCTCACTCATATGAGGGAGCTAGAAAGTGGATCTCATGACAATTGAGAGTAGAATGATGGTTTTCAGAGGCTGGGAAGAAGGCGGTGTGGAGAAGGGTATGAAGACAGGTTGGTTGATGGGCAAGTATAAACATACAGTTAGAAGAAATAAGTTCTAGTATTCAAAAGTATGGCAGGGAAATTATTGTTAACAACAATTTATTGTATATTTCAAAATAGATAGAAAAGTTATAATGTTCCCAACAGAAAGAATAATGTTTGAGGTGATGGATATTCCAATTACCCTGATTTGATCATTGTACATTGTATACAGGTATCAAAATCATATGTACCCCCAAAATATATGTAACTATTAAATATCCATAAAAAATGAATGGAGAGGCTTGTCCTCTGAGCCAGCTTTCTCATTTTTCGTCAGTCCTGGCTCTCTATATCACTGAGAGACACATCACATTTCTTTCTTCATTCTCATTCATTTGTTCATTCTTGTGAATTCAACATATGTTCATGAATAGTTCAACAACTATTTATCTTGTACTAACCCTCCACCAGGTACTGGATTAGTGACTGTGGATATGAAGATGAAAAACATTCGATTGTCAGAACTACAAGGAGACTATCACTGGAACTATTATGCAGAAAATCTCATTTTTTTCTTAAAAATATCCTAATATATAGTGGAAATGTTAAATTTTGCTGTATTTAATGTAAAAGTGAAAAAACATAGCTTCTTTAGACCAGTGATTCTCAAGCCTTCAAATGCACAGCCATCATCCAGGGATTTGGTTAGAACACAGATTGTAAGTCAGAATGTCTAAGGCTAGGCTTGAAATTGTGCATTTATAACGAGCTCTTGGGTGATGCTGATTCAGGGGACCACACTTTACGTAACAGGCTTTAGCCTGTGGGGTGATTAGTTATCCAGAAAGAGAGAAGTTTCTCACAGGAAAATGATCCACTTCTAGGTCAGAGGGAGGAGAAAACAGGTGTTAAGACAAACCTCTATAAAAGTAAGACAGGGGTAAGACAGAGAGGATCTGTTTCTGATGAATCACTCTCTGCCACCTGACTCTGTCTGCGTTTTCAGGATCAGACATATCGTACCGTACACCAGGATACAGGTTTTCTCCTAAGAGGGACACTGATCATTTCCTGCATCACTATTTTGAAACATCAGAACCGAAATGGTTTTTATGTTCCTAAAAGAAGAAGAAGAAGAAGAAAAAGGCACCACTTTCCGATAACCCCCATTAACTACAGGGGTCATTGTGGCAAAATGAATGGGATTAGAAATCTGCTAAAAGCTGCAGTATATGGTACGCGGTGACTGACAAGCCTTTCGCTGAGTAGTTACAAATGGGACTAATGGTTTAAACTTGTTAGTCATTGTCAGAGCCTCTGATCCTTGAGTCAGCCATGGATGCTATGGCAGAAATCGATAAGGCACCACTTTCCGCAGTGAACTGCTAGACCATATAGATTGCCTGGAGGGAAATACTGAGTTCCCTCCCAGGCTGCCAGATGAAAGCAGGCAGCTAAATCTCCAGGAAGATTGACCACACTGCTCGGGGCAATTAGGCCTTTCACCACTTTGAACGATGATTATAAACGGGGGAGAGGGTTGGGAGAGTGAAGGGGAGACAGCTCTGCATGACAAACTGAAAGCTGGAAGCCATTTTGGGGAGCCTTGTCAGTTTCATGGTCACTGAGGGCATTTTTTTTCCTTTCCGTTGTTCAGATTGTTATACAGTGAATGTGCTGGGGCTGCTGCTTTTCCTTCCTTTCTTCTTTCCCTTTATTTTTCTTTAGAAGCTGGAGAAGGGAAGACAGGCAGCCAGAGCAGCACTTGGTTGATGATAAACTGTAAACTGCAGCTGAACTCCATTAATCCGTTCAATCCCTAAAGCCTGGGGCCTGAGTGCGTGTCGGAGGAGGGCTTCCTGTTGGGTACATTTCAAAACAATCACATCCCATTGTTCAGTGCCTTTTTGGGTAGAGTCCTGCGAGGATGCCAAAATCATCAGCGAAAGAAAGTGCATGTTCCCGCAACAATTACAGACAAGCTGCAGATTATCAGCAGGCTGCAAGGGGCAAGGTGCTGGGGCCCATTTGGCAGAGGGCTCTGCTTGGAGAGGAGCCTCATATCTGATGCACACAAGGCTGCACCCAGCATTATTATTAAGGGCGTCCAAGTGCTCCGTGGCTGCCTAGGCTGCGGGAAGCCCAGATGTGCAAGAGAAAGGAACTGCAGGAGATGTGCAAAGCTTTGCCTTGGTTCTGGGCAGAAAGGCAGGGCAGCTTAGCCTCATGTCAAAGAGTTTCTGGCCTCTTTCTGCTTCATCAACTTTGTATTTCTGCTCAAATTTCAACTGGCGATGCATCTCCATTCCCTTGTTTCTGTTGTCGAGTTCCATTCCCTTTCTAACATTAGCTTCATGATTGATTTGTTTAATTTTTTTCTTTTCTTATCAGGCCCTGGCTCGTAGTCCACTGTTGACTTTAAGTTGTACTGTAAACCACGTTCCGCTAAGTATTGTTTAACTGTCAAGTGGATGGGGAGGCAAGATGTTGTGGGAGTAATCCCAAAGTGCTGCTCTGTGGCAGGGCTGTCAGTCAGAGGTTCTTGGACCATTTCACCACCCTGGTGACTGCAGTCCTTGGTGGAGACTGTGGAAAAGTCTGTTTTTTTGAGGATTGCTTGGTGCCTGGTGCCTGGCATTTTAAAGATGTGTATACCAAGAATTGAAATGCTGAAGTTCATTAGGAAACAAGAAGGTACTTGGAGGGAGTGAGTGCTGCCTGTCCTTGATGGTGCTCATCTCTTCCATGGCAGGGGGTGGGGGGCGATTCAGGGGGATTGTTTGTTGCCATTTTTTGTTGCATGGAAAGAGGAGCTGGGGCCCAAAGAGGCAACTAATGGGCATTTTTTGCTCATCTTCAATTCACTAAGCATCCATGAAACATCGCCTGCTGTCAAAAGACCTTAGCCCAGGTGGCTCCCAGTCAGATGGGAAGCTTCACATTACCTATTTACGATCCCACGAGGATGGATTGACCCCTTATGGCCCACGGAATGTACAACATCAAGAGTGAACCCTAATGTAAACTATGAACTTTGGGGGATAATGATGTGTCAATGTGGGTTCCTCAGTTGTAACAAACATACCATACTGGTGGGAAATATTTTTAATAAAGGAGGCTGTTATGTGTGTGAGGGGAGAGGGTACATGGGAACTCTCTGTACGTACCTTCCTCTCAGTTTTGCTGTGAACCTAAAACTACTTTAAAAAATAAAGTCCATTAAAAAACAAAACAAAACAAAAAAACTAAAGAGGGAATTATAACCACTGTCCAAATATTAATCACAGTAAGTGAAATAAAATGAAGCAATTTATTTGATTTAGAAGATTCTTTTATAAAGTAAGTGAATTTGACCTTCCTCAGCCTTCTTTATGGCATGAAATGAGAATTCTTTCTGCAAATCAAGTACATTTAAAAGGAAATATTAACTCTTTTAGGCAGCCAAGGAATTACCTTAAAATACTTAATAATTAGAAAACTGTTAAATCACAGAATAATTTATAGAATTTGGGAAAACTTTTTCAGTCCTAGAAAGATAGTTGCTTTAATGATATTCTTTTTAGTTACTAGGTTCATCTTAAATTATAGTTTTACTGGGGTATTCTAGAGTACTGGGATGGAATGTGGGCAATGTGGATTGTAGTTCTGATTCTAACCCAGGGCGTTTTGGTGAGCAAGAACTTCCATCTCCTTGCCGCTTGTTCTTCACCTGTGAAATGGAAGACTTCACTAGCCAATATATTGAGCTCCTATGGTAGGGAAAACGATAGCTTCCCAAACAGTCCACACTAGAATCTCTGGAGTCTGTGAATGTGTTATGTTCCATGGCAAGAGGGATTTTGCAGATGTGATTAAGATAGGATGTTAAGATAGAAAAATTATCCTTTTATCCTGGATTATTTGTGTGGGCCCAAATGTAATAACAGGATTCTTAAAAGATGAGAGGTGGGCAGAGTCAGAGAAGGAGATGTGACAGTGGAAGCAGGGTTGGAGTGAAGCAATGTGAGAAGAACACCAATCTGTCATTGGTGGCTTTGAAGATGGAAGGAGGCCATCAGCCAAGGAATGTGGGCAGCCTCCGGAAGCTGGAAAAGGCAAGGACATGACTTCTTCCTGCTGAGCCTTCAGAAGAAACACAGCCTTGCTTGGTCTTAGCCCTGAGAAACCCAGTTTGAACTTCTGACCTCCAAAGCTGCAAGATAATACATGATATGGTTTGGCCGTGTCCTCACCCATATCGCACCTTGAATTGTAATAATCCCCACCTGTCAAGGGTGGGGCCAGGTGGAGATAATTGAATCATGGGGCTTTCCTCCACACTCTTCTTGTGGTAGTGAATAAGTATCATGTGAACTGATGGTTTTATAAATGGGAGTTCCCCTGCGCAAGCTCTCTTGCCTGCTGCCAGATAAGACGTGACTTTGCTTCTCCTTTGCTTTCTGCCATGATTGTGAGGCCTCCCCAGCCATGTGGAACTGTGAGTCCTTTAAACCTCTTTTTATTCATAAATGACCCAGTCTCAGGTATGTCTTTATTAGCAGCATGAGAACAGACAATACAATATATTTGTACTGTTTTTAAGCTACTGAAACTTTGGCAATTTGTTACAGCAGCAATGGGAAGCTAATACAGATCCCTTTTAGCAATAACTTCTGTTGAAGCTATGAACATATAATGTTTGAAGGGTCACTAGAAAATTCTAAAATCAGATAGTGATATGCAAAAAAAGATGACTACTAACCATGATTTGAGTGTGAAATGTAGGGCTTACTGAAGATAAAGTTTGTAAAAGCAGAAACCAGTAAGAAGGGAAAATAAGACACCAGAATCCATGAAGGAAAAAAGGATAGAAAAAACACTGTGAAGGAAGAAGCATACTTTAGCATTTTCTTATGCTTGAAGTATGTGAAACAGCTGTATACATTTTTTTCTCTTTCCTTGATTGGCAGAATGGAGAATGTTAACAGATACTTGTTTAGAAGGAACAGAAGCTTAGAATTAGCAGGGGCCATTGTGATTGATCTTGTAATGAACGTCAGAATTCATTCTACACCATCCCTGAATATTGTTCCTGACTCTGGTACTTAGTAATATTTAGGTACTTCATCAATATTTGTTGCATAGATGAATATCTTTTATTAATGACAAAGATACTAGCAATAAGTAAATTAGAAATTATGAAAAAAAAACCAACCTGAATAATCAATTCAGATTCATTAAATTGGGAGCAAGGCATATTTTGAATATAGTGATAGCTTTGTGCTTTGTTTTTCCTTCTGATTTAAAAGTCTGCAAACTGTACCTTGTTAATATCTTCAAAGGGACTTTCTTCTTTCCAAAGAGACTATAGGTGATATACAGAAGTACTTAGATGCTTTCCTTTAAGAAACCTGTGAATTCACTGAGAAACCAAAGATTATTGCCTATTATTGAAGAGTATCTAGCACTACTTTCCTCTCAGGCAAATCTATTTAAGCGACGTGGGTAGCTATAACCTCCCAGTAACACAGGATGCAGAGGTTACATTGGGGCCTCAAACAATTAATCAACATTATGGCATAAGGGCTCAAATATGGAAATTCTGATGGTCCTACATGTTGATAAATGGCCAATTTATGCTAAGATCCATCAAGTGTGTTGGGGCATTTGGAACTATCACTGCACAATCATGACATGGTCATTATCGGGCTGCAAATCGTCCAAAGAAATGACATGCTTCAGGAAGCAAGATTTGCTGGTGGTGCCTGCCTCTTTTTAAACTCAGTGTGAGGCCAGCTTGCTGTAAACGAAGCAATACAGCATGTAGATTAGCTCATGTGCGGCAGCTGCATGGCGGAAAGCAATTATAACACAGAAGCAACTCCACACGCAGGAACTAGCACCTCCTGAAATATGATCACCTCCGCTTCACTACAGAGGGAGATGCCAAACTGAAATACACACACAGCCGTAATGGAAGAGGGAGACCTGAATATATTATTGGGAGGAGAGAAGCTGGGGTTGTTCTTGAGCAGCCTCAGCTGAAACTAAGCAGTTGGCAGAGGCCATTGTTGAAAGCTCTTTAGCTCCTGTGGATTCTGAAACAGGATTCTTCTAGGGATACCACAGTCCACTATTTTCTTTGTTTAATGCTATGCAGAGGATATTAAAGTCGGGCATTATTGGATTTTCTTTTTGTTGATATACTAGAGCTGACAAGTGCGTCTTTCTTCCTAGAGAACCCTTTCTCAGAAATGAATGAGCATGCCCAGTGGATTGAATGGTTGATGTACACCAGACCCGGGTGGGACCAACACAGTTTGGTCCACATATGTGCTCCCCACATAGTTTGAAGCCTTGCTTGATATTTGCATATAAGGTGATATATAGCTGGGCTTGGGCTGCTAAGTTCTGCCCTGTGCTCAGTGAAGCAGGAGTGGCTAGTCTGCAAGTGAAAAGGAGCCAAATAGTAGATACGCAGACACGTGAATGAGAGATACCACAGTCTGAAAGAGAAGATTCAGTGGGTTCAGATTCTGACTTTCCGTTTACTAGCCTCAGTCACTCGTGAGTCCCTGCTGTAGTTTCTTCTCCTGGTTTCTATGAGATATTTATCCTTTTACAAATGCTCCCTTTCCTTTATTCTGTTTTGAGTGGCTGTTTCTGAGGCTTTGATTAAATGATTTCCGTTTTCCCCAGCTCCACCCCTGCCAGCTTTGGCTGAACTCTTAACATGTCACAGAATTTGTTTTGGTGGTTTAGGCATATCATTTTATTCAACAGTATCACCAACATTCAAAGGTAGATATGGTTATTTCATTTTTTCATGAGGAAATAGACTCGGAAAGGTTAGATAATATCTCCAAAGTCACACGGTTGATAAGTGCGGGAAGTGGTGATTTCTATTGAAGTTACATTTGCATTGAAATTGATTTTACATTTTCTGTGAAATCATTAAACCACCTACTATATAGTAAATGATTTATGCTATAATTTGAGAGCAGAATCTATGTTGAATTACTGAATCAACTTGGGAGTAGGACTAGAAACCAAATCATCTTTATTTAAAAAGCTAACACTGTCTATGTTTACTTGAGGGCTGAAAACTTGCACAGCTTCAAAGAAAATAGGCTATGTATAAGAATTTTTCTGGGGTAGAGAGAGGGGGCGAAAGTTTTAGAAGTGTACCTAGATTATTTATAACCTATTCTGGTTTATAGCTTGCTGCTGCGTCAATTCTGTGATGCTGAAAAAGGTGCAAAGTCCACTAGATACACCATGAATTGCTCATCTTGGTCTCTCGTATTGAGAAGCTAATTAGAGATAATTGGATTAACATTATTTTTCCTAAATCAAAGTATTCTGATACTCCTCTTTCCTAGTTTTATCTTTCTTTTGATCATAAGGAAATAAATGTATCCCTAACTTGTAACATTTGGGATCTTCATTCTCTTTAATTTTCATTTGCTTTTTTTGTGCTTTCCTCGCCTCTAGCTTTCCTTACCATGATGTTTAAGACTGCTCATCATCTGGGCACAATCATGACCTCCTTTGTGGCCATTAGTACTGTCCACATCTTCATCTCCTTTCTCCTGAGTGTCTCTGAGACATACAGCTAAACTGAATGTCTCAGAGCTCCTCATATAGGCTATTGTATCTGTTGTCTGTGACTGGTTGTTGCTTCCTGCCTCACAACCCATGACACTTCCCTGTCTAAACAAATAAGTATTACCCATACTTCAAGGCTCAGTTAAAATATTACTCCTTCATGGCCAAGTGTGGTGGCTCACACCTGTAATCCTGGCACTTTCAGAGGCTGAGGCGGGCAGACCACTTGAAGTCAGCAGTTCGAGACCTGACCAACATGTTGACACCCCCTCTCTACTAAAACATTAGCCAACCGTGGAGGTATGTGCCTGTAAAAATTAGCGAAGCGTGGAGGTACGTACTTGGGAGGCTGAGGCAGGAGAATCGCTCGAACCTGCAATCACGGAGGTTGCAGTGAGCCCAGATTGCGCCGCTGCACTCCAGCCTTGGTGACAGAGCAAGACTTTGTCTTAAAAAAAAAAAAATTACACCTTCATAATGAAACATTCCTTGAATTCCTTGATTGACACAGTCTGTAAGCAACATTGTCTTCATCTGAATTCCTATTATGTTCTATCTCCACCACTCTTATGATTCCTAATGATCAAAACCCCGGAATTATAGTAATTTTTGCACATGCTTTCTCTTTAGTGCACTGTGAGCAACTTGAGGGGAGGAAGAATTTTGACCTAATATGTTTATCCTCCCTGACATCCATGGAGTAACTTTTATGAAATAAGTATTCAGTAAGTACCTGTTAAACAAATCCTTTTATATGTGGGTAATTTTAATGCAGATCTGATCTGAAGACATTTGTCATACCTAGTACAGTTTTCTTTTTTTTTTTTTTTTGTCAGGGGAGGCACAATAGTACATGCTTATCTGGTGAGTGAAGGAGGAAAGAGTCACTAAAAATGTTTTTTATATGATTCATTGACGAAGAAGAAACACTGAATTGCCAGTTTTTTATATGATCTGTTTCTTTTAATTATATAGAAACAGCCTTGGTCAAGTAGGCCCTACAGGCTGGAGTCGATGCTGACTATATTGATATGATATGTGGAGTGTGTGAGACAGGATGCTTAGCTCTAATTAATCTGAAACCCAGACTGACTGGCTTAAATAAAAGGGCAAATTTTTAATATACTTTGCAAGAAGTCTGGAGGTGGCGTAGCTCCAGGATCAATTAAATTCCTGTTTCGATGACATCAAAGACCTAGGTTCTTTGCTTTTAGCTTGTTGCCTTTGTTCTCCTGCTAGCTAAAATCTTCATGATTTTTAGTGGTTCTAGTAATCGTACGCAGGCACAATAATATCGAATGGAAAAAGAGGACAGGTATTCCTGTGTTTTTGACAGCAACAAAACCTATCCCAGGAGCCTGGCAGAAGTGTCCTCTTTATTTCTTACTAGCCAGGGTTGAGTCACATGACTATCCCTAAACCACTTCTGAGGAAGGCATTGGGATTACCATGTTGGATTAAGCTTTGAGGACTTAACTCTGATTTTGGAATAGGATCACCCTCATCTCTGGAAGGTGTGTACCACAGTGAAATCAGGATTCTGTTATTATGGGCAAAAATATGTAATGACTTTTGGAAGGCAACATCAGTGTTGGGCATAAAGAGAATACAAATATTCCTTTATCTAGATTGGTGATTATCAACTGTCAGCATGGGGAGGAAGGGACAATTTTGGCCTCCCTACCAACAGGGAGCATTTGCAATGTCTAGAGACATTCTTGGTCACATTTGTGGGGGTGGGAGAGGCTGCTACTGGTTTTGGGTGAGTAGAGACCGGGAATGCATCTTGCAATGCACAGGACAGCCCCCCACCACAACAAAGAGTTATCTTGCCCCAGATGTCAATAGTGCTGAGGTTGAGAATTCCTGACATGGATATAATTGCCCTCCGGGGCTGACACATTGTCAAAAAATCTTACTATTTATTTATAACGTTGATTTGAGACAGTGAGGACCAGTGTTCATATATATTTTACTTTGGAGGACTAATACACCAATAAATTATCATCCATTAAAACAATAGCAAAAATATTTCATCAAATTGCCTTGCCATCCACTTAATAAGACCCTAGGGAAGTGAATGTGACCTATAACAGAGTAGGATTTGACAATGAGACTGAAGTCAAAGAATAAATTCAGGAGACCCAACTATGGCACGTACAATCACTATTTCCTTAATGCAGTAAAAAATGACCAAGGGCCAAGAAAATGGAGAGAAATACTATCTATGCTACTATTTACATAGTAGGCATCACCCAAGGAAAAGTATAGCATATATTATAATAATTTTCCAGATTAGAAAACTGGGTTTCGGTGATGTTAATGAAAAAGCAGTAAGTTCAAGAGAAAAAAAGCTTTTGTTTTCAAATTTTCTAATAAGTGAATCATTTTCTCTTTTTAGACATTTTTTCCATTCCATTCTGAATAAATGAGGAGGCCTTATCACTTAAGAGAAATTGTAAATATACCAGTTCAAATTTTGAGACTGGCAAGTTCTATAAACAGCACTTGTCATGCCTCCTCTCCATCGTTTTACTGACTTGTCTTTGAAATTATAGCTGATTCTGTAGATCAATGTGTCAGACTTCTTGAAGATGATTTTCTTTCGAAGCTGTAGTCATGCATTACTTATATCCTGTATAGCTTCTAGCACAATAAGCTACATATTGTGAATAAAATGGACATTTTACAATTTTTTGGCTGTCCAGCTTCCAATCCCCCTTAGTACCGAGGGAGAATACACTATTACATTGAGAAGCAGAACTCTGCCTCCTCCTAACAAGAAAGCTGAAGTATTCATACTCCCGCTTTTCATTGCGTTGTAGTTACCGGGACAAGAGTCATGTGACTGAAGTATCACCAATGTGATGTTCTCCTTTCAGATTTTGGAAGCCAATGTTTCTAGATAATGTAGTTACAAGATGAAAACTGTATGGGTTCTTAAGTCTGTACTTGGAGAAGAGCTTTCTGGAAGAACTGCATGCCCTAAAGTAGATTGTGTGAAATATCAAGCCAGTAAGATTGAAGGTATTATTTGTTCCTGCAACCTAGCCAAGTCTATCCTGACTAATGCATTGATGAAAAATATTTGTCAATTAATGTGCTTAAAAAATAATTACTCAGTGAAATGGAATAGTGAAGACTAAAGGACAAAAGTTTTGTAGTCCAAGAGTACTACTTGGAACTTCAGTTCTATCACTTACTAATTGTGTGACTTCAGGCATTAGTTCAAAGAAACCTGAAGGTAAGTACTAGGTAATGTTTTTTAATTTTTACTATAAAGAGGGAGGCTATGAGTCCAGAAAAACTTGAGGGAGATAAATCCCATTAAAGCCCTCTCTGCTCCAAGACAACATAATTACCAAGGAAACATCTTATTTTAGTTCTCCAAAATGGTTTCTCTATTTTTCTCTGGAAATTATTCTGTTGTGTTTCACACACAAACTAATCTCTTGCGAATGTGGAAGACACAAGCCTCATTCATGCCTTGATGAGCTGAAACGCCACGCTTCAAGTCTGGCAGCTGGAAGTTACAGTTCTGTAGCTCATAGAATAACCTTGAGTCTTCTTGTCCCCATCCAGCTATCTCCATTCTTTGATGCAGAACCCTCAAACAGTCGCCCAGTTGGTTCAGATTTAAAGCCTTACTGCCTGTTGCCCCCTCATTTTGCATCCTTAAAGCAGCATGATGAAAATTCAGTGTTACGCAACCTGAAACTAGCATTTCACAGACATTATTCTTTTGTGCCAAAGAGCTCACTCTAATATAATGTCCAATCTTCCCACAATTATCACATTTCCTCTCCCTGCTGAACACTCTGAAGCATTTTTGCTAAGTAGTTTCAGAACCGCAGTGGAAACAGTCCTGGTCTCTGGTGGTCAGATTTGCAAATTTATCCCCAATCATTGTAAATCCTGTACCTGTACTTCACATATACAAAAAGCCTACTGTTATGCCAGACAGGCAAGTGGGTTATTCTGAGGTGCCCTCTTTGCCATTAGTCTTACTGCAATGGGACTGTGGTGCGTTGAACTAGAACTCCCAACAGCTCCCAATGCTGCCTGCTGCCTCAATGAATTTTGTATTAGCAGGCAAATGAAACACTCAACCAAGTGAAAGGAATTCATAATGTTGAGGCATCTTAGGATAAGAATGTGCTGTGCATTTTGCAGAAAGGATCGTGGCTATCAATGTTCAATGACTAATCTAGATAAATCGCCACTTTACGACACATGTGGCCTCAAGTCGTTTAAATTAGTGGAGTTCAGCTATAGAACACCAGCTGAACTGGAGCCTACAAATTCATATGCTTCCTACACATGCATAAATGCTAAATGATAAGCTTGGTAATGATTGGGAGCCCCTCATTTCTGAGAGACTGATAAGCCAGTACAGTGTTTCTTTGCTGAGTGTTAATTAGGACAGTGTAATAAAGCTTCAGAAGTAGTCTTCCAAACAAGATAGTTTGAATTAATGTTTATGAAAGCTCTTTATTAATCTGAAAATGCTCTTCAAAGGTAATATGGGAAAAGCTTTTTTACCCTTAATGTGGCATTTTAGTAAATACCACAAATCTTTCCATTTTATACCTATTCTCATTATAACCACAGCCAAAGCCTTAAAAAAAATGTAACAACTTACCCAATATGTCTTCACCATTATTTTCTTCCATGTCTCCCTTAAGCAATGCTTTAGCCCTGGAATTTGTTGGTGAGATTATCACCTTTAGGGGGTCCTTTTCAGTAGACCTATACAGTTTAGGGGTGGAAGGTACTCAGAGATGTTCTTTTCAAACCATCTTATCCTGCAAAATAGAAAACTGAAGCTCTGCTTACTATAAATTGAACTAGCACCACAATTGATGACCAAGAAAGCTCATGCAATATTGGGCTGAATTGGAACATGATTACACAAATGGTGATGGTTTCCCTATATTCTGAACTGCCCAGGTTGCTCTTATAGCATTGTGTTTATTTCTGAGTGCAACTAATTAAGAGGGACATTGGAAGGAAGAGCTGATTCGTGGAAACAGGCCCATGATAGTAAGAGATTTCGAAATCATGCCAAAAAACAGTTGATGGATCTTTGCGCAAAGGAGGACTTGGGAAGAACTTGACAGTTGTCTTTGGATTAAGGAAGGGAGGTCATGTGGAGACTTGGTCAGCAGGAGTTAAAGGAGATAGAGAAGCCTCTGAGCTTACATGCAGTTTGTGTGAATGGGAACATTTATACCTTTGGGTGGAGTAGGTCCATAGAATTAATGAGATTCTCAAAGACTAAAGACCAATGTGCTATACTTTTCCCTGTGTGGCTAAAGAGGGCAGAACAATGACTAATAGCTCTAAGTTGCAAGGAGGCAACATCCGACTATATAAGCAATAACATTTTAAAAATTGGAGTTGTCTTTATATGGACTGGTCTGGCCTGCAGGAGTGGTATTTCTGATCACTTGACATTTCTAAGTCCCAGACTTATCAAGAGTGGTATAGAGAAGATTGATGTGTCAGAGCAGGGTTTGATTAAACTGCTTCTGTGGTTCATACCAATTTTGAGTTTCAGGGATTCTGTAACTCACAGAGATCACATGACCCTTACAAATCATGAACTTACTTTATGGGGTGGATCCAAGCTATCTGTGGTTCTTTCTCTTTGTCTTCCTGTTACTGATTTCTCCTGGCTTAAAATAAGCATATTTAGATCAAAGATCCTCAACAGAAACCATTCAAATACTCAAGTGACTCCCTAGCCACATTTTAGTAAGGAATACTTTTCATTTCGATATTAATATACATCTTATATGAAAACTCTAAATATATGGGGACACCAAGTCAGGAGACCTCATAGGTTGTTGTTCTTCGTGAAGTATAATAAGAACTCTATTTGGCTGAGAGAAAAAAAAACACAATCTGGTCATTGTATAATTTATTGCAAAATTAGAAATTATTAATAAAAACGATTACTTTATTACTACTTATGTATGTAATGTATGTGTTACTTTATATTACATGTAAGTATTCCTGAATATTTACTAGGCCCTAGATGTAGAAACTAGCACTTTACAGGTATACTCTCACAGTCTTTACTATGAATACAGTCTTTACTGTATTCAATTAAGACAGCATTATTGTTAAGCCTATGTTACAAATGAGGAAATTAAAGCCTATAGGAGTCACACAGTGAGTAACTCTTGGGGCTAGGATTTGAACTTAGGTCTCTTTCGTTCCTGAGTCTGTGTCTCAATCGTTTGACTATTCTGCCTTCCCTATTTACTGAGTGGTGAAGTTGGTTAGATGATAAAATTACTACACAGGCACCGTGGTGTGGAACAGTTTCAATTAGGTTGCATGGTGGCTTGGTGGTTGTTGATTTGGCTAGCCTGAGCCACATTTTCCAGAACTCCCTTCCCTGTGTTCAGCCACATAGGGTGGGCCATAAGAGGTAGCCTGTGGGAGATTCAGAGGGTGGAAGGGAAGCAGCAGCCACGTTGCAGCTCCCATGCGGTGGGTACCCCTTCTCTGCTGGCTCACCTCATTAGTGCGAGACAGTGGCTGAGCTTAGATCTGCTCACTGCCCCCTGTATCCTCCTTCAGCTCTTCCAACTCCTGTGCCAAGTGTGTATGTTGATGACAAATGCTGGCCCCACTACCAGCTACTGCAGGACACTCATACTATTAAGGTCAAGGTCAAAGTCAATAAGAACTTTCATGGGCTTTATACCTTGTGGGGTTCCAACCTTTCCTGCTTTCAGGAAATTCTGAAATTTCAGAGTTCTGACTGCTTCTGCTTTCAGGCTTCTAAAGTACTCCCAAGGACAATGGCCTTATAGAGGTGGCTTAACCAGCTCCTACAATTGCACAAGTTAAATCGTGCAACAAACTCATCCCCACTCACACCAGCCTACTTCCATCAGCCAGCCAAGGTTTGATCTTATTCGTAATTTTCACTGCTTTTCTGATTAAATGACCAAAGAATACAAGTACACTGGGGATGACCTTGATTTGTGGATTTAAGCTGGCACAGTTCCTGTCTTCTGTTGTTACAGCCCTGATTTTTTTTTTTTTTTTTTTTTTTCTTTTGAGACGGAGGCTTGAGTGCAGTGGTGTGATCTTGCCATCTCGGCTTACTGCAACCTCTGCTTCCCAGGTTCAAGCGATTCTCCTGTCTCAGCCTCCCGAGTAGCTGGGATTATAGGCACCTGCCACTGCACCTGGCTAATTTTTGTATTTTTAGTGGAGATGGGGTTTCACCATGTTGGCCAGGCTGATTTCAAACTCCTGACCTCAAGCAATCTGCCCACCCCAGCCTCCCAAAGTGCCAGGATTACAAGCATACAGGCTTGAGCCACTGTGCCCAGCCCTACAGTCCTCATTTCTGGTCCGTAGAAACATCCAGGGAAATCTATGAGGCAGTAAATCTGCCTCTTCATATTTAATCCCCAAGAGAAGAGAAACATGGGATATTAACAGAGTGGGAGAACAGTATGGCCAGAAGTGAACACTTTCAACCCACAGGAGGCAGGCTAGAGATGGCAGAGTCAGGCTGCAGGGTTTGAGTGGTTCTTCAGGTTCTTCTTCAACATATATGCTGTGTGATGCCAAGCAAATTACTTAACTTCTCTGGGCCTGTCTCCTCCCCTGCTAAACGGGATAATGTTAATATCTACCTCATAGGGCATGTGAGGATTAAACCTGGTAACATATGTGAAGTGCTTAGAACAATGTAACCTTTATATTCATGTTTATTATTGTTATTATAGGAGAGAGGAGTGGTCTGTAATCTTTTTTTTGTTTTGATTTCTTCTGGCTTCTCAGGGAGTGAAAACCTGAGCTGCAAGTGTGCTCTACAGACTTTCTTCAGGCCTTTTCTGTTCCCTCAATACTCACTCCTCTTCTATTTGACTCTATCTTGCCTCTCTCTCTCTCTCTCTCTTTTTTTTTTCTCATAGTCTTGCTCTGTCGCCCAGGCTGGAGTCCAGTGGTGCAGTCTCAGCTCGCTGCAACCTCTGCCTCCTGGGTTCAAGCGGTTCTCCTTCCTCAGCCTCCTGAGTAGCTGGGATTACAGGCGTGCACCACCATGCCCAGCTAATTTTTAGTAACAGGGTTTCACCATGTTGCCCAGGCTGGTCTCAAACTCCTGACCTCAGGTGATCTACTTGCCTCAGCCTCCCAAAGTGCTGGGATTTCAGGCATGAGCCACTGCGCCCAACCTATCTTGCCTCTCTTTAATTGTTTTTTTGGGGGTCAAGAAAGGGAAACAGGTGAATGGAGAAGTTACGATAGAGTTGCAGGGATAAGAGCCAAGGATGAAACTAAAGAAAAGAGTTTCAATTAACTTCTCTCCTTACAGCAATCTAAGGAGAATAGGGGCTGTGACATACACGGGGAACATGATGGTCTCAGCTGAAAGGGACTTATGCCAGTGTCAGGCCTTCATGATAACCAGGATCTGGGCAGAGTTTGCAGATTCTAACTGTGTGCTATGTGCTCAGACACACTGAAAAGGGGGTTGAATGGGGGTGGAAAGTACTGTTCTTATCCTACAATTGAACCCTTTCAAGTTCCTTTAAAAAATAAGTGGTACCCCCTCCTGCTGCCCGCCCTTACACATTTTAGTGTATTTTTCTCTGGCCTTGTCTGGAACAGCTCACCTTTTCTGGCTGTACAAGATAGGAGAAACCTTTTGACTGCAGCTGCTTGTTTGGGATGATACAGGGCCCGAGCAGACATTTATTCTTTTTCTTTCTTTCTTTTTCTTTTTCCTCTTCTCTTCTCTCTTCTTTTCTTTTCTTAGAAGACAGCCTCTTCCCATCCCTCTGGAGTTACTTCATGCCAAAGTGGCTGCTATTTGGCAACCAGGTGGTCTAGGGTGGTCAAGTTTCAAATGTCATCACGCAAAAGGCAGTTACAAGGACTGAAGTCAAGGATTGAAATGCCAGACCTTAAGTGTCCCTCAAATACATGTTTTCCCAACTAGTGACTTGCCACAGAAATAAACAGCAATTATGCAAAAGTCACCCCCCTCCCTGCAGCTCCAATTTTCTCCTGGTGTTCCAAAGTCATTACATGGAGTACTTTGTGATAAAAAGATGTCTCCGTGTGGCCCACTTAGTATTTCAAAGCATAGAAATGAAAGACAGTGGGGCACACATGCTGCAGAACCACTAAATGACAGAATCATCACTGGCCTAGTTTTTGAGTCACTGTGACAGACACAAGGGGATTGCTTTTAAAGTCGCTGATGACACATCAGGAAAAGGGAAGAAGATGTCTCTGCTTTAGAAAAGAGACTTAAAGAATCTTACTTTCTGACTGGAAATGCGTTTTGAATTGAGACTATTTTTTAGATGGTGCATAGAAAATGAAAGGCAAATGACAGGGTACTTACCTGAAGACCCCGATAGAGACACCTTATCCAACAGCCGGTGAGTGTACCAGCAGAGAGAATGGGGCACACATTTTGAGATTTAGGGTGCTGGGGATGGCATCAGTTACTGCAGAGGAAATTTCACCACTGAGCAATGAGCCAAAGCAAACATTACTATGTGACTATTATAGGCTGCTGTAATTCAGTCCTCGCCATGAACAGCAAATGAGTCAAGCTAACTAATGCAGAGGGTTGGACTCGTTTTCTTTTGAGGAGTCCTGGGAGAATTTCCATAGTGTCTTTTTGTTCATGCAACCCAGTTCTTTTCTTGCTTGTATGGTTACTCATCCATCTCTGGATCTGGAAGGATCAGTAAATGAGAGGATGAACTCTCAGAAAGCACACGGTCAGCTTTTGATGATTCCGAGAGGGAAGAGTGAAGGTCTCACAGTCCTCTGTATTTAATATTTGGCTCTTGGGGAAAGCTGGTAGCTCAAGTTGTATAAAACTTGCACAGAACTCCTAAATGAAAGGGGGTAAAAAAGCTCACCATAATTCATTCTTTCACTGAAGCAAGCAAATCAACAAACAAATCTGTATTATATGCCCTCATTGAGTCATTGTGTTGGTAAGGATCTCTAGGGTAATCCCCTTTTAGAATTGTTGCTATGTCTCTCCTGGGCGCCGTGGCTCATGCCTGTAATCCCAGCACTTTGGGAGGCCAAGGCAGGTGGATCATGAGGTCAGAAGATGGAGACCAGCCTGGCTAACATGGTGAAACCCCATCTCTACTAAACATACAAAAAAATTAGCCGGGCATGGTGGCGGGTGCCTGTAGTTCCAGCTACTCAGGAGGCTGAGGCAGGAGAATGGCATGAACCCAGGAGGCGGAGCTTATAGTGAGCGGAGATCGCGCCACTGGACTCCAGCCTGGGTGACAGAGCAAGTCTCCGTGTCCACACACACACACACACACACACACACACACACACACACAAAATTGTTGCTATGTCTCAAAATCTTTTTCAAGACTATCTATTACGTTACTTGAAATCTGCAGACCTTGAAGTGTAAAAAGTAGCTGATTAAATGTAGCAGTTTGAATTTTGATGCAATATGGACTTGGCAGCTTTAGAAAATAAAAATACCGGGCTCCCCATAAAATTTGAATTTCAGATAAACAGTGAATTTTTTTTAGAATAAATATGTCTCAAGTATTGCATGGGCCATATGTCTATGTAAAATCCATTGTTCAACTAAATACTTACACTAAAAATATTTGTTTTTTTAAAAATTCAATTTTAATTGAAATAAAATTCAATTTTATTCAAAATAAAATTCAATTTTATTCAAAATAAAATTCAATTTTAACTGGGAGTCCAGTATTTTATCTGGCAAATATAGTGCCATACGAACTTTAAATTGTAAGAGTGTAATTGGCTCTTAGGTAAATATTTTAAGGGAGTGGATGGATGTGTGTGTGTGGGGAACATTCACTTCTGCCTGGGCAACCTTGCTTCAAAATACCAGGCCCTTCTCCTTAAGAGGAAGAATAACTCTCTGTTGTCCTGGTAACAGAGCAGTCTGTGGTCAACCCTCCAGGGCAGCCTGAGGCCTGGGGTGCTGCTGTCCTCCCAAGGAGATCTGCTGGTGAGGAGCTGTTTTCCACCAGGCTCTGTGGAGATCTGCAGACTGAAACAAGGCCTCCATCCTACCAGTATGCAGCAAGTTCTGTTGGGAGCACCGAGAACTTAGAATATGTCACTCCCCTTTTTTTCCCACTGATACTAGAGAAAAAGAGAGCTGCCTTGGGACTTGCTGTTGCATATACTCATGGTCTGTGTTTTCTATGTATGGCCAGCCAACCACTCCAACCTGAAAATTTATCTTTAACTGGTTGTATGCAGACATTCAAGTGTAGTGGAAAGATGGCAGTACAGTAGTGAAGTGCGAAGTTGGGCCACAAAAATGTTTGATAATGATTTCTATTGGCTTTGGGGACACTATTTTGTGGGCCCCTGAATAAATTCAGTTGTTTTAGAATACAATTTTGGAAAAAAACATATTTTTGTAGGTCTTAAAGTGAGAAAAAGAAGCTGGAATGTTTTTGACTGTCCAATATTTGCTTCTTCATTGATTCATCTTAATAGTTTTCTGATCATCTGCTGTGAACTAACCATGGTCCTGGGCATTCAATGATGAATATGACAAGGTTTCTGCCTGGAGTTGGCTTCTAAAAAGTGGTTGAAAGCCTGACAGAAAATACATATAAATAGTTGAAGATAATACAATATGACAAGTGCTATGAGATAGGTACATTTGGATTGTTTTGGAGGGGCTGCTAACAGACTGGGTGGCAAGGAGAGAATGAGAAGGTTTCTTAGAGGAGGTGATGGCTGAGCTCTGGAGACAGATTTGTATAGATGAAACATTGCAGGAAGTGTATCTCAGGGCAGCTTATTTGAAGGCCTTGGGGGAGGACTCATTGTGTTAGGGTGCTGGTGGTAGTCTAAAGGTGTATTATAGTATGTGGTGAAGGGTAGGGTACAGAAAAAATGGCTCTGGCAAAATATGAAAGGGACCAGATCACCAGGGGCTCCTTGTAATAAGGAAGACTCTAGGGTGGTTTTGTTTTGTTTTGTTTTGTTTTGTTTGTTGAGACGAAGTCTCACTCTGTTGCCCAGGCTGGAGTGCAATAGCACGATCTCGGCTCGCTGCAACCTCCACTTCCTGGGTTCGAACGATTCTCTGGCCTCAGCCTCCTGAGTAGCTGGGATTACAGGTGCGCGTCATCATGCCCAGCTAATTTTTGTATTTTTAGTAGAAATGGGGTTTTACCGTGTTGGTCAGGCTGGTCTCGAACTCCTGACCTCAGATGACCTGCCCGCCTCAGCCTCCCAAAGTGCTGGGATTACAGGCGTGAGCCACTGTGCCCGCCCTGACTCTGGGTTTTAACCTGAGAGTAGTGACAAGCCAGGAAAGTCTCCCAGTCATGGAAACACCATAACCAGATATGCATTTAAAAATCAGTCTGGCTGCAGACTGGAGAAGAAAGGGAAGGGAGGCAAGACCTGAGTCAGGGAACCAGTTTTGGAGACAGTTTCTTTCATCTGAAATCGTTATCAGGGTGGTCAGAACAAGGTGTTAGAATTGAGGAGAGAGAAGCAGGGGGCCTTAGTTTTGAGGATTTAGAATCAATTGGCCTTTAAGTGGCAGTGAGTTTATTTTTATTTTTTTGAGGCAGAGAGTTACTCTATCATCCAGACTGGAGTGCAGTGGCATGATGTTACCTCACTGCAGCCTCGGCCTTCTGGGCTCAAGTGATTCTTCCATCTCAGCCTCCTAAGTAGCTGGGACTACAAGCACACACCACCATGCCCCACTAATTTTTCTGTGTTTGTAGAGACAGGGATTCACCATGTTGCCCAGGCTGGTATCAAACTCCTAAGTTCAAGCGAATTACCCACCTTGCCCTCCCAAAGTGCTGAGATTACAGACATGAGCCACCGTGACTGGCTGACAGTGAGGTTTTGAAGTGTGGAATAGAAGGAGGTGTTAGAGGCTTGGGCAACCGGGAGATGAGAGTGCTGATCCCAGAGATGGAAGAAAGGGCAGGCTGGGACTCTGCTGAGAAGTGAAGAAGGCAAGATGTCATCACATTGCTTCAGAACTGCCTCATGGTAAGTTGCTATGGTAAGTTCCATGCTAATTCCTCATGGAATTGAGGTAACTACCTCAATTCAATATGTCCAACAACATTTTGGGGACCATTTAATGTGGACCAGATGCTGGTGATTTGAAAATGATATTAGGGCTTTTCCCTGCATGATGGGAGCTCATGGTCTTCTGAGGGAGAAGGACACACACATAACATATGGTGTGGTATAGGCACTTGTATGAATTAGAGTGGTTTTTCATTGCTTGTAACAGAAAACTGAACTACAATTGACTTAAACAATAATGGTCTTTTAAAAAATTTTTATATAATATGTCTATCTAGCTTGATTGAGTTAATGTTGGATTTAGGATCAAGGATATCCTTCAGGATTCTTTCTCATGATTGTCTTCCATAATATCAATGTCATTAAAAAAACTGACTTCTCATGTTTGCAAGAAGGTTTATCCTTCTTTTTCCTTTGCTAAGAGCTTTCTTATGAACAGGGAAGTTTCTTTCTCCAAAGTGAGCAGCAAACTTTCTCCTGCTGCATGTTTGGCTTGATTTGGGGACTGTGTCCACCTCTGAATTGGCCTCATACCCCCAACAATGTAGGACGCATGAGGGTGTGTGGATGTCTAAATAAAAATTTGGAAAGTTACCAAGAGAAAGGAAAATGCTTGTTGGAGAAGGAGGCACAGATTTATTTTTTATTTTTTTTATTTTTGGAGACAGAATGTCCTTCTGTTGCCCAGGCTGGAGTGCAGTGGCACCATCTCGGCTCACTGCAACCCCTGCCTCCCAGGTTCAAGTGATTCTTCTGTCTCAGCCTCCTGAGTAGCTGGGACTACAGGCACCCGCCACCATGCCCGGCTAATTTTTTTTTTGTATTTTTAATAGAGACAGGGTTTCACCATATTGGCCAGGCTGATGTCAAACTGCTGACCTCGTGATCCGCCCGCCTTGGCCTCCCAAAGTGCTGGGATTACAGGTGTGAGCTATTGCGCCCAGCTGGGAGGCACAGATTCTAAGAGCACTTCTCTCTCTTGCTATGTACAAGGTGCTGAGGGACCATGGAGCAGGGAATGACTGATTTAAGATGTGATTTCTAGCTGCACATCCAGACTTACTTGTATGGGATTTGTGACATTTTCTTCATGATAGTAGAAGTACTCTGGTGTGTTCCTTATTTCTTACCATATAAGGTTTAATTTTTCTTAGCAAAGCACTCAAGTTTCTTCAGATCCTAACACAGACTAAAAATTTCAGCTTCATCTCCCACCGTCTCTACATACACACCCAGCCATATCACTACCTATCGGCTTGCATTAATTGTGCACTCCAAGTGAGGAGGGGTAAACTCATCCTGAGCAAAGAAAGTTTCTCCCCAAAACTAATTGTGGGTGTCTTGAACCGTATTTCCACTTACCTTATGGGACATTTCTAGATTCTGTAGTCACATAGTGGGGTTTATGGCTACAATCAGTGAAAGGGACCTTGATCTCTCCAACTCTGTAATCTTTGTATGTGTCTGAGACCTTAGGAAATGAAGGTTGATAGAAGAAAGAACTTCATGTGTAACTAGCTAAGCTGTTAAATGGAAGAAACCAGACACCTCCTAGCAATGGTCACTCGTTGGTTTTAGAAAATCAATGTATAATTCTGAGAAACCTATACTACACAAGATACTTAACAAAGAAAATGAGTGTTCCAATGACCATCTGTGTATATACTAAATGAGGAGAGCTAGACATTGGAAGGGCAGTTCTCTAATGTATGGTGTCAGTGGGTCCGGGGATTGAGGTGTAGAGGGTGGTGGTGCAGTGGCCATAAATGAGCATTGTGCTTGCTTCAGAGTCTCTCTTAGAAGCTGGTGTCTTCATTCCCTTGGGGCTAATCATCTCTGGGAAACTGAGGCAGCATATTGCATTTGGTTGTTATTCCCCTGAGCTTTGTCCTTCAGACCTTGCTGGACATTTGCTGGCCTTAAGCTTGATGCTTTCTTGTAAGCTCTTCTGGCTTGCTGTCAACCTGTCCAGCTCTGTGAATCCATTTTGGGTCTCTCTCTCTTCCCGTCTCTGTCCTTGGCCATAGGTTCTTCCTGAAGTCTTTTCTTCGTTTGTTCCACTCTGAAAAGACATCCTGGTTTCTCTCTAACTCTGGCTCTTCTTGCAGGTCACCTATCCTTCTCCCACCTTACTCCTCAGAACTCTTTTAGCCAACATCATATGTGTCTTGTTTTATTTTTTTTCTTCCCACTGTCACTATTGGCTTCTGTATAGCAGAGATCCATATTCTTCTCAAGGACTCACATGACATATTTTTGTATTAATGACAACTATCTTCTTGCCTAGATGGGCTCCTTATCTTCCCCTATGGATTTTATGGTACAAAGAACACTAACCTTTTCGTTCAGCATATATTGTTTTCCTGGCGGGCATGTTTTATTTTCAGCCTTTTCAGGGTGGTTGTGGGAATAGCCTTTGTAATGCCTTCCCTGCCTGTCATTGAGGTGCAGAGCACTGCCTGGGGTTGAGGAGAGCTCTGGCACTCCCTGCTTCATCTGCCTGAGCCTTTACAATGTACAACATGCCATTGATTTCCCCAAGGTCTCCCAGACTCATACTCACCTCTCCATCCTATGCCCTGCTAGGGAAGAGTCTCAGAGTCTACTTTTCCCAGCTCCCTTTCCAGCTGGCTTTCTTTTGGCATCTACCATTAGGAGGCACTGGTAAGGGATCAACAGATGGGAAGAAGAAAGAAGCTTGTGGCTTTGGGCTCACTCAGTGTGGTGATTGCTGGGGTGTAATTATGAATTCCAGGCAGAACAGCACTGTCTTAGTGCTCACATGCTTAGCTGAGGAGATGCCTCTTCTCTAAATCTAAAATTGACTGCAGTTGGTGCCTCCAACTCTTTAGCACCAATTCAGTTCATGGGTTTCATTCAGCTAAGAGCCATTATCAGCATCTGGGTCTTACCACTCTTATTATTATTATTATTTTCAAATTTAGCCCCCTCTCCCCTCTGCTCTTGCAGCCTTTCAGCATATTTTGTCAATTCCCTGAGTTAAGTTCCCTCTGTTTGAAATTCCCAGAATGGTTTCAATTTTTTTGACTGAATATACCGAAATACAACATGTTGAGTTAAAAGCAACAATAGTGCAGCTTTTCTTTCTTTTGTTTATGGCAGATTTTGTTATCAACTGAAAGAAACTTTTATTATAACCCTTTTGTCAAAGTCCATACCATGGAACAACTTTATAGGTGACATAAAAATATGATTAGCACCACCTTGGGGGTCAGAAAACAAAATACCTTGGATGGAGGTCAAGGGCAAATCATTTTATAATAAACATCTGAGAGGTTAGAGGAGAAACACTGGTACAGGAGAAATAGCACTATGCTTAAAAACAAAATTCCTGAATTCAAGACTGCCTTTTTAATTTACTATCCATATAATGATGGGCAAATCTTGTATTCTCTTTGAGACTCCATTTCTTCACTTGCAAAATCAATGACATCAACCTCCTAAGGTCATAATAAAAGTCAAATGAGAACTGTGTGTGGAAATATTATGCAAAATTTATATTGCTATAAAGATATTGTTATTGGGACTATTAAAGAAGGCTAGGTTCCTGCCCTGAGGTTGATGCCAATTTAGTTGATGATTTTATAACGAGCTATACAGTTATAGGTATTTAAATGTTTGAGAGCTCAATGTATAAATGACTCTTCACCAAGATTAAGGCAGCACGTAATTTTTATTACCAGTCTCACTTGGGTAAGTTGTCTGGAAACAACTTGTCATTTTGGGGCCTCAGTTTCTTTATCTGAAACTTGGGACCAGAATGCTGACCTGCCTCCTGAATGTGTTGTACGCGTTAATTAACTGCGTATGATTGAATAGCATTCTCAAGGCGAGCATGTAAATGCCAAGTGTTCTCACTGATAATAAAGCAGATACTTCCTTGATGGAGTTGTCAGGAGGATTAATAATTTAATTGCGGCAGAGTGCTCTGATATTCTTAGATGAAAAGTGCCATATAACTTTGAAGAGGAATATTATTAAATAGCTTCTGCCTTGTTTCCTGAAAGAGCAACTCCAAATAAGGCAATGCTGATCTGCACATACCTATCTAAATGTTTCCAACTCCATTTAGAAGAGCAGAAATTTAGACAGCAGGAATTTAGAAATTTGATTCAGAAGGAGGCCTGTAACAGAATAATAAGGAATTTCTGATTTTTCTTCTGTAGTTGGCTCATGGCTTCATTTCAAGATAATTTCTCCAATGTTGTCAACAAAGAACATAACTGGGAATTAACCCAGTGCAAACACTTTTCTACTGATGAGGACAAAATCTAGTCTTTATAATTTTGCAAATCTAACTATCTATGTGCCTGTGATTTCCCATATTTCAACCACATTGGCTTCCTTTCTTTTCCTTCTACTCTTCAAACTCTTTTATTTTTCTTAATGACTTTTGCATTGTTGTTTCTATCTTTTCAAAGTGCTGAGCATGGTCCCTTTTTTTTTTTTTTTTTCGAGACGGAGTTTCGCTCTGGTTGCCCAGGCTGGAGCGCAATGGCGCGATCTCGGCTCACCGCAACCTCTGCCTCCCAGTTTCAAACGATTCTCCTACCTCAGCCTCCTGAGTAGCTGGGATTACAGGCATGTACCACCATGCCTGGCTAATTTTTTGTATTTTTAGTAGAGACAGGGTTTCTCCATTGTGGTCAGGCTGGTCTTGAGCTCCCAACCTCAGGTGATCCACCCACTTCAGCCTCCCAAAGTGCTGGGATTATAGACATGAGCTACCATGCCTGGCCTACTATTTTCCTTTCAAATATCAGATTATCCCCTCTTCTTAGAGTCTACTCTCCCAGGACTCCCCTCTTCCTTCAACCCCATTGCTTTCTGTCACAGCAGCCTTTTGGATTGTCATTAGCACTTATTGGTAAATCGATTTATTTTGTTCTTTACTTGTTTAGTTATATATTGTCTGTCTCTTGTGACTAAAACCTAAATGTGTGGTGATGTGGATTTTGTCTTTCTTGTACTCTGCCTTTTGGCTGTGCCTAGTGCATAGTGGTTGTTCAGTGTTTGTTGAATGTATAAATTATTTATGCTATTTTTATCTTGATCAAAATTGTCCATCTGGTCATTAAATTAGGCTAACTTTGACTTATCTATAACAGAGTCTTGGGGTGAAAAACTGAAACTTCATTTTGGCAAATTTCTATAAAATTGTGAACATCTAAAATATATAAGAATAGAAGATAGAGTATCCTATAATATGATTCTTAAAATTCCTGTGTTCAACCTAAAGGGTTATGATGTTGAATTTCCTTTTCTCTGCACCTGATTCTGTGATTATATTCTCTAGGACTTCTGATTCTTGAGAAATACAAAAATTAAGATATATTAATGTCCTAAAGCAGGTGTTAGTCTGCAAACTAAGCCAGCTGCCTGTTTTTGTGAATAAAGTTTTATTAGAACACAGCTTGTTCATTTATTTTCCACAGCTATTTGGAGTAACAATAGCAGAATTGAGCTAGCAAAGCCAGAAATATTTACTATCTGGCCCTTCAGAGAAAAGTTTGTTCACCTCTGTTTTAGAGCCTTGTTTTCCAACTCTTTGAGAACTAGAAAAAGTTACAAGAAGTTTCAAGTAAGTAAATTTGATATGAGGAATTGTTAGTGACATGTTCTATTCAGGATTTTATGCCATGATTTTCTATTCTTTTAAGAACAAAAAGGTAAATAAACATAAATATAGGTATTTCTACACTCCAGGCTAGCAAGCAGCAAAACTCTTTAAAGTATCCTCAATATGAAGTTGGAAAGTTTCACTCCAAAATGAGCTTTGTTTGAGTAACAAAAATACCATAATTGTTTGTGCCCTTAAAACTTTTATTTATAGGAGGGAGTTTATTTTATCAGCATGCAGATTGGAATTTGGTTTCAGGTTACAGAATTTGAAGGATTGGGGGAAGTTGGCTGACTTTTAACACCAAAACAATTTTTTAATTATAGCAAAAATAAGTATTGTGTTTACTGTATAAGCTATGAATTGGGCCAGGTGCCTACATGAACTATATCTTATTACAGCAACCTCCAAAGCAGGAATTATTATCTCAATTTTACAGATAAATCCCCTTGTGCTCAGCAGACTTCAAATAACTTGCTCGGGGTCCCATAGGAGATAAGAGGTGGCCCACAATTAGAATCCATTTCTATTTGCTCTTCCCTAGAACAACAGGAGTTAGAGAAACAGGAGTTATACTTTGAATACAGTAAAGGCAGTGTTTCCCTGAAAAGACAATGTTAATTCTCACATCCTTCCCTTGTGAGTGACCCCTAAACTAGGGGCTTCCAGCAATGTGCAGTGGCCAGTAGCCCACTAAACTGTTTTGACTTAAACTGAGAAAAGCAAACCACTTTTCCCACAATGACTCCCAAATTTTTATTTGGAGTAAGGTAGTGCTTTGAAAGAAGAGGGAAAGAACGAGAATGGAGAAGTGCTCACTCTAGCTCTTACCTGTTAGCTTGAAATGCCTTTAGCAAAGTCGGCTACCTGCAAGTTTTTAAGGTGAAACACTTTCCTTTGCATTTTCTTTGCAAAGGCATCTTTTGAGAACAGTCTGCTTTCAAGCACTCCATGACTTTGGTCAAAGAGCCGAGAACCTGGTATGAAAGATTTCAGTGCTGTCAGAAGCTTCAGCCAATGAGAGGGTTCCTGTCATTCACGCCGGGGTGTGCTCACTATTTCTTGTGTTCCTTGCTCTCACCCTGACAGCTTGTAAGTCTCAGGAGACTAGGGGATTTTTCTTTATCTTTTTATTTCCTCTCCAGAGTGTGTATATTTATGGGCGACTGCTGAGTGGGAGGGGCAGGGAGAAGGTTGGGGAGAATAGAAAAAAGAACAAGGGTTGAACAATTTTTTGTGCCTTTTTTGTTACTCTTTATGAAATCTTAAATAAAAATATTGGCAATTTGTTCAGCCTTTTCCCCTTTTGTTAATATTTAAAAGCATTCAATTAAGATTTTCTAATGTGTCCAATGAGTTAAACTGTCCTATGATATTAGAAAAATATTACACATATAAATAAAATACGTCAAAGCATTAAAAAGCTATTACACACACTGAACATAAAATGGCAGAATAATGATGGATCCCGCCATGCAGGAAACATATTCAAAAATATTATCTTCCCGGTAATGAAATGCCATCCGTTTCATTTTAAGCTAAATACGTTAGACATATCAGTGGAGTCTGTGCTGACACAGCAGTGAGTTGAAATTGAAAATCTGAAATTATATATATGATTGGACACAGTGTTAAAGTAATTTATAGGAAAAACCACGAATGTGCTGGGTCTGCACCTTCTGGTGAACTCATTTTATAGAATCAGATAGAGGAAAACTCTACCATTTCTAATGTGCAGTTAGAATGGCAGCCTGCCAGGGCCCCAATATATTCAGTATGAAAAGAGAGAAGGACAAACAGAGACCAGGAGGTAGGGGATGGCAGCTGGGGAAGGGGAGCAGTAAGGCAAGTGAGGGGGTGGGGTTCCAGGGGTGAGGGATGGAGACAGAAGAAGCTGGGCCAGAGAGGCTTGCTTCAAATTACAGCAATTCTGCATAAGCCATCAAGAAAATGGCATTCGTTTTCATTGCTGTGACCTAATGGGATACAGCCGCTGTAGGAACTGTATTAGCTATCAAGACAAGAGAGAGATAAACCCACAGCCTGTGCAGGGGCAGGTTCCCAGGAGACCGTGGCAGGGCGCCCTGTGATATCACTGGCTATGGTGCCAGTCAAGCTCTGGTGGATACCATCTGACCGCAAAAGTTCAAGTGGGCCCATGGAGTCTGACAGGAAAGGAGGCTATGGGTCTCACTCGCAGACCCACTGCAGTCACTTGTCTGTCTGGATGTCTGAGTATCTCTCTGCCCTACTTTTTTCTTTATCTTTTTCAAAGTTGTGCATGCTTGGCCGCAAAGTGCGGTGGGAAGTTGGGTAAGCCGGGGATGAGGAGAGAAACAAGGTTGCGCTTTTGTGTGGAGATGTGTGAAGATGTGTGAAAAATTGGTACCCTGATGTGCTTTTCGTCTTTCATTTATATCCGTAATCCTGCTTGAAATGTGGATTATTTATTCACACTGGGCTGGTCTCCTCCTGGAACGCCAGGGAGCCGCTGCCATGAATTTTCATTTGGTGGCTGCACCAGCTGAGGCAGAGGTGGTCTTGTTTCTCCAGGAGTATTCTTTCTAACCTTCTCTGATGTTTTAAACAGAGGAAAGTTGAACATGAAAGAAAGGAGGATGTTTTTCATCTTATAGTGGACAACTGACTCTAAGGAGGGAAGCGTGGTGCAAAGAGAGACTGCTGATCCCTCAAATGTGGTTGAGATAAATTATCACCATGCCTTCTGGCTATCTAATTCCTCCTTCTCACCCAACAGCCTGGGGATTTTAGAAGAGTAAAAATAACAACATTTAAAACGTGTGTGGCATTTTTCCTTCTAAGCACTCAGAATGTTTCCTATGTATTTTAACAACAGTAGTTGCCACCTATTGAAGATTGACTCCATGGCAGACACTGGCTTTGCATGCATGATCTGACAGCATCCTGACCTAGGTGCTGTTATGCTTCCCATTTTGTGGATGAGGAAACTGAGGTTTACAGAAGTCAAATGACCTTCTTCAAGGCTATAAAGACGATGAGTGCCCCAGATAGTAACTAAATCCCTCAAAGTCATGGTGAGGCAAGAATATTCTGCCCCATTTAACAGCAATCTTTGTGAATGAATGGAGAGTTAAAGGACTTGCCCTAGTTCTTATCTTAAGTGGCAAAGCAGCCTTCTCTGAACCCTCCAACTAGCTCAACTGGCTCTTGTCTTATCTCATGCCTTTCTTCATAGCACTTACTAGGGGTCGTTATTTCTATGTGTTCTTATTATTGTCTACACTAGGCATTAAGTTCATGAATGTAGTAACTGCCTGTTTTGCTCACTACTGTATCTAGGGCTTTGGACAGCGCTTGCCATTTAGTAGACATTCAGTGATTGTTGGTTGGTTGCATATGTAAATGAATGGATGGATAGATGCATGTTCATTGATAATCTATAACACATCTGAGGCTGGAAACTTTCAGGTCATCCCCTAGAAGACCTGCCATTTTTCAGTTGTGCCCATTCTTATGGTGGTCCTCTCTAGAAAAGAAATTAATATTGATAAAAATCATAAAATTTTGAAACTGCAAGTTGCCTAATGAGACATCTGGTCTACCATTCTATCCAATGCTGAATAACTCTTAACCTTTAAGGTTCTACTTTGGTGTCCTGAGATTGGGTTTAAGACATACAGGCTATCACAGGACAACCTGTTCCATTGCTTTAGAGTAGCATTTTGTAAAGGTATTTTGTATAGAGAATCAGGTCTACTCCTGGAATTATCATCACACTGGTCTTTGCTTCTCTGGAGCTCCACACATCAGGCCTTTTTACACTTATGTAGAATCTTCCGAAGGTGTGAAGACAGCTATCATGTTTTATACTTGCTTCTCTTTTGCAGGCTATATATACCCAGTTCTTTCAGGCTTTCTTTTATATGAAAAGATTTTCTGAGCCTCTCATCATCCTGATTGTCTTGGACAGTCAATGTTCCCTTTAAAATATTCAACACAGTGAAAATATTGAATACCATATTCCTAATGTGATTGGATCTTTTTACGATTATTGCTTTCTATCCTCTGAACATCCTACTATGATGCAGTCCTATATTATGTGAATTTTCTTAGAGGCCAGACCAGAATGTTGAACCAAATTTAATTTACAGTCAGCTAAAAACTTATTTATTTAATTCATTCTTTCACACAACAAATATGTCTTAAGCCAATGCTACATACTAGCCACTGGGCAAACACTGATAATAAGATAAATGTGATGTGATTCCTGCTGCCTGCTGAAGACCTGCCAATCTATTGGATAAGGCATACAAATCAACAATTATTATATTCTTCGACCATAGGATGCATATTTTAAAGTATTTAATCACTTTTAAAGTCATTATGTATCTCACAACTGACATGCAGTGTTAATACAGCATTTGATGTTATATCCTATATATAAATCGTTGGTGTTTTATAAACATAGTTTTATAACTGAGGGAACATGGCTATTTCAGTATTATAAACCTGTCTAATAGAAGCATGTGTTAGGTGAAGGCATGATACAAAGGAATGATGATCTCTGCTTGGGATGGACAGAAAAAAGCTTTACATAAGAGAAAACAAAGGTTTTAGGCTTTGATGGGTGAGATGTGGTTTGCCACCTCCATGGTAAGAAGCTTAGAGAGTAAGAGGGGAACATGACTGCTAGGGTGGGCAGAGAAGCTGGCTGGTCATTTCCTGTGTAAGCAACAGGGGGAAAACTGGGCCTCATGCTTAGAGATCCTCATGACAAAGACACCCTCCCCTATGTAGACATAACATGTTGAGTGTCATAAGGAAGCATATGTATTTGCTATAAATGTTTACAAATTCAAAAGAGAAGGGGCATTGACTTGGGATTATAAGAAATGAAGTGTGGAAAGATATCATGAAACTGTATCCACAAGCAGCATTTGTATTGCACCTTGAAATAAGGGTATGTCGGCTGGGTGCGGTGGCTCATGCCTGTAATCCCAGCACTTTGGGGGGCCGAGGCAGGCAGATCATCTGAGGTCAGGAGTTCGAAACCAGCCTGGCCAACATGGTAAAACCCCGTCTCTACTAAAAATACATAAAGTAGCTGGACATGGTGGTGGGCGCCTGTAATCCCAGCTACTCGGGAGGCTGAGGCAGGGGAATTGCTTGAACCTGGGAGGTGGAGGTTGCAGTGAGCAGAGATTGCACCATTGTACTCCAGCCTGGATGACCAAGTGAGACTCCATCTCAAAAAACAAAATAACAAAAAACAAAACAAAACAAACAGAAAAAGAAATAAGGGTATGTCTTCAAAGAAGGTGGGAGGAGGGCATTCCAAGGAGAGGAAAAGATCCAAGTATTCACAATTCCTTCCAAGCCTAAGTGTGTGAGAATTTAGAATGTTTCACTGTGGAATATGTGATGATGATGAACTGGCTGACCCTCTCTTTAATCTTGGTATTTGCTTGCTATAAATAGAAACAAATGGGATTATTGATATTCCTTTTTATTAAAAGTTAAAGAACAGTGGGTGGGGGATAGATAAGTAAATTATCATGCAAAGAATTTTGATTCTAGCTCCAGTAAGTTCTTGTCTTGCACCATTTCTTTGTCAGATGGGTTGAGTGTAGGGTCCTGCTTTTACCATGCTTCGCTTTCCATTATTCCCAATTTAAATAGATCTTTCTTCCTGCTGTTGAGTGGGGTTTGTTCAATCTTGTTGTTCCATGGTTGTCCTCCTCTAGTACAGGACTTCTTACTGTGGTTAAATTTCATTGTGTTGGCTTTGTCTGAACATTCCATCTTACCAAGATCTCTTTGGATCTTGAATCTTTGATACAGCATAATACTCATTCCTCTCAATGTTTTGATAGTGAAAATTTTGTAGGTGTGTTTTACATTTTTATCTAAATCATTGGCACCAAGTTTCAAAAAAGAACCAAGGAAAGAACTCTGCAGCACTCAGCTTTAGATACAGCTGAAGCTTGACACTGAGTTTGAGTGTTTTCATCTACCACAAAGTTCCCACCATGAAGTTGTTCTAAGTGTTTTGCTGACATCAAGACATGCTATATTCAGGACAAGTTTCTAAACACTTTCAAACTTCTACCAAGAGGGGAATGGGGTTAACCTGGCTTAGCAATCTGGCTGAAAATTGTTCTGTGAGATAAAACGTCTGCTCCCAGAAAAACTCTTTGCTCTGATCTAGCTCCTCATGCTGCCTCCCACATCAGTTTCCTTCTGTGCAGTCTCGACAGCCTTCCTTACCAATTCTCTGTGGCTGAGCTTTGATGAAATGTGCCCACTGGACCCTGTCTGTCCAGAAAGCCATCCAACATTCCAGGAGACCACAGGGGAAGGTCAGCTGTGGAAAGGCAAAATCCAATTTCCATTTTAGCTCTGCTTTTCCTTACTCAAATCACTAGTTTCAGTTCTCTATATGTTATGGACCTAATTATGCCCTCTCATTCATATTTTAAAGCCCTAACCCCCAATGTCACTGTGTTTGGCAATAGGGCCTTAAAGGAGGTCATTAAAGTTAAATGAGGTAATAGGGGTGGGGCCTTAATCCAATATGACTAGTGTCCTTACAAGAGGAGAGAGACACCAGGGATGCTCATACACAGAGGAAAGGCTATGTGAGAACTCAACAAGAAGACAGCCATCTACAAGCCGCGAAGAACAGCCTAAGGAGAAACAAAAACCTGCAAACACCTTGATTCGAACTTCCAGCTGCTGGGACTGTGAGAAAATTTGTTATTTAAGCCACCCAGTCTGTGGTATTTTGTTACAGCAGTTGAAACAGACTTAGACACCGTGTTATCACTTAAGTGCTAAATACCATATTTCTTCGCTCTATGAAATTAATCTTCCTTTAAAAATAGCTTTTTGGGGAGAAAAGTCACCATTTGGAGAGTATACACTATTTTTAAGACACATCCTAAGTGAAAGTATATCAAAATCTGAAAAAGACCACTTTAGATTTGATACATAGTACCTCTGCATTTGTACACACTCGCATGAGTACTTCATGTTTGAGGATAGTTTGATTCTGAGAAATGGAGTATTAAGGTACCTCTCATTGTTGTCAACATCTTATATTTACTATGGCATTAATTAGTGTTGATCTCTTCCTAATTAGCAGTCACTAACCAGGCAGGAAGAACATTAAATGTTGCTGAGTGTCTTGATAGATTTGCGTCTTGTACATCACCTCAGGATGACCACCTCTTTGTACCCTAAGTGACAGTGTCTATGAGAAAACACATAGGCACAGGAAATAGTATTCATTCTTGGTTTCCAGAAACACATTGTCTTCTGGAGTTAAAGAATCTTTATTGAGGACTGTATCTTTACTTACTGCAGACATTCCCTTGGATCTGTTACTACTCTGGAATAATGGACTTTCAGTTCTCTTTCTCTTTTAGACATAACTCACCAAGAGAGTTTTAGGGTTAGATGATGCAGTTTTCTGTTACTTCCATAACGAATTTTCACAAACCTAGCAGGTTAGAACAATACCTATTATCTCACAGCTCAGCAAACTCAGAGCATGGCCTGTGTTTTCTGCTTAGAGTTTCACAAGGCAGAACTCAAGGTGTCAGCAAAGCTTTCCTTTCTGAAAGCTCCAGGAATGAGTTCATTTCCAAGCTCATCCAAGTGGTTGACCAAATGTAGTTTCTGGTAGTTGTAGGACTGAGGTCCCTGTTTCCTTGCTGTCTGCATTCAGAGCTGGCAGAGTTTGCCTGTTTTCTATGTGGCCCCACTCCAGCAAGTATGATAGAATCTTCTCATACTTGGAATCTCTTTGGCTCCTCTTCTCCATCTTCTTTTGGTGACCTCTTTTGTAATGAGCTAGAGAACATTCTTGGCTTTTAAGGGCTCACTTGATTAGATTGGGCCCACTGGGGTAATCCAGGATAATTTCCCTACTTTAAGATCTGTTATATGTGCAATGCTTTTTTAATTTTTTAATTTTTATTTTTTGCTCTGTAAAGTAAAATATTAACAGCTTCCAGGGATTAAGGCATGAACATTGTTTTTTTTGGTGCCATTATTCTGCCTGCCACAATAGGTTACTAACTTCTAATTTTTCCTAATTTGTTCTTTACCTGGAGTTTTAGAAAAGTTATAGGATGTGTAGTATAGTAAAGCCATATATCTAGATGGCATTTACTCAACAATTCTGCATTGGGCCCCTATGATGGGTCAGACAACAGTAAACTAGTGAACACTAGTAACTTGTAGTGAACAAGTCAGTGTACCTATTTTCTGTTATTCAAGCTTTCATTCCAATGGGAGGAGACAGATTTAAAAAACAAGCAAACAAGCACACGTGATTACAAGTATTGAGTATTAAGAAAGAAAAACAATCAATAGTGTGAGAGAAAACAAGAGTGGACTTCAGGTCACAGAAAAGCTTCTTTGAGGAGGGGATGTTTAAGCTGAGGTAAAAGGTAGAAGCCAGCCCTGCTGGAGTGTGGACTGGAGCTCGCTAGGAGGAGGGAAGAGAAGGTACAGGTAACACATGTTTCACATATATCAGCTCACTTAATCCTTCCAGCAATCATATGTGATAGGCACTATTATTCCCGTTTTTCAAAGCAGATAATATAACAAAGATTTAGGTCCAAATGATTTATAGTTGACCCTTGAACAACATAAGGGTTGGGGACAACAGCCCCCTGTGTAGTCAAAAATTTGTATATGACTTTTGACTCCCTGAAAACTTAAATACTAAGAGCCAACTGTTTACTGGAAGCCTTACCCATAATGTAAACCAGTGATTAACACATATTTTGTGTGTTATATGTATTATATACTGTATTCTTACAATCAACTAAGCTAGATAAAAGAAAGTGTCATTAAGGAAATCATAAGGAAGAAAAAATATACTTTACTATTGATTAAGTGGAAGTGGATCATCATAAAGGCCTTCATCTATGTGTTTTTCACATTGAGTAGGCTGAGGAGGAGGAGGAGGAGGAGTTGGTCATGTTGTCTCAAGAGAGGCAGAGGTGGATGAAAATCCACATATACATAGACCTGTGAAGGTCAAACTTGTGTTGTTTAAGGGCCAACTGTATTTGGGAGTGATCGCAAAAGGGCTATGAAGGAGTGGGGGAATGAGAGAGAGAAGAAAGCAAAACAAATTGGGAGTACATCGGTGAGCAGATGACTGCTGTGGGAAACCCTAGAGATGCTAATTGGTTTAAGTGAAATCCAAGCATTAAAATTGCATGTTTGTGTGTATGATAAAAATAAACCTTTATTTGTTTAAGCTATGGTCATTTAGGTGATTGTGCTACTTAAAGCTGAACACATCTCAAGCTGAGATAATTTATGCATATGTGGACACACAAATAAGCAATTATTTTTGAATAAATATGGTGATAGAGGGAGGTTGTGCCCACCTCTTGCCAAGGCTATCCTATCAATTCCCTCTCTGCTGTGCAGACCTACTGTCTTTTCTCTCCATTCTGTGTCTTGTGTACGCTCCAGTGGGATCATTTCTCAACACACAGATCCTACTGCCATAGCCCTGCTCTGGGGGAGCTCATCTGATATTATCACTACCTGAGATAGTTCCCTTCTTTACCTGGTCAACTCCTACTCATCTTAAAGATTTGTCTCCAGTGGCACTTCCTTGGCACAGCCTTTTCTAAAACTCTTCCTACATTCTAGGGCAGACACCTAGGCTCCCTTTTTTGGGCCCCAGAACCTGGAGCATGAGTCATTTTTAAAAGCTGGCCAGGTGGGGCGCGGTGGCTCATGCCTGTAATCCCAGCAATGTGAGAAGCCAAGGCGGGTGGATAACCTGAGGTCAGGAGTTTGAGAACAGCCTGACCAACAAGGTGAAACCCCGTCTCTACTAAAAATACAAAAATTAGCCAGGCATGGTGGCAGTTGCCTGTAGTCCCAGCTACTCAGGAGGCTGAGACAGAAGAATTGCTTGAATCCGCGAGGCGCAGGTTGCAGTGAGCTGAGATTACGCCACTGCACTTCAGCCTGGGTGATGGAGTGAGACCTGTCTTTTTTTTTTTAAAAAAAAAAAAAAAGGTGGCCAGGTGATTCTAATGTGTATCCACAGTTAGGAATTGATGCATTAAAGGGATGGAGGGAGATGATTAGCAAAGGGAAAGAAGAGTCCATGCTGTGTCAAATCCTATTACAGAATAAGAAAAGGAAAGAGACCAAAGAAGGTAAGTCAGAACCCAGTTAAAAACAACATCCTGATAGGAAGATGAAAAGCAAAGGGCAAGAAGGGTTTGTTTTTTTTTTTCTCTGAGTTGGTTATGATTGTGATACTTCTCAAAGGATCTGGAAGACACAGGCTATTAGAGCAAAAAAGACATAATGTTTCTGAAAGGAAAAGGAAAAATGAATGAGTCAAGTTTATTGTCTAGTCAAGATGTGAAGTATACAAAAGAAAACATTAAAACAGGTGTGTCTGGTAACAGTGTGTCTAATTGAGAACTGAGGATTGAAGAACACAAACTAGTCATTTGGCATCTTTAAAATTTAGGACTCACTTGGGAATGATTGTAAAGATAAGTGGCACACATGATGGCCAAGATTCTACAGTGACACTGCCAGGCAGAATTAGGATGAATGAGGTATTTATCCTTATGGGGGAGATGGTTGCTGTTCACTGAATATGCGTGTGCTGCTCATTTCCCAGTCCCTTTGCATTAGGTAGGGCCATGAGCAACTTTCGGCCCTTAGGTAGAGGTGCAGGAAAGCTGTTCGTTTCTGGGCATAATGTGAGACTCTCCAGCTCCCTCTTTCCCTGCACAGTGTTGACAAAGTGGAGATTCCCTTTGTCTACATATGTAAGCAGAGCCAGCCCATTCCTCAACCCATGTGGACACAGCATGAGTGAGAAATAAACATTTGTTGTGCTAAGTCACTGAGGTTTAGGGGTTAACTTGTTAATGTAGATAGCTTATCCTGGAGTACTCTGTTCTTTCTGTGTCAGAGAAAAAAAGTCACGATGGAAGAGGACAATATGGCTTGATAAAGTAGGGTTGAGCTTTACAGCTTTTCTAAATAAGATCTTGGTGAGAATCAAACAATTTTGGACCTGGAACACAGTTGTTAAGGGGAATTATGATAAAGTAGATTGAACACTTAGCTGGGTTTCTTTAACACCCACTTCCATCTCCCTACAAAGAGGAAAGTGATATTAAAGTCTACCATGTGGCAATTCACATGGCTGTTACTAACTCAAGTATCTGTAGGATCCTTGAACCTATCACTAAATACATTCATTAAGTGCCTACTGCGTGCAGATCGATGAAGTAGGTATTATAAAAAAGGATGTAAAAACATGACAAGGCATGATATTATTCCTAATCGAGGGTTTTTCAGTTCAGAAAGGCGGAAACCGACACCCGCAAATGGAGTTAGGATGGAAGAACTGTAACAGGGAGGACTGATTGGAAGGTGTGAATCTTAAAGTCGGATTTTGAATGTCTAAAGGGCATGAAAGATAAGGGGGAAATGGCATATGTAAAAATGGAAAGTCTGGAATTAAGAATAACAACATCAGGGACTTCTAAAAAGCTTTACAAGTCAAGACTTCAGTCTATAAATTTTACATAAAATCTTTAACATCACATTTTGCAACAACATTGGTCGCCAGCTTTTCAAGATGGAAAAAACACTTTATTTCTTTATCAAGTTAATAAAACCTAATATTAAGGGAAACACATTAATCTTTAATTCAGTGTGAAAATAGAATTCATATGTTGAAACAGTGCCTTCCCAGAAGTTATAATGGAATTATGGAATTATAAAGTACTCTCTATATTATTTTCTACTTTTTGGTTTGCATTTTTTGATAGATACAAATAAAACAAAAATCCAATAAATAATTTGTAGTATAATTGATTTCTTCTCTATAGTATCACAAAGCACTAAAACAGTTTTGATCCTATTCCTAAAATGTAACTATAAAATGAGAAAAGTTTAATTCAATACTTCTAAATTAACCATTACCCTGCTGATGGTTGCAATGTGAAGTGCCCGTTAATTCCTTATAGTACTTATTTCACAAGATTACTATTAGTAGGTGGTTTAGGACAAGAACTAGATTATTAAAAGTATGCATTCTTAGTGGTAGTAATATATTATTAACATTTAACTTATTTCTCAAGAGCCCATTGTTCAAGATTCTGCTATTGCTTTTAAGGAACTGCAAATGTATTATTGGTCAAAGGAGTATTCTTTAAGGTTTACAGTTGGAGTACATATCTACTAATATTAGGCTAATTAACTCCCCCAAATAAATATAAATAGTAAACACACAAATATTGTTCAGAGCCTTCATTTTAATTTTTGTATTATATTTTAATTTATAGTTCTATCATTTAAATCCTTCAAACTAACTTTAAAAACCAGTATAAAGAACATACTGCCACATTGCCTTCAACAATATATATGTACATGTCTATGTATATTGATTTTAACATACCATACACACAATCACAAGCAGGCAAGTACATATAGAAATAGAAAAACATCAAACCATGCTAATAATGATTATATATTACAGGAGGGAAAATTGTCATGAATGTATTTTTTTTCTTTTTCTTTCTCTACTATTCATGATTTTACAACCCATCTATAATGAGCAAGAACATATATTTTTTTAAAGTTTATAATTCCTCACTTTATTTTCTTATTGTAAGTACATAAAGTATTAAAATTTTTCAAAGTAAAACTTCATAATCTGATCACTATAACATCATTATAATTTTTATAGTATTGCTTTTCATTTACCATCCCACTGCATATGTTTGACAGAAATGCCATAACTTTGCATCTGAAAGTTTTAGAGTAAGTCATATATCCACACGCTACAAAATTCAAAATATACAAAAGATGACAATAAAAACTATATATAGTGTAATTTTTAAAAACATAATTGGTACATTTTTCTCTATAATTGGTACATTTTTCTCTATCTCAAGACTGTCTTGTTCTTTGTAAAGGCAGCATTGTATTATCAAATTCCCTCTTGAGTATTTCAGTTGCTTCTAATTTTTGTTAATGATGTAGTGAATATTCTAGTATGTACATATGTAATCTTGCACATTTGTGACTATAGCTGTAGCGTAATTTCTTGGATGTGAAATCTGAGTCTCCATCTATATTTTAAAAGTTCTGGCCAGGTGCAGTGGCTCATGCCTGTAATCCCAGCATTTTGGGAGGCTAAGGCAGGCATATCACCTGAGGTTGGGAGTTCAAGACCGGCCTGACCAACATGGAGAAACCCGGTCTCTACTAAAAATACAAAATTAGCTGGAAGTGGTGGTGCATTCCTGTAATCCCAGCAACTTGGGAGGCTGAGGCAGGAGAATCACTGGAACCCGGCAGGTGGAGGTTGCGGTGAGTCGAGGTTGCCATTGTACTCTAGCCTGGGCAACAAGAGCAAAACTCCATCTCAAAAAAAAAAAAAAAGAAAAAATGTTCTTGTAGATACTGCTAAATTTTCCTCCATGGAGGTTGTACCATTTTATACTCTTACAAAGAGTGTGTGAAGGATTCAGTTTCCCTACACTCTTATAAATACTATCTGTTATCAAACTCTGATCTTTCAATTTTGAGGGGTTAAAGTTTATATCTGTTTATTTGCATTCATATGATTATATGTATTTATATATAATGAAGTTTAGCATCTTGTCATACTTTTAAAAGGCTTTTGTTTCTTTTTCTGTGAGAACTATTGTTACATTTTGGTCATTTTTTTACTTGATTTTTTTTTTGTCTATCTTATTGATGTTAAGAACTCTTTATATTAAGCCTACTTATACATCTCTGTCTCTATATCTATGTATCCATCTAAATAGCTAGTTGTAAATATAGATGCCCCTTTTCTGTGATGAGTTGCAAATATCTTTTTCCAATTTGTGATTTATCTTTTAAGATTTTAAAAATGACTTTTTTTGTACCATGTAGCATATTCAGTTTTGTTTTCAAATTTATCAGTTATTATCTTTTATGGCTTCTAGGTTTTCTATTATACTTAAAAATCTTTCTTCCAATTCAGAGATTTAAAGATATTTAGTATGTTTTATTTAATTTTTAAGGTTTACAATGTTGATAATTCTGAAATCTATTTTGGAGTAAGGTATGAGGAATAAATCTAATTTACTTTTTTTCCAGATGGCTACCTAATGTCACAAACCATTGATTAATAATCTTTACTGGCTTAGAATTCTATCTTTATTATCACATAAAATATTTACAATGAGGAAAAATGAGGCAAAAATTTTGAAAAAATTTAATGTAATCACTTTTAATCTCTGGAAGAATAAGTGAATAGCTATTTCTAAAATATTTTTAAAAACAGACAGCATTTACAGATAAAGATAACTAATTAAAAAAACTTAAAGAGAGTGCAAAAGTTAGAGTATAATCACAGAGCATCATATCTGTATTTTTCCTGGTCTGCTGACTCAGTCTGGGCTAGTTGCACAAGAATCACATGGAGAACATAAAGAAAAGGATAAGGAACTCTAGTTTCTATGGTAGGTTCTAGGCATTTACATTTTAAAAAATGCTCTAGATAATTTTGAGAGTAAAGCCAGATTAGGAAACCATGGGTTCACATTGTCACAGAATAGTGTTCATTCTATTTTTATTCTGCCTATTGTGTATAAAATCAGGATATTCCTTAGGAAAAAGGTATCAGATTTATATAATTTACAACTCAAGTATGTGTATATGTTCATTGTCCATTCTTTGAAAGCACAGGAATTTCTCAATTCTCTCATACTCTGAAAAGCATAGCTGGCAATATACCTTAGAAAGTGTTTTATTCCCTCACGCCACTGCACTCCAGCCTGGCGACAGAGAGAGACTCAGTCTCAAAAAAAAAAAAAAAAAAAGTTTTATTCCCTCCTGTTTTATGCTCTGTCTTCATACTGACAAGGCTGGGTTTAGCCCCCATCCTCCTCTTTAACCCTTTCCTTGGGCAGTGACCAATAGAAATATCCTGCTTAGCTGCTCCTCCTCCTCCTCAAGAACCTAACGAAGAGCTAGTATTAATCCAGAAATCGCCAACTTTTACTACAAAAGCCTATTAATTATATATGTAATCCAGGTTTAAAATGATTTAGTTTATCAAAAATAGCATCTATGTGTAATTATTCATGTTTCCATGAAAACAAGATATATAAACTAATCACAACTTCAATAACTCTTCTATGGATAAGAGGCTTTCATAAGATCACTGTAGTCAACTAGTCCATCCTTATCTATAAGTCTCCCCATATCAATCACATCTTTTGTCTTCCAACTTCTAGCACTCTTTCCTGTTTCTGAAAATGCCAGGCTTGCATTCTTCTGTGCCTTTGGATTTGCTCTTCTCCCTTCCTAATATACTATAACTAACTCCCACTTTGATCATGGTAAAATAGCTATTTGAAAATGAATACTTCCGTAGTAATATCAACTACTTTCTATTGTTCATTTGTTTATATATCTTCTCATACACTAGAGTTCGAGTGGACTTTGCTCTGGCAATTGGCAAAAGAGTGTCACTGAAACAATTAGGTGAAAATTGGAGTTTTACGGTGTGACTAGTTCACATCCAAAAGTAAAGTGCATTATATTTAATGGTGTAGGAGAGGCATATTAGACCCAAAATGTGTGCCATACTTGGGTTAAACCTATGCTTTTCCATATTACCAAACTGATAAATTAGTAGTCCCCAGGCTGGTGATATCCCTACAATACCAGCAAGAAATAAATGCAAACATGCTTAGAGAGAATTTCCCATAATCCAGGCCACTGGAAAAAATATTCCCAGTTAAAATAAACTTACCCTAAAAATATTAAGAACAATCTTATGAATTAGAGTTAGCAGAAAAAAGTTTAGCATGCCAAATTCTGAGATTAAGCAATAATCAAAAGCTATAAAATTAGTATCTTTTAAATGAGTAACAAAGAAAAGAGAAGGACCAAGAAATATAAGAAAAAAACAGGTGAGATAATATCAGGGCAGGTTTTAAAAAAGGAAATAATATTGAACTTTTAGAAATGAAAAAAAAAATGGGGAATTTAAAGTTAAAATTCAATAGAGAAGTTAAATATCCATTTAGACACAGCTGAAGATAGAATTTATATATTAGAAGACATATATAAAGAGAATACCTTAGCTTTAGCACAATGAAATGAAGAGAGGTCAGAGATATGAGTTATATATATATATATTATGTATATTCTCTATTCTATAACTTTTAAGTGAGTTTGAGAAGACTATAGGTAGAATGGAGGAGACACTGGTTAGATTTTTTTTAACTGGCTGGGTTAACTGAGTATTTCAAAAATAGCTTAATCCTCAATGGTATTGACTTTAAAATAAAACTCTTTAAAGTTGCTATTCTATTGGACATAGATGTATTAAGAGGCTTCTTAGAGGAGCTCCTAGATTACAGGCGTAGACTCCATTTCCCCATTGTGTAGAGAGCAACCCAAGTTCCCCATGATTGTTAGAATTGGTCATTTCAGCCAGTACAGAAACTTCATTCTTTAAGAGGCTTCCTTCTGGGACAATTCTTAATAGCAAGAATTCCACTGTGTAATGGTAGGGGAAGGAGTAAAAAACAAATAAATAAAACTTGACTATTTGACACAAGGCATGGAAGGATAACACATATGAAAAGACATGACAAATTAAAAGCACAAAATAATCTAAATATATCTAAAGTAACAAAAATATAAATCACAATTTTTACCAAAGTAGAGATTTTCTGATTGAAGAAAAGCAAAACCTACCTATATGTTATTTCAAAGAGAAACACCTAAAGCCTAATGATACAGGTTGCAAGTAGAAGAAAGGAAACAATATGTCAGTCTAATATTGACTAGGAAAAAATAAGTGTAGCTATATATATTATCCTTACTAAGTACAGAATCATTACATAACATAACAATTCATTAGATTCTGTTAACACTTCAAAACATAGGCTCAGTATACATTAAAAATTGACAGAATTTTACAAAGGTATTATCAAGTCTTAAGTCATGAAAAGAGATTTTCATGACTGTGTTGCTCTCAGCAGTTGGTAGATTAAGCATGCAGAAATTAATAAGAAAAGATAGAACAAAGTAATTATAAAATCAATCAAATGCACATATATAGAATTCTGTTCTAAAAATTAGATCAATATAGAATATTAAGACAATCTGTCAGGAAAAATCAATATCGTGAAAATGGAGATACTGCCCAAACTAATTTACAGATTCAATGCTATCCCCATCAAGCCACCATTGACTTTCTTCACATAATTAGAAAAAACTACTTTAAATTTCATATGGAACCAAAAAAGGGCCTGTATAGCTAAGACAATCCTAAGCAAAAAGATCAAAGCTGGAGGTATCGTGTTACCTGACTTCAAACTGTACTACAAGGCTACAGTAATCAAAACAGCATGGTATTGATACCAAAACAGATATATAGACTAATGGAACAGGACAGAGGTATCAGAAATAATGCCACACATCTACAACCATTTGATCTTTGACAAACCTGACAAAAACAAGCAATGGGGAAAGGATTCCCTATTTAATAAATGGTGTTGGGAAAACTGGCTAGTCATATGCAGAAAACTGAAATTGGACCCCTTCCTTATACCTTATACAAAAATTAACTCAGGATGGATTAAAGACTTAAATCTAAGACGTAAAACCATAAAAACCCTAGAAGGAAACCTAGGAAATACCACTCAAGACATAGGCATAGGCAAAGAATTCATAACTAAAACACCAAAAGCGATGGCGACAAAAGCCAAAATGGACATATAGGATCTAATTAAACTAAAGAGTTTCTGCACAGCGAAAGAAACTGTCATCAGAGTGGACAGGTAACCTACAGAATGGGAGAAAATTTTTGCAATCTATCCATCTGACAAAGGGCTAATATCCAGAATCTACCAGGAACTTAAAAAAATTTACAAGAAAAAAACAACTCCATCAAAAAGTGGGTGAAGGATATGAACAGACTCTTCTAAAAAAAAAAAGACATTTATGCAGCGAACAAACACATGAAAAAAAAGCTCATCACTGGTAATTAGAGAAATGCAAATCAAAACCACAATGAGTTACCATCTCACTCCAGTTAGAATGGTGATCTTTAAAGTCAGGAAACAACAGGTGCTGGAGAGGATGTGGAAAAATAGGAACGTTTGTACACTGTTGATGGGAGTGTAAATTAGTTCAACCATGTGGAAGACAGTGTGGCAATTCCTCAAGGATCTAGAACCAGAAATACCATTTGATCCAGCAATCCCATTACTGGGTATATACCTAAAGGATTATAAATCATTCTGCTCTAAAGACACATGCACACATATGTTTATTGCAGCACTACTCACAATAGCAAAGACTTGGAACCAACCCAAATGCCCATCAATGATGGACTGGATAAAGAAAATGTGGCACATATACCCTGTGGAATACTATGCAGCCATAAAAAAGGACAAGTTCATGTCCTTTGCAGGGACATGGATAAAGCTGGAAACCATCATTTTCAGCAAACTAACACAGGAACAGAAAACCAAACACCTCATGTTCTCACTCATAAGTGGAAGTTGAACAATGAGAACACATGGACACAGGGAGGGGAACATCACACACTGGGGCCTGTCAGGGTGGAGGGCTAGGGGAGGGGTAGCATTAGGAGAAATACGTAATGTAGATGATGGGTTGATAGGTACAGCAAACCACCATGGCACGTGTATACCTATGTAACAAACCTGCACATTCTGTGCACATATCCCAGAACTTAAAGTATAATAAAGGTAAATATTAAAAAGTAAAAGATAAGAAATTAGAAGACCAGTACAACATCCAAATGGTAGAAGTCTAGAAAAGGAAGGAAAAAGTGGATTAATATTATCAACCAAAAGATTAAACAATTCTCTCAAACTGAAGGACATGAGCTTCAAAGCACCAGAGAGATCAGTAAGTACAACAGATATAAAGAGACCCATACCAACCAACACAAATGACTTTAGAATTTCAGTACAGTGGGGCCAGACTGATGATTATCAAGGTTATAGAAAGAAAAAAAACTAAGATCTAGTACAAAAGATCAGAAAGCACTGGCTTCTGGTTTTTCAACATAAACATTAAAAGGTAGAAAAAAATGGCATGTTTCAAAATTCTGAAGAAAAATATTTTCCCTCCCAGATTTTTATGCTCAGCCATGTTATTATTTTGCCATATGTTCCTTCTCTGGAATTTGCTGGAAAATGTGCTTCAAGAAATGAAGAATAAACCAAAGAACGAAGGCATAGAATGAAAACAAAAGAGTAAAGGTATAAGATACAGGATATACGAGATTTATCTTAGAAGAAATGCAAAGGAAATATCTGGGATGACAGCAAAGATGATTCTAAGATCATAGCTGTGCATCAGGCGTGCTGGGCAACCATCCAGATTGGAGCAGTTAGAGGATCTTGGAAAGACTTCTTCAGGAAGGTAAATTTGATGGAATAGCTGATATTCTCATATATCTGATCATCTCAAAATACATTTTAGACAGTGAAGAGTTTGTTCTTGAATTAATTATAAATTGATAGAAAACTTAGCAAATAAAAACGAGACAGTATATGCTGAGAAAACAAAGTTGTTAGCAAAAGAAAAATAATCATAGTTTGCTACATGGTTTAGTTATGAATAGTGTTTGTGTACATATAAACACAGAATATTTAAGTAATCTAAACATATAGCTCTATTAGGATGATAGAGGGACAGGAGAGAATGAGTGTGATGGGAGCTAGGAGCCAGAGCTGGTCATACAGAGGAAAGTTAATAGAAGATTAAAAGTGAAAAATCAAGAAGCAGCAATGCAAGGATGTTATTTAAAAATAGGTACTGAAATAATCAGTTAAAATATATAAAAATTATTGCCTTTGTGGATGAGGAAATGATGAGGAGCCTGCTGTGTTTCATAACAAATAGTCATTTGATTCTTTAAAACATGTTAATCTATAACTTCAATAAAAGTCTGTCTTAAAATGAAAATCAGTGTAATTTACCTCATTAACATCTTAAAAATTGTATCTACCAAGAAATGCAAGACACATGTTTAGTTACATACAACATTTAGTAACATCTCTTAGCAAACTTTCTTAATCTGATAAATGGTAATTTAAAAGGCTGTAGAAAATATTATGTTTAATCATGACACAACAAAAGCAACATATTCAAAGCCAGGACAAGTCAAGGATTCCAACTGTCAACAACTCCCCTCAGTGTAGCACAGGAGATCTTAGCATGATAAGACAAAGCATGAGAATAGAAAAGGAAAAAAACATATATCATTATTTGCAGGTAATAATATTGTTTATCAAGAAAAACTCATGTGAATCAAACTATTCAAACTATTCAGGGAGTTCCACAAGGCTGCTAGATACAATATTCATTTAAAGACATGAATAGAACTCCTATACAGGTAGCGTGATGCCTCCAGCTTTGTTCTTTTGGCTTAGGATTGACTTGGCGATGCGGGCTCTTTTTTGGTTCCATATGAACTTTAAAGTAGTTTTTTCCAATTCTGTGAAGAAAGTCATTGGTAGCTTGATGGGGATGGCATTGAATCTGTAAATCACCTTGGGCAGTATGGCCATTTTCATGATATTGATTCTTCCTACCCATTAGCATGGAATGTTCTTCCATTTGTTTGTATCCTCTTTTATTTCGTAGAGCAATGGTTTATAGTTCTCCTTGAAGAGGTCCTTCACGTCCCTTGTAAGTTGGATTCCTAGGTATTTTATTCTCTTTGAAGCAATTGTGAATGGGAGTTCACTCATGATTTGGCTCTGTGTCTGTTATTGGTGTATAAGAATGCTTGTGATTTTTGTACATTGATTTTGTATCCTGAGACTTTGCTGAAGTTGCTTATCAGTTTAAGGAGATTTTGGGCTGAGACAATGGGGTTTTCTAGATACACAATCATGTCATCTGCAAACAGGGACAATTTGACTTCCTCTTTTCCTAATTGAATACCCTTTATTTCCTTCTCCTGCCTCATTGCCCTGGCCAGAACTTCCAACACTATGTTGAATAGGAGTGGTGAGAGAGGGCATCCCTGTCTTGTGCCAGTTTTCACAGGGAATGCTTCCAGTTTTTGCCCATTCAGTATGATATTGGCTGTGGGTTTGTCATAGATAGCTCTTATTATTTTGAGATATGTCCCATTAATACCTAATTTATTGAGAGTTTTTAGCATGAAGCGTTGTTGAATTTTGTCAAAGGCCTTTTCTGCATCTATTGAGATAATCATGTGTTTTTTGTCTTTGGTTCTGTTTATATGCTGGATTACATTTATTGATTTGTGTATATTGAACCAGTCTTGCATCCCAGGGATGAAGCCCACTTGATCATGGTGGATAAGCTTTTTGATGGGCTGCTGGATTCGGTTTGCCAGTATTTTATTGAGGATTTTTGCATCAATGTTCATCAAGGATATTGGTCTAAAATTCTCTTTTTTGGTTGTGTCTCTGCCCGGCTTTGGTATCAGGATGATGCTGGCCTCATAAAATGAGTTCGGGAGGATTCCCTCTTTTTCTATTGATTGGAATAGTTTCAGAAGGAATGGTACCAGTTCCTCCTTGTACCTCTGGTAGAATTGGGCTGTGAATGCATCTGGTCCTGGACTCTTTTTGGTTGGTAAGCTATTGATTATTGCCACAATTTCAGAGCCTGTTATTGGTCTATTCAGAGAGTCAACTTCTTCCTGGTTTAGTCTTGGGAGGGTGTATGTGTTGAGGAATTTATCCATTTCTTCTAGATTTTCTAGTTTATTTGCATAGAGGTGTTTATAGTATTCTCTGATGGTAGTTTGTATTTCTGTGGGATCGGTGGCGATATCCCCTTTATCATTTTTTATTGCGTCTATTTGATTCTTCTCTCTTTTCTTCTTTATTAGTCTTGCTAGCGGTCTATCAGTTTTGTTGATCCTTTCAAAAAACCAGCTCCTGGATTCATTAATTTTTTGAAGGATTTTTTGTGTCTCTATTTCCTTCAGTTCTGCTCTGATTTTAGTTATTTCTTGCCTTCTGCTAGCTTTTGAATGTGTTTGCTCTTGCTTTTCTAGTTCTTTTAATTGTGATGTTAGGGTGTCAATTTTGGATCTTTCCTGCTTTCTCTTATGGTCATTTAGTGCTATAAATTTCCCTCTACACACTGCTTTGAATGCGTCCCAGAGATTCTGGTATGTTGTGTCTTTGTTCTCGTTGGTTTCAAAGAACATCTTTATTTCTGCCTTCATTTCGTTATGTACCCAGTAGTCATTCAGGAGCAGGTTGTTCAGTTTCCATGTAGTTGAGTGGTTTTGAGTGAGTTTCTGAATCCTGAGTTCTAGTTTGATTGCACTGTGGTCTGAGAGACAGTTTGTTATAATTTCTGATCTTTTACATTTGCTGAGGAGAGCTTTACTTCCAAGTATGTGGTCAATTTTGGAATAGGTGTGGTGTGGTGCTGAAAAAAATGTATATTCTGTTGATTTGGGGTGGAGAGTTCTGTAGACGTCTATTAGGTCCGCTGGAGGCATCACGCTACCTGACTTCAAACTATACTACAAGGCTACAGTAACCAAAACAGCATGGTACTGGTACCAAAACAGAGATATAGATCAATGGAACAGAACAGAGCCCTCAGAAATAACGCCGCATATCTACAACTATCTGATCTTTGACAAACCTGAGAAAAACAAGCAATGGGGAAAGGATTCCCTATTTAATAAATGGTGCTGGGAAAACTGGCTAGCCATATGTAGAAAGCTGAAACTGTGTCCCTTCCTTACACCTTATACAAAAATTAATTCAAGATGGATTAAAGACTTAAATGTTAGACCTAAAACCATAAAAACCCTAGAAGAAAACCTAGGCATTACCATTCAGGACATAGGCATGGGCAAGGACTTCATGTCTAAAACACCAAAAGCAATGGCAACAAAAGCCAAAATTGACAAATGGGATCTAATTAAACTAAAGAGCTTCTGCACAGCAAAAGAAACTACCATCAGAGTGAACAGGCAACCTACAAAATGGGAGAAAATTTTCGCAACCTACTCATCTGACAAAGGGCTAATATCCAGAATCTACAATGAACTCAAACAAATTCACAAGAAACAAACAAACAAACCCATCAAAAAGTGGTCAAAGGACATGAACAGACATTTCTCAAAAGAAGACATTTATGCAGCCAAAAAACACATGAAAAAATGCTCACCATCACTGGCCATCAGAGAAATGCAAATCCAAACCACAATGAGATACCATCTCACACCAGTTAGAATGGCAATCATTAAAAAGTCAGGAAGCAACAGGTGCTGGAGAGGATGTGGAGAAACAGGAACACTTTTACACTGTTGGTGGGACTGTAAACTAGTTCAACCATTGTGGAAATCAGTGTGGCAATTCCTCAGGGATCTAGAACTGGAAATACCATTTGACCCAGCCATCCCATTACTTGGTATATACCCAAAGGACTATAAATCATGCTGCTATAAAGACACATGCACACGTATGTTTATTGCGGCACTATTCACAATAGCAAAGACTTGGAACCAACCCAAATGTCCAACAATGATAGACTGGATTAAGAAAATGTGGCACATATACACCATGGAATACTATGCAGCCATAAAAAATGATGAGTCCATGTCCTTTGTAGGGACATGGATGAAATTGGAAATCATCATTCTCAGTAAACTATTGCAAGAACAAAAAACCAAACACCGCATATTCTCACTCATAGGTGGGAATTGAACAATGAGAACACATGGACACAGGAAGGGGAACATCACACTCTGGGGACTGTTGTGGGGTGTGGAGAGGGGGGAGGGATAGCTTTAGGAGATATACCTAATGCTAAATGACGAGTTAATGGGTGCAGCACACCAGCATAACACATGTATACATATGTAACTAACCTGCATATTGTGCACATGTACCCTAAAACTTAAAGTATAATAATAATAAAATAAAATAAAAAAAAGAATTCCTATACAGAAGGAACAATTAGAGAGTGCAATTAGAAATATCATTAAGAATAACAAAATATTTTAAGACATCTAAGAGCAAATATAGTAAGTCCTCACTTAATGTCATTGGTAGGTTCTTGGAAATTGACTTTAAGCCAAATGACATATGACACCAAATTTTTTTCTCGTTAGTGTTATAAAGAAATGATGTTGAATGAGATAATGTTATTTCCGCTATATATCATATCAGTTAAAGCCTCAGGTTCTTCCAAGAACCTATCAATGATATTAACTGGGGACTTACTGCATACAATAAACTGCTGAAGTATATATTTTGTAACAAATAGCAGAGCTTCAGCCAGTCACAGGCAGCCAGCTGATCACAGCATGCCCAAATAAGGCAGAGGCCTTGTGGTAGCTAATCAGGTGATTTTTCTACTTTGTCTCCATTTTTGATTCACAGAAGATGTTGCTCACACTGCTGGGTGGAGCTTTCTGTACCTCTTCACCGTCTGAATCCTGCCTGACTCATGAATTATTATTTGCTCAAAGTTAACTGTGTTAAACTTACTGTATCTAAAGTTTTTTTTTTTAATACTTTGATGGTAAAAGGGGGTTTAGAGATGTGATGAAGTCCAGGATCTTGATATAGGGATATTCTAGATCATCCTGGTGGGCCATAAGTAAGTATAGTCACAAAGTTCTTATAAGAGGGCAATAAGAAGGTCAAAGAAGGAAGAAGGTGACTTGATGATGGAACAGAGGGAGAAAAGGTCATGTGTTGAGGGGCCGCAAGCTAAGGAATGTGGATAGCTTCTAGAATCTGGAAGAGGCAAGGAAATGGATTATCTCCTAGAGCCTGCAGAAGGAGCCAGCCCTACTGACACATTGATGTCAGCCAAGACACATTTCAAACTTCTAACCTCCAGAACTATTAAGACAATGGATTTGTGTTTCAAGCCACTAAGCCTGTAGTAATTATGGTAGTAATATAAACTAATACACAGCCCCTAATGTTCATAATGCCAAGGTTGAAAAATCCTAGTATAGAATGTAATTTCTATGAGTTAAAAAGTATACAAAACCGTACTCTTTATATACTACTTACATATTTAATTTTAATTATTTTGAATTGAAAAACTGCATATATTATTACAACATGTTTTGAAATATGTGTACATTTTGGAATGGCTAAATAGAGCAAATTAATGTATGCATTATCTATATGATTGTCACTTTTTGTGGTAAGAACACTTAGTTTACTCTCAGTGACTTTCAAGAATACAATGCATTGTTATGAACTGTAGTCACCATGCTATGCAATAGAGCTTTAGAACTTATTCCTCCTATCTGAAATTTTGTATTCTTTGAGCAACATCTCCCCAAACTGCCCTATTCTTCCCTCAAGCCTCTAGTAACCAACATTCTACTCTCTGCTTTTATTAGTTCAGCTTTTTTAGATTCCACATATAAGTGAGATCATGTGATCTTTTTGTGGCTGCCTTATTTCACTTAACGTCCTCCACTTTCATTCATATTGTTGCAAATAATAGTTTCCATCTTTTAAAAAGCTGAAGAGTATTCCACTGTGTATATATACCACACTTTCTTTATCCATTCATCTGCTGATGAACACGTAGGTTAATTTTAGGTTAATTCTATATCTTGGCTATTGTGAATAATCCTGCAGTGAACATGGTCTTTCATACATCTCTTCAACATGCTAATTTCAAATCTTTTGGATATATATTCAGAAGTGGGGTTGCTGGATCATATGGTAGCTCTATTTTTAACTTTATGAGGAATATCTATACAGTTTTCCATAGTGGCTGTACTAATTTACATCTCCACTAAGCATCTACAAGGGTTCCCTTTTCTCCACAGCCTTGCCCACACTTGCTATCTTTCGTCTTATCAGTGATAGTCATTCTGACAGAGGTGAGGTGATATTTCATTATGATTTTTATTTGTATTTTCCTAATAATTAGTGATTTTGAATATTTTTTCATATACCTGTTGGCCATTTGAATGTCATTTTGAGAAATACCTGTCCTACTCCTTTGCTGACTTTTTAATTGGGTTGTTTTCCTGCTCTTGAGTTGCTTGAGTTCCTTATATATTTGGATCTTAACGGCTTATCAGACATATGGTTTGCAAATATTTTCTCCCATTTTATAGGTTATCTCTTTACCCTCCCTGTTCCTTGCTTCCTTTACTGTTCAGAAGCTTTTTAGTTTGATGTAAGCCATTTGTCTATCTTTGCTTTCATTGCCTGAGATTTGGGGGTCAATTTTTTCTTAAAAATTGGCCAGACCAATGTTATGTAGCTTTTCCCTGAGTTTACCTCTAGTTGTTTTACAGTTTCAGGTCTTCTGTTTAAGTTTTTAATCCATTTTGAGTTGATTTTTGCTTCTAGTATGAGATAAGGGTCCAATATTATTCTTTTGGATGAGGATATCCAATTTTCTCAGCATCATTTATTGAAAAAGCTGTCCTTTTCTCATTGTGTATTCTTGGCATCTTTGTTGAAAATCAATTGTACTGAAGTCTTTTATCAGTTAAAAAAATTAACTAGCTCTAAATGCATACATTTATCTCTGAGTGCTCTGTTTTGTTCCATTGGGTCTGTATGTCTGTTTTCTTTGCCATACTATCCTGTTTTGGTTACTATAGCTTTGTATGTAGTTTGAAATTGGGTAGTAAAATTCCCTGCAGCTTTGTTCTTTTTACTCAAGATTGTTTTGGCTATTTGGAAACTTCTGCGGTTCTATACAACTTTTAGAATTGTTTCCTCTATTTTTGTGAAAAATATCATTGGAATTTTGATAGGTATTGCACTAAATCTGTAGGTTGCTTTGAGTGGTATGGATATTTCAACAATATTAATACATTTTCATTTATTTTTGTCTGGTGTTGCTTTTATCAATGATACGTAGTTTTCAATGTACAGTTCTTTCACATCCTTGGTTAATTTATTCCTAAGTATTTTATATTTTTTGTAAATGTGTTTACATTTTTTTGGATAGTTCATCTTATTGTATAGAAACAGTACTGATTTTTTACATGTTGATTTTGGATCCTGCAAAAATATACTGTATATATTTTAATGAAGTTCTACATATTTACTTAAAATTGACCATCATCCCTGGGATTGATACATACCAACTTCAAGATTGCAGTAAACTTGGTGAGGTAGAAGGACAGGAAGGTGAAGGTGGGGCAGTAAGGTGGGGGCTATGATTAGGCTTTAACTGTGTCTGTAAAGAAAAGAAAAAGCCTCTGTAAACATAGCAAAATGTTAATATACGTTAACTCTGGTTGGTGAGTACATACATGTGTTTCCGTTACGCTTTCAATATTATTTATGTATCATTTGAAATACTTTATAAATAAAAATATTTTTAAAAATTATTGAATTTCTGTAATTTCAGCTTTCTCTCACCTCCTAGTAGCTAAAGTCAATGGTAAAATTGGTCTGGAGTAGGTGCTGCACCCCAGGGAAAGATCATGGCCTGGCAGTAGGTGCTGCATTCTGTATTCTGCTATCTTTCTGGCTGATTTGTAATTGTTCACATTGCTGGCAGAGTTGTCCTGAATTATATGATAAGAGACAAAATCCTACTGTGGGGGTCTTTTGTGCTTGGCCCCTTCTCAGGACATTTCTTCTTCCCCAAACCCCTCCATTTCAGGAACCATGGGATGCTATATATTTTGTTCTTCCCCTAAGCGGCTACACCTGGCAGAATCTCTGAAAAGGGCTTCTTTCCTTAGGTGTCCTACAATCTGTTCATGCATACATCTTTGTGTCTGTGAAGACCAGGGCCAGACTAAGGCTTTGGGCTTCATAGATCTTGTTATTCATGTTTTTCCCAAGTGGCAGAGGCATATTTTAATTTTAAGATGGTCTAGTCCAAAGGACAGTCAGATGGGTTTTACAATTGACTCCTAGGAGCCTTAAGTCTCACATTTGAAAAAAATTATAATTTCAACTTTTATTTTAGATTCAGGAGGTACATGTACAGGTTTGTTACATGGGTATATTGTATGATGCTAAGATTTGGGGTACAAATGATCCCATCACCCAGGTAGTAAGCACAGTATCCAATAGGCAGCTTTTCACCCCTTGTCCCCCACCTCTCTCCGTCATCTAGTAGTCCCAAGTGTCTATTGTTGCCATCTTTATGTCCATGAGTACCCAATGTCCAGCCCCACTCATAAGCGAGAACATGCAGTATTGAGTTTTCTGTTCTGCAATTATTCACTGCTGTGTATTATTTCATGGTGTATATGTACCACATTTTCTTTATCCAGCCCACCATTGGTGGGCACCTAGGTTGATTCCATGTCTTTGATGTTATGAATAGTGCTGTGATGAACATATGAGTGCAGATGTCTTCTTGGTAGAATGATTTCTTTTCATTTGGGTATTTATACACTGTGTATATTTAGGTACATACCTAGTAATGGATTGCTGGATTGAATGGTAATTCTGTTTTAAGTTCTTGTGAAATCTCCAAATTGCTTTCCACAATGGTTGAACTAATTTACATTCCCACCAACAGTGCATAAGCATTCCCTTTTCTCCACAGCCTTGCCAACATCTGTTATTTTTTGACTTTCTCATAAAAGCCATTCTGACTGGTGTGAGGTGGTATCTCATTGCAGGTTTGATTTGCATTTCTCTGATGATTAGTTTGAAGTTGAGTAGTCTGATGCCTCTGGCTCTGTACTTTTTGCTTAGGGTTGCTTTGGCTATTTGAACCCTTTCTTTGGTTCTACATGAAATTTAGAATAGTTTTCTTCTAATTCTGTAAAAAATGTCACTGGTAGTTTGATAAGAATGGTGTTGAATAAGTAGAATGCTCTAGGCAGTATGGTCATTTTACCGATATTGATTCTTCCAATCCATGAGCATGGAATGTTTTTCCATTTGTTTGTGTCACCTGTGATTTCTTTCAGCACAGTGTTGTAGTTCTCCTTGTAAAGATCTTTCACCTCTTTTGTTAGATGTAGTCCAAGGTTTGTTTGGGGGGTGGCTATTGTAAATGGAAATGTTCTTGATTTGGCTCTTAGCTTGAATGTTATTGGTGTGTAGAAATGCTACTGATTCTTGTACATTGAGTTTTGTATCCTGAAACTTTACTGAACTTGTTTATTAGTTCTAGGAGCCTGTTTGTGGAGTCTTGAGGGTTTTCTAGGTATAGAATTTTGTTGTCAGTGAACAGAGATAATTTGGCTTATATTTTTTCCTGTTCGTATGCCTTTCATTTCTTTCTCTTGCCTGATTGTTCTAGCTAAGACTTCTGGCCATCCTTGTCTTGGTCCTATTCTTAAGGGGAATGCTTTCAGCTTTTGCCCATTTATTATGATATTGGCTATGGGTTTGCCATAGATGGTTCTTACTATTTTGAGGTGTTTTCTTTTAATACCTAGTTTGTTGAGAGTTTTTATTATGAAGCAATGCTGGATTTTATTGAAAGCGTTTTCTGCATCTATTAAGATGGTCCTATGGTTTTTTGCTTTAGTTCTGTTTATCTGGTGAATCACATTTATTGATTTGTGTATGTTGAACCAACCTTGGATCCCAGTGATGGAGTCTACTTTGTCATTGTGTATTAACTATTTTTTTAAGTAAATCTGATTTATCTTAGGGAGAAAATATTCAGAAGCTGAAGAGGTCAACACCTATATTCTCAAGCATCAGAAGGAAAACAAGCCCCATAAGCATGATTACTGTATTTCAGAGGCAAAGGCAACACCAGCGAATTAACTTTTTGATGTGCTGCTGCATTCTGTTTGCTAGTATTTTGTTGAGAATTTTTGTATCTATGTTTATCAGGGATATTGACCTGAAGTTTTCTTTTTTGTTGTGTCTTTGCCAGATTTTGGTATCAGGGTAATGCTGGCTTCATAGAATGAGTTAGGCAGGATGCTCTCTCTCTTTCTGTCAATATTTTGGAATAGTTTCAGTAGAATTGGTACTGGCTCTTCTTTGTATATCTGGTAGAATTTGGCTGTGAATCCCTCTGGTTCAGGGGTTTTTTTGGTTGGCAGGTTTTTTATTACTGATTCAATTTCAGAATTCAATACTGGCCAGTTCAGAGTTTCAGTGTATTCCTGATTCAATCTTGGGAGATTATGTGTTTCCAAGAATTTATCCATTTTCTCTAGATGTTCTAGTTCGTGTGCGTAGAGGTGCTTATAATAGTTTCTGTGGGTCTTTTGTATTTCTGAGGGCTTGTTGTAATGTCAGCTTTGTCATTCTAATTGCGCTTATCCAAATAAAATATCTTCTATCTTTTTCTTTGGCTTTTCTTTTTATGAGATGGAGTCTCGCTTTGTTGCCCAGGCTGGAGTGCAGTGGCATGATCTTGACTCACTGCAACCTCTACCTCCTGTGTTCAAGCAATTCTCCTGCTCCAGCTTCCCAAGTAACTGGGATTACAGGTGTGCACCAACATGCCCAGCTACTTTTTGTATTTTTAGTAAAGACAGGGTTTCACCATGTTGGCCAGGTTGGTGTCGAACTCCTGACTTCAAATGATCTGCCCCCCCTTGTCCTCCCAAAGTGCTGGCATTACAGGCATGAGCAACCGTACCTGGCTCTTTTTCTTTGTTAATCTAGCAACAGTCTATCAATCTTGTTTATTCGTTGAAAGAACAACTTTTGGTTTTGGTGATCCTTTGTATAGGTTTTTGAGTCTCAATTTTATTCATTTCTGCTCTGATTTTAGTTTTTTTTTTTTTTCTGCTACCTTTGGGATTAGTTTGTTTCTGTGTTCCTGTAGGAATGATGTTAGATCATTAATTTGAGATCTTTCTAACTTTTTGATGTAGGTGTTTAGCACTGTAACCTTTCTTCTTAATACTGCTTTTGCTGCATCCCAGAGATTTTGATATGTTGTGTATCTGTCTTTACTTATTTCAATGATCTTTTTTATTTCTGCTTTAATTTCATTGTTTATCCAAAAGTCATTCAGGAGCAAGTTGTTTAATTTCCCTGTAATTGTGTGCTTTTGAGAGATCTTCTTTGTATTGGGTTCTATTTTTATTCCACGCTGGTGCAAGTGTATGTTTGGTGAGATTTTGATTTTTTTTGAATTTACAGAGACTAGCTTTATGACCAAGCATGTGATCAATCTTACAGTATGTTCATTGTGCAGATGAGAAGGTATATTCTGTGGTTGATAGGTGGAGTATTTGGTAGATGTCTACACAGTTCATTTGGTTGAGTGTCAAATTTAAGTTCAGAACTTCTGTTAGTTTTCTGCCTTGATGATCTAACACTGTCAGTGGGGTGTTGAGGTCCTCCATTATAATTGTCTGGCTAAATATTTTTGTAGGTCTGGAAGTACTTGTTTTATAAAGCTGGGTGCTCCAATGTTGGGTGCATCTATATTTAGGGTAGTTAAGCCTTCTTGTTGAATTGAACTCTTTATCATTTATGTGATGCCATTTGTCATTTTTTTCTTTTCTTTCTTTTTTTTTACTGCTATTTTTTACTGTCCTTTTTTTCTTTGATATAAGAATATACTTTTTTATAACCACCTGTTGAGAAAAAATCAAAATTAAATGCCATTTCAATTCTATTAATTCAGTCTTGGTTAATTCCCAGGTATGTTAAAAAATTCCTAGTGGGATGTTCTGAAGTTTTAATAGCCATTTCTTCCAAGCTGACAGACACAAATCCATTGCAATGCATTGAGATCTCTATAAGGTAAAAATAAATGAACATGATCTCACAGAGACCCCTGATCTTTTGGGGTTTGTTCTTAATCTAAATTCCACGGGAGAATGCTTTCTCTTGTAAAACCTTTTTATTATTGTACAATGTTCATTATTGAAAAATCATAGATTTGAGTACAAGAATCAGTTATTAGCCTTCTCCATTTCCCTTCAAATGGTAAGACTTGTATTTTTGTTATTTATGTTCACTGGAATAAATAAGAGAATTGATTTTTTTTTCTGGGTACATTTTTATGTATTTATATACTAGCAGATCAAGCATGGTCTAGTTTTCAACCAGCTAGTCCTTCAAAGTATTTTTTCAGACAAAAATTTAACCTCAAACTGGTGTGAGTTTTTAGAATTCCATGGGGGATATTAAGTGCTTCTATAATATTTTAGAGAGATTCCCATGAGGAGATCTGCAGCTTTAAATTCCAAGTGTCCCATGGCTTAATCCTTTAGGAGTAATAAGAGAAAATGAGGTAATCTTAGTGGGCAAGCTATGCTTCACTCCATACAAATGATTCCCATTTCTGTTCAGTCTCATCCTTAGAAAATAAATACTTTCCTCTAGAAACTGAGAATGAATCAGAATGACTTATTGATTCTTGAAAAAGCCCACTACAGATAAATTCAGTCAAAGGCTGCTCTAGGTTTAAGTTTGCTGGAAACTATTAGCAGAAGTATTGAAAGGTATTTTCCTAACAGTACTTCATTTGAAGTGTTAAGAAAGACTTGGATTAATAGCAGAAAGGGTCCTTACAATACAAGAATAAAGAAATAGTTATTTTACCCTGGGCCAAAGGACGCCAGAGAGATAATCACACACACATAAAAAATCTTAAGTGCTAATTCTGGCTCACAAAATGCTCTGTGGTATGTCTCAGACCTCTACATCACCACGTCAAGCAGGTGGACCTAAGCTTGCTCCTGTCTGAAGTGTGGCATGGCAGAAAGCCACAGAGTTTAGGCAGAGCCCCTAATCAAGGGACTTTGCTTAATTTGAACAATCTCTTCTCTGAGATTTATTTTCTTTTATATATAATTGGGCTAAATGATTTTTAAATTCCTTTCCATCTCTCAAATTCTATTCCCTCATCAGTTGCATTTTCTCAGCGATGAGTCCAGAGATTTCTGAGCTAAATCTCAGGTGAGAAGAACATGTGGTGAACTCCAAAACTTTACACAACAGCTTTACAGAGCATAACTAGGGGTGGCAACATAGCATCTAACTGTTAGACTCTCTTATCACGTTCCCAGGGTTTGAGTCTCAGGTTTACCACTCACTAGGTGTGTGATATAGGGTAGGTGCTTTGGTCTTTGTGAGCCCTGTTTCTTCATCTGTAAAGGGGATCCTACTAGTACATGCTCCATAGTTGCTATGATGATTAAAGGAGATCATCTTATAAAGCCCTTAGAAGTATGTATTTTTCATAGAGAGGATGCAACCTATGTGTAACACTCAGGGTTTGATCAAATAAAGAGAACTTTAGAAATGATACGAACATAGGGCTTATCAAAGGGGATTCCAGACAATTTCTGGAAGCTGCTGCTTCTGTATCTAGTGTTGGACCTAAAGTCATTTGGGAAAAGTATTAGGAAGGAAAGATGAATGTAAAGTGGGAGAGGGCAAGGAGAAAGGAGAACACACAAGGGAGAACTGAAACTTGGGTTTGGTGGCTCACTTACTCGAAGCTTCCCACTGCAGTGATGTCAATCTCCTCCTTTCAGAGCCAAACACGCATGGCCCAGGAGTAGGAGAAATTGAAGAACAAGATCCTGCAATAGCTAACAGAGCAACATGGTTAGTCAGTGGCCCCTGCCAACAAAGTGAGGCAGCAGATCAGCAGCAGATCAGCAGCAAATTGTGTGAGTTGCAACAGTGCCTGGTGTACCACTCTGTGCTTCTGAGCACAAGAGAATATGGCTGCCTCACTTCCGCTTTCCAAATTTGTGTAACATCTCTTTTGTCTCATATTAACCTGGAACTATGCAAGGAAAGGAATTCTAGGAAATGTAGATTCCAGCTTAGTTAAGTTGATATAGTATGAATACACTGCATGATGTTAGCTATTAACAGTTTTTCATCTTCAGAAACACTTCTCTAAAAATTCTTTCTAAAATGGCCTCTCTTACCCCAAGCCATTTAAGCCATTCTCTATCACAGTCTATCCAGAATCACTTTACTTATTTATCCAGTATTTACATATTTATATTGTGTGTTGCCAGACTAGAATAGAAGCTCCAATGAAGACTGGAATGTACTTAGTTACCACTATATCCTCAGAAAATTGTGCCTAGACTATAGTAGCTTCTCAGCAAATATTTAGTGAACATGGTTGAACTATAATGTGAATCAAGGTGGGAGTCATTTTGAAAATTTAGCATCCTGAGGCAGGGTGCAGAGGCTCACACCTGTAATCCTGGCACTTTGGGAGGCTGAGGCGGGTGGATCACTTGAGGTCAGGAGTTTGAGACCAGCGTGGCCGACATGGTGAAACCCCATCTTTACTAAAAATACAAAAATTAGCTGGGTGTGGTGGCGCATGCCTGTAATCCCAGCTACTAGGGAGGCTGAGGTAGAATTGCTTGAACCCAGGTGGCGGAGGTTGCAGTAAGCCAAGATTGTGCCAGTGCACTCCAGCCTAAATAACAGTGAGACTCTGTCTGAGAAAAAAAAAAAAAAAGAAAAAAGAAAAAAAAAGAAAATTTAACATCCTGAATCTGATCCCAGTGTTTAGGTTGTGGTCAAAGGCATGCAAACATTCTGAAAACTATTACATGCCAGGCTCTATGCTAAACTCTTTGCAGGTTGAATTAGGTAGGATAATGTTGTCTGCTATAATAAAGCTCAAAATTTTAGTGGCTTCTCACAATACAAGTTTTTCTTAGCTCATGGGTGCTCCTGGTTGATGAGTGACTTTCCTTTTCATAGTGTCTCGGTGATCCAGGCTGTTTCTATCACATGAAGACATCTTCCCACAGGACATTGTTATCCTTTGCCTTCAGCTAGTAGAAGCTAGGGACAGGACACGTTGGTACTTAAAAGTCCTGGCCTGGAAGAGAAATATATCACTTCTCCTCGCATTTCACTGGGGAAAGGTGGTGACATATTACCCCTGGATGCAAGGAGTGATTGGTAGATGTGATTCCTGCCTAGGAAGTTGCTTCCCACTTACAATATCATACTAAGGGGGAACACAAGTTTTATTAGACAGTTAGATGTGTCTACCACCTATATGCTGTTTAATCTCCACAGTAATCTTATAAGGTAGGTGCTATTAATGTTCCCATTTTACATATGAAGTTTATCTGAAAAGCAAGTAACCTGCCCAAAGTCACACAATTCAGAATTACAATTTTGAGCCAAAGAGATTCAAATCTGCGCTCTTAACTCCATAATACACTTCCTCTCAACTCATGAGAGTTCTAAGACAACTTGTTAATGGACTGGATTCTTTGAAAATTTCAGCTAGGATTCTGATAGGTAAAACCTATTAGAGATTGCCTACAATGTATGATAAGCAATAGGTCAAGTCCTCAAAATGAAAGCAAGTTTTAAAGTATTATTGATAGCATGATGTGGCTATTATTTCTGCAGGTTAATTGATGAATGTTGTTTCAAACAGAAAATGTTTAATGAGTTTGCATCTTTACAAATGCATATTTTAAATAGAGATATTTGAACCACGAAATAATTTGGGTTGTTTCTCACAAAAAAAGATAAATAAATTTGCATTTGTGCTACCCATTTGGAGAGTTGAGAGAAAGATTGGAAACTTGTGGCTTGTCTGGTTCCCATGGGTCATATTGATGGCACACAAGCATCGGGAGCATTTCCTGAGGAATTGCCAGTGTGTCTGTATTGATGGATGGAAACTACCACTGAACAATGCAGGTGGGTTCCAAAACTACCAAGCCCTTGGTTTAAAGTCAAACACAAATCTGGTTGGCACTACATAATGTTAGCTCAATTATGCTCCTCTCAAATAGGAGATTGAATATGTAGTATGTGCCAAAGTGATGCTTCAAAATCTAAATATAATATAGATTCACAAACTTAACAAGTGCTTTAGAAACTGCAAACCAGGACCCGTGGTTCAAGGCAGTGTAGATTTCTAGAAATTCTTTTATGCTTCCCACTTCAGAAACCAAACAGATAGGGATGTATGTGAAACCTCAGGGAAATCAGAATAAATATGTAGAGTCTTGAAATATTCACCTTTATTTGTCACATATAACAAGAATTCGAACTGCCATAAATAGCAAATACTCAAGAACTTTAAGTTGCTTAGTGTTACAGGCTTGGCTTACCAGGTGTAGTTTCTGTACCTAAAATGAGCAAGTTCAAGAAGGAAAGTAAAGGCCAGAGTCAAAAATTTTTCATTTTTCTGTATTGAGAGAATTTGATACTTTATCTAGAAAATGACAGCAAAATAGAAAAGGATAAATGAGTTAGAAAAAAAATTGGCTAGACTAATGAGTCATAAAAATCATCCAGGAGAAGCCAAATGTGTGATACTTGTTAAAATTATGCAAGGATCTTTTATCCTTGTGGACTTTATTGTTGAGCTAATAATAATATTAATTTAGCAGAAAAGTTGATTTTTACAATGCAGCTGTGTGGCGCAGTGGTGAAGAGCATGTCATTAATGGTGAGATTAGATCTTGGTTTAGATTCTAGACCTTCCACTTACTATCCATGCATCCTTGAGAAAGTCACTTAGCCTAAGAATTAGGTTACTTATCTATAAGTGGTTAAAGGAGAGGTGGACTAATTAAATCAACTAATCATTTAAACCTCTCAGTACACTCCTTGGCATGTACTAAATCCATGTAAATGATAATTGTTAATTTAATGACTCTTCTTAGTCAAATATTACATGAAAAGCGTGTGGGTCTTAAGAAATGTGAAACCAGTCTCCATAAAAGCTCTCTGCTTTCTAGAACATATACAATTGTCTGGAAAGCAAATTCTTGATGTAGCTTGTTCCTCATGATTTGAATCCCCTACCCAGGACTCTATGTCACCTTCAGGTTCTCTTCACATCTAGGTATTCTCGGCTATTTGTTTTACATGACACTAGACACATCCATGATGGAGATGGAGGAAGAAAGGGTGGTTCTGAAAGAGTTATCTCTGTGGGTGGAAAAAGCTGAGTATTCCCTGCAAGGTTCTTGTGTTGGGACATTGAGGATGACTCAGAGATTAGTAGGATGTGACATACGGGAGGTTCCGAGAAATAAAATTCATTGCTTTTATTTCAGCCTCATTGTCCAAATGAATCTTCCATATTGTGAGCCAAGAGAGTTTCTTACTACGAAGATTCTCCTCTCATAAATTTACTCCTGTGAGAAGTTGTCAAAAGCAGAGCCAAGATTGTGATCAACATGGATCATAATACTTATCAAAGTTGTCATCCTTCCTGAATCTCTCTCATTTTTGCATGTCTAGCCATCAGCCCCTGTTCCTTTATTTTAAAGCTTACACATCACCATTAAATTAAAATGTAGCAATTATTTATGACCTTTCAGTGCATTTATTTTTTTCTTGAAAGGCTTGTCTATGCTTGCTATTACAACTTTTGATAGCTAGGCAGTTAAATGAGAAAGACAATCTTCTGTATCATGATTTAGACTGAGGCAACTTACATTCTTAATGGTGTAAGCACTTTTGTCTGCTACTAGTAGAATGGATACATATGAGGGCTGTTAATTTAGCTGTAATGTGGGCTGCGTGGGAAAAGCTATAGGAGTTCTATTTAGTTGGTAGTAAACAACTTCGGAATCAATGTGTTTTTCTTTACTGAAGACTTGCTTAGTGCATTGGAAAAAAAATTCTATTAGTTTGCCTCATTTAGTAGTCACCACGCAGCCTGATGTGTGAGCCAGTGACACCCATTAAGGCCGGCATGACTGTTTGTAGCAAAATGAACTGAACCATCTGAATTCAACCCCAGCGTCATCATTCAGCAGGCCAGACAGAGCCATGATTTAGGATTTTCCCAACATTTTATGGCAATTTGTTTCATTTGCCGCAGGCCCGTAACGATGCAAATTGCCATAAAGTGGGATAATCAGGCAGTAGAAGTGTCATAAAACTGCAGGAGAAACAAATTTCCATCTTGGAACTTTGCATGCCGATGGATGTTGGGGAGAGCAAATGCGGGTGCTTTTTGCCGGTGTTATCTGGTTGCCAAGCTCTGTGCCAAGCAGAAATGATTCCATTTTGTCAATTTGTACTCATTTTGAAGCCAAAGAATGGAAGTGAAAGAGGACCTGAAAATATGAGGAAGCACCGGGCCAAAGTCTCTCCTCAGATGCCTGGGCTCTGATACTGGGAGCAGTGGTCCAAGGGAGAGGAGGCCAAATATATGCCATTAGATAGATGGAGAACAAATTAAACAGCTCTTAGGGACTGGAGTGCTTTGGCCTTCTGAAATGTCATGGTCCTTTTCCTGATATGTTTGTGGGATGCCTGTCCTGTCTTGAGCAGCCCTGCCTCTTTTTTGCCATGAATAGCCTGTCTCAAGGTGAGAACATATCAGGCTAGAACCAGCATTGTTAGACTGAAGCTCTTTGGGCCCTGCTGAGAACTGGGACGTGGTTGAGATGAAAGAGTTCATTCTCAAATATCCATTGCTTGCCCTTGGAAGCAAAAACGGAGTGTTTCTTTTATTTTTTTATTTTATTTTATTTTTATTTTTATGCCTGAGCAGCAGACTTCCTTTGTCTTTATGCATTTTTATTTTTTTTTCTTCTCCTGGCCACATTCCTATCTCATGGGTCATTTACACGTTTCAGGTATCATGAGTCATCCTTTGAAGAATCACATGGCCTGAAATTTTCAGGTCTCACCCTACAGCTAATAATGAGGTTGTTTTGCCTTCACCCTTTATTTTTGTGTTGTCTATTTTGTTTCCTGTTTTGTAATATTACATTAATGGCATTGGTTTGAAAGTTCCCTAAGGATACATTCTATAGCTCCGTTCCTGCTAACTGAGCTGTTTTTGACAGATATCTTAATAACGTACTAGCTCATTGCCAAGCTGCTAGGGGTAAGAGCTAAAATCATTTCTTCTTTTTTTAAAAATGAAATATATCCCAGGGAAAGTGTCTCTAGAATTCCTCTGATTTTATTTTATAAACTGAATTTGTCATGAACTCCCCAATGAGCAAGTCTGTTTCCCAATTTTGATGCTGTTGTATCCTAAGAGTTAGGCAGTAGGGAAGACGGTAAAAACTGGTCTCTTTCTGGCTTTTGCAATGGTGATATTTTATCTATAGCTTTCACATGCAGTCATTTTCATGTTCTTATGTTTCTCATCTAATTTAGAACATGTTCTGTGATCATTTTAAATTGAATGTATACAGGATAAGATATATATAGCTAATGTTGATCATAAACATTGATTGTGGGCGCATAATATACCCTATATTGTAGTATCTCTTTATGTTCGTTATCTCATTTAATTGCAAAAACAAGCCAATGATGTGTTTTATTTTCAAAACATTCCTATTTTGGGGAGGAGCTCTTGGATTTTTAAGAAATATTTTAAGCAGAGTTGTAAACAGGATTATGTTGACTATTGAGTGGATTGATTCCCTTTCTTGCAGCGAGCAAGTTTGGTTCTGGTTTCTAAAGATGGTATCTTACAGGATACCGAGTCATGGTCAGAGATGTAATACTTGGTAATTGTTTAAGTACAATGTTAATTGTTAAGTAAAATGTAGAAATTGGCAAACACCTGAGAAAATAAAAATTATATTTGGGATGCCTAGAAAAATTAATTCGCTGGAAATTCACAAGGTATTGGTGAAATGATCAACTTTGATGTTTCGTAGAGCTATGATGCAGGATCTTTCTTGAATGATGTCGTCCATGTGCCCTCCTAAAGTTAAAGTGAAGACTGTGCATTAGCATTTGGTGATTCATCATACTTCCTGCAAATCCCTCTTTGTCCATGATATCCTTCTCCTCTCAAAGTTTCCTCATGGTTTTATTTCTCCGGCGTTTGCTCCATGAATGGGATTCCCCTCACGCTCTTCTGCCCATGAAGTCATCTTTGATTCATGACCTGAGAAATGTCAGCGAATTAGATAAACTCAAGAGTTTTAAATGGAAAAGGAAACTAGGCTAATGTCTTGATAAATCATACAGATAAATAATAGGTTGGTTTTGGGTAGAGAAATAAAAATACCTCAGGAGGGGACGTTCCTATTATGCATAGAAGGAAACATCTAAAAAACTTGTTTAAGATACTGTAATTGAATTGTCTGTCAGTGGGGAGATGATCTTGAGATTTCAACACCAAGCAGTAAACACAAAATGGTAGGTATCAAGAGATTGATGGGATGGGTTGCGTTGTAGATGCCATACCAATATAGTAGAAGCTATCTAGCAGAAGGCAGATTTACATTTACTAGTAAGCCATAAGTTCCAGGAGTGGCTCTCAAGTTCCAGGAGTGGCTCTCATTATGGAGTAACTGAATGAACATAAAAGTAGAAAGGAATGGAAGTGGTATTTCTGCAGGACATACTACAGGCTCTTTGGCCAGTCATTCCAGATTTAATCACAGAACTATCAAAGAGACTGGGTATAATAGTGATGGGGTAGTGCTATGATTGGGATACTGTTTGGAAGTCTCACTCAGCTGAAAATAGAACTTTCAATCATTTTTATTCACTTTACTCAGTAAAGTGATCTTTCTGAAGAACTAACAGTGGGATCACTACTCTCAATCTAATCCTGATCAAATGAGAGGAACAGTTTGGAAAACAATTTACTACATTCCTTCCTGTTGTGTGCCAAAAATTGTGTGTGATTTGAAACACTAGAAACATGCAAATATATTTCTAGAGACACAGTCAGAGAATCCTAGATTTAGGAAAGGTAGATATTAGAAATTAGAACCAAATCATGAGCAAGGTGAAGCTCTTAAAATTGCATTTAAATGTTAATTGCATTTAAAATGTTAAAATCTTAACATTGCATGGGGGAATTTCACAACTAATAATGTTTGTTGTGGTCAATTCAACTATGAGTAAAAGTAAAATAACATTTTGATATAAATTATGTATTTTAGGAAAGCAGAATTCTAAGATAACTTGTTACAGACTAACACTAAGTGGCCGTGAAACATTTTGATTTCTAGTATTTGATTAACTTTGTCTCCCCAAATAAGCTAAAGCTGGTGCCCCAGCCATTACTGAGCTGCTACTTCTTTGAGTTCATCTGAGGAGTAAATGAGGCAACAGAAGGCTTTCCTCCCACTTCTGAGACAGCCGTCCTGGAGGATGGTGGGTTCTGGCCTACTGTATTGCACAGGATTGGGGCAGGAAAGGGAACACTGAAAGAGTTGCGAGACCTGGTCTTGGGCAGGGCTGTATTCAGATTTCTTATCCATCATGTTTAGAGAATGGGTTGATGTCCACAGTGATTTCTCTAACTAGTTTCAAACTGAACTATCAACTCTTTAAAGGAAGAACATGCTCATCCTCATATTGTAAAAAAAATATTTGGATCTGGAACCAGAGCTGGGGAAACAGGATGACAAGGATCAATGCTACATCGTTCACTGTCCTAGTGTAGTCATCAATATATTGGTCCCTCATCTCTTTTGATAAGAACCTGATATTAAGTGGGCTCAAGTTGGTTGATTCATATGGGTTAAATGGACTGTTTTAAATTACGCATAAACTATACAAGCCATAAAATTGCAAGAGTGAGGGAAAGGGTGACTTGGTGATGGAAAGAATGCTGGCCAAGAAGAGTAGCAGGAATCTGTGAGAGTAATTTCAAGAGATAAAAGCCTGGAATTAGTTGAGACTGGCAGAAAGACAGGTTCATAACAGAAAATGTTTAAAATTTTGATGTCTATTTGATGAATAGACTGCAAAGACAGAAGAAATGGTCTCTGGGTAGAGAAGTTGGGGAACTGGAGGATAGTGGCTAGAGGGAGACTTGCTTTGTAACGTAGACTCTTTAGTACTTTTTGAAATTTTTTTATCGTATGCCCTTGCTAGCTTTTCAAATAATTGAATGATGGAGGAAGATTAAAACAAAATAGGCATGTGGTAGATACAACTCAGTGCTGTCCAATCTCCACTTCTTATGTGAAGATAAGATCTTGGCAGTGATATGTGAGCAGGAGGGAGTTGTATTTCCAGGGGCCTTTCTTCAAGGGAGGGAGTATGCCCCCCCTCCACCTCTTCCCCTTCCTACTGGCTGCAATGTGGGTTGTTTGAGCTTTCTTGTGTAAATATTTGAGGAATGGCAGAGCAGAAGACACAAGGAAACTGGGCTGCTCGTTTTTTTTTGGTAGGGAACAGCCAAAATACTTGGAACTTATACACTTATCCTTAGTACTATTGTATTAGTCAGGGTTCTCTAGAGGGAAGAACTAATAGGATATATATGTATATGTGTATGTAAAGGGGAGTTTATTAAATATCAACCCTGCACGATCACAAGCCCCTACAATAGGCTGTCTGCAAGCTGAGAGCAAGGAGAGCCAGTCTGAGTCCTAAAACTGAAGAACTTGGAGTCTGATGTTTGAGGGCAGGAAGTCGGAGTCTGATGTTAAAGGCTAGGCCAGTCTAGTCTTTTCATGTTTTTCTGCTTACTTTAAATTCTAGCTGTGCTGGCAGCTGATTAGATGGTGCCCACCCAGATTAAGGGTGCATCTGCCTTTCCCAGCCCACTGACTCAAATGTTAATCTCCTTTGACAACACCCTCACAGACACACCCAGGATCAATACGTTGCATCATTCAATCCAATCAAGTTGACACTCAGTATTAACCATCACAACTGTGAAGCATTCCAGTATAGTTCAGGGCAATAAAGAAAACAATTGAGTATCTACTAAGTGACAGGAATCATGCTGATAAAGTGGAATAGATGAGACCATCATCGCTTGACCAATGAGCACGTTGTGAGCAGCTATTCATAGCATCATAAATTTAATACCTATAACTCCTGAGTTTATATCTTTAGCCTTGATCACTGAACTCCACATTCATGTATCCAACCACCTCCTTGACATCTTTACTTAAGTCTAACAAGCATCTCAAAGCTAATCATAGATAAAACAGAACTCTTGATTTTCCCATTTTTCTCCCCTCAGGCTTTCCTATCCCCCCTGAAACCATCAACTTTTCCCTATTGCTATTGCCACCACAGTTAGATGGTTTCTAGAGGTTGAGCCAACAGGACTTGCTGATGGTGGGGATGGGAATACAAGAGAAAAGAGAAATCAAGAATGAGAACTCGCCTTTGTGCTTGGCCTAATGTGGCATTTTTTCCTGCTTCAATCAAGTAATATCCGTAGTTAAAAATACCATTCAATATTAGTTTTGTAATCCAAGTGTTAACAATCTTGGAAATCACAAATAGTTTAAGACTTGAGGATATAATTTTTTTTTTCTTTTTATGAACACCTGGTCAAATCATATATTAATTCCTAGAAAGATTCTGGGTACCAACACTTACTGATTTTTCTTACTGTTGGCAATATCCGTAAAAACAGACTAATCACGTACTCCTGACTTCTCTTTCCCCATCTTATTTTCAGATCTTTATTCCTTTTCACAGTTGCTTTAGAAATCCAAGTAATTGAAGAGCGTCACAAGATTTGGAAGGGACGAGAGTCTGGTCGTGACTATACTATTGGTCCCGAGGGAAAGATCATTGCTCTTAGTTGCCTTAATTTTGTTTCTATTATAGGGCCTTTTCTCAAAGCTTTGCAGACAAAATTCCAGCTGAGGTTTTTCCTTCAAGGCAGCATTGTATAAACTCCCATTGACTGGTCTGAGAAACGTTTTTTTAAATGTATAACCAGGGAAGACATGACGGCACCTTCAAATTATCTAGTAGTGAATGTGAGGATGAAAGTTAACTGAATTCTGTAAAGTTTTATAATAGCAATTTAGCTTTCATGTTAAATTAATGTCAGACAGATTAGACTATGTTTAGTTCATTTGTTTATATGTTAATTACATCTATTTTACTATGTATAGTACATACCTTTTATATCATGTATAATGCATTTTAATTTATTCAGTTTGTTGCAATTGAGTTCTCTATGGATTTCATTACTTACTTAAAAGAAAGCATCATAAAAATATGAAATCTTTGTTCCTACTGATTTTTAAAACAGATTTATGTCCTTCAAATAATAGCCCCAGAAGTTAAAATGTTAATATTTTACTGTATTCTTTAAAAACTACTTAAACAGTGAATCTTTTAAGTCTTCTATTGTTCTATTTTCCATTATGTCTTATTACTGTTCAGTAGTGACCAGCATGTGCATCAAATAGCTGCTTAATTCTTCAGAGGGATTAAATATTAATATTGGAAGAGCTTGAAAGATCATCTCATAGATGAGAAAATTGAGGCTGAAGAGAGTTCTTCTCTATATCCCAATGGTTTTTTTCATACTGCTCTCAATTCTTAAAGACAGTGACATATTCAAAATCACCTACCTCAGAAGTAATGGACATAATCTAAAACTGGTTGAGTTTGCAAGCATATTAATTCAAACTCCAAATTCCCATGAAATGAGTATTTACCTGGAATGGATATAAAAATTTAGTAAGAAATTACCTAAAGGGCCATGATGCAGTGGTTAGAAAGGGTGTCCAGCTAAATTTTGGGATATAACCTATGGCATCCTTGGTCAACCCCCTTTCTGTGGTAACTAAAATTACTGTACATCTTCTGTGCTTTGCTGTTCAGTTCCAGTAGTGGGGCCTTCACAAAGGAGGCATGGTCAGAAAATTGTTTAAATACAAAATACAGGGAAGGCATCAGAGAGGAAAGGTAGTTTCAATAATATGATTCAGAAAGGATGACAGATTTTATGACTTCTGAGCTTTGGGGGAGATTTTTTCTTATTGTTCTCTGCCCTCACTATTCTCTTCAAATTAAAAAGGCAACAGCAGCCTGCAAAGAGACTTAAAACAGTGTAAGTCAGAGAGTGGTGGCAGACATGCCCCCCAGTCAGGAGATGCATCTCCTTAGAAATATGTTGCAGAGTCCACATCTAAATTTCTAGCATGTGCACGGAGCTGTGCAGAGTGTTATAGAACCATGGGTGGCTACGATGGTAGAAATGTAGTTGTTGAAGGCTCTGTCCTTAAAGTCTTTGAGAAATTGCTGAAAGCAAGACTGAAATTTTTTGATGTAGGAAAATGACATTATAGCTCAAATTGCTTAGGAGAAGACAGGTGGACAGGTATATTTCACCTGTCAATTGTAAATATGATTTGGTGCTAAGAAGGAGCATATCCTGTAAACAGCCCCTCATTATTATAAGATCTTGCTGAGATGTGTTTTTTTCTGATGGTGACATGTCATGCTGACTGTAGGAAAAAGTGTGAAGCAGGTGATATTTGTTATTGAAGACCCAGCCATCTGTTGAGGAACCTTTTTTTTTTTTTTCTGCCTCAGGTTCTTTTCCTAAACCTGTTCTCAACAATGGAATCTTACCCTCATAGTAGCTTAAATTGTTAAAACTGGACAACAAATAAAACTCTTAGCCTTCTCAGGCTATTTGCATTTTATCAGAAATAGAAATATTGACCCAAGGGATTGAAACACACTTAAGAAGTGCATGTCTTAAAGAGCTAATGAGGAACTTTTTATTCCTCTTCAAATTGAAATTTCCACCTTCAAATGAAAAAATAAAAGCAAACATGAAACGGTTCATGCGCACTTGATAGGTAAAATTTGTCTCTATTTTTATTTTCACTTCAAATATGTCAACCATATTTTTATTTCCAGAAATGATGCAAGTATGCATGAGCTTCAGAAGTTAACAAAGTAGTTTTTGTTTTATAAACTTGTATCTGTTGAGCTTAACTGAAATATGTTATATTCATACTTCCTCTAGACCTTAACCCTGGAAGGGAATGCAAATTTGCCTTCCTATATGTGTTATCTGACTTTGGATTATCTTTGTAATTCCAGCCTCAGAACTAGAGAATCATTCTGCAACTTTAGGAGAAGGTCTAATACTATCACTAACTTGATGCCTGTGTTCTTGGAAGTCCTTAAACTTCCTCGGTTGTCACCGAGTAGCTGGATGGAATAGCCCTGTGCCCCATGGTTCTGACTTCTTTTGCCACATCCGGACTTGGATCCCACACCAGAGTGTGTGGGATATGGGTTGATGTTATCCAGAAATGTGGGGCAGCTAACTCCTTTTGGCACACATTTAACCAGTAGGCAACAGGACATGGGGGAAACATGGAAGATAAATTTATCTCCTCCATCCCTCCCTCCCATAGACTGTTTCTTGGCCAAGTTTCTCCGTATATCCTGTCTGGAGAAATCCTGTCTGGAGAAATCCTGTAGGGCTGAGCTGAATTTACTAGCAAAGCAGGCTACATTCCTTCATGGATCATCATGACCTGTGACCAGCATGAAAATGCAATACCTTGCATCTCCCCCTATCCCTTAATATCTCTTTCATTATTCCTTCACTTTCGCAACCTGAGAATCACCTCTCAAAAGCATGGACATTTAATTCTTGTTTCAGTCTCCTTTGTCTAGGGAACACAGACAAAGATATTGCTTAGTACATAAAAGTTGCTCATTAATATTGATTTTCTTTTTTTCTGCCTCTGTTAATTTTTAAAATTTGACCTTGCCCAGTTCCAGGATAAACTTGAACTGCTTTAGTTGCTTCCATTCCTTGTCTTTTCTTCCTGAACTCATATTCTATCTCAGGTACTGATTTTCAGGTTCATTACTTATTTCATCCTGTAAAGCAATTGATCTCTTTAATGTTTTGCTTCTAGAAATCTTGATTTGGTAAAATCCAAGTCTTTATTCCAGAGAATAGGAGACTTTGATGTTATACAAACTCTAGATTATTTTTGTGTAAGAAAGCATGAGTCTGGAAAATGAAAGGATTTCTGTGGACAGGAATTTCATCTTCTGTGGTCAGAGGTTTATAGCCATCCCTTTTAAGCAGATTCCATGCCTATTTCTCAATAGAGTAATGCAGATTTTGAGTGTCCAACTTCAAGTGTTATTTTAGGAGTCATAGATACTTCCAATTCTAGATCATGTAGACAACCAACATAGTTTATCTCCATTAGATCTGTGAAGATTGATAGCTCAGGCTTCTTGGAGAAGTTGAAGCTTAAGTTTCACTATAAAGATTGTTTCTCAGTTTTTCCACAACATACACACCTTTGTTCTTCCATTTCAATCAAAACTTTAATCGTTGAAGATCTATTTCAAATGTCACATTCTCCATGAAACTCTTTCTCATCTTCCTGTCTGGAAGTGATCAACCTCATCTGAATTTCTACATGCATTATTTATGTCTCTGTACATAACCTTCTGCTACTGAACAACAGCTCTTTGAGGACAAGGGCTAAACCTCATGTATCTTTGTATCATCCTTAGCGTAGTGTTTAGCACATGAGATGCTTAAAAATATTTGTTGTATTGAATTTCTCCTGTCCTTCCACTTACATGTTTTAAATAATTACTGTGTGCCAAGAACTATGCTAAGGGTCATGTAGTTCAATTTTCCCTCCTTGGACCCAGCAAATATCAATACCAATATTTCCTAAATTATAGCTCCTAGAAGACAGCACTATTCACAACTTGGAATTTTACAAAGGATGCTTCAGTTATGGATCACTGATTAGTTTGAACAGACCTACGTGGTTCTTTTAATATCTGTGCCAGAAATACTTTTCCACTGAGTTAGCTTTCTTCTCACCCTTAAGGCCTTCTCTGCTGCTTTGCTTAGAAGTTTCCATGATTTCAGACCTTCCTGACTTTCTTCAATTTTCGGAATTACTGAGATTTTTATCCCCATAGGTGTTGTAATTTGTGTGAATTTAGAATGAATATGGATATTGGATATTCTGCTGTATTTCTCATTCTGTTTTCTGTGGAGTGAAAATTCATTTTGAGAATGAATGTATGTTTTAGAACAATTATTGTTTGAGAGGTAAAAAGCTGCATTTCAAATTCAATGTAAAATGGCATATTATTTAGAGCAGTGCTGCCCAATAAAACTTCCTGCAATGATAAAAATGTCCTGTATCTGCACTAATATGGTAGGCACTAGCCACTAGCCACTGTGGCTAATTGAGCCTTTGAAATAGGCTTGTGTGACTGAGGAGTAAGTTTTAATTTTCATTTTAATTAATTTAAATTTAAGTAGTCATATGTGGTCAGTGGCTACCATATCATGCAATGCAGATATAAACCAATGACAGAGTTATCTCTCATATTTCCATAAATAAAAAAGGTGCCCTTAGATAAATGGTTTTGATAAAATTATGGTATTATCCAGTATTATATTATTTCTTTTTTAGAGATTCACAATACAGATGGACAGGTTAAAGGCTATAAGAAGCAGTACTACAAAAACAAACAAGCAACACCTGTTTGCATTGATTTTACTCAGAACTTAACCATGGCATCTGCACTCCATCCTCCCCTCAATAATGCCTATGAACAGTTTGTGACCTCATCCTCAACCCTTTTGGGAAAAAAGTCTCCTTTAGACCTTTTACCTCATTAAAAACCTATTTTATACCTTTAGCCTATTAGTTCCCCTCGTCTATTTCAGGGGAGGCATAAGATGATGTACGTCAGAATAAAGGGGAGCCTCCATTAAGTTTTACAAAATCTGTTGTGCTCCCAGAGACAGGGCATGAAATTTGCCCCATGGACATGAAACAATTGAATCTCTGAAATTACCGTCTTCAGGGGCAATGTATGTTTTCTCATAGCTGCAGCTGAATCTGGATAAAATTGGGCATATCCACAGTTTGACCTAAGCCACAGGTAGGCCTCCCTTTTGAGGGCTGATTAGAAACAATCAACTATCTCTATCCCCCCACTGGAGTAGCTGTTGACATCACTTTATCCCACTACCAACAATATGGGAAGGAATATGATAACATTCAGTTGTCTTTTCCTCTTCCTCTTAATAGGCCAGGTGGTGATGCTCTGGACAAAATTGGTCTGAAGGCTGAGAGCAGGTCCATTATTGGGAGCATTTGCTTTAAATTATGAAATTCAGAAGGCTTGTGGCAGAGAGGCGGCCAGTCCTGCCGCAAAAGGCACTCGCTTGTCTGTTTCTTGCATTCTGTTAAATATTTCTTATTTCCTCAGAATACACCACAAGGACCATTTGACTGTCCCCTCTGGCTTCTGCATCTTGCTTCCAGCATGAACAGACAGGTAATAACCGTTCAGCAGGGCCATTACCTCTTCTAAAGACTATTATCAAAATGGTCATTATACATAATGGAGATTATTACAGGCAGCCTGAGAGATTTTTTAGATACATCTCTACAGTAATAGGTGGCCTTTTTTAGCCTCATATATCTGTAGGGATAATACCAGGGCACAGAATACATGACAAATGGTGATTTTTAGCAAAAACGCTGTCAGCTTTTAATGCATTAATTGGATTGTGGATTTAAATGGCATTTACACAGAAACTCTTAAATTTTAACTCTTGACAAATGCACAGTGCAGCAGAAACATTCCAAGAACAAGATTACAATATATAGAATGCATTGTCCATGTTTATACTATGCAATCACATATGCAAGGATACTGGCATTAATGAGTCCTTTGCAAACAAACTCTTTTATAATGAAGTAACTGGTCTGTAGTCAGACAATCAATAAGTATTTATAAGACCTTGGGCTTCATTCCAGGTACTGAAAATATGGTGGTCAGAAAACAGAGGGAAGTTTAAAAGCTCAGAATCTAGTGGCCTGTTTTTTGTTTTGTTTTGAATAAAAAACAAACACAGTCACATTTCAAATATTTCTATTCCCAAGACAATACCTCTTCCTAAACCTTCCACTTATCTCAAACCATTTGAAGGCAAATAGGTCCCATTCTAGATTTTAAAAAATGTGAATTCTGCTATGTGGTATACATTTGGTTGCCTATCAAATAGGTTTTTTCCTTTAAAGTTGTAACTCCATTTTTGTTTGGTTGGTAAGATTATCAGTGCCTGGGAATAAATCCTTCCTGGGCTAAGCCAGTCAGATGTAATCGGATGTTAATATGGGATGCTTTGCATCTCAGTATTGTCTGAAGACCCAAGAACAAAAGCAATAGGGTCTGTCACTCTAAGGCAGGGAGGTGGATGCCAGATCACCAATGCTTGGTTTGCAAAGAAACTATCAAAACATCCAGTTTTATAAACTCTCACTTAACATCCCTCTTCATGATAATATGAAGGTTAAAATGAGGAGAGAGAGAATTTCCTGGAAGTGGCTGATGGAGAACAGTGGCATTTTACTTTCTCATTGTGGGTGGGAATTTCTCCTCACTTCAAGTGAGAAGGTTTTTAGAGGAGTACAGAGATCTTATTGGTACCTTTGATGTTAAAGAGCACAAGGGACTGGTATTTGGCCCTTGTCATGCTAGCAGGCTACCCTCACAGCCAAGCAAAAAGGTGGTTTCATGGCAATGAGTAGTTTTTCTGGTACCAGTGATGCGTGAGTGTTCTGTCTGGACCTGATGGGGGCTGTTCCATAGAAAGAGCTGGTATGTAATTAACATGCAGGGACTTTGGCCGAGAGGGCCACCTGGGAGGGCAATTGAGCCTAGAGAGAGAGTCAGTGGAGTGGATCCTTGAAAACCAGGTGATGAGGGCAGTTGTTATGGCCAACAGAGGAGACATTGCCTCTGCGAATGCTTCCAAAATTCCTCAGCAGCAGGAACCTCCTTTTTAGGACATTCTACTCAGAAATTCTGTGTCTTATAGTTGAAAGCTTCCTATTTAATGCATTCATCATCATAAAATAAATTCCTGCCACAGATCTCCTCTCTCTGGGCCTTCCCCAGTGGAGATGTTAGTCCCTGCGTCCCATGCCCTATATATAGCCCAGGTCTCTGACTGTCCATGCCCCCATTAAAGAGGGAAGAATCTGCGATTGGTCATTATTGGCATCCACCACCCTCCCTTAGAGTGACAGATTATTAGTTACCTATTGCTCATCTGTTGTTTTTTTTTTCTGCTCATTTTCTAACTCACCCCACCCTTTTTGATGGCAACAGTCAGATTTTTTATTATTATTATTATTATTTTTAGTAACCTTTGCATAAGGACCTAATGACTTCAGTCAGTGTAGTTGACACCACTTGCAATTCCAAGGGTAGGTGTGTATTTCAGAACTGGCCCATTGGTATGTTCAGTTATGCTGCACACATTGATTTGTTCAGACATCTGACCTAAGCTGATGTGAGATACTTTGACTAGGACTATTTGGAAGCAGCCCCCTGTTTTTGCCAGAGCTGCTAAGCAAGTAGGCTGTAAGGGAGAGGCTGCTGTTGGTTCCCATGCTCCTTCCAAGCTTAGGAGAATCCAGAGCCAAGAGATGGACCAGAAAGACTTGTGGTGACAATATTTAAGCATCTGCATCCAAAAATACATACAGAATCATATCTATTCTGAGAAACAATAAAATGCTCCCCCTAACTACAAGTCATTTTGCAATGTGGCCTCTGTCACTTACAGCAGATAAAGAACTGACTGATAGATCCTTACACTATTTGTTAAATTGCTTTCATTAGAGATTTAAATAAAATTATTTCCCATCTCCATTTTTTAATTAGGGAAAGTTTCAAACATACAGAAAAGAGGAAGAATAGCAAAATGGATTCCCATATATTCTCCACTCAGATTTCAACTCTTTCTCTTTCATCTTTGCTGCACCACTTGAAAGTACGGTTTAGATAGTGTGACACGTTACTTAATATGTACAATATGTATAATATGTATATATGCATGTGTATATTAATATGTATATAATATGTATATATGCATGTGCACATTACTTAATATGTATATAATTGACACATTACTTAATATGTATAATATGTATATACGCATATATATATCATAAAAATAGTTGTGCATAAACACAATGTTATCATACTTAAGAAAATTAACAATAATACATTTCGAATATTCAGTCCATATTTAAAGTTCTCCAATTTCCCAAGTGTGCCCTTTATGGATTTTTTTTTTTTTTTTACCAGAATAAAGATCCTATTAAGGTTTACCCATTGACTTTGATTATTATATCTCTTTAGTCTAGAACTCTTTCCCATCTTTTTTAATAAAATGACATTGACCTTTACATTTTTAAAAAAACTATTTTAAAATTCATATTTTTAATTGTCATTTAATAATTGTACATATTTATGGGGTACATAAGGATATTTTGATATATACAATGTGTAGTGATCAAATCAGGGTAATTAGAATATCCATCACTTCAAACAATTATTTGTGTTGGGAACATTTAAAGTCTTCTTTTCTAGCTATTTGAAAATATATAAGAATTGTAAACTGTAGTCACTGAGTGCTATGGAGGATTAGGATCTATTCCTCCTGTCTATCTGAGCTAGCTGTAATTTTGTATCCTTTATCCAACGTCTCTTTACCTCTGCCTCCCTTTTCCAGCCCCTAGTAACTACTATTCTACTCTCTACTCTCTGCTTCCATGAGATTAACCGTTTTAGCTTTCTCCTATGCGTAAGAACATGTGGTATTTGTCTTTCTGTTCCTGGCTTTCACTTAACATGCTGACCTTGACGTTTTGAAGAGTCCAGGCTGGTAGGATTAAAGCTTATTGTGAATTTGTCTGGTTGTTTCCACGTTTGACTTGTTTCTAATTTAACTTGTTGCTGTAACTGGTAAAATGTTAGTAAACAGGAAGGTAGATCTAGAGGCTTGATTATATTCAGATTAATGTTTTTTTGCAAGAATGTTTTATAGGTGATGCAATCTTAGTCTCTTATTATAGAAATACAGTTTCCCCTCTATCCTTAACATGTGTGGTGGTGAGGTGATACTTAGCACCACGAGAATCCTAAAATCCTTCATGTTTATTTGCTGGGCTTTTACTATAAGGAAGAGTTTTCTTCCTCTCTTCTTTCCTCCCTGCCCCCGCTTCCCTCCTTCCTCTGCTTCCTTCCTCTCTCTTCCTCCCCTTCCTTTTCTCCCTTTCTCCCCCTTCCCTCCTTCTCCCCCTTCCCTCTCTCCTTCTCCCACTGTAGAGCTAGTATGTTGAAAAATTCACTTAGTTTTTGCCGTTCTTAGAATGTTTTTATTTTTACCTTCACTTTTGAAGGATATTCTCACTAGGTTTTGAGTTCTAGGTTGGCAATTCTTTTCTTTCAGAAATTTAAAGATGATACCCTATTACCTTCTGGCTTGTATTGTTTCTGTTGAGAAGCCAGATGTCAGTCTTATTGTTGCTTCTTTGAATGTAAAGTATCTTTTATCTTTGTTTTTAAGATTCTTTGTTATTATTGTTATTATTTGTTTTTGAGTTGTCTTATGTGCATATGTCTGTTTTTTAATTTCTTGACACGGAGTCTCGCTCTGTTGCCCAGGATGTAGTACAGTGACGTGATCTCAGCTCACTGCAACCTCCGCCTCCCGGGTTCAAGCAATTCTCCTGCCTCAGCCTCCCAAGTAGCTGGGACTACAGGCATCTTCCACCACACCTGGATAATTTTTATATTTTTAGTAGAGATGAGGTTTCACCATGTTGGCCAGGCTGGTCTCGAACTCCTGACCTTAGGTGATCCACCCGCCGCCACCTCCTGAAGTGCTGGGATGATAGGCGTGAGCCACCATGTCCAAATTTGTGTGTATGTGTGCATAGGTCTGGTTTGTATTATAAGGTATGACAAAGGTTGTGAATATCCCATCCTGGAATTGGTGAAACATTAACCACATCATTCTGTCTTAACTCATTCAGTTTTACCAGTTAACTCATCTTTCTACCAATTTCTGTATTATTGGCACTCTCTAACTGAAAAATATTAAAAGCTCACCCAAAATATCTTAAATAAATGGTGAAAATGAATATAAAAATCAGCTCTTGGAATATATGTTGCATGTGGTTCTCAGGAACAAACTGAACCAGAAACTGAAATGCTAGATAAACTTTTCTTTTATCTTCCCTTTCTTCATGCATCTACTGCTTTTTCTACTCCTTTTCATTTTTCTTTTTTTCCTCGTTTCCTGCAGACTCATAACTATCCCATAGACCAGGGGTGTTCAATCTTTTGGCTTCCCTGGGCCACATTGGAAGAAGAAGAATTGTCTTGGTCCACACATAAAATACATGAACACTAAAGACAGCTGATGATCTTTAAAAGAAAATCTAATGTTTTAAGAAGGTTTATGAATTTGTGTTGGGCCACATTCAAAGCCATCCTGGGCTGCATGTGGCTTGTGGGCCATGAGCTAGACAAGCTTGCCATAGACATAATAGAAAAGAGCTACTCGATGTTCCTAAGTTTGCATTTCCTCTCTTCAAGAAATCAGCCAAACTATGTTTATAGTATGGCATGCCTAATTCCAGTATCCTGGAAAGAAACTCATTGCGTAGTGGAATGAAAGGCCCAACCCATGTCCAATCCAATTGGACCAGGCAGGCAATGTCACATTTTAAGGACATGGCTTCTGGGGACCCAGGGCTTAATTGTATGTGTTGAGAGGGAAAATTTGGGCAGATAAACCCAAAGTAAGTGTTGGCTAAATAGTCCATCCTCTTTGGAGGCTAGTCTCTATATTGCTTTACTTTGTGGAAGTTGTACTTTCCAGAATATAACAAATTTCTTTATATAGGCTAGCTAGAAACTATCTTAAATACTACTGAAATGTAGAACTTTAGATACTTTTTATCATACAATAGAATCTTGAAATTTATAAAAATATTCTTTTGGAAAACCAAAAGCAGAGCTTCCCCATACCCAAGCTATTGCCCTAGGCTACATCTTTACTGTTCAACATTTTTAACAAAAAACTATGTCCTGCTGTCCTCTAGCCTCCAGCCTCAAGTATATATTTGATAAGTATTGTTACATTTGACAATATTTTAAGTACTGTTAAATAATTCTTTTATAACATTTTCCTTTTATCAGCTATTGCAGAAGTCAATCCTTTGTTCTTTTGTTTTGCTTTTGGTTATCAAAGCTGACAAAGAAACCTACTACATTCATTAAGGGAATGATTCTACATAGATGTGGTATCTCAAAGCAATTTATTTGGCATCATTTATATTAAAATGAAGTATGTGCTTAAAGTCCAACTGTTTAAATTTTCTTGAAACTGAAAGTTTTAATTTATTTCAAGATGTGGAAATACCAAAATACGTCTCATTTTTATGTACTTCACATCTTTTTTCTTTTTCTGTATGCCGTTTACATATATGTGTGCATGCGCACGTGTTTGTGTATATATACACACACATGCACGTATGTTTTAGGAAGTCTAATATCTTAAAAAAAGCCATTTTCTCAAATATAAGAGAATGGTTAAGTTTGTCCCCAGATAATTTAAGAAGCCAACAAGAGCAAGAACATTAACAGTAGCATACATTTATTTTTTCCAAATATTTTCTATTTTTTATTCCTAACACTGGGAAAGTCTTTACAGAGCCATAGATTTTGCCAGGAGAAATGCTAACATTTTTGAGAACAGGCTTTTGATAAACTCACGAATTCATCACATTTCAAGAATAATGGCATACAAAGATGTGATTGTTATAATTTGAAAAGAGGGTCATCTTAGTTCAGCTTTGTCCAAGGATAGTGGATATAGCTAACAACATCTGTGAGAAGCTGTGTTACTGAACAGCCTGGTGATAATAACCTATTCCATAAAGAGTCTGTTCTGGCTTCTGATTTTCAGTTATAATAATGTGTACTGGCATGTCCTAATGAACCTGGTGAGACATGTTCACATGGCCCAATCTTGCTGGCTTCCCAACAGCTGCTCAAAGTTGATGAGGCTCTGGCCTGTTTTGTTTTGTTTTGTTTCCAAGTGCTCTGAATGCTATTCATCAAGGCAGCATTCACTAAGCATTATGAATGGTGGATTGCACATCTGAAAAGGCTAGAATGTAAGATGGTGGGGCCTAGCCCCTTGGTATGTGCTCTGGCTCTGGTAGACTTCAAGCCCATTGTGACAGAGGACATGTGTCAAGGATATGGCCCTCTACGCATGGCCTTCTATTTTAATTTAACCATCTAAAAATTAGTTTTTTGTTATTTGTTAAGCACTTTGTAACGTGGATCAAGAACAGAAATGAACAAAACATAAAACAGAAATGAACAAAACATAAAACAAACCACTGTGTATTAGATTCCTTGGGCTGCCATAATAAATTACCACTAGCTTGATGATATGAAATAACAGATATGTATTTTTTTTTTTTTTTTTTTTTTACATTCTGGAGTCTAGAAATCCAAAATCAAGATGTTGACAGGGTTAGTTCATTCTGGAGGCTCCGAAAGAGAACCTGTCCCACGTCCTCCTGGTATCTTCTGATGGTTGCTAATAACCCTTGGCATTCCTTAGCTTGTCACTCCAGTCTCTGCTTCCACCATCACATGATCTTCTTTTCTGTGTGTATCTGTATGTCTCTTTCTTCTTATAAAGACATCAGTGAGTGGACATAGTACTTGCCATAATCCAGCATGACCTCAACTTGCATCTTAACTACACTTGCAAAGACGCTATTTCCATATAAGGTCACATTTGAAGGACTTGAATTTATCTTTTCTGGGGAACAGAGCTCAACTCGTTACAACTGGGTTTTGCTCTACAGCTCTGTTTGACTCACATGACTTCTTTCTTCTATTTCATCACTAAAATCCAAATTCTGCTTTCTCAGATTTCTTCAGTAGACTTGATTATTGAGCAGAACTTTAAAAATTATCAATGATCAACAAGAACTATATTTGTTAACAAAATCAGTAAAAGTCTGGGCAACATAGGGAAGCCCTGTCTCTACAAAATTTAGCCAGGCATGGTGGCCATGCCTGTATAGTCCCAACTACTGGGGAGGCTGAGGTGGGAGGATCAGCTGAGCCCAGGAGCACGAAGCTGCAGAGCTGTGATTGTACCACTGCACTCCAGCCACTGCTGTGATTGTACCACTGCACTCCAGCTCATACCTGTAATCCCAGCACTTTGGGATGCTGAGGTGGGTGGATCACCTGAGGTCAGGAGTTCGAGACCAGCCTGGCCAACATGGTGAAACCCCAACTCTACTAAAAATACGAAAATTAGCCAGGCACGGTGGCTCATGCCCGTAATCCCAGCTACTCAGGTGGCTGAGGTGGGAGAATCACTTGAACCCAGGAGGTGGAGGTTGTGATGAGTTGAGATGGTGCCACTGCACTGCAGCCTGGGCGATAGAGCAAGACCCCATCTCAAAAAAAAAAAAAATCAATAAATCAATGAAATGAATAAAAAAAATCAGTGAGTTTAAACACTCCCACAGGTAGCTGTGTGAAGTTATTAGGGAAAAATATCTAACACAATCTTTAGTGGGCAACATCTGATATTTCCATTGGACAATGCTTTCATCCATTTAATAGATGAAAACTTAGTTCAAGAAACAAGTCTTTGATTCCCACTAAGGGCAAGCAAGAGTCTTAAGATCTCAGGGTAACTAAACAGAAAAGATGTACATCTTTACTTCAATCTATTTGCACTATAGAATCACAAATAACTGTTTTCCAATTATTTTAAAATAGAAGTATAATATCACAAACTAGATTAACCAATTAACCATTTTCCAAACTAGTTCATCTCAGAGAAAATTAGCTTGGTGGCCACTCTGTTCATATAGTTAAGTGTCTGAGACATCAGTGCTCTAAGCTTAGTTTGGGTGTATATCCAGTATAGATCTAGATTTTTCACCCCTTTTTCTTTTGCTCCATGTCAGTCTTTCATCTTTCAGCATGGCTGTCTCTTTGTTACTTTATTTTTTATTTATTTATTTATTTATTTTTGAGACGGAGTCTCGCTCTGTCGCCCAGGCTGGAGTGCAGTGGCATGATCTCCGCTCACTGCGAGCTCTGCCTCCTGCCTCAGCCTCCTGAGTAGCTGGGCTACAGGTGCCCACCATCACACCCAGCTAATTTTTTTTTTTTTTTTTGCATTTTTAGTGGAGACGGGGTTTCACCGTGTTTGCCAGGATGATTTCAATCTCCTGACCTTGTAATCCCCCTGCCTTGGCCTCCCAAAGTGCTGGGATTACAGGCGTGAGCCACCGCACCTGGCCGTCTCTTTGTTACTTTAATAATTTCTTTTTAGATGAGGTACCAGATCCCCAGACAAATAAGTCTTGATTTCCCATAGAAAGGTGCCAGTTCAATAAAAATGGGCACTTCTGCCTCTTTACCTGTGTACTTGACTTTCATCTCTTTTGCTAAAACAGTGACATACTCTTCGCACTAGCAAAGTGGCTAGCATCCTTAAACCTGACAAATTTAGAGCTTTTCCTGTGAGTGTGAAATGTGTGTTGGTGTGTGTGTGTGTGTCTGTGTAGGAAGAGAGACATTGAAATTACTTGCTTTAAAATCCACATTATTGACCACACAGCATTTCATTCATGAATATGCCATGGTTTTAAGTGATCGTTACCCTGTTGTTGAACTTGTGTACTGTTTCCACTTTTCCTCATTTTACTGCTTCCTTTTACTTTAAAACATTGTATCAGTAAGGATTCTTGGTTGCAGACTAACAGAAAACCATTATAGATAATTTAAAAAGAAAAATTTTTGGATGTATGGCAGATGGAAGCATTGATCTAAATGCTTTATGGCCCTGTCATACTAATATATGTCTGTACCCCTACCATTGCCTTGTGGTAGACATATGGTACATTCCCACATCTTGACTTTGGGCTTGGCCATAAGGCTTGCTTTGACCAATGGAATCTTGGCAAACATGATATGAGTAGAAGCTTGAAATGGGCTTATGTGTTTGGGCTTCATTTCTTACTTTGTAGTGGTCTGAGAATATTTCCCAGGTAGATGCTGTTTCTTTAGCCTGTGTCCCCGAATGATACATGCCAAGTAGAGCACTTTTTCCAGGGAACCACTGAATCATTTTTCATCTCACAGATTCTGTGACCCAGGAATCTCAGCACAATTTGGCTGGGTTCTCCAGTTCAGGGTCTCCTACAGGATTGAAATTAAGGTTTTGGCAATGGCTGTGGGTATCTCAAGGCTCAAATGGGGAAAAATCTGTTTCCAGACTTATTCTTCTGTTTATTAGCATGATCCAGTTAAGAACTATTAAACTGAGGGCTTCAGTTCCTCATGGGCTGTAGCTGGAGGCTTCTCTCGGTTCCCTGCTAATTGGGTCTCTCTGTAAGCCATCTTACAACATAGCAGCTTACTTCATCAGAGGAAAGAAGTAAGAAGAGGCAGAGATAAAGTGTGTGTGAACAAGATGAAAGTCAGTTTTGTATAACCTAATCTCAAAAGTGATAACCCATTGCCTTTTCCATTTCTGATCATTAGAAGCAAATCCCTAAGTTTAGCCCACACACAAGGAGTGGGGAGATTACACAAGGGCATTAATATGAGGAGGCGGCGAGCACTGGGAGGCATTTTGGAAGCTTTTTACCACATATGGTTTAGAGAATTGATTTGAAAGCTGGAAACTGATTCAGACATTGGGTAGAATCACAGCAGTCAAGAGGAAGGGTATTAAGATGCTACAAATGACCATTAGGCACATTTTTTACCAGAATCCTAACCAATTCCATTAACATATTGTTTCTGCTCCTGAGAGGTATGAAGGAAGACGTTGTTCAACCTTAGATGCATGCAGTACAGATTTATGAGTAATTTCACTGGATTGTTTTTCTGAATTGAGAAAGCTTATTGTTTACATTGGACTTAATTGGGGGTAATTACATAAAAGAGGCCTAAATTGTGTTTTTATTAGTGTATTTAACTTCTTTTGATCACCTATTACTTTTTAAAAAAAGCAACCTCTAAATATTTTACTTAGTGGAGAAGGCAGTCAAAGAGATTATTTGATAATAGACTTATCAAATGGTTAGTTTTCTGAGTTTTAAACATTGTATTGCGCCCTTTCTTTGCATATGTATATCCAAGCATTGACTTTAATCACAGGACATTGAAGTACTAAAAGCACACTCTTGTTTTTCAGTAGCAACTTAATTTTTCCTTGAGAGTGACAATCAATTTCTTCAACTAATAGCCCTTTGATATTTGCCCTGTTATTCCACTGGCATGAGCTCTCAAAGTGGCTGGGTGACAGGCTCAACTTTCAGCTCAATGGAATTACTCTTATGTCCCCTGTGGAAGCATTTATTCCTTGGAAGCTAAGACTTCTAGAGCATCAGAACCTTAATTCAAAGGAACGGGAAGCAACAATTTTGCTAGTGGGTCATTAGGTATAACAGTGAGATAAGCCTTTCCCATTTTCCATGTCTGGGAATTCTGACTATGGAAGAAATAGCACCATATATTGAACACTGATTTGGAGCACATACTGGATCCTGGAGGATTGCCCCCATCTCTCAAAGTGTTGTCACCTACCTGGCACTATAACTGAGTATTCAAAAGGTTATTCCATTTTCTATCCAGCCAGCTGCTTTCGAGTAATGAGGAGCATGATAAGACCAGTGAATTCCATGAGTATGGTTCCATTGTCACATTTCATTTGCTGTGAAATGAGTTCTTGCTCAAAAACTGTTCTGTATAGAATACTATGATGGTGGTATTAATTGTCTTACAGGTCGGCCAGAAGTCTGAAACAGGTCTCCCTGGGTTAAAATAAGAGTGCTGGTAGGTCTGCATTTCTTTCTGGAGGCCCTGGGGAGAATCGATTACCTTGCCTTTTTTAGCTTCTAGAGGTTGCTCATTTCTTTGGTTTATGGTACCCTTTCTTGATCTTCAAAGACCAGCTATGTGCAATCTCTCTGACCATTCCTCCATAGTCACTTCTCCCTCTGACTCAGACCCTGACCTGGCCCTGGAGAGGTTCTACACTTTTAAGAAACAATGAGATTAGGTTGGGCCCACCCAGATAATCCACCATAATCTCCCAATATCAAATTCCTAACCTGAATCACATCTGTAGTTTCTTTTGCCATGTAAGGTAACACTTCCAGGTTCCAGGGGTTAAGATGTCTTTGTGGGGCCATCATTCAGTATATCTCTTCCTTAGATCTCCTTGTCATTAGTTTTCCAACTGTGTTCTTTATAAGCCCTTGGCCATGAGCCAACTTGTTAGCTATAGCCCATAAATCATTGCGGACCTATGCCTCTGGACGTCTCTCCTTTTAGACAAAGTGAACAACCAGCTACACTGAAGTTCTGCCCAATGGAAAGCTTTTTCTTCACCACTGTCCTTTAGGGGCAAACCCAAGAGGGGCTGTAATGCTGTAGTCATCCACTTCTGGATATTGCTGGCATATCATGCAAACTCTCTGTAAACCATCTATTAACTGGTCATGAAGAACTCCCCATGAGGTCAAAGGTCTGTGTTAAGGAAGAGGCAATGAATCAAGAGTAGGTCCAACACTTTGGGAGGGTGAGGTGGGTGGATCACTCAAGCACAGGCGTTTGAGACCAGCCTGGGCAATGTGGCACAACCTGATTTCTACAAAATACACAAAAAATTAGTTGGGCATGGTCGTGCGTGCCTATAGTCCCAGCTACTCAGGAAGCTGAGGTGGGAGGATTGCTTGAGCCCGAGAAGTCAAGGCTGCAGTGAGCCATGATCATGCCACTGAACCTGCACTCCAGCCTGGGTGACAGAACAAGCCCCTGCCTCAAAAAAAAAAAAAAAAAAAAAAAAAGAAGTAGGGATCATAAAAGTATGATCATTTAGACTGCTTCCTCTTGCAACTTGCTTTTCCTTCAGGACCTGCCCAAGTTTCATCTTGTATATGCCACTTACATTTGATGATAGCTCTGCTGTGTGCATATAACTTTATGGCTTTGTGGATCAAACAACACCACCCTGTTCATGATGAGCAGCTCAGTTTGCATAATCTCTGCTGAGCCCAGTAGCAAGCCAAAAGCTCTTTCTCAGAAGAGTAGTAATCTGCAGAGGATGACATGGCTTTGCTCCAAAATCCTGAAGATCTGTGTGTGAATCATCTATAGGCCTGACTTAGGAACCTTCCAAAAGCATCATCTAGTCTTCCAATCTGTCACAGGGACCTCAAAGATCTAGTATGGCCCATATGGTAGAGCAGCCTACGTGGAATGCTGGACCTGCTGCAGAATCTTCCCCTGTTTTCAGCCTGTGCAAAACCGACAGCCTTTGGGGTCGTTCTGTAAATGGGTTAACGTATCATAACAGCTTCCATGGTTGCATATTTTGTTCAAAGTATAAGCAATTATTTTAGTTTTATGTAAAAAGATTCTCAAATGGCTAAGAGGATAAGCAGATGCCCTGGAACCACATGTTAGTCTATATTAATTAATTCTGTTTATGCCGCTTCAGTGTCTTCCTATTTTTCTTAGGATAAAATTCAAAATCCTTATTAGAGATGATGTAAGCCTGCTGGTTGCGAGTAGGCTGTGTGTTTGTATCTCAGCTCTGTCACTTACAAACTAATCTAACCTTGAGTGAATTTCTTCACCTTTCTGGTTTCACTTTGCTTACTTGTAGAATTAGGATAATAATAGCACCTTATAAAAATATGGAAAATGAACAGTTTATGTAAAACAGCTAGAGCAATGCCTAGCCAATGGTGTACACTTAATAACTAAACCGTTATTATTTTTCTTTTTTTATTTATTTTTATTTTTGAGATGGAGTCTCACTCTGTCGCCCAGGCTGGAGTGCAGTGATACGATCTCGGCTCACTGCAAGCTCTGCCTCCTGGGTTCATGCCGTTCTCCTGCCTCAGCCTCCTGAGTAGCTGGGACTACAGGTGCTCGCCACCATGCCTAGCTAATTTTTTGTATTTTTAGTAGAGGTGGGGTTTCACCGTGTTAGCCAGTACGGTCTCGATCTCCTGACCTCGTGATCTGCCCGCCTCAGCCTCCCAAAGTGCTGGGATTACAGGCCTGAGCCACCGCACCCAGCCTATTATTTCTTTAATTTATAAACCCCCGTGTAATCTGGCCCTCGTGTACTTTACTACTGTTGTCAAATCTGCCCAAACTCCTTTCATTTATTCCAGGAGTTTTTGACCCCCAGGCAGTTACCCTTGCTTTTCCCTCTCCCTGGAATTGTCTTCCTCCTGCCCTTCACATAGTTGTTATAGCAGCCATGAGAACGAGCCTCACAGATCATCTGAGGGTGTGGGGCCCCGGATGCTGTGCTCTGAAGCCTGTCACCAATTCTGTCTCGAGGTCATGCCTCTCTGTGCTGCTCACCACCAACAGTCAAGTGTGGTGGGGATACTAGGACAGCTGCATTCCTGGGAGATGTAGGGCTACTTTGCCTGCTGACTTTGGCTCCAGGAATCCATGACAGCTCTCCTGAAACTTTCTTAGATTTCATGGCAGACCAGGACTCTTCTCACCAACCTTCTCTCCCTCTCTCCTTCACCTGTGGTCAAACTTGCATTGTGGTATGATGACAATCTCAGCTTTCCCCTGCTCCCTTCCTCTTTCCTTTCATCTCAGGCATTTTCTCCAATAAAATCCTTGCATCTTTAATCCCATCTTGGCATCTGCTTCTCAGAGGACCTGGACTAATGCAGCTGGCATTATTTTCTTTACTGTCTATGTAAGTGCCCACTTCTACATGGTCTTCTGTAACTAACTTCACAAATGTAGCCCCCTTTCTTGGTTACTGTTTAGCACATCATCTTGCTGGCTGTTTTATTTCCTTTATGGAAATTTTCACAATACTTAAGTACTTGTTTTTTTTTTGGTTATTTATTTATTACCTGTTTCCTCTGTTAGCATGTACTTCTTCTTTGGGCAGGGACATGACAGCTCTGACACTTAGCTGCATTATGTGACACATTATATGTGCTTAATGGATATTGTTGAATTAATGAATGGATTCTCATAGCTTGTCTAATAAAGGGCTGGGAATTTTGAGGAAGTAAGGAACTATTGGTAATATGTCAATCTGTATATTTTGGAGGAGAGTAAGACTGAACTAGAATATTATTGAACAGCTGAAGGCAATATATGGGTCTTGGTCTCTTGGGATAACAAGGTAAAAGAGGTGATATGTTGGTTATATGTCCCTGCTTCTCTGGGACACTTTCATTTTTGTCCTGTCAACTGTCTAACCACTCTTACCCTTGTCAATATACTTGTTCCAAAAAATAATGGCCAAAGTGATGGGGAAAGGGCATCAGTAGTCAAAAGCAAGCTTTGTTTTAAGTTATCAAGTTGCTTTAATCTGGTCCAGCTCTTTCTTATCCCTCATGATGTGGAGAAAGGATGGGAACTTTATTTGCTGCACTGATGGGGCAGGTCCAGAATTAGGTGTAGGGAGTAAGCCACTGCCAGTCTTATTCAGTAACTATTTGTGGTAGTAGTGTGTACCACATTTTAAAATTCCCTAGCCTAATTTTAAACACAGAACTATTTCTGTCTTTATTTTCTTCATCGCCTTCAATGGTTAAGCTTAATACAACAAAATAATTCTACATATTAGCCTCAGAAAATGCGGGATTTATGGGAGAGGGTGGTGGCTAAGTAGTCCTAGAATTTAATTCTCATGTCTGGCTACCTTGGAAGTTATATGGCAACTGCCCCCAAAATGCAAAATCTACCTGTAAGTGCTCGGAAATTGTGCCAATTTTGAGGGAAGTTGACCTAAAGCTCATCAGAAGTTTTTCTCAAATTGTGAACTGAGGCTACAAATCACTTCCATTTGTGGCTCTCAGGACAAATCAATTTGTGTGCTGGAATAACCGATAATGGATCCCATTTTTGCCTTAGATTCTGCTGGTCTAATATTGTCTTCAGGCAGGTTCTCAAAGGCAACATGTCTATTAGCTACCCATTCTTTTGGCCAAAAATTGCAACTTTCACGTGTGTGCATGCAAATGTGTGTACAAATGCACACATAAATTATTTGTTCTTTTTTTAGCATTTCTATTTAACCCAAGCCTATAAACATTAATAAAAATACAAAAAATCCCAATATACACATCTAGTCCAAGATAGACAAGCCAGAGAAAAACTAGAAGCAGAGGGAGAAATACGCTGTTAGGTGAGCAACAAAATCAAAGAGAAACTATCCTTTTGCAAAGGGTCCAGATGAAAATGGTAAGAGTTGACGAGAAAGCAGCATTTGCCATGTCCTGACTGTAAAGGTAGAGAAAAAAAAAAAAAAGAAAGAAAGAAAACCTGCCAGGTATATGGGAAGTAAAAGTTCCTCTTTCTTTTAAAACACAATAGCTTGTGTAATTTTGTCACATGCATCTGTTGCTTTCACCTCTTACATTGCGCTGATGTGCTCACCAGAGCATTCACGGGAGCAATTCTCCCTCCCCACCCCTGACACCTGCCATGGAAAATGCTGCATTATTCATTGGGGAGCTAATGGCAGGTGATGAGATCTTTTCACGCTACATCCCTCTCAGTAGGTGTTTATCACTCTGTTCCCCAGCAGCCCTGCTATTACTGAGGGGCCAGAAGAACCCTACACACTCGCTTGAAAGGTAATGGGAAACGTGCTCAGCTTTCTGGGCTCACAAGCACAGATGAAGGTTATCACCAGGGTGGCTGCAAAGCCTGGGGCGGGAGGAGGGTGGTCACTCTAAGCGAACAGCTTAATTTTGGAAATCCATACAAATCATGTCAGAGCCATGATAATCCATCTTCTTTAGCTTCTAGCCTTTCAGCAGTCATTGCGCTGTAATAATTTCCCTCGATTCACCTGTGATCTCTATAAATAACCAGAGTGAGGGAGGAAAGAAGAGGAGGAAGGAGATGAGTTTGGCTTAGTGTGTGATGAGTGTGCCAAAGAGGGATTTATCTCTGTCTAGTAAGCAAGACACTGTCTTCTGCAAGGTGCGTGGGGGTGTGGCCATGCACAAGCCAGCAGGGGACAGCCCTGCGACCCCAGCGCCGTGCTCTGGTGTCATCTGAAACCAGCTTGACAAGAGAGGTAGTGGTTCTAACGACTCATCTGAAAGCTGTGAAAAAAAATTATGGAGCAGTGCCATGTCAGCATGTGGGAGGAACTGAAGGGGGACTATTTCATCTGCAAGCACTTCCTTCCTTATGGGAGCACCCTTATCAGAGAATTCTTTGCCATACTGTATTTGCCACAAATACCACCAATTGATTCTAGCTTTTTAATTCATTTTTTTCCCTGTTGTTTTTGTTGGAAGTAAGAGAATTTTTGGTTTATAGTTCTGAGTTACGGGAATATTAAGTAAAAGAATTCAAATTTGAAAAAGCCATTGTCATCAAAATAAACTGGAAAGGCAGCAATCAAATTTTTATTCTCTCAATTCACTTGTGGCTTATTTCACTGTTCTTCTGGGATGAGTGCTATTTCTTAATTCATGGTGGCCCATCGGTTTCTCTCTTCCATAGCACAGTGTGGCGTAGTGGAGTTCAGAGTCTATAGAATTTGATTGGGAAAGACTTTGGTTTAATCATACATCAACTACCTAGTAATTGTGGGAATGTATTTAGCCATTCTGAACCTTGCTTTTATTACTGGTAAAATGAATATAATATCTAGTCTAGGCTTACTTTGAAAACTAAATGTCAACCATTTAATAAGTACTTAACAATTGCTAATTCCTTCCATTTTCTCAAACTTCAGGTGAATTTATTTTTCCTTATACATAACCAAAGCAAATCTCTTTAGGTAAGTTGATAGATCTTTTTTCATGAGGTAGGCAAGTTCAAAAACCCTACTGTGTTTTTAAAGTTGGCCCTTGGTCAATGGGTGAATGGTTAAACAAATTGATATATACCCATACCATGGAATAATATTTAGCAATAAGAAGTAGCAAACTACTGATACATAAAACTTGATGGATATCCAGGTGGATTATGCTGGATGAAAAAAGCCAGTCTCAAAAGGTTATATACTACATGATTCTATTTATATAACTTTTTTGAAATGACAACATCAAAGCAATGGGCACTAGATTAGGGGTCACCTCAAAATGGTGAATGGGGGGTATGCAATTCTGGCACGAATGACCAGTTGATTGAAAAGTCCCAATTTCATGGGCAAAAATATACAGTGGATTTATGTTTTGTTTATTAAGGATTCTCAAAGTTCGTTTTCCACCACTGGGTAGAATCTTGGAGAGTGAACCCTGGTTAAAAACTGTCTCTAGTTCACTCTCAGATCTTATCTCCTTCAGATATTGTCTCCTTCCCTTTGCCCAGCAAGGAATAGGTTTTGTTGTCCTCTGTTGCTCCTTATCTGACCCCAGCCCTTGAAGTTGGAGGGCGGGGGATACTCCGGTCTGCTTCTGAGATCATACCTTTTCTCTTCTCTTTTTTTGAGCCCAGTCTTCTGATTTACCTCAACTTCCATCTTGTTGAGTAAGAGAAATTATAGGCGCAAGGTGGCAGAATTACAGAAGAGCCTGGTGTTGATTAGGGGAGGAATAACAGGACACCAGCCACCTTAAAACCTGTCATTGTGCAACAGAATGGCAAATAGCCATCTATTTCCTGGTTCAACTGAATCTTGAGCATCTAACTAAGCAGAAGAGAGTGGGGAACAAATAAAACCCCCTCCAATGGCCCAACATCTTTAGGACTGGTCAGCCTGCTCAACTCCCACCAGCACAGCCTAGCTCAGGCCCCAGGGAAGATTTTCAATTCATCTGAGTAGTAAGTGGGATTTCTTCTAAGATTGTGGCAATAGTTGGAGGCTGTTTTAATTTTGATGTGATCTTGAGATCTTTATATTTTTCTACTTTTAAAAATTATTTTAGTGGCAAGATGAGATATTTAAGACTTGTGAAATAGATTCCGTTATGAAATCAGAATACTTACACATTTATGTATGGATTTGGATAAACAGAACTTCTCAGGTAATTATATTTTAAACAAGTCTATCAGTTCTAGCTTGCATAGCTAATTTGAAGTATAATATTATTTTAATTCTTATTCCAGTGCCTTCACCCTAGATATAATAGAGCCATGATGCCAACATTCTATAATTGTACTTTGTCAAGCCTTCCTTTTTTGGAGAAGTTAAAGGTTGGCTAAACCATATTTCTTCTTTAAATTTCTCAGCATGACTTGCTGGCATGTTTAGTTGTAGTGACTAATAGCTCTATTTTGCAAATTAAAACGAAAGATGACAAGACATTTTGAAAAGACTAGGTGGAGGGGGAATATAAACAAAAGTGATTTAAAAAGTAGGAAAATGTTTAAAACTTTTAATATAGAGAAACATCCCATATTATCAAGCTGTCAGATTTCCCAGAAGTTCTGCTATCCAGAAGACATTTCTAACCTGGAAGTAAACAAAAGAGCCATCATCAAAATCTTTAGATCCATTACTTAAAATAATTGTTAAATTATGTGAAAGAACTGTTGCTTCAAAAGACAGGAATCTGAGAACAGTTTAGAAGAAATACCAAACTTTGCTTAAAAATTTTGGCTCTTGAGATGCTACTGATTCAGGAGCAGGGAAAGGGAGTAGGGGCTTTGGCATCAGACTGATATGGTTTGGAATCCTGAATTTTGCCTCTTCCTAGTTGTCTAATTTTGGATAAGCTACTTATGTTTTCTAGGCCATAGTGTGTCATGTGCATATTGGGTATTAAAACACTCATCTAGTATGGGCTGCTTTGGTGATTAAATGAGAACGTGTATGTAAAAATTATCATTAACTGATTGGCTACGTAGGAATAATCATGAACAATTAATTTATACCAATGCCCAATTCCTTAATAATATGGAATAAATGAGGCTTACCCAACAACTTCCTGATTTGCTGAATGTGTTTAAAAATAGTGCTCTTCACAGCATTGGCCAGGATGTCAACATCCACCCTTGAAAGAAACTTCAGTAAAATTTCAAAATGCCTTACCAATGAGTTAGGGAAAGAGCTTATTAATTACTCTCTATATTATGTTCAAATGAATATTCAGCCCTAGGGACATGAATACATCCTCAGTAGTGTGTGTGATCAATTGTACAGTGGGCCACAACAGTTTTAGGACCACTTCCCTGTTTATAAGCTTGAGCAAGTGTGTACAAATGAAACAAGAGCAAATATTATAAGCTCTTGTCATTTGTACAAAATCTTGGTGGTGTGCTATCCTTCCATTTCCTTTTGGTCAGAGTAGCTACTATCTTTTCTGCCTACTATGCTGGAAGGTAATTACTGGAGTCCAAGCTCCAAAAACTAGTTCTATCAAGTTTATATTTTAGCATTATGTGTGACATTTAGAGTAATTTTTTTTTTTTGAGACAGAATCTCCCTGTGATGCCCAGGCTAAAGTGCAATGGTGCGATCTCGGCTCACTGCAACCTCCGCCTCCTGGGTTCAAGCGATTCTCCTGTCTCACCATCCCAAGTAGCTGGGACTACAGGTGTGTGTCACCACACCCAGCTAATTTTTGTATCTTTAGTAGCGACAGGGTTTCACCATGTTGGCCAGGCTGATCTCGAACTCCTGACCTCAAGTGATCCGCCCACCTTGGCCTCCCAAAGTGCTGGGATTATAGGCATAAGCCAATGCACCCAGCCCATTTAGAGTATTTTTTAAATGTCTCACTATTCCCAAAACTATGACCACAAAAGAAGCTGTACTTTCAGTCATGGGGAGAATAGGGTAATAAAAATTAGTGACATAAGAACAAATGTGTGGCCGGGCATGGTGGCTCATGCCTGTAATCACAGCACTTTGGGAGGCCGAGGTAGATGAATCACCTGAGGTCAGTAGTTCAAGACCAGCCTGACTAATATGATGAAACCCTGTCTCTGCTAAAAATACAAAAATTAGCCAGGTGTGATGGTGGGTGCCTATAATCCCAGCTACTTAGGAGGTTGAGACAGGAAAATTGCTTGAACCCAGGAGGTGAAGGTTGCAGTGAGCTGAGATCACGCCACTGCACTCTAGCCTGGGTGACAGAGCGAGACTCTGTCTAAAAACAACAACAACAACAACAAAAAAACAAAACAAAAAATAACAGTGTGTGACAGGAGCAACCTGACGGAAGGGCATGAAGCACGTGTGAGATGGAGGAGCAGGTTGTGCCAAGGCTAGTGTAGATCTGATTTATTTTCCAACACTTTCATTAACCATCTTGGCGAAGTCACGGGATCTCTGAGAACCTCTGACTTCTCTGACATACAATGTTGAGAGTGTGGGCTCTGAAGTCACAGAAACTGGGTTGAAATCTTGACTCTTTTACTTGTTATGTGGAGAAGGTATTTACTTGTTGTGTGGAGAAGGTTGTGAGCCTCAGCTGCCTCAAATATAAAATGGGGAAAACAATAGATTTGCTGCATTTGATTTTGTGGGGATTAAAAATAGGAATGCATTTAAATACAGGCATACGTTGGAGATACTGTGAGTTCAGTTCCAGACCACTGCAATAAAGAATCACAATAAAGTGAGTCACATGAGTTTTTTGGTTTTCCAGTGCATATAAAAGTTACATTTACACTATAGTATAGTCTGTTAAGTGTACAATAGCAGTATGTCTTTAAAAAGTACATACCTTAATTAAAGAATACTTTATTGCTAAAAAATGTGACACAGAGATGTGAAGTGAGCACATGCTGTTGGAAAAATGGCACAGATACATTTACTTGATGCAGGGTTGCCACAACCCTTCAATTTGTAAAAAATGCAATATCTGTAAAGCTCAATAAAGCAAAGCACAATAAAATAAGGTTTGCCTACATGAATAAAGTGCTGCACATGTAAAATTATGTACATTAAATGTGAGTTACTGTTATAAGTGTCTGGTTGAATTAGAGAAAAGAAAAGCCCCTGGACAGACCAGCACTACAGAGAAAATTGTTTCTGTACCACCAGTTCCTTTTCTCCTCTCATCACCCCGGGTGGGCAGAATAATGCCCCCTGCCTGCAAAATGTCCATGTCTTAATGCTTGGAACCTGTGAATAGATTGAGTCTCAAGGACTTTGCAGTTGTAATTAAGGACTTTGAGAGAAGGGACTATCTTGGATTATCCCCATGGACTCATTCTAACATGAACCTTGAAAAGCGGAGAACTTTCTCTGGCTGGAAACAGGAGATTCAGCAGAAGTTGAAGTCAGAGTTTTCAAGCATGAGAAGGATTCAACCAGCTGCTGTTGGCTTTGAGATACAGGGATCAGGGTGCAAGAACTGTAGAGAGCTCTCTAGGAGCTAAGGATGACTCCAGCTGATAGGACCCTAATCCTAGAATCACAAGAAACAGGAAACTTCCAACAATCTGAATGAGCTGGAAAGCAAATTCTTTCCAGAGCCTCCTGATAAGGCCAACCTCTAGATTTTCACATCTGAAGATGTGAAACCTAGGTCAGAGAGACCAGTTGAGCCAACCTCAACTTCTGACCTACAGAACTGTGAGATAATGAATTTGTGTTTTTAGTCACTCTGTGGATTAATTTGCTATGATAGTGATAGAAAAATAACACACTGCCTCACCCCTTTAGCATTTCTTTCCAGTCTTTATGAAAGTTAGTTGTAGTTTCGAGGATGCTTCACAGAGATAACATCACCCAGGGTGGAAAGGCTTGTGGGTATAGATACTTAGGTAATATAGCTAGAAGAAGTTTAGCAGAAGGATGTAGGCAAAATTAGATGAGCAGAATAGTATAGGATGAAGGGTTTTGGGAAAAAAAAATACACACACACACACACACACACACACCACATATTGTGAGATTTGGGGAATTTAACAACTGAAAGCAACATTCATGGCTATTTACTTTTTTTTTTTACTTTACTCTTTATCCTCTTGTTTTAAGATGAAGAAACAAAAAGTCAAAAGTGGTTAATGGACTTGCCCAAGGTCAGATATTCAACAAACTGCTTTTCTTAGGTTACGAATAGACTATCAAATTCTTGTGGTGTCTTCTTTTTACTCTAAATGCTACTCACTAGTGGACCCCAGTCTTACAGTGGGTGTAGAATGGTAAAGTGTTGAGGGAGTAGAGTATAAATGTAGATAATGTTTTCTTATTCAACCAAGAATCTTGATGACCAGCTTTAGAAACAATGTTTTAGGTGTGAAAATGCATAAGGCTTCATTCACTCTCTGGATAGGACTTCTGTATATGGAATCCTAGTCTGGTTATATTTATCAAGCATTCTGCTTTATGTATAACCTAACATGGCCATAGGCAGAAAGAAGTCACTGAAACATCAGATGAAGGATTGGGTTAAGTGACTGCCAAGATCATTTCCTGTCTCAGTATTGTTCAGAGCACTCAAGGTAGTGATTTATGTCTACTTAGAAGGATGCCATCCAGACCTTGACCAGTGTTTGAAAACAATTTTCTAGCCAGCAATGCAAAGAGATAATTTCACAAGTCAGCCATGTTTATGGTATATCGTCCATGAAATCACTGAGCAGACATGTCACTGCATCATAGAACCTTCACCCAGGTTCATATAGGCAAGGTGCTATTGCCTTAAGTGGTGTTTATGAGATGTATAGCAGCAATGGACAACAAAGGAGCCATTTTTCTCTTTGCATTGCTGAAAATTTGGCTTTCCTTTTGGATGCTGTTAAAATCCCACTAGACGCATATATAACATGACAATAAGTCGGAATTTTCTTTTTCTATTGCTCCAGAATTGGTGATAAGATCTCAGAGTTGAAGAAGGTCCAAGTGTTCCTTATTTAAATGAAGCGACAAAAAACCGAGGCTAGATACCTCTCTAGGGCTTAATAAGCAGAGACACAACCTGCCCTTCTCATTCAACCATTCCCCCACCCCAAGACTGGTGTGTATTAGTTTGCTAGAACTGCTGTAACAAAGTACCACAGACTGTGTGGCTTATACAATAGAAGTTATTTTCTCATGGTTCTAAAGGTCGCAAGTTTGAGTTTGAGGTATCAGCAGTTTGGGTTTCCTCTGAGGTTTTTCTCCTTGAATTGTAGGTTGCCACCTCCCTTTGACTTAGCTTGAACACATGAACTTCCCTCTGTATTTGTCTGTATTCTAATCTCCTCTTATTATAAGGACACAAGTCTTACTGGGTTAAGATCCACTCTACGATGTCTACTTTAATGATGTGATTTTAACTTACCTGTTTAAAGACCCTTTCTCTGCATGCAATCACATTCAAACTTTAATATATAAATTTTTTAAGGATACCATTTGGCCCATAATTACTGGGAAAGGGAGATAACTACTGAGATTGGCAGTCTTCTAAGAAGTATTATATTCAAGCTTTATATGGTTTGGCTCTGTGTCCCCACCCAAATCTCATCTTGAATTGTGCTCCCATAATTCCCTCCTGTTGTGGGAGGGACCCGGTGGGAGATACTTTGAATCATGGCAGAGGTTTCCCCCATACTGTTCTCATGGTAGTGAATAAGTCTCAAGAGATCTGATGGTTTTATCAGGGGTTTCCGCTTTTGTATCCTCATTTTTCTCTTGCTGTCACCACGTAAGAAGTTTCTTTCACCTCCCACCATGATTCTGAGGCCTCCCTTGCCATGTGGAACTGTAAGTCCAATTAAATCTTTTTCTTCCCAGACTCCAGTATGTCTTTATCAGCAGTGTGAAAACAGGCCAATAAGGTAAACTGGTACCAGTAGAGTGGGGCGCTGAAAAGATACCCGAAAATGTGGAAGCGACTTTGGAACTGGGTATCAGGCAGAGATTGGAACAGTTTGGAGGGCTGAGAAGACGGGAAAATGTGAGAAAGTTTCGAACTTCCTAGAGACTTGTTGAATGTCTTTGACCAAAATGCTGATAGTGATATGAACAATAAGGTCCAGGCTGAGGTGGTGTCAGATGGAAATGAGGAACTTGTTGGAAACTGGAGCAAAGATGACTCTTATAAGGCTTTAGCAAAGAGGCTGGTGCATTTTGCCCCTGCCCTAGAGATTTGTGGAACTTTGAATTTGAGAGAGATGATTTAGGGTATCTGGCAGAAGAAATTTCTAAACAGCAAAGCATCCAAAATGTGACTTGGGTGCTGTTAAAAGCATTTTGTTTTAAAAGGGAAACAGCATAAAAGTTCAGAAAATTTGCAGCGTAATGATGCAGTAGAAAAGAAAAACCCATTTTTTGAGGAGAAATTCAAGCCAGCTGCAGAAATTTGTATAAGTAACAGGAGCCCCATGTTAATCCCCAAGACAATGGGGAAAATGTCTCCAGGGCATGTCAGAGGTCTTCATGGCAGCCCTTCCCATCACAGACCCAAAAACCTAGGAGGAGAAAATGGTTTTGCAGGCAAGGCCCAAGGTCCCCATGCTGTGTGCAGCCTAGGGACTTGATGCCCTGCATCCCAGCCACTGTAGCTGTTACTAAAAGGGGCCAAGGTACAGCTTGTCCCATGGTTTCAGAGGATGCAAGCCCCAAACCTTGGCAGCTTGCACATGAAGTTGAGCCTAGGGGTGCGCAGAAGTCAAGAATTGAGGTTTGGGAACCTCCACCTGTATTTCAGGAGATGTATGGAAACACCTGGATGCCCAGGCAATAGTTTGTTGCAAGGGTGGGGGCCTCATGGGGAACCTCTGCCAGGGTAGTACGGAAGGGAAATGTGGGATTGGAGCCACCACACAGAGTCCCTGCTAGGGCACCACCTAGTGGAGCTGTGAGAAGAGGGCCACCATCCTCCAGAACCCAGAATGGTAGATCTGCCGACAAGCTTGCACCGTGTGCCTGGAAAAGCCATGGACACTCAACGCCAGCCTGTGAAAGCAGTTGGGAGGGGGGCTGTACCCTGCAAAACCACAGGGTGGAGCTGCCCAAGACTATGGGAACCCACCTCTTGCATCAGTGTGACTTGGATGTGAGACATGGAGTCAAAGGAGATCATTTTGGAGCTTTAGAATTTGCCCCACTGGATTTCAGACTTGCATGGGCCCTGTAACCCCTTTGTTGTGGCCAATTTCTCCAATTTGGAATGGCTATATTTACCTGTACCTCCATTGCATCCAGGAAGTAACTAGCTTACTTTTGATTTTACAGGCTCATAGGTGGAAGAGACTTGCCTTGTCTCAGATGAGACTTTGGACTGTGGACTTTTGGGTTAATGCTGAAATGAGTTAAGACTTTGGGGGACAGCTGGGAAGGCATGATTGGTTTTGAAATGTGAGGACATGAGATTTGGAGGGGCCAGGGGCAAAATGATATGGTTTGGCTGTGTCCCAACCCAAATCTCATCTTGCGTTTTACTCCCATAATTCCCACATGTTGCAGGAGGGACCCAGTGGGAGATAATTTGAATTATGGGGTCCGTTTCCCCCACACTGTTCTCCTGATAGTGAGTAAGTCTCATGAGATCTGATGGTTTTATTAGGGGTTTCTGCTTTTGCATCCTCCTCATTTTCTCTTGCTGCCACCATGTAAGAAATGCCTTTTGTCTGGGCATGGTGGCTGACACCTGTAATCCCAGCACTTTGGGAGGCCAAGGTGGGCAGATCACAATGTCAGGAGATCGAGACCATCCTGGCCAACACAGTGAAACCCCGTCTCTACTAAAAATACTAAAAAATAAGCTGGGTGTGGTGGCAGGCGCCTGTAGTCCCAGCTACTCGGGAGGCTGAGGCAGGAGAATGGCGTGAACCCAGGCGGCGGAGCTTGCAGTGAGCCGAGATCGCACCACTGCACTCCAGCCTGGGCAACAGAGCGAGACTCTGTCTCCCAAAAAAAAAAAAAAAAAAAAAAAGTGCCTTTTGCTTCCTGCCATGATTCTGAGGCCTCCCCAGCCATGTGGAACTGTAGGTCCAATTAAACCTCTTTTTCTTCCTAGTCTTGGGTATGTCTCTATCAGCAGCATGAAAACAGACTAATACAAAGATGAAAAGTGATTGTTTTCTTTCCCCATCATGAAGAATAGAGGAGTGAATTTTTACCCTAAAGCCAAGAGAGGGGCTTTGAGAGTCATTCATACTGATTGGGATATACTTTTAGAGAGGCAGGAGGAGAAGACATCTCATTCCTTCCCTGAATCCTTGCTGAGCTGTGTAATGTATGGAGCAGTGCATGGAAAAGAGTTCTTGGGAGACTTTGAAATGTATACCCTGGAGTTTTGGGGATGCCTACAGACATAGAGATGGCACTTTCTTGCCTAGAATTTCTGAAGGCTAAATTTTTACTGAAATATTGTACAGTAGCAGTGCAGAAGGAATGCTGATGTCATATCTTTAATGAAAAAGATGAGGATCACCCTCATTCCAATTTTCTACTGTTCCTGGATAGTTCAAAAGAGAACCACAACTGTTAGTGTGGCTGCACGTAAAAAAGACTACAGTAGGTAAAGGATGGGTCAGATATCCCACCCAGGTGACATCTAGACTAAGCAAGGGGATACCTCACCCAGTGAAAGGTTTGAAGGTGAACTCTGATGAGGCTGCTCAAGAATGATGTACACAGTCTCTATGTTAGTAGTTCTCAAGCAGGGTGAATTTGGCCTCCAGAAGACAACTTGCAATTTCAGTTGTTATAACTGGGAGAATGATGTTACTGCCCCAATGCTGGGGATGCTGCTAAACCTGCTACCACGCAGAGGGCAGCCACTACCATAAAGCATTACCCAGGTCAAAATATCAGTAGTTATGCTGTTGAGAACTCCATGTGGAAGCCATCATATTGGCATAGTCACCCTGCTACTTTTTTTTTTTTTTTTTGACATGGAGTTTCACTCCTGTTGCCCAGGCTGGTGTGCAATGGCATAATCTCGGCTCACTGCAACCTCTGCCTCCTTGGTTCAAGCGATTCTCCTGTCTCAGTTTCATGAGTAGCTGGGATCACAGTCACCCACCCCTACGCCCAGCTAATTTTTGTATTTTTAGTAGAGACGGGGTTTCACCATGTTGGCCAGGCTGGTCTCGAACTCCTGGCCTCGTGATCCGCCTGTCTCAGCCTCCCAAAGTGTGGGGATTACTTACAGGCGTGAGCTACCGCGCCCGGCCGCCCTGCTACTTTTGTTGTGTGCACGAACATTAATATTTCTGAAAGGGAATGTTTGGTAACTGCATGCACAGGAGGGAAGTACGTCAAACTTATTGTCAGGTTGATCAACGTATGTATTACATGCCTTTCCTGGGTAAAAGATTAGGGGTACGGAATTATTAAATCATAGTTCTTAGCTTCAGGATCTTATACTCGGGGGAAAACAGACATATTGGACAAGTGAATGTGCCTGCCAGTTTGTGCAATAGTGATATAATGGAGGCATGAACATGTTGTAAATAAATGGATGGTAAATAGCTTGAAAAAATTGTGACATGTTCTGTATGATCCCATTTTATAGAGAATATATATTCATAATCCCACTTAATATTTAAAATATTTAAAAATATATACAAAATTTAGAAGCAAGTGTATGGATATTTTATAATTGGCTAATTATAGGATTCTGGCCACATTTTAAAATTTGATTTGCAATAGTAAAACCTTTTTTGTGTGTTTAAGATATGTGATCATTGCAAAAAAGGAATTAGGTACTATGTAAGGAGGTTGTAAAGAAGAAAACGAAAATCACCAGTAATTAACTTTCTAAATGTAAGAACCATGAATGATTTTGTATCTGTCCTTTGAGGTTTTTCCCCAAGCATATGTGTGCCCTTAGAAACCAATAGTTCTGATCGTGCTATGCGTTGTTCACTTAAGGACTCCTGTTTCTTTTGTCTGTGTTAATATATTTTACTTATATCATCTTAAAGGAAATACATAATGTATATTAATTTACTTTTCCCAAGTGAAGAGGAGTTTGAAATGGAAAGCATATTTTTTCTGCTTATTCTTCTTCAACCTCAGTTTCACTCCCCAAAGGCAACCACTTTTATACTCTGCTATTTTTAGTTCCCTTTGTGGTTACTTTTATACATCTCATGATTATGCTTCTATTCTTACTCTTCCTCCTATTTCCTCTCTTGCCCTGCTACTACCTAATTTCTGGTGACTCTTCTTTAATTTTACATAGTCACAGTGAAACAGTTCTCTCCCTTTCTGAAACTGTAATTGTTATGTGCTTTGTCTTTAGCTTTTACTGAAGTGAAGACTAAAGACCAATAAATACCATTTGTTTCTGTGGCCATGTACATACCGTTTACCACAAATTCAATTAAAGGCATTGCATTCATTTTCTTCTTTTTACATCCAGTGTTACAATGTTTTTACAATTGGAGGAAGAAAATTCCTAATGTCCAACTCAAATGGGTTCACTTTTGTTACATTTTTAAAATATTTTAGAATGACTCATTCAAAAGTAGCTACTCCTGTTTCTTTCTTTCCTCTTTTTTTTTTTTTTTTTTTGGAGGCTCCAAAAAATACCATGATGGAGGAAGAGTTCCTGTTTGTTTGTTTTTTTAATTGACTTCATCAATCAATTTATTGTCTTATGTAATTTATTTTATTGCCATTGTTGTCAAGTTAAAAATGAATTTTTACCATATTCTTAAAATTACTCAGGCTCATCTATTGCACTAAGTATACTTCTTTCCAAAGAAAACCTTTCAGGATCACTTCAGCTTTCTGCTGTAACCGGGGCTGGTCACTGCCTTGATTCACTTACTGTTCAAAGAATTGTTAGGAACAATATCAGTGCATCTTGCCCTCCTGGGTTAGCTTTTTTTTTGGTATCCCATGTCTTCCATTTTTTGGTTTCAACTTCATTTTCTTATCTGGAATACATACTCAAAATTCTCCTCACAAATGGCACTTGGGTTACCAATGTTCTGAAGCTGTGCATATCTAAACATATGTATATTTTATCCTCAGGCTTGATTGATATTTTGTATGGCTGTAGAATTTTAGGTTAAGAATCTTGTAGAACTTTGAATACATCTTTATCTTGTAATGTTCAGAGTTGCTGATGAGAAGTCTGATGTCAATCTGATCCTGTATATATTTATTTGTTTCATAGATGGCCCTTGCCTTGGTTTACAGTTCTAGAAGCTGCTTGAAAGCAAGAGCTATTGCCAGGCCAGAGATAATGTCTGAATCAGGCACATAGAAGTGAAATGAGGAATTGTGAGAGACAAATTGGAGGTAGGATCTATGTGATTCTGTGTGTCTGCTTTTTTAACTTGGCTTCCATTCTTAATATTCTGCCAAACCTTAGCTGAAGCTTTTAATTCTTAATGCACATGAGGTCAGTGAGAATTACTGAGTGCCCACCATTTACTGAAGCATGGCAGAGCTGAACTGAAGGGTGTAACCCATCCAGATCTTTCAGAGGTAAAATATAATTGGCCTGAGCCTTTGACCTGTACTGACAGTTTATATTTTGAATTCTGTTGTGTTTATTTTCATCACTAAAAAGTCAGAGGATAGTCACAAGTTTTAGATAAACTAGGTATTGTTATTTTAAAGGAAAAGGGATGTCAGTTTTTGTCTGTAAGTAACATGACAAATATTTTATTGTGAATTGTACATGGTGATTTAGAAACCTAATGACAGGCCAAACTGAGATCATGAGTTATATAACAATGGGCTGGCTGTATTTTGGAGTTCATTTATGCTTATCCAGACTAATCTTAAGAAGTTTTAGTCTATACCAGGTTTAGATCAAGGATTATTCAAATACAACTATTCCCCGGGGCCTAGAGATAGTGCTTTTGAAGGTGGTAGACAGGTATCATTTGACATAAATGAAGCACAATGGAGGGCAAGAGTGGTTTTAGTTGTTTGGAAGAAGACATGGAGTGATAATTTCTTAGACATTATAATTTTTAAGCACAGGCTTGCAAGATAAATAAATCAGTCCACTGAGGAGGAGGATAAAAGCTCTGTTTTGTGCAACTAAAAAAATAATAGCCCATATCCGGGAGGACATTTTGAGCATGTCTGCTGCTGACACCATGACTCTGTGATGCTCTGAAATATTTATTGAAAGAGATTGGAATCATCAATAATTATTACTTGATGGAGGTTTGTGGAAATACGCTTTTTCAGCTCTGAGAACCATGTGGTTCTATTAAGCTAGTTATCACAAATAATTAAGGTCAAAAGCACCATCGACACTTACTTTGCTACAGTGCATTAAAAATAATCTTTGAAAGCTGCTGAGTCTGATACACCACTTTGAATCCTGCTAGTGCATTAGCGGGGTAGACTTATATGACAGCGGCTCTACTGTGCAAATGATCTTTGTGCATAGAATTAGGTGATAGAAATAGGCAGAATAATTTCAGCCACCATAGTCTAGAACTACAGATCTACGTATAGAAGGCTGTAGGAACAAGGAAACTAAGATAAATTTGTCATGTGCAAGAGAGATTTTTGTCTGAAATGTGCCTTTCTGTTTTCTCTATGGTTCAGTAGGGTCTGTGGTGGGGGAGGAAGATAAACAAGGAGCAGGGTACAGGGAGAGGGTGTGGCAATGATTTCCGCTTCCATTGACAAAGAACAAGGCATCCCTGATTGCTTTTTATCAGTCAAGCCACTTACACTTGACAAACCACCACATTTTCTGATTTTTATTTATTAATTTTATATGTTAATTATTCTCTACCCAATTTGTCTTTTTCTCTCTTCTTCCATTTCTATCTCCTCTTTTCTGTATCTCCTTCCTCTTTCTTTCTCCTGGTTCTTTCATAACTATTCGTTCATTATTCATTCATTTACCAAGTGCCTATGGAGGATATTCTATGTGCAAGGCATTATGTGACATGGTGGATACAGGAATGGATAACGTATGGTTCTAATCCTAAAGGAATTTACAGCTGACTGTGTGAGGTTTAGAGGAATATGTTTAGAAATTACCTGAGTCTTTTTCAGTCATTTAGATATTTTAGATCTAAATGATTGTCTGGATCCCCCTCAATATACACAGATAAAAAGTAAAGAAGGGGTTACCTTTTCGGGCCTGGCATTTGTAGTACAGACTCTGGTCCCACCAGAGTCTCCTTACCTTCTTCTCCCACCTTCATGGCCTGATATGGTTTGGCTGTGTCTCCACCCAAATCTCATCTTGAATTCCCACATGTTGTGGGAGGGACCTGGTGAGAGGTAATTGAATCATGGGGGCAAGTCTTTCCTGTGCTGTTCTCATCATAGTAAGTCTCAAGAGATCTGATCGTTACTATAAGAGGTAGTTTTCCTGCACAAGCTCTCTCCTTGCCTGCTGCCACCCATGTAAGACGTGACTTGCTCCTCCTTGCCTTCCGCCGTGATTGTGAGGCTTCCCTAGCTACATGGAACTGCAAGTCCAATTAAACCTTTTTTGTAAATTGCCCAGTTTCCGGTATGTCTGTATCAGTAGAGTTAAGATGGACTAATACATGGCCCCTCTAGGCTTCCTCTGTTTGAAAACTACTGGTTTGAAGCTGCTAAGAAAAATGATCAATATTTTGTCAGTCTCCTCCCGTGTTCACTGGATGTATTATTATTATTTAAAGGGGGCAGCTAGGCTCAATGCACAAACTGGTGGGAAAGAATAAATGGCCAGAGAATTTCAATTCTGATTTTTGCAACTTTTCTACACCATTCTTTGAGAAAGTACGGGATGGATAATCCGTCTCAGTGCTTTTGGGATCTCTCCTGTTGAAAAAAGACATCCATTTCTGACACTTAAAAAAAGTATCTTTTCATGGAAAGAGACTTTTTGTTTCCTATTCCTGGATCCTTCTAGGCCTTCTTGGTTGCAAAGCTTCATCAGAGCTGCTGAGTGAGTCCCCAATGCACTGGGTTAGTGGGCTCAGAGCAGGCCTCTCTGGCATGCAGCAAAGTGACTGATGATGGCTCCGTTTATCATGGCAGCTCTCTCCAGAGCACAAGCGGAAAGGCACCTCATGTTCACTTCAGAACCACAGAAACTTCATGCAGATCTACTCTGACATGACTTCGACAACCAAATAATTTTCAAAATGTTTTACGACCCCAGGCACCTCTAAAATAGCTTCACTTGTCACTTCTGTAGCCTCAAATCAGAATTAGACTAATATCGAGGGGGATGGCAACAGCACATCAGCCTGTCAAGCAGGAAGATGTGAACTTATGGGGAATACAGCATAGAAACTGTAGAGGAAAGTGCATTTAGCTGTGCGACCCACCCTGTTAGGTTATCTGGACTTAGAATTGGAAGAGACTTCAGAAGAGATAAGAATTGTATAATCCTGATTTTGCATAAAACTCCATAGTTTGTAATATATTCCCATGTATGTTTTCTCTTTTTAGCCTCATAACAAGCTTACAAATAGGAGATTCTTTTCTCCACTATAAGGAAGCAGCCTCCAACAGGTTCCAAACCTGTCCCTAGACCCAACTGGAACCAGTTTTGCTCAAGGAGGTGGTTTTCACTCACCATGGCATCTTAAGCAGCTAATGCATTGTGTGGTATATGGTTGGCAATTAAATAATTGCTAAATAACTTACATAGTGGCTGAGCTGGAATTTAAATCTAGGCTACTGCTATCTTGAGGTGAAGTGTTGATTGCTTTCCTGAGGGGGAAAAAGATAATTTTGAAACACAGCATTGCTGTGGACATCAGTGTTAATACTTTGTAGCAGAGCAGTAGGGAGCCTAAGTTGCTAACCTGGGCTGGGATGCTGAGAATCAGAGCTGAGTGTGTGATGGGGGTAGGGCAGCCCTGTTGATGAGAATCAGGGAAGGAATGGGGCTTGTGTATCAAAGAGACAACCAGGGAGAAAAATCCGTGTCTGTAGCTTGGGAAGCCCAACTAGGGCCCGCCAATCTATGAGGCTGGTGTTTAGGCCGCTTCTCCCCCTTTTAAATGTGAGGAACCTGAAGCACAGAGAAGCCCTTTGGCTAAAGTCACCTTGAATTGAGGACCGTTTACTCTCAAGCCCAGGTTCTTATTCAGTATGCCATTCTGTCCCTGTTGGAAATTTTATTCACCTTAGTTACATGGAGATTAGCTAAGTGAAATCCAATTCGTCCAATATCCGGTAGAGGAGACAGATTTGTGAGTAACACTAGGCCATGTGATTGATGCCATGCCAGGAGAGAGAGTTGCTCACATCAGGGACGCAGGACTGGAGAGAGATGAGAGGGAAAGCAGGGACCCTGGCAGGAGGGGAGCCTGGCATGAGCCATGGCAGTGAGAGGAGACCAGAATCCTTGGTATGATTTGGACACACTGTCTCAGGAGACCACAAAGTGGACAAGGGCCAGATCAGTAAGGGTCTTGTGTCTCTTGCTGAGGTTTGGACTTGACCATGAAGCATAAGAAAAGCCACTACAGAATTCTCTGCAGGGATTGGATTTGAATAAATATGCATTTCAGAAAGGTCATTCTTCATAATTTCTTAGGAGTATTTGCAATTTTTGAGAGTGCTTTGAAACTCCCCATTTCACAGGACCACTATATTTCAAAACAATATCCCTAATGTAGAATTTGTAATGCCTGGGGAGATTTTTAAATGCATGTCAAATAGTTGTAAATGAAAGAGGACAACACATAATTAATGTGGATGATGCCACGTGCATTAGGGGATTCTTTATCCCCAAGGGCAGAGTCTGTAGACCATCTTTAACCTTTCTGGCTTTAAAAATTCTGTAGAATACTAAATGCTTCCAAAGTTAGAACAGCATATTTGCCTACAATAGGAAAGATGACCACTTTCTGATCCATGTAAATATCTCTTATTGATTAAAAAAAATTCAGTCTGACAAAGTGTAAAGTAGATATTTAAAATGTGCATAGTGCATGAAATTACCTCACATTACTAGTAAATGCATGCCTTGTAGCAATTATGTCATTTATGCTTACACTAATTAAGTGTTGATGTGTGAGCAGTAAGTTGCAATGATGTCGTTAACTAATGTACATAAATATTCCCTTTAAACTGTAATTGCACTTTGCCACAGCGTAAAAGAAGGCAAGCTCAATTTAGGAGTTATGTAGGACTGTTCTTTGAGAAAATGTTAACGAACTCTGGAAAGGGAGAGTTTGATTCTGGAGTGCTGTGTTTCCATTACAAGAAGGGAAAGGGGGAGAGGGAAGGGTCTGAGGAGTCTAATTTACAAATCCGTTCAGAACATTTACATAGTCTTTTCTTCTAGATGCTGGTGATGTCCAGGCACACAGTGTCAATTGCACAGATTGAGTTTTCTGAGCTGAAGGAGCCAACGAGACTTAATGTCCACACTATCCCCAGCAGAGAGACACTGCACTACATTTCTGTCACAAGGATTAGCTGATCTCTGGGAAATTTGTGGTGGTGTACCCATTTGCTGAAGTCAAGATTTATGATGCTCAACGTTAATGTGATTTTAGCTCTAAAACTCCAAACCCTGTTTGTTCCCCAGAAACAAAGGCCAAGGTAGTAAGAGAGGGGATGTATCATCCTGAATTGCTTCTGCAACCAAAGCTAATCAGAATGGTGAGGCTTCTGTGGTTTGGAGTCAGAGAGCTTGAATTTGCTAACTGGGTATCTCAGTCCTCCCAGACACATACTCTTCTCATTTTGTGGTGGATAATGACCCCCCTCTGAAAATAGTAAGGTTCTTTTCTAAAAATATTCCTCCCTCTGCCAAGAACAAAAGAAAGACTAGTGCCCCTTATAGAGCATAAAACGAAGTTTGTTGACTCATGCTAAGAAGGAAATGAGCAAAGGGGGAAAAAAAGACCTGGTTATAATTATTAGTGACAGCATCTGGAGGAGCTGGAGTCAGCAGACAAACCTCAATTACTGGGGCTGGATCATAAAGTATATGGTGAGGGGTGCAGCTATTTTAACTGTGGCGTCTAATGTTAGAGTTTATTTTATCAGTTGAGATTCTGATATTAGGTGAAATGAGAGGCCATTTTCATGCTATTTGTACTGGAAGTTTCTTAATTCCAAGAATGTTAATTGATACATAATCTATGCTTAATATAATGTTATCAGTGTCCAAAAATATTACTTTTGAGTGAAATCCCTCTGTCAGCGTGTATTTTTGGTGCCTGAATAAACTTCACATTCTTGGATGGGTTATATTACACTTGAATCAGTCAAAAACAGGCTGTGTCTTACTGCAGTAGCAAATAATCTCATATTTTCCATGGCTTAAAACAACAAAGGTTTATTTTTTGCTCATGTTTCATGTTCCCACAGATCATTAGAAGGCTCTGGTCATCATAATCTTTGAGAGATCCAGTCTGATAAAATAGCCAGTCATCACTCAGAGGAATAAGAAGGCTCTGGGGAATCTTGTGGGGATAATTAAATGCTTTAGAAGTGACTTCTCTTACATCTTTTCACCCCACCCGACCATAAAGAAGCAAGTGGAGTCCCACTATATACTGGGAAGGGAGACAATGAGAAATTTTTGGCAAACAGCTACTACAATATTTATTTCTCTTATGTTAGGGTTTTTTTTTTTTTTCCACAGAATGTTTACTGAGTGGCTTATGTGTGCGGGACACTGTATTAGTGCTTTCTTATGCTATCTTAATTGCCAGCAAAGAGGAAGAACAGGAAGATTCCTAGAATCAAACCACTTTACTATTAATTAGTCAAAACAGACCCCAGCCTCAATTCTCCATCTGCCAAGCCCACTTTAAGTGAAATGTCAGAGCCAAAGCACATAGTGGGAATTTCCTAGTCACTTTTTTGTAGTATTTGTAACTCTGCATTGAATTTTTAGGAAGAATTTAAAAGATGATACATTAGATAAATAGCTTGAATGAAATTACAAAGAGGAGTGTATTAAAAAATGCCAGCAGTAAAATCTCTTCGGGAATTAAAATAACAGATGGACATATAAAAAATCCTTTAGGAAAATATTAATTTGCTGCTAGAAATATATACATATATATACATATATATATATATATATATTTTTTTTTTTTTTTTGAGATGGTGTCTCGCACTGTTGCCCAGGTTGGAGTGCAATGGCACAATCTCGGCTCACTGCAACCTCTGCCTCCTGGGTTCACACGATTCTCCTGCCTCAGCCTCCTGAGTAGCGGGGACTACAGGCACATACCACCACACCCAGCTAATTTTTTGTATTTTTAGTAGAGATGGGGTTTCACTATGTTGGCCAGGCTGGTCTTGAACTTCTGACCTTGTGATCTGCCTGCCTCGGCCTCCCAAAGTGCTGGGATTACAGGCTTGAGCCACCGCACCCAGCCTGGAAATCTATATTAAAGTTATTTTTGAAGTTCTGCATTGAATGTTAAATCTCATGCAGCTCAGACACTTTGGGGATGTCTCTCCCTACTGCTGTTGGGCAACAGGGCAAAAAAATGGTTAATTTTTGGATTAAACATATTTTATACTCTGCTATGCTTTGAATGTTTGTCCTCTCCAAAACTCATGTTGAAATTTGTCAGGTAAGTTTACAAGGCAAAACCTTTGAGAAGTGTTTGAGTTAAGGAGGCTCTGACCTCATGAATGGTTTAATGTCATTATCGTGGGAGTGAGTTTGCCCCCTCACTCTCTTTAGCCCCGCTTTGCCCTTCTACCATTTGATGCCTTCACCATGTTATGATGCAGCAAGAAAGCCCTCAGCAGATGCTAGCACCTTGATATTGAACTTCCCAGCCTCCAGAACTGTGAACCAATTCATTTCTGTTCATTATAAATTACTTGGTATGTGGTGTTTTGTTGTAGCAAAACTGACTATACTAAGACAGATAAGTATAGTTCCTCTAGAGCTTTTTTCAAGTAATTATTACAACTTTAAACAATGGCCTTGAGCTTTGTTGACTAGAAAAGAAAGGAAGCAGGTAAGATAAAATAGAAAACAAAATACTTGGAGAGAGGTTGGAGGGGCAGGATGGAAAACGTGGGAATGGCTTGGTAACATTAGGTGGAAAATGTTTTATTTCACCTACCTGAAATATACCCCATTCATTATAGCTCGGGTATGTTTTCAAGCTCTCTAACAAGTAAGACTGTAATTTGTTAAAGGGATTCACAGATCGTAAGACTTGGGACTCAAATATGAAAGACAAAATTGAATTTATTTATTATGTTCCAAGACTGAGCTACAAATGAACGTACAGCCTTTTGAAGAAAGCAAAAGCCAGGGTTTATGTAGAGTTCGAGATGAGTATAGGATTTGTGAGGTTAAATTTAAATGAGGCAGCATTTTGGTTGACTAGAAGGAATCTAGGCTGGTGATTGATTAAATGGAGAGGGGGTAGACCTACTGGGTGGTTTGCTGCTGGGTGATTCAGCACATGGGTCATGTACTTCAGGCATGAATGGAAAGCTTGTTCTTACCATTTCTTGAAAGTGTTTATATATCTTGCCTTTTTCAAAGATGTTCTTTCTTTCTCTTTTCCCCGGTCTATAGTATTCACTGGGGACTCGCATTATGTAGGTCTAGCACCAATTCTTTCCATATTTTAACTTATATCATAACAGAGATTCAGCATTCAAAGTGTTTGAGTCCTTACTATTTGACAGGGACTTCATTTTTAAGTGGCTAATTGGGAATTCTTGGAGGGTCAGAATAGAACATAAGTAAGTGTAAAAAAAAGGATAACAAGAACTATGATAGAAGTATGTGTTCCAGAATGGGGACATGAAGGAGAAAATGCCCAGTTGTACTTGTGGCTTCATAACCTTATCCTTAAGCTAAGTCTTAAAAGGTGGGCCAAGATCTGTAAGGCCGTGAGCCAGGTAAAGAGATTGTAGGCAGAGGAAGAGCACAGAACTGTTTAACACTTATTTCTTTTCAGGGTACCATGAGCAATTTGGTGTGCACTGTGGAGTGAGGAGTTTTTCTCCTTTCCCTACCTCTCACTTTCTCCCCGGATTTCCTAGGGCTTGCTGTGTGCTAAAGTCAAGTTGACAGAGGGGGCTCTTGGGAACACAATTCGAGTTGGCAAAAGACTAAACGTTTTTAACATAATAACTGCTGAAGATAGGGAGAAAGAGGGGTCTGTATGGAAGATTCTTAGCCTCTCATCTCCTTTTTCTATACGTTAGGAAGCACCTGCCCACTTTTAGCCCTCAACTAGCTCCAAAGAAGAAATCAAATGCTGATGGCCTCTCCTGAGGTGATAATATAGGTGAAATGTGGATATGGAAGAAAAAAATTTACAAGGATTAGGGGGCTTTGTTAGGAAAAAAAGAGGATGTAAGATAAGAATGGTTGAGGTGGTAGGTCTGTGCTTAAACAATAGAGGGAATTTATTGGCTCACATAATAAACCACCCACTTGTCCATAATGTCTTCAGGAATGCAGCTCCATGTTTCTGTGCCTCTTTATTTTGCCTCACCCTCTGCCCACATATGTATTGAGTTTATTCTTAGGCTGACTTTATAGTAGTGGCAAAGTATCTGCCAACAGCTCCAGTCTACAAACTCCATTTTCATAGCCAAGGGAAGAGACAGAATGTCTTCCCGCATTTATTAAAGTCTAGAGCTTTATTATTATGATTGGGGCATCTTAGATGATGTACTTGCATCTGAAGCAATCCTTGGGGCCAGAGGAAAGCCGTGGGCTGCTTGGATTAGAAATAGGTTATATACCCTTACCTGAACCATTCACCATGGCAAGAAAGAAGCCATAATCTCACTTGGATTAGATCAATCAGAGCATTCTGGAGAGAATCCAGTTTCAGCTGCTCAGTTGTTTGCCAATAGAAGAAAGGAAAAATGGAAGAATTGGAGACCTACTCTTTGGTAGGCAACCATGACATCTATTTCATGTGACACTGTATGATGCCTCCAAATTCTCAACAGAAGACCTCAGGCCAGTTGAAGAGCCTGGATTACCTCAGGCCAGTTGAGGAGCCTGGATTTCTTCTTAAGCTCTGGAATCTAAAATGTTAAACTTAAACAATTGCTTGCACTTGGCTTTAGACTACTTCTGCTAGCTTCATGTGCCAATAGCATAGACTGTATCACCTCACCCTTTACCCTAGGGCTGGAATCACAGCTAAGTCATAGGCAATGAGAAGGGACATATTAAGAAATTTAAAGCTTATTTTCAAGAATGTGAGAATTGTCTTAGGATTTTGAAGTCAAAAGATCTATAATGAGGATTACAGTTTGGAAAGATCATATTGACTGCTTGAATAGAGAATGAGTAGAACAAAAAGAAATCACGGAGTGGTTTGAACTGTTTACAGCAAGAGCCTGAAATAAGGTATTTCTAATGGTGATGGTTCCACGTAAGAAAATTTAAGGAACTATCAAAAGACTTAATAAATGAATGAATTGTGGCAATGGTGAGAGAGTTTGGTGAAGGAGAATGGAGTCTAAGGAATGTGGAGGTAATAGAACGCTTTTTTAAAATTTTATTTTATTTTATTTTATTTTAGATGGAGTCTTGCTCTGTCACCCAGGCTGGAGTGCAGTGGTGGGATCTTGGCTCACTATAACCTCCGCCTCCCAGGTTTAAGCAATTCTCCCACCTCAGCCTCCGGAGCAGCTGGGATTACAGGCATGTGCCACCAAGCCTGGCTAATTTTTGTATTTTTTTTTAGTAGAGACGGGGTTTCACCACGTTGGTCAGGCTGGTCTTGAACTCCTGACCTCGTGATCTGCCCGCCTTGGCTTCCCAAAGGTAGTGGGACTCTTCTGAGGGTAGCAATGATAAAATACTCATTTCCTGACTCAATACTAGAGAAGTAGTAATGGTTGGTTTTAAAATTTTTGTTGTGTTGTGGTGAAAGCACCTAGTGAGAGGTCATAGAGTTTAGAATGGTCTGAAACTTCATTCTTTTCATCTGCTGAATTCCTAGCCACCAACAAATAATAGAATAATAATGTCTTTTGTTCTTTCTTCCTTAGATGAGGGAGACTTCCAATAATACCATTTCCTTTCATTAGTACTTTAATACTATTGTTCATGTGAACAAAGTTTCGGTTATTGGTTCTAGTTATTGGTAGGGTTTAATATTTGACAAATAGAGGGATGCTGTTAAAAATACAGGTCTCATTTTATTGAAAAATGCCAATATTTCTAACTAAATCATTCTGAGTCTTAAGAAGGCACTCTGGCTAGATTAGAAACTTTAAAGGTTAATGATCATAGAAAGACTGACTATATTTCTTTATGCCTTAATAGTTTTGAATAAAGCATGGTAGATGAAATGGAAACATAAAAAATTGGACCAGGTCAGGCAGACTTGGATTTAAACGTCTTTTGGCTCAGGAAAAAAATATGAATTTCATTCATATTGCTAACACGGGACAAGATAAGCTGAGAATTAAAAAAAAATTATTTATACCTAATTGTCAGGCTGTAATGTTGATTTATCCACTCTTAGCCCTGATATGTGATATGGCCATCACAATCATTTGCTGTTTTTTATATGGGCAGTATTGTCTAGTTGAACAAAAGTTTCTTCTTGTTTTATAGCATAAGACAGAAATACTTTGTTGAGAAGAATCATTTGGAAAGTTTGGCATATATAGTAGACAGCCAGCTTCTGTTTAGCTTGATACTATATAGTGTGGAAGGTAAATCTAGGTACACGAGCTGGATTGCCTAGAATTTTTTTTTCTTTTCCTGTACAGTAAACAGTGTCTTAGTCTATTTGGCTGCTATACCAAAATAGCATAAACTGGGTGGCTTATAAACAACAGTTTATTTCTCACAGTTCTAGACGCTGGGAACTCTAAGAGCAAGGTGTTGGCAGATGTGGTGCCTGGCAAGGCCATATTCTTGTAACCTCACGTGGTGGAAGGGGATATGTGAACTCCCTTTGGCCTGTTTTGTAAGGACACCAGTCCCCAACTCTCAATGTCCCCACAACTTAATAAAATTACAGTGGGAATTAGATTCCAATAGAAAAGTGTGGGGAAAACACAAACATTCAGACCACAGCATCTGGGCAATGAGAAAAAGAACTTATAAAATGGCCGTTCTGTTTACATGTGTATATTTTAAATGGGCTTCTGTCTCCAGCACTTTGTTTCCTCCCTCAGGTTGCTTGGGCCTGAGAAGCCTCAACAAATCTGTTGAGTCCTAGCGGCTATACCTCTAGATCTCAGTTTTTAAAATTAGTAATGAATAATGATATATTTCCTACTTACCTTGCAGATTTCTTATGAAGATTGAATATTAGTGCATGATAGGTACAATATATCTACAGTTTCAGATTTTGAGTCATTGTCTTTCCTCTTGCTATTACACTAAAGCCCAAACTACTTGCCATGGAAAATAAGGCCTGGCTCTTGCTTTTCCCTCTCCAGTGCGTCTCCTTCTGCTCATTCCACCACCTACACCTTCTATGCTGCACACCAGACATAACATCATTTTGATCTGCTTGTGGTTCTCCAAAGACACATTGCTCTCTCTCACCCACAGGTGTTTTCTCATGCTGCCCCCTCTGCCTAAAGTGCTTGTTATCTACTCATGTTTTAGTCACTCTCCAGGTTTCTAGACCCTTCTCCTCATTCCCCTCGAGCTAAGACTCATGGAAGATAGTGGAGGCAAGGCTGTGAGTGCTGAGGAGGAGGATGGGGAGGGTTTCTTCTCCCTTGCTGATGGGGATAGGAGACATAAGTGAGTCAGTACCAACTCTAATTTTACAGATGGGGCAACAGAGTCACAAAGGGTTCAAGTAATTTTTCCAAGGGAATAAAACAAGTAATTTGTAGAGCTGCGATTTGAACCCAGACAGTCTGCCTGAAGAACGAGGGCATTTATTCTATGCTATACAGAATGTGGTGAATGATTTGCTTATCTCTTCTCTCTCCTGTTGTGCCATTTTCTTCTCCCTAATCCACGCTGTAGTGTTTATTAAAACCTTACCGAAGAATTAAGTAATGGGAAAACTCACATGCAGAAAACAAAGCTTAGATTAAGAACAAAAAGATGTTCATTCTCTGGTGATATCCTTCCACCCCCACTTGAACCCCTATGATTCCCCCTCCTACCAGTAGGAACAGCATCATCCCAGGTCCCAGTGTGCTACCTTTCTTTGGGGTTCCTTATTCCTCTTCTCCCTATCTCATAACCAGTTCTAAGTCAATGTATTTGTTCTGGTTATCTATGGCTGAGTAACAAACTACCCCAAACTTCAGTGGTTTAAAATAACATTTTTTCTCCTTTTTTTTTTTTTTAACATATCATGATTTTGAAGGTTAGCATTTTGCATGATGCTAAGCTTCTCTACATTGCACTGACTGGGATCATGTGGTGTTTTATCTGGCTGGAGGCAGGGCTGGTCTGGCGGGACCAAAAGTGCCCATTGCCTCCAAGGGCATTGCTGAAAGGCTGGATTCAAGTGGTTCCCCTCCTTCCTCCATGTAGTCTCATAAAAATCTTGAGACCTCTCCATGGTCTCTTAAACAGGGTAGTCAGACTTCTTAGTGATCGTCTTAGGGCTCACTACTCTTAAATATATTCTTTATAGCACATATTTGCTTTTTCAGCTTTTAAAAATTTAGTGTTCCAGGAGAGAGGAAGTGGAAGCTGCCAGTCTGTGAAGACCTGGAAACAGGCACATGACACTTCTGTCATATTCTGTTGCATGTCATAGTGGACATAGGACCTGCCCAAATTCAAAGAGAAGGTTTAAAGTTCCTCCACTCCTGCTGAGGGCAGTGTTGAATAGTTAGTGGACATCTTTGATTGATCATAGTAATAACTTTCTGCAGAAAAGCCAGTCTGCTGACAATGAAGGTGGTGGGGGCAGTATGGAGTAGCAGTCAAACATCTAGGCTCTGGCAACTTCACAAGTTAGTATCCTGACTCCACTATTTACTTGCTATGTGCCCTGCGGAAAGTCAACTGTCTGTGCCTCAGTTTTCTCATTTTAAAAAACAGAACTAATACTCTACTTCATACCTGCATAGAGGGTCCCTACCTTATAGAGTCGTGGCAAGTAATACATATAAGGAACTTAGGACAATGTCCAGCACATGACGTGAGCTGTTATTAAACAGAGACAAAGGAGTTTCACTACTCATTGTCTCAATGAAGAGGATGATAGCTGTCCTTTGCTTTACTAAATGGCCCAGTAACATAATATAAGCCACCCTCTCTTCCCCTGCAAAAATCTACTCCTTCCCCTAATCCCCTCTGCACCCACCCCTGCATATGCCTTCCAAAAGGGGAGCCTGCCTTCTCCAAAAATGATTAAGAAAATTGCTGGCAGCTTTAAAGTAGCAGATTGCCTCTACCTTGAGCAATGCAGGTTTCCATGCTCTTAGGACAGAACTTGGTTGTAGCACGATGTCACACTTATCATGGCACTTTAAAAATTGTGTTGAAATTAACTATAATCATCTGTCTCCCCCATTAGACTGTGAGTTACTCAAGAGCAAAAATTTAAAACTTCACCTTTTTTTCCCCCAATGGTAAGCAAGGTAACTAACCGTAGGTGTTCAATATATTTGTAGAATGAGTGGCTTAAAATATAAAATTAACTTTAAAAAAAAATTATTCAGGCAAAGCTGGTGTGGATTAGAATGATTTTTTAAAGTTGTATGGGTGAATAAAATGTTCAAGTTCTACAAGATATTTTTAACAGATAAAAAGGAAATATGTGTCATAAAGAATATATTCAAGAGTAGTAATTAAGTAACATTTTCATTTTGTTTATTCCTCCTTTAGGAGATTCTAAATCTAATTCAGATCCTAGGTTCAGATTTTCTTTTTGTTGATAGCTAATAAGTCGTGGTCCCCACTGTACTTAGCACCACCTGAAATTACGGTTTCACTCACATTTTTGTTCTATTTTTTTTTCCTAATGAATCTATCATTTCTCATCACTTTCTGAAGTTTTCGGCTTTTTACCTTTCCATCATATGGACATTGGGTTCCAGGAAACATTTTGTTTTCCCTCTTGGCTTTATAACTCTACCTTTTGGTTTTTCAGACAACTCCAGATTTGCACTTTTATCACTCCTTTTACAGGATGTTGACATTGATTTTGTTTTTCAGTGGCTCTCTATTGCTTCTCCTTCGTTCCTCCAGGATTATGTTTTACATTTAGGTCATTGTTCAGTGCCCCCCGATTCCAAATAAAATCCTATTTCTGGAGTTAGTTGGGTCCTAGTGGACCTAAATAGAGCAGAGGATGACTATGACAATAAATGAATCATGGCCAAAGCCTTCCTAATGAAGGCCCCTAAACCTACTGAGAAAAAATATTTACAAAGCCATTCATTCTATTTGCTGAATACACAAATCAAAACATTAAAAAGTTAGATATGGACATTAATACTCCACTATGTTTTTGCTCAGTAAATCCCCCACTGGAGTCACCGCTGTAACCCTGAATAAGTGTAAATGTTGTGAATTCATTATTACATCCTGGACCTTACTTGGTTTATGGCAAATATTTATTTTACTTTGAAGTGGCTGCATGTTTAAAGCCTATAACTATGATTACTAATTTTATTTTTTTGGTTTAATAAAAACTGAAATGTGAAGATGGCTAACTAGAGGTGCCCAACACTCATTTCCTCCACAAAAAAGGACCAAAGTAACCATTAGGTAACCTCACATGGAATAGAGTGTCCAAGGGAGAATACGGGAATTCAACAAGAAAGGGACGAAGATCCTCTGAGGCACAGAAACTTGAGATGGCTGCACAGAGAAGGAAGAAAAGCAGCTGGACAAAATTAGCTCAGAGTCAAGAGGGACTCCCAATTGTGGGGAAAAGGCAGGTGGAAGATCCCCAGAAGTCTACATTCTCACCACAGATACCTGCAGTCTTAGTTGCAGTGGAGCCCCTCAGCCCTCACAGGCCCTGAGTCTAGTATAGAGAGCTGCTTAAAGTCTATGTGACTGCATTGTTCCAGAGAGGAAATTCATATTGGGTCACCCCCACCACTGGGATCCAAGCTGCTGCAGCATGGTACCATATTGAGAATAGAGACAACAGAGACTGCATCCTGCCCTGGGGCCCCCTAGCCCCTATATTTCCACATGGGGTCCCACTAAGATCACCCACATCTACTTAAACAGCCACAGCATTGTGAGACCAGCTGGACCCAGCACTTGACCCCATGCAGTGCCCTGTATCCTGGGAAACAGATACTCCAGCACATCAGAGAGGCTGCCCCAAGGACACTGGGAGCTGAAGTGTGCATTCACTGGGGCCTGAGAGTTGCCCACATGGGTCTTCCACCACCAACAGTAACCCTGCCCCTCCAGCAGTGGAGCTGATATGTACCCATGTGTGCCCTGCAGGGGCTCAATAACTGGCCCTACTACTGCCACTACTGGCCACTACTGCCACTGCTGGCACCTAGGAATGATACTAAGGGGCCTAAGGTCCATCTGGAGTTTGCTATCCCTACTGCTGACTACCTTATCCCCTCCAGTGGCAGGGCTACCACACACCCATGTATATCTGCCAGGTGCCCAAGGACTGGCCTACCCAGTGTTTCTGTTCCCAGCAAAGCCAAACCACAGCCTCCACAAACAACCGCAGCATTGGCCACTGTGGAACTTGCAGACAACACTGATGTTTATTATAGCTGAAAAAAAATCATACGGAAACTATATGACTGCACCCACCAAGAGCCAAAGCCAAAGCACCCTTCTCAACTGACACTGTAGGTACATCTGCCAGAAAAGTCTTTAAATCTACTTCATAACATTGGAAAGAGTGAGTGTTACACCAGACACAGATATCAACATAGGGACATAAGAAACATGAAAAAGCAAGAAAATGTGACATCACCAAAGGAGCATAATGATATTCCAGTAATTGGTCTCAAAGGAAAGGAATTCTATAAAATGCTGGAAAAGGAATTCGGAACAGTGATCTTAAGGAAACTAGTGAGTTACAGGAGAACACAGACAATTCAACAAAATCCAGAAAATAATTCATCACCTAAATGGGAAATCTAACAAAGAGACAGATAAAGAACCAAAGAGAAATTATGGAACTGAAGACTTCAATGAATAAAATTAAAAAACCATCAAGAGCTTCAACAATAGACTAGATCAAGCAGAGTAAATAATTTTTGAACTTGAAGATAGGCCTTTTGAAATAAACCACTCAGATCTCCCTCCACCCCCCTTCCCTAAAAATTTAAAAATGAAGAAAGCCTATGTGACATACGTGACACCATTAAGTGAACAAATACTCAAAATTTGGAAGTTCCAGATGGAGAAGAGATGAGAAAAGACATAGAAAACCTATTTAATGAAACAATAACTGAAAATCCCCCAAGTCTTGAGAGAGATATATAAACAGGAAGTTCAAAAATCCCCAAATAAATTTAACCCAAAATGGTTCTCTGAGGCACATTATAGTTAAAAGTCAAAGACAAAAACAGAATTCTAAAAACAGCAAAAGAAAAGCATCAAGTCACATGTAAGGAAGTCTGCATTAGACTCACAGCACATTTCTTGGCACAGAAACCTTATAAGCCAGGAAAGAATAAAGTGATATATTCAAAGTGCTGAAAGAGAAAACAGCTTTCAGAAAAGGACACTATATCTAGCAAAGTTATCCATCATAAATGAAGAACAAATAAAGTATTTTGCAGACAAACAAAAACTGAGGGAATTCATGACTAGAAATACTAAAGTGAGTCCTATAACTGGAAGTGAAAAGATATCTACCATGGAGAAAACACATGATATATTAAACTCACTGATAGAGCAGATATACAAATAAGAAAGAGAAATCAAACATTATCACTACAATCACCAAACTGCAAAAATAAAGAGAAAGGATATGCAAAACAGAACAATTAACAAAATAACAGGAGTAAGATCACCAGTAACAACCTTGAATGTAAAAGGTTTAAATTCCCCAATTAAAGACATAGATGGGTTGAATGAATTACCAAAAAAAGCCTAGCTATATGCTACCTACAAAAAACTCAGTTCACCTGTGAAAGGCACATACAGACTGGAAATGAAGGGATTAAGGAAAAGATATTCCACAAAAATGGAAACCAAAAGTGTTCAGGGGTAGCTATACTTAAATCAGACAACAAATCTAAAAACATAGACTTTGAATCTAAAACATAAAAGGATATAAGAAAGGTCATTATGTAATGATAAAGGGGTTATGTTAGCCTGTTCTTACATTGCTATGAAGAAATACCTGAGACTGGGCAATTTATAAAGAGAAGAGGTTTGACTCACAGTTCTGCATTTCTGTGGAGGCCTCAGGAAACTTACAATCATGGTGGAAGCCAAAGGAGAAGCAGGCACCTTCTTTACAGGGTGGCAGGATGGAATGAATGCAAGCAGGGGAAATGCCAAATGCTTATAAAACCATCAGATTTCCTGAGACTCACTGTCATGAGAACAGCATGGGGGAAACCATCCTCATGATCCAATTACCTCCATCCTTGGTCCTGCCCTTGACATATGGGGATTATGTGGATTAAAATTCAAGATGAGATTTTGAGTGGAGACACAGGCTAACTGTATCAGGGATCAGTTTAACCAGAGGATGGAACAATTGTAAATATATATGCACCCTACACTGAAGCACCAGATATATAAAGCAAATATTAGAGCCAGATACAGACTCCAAGATAAAAACTGAGGACTTCAACACACTACTTTTAGCATTGGCTAGATTATGTACACAAAAAACTAAAACTGAAAATAAACCACATTATAGATCAAATGGAGCTAACAGCATTTCCAGAACATTTTATCAAATGGTTACAGAAAACACATTCTCATCAGCAGATGGAACATTTTCTAAGGTATACCATACGTTAGGCAACAAACCTAATCTCAACCAACTTTTAAAAATCAAAATCATATTGAGTATCTTCTTAGACCATAATGGGATAAAACTAGATATAAATAAGAGGAACTTTGGATACTATACAAATCTTTGCCTAGGCAAATATTTTATAGGTAAGACTTCAAAGGCTCAGGTAACATGGGAATTAAACAACATGCTGCTGAATGACCATTTCGTCAAAAAGGAAATATAAAAACTTGTAACAAATGAAAATATATACACAGTATACCAAAATCTGTGCCATTTAGTCAAAACAGTATCAAGAGGGATGTTTAAAGCAATAAATGCCTACATCAAAAAAGTAGAAAGATTTTAAGTGAAAAACCCAACAGAACACTAAAAGGAACTAGAAAAGCAAGAGCAAACCAAATTCAAAGTTAGTAGATGGAAAGAAATAGAGAGCAGAACTGAACAAAATACAGATAAGAAACTACAAAAGATTAAATGTAGCTGTTTTTTAAAAAGAGGTAAACAAAATTGGCAAACTATTAGACTAAGAAAAAGAGACTATCCAATTAAAACCAGAAATGAAGGAGACATTACAATGAGTACCACAGAAATACAAAGGTTCATTAGAGACTATTATGAACAACTATGCAATTTCCCAAAAATTGGAAAACCTGGAGGGAATGAATACTGAGATTGAACCAGGAAGAAATAGAAAACCTGAACAGACCAGTAATAAGCAAAAATATTAAATCAGTAATAAAATGTCTCTCAAAAAAGAAAAGCTCAGGTGGCTTTACTGCTGAATTCTACCAAACTTTTAAAGGAGAACTAACACCAATTTTCCCCAAACTATTACAGTATACTGAAGAAGGAATTCTTTCTAACTTGTTCTGTGAAGCCAGCATCATCCTGATGCCAAAAATCAGACAAGGACACCCTAAAAAAGAAAACTATAGGCCAGTATCCTTGATGAACATGGATGCAAACATCCTCAGCAAAATACTAGCAAACCAAATCCAACAGTACATCAAAAAGATAATACAACAAGATCAAGTGGGATTTATCCTAGGAAGGCAAGGATGGTTCGACATATGCAAATCAATAACTGTGATACGCCACATCAACAGAAGTAAGGACAGAAACCATACAATCATTTCAATAGATACAGAACAAGCATTTGATAAAATTTGACATCCCTTGATAATAAAAACCCTCACAAACTGTGTATAAAAGAAGCATGCCTCAAAATGAAGGTCAAATATGACAAACCCACAGCCAACAAAATGGGGAAAAATTGAAAGCCTTTCTTCTAAGATCTATAACAAGACAAGGATGCCAGCTTTCACCACTTTTATTCAACATAATATTGGAAGTCCTGGTGGAACAATTAGTCAAGAGAAATAAAGGGCATTCAAATTGGAAAAGAAGATGTGAAAATGTCCCTGATTGCAGATGACATGATCTTTTTTAAAGAAAAACTTAAAGACTATTAAAAATCTTTTAGAATTGATAAGTTTGGTAAAGTTGCAGGTAACAAAATAATTGTACAAAAATTAGTAGCATTTCTATATGCTAATAACAACTATCCAAAAAGGAAGTCAAGAAAGCAATCCCATTTACATTAGCTATAAAAAATAGGAATAAATTTAACCAAGGAATTGAAAGATCACCACAATGAAAACTAGCAAACATGGATGTAAAAAATAGGACACACAAAAATGGAAAGACATACTCATGGATTAGAAAAATTAATATTGTTAAAATGACCCTATTAACCAAAACACTCTATAGATTCACTGTAATCCCTATCAAAATACCAATGACATTCTTCACAGAAATAGAAAAAAGCCTGAAACTTGTATGGAACCACAAAAGATTCTGAATAGCCAAAGTAATACTGAGCAAAATCAAAAGAAGTAAACAAAAGAGCTGGAAGCCTCATACTACCCAACTTCAAAATATATTACAAAGCTATATAACCAAAACAGCATGGTATTGGTATAAAAACAGATACATAGACTTATGGAACAGACTAGAGAACTCAGACGTAAATTCACATATTTTTAGCCAACAGATTTTCAACCAAGAACATACACTGAAGAAAGGACATCCTCTTCAGTAACTGGTGCTAGGAAAACTGGATATCTGTATGAGGAAGAATGAAACTAGGCCCCTATCTCTCACCATACACAACAATAAATTCAAGATGGATTCAATACTTAAATATAGGACCCAACACTACAAAACTACTGGAAGAAAATATAGGGTAATTGTTCAGTATACTGGTCTAGGCACTGATTTTATGCATAATACTTCAAAGGCGCAGGCAACAAAAACTGAAATAGACATATGGGATTATATTCAGCTAAAGAACTTCTGCACAGCAAAGGAAACAACAGAGCATAGAGACAATATGTAAAATGGGAAAAATATTTGAAAACTATTCATCCAACAAGGGCTTCATATCCAGAATACATAAGAAAGGCAAAGAGAAAAAAGCCAAATAACTCAATTAAAAAATGGGCAAAGTATCTGAATAGACATTTCTCCAAAGGCGACTTACATACAGATACATGAAAAAATGCTCAACATCACTAATCAGGGAAATGCAAATCAAAACCACAATGAGATATCATCTCAACCAGTTAGAATGGCTATTATCAAAATAATACTGATAAAGATGTGGAGAAATGGGAACTGTTACGCAGTGTTGATGGGAATGTAAATTAGTGCAACCATTAAGAAAAACACTATGGATATTGCTCAAAAAATTAAAAATAGAACCACCATATGATCCAGCAATCCCATTTCTGGATATATATCTAAAGGAAATGAAACAAGCATTTCAGAGTTATCTGCAGTTCCATGTTCATTGCAGCACAATTCACAATAGTCAATATATGGGATTAACCTAAATGGCCATCTACAGATGAATGGATAAAGAAAATGTTACATATATATATATTTTTATATATGTGAATATTTGGCCTTAAACTGTAATCATGTCATTTACAGCAGCATGGATCAACCTGGAGGATACTATCTAAAGTGAATTAAGCCAGATACAGAAAAAGAAATACCGCATGATCTCCCTCATATATGGAATCTCAACAAGATGATTTCATAGAAACAGAGAGTAGGATAGTGATTACCAGAGGCTGGGAGAGTAGGGAGTAGGAGGGGAACAGGAGAGGTTGGTCAACCGGAAAAAAGGTACAGTTAGACTGGAAGAATAAGTTTTGGTTTTCTTTTACACAAGTTGGGTGACTATAATAACAATGTAGTATATTTTAAGATAGAAAATTTTGAATGTTATCACTACAAAGAAATGATAAAAGTTTAAAGTGATGTATATGGTGATTACTCTATTTTGATCATTATACAATGCATGCAATGAAACATCACACTGTGCCTCATAAATGTGTACAGTTTTTATGTGTCAATTATAAATTAATTTGAAAAACTAGAGAGTAGAATTATGGCTATTTGAGGCCAAGAAGGGTAGGGGGATGGGGAAACGGGGTGATTGGTTAACAGATACAAAATTATAGCTATATGGGAGAAATAAGTTCTAGTGTTTCATAGCATTGCAGGATGAATATAGTTAATAATTTATTGTATATTTTCAAAAAGCTAGAAGAGAGGAGTTTGAATGTTCCTTATACAAAAAAAATCAATATTTTAGGTTATAAAGTAATTACCCTGATTTGATTATTACACATTATATACATCTATGAAAATATCACTCTGTATTTCATAAATATGTATAATTATTACATGTAAATTAAAAGAAGAACACTATAAAAATTATAGGTTGACTTCTTAAAAATATGAACCTAGGCAAAATTAAACTAATACCTACTGGTCATTGCAATGTGTAAATTGTGCTGACCATCATGTGGGATGTTAATAGGGATAGTCTCTTTTCTAAGAGCCTCTTAAAATCAGACATCTTAGGGCTGGAAGGAATTTTTTGAGGTTGTGAGTCCAATCCCTAACCTTTATGAATAAGGAATCTAAGGTCTTAAAAGGCTAAGTGATCTTGGGAAATGCACTTAACCTGTTTGAACTTCAGTTTCATTTTAAAAAATGGAAATAATATCAAACTCACAGGATTGTCATAAGAATTAAAAGCAATAATATATGTTCATAATATATGAGCCAACTGCTGCCCATAACAAACTACCAGTAAATGATGCCTTCTTTTAGTGTTATTATTGGCTATGATGATACAAATAGTTGCAAACCACAAATACAAATTCGGTTCTTTCAAGCGCATTGTTTTATATAGTTCTCCATGCTATCAATGTATCATTTTCCAATCTGGGCAAAATTTGTCTTTCATTAAAGATACATTCAGAAATAGATAGGTGTTACTTGTCAGACTGCCATTTGTTTTCAACAAATCACAACATAAACAAAAGAATGTTCCAAACAAAATAACAGCAACAAAAACCCCAAACCTTTTTGGTGTGCACTTCTTAAATGTAGCATTAAGTTAAAAGTTATATATATATATATATATTTTTTTTTTTTAATTAACACTTTCTAATATAGACACATTAAATGTCATCCATTTGTTCTGCTAAGCATCCCAAATGCTACAGGATATGCTCCAGATTGTAATTCCTATTAGATCTTTCACACTTTCATTGTTTATTAGTTTGTCTTTGGTTGTTGTAGTAGTGGTCAGCTTGGCTACCTCTTCCTGAAGGGCAGGGGTAAATCCTGCTGTCCTATCTTATTTGCAAGATTTCTATCTAAAGCTGGGTAGGAGCCAGTGCTGCTGAGGCTGGTGAATTGGATGTTTACCAACCCTATGTTCTTGGAAAGCCTATCTTATCACTTTATATGAAAGATGGATAGGAGAGTCTTTCCCGATCTAACCTACTAATTTTATCCAGCTCCAAAATGCAAGTGTTTCTTTCTTATGGAGGTTTGAGTGGAACAATATTTAATAGACAAAACTGAAATGTGCCACTGGGTCTCATACATGCACCTCCATGTTCTCTATAGTATTATTTTCAATAAAGATTTTCCATCAATTTAGTAACATTAAGTAGCTTTACAACTTTGTGGAGAGTTGCTTTTTGAATATAAGCTTTATTCTTATGTAAAATTAGATTATCACATCTGCTTCTTCAATTCTTCTTTATTGATTTAAGCTGTCTAGCTGTGTCCCTCACCGACTTTAATTCTAAAAGCAATGGGGCTTGTATTAGCCAGGGTTTTACAGAGAAACAGAACCCATTGGATGTATATGTGTATACATATAGAAAGAGATTTTTTTTTGACTCAAGCAGTTACAGAGGCTGGCAAGACCCAAATCTGCAGTTGGCAAGTTGAGGGCTCAGGAGCATCCATGTTGTAATTCCAATCTGAATCCAAAGGCCTGCGAACCAGGAGAGCTGATAGTATAATTCCGGTCTGAATGCCCAGGAAGAACTAATGTTTCAGTTCAAGTCCAAAGGAAGGAAAAAACTAGTGTTCCAGCTCAAGGTAGTCAGGCCAGAGGAAATTTCCCCCCTACCTATGGAGGGGTCCACCTTTTTGTTCTGATCAGCCCTTCAACTGATCGGATGGTGTCCACCCATGTTGCAGAAGGTAATCTGCTTTACTCAGTCTATCAATCCAAATGTTAATTTCATCCAGAAATGCCCTCATAGACACACTCAGAGTGATGTTTGCCCAAATGTTTGGGCACTCTGTGGCCTACTCAAATTGACACATAGAACTAACTACTGCAGTGCTAAATGGCTTTTGTCTTTAATCTGTTACGCCATAAAAAACCATAATTGCACTTTTGCTATTCATAAATGTATATGACTATTAAATTAGCCATGACTGAACTTCTGGTTTCATAGAAATTGTATTTTGCTTACATACCTCTAAATGATGATACTTGTGTGGATAATTTGCTAATGTCTCTGCATGCATAAAGTGAATCAAATAGAGTGAATCAAACTGGGGTTCCCCAGATTGAGTGTTTTGGGTAGGGAAAAAATAATGCTTTCTGTTTTTTATTTTTTTATTTTTTTTAAAAAAAAAAGAATTTGAAGTTGGCCAGATCTTAATTTGAATCTAGGCTTTGGCATCCAGCATCTCTGTAAATTTGATATTTTATTAGACTTTTCTGAGCCTCAGTGCTCCTCTTTGCATAAATTGGGAAAATAATACCTCCTTCACAGTGTTATGTTAATTAAATGGCATAACGTATGCAAAACTGTTAGAATCCTCCTTTTTACTTTTAAAATCTTTATTAGACATTTAACTCTTTTCATTCTATTCTTTGTCTCTTAACCATTCTTTCAATCTTTTTATGTCTCTGTATTGAATCATTAATTTTTTCCAGTGTTTCTTCTAGATCATCAATCCCCTCTGAATTGCTGTTCAGTGTATTGATTTAATTTCGGAAAATATTTTTTATATGTAGAATACTTATTCAGTTCTTTTTTCAAGTACACCTTCATTCACTGTACTTTATTTTTTGTGAAGTTTTAAATTTATTTCTTCTGTCTTTAGTGATATTTAAAATTTTTAATCAAGTTTATCAGAAAATTCTGTACGAAAATATGACAATTTTAATCTGCCATCTATATTGTCTGCTGACTATTATCTAAAGATAATTGCTTTCTCTTTTTAAAACAATTTGAATTGAGATTCTATCTGATAATTAAGTGGTGCTTAATCTGTAAGACTCGTGTAGTCTGGCTTGATGAAATACCATTCTAAGCCATGTTTTTTTTTTTTTTTTTTTTTTTTCCAGATATCCTAGGGATATAACCAGCTTAAAATATCCTTTAAAATTTGCAGTATTATTTATATGAAGTGAAATGCGTAGATCTTATTGTGCAGTTCAATAAGTTTTGACAAATGTATACATTTATGAAACTCTTACCCTTGTCAAAATAAATATCTCGGCTGGGTGCAGTGGCTCACACCTGTAATCCCAGCACTTTGGGAGGCTGAAGTGGGGCGGATCACGAGGTCAGGAGATCGAGACCATCCTGGCTAACATGGTGAAACCCCGTCTCTACTAAAAATACAAAAAATTAGCCGGGCGTGGTGGCGGGCACCTGTGGTCCCTGAGGCAGGAGAGTGGCGTGAACCCAGGAAGGCGGAGCTTGCAGTGAGCCGAGATCACGCCGTTGCACTCCAGCCTGGGCAACAGAGCAACACTCCGTCTCAAAAAAAAAAATAAATAAATAAAATAAATAAATAAATAAATAAATATCTCCATCATCCTAGAAAGTTTATTCATGCCCCTATGAAACAGGTCGTCTCATCACTGTTCAGCTTGCTATCTCACCTACGGTAGTTTTTCCTGTTCTAGAATTTCCTAAGTGGAATCGTATATTATGTACTATTTTATGTCTGGCTTATTTCACTCAGCATGTTTTTCAGATTTACCCATGTTGATAGATGTATTGATGGTTAAGTTTTGTTTTTTATTGCTGAGGGGTCCACTGTATGGGTATGCCACAATTTGTCCTTTCACCTGTTCGTAGATGTTATGGTTATTATCAGTTTTTGGTTGTTATGATTAAACTGGTTATTATGAACATTGGTATACACATTTTTGGGTGGATATGTTGTATTTATTTTTGGGAAAATACCTAAAAGTGGAATTGTTGGGCCATTTGGTAAATGTATGTTTAACTCCTCAAAGTAAACTTTCAGTTTTCTACAGGACTGTACAATTTTAAATTCCCACCACCAAAGTATGAGTGTTTCAGTTATTCTGTATCCTTACTAACGCTTGATATTTTAAATTTTAGCCATCCTAATTATTATTTATTGTAGTTTTACATGTTTATATTTTTAATGACTAATGATGTTGAGTATCTTTTTATGTGCTTACTAATAAGCATATTCATGTTGTTTGTCCATCAAAATTTTTTGGATTGTGTTTTCTCTTTATTCATAATATTGGGAAATTATTTTTATATTCTAGATATATGTCCTTTCTCTCTCTCTCTCTCACTGTCCCTTCCCTCTCTCTGTATATATACATGTATATACTGTCTATGTTCCCTCTCTTCCAATCTGTGGCTTTTGAATCAATTTTTTAGCTACAATATTCACTTTATGTATTCATGTATTTTTTAAAATGTTTAAGTTCAGTGGTGCATGTGCAGCTTTGTTACATAGGTAAACATATATCAAGGGGGGTTTGTTGTACAGATTATTTCATCACCCGGTATTAAGCCTAGAACCCATTAGTTATTTTTCCTGACCATCTCCCTCCTCCCACCCTCCACCCTCTTATAGGCTCCAGTGTGTGTTTTTTCCCTCTATGTGTCCATGTGTTCTCATCATTTAGCTCCCACCTGTAAGTGAGAACATACTGTATTTGGTTTTCTGTTCCTGCATTAGTTTACTAAGGATAATGGCCTGTAGCTCCATCCACGTCCCTGCAGAGGACACGATCTCATTCTATTTTATAACTGCATAGTATTCCATGGTGTTTATGTAACACATTTTAAAAATCCAGTCTGTCGTTGATGGGCACTTAGGTTGATTTCATGTCTTTGGTATTGTCAGTAGTGCTGCAGTGAACATACATGTGCATATGTCTTTGTTTTTTTTTTTTTTTTTTTGAGACGGAGTTTCGCTCTGTCGCCCAGGCTGGAGTGCAGTGGCGCGATCTCGACTCACTGCAAGCTCCGCCTCCCTGGTTCACGCCATTCTCCTGCCTCAGCCTCCCGTGTAGCTGGGACTACAGGTGCGCGCCACCATGCCCGGCTAATTTTTGTATTTTTAGTAGAGACGGGGTTTCACCGTGTTAGCCAGGATGGTCTCGATCTCCTGACCTCGTGATCCGCCCGTCTCGGCCTCCCAAAGTGCTGGGATTACAGGCGTGAGCCACCGCGCCCGGCCGCATATGTCTTTATAATAGAAAGATTTACATTCCTTAGGGTATACACCCGGTAATGGGATTGTTGGGTCAAATGATATTTCTGTCTAGGTTTTTGAGGAATCACCACACTGTCTTCCACAATGGTTGAACTAATTTACAGTCCCACCAACAGTGTAAAAGTGTTCCTTTTTTTTTTTTTTTAAACAACCTTGCCAGGATCTGTTATTTGTAGACTTTTAAATAATAGGCATTCTGACTAGTATGAGATGGTATCTCATTGTGGTTTTGATTTACATTTCTCTAATGATCAATGATGTTGAGCTTTTTTATACCATTACTACCCAAAGCAATTTATACTCTCCAAAGCAATTTATAGATTCAATGCTATTCCCATTAAGCGACTATTGACATTCTTCATAGAACTAGAAAAAGATTTTTAAATTCATATGGAATCAAAAAAGCTAAGGCAATCCTAAGCAAAAAGAATAAAGCTGGAGTCATCAATGCAAAGGGATTTCAAACTATATTACAGGGATACAGTAATCCAAACAGCATGGTAGAGGTATAAAAACAGACACGTAGTCCAATGGGACAGAATAAAGAACCCAAAAATAAGACCACACACCTACAACTATCTGATCTTTGACAAACTTGACAAAAACAAGCAGTGGGGGAAGGATGTCCTATTCAATAAATGCTCCTGGGATAACTGGCTAGCCATATGCAGACAATTGAAACTGGACCCCTTCCTTACACCATATATACAAAAATCAACTCGATGAATAAAAGACTTAAACATAAAACCCAAAAGTAAATCCTGGAAGACAACCTACATAGTATCATTCAGGATATAGGCACAGGCAAAGATTTCATGACAAAGACACCAAAAACAATTGCAACAAAAGCAAACATTGACAAATGGGATCTAATTAAACTAAAGAGCTTCTGCACAGCAAAAGAAACTATCAACAGAGTAAACAGACAACCTACAGAATGGGAGAAAACTTTTGCAAACTATGCCTCTGACAAAAGTCTAATATCCAGCATTAATAAGGAACTTAAATTTACAAGAAAAGAACAACCCTATTAAAAAGTGGGCAAAAGACATGAACAGGGATACTTATCAAAAAAAGACATACATGCAATCAATTTTTAAGTGTTTTGAAAAATATAAATGTTAATTTTGATGAAGTCCAGTATATTATTTCTTTTCCTTTAGAGTTTTATTTTTGTGTTCTAAGAAATCTTTCCTTACCTTTAGATCATGAAGACATTCTCCTTTATTTCTTCTAAAATGTTGCTCCTTTTTCTAAAGAGCTTTTATGTTTACGTCTATGAGTGCTCTCAAATTTATTTTCATTGTGGTTTTGATTTGCATTTCTCTGATGGCCAGTGATGATGAGCGTTTTTTCATGTGTTTTTTGGCTGCATAAATGTCTTCTTTTGAGAAGTGTCTGTTCATGTCCTTCGCCCACTTTTTGATGGGGTTGTTTGTTTTTTTCTTGTAAATTTGTTTGAGTTCATTGTAGATTCTGGATATTAGCCCTTTGTCAGATGAGTAGGTTGCGAAAATTTTCTCCCATTTTGTAGGTTGCTTGTTCACTCTGATGGTAGTTTCTTTTGCTGTGCAGAAGCTCTTTAGTTTAATTAGATCCCATTTGTCAATTTTGTCTTTTGTTGCCACTGCTTTTGGTGTTTTAGACATGAAGTCCTTGCCCATGCCTATGTTCTGAATGGTAATACCATCTCACACCAGTTAGAATGGCAATCATTAAAAAGTCAGGAAACAGCAGGTGCTGGAGAGGATGTGGAGAAATAGGAACACTTTTACACTGTTGGTGGGACTGTAAACTAGTTCAACCATTGTGGAAGTCAGTGTGGTGATTCCTCAGGGATCTAGAACTGGAAATACCATTTGACCCAGCCATCCCATTACTGGGTGTATACCCAAAGGACTATAGATCATGCTGCTATAAAGACACATGCACACGTATGTTTATTGTGGCATTATTCACAATAGCAAAGACTTGGAACCAACCCAAATGTCCAACAATGATAGACTGGATTAAGAAAATGTGGCACATATACACCATGGAATACTATGCAGCCATAAAAAATGATGAGTTCATGTCCTTTGTAGGGTCATGGATGAAATTGGAAATCATCATTCTCAGTAAACTATCGCAAGAACAAAAAACCAAACACCGCATATTCTCACTCATAGGTGGGAATTGAACAATGAGATCACATGGACACAGGAAGGGGAATATCACACTCTGGGGACTGTTGTGGGGTGGGGGGAGGTGGGAGGGATAGCATTGGGAGATATACCTAATGCTAGATGACGAGTTAGTGGGTGCAGCGCACCAGCATGGCACATGTATACATATGTAACTAACCTGCACAATGTGCACATGTACCCTAAAACTTAAAGTATAATAATAAAAAAAATTATTTTCATGTATACTGGAAGGTGTAAAGGCTAAAGATTATTATTATTTTTTAAAACTATGGATAGATGTTCCAGCATCTTTATTGAAACGATGTATTCTTTGTCATAAAATTGTTTCGGTAGTTTGTCAAAAATCAATTGATCATATAAGTGTAGGTCTGTTTTTGGATTTCTCTATACTATTCCGTTGAGCAATACAACTATTATATAGTAGTAGTTATTTCTTGCTAGTTTTTATGCAGTCGGATAATTTTTTGCCTTGAATTTGTCATGTGTGTTCTATGTTTTCAATGTAATTGTTAATATGATCATGTTTAAATCTTACTATTTTTCTCTCATCTGCTTTTGTATTTCCTTTCACGTTATCTTTTTGAGTAAATTAAATATTATTTAGTATTCCATTTTATCTCTATTTTCTTTTAAGATTTATTTAAAATATGTGCTGATGTAGGCTTCAGAGTTTACAATATACGGTGTTAACCTATTACAGTCTCCCATGAATTAATAAAATACTACTTCATGTATACTATAAAAACTGTATAACAATGTCTTTCCTATTACCTTCTCTATTCTTTGTGCTCTTATTGATATCTATTTTTCTACACTTTTATAAGCCTTACAGTAGAATGTTTTTGCTTTCACTTTAAAGATCATTGTTTAAAATTAAGAGGGCAAATTTTCTTTTACTCCATATGTTTTTACTATTTACAGCATTCATTCTTTGCAGATCCGCATTTTCATCTGGTATGGTTTCTCATCAAACTGAAGAATTTTATTTTAGCATTTCTTATAGTATAGGCCTGCTGGTAACAAATGCTCTCACCCTTTGCTTAACCAAAATTATCTTTAATTCACCTTCCGTTTTCAAGGGATATTTTTCCTGGAGATAACTTTTTTTTTTTTTAGATTTTAAAATAGGTTATTCCATTTGTTTTCTGAATACATTTCTTCTGATGTGGAGTCTGCTTTCCTTTTTGTGATTGTTCCTTTGAATGTAAGGTGTCTTTTTATTTCTGAATGCTTTTAACGTTTTCCTTTATGATTGGTTCCCTTTAATTTGACTTTGAACCTAAGTGGTTTGGTTTTGTTTTTCATATATTTACTCTGCTTAGGATTCATTTAGATTCTTGGATCTGGGGGTTAGTGTTTTTCATCAACTTTTACAAAATTTACACTACTATTTCTTTAAAAACTTTTCTCTTCTCTTTGGAACTTCAATTAAATGCATTGTAGACACATTGGGTTCACTGATGCTCTGTTCATTTAGTAAATTTTTTCTTTCCATGATTCATTATGAATAATTTGTAATAACCTCTCTTCAAGTTCACTAATTCTTTTTCCTGCAGTGTCTAATATTGTTATGCCCATCAAATAAATAATATACTGTAAAATTTTATTTTGTTTTATTCAGATATTATGTTCTCTAGTTCTGGAGTTCCATTTGGTTCCCAATGAGAGTTTTGACTTTTCTTCAAAAAACATATTTACCCATAATATCTTTTTTACTGTAATTTTTAAAACACATTATAATAGTTGTTTTAAATCTGTTGACTTCTAATTTCAATAATGAGGTCTTCCATGGATTTACTCCTGTTGACTGTATGTATTTAAAATTTTAGAAAATTTCAGATCATATTGATTATTTTTAAATTTAATAATTTTGTATTGTATTCTATACTTTGTATGTAAAATAACAATGGAGGAAGATGTATGATTTGGGGTGTTTTTTATTTTCCAGATAATGAGAGTTTGTTATTCTAAATTGAAGGTAGAATGAGGACTGATGTTACAGAGTCCTCCTAGATTTGAGTTTTACTATGGCTGGTCTGTTGTTTTGACTATATTGAGTTTGCCAATGATTAACCCAGTTGTCATTCTTGACCCATTTTTGATCTTGTAAATATGTGCGTTAAAAGAGTTGAGCTGAAGTCTCAGATATTTTTATTTTAACCTTAGATTAAACTCTAACTGGGCTTTGGAATGCCAGCCCTGTGGAATGAGTGGGTCTCTAAAATACCTTAGATTTTGAGCCCTTCTTTCATTGCTTACTTTCTCGCAAAATGCAAAGTGGAACATGAGTAATGCGTATGGATAAATTGTCAGGTGTTGTGATTTGCACTCAGCTTCTAGACTCAAATCCATCTTGCCAGCTCACGCTGTCATCTAAGGCTCTGCTTGTTTCTTACTGCTGCAAAGTCTTCCATTCTTTGTGAGGTATGTTCCTCCATCTAATGATATCTACATACTTTTCCTCCCCACCCCCAAGGTATAGGAGTTGCCACAGCTGTCCCTAAACCTATGAAGAGCTCATTTCTCTCTTGAATTTAGTTTAGGAAGGCTTCTTGGTATTCACTTTTCTTTATCATTCCTATAGAGAAATGGTCTTTCATTTTCTGGGCTTTCTTTGGTGTCCTAAATCTTAACTGGACTTAGAACAACTTTGAATAAGATATATACTTCAGAAGAGAAGTCAGAAGCTCATAGTGTTTATCCGGGGGAATGCCATATCAGGTGTACCAATTATTAGGGGGACTAGCCAGTTGCTGAAACCCCCAATCATGATTGGTATTACCATAAAGACGATTATAACGAATGCATGGGAGGTAACAATAACATTGTAGATCTGGTCATCTCCTAGCAGAGTTCCTGGTTGGCCTAATTCTGCTCGAATTAGAAGGCTTAAGGCCGTGCCTACTATCCCCGTTCATGTGGCAAATAGCAGGTGTAGTGTTCCAGTATCTTTGTGGTTAGTTGAAAACAATCAACGATTGATGAACATAAGTGGGAAAAAAATGTAAAATGGCTGAGTAAACATTAGACTGTAAATTTAAAGACAGAGGTCAAGGCCTTTTTATCAGCCCTGAGGTGATTTCTCATGTTGAGTTATAAATTCAAAGGAGCAGCTTCAGTCCTGCCGGAGCTTCTCTGGCCTTTCTCCCCCAGTGGCGGGAGAAGGAGATTGAGACCAGTTGATTAAGGTGTTTAGCTGTTAACTAAATTTTTGTGGGTTTGAATTCCATCAATCTAGCAAGAGCTTAGCTTAATTAAAGTGGTTGATTTGTGTTCAATTGATGCAGAATAGAGTCTTGCAGTCCTTAGATCTGTTATAGAAATTAAGTGTAACCTACTTACTAAGGGCTTTGAAGGCCCTTTGTCTTATTTAACCTAAATTTCTAAGTTATAATTAGTATTAATGGAGAGATGGGTAAGAGGAGGTTAGAAGAGATGACAAGTGGGGGGAAGACAGTATGGGTTTTGTGTTTTCAAATTGTCATTTTATTTTCATATTGTTAGATGTGGGGAATAGTGTCACTGAGATGGAATAAATTAGATTTATGTAAAAGTACAGGTTGAGTAGGGTTATGGTAGCTATAAGGGTCAGATTAATAAGGCTTTTTGTAATTCTTGGATGATGATTCATTTAGGCAGGAACCCTGTTAATAGGGATAAACCTAGAGAGAGTAGAATTAGTGGAATTATAGGTGTGAAGCGTGTTAATGTGTTTCAGGCATGAGATAGTGACAGGGTTGTGGTACTTATACTCAGGTTGAATGCTAGAAATGTGATTGTTGTTAAGATGAGGTAAGTAATCAGGTTTAGAATGGTAATGTTTGGGTGACAGATTAGTACTGCTATTATTCAACCTATGTGAGTGATTGAGGAGTAGGCTGGGATTTTATGCAGTTGTGTTTCCTTATGTCCTCCTCAACTACCCACTATAATGGATAGGATTGTGATAGATAGGAGGATGTTCGTGTTTGATGATGGGAAAATTTGAAACGTAATCGAGATAGGGGCTAGTTTTTGTCATGTGAAGAGAAGTATACCAGACGTTAGAGAGATTACTTGGGTTACCTCTGGGACTCAGAAGTGAAAGGGAGCTATTCATTTATTACTAGGGTCACTATTATTATTATGGATGAAAATTGATTAATAGTGTTTATTATTGTTCATTGTCTGGAGGACAGGTTATTGGAAAGGATACCTATCATGAGAATTATAGATGCCGTTGCTTGTGTAAGGAAATACTTGGTGGCTGCTTCTGTAGAGCCGGGATTTTTTTTTTTAATTAAGATTGGGATAAAGGCTGTTATGTTTATTTCTAGGCCTGCTCAGATGAGAAATCACTGTGAGCCTAGCATTGTGATAAGAATTCCTGTGAAAATAGTAAGGGAAATAATAAGTTGGGCTAAGGAATTAATTAGTACAGGAAGGGTGTAACTAACATTTTCGGGGTATGGGCCCGTTAGCTTATTTAACTGACCTTACTCTAGGACGTCTGGCTCTATCATCCAGGCTGGAGCACAGTGGCGATCTAGGGTCACTGCAACCTCCAACTCCCTGGTTCAAGCAATTCTCCTGCCTCAGCCTCCCAAGTAGCTGAGATTATAGGCGTGCGACACCACGCCCAGCTAACTTTTGTATTTAGTAGAGACAGGGTTTCACCATATTGGCCGGGATGGTCTCAATCTCCTGACCTTGTGATCCACCTGCTATGGCCTCCCAAAGTGCTGGGATTACAGGCGTGAGGCACGGTGCCCGGCTCAGCTGGAGTTTTTCACAACTTAGAGAGTTTAGCTTCACTGAGGGTAGATCTTAAACTCTCTTTATGCCGAGTTCTATTAGCTCAGGTTCATTGTATGGCTGCTGTGGCTGGCACAAAATTAACCAACCCTACATATTAGTATAGCTTAGTCAAACTTTCATTTATTACTAAAAATTTATTACTGCGTTTCCCATGGAGGTGTGGTTAAGCAAAGTGTTTTGAGCTGCATTCATGCGTGCTTGATACCTTCTCCTTTTGATCCAGGTGATCTAGAGGGCATTTTCACTGGGGCGGGGATGCTTGCATGTGTAATGTTACTAAGAGCTAATAAAAAGGCCAGGACCAAACCTATTTGTTTATGGTGTTGTGTGGGCCCATCTAGACATTTTCAGTGTCTTACTTTGAATAATAAAGCTACATTGACTACATAAATACTTAGTGGAAAATTAAAATATGAGAAAGAAAGAAGTTTAAATAGTCATTTACAGTTCTGGAAATTCAGGGTCTTTAAAGTTGAATTTGCAGAGGTTTGGCTGAGAGGATTACTCATAGAGTACGGTTGATTTAGGGTATGATATAATGGGGCAGCACTTTCAGAGGGATATGCTTAAGGTATTAGTATTAGGGCGGAAACTTAGTTACATTTATTATACAAAACGAGGAATAATTTGGTAGGAGGAATAAAAGGAGGAATAATTTGGTAGGAGGGTCTTAAGATTTTTTAGAAAAATTACATCAATCGAGGGGTAGCTGTTGGGGGGTTCGTGGTTAAAATATGATTTCTGGGCTCTGACTGGGTTGCATTTTAGTCTCTCGTTTTTGAGGTTTGGCAAGGGTACGTCTACCTAGGTCGATGGTAAAGTCAGAGATGGGAAGGATTGCAGATTTAATCAGAAATCGTTCTTGAAATTGGGTGAGCGTGTGTACGTCAGCGTACGTGCGGGAGCGTCTGTTGATTGTTACGTCTTTCAAGCATGAATTAATGAACAGTTTATGGTTATTATACCAGCCCGAAATATTCAATATAAGCTCAGGTTCTACAATTGATTTGGCAAGAATCAATTCTGAGTTTGTCTACAGTGGATTCGGCAGGGACTTGGCCTGCCGCCATGGTGAGGGATAGCATCCCCTAAAGTTAAAAATACCAAATGCATGACAGTGCTCCCGTGACTGGTTAATAGGGTGGTAGTCACCAGTCCATCGAGATGTCTTATTTAAGGGGAATGTGTGGGCGATCTTAGTGTTATGGCCCTGAAGTAACAACCAGATGCCAGGTATAGTTTCAGTATAGTCACCCCCAAGTGTCATGGGCCTGAGCAAGGAGCGTAGCACCCCTGAGCGGGATGATGATTTCTTGAGCAGGATGATGATTTCTCAGAGGTTGGTAGATTAAGTAGACCAAAAATTGGCAGGGGATATCCATGTTGATGAGGGATGTCTTGACTAAAATGTGCTATGTCCGATGAACGAATGTATGTACTATGTAACATCAATTTACATTGTACGGGTTTTTATAGTACAGGTCAATATCCATGTGGATTAAGTTTGTACAGTCAATAGTAGATGTGTGATACTTGATTAAAGAATTATTAATACGTGCTTATATGCATGTGGACTGGATTTGTAATGTATTGTTATATGTGAATGTACTGTGTATGAATAAGCAATAATAGTAATATATATTATTCATGGGGACTAGCAGTAATGCACGAAGTATATTCACAAAGAGTATAAATTCACACCTGAGACTCACATATACGATTATGAGTTCTCAGGGAAGACTAATTTTTCCACTTGAGTTTAGTCGAAGACAGATAAATTGTATTGTCATCTCTTCGGGTTTGTTGGTTGATCTTTCCTGTGAGTCCTGAGCTTCTGGCTTTACGTAGAATTTGTAACCACAACAACCTAATGATGGTGATCTGAGACCTTAGATACTATTTTTAGGTGTTTTCTAAAATCCAAATGATCGGGTTATAACTGATAGCTGGTATGTAATCTCATCTCTCATCCTGAAACAGCCATAGATTTAGGTTCTGGTGATCTGTGCTTTCTCTGTGTTTCTTCTGGACATTTTCCTTTTCTGTTGAACTTAGGAGTGTATTTAAGAAGATACGTGTTACATTTATGTATAATTTTTTACAGATATATAATAACTGTAAAGTTTTTGGTTATTTCGGTTATTCTATTATTGGAAACACAAGTTACCTTTTTCCTTTGTTGCCCCAACCTTCCCTTCCTCCTCTGTGGTGCTGAAATTTAGGTGTTAAATTTGAATGCTGTTAGAGGACAGGGGAGAATGAACTTTCCCTGGTGAGTAAGCATCCATGCTGATTCTATCAAAAGGATGTGCTCACTTTGGGATATCGTAGTTTGGAAACTGATGGGAAATATCCTATTACTCAGTAATAACCTTAGTAGTGCGCACTTCACCTATCTTTAGTCTCTAGCTGTGGGGCTCATGACTCAGTGATGACAAGGCCAAATAAGTAAATTTTGGAAGAAGTTAGAATGGCTAATTTTCTGTTTGGTCTCAGGAGGATCCGTAACTGACACCTTCTTGGACCCAAAGCAATGGTCATAATATCGTCTCTCCCCCACGATACCACTTTATGAGCACAGTCTTTGGAGTCATACAGCTTGCGTATTTATTAAAACTCTCAAAGTTCTAGTTTCTTTATCAGCAGAAAGAGCATAATGATAATATTTATAGCATAGTTTGTATTTTTATTTTTTGAGGATTAAATGAAGTATGAGGTAATGCTTGCAAAGTACTACGTATATAGCCCAGCATGTTGTAACCTCTAAATTGATATTAGCTATTATAATTGGTTAGTAGTATTAGTATGCCAAATAATTAGTTGTAACAAAACATTTTGAAATCTATGTTAGGTTGTAATATGAACACCAACACTCTTGATAAACAGTGAGATCAGGAAATAGAAGACATTATGTGCTTGAAACCTCTTTGTGCCCCACTATAATCGGCCAGCCTATTATCACAAGTCAGAATTTCATGTGTCATAAGCCATGCAGCTGTTTATTACTTGGATATTATTAATGCCGTATCTGGAGTGTGGGTAGTATATTTTTAAAAGATTGTGGCCTATTATTTATATAAAAGTCACTATGAAAGAATTGTATTGTGTTGTAATAAAAGAGCCGTCTCACCAGACTGAAGTGTTGTTTCTACAACAGTGAAAGAGAGACTAAACAAAGCAAACTGGAAAAGCTGCTTGGTGTTAATGTGAGCAGTTCACATTGTTTTCCTTTTTTTATTGTACTGTATTACCACTGGCAATCAGTGTGGGGCCTTCACTTACGAAAATATAGCTGCTGGCGTTTTAGGCTCAATTTCATTCTCAAGCTGTCATAAATGATCACATGGGAAGATAATACTTGATCGGAATTTTGTTTTTTTTTTCTCATTTTGTTCTTTTATTTTTCTTTGAGGCAACTTGTTGGAGTGAAGATTGAGATCTATAATATACTGCAATTCTTGGAAAATACTCATACATTCTCAGAAATTCTATTCACACAGTAAAAAGATAGAGACAATGCCCTAATTGAATTAAAGCATTTGCAGTCATTCTCACTTGTTTCCTACTGTTATCACTATATGTTCTTGAACAAGATGTAATATATGCCTTCTTGCATTCTTTTTTAAAATTATAAATTGAAAAAATATAATTGTGTATATTTATGGGGTACAAAGTGATGTTATTATATATGTATACAGTGTAAATGATTAAATCAAGGTAATTTGAATACTCATTACCTCAAATACTATTATCTGATGAGAACATTTGAAATTTACTCTCTTAGCAATCTTAAAATATATAATACATTATTATTAACTAGTCACTAGGCTATGCAATAGATCTCAAAAAAATTATTCCTCTTACTGAAACTTTGTACGTTTTGGCATCTTTCCATTTCTTCCACCCTCCAGCCTCTGATAACCTCCATTCTACTTTCTGCTTCTGAATTTGATTGTTTTAGATTTCACATGTGTGATCATGTGGCATTAGTCCTTCTGTGCCTAGGTGGTTTCAATTAGCACAATATCCTACAGGTTCATCCATGTTGTTGCAAATGAAAAGATTCCTTCTTTAAGGCAGAATAGTTTGCCATTGTGTATAAATACCACTTTTTCTTTCTCCATCGATCGATTGATGAACACTTACACTGATTCTGTAATTTGACTATTGTGAATAATGCTACAATGAACATGGGAGTACAGATACCGCTTCGACATGCTAATTTCAAATCTTTTGGATATATACCCAGAAGTGGGATTGCTGGATGATGCAGCAGTTCTATTTTTAGTTTTTTGAGGAACCACCGTACAGTTTACAAAATGGCTGTACTAATTTATATTCCCACCAACAGTGTACAAGGATTCCCTTTTCTCCATTTGCTTGCCAATGCTTATCTTTCATCTTTTTGGTAATAGCTATTCTGACAGGTAGAAGATGATATATCATTGTGACTTTAATTTGCATTCCTTTAATAATTAGGGATGTTGAGTTTTTCTCATATATCTGTAATATTGGGGTTTGGGGTTTTAATTTTCATTTTTTAGTGATTAGTAATTTTGAGCATTTTTATATGTACCTATTGGTCATTTGTATGTCGTCGTCTAAGAAATATCTGTTCAGGTCTTTTGCTCATTTTTTAATCAGGTTATTTGTTTTCTTGCTATTGAGTTCTTTATATATTTGGACATTAACTCCTTACAGGAGTAAAGCTTGCAAATATTTTGTTCCAATCTGTAGGCTGTCTATTCACTCTAATAATTGTTTCCTTTTCTGTGCAGAAGCTTTTCAGTTTGATGTAATCTCATTTGTCTATTTTTCTTGCGTTGCCTGAGCTTTTGCAGTTAAAGCCAAAAAGTCAGTGATCAGACTAATGTAAATTTCCCCATGTTTTTTCTCTAGTAGTTTTACAGTTTCATGTCTTATGTTTCATAATTCTTTCATTGATTTCGAGTTGACTTTTGTATATGGTATGAGATGAGGGTCCAAATTCATTTTTCTGGAGGTGAATATCCAGTTTTTCCAACACACTTTGTTGAAGAGACTGCCTTTTTTCCATTGCATGTTTTTGGCATCATTGCTGTACATCAATAGACCATAAATGCATGGGCTAACATTTGGGTTCTCTATTCTCTTCCATTCATCGATGTGTCTATTTTATGCTAGTACCAGGCTGTCCTAATTACTATAGCTTTGTAATGTAGTTTGAAATCAGGTAATGTGATGCCTCTAGCTTTGTTCTTTTTGCTTAAGTTTGCCTTGGATATTTGTGTGTGTGTGTTTGTGGTTCCACATAAATTTTAGGGTTGTTTATTCTATTTCTGTGAAAAATGACATTAAAATTTTGATAGGGATTGCATTGAACCTGTAGATTGTTTTTGGCAGTATAGAGATTTAAAACATATTATTTTGTTCAATCCATGAACAGGGAATATCTTTCCATTCATTTGTGTCTGCAATTTTCTTCATCAATGTTTTATAGTTTTCAGTGTACAGATCTTTCACCATGTTGGCTAAATTTATTCCTAAGTATTTTAGGTTTTGTAACTATTATAAATGGGATTGTTTTCTTGATTGTTTTTAATGCATAGTCCATTTTTGTTTATAGAAATGCTATTGATTTTTGTATATTGATTTTGTGTCCTGCAACTTTGCTGTATTTATTAGTTCTAACAGGTTTTTGTTACAGTCTTTAGGATTTTGTATATATTAGATCATGTTGTCAGCAAAGAAAAAAAAGATAATTTAACCTCTTCCTTTCCTATTTTGAACATCTTTTAATTTTTTCTTTTGCCTAATTTCTCTGGCAAGGATTTCCTGTACTATGTTGAATAGAATTGGTGAGAGTGGGCACTCTTGTCTTAGTCCTGATCTTAGATGGAAAGCTTTTAATTTTTCTCCATTGAGTGTAATGTAAGCTGTGGGCTTATTGTATATGGTCTTCCTTGTGTTGAGGTATATTCCTTCTATACTTCATTTGTTGAGAGTTTTTTTTAATCATGAAAAAATGGTGAATTTTGTCAAATGCTCTTCACTGATTGAAGTGATTATGTGTTGTTTCTTGTTTTGTTAATATTTTGTATCACATGTATTAATTTGCATATATTGAATCATTCTTGCATCATAGGGTTAAATCCCAGTTGGTCGTGATGAATAATCCTCTTAATGTACTGTTGAATCTGGTTTGGTAGTATTTTGTTGAAGATGTTTGCATTTATGTACATTAGAGATATTGGCCCTGTAAACTAATTTTCTTGTAATATTTTTGTCTAGTTTTGATATCAGGGTAGCACCGGCCTTATAAAAGGAGTTTGGAAGTCTTCCCTATTCTTTAATTATTTGAAGAGTTTGAGAACAATTGGTAATAGGTTTTCTTTAAATGTTTGGTAGAATATAGCAGTGAAGCCATCAGCTCCTGCATTTTTCTTTGATGTACTTTGTTATTACTGATTCAATTCCCTTACTCATTATTGAACTCTTTAGATTTTCTGTTTCTTCATGATTCCGTCTTGGTGGGTTATGTTTCTAGGAATTTATTTCTTCTAGGTTGTTCAATTTTTTGGCATATAATTGTTCATAATATCTTATGATCATTTGTATTTTTGTGATATCAGTTGTAATCTCTTTCATTTCTGGTTTTATTTGAGTCTTCTCTATTTTTTTTCTTAGCCTAACTAAGAGTTTTCCAATTTAGCTTTTGTTTAAAAAAACCAACTTAGTTTTGTTGATTTTTAAAAATGCTTTTTCTGGTCTCCCTTTTATTTATTTCTGCTCTGATTGTTATTATCTCCTTCCTTCTACTAACTTTGGGCTTAGTTTGCTTTTCTTTTTGTTAGCTCCTTGAGGAACTAAGTTGTGTTCTTTCTTCTTTTATGATATAGGCATTTATAGCTATACATTTCCCTCTTAGAACTGCTTTTGCTATGTCCCATAAGTTTTGGTATGTTGTGTTTTCATTTTCATTTGCCTTGAGAGATTTTTTAATTTTCCTTTTTATGTATTCTCTCACCAACTGGTTGTTCAGGAACATGTTGTTTAATTTTGACATATCTCCTGTTATTGATTGCTAGTTTTATACCATTGTGATCAGAAAAGATACTTGACATGATTTCAATCCTTTTAATTTGTTCAGGCTTATTTTATGTCCCAACATATGATCTATCCTGGAGAATATTCCGTGTGTGCTTGAGAAGAATGTGTATTCTGTTGCTGTTGGATGGAATGTTCTACATATGTCTGTTAGGTCCATTTGGCCTAAAGTGTAGTTAAAATCCAATGTTTCCTTATGAATTTTCTGTCTAGATAATCTGTACATTATTAAAAGTAGAGTATTGAAATCTCCTAGTATTATTGTATTGTAATCTAGCTCTCCTTTCAGATCCTTTAATATCTGCCTTATATTTTTAGGTGCTCTGATGCCCGATACATATGTATTTGCAATCCTTACATCCTCTTGATGAATCACCTCCATTATCATTATATATTATCCTTTCTTGTCTCTTTTTTAAAATCAGATTTTGTCTGATATAAGTGTTGCTACCCCTGCTCTCATTTTATTTCCCTTTGCATGGAATATTTTTTCCTTCCTTTCACTTTCAGTCTATGTGTGTCTTTAAAAATGAGTTGAGTCGCCTTATAGTCAGCATATTCTGTTTAAAAAATTCCATCCAGCCACTCTGTGCCTTTAATGTAATGAGCATATGTTCAAAGTAATTATTGATAGGTAAGGACTTCCTGCTGACATTTTGTAAATTGTTTTCTGTTTGTTTGCTTGAAACTTTGTTTCTTGCTTGCTTGCTGTCTTCTTTTGTGAATTAATAATTTTCTGCAGTGGTATGCTTTAAATTCTATTTGTATTTTGTGCATCTAACACTAAGGTTTATGGCTTGTGGTTACTCAAAGCTTACATAAACCATATTATACTTAAACCCAGTTCTTTCAAGCTGATAACAACTTAACTTTGGTTTTATATGACAATTCTACACTTCCCCTACCCCTGCATTTTATATTTTTTATGTCAAAATTTATATCTTTTGGTAATTTCTATCCCATATCAATTTAATTTGACTATAGTTATTTTTAATAGCTTTCTGTTAATCCTAATAGTGGAGATAAAATTGCTTGCATACCATCATTACAGTTCTATAGTGCTCTGAATATTACTTTGCATTACTTATACTATTGAGTTTGTGCTCTCATCTATTTTATGTTATTAGTTAGCAGCCTTTTATTTCAGGTTAACAGAACACCCTTTTTCAAATCCTATAAGATAGGCCTAGTGGTAATGAACTCTCTTAGCTTTCATTTGCTTGGTAAAGTTTTTATTTATCCCTCATTTCTGAAGGATAGCTTTGCCAGGTAAAGGATTCTTGGTTGACAGCATTTTTCCTTCTGCACTCTATCATCCCACTCTCTTATGGCCTGCAAGGTTTCTGCTAAGAAATATTTTTTTCATTAATTAATTGATTTGTTAATATAGCCATTCATCAAATTATTAACAAGAAACTCCTATGAACTGAGATTACAGTGCCTAACATGTAGTAGATGCTTAATCAATGGTGGATATTATTATTAATAAATCTTTTGATTGCTGTATTGAGACTCCCTCATTTGTAAAATGTTTCTTGGCCGGGCATGGTGGCTTATGCCTGTAATCCCAGCACTTTGGGAGTCTGAGGCAGGCAGATCACAAGGTCAGGAGATCGAGACCATCTTGGCTAACACGGTAAAACCCTGTCTCTACTAAAAATACAAAAAATTAGCCGGGCATGGTGGTGGGTGCCTGTAGTCTCAGCTACTCGGGAGGCTGAGGCAGGAGAATGGCGTGAACCTGGGAGGTGGAGCTTGCAGTAAGCTGAGATAGCGCCACTGCACTCCGTCCTGGGCAACAGTGAGACGTGAGACTCTGTCTCAAAAAAAAAAAAAAAAAAAAAAAAAAGTTTCTTAGTTCTCGCTGCTCCCAGAATTTTCTTTTTTTGCTTTTGCTTTTTGATATTATGTGTCTTGGTGAGCTCTGTTTGGGTTGAATTTGATTGGAGACCTCTATGCTTCCTATACGTGGATATTAGCACCCTTTCCTAGATTTGAGAAAATTTTATTCATTATTTCTTTCAATATGCTTTCTGGCTCTTTTAATCTTTTTTCTGCTTCTGAAGCTTATATAAATTTACTTCTCTTACTGGTGTCATATAATTCCCATGACTATTTATTTTAAATTCTTGCCTCTTTTTGCTTCTCTGGGCAATTTCAAATGTCCTAGCTCATTGATTCTTCTGCTTGACTGAGTCTATTTTTGAAGCATTTTTTGAAAAGAAAATTTTGGAATTTTTCAGTTCAGTTATCGTGTGCCTCATCTCTAGAATTTCATTTTTTTAAAAAATACAGAATCTCATTCTGTTACCCAGGCTGCAGTGGCGTAATCTGAGCTCACTGCAACCTCTGCCTCTCAAGTTCAAGCAATTCTCCTGCCTCAGCCTCACAAGTACCTGGGATTACAGGCGTGTGCCACCACACCCAGCTAAATTTTTTTGTATTTTTAATAGAGATGGGGTTTCACCATGTTGGCCAGGCTGGTCTCAAACTCCTGGCCTCAAGTGATCTGCTGCCTTCCAAAATGCTGGGATTATAGGCATGAGCCACTGTGCCCAGCCTAGAATTTCATTTTTAAAAATTGTTTCTGTTTGTCTATCATCTTGTTTTGTTCTGCATTGTTTTCTAAGTTTCATTTAATTTTCTATCCATATATTTTTATAGTTTGCTGGACTTCTTTAAGAATAGATTATTCTGAATTATTTGTTATTTCATACATCTCAATTTCTTTAGAGGCCATTATTGAAGTTTTGGTGTATTTTTTTGGTGGTGTCATGATTTCCTGATTCTTTGTAATCGTGTGTCCTTGCATTGACATCTATGTATTTGAGGAGACAGCCATCTCTTCTGGCCCTTTCAGGTATTCTTTGGCAGGGATAGACCTTCATTATTTCATCTAGCCTGTGGCTGTAGTTGTTCCAGCTAGTAACAGCCCTAGGCAGACAGAGCTTGCTGTTGGGTTTTCTAGTTGCCTAGGTTGCTTCATTTGCTCTGAGATCAGGTGGGTCTGCTGACTGAGTATCCTGGCTTGATGAGATCATTGGCTGGGTGCTATAATTACTTCTGATTGAGCAGGGCTGAAGAGTGTATTCCCTGGCCAGGGGGAAATGCTATTTGGGTTCTGCAGTTGGGCAGGGCTACAGGCTGAGATCTGTGGTTAGGTAGAGTTGCTGTTCTGTACAGATGGGTCCAAAGGCTATGTTTCATAGAATTATTGGTTGAAGTTTTCTCCCTGCCTGGGCATGGCCTTGGGGTGGGCTCTGAGGCTAAGCTGAGCTGCTGATTGGACTCCTAAGTGAGGCAGGTCCAACCCCTTTACTCCACAGAAATGCATTGTGGTTCTTTTACCTGGGCAGGGAATTGGGGTGGGTTCTGAGGCTGATCTGAGCCATTGTTTAGACTCTCAGGTTGGGCATGTCTAGCCGATGCACTCTGCTGATATGCTTCCAGGTGGAAATATCCCTTCCTGGGTGGGGCCTTGAGGTAGGCTGTTGGTTGGATGTGGAGGCTGGATGTCTAAGGACTCAAGCCAGGTTGAACTTCCTATCATGTTTCTTGGAGTAACCAGCTCAGTTTTGTGGGTAAGGTATGCTCTTGGCCAGCATCATGATCAGGTGCCACTGCTAGGAGGAACACAGGACTACCACTAAGATCTGCATGCTGGTTGCTGTGAGCTCTGCCTCCTGTCTCTATTTCTGTCTGGCTGCAAGTGGTCTGGCCCTGCTATTAGTCCTGGTGTTTCCCATAAAGAGAGATAGGAGTGAGCTTCCTGGGAAGCATCTCTGAATGATAGGGAAGCTAGATGTCTGCCTCTTGTTCACTTCCCACTGTATAAACTGTGATTCCCAGACATCCTCCTCTCTGTCACTGTGCCAACTTGAGGGTGGAGAGGGACAATGCAGTCAACATGAGGCTGTTCTTCTTACCCCTTGGTGATTTATTCAGTTCTGTGGTCCACATGAATGTTTCAGTCACATTCCCAAGTTTTAGGGTTTTCACAGAGGTGTTCTTGGCTGTGCACAGTTGTTAGTAGGACTTTCTGTGTGTGGGGATGATTGAGGCCTGAGACCTCCTTTTCTTCTATCTTGCTGACATTACTCCTTACCTTCATGCATTTTTGCCACAAATGTGCAACCTGACTGAATCAAGATTTTAAATCTAAATTCTAGTTTATGGGACACACAGTTTAAAAGGGGGAAGCAATCAGATGCATGCAGACAGTAGGACATTATTCTAAAGGACAACTGACCTTATCTCTGGAATGCTACAGGAAAAATGAGGGGGATGGAAAGGGGAATTTTCTAGATTACAAGAGACTTAAGAGACATAATGACCAATGGAAAAGGAAAATGTGGTAATTGTTTGAACCCTGGTTTAATCAAGTCTGCATTTTTGAGAAGCTAAAATTCAGTACAGACTGGATATTAGCTGTTATTGAGAAATTCTTGTGAATTTTGGTAGATGCGATAATGGTATTGTGATTAAAGAACAGAATATACTTACCTGAGTTTTGTTTTAGAATTGCATACTGAAGTACATAGGGAAGAAATGTCATCATGTCTGTTACTTACTTTATACTACTTCAGCAAAACAATACATGAAGCAAAAACTGCAAAATTTTTCAAAAATGGTTAAATGTGGGCATTGAGCATACAGGATTCATTATAGTATGCTCTACTTTTCTATAAGTTTGAAAATGTTCTCAATGGAAAGTAGAAGAAAGAAGTTTTCATGGTATTACTCCTCTTAAAAACAGTGATATTGAAAGTATTTTTTGAAATGAGAGATTTATAGTGCATAAAATGAGGAGCCAAAGAAGTAGATTAAATAAAAGTTAACAGGATAAAAAATATCTTCAAAGCAGAAGCCTCAGACACATTTCTAACTATTTAGAGGTATTTACCTTTTCCTATAAAGGGACATTCAATTTATGAACCTATTTGGTAATGCTTTTTTATAGTTACGGGGACTAGAAAGATCAATACCACATGCTCCTTGGAAGAAAAAAAATTGTAGAGACTTTCAGACCGTGAGCTTGGTCCTTTAGTAGAGGAAATTATCTTCATGCATTGGGAAGACCCCAAGTTTTGCCATTGCATGGTACTGAATTTGACTACTATTATTTTCTAGTAGTGTGACCTTGAAAGCAAGTTTCTTATATTGAGTCTCAAATGTCTTGTCCATGAAATGGGGATAATAAAACTTATCTTCCAGGAAATAGTTAGTATTAAATGAGGTAGTATACATAAAGAGTTTAAAACAGAAATGAATGAAATTTAACTCAGCTCTTTATGTTACTATTATTAGAGGTTCATTAAAGGCAAGTAGAAACGGAGTGATCAGGAACTCTGAAGAGGTGAGATTTAAGTTGAGCCTTCAAGAACGAGAGGTTTTCAACAAATGAAGATGGCAGCAGAGGGAATGTTCCACGTGTTTTGAAATGATGAAACTGATTGGTACATGCCATGTTTAGAAAACCACCATCATAATAATTGGTTCAGCTTAATTTTAAGTGTCCAAGAATAATGAAAAAATAGTTTGGGGCCTGATTATTGTTCCTTTAAATTGGTTAGTCCAAGAAACTTGGACTTTATTCACAACGCAGTTGAAGAATTGAATGGTTTTGACAAGCTTCGACATGGTTGGAGTTGTATTTTGAGATCAGTCTCGCAGTAAGATTCATGTTGCTCTGTGAAATCTGAACTCAAAGATGCTCTGGCAGATTCTGCTGATCCCCTGCCCAGTAGATCTCCTCCCCTTCTTTACAGGACACTGGTTTTGTTGGGGATGGTGATGCAACAACGTAAAAAGGAAACAGAAAACAATTTTTAGAAAGTGACCACTTTTGCATTTCTCCTTTGAAGAAAGGAATGGCAGTATCTAGTTTTGGCCAATGTCATATAAGCTGAAGTCTTAGAGTGGGTCTTCCAAAAATGCTCTTCAAAAGTGGAAGTAGCATTAAGTGATAAAGCTGCTTAAGACCTTAAGGATATAAGCATGGAAAGGCAACAGTATCTTGAATTCCTTATATTGTGGAACCATTACATTATCCCGCTGCCTACTGCCATGTGTATTGTGATGTGACAGAAAACTCCCTATTTGCTTTCCAAGTTGCTGTATATATGGCTAATGTTTTGTGTTACATGCAGCTGAATTCAATCTGTAACTGACTAATTATCACCAACTAGGAAGTTTTGCAAGGGTGAGAAGCAAATGAGAAAGCTGTATGAAGCTGGACTGTGGTAGGGGCAGCATCACTAGAAATGGAAAAGAATAGTAAACAGAAGATACATTGGGGGATAGAAATCACAAGACAATTACTGTTTGAATGTGTGATTGGAGGAAAAGGAAGGACTCCAACATAAATTTAAGTTTAAGCTTGGGTGACCAGGAAAACGGTGACATTATTTACCAACTGAAGATAACTGTAAGAAAAGAAAGACAGCTCAAGTGATATATACATGAAATGAAATAAATGTTAGATAGCATTTTACTCAAAGAAAAGTCCGAATACTCTAAGAACTAAATCAGTAGTATCAACCCCCAAGCCCTTAGAAAGCCTGGTAGAACAGAGGAGGGAATGGCAAGGAGTCTCCTATTAGATTGCAGGGTTTCCATTAATTCTTCCCAATGTGAAGATGAGCCACACTAACTGGTCAAAAGTTTTAAACATGAGTTTAAACTGCATTTGGAACATGTGTAATTATTTCCTCTGGGGCAAAGTGGCTTGAAATATAACTTGCTTAGCCAAGGCATAGGTCTGCTTTCAGAGTAGAGCGTGAGCTTGGTGACCTCTGGATGCGCTTTATAGTTCCATGATTCTATAATTATCTCAGGCTTCAAATCACTTTCTAGTGAACAGCAAATAATTCTTACTAATAAAATACAATTTGAAACTGGGAACTGAAATTACACATTTTCAATAAAGTGTTGTAATAAAGACAGCAACTGTAGATCCCCTCCAGGAATAAAGGGCTAAATGTATTGGTTGGCCACTCGTGCAAGACACAGCTAAAGTCTACGTTGATTCATCATGCAGGAGATGGGGATGCTCTATATAAGTTTTAAAAATAAACCTGACTGCAAATGAAGGAACTGAAAGGACATTGTCATTTAACCGTAGAATCTCCACTTAACATCAATAAGTGCTCTAAAGTTTAAATTCTGCCTTAACCCCACTGAGAAACTGCTGTCCGATTTTAGTTTCTGTATTCAGCTCCTTTCTGAAACCTCTTTCTTGGTACTGTGAATAGAAATCTCTCTCTGGGTTCTTTACGATTTTGCCAACAATGAGAGACCAATTCTATTAGAAAAAGATAGGAAGATATGGGGAGCTCTCATACCAATAAAAGTTTATCCCAAGTTCCACAGATTCAGAAGAGCAATTATTTGAGCAATTTTGTTTTTCAGAGGCCTCAAGCATATGACAGAAAACAATAAGTAACATAAATGATTTATGGTACAGTTATTGTTTTCTTAAAATTGTATTTCCTACAAAAGCTTGTGATCTGAAATGTAGGGCTCATATAAATGGTAAAGTGAAGTGATTCTTAAAGCATCTCCAGGTATTCCTCCAAAAATTATTCCTTGGTCAGAAAAGTATGGGACATTCCATTTAAATAAAACCACTGTTTCTTTTTTCTTTTTTTGTGGTTCTTGTGAGAGCCTTTATAAAGCCCCATGACCCACCAAGAAAGGAATAAGGAAGTAGCATTTACATCTTGAAATTAGTTTAATAAATATTAAATATTTTAATGAAATTGTTAGAGATAGAGTGTGATCAACATTTTAAAAAATTTTTAAGCAAACACTCACTTGACACTTTTTTTAAGATCAGAAAGCTGAGGCTCAAAAATATAAAGTATATTTTAACAGATTGATGTGGGTTGTTTTTGTTTATCCTTTTTCTTTTGGGAGTTGCTCCTCCCTAACCTCCCTCCCATTTTGCACGTTTACAGTTGTAGCAAAGCCATCAGGACAGCTGGATGCCAAACTTCTTGCCATAGTATATTAGACCATCCGTGAGCATCTGATCCAGATTGCTCTAATTGAATTTCTTTCCTTGGGAGTATGATATTGAGATCAGGAAATTCAGTCTTTCCTTCTTTCTCTTGCTTACTTTCTTTATCACTATAAAACTAGACATATATAAGATGTAAGTAATATGTTTTTAGTCCATGTGGACCAAAGAAGCAAAGAAAGCCTATCTGGAGGCTGAAAGAAAAAAAAAGCAGGCTGGGCACAGTGACTCATACCTGTAATACCAGAACTTTGGGAGGCTGAGGTGGGTGGATCACCTGAGGTCAGGAGTTCGAGACCAGCCTGACCAACATGGTGAAACCCCGTCTCTGCTAAAAATACAAAAATTAGCCAGGCGTGGCAGTGGGCGCCTGTAATCCCAGCTACTCGGGAAGCTGAGGCAGGAGAATTGCTTGAACCTGTGAGGCAGAGGTTGCAGTGAGCCAAGATCACGCCACTGCACTCCAGCCTGGCTGACAAGAGTGAAACTCCATCTCAAAAAAAAAAAAAAGAAAAAAAAGCATAAATGCACAAGAGAGTACACAGGCTAACTTAAAGGGTATTAAGGTCCTTTTCCCATTTTGTTCAGCTATATCCCTCCCCCATGGGTTTCCATGATTCCCTTGTAACTTTGTGGTGGATTCCTTTTATCTTAAGGTTGAATTTTTTTCTGTTTCCTTCAGTGAAAAAGGGCTAAATGACTACTGTTACACATTAGTCGCAGAGTAAGAGCTAGAAAACAGGTCACAACAATCAGTGCACTGCCTTTTAACTACAAGTCTTTTACGGTTTGTTGAGTAATACTTTACATAGCTTATATTTTTAAAATGTAATGCTGAGAAACCAAACTGTTAATTTTTCCATCATGATGATTCTTAAAATTGTTCATGTTTGCTTATCTATATGTATTATATTTAGTTTACTTAAAATTTAATAAACTGTAAAATAAAAATAGCATACGTATCTACTACTTAAAATAAATGTTAGCATTTATAATATTGCTTAAAATTTGTTCACTTATTCGCAGAAATAGAAAAAAATATCTTAAAATTTGTATGGAACTAGAAAACCCAAAGAGCCAAAGCAATACTGAGCAAAAAGAACAAAGTGGAGGCATCACATGACCTGACTTCAAACTATGTTATAAGACTATAGTAGCCAAACAAGCATGGTATTGGTATAAAAACAGACACATACACCAATGAAGCAGAATGGAGAACTCAGAAATAAATCCACTTATTTACAGCCAATTGATTTTCAACAAAGGCACCAAGAACATACACTGGGGAACCGTCTTCAATAAATGGTGCTGGAAAAAGCAGATATCCTATATGCAGAAGAATGAACTGGACCCCTATCTCTCATCACATACAAAAATCAACTCAGGATAGATTAAAAACTAAATGTAAAATTTGAAATTATAAAACTATTAGAAAACATAGAGGAAATGTGTCAGTACATTGGTCTAGGCAAAGATTTTATGGCTAAGACCTCAAAAGCACAGGCCACAAAAGCAAAAATAGACAAATAAAACTATTTTAAACCGAAGAGCTTCTGTACCACAAAGTAAACTACAGGGTAAAGACACAGCCTGATGAACGGCAGAAAATATTTGCAAACTATTCATCTGACAAAGGACTATTATTCAGAATATATAAGAAACTCAACAATAAAAACAATCACATTGAAAAGTGGACAAAGGACATGAATAGATCTTTCTCAAAAGAAGACTTCCAAATGGCCAAGAGTTATATGAAAAATGCTCAAATCAGTAATCATTATGGAAATCCAGATCAAAAACACAATGAGATATCACCTTACCCCACTTAGAATGGCTATGATTAAAAAGACAAAAAATAGCAGATGCTGATGAGAATGTGGAGAAAAGAGATCTCTTACACATTGTTGGTGGTAATATAAATTAGTACAACCACTATGGAAAACAGTATGTATGCTCCTCCAAAAAATAAAAATAGAACTACCATATGATCCAGGAATCTACTATTGGGTATTTATCTAAAGGAAAAGAAGTCACTGTATTAAAGGGATACCTGCACCCCATGTTTATTGCAGCAGTATTCACAATAGAAAAGATACAGAATCAACCTGTGTCCCTCAGTGGAGGAACAGATAAAGAAAATGTGGTATATATACAATGGAATACTATTTGGCCATAAAAAATAAAATTATGTCATTTTCAGCAACATGGATAGAACTGGAGGTCATTATGTTAAATGAAATAAGGTAGACACAGAAAGAGAAAGATTGCATGTTTTTGCTCATGTGGAAGCTAAGAAAGTTTACCTCCCTGAAGTAGAGTGTGGAATGATAGGTATCAGAGGCTGGAAAGGATATGTGTGGTGTGGGGGTGAAGATAATTGGTTAATAGATACAAACATAGTGCTAGATAGAAGGATAAGTTCTAATGTTTGATAACAGAGTAGGGTGACTACAGTTAACAACGTTATGTATGATTCAAAATAGCTAGAAAAAAGCTTGAAATGCTCCCAGTACCTAGAAGGGATATATACCCAAGGTGATAGATGTCCTAAATACCCTGACTTGATCATTTCACATTCTCAGCATGTAACAAAAATCACATATATCTCATAAAGATGTACAAATATTATGTATCAATAAAAACTTGTTCACTTTTAAAGAAATAAACAGTAGACACATTTTTCTATTATCCCTGATCCAATTCTTTCACACTCTACACAAAGGCAACACCTAATATGCATTTGGCGTGTGTCTGAATCATATTATTGTGCTTTTATGACACAGAAGTCTCTATTTGATATAGTTGTGTATTTTTAAAAATGTATTTAAACTGTATTATACAGTTAATAACACTATGTAATTGTCTTTTCACACTTAACATTATGCTTGCATGTGTATTCATAACTTTCTTCTATTTAAATTTTATTGAGCAAGATTTAGCATTATTTTATAAACATCCTTTACCTGAGACACTTTTTGCCATGTTGTTGCATGGTTTTAGTATTGAGCTTTTATAATGCCTAGATAATCTCCCACTGAGTTGATATATGATAGTTTGCTTTACTATTCCCATCTGGTTTAGATAATTATAAATTTTTGGCCCTTATAAATAAGTAAAAAAGTAAATAAATACTAGAAGTTGGTATATTTGTATCTGAAGTTAAGAGAAAGCATCTTTTACCATAATTTAAGCCAATTTAAATGTTAATTTCATCCAAAATGTCCTCACAGAAACTCCCAAAATATTTGGCCAAATATCTAGGCACATTGTGGGGCAGTCAAGTTGACCAGTGAAATTATCCATCATGGGAGGCTAGATAGGTAGCCAACAGTATCTGCTTCAAAGGTGAGGAACATCATTATACAATGTTTTTGATGTTTTTAATAGGAGGAGATTCTCAGCTATGGGTTATTGAGTTCAACTGATGTAAAATATTCAGAAGTTTTGATATGTATTTTTCAAATGCTTTCATAAAATTCTTTTATAATTGGCATAGTGTCTAACATTGTTTTAGAGTATGTTTCCTACATTAGCCCAGCATTATGTTTGTTAAAAAATTACTTGTTTGGTAGGTGTAAAATGTTACTCATGGCCGGGTACGGTGGCTCATGCCTGTAATCCCAGCACTTTGGGAGGCTGAGGTCGGCGGATCATGAGTTCAGGAGTTCGAGACCAGCCTGGCCAACATAGTGAAACCCCATCTTTACTAAAAATACAAAAATTAGCCGGGTGTGATGGTGCGTGCCTGTAGTCCCCACTACTCGGGAGGCTGAGGCGGGAGAATCACTTGAACCTGGGAAGTGGAAGTTGCAGTGAGCTGAGACTATGTCATTGCATTCCAGCCTGGGTGACAGAGTGAGACTCCGTCTCAAAAAAAAAAAAAAAAAAAAAAGTTACTCATTATTGCTGTAATATTTATTTTTTGATAAATAGAATAACCTTTTGTGATATTTGTTTATATTTGTGTTTCCTTTTTGTGCATTTCTTTAATGAAATCTTAGTGTTCTTAAACATTTTACAGATTCAATATATTATGTAAAATATAAAATAATACTCGATTATATTATATGATATAAAATAGATTATGTTCTATGTTATACAGGTTATATGACATAAAATATGTTTTATGTATTTATAATATATAACATATTTATAATACATGTAACAAATGTGTTATTTATATATAACATTTCAATATATATAACAATATATTATATATTATAAATATGTAAAATATATTTTATAATGTCATATATATCCTAATATAACATATAAAATATATTTTGTATAAAATCTATGATATATTTTATTTATGACAATATATAAAATTATATTTTTATGTTCTTGCTATTCTTTTCCTATTTGTGTCATTTCTACCAACCTGTTGTTTTCCATTTTATTTAAATGTTATGTTTTATTCTATAAATGTGTGTTAATTTTCTTAACGTTACCCATTTTGATCTTTTATAATTTCTCCTTTTATTTTTAATTCTCTTAGTTGTGATAGTTTTCCTTATTTCTTGTGATTTAATTTTAATCTACTTAGAATTAATTATGGAGTAAAGCATAGTTTTCTTCATATCATTTATTAAAGAAAGACTCCCATTGGATATGCTTATTTTGTGACCCACCAGTGTAATGGACTGAATTATACCCCCACAAATTTAGATGTTGAAGCCCTAACCTTCAATGTGACTATTTGGAGATAGGGCCTCTGGGGAGGTAACTAAGGTTAAATAAGGTCATGAGAGTAGGGCTCTAATCTGCTAGGACTGGAGCCCAGAAAAAGAGACACCGGAGTCCTTTCTCCACCACATGAGGACACAGAGTGTGGCCATCTACAAGCTAGGCACAGAGGTCATAGAAGAAACCCATCCTCACAACATTTTGATCTTAGACTCCAAGCCTACAGAACTGAGAGAAATAAATTTGTGTTCTTTGATTCATTGAGTCTGTAACATTTTATATTGGTAGCCTGAACAGACTAATGCAATAACATTCTTAGATTAATTGGGATCTCCTCTGAGATCTAGACTTGCTTTCACGAATTTATTCTATTAATAGAAATCTCCATTTACGTAAATATATATGTATATAGTGCCATTACATAAATTTGGATTATTTTGATTTTATATTTTAAGTGTGGGCTGCACTTTTTTACATAATAATTTATGTCGGATGTAAAAGTATACCTCAAAATATGCTATAGCCATTCTTCTGAGTTTCTCTGTGGCATCTAACATGAAGCTTCATCAAGCAGAGTATAAGCCAGAATTTCCTGCTTCGTCTAAGGTATAGGACGCCACATGGCTTGGCGCTTCTTCCTTGAGCAGAGCTAGAAAATGTGAGCCAAGGCTGATGAGAAGGGAAGATGGACCTCCCTAGGGTCATCTGTGGCAAACATGACTAAGCGGAGATGAGGTGAGGAGTATGCAATTGGAAATTGTTGTCATTCTAAGAAAACCTGAGAACCAAGTGAAACTACTTAACATTTTGATTTTACAAAACATCTAAATATTTTCTTACTGTGAATTTCACCTACAATTGTACTTTTTTGTTAAATCTTTTGAAAATACAAACTTCTTTTAATAATGTCTAATTACCTTAGATCCTATTAATGCAAACTTCTTTGAGAGATAAAAAGCGAATTATATGTTGTGCTCAATGAGGCTGCAAGAATAAGGTATAATAAATGAGAACAACATGTCATGAAAATTGTGTCTCAGTTGTCTACAGGATCAACTCTTTTGTCTGAATTGCCCGGACATTTTAGCTAAACCTCAAACTGATTTTATTTTTTCTTCAATAGCTTTGACTTAATCAATTGATTTGTTGGCATTACATAGATATAGCCCAAAATAAACATTTCTTGCTCTGAAGAATTTGATCATAAGCTGTTCATTACGTTTTAGGAAGAATTTTCAAGAGAGAATAAAAATGATCCAATATTTATAAATTTTCTTTTGCTTCAAATCAGCAACTATCATAGTAAAAGAAAAAAGCTTAGGAGCAATTGAGAGATTTGCCATACGCCTTGAATGCTTCTAAGGGCCCTCTCTGCACTGTGGAGGGTTGAGAAGGTTTGGTTCCTGGTTGTGAGCCTTGGTCAGGCATGGTGCATGTTTTGCTGGGAATGTTTATGCAAAGAAGCCATTGTTTCAGCATCAGTACTAATCTGGCCACTCTTTGATCTTCATCTTTTACCATCTAAAGGACTTCTGGATGCTGCTGTTTTATCCAGACAATGTTTTTTACATCCCATTCACAAATTCAGTATCTGGGTCATCCAAATACATCTAGGCCTAAAAAGTAACCCTTCACTGGGGCTAAGTAAACATGATTTAATTTGTTCTGGACTCCAGAGTAGCTTGTGACATAAGAGACAGCAAGTCCAAGTATAGAACCTTAATGGGACAAAATAATTTTTTTTTGGTCAGAACTTAACTAAATTTAGTACTAATCCCTTGAGAAAGAAAGAAAAAGCCTTAATTCAACACCCAATTATTTTTAAAGAAGGATCTAAAGACATAGCAGGAAATTAGACCAGGCAGTTTGACATCAGTTAAGTCTCAGAGCATTTTAAAAAGATCAAATGCTGGAACATTTAAAAAGCACAGCTTGACAACAGTCAATTAAGGTAGCCTCAGGATGTGGCCGGGAGATTTTAGTAATTTGTGTGTGTAGAGCATGGACAAAAATTTTAAAATACATTGCCATAAGAATCAAGAAAAACACTAAAAATCATAAACAGGATATGGCTATTTAACACAGACTTTTCTTTCATTTTGTTTAATAATGGAGCCATGAAATCCTGGGGACTAAAAAAGCCTGACAAATTGAATAGTTGAGTAAACTTGGCTGTAAGTCAAACTCAATTTGAAATCCCTAGTAAGTTAGTTTTGTGTTCAGACTACTATTCAGCGATACTAAGGGTTGGGGTAAAGGGGTATGGTTATGGCAGAAACACCTAGGACAGTGCTTCTCAAAGTGTGGTCCAGGGTCCAGTGCCATTCCATAAACTATCATTGGCCAGATAAGTACAGAATAAGTTGAGAATAAGTGTTTAGAAACTTTGATAGCAATGTCACAAAGTACTTCCCTGAAAACATGGGCTTTAATTTTGTGTATCTTATTTTTTTTTTTTAAAAAAAAGTTTCAGTCTTAGCAATTTTATTGTATTTTATAAAATTATAGGTCCATGTCTTATTGAAATAAAAAATAGTGCTTCTCCACAGATAGTCTGAGAAGCACTGATCAAGACAGTTTTTTAAAGAAATGGCATTTAAAGTACGATGTGCATCATGTTAGAAAATATCAAGCTGTTTTTCCTGTTCACAAAATAAATCCAAGCATAATTACCTCAAACACATTTGTAAAATGGCTTTCAAAAACAGACATTTGAAGAAACTCATTGGGTCAAAGTTTAGAGAATCTGAAAAAAAGTCTTTTATCGTGAACTGTAGCTGTAACTAAGACTACAGTGTATGTGGAAAGGTAGATCGTACTGTTCTGATTCTTCAGGCCCTCCCTGTATTCAAAGGATGCACCCATGCCCTTTGCCATGTGAGTTTGCACTTGCTACCACTAAATGTCAAGTGTTACCCTACCTCGTTGATGTCGGGCTTCACCAAATGACTTGCACTGGCCAGTAGAATATGGGCAGACATGCCAGTGTTCCGGTCTCTGTGACAAAGCCTCAGAGGCATTGTGTATTTCTTGTGTCTGTCTTCAGTTTGTGTGACCACTGTAGAAGGACATGCTTCAGCTGTCTGCTGCCCCTTGAGGGTAGGTCCCAGAATATGACACGTGGAGCAGAACTAAACCTGATCCAAGGCTTAGAGCCAAGTCCACCACACTGCAGCCTGAAGTACTCATCAAAGCCAACCCACAGACCAATAAGCCAGAAAAAGATCTGCCTGTTGTTGTAGGCCACCTAGTTATGGGGTGGTTCGTTATGGAGCATTATCACAGCAGTAGGTGAACAGCACAGTTGGGTTATAATACATGCTATAGTTACGGATGGTATTTGATTTACTATTCCAGCCTGGACACCTCTTCTAAGTGGCATTCTCATGTATGCAACTGCCTATTTGACATGCCAACTTTGGTCTCCAATAGGCAACTCAAATGTAACACATTCAAACATGCACTCTTGATTCCCCTCCCCACAACCCCAAACTACTTCACTGCTTGGTAAATGGCAAATCTCTTCTATCACTTGCTCAGACCAAGATCCTTGGAATCATCATTGATTTCTCACTTTTTTTTTCACATTTCACATCTAGTGGGATGGGAAATAAATTGAAACACATTCTGAATCTGACCACTTCTCATCCCCTCCATTGCTATTAACACTTCCCTAAGAAGCTCCTCTTAGTGGCTCTTTTTTATTCTGCCCTTATTTCTCTGGGATCTATTCACTGCACAACAACCAGGATGGTCTTTTAAAATATGTCACATCATTTCGCTCTACTTCAAGCTCTCTGTTGGCTTCCCAACTCACTCAAATTCATTCAAAGTTGCCGTCGTGACCTAACTGGTCCTACACATCTGGACTGCACTACCTGCTTTCTATGAGCCACCTGGCTCCTCCTTGCTTTCCATGAGTACACGAAGTTTCTGCTGCAAGATCCCGCCTTGGGATGCCCTCTTCCCAGGTGTCTGCTGCTCACGTATCAGTCTTATTATGGAGGCTTCCCTGACCCCATGTAGAATAGTAACTACTACTCCACCACTTCCTGTGCACTTCCTCCACTTTATTCTTGATCTTAGCACGCACTATCTAGCATGTTACATATACATGCATTTATTAACTGCTCTCACTGGAATGGACACTTTCTGAAGCAGGGATTGTCATTTCCATGGCCATATCTAGCATTAAGAACAGCGTCTGGCATATAGAAGGCACTTAATACATATCTATTGGTGAAAAAATGAATTAAATGTCTTTGGAAAGAATACGGCCCTGTTAAATCTTGAATTTGCTAAGTGTAAATTGGGTATTTAAATGCTGACTGATTATAGTTAAGGAAAGACCAGCTTCCTATTTTTAACAAGAAGTTGATGTTTGTCAAATAGGCAGGATAATCTTTTGGTTGTGGATTTTAAAGAATACCATGACTTGGTTAACATTAGAAACGGGGGCACTTTATTTTAGCACTGAAGACATTAAGGTTGCATTCAGGGTTTTTAATTTGTATGAGACATTCAGTAAGGAGTTTTAGTTCATTTTTGAACCAGGTCATTTATAGAGCTTACTAAGAGATGGGAGGTGAGAAAGAATCAGCGAATTCTAGAACTGGAAATTCTATTTTTATTTTAGAGGGAAAAGAATAACACTCCTTCCAAGAAAACTTTAGGGACCTGTGAGATGAGGCTGGCCGGGTAGGAGGTGGGGACTGTCACTCGCAGGTTTTGCCCACACTAGCGGTTTTCTGGCATTTCAGCAGCACACCGTTTTGGTGAGGACTCTATATGTTATTTTAGCAGTAAAATCTCTGCCAAGATCATGAAGGGAGTGCAAACTCCAGGAAATCTTGTAAAAGAAGCAGAAATGTTGTTATGTGCTTGGATTTCAGACCAGCTGAGGCAAAACTGCAGCACATCTACACCCAAGCCCTCCCAAGTATGGTCATTCTGAGACTTCCGTCGGAAGTTCTTTGCTCAGAGGTGACAGCATTTCTAACATCGTTTCAAAATCTGGTTTGTATCAGGTTGCTGATCTCCAGATTCATGAACATGTAATCAGTACCTTATTTCTATAATGTTGAGTACTTCATAGGTCTATGTGCACAGAAAATACATTACAAAAAGGCAAAAATAGGGAAGAATGATACCATGATTATAGAAAAATAAAATCAATTTTATTCTTATTTTGTGTTCAGTGAACGCACAGCAAAAATGTATAATTAATTTTCTCTGGTGGAGAAGGGGGCTGTAAATAACACTTGTTAAATAACTCAGATGTGCCAGACACAATTCTAGGAGCTTCACATATGTTTCCTAGCTATAATATATAAAACTTGTATCTTGCATATAACCTCCTTTACAAATTAGATTATTCTGGCATCAGATATTCTCCCCATTTCTTAGGATGAAGCAGATACAAAAGCAAGGATAGCCTGACAGACTACTTGAGAAACAGAAATGTTACATATTTTTCTGAAGACCACAGAGCAAATGTGGAGTAGGGAAAGGAAAAATATTTTACACTCAATTGGGATGAAAGCTTCTATGGGATGGTTTTGTAAGGTCCACGGACAACTTATATTCTGACACCTAAGAAATATTACAATGTAAGTTCTGTGTGATGAATAGTCAGTAAAATAGTTCTTTCTCTCAGATAAGAAACTAATTATTCAGCAGCTTCATCTTAATTCTTTTCCTTTGGGCTTTATTTTATAATGCAGAATGCAAAAGAAACACTCCCTGCATTCAGAAGCACTCTTTGAAGCAACATCTAGTGCATTCCCTGGGTATCGTGAGTTTAGAATTGTGAGATGTAGACTTAAAACCTTGTCAGAAATGTGTTTGCGTGTCCTTGTCCTGAATTCCCGTAGCGTGCTCCATTCTCAAGTTCATCACCGTCCTTCTGCCTTGTGCCCGATAGCAGAGCAGTGGACATTCGGCCCTGCTCCCTATTGCTTCTACACCTAAGGAGGCCTTGGAAGCGATAGCCCAGATAGCTGTTGGCTGCAGAGGCAACACAGCCGTCACCACCAGCAGTGGAAAAGATGCTGCCAGAGGACGCTGGGAATGGCGTTTGGGCTGAGGGAATGTTTAAGACTTGTTTACAGGAATGGGGAAAGAAATGGTTCTTTTCACAAGATGTTTGAAAAATGAACAGTATTTTTTTCTTCAATGGAAACATCATTTCTCTGATTTTCTTTCCTTTCATCTGCATCACCTATATACAATCATCATGTTGTCTTAAGTACTGTGCAGTATTTGAAAGTGAATTGAATTCTGAAAGATTTTATATTTTTTTCCCCTGGTAACTGCAGAAATCCATTAAACATTTTATTGCTCCCTAGGGGTTGTGTGATTTCTTATCCTGACCCTGCTGGTCAGATAAGCAAACACCTAACTCAGAATGAACACCTGTCTCTGTTTCTTTGAGTGATGGGAAGAGAATTTTAAATAATGGTTGGTGTTTTCAAGACATGGGGGGACAACAAGGAAAGAAAAATGCTTTTTTTTCCTTTGTCATTAGCCGTGGAGTACTATGATCAGAAAATTGTGTTTTTCCTCTTCTCTCTGAAAACATGTTCTTCATTTATGTTCTTTATTGGAAAGTAAGCACTTTAATTAAGGAAATGTATTTAGTTAGTAAATAATACAGTCCTCTAAAGTGTTTTCACCCAGAAAGTTTTTCTCTCTTTTGTTTTTAATGTGTTTGATTTTAGTTTTTCCTAATTTGGGGTATAGGGAACTAGTAAATCGTTTGTAGTTTCATTTATGAATTCGTTTTAAAAAACAGTACTGATCACTTACTTTATGCCAGGTTTGGTGGTGTTACTCAAGAAAACAGATATGGGAGAATGAGCTTTGCCTGTAAGAAGAGGGCACAGGGCTAACTGATTGCACATTCATAGACACTCACACATATTCATCCACTGTGATGAAGCAGACACGAAGACTCAGCCATGTAGGGTGGGGCCTGAGGAGAGAGCCTCAGCAATGCCACAGAGTTGGGTGAGGCTTTACAGAGGATGTAATATTTGAGCTGAGTCTTGAAAGACCTTTGCATAAAGAAGATTATGTAAGCTAAGGGAAATAGCCATGCACAGGCAAGGAGGACTGGCCAAGATCTAGGCTAGGCAGAGAGGTGGGTAGTTTGATGACCCAGGAGTGGGTATAGTACAGAGGGAGAATATAAAAGCCAAATGAGTATCCGCAGGGGTAGAATCACATGTAAGAAGCTGGCATGGAAACTCACCAAGAAAACTAAAGAGATTTATACAGCAAGAAAGAAAAAGAACTGAGAGAGGGATAGCATAGCCTTAATTATAAAGCTTTCCATTTCAGAGAATCTAGACTGATTCACATCTTGTAGTTTTATCTTTTAGGTTACTGGTTTTCTGAATAGAGTGGATTATTTAGCTTGAAAGTAAAAAACAATGTTATATTTTTGATTAATATTAATGACATCAAAAATACACATATCAACAAACACCTAAATTTAGGATATGACTTAAAGACATTTGACAATAATAAGGTACAATTGTCCACTTATCTGATTAGCAAGGATTTAGGAGATTTATACCACTTACACTTTCTGCAAGGCCATCTTGCAAAGTATATATAAATTTAAATGTGTCTATCCTTTGACCCTGAAACTCTATTTTTAGGAATTTATTTTTTAAAAATAAAATACATGTTCTTTGTCCATGAGGATGAGACTACTTAAATGAATTATGTTTCACCATGCAATAGAACACACAGAATTTTTATATTCTGTGAAAATTAAAATGATGAATCAGAAACATGTATTAACATGGAAGAAAATTCTTATGTTATTGCTAAGTATAAAAAGCAGGTTATAAACAGCTATGCAGCTTTATTTTTAATACATAATATGTTTAGAAAGGGGCTGGAGAGATCTGTATCAAGTTGCTAACTGCATTTATTTCTGGCGATGATTTTCTAGATGATTTTTACTTTGTTATTTGGAAACATTTTGTAGTGTCTGTGTTTTTGTTGTTTTTACAATGAGCACGTTCTATTTTCATTATCTGATAAAAACACATAAAGTCTACTAAAAATGAAAAGGCTAGGCATGGTGGCTCATGCCTGTAATCCCAGCATTTTGAGAGGGCCAGGCAGGCAGATCACCTGAGGTCAAGGGTTCGAGACCAGCCTGGCCAACATGGTGAAACCCCGTCTCTACTAAAAATACAAAAATTAGCCAGGCATGGTGGCAGGCGCCTGTAATCCCAGCTACTTGGGAAGCTTAGGCAGGAGAATCACTTGAACCCAGGAGGCAGAGGACACAGTGAGCTGCGATCGCACCACTGCATTCCAGCCTGGGCAACAGAGCGAGTCTCTGTCTGAAAAAAAGAAAAAAAAAAGAAAACAGAAATTATCATTTAATTGACTTGGAAGTTATATCAACCATCAGTATTAAAAATAAAAACCCAGTGCCTTCCCAGCTGTAATATGCATCTGCATCACCTGTGTACCTCTGCATATCATCTGGCAGGTTTAAGGTGGGGCCTGAAACTCTACATTTCTCACAAGCTCCCAGGTGTTGCCTATGTTGCTGGTTTGGGAGTGTGCTTTAAGAAACAAATTTAAACTATAAAAGTCTTGTGTTGCCAGGTTTCATTGCCTTTGTTGTGCTTATGTTATTATAGGCAGAAACATACATGGAATAATAAAAGATTTCTGAGAAAACAGAAGTAGAACAGCTGTTTTCATTTAATGATTCTCTTAACAGGTAGAATAAGCAGATTCTATTTCCATCTTTTCCAGAGATACCCAAGGTCCTCCTGAATTCGTGTGACCATTGTGGACTTCGTAATCTCACAGTAGAGCTTTCCTCTCAAAATGGAATCTCAATTTGCAGAGTTTCTTGGGCAACCATCCCCATTTAAAGCTTGCTATTTATAAGTTTCTTTTCCTTAGAGCACTATACTGGTTAGTCTCCTCTGATAAAATAGTCAATGCTTAAATACAAGAACTTTCTTGACTTTTTAGCCTCTTCCAATTTGTTTTAACATTTTAACAAGTTTCCATAGGTTATTAATTCCAAAAAATGAATAAAGAAGCAAAGTCAGGCAAGGCAAGATCAAGAGAGCTTTCCCAAAATGCAGCTCACTTTATTACCAACAGGTAGTCTTAAACAACACAAAGTATGAGTTTTGGTGATTTAGTGAAAGTGCTAATCCAATTTTTTTTTTTTAAATTGCCAAACTAGTTGTATCGGCCTGCTTAATCAAAATTACCAATTTATTTTTATTGTTCTTGTTAATGAGCTGAATAGTATAGCAATTGGATTTCTTTTTGAATCTATAATTTCAGTATTGGCAAAGGGCACAACTGTGGCAATATGCCTTTTATTGATTATTTTTGTTAATTCATTTATTTCATGTGCTCTGTTCTACACCTTGGATTTCTTTAACGCAACTTAGTTCTTATGAGAATGTAAATAAAATGGTGTCAGCAGAGGCAGATTTACCATAAAGCTAATAAAACATTATATTCACATGATGATGTGTTTCTGTAAAATTTACTAAAATTTGGTACATTCACTTCCATGGATTAAACACCCTCTTCCTGGCCCACCCTGTCAAACTCCTCTGCAAAGTATGCAATAACTAAAACTCGGAGTTGGTACTTTTATAATGAGCAACCAGCAAGGACTGGGAGCTGGTAGATCATATTCAGAACATACCAACAGCAGGGAATCATTGAGAGCAAGAGATACATTTTTGATACAATAAATGACTAGGCTCTTGGGTTGTTTGATAATCCAGTTAATGAAAACAGAGAACCATATGAACACGTTGGAGAAATATTAAGATTTCCTGATGATTTGATACAAAGGACGGTCATTGGCAAAGATAACATAACTCATGCCGCTAAAGCAAGGACATCTACTAACTTGTTAATGAGTGTTGAAAATCCCAAGTACATTTAAGACCATTCACTGCACAGGGAAAGGTGACAGGCCCAACAATCTCTCAGTCTTACAGTTTACATATGAGAGAAACTTGATAAATATTTTCCCCAATAATTCTAAGCATGCACATGATATTACAATAACAAATGGTGCAGTCAAAAGAAATTTTTTTAAACTAGTAAAAAGAAAAAAACCCATAAATTTTCGTTGACCTTGCTTGAGGAGAAATTCAGTTTTATTTTCTCTATAGAAAATATTGTTTTGTTGTCATGCAGAAACAAAGAGGATACAAACAAAAATATAGTTAGCAAAATATTACAGATGTGGACCAGGTCAGTTAATTAAAGAAAATATATAATTTTTCTGGATCTTGTGAGGTTTTTGACAATTATCAGCATTTTGAAAGTTGTAAATTATTGTAATTTTCCCACTATTCTAAATTCTAAATGAATAGTCACTTAAACGAAATGTGATATTTGTAATTTTACATTCTGTTTCTTAAAGGACTTTGAAGGTAGTAGAACCGTCAAGTCCCACAAAACCTGCATCTGTCCCTAATATCAGAATAACTTGAAATTCTAGTAAGTAAGTTCATATAGGATGTTTGTTAGCATGTTAATATTTTGAAATTAGGAGCAGGTTTTTTTTTTTTTCACAATAAAGGGAAAATCTTAGGAACATGTGAAGAAAGTAAGAAACTCAAAATATAGACACCCTTCTTTCAGTGCAAATGTGGCTGGTTTGATGTCATCCAGAACCACCACAGTTTGCTCTCTGGAGAGGCTGCCAGTACAGATGAAAAAGCTGGGAAAGCAATTCCACCCATGTAACTAACCCTCACTCCTCTAAAAAGAGATCAATGAAGATAATTGCCCTGGACCATATTTTGGATTTTATGAAATTGGTCTCTATTACAGGAGTGTTATCAAGGACCAGCATGAGAAAACAGAGCCCAGAATAGAAGTATGCAAAGAATGAATGAGATTCTAAGTGCACATGTCTGTGGAGAGTTAACTGGGCTGTAATTCTAATATTGCTATTATTTGGGATAGGGTACTTGTTAACAATGCTCTGTAGATTTTGAGTTCATCTGTCCTGTTTGTATTTTCCCCATACATTCTGTTACTTTTAGGGCATAATTATGTTGAATGTGAGCTTTTTCCAGAACCCATTTATGACAATAAAGCAGGAATGCTTGTATTTATACTTTGCCTATTTGTAAAAAGTAGCTTCTAAGATAAACATGATGCAAAGCAAAAGCGTAGGACGTAAAAGAATATCTGAGGAAAAAAGAGGATGGAGAAATTATGAACAAAATGCACAGAATGACAACAAATACTTGTCCTCAAATGGAAGAAGTACTAATAAATAAAACTGGTCACAGTTACCTGGCACTTAAGATAGAAAGAAGAAAACAATTTTAACAGAGTTTTATTTTGGTATGAAATGAATCACAGAAATTAAAGTTAATACCCAAAGTGAGAACCCTGTCTATAAAAGTAATCTACAAAAAGAAAGAAAAAAAGATTTAAGTGGGTGAGGTGGCAAGCGCCTCTAATCCCAGCTGCTGGGGAGGCTGAGGTGGGAGGATCGCTTCAGCCCAGGGGTTCGAGGTTGCAGTGAGCTATGATTACACCACTGCACTCCAGGATGGGCAACAGGGCCAGATCTTGTCTCTAAGAGAAAAATACAATAAAATAAATAAATAAAAAGTTGATACTATATGGAGAAAGCATTCCAGCACTGAGCAGAGGTCACAGTAGGTACTCAGAAAATGTGGGAGGAAGAAATACAGGCTTTGCAGTCAGATGACCTGGTTTTCAGCCCAGCTCAGCGATTTATTAGTGTTCTGACCTTGGACATGTTATTTACCTCTTTAGACTTTGCTTTGTCTGTAACAAAGGAGTAATAATAACTATCTCAGAAGCACAAGGTAAGTACCTGATAATGTTATATGGTAATACTGTTGTTGTTATTATTTTGCCAAAGATGTGAAAACATAATTCAGATGGACAGGTTATTATATCCCACTTTAGGAAATCAAAGACCATAACATTTGATTATTATCTAGGAAGGCATTTCTCTGGACGCTTTGCTTTCTGAGTAAAGGTCCAGCACTTGAAAGCTCTAGATAAAAAGTTCCTCTCCTTGGGCGGATGCTATGACAGATCTATTTTGTGGGTGCTTTGAAATCTGGTCCACAGACTGCTTTTTATGACTGATGAAAATAGACATCGCCCCTGGTCGTGAGGGTTACCGCGTGCAGTCTGTGATTGGGATGCACCCTGAGAGACCCAAGGCAGTGAATCCTGCCAGTGGGATCACCAGGCTTTGTGACGTGAGGCTCCCCAGTCAGTAGCAAAGGTCACTGTAGGAACTCACCCCGATGGTTGCTGGAGAAGCAGCGCTTGACCTGCCCGTCTCTCCTTCCTCCTGTGACTCAGGTCCTTGCAGTTGGGTTCAGGGGACTCTGCAGATTTGAGCCACTTAATCAAATCTTCCCACTTCTTCATGCAGATACTAATCTGCCTTTCGAGTTCTTGGGTTACCGCCTGGGAGGGAACAGCAGGTGCCAGACAGCAGAGAGTGGCTGTAGGAGACACTGTGCTCCTAGCACTTTGAGCTTCAAGTTTCACCTTGGCCCTGCACATTAGGGTGATGGCAGTGGCAGCGAGTGACTTGTCTGCCTCACATGCTGTGGAGACAGGGAGGCGAGAACGTGTCGCTGCCATCGTGGAGCCGTTTAAGGACTATGACTACTGTTGCTATCTCTATAGAAATGGACTGGATATCGCCTTTTAGACAGGGGAGGGCATTGAAAGCCACCAGATTTTAATGTCTGTCTTACATCAGCTTTCAACCTTAAACAACTATATTAAGTGCTCTTTGGGTTAGACTGAAATGCTTAGAGAACCTCATTATAGAGTTTAATTATCATGGCATTTTATAAATGGGAAAGATGAGTGCAGTTGGGAGAATCCTGCTCTCTCAGTGCTGACAATGCTGGTTAGGATTTCCGTAACCGCTAGAAGGTGCATTTTGCATTTCTTGCAGATGTGCATTGTGAAACAGGAAACTGGAAGGGGGAAGGAGAAAAAAAGCAACAAGACACCACCAATCTGTTTTCTTTTTTGAAATTGTAAATTACATTAAAAAAAGAAATTGAAACATGAATAGACAAAGACTTTGTTTATTTATTGCCAGGAGAGGTGCATTAGGATGCCACCCTGTGTTTCCATGGCATTGAGGAGAAATAAACAGGAAACACGGGCTAATGCATTCAGTTAGGCACAGATTTTAAAGTCTAATGTGCAATCTAAATATATATCACAAGTATTCTTGCCATTTATTTATCTATTGCATAGCCAGCAGTTAAGGGGGAGCCTGCTCAACTAATGGGAAGCTGTGATCTGTTTGTAAATGTGCCTACAGGCTCAAGCCTTTGACATCTGATGTGCATCTATGGCATGTCTGTGCTCTTTGTTACCTTGGAATCACTTGTTAACCTACCTTTGCCTCTTCTAGATGAGGCGTAGTAAATTCAAATGCTTTAATTCACCTTCTATGTAGGTAACCTAAAGGCGGCAAGTGAGCTGAGCTAAGTATATATAAATCACTGTGAATGGCACAGATACAGGAAATTGGAGAGCCCAGGCTCTCTGGACAGCCGGCAATTCTTGACAAGCACACACATAGACTTATTTCAGAAGATTTGATGAGTTTTCAAAGGGATCTGTAAATCTACATTTTTACTTGAAATATGTTGGCTAAAAAATTAGCATATTTATTGGCCAAATGCAACAGGGCAGGTAGGGTGCAAAGGTTGCCAGTTTAGAAGTCTGATTTTTGTGATAATAACTTCACGGTTTTTGTTGTTGTTTTTAAAAGCATAGAGCCTTTACCCTTTCAGTGATGTAAATGCATCCTGGATATAATGTAACTGAGTCAATGCCAAAGCAGGGCCCAGAAAGGATCTAGGGCTTCTGGCTCCTCGTTTAGTATTTTTCTTCATTGCCATGTTTCCACTTGCCTTTCTTCTTTAGAACTTTGAGCTTCCTCTTTTGTCTGAGAAAAGCATCGAGCAGAGGAAAGAGAGAAGTCAAAACCTAAAGTCAGGAATAATTTAGCACTAGGCTACAAAGAGCTCATCAGTGAGAGAACAACTGATTAGAACTGAACAAGAGAGAGTAACCATTGTATTGGACACCATGCTTAAAAAACTGGGTAAATGCCACTCAAGGAAGATCAAGCCAGTTAACCATAAAAACGAGAAAATAGGGCTCTCTAGGCTCAGTGAATACTTATAATTGTTACTGCTCACATGAAATCCACTGGTGTCCTTTGTGTGTACCACCACCCTTAGTTTCAGGAATTCTCCACCATTCCTATATGTGGTGTCTGCCTTCAAGGGGTAGGGAGTAGAGTGGCAGAGACCTGTGATCTATGCTCTGTTATAAATAAATATGGCCTTGCAGGCAAACTTCGCATGTTTTTGCCAAATCTAAGGTGCAAAGAATTTTTTTTTTTTTTTTGCTTGTGTTTTTAGAATAGTGTGGTTTGAATCAGGCTAGCTGTGAAAATATATAAGCCTTCAGAGCAGAAGTGTGCTTATTGCTTGCAATCAAATAAGAAATTAAATATTATTTTGAAGCTATTTTTTCTTACATCCCTAAAAATAAAATGGATTGTTTGAAAAACATATCTAAACAAATGAAATAATTAACTTGAAAAATGTCAAAAGCGTTCCACTGCATTATGTTTTCATTCTCTTTTACTTGGTTTGTCTGACATTTTATGACTATGGTTAGGTCACTGTTTGGGGCCAACTTCCTTTGTCTCATTGCCTTTTGCTTTTCATGGGGTCATGTTTATGTTGCAGGACTTCTCCTTAGTTCAGCTAAAGATGGGGTCTTTGTCCCATGGCCACAAAAATTTAGGCTCACAGACTGTTTGAAGGATGAGTAAGACAGGGTTTTATGAGGTGAAAAGGAAGAAAAGGGGGAAACAGGCGCCCTCTGTGAGGCCAGAGTCCCCTGCTAGAGCACTTCCAGAGCTCAGCTTGAATCCCAGGTTCCGCACAGGAAGAGGAGGGGCCAGGCCCCTCCCTGCTGCAACAGCAGGAACTTCCCCAAGCTCCACCCCAGTGCGCAGGCCAGTTAGAGTTTTTCCAGGGACCCCTTCCACCTGGCTGTCTCATTTACACTCTGGGTGGGAGCCACTTCTTTTCTTCTTAGGTATTTTCATGTTCTTTTTTCATTTCCAAATGTCTATTAAATAGGAAATACCGTATTCTAGCTGCAAAGTTAGTGTGTGTCTTTCTCACCCCCTGGCCATTCACACAGAGGGTCTGGTGTTCTGTGAAGATGCTCCCCTTGCTACTGTTATCACAGTGTGCTCGGATTACCTGCCAAGTGCTTGCTGTATAAATTATAGCTGCCTGGTGGGAGCTTTAATTCTCATGCTTGATGTTTCAAAAAAATATTTTCAAGGTTGAACTCCATAAATCCACGTTTTTTGACTGGGTTATGTCTGCTCTCATTTTTCCTTTTCTTCCTCCTGTGTTTGGAATTAAATCTTCTTTAGTGGAACAGGGAAGAAGGTACAGAAACTCCACAAGAAAGAATACTGTGATTTGATGTATCTCAGTTAATAAATGCTGAGTTGGCATAGATTTGAGAGAAGTATATTATAGGATAGTAATTATTTATTCAGATGAGCCAGCCCATTTATATTGACGGCAATTTTGGTCCTTAAGATTGCTTTTTCTGTTTTGTACACTTGAGTGCATGTGTACACTGATGGACATGAACATTGGAATATGCAGATCGAATTCCAGACCACCAAGTGATTCAAAGCTGAGAAATAAGGATTTACTTTTTGTCTGGTTTCAAGTTTGGCAGAAACTTAATTCCTTCACCTAATTTTCTTGCCTTGTCTTTTCTCTTCTCACAGCAACTAAACACAGATTGAATTTCCAGATTTAACTAATTGACATCCTGGAGCTACAGGAAATTCAGACACAGGATTAATGGTGAAAGGCAGGCACCATGGGAATTCCTTAAGAGGCCGGAATTGAACAGTGCCTGGAATAAGATTTGGAAAGCAAAGTTTTGCTAATAAGTAATTCTGAGGAAAGGACAGAGAATGAATCACTATGAGGTTGAATGATTAGCAAAGTGAGATTTGAACTAAATGTAATGATTGATGACGATGATGTAACTAAACATGCTATTTTAAATTACTTCCTTTGAATAGAGTTTCTTGTAGCTGAAGACCTTTTCTTTGCTGCTGGATGGGATATGTAAATTAGAGCCAGAAGCTTGGGCAGCTCTGAATGATGAAGGGAGGAAGCAACGGAAGTTCCTAAGACAATGCACAGGCCAGGAAATACCTAGGGGATCTGCAGAGCTGGGAAGGAGACAATCAGTGATGCTGGACAGGAATCAGGGAAAAGCGGAGGAGAAGAAACCAGACTGGGGACAGCTGTTGTGTCTGGATGGAATTTTGCTGTGGTTGTGATTGGTAATGTGATGTGAAGTCTTTCCTTTTGCCACATCTTTGGGAATCCTCCATTGTTCCTCAGTGTTTTGGGTGCATGTGGGTTACTTTTGCAGTCTGTAGGTGTTGAGGTTGACATTAAGGTTGAAGGCAAAAGCAGAGTCTATAAGCAGGAAGAAGCTTATATCTGGATTGGAAGAATAGCAGTTATAGTAGTAACAACAATGATAGTTATATGAGCTGGCATTTGTTGAAAGCCTACTATGTTCCAAGTACCCCATATACGTTAACTTATTTAAGTTTTGCAACTCTGTAGAAGTGGGACTGTTGACTCCCTGCTATGTCTCTGTCTTCACCTCACTCCCTGGATTGTTCTGAACCCCTAACAGGCACTCAGAGAGTTAGCATCCTCTTTCCTAAGCCCTAGCTTGCTTATTTTTGGCTTTTCCTTCTAAGCAATAACAGTGGCATAAACTTGATACAAGAACATAAGTTTATTACCCAATGTTGACTAAACACAGTCAGTAGAAGTAGTTACAGATGGCATATAAACCTCTCTTCTAGGTGCATAGTTGAAGTTGACCCTTTAATAGGTAACTCATATTCTTCCCCTTTATGACATGCACAATCACCTTCCCAGATTCTTCCCCAAGTAGAGCTAAGTAGACTCTGGTGTCACCCCTAATTATGGCTTATTTCATTTTCATGTGGTGCCTCATTATCATGCAATTACCATAAATCAGAGGCATCTTGCCAGGGCATCTGGGTAATGGAATATGCTCAGTACAGACTAAACCAAGAACTGGGGCTTGACCTCTCAGTCTTTCTTTGCTTTTGACTACCTTCCTCCTGGAGGCAAAACAATGCAAACAATCCCAGTGCTTTCTTGTTTTTTTCTCATTTTGTCTTCCTCCCTCCAACCCCCACCCCAAGGACAGGCTGCCCTGCAAAGTTTCTGTAGCACAATCTCCTCTCCTCCCAAACCATAGATTCTTCTCTAATCAATACTCTACTGTGATTCAATGATGTGAAGAGGTAATATCGTTCCCTGTTTTACAGATGAGATTTAGGAAGGTAAAGTAAGCCATTCAAGGTCACACAACTAGGAAGAGATGGAGCTAGAATTCCAGCCTGAGACTGACTCTCAAAAGGAGCCTCTTTCTTTCCCATACTGGCTCTTTTCCCTGGGTGCAAAGGAGTTATGAAGGACAGCCTACAAATTATGGCAACTCTCTCCTTCTACTATGGGCAAGGGCTGGACAATCAGGGCGTGTAGGGTGAGCAAGCGTTTAGAATCATGAAGTTAATTTGCAACATCTATTTATCCATTTCCCTGAGTTTTTTTTTTTTTTAGTTTAAACTTTCTTTTCATTAAAAATATAAAGTCACCATCTAGGTATAAGTTAGAATTAGTTCTAGTAAAAGTTGCAGCTGACATTACATTTTTGTGATAACACTTACATGATTAATTATTTAAAGTGGGAATTTGGGGCAACACACTTTCCATGCATTTTTTAAAAATTCAAGTACGAAGTTTCCCCACCAAAATTATTGCAGAAGAGATAAAAGAAAATCTTGCTTAACAGCAGGAGCATATAAAATTACTTCAACACAGAAAATATCTTTGATTTTACTCTAAGGATAACTCTGAAATATCAAGCATTAAAGACAACAAGTTTTTACAAATGCATTTCTTCCCACACTGACAATTGTTGAGAATATACTTTGCTCTATTATACTGTATTAATATAGAGAATGTAAACAATGTCAAAATATACCCATGCACTTCCATCCCAGCAACCACCTGAGGCTGTCCTTTTAAAAAAAATTTAAATTTAAATTTTTATTTTTCTGAAAACATGTCAGGTTCATAGAGGCTACCTTTGATATTGTGGGATCTGCTTGTTTTCCTAGCTAGTAAATTGCTCTGGGATTTTTTTCTTTTTGATATACTGCATGTGAATTTTTAAAAGCTTTTTATTGCAAAAATGTTCAAGCACACAAATTTAGAGAGAATCTCATACTTAACCCCCAGTTTTTCATTTTGCTTCAACAGTTGCTAACTGATTGAAACATCCTTTGCAAGTAAGAGACAAGTAAGAGATGTCTGAATGTAATTGACTCCATCTTGCTTCTGACCTCCAAGCTGTCCTTGGTCATTCCTGGACAGAGGTCAAGCTAATTTTGGGAGAAATTTAGCTTATAGTTTAACTTGAAAGCAAGGATGATAATAATCCCCCCTAAATCTTCCCTGCTTGCTCGGGAACAAACACCATCTTTGTTAAATTAATGAAAGGCTACAAGAATAGGACTATAGGAAGGGCATGAACTCTGATAAGAAATAGGTGTAGTTTTTGTAATCCCTTACCACTCAGGAGTCATGTGGCCAGAGGTGACAGGATTTGTGGCTTCCCTAGCTGTTCCCATAATAGCATCACTATTGTAGATTGTTTTTGCAAGAATTTTTTCCAGAAGGATCCTACCAGGACCAGTGACTCATGACTTAACTGGTCCTGAGGCCCCACCCGGAGGTGAACTCAGTGCATGAGAACCATTTTTCATACCTCTATGATTTTAGCACCAACCAATCAGCAGCATCCATTGCCTAGCTCCCTACTCACCAAATTGTCCATAAAAACCCTAACCGTGAGCCTTTACGGAGACTGATTTTAGTGATAACTCCAGTTCTCTCCCATGGGCCAGACTGGCGTCAATTAAAGTCTTTCTCTATTGCAATGTCACAGTCTTGGTGAATTGATTTTGTCTGTGTGGTGGGCAGGAAGAACTCATCAGGTGATTATTACATCATGGCAAATCGTATTTATTCCATTTTTGTTACTCCACAGGTTTTCTGGTGGGGGAAGAGGGTAAGGGAGAATATAGTATTTCAAAGCAAACTTCAAACATATCATTGTATGTAAATCTGAGTCTCCTTTTAAATATCTCTAGATGATTTCCAATTTTTCCACATGGTTCCTATATATAGCAAACATTCAAAAGGTTTTTCCCCATTAATTCTGAGAAATGATTGAGAGACTACAGGAAGATCCGTGAGCATGCTATGGATTTTTCCGGTGTCAGCAGAAATCCTGTTTGTGAAATAGGTAGACCCAGCAGTGGTCATGAATGATGGCTTGACCGTGTGCTGGCTGTGCTTCTTAATGCTGGCTTTTCCTCTGCTATCTTTTCCAGCACCCAATAGGGATCTATATAAAAGACAAGGGACTATGTAATGACAATTGCTTATACAAAACTCATAAAATTTGCATGCAATTTAAATACAGATTGGGCTACCAGTGGGCATGGTTCACTGACAAGCACTCTCATGCTGAGTCTGGGCATTGTGTCCTCAAAGGCTTGACCCCTCCATGGAGATCTGAGGAAGAAACACATGCAAAGAAAAATCCAACTCTGTTCTGCAGTCCTGGCTTCTGTAGCTTCACTTGTCCTCATGGTTTTGGAGTCAAGGCAGAGAAGAGAGTCATTTTACATACACGATCTCAGCAACCTCTACTGATGGCCCCTTCAAATGACTCTGAACCCATAAAGGGGGTTGATGGATGGAATTGAGGCTTCATTTAGCTAGAGCTGCTCATGTGTTTTTTTGTTTTAGCGTCTCATTATCAAAAGAAGGTACTTGAGAGATTAGGGCCTGAACAGACATTAGAATGAATAGTTGATATTTAAAACATAATTTTTGATGACTCATCCATTCCTTTATTTAGTTTATATTAGGTTTGTGCAAAAGTAGTTGTGGTTTTGGAAATAAAATTAATAACAAAAACCTGCCGGGCATGGTGGCTCATGCCTGTGACGCCAGCACTTTGGGAGGCCAAGGCAGGTGTATCACCAGAGGTCAGGAGTTTGAGACCAGCCTGGCCAACATGATGAAACCCTGTCTCTACTAAAAGTACAAAAAAATTAGCTGGGCATGGTGGCAGGTGCCTGTAATCCCAGCTACTTGGGAGGCTGAGGCAAGAGAATCACTTTAACATGGGAGGCGAAGGTTTCAGTGAGCTGAGATGGTGGCACTGCACTCCAGCCTGGGAAATAGAGCGAGGCTCTGTCTCAAAAAAAAAAAAAAAAAAGTAATGACAAAAACTGCAATTATTTTTGCACCAACGTGTTCTAGATGCTGTTCAGCATTTTGGAGTTATGACAGTGAACAAAAAGACAAAGTCTCAGTCTTCATGGAGTTTATGTCATAATGGGAGAGATAGACAATTTGTAAATACATAATGGTAGTTGTGTAAGCAATATAGAACAAGTGGAATGGTGATAAGATGGAGCCTGACTAGCAACAGAGAGGTAGTACTTTAGATGAGAGAATGTATCAGGCAGGACTGGCAGGGTCAGTGCTACTCAAAGTGTGGTCTGAGAGCATCAGAATCACCTAGGAGGTTTTTAGAAATCCAAATTTCCAAACATCTACAAGAAATTTGATCTAAAGATGCAAGACTTACTGAATCAATCTCTTTGGGAAAGGAGCTCTCTAGGTGATTCCTTTGCACCTAAAATTTGTGATGCACTGGGCCAGGTTATGCAATGACCCTGAAAACTGAAAGTTGAAAATAGTTTCATGTTGCACACTCATGATCCACCAGCAGGGGCCTCTTTTCTTCCTAGTCTTTTAGTGGCTCAGGGTGCAGTAGCTGCCATCATTGAAAGCATCCATGGTTGTTATGAGAACAAGAAAGGGGGTCTTGTAACTTGATGTTCCAGTGAGGAGGTGATACACATCACTTCTGTTCACAACCAGTTGGAAAGTGCTAGTTCCATGGCTGCACCTGATCCCAAGGGGCCCAGGAAGAGCAATGCTACCATGTGCTTAGAAGGAGAAGCGTAACAGGTGAGCAGAAAAGGCTGGCTTGAAGCCACTTCATGAAAGTTGAGACTCGATGGATGAGCAAGAGTCAGCCCTGTAAAAAAAAATTTCAGAAAAAGGTAACAGCAAGTATGAAGGCCATGAATCAAGATTAAGTAACTCTCTGCTCTTTGCTTATGTCCAGAGATAGAAGTAAATGGAAGTAAAAGGTAATTGATCCTATGAGCCCAGAGAAATTGTGCATTATTTCTATATGACTACTAATGACTACAGAAGCTAATATCAAAAATTTTGTCTCATATTCTTGAGTTGTCAATACTCCATGTCCAATTATATCTCCTATGGTTGCCTTTGAGATTGATATGTTTTAGGGAAGTGGTACTACATAGTAAGAAATACATGGGCCTTGCTTCCAATCCTTGCTATGCCACTTACTTAGCTATGTGTTTGTGGGCAATTTATTTAAGCTCTTTAACATTCAGTTTGTTTTTCATCTGTGAAGTGGGGTTGTAATACCTTCCTTTCAGGGTTATAACACAGATGAAGAAATCTGAGAGACCTTTCTAGTACAATTTGTGGCATTTCTGTCTAATAGCAGACTCAAAAGATATTATTCTTTGTGTCTAACAGTAGAGTCACAAGGCACTAAATAATGTTACTGATTTACAGTGGAAGAGATTCACTGGATCTTGGGAATTGAAAGGGATCTTAGAATCTCCTAGTTATTTTCCCATCCAATGCAGAATTCCGCAGAAACTTCCTGTCACTTGATCACACAGTCATGCTGGAAACTCTAGTGAGAAAAAAACCCTTCCCTATTTGAGAAAGTTCCTTTCAATCCAGCATTTCCCAAAACATGTGTTTTGACCAGTTCATTGATATGGCTAATTCATGCTTGATTGAGGAATAATGTGTTGTAAGGAAATTTACAGAGTTCCAGGTTCAACAAAGTTATACAGATTTCTTTATTATACAGCTTTTTAGACCCATCATATTTTCATAAGCATTGTGATTTTCTAAAAAAGCGCTGTGCTGTGCAGTGTTTTTCTATGTAACATTTCCTCCCAAGGCGTCTTAGAGGACTACTGTTTTAAAAAAAACTATGATAAATACTGATACAAATATTAGAACTCTCTTCTTTACACTGAGGCAAATTTAGCTGTCTAATGAATTGAAACCCTTTCTCTTCTTCTTCTTCTTCTTTTTTTTTTTTTTTTTGAGGTGGAGTCTTCCTGTGTTGCCAGGCTGGAGTGCGGTGGCACAATCTCAGCTCACTGCAAACTCTGCCACCGGGGTTCAAGCGATTCTCCTTCCTCAGCCTCCCTGTAGCACCTGCCACCATGCCCAGCTAATTTTTGTATTTTTTTTTCAGTAGAGACAAGGTTTCACCATGTTCGCCAGACTTGTCTTGAACTCCTGACCTCAAGTGATCCACCCGCCTTGGCCTCCCAAAGTGCTGGGTACTGAGAAACCCTTTGTCTTGTCTCTGCTCTATGGAATAACAGAAACATTTCTACACTGATTTCTACTCAACAGATCCCATAGAAACAATGTATGAATCAGAGAAATGGTTTGACGTAAAATAGAATACATCTGTACAGTTTTTGCAATACACAAGGCCTTTCAATACCGAGTACTTGTTTGACCCCTGTCATGCATGCAGATTGATGGCCCAAAAAACAGGAGCTGAGAAAAAAATCTGTTATTTCTAATTAAACACTGAAGAAAGTATTTATCTAAAGAACAAGGAGATTGTGTGTAATCCCCTATGAGTGCTGTTGATGCCTCCCATTATTCAGCCATCCTCCTGCAGGCAATATTATATCATCTGGGAGTCCAGAATGAACAAGGCAGGAAAGTTAATGGACTGGCCACGGCCACTAAGGGAGTCTGTGTGTCAGATCCCCAAATAGAAGGCAAAGGTGTCTGGCTCCTGTGGTCTCAGCTCACGAGCCATACCACATTTCCTAAGAGGGTCATTTGATGCTGGGAGGGGAAGGTGAACTGGCGACAGAATGAGAAGGTTTTAATGATGCTCCTTCCCTTCTGTGACATCTTTGTGATGAGATCTTCTGATGTCTCCAAATCCACATTAGTTATGTAATGCAATCAGAAATTGCTGCAGTCATCAGAAGCATAGGATGGACAATTATAGATCTACTTTGAGCATTTATTTGAGTAGTGAGTAATCCTCTTGCCAAAAAAAAAATGCCTTTACTCTTATAACTTTTCTTTGTAGAAGATGAGGCATTATGGATGTAATGCAAAGAACTCTGGTATGGAAGTCAGGATACCTGAGCTCTAGGCCTAGGTGTGTGTGACCAGTAAGCAGTATAATCAGGAGCAAGACAATTCCTTCTCCTGAATCAGATTCCTTATCCTTAAAGCAGATGGGTTGGACAGATTACCTCTCAGTTTTACCCCACCTCTGTAGTACTATAAACATACTACCAAAGTTCTTTTCAGTGAGACAAATTCTTTTTAATTCTCAAAATCAGGTATGTAAGAAGTAATTGTATTGCTGTGTTTAAATCAATCTACATGTGACTCTGAGCTCTCATGTGGCCCATGTGATGTTCAATCTCAGACATCATTGGTGTTAACATTCCCCACACAGATGTATTAATATATTTCACTGCCTTTTTCAGTGCCAGAACATTAGCAAATTCTGGAATTATCAGCCATAGGACCACACTGGTCAGCACTAAAATGCTACTGTGTCCACTGGCCTGATGGCATGATGCCCTGTGTCTCAGGGCTCGTGTGTCATGCTTGAAGCATAGGTCTTTGTGCTAAGGCTGGAGCCAGCGTCTAAAGTCCTTCTTCCCTGGTGAGTCAGGAAGGCATTTCCTTCTTGATGACCTCCCCAGAAACTACCATACAGGGTCTCTGCTGTCCTGAGTCCTCTGAATTTCTTGTCTTGTTCAACAATCTAAGAGATAAAATTCTCTCCTCTTTTTCAGTATTCCTCCAAGACGCTCTTCTTTCTCTCTGCCCTCTCCAAAAGATAAATATCTCTGAAAAAAGTTTCTATTTTAGAAAAGAAAAAAGGAACTTTTGTCTTCAAGTAGTTTCTGCTTTGTAGCTACACATATCCCTGAAGCAAGGAAATACTAAGTGCCTGGCTACCTGCTTAAAACAGAGGAAAAGAAAACATGGGAAGACAAATATTAACAACTTCACAAATTATAATGAAACATTTGTAATAGACAACTTTGTAATCTGTGGGGGAGAAAGAGAAAATCTTAAAACATTTGTTATTCATGAATAACATACTTTTAAGTGCAGGATGCTTAAAGCAAAGATAAGCAAAAATGAAATTATATATTTAAACCATCTATGATTCAATTTCTAATTGAAGGCTATTTTTAATATTTGGGTGTATATATTTTCACACTTTATGCATAGATACTATTACTATTATTGTAATTAAAATAGCTACATTTATTGTTTGTTGAGATAAAAGAGGCATGCGGGAAATCTAATCCATGATAGATACAGAGGCCAAGTCTTTGAATAAGGAAATATTTAAAAAAACTAATATTTACTAAAGATTTAACATATATCCGTATACCAATCCTGTGCAACATTCTTTAGGTGTATATTTTCACTTACTGTTTGTATCAAGCCCACGAGGTTAGTATTCTTAGTAGATACTGCTGGTCATCTATAAGGTCTCCATTTTTCTCTCCAACTTTCTAAAAGAACTGCAGTTTTTTCCGGAATCCACCTCTCTTCTTTGCAATCTGTGTCTCAGGGGAAGCTGTCCCCACCTCTAACTTCAGGGATGGGCCCAAGAGATCTAAGAGGAACTCCATTCCTGATTAGTTCAGCCATGTATTGGTTACTAAGTTCTGGACAACAAGACACAAAGGAAAGTTCGCTGGGTGATCTTAAGAATCCCAAGAGGAGGCTGTTTCTTTCTTTTTTTTTTTAGACATCACTGAGTGTGATGTAATGTATCTTACTGCTTAATTGATTTTTTGAGTTGGCATTTCTGTTTATTGGAACTGCAAGCATCCCATCTAACAGACAGGATGAAGTTGAGGCTCAGAGGTTTCATAGCTAATAAGACAGACTCTATCTTGAGTCTGTCTGAGGCCACAATCCCCACTCAGAAGTTTGAAATTTGTTTTTACTAATGAGTCACTGGTATTTCTGTATTGGTGAACTTGCTGCTTTTGTCCTTTGGCAAGGCATACTTTAAGCCCAATATAATTTTTGTTTTCTATAATTTGAGGTAAAATACTTGTGAGATGCTCTTTACATTGTTCTTGTACTTATTCTTAAAGCTGCTACTTCTATTCATAAATTAAATTCACCATTCTTGTTTGTTATTTTTGTTGTTATAACTCCAGAAGGTAGCATTTCAATATTAATCCAACACATTTAAAAAAAACAATGAACTGGTTATCATCTGTTATGTAAAACAATCTGCGTGCAAGTGCCATCCTGATTTTTGTGTGTCTCAGGAAATCACTTAATGTACTTTGAATTGTGGTGATTTGTTTTCTTACCATTGATGAGAAACTTACATGAATTTTTAAGTTTCTCAAAGACGAAGGCTGTGTATACTCATATTTTTATTCTTTTAAGTCAGTAGATATTTGTTGGACTGAGTAGAATAGAACCCTAGTCAATTTGTGGGAAGTGTGGACCACAGACTTACATTTATTGAGTGCTTAGCAAAATAGGTGGTAGGTATGTTCCAAGGGGGTGTGTGTGTGTGTGTGTGTGTGTGTGTGTATGTGTGTGTGTGTATATATATATATGAATGATATATATGATATGTATTATATATATGATACATATGTATTATATATGATATATATGATATGTATTATATATGATATATATGATATGTATTATATATGATATATATGATATGTATTATATATGATATGTATTATATATGATATGTATTATATATGATATATATGTATTATATATGAGATATATATGTATCATATATGATATATATGATATGTATTATATATATATGATATATATGATATGTATTATATATATATGATATATATGATATGTATTATATATATATGATATATATGATATGTATTATATATGATATATATGATATGTATTATATATGATATATATGATATGTATTATATATGATATATATGTATTATATATGATATATATGATATGTATTATATGTGATATATATGATATGTATTATATATTATATATGATATGTATGTATTATATATGATATATATGATATGTATTATATATGATATATATGATATGTATTATATATATGGTATATATGTATTATATATATGATATATATATTTAAGATATATATATATATGTTCCAAGGGGACATATATATATGCCCTTGGAACATACCTACCACCTATTTTGCTAAGCACTCAATAAATGTAATCATACATATATAAGATACAAGATATATAATATGTATCTTAGATATATATATCGTATATAAGATATACATATTTTAATTATCAAATAGTCTTATAGGTAAGATTTTATTATTTCCAGTTCACAGTTGAAGAGAAGTTCAGAGATGATAAATACCATTCATTCATGTATTCATTTAGTGAGTAAATATTTCTTAAGCATAGCCTACCTGCCAGACACTGTGATAGTTGCTGCAGGTACAGTGGTCAACAAGTTATAATTCCTGTCTTCAGAACGTTATAGTTAAGGGACAAAGACAAAGAAATAAAGGGCCAATTATTCTAGAGTGAGGTTCGAGAGGGAAGCACAGGGAGTTTTGGGAGTCAGGAAGAGGGACACTTGATTAAAATGTGGCAACTAGGAAGGGTTTCCATGAGAAAGTGACATCTAATTTGAATCCTAAAGAGAAAGTAAGAAGTGGCCAGGTAAAGGGAGAGGGAGGTGAGGCTGGATTTCAAGGGAGAAAGATGTCATGTACAAGTCTGAGCCTTAAATTAGCATGACACACTCAATAAGGGTAGAGAATAAGGTTTGACGGGGAGCAAGGGATGTGTCCGAAAAGACAAGTGTACATCAGATACTGAATCACCCTAGCTGATGTGCTAAGAATCTTGAATTTTGCTTTGTAAGCATTTGGGAGCCATTTCAGGCAAAGGAGTGAATTATCTTATTTCTGTTTTAGAAGGGATAGAGAATATCTTAGAGCAGGGTATGGCAAAGTTTTTCTTTAATGGACTATATAGTAAATATTTTCTGCTTTATGGGCCATAATATTGCTGTTTTAACTACTCTGTCTTGCTGCTGTTATTCTAGCACAAAAGCTACCATAGATAATATGTAAATAAATTGACATAGCTATATCCCAAGAAAACTTTATTTGTAAAAATAGGCCAGATGTTGGATGTGGTCAATGGGCTGTAGTTTGCTGAATCTTGGTTTAGAAGGAAGTGACAGTCAGGAGATAGGAGGCTGTTATAGTAACCCAGTCAAGCAGCAGTGGCAGTCTAAAAGAACACAGGGATTATTCAGGTTAAAAACTGGACAGATTTAAGAGGTATTAAGGAAACAGTATTCATCATTTTCTTATATCTAGAGGATCTAGATATCACCAGGATCTAGAAATTGATTTAATCCACAAGTAGAAGACGAAAGGGGAGAAGTAGAAATGGCTCTCAGCTGACTGGTATGGAATTGGTGTAGATGACTGTGTTTCAACTGAAGACAGGGTTGAAATGGAAAAGCAGGCTGGTGGGGATGGGGCAGGGAAGAAAAATCCCATTTTAGATACATCAAGGATAAAATATGTGTCAATATCCAGATGGAGCTAGATGTTCAGGTGGACATCTTCTGGTTAGGTACTCAGGAGAGTAATTCAGGCCAGCCACCAAGATTTATTGATCATTAACATTTTTGAAGTATAATCAAAGGTAGAGGCATGAAAGAAATTTACCAAGGAGAGTAAGAAGAAAAGAAGCAGCTCAGAAATGAACCCCAGGGAATCTTGATACCTAAGGTATAGGTGAAGAAAGTGATTTCCATGAAGGAAGCCACAGAGAGGTACGCAGAAACAAGAGAAGTAATGCCATGGAAGACAAGGAATTGATCCAGTAAAAGACAAAATCAACAGTATCTAATACTGTGTCCGTGACTTTTTGATCACTGATTTTGGATGGAACAATATCAGGGCAAGGGTAGAGAGTAAATCCTTTTTTTCCTTTTGATTGTTTATTTTTATTTTTAGTTTTTTAATTTGTAGGAATTTATGGAATGAAGTAAATCCTATTTGTAGTGAATAGAGGAGTATGGTAGAGGATGAGTTTTGACATCTCTTTTGAGAAATATGATTGTGAGGTGGAGAAAAGAAATAGATGGGGGTATGTGTGATGTGTTTTAATAAAAAGAGCGAGATTAGATAATATTTACATTCTAATAGCATACTTTTCAAGAGGAAATATTGATGATGTGTCAAAGCAGGGTCATTGTTGGAGGAAGATCTCAGAAAAAGTGGTCAAAAACAGGTTCCAGGGACAAGGTTAAGCACATACCCATAGGCAGAAGAAAGGTCACAGCTCTTTTCACTGGGACAGGGAAGCAGGAGGTAGGAAGGGTACCTAGCTTGTAGTAAGTTAGTAGGCGGGGAGTGGAGTAGGGAGCTGAGGGAGATCTATTTTCTCTGAGAAGTTTGAGGTAGAGTCTTTGCTGAGAAAGGAATAGTTACTACTGTTTGAAAGCTTAAAAGATATCAAGAGAGTTGAAAACATCCCTTTGGAAAGCTCAAGAGGAAAATAAAATACTTTTGGCAGGTCTTCAGCTTAGACAAGTCAAAGCTAGCATTGACGTTAATCTCTCTAAGGCTGGAATCACTATTTTGTCCATTACACCCATACTGCCAGTAAGAACTTACGCAATTTTCTAATTTTCATGGAACTACACTAGTTACAAAAGACCACAGACATAGTGGTATCTACTTTTGAGGACTTGATCAATTTTTTTAGTTTTTCTTACATAACATGAATGAAGCACTAGAAGAGGCTTGTCCAAGAGGTACTGTGTACATAGAGACTTCCATATGTCCCCATGTGCTGTGAAGACAGCAGACTGGATGGGGAAATATTTTAAGATGCAATTTCTCAACCCTAAGCAAACAGCCTACTAAGGCATTGTTCCAAGTGTTATGTGAAGAGGATAGCGGAAATAAAACAAAGATAAATGATAATCAAAGCAGGGATGCATGAAAACACTTTATCCTTACAAGAAGAGCAACATCTCAAGTGAAAATTTCAGAAATCGTCAAGAGCAGCTCACAATATCTTGCTGTCTTAGCATATTTGAGGGTTGTGAAAATGACTCTTTCATGAGCTACACTCCTTAGACCAGAGAGAGAGAGAGGTGGGTTGAAAAATTTACTTGCTCTTTGAAAGTTTCTTTCTAATACTGTATTATTTATGGTCAATCTCTTTCTTTTGGCCCCATAAAGTAGATATTTATTAGCAAATTTGAAACAGTCCAGAGTAAACTCACAGGTCAGTGATAAATTCACACAGACCAGGTGATGAGAGTATATTCTGAGGCGAGCTCCCTTAGCTAACCCATGGATGAAAACACTGGAGGAAGGCTTTATTGCTGTTTCCTGGTGGAGTGTATTAATTTGTCTAATCCAATATTGTATGAGCCACTCTCTTATTATGCTGATAAACAGGGTTTGTTCTTATAAACTGGTTGGGTTCTTCTAATGTGCATCACCAGGAGAAAAACATCAGAGGAAGTATGTGCAAGTTGGAATTAGAATAGATATTATAATTTACTTTCTTGGGATGGGCAGGGAGGATGTTTATAAATGACAGAACGTTTCATCCAGTCAGTATTTATCAGTGTACATAGACTTGGTTATTTTGGACTGGCCAATTATGCACTATATTAATATTTTATGCACAGCACACTACATTTCATAGTGTCACTAAAATTAAATCTGACTTCTACAAATACTGGCAGCAAACCAAGTCGTGTAAAACGTGGCTTTAGCATCATTCACTGGCATCTGTACTCTGTTCTAATCATCTCCAGTTCAAAGCAGCAGAAGGCCACATTTCTCCCCATAATAATTTGATAACTTAGATAATGTTTCAAACATGAAGGTTTGACCTTTCCTCAAACTGAAGGTTAAAGTTCCCCTTCCTTCAGGATTCTGTCACTGAGGTGATGTTCTCAGGAACTGTAGAGCTATGGTTAGCTATGGGGCATAGGCGGTTCCCAGCCTCCTCTTCTGTATATGACCCACACTCTGAGGGGTCAAGGGGTCACTTTCAGGTTGAGAACTACAACTGTAGAGAATGGTGAGATTGGGAAATATTTGTAAAGCATTTTCTGTATTAGTGAAGGATTATCAATGTTACATATGCACATGTATAAATTTATGATTGCTGAGGAAAAAACAATTAGCCAAGTCATAAACTATTCTTTTCTTCATATTTTAATTCTGATTTCCCAAATGCTTTGTAAGAGGCTTAGCCTTGTTTGCAGTTTTTAGTGTCCATAAATAAATGACAATTGATTTTCGATCTTACTAGATCTTGCTTTTCGTATCTCAAAGCCAGCTGAGCCCACACTTTCACAGGTGGATAGCTCTGTTCTAGACTTTTATGTCTTAAACCATAAGTCAAAAGGAAAATTTACAAAATATGAAATCAATCCTGTTACTGCAGTTGTTTTTAAGGCATTGTTTTAATCTATATTACATGTTATTTTAATTGATCTTTATTGCTGTTACTTAATAGTTAAAGGGTTAATGATTAAAATTATTTCTTTAAGTTGCATGATAATGCATGAATGTATTAATGTATTAGTCAATTTTCATGCTGTTAATAAAGACATACCCAAGACTGGGTAATTTATAAAGGAAAGGGGTTTAGTGGCTCACAGTTTGTCATGGCTGGGGAGGCCTCAGAAAACTTAAAATCATGGCAGAAGGGGAAGCAAACACATCCTTCTTCACATGGCGGCAGCAAGGAGAAGTGCAGAGCAAAACGGGAAAATGCCCCTTATAAAATCATCAGATCTCATGAGAATTCACTCACTATCATGAGAACAGGATGGGGGAAACCACCCCCATGATTCAATTATCTCCATCTGGTCCCTCACATGACACATGGGGATTATGGGAACTACAATTTAAGATAAGATTTGGGTGGGGACACAGCAAACCATATCAACTAAAGAGACGATTCTGGAGATTATTTTTACTTCAGCAGCATGCAAAAATTTAAAAACTCTCTTAAGTTAAAAAATACATTTAAAAGGCAAATTATTGTAAACATAAAGTACAAAAATCAATCATGTAATGCAGAGGTCCCTGACCTTTTTGGCACTAGGAACCAGTTTTGTGGAAGACAATTTTTCCATAGATCAGGGGTAGGTGGTTTCGAGATGATTCAAACACATTACGTGTATTGTGCACTTTATGATTATTACACTGTAATATATAATGAAATAATTATACAACTCACCATAATGCAGAATCAGTGGGATCCCTGAGCTTGTTTTTCTGCAACTAAATGGTCCCATCTGGAGGTGATGGGAGACAGTGACAGATCATCAGGCATTAGATTCTCAAAAGGAGTGTGCAACCTAGATCTCATATGCACAGTTCACAACAGGGTTTGTGCTCCTGTGAGAATCTAATGTCAGTGGCTGGTGATCTGACAGGAAGCAGAACTCAGGTGGTAATGCCAGCGATGGGGAGCAGCTGTAAATACAGGCAAAACTTCACTAGCTTGCTTTCTACTTGCTTCTTGCTGTGCAGCCCAGTTGCTAATAGGTCATGCACTGATACCAGGATTGGGGTCCCCTGATATAATGGACTTTTGTGTCATCACCATTGAGATTAAGCAATTGACAATTTTTAGTATTTGTTTTAGAAAGGATATTTGGGATCTGAACAATATAATGAACAAGCTTTATGAAGGAATAAAAATAGCTTTGTTTCAACTGTTATTCTTTGATTTCTTTCTGTTATCTCATTAAACCTAAGTCAGCTAGCATCTTCCATATGATGTTGAATAGGAGAGGTGATGGCCAGCATTGTTGTCTTATTTTTGCTTTTGAGGGAAATGCTTCAAATAATTTACCATTAAATTTGCTGTAAGGCTTAGGGAAATAGATTTTACCAAATTAAAGACATTTCCTTCAATTCCTGATGCTCTAAGTGCCCCACCCCCACCACCATCTAGGAACAGATACTGAATTTGATCACATATTTTCTTTTTTTTCCAGAAGTGAAGATGTTAATATGACATTTTGCTTCTACGATCTGTTAGTGTAGATAATTACATGAAAAACTTTCTTAATACTATTTTGTTTTCTAGATAAAAATGATTTTTCTATGATGCATGTGTATGGGAACAGCTCCCTCATGGCTGCTGGTGACCTTGAACATGTTCACATAGACAGGAAGGGCAAAGGTTTGGAATACAGCTTATCTGAGTCTTCCAAGATCACCTTGTGATCCGCAGAATGCTAGAGGATAGGAGGGTTGGGAGGTGATGTCTCCTACTCACCTCCTAGCTCCCCGCTGAAGCTATAATGGGACGGTTTTTCCTGTCTTCCTGAGTTCTTTTGAAGCATGATGTTTCCTGTCTGGTCTTCTTTAGAAAAGAGCTGCAGAGTATAAAACAGCTTAGCTGCAGTGAGTATCCCACAACTTGTATTGCAATCATTGGATTGGCTCTTTGTTCCAGTGCTGTCACTTTTGGTGTGTGGGACAAGCACCATGGAGAGTTGGCACCTTTGGCTACTCTTCCTTTCACTGTCTTTGTAAGTACATTTCCTGAAAGGAAAAGTGGCTTCAAGTGTCTTTACTGATCATAACCGTCAGGGCTTGGCTTTGGCCTTGCCTTGTCTTATGTGCTTGACAGAATCTTTGAAACATTGCTGGATTAAGTTAGCTAAATATTTTGCTTAGGGTTTTTGAGGATCTCTTCAACAGAAAAATAGGTCAAAAATCTTTCTTTTATGTATTGTCTTTGTGTTGAATATCTCGATGTATTACTGATCTAATAGAACAGAGAGCTCTTTTTCTTCCTATGCTCCAGAGTAATTTAAACTAGACTTGAATTACCTGTTACTTGTCTACTAGATTAACTCATCTAAAAAACATCTCTATACCTGATAGATTCCTTTGACTGGGGAAAGAAGATATTTTACTGCCAATTTAATATATTTAGTAGCTATAAGTCTATTCATATTTTCTATTCCTTCAATTGTGTTAAATCCTCCCTTCTTACTTAATGTCCATTTTATATAGTGGCTTACAGTTGTTTATAGACTTTTATTTTTATTCCATTTATTTTAATCTTTACTGATTTCTTTAGTATTTCATGATACTTCTTTCGTGGCCTAGTATAGCTTCCGGTTTTATAATGTTTCCAAATGTGCTTGAAATATGTATTCCTTAACTTTTTTTTTTTTTTGACACTGGGTCCCACTCCGTTGCCCAGGCTGTAGTGCAGTGGCTAATCACGGCTCACTGCAGCCTTGATCTCCCAGGCTCAAGCAATCCTCTTACCTCAGCTTTCCAAGTAGCTGGGGCTACAGGCACACTGTACCACACCGACCTGATATTTTTTTTTAATTAAAATTTTTTTTTTGTTGTTGTTTTTAGTAGAGTTGAGGTCTCTCTATGTTGCCCAGGCTGGTCTCAAACTTCTAGGTTCAAGTGATCCTCCCACCTGGGCCTCCCAAAGTGCTGAGATTACAGGCATGAACCACTGTGCCTGGCCTTCTCTGACTTTTTAAGGAAGTGTTCTACATATATCTGGTAAAACAAAGTTGATTATGTTGTTTAAATCTATGATATTCTTGTTAACTACATTGCCTGGTGAACCATTATTTGCAAAGATAGAAATGTTAAAAATCTCAGACAAGGTCTGAGTTTGGGTATGACCTAAAATGACTCTAGTAATAATATTATTTTGCCTTCCTCATAGTTTGGGAGTATCAGGTATATATGAAATGCTTTATATAGTATAAATTGTTGAGTTATATAAGGTACTAGTTATGTATGTACGTTGCATAGGTGGGCAGTTCTGACAGTATCACACAGGAAGAGCCATGTGGGAGATGTCAGGTGCCCTGAGGTGTAGACAGTGGTGGTGATCATTCTGAGTGCATCACATGGCTCCATTCTGCAGTGGCCCTGCTGCTTGGGTTGTATTGATTCCACCTGTTCCTATTTGCAGGCAAGATCCCTAGTTGGTTTAAGTATTTTGTGCCTTGTCAAAACTATTGGTGCAAAGGACATTTACCTGTCTACTGTGATTTATAGTATGCAAATTACCTAAGATGTATCAGTCAGAGCAAAGCTCATGACTTAAAAAAATCATGAAAATAAATGCTCTTTTTCCTTCTTTCTATAGCCTCAATAGTTGCTGGCAGCCATGTTGTCACCAGCTGATAATCTAGCTTGTTTATGAAACTGACAGAAGAGTGCCAAGTCAAGAGAACTCCTTGTTCGCAAACTGTGCTTGAAGACACTCTCTGGGCTTAACAGAAACTTAAGCTACTGTATTTCCTTATTGCCTAAACAGGTTGATTGGATTTTATGTTGCTTACAATACAAAGGATCCTAATTGACAACCAAGAGACAAAAGGGCAGAGAAGGAGAAAATCAAATTTTCTCTGAATGACTTAAGTAAACCCTATTCCAAAAGGAGATGAGTTAATGTTATATGGAAATCAATAACCCATGTTTTCCATTTGTCTCAAAAGGTTACTCTTGATATTTAGTTTAACTTTATCTTGCTTATAAAAACATTTGAAAGTTGAGGAAAAATACAACGTGAATTGCCTTTTGCTTCTGTGGTAAAGAGAACATCTACACATACAGAATGCACTCCTCATAGAGGATTGGTGAACTTTCTCTAGCAGAAGCCATAGTAAGGCATCTGAGATGTAGGAAAAATAATAATGGCAAACATTTGTAACATGCTTACTATATATGAGGCATTTTCTAATTGCTTTATACATGGTAAGTCACTTAAAGATTACAACCAGCTGGGCATTGTGGCTCATGCCTGTAATCCCAGCATATTGTGGGGCTGAGGCAGTAGGAATTCTTAAGCCCAGGAGTTTGTGATCAGCCTGGGAAACATAGTGAGACCCCCATTTCTACAAAAAAATACAAAGTAAAAATAAAAACTGGCCAGGCCTGTAATCCCAGCTACTGAGGTGGCTGTGGTGGGAGGATCACTTGAGCCCAGGAAGTTGAAGCCGCAGTGAGCCATGACTGTGCCACTGCACTCTAGCCTGGGAGACAAAGCGAGACCCTGTGTCAAACAAAACAAAATGCAAGCATTCTTTGAGGTTGGTACTCTTATTATACCCATTTCACAGTTGAGGAAAGGGAGGTACAGAGAGGTTAAGTATGTAGTAAAGCTGGGATTTGAACTCAAGTACTTTGTCTCCGAAGTCCATGTTTTTAGCTGTTATTTTATCCTGCGATATTTAAGGGAAAGCTAGTTGATTTTAGAAAAAGCATACTAGAAACCTGTACTGAATATATGGAATATTCTTTACCTCAGCCCCTCTACTTCCTATGCCCTCCCATACTGTTCATCTCTTCATATAATTCAATTTGCGTTTTTGATTAGGAGTGGCAATAATAATGTCTTTTTCAGAGGGTGGGGAGGGAGGTTCGGGTGAATTTGGGAAAGAAAAGTGATAGAGAACCCAAGTTTATCACCTACTATTTACTATATTGCAAATGACAGAAAATCTAGCTCAATTGTGCTTAAAATGGGTATAATTTATGAGGTCACATAACTGGAAAATCTTAGAATGAATCTCTGGCTTGCAAAAGCAGTTTGACAATGACCATCAAGTCTCTTTTTCTTTCCAACTCCATATTATACCTTCTGGGGTATTAGACTCATTCTGACGCTGTTTTCCTTAAGGAGAAAAAAATGGCCTCTAGGATTTCTGAGTGTTACACTCACATCCTTTCAGACTAAAGGAGAGAGACAGGGTTTCCTGAGTATGTTTAGCAAATGCTTTCTTCATTCTCATTGGCATACAGTGGATCATCTGGCCACTTCAAGCTGGGGCCAGGACATAGGATTATATTGATTTGTTTGGGCCTGTGAACCATGCCCCCATCTAATGCCATAGGCAGATTGAACTTCTTCCACCTCACGTGAAAGCAGTATGGATAATAAAAGTGGAGTAGTTGACAAGAGAAATGGGTGTGGATATCGAAGAATAATCACAGTACACTAGACTTAGCTTTAGCTCAAAATTGACCACATTTTTGGTCAGTGATCTATACCATGAGTCAGTAAAATTTAGCCTAGGAACCAAATCTAGTTTGCCATGTTTTTGTACAGCTTGTAAGCTAAGTAATTTTTTAAAAAATTTGTAGTAAAATACACATAAAAATTTACCATTGCAATCATTTTAAAATACACTTTTCAGTAGCATTAAGTATATTAACAAGCAATGTTCCACAACCGTCACCACTATCTAGTTCCAGAACTTTTTTATCACTCCAAAAGGAAACCCCAGACCCAGTAAGTAGTTGGACTCCACACCCCACAACCTCCACCCACTGGCAACCACTCATCTGTTTTCAGTCTCTCTAGATTGGCCTACTCTGAATATGTCCTATAAATGGAATCATACAATCTGTGGCCTTTTGTGTCTGGCTTCTCTTAGCAATGTTTTCAAGGCTCACCCATGTTGTAGCGTGTATCAGCACTTCATTTCTTTCTATGGTTAATTAGTACCCATTGTATGGATATACCACCTTTTGTTTATCCATTCATCTGCTGCTGGACATTTGGGTTGTTTCTACCTTTTGGCTTTTGAGAATCAAGCTGCTATAGACATTCGTGTATATGTTTACCTGTTTTCAATTCTTTTTTGGTACATACCTAGGAATTACTGGGTCATATGGTAAATTCTGTATGAACCTATTGAGGAACCTAGGAATGTTTTTACATGTTTAGGTGTTTGAAAAATAAGCCAAAAGAAAAACAATGTTTTATGACATGTAAAAATTATTTAAAAATTCAAATTTTAATGTACATAAATGAAGTTTTATTGGAATACAGCCATGCAGATTTACTTATCTATTGTCTACAGCTGCTTTTGTGCTATAATATAGGGTAGACTATTTGTAGAGAACTATATGACAATAAAATGGACTAAAAGCAAGTCTGCTTTTTATTATTACTATGCACTAGCAATTCTAATTAGTGTTAGTTATTTTCCCTCCAAATATCTTTTTGGATTCGAGTTATTTATTTTCATTTTTTTGAGACAGAGTCTCGCTTTGTCGCCCAGATTGGAGTGCAGTGGCGCCATCTTGGCTCACTGCAAGCTTCGCCTCCTGGGTTCACACCATTTTCCTGCCTCAGCCTCCCGAGTAGCTGGGACTACAGGCACCTGCCACCACACCTGGCTAATTTTTTTTTGTATTTTTAGTAGAGACGGCGTTTCACCGTGTTAGCCAGGATGGTCTCGATCTCCTGACCTCGTGATCCGCCCGCCTCAGTCTCCCAAAGTGCTGGGATTACAGGCATGAGCCACTGTACCTGGCCTCGAGTTCTTAAAAATAGTTGTGCTTGCTTCTGATTTTTAATAATATTTGTGTAAACTTCAAATTTGCACATTTTAATTACTTTTAATGAACATTGTATTGTACATGAAAGTTAATTTGGAGAACTATTTCATAGTCACCCCCCCACACACATACATATAGCTGGCTATATGTATGTGTTTCAATAGTAGTAAGTTCATGATAGCTTAAAATCACTCAAGCTTGCCTTAGGAGCAGTTCATGTCTGCAGCCCCCATGGAACTACATATCTTTATGTTTAAGTGGAAGATTCAGAATTAGCAATGAGAGCACAGTATTTATAAAGACCAAAAAAACAGAGCATGTTACTTTACTTCTGTTATTCAATCTGACCACTTAGAGTTTCAATTTGTAAAACTATACAATCTGAATGCTATAGAATTTTTTCTGGTTAAGTGCAAATTTCAGTTTAGAAATGAAATTTTATGGAATTTGTCTTTAAAACTGAATTTTATTCTTTTTGAAATTGCTAATAGTCTTTAAAGTAAAGAGCAATTCAAGAAAATTGTTATTGCTAATTATTCCATGATTATAAAAAAACACAATGTGCTAGGCACACCACTGAGTAAACCTTTGGAGAGTAAATTGCAGATGTCATAACATATCATCCCTAAATCATGCAACATGCAATTTCTAAGAATAAGGATACTCTTTAACATAACTGTAGTGATAATATCAAACCTAAGCAAGTTAACAGTTATTTCCAAATATGTAACATTTAGTTAATATTCAAATATCCTCAGTTGTCTCTAGGATTCAATCAAGATTCATGCATTACCTTTGGTCATTATGTTGCTACAGCTTTTTTTTTTTAATGGATAATTTCAAACATAGTAGGTGCAGAAACTCATAATCTATAATTCCAACACTCTGGGAGGCCAAGGCAGGAGGATTGCTTGAGCCCAGGAATTCAAGACAAGCCTGGGCAACACAGTGAGACCCCGTCTCTACAAAAAATACAAAAATTAGCTGGTGTAGTGGCATGTGCCTGTAGTCCCAGGTGGAAGGATCACTTGAGCCTAGGAGGTCATCGAGGCTGCAGTGAGCCAGGGTCATGCCACTGTACTCCAGCGCGAGGGACAGAGAGGAATGCTGTCTCCAAAAAATCAAAACAAAACCACCCAAAATTAACAAACAAAAAAACACAAATGGCCAATCTGTTTTCACCTCCAATTTTCACCCCTTCATCCCCAGCCATGAATACTTTTTTATTTTTTATTTTTTTTTATTTTTTTTGAGATGGAGTGTCGTTCTGCCGCCCAGACTGGAGTGCAGTGGCGCAATCTCTGCTCACTGCAAGCTCTGCCTCCCTGGTTCACGCCATTCTCCTGCCTCAGCCTCCCGAGTAGCTGGGATTACAGGCGCCTGCCACCATGCCCGGCTAATTTTTTGTATTTTTAGTAGAGACGGGGTTTCACCGTGTTAGCCAGGATGGTCTCGATCTCCTGACCTCATGATCCACCTGCCTTGGTCTCTCAAAGTGCTGGGGTTACAGGCGTGAGCCACTGCACCCGGCCCAGCCATGAATACTTTTTAAGGCCAATTTTACACATTATATGTTTCAGTATATATCACTAAAAGATACAAATTTTGAAATATAACCACCATACCATTGCACACTTAAACATTAATAGTTCCTTAATGTCATCAAAAAATAGCATTCAAGTTTTCTCAACTATCATATAAATGTTTAAAGAATTTGCTTCAGTCAGAATTCAAACAAATGTTGCATCATATTTAGTTGCTATATATAAGTTTCTTAACTCTCTTTTAATCTATAATTACCCTTTTTTTGCTTTTTTTTTTTTTTTTTTTTTTTTTTTTTTTTTTTTTTACAAATTGTGGATTCTAGGTAGCGATTTATAGATTGAATGGTCATCCAAACTGGGACAATTTTGAGAGAGAAAGGTGATATTATTAAAATGACACCAGGATGGCAGGTGTGTACCAGGGCACTATTTAGCAAAGAGTGCTATGTGGTTACTCTAAAGATACTTATTGTACCATTTTTCAACTTTTCTGTATGTTTCAAAGTTTCCAGAATAATAAAACATGGAAAATATTGATGTTCTGAAAGGAAAACAATTGGTTATTTGCTATTACCATATTTTGTCCTTAATGCAGGGGGAAATTTAGAAAGAATAGCAATGAAATGTTGAAACCTTCAAATGAGAAGCAAAGATGAAGCATTAAAGAGATATCTAACTTATAAAAATCACTTTGTTCTCTCATGCATTCATGCAACATATTTAACTATCTATCTCCATATTTTATGTAGGGTTGATGATGAAATAAACATGTTTTTACTCATACACAGTTTACAGTCTATAAAAGGAACTGGACATTGAATAGGAAAAACACAAAAATACAGGACATCAAAGACAGTCCTTTTTTAAAAAAAGAAACATGACCAAGAGGATTATATCTGAAGGTTTTAGATATGAGATTTTCCTTTGGAAGAGAAATTTAGTCTACTTTGTCTTTAACAATCTTTTGTATTACTGATATACTACAAAAATTCTTATTTCTTATAAATTACCGAACTTAATCCAGTTCTTGCCTTCTGGTTTTTCCTCCACCATTCTCCCTTTAGCTTATTCCCAATCATACTAACAAGCCAGGACCAGTATTGTTCCTAATTGCAAGTAATTAAATGGTTTTGTTCAAAGTTTCATGTAAATAGCTAGGAACGATTGTCAACAGTATTTTAACATTAAAGAACATGAGAGTAGGTGGTATTTTTTAATATAATTTTTTTTTTTTAGTTGTGAGAAATTAAGGATCTCATTTTACAAGTTAAGGCAGGGAAGATGAAAAGAAATACATTGTCTTTAAATAAACACAAACTTCCTCATCTTTGCCTTGTTTCACGGACATCTGAACTGTTAAAAAGGCTTATGGGAAAGTTATAACATGTAACCAAACAAATATATATGTGTCTTTTAAATAATTTAAGACTTTCCAGACATATGGCTTTTTGCAACATGTAAGTTCAGTGTACTGAGATTTCTTCACTTGCAACTTAAAAAAGAGGAAAGCCACCACCTAACCTCTGACAGGCCGCCTGGCATTCTCATCCAGGCCTTGGTGTCTCTGTGGGATGTAATCTCATAGAAAACCCACATGGACAGGCCCACTCAGTGACAACCACGAATAAGTGGAACAAAAGCAAGATCATTCTTGCAATTTTGTCTAATACAAAAACGAAGTCACATGAAACCACACGAACACATCCCCCTATCCTGGCTAATACAAGGGACTAATGTTGCTTTACCAATTACAGCTTTAGCCTGGCTTTAATCTTCTTCTCCTTCTAGTTAAGAACTATTAAGATACCAAATTATAGAATCTCTGACAACATTCAATCTAGAGCATGGTTCGACATTATGAAATCTTCCCCGAAATCACCTAACATGAATCCAAATCCTGCAAGTCCTTTCCAACATGCTCTTTTTTATGTACCCCATAGTTCTCCATCAGCACATTCTTCTTCATGGCAGTGAGAAACATACCCAACTTATTCAACGACAAGTGTGTTCCTGGTGGATTTTTGCCAGAAAGTATTGACAATCTAACCTACACATTGATTTGTGGAAAGTGGAATGCTAAGGCCCTTTTCTCAAGAAATTATCATGTTTAAGTCATAAACCGGGCTTCACTCGGTTTATGCCATGTACAAAATTTCTTTAAAAAATTACTCATGAAAATTAATGATTCCAGTTTGGCTTTCAAAACCCTCTGAAGGAGTGTGTTCAGTAGGCCACTTGATTATTTTTTGGTGACCATTAGCCCATCTCTGACCACAGTGGCTCTTCCAAATACATTATTGTCAGTACTAGATGACACAGGCGTGAAACAGATTAGATTATCTTTCAGTGGCTCCCTGTAGTTTTAGTAATAAAGTTTAGCTCCTCTCCCAGGGTAGAGAAGCTGTGGTTCTGGCCTGGCTTAACTCTCCCACCTTCTCTCCCTCAATTCTTACCTTGAAATATACCGGGCTTCCCTAATCTCCAGCTACGTTTAGCTACTTCCTTTTCAGTTTTACTTTGGAATCCTGGTCATGCATGTAGTGGTACAGTGAGGTTGGCAGAATGGGCTGATGATGTTACTGATGGAAGGATGGAGGACGCCAACACGAAGAATATGAGTTCCGATTGAAAGTATAATAGGGAAAGGGCTCAACTGTCTACCACCAGCAAGATCTGAAGCAGATGCTCTGTCAGAGAGGGGCAGTCTCCTTGGTCTCCAGCCTCCAGCCAACTTCTTTGCTCCCTCAGGGGTATCAACTCAGCAGGCCTGGTCTTTGTGTCTTTTAGAAACATTTCTTACATCTCAGCCAGAGTATGAAACAAAACATATTGATGTTTCTACAGTAACTTTGAATTACCTAATGAAGGGGAGGAAATGTATCAGTTAAACAAATTGGGGTTACTTTATGTTCATTTTTCAATTCAATGATTTGCTCTAATTATAAACCCTTCTTTTAAGGTAAATTAGAAATTTGGCATTGGTCATTTGCCTCACAATAGTAAATAATGATCACTGTTTTTTTCTTGTGTGTGTTTTTCAGCACATGTTACAATTTTATCCTTTGTAATTATTATGGACTCATGGTCTTTCACTGACAACCAGTACCAACCAACCCCTGAAATGCAGCTACTTGTGAAAGTATTCTCACTTTCTAGCAAGGTTTCCCAGGCTTGTTTTGATTTTTCCCATTTCGAAGCTATTTGCCATGGAACTTTGGTTCCTTTTAGTGGGGGATAGTTAGAGACCAAAATCTGGGTGCTAGGGTCTACATTACATTATTTTACATGGACACTGCGTCACAGCACAGTGACTTAGGGGCTACCAGCCACTCAATTCACAGAGGCAAACAATTATATTTTTAAATAAAAATTTATTTTTTGTATTTGCAATTTATTTACAGTTATTTTTGTTGCTCTAATTTGAGAGTTTATTATTTTTACCTATTCTTTGTTTTATTTTTCCCCTTTCCACTAATGTTGATGTTATATATACATAATGGCATTATGAATATACAGCATTATTCTAAATTAAAGGTTGAATTACAGTGTCAAATGACAGAGAGGAGGCTGGGCAGAGAAGACCTTAGATGTCTACTAAAAATATCTTCTTTGCAATGCTATTGTGATGAATAGACAGAACATATGTAAAGCTCCAGACCACAGTGTTGACAGAATACCTGCTAATTGTTGACATTATTGCCAGAAATAATTTTAGCAATAGAGCACTTTGTTCATTTTTTTTATTTTATGGTTTTGGGATGCGAGACAATGGAACATAGCTTGGAGGATTTTTAAATAACAGCTCAATTGCGATATGATTCACATGCCACAGATTTCACCCATTTAAGGTGTGTAATTCAATGAATTTTAGTATATTCACAGAGTTGTACAACTAACACCAAAATAGATTTTAGAATATTTTTTATCACCCTACCAAAAAAAGAAAATCTACCTATTAGCATTCACTTCCCATTTCCCCCAACCACCTCAGCCCAAGACAACCATTAATCTCCTCTATATCTCAATATATTTGCCTATTCTGGACATTCTCTATAAATGGAATCATTCACTCTATGATTGTATGACTGGCTTCTTTCATTTAGCATAATGTTTTTAAGGGTCAGCCATATTGTAGTATGTATCAGTAGTCCATTCTTTTTTATGGTTGAATGATATTTCACTGTATGGATGTAACACAATTTGTTTAACCGTTCATCAGTTGACAGACATTTGGGTTGTTTCTACTGTTGTGTATTATGAATAATGCTACTATGAACATTCATGTACAAATGTTTGTGGAGACATATGTTTTCATTTCTCTAGTATACACTTAGGAGGGGAATAGCTAAGTCATGTGGTTATTCTACTTTTAGCCTTTTGAGGAACTGCCAGACTTTTTAAACAGCGCTGCACTGTTTTACATTCAGCCTAAAGGATTTTACCGTGCTACAGTCATTTATTTTGTTAGATTTGGACACTGTCATTTTTGTTACTCTTAATTTCAAAGGGCTGATGTGTATGATTGTATCACAAGTGTATGAAAGGAATACAACTATCTAGAAGCATTTTGCTGAAGAGTCACACCTGGTAGATTCAGACCAAACTGCAGTGCATAGAAGATGAAGCAGGAGTAAGAAGGAAAGGGTTTTCCAGTTGGCTGGGGCTGATGAATCCTGTTACAATCTAAAGGTCAGAGAAGGTCAAGCATGGCCCCTGGGACTTAGTGGCTAAGACTGGGAAAAATGAAACCAGTGTATAGATGTAAATAGAGAAAGAAATCTGAGGGACGTGGACAAAAAAGAGCAAATTAGCAATTTTATAAGGCATGATTTTTAAATTAATAAAAAGGAAACCCAATTAAGGGCCAGAAGTATAGCTGATATAGGAAAGTAGCTTTGGTACAGTGGAAAGCATTCCAGATTTGGGGCAGAAGCCGTGGACTCTGTTCGTTCCTTTAGTGCGTATCAACAACATGACCTTGGGAAAGTCACTTGACCCCATCTGTGCTCATTTACTATTTTGTGCACATCTCTATCATAGCCCTTATTACATCATATCGTTGTGAGCTATTGCAGTTTTGCAACTTGCCACTCACCTTAGTGGAATTTTGCTATGAAAGGACAAGATTTAATCCAGATCTTTCCTCAGTAACTTCTGTGTGTTTATCCTTTTCTTCTTTATGCTCTAGTGGAGCAGAGATTGGTTTTCCCCTGCCTTGAAGTTAATTTGAGTCACTCCTCAGCATTGAAGAGTAGTCTCTTCCCATAGTTAGCATGGCACCAGGTTCCCATCTGGGGGCGTTGTATTTCATGTTTCATCAGGCATCCCATAGTGCAGTTATCTCGGCACAGGCGTAAATAAGATCTACCTCTGCCTGAACTGGCCTAGAGAGTTGCAGATGATGCCAGCCTTCTACTGGAGATACAGGAAATGCTTCATGATGTTATGAGCCTTGAGGATAATAGCTTTGACCTACTAAATTCAGACTTTGAGCTTCCATGGGGATGACTTCAGTGTAGATAAGATGAATGGAAGAGAAAATATTCAGCAACCATTTTGATGACCTTCAAACTCTTGAACCTAATTGCCAGCCAGCTTTCCAGTAAGAATGCTGAGCCGTAGTAGTTCAGCATCCTTTCAGGTTATATGGTCCCATTTGATAAGCCCCTCCCCATTTATTTTCTCCCTTTTTATCCTTGAAAAGAAATTGTTCCCAAGGATGACTCCAGTTGATTATCCAGGGATGTCGGACATGATTAATACCCTACCTTACATCGTACATCATCTTTTTTTTCCCTTTGGGGCCCAGAGAGCAATGTCCTTCTCTGCTCCTTGCTGCCACAACAAATAAGTTCCCCTGTATTATATTTACAGAAAGACATATTTCCTGATGTCTGTGCCCTGCACAGCTTAGCAGATTGGATGACAGTAGTTAGGACGGTCATAAATCCAATGCTGGCATGGTGTGTCTGGGGTGCTGCCAGGGGTCAGACTCATGGAACTACCATAAATGGCTGCCCGGAAAAATGACAACCAGAAATAGTATGAACCTTCTTTTTGCCCCTCCCACTCCAATTGCAACAGATAACAGAAGGGAATCCAGAATGTCTGAGCATCACTGAACAGGGAGCTGTCATTTACAGCCTGGTGCTGTAAGGTAGAAAAGGACACATCTGGGTAAAGCAACAGAAGACCCTGGGCTCCAGAACTGCTTTTACCTCTTTCAGGCTTACATTGAGTAAACAAGGAAACTCTTTAAGCTTCTATTTCTTTGTCTGTAAATAGGGGTTAGTAGTACCTAGCTTGCCGTTAGTGAGAAGGATTAAATCCCATATTATACATGGAAGTACTTTGTAACCTGCCAAGTACTGTGGAAATACAAGGAGTTCGTGTCTTCTGCTATGTGCTGGACATGTTGGTACTGCTTCCTTCTTGGTCTCCATTTCAAAGTGTGTCTGCACGTTCACATCACTGTTCCTGCTGACTCCCACCCTCTCTCTGCTGCTTTTCCTTGGCCCCCAGTGGGGCATGATCCCTGACTCTGGACAGACTTCTCATCCTAGTGTTTACTTCTGTGTATGTCCTGAGTGCTGGCTATCTTCTGTGTTCTTGGCCAACATTTTATGTTTCCTCATTATGGCTCACATCCCTGATTCTCTTTTGTCTGATATCTATAGATCCACCTGAAAAGACATTTCAAGACCCTTGTCAAGTAAGTCTAAATGGGTTTCACAATACAGTTAATCTTTAATCCAACAGAAATTAGATTTTGTATTTGATATAGGTTGGGAAACAAGGTTTTGGTCTGCCAGATGGGGTTCTATATGTTTCAAGTAAGGATTCTTGGATTGGAAGGGACCTACAGTAATTAAAACTCAATAATAGCCTGAAGCTAAACTAGCCAAGCAAAACACTGAATTTGGAAATGGGTCAGAAAGGAAAGAGAGTGAAGAAGCAAAAGGCTTTTTTTTTTTTCTTGAGATGGAGTCTTGCTCTTTTGCCCAGGCTGGAGTGCAGTGGTGCAATCTCGGCTCACTGCAACCTCCACCTCCCGGGTTCAAGCAGTTCTCTGCCTCAGCCTCCTGGGTAGCTGGGACTACAGGCGCCTGCCACCACACGGCTAATTTTTTATATTTTTAGCAGAGATGGGAGTTTCACCATCTTGGCCAGGCTGATATTGAACTCCTGACCTCGTGATCCACCTGCCTTGGCCTCCCAAAGTGCTGGGATTACAGGCATGAGCCACCATGCCAGGCCAAAAGCCTTTTAAAGGCTTTATTTTGGGGGTAGGTGGGTGGGTGGTGTGATTATGGTTAATTTTAATTTTGATATAATAATAGAGCAATGTAATGAACAAAATGTATGAACAAAAACAGCTATTAGAGAAATTTAAAAAAATATCAGAACTTTCAGGTAAACAGAAGGGAATATGGTAGGGGTGAATAGAAATTTGAGTGTGGAGGCTAAAGCAACTCCATCTTGGATGCTAATTCACCATGTTCACTTCTGATTAACTGCAGCTCTAGGAATGCCTCTAAGTTCTCTATTTTATCTGCTGTTCTTTTTTTTTAGAGCATGTACCTACTGTAAATCCTGCCCTTGGGTCAAAACAACATGAACTGTAAATTCTGTCCTTAGGTAGATTCACATTGCATTCTTGCCTTTCTCTGAGGGGTTGACTTCAGCTGTCCTACAAATTCCTTCCATATGGTTTATGAGCCTTGGGTCTGGGGAATCATAGCATGGGGACCCCACCATCTTGTCTCCCCATCGCCTGAGACACAGCTATGGCTTCTCTTTGTAAGTGCCTATTAAATGTTTCTTCCTAAGAAGCTGGATTTGTCAGTTTCTTTCTTCGGCCTCTCAGCTTCCTCAGCCTTTGGGAGTAGATTTGCATAGAGCTGCCCATTGCGGAACACTAAGCCAGGAAATAAAGAGAACTAGAAACCAAACAAATAGTAAAGGCAAAATAAGATGGCAGGTGGACTTCTGGGCAATTATTGAAGTAGCGATTACACACCTGATTTCAACAGAGGAAAAAAGAGTAAAATAAAATTAGACTTTATAGTTACACTCATGACAACTCCAGGCACAGCTCAGCTCATCCTTAGTGTAGCTTTGCAACAGGCCCACCCCAACTCCAAAGAACCTAGAGCAAGAGTATAAATGGAGATCTAAATACTCAAAAGTCCTACATCAAACTCACAAGTTGATAAAATATTCTTCTATCCTTCTGTCTTTCTTGTTTCTTGACACAAATACTTTTATAATATCCTAGAAGACCAGCTTCAAAAGTAGAATTCTTGGACTTCTGTGCCAGAATATGGCTATGTAAGGAGAACAGCCCCCATACCTTGCTAACTCCTGTTCACTTCCCACTCTGCTTTGTCCTGCTCTGCAAGGGGCTTTGCGTACACATGTGTGGATACTCCAGCCTGCATGTTCAAGCTCTCTCTACATCCCCAGAAAACAACTATTTCCTCTTTATATCTTGGGCCTAAGGTGTGCCTATTGGCATGGTCTGTACTTAGAAAGATCGTTGAGGGAAGGTTTGGAGCAGTTGGAAGGTGTTTGGGCAGGAGACTCCCTCTGTTAGATCAAAAGGGGCTCAGTTAGTTTCTGCTAGTGTGGAGATAAATCATATTATGGCTAGGGGCCATGATGGTAGGAGCAGTCATAGTAATTCTTGCTCCAGTAAGAGTAAGTAATCCCAGGGCTCCGGATGCTGAGTTCATGGTCTTGAATGGGGGCAGGGCAGAGGCTCTGGGTGGGCATGAGCCCTTTGCCTTGCAGACTTCTCCCTTGTGTAGGCACCAGCCATTGGAGGCGTAGAGTGGGCCCTTGAATGTGTGTGTCCCAGGACAGCAGCCTTGGCCATGCTCTAAGTGTAGTACTGCAAATGAAAGACTTAAAACCTTCTCTTTTCATTTTATTAGAACCCAGGAAAGATTTAAAGGGTGTTCTGGTCTCCTTCTCCACCCCGCAGGCAAGGAGGGCTAAAGTCCCATATGTGGACATACGAGACTAAATTCAGCTGGCTTTTCTGTTTTTGCTTTCCTCATTGGTGGAATGGGAGTAGTTACCTAAGGACATTTAAAAAAAGATAAATGTTGAGTTACAGAAATCTGAATTCATGTACGCTGAGCTGATGAATGTAAGGGAATAACACTAACCCCTTTTCTCCATTCCCAGCAAGTTGATCTCCAGGACTCCCTTTCTTTGGGCCTGTGAATTCCACAGGACTCCTAGAGGGAAACCCAGTTGCTCTTTAGAGCCAGTATGCTAGCGCTGCCGATCACGTTCTTCCTCCAGTGACTTGAATACTGAGGGCTTATTTTCCCCCAGTGCGCTTTCAATCTCTATGTGTTTTTCCCCTAAGGTGGCCCCAGCTGGCCAGGTGGCTTTGCACTGGGGTTGTAGGGGCACGACCAGAACAGCTTCCGGCTTCTCCTAAGTACAAGGGAGAGGGCGGTCAGGGCTCCCGAAACAAGCTGAGATGTGTGACTCAGGCCCTAGTAATCATCTCTTCTTAATGGCAGAGAAAAGCATATCTCCTTCTTGCCAGGAAGGAGGAAAATCACAGATGTGAAAGTGATGAGAGGTGAAAATGATTGGATTCATCTGAAAGGATAAGCCAAGTTTTCCTCCCTTTCTTATTTGATCCTCCCGAGTTTATTCCTTCCCTGCAAATAAGCACCTTGAGGCAATTAAAAATGCTGAGCTCTCCAGTGTGATCACACTGACTCAGTTTTTATAGGAGGAAATTAGTTCGGAGACTAACAGTCAACAGCCTGTCCTTCGACATGGCCCGGGGAATATGTACAAGCTTCACAAACATGTAGAGCCCTTCTGCCTTTGAGTGAAAGGCTTTGTCCATTGTCTTTGTTTCTTGAAAATGCCAAAAGTAATTGGGACCACAACACGATTCACTGTGGAGTCAAATTCACCACTTTCACTGGAAGTGAAAATACAAATGACTGCATTCCCAAGTGTTAACATTTTCTCCTTCTGAGGATTACATTTAGGTAGCATCTTTCAAATAACTGTGTATTTTCCGCAAATTACTAAAACAGAAGGCAAACCAAAGCAAATCAACAGCCACCAAGAGGGGACGATTTTCCCCTCAGCTCTTTGCCGAATTGCAGCCCAAGAGTGATTTTTATAGCCCAGTTATAAATGTCTGGAATCAGGAGGTTTTGATGGAAATGTGGGCCGACCTTTAGCAGTATCGATGCTTGCGAGGGCTGTTACGATAAAAATTCCTCCTTCTCCCTCCACCCTGACTCCCCAAGCTCTTTAATTCTTGTAAATAATGTGCTGAGCTCTCACTGAAGCTAGTCAGTGAAGCAGCCACAGGGATATGATTAAGGAATAAAATTCCTGTTCTGGGTCCTGTTGCGGGTTTGATATCTGACCACTCAAATGGGAGAAGAAAACCTTTTAGTGGCACAATTATCTCTGACCAGCAGTGAAATGGTTAATTGCCTCTTCTTCCTCCCCACTCCCTGGTTGGGGATAACTGAGGAAGGGCCATAGTTCTACCTGGCTCTAAGCCTGTGAAGTCCCTTGGCAAACTGTCTTGATGAGGTAAATAGCAGCACCCTTTGGCCCCAGTGATTTTTTTTCACTTGACATTATCAATGATGAGAGATGCTCAGTGATGACAAAATACTCAGTTAGCACCAGGTTGCGATGCAGACTCAGAAATTTTGTATCTTAATCAACAATTCGATTGCTACACATTAAGCAGAGATATTCACATTACCTATGAGGGATATAATTCTAACCTCCCCTGCATGAAACCAAGGTCTCTTCCTTTGGAGAGCTCATAAAAATTTGAGGCTTTTGTCGTTGCTTTCAATCAGATTGCTCTCGGATCATAGTCCCCACACATTTGTCACCCTGCCTCCCACCCAATAAAGCATATGCTTCAATCTGTTACCTTCTTTGCACATCAAAGCCACAAAAAAAGTTCAAATAATACAGTTTGGCACATTTTTTACTTTGTCACTTACCATCGAGATTTTGTACATAGAAAAAAAAATTGATAAATGCCCTTGAAAACATGAGAATGTGTAGATTTTCTGTCTTGACAAATTCTTCCCCCCTTCCCACTTAGTCTCACAAATCAGGCAGTCTCTGTATTCTATAAAATGTAAAGTTTAGTTGGATGACTTTTCATAAACTTCATTTTTAACACATTTCTTCTCTTGTATTTCTATAATATATGCAAAATGCCAAGCTCCTCAAAAGAACTTTACAGGTCATTTTCCTGCCATAATAGTCGAATCAGCAGCAAATGCACTTCATGGTTTAAATGCAGTGACAGAAGTAGTCTGACAGCAGAAATACGTACTGGATAGTAACTTCCACAAAAGCCTTGAGATTTTCACATGAGTAGAGATTATAGCTTTGGAAATCGCTTTTTCTTTTCTTTCTTTCTTTTTTTTTTTAAAGATCGGTCCTGTGTAAATATGGACAAAGAACGTTTATTGGCTCTGTACTACCAAGTGTCCTTGACCTAGTGACATTATTGATTTCCCACCATTGTCTTTATATGTATTGGTCCAAGAGGACAGAACCATAATAGTTGCCTACTTCAACAATTAATTTTGATCTCTATGTAATGAGCCTCATAGAAGCCCTTGAAAGAATAACTTTTAGGTCAGTGTGTGAGCATGCACGCGTGCGCGCGCGCGCGCGCACACACACACACACACACGTGCACACACACGGGAACATGATGCCTCTTATTTTTTCAAACCAGAAATTAGGTCACCTGGTCTGCTAAAAGATTTTTGCACTGATCTGTGAATCTCTTGGATATGAAAAGAGTGGCACAATAAAACAAAATTATTTGGGGTTATTAATGTAATGTTACCTTTATTGTAAAGAATAAAATTAAATGAAATTGCAGTGGTTGTACAAAATTGGAGATGCTTATTTACTCATTGGTGGTGAAATAAAACTACCCCCTCTGTCTAAATATAAAAAGTGCTTTGGTCACTGGAGCTCATGCTGTGTTCTCAGTAAGCTGAGCAATTCTTTTTAGTAGGAATATGGCTAGATACCCCAGAACCCAGAATTTCAGGACTCAGAGATAATGTTGCGAATAACAGGCTTTTTCCCATTTATTGCTGCCTTTGCTTCTGTGTCTTTGAAATATACATATATCAGAACCCCTACCAGTGGAGGGCACGGTACATATGAATTTTTTTTGAAGGAAACACTTTGAATTGAAAACTTCCATGTTTTGTTTTTTTAAATAAATTACCAAACTATAAAAACTACAAAATTTTCATATATATGTACATGTATTCAAACATAAAGATGTTACTGGATGAGTATAAAGATTTCCACTATTCAATCTCATTGCACTAGCCTGGTAGATTTGGGCTAAGAAAACTTTGTTTACTAAGCCTCTATTTTATTGACCTTGGCATTGTTATGTGTTGTTTTTAACTGCCATTATATAATATGCAAAGCATAAATAGTAAGTGTCCACTTCATGCCTGTTTCATTTCAGGGAATAACTGAAGATTAATTACTGTCTGTATTTTGTGTTAGATTAAAGCAACATACCAACAAAAGTGCATTTTCTAGTGTGTAATTTTCTTATTGTAATTAATGTGGTTTGGTTGTTTCGGTATGCTTAATGGTGGTGTTTGAATCAGCAAACATTCTCCTGACAGGTACAAATAATTTAATAAGTATCTGTGGAATTTTATTACTCAAAGCATTCAAAATGAGGGATCAATTGCGCTTTTGGGTTTTGAAACTTCCACCAATGTGGCTTTAATTTTTCTTTCTGTTCCACGTATGTGCTCTCTCTTTCTTTTTCATCTTCAATAACTGGAAAAATATTGAAAAGTTTAGAGAATAATGTAACAAGTACTCTACATCAGTTAGTATGGCTGTGTAACATACCAGCTCAATGTTTAGTTGCTTAAGACATTAATCATTTATTATTTCTCATGACTGCAGGGCTGCATGGGAAGTTCTGTTGATCGGGGCTGGGCTTGCTCATGCATCTGTGGTCAGCTGGTAGTTCTGTGTGACAAGGGGCAAGAGTTGGCTGGTTTGTGATGGCTGCAGCTTTAATGATTCAGCTATGCTCCACATGGTCTCTCATCCTCCAATAAACCAGTTCAGGGTTGTTCTCATGGTGAAGGCAGGGGTCTGAGAAAGAGACAGCAGGAGTGTACGTGACTCTTGAAACCTTGTCCCAGAAATGCCACATCACTGGACTCTCTGCTTTTTATCACCCCAAACAAGTCAGTAATCCAGCCTTGTTCAAGGAGTGCAGAAATAGACACCATATCTTGATGGGTATTGTATCAACTATGAAGTGGTATTGTAGAAGGTGTGGACATAGAGAGGCCTTTAATTAAGGCTAATATTGCAATTAACCTGCACAAACAATATTCCTGATCTCATGGGATTGATACTTATTAACATTTTATCATATTATTCTCAAGTAAAATAGTAATAAAATATTAAAGATCGACCTGGACTTTTTTGGTAGGCCCTATTCATCTTCCCCACTGGGCAATCACAATCATGAATTTGGTGTGTGTTCAGGACATTTTAAAAATACTTTTGTACGTGTGGTGCACACACACAAGCACCACCCCCCGCCCCACCCCCCCCACCCCCCCACCCCCCCCCCCACACACACTGGTGGTTTTAAAATAGGTCTGCAAATTATTTGACATTTCTCTTATTAAGAGGTAGTGCTTGGCCAGGCACAGTGGCTCACTTCTGTAATCCCAGCACTTTGGAAGTCTGAGGCAGGTGGATCACTTGAGGTCAGGAGTTCGAGACCAGTCTGGCCAACATAGCGAAATCCCATCTCTACTAAAAATACAGATTTAGGCGGGCATGGCAGTAAGCACCTGTAGTCCCAGCTACTCAGGAGGCTGAGGCAGGAGAATTGCTTGAACCTGGGAGGTGGAGGTTGCAGTGAGCCAACATCATGCTACTGCATTCCAGCCTGGGCAACAGAGCGAGACTCTGTCTCAAAAAAAAAAAAAAAAAAAAAAAAAAGAAGAAGAAGAAGAAAAAGGCATTGCTAATAGCCCTTAAACTTGAATATAGGCTGACCTTAGTAACTGACTGCTAACAATTAAAGTACAGTGGAAAGAACACTGCATGACTTCTAAGCCTAGATCATCACAGGGGATAGAGTGTGTTCCTGGCATTCTCCCTGTGAGGATGCACAGCTTGGGAGCTCAGAGCTGACACATGAGGAGTCCAGCTGAAGCCACAATGCTGAAGAACTTACCTGGAGGCACCATATCTGGATAGAGAGATGCCCAAGGATCCCAGCCTTTCTAGTCCCCAGGTGTCAGGCCGATAAGTGATCCAGGCTTCAGATGACTTCAGCCTCTAGCCTTTGAGCCACATCAGCTGATGCTGAGTGGAGCAGAATGAGATTTCCCCATCAAACCTGTCCAACTGGCAATTTGTGAGCTATATTTGTCAGCTCAGGCGGCCATAACAAAATACCATAGATCGGGTGGTTTAAACAACAGAAATTTATTTTCTCACAGTTTTGGAAGTTGGAAGTCTGAGAGCCGGGTGCCAGCATGATTGGCTATTGGTGAGGGCTCTCTTCCTGGTTTGCAGACAGCTTCATCTCTCCGTGTCCTCACATGGCAAGAGGACAGAGTGAACTCTCTGGTGTTTCCTCTCATAAGGAGACTAGTCCTATCACATCAGGGCTCCACCTTCTGACTTCTTTTAAACTTAATTACTTTCTTATTTCAAATACAGTCACATTGGGGATTAGGGCTTCAACATATAAGGGGACTTAATTTAGTCCATAGAATGAAGAAAATAAATACTATTATTGGAAGTTACCTAAGTTTTGGGGTGGTTTGTTCTGCACCAAAAATATGGGGAATCATGATACGCTACTGTTTATATGATCATATTACTGTTTTTTTAATATATAAATGATATTGGATTTACTATTCTATAATTTCCTTGTTGACTCAACATGCTCCTGAGATATATCTATTTTGCTATATGTAGATATAAAGTATTAATTTTTTATTTTTGAGATGGAGTCTCACTCTGCTTCCCAGGCTGGAGTGCAGTGGCACCATCTCAGCTCACCACAACTCCCGTCTTCTGGGTTCAAGGGATTCTCCTGCCTCAGCCTCCCGAGTAGCTGGGATTACAGGCATGCACCACCATGCCCGGCTAATTTTTGTATTTTTAGCAGAGGTAGAGTTTCTCCCTGTTGGCCAGGCTGGTCTCAAACTCCTGACTTCAAGTGATCCTCCCGCCTCAGCCTCCCAAAGTGCTGGGATTACAGGCGTGAGCCACCATGCCTGGCCACAGTATTAATTTTCATTGATACATGTTAGTCAAGTATGTAACAGTGTTGTTTTATGTGTAAATTCCCCTAATCATGAGCTTTTGGGTTGTTTTTAGTTTTGTTCCAATTACAAATATTAACACAATAAATATGCTTTATGTTTTCTTCTTATGGGCAAGCATGGACTTCTTTTCAAGTGTCTTCACTGGATCATAGGCTGTGCCTACTTCTTTTTTAAGGATATGCATACTTTTAATTTTGCTTAGGTGGCCAAATTGTTCCTCAAATTCCACCATTACCCCCTTTTTAATCATCCCACTAGCATTGTGCAGACTCCAGAATTTCTCTGTTCTCACAGCAGTTGAGAGTTATAAATATTTGAATTGTTTAAAAACTGATAGATTAGTATTGGGTTATTTTAATTTCTATTACTCTTATAGATTAAACGGCTGGGAGTCTTAAAAACATTTTCTTGGCTATTGGGATATACTTTTCTCTACTGAGAATATTTATTCTTTGTCTATGATTCTATTAGGTTTTTTTTTTGTTCCTATTTATTTTTAGGAGCTCTTTATGTATTCTAAGCATTAACATTTTCCTGTTATATATATTGTGAAATTATCTCCCAATATTTTCCTTGTCTTTTTCCTTGGTTTAGATGCCCTTAGAATTTCCATAATTTGATTAATCATGTATAATTATACACGTATATATGCATATACATGTGTATACATATACATACATATATATGTACGTACATATATACGTATGTATATATGTACGTACATATATATGTACGTACGTATATATGTATGTATATATGTACGTACATATATATGTATGTATATATGTACACTTCTTTCCTCTAATGCCCATTTTTAAAATCTTATTTCTTCTTAAATTTCATCTACGGCCTTCAAATTTCTTGCAGATACCAACTAATGAATTGTTTAATTGGTGATAATGGTAAATTAGTACCAATGGCCTGGTAAATCCGACATAATGTGCAGACCTAAAGGATACTTCAGAACAAGATGACTTTTAATTTCATGCCACCTCAAGTATACAAATATGTGTATATTGCACCTTACACACATATATATAAAAGATTTTATTTTATGAATCATGGATTTTGGGTTCTCTTTGAGAAACCCTTCTCTACTCTGACATCATAAAGATATTCTTGGCCTTGGTCTTTAATGGGAAGAATAGTACAGTATTTCTGATATTTTTTAAACTACAGTTTCAATGAATTTATAATTTCTACTTATTAATAAAACATGTAAGATTGTAAATTTTACATATTTTCTGAGACTGATTAGCTAGGGACAGTGTAGATTTTTACAACATGTAGATAAGTAACTACAAAAAGAAGCTGAAGCTTCTAAAACTGGATAGTATTTACAGGAATTGTGTCACTTTGACAGAATGGCTCAATCAGTGCAAAAGTTTTTATCTTAATGGTAATACTTGAGGTGGCATGAAATTAAAAGTTAACTTGTTCTGAAGTATCCTTTAGGTCTGCACATTATGTTGGATTTACCAGGCCATTGGTACTAATTTACCATTATCACCAATTAAACAGTTTATTAGTTGGTATCTGCAAGAAACTTGAAGGTGGTAGATGAAATTTAAGAAGAAATAAGATTTTAAAAATGGGCATTAGAGGAAAGAAGTGTCAATTGGAAACTTGTAGAGAAAGAATATATTCCTTTATCTTCACCCATGAGATTTATTTACCCTTCATCTAAGATGTTGATGGCACATACATTTCATAGACGCTTACGTTATAGGTTAATGTAACCATGTGTGTTGTAGAAAGCATGTACACAGGATGCCTTTATGTAATTTGATCATGCAAATGCAATATAGCTATCATACTACCTGTCTTTCCCCTGCATTTTAATGGAGACTAATAAATGGATCCTTCACATCCACGGAGAGGAAGGATAGCAAAAAAAGTAATCTTACCCCATTTTTTTTTTCCTTTTTATCTGCTGTGGTTGCCATGCCTTATGTCAGAGCACATTGCTTTAGGCCATGGCTACGATGACCCTGGGGCGAGATGGGTGAGAAGGAGATACACTCTCCAGGCTGTGGCTTCATCTTGTCTTAGGAAAGTCTGATACAGCTGATGGCAGGCATACTGTTCTCCTGTCAGCGCTTTTCAGCATTTATAGATGCCTCAGGGCCCTGAGCTGTGTGCGTGCGTGTCTATCACAAAACATGAAGTTTCTTCTGGGGTTGCCATTGTGGTGCTGTGAAAGGCACAGCAGAATGAAATGCAGAGACCCAGTCTTTATTCCCATTTTGCCACTAACTAGCTTTGCATCTTTTAGAAAAATGATCACACTTTGCAAATATCTCTCTTTCAAAGAAATTGTTTGTGTCACGTCATAATTGCCTATGTTACTTACTATCTCCTTCCTTGGAATGTGATTATTTCAAAGCGAGAGACTATGTATTCCTACTTTCCTGCCCATTGCTTAGTATAAGGTGGGCGCTTAAAGAAACATCTGTAGTGGAAAGTAAGGTTTCTTCTCCTGATCTCTGTGTTCCCTAGAATTGGAGGATTGGAATTTATTAACTCATAAAGTCTTGAACTCTTGAAGACAAAGAGTGATAATTTCCCCTGCAATGAGTATAAGCCCTAATATGAGGAAACTATTATTCCACTGAAGAGTGTTGGGCATAGAAAGGAATCAACAGACACTGAACCTGGATAACATTTCTAGCAAACGATCTGGGCCTCATTAGAACCTCTAAGGAGGTTTTCTAATTTTCTGACGTGAAGGTATTGAAATTAATACCAGACCCACACTACTTATTTACATCACACATACCTGCACAAGCACAAACTTCATAAATATCTGTGCTTAAGATAACTAATTTAGCCAGATTTATGGTATTTATGCCCCAGTGTGAGCTCAGCTCTGATGGCCTTACCTGCAAATTTAAGTCAAGATTCTGGTATTCGAGAACATTCCTGTCTGGAATTGCCACATGTTTCACATGGATACCCAATTTTCTTTAAAGGAAATGTGCATGGGGAATGGAGTTTCAGATATTCCAATAAATATCTGGAATATGGCCTCAGATAGTCCAATAAACTCAATAAAGCAAGACTATTAGTAGAAGGCTGAAATGGAAAACACTCAGTAATGGAGAAAAAATAAGATTACCATTGAAGAAAAGTGCCATATATGACCAGTCACCAGTGACATTAAAGCTGTGCAGAGATGCAAGCTAACTTGAAAATCAGGTGCAAAGAGGACGGATATATTTCATGAATTACAGGTAGAAAATGAAAGTTTATAATAGCTCTAGTAAGGATATTCTTAGAGTGGTTTCAAGTCTTGAATTTATATTCTTACTGTGATTTTAACTCAAATACTGATCTTCAAAAGAGTGACATCATTGTTGAACTATTTTATGTTAGTCCTGACCAATGAAATATACTTTAAAGCATCTACTTCTTTCTCCTTTCATTTAAGTGGTAGAGAAAATGAAATTGTTACATTGCACTTCTGTTACTGGAGAAATGTATAAGATTTTACCTTATTTAAACTAGGAATCCCATATCCTCCCTCCCTGAAAAAACTCGACATTGCCTCATGCACTTTTGGCCCTCATAAAGATCCAGTTATCAGCCCTCACCGAGATCTTTATGCTGAACCTGCTGTTGTAATTTCTAGAAACCACCAGTAGGTGTCTCCTATCAATAGTTTTGGTCACGGAAAGGAAGGGTGCCAATCATTTGTCATTCATTTAATAATGGACGCCATTGTCACTTGGTAGAGGGTCTTGATTGCAAGCTGTCCAGGTTCTTGGCATTTTGAACAAAGAATTGGACAAAACTCCCAAGAAAGCAAGGAAAGAATGAAGCAACAAAAGAACAAAAGCAGGAATTTATTGAAATGAAAGTATACTCCACAGTGCGGGAGCAGCCAGAGCAGCAGGTCAAGGGCCTGGATACAGAATCTTCTCCGGTCCAAATACCCCCTACAGGTTTCCCATTGGCCACTTCATGCTCACCCATGTAAATGAAGTGGTGGACCCCAATTGGTATGACTGGTTGCCGAAAGCAACCAATCAGAAGCTGAAGTGGCGTTACAAAGGTCACACTCCTGTGCAAACATCTGATTGGTTGCTTTTTTCAACCAATCAGAGGCTAAGGTGAATTTACAAAGTTGCAAACAAAGACTCCACCGGCAATCAGTCTGATAGGTTGCAGAAAGCTAACTTCTCATCTGCCATGCAGAAAAGGTTGGGGGTTTGCAAAGGGAGTAGCCTCTGGTCCCTTTGTTACCCAGGCGTGGAAAGTTAGGGTTTTCCTTTCAATTTAGTTCCAGGAAGTCGGGGCAAAACAGCCCCAGGCTCCCTGCCTCTAGACCCTATTCTCCTGCTTCACCATGAGAAATCTGCCCACTGTATGATGCAGACAATCCAAGCCCATTTAATGTGCTTCTAAAATGGGTCAGCCAATCTTCATTTAAACCTTAACCTTTCAGGAAATGAGTTTCAAATAGTGGTTGTTGTGTATGTGTGTGTGTAATAAGTAATCAGAAAATGAAGTTCAACATTTGAGCTGATTTCCTTCAAAGTCTACCAAAATTATCATTAGAAACAAAAAGTTTATAAAGCAGAAGAAGTTGACAATCCAGCCATGAAAATGAACACCTTCCTCACAAGACTGGCAAAAGTAGAAAATTTCCTAGAGATCCAGTCTTGAGGTTTCATTATGCAGGAGGTTAATGTTTACTGTCTGAAGTTGAAGGGTCTTCCTAACAAGAAAAAAATTCAATTTTCTTCTATGTGAAAGAAGGAAAAAGATCTCTTCTGAGAAAGTAAAATGGAGCAATCGAGTGAAAAGTTAGCCTTGATTTGTGCCCAGGCCACTTTATAGAGGTGACGTTTTATTTATTGCTGCCCTCTTTCTGGGAGTCTCTTTTTGTTATTCTTTGCCCCTTTTAATGCTGTCACATTTTGTGCTTTTGTAGCAAACATTCCTCTGGAGCTGGGCATATATTGCCTTCTGAAAGCCTTCTCTCCTCAACTAGATGGTACTGTATCTGAGGGCACATTTTGTCTTATATTCCCTAATCTCTCCTACAGTATCTAACCTGGAGCCTCATCTTGAGTTGACATTTACTGAATGCTTCTCACTGTTTTCAGTATGGCATCCAATTTTTTAGAGAAAAGCTTGTGACAGATTTTTGGTACTTCCATAGTCCCTGATAAGCACAATGCCTTGCACATAGAAGGTACCGTATTATTTTTGAAATAGCGAATGAAGCACAAGGCTGATAGAATAGGAAACACATATCCTAATTGGAGCAGTGGTGTGGTGTGTTTTTATAAAAGAATATTTATTCCTTTGAGAGCCTAAGGCAAGCCAGGCAGTGTACTGCTCAATCTACTTAACCTACTTAAGGGTGACCCATAAATTCAGCTGACCTTAGTCAACCATGGAAGCATTGGAATTTAACTCAGAACTATGCAAGCCTAACACTCTCCAGGGATTAATGTAAAGAAAGGTATGGAATGGAGCTCTTGATCAATGGGCAGTTGAGCAGAGGAGAAAAGAACTTTGTAAACTTCCTTTTAGAATATCTTAAAGAAAAATTTATACCACTAGCAATGTATTAGTTGTTTGCCTAACCTGTCTTAGGTTGGCTTCCACAGGAAATAGATTCTAAGGTGAATACTTATTTGCAGAGGTTTATTGCGAACACCTTCAGAATCAGTGCTTGTGAGTGAGTGAAAGAACTAGGATTGAGCAGACGGGAAAATTGAACTGAGATGCAATCTCAACCAAGGCCCCAGCCAATCCTGCTGGGAGCTCTAAACCTTCAATGGCTCTTTGACTTATGCTACCTTGAGGCAAGGCAGCTAGCGTTGGTGCCCCCAAATCTACCTGTAATTGGACATAGGCTACCCCAGGAAACTGAATCACCTTGAATGTGGTGGCTCTCTTCAGTAGGGTTCAATTCAGTTCTTAGAAGGTGATTCAGCTGTGAGTTATCAGAAGCCAGCATTTCTAAGAGCTCAGGGATCAGTGCTTAGGTCCTAAAGGGGCACACCAGATGGTGCACCAAAGTACTCACTGTGTATTTCTTCTGTTCTTCTCTCCCACCAAAGAAAATAAAATCTCAGCCTCATCCATGGAGAAGTAGAGTAAGGTTTGATAATTAGATTAGCTCTTACATCAGGGCTAGAGAAGGGAACTATTTTTCAAACTTGAATGGCTTGACCGCTCCATGCTTGGGCTTCTGTGCTTCAGGCTAGGCAAGGGAAAAAGAAGAGGACATAGGCCTTGGTCATTCAGCTTTAGAACTAACAGAATTGTAGGATTAGGCTTCAGGCTTGAGAGGACAACAATTCAAATTGCAGGGTCTAAGGGCATAGAAATCTCAGGCTTCATTTGAAGCCAAAAGAGATGATTGGGGAGGGTATGGGAATGAGAATGGCATAAATGGGACAATTTGGAGGGAGATCATGTCTGCATGTGTTTCAAGTAGTAACAGAACCACAGAAGAGGAATAAGGAAACGCTATGACTTCAGTGTATCCACAAGTTTGCAGTAACCACATTGCTGGGGAAACAGAGATAATGGTGAGACTTGGGGGAAACCTACTAAGAGCTCCATTCAAGAGTCTCAAGTTGAGATGTCTTAGCCTGCTCTGCTGCCATAACAAAACACCATAGACTGAGTGGATTAAACAACATAAATTTATTTTCTCACGATTCTGAAGGCTGGAAAATCTAACATCAAGGTTCTGGTCAATTCAGTTCTTGGTGAGGGCTCTCTTTCTGGCTTACAGATGGCCACCTTCCCACTGCGTCCTCAGATGGACTTTCTTCGTGCACATATGTGGAGAAAGAGACTGAGTTCTCTATTGTCTCCTCTTATAAGAACACTAATACTATCAGATAAGGGCCCATTCTCATGATCTCATTTGACCTTAATTACTTTGCTAGAGGCAGCATCTCCAAATACAGCCACACTGGGGGTCAGGGCTTCAACATATGAATTTAGCGGGAACACAAACATTTAGTCCATAACAGGAAAACTAGCATTAATGTAGGGATATACTGTCAGGCATGATAGCAGAAATAGATGTCCTTATTAGACACCTGGGCAGATACTGAAAATAGGGTTGTGACTCTGTGGCCACCTAGGAGTGTCAGGATACTCCACTCTCAGGCAAAGAGGATATTAATTGCTTAAGGCAGCAGCAAGACTAATTCCAGAGCTTAATAGCTGCATGCATTAAATCTCTTTCAGGATTGGTTCATAATAGTGGATGAAGCTGAGAGTCTGAAGACAATGTTGAGTGAATAATCACTAATCTAGTTTAGGACTTGGTTTCACCTAAAGGTTTGAATGTAGGAATAGTATTGCTCTTGGGTATTGATTTCCTATAATCGCTTGGATTTTCTCTCTGTAACTATTTCCTTTGGAGAGTCAGGCCTGATCGCTCATAAGAGTAATCCTCACAAAATTCCAGTGCTTCTGATGGGACTAGATTATAGCTGAATGTTCACTTCTAAGATGGTTATATATGTCAGTGTCTTTTTTTTCTAAATAACGTTTTTCTGTTGTAACAAAAGTAATATATGTTTATTGTAGAAAATTACCTGTAATCTCACCATCTAGTGATATTAACATTGTTCTTGGTCCCTTTCCTTCTGTGTGTATTATTTCTTAGAAATGAGATGGGATCATGCTATATGTACAAATTGAATATCCTAAATATTTTTCTATTTTAAAAACATAATGCTATATCGCTATGTTAAAAGACTAAGCAGTATTGTTTTAAACAGACTTACTATGATTTACTTAATGAGAACCCCATGTTGTGGACATTTAAGTTGTTTCCAATTTTGCAGTATTATAAAAAGTGTTGACTATTATTGGAGTATGCTTTTGCATACATTCCTGGCTATTTCTTTATAATAGGCTCATAAAAATAAAATTTCTAGGTCAAATGGCATGCAAAAATGTTTGTTCATTATTTCCAAGCATTTCTTCAGAAAGATGGTAACTATTTACACTTCCCACAGCAATATAACACTCTTGAGTAAATTTTTTAAAATGCCAGTATGGCAGGTAAAAAAAAGCATATCACTGTTTTCATAATAATTTCTTTGATTATTAATGAGGTTTAACATTTTAAAATACATTTTGCCTTGTCTAATTGTTATAATGGGGCATTCATATTTTCTTATTGATTTGTAAAAGCCCTATATGTATTCCTCTTATTCTATCACTTCTGCTGTGAGTATTGTCATTAGTACTTTGTCTTCAATCTTGTTCATAACTTAGTTTATTTTTATGTCCAGAGAGTTTATATTTTTATGCACAGAAGTCACATCTACTAATATTTTGTTTACATATATATTTTCCATTGGTGCTATGCTTGGGAAGTCTTCCTCCAGTTCAAACTTCTGACATATGGAATTCAAAAAGGGAGCAAGGCCAGGCGCAGTGGCTCACGCCTGTAATCCCAGGCTGAGGATTTGGGAGGCTGAGGTGGGCGGATCACGAGGGCAGGAGATTGAGACCATCCTGGCTAACATGGTGAAACCCCGTCTCTACTAAAAACACAAAAAATTAGCTGGGCATGGTGGCACGTGCCTGTAGTCCCACCTACTTGGGAAGCTGAGGCAGGAGAATGGCGTGAACCCAGGAGGCGGAGCTTACAGTGAGCAGGGGTCGTGCCACTGCACTCCAGCCTGGGCGACAGAGTGAGACTCTGTCTCAAAATAATAATAATAATAATTATTTTTTAAAAAAGGAGCAGATGATCTTCTATTATTTGCATCACTTTTGTCATCTCAGTAATCATTTGTAAGTGTGGAGGCAAGCATTTCGGCAAGGATATTCAGGTGGTCATCTTGAAACGAAAGTCTGTTCTGGTTTTCAGCAGAGCACTTTACACACTTGAATCTTTCTTTCTAAAATCAAAAGTTAATTCCATTGAATTAGACAGGATTAGGAAAAGGTGTTTAGGTATTTTCATGCTGCCCAGGCTTGTTCCCTACTCACATCAGTGTTTGTTGGCCTTCAGTGTAGGAAGGAGCTAGACGTAGTGAGAGAGCAGAAGAGGGAGGCAGGTGGCAGCCAGATGGGTACACTGGCCATGGAGCCAGCACAGGCCAGGAACAATCAGCTCTAAATAACTCTCTGTTGCTCTGCCTCTTTGATTTATTCTTCGAGGTCCACTCAAGTTTTATATCTCAGCTTTTCCATCCCATGTTGATTGCTTGATTCTCTAAACAGTTGAAGGCGTTAGTATTTTCATTACTATCCATCCAATTTAGTTCTTTTCACATAGTCTCGAAAATATAGCTTCTATCTAGTTTTATTTTACTATCCAGTATAGAGCTTAAAATATGTACTTAGCTTTCCTTACAATATTTCAAGCTTCCTAATATAATTTTTCTTTTTTTTTTAAACAAAATCTCACTCTGTTGACCAGGCTGGAGGACAGTGGTGTGATCTTGGTTCACTGCAACCTCTGCCTCCTGGGTTCAAGTGATTCTCCTGCCCCAGCCTCCCGAGTAGCTGGGATTACAGGCACATGCCACCACGTCCGGCTAATTTTTGTATTTTTAGTAAAGATGGGGTTTTGCCCTGTTGGCCAGGCTGGTCTCGAACTCCTGACTTCAGGTGATCTGCCTGCCTCGGTCTCCCAAATTACTGGGATTATAGTCATGAACTACCACACCCCACCTACTTCCTAATATAATTTAGTCCTAGCTCAAAGCATGGGCTCTGATTTGAACATGGAGACTCACCTTGGCATGAAATAAAATACGTGATGACTACTAACATGTACCTAACCAAGTATAGTTGGGGTTTAAGGGATTGTCTGGTTTAAAAAATACACACCAAATCTTTCTCTTTTTTACAAAAGGGACACACACACACACACACACACACACACACACACAGGCTATATATGAAGATATACAGCCACTATAGTTCTGCCAGAATATGTAAAGTTGATAAAGACTCTGGGCTTGAGTCAGAGGAACTCAGCTTGAATCGCAGCTCTGCCACTTACCAGCTATGTGAGTGTGAGCCTCAGTTTCTACATCTGGGAAATGGGGATAGTATATCACCTTCCTCTGAAAGTTGAATTAATACATAATCCAGTTCAATCTGAGTTTCCCTGAGGTGCATCGAAAGAAGGTGATTTAATTCTTTAGACAGCACTTCAAGATTTAACTGAATTTCCCTTATAACTCAAGTCATAATTGTTAATCTGGTAGCAAACTGGTAAACAAATTGTAACCCAACAACTAGAAAACCCCAGTTCAGTCATTACTGGAGCTGATTTATTTTATGAATTGTTTCACAGTTGAGTTGTTGGTTTTTATCCCAACTTAATCTGTACACATTATTAAATTTGTAATGAGTGAGCTTGTGGCACACCTGGCAAGAGGAAAAAGGCCCAGTTCTACTTCTTTATGCCTAACCTCGCCATGAAGTTTTCCAGCGGGTGCAGCAGTGTTGTTTTGAGTCTTAATGTTGAGCCATGTGCACCATGCTTGTGGGTGACTGTTAAGTAGCTGTCATTTTCAATCCCCAAGGTGGGCAGAGACACAGTTTTTATATGTATTTGGGGCAAAATTTCCCTTGTCCTGGCCTCATGGTTGGTTTTGACTCCAATATTCTATTCTCCTGGCATGTGGGTCATCTCTCATTGACATCTGGAGGTGTTGCAGTGGGGAAAGCAGAATATTAGCAATGAGGTTCTCAATGTGGACCTGAAAGAAGGCTTTTTGCCTGTAATTTGTGAAGTTTTTGTGAAGCTCTTTGGGATCCTTCTGGATAAAGAATCTTTTATAAACCTCACTTATTATAATGATGACTGCTGGCAGAATCGAAGTTACACGTGTGTATCAGGAGGACAATATATCCTCTTTGTGCTCACGTAAACTTCCATTTATCTATACAAATATCTCTGAAAAGAGCAAAGCTGAAATGTCTTGTCTCCGGCTGGGATGCTGTTCTGTTGTTGCAGCACAGTAAATTGGGTCACCGTCCAGTTTTCTATCCATCACCTGCTCAGCACCAGAATGGGGAAATGAGTGCTTCTATGGTGACGGTGGCAGCGTGGAGCAAAACCTGTGCCAGGGATCACCGTGGACAGCTACTAAGGAGTCCAGGAGAGCTGATCACTCAGATTGCTGCCTTTGTGGCTCTTGTCTGGGAGGAAAGACATTACTAAGAGGAAAATTGTTCTTTTAACTCCTACTTTTGAACTCTTTCTGTGCTGTGTGAGGACAGCAATTTTAAAAGGTTAGATTTTGCCAGTGTGTGCCAATTTGCAGAAGAAAATGTCTCTAATGCACAGGAATACTGGGAACCACAGACTCTTCTGGATACTGAATGTGGTGCCCTAAGACTGATTATAACATTTCAATGATTGAATAAATGGAGTCGTGGGTGTAATTGAATGAGAGCTAGACGTGGAATCAGAATTCAGATCTTAAATCCACCACTGACTTGCTGTATAACCTTGCCTCAGTTTCCTCTATACAATAGAGTTAGTATGAAAATGAAACGAGCAGTGTTTGGCATATCATGGATAGTCATTAAATATTTATAAAATTCAAGACAGTACCTTTGTCAGAGAGTTTGCATCAGTCAGCATAGGTGAGGTTTCTCTGTGGTAACATTCAAGCCCTAAATCTCAGTGGCTTTAAAGAGCAAAGGTTTATTTCTCTATCAAACTTCATGTCCACTGAGGTCAGTTGTCACTTGGACATGGTCATGCTTTATGTGATCCTCCATCTGGGGTTCAAGCCCAGTGGGAACCACCATGTGGAAATCATGGCAGCAGAAAGGAAAGCTCTGGAGAGATTTGTAACAGCAATTAAATGATCTGTTTGGAAATGACACACATTTCTTTCTGCTTAGAACTCACCGCCTGGAACTAGTCACGTGGCTACTCCTAGTCACTAATGAGCCCATGAGTAAATCTTTTTTTTTTTTTTTTTTGCCCCAAACGGGGAAACTGAGAATATTTGGCAAGTAGCACTACTGATTTCTGCAACATCTACAGAGCAGGCTCTGTTAATGTGTCTGTTCTACACATCAAAGTGCTACTGTATGTTTTCTTCTCTTCATTGTAATATATAATCATTTTCTCTATTTTGTTGACATTTTAATATATCCTACTTGTTTGCTCCTTATTGTTATTATTTTTCAAGTGGAACACAGAAGAAAACTTTTTATTTTCATAGAATGGAACAATAGGACTTCATTTTATTGTACTCAGGGATATGATAAGGCAACAATGCCTAGCTTCACCTTTCTTTCTGGTCTTGGGAGGGAGCATGTGACAACAAAGATGTAGGTTGCAGGGAAGCAACTCCCTGAGATTTTCATGGAAGTATGTTTATTTTATCTTGCAAGGTAAGATCCAATGGGAGGATGTGAAATAATGGTAAAACTGTGGCCAGTTATAAGATGTGCTAAGAGAGGGGAGAGCTAGCTTTAGCATATCTATTATATACTTGAGAAAATATACTCCAGAAAAGCCAGAAAATTCATTGAATGTGTGTATTTTATATATTTTTTCCTTTGGGGGATCTTTATTTCCCTTGATGATTGACCATATATTCACATATATGTGTGCCTTTAGGAATCTGAAGAAGAAACCAAAGGAATCTGAATCCTTACTTGTGTAGCAGACATGGCTAATTACCTCCAAATATCCATTTTTCCTTCTAACTTTAATAACAGAATTCCTACCATCATGGCTTAGATCAAGACTAAAACCTTGCATATTCTGACTAATGCAGGTCCTCCCTCACAGAGTAGCTTTTGACATACTTAACATTTAATGCCTGTCAATTATTGCCAGCCTCTCTTGCAGCTCAGTATGATGACCATGTACTAAGCTTTGACTGAAGGGATATGAGCAGAAGTAACGGGTACAACTTCTATGTCATGTTGTTAATTAAGAAGCTGTTTTCCACCTACTTCCTTTTCTACCCTGCTGGCTTAGAAAAGGTGACAACTTCCTGAAGTTGTCATTTTGGACCCAAGGACAGAAACCACATATTGAAGATGACTCGCTGCCTATCTCTGTACTGCTACATGAGAAATAAGCCAACTATATTAATTAAGCCATTGTATTTTGGAGTCTCTGTATTATCACAGGTTAGCCTGTGATAAATAACTTTTAGTGTTAGATATCCTCTTTCCAGGCTTAGTTTTGGCTCACCAATCATGGCTCACCATAGCCTCAAACTTTCGAGCTCAGGCAATCCTCCCACCTCAGCCTCCTGAGTAACTGGGACTTTAGGAACACTCCACCACACTCAGCTAATTTTTAAATTATTTGTAGAGACAGGATCTCTCTATGTTGCCAAGGTTGGCCTTGAACTCCTAGACTCAAGCAATTCCCTGACCTCAGCCTCCCAGAGTGCAGGGATTCCAGGTGTGAGCCCCTGTGCCCAGCCAGAATCACATTTTAATTGATTTTTGTCTTCTCTCAGACTGGAGGACAGGAGAGAGGTTGATCCTTTGCTGATTGTGAGATTTAGTGCTGTACTTGCTTTACACTTTTTTTTTTTTAATTCTTACTCTCCTAAACTCATCAGACAACAGTGAACATAGAGTCTTTGAATTCTAGACTGTACCTAGAACTTGTTCCTCCAAACCAACAGTCTACTTTATATCATGAGGCCTGTTTTATGCATCCAGGGAGGTGATTTTGCCTTATTCAAAACCAAACTCTGTATGATCAACATTCCAAAAGACTCCCTGGGCTTAACAGCCATGTGTGTTTTGAGAAGAATTTTGGAGGCCTATTTAGGTCTGAAAATAATTCCAATTGCCCTTTGCACAGCCCTATTTTCTTCACTTGGTTCCACTTCATAGTTGAATATAAGCCCAGAGTAAAGGTCTGAATGTTTAGAAAATGTGGCTCTGGCACATTCTCAAGGCAGATAGACCTTTTCTAAGGAGCTGATGCCCTGCAAGGTAGGTAGATTTTGCACAGTGGAGAGAGAAAATGAACTGTAGCTAGAGAAAAGTGAGGACACAGTAGGCATTCTGTGGGGGAGACTGGGATTTTCACTTTTCCCACTGGTCATTTGATGGTTCATTTATTGTCTTGAAATGGAGTAGAAATCAATGGACTATTTTCCTATGTTCCCTTGCCAAACTCACTTCCTAATGGGTGAAACAGACCCAATCTGGACCTCCCTTCCCCACCACCACACATAGCATCCAGTTCCTTGGCAAAATGATGGAAATTTTAGCCAGTTCCCTTGCTCTGTCCACAGAAGGTCAGGCCAGGATATGTTGACAGCTGTTTGGATGACACCAACTGAATCAGACAACTGATTGTATCAGTTGTTTTAACATCTTGGAGACTAAAAGCACGTTATTGGTAGCATGTTTTTCTCAGCATCTCAGCAAGTTAACAGAAAAATTAGTGATAGTAATACATAGTTCATCTGAATGACTTAGTTAAAGCCAGAAAGCTGGTTTTTTAAGTGTCTTAATCAAAAAAGAAGGCTCTGCAGAGGATTAAAACCTTAATATGCTTTCTTGTGAAATTTTGTCTCACCCTGTTCTATTCATTTTTCTGCCCAAGCAAGTTATTGTACATTACATCTTATTTAGCATATATTTATACAAAGGGTCCATTTAACAAGCTAGAATTTTTGCCAGAGAATTCCCATCTAAGACATTCTTCTGTTAAGTGACTTAAACGTAATTTTAGAGCTGGGTTTAAAACCCAGTAATTCTAAGAATGCATGTTATTAATTGATTTATTACTTATGAATGATCATAGAAGAAAATATCAGATTTTAGTCTTTTACCATTTATTACTATTAGAAGTCACAATGCCCATTTATTAAGATTTTATAGTTGCTTAAATAATTTGCAATGCAAAGAAACCTTGGTCATGACATACTACCTTCATGGCAAATTTGCTTGAGTTTTGTTCACTTGTGTAAAATCTGTTCCGAATGCTGAAATAATGATGGAAGTAACTCATTTAAATTACTGGGATCATGTAAAGGAAGAATGTGTTCATTCTGGCAGCTCTGAGCAATTCTGAAAATCATCACGCATCATCTTAGCTTACTGAATTGGAAAAATAGGGTAATGGGCTGGGGCATTCCATAGGAATGAGTTGTATTGTAATAATCAATGTAAAGAATAAATTTTATTAGATAAATGTAACTTCTTGCTGTGATCTAGTAAGAAAGACTGTGACTTAAAAAGATAAAGCGGAATAAAATTGATATAATTTAATATAACTTTAGTGAAACTTCTGAATTTAAATTATATAATTTGGTCATCAGTAAATCTTGGCTAGCACGTACATCTGTGGGAGATAAAGAGTTTCTTAAGGCCATGCATGGTGGCTCATGCCTGTAATCCCAGGACTTTGGGAGGCTGAGGCAGGCAGATCACCTGAGGTCAGGAGTTTGAGACCAGCATGGCTAAAATGGTGAAACTCTGTCTCTACTAAAAATACAAAAATTAGCCAGGCATGGTGGTGCATGCCTGTAATCTCAGCTACGCGGGAGGCTGGAGCAGGAGAATCACTTGAACCTGGGAGGTGGAGGCTGCAGTGAACTGAGATCATAACACTGTACTCCAGCCTGGGCAGGACGACAGAGCGAGACTGTGTCTCAAAACAAAACAAAACAAAACAAACAAACAAAAAAAAAAACAAAAAAAAAACCAAACCAGTTTCTTGAAACATCAAACTTTAGTTTTATCTATACTACACCAAGCCATCCAGATTAGGAGTTTATTCTCAAATGTCTCCTGGGTGCAGGTAGATAATTAGATAATTGAACTAGAAGGCATAAACTTTAGGGAATGCTGGTGACTGCAGAGAATAAGAGAATTCATGCAACTGCTCCATTCCAGCTGATGGCTGCCATGTGGGAATCTGAGGTGGGTGAACAGATTTTACAGTTTTCAGGAGAAATTGGAAATCTGGGTTTTTATGCAAAATCTCCTAACCTAACAAGTTTGAAACACGGTGGACTAGCCAGCTGTTTGTGCTGATTTTAACTTAAGGACCACAATCTTGAAATCTTTGAACTAGATACTTGTAGTGAAAAATTCATTTAATCATGTTGATGCTGATATTTTCTTTTATGCTTGTCTTTCATTGGGGTGAATATTTCTTCATGATTGTCTCCTACAGGTCCAGTTTAGATATATATAAAATAGTGACTTGGAACCAGTGAATTTGATATGGTTATTTGTAATTCTCATAGGTACTATATTTGGAAATTCTAGGGTGCCTTATAAATTTCTTGATAACCTTGACTTAGATGAGGGTAGTAAGCAATTCAGAATTTGCCATAATAAATGTGAAAGTTAGCTGAAATAAACAAGTTAAAGGTCGAGTGCTAGAAGTACAATTGCTCATTTAGGAATCAAAAAAAGGAAACACACACCTATAATGTAAACATAAAATAACTGATGTACGTAAAAACAATGACCAGAAATATCCTTGAAGTCATAATGACTTGGAAGTTAAATGTCATCTTTTATAAATTGTGTGACCCAGGGAAAGTTTGGGTATAGGAAGAGGTCAGAAAATGTCTTTATCTTTACCATATAGGCTGTAATACTTGAAAGTTTATGAAGCACTCATATCATATAACCAGTCTATTTGATGTAGCCAGCATGTTTTCCTAATAGGCTCAGCTAAGGTACAATATCATTTCAAGGAGGCATAAAAAATAAAAAGAGGGTCCTATCCAAGTAAGAGAGATTTAAAAAATGAGAAAGGACTCACCAAAAAACATGGATTCTGGAGCCAGATGCCTAGGCCTGAATTCTGGCTCCACCATTTACTAGGATGACAAGAGGATCCTCAAGGGCACATGGAGAGTGCTATATAATTAGTAAGTAGTATGTTTAATATTCTAACTAGGAAAATTTGATGGAAAAAACTGTGATTTTTTTACTATGTGTTATGTGCTTGGCCTTCATTTGAAACACTCTCTATATTGATCTACTTATTTCTCACAATATGCCTGTGGGTTAGACATGGCTATTTTCATTTTACAGATCCAAGACCAGGGTTCAGTGAGGTAAGAGTACAGTTGAAACTCTTTTTACCAGCTTCCATTTTGCCACCTTTCCATTCCACCTGTAGCTGGCCCCATGGCTTCCTAAGGTCTGTGGCTAGAGGGAGGCTCTAGTATATGTTTTGGTCACTACTGCTCCTACCAGCTGTGTTATGGACCTGCCAAGAGTCAGTTTTGTGTGTCCCAAACTACTTACATCTCTTCTTGCAATCAGGCCTACCCCTACCATTAATGGGCCCATGGACACAGTACAAATGGAGGCCCATATTCCTTGCATCTAAATATTGAAATATATAATTCAAAATAACAAACTCTTAAAGAAAGTATGTTTTATTCTCCTTACTTGACAAATAAATTTTCAAAGTTGTTGAGAAGGCCAAGTTCAAATTTCCAGTTCTCAAAATCTTTGGTGCTCCGTGTAAAACATGGTGGCCCAGAAAGAGGCACCATCTCATCTAGAGCATGTAGTCTTTGCTCTGCAGCCTCTCTCTCTCTCTTCCAACCTCGAATGTGTCTCCCACCAAAAGGGTCTCACGTAGGATTCAAACACCCTGACCCATGCTTCCAAACTTTGCTAACGTTGACTGCTATTTGGGCAGAGAATTTTAGGGACTTTGTACCTGGAACATGATTTAGAAAGGGGCATGTGAGCTCTGGATGGGTATGTTGTGTGGCTCCATTGAGAGGAACATGGCAAAAGCAAGACCAAAATTTGGACTCCTAAAGCATGGGTCCAGAACAGGATCCACTGTTTCTGTATCTAGAGGAGGTATTGATGATGATTTTCATTCAGTTATGTATAGTGATTACTTGTTAGCATGCAAAGACATGTTTATTATTTCTATGAAAATTATGTTAGAAATGGAGAGTCTACATACAAGTAGCTAAAACATTGTTATTATATTAGATGTAGGAAAAGTGTATTAAAATGTTGGAAGAGATAAAAATACAAAAAATTCCTACATTCAGCTTGATTGCCAAATGTTCTTTATCAAATTCAAGAATTGAAAATTACAGATGATTCATTACGGATAAGATTTATGCAAGAAAATCAATGTGGAACTCCAATTAGCAGACTTATTCCAAAAGATGGTGCTCTACAATAAAGAACGAAAACTGAATTTAGATTATCTAAAATAAAATGGAAGAAAACATTTAATATATAATATATATATATATATATATATATATATATATATATATATATATCTTGCTTTAATCAAAATTTTATTTGGCTGACTAACTCCAAGTCCCAATCTCATTGGCTAGACAAGCTTCTCCTGCAACTGACTTTGAGTCAGGGAGGTAGGAGCGTGTTAAAGTTGGGGTAAAAGGGTAGGTCTATCTTACTGGGAAGATTGCCCTCTTAACCTTATACTTGATTATTAAGAACAAAGTAAATATTAAGTCACTCATGTCTATAGTGCTCAGTAAAATGTTTTGGAATAAACTGCATGTTCGCTACCAGGATTATGTTGTAGTTGTGGATTACTTTTCAAGAGAGGTTATGGAAATGCTGATTAATAGGTATGTTTATCTAATACATTTTCTGGCTTGGCGGCTTCAAGACAAATTGTAGCATTCTATGACTCAATAGATTGACTCTAATACCAAACTCAAAGAAAGTATTCATTGTTCTTTCGTCAGTCAGTTTTAACTATATAAAAAGTTATAACTTTCTTAAATAATAGCATTTTTCTGCGTAATATCTTTGAGAAGGCTTACTTAAAAGACTGGCATAGCTAAGTGAGAAACCTCGGAGAGGCGTACTAACTCAAAGTGACTTTAAGAAAGATGGTCAAATTATAATAAAATTGAAGACCCAGAGAAGCATAAAATAGTACCAAGAAAAACTGAATTAGATATGCATGTGGCTCTGTCAAAAGAGATAGAATTTTCTCTTGGTGAACTGGCAGGTCTCCTAGACACTCTTAAAAACCTTAGGAACAGTTGATTGTAGAGGTGGTGTGTGTTGCCATTCTTCTTTCTAGAATGGAGAAAAGCTTTGGAGATGCTCACAGGCTACACACTGCAGCGACACATGGGAGAGAATCAAAGGGTCATCTTGCTCCTTTAAATTATCATTTCTGAGTTTAAAAAAATAACATTGGAAAGTATGAGTTGGTATCTTTTAGAAGAGAGGATGAACAATATAAAACTATCTTTTTTTGTGCTTCTTTTGCAGAAGCCCTCCTGAGTGGAGGTGATAACATTTAGGGAAGTGGTCTGCTATTTTTGTGCATCCTGCAACGTTTGCAAATCTGGTTATTTCCAATCCAGTACTCAGCTCTGTAACAGGACTGATGTTGTTGTTTAACCTAAAGCACTGCCCTGCCCAGTCTCTTATGAGGGACTTAAAACTTCCTATTATTTCCATGTACTTCCAGAACTCCAGTCTGCATAAGAATCTCCTGGAGATCTTGTTTAAATCGATACTCTGATTCAGTAGGTACAATCTAATTCGAGGCCTTCCATTGTGCTCTTAGGTGATGCCAATGCTGATGATCTGAGGGCCAGCCACGTTTTAGTAGCAGGGATCTAGGCACTAGCTCTTACCTCAGAACAGAGTGTTTATATTGAGATTCTGAAATTCAGGAGGAGTTGGAAAAGTGGGTCTTGGAAACACAGCCTTTGTTTATGAGTTAGTAAAGACAGAATTGATGAGAAAAAGGAAAATAACAACAATAAACACAAAACTGCTATTTACTTGTAGCTGTGTTTCAGTAGCTAAAGCCAAGAGATAAATTCCATAGTGGGTGAGAAATGTTATCTATGGGAATCTGAACTGATGTTAGGTAGGAGGATATCATGAAGCATGCAAATACTTTGCACCTATGAGAGTCACAGGTAAGTCCCAGGCTGAAGTTGCTGGCAGTTAAATGGATTCCACTTGCTCTCCTAACCCCGTCCTTCCAAAGCTGATAATAAAATTGTACCATTTAGCACAAATCAGAATGAGCCACCATAAAATAAATAAATTATCTCACCCATGAAGGGTGAGGATAAATTTGTTATATGCCTTGGAGAAAAGCACATTGAGGCCTATGTCCATTTCAGTCTAGGTAAGAAGGAAAAACTCTGTATGTAGTCAGAGTGGATACCAGCACATCATCCTTTCCTAAAACAGTGGCTCAAGTCAAGATGTCAGAATGGGTAAGGGGATATAGCAACACACCAGGACTGGGATGCTGGGTTTTCTCCATCCCCTCTCTTTCCTCAGGGAAGTCGTTCATTATGTGACTGGGCCAGCACCTGTTTAGGAATTACAAATTACCTTACACAGTTAGGTGCTGGATCATGAGGCCAGATGAGCAATTGTGGGAGGAGGAAGTTAAGTTAGGAAACTTGGTGGGGAAACCAAGACAGGTAAGCATTACCTGATCAAAGAATAACCAAAGATTACTTCTGATCAAAGACTATTTCAGAAACAAACTCTATGAGGTTGTTTCTATGGCCACATGCTTATATTTTCCATGCTTTTTTTCTTTTTTTGCTTTTTTTGTAGCCTAGTATTTAGGCACACTGACTTGAGAGCTGGGCTTTCTGGGTTAAAATGCTGTTCCTGACACTTATCAGCTGAAGCATCATGGATGCATTTCCTAACTTCTTGTGCTCCAATCTCCTCATCAAAAAATGAAGAGAATCATGGCCCCTTCTTAACAGGGTTGTTATGAAAAGCCAATGAGATAGCATTAGATAAAGTGCTAAAAACAATGCCGGGCACAGGGTAGGTACTATTCAGGTTAGCTGGTACTGTTATTGTTATTATTATTTTCATCATTTTGATGATAAGGCCTGCAGAGATGATGCTTACATAAACAATCTGACAAGTAGGGCTGGATAAAGCAACTTGAAAATGATTTCTGATAACACTGTTAATTATAACACCGAGAAAACCATTCCCGAGAAGCAATTGCTGTTTTGATTGGTTCTTAATATACAGTTTGTTTTTTTTCAGTTCAGCAACTGAATAACTACAGTGAGCCAGAATAAGTTAGACAGCAGTGTCTAAAATATGAGCCTTGCTCTTGAAAAGCTTTTCTTCCAGAGGGGATATAGGGTGGTCACTGCTGGCTCCAGAGTTTTCTGTAGCATTCATAGTGGTGTCGTGGTTTCAGCAATTGCTGATTTCCGTTTGCTGGACTTTTCCTTTGGTTTGTTTTAATGTTTCATTTAATGGAAGTGCCTAGATCAAAGCCCTGCATAAACTGGCTGTCAGTAAGTTTGGAGAGATGAGCTTGGAGGGTAGAAGATCCAAACACTCTTAAGAGATGGAACAACCATTCTCTCTTGCTACTCTCTTTTTGTCTTGGAATGGCCTCATTCTCATACACAGTGGTATATATGCCCAGAACCTGAGGAATGCTTGAATGCTGGGCCAAAAAGAAAAATCTGAGGTGAGAAATGTGACTGCTTGGTATTTATTTATTGGAGGCTATATACTTTTAATTCTGGCTTTAAATTCTGCAGCTAGAAATGCAGTTTGTGGGCAAGGAATGGGTGAATTTCCAAAAGAGATCTGAGAGGTTGACTTTTAGAATCCCTGAAGATGGGGATAAAAGGGGGACCTTTTAAATAAACCAAGTGCCCACAATGTCTTTATTACCACACTGCTACTTCACACTGTAGATTACATGAAGGCCTGGAGACTAATTTCAGCAACAGCCACAATTTACTAGCTATAGTGGGCCTCAGATGAATAGTTTCTTGTAAAATCAGTGGCAGCTTTATCCTAGCAGAGCACAAATAAATCAGCTCTTATTATTCCACATTCATTTAATCCAGGGACATTAGTCAGTGAGACCTTTCTGCAGCCTAATAAACAGCAGCAGCAGCAGCAGTTTTTCTTTATGAGAGTAGTCGTTCATCCTAAATTAGAGCCAGCATTAGGCGGAGGCAGAAACTTTTGCTGGATGATTTAAAGATATATAATATGAGACCATAATAGTGTATGAAAACTGTACCCATGTGTGTAAATATAGCAGGGTCATAATTTTGCTGTACGTGGATCACTTTAGAACATGTGGCTTATTTTATCTTTCTTGAGGGCTTTCTTTGTTGCAGGTGATGTTATCCTGTCTCTCTTCACTCAAGTGTCCTTTTATTTTACTTGGGAGTTGGGAAGGCATTGAAGTTGCATCTTCTTATTTCTGTTTACTCAGAAGGAAGTAAACCTGGCAGAGGAGGATTGTGAGCGAGGTGCATCTAAAATGTGCACCTGGATATTTCAGTTTGCTGAGCTGCTGCTTGATTCAAAATCCTAACCTGAACCACAGAGAACTTAAAAAAAAAAAAAAAACTAGTTAAGCCCAGGTCACAAGTTTTCTGTCGGAATGTCCCTATATATGTGATGTACACAATTTGACTTGCATTGTTCTGATGATGTGGCTTTAGGGAGATAGATAATTTAAAATAAGCTTTCCATATATACAAATTGGCCCTTACTTCATGGGTGTGCAGTATTCATAAGTAGAGATGAGTGTAGTTTTTGTTCATCTATAGCATAAATATGTCCAGGATGCTCTTTCATACCTCCATCAGGAGAAGATACATCAGAGAGTAATCAGCTTGATAAAAAATACATATGGAATCATTTGCTTGACACCAACAAATGCATAATCAAAAATGACTCTATTCCCTCTTATGTATAGTGTGCACATCACTTTACTTACTGATTGAGTTTGTATACAACAGTGCTCTTCACAGCCCAGTAAGCATTAATTGAATACCCACTATGTGTGCTCCACGGTGGAATTTTATGTAGATCTGCTTATTTAAAATGCACTTCTTGTGGGAAGAAGAGGAAAAATAGGGCAGGCCATTGGATTCCAGGAATGTAAGCACTGGAACTAATATAAAATTAATGAGATATGTTTTCCATTATCTGGAAATAAAATACAGTTATTATAACCAGGTATCATTGCATTTGACCACTGAGTTGTAGCCCATCCACTTAATGAAAATGAAAGTATCCTGATACAAACTGGGAAATACTGCATATTGGCATTAAAGGGTTACAGATATACAGCACTCAAATTAATTTATTCTTCTGTAGCTAAAATGATACACTTAGTCTTTCGATACAATATACGTGTAGTCAAAACAGATTCTGTTTGCCCACAATAATACATCAATATGTACGATTCTTCCTTCTCTGGGAGATTTACATTGTTTGCCAACAAACAAACAAACAAAAAACACCACCAGATAACTTAAGCAAAATCCTTAGGGTAGACCTTTATGGACCCTGATTTTTTAATAACATATTGCCCCTGTGTGGGTAAAGGATTCTTTTCCTATTCCAGCCCTGGCAGCAGGGGTGGCAATTCCAGCTGATCTTTGTGCAATGCATTTTGCTGATTTTCAGGGTGGACTGGATGATCTGCAGAGGATGTCTGAAGCACAAAGCCATTACAGCAACCAGAGAAATGATACCAAGTGGTCAGTACATTACCCTCATATAGTGAGACCAGCATATTATTAAACAATGATTTTGGAAATAGATGGTCAACCACTTGAGCACAGCAAATAGCCTGTACTTTTACATTTCTTCAAAGGCCTAACATAATACTTAGCATGTACTAGATATATACTGTGAATTGATTTAGTAACAAATGTTGATAAACATTGTTAAATAGGAAATTGCTCATCCTTAAAGATAGCTATGTCTAAGGAGGTTTCTTTTACTTTTCTTTGCACTATTCTTGTATACCAACTTATTATACTGTTATTTAAAAAAAATTCCTAGAAGTGAAACAATGAAATAGCAAAATCTTCAGTTTACATTTCTACAGGTAAAGTGAGGAGGAATTGAGACAATAATTTGGGTAATTCAGGCAAAAAGGCTTAAAATATTCAAATAACTAATGGCACTGGTAGGTTGGACAAACCGAATTACTGGGATATGATCATGAGGCATCTTAATTTTGACTCTCACTGCTCTTTAAAAATATATTCAGTGTGGCAACTTCTTTTCCTGCCCTGGATGAGAACTCAGTGTTCTCATGACATTTCTCATTACTCTTAGGTTATTAAAAATCCAGTCCATGTAATAATTACAATTCCAAACTTGATTAAGATTATTTTCTCTCCAATCCGAGCTAGGGCTTTTTCTTTCTTTCTTTGTTCTTCTTTCCCCAGCTTGTTTCCTGAGGTCTCTGATCCCTCTAGATTTGGAGAAATAGAAGAAAATATACTTATGAGATGCCAGAAGATTCATATTTGACTGGTATTCTTGGGATATTGCTTTACATTCCTAGACAGTTACGAGAAGCTTTTTCTCATGGGTGCTTTCATGAGTACTTTGGGAAACATGCTCCTCCTACTTGCTGTTTGATTGATCTACCTGTATTCTGTCTGGTTGCTTGCTCTTTCCAAAGCCCTTAAACATTTTTTGGCTTCTATCTTCTGAGATTTCCTTAAGCCAGCCTTCTCTGTACTGAATCTAAAACAACCCAACACAACATTATTTCATGCGTGACTCTACATGTAGTCCATGAGAAAGTCCCATGTTTTTTCTGCTTCTAACAAACTCCGATGAGGCTACTCGCTAAGTCAATATGCTCTCCTCAAGTTCACCTGCCACCTTGAGTTCACCTGTCAGAGCTCCCGTCAAACTTTCTGCATGATTCTGAACAATTTTGGTACCATCATTATGGGTGAAGGGTTAAAGAATCCTCCAAGATGTCCTCAGTCTTTCTTCCATGAAAGTCCCCAACAGCCTTTCAACTCCTGTTGACATCTGCTGTTATTTTCACACCTTGGATGAAACGGAGGCAGGAAGACCTCTTAATATCCTGTCACACTGAGTTGCATATTTTCAAAGAATGTAATTTATTCAAATGGTCATGCTCTTTCTTCACTGTTTTTATTCCCCCCAATCTTAATCTTCACTGGATATTTTATAGTCAATTTTGAATCTTCATATTTGCTGTGCATTGAGTAAAAAGAATGAGATGTAGAAATGATAGTTTTCTTGCATTCACCAAATTTCTTTCAAGCATGTATTATTCAGCCCTGTCACATTTTTATTTTGCTGACATGTAACTAGAAACTAGAAAAAATATTATATGAGCTTTATTTTGTGGGTTGTTTGCACTTTAATTTTTTTATTTTTAATTTTTGTGGGTACATAATAGGCATATGTATTTATGGGTTGCATGGGATATTTTCATACAGGCATGCAATGTGTAATAATCCCATCATGGTAAATGGGGTATCCATTACCTCAAACATTTATTCTTTATGTTACAAATAATCCAGTTATACTCTTTAGTTATTTAAAATGAACAATTAAATTATTTTTGACTACAGTCACCCTGTTGTACTAGCAAATACTAGGTCTTATTCATTCTTTCTAACTACTTTTTTGTATGCATTAACCATCCCCATTCCACACCCTCCACTACACTTTGCAGCCTCTGGTAACCATTCTTCTACTTTCTAGCTCCACGAGTTCAATTATTTTCATTTTTAGCTCCCACAAATAAGTGAGAACATGTGAAATTTTTCTTTTTGTGCCTGGCTTATTTCACTTAACATAATAAAATCCATTTCCATCCATGTTGTTGCAAATGACAGGATCTCATTCTTTTTTATGGCTGAATAGTACTCCATTGTGTATGTATACCACATTTTCTTTATCCATTCATATATTGATGGATACTTAGGTTGCTTCCATATCTTGGCTATTGTGACTAGTGCTGCAATAACATGGAAGTGCAGATGTCTCTTCAATATACTAATTTCCTTTCTTTTGTGTACATACCTAGAAGCGCAACTGCTGGCCTGTATGGTAACTCCATTTTTAGTTTTTTGAGGAACCTTTAAACTGTTCTCTATAATGGTTTTACAAATTTGCATTCCCGCCAACAGTATACAAGAGTTCCTTTTTCTCCAAATCCTCACCAGCATTTGTTATTGCCTGACTTTTGGATAAAAGCCATATTAACTGGGGTGAGATGATATCTCATTAGTTTTAATTAGCATTTATTTGATGATCATGATGTTGAGCATCTATTTATATATCTATTTGCCATTTGTATGCCTTATTTTGAGAAATGCCTATTCAGGTTTTTTGCCCATTTTTCAATCAGATTATTAGACATTTTCCTATAGAGTTGTTTGAGCTGCTTATATATTTTGGTTATTAATCCCTTGTCAGATGGGTAGTTCGCAAATATTTTCTCCCATTCTGTGAGTTGCCTCTTCACATTGTTGACTGTTTCCTGAGCTGTGCAGAAGCTTTTTAACTTGATATGGATCGCATTTGCCCATTTTTGCTTTGGTTGCCTGTGCTTGTGAGATATTACTCAAGAAATCTTTGCCCAGTTCAATATTCTGGAGAGCTTCTTCAATGTTTTCTTGTAGTAGTTTCATAGTTTGAGGCCTTAGATTTAAATGTTTACTTCATTTGGATTTGATTTTTATATATGGTGAGGGATATTAGTCTAGTCTCACTCTTTTGCATATAGATACCCAATTTTCCCATCACCATTTATTGAAGAGACTGTCCTTTCTCCAATGTATGTTCTTGGCACCTTTGTGAAAAATGAGTTCATTGTGGATGTATGAAGTTATCTGAGTTCTCTCTTCTGTTCCACTGATCTATGTGTCTGTTTTTATGCCAGTACCATGCTGTTTTGATTACTATAGCTCTGTAGTATAATTTAAAGTCTGGTAATGAGATTCTTCCGGTTTTGTTCTTTTTGCTTAATATAGCTTTGGCTATGCTGGTTCATTTGTAGTTCCATATAAATTTTAGGATTTTTTTTTATTTCTGTGAAGAATGTCGTCGGTATTTTGATAGGGATTGCATTAGGTATGTAGATTGCTTTGGGTACTATGGACATTTTAACAATATTGATTCTTGCAATCCATTAACATGAAATATTCTTCATTTTTTGTGTCTTCTTTAATTTCTTGCATCATTGTTTTATAGTTTTTTATTGTAGACATCTTTCACTTATTTGGTAAATTCCTAGGTATTTTATTTTATTTGTGGCTATTGTAAATATGATTACTTTCTTGATTTCTTTTTCAGATTGTTCACTGTTGGCATTTAGACATGCTACTGATTTTTCTGTGTTGATTTTGTGTCCTGTAACTACTGAATTTGTTTATCAGTTCTAATAGTTTTCTGGTAGAGTCTTTGGGTTTTTCTAAATATAAGATCATATCATCTTCAAACAAGGATAATTTGACTTCTTTCTTTCTGATTCAGATGCCCTTTATTTCCTTCTCTTGTCTGATTGCTCTAGCTAGGATAACCAGTACTATGTTGAATAACAGTGGCGAAAGTGGTCATTCTTGTCATGTATTCAATCTTAGAGGAAAGGCTTTCAGGTTTTCCCCGCTTAGTATGATATTAGCTATGGGTCTGTCATATATGGCTTTTATTATGTTAAGGTATGTTTCTTCTATACCCAGTTTTTTGAGGCTTTTTTTAAATCATGAAGCAATGCTGAATTTTATCAAATGCTTTTTCAGCATCAATTGAAATGATCATATAGTTTTAAATCTTCATTCTGTTAATATGATGTGTCACACTGATTGATTTACATATGTTGAACCATTCAAGGCCTGCTGTAACCACTCCCTAGATACCACCTATGTTCACTCAAGGCCCTGAAACTCTACAATCAGCAGGTGGCAAAGCCACCCACCTTCAGGGAGGTGATTTCCCCCATGGCCTAAGTGGGTCTGGAGGTGCCATGATTTCTCCCATGGCCTAAGTGGGTCTGGAGGTGCCATGATTTCCCCCATGGCCTAAGTGGGTCTGGAGGTGCCATGATTTCACCCATGGCCTAAGTGGGTCTGGAGGTGCCATGTGCGGGTCAGGGACAACCATCAAAAACCTTAGAAATCTACCTGGTGTTCTGTTGTACTGTGGCTGAGCTGACACTCAAACCATGAGATGCAGTTCTTCCTCCTCTTCCCTCCCCTTTCCACAGGCAGAGGAACCTCATCCTGTGGCCATGATAATCACAGGCCCACAGGGAGTACTGCCGGACTACCACTGATGTTCCCTTAAGGCCCAAGGGCTCTTCAGTCACCTTGTGGTGACTGCTGCCCATCCTGGGACTCACCCTGAAGGGCAGTAGGCTCTTCTCTGTCTCAGGACAGGTCCAGACATACCATTCAAAAGCCAAAGCCTGGAGTTGGGGACCCTAAGAGTCCACTAAGTGCGCTAACTTCCTGTGGCCAAGTGGCTACCTAAGGTGCAAGACAAAGTCCCCTTTACTTTTCTCTCAGCTTTTCCCAAGCAGAAGGAGTCTCTCCCTCTAGCCACCACAGCTGAGAATGTGCTGAGTCTCCCCTAAAGCCAATTAGTCTTAGAATGTCACCCAAGGCCCACAGTGGTGGACACCAAGATACCACCTTGGTATCACTGCTGGTTATTCAGGGCCCAGGGGCTTTTTAGTCAGCAGGTGATGGATACTGCTGGGATTGGACCCTTCCCTTCAAGGCAGCAGTTTCCCCTCTGGCCCAGGGTGTGTCTAGAAATGTAGTCCAGGAACTAGGGCCTGGAAAGGGGGCCTCATGACTCTGATGAGTGCCCTATCCTGCTGTGGCTGAGCCAGTATCCAACATGCCAGACAAAGTCCTTTTTACTCTTTCCTCTCCTCTCCTCAAGCAGAAGAAGGGATTGTCTCTTGGAACCATGAGCTGTGCAGTCTGAGGTTGGAGGATGAGTAGCATAAGTGCTCCCTTACCCGCCCCAGCTGGTGTCTCAGCAGGTTGAGTGCCCTCCAACTTCACTGACTCTGAGCTCAGTTCAGCACTTGGACTTACCTAGGAGTTGCAGTCATTGTGGCTTAGCTTGCCCTTCAAGTTTACTTAGAGACCCAGAGCTCTTTACCCCAAGGTGGTGAGGCTTGCTGGAACTCAATCTCCAACCACTAGGATGGGCAAGCTTGCCAGCACTCAAGCTCCCCTCTGACTGGGGCTGGTTTAAATGCTCCCTCTGTGTGGGGGCATCAGCTGAGTTTGTTCGGGTTTTGCTTTCTGCTGTGATAGGGCAGCACTGAGTTTAATGCAATGTATGCCAATTCTTGTGCTTTCCTTTTTCTAAGCACAAAGATTTTCTCTTCACACCACATAGCTAGTACCAGGAGATGGGGAAGGGATGATGTCAGCAATTCAAGACTGTCTTTCCTATTCTCTTCAGATCCTTTTTCAGCAATACGAAGTTAAATCAAGGTACTATGAGTGCTTACCTGATTTTTGGTTCTTATGAAAATGCTTTTTTTTTGTGGGGGGGTGGTGCGCGGGGTTGGGGTAGGGTTCGATAGTAATTAAATTGGTGTCCTTGCCATCAGGGATGATCAGTGGAGGCTTCTATTTGACCATCTTGCTCCACCCCTCTACTGGTTGCACTTTAATTGTGGAATCTGTATAACTTCTTCTATGAATCTACATGAGTCTTTTAATAAATATTATAGCTTTCATACATATGTGTAGTTGTGGGGAAAGGGAGAGAGAATGTAGAGGAGTAAGAGAGAGTAGTTGGTAAAAGTGGTGGAAAACCCCCTTTTTATTTAAATATCTAACTATAATTCTCAGTGCTTTATGTCTAGAGACTAGAACCTAGATTCTTTTCACAGGCAAAAGTTTTCCTACTGAATTTTAGAATCTGAAGAGCTTTAGTGATGATCCTGTACTACTCCTTTATTTTATGGTTTATAATGTATAATGGGTCGGAAAAGTTTATCTCTTTTTGTTGGAAAATTCTCAGTTCTATAAAGCTGAATCTTAAATTTTAAAGGATTTTTCGTTTCAGGTCACAAAGATCGTGGTAGAGGTGGAGCTAGAACTGAGCTTCCTATGTCAAGTTTTCCCTTTTACTGGACCTAAAACTGAAAAAGATATTTTCCAATATTTATTTTAGAATCTTAAGTTTCCATAAGATCTAGAAATACATTTACCATTGGGCATTACCACACCACTTACATCATTCATGCTGGTTACAGCTTTCCATAGTGAGAAAGTCTGTGTCAGTTTGGTGATGGTGATGATATGAAGGTAGTACAGGTAACTGACACTGGCAATTTCGTAAGCCTTCTCTAAAATATTGCACTAATATATCCTGGAAAGCTTCTCAAGGGGCTACCTTCAAAACCCAAATAAAAACCTAAGTAGCAAATGTAATTTATGAAGAGTTTGATGAAAACTATTGTACATGCATCTTAATTGTGTCTACTTTCCCCATGTCTTTAGAGATTATCTAATGAATATAAGATGCTTCTTTGACTTCTCAGACTAATATAAATGAGTTTTAGTTCCCAGACAATTCTAGGGCATTAGATGACTTTATCTCTATGTTCTGGTTATTTCTGCAATGTAACAAGCTACCCTAAAATCTAGTAGCATTAAGCAATAGTGAACTTGTTATGTTCGTGGATTCTGTTAGGAATTTTGAAAAGGCACAATGGGGATGGCTTAATTCTACTCCATGTTGTCTGGGGCTTCAGCTGGGATAACTTGAACGGCTGGGGATAACCCAAACAGATGGCATCTTTGCTCACATGCATGGTGTCTGGGCTGGGAAGGCTGAAGGATAGGCTCAGCTGCAATTATTAATTAGGGACCCCCTATGTGGCCTCTCCAGCATGGTGGCCTAAGTAGTCAGAAGTTTTATATGGTGATTCAGGGCTCAAAGAACAAAAGAGCAAAGCAGAAGCTGCATAGCCTCTGATGACTTAGCCTGGAAAGACACTAATTATCACTTCTACCATACTCTATTGATTTAAGCAATCACAAGTCCACCTAGACTTAAGGAAAGGCAATAGAGTCCCCTTGATAGGGCAGCATCAAAGGATTTGTGGCCATGTTTTAAAACAGCACACCCCAGTTAATCCCCTCCTGACTTTGGTGTTATCATTGTTGTAGTTTTAAATTTTTCTTACATTTTAGATCCTGTAAGAGATTATTATTGATTTTAAAAATAAACATTTATTTAGATTCATTCACATATATAACCTTTCAGTTGCTCTTTATTTCTTTCTGCATCTCTTTATGTCTGTCTGAGGTAATGTTTCCTTCTACTAGCACAACTGCCTTATTTGTGTCTTCTTCTTTCTTTGTTAGTTGTGCTAGAGGATGGACCATTTTTTGGATTTTTTTCAAGAACCAGCTCTTGGTTTCATTATTTCTGTATTGTTTTTCTGTTTTTAATTTTATTGATTTCTTCTCTTTTCTTTACTATTTCTTTTCCTCTGTTTTGTGTTCATTTTGCTTTTCTTTGTCTAGGTTGTTGGCGAGGAAGCTTAGATTACGGATTTGAGACTTTTCCTCTTTTCTAATGTATGCATTTATTATACATTTTCCTCTCAGCACTGTTTCAGTTGTATCTGACACATTTTTAAATATTGTATCTTCATTTTTATTCAGTTTAATGTACTTCTAAAGTTACTTATGTTGTTTACTCTCTAAGTGCTTGGAGATTTTCCTATTATGTTTTGGTTATTGATTTCTGTTTTGTTTCCACTGTGATCAAAGAACATACTATGTATGATTTCAATTATCTTACATTTGTTGAGGTTTGTTTTGTGGCCCAGGGCATATTCTATCATGGTATATGTTTCATGGGCACTTGAAAAGAATGCATATTCTGTTGTTTTGGGATGCTGGGTTCTATTAGTGTCAATTAGATTCTGTTGGTTGAAGGTGTTGTTGAGTTTCTCTGTATCCTTACTGATTTTCTGTCCAGTTGCTTTATGAATTGTTAAGAGAGGCATGTTAAAATCTCCAACTATAATTGTGGTTTTTTTTTACTGCTCCTTTGACTTTTATCTATTTTTATTTGACATATATTACACCTTTGTTGTTTGGGTGCATAAACATTTAGCATTGTTATGTTTTCCTGATACACTGACCCTTTTTATCATTACTTAATGTTTCTCTGTGTCTCAGGAAATTTTTATTGCTGAGAAGTCTACTTTATCTGATATTAATGTAGTCATGCCTGATTTCCTTTGACTAACGTTTGCATAATATATCTTTTTTAACCTTTTACTTTCATCTTGAATATATCATTATATTAAAAGTGAATTTCCTGAGACAACATATAAATGGGTTATGTTTTTCAATTCACTCTGTCAATCTCTCTCTTTTAATTGTATGTAGACCTTTTACATTTAATATAATTATTGATATGCTAAAGCTTAAGTGTGCCTTATTATTGTTGTTGTAGTTTTCTGCTTGTTCTTGGTGTTTCTTTTTTCTTTTTGCTTGTTTCTCCTCTTTCTGTTTCCTAACTTCTTGTGGTTTATTAAATATATTTTTTAGAATTCCATCCATTTTGATTTATTGATACTGTGTTGGAGTGTACCTTTTGGTATAGTTTTTTGTTTTGTTTTGTGACTGCTCTATGTAGTATGTGATATATATGATTTATCCCTGTCTACTAGTTTTTAACATTTTATTAGTTTGAGTGAAGTGCAGAAGTTTTACCTCCTTTTGTATCCCTTAACTCTCTCATATTTATGATATGATTGTCTTACATTTAAAACCATATTATACAGTATTATCATTTTTGCTTCAGTCATCAAAGATACTTTAGAAAACTCAAGAGGAGATGAAAAGTCTTTTGTATTTACCCATAATGTTTGCTTATTGTGTTCTTTCTTCTTTCCTGACATTCCAAAGTTTCTTGTTGTATCATTTTCTCTCTTTGGAGAACTTCATGTACCTATTCCTATAGGGTTTGCCTAATGATGACAAATTCTCTTAGTTTTTCTTCATCTGAAAGTGTTTTGATTTCTCCTTTATTCCTGAGGGATATTCAATATGGGATTCTGGATTGGCAGTTCTTTTAGCATTTAAAAAATATTTTGCCACTTCCTTCTGGCTTCCATAGCTTCTGATATTGTTCAAAATTTTCTTCTGTAAGTAAGGTATTAATTTTCTCTGGTTGCTTTCAAGATTGTTCCTTAGTCTTTAGTTTTTAGATGTTCAATTATGATGTGTCTTGGCATGGCTTTCTTTTGATTTATCCTGTTTGGATTTGGTAAGCTTCTTGTATCTGTAGATCTGTGTCTCTTCAAAAATTTGAAAAGTTTTAGCTATTATTTCTTTGAGTATATTTTTATCCCTGCCCTCTTTTTCTTATTCTAGAACTTGCTGGCATGAATGTTAGATCTTCTGTTATAACCTCACGGGTGCCTGAGCCTCTGTTCATGTTTTCCTCCAGTCTGCTCTCTCCATTGTTTAGATTGGATAATTTCTCTTTTCTGTCTTCCAATTCAATGATACTCGCTTCTATTTCTTTTATTCTATTCTTCAGCCCATCCATTGAGCTGTTTATTTTGGTTATTTTGTTCCTTAGTTCTAACATTTCCATTTGATTCTTCTTTATATCTTTTAATTTTTTACTAATAGGTTTATCCCTTGGTATTCATGAGGGATTGATTCCAGGACCACCTTCATACACCAATATCTGTGGATGTTTAAAACCGTTATTCAAAATGGTATAGTATTTGCATATAACCTGTGCAAATCCTCCCATGTATTTTAAATCATCTCTAGATTACTTATAATACCTAATACAGTGTAAATGCTACGTAAATAGTTCTTATACTATATTTTTAAACTTGTATTATTTTTATTGTTGTATTTTATATTTTATTGTTTTTTTCCAAATATTTTTGATCTGTGGTTGGTCAAATCTATAGATGCAGCACCCACAGATACACAAGATTTGTTAAGGCTTTCTAATTTTTCTGTTATTTCCTTTTAATTGCTTATTAAAGCATTTTTATAACGACTTCTTTAAAATCTCTGATGATTCTAACATCTCTATCTTCTCAGTGTTGGAATCTATTTTTTTAAATTCAGTTTGAGATCTTCCCGGCACTTGGAATGAGTAGTGATTTTTTTAATGGAAACCTAGATATTTTCATATTACATGATGACACTTTAGATCTTATTTAAGCTTTCTGTTTTAGGTAGCTTTCTCTGACACTGGTATGGCATGGGAAACAGGAACATCACTTTGTTACTTCCAGGTAGAGGTAGAAGTCCAAGTTCCCCACTCAGAGTCTGTTAACACCTGAGGGGTGGGGACGGGGCTTCTTATTTCTTCTAGGTAGGAGTGGGTGTTTTGTCTCCTATGTGGTATTTACAGAGACTGCTGTGAGAGTGGCCCTATTAACAACAGGAGATGGGAAAATATTTAGGTCTCTTCTAGGCCCCCTGTGATACCACCTGAGTGGGGAGGTAGCCATGTGCCTTGTTACTAACAGATGAGGGTTAAAGTCCAGGCACTGAAGGTGGTCTCCACTGTCACCATGGTGGGGATGGGTTGTTACCAGCTGGTAGTGATCAAAGTCTTGACTTTCTGCTTGGCCTCTGAAACTGTCCTAGTAGGGGTGTTAAGGCTTATTGTGAAAGCCTTGCAAGGGTGGTTGTCTTCTCATTTGGCCTTTGTTAGTACAGATGAAAGATGGGACTACAGTTGTTTTTGTTTTTTACCCTGTGATGTTTGGCTGGTATAGAGTAATTATTGTCTCAAAGTTTTCTGTCTTGTTAGGATGTCCCTTTCTTGGTCTTTTGGCTGGAACCAGCAGGTTTTCATTGAGTCTTTCATTTTGTCTGCTTCCTTTGACATTTCTGGGTTGATAGCTTCTTCTGCTTCAAGTCCTGGATATATGGGACAAAGAAAAGCAAACCCAGGGAACTCACCACCATGTTGTTACTCAGGCGCTGAGTAACAGTTTACCTTGTCTCCAACTTTCACAGTCTTCTTATGTTTGTTTTATGTGTAATTTCCAGGGTTTTTAGTTGTGCTTGGTAGAAGATATGGGCCAAAGTATACCTACTATATCTTCCTAGAAGTGAGCATTTCTGAAACTCTGGCAAACATTTTTTTTCATCGTCCTATAGTTCATATAGAATCTTGGACTAATTTTTGAAAAAGTTTTTTTTCAATAATTCTTCCTCATTTATTTTGAAAGCTCAGTGTTTTCAGATGGAAGGATACAGCTTTCTTGAACAATGGTAGTAGTATTGTGATGTACCACCTTCAACTCACAGTTTCCTTAAAAGAGATACCTCTTGATTAAAACCACTGATGAGTGGAGGTGTTGATGTGGTAGAATCAATGTCATGGCCAGCCTAACAGGCTGGGATTAGATCCTGAAATGTATTCAAAGATATTTTTATAAGCATATTTATTGTATTGGTTTCAAAATAATGGAATCTTTAAGTTTCAAGGAACTTTGGCAATTGTCTAACTGGATGTCCCACTTATTTTACATCCTGGGCAGGTGAAGATTCATGTATTGCTTGGACACTTTAGAGTATTCTTTTGTCATCCATATGAGTAACAAGGACCTACAGGAATCAGGTAGGTCAAAGTGGTTAGGTGGGAATAGTTGCAGATTGGTCTGGGATAAAGAATATGCAATGGTAATCCACACACAGGTGAAGACCATGTAATCTAATAGCTATAGATATGATTGGTAATACTTTATACACCGTTTACTATTTTACTATTCAATTATTTGTATGTTACACAATGATTTGTTGGCTAGTGGCCTGAATATACTGTAACTCCGTTCACCAATGTTGCCTACCTTCTTCTTCATATTTTTTAATACTCACAGTTGACGGTAATGAAACATCAAGTATATTACATAGAAACAGCTGGCATACTATATAATTAATTATATGACTTACTGGGGGATAATTCTTGCCAACAGTGACCTGATAGAAAAGTTGAGGACTTTAATGTAATATTAATGTAGTATTAAATAGTCATGCTTGTTTAAATAAGGTGAACAAAAAATGGCATACTAGAATCATTATAAATCAGCCACTACTAAGGAATCTTTGATGGCGTGTATTTTTTTTTTTTTTTTTTGAGACGGAGTCTGGGTCTGTCGCCCAGGCTGGAGTGCAGTGGCGCGATCTCGGCTCACTGCAAGCTCCGCCTCCTGGGTTCATGCCATTCTCCTGTCTCAGCCTCCCGAGTAGCTGGGACTACAGGCGCCTGCCACCACGCCTGGCTAATTTTTTTGGATTTTTAGTAGAGAAGGGGTTTCACTGTGTTAGCCAGGATGGTTTTGATCTCCTGACCTCGTGATCCGCCTGCCTCAGCCTCCCAAAGTGCTGGGATTACAGGCATGAGCCACCATGCCCGGCCTTGATGGCATGTATTTTAAAATATCCTGTGTAACTCTCTCTGAATTGAGGTGAATTAGTGGGTATGTTCAGCTGGACTAGATTAAAATGTAGCGACTGGAGTCTAAGACATAGGTACTATTCTCCGTCTTCTTGACTCCACCTAACTCAGATCTGGAGTCCTGCAACTAAGATTTATTCACTTGAGAGCTCTGCAGGGGTAAACAGAAGACTTTTCCCACTTCTTTTCTTAATATATTTTATGATGAGTGAGATTGGCTGCATGACTCAAAGATGGAAATAGGCAAAAAAAAAGTTATTAGTACTACATGAAATTAAATTATTGTTAGGGTGACTAGGCATACCTCACGGTTCATGGAGACAGTTCCAGTTTACAACTGTTGTCTTGGCAAATTATTAATAGTGTCCTTTCCACTCTCAACGTTCCTGGTTTAGAGAATAAATTTTATGGTCACCCTAGTTATTATACTTTGTTGGTGTGTTTTTTGTGTGTGTTTTGTGTTTGGTTTTGACAGCCACAGATCCCATGAAAAACATTCAACATTTGGATAATGAGACTTATAATGAGCTTCTCATCATTCTAGCACTGATGTGTACCATGAGATGCAAAAAAAAATATCTGCTTTAATCTTTTGGCTGGTATGTGGAATGAGAAGAGTTTGTAAAGCACATTTATAGATGAAGAGTCACTAGAATCTATCTCTCCTACTAACTAAATGAAATGGAAGACAGGCTAATACCAGAATTTATTTACTACCAGTATTCTTAACTAGTTCATTGGTGTCGTTAACCCATTTAACAGTCTACAGAGCCCATGGAGCCCTTTTAAAAATAGAGCTATAAATATACGTAGGAAAATATATAGGACTTCAAAGGAAATCAATTATACCGAAATGCCATTATGAATATTAAAATTGTGTGATATAGTAATAATGTGTGTCCTTCTCTATGTATCTAATAGCAAAATCTAATAGCAACTTTAATAACAGCTATAATTTGAAAGAAGAGATAACATAACATAAAATAACATAAATGATGAGATATCTAGAATAACTGTAATGTGATGTGAGAACACCTGTAGTATGTATTTGTGACAAAGTCACAGATAGTGACAAAGCCAGTGTACTTTGTGGTCTACATTCATAACTGAATGAAATGTTAAATTGCAGCCGGAGAGTAGTGAAAATGAAAATGTATTGCTTTTCTACTCAAATTCTCAGACCCTCTGAATTATGTCAAAGAACCTCTGGGTGGGTGGGGTGTCTATGAGTCTCAGAGTAAGTATCCCTACTCTAAAATAATAGTAACTGAATTTGAGAAACGTAGATCATTTTTTATACATTTTAAAGGCTGTCACAGCAAAACAGCCCAAATAAAGTAGAAGCATGCCTCTCGATAGAGTATATAAAATCAGATAGTGTTATTTAAAAAAAGCTTTTCTTCATATGCATTCAAATTTACAAATTTATGTTTTTATATCACATACATTGCAGCTTATGTAAAATGTCCTCCACTTCTATACAGAGCTATGATCTCAGCAAAAGAAAATATATAAGGCCATCCTCTTTTCATTTTACTCAATGACGCTATTCTTTCCATTTATATCTCATTGGATTCACAAACTTGACAGACCTTCTATTGTCACGTGGTAACAGATTACATCATTCAGCTAATCATTTTGGTCATTTATTGGATCAATGGTTCATAGAGGTTTGTTTATAAACTTATGTATATTTTTCCCCATTCTCAGAGTCAGGGTTACCCCTAGAGTGAATACTAGCCACACTGCTCAGCACTAGAGGGGTATGTTCTCAAGTTCCTGAAGAACCAGAAGTAGCAAGGGTAGATATTCTATGTTACCAAAAGAAGAGAGCCTCTGGTCCACATTAAATGTGGAATTAAAAATGTAAGGCAAAGTATCTGGACGAATGCAATTATAGGTTGGAAAGTGAAGCCTAATGCAGGAACCAGGACAGGCTCCATGCTTGATAACAAATGTGGCTGCAGGTATACAGGGTTCATCATGATTGGTTCCTAAAGACAGTGGTTCCAGGATCCAGTACTATTTCAAGCCAGACTTGTACAAGTCTTTCATATCAGTTTTCTGTATCCAAAATGATCATTAGCAGGTCCATGTTCTTGCCTTTCTCTTTGGAATGTGTTCATTCCTTAATGGGACAGCTGCAGGTGGGTGGGAATTCAGCAAAATAAGTGAAACAACATCAGGATTCCTTCCCATTTGCCTCCCTTTTTCCAAGTCTGCCCTGCTTTTAGGTTTGCTTGTAAATCTGATCCTCTTTGATGCTAGAATGAGACTGGGAAAAATCTGGCCAGGGCATGAACTCTATAACTGTGCATCATTTCAAATGGTTCATCTTCCCTCCCACCCCAGCATAAACAGAAGACATTGTTCACTGCTTTGGCTGCCCAGCCTACCACTGTGAGGTCCGGATACACCTCCAAATTATTCTCTTTGTGGCTAGCCACTCCCTGGTCCAGACCCAGGCTCCATTCCCAGAGAAAAAAGAAAGAAAGTCATTTTGGGGCTCAGGATGTGGAAGTATGAGGATGTGAGAGTGAGTAAGAGCATGAGGGTGGGTACAAAGGCTCGCAGTTAAATCATTGCAATCAGCCATCTCTGCCATGACACACAGCTCCTTTGTAAGTTTCTCCAAAGGCTTCTTATTTGACTGTTCTCCCTCACCACATGCATCAAAAAAAGACAGGAATGACGATAAAAAAGGTGCTATCATAAGGCGTTTCTGCCATAAGTGAAAAGGCAGAGAAATCACCTTGCATATTCTGTGGTGCCAGGAGACGTTGCTTTCAGTAGCCAAGGCAGGAAAAGACGGCAAAGGGGCTGCAGGTAGCACGAGGCCAGGCATATCAGGGGTGAGGAGACATGCTCCTTCTGCCACTGCTGCAGAGAGAGGGAAGGGCCCCACCCAGTGTCTACCTTTTGCTTCCTTGGGCTTGGGGACAATGTGGGAAGGCAAAAGGAGAAGCAAAGTAGTGAAGTGGGGCAGCCCAGAGGGAGGGCTAAAAGCAATTCCCAGCTGCCGATAGATTTCAGTTCATCATTGTTGATTTTGGACTAAAACCTTCTTTCCAGCCAAGCAGGCAAGCAGAAGTGAATTTATCAGATGTGATTTTTATCAGAACCCACCGTATGTGGCGGCCGGCAGTCACCACGGGACCCCGGAGCCTGTGATTGGCTCTGACACATCCGACCGAAAGGGCTCTTATTCCAAGAATGATCTTCTTTTTTAGATGGTATTGAGTTGGGACTGATTTTGATAGCCAGTTTCAGTCAAGAATCATAAAGTTATTGCACATTTAAAACTGTCGGTATGAGAATCATTCTCTCCCTCTTTTCTCTCTCATCATTTCGCTGGGCTGCAAGGTTACAGAAAGGTCTAATCAATTGTCAAACTCTCTTTTATCACCGAGAAGGTGGTAAGAAAAAAAAAAAAAAAAAACACCTCTAACTGCCCTACTGTAGGGGGTTCTTTCACTACACAGCACCCTTTTCCACATACAATGCTGCCGTGATTAATGTCCTCCCACCTCAGACCTTGTTAAAACCTGTTCTCTCAAGCAGCCAGTGGAGCACAGTGAGAGGAGGGCCGAGGTTGCATAAATCAACGTGTTCTCACAGCCCCCAGGATATCCATTATAGATGCCAGCTGGATGGCTGGAAGATAGAGAAAAATGAATATTGTATCCTGTGGCCTTTTGCCTCTAATGACCACTTTTCAACATTTTTGAAGGCATGATTAAATTTTGATAACTGGGGAAGTCACTCTGAGCAGGCTGAAATAGAGATAAATTGACGGAGGGTCTGACATCTCAGTGGAGAGCAGGCAACTAATTAGTGTGTGAAGCGCACTCTGAAAGAGATGTAAAAGGGAGGCAGGTTTAATCAGAGGAGCTGCTGAGGTACAGGAATAGTCAGAGATAATTGCGGCCTAGGTAGAAATCACAGGCTCAATGAGCGGCTTTTTCTGTCTGCTTGATTGGCAGCCGCTGACCTAGTGGCCGGCACCCTTGAACCCTTACAACAGCAACGGCCTTGTCAAAGCAATTTGCTTGCCGCTCTCCGTGACCAGTTATTTCAGCGGCAGAGCTGGGACACCCCGCTGGAGAGGGCACTCCGCTCGCCTGGCTGGCAGGGAGCTGGGCGGAACAGCCTCGTTATTTCTGATGACTTTACTTTTGAACCCAGTCGCCCTTTCTTGCTCCCCAACTCTCCATAGCCCACTCACACAGAGGCGTGCTCCCGGGAGGGACAGCTTCTACAAAGACACAGTGTCAGGGCAATTTGGTTGTTCATTTGAGGAGTGGGGATTTCGGGTCACGAGGTGATGTGCCTATGGGAATTAGGTGGAAGAGGAGGGCCAGGCAGGGCAGAGGCCAAACCACAGGAGGATTGGCTGCTCCTGGCAATGGCTCTCTATAGTTGCCTGTGTTTCATGCCACAGGCAAGCCAGGCAAAGCTCGTGTGGGTACCAGGGTTTTCCCTGATGTATGGGAGCTCAGAGGAGGCCAATTGGACCCTCTTTCTTCTCCCCATCCCAACATCTTTTCCTGACTGGCTAGAAGGAATGTGCCCTCAGGCTAGAGCACAAGTGCATTCATTCCATCTTGTTTGATTAACTATGTGGCATTTTGTTGATTGTAGAGAGTTTTTGGACTTAAAATTGTGGTTAGGGAGATAAGCTTTTCTATCTCTAAAAGCTGCATTAGCAACTAACATATGACTTTTTCCCTTTATTGTATTGTTTTTGGGGAAAATAAGGCTAGATGGAAGGGAGAAAGATTGTAGAGAGATGGGTCAGAAGCAGCCAGGAGACTGGTGTATAGGGTTTGTTCTTTTAAAGAAGGTAAATTAGTGTTTCTGCTCCTCCACCTCTTCCTCCTTCTATACCTGGAGCTTACCTTCTCTTTTTAAACTTATCAGCCACCTGCACCTGGAATAATACCAAAACCTAGAATACCTGATGTGTTTTATGTTTATAGCTATAACTTAAAGTTTAAGAGAAGCCTAAATGTAGCCATACTTTTTTTCTATTTGTTTTGTTTCTTTTTTTAATAATATGGCATTTTCCCCCCATATAAGAATGAGGCCTTGTTACTCATAGGACTTAAGTACATGCTTTCAGTGCCCTGGTCCTTCCATGTTTGCTATGTGGCTTGGCCAAAGGAAGCTTCTGTGGCTTGTACCACATGTATACTACCTGCCTGGTGAAAATGGATATTGCCTCAAATTCTTGCCCATTTCCTTGAACACACCTACTTTCCACTATAGAGTGTGTTCGATGTAGAGGATACACTGTTCTAACTTATGAGGCCTCCTTCCCAAACCCATTGTTCTCAGAGACTGGCTGCTCTAAGTGAAGACTGGGAATATTCTCCAGTTGCCTGGCCTAAGAGTTCCTCGGGAAGCTGAAAGGTTAGGGACATAGGTACCTGTATCCAAAAGTGGCCCGGGCTTCAGACGGGCCTAATCCCTGGGAGATGGGCATCTGCTGTTTTCAACATTGTACTCCCCTTGAGTACAATAATAATAGCAAAACAATTTACTTTTCCTCCCTTCTCCGTATCTCAGTTGGGATATGTCATGTTAAATGATAGAGAAAACAAAAACACGACAGTATCCAGATTGCAGACTTTCCCATCTTTGAGATTGATAATTACAATTACGTCAAGATCAATAATAAATAAGGTAGTAAGAACCCTTAGGGGTGCTGCGGGAACAGAAGAAGGAATCTGAATTCTGCTTTGATAGCTGAGGAATGCTATCATCCCTGCATCCCTGATGAATGAGGAGGTATTTACCAGATGAAGATGGGATGGAAGGGAATTCTTGGCAGAGGAAAGAGTATGTGCAAAGCCATGGAAGTGAGAGGGTACTCCTTTTTTAGTGAGCACCTGGACATGGCTCAGGCATCCTGAGGAGGAAGTAATTCCATCACTAGTGAGGAAGATGGCAGTTAGTCTAGAAGAGATCTTGCATGAGGTCCCGGACATGCCTGCATCCACTTTACCACCAAAACTTGTATCATAACTGGCATATGATAGTGGCTTAAGAAATGAATGTTTAGTGAATGAGTGGAAAAACAAAGGAATGAGGATACTAGACATTACTAGAAAATGTTATAAAGAGATTATATAAAAAAAGGAACGTAACTGTGGAGAATGGTCTAGATACTAATGGCAAGGAGACCAGGTGAAATAGACCAGGAAAAGGATGACAGGAAGGACTGAAGCAAAAATGTATCCTCAGGAATGCAAAAGAGCACACAGACTCCAGAGACCACTCTGGGGTGAACCCATGTGCTCAGTTGGATGTGGAGGCTAAGTGGAGTGAGAGAGACTGAGCATGCATGAATGCATTGGGGGTGTGGCTTGGGTAAAGTAGAAATGGCATGGCATGTCTAGAGGGAAATTGTGACAGCTGAAATCAAATGTAAATGAGGCATCAAACAGTCCAGCCAGATATTAGTACAGGAGAAACCTTGTGGGACTTATCAGAATTATCTCCCCTAAATACTCCACTGTGGACTTGTCGGTCTGTGTCCAGCTCAGCTGGCATCTCAAACTTTATGGTTTGCTATGGAATTTTGATAAATATATAAAATTATTTTCCCCTCCCTCGGAGTTTTAATACCATTGCTATGATGTCTGTTCTGCCAGGGGAAAATGTTGAGTTGAATAGATTGTCTTTACATTATGGATTCTGTGAGGTGGGATATAATTGATCAAGAGTAATAAATGAATAGCATCATATCAAGCTGATACCAAAGAAGATGGTACATATATTACAACATTAAAAAAATATTGCTTACCATGTACCAGGCATTTATCTAAATGCTTTACAAACATTAATTAATTAATTCCAGTATTCCCACGGGGAAGGTGTTATAATTAAGTATGTTTTGCTGATGTGGAAATTGAAGAACAGAGAGATTAGGTTACTTCTGTGAGATCATATAGCAGATAACTACAGAAGCCCAGATTTGAACCCAGCATTCTCACCAAAGTCCCTGCTCCTCCTCACCCTGAGGGTTGGCTTCTCTTGTTAAACTCTGTCCTGGGTGGCTGACAGCCAATTCAGGAAATGAGAGGCCCAACCTGAAGGTGAACCATGTGCAAATGAATCATTTCACATATGCTAACAACATGTTTAATATTTTGCAAGTACAAAATAGTTGAGAGCCTCTGAACAGAACCTTCCATTTATCTTGTTCACAAGTCAAGAAGTCACTTAATCCCATCCTGCTACTCAGGCTCCAGGCATTAGATACTGGGGGCTGGAGTCTGAGGAGGGTATATCTGTGAAATTGAGGAGGAACCTCAAAAGTAGTTCAAGAACTCTTCAAGTTTGCCTGGTGGTTGTTGCCTCTGCCTGAAGACTTTGGAGACACCTAATGGTGAAGCAAGAGAGATTCTGGAGTCAGACTGCTTGGGTTCAAACCTTGCCTATAGCACTTGCTAGCTATGTGGCCTTGGGAAAGTTACAGCTTCTTTACCTCTTTGTGTCTCAGTTTCCTCAACTGTAAAATGGGCAAATAATGGTCCCTGCCTTAAGGGGTTTATGCAAGGCTTGAGTTAATTCACACTTATGATAAGCACTCAATATGAATCTGCTTGTATTGACAGTCTGCCAATAGCATCCCAGAAATCAATCTACCTTCCTCCCCAAAAATCACCTGATTCTCTCTCTGTCCACATCTATATAAATTGTTAATACAACAAAGATAAGTTATTTAGGGAGGGGGCCCATGACTTATTCCTCAAATGAGACTCCATACATAAATAAAGTGGGGCATTCTGATGGAGACTTTTACCTGACCTACTCCTTTCCAAGTATGCTCATCGTGTCTATAATTAAAAAAAGAGAGAAAATGATTGGTATAGGAGACCTTTGTAAAATACCAGTATAGCTTTAATCTCCTGGTTTTCAAAAAATCTATAAGCAGTTTACTATTTAAAATACATACAGTATGTCTTCCAATGATCATAACTCCTTAAGTTAGTAATATTTTATTTATTTTGTTTCTCAGTTGTACTTCACATGCACAAAACTAGAGAAATCGTGATCCTGGGCTCCTGACACACCGTAATTTTTAATCCATCCATAGGTGACTTCTCTTTTTACATTTTGTTGTTGTTAAAGCCGCATGCCTACAGTAAATTGCCCCAGTGATGTGCCTAAAACAGGGCAGAGGGAAATGTCTGGGCTTCAGTAGGACGCATTGTATCACTGGCATTGTTTGGAATTACAAAGACATGGTGATTAATAAAAAGAAGACTTGACTTTTGGCTGGTCTTATTACCTGGGTCCCATATTGCCTAGGTCTAGGCCCTGCCCTTGGTACACCACTAACGTGTACAAATCATAAGTGTAGACTTGATTAACTTTATATATGTATACACTCTTAGAACCACCATACAGATCAAGGTGCAGAATGTTTCTAAACACCTCATAACGTTCCTTCATGCCTTTCTCCATCAATACTCAGGAATAACCACTGTTCTGACTTCTGTCAACACACATTAGTCTCAAGTTTTCTTAAACTTTGTATAAATTGAATTATATAGTACATACTCTTTTGAGCCAGGCTTTTTTTTTGCTTAACTTATGTGCATACAATTCACATTTTTTGTGAATTAAACTTTGTATACAATTAAATTGTGAATTAAACTTTGTATAATTGTTTAATTAATATGTATAATTTGTATAATTGTTTATTATATAATCAAACTTTGTATAATTGTATACAAAGTTTAATTGTGAATTAATGTTTGTATACAATTAAACTTTGTATAAATTGAATTATATAGTAAATACTCTTACGAGCCAGGCTTTTTCTTTGCTTAACTTATGTGCACAATCCAAGTCATTGCATGGAGCGGGGGTGTGTTTTATTTTACTGCTGTGTGGTAACATTTGGATACTGGTGGGCGTTGGGTTGTTTCCATTGTTTTGGCTACTGTGAATGAAGCATCTGTGGAGGTTCTTGAACATGATAAGCACTCATTTTTTCTTAAGAATATACACAGGGGTGGAGTTCTTGGGGCATATGGCATGAGGCACAGGTTTAGCTTTCATAGCTACTGTCTCTTTTTTTTTTTTTTTTTTTTGAGGCAGAGTCTCAGTCTGTTACCCAGGCTGGAGTGCAGTGGCGCCATCTCGGCTCGCTGCAACCTCTGCCTCCTGGGTTCAAGTGATTCTCCTGCCTCAGCTTCCCAAGTAGCTGGGATTACAGGCACCTGCCACTACCCCTGGCTAATTTTTGTATTTTCAGTAGAGACAGAATTTCACCATGTTGGCCAGGCTGGTCTTGAACTCCTGACCTCAGGTGATCCACCCGCCTTGGCCTCCTAAAGTGCTGGGAATGCAGGAGTGAGCCACCGTACCTGGCCCATAGATACTGTCAAAATGTTTCCCCAAGTGGTTTTGTCCACGTGGCACACTTTTATTTAATTAATTAATTTTTAATAATGTAAAAAGTATCCACAAACCTACCACTAAATGAAATAAGGTTTCTCACTCCAACTTTACAAATGAAGAAACTGATTCCAGAGAGGTTTGGTGCAAGTATGTATTGCACAGTTAGAAAATGTCATAAATGAGAGGGAGACCTAGGTCTTTTGACTTCAAGGACAGTACTTTCTCTGTTATAGCTTCTTTATATAATAACTAACTTTAAAATATTGTGTTATCTGTAAGCAGAAAAGGGACTTGTAAGGCATTCCCGGGGACAAAAATAAAGAGAACAAATCTCAAATTCTGGCCAGAAAAATGTGCATCTCCCATTTCAGCCAAGGAACTTGCTGGCAGAGAGCAAAATGTCTGTCGGACAGGGAGGCTGGCATGATTCCCAGCACAACCCACCTGTACCTTGTTTGGCAACAGAGATTCAAGATTTTACGTGTCCACTGGGCCAATGCATGGCATCCCTTCACCGTTCTTCTGGTATTCATCACTAGAGGTTTTCCTTTATTAATAAAAGCTAACCTATACCCTTGCTAAGCAAAGTGTGGTCTAGGGACCAGCAGCAAGACATCACTGGGGAATGCAAAATCTCAGGCCTCGCCCCAGACTTTCAAAATCTGCCTTTCAGCAAAATCTCCAGCTGATTCCTATGCTCATTATATTTTGAGAAGCGCTGAGTTGTGCAGTTGTAGATTAAAGGTCATTTCCTCCTGCTTTAGAGTATTTGGGAAAATGATCTTTCATCTCTGAGTCTCAGTTTCCCAATCTGAAAAATGAGGTTAACAATATGTACTTTGCAAGGTTGTAATAAGGATTAAAATATACAATATAAATAAAACAACTACAGTGATTCTATATGAATGATTGCTGTCCAGCCAAGTGATAGCTGCTATCCGTTGGTGGGACTGTAAACTAGTTCAACCATTGTGGAAGTCAATGTGGCGATTCCTCAGGGATCTAGAACTAGAAATACCATTTGACCCAGCCATCCCATTACTGGGTATATACCCAAAGGACTATAAATCATGCTGCTATAAAGACACATGCACACGTATGTTTATTGCGGCACTATTCACAATAGCAAAGACTTGGAACCAACCCAAATGTCCAACAATGATAGACTGGATTAAGAATATGTGGCACATATACACCATGGAATACTATGCAGCCATAAAAAATGATGAGTTCATGTCCTTTGTAGGGACATGGATGAAATTGGAAATCATCATTCTCAGTAAACTATCGCAAGAACAAAAAACCAAACACCGCATATTCTCACTCATAGGTGGGAATTGAACAATGAGATCACATGGACACAGGAAGGGGAATATCACACTCTGGGGACTGTGGTGGGGTGGGGGGAGGTGGGAGGGATAGCATTGGGAGATATACCTAATGCTAGATGACGAGTTAGTGGGTGCAGAGCACCAGCATGGCACATATATACATATGTAACTAACCTGCACAATGTGCACATGTACCCTAGAACTTAAACTATAAAAAAAATATATTAGCTTAAAAATAAAAATAAAAAAAAAGAAGTATTCTCAAGCAATGGGACAGTCTAATTTTATTCAGTGGCAAAATGCAAGCCATTAACAATCCTAAACACTCTGCAAGTAGAACCCAGCCCTCCCATAACTGCACCAACACTGCAAGGAAATTGTTTGTAAATGTCAGGCCGGAGTTGGAGCTATGTCTGCAAGTTACCCAAGCATGAGGACCAAGTTCTAGGCCTGCCTCAGCTGATGTTCTTTGCTGACTGCTGCCTGCAAGCCATAGAACTTAGCTTAAAAAATGGAGAGTTGAAGTCATGGACTATGAAGAGCAAAACACCTGCCAGGATAATAAGCAGGATTTACAGTAGAAGTTTGTTAAATCATAGGATGGAGACATCCATGCAAGAGAAAGAAGGACAGATAATTGGGAGATGGGAGACGTGACATGTCAGAAATGCTATATGTATAAATATTACTCGTAAGTAAATTAAGTATTTTTTAAAACAGGCAAGGAAAGGTTTTCCCACCTGAGCTGTCCTGAAATATGAGATATCTCTGAAGTACAAGTTGGTATATTTTTCCCAGTTGAATAGGAAAAATATGTTTGATTGGACAAATGTCTTCAGCAATGATAATTACATGGGTACCTGAAACATTACCTGCCTGGTCATTTTCTGCAGGGTTAATATTAGCGTAATACAAGTTTTATTTAATGACCTTTTCTCTCTTTTCCTGGTACTAGTTTTCCCTGTGTGATTTCTGACTTGGGTGTCAGATTGTAGAGGAAAGCAGTTGAGAAAGTATGGGTGATAAAAACAGCCCTAATCAATTTTTATAGGGCCAGTAGTGGTGATGACTTAATTGCTACCTTGGTGAAAAGGCTGTGATTCTTATGCTAAATTATTTAAAAAATAGCTTTCAATGTAAATGTTCAGAACTTTGTCCAATCTCTCAGCATTTGAAATAGTACCAACACAATGCAAATGCAGCAATGCTTAAGAAGAGCAAGTTCACAGCTAATTTGAAATACAGGATTTCAACAGCTCAGTGGAGCTGGGCGCTGGAGAGGGTGGAGCAGGCAAAGGGAAATGCAGGCTATGTACATAATGAGGGCAATCAATCCAACTTGGTAGCCAGCAAGCAACTGTTGTGTTTAAAATGGAGTATTGTGCCTCCTGTCATGGTGACATATTCAATTAAGCGATATCCTATTATTATTTCTCACCCTGTGTGATTTAACAAAAACATTATTGAAACTAGAAGAAATCATTCTACACACAAGCAAAAGAAAATTCTTTGATTGGAATTATAATGATGTCTTTCACAATCTCTGACAGGTAAATTATGAACAGTTGCAGTAAAACTTTGCTGTATAATATTAATTTGAAATAAGTTCAGACTGTCTCCAGGGCTTTTATTTTTATAAATAAGTGTTGAGCTATTGGGAGGGAGGGAAACTACTGCTTCTTCTGAAAGGTGATGACTTTAGCATTTATCTTGTAGGTAGTGATAAGTAATACAAAGTAGAGAATGTCAGATTAGGACATGGTGCTGCCTGGAGAAAGCCCTATATGAACAGCCTTTCTCAGAACTCTATCTCCCCTAAAGCTTTCAAGGTGGGGGTGGATGATTTTCACTTACTTAACTTACTCTGTACATCACTTTCCAAGCATGACATTTCCAACTGATAAGATTTTCTAACCTATTAGTCAATAATTCAGCATAAAGTTAGAGCAGTTGCTTCAAATTATTACTGTACCAAACTTGGGAGATTTTGAATTTCACTTGCTGGGTAAAAAAAAATGCCCAATGATGCAAACTGCAATATCAAAAATTGCCCAGTAATGCAAACTTCAATATTAAAACTTGAAAACAGTCATTGGAAATATTTTGCAAGGGAAAAGATGGGCTCAAAGGCAATGTCTTGGAATGCATCATTTCTGTCGCTTGCTTTACAAAGCCAAGAAGCTCAGACTCTTCCCAGGAATTTCTTATCTACAGAGCACGCAAGGAAGGCATAAGTCTGGTGTCACTGTAGCTATTACTCATTGAAATGAGTCACTGAGCAAATTTAAAAAGAGGTTCTTTGGAATGTTAGCAATGTTTTAATATGTTTAAACATTGAACAGAGTAGAGGATGGATGAAAAAATTCTATATCCAATAGAACAGTGAAAACATGCACTATTGTAAAATATGTAACCCAGGAGGTAGAGGTTGCAATGAGCCGAGATTGCGGCATGGCGCTCCAGCCTGCGAGACAGAGCAAGACTCTGTCTCAAAAAAAAAAAAAAAAAAAAAAAAAAAAATATATATATATATATATATATATATATAGTATCTAAAAACTCTAAATAGAGTCATATACTGATTAAAGATAAAAGAGCATTTGATGTTACATAATCCAGCCCTAAAGCTCTATAGCACCTCAACAATTTTATTGTTCAGTCTCTGCTTGAACACACAAAATAAAGGAAACTCATAGAAAGCCCACTCTATTTTGAATATATACCAATTTTTAGAAAATTTTATTGAACCAACCTCCTTTTCTCTATTGATTTACTTTATGGTCAGGGATCTCCCTCTACAGTCTCATGGAAACATTCTGATCCCTTTGCTACAGGACATAATTTTATAAATACATAAAAACTTCCATATTACCCTGAAGACTTTCTCTTTCTGCTTCAAGCTATTCATACAGTTATTTATTCATGCAGTCACTCATGCAGCCAGCCATTTAGTAACATTTACTTAGTGCATATGTATACAATGGCCATAAACTGTATTGGACACAAGAAATACAATATTAAATAGAATACGTAAGAACATTAAAGTAAACTCACAATGATTTAGAATTTACCATATGTCAGGCATTGTTATTGGCATTTTATATGCAGTATGCCATATAAGTCTCAATAATCTTATCAGTGAAGTACAATTATTCCACCCACTTTACATATGTAAAAACTGAAGATAGGAGAAAGTAAATTCTAATATCCATAGTCTAAACTGGGAGATAGACATATAAAAAATTATAATACAATTTAGTACATACTATATAATGGAGATAATTAAGGAAACATAGAAAAAGATGGCGGTACGTCTGACTCCTGGTTTCAAGAGCAGAGAATTCTTTGAAGAATATACCCATGAAAAAAAAGTAGGACAGCCAGAGAGAGGAGCACGTAATATACAAAATAGATGAGCATGAAAACTTAAGGTAATGACACTAATGGAATAAAAGGTACAGGGAGAAATGGCTGGAGATGTCAGGAAATCATTAGGAAACCAGGGCTCAGAATATGGTAAGCTGCAAACACCAAAGAGGTTAGAAAGCAACCCTTGGAAAGTGACGGGAAAGTGATAACAAGAAGTTGATAATTAGATCCGCTTTTTAGGAAATTCTTTCTAGCAGCATTTTCAAAGTTGAAATGGAGGGGGCTAGACTGGAGACTTGGAAAACAATCATTCTGGGGGGATATGATACAAAGGAATACTCTTGAGTCCATCTACCACTGCTATTACCATAGGAGGAAATACCATCCTCCAGGTGTGCTCAAAGCAGCTTTGCGTCACAGACTATGGACTTTTGGGCCTATTTGTGTTTATCTTTAAAACTGTGCTTTTTAATGTCATGGGGCAAGGACATGAGTATCCTAAATGAATGGCCTGCCTTTGTTGCTGGCCAGTATGGCTGGCCCACTTTGCTGCTTGGCAGCCATTAATGGATATTTTCTATTTCATGAGAGCCTTGCTTTGCTGGCTACCCCTTGTGTATTATCAACTGCCCGTTTATGTTTCTACCAATTAAGCCCCAAAGATAACAGGAGCAAACTAATATGTGATTCAATAGAATCTTTGCAATATTTAAAAGGTCTAATATTAAGTGCCATATTGGGTTATTGAGCATTCAATTAAAAAGTCTCAAGTGTTTAATTTAGGATTTTCCATAGGACAGTTATTGTTTGTTAATTAGTTAATTAAATAACAAATGATTATTTAAAACATGCATTAGGATTAAGCAAGCTGTAAGAGAGATAAAGATATCTCCAAGGCAATTAGCTCACTGTAATTTTAATGATAAATGTGTAATTAGACTCTTATTCTAAAGAGATTGTTTGGAATGGTTTTCACAAACATTAAACAAGCATGTAACGTGATATTTACTTACACAACAAGCAAAATGTAGTTCTAATTCTTATTAAGCATCAGCCAGTGTATTCAAATGGTACCTAATTTGCTAAAAGCAAAAATTTTACAAGTATTGGTACTTACAAAAATATAATCCATTAAAAGCTTATATAACTAACTTAATTATATTACAACTAGATGTATCCCCAAGCCTATTTATTTCACTTCCTAGAAACTTACCTGAGAATTTCCAGTGTGTCATAATTTAACAACCAGCATTTATACTTTTATGTATCCAATACTTGAGGGAGTTACTATTACATCACAAAATGAACCCCCCTTGCAAAGAATAAAATACATTTCCTCTTGGATATCTAGAACCTACCACAGTTCCTGGCACATGGAACTCTGTAAACGTCTACAAAATTTATTTGAATGAGCAGAAAACATCCAGAAATATCCAGACTTCCTGATTCTGCTCATTCGAATTCTGTTTCTCCCCATTCTATCACAAGCTCCTGGCTGCCGTCTCTAAAAATGCAGCTCTTCTATTATTCTCAGCAGCCAGCAGCCTAGTTGAATTGAGCTGGAGAAATCATGTCTCCAGAGGACTAGCATGGGTTTTGGGTGCCTTGGGAATTATAGTAATGATGATAATCATAAAAATACCGGAAAACACTTATTAAGTGCTTCCTATTTGCCAAGCACTGAGAGAAGCTTTTTCCATTGATAACCACTGTTTATATTTTCAGCAACCTTGTAAGAGAGATCCTACTATTATGTGTGTATTTCAAATGAGGACATTGAGGCTTACAGCAGGTATATAATTTTTCCCAGGTCATATCGTTGGTAAGTAATGGAACGAGGTTAGAATCCTAGGTATCCTGAAGTTAGAGCCCATTCTTGCTTTAGTTAAGTTTCTCTTGAAGCAGATCCCCAGATGCAGTTGCTTGTGCAGCTGGTTTATGAAGCCGTGTGCTCAGGAGAGACCTGTGAGGGAGTGAGCCAAGAAAGGTAAAGAAGTGGAATAAATTAGGCAATTATTCAGTTGAAGTTCAATTAAAGTCTAGCCTCAGTCTGATCCTACAAGGAGCTCTGGAATGTAAGTAACCGTACAGAGTAGTCCCACCTTAAGGCATGGGGGCAGAAATTTGTACCCCAGAATCTATCTCTGGTGGGCCGTTGACTGCCCCTGAAGTAGAAGACATAATCTCACAGGTATGTTCCAGTGGGAGGTAGCTTACTTTGTGGAGACCTGTTACCTGGACAAGGTTTTGAGCTGTTGCAGCCAACCCTCACAGAAGGAGAGAGAGTGGGGATGCCAGCCAGGTACAATAAATCAAACCAAGGCATCAGTAGCATGTACTACAGAACCTGGTTCCATAATGTTGATCTTCACTTCTAAGCTACCATGAAGAACAGAGGATTTTTGTCAAACAGGCTGGATTTTTATCCTGTTCTGCCACTTCCTAGCCTAGTGGCTTTGGGAAAATTGCTTCTATGTTCTAAGTCTAATTTATCATAATCTATAAAATGGAAGTCTTAATACTACTGGTCCCATGGGATTATTATGTTGACCAAATGAGAATGTATGTGAATGCATTTTATAAGCTAAAACAGAACATGAATGGTATATGTGGGGTTGTTATTGCCATGTCTAACTTTCCAGGCTCAGGGGCTTCCAGGGGGTGGTGGCCCATGAATCTATGGAAGCCCTGGTCCAGATGACACTTATGATGAACATAAGTATAAGGTCACTGGTGTCAAAATAGGAGATAAAAGGGATACAGACAAAACAGAACTTGAATGGAAGATGATTGACCATCTAGGCTGTCTCATGATCCTGCTGAATATTGATAATCTTAATTAACACTTTCAAAGACTGAGGGTCAGGAAAAGTAATGTACCTAAGTTGCACAACCAGAAAATGGCATACCTAGGACTCTGCCTCAGGTCATTTGAAGCCTAATTTCACAGTATTTTTCAGTTATACCATACAGCTCTTCTGCCTTCAATATTGGTAAATCCCAGTGATTTTTTTTCAAAGGCATCTCCTGTTCTCTCCATCCCAGGGATAATGTTCCCTCTCCTGTATCAAGACGTTCCCATCCTGACCATCTTGTGCCCTGGCCTTTTCTCCTGAATCCTGGATTGCAACTAATAATCACAAAGTCTGAATGTAGCATAGAGAACCATTTCTATTTCTGATTTCTGTTTGGCTCACAACCAGCACTTAGCCCCAAGAGGCATTTGGAGCCTTATCTGAAGCTTAAAAAGGCAGCAAGTTCACCTTAACAACATACTCAGTGGAAGTTGGTGTGGAAAACTGGCTTCAGTTTCAATAGTTGCACAGCACTGAAGTCTTAATGGAGGACCATAAAGCCAGTTGATGTAGAAACTATGGATTTTGGTAGCAAAGGAGACATAGATAACTGAACAAAACTGGGGTTCTGTTAGGAAGAATGAAGACAATAGATAATGGATTCGCACTTGGCAATGTAAACAACAGATAATGAAGATGATGTTATATCTTAATCCTCCTATTAATTGTTTAGAACACTTAGAAGAGGAAGAATATAAGTTCTGTAAGTAGCACCCACAAATCCCCCACACCAACTTACAGAGATCTCTTTCTTCCTAATGAGAGTGAATGTGTCCTAAAGCTTGAGGCCATGGAAGCAAATGTGGAACCACCTTGCTGGGAAATTTCCATATGGCGTGAGATCCCCTGTGAGTAATTCTGCAAGTATTGTAAACATTTCTTTGGCAAAGGGAAGATAATAAGCTTCTTTCCATAGCCTGGTGAGGGAGCACAGGTTTTGAATCAGGCAAATATTTGAATTCTTGCCCAGTAATTTTTAATCACATTAGGTTATTCTACACTTCACCCTCAGTTAGCTCACTTATAAGAAGGGGATCATAATTCCTACTATAGAGTTTTTTGGTGATTCAGTGAGGTAAAATATGAAAAAAAATTTCTTGATCCTTTTATGCTGATAGGATGATAATACTGTCAGTTCTTTTTTATTGTAGGCATGAGAATGGGGTGAGCATTGTGGGCACCACTGGTTAGTACGTAGGAGAAATGCTACCCACCTTAAATACCTAAGATTTTATTGCAGGTCCCCAGCGGTAACACAGGATGGGCAAAAGAAAACTGAGGTTTGAGGCAAAGTCAATTCTGTTATGATTTTGCTGTGAGATCTGGGAACAATTAATTGACCTCAAAATTTCATCATCTCAGCCATGTTATTTACTTCTTGGCTTTACAAAATAATATGTGAAGACATCCAATGAGAAAATTTCCAAGTGCTTTGAGCTTTCACATGGTCTTTACACTGAAACAGACATCATATAAAAATATATGCAGGTTGGGCGCAGTGCCTCTCACCTGTAATCCCAGCACTTTGGGGGGCCAAGGCAGGTGGATCACAAGGTCAGGAGTTCCAGACCAGCCTGGCCAACATGGTGAAACCCCGTCTCTACTAAAAATACAAAGATTAGCCGGGCGTGGTGGCAGGCGCCTGTAATCCCAGCTACTTGGGAGGCTGAGGCAGGAGAATCGCTTGAACCCAGGAGGCAGAAGTTGCAGTGAGCCGAGTTAGCACCATTGCACTCCAGCCTGGGGGACAAAAGAAAGAAATATGTTAAAAATAAGGCTTAGAGTCATTTGACACATGACATATTATTTTGGAAAAAAAAGATATTTTGACCCTGGGCAAATTTTTTTTTATTTCCATTACACAACTGGCTTAATTATTTTAAAATTCATCTTCTTAAGGGATTTTCCTCTAGAGACCATTGCCATGCTTGGAGTGACAGCAATACTTATTTTAGTTTCTTCCAGGCATACTTAACTGACTCTCCAAATCAAACTTTTGGTGTGGCAGCTCCAAAGAAACTCTCCTTACAAAGCATTTTAAATAGCATTTGTGAAAATCTCTTCTCTCTGAAAGTCAAAATGTTCTGCATAAACAGTAAAACAAAATGGAGGCATGGTCTATTAAACAAACAACAGTGATAGACTCCAATATTTCACAATATTACTACTTGCTTAATAGGGTGCAAGCAACTTAAAAAATATCTGAAGTCGTTTCCTAATTATTTCCATTAACTGTTCAAATTTGAGCTTTTTCACGATGTTGGTTATGAACAGTAAAAGTAAATCAAGTGATACTAATAATAATTTTCAATTAAAAAACACAAGATAGAAATGAGCTGCTGGCTCAGCCCACTTATTTGAGAAGATAGACTCCCTTTCCGTTAAGGCAAGACCTACTTAAATAAATGGGGGTAATTTTATTCTTGAATATAAAGGCGAGTTTTCCCAAGACTCAAAAATTTCCAGGCTGGACTTTCTCAGTACTGACCTCTTGTCCCGGCCTCCTTGTTCCTTTATTCCTTCCCTATTGAACCCTCACCATTTTTGTGTGTGTGTGATTTTTGGGCTTTGCAGGGGGAAAATCAAAGGTAGTGATATGGTTTGAATATTTGTCTCTTCCAAATCTCTTGTTGAAATTTGACCCCTAATGTGGGAGGTGGAGCCCAGTGGGAGGGGTTCAGGCCATGGGGGCAGATCCCTCATGAATCCCTTAGTGCTCTCCCTGTGGTAATGAGTGCATTGTTACTCTATTAATTCATGGGAGAGCTGGTTGTTCAAAAGAGCTTAAGGCCAGGCATGGTGGCTCACGCCTGTCATCCCAGCATTTGGGGAGGCGGAGGTGGGTGGATCACCTGAGGTCAGGAGTTCAAGACCGGCCTGACCAACATGGTGAAACCCTGGCTCTACTGAATATACAAAAAATTAGCCAGACGTGGTGGCACACACCTGTAGTCCCAGCTACTCGGGAGGCTGAGGCACAAGAATGTCTTGAACTTTGGAGGCAGAGGTTGCAATGAGCCGACATGGCACCACTGCACTCCAGCCTGGGTGACAGAGCAAGACTCTGTCTAAAAAAAAACCATAAAATATAAATAAATAAATAAATAAATAGCTTGTCACCTCCTCCTCTCTCTTGCTTCCTCCCACCTCACCATATGACACATCTGCTCGCCCTTCCCCTTCCACCATGATTTAAAGCTTCCTGAGGTCCTGACCAGGAGCAGATGCTGGCGCCATACTTCTTGTACAACCTACAAAACCGTGAACCAAATAAATCTCTTTTCTTCATAAATTACCCAGCCTCAGGTATTTCTTCATTAGTGATGCAAAACTGGCTAAATACAGTAGGTTAGGAAGAGGGAGGGAATTGCTTTCAGCAAAGTAGGCATTCCAGAACAGTATGTGCTCAGAGCTCAGGAATGAATAAATCCCCCAGAAGGGAAAACTGAATATTCCTGGTCCAGTATTATTCCTCTATATGTAAAGAAGAAAAATTGGCAGGACAAACAGGGAAAAGCTGTCTGGCACCTATTTTTTAGCCAGGCTATGCCTTTTGGAGTTGCTTTCTTCAAATGTCTATCTGCTTCTTGAATTCAACTAAGGGAGAAAGGGCCATGGAGATATTTTGTACCAAGGCTTGAAAGCCAATGATTACAGGCTCATTAAGGGTTCCACATGCCAAAATGTAAAGACCATCGAGACTAGGAAGAAACTGCATCAACTAACGAGCAAAATAACCAGCTAACATCATCATGACAGGATCAAATTCACACATAACAATATTAACTTTAAATGTAAATGGACTAAATGCTCCAATTAAAAGACACAGACTGGCAAATTGGATAAAGAGTCAAGATCCATCAGTGTGCTGTATTCAGGAAACCCATCTCACGTGCAGAGACACGCATAGGCTCAAAATAAAAGGATGGAGGAAGATCTACCAAGCAAATGGAAAACAAAAAACGGCAGGGGTTGCAATCCTAGTCTCTGATAAAACAGACTTTAAACTGACAAAGATCCAAAGAGACAAAGAAGGCCATTACATAATGGTAAAGGGATCAATTCAACAAGAAGAGCTAACTATCCTAAATATATATGCACCCAATACAGGAGAACCCAGATTCATAAAGCAAGTCCTGAGTGACCTACAAAGAGACTTAGACTCCCACACATTAATAATGGGAGACTTTAACACCCCACTGTCAACATTAGACAGATCAACGAGACAGAAAGTCAACAAGGATACCCAGGAATTGAACTTAGCTCTGCACCAAGCGGACCTAATAGACGTCTACAGAACTCTCCACCCCAAATCAACAGAATATACATTTTTTTCAGCACCACACCACACCTATTCCAAAATTGACCACATAGTTGGAAGTAAAGCTCTCCTCAGCAAATGTAAAAGAACAGAAATTATAACAAACTATCTCTCAGACCACAGTGCAATCAAACTAGAACTCAGGATTAAGAATCTCACTCAAAACCGCTCAACTACATGGAAACTGAACAACCTGCTCCTGAATGACTACTGGGTACATAACGAAATGAAGGCAGAAATAAAGATGTTCTTTGAAACCAACGAGAACAAAGACACAACATACCAGAATCTCTGTGACTCATTCAAAGCAGTGTGTAGAGGGAAATTTATAGCACTAAATGCCCACAAGAGAAAGCAGGAAACATCCAAAATTGACACCCTAACATCACAATTAAAAGAACTAGAAAAGCAAGAGCAAACATATTCAAAAGCTAGCAGAAGGCAAGAAATAACTAAAATCAGAGCAGAACTGAAGGAAATAGAGACACAAAAAACCCTTCAAAAAATTAATGAATCCAGGAGCTGGTTTTTTGAAAGGATCAACAAAAGTGATAGACCGCTAGCAAGACTAATAAAGAAAAAAAGAGAGAAGAATCAAATGGACACAATAAAAAATGATAAAGGGGATATCACCACCGATCCCATAGAAATACAAACTACCATCAGAGAATACTACAAACACCTCTATGCAAATAAACTAGAAAATCTAGAAGAAATGGATAAATTCCTCCACACATACACTCTCCCAAGACTAAACCAGGAAGAAGTTGAATCTCTGAATAGACCAATAACAGGAGCTGAAATTGTGGCAATAATCAATAGTTTACCAACCAAAAAGAGTCCAGGACCAGATGGATTCACAGCCGAATTCTATCAGAGGTACATGGAGGAACTGGTACCATTCCTTCTGAAACTATTCCAATCAACAGAAAAAGAGGGAATCCTCCCTAACTCATTTTATGAGGCCAGCATAATTCTGATACCAAAGCCGGGCAGAGACACAACCAAAAAAGAGAATTTTAGACCAATATCCTTGATGAACATTGATGCAAAAATCCTCAATAAAATACTGGCAAAACGAATCTAGCAGCACATCAAAAAGCTTATCCACCATGATCAAGTGGGCTTCATCCCTGGGATGCAAGGCTGGTTCAACATACGCAAATCAATAAATGTAATCCAGCATATAAACAGAGCCAAAGACAAAAACCACATGATTATCTCAATAGATGCAGAAAAAGCCTTTGGCAAAATTCAACAACCCTTCATGCTAAAAACTCTCAATAAATAAGGTATTGATGGGACATATTTCGAAATAATAAGAGCTATCTATGACAAACCCACAGCCAATATCATGCTGAATGGGCAAAAACTGGAAGCATTCCCTTTGAAAAGTGGCACAAGACAGGGATGCCCTCTCTCACCACTCCTATTCAACATAGTGTTGGAAGTTCTGGCCAGAGCAATTAGGCAGGAGAAGGAAATAAAGGGTATTCAATTAGGAAAAGAGGAAGTCAAATTGTCCCTGTTTGCAGATGACATGATTGTATATCCAGAAAACCCCATTGTCTCAGCCCAAAATCTCCTTAAGCTGATAAGCAACTTCAGCAAAGTCTCAGGATACAAAATCAATGTACAAAAATCACAAGCATTCTTATACACCAATAATAGACAAACAGAGAGCCAAATCATGAGTGAACTCCCATTCACAATTGCTTCAAAGAGAATAAAATACCTAGGAATCCAACTTACAAGGGATGTGAAGGACCTCTTCAAGGAGAACTACAAACCACTGCTAAGGAAATAAAAGAGGATACAAACAAATGGAAGAACATTCCATGCTTATGGGTAGGAAGAATCAATATCGTGAAAATGACCATACTGCCCAAGGTAATTTACAGATTCAATGCCATCCCCATAAAGCTACCAATGCCTTTCTTCACACAATTGGAAAAAACTACTTTAAAATTCATATGGAACCAAAAAAGAGCCTGCATCGCCAAGGCAATCCTAAGCCAAAAGAACAAAGCTGGAGGCATCACACTACCTGACTTCAAACTATACTACAAGGCTACAGTAACCAAAACAGCATGGTACTGGTACCAAAACAGAGATATACATCAATGGAACAGAACAGAGCCCTCAGAAATAACGCCGCATATCTACAACTATCTGATCTTTGACAAACCTGACAAAAACAAGCAATGGGGAAAGGATTCCCTATTCAATAAATGGTGCTGGGAAAACTGGCTAGCCATATGTAGAAAGCTGAAACTGGATCCCTTCCTTACATCTTATACAAAAATCAATTCAAGATGGATTAAAGACTTAAACATTAAACCTAAAACCATAAAAACCCTAGAATAAAACCTAGGCATCACCATTCAGGACATAGGCATGGGCAAGGACTTCATGTCCAAAACACCAAAAGCAATGGCAACAAAAGACAAAATTGACAAATGGGATCTTATTAATCTAAAGAGCTTCTGCACAGCAAAAGAAACTACCGTCAGAGTGAACAGGCAACCTACAAAATGGGAGAAAATTTTTGCAACCTACTCATCTGACAAAGGGCTAATATCCAGAATCTACAATGAACTCAAATTTACAAGAAAAAAACAAACAACCCCATCAAAAAGTGGGCGAAGGACATGAACAGACACTTCTCAAAAGAAGACATTTATGCAGCCAAAAGACACATGAAAAAATGCTCATCATCACTGGCTACCAGAGAAATGCAAATCAAAACCACAATGAGATACTGTCTCACACCAGTTAGAATGGCAATCATTAAAAAGTCAGGAAACAACAGGTGCTGGAAAGGATGTGGAGAAATAGGAACACTTTTACACTGTTGGTGGGATTGTAAACTAGTTCAACCATTGTGGAAGTCAGTGTGGAGATTCCTCAGGGATCTAGAACTAGAAATACCATTTGACCCAGCCATCCCATTACTGGGTATATACCCAGAGGACTATAAATCATGCTGCTATAAAGACACATGCACACGTATGTTTATTGCGGCATTATTCACAATAGCAAAGACTTGGAACCAACCCAAATGTCCAACAATGATAGACTGGATTAAGAAAATGTGGCACATATACACCATGGAATACTATGCAGCCATAAAAAATGATGAGTTCATGTCCTTTGTAGGGACATGGATGAAATTGGAAATCATCATTCTCAGTAAACTATCGCAAGAACAAAAAACCAAACACCGCATATTCTCACTCATAGGTGGGAATTGAACAGTGAGATCTCATGGACACAGGAAGGGGAATATCACACTCTGGGGACTGTGGTGGGGTGGGGGGAGGTGGGAGGGATAGCATTGGGAGATATACCTAATGCTAGATGACCAGTTAGTGGGTGCAGCGCACCAGCATGGCACATGTATACATATGTAACTAACCTGCACAATATGCACATGTACCCTAAAACTTAAAGTATAATAAAAAAAAAAAGCAAAAAAGAAAAAAAAAAAGAATAAGGGTTCCAGTATATTATCATACCAAGCCTACAAAATTTAGGGGCCATTGTTGAGATTTCAGTGTTAAGCTTCCATGTTTTTGCATAGTCTAGAAATGCCCTTAAATATATATCTGCATATTGGATACAATTTTATATAATTTATGTAATTACTATAATGTAAAATTATACATGCATATGAAAAGTAATGATAAGGCAGGTACCAAAATGATGATAAATGTTTTGTTTGTTGAAAATGGAAGAAAAAATTTCACATTTTCCCCCAGTTACTCAATTTTTAACAATATTTTATAATAAAAAGAACTAGGAAGACAAATATATATGAATGTCTGAAGAATAAAGTCTAAAGGTGAGATGAGCTGCATCTTAGCTCCACACGGCTTAGCTCACAAGAAAACAGAGTCAACATTTGGCAGAATATTCAGCGAACATAAAAACTGTAGTAGGAACCCACCAGGGGTTAAAATCGTACTGAGGGTGTATGATGTCACTATCCTTTCTTCCTATACTGGGAAGGGTGGCTATAGTTTACAGCAATATATTGTACATTTCTAAATAACTGAAGGGGAGTACCTGAATGTTTGTAGTATAAAGAAAAGATAAATATTTAAGGTGATGAGTATCTCAATTACCTTGATTTGATCTTTACACATTATATAAATATATAAAATTATCACACACCCTGAAAATATGTACACCCATTATGTATCAATAAAGAATAAATTTTTAAAAAGATATTGATGTTGTAGAAGCAAGACCATTGGAAATCTGAATTCTTGTCCTGAGTTCTAGCAAGTCTTCTCAACCTGGCTCAGTGCTAGGTCACTTAAGAGTAAAGATACAAACAGACTAAATCCAGTATCTAAATGATCTTACTCTACTTAATTCAGAATGACTCACACTTCTCAGGGGATCTTGATCTGTAAAATGCCTGAATAATAACCTAATTTCAATTTTACAGCATTTTTGTTTTTGTCTAATCTACTTAGGATCACGAATTTCTTAAAACGTAACTGCTGCTTGGTTGAACTTCATTGTACTCAGGGAAGGCAAATATTTGCCATCATCACCCTTACTTCAAACATAGCATCATTGCTTGTTTATTTCAGCATATTTTCCAAGTAAGTCTGGATTCTACCCAAAATCCTTTTTGACTTTGAAAAGATTGGAAACGCCAAGCAGGTCCATCCCAGTCCTCCAAACCCTTTCTGCAACTAATTTCTCACACAAGCAGTTCTATCCTGAAAAAAGGAGGTATGCAGTAACAAAATATGAGCACATATTTTTACAGCATTCCAGGGGGTAGTGTTATTTTCCACCAAGACACATGTTTTGATCTTCATGGTTTAGCATGTAATTTATCTCACATATTCAGAGATCATCTGCATTGATGATTAAATGACAAGTGGTCTGCTGTATTTCTTTGGATGAAGAAAAGAAATTTGCAGTCAATATTCTAAAAGCGCAGCCAACTATTTGGTCTGTAAAGCAATGTGGACCATTGAGTACGTGCACAGTTTAAAAAATTCCATCCTCTGAAATCTTAGTTGAAAATATCGGAGTTGAGTTGCAATGAGCCTCATCTGAACAGAGAAAGCCCCCAACCTCACTAATAAAAGTTTCAGATTTTTTGATTGAATGCCATTTGAAATTACCTTCATCACGTTAACGTGCAGTAGGTAGTATGCAGTCGGGTTGCCTCTCGACATGACCCTATTAGAGATTGCCACTTGTAAGGAAATCTATTCAAAAGCAGAGGCTGTATTAAGCTGGATACCAGGTCAAATGACACTATTTGGGGGAAAAATGGAGAGGTACTTCAGCCTAACGATTTGTGAAAAGTTAAGTAACAACAAATTCCATGAATATGAAATTGTGGAAAGAATGCTCTCATCACAGCTTTTATCCCTCAGCACTCTATGCAGACGGTAGCCAGGAGGAATTAGAAATGGCACCTGCTGGTATGCCTGTCTCTCTCTGAAATGATGCTTTTTCAGACTATGATTTTAGAGCTTGTGAGATGGAAAGGGAAAAATTCAGTTTGGGGTTCTCAAAGTTCTTTTCAGTAAAACGGGAAGGTAGGAAGCGCAATATGAGTATTCTGACATTTCCTGCCTATTTTTGCTTTCAAGAACCTTTGTATATTCATGTGGTTGGCTGTAGAGAACTTTGACAGTTTTAGTTGGAAGCTTTGGAAATATCAGGGAGAAGCAAACTCAGTTTCTGCATTAATAAGTGGTGGAAATAGATCTGGGATTCTATACTAACTTATATTTGTTTTTTGGAATTTTAATTTTTATAAACACTTCACTGGAATATAATAAAATATATGTTGATATAGTGAAATATATAATACAATGTAAAGTATTATACAGAGAAGTATGTCTATCATAAATGTACAACTCACTGAATTTTTACAAACTGAACACACACCTGAGTAAAAGCCCTAAGATCAAGAAGTAAAACCCGTATGCCTCTCTCATGACCCCTTTCAGCCTCTAGTCACTCTCCTGTCTTCTAGATTTGTTTTGCCTTTTGTGCAGTTTGCAAATAGGGAATTATACTATTAGTGCTCATTTGAGTCTGGCATCCCAGACTGAACATCATGTTTATAAGGTCCACTCATAACTATTATATTTCAGTTTAATTCATTCATCCTCACTGTTGAATGTTTTTTCATTATGGGAACTTAGGCTGTTTTTTTTTGTTTTTGTTTTTTTTTTATGGGAACTTAGGCTGTTTTTCACTACTATGAGTAATGTTATTTTGAACACTCACGTGTGGATCATTTGAAGAAACATACATACATATTTTGGGTGGGTACATACTTTGGAGTGGAATTGCTGGGTCAAAGGGTTTGGAAAAGTTCATCTTGAGTAAACATTCCCAAACAGATATCCAGAGTGGTGGTTATTTCCACCCCTGCCAGCACTAAATGAAGTTCCAGTTGTTTTACATCTCACCAGATTCATATGCCCCTCCTTTGCCTTTGTATCATTCTGGTGGGTGTGTAGCTGCTGGCAATTTTTGAGGTCCTTGAGAACATTGTTGTTTCCTTGTTTACCTCGACGTTCAGAGCACTGAGCACAATGATGGCTTTTGATTAGGTTTCCAGATTACTTTCAGGCGTAATAGCACAAATGGATCAGTGAGCAGAGGTATAGTAGAAACAAAACTAAGGTGTACCTTGAGTCTGGAAGTCTGATCCTTAGGGGAAGGAACTCGATGGCACTCTGGTAAGCTTCCCTTCAGTGGCTTTTGTTGGGCATACATGGATTCTAGAAGACCTTCTATTATGACATATAGCATGAAAATTGTTTCAGACCATAAAAGTTTTTTCTCACTGCCTATGTGTATAGAATTTTATATTATAGTTGCTTAAATCTTATAATATCAACCCAGATGTGCAAAAAGGCAATTTTCTCTACTAGTCTATATTTGCTCTCAACATGTACACTGTTGTTGAAAGTTAAACTGTTTCCACTATCTGTTTAGTTTTAAACCCCTGTCTCTTTTGTGTAAATGTTCAGTTAATTTAAAAACTTGCCCCTCCATTTCAGCATTTTTCTTTGTCCCAAGACATGATCAGTTTCCTCACAGGGCATTGAAAGCGTAGGGTCTGGTTGCTTCTTGGGTTGCCTCTGACCCCAGTAGCTTCCAGGGCAGGATGGCTTGATCTGCCTGAACTCTGCTGTGGCTCTGGCTGTGAGGCCCATATGCTCTGCATTTTGTTGTTCAAACCCAGGACTTTCCTAGTTGATGGTCCTCGGAGCCCCTTATCTGGAGGGTCAGGATTCTCAGCTACTGTCCTGTGCATCTCTGGGGTATGAAGGACTTTCTGGAGTTTCTTTCCCTTCAAGAGAATCTGCTGGAACACTTGCTTCAGTCATTATCAAGTTGCTCCCTGTACATTCAGTTGCCTCCAGCACTATGCACATCTCAGGGATTTGCTCGCAGATATGAAATCTGCCTGAGATAAGCTTTGGGGAAATCAGCAGTAACTCCACTGTTCTGGGATGTCTCATACCCACACTGGATTTCTCTCTCATTTCGCCATCTTTGATTTATGGGTCTAAGAAGAGTTTGGGTAAGGAACTGATCTGTGGCTCATAATACAAGCACGAGTTGCTTTATTTCAGCCTCCCCACTGAAGTTTTCTTTTGAAGTCTACCGGTTGAGCACTTATTACCTTTTGGGGTGGGGGAGATAATTTTTCCATTCACTGTGCACTCTTCTGTATGGTTTCTAGTGTGCACTGTCTGCTCAGTATTCTAAGCTTGGTTATTGATATTTAATACCATCTTTGGAAACTCTGAGAAACCATCAGTCCTCCTTTTTTCTCAGTAAAGTCCAGCTATTACCCAGATGACGTGTATACTCTTCACACTTTATCTGCTATGGTTTTAAGAAATATATTTAAGAACTGAACTTGGATTTTGGTCCTTGGTGGTGTCTGCCCTCCCTCAGAGGACAATACTTATATGAAGCTAACATCACTGCTTGAATGGGAAGGAGAAAGATAGGAGTGAAGGCAATGGAAACACACAGCTTTATAGCAAAGCATTATCTCTATTACCTTATGTAGCTGCTTTCAGTGTGTGTATTTAGGAGGTGAAACTTGAAGAAATCAGAGGATTTGTTTGCCCAAGGAAGGTTTTTAACATCACCATGTTACAATCTCTCTTCATTTTTCTTAAGAATATAAAAATAACAAACTGAGTATTAAGCAAGTTTGCTAAGATATTTGGGCCTCTTTCCAAGAAGATAAATTATACATAATATAATAAGAGAAAAGAAAATGTCATGTTGGTGAAACTTCCATGAAAATTCTCATTTTGCAAAAAAAAAAAAAAAAAAAAAAAATTGTTTTTTTTTTTTTTTTTTTTTTTTTTTTGCCAGATCCCCAAATGAGGTAATAATATCGTGGCTGGATGTGGCAGTTCATGCCCCAGAGGAGGTAATACAATGGTTTAGAATATCTTCTCCTTTTTGAAGCAGCCTCCTTGTTATGCCAGGAAGTTAGTCTAAAACTAGCCCCTTCATTGTTCACATACAGAGTCAAGTGAGGAAAGTAAGCCTACATTTCCTACTTTGTTTGGATGTTAGAAGGAATTCTCTTTCAGCAGAAAGCTGTCATGCAGGACTAACAAAAACCATTTTGATTGGTCGCTTTTTTCTTGAGGTTCTAAAATTTCCATCTCATTATGATCAAAGAATGCAACTACGTTTGAGTATATCTTGACAAAGGATGGCAGTCCTAATTTTGAATTTTCTGTATTCTAGCTGTGGATTAAACCCACTTATCTATAGAGCTTTTCTTGCACTTCATAAGTGTGAAGACCCTTCTGAATGGGTATCACAAGAATTTTTTGGAGATATTTACCAGACATTTACCAGAAATACTTTCACTCACTTAGCCCAAAGCTACATGTTCATTTATCCAGTTATTCTTTCATTCATTTTATGTATTCTCTACACATTATGTGAGCACATGAGAATATAGAGATGAATAAAACATGATCTCTCTGATCTTTTTTGTTTGTTTTTTGTTTTTGTTTTTTTTTGAGATGGAATCTTGCTCTGTTGCCAGGCTGGAGTGCAGTGAGCAATCTCAGCCCACTGCAACCTCTCCCTCCTGGTTTCAAGCGATTCCCCTGCCTCAGCCTCCTGAGTAGCTGGGACTACAGGCGCTCGCCACCACGCCCAGCTAATTTTTGTATTTTTAGTAGAGACGGGGTTTCACCATGTTGGTCAGGCTGGTCTTGATCTCTTGACCTCGTGACCTGCCCACCTCGGCCTCCCAAAGTGCTGGGATTACAGGCGAGAGCCACTGTGCCTGGCCCAATCCCTGATCTTAAGGAGGCCACTGTCTAGTGGTAAAGGTAGCCATGTAAACACGAAGTACAATAAAGTGTTTCTGGGGCTGGGGTAGATGAAGTACAATAAGGCAAAAATGTGAGAGTAGTTTTCCATGCTGGATGTGATTAAATATTTTTTATTTAAAAAATTGCATAATTGGGGTTAGAAATAGAAGTAGATATACAAAAGGTGAGTAATGCAGAAGAGATATTCCCATCAGGAAATGAAACAGACACTGAAGTATGGAACCACGGAATCACATAACATTCTAGAGACCTGTGACTAGGGTGAGAGTGTAGCGTACAAGAGCTGGAAGCATGAGAAGAGTGGTAGAGGTTCAGACGGTCAGATGGTGGAGGTGTTGGTGTGCCAAGCTAAGGAGATATTTTAGCCCCTAGCTGGAGATTGCAATGGAAGCAAGCATGCAATCACATTCTTCATCCGCATGCACAGCCTGCATGTCAATCATTATGGCATTCTTCTTGCCAAGTCCAATGGTGTTCTCTGAATCCTCTGAGCATGGGTATCTTGGCACCACTACCAAGTGATGTTTGCATATCTGATGAAACTTGACATCACTGTTCTAAGAACTTGGGAGTCTTTGGAGGGTTTTAAGCTTGGATGTGGAGCTGCTAGTTATGAAGTTTAGACAGGAAAAAAAAACAAAACAAAACCAAACACCCCACTATTTTTGTGCTGTGGAGGGAAAACTAGAGGGAGGCAAACTAGCACCAAAGAGAATAGTTGCAACATGTGTTAGTTTGCTGGGGCTGCCATAGCAAAATACCAGAGTCTGGGTGGCTTACACTGAAATTTATTTCTCACAGTTCTGACTGGAAGTTCGAGGCTAAGGTGTTGGCAGGTTTGGTTTCTCCTGAGGCCTCTCACCTTGGCTTACACATGCCCCCCTTCTTGCTGTGACCTCACATGTCCCTTTGTGTGTCCTAATATCTCCTTGTTAGGACATCAGTCATATTGAATTAGGGCCAACCTCAAAGACCTTATTTTAACTTAATTACCTCTTTACAGGCCGTATTCCAAATACAGTCACATTCCAAGTACTAGGGGTTTGGGGCTTCAAAGTAGGAATTTGGGGGAAACACAATTAAGCCCATAAAAGGACACTATTAATTTCTTTTAATATTACAGAAATGGAATATGAGGCCTGCACAAAGGTCATGGCAGTGAGATGAAAAAAATGAATATGAGAAACTCACTGGGTCTATATAATTTTGAGGTTTTCAGGTAGTGTAAGAAGAAATAAGTGATGCATTCGCTGAGACAGATAATTTTTGTTTGTGGTGAGGAGACATATTATTAATTCAGCTTTAGCTAGATTGAGTTTTAGACACTGTAAGATTTTTGAGTTTATCTAGTGAGTAGTTGGCTATGTGAATGTGAAACTATGCAATACTTTAGCACTTATATTTAGTATTTTAAATAATTCCATTGAGTTTCTTCTTGTAAGTGGACATCAATCAATTATGCATAGAAAGAAAAGAGTTTCTTGGAGGATAAACAGTCACAAATCTTTATGATGTTTCGGAAAATATTTGCTTCTTCCAATTCTTGTTTCTTTCGAGAAGCTCTTGAAATGTCTTTGCCTCAGTTTCTCATGATGTGTTTTATCAAAAATGCTTCAAATAAGTGTTGCATTGTTAGTAGAAACTATGTTGGAATGAATGAAACTAACATACAATGATGGGGGGTTTTGATATCCGAGAAGTTTTTAAGATTTGACAAGCTAAACCTTTTGAAATAGCAAACATTAACAAAAGTCCTGACTGCTTGTTACAGATGGATGACTTTCCAAATGTGACTTTGGTAAAAAAAGCTGCATTTGAACTGCAAGAGAGAACAAGGGTCAAAGAAACAGCATTACTTCCAAGAAATAGGGATGGGGCTGGCAGAAAATCTCTGTTTCTCTGTTTTGTTCAAGGGCAAAGATACCTTATGCGATGAGTAATAATTGTAGCTAAGTGTGTAAGCTATTACAGAACGGTTGCAATGTGATTTTTGTATAAGTACTTCAGTGTTTATTAAATTTCTCCCATCTAGTTCATATACCTTCAGTTTACATCAGTTGTTCTGAACAGGGGTGATTTTACCCCTGGGGGACATTTGGCAATGTCTGAAGATTTTTTTTTTTTTTTTTGGTTGTCACAATGTGGGATTGGGGGTGGTTATTTCTGGTGTCTAGTAGATGGAGACCAGGGATGCTGGTAAACATCCTATAATGTACAGGCAGCCCCTCACAACAAAGAATTATCCAGCCAAAATGTCAACAGTGCAGAGGTTGAGAAATCCTGGTATCTAACAAAATAAGTGCCATTTGCTTTAAAAAGCAGAGAACCAATCTTATGAGTCGATTTTCAAGTTTGAATATAATTCTTCGCTAAACAATTACATGATGGGGTGGTAGTCGTGGTGGCACTGGTGGTGTGTGTGCATGTGTGTGCGTGTTTGTTTTTGCTTGGGAAGGTTGTTCTCTTTCATTAACTGCATTTCATACCTTACACTTCTGTGTTTAAATGGAATTAAGCTATATCAGTATTTTACTTTTAACCTTGTTTTTCACATATATAAATTGCTGGACCTCACTATAACCTCGAGCTCCTGGGTTCAAGCAATCCTTCCACCTCAGCCTCCTGAGTAACTGGGACTACAGGTGTGAGCCACCATGCTCAGTTAATTTTTTGTCTGCGTGGAGATGGGATCTCACTATGTTGTCCAGGCTGCTTTCAAACTCCTGGCCGAAAGCATTCCTCCCCGTCAGCCTCCCAAAGTGTTGGTATTATAGGCATGAGCCACAATACCTGGCTACAATCAGTGTTTTATAAGATGTAAGCAAATAACACAAGGGTTCCTGGGCATGTTTAGTAGGAAGTGGTAGGAGGTAAACATTTTTACTAAAACATCTCCCATATATAGGAGCTATGCTTTCAGTAATGAACAAAAATTATAAATTCAACATTTTCCAACAACACTAAAAATAAAATTTCAGTCTATTAATATGCACATCTTTGAGATAATTGGATCTATTTACCAAGATAACTTGAATTAATCCCCAGACATAGTTTGTAAAATTCTACCTTGAGTCTCTAAGTGCCTAGAAAAGAGACAGATTTTTTTACTGCAATATGAAAGAATTTCATCTTCTTCATTAACAGCAGCAATCTTAGAAGTAACACACAAGAATCCTAAGAATGTTCACTTCACAATGAGATGCCACTTCACAGACGATAGAATGGCTATAATTTAAAAAGACAATAACAATTCTTGGTAAAGATATGGAGAAATTTGAACTCTCATATATTGCTGCTGGAATTGTGAAATGGCTCGGCTGCTTTGGCAAATTGTTAGGCAGTTTCTTAAAATGTGAACTATGTTTATATATTTGTAGATATTTTATATCATCTAGCAATTCTATTCCTAGATGTTTGACCAAGAGAAATTAAGATGTGTATCTACATGAAGACTAGAACATGCATGTTCATAGCAATGTTGTTCAGAATATCTAAAAGGTGGAAATGACACATATGTCCATCAGCTAGTGAATGATAAACAAAATGTGGTATATCCATACAATGGAATATAGTTGGCAATAAAAGGGATTGAAATATTAGTACATGATATGATATTGTTGAACCTGAAAAAGATTTAATTAAGTGAGAAACTAAACATAAGAGATTACATTTATCCTGTTTATATTTAATAAATAAATTTATTTATTAAGCCATGTAATCCCATTTATATGAAATGTCCAGAAAAGGTGAAACTAGAGAGTCAGAAAGTAGATTGCTGGTTGCCTGAAGCTGGAGATGTGAATGTGGAGTGCCTGCAAGTGCATACAGCATGTCTTTTTAGGTGATGGAAATGTTCTAAAATTAGATTGTGGTGATAGTTGCCCAACTCTGCAAATGTATTAAAAATGGTTAAAGTGTGCTCTTAAAACAGTTGAATTATATGGCGTGGAACAAAAACAGTATGCCTCATATAGCTACTTTTTAAAAAAGAAGGTGCTTTTCCCTCTGTTTACTTTCCTTGAAACAATATAGAGGCAAAAAGGACAGCTTAGCTTAAAAGACCAATACAGTGTGAGATTGTGAATGGAGAGACTTCATGATGTCCTTGTTTCTTTCCTCGTGGTTGTAATTCATAAAAAGAATCAAACCTGTGCTAATTTATAGAAATTCCCCACCAGTGCAATTTGTATTGCATCCATTCCCTCTGTCCACAGGCCAACTCTCTTGGTTCTTTCTCTCTTATTTTATCATCAGGTTATCATTTGGTGGCATTTAGAGCAGGAGTGCAAATGCATTTTCTGAGATCAGATTAGATCAGGCGTGTTCAGGGTGGTATGGCTGTAGACAAATGCATTTTCTGTACATAAGTTTTAAGAGTTTGGGGCCTCTGCACAATGAAAGAAAAAAAATTGAGGAAGATCCTTATAATGAGATTCATGGAATCTTATCACCCAGGCATAATGGCCTCCCATTTCTTCTGCTCCCTTCAGTGAAATCACCTGCAATGAGGGAGAGCAGAGGCTGGATTCCACTGTCAGACTCCAGCTAAATAGAAGTGAGTGGTACTAGCCCACCTGCCACAGGCAGAACATGAGCAAAGGAGGAAAGAGATTTAGAGCAGACAGTTGAAAAGGGCAAGAGAGGCCGACCAGTTTCAGTTATTTTCCTGAGGTTGCTTAAGATGCCAGTCTGCTTATAAATTCCTTTTTTTTTTTTTTGAGATGGAATTTTACTCTTGTCACCCAGGCTGGGGTGCAATGAGGCGATCTTGGCTCACTGCAACCTCTACCTCCCAGGTTCAATCGATTCTCATGCCTCAGCCTCCAGAGTATCTGGGATTACAGGTACCTGCCACCATGCCCGGCTAATTTTTGTATTTTTAGTAGAGACGGGGTTACGCCATGTTGGCCAGGCTGGTCTCGAACTCCTGACCTCAAGTGATTCACCCGCCTTGGCCTCCCAAAGTGCTGGGATTACAGGCATGAGCCATCACACCCAGCCTATAACTTCTCATTTGAAGCGAGACCAACCTGACTCTCACATTATGCTTTTACTCCCCTGCCCCTGCCATGTAGACCCCTGCCCATGCCCCAGCCTGTTTTCCCTTGCAATACCCAGAAGTCTGCCCTTTGTATAAGTGAGGGACCAAATCAAAGCCAGCAAATGGAATGTGTAGGTTATTTACGGATTGTTGCTGAGCAAATGTAATCACCAGCCTGCTGTACCTCTATCATCATTTCCCTTGACGAGAACATCACAGACTTAAATTTTGCAAAGGAGGGAGAAGTGGCCATAATCCAGCTATAACAGTAACAGCCAATTCTGCTGTGATGGGAAGAGGTGCTGTATTAGTGCCAATACATTAACCAACTTTTCAATTGCAGCAGGGAAGCTGATTGCCATTATAATTCCCATGGCACTTCTCCACAGAGGTAACAGAACTGCTTGAATAAGCGTTCATTTCCAGCTCTGCTGGTGTGTGTGTGTGTGTGTGTGTGTGTGTGTGTGTGTGTGTGTGACAGAGAGAGAGAGAGAGAGAGACTATCTAATGCAAATGACTGGCTAAGACTTGAGAGTATGCATGGTGCCAGACCTTTCTGAAAGATTATTCTACCACTAGATGTATGATCTTGGGTAAGTCACCATGCTATTATGAATCATGGATTGCATTTGCCAAATGCAATGTCTGGATACAGGCCTTAAGGAACTGGAAGCTTTTAATTCCTGACTAGGATGCAGATTGCTCTAACTTTCACCAAATGGTAACCTTGTGATGAGACTAAGAGAGAAAGAACAAAGAGAGTTGGACTGTTGGAAGAGGGAATTGATGCCACCCAAATTGCACTGGCAGATAATGTCTGTAAATTAGAAGAGCTTTGATTCTTTTCCCAAAATAACCACAAGAAAAGAAACAAGAACATCATAAAGTCCCTCAACGTACCATCCCATATTGTACTGGTCTTTTAAGTTTCCTGCTCAAGAGTTCTAAGTGGCCACTTAAGAAGGCTGACTATGCTAAAACAACAAAGCTGGAGAGGCTATGTCAGCATTTCAACTGACTTCCTTAGCAGGGCACATTCTTCCGGCCATCCCTGGCACCACACCAGACACAGTAATGAAGACATCTTTGTTCCTCCAAATAAGCCTACCCAGCAGCTGAATGTCCCACGTGACTTCAGCTGATACACGTGGAGCAGAAGAACTGCCCTGCTGAGCCCTGTTCAAATTTCTTACCCACAAATCCATGAGGTATACTCAGTTAGTTGCTATTTTATTTTATTTTTTTTTTGAGATGGAGTCTCGCTCTGTCTCCCAGGCTGGAGTGCAGTGGCACGATCTTGGCTCACTGCAAGCTCCGCCTCCCAGGTTCACGCCATTCTCCTGCCTCAGCCTCCCGAGTAGCTGGGACTACAGGTGCCCGCCACCACGCCTGGCTAATTTTTTGTATTTTTTTTTTTAGTAGAGACAGGGTTTCACCGTGTTAGCCAGGATGGTCTCGATCTCCTGAACTTGTGATCCGCCTGCCTCGGCCTCCCAAAGTTCTGGGATTACAGGTGTGAGCCACTGCACCCGGCCCAGTTAGTTGCTATTTTAAGCTGCTAGGCTTTGGAGTAATTCCAACAAATAACAAAAACACCTAGAGCAAAGCTGTTGAAAAGATTGAGTGGAATAATAAAAGTGCTCATTAAATAGTAGCTTTTAATGCTGCTTTAATAATAATGATAATAATGCTAATAAAAATAAACATACTGTAGTTTCATCTAATGGGAAATCTGACCTCTCTTAAGTAATTTAGAGATCTAAAATCCTTGCTGACCTGCAGTTTTTATCTTTAACAACAGATGAGATGAGTACTTGACTTGAAGACTTGGAGAGTCACATATATCAAGCTAAAGAAAGTATTTAGTGGATACCTCCAATATGCCAAGCACCAATACACATTTTTCTCATTTAATCCTCACAGCAGCATTACAAGGTGAGCATTATGGATCCACAACTTACAATGGTCAGAGACGTTGAGTAACTTGTCCAGTTTTACACCTAGGAACTGGTAGAGCCAAAATCTGAACTGTCTGCCTCTGTGGCAGAGAAGAGGCCTGAGTTGAATTGGGTCTTGAAGGATATGTAGGTATAAGAAGATGAGGAGAAAGGCCTGGAGATATTGTAAGGCATGGTGAGAAGATGAGCTGTGGTCTTCTGTGAAAAGTAGGGAAAAATGAGTTCCTATCTGAAGAATCTTATTCTCAGAGCTGAAAGCAATCTCCAACTCTCTACTTCTCACCTCCAGCTTGGCCCTGATGAAGAAGGGTCTGCTAATGGGCCGTAGACAACCAGGGTCCATGCTAGAAATCTGGAAGAGGATGATTGAAAGTTCAAATGTTGTTTCAGGGCTCTGTGTCTGCTTTCTTTTCCTCTCTTGGCTTGCAGAAAAACAAATGCTAACAGAAAACAAAGAATGCTTCCTTTATTGCTTGGGTGATGAAAGCCAACATCAAAGTTGATGAAGAAACAGATTGGACTTGTTTAGGTGTATTCTGAATTTCTTGCTAAATCATTATCTAACATAACCCCCCCATTGAAACTTCTAGTAATCCTTGCTTTCAATCTTCTGTGAACAGTAAGACTTCCTGCATGCTCTAGCAGTTCTGGATTGGGCATGTGGAGTAGGAGGTTCTGGGCTGACAAGAACTAAATTCCAGGATCACTAGTAGGTTTTTGTTTCCCTTTTGTAACACAGAGCCCCGTGGTGTCCTTGGTTCCTCAGATTATTCACCTTATCTGTGATATCTTGACTTTCTACCTTGCCTAAGTGCCTTGACCTTAAAAGTAGTCTATGGACCTTATCAAACTTTCTTCTCTAACCTAACTATTGGGCTATTTCCTTTGTTTCACTTCCAGGACAAAAGGGGAACATACCCCAGACCCTCAGACAGGCTGGGGATAATGTTACAAATGTGCAAAAACTAGGAAGTACTCATGCTAGCTTCTCCCCATTTCCAGCTTTGGGGCAATAAGTAGGAATAGCAACTAAAATGAATGCACAAACCATCCAGTGCAATTGTGTTAACACCAACAAAAGTCTAGCTGAATTAAATAAGTACTCCTAGAGTAAAAGCAACTTTCCTTCCTCTGGAAGCCCTCCTAGATTATTACAAAGAGAATTTTGAAGGAGATGGACTTGGCAATGCTGTTCATCTCATACGTTTGTTGGCAAAATAAATCCACAACACACCACATTGTTGTTAAATAGAATGAATATTACAAAGCCAATTTAAATCTGGAATAAAACTATTTAAAAGGATGATCATTTAATAGCTCTTGAAAGCAAGTAACTACTTTCTCTGTGGCATAGTAGAAGAACTCATTTGAGGGAAGTGAAGACTGTGTTAGAATATCTGGGCCTTCCTCAGAATTTCTGAGGAAATGCTATGTGCAGTTATTTAGCCATATTGTTCCTCAGTTACTCATTTGAAAACTGGTATGAAAATAACAGTAGCTATCTCACAGGGTTTCTGGGAGGACTAAAGTTACCAATGTGTGAAAGGTTCTTAAAATACCTAGAATTTATTAAATAAACATGTAATAAATGGTAGCAATACATATAATTATTAAGTAATACTGAGGATTGGTAATTTGGAGATAAATGTCTAAATATCTATGGATCAGATACTTTAGGGTTAGGATGATGGGGATCACAAATGCAAGGCGGGACCATGAGTTGATCCTAGGCCGTACGGAATCTGGGCGTGTAACCTTAAACACTGTGTTGTTTTCCTTCAGGAACTCAGGAGGGGGAACCCGCTTTGTTCCATCAAATACTGCCATTACCAAGCATGTATCTTCATGTTGGTGCCTAGCTTTATGCAAACCTGGTACTTATAGTACCTATTATTCACTTTAAGTGCTTAGAAGTTGCATTAGGGCTAGATTTACACATGCAGTAGCAGAATCATTCCAGAGACTTTCAATATCTTGTTTCATGACTGGAATGAGCCATACTTCTGGATCTTAGGAAGGAAGTCTGCATCGATAGCAAGACTTTGTCTTTTGTTCTTTAAAAATTATAATACCCCACTGTCATCTACCAAATGAAGATAGCCATTATTTATTTAAATTTGCAATGCTTTCTCTCCCCAGTTGCTTTGGAGTAGAAGCATCTTACTGTCCTTGGTTCATTGCTTTTCCCATTTTGTTTTTCCCTGGTACAACACATATTCCTCATTCTGCTGAATTCCTCCTTACAGACCAGAGATAAGTTATTCTTTAATGAATAAATGGAAGAAGACAGACACAACTGACAGCAAACAGCAGAGATAACTGGTGTCTGTTTTCCCCTGTAGCCTTCTTAGGACATCATTTTGGACCTTTCGCCAGAGCTGTAGAAAAAAATGAAAACATGAGTGAGCATTTGAGTCATTCTTCTAAATAAGTAATTGTTTCCATTCCTTCTTCCAACCTATATGTCAGCATAAAGTCTCCCTTGACCCCCTTGACCCAGGAATGAAGAATTATATTAGTGATCAGTAAATGCATCACCATTTAGAGGGGAAAAAATGATTTAATGTGCCAGAGAGAAGAAAAGTCATCTGAGAATTGAGGAGGGTCAGGGGACTGACTGATTTCATCGGACCAATACTTATTTCCTGGGCTGATTGACACTCTCTACTGGGCATCTCAGTACTAGAAAGACAGGCTTTTATTAGTAACAGTGTTTCAGGGCCCAGGGAAGAAAGAAGCCAAGATAATTTTGCTACAGAATGAGTCCTGTCTAGCTTCTGAAGTGGTTGTACAATATTATTTAATGAAGAGTGAAATAAGAGAAAAATATGTGTTGCCCTTCCATGTCTTGCACAGGTAAAGAAAAGAAAAACTGAACCATGGGTGCTTAAGAGATCTACATATAAGAGTCTCTCGACTCTGAGTAAGAGACCACAACTTCTAGACTGGCTAGGTTGTAGGAAACAATGATTTTATACTGCCTATATTTGGATAGGTATATTTCCATCCAAGAAAACACGTATGTAGAGTTTATATGTAGTACTGTTTAGGTTGCAGAGGCAAGGCATGCAGTTTTGAAGCATACAGGTGCTGGTGCTCAGCTGTGATTATGCACTCAGCTTGGCTTCTTACTGTGTAATTCTGAGTTGCTGGCTTAAGTTCTCTGAATTTCTTTAACATTACAATGTAGATATTAACAGTTATTCATAGAGCTGTTGGAAGGATTCAGTAAGTTAATAAAGTATCTGAACTAGTAATAGTGTCTGGCACATAATGAGCAGTCACTGTTAGAGCCAATAATTATCATCATTGTTACTGTCCCATACATATGAGCCCCCACTCTGAGATGTCAGTCCTACAGAGCATAGGCCATACAGAAGCAATCACCATTATCCATTGTGTGTGTCACTTTATTATTTGCCAAGTACTTTCTCCTCCAGTTCATGATTATGCCCTGTGCTTGGGTCTAGTATGTCATAACCCCAGCTGTGAATCCTTGCTAAAATATTTAACCTCTCAGAGCCTCAGTTCGTTCATCTGTAAAATTTACCCAATGCCCATTCCATCTTTACAAATTTAAAAGAGGCTCACATCTTATGTTGCCCTGGAGTCAAATCTAATTTTGTTTTTCAAGAAAGTAACAAATTGGCCGGGCACGTTGGCTCACGCCTGTAATCCCAGCACTTTGGGAGGCCAAGGCGGGCGCATCACGAGGTCAGGAGTTCAAGACCAGTCTGACCAACATGATGAAACCCTGTGTCTACTAAAAATACAAAAATTAGCTGGGCATGGTGGCGGGTGCCTGTAGTCCCAGCTACTCAGGAGGCTGAGGCATGAGAAGCGCTTGAACCCAGGATGCAGATGTTGCAGTGAGCCGAGATTGTGCCATTGCACTGCAACCTGGGTGACAGAACGAGACGCCGTCTAAAAAAAAAAAAAAAAAAAAAAAAAAAGAAAAGAAAAAAGAAAGTAACAAATAAACAATCTCTAGTGGAAAGAATACCCTCAAAGTGTCACCACTCCATTGCTCCAGAACCACACCTCCGCCTGAAGGGAGGGAAAAGGGTTACTAGGACAGTCTTACACAAAGGCGTCTTCAATAAATTTCATGGAACAAATGATGTATGCAGTGCACACCTGCCTCTTAGGATTAATTCTCAGGTTACAGTGAAGCTCAGAAAATTGCTATTTCTTGACCTAAAAGGAGGTTAAAACACTTTCAGTAGAAATCGATTCACTTTAAGGTATTTAGCACTGTTCATATTTTGTAAAAGTCTCTATGACAAGGCTGGTTTCAATTGACACTTTATGTAGCAGTTGTAGGAAGCCCATCACATAGAGAGTGGAATTTGAATGAGTGTTTTACAAGATGGGCTGTTTCCTTTGTTTCACTTCCAGGATAAAAGAGGAACATGGCCCAGACCCTCAGACAGGCTGGGAATATTGGGATTCTTATCTGTGTTTGCAACATAGGAAGTTGCAAAGTGATTGCTGGAAAAATAAAATTAATTTTTTCTGATTCTTCTATTTTTCTTTTGCAAGGGGAATTTATGTTACACTTGGTCAAATAACACTATGTACAGTGAAGGAAATGAGGTGTGAGGGAATCATCCAATAAAAAATGATAAATCATAAAAGATAATTTAGAGAAAATGCCATTAGGAAGAGTTTGAGAAGCATGAAGATCTTTTTTTCATAGGATTTTAGGAAATGCTGTCACAGGAAATTGCACAATTTATACAGTTGTTCTTCTCTTCCTTGAAAAGATAGTAATAAATTTCAAATAGAATTAAGAAATAATGCAGGCTGTCAGTCATGGCCTGAGACTGGTTGGGGAAGATTGCTTTCTGAGGAGACAAATTATAATTATAGTCATAGTCATGACCAACAAATCAGAAAACAAAACCCAAGTTATGCAAATGATTTCAAGGACTAATATGTGACCAAGGGGAGAGAAAGAATATCCAGATAAGATAAACCAAGGGGTCAGGAGGATATGGAGAAAAAGAAACCTTTATGCACATCTGTAGAAGGGAAAATGGTGCAGCTATTTTGGAGAACAATTTGGCAGGATTGAGGGAAATTGAATATGTGCATATTGAAACACCCAGCAACTGTACCTTTAAGTGTGCACTTCAGAAAATGTCTTGCCCAGATACTGAAAGAAACACATATGAGAATGTTAATAATAGCATTGTTTGAAGTAGCAAAGACTTGAAAACAAACTAGAAATGCATAAATGGGAAAACAAAGTGTAAAATTTTCATATGAGGGCCTACTACACCGGACCCAAAATAAATGAACTAGTTGTACATGTAATAATATGAATAGATCAAAATGCTATTAACAATAAGCTGAAGGGTCATATAGCTTAATGCTATTTATGCAAATAAACAAAATATATTAAAAGTGTTGCTAGGTATTGTATGTTGACATACGTATACATAAAAAGTAAAATTTGTGAGAGGTGGATTGGGAGCAGAAGCATGCAGAAAGGCTGACTTTGAAGGGGGAATATCTGATACAATAAAACATAAAAAGAAGACATGTTTGAACCAATGATAATATAGTAATAACACAATGTTACAGATGAAGAAGATAAATCTTGTTCTATGTACCAGAAGTCAAATGTTATATCTACATTGCTACAAAAAGGATCTCTCTCTCTCAATAAACTCTCTGTATATATTATACACATACATGTATATATCTTAACATATATATCAGCATACCTAGTATATTAATTAGGAAGCTTTTGGAAGACATTGACCAAAATGCTACTTAATCTGGTTTAAACAGGAAAGAAGACAGATGTGTTTTTGTAACTGAGAGGCTAACAGAGCAAGTCTAACTTCAGCCAGAACTTCAAATACTGATCATTGGAACATTGTTTCACTCAGTCTCTTCTCTTTTTCTCGATGGTATTGGTTTCATTCTCAAGCAGGCTGTCCCAAAGAGGGCCAGCTCCAGGCTTCTGATCCACCAGCTTAAAGAGAATGCCAGGACAATTCTCGGGTTTTCATTTCATTGACCTGGTTTGACTCTGATGTGAACTTCTCAATCTATTTGACCAGACCTTATCTGAACAGTATTGAGTTACAGTGTGCTTGTGTTACATCGCCAAGGGACAGTTGGAAAAATCAAAATGGTTATTCCCCAAATTATGGTAAAGATTCCAGGGAGTGCCAGAAAAATGAGTGTCTACTTTACATACACTTTGGAAAAATAAGACAAAATGATGAGATAAACTGGAGTTGGCTTCTGAGAAACTAAATTTTTGGAAAAAGTTTTTCCCAAGGGTCATTTTATTTAGTTAAATAGTTATTAGTTGAAATTTTAAAAAAAAGCATTCTCAGGCTGATTATGGCTACCTTATGAGTCTCATGAGCAGTTAAAGAAGCAGAACATTTGCCTTGGAGAAGAAAAGGTTTAAGGAAGACAGGACACCAATCATGTAATGAAAGGGTTGAGTTGCTTTTGTTTCAGAAGACACATTATGACAGTAGATAATAGAATGTATCAGATACTAGTAAGATAAATTGTCTATTTGCCTTTTCTAACATAATAGATTGAGGGCTTCAGACTGTGATCTCTCCATTGTTTAAAACTTACCAGGGATGTTATTGAAAGTCTTCTGAATATGAGACACAGGATGGACAAAGTAGCACAATAAAATCTTCCATTTTTAGTAATCCATGACTCTATACAAGTTAAGTTGTGCACATTTTAAAAGTTGCTGAATGCGATCTGGCTCTCTTGGTGGTAGTGAAATTTTTATATTGTGAGATCTTTTTTTAGTTGATAAAAATTTAAGTCCCAAAAGTATTATTCATTGAGTGATCTTGAATGTGACATTTTTCTTGGTTCCTGATGAGTCATCTTTGCAATACTTATCCAAGTAATTCAGATAAGTGGAAAGAAAAAAAAACTGTACTGTTGTTACCAATATTAACCTTATCCTTCTATGATCACCCCATACTAGAAAAAGAGATAATAACCTCTTCTAACCCTGACTTTTTTTTTTAATTTTAAAAGTGTTTTTTAATTACCAATTCAGACTTGGTATTTTGCTAATTACATCAAGAAAACACCAACACCATTATGCAAAAATTATTTTGAGGGACAGTTGTGGAACTATTTTACTGATCTCCAAGGAGTATGAAAGTGGAAAAGAATTCCTTGTGCTTCAGAAAAATTAGACATGCTGTTTGACATCCTGAGGAAACACCTAAAAACATGTAGTAGTCTTAAAGACAATTACCAAATGATGAGGAAGCCAGAATTGACATGACAAAAGAGGGAGCAGATTCAAGAACAATAATTTTAGAGGAATAGTAGTTCTTAAAAGTGAAAAATCTATTGTTATAATTGTTGACATTGTTGAACTGAATCACCTATTTCTAAATGCCTGTACACTACATCTTTATGTATCTGCAAAAAGGGCCTATGCTTTATGTCATCTCCGTCCATTGGCTGGAACAAAGATATTAGCATTATATAGACATTTCCTAATTACCTTAGCTCTGGCTGTGCCATTAGCCCCTATCTTCGATCTAGCATGGCGAAGATGACACAATGTAACTGACTTCCTATTTCGATTAGCTCTTTAAAGGGAGATGGCTTCAAATACCAAGGTCATGGTGATAAGGAACCAAGATGTTATCACTGGGAGACAAGCTCCTGACTATGACTTCCTATGGAAGGATGATCGGAGCCTGTGTGCAAGTGTGCCATGGCTGAGTGAACAGCCTGTCAAGGAATGTGTTATCATCAGCGTAGAACCCAGACTTGACTGGATGTAAACTTACACACAGATTTAAACATGAAATTTTTCTAGCAAATACGCTCTTGTGGTGTAGGATACTTTAATAAAGATTAATAATAAATCGGATACTCCTGGCATGGGCCGCTTGTTTTTCACTCCTGATGTCACCTTCCATGGGAATGAGCTCCACTTGTATAACACTCCTGAGCTGCCTTCACCTCCTTCACTCACTGTGCCCCAAGGAAGGTATGATCATTTCTCAAATTGGTAATAATGAGAAGAAAAAGTGGAACATGCTTGACCCAGCTCCCCTTTCTCTCTCATGATCAGATCTGGTCCTAGAGGTCATATATTCTCAGCCCCTTGGTGCTGTGGGTCTTCCCTCTAGAGTCTTCCTAGGTCCAGAATTGCTGCTGACAGGGTAGGAAAGTCTATTTGATTCTAGAGTTCAATATTAGGAAGCACATATGGCCTCATCCTGAGTTATATCTTCCCACATAGTCTTTAGCAGAAATAATGTCATAATCGGGTCTCCCATTGGACTTTTTGTTTTGTTTCTCATTTTACTCAAAACCTAGGTGAGGATGAGTGGTATTACTACTGAAGCCTTTAAAAGTCCCCATGTTTCAGCATACAGGATTATAGTGATTCTGTGAGCACATACTAGATGGTATGTTCAAATGTAGCCATTCCGCCTTTACCAGTGGAGGAGTTGCTCTTGAGTTTGACTTCAATAGGAAAGAAAGATTTTTATTCCTAGCAGGATGAGTGCAACTTTCTCTGGGCCCCAAGCTTTCTGTATGCTGAGTAGCCAGTCTTATCAGCAACACTAAGGCTGCCACACACCCAAATACTCTGCTACTTCCCCACTGACGTGTGTGTGTTGTCGTGCCTGCCCTATAAGAAGGGAGGAGAACAGGGGACAGAGTCTTCCTGTTAGAACATACCAAACTCCAAAAAGTTCCAAACAATTTACTGTTTTCCATATGCATGTGACAAAAAGAATTTGATCCTGATTTGAATAAGATCCAAGCTTACTATAAATCCTTTGAACCTTCCTTGAAAGATAAATCCCAGGATCGCAGGCATCATGATCTGTAGTCCATAGAAGGGAGCAAGAAACTATATGGATTTTCTGCCAAAGACACAATTGTTCTATTTACTAATAAAAGGGGAAACATATTTTTACCCTGCAGTCCTTATGTAGTCATGATACCAGATAATCAGCTCCAGAGATAACTTCAAAAAAGAGCAGCTGGACAAATTTCAGGAGATATTTTATCTGTACCACTGCATACAATCATGCAAGTATTTACCCCAAGAGGCTGGACCAAAGGAAAGCAATTTCTAAAATCAAGAAGACGATTTCATCATACAAGAAGAAAACAAATTGTGACTTACTAACCTCAGAAAGATAAACATCATTTATATGTAATTTGAGTGCCTTCATGGTATGGTTTGTTTATGGTGTGGTATGGAAACTAACATAATATAAGCCATCTTGCTTTATTAATAACAGCACCAAACTCATGAGTTGGCAGCCATGTATGTGTGAAAAGTGACTGGTGTAAGCATGGTTGGATGTAAAAGTCACCAAAAGCCTGGCTTTGCCTACTGACTCTGTCACTACTCATCTGTGTGACAGTGAACAAATGTCATCCTTTCTAGACCTCAGATTCTTTATCTGCGTAACGACTTGGTTGGTCAAAATCAACTGCTTGCAAATGCTTAGGTGATACAGGTAAGAAGTGGTTCAAGTCACAGTTGATGATAGGCTCCTTTTAAATAGGGCAGTCTGATGCTGTTCATGTCCATGTTCTGGGAATAGTTAGTTGCAGTTAGGTGTGCTCATGACTTAGTTCGTCATTAGCTCAGAACTTCTGCCACTGCATATGTGACATCTGAGTACTGATTTATCTATAGCTACAAGTTTTGGTATGTTGTGCTTTTATTTTCTTTCATCTCAAGGTATTTTCTAATTACCCTTGTGATTTCTTCCTGACCCATTGGTTATTAGGAATGCATCATTTAATTTCTAAATAATTGTGACTTTCTAAAATCCTTGTGTTATTTCATTTTTAATTTTATTGTGGTCTTACTTAGTATGATTTTAATTATTTTATGTATATTAGGGCTCGTCTTATGGCCTAACTATGGCCAGTCTTTGTAAATGCTCTATGTGTATCTGAGAAGAATGTGTATTCAAGAATGTGTATTCTGATGTTCTTGGGCCTCTATGATATATTGTTAACACTTTTGATTTATATATTAAGTAAAACAACTTTTACTGATCTACAAAGTGAAATTTCTAACCTAAATTTGCATCTTTTTGGATACAAAAACATTGAAATAACTTAAAATTCATGTTTTGAAAGGTTATGTGAATGGGGTTTGCAGATTAAAAATGTCCAGAAAATACTGGGCCAGGCAGCCTCTAAGTCTTTATGTGGGTGTGTATACTTAGGGCCAGTTTTTGGCTCAGCAGAAAACTTAGCCTATGTTCCAGGAGGTAAAAGGAAGATGAGCAATACACAAAATTATAGCCATTTTTACTCTCTTAGGAAAAGGAGGATATAAAACTATTTATTCACAAACATCTATCAAACTTCTGTCTTATGTAAATTTTTGCAAAGATTTATGTTAAATATTTTAATCTATTATTTCAGAATGTGATGTTAATTTCTCAAATTCAAATTCTGCTGTCTGACTCAGGTTTGCTGTGCTAACCAAAAATTACCGAATCTTGCCTCCAGTTGGATTTAGAATAAGACCTTATTGTGGGCACTATAGGGCAGAAAAGAAACAAATAATTCAGGGCTCAGCAATTGTAATAGAGACTTAACTTCTGCTGCTCATAATTCCTGTGACTCTAGACAATTCATTAGACTGCTGTATGCCTTAGTTTTCTATTTTGTTGAACTGAGAAAAGACCACCTGTTATGTCAAGGAGATTGATGACTCTTTCTTCTAGATCTCTCCATCCTACATGTGGGAGGTATTATGACAGATCTCCAAGGTAAAAGTATATCCTGTTCATATTTTGAAATACGAAATAGTTCATATTCATACTTCAAGAAAGTTCATATTTCACTTTCTTTTCTGTGAGTTTACAGACTCTTCCCTTAGTTTACAATTTAGGGAAATCTCTATTTTCCTTAACCACATATTTTTCAGTGCCAGTAATGCAAGCATGACAGATTTTCAAATCAGTGGGAGATCAACAGTCATGGGAGGAAAATGAAGAGAAGAAAGAAGAAATTTAGGTCCAAATATTGTCTTCATTATATTGTGTCCTCTTAAATATTGATCCTCTCACAAACCTGAATAAGTCATAGGGAAAATTAGGAAAAAGAAAAACTTCCTTTTTGTTTTTGCTAAATTCCTTTTCATCTTTCTCTTTTTCCTTTTCTTCTTTTCCTCCAAAAAATCTGAGGCTCTTCCTGGTATGTTGTGTCCCAGTCAGTGCTTTGCTGCCCTGGAACCAGTATTGTGTTCATTGATTTATGCATTTCTCCCTCCAGGAAGTATTCATTGAGCAACTAGTAGTACCAGGCTCTTAAGATCTTCCAGTGAATAAAATAGATAAAAGTAATTTTTAAGAACGTTGTATTTAAAAAGACTGGGTGCAGCTGGAGCAGAGAGGAGGGGAAAGGATGGGAGATGCAGCCAAAAGGTAGCAGGAGGCCAGATGATGGAGGGCTGTGAAGGGCCATTGTTTGAACTTTGGCTCTTTTGCTGAGTGGTATGGGAAGCAACTGGAGGTGCTCTGAATGACACAATCTGACATAATTTACTTGGGTCATTCTAGCAATAGTGTGGAGACAAGATTTGTCCTCAGTAGTGCTGTTCGGCTAATGGTAGGATTGTGTTGCCTGACCCTCCTGTAGGTGGGACTGTGTGACTGATATTGGCCAAGGGGTTGCAAAAGATAGGAACCCCATTCACTTTCAGATGGAGAATCTAATTTCTGTTGTGAAACAGAAATGAAAAGCTGCACTTTTACTTCACCACAGCAACTTACAATAATTCAGATAGTGACTCCTCTATCGTCAGGAGTAAAGACCACATAGAGCAGAGGCCCTGGCTGACCTGCAATGGACATAAAATGTGAGTGAGAAATAAACCATACTACTTTATGCCACTGAGTATTTAAGGTGGTTAATTGGTAACTCAAAGTAAGATGCTGCCATGACAAAAAACGTAAATATATGGCATTGCCTTAAAAAACTGGATGCAGACAGCAAGCCTATTATCAGAATTTAGAGGGATGATATTCCATTACTTTTCAATGAAAGTTATTTGGTAAAATCTTTGATAACATGGAAAGCAGATCAGGTAACTAATGAACATATGGTCCCAGGGAAATACATTGGAAATATAAATATTAGCAGTGTGTGTTGGGTGATGTTGGCTACATTTCACAATGTATTAGTCAAAGAGATGACCTCAGAAGAGAACACCCTGATTTGCAACATGAATGAAAGGGGTTAGAAAATACCCACAAATTTGGCAATATGTAGAGTGGAAAGGCACTCTTCTTTACAATAAATAAAAAATATAAGATCTAGAAATTCTTTGAGGTATCAAGTGGATTAAAGTTAATACTTATAGTAGCCATCAAAGCAAGAGTACAGCTGTCCCATTCACTGTTCAAAAGTCTAAGTGGGTTAAGTGATGATCCACAAATGATATCAATTGGACAAAACCACTTAGGAAAAAAGGCCGGAAGTACAGGTCTACCCAGGAAGCCAGATGAGCCCAAGTTATTCATCACTAAGTCTAGAAATAAGGGATTGAAAGAGTGAAGAAATGCAGCAGATCAAGAACTCTCTCTAGAAAAAAACAGTAAATGGCTATGACTTTTGGCTTATGAGTTGACTGCCATCAAAGAGGTAAGAAGTCTACTAAATGTTTGAGACTGTTGTGTTGTCAAAGAAACCATGAGCCAGGACTCAGTGTCTCAGGCCAATGGAAACTTAAAATGACCGATGAGCCGCAACATCCTACGGGCAAGAAACAGGTTATAAAATTTGCTTAGTTCCCAAGGATACCAACATCTATTTCAAATGTAGCAAAGAAGAAAATTGGAAAATGTAGCTCCTTCCAGAGAGAGTAGCCATGAACCACACGGGGTTATTTTGAGTTTTTGAGTTCAAAGCACCTAGAACAGTGCCTGGCACAGAGTTTGTGTTTGCTGCTGTTATTAATATATTTCCTCTTCCTCTTCCTATTTCTCCTCCTGCTCTTTCTCTTCCTTCTACTTCTCTTTCCCTTTCTTCTTCCTCCTCCTCTTCCTCCTCTTTTTTCTCCTTTTTTTACTTATGTATTTAATTGATAAATAAAAATTGCATAGATATAGTATACAACTGTTTTGCAATATGTATACATTCTGGAATGGCTAAATTGAGCTAATTAACATGCATTACTTCACAGACATAATTTTTTTGTGCATTGAGAACACTTAATATCTAATCTTAGCAATTTTCAAGACTACAATACATTGTTATTAACTGTATCACCATGTTATACAACTCCTTCTTCTTGTCCTTTCTTGCCCAGAGCCTAGTTGTGAAATCAAATGTGTTTGATTAGAGCTGATATCATGAAGTATTTGTTGCTACTTTCTTCCCCCTCAAGTTAGGTTCCAGAGAATGGCTGAAAATTTAGTTTTCAAGTCCCATTATTAGCTTTTGGGAAGGTCTGTCTTATCTCTAACTGAGTATTTCTCAAACATTAGCTATACATTAGAATTACCTGAATCCTTAAAAACAAATACTGACACTTGGGCCTCACGTGATTTTGTAGCCTTCTGACTTCTGAACTTCAGGTTCTTGACATTTTCCACTCTTTGATCCTACTTGTATTGATAACCGTGCTTGTTATAAGTAAGAAATCCCTACTTAGGTCCTTTGTTGGACCCTGCCAGGGAAGAGAGGAGTGATTTTGGACTGCTGAGCTGCAGTTGGTGAGAGATTTTTGTCAACTGCCTAATCTCAAACTTTTGATAAACTTTGTTGGAAATGAAATAAATGAGCAAAAATGGAATAAATGAGCCAAATACACCTCATTTTGTTGAATTAATTTGAATGTTTTTTCATCCAAAATATAGATTTTTATAAGCAGGTGGCCAAATCCCTTTAGTCTTTATTATGGGTATTTTCACATCTGCTTTGGCTAACATCTGTTCACTTTCTTATAAGCTTGAATATTGACTAAGTAGTAATCAGATGTCAAGCTGGTTCCCCATTCTTTTTTCAATTTCATATTAGTCACAATTACCATATTTCTCCAAACTTGTTTGGTGTGTATCTGGAGAGCAAGGACTGTTCTTTCCTGCTAGGCTGCTGCCAACACTCGCCTATATGATTTGATTCTGTGTGTGCAACCCTCTCATAGCTACAGCCCCAACTCAATTACTAAAAGTCCCTAGATTCTTTGTTTTATTTCCAAGTCCTTCAAAGTATAGAATGCCTTATAATACATATTTCGTCACCAACATGTTACTTACTTTGCTTCTCAGCACTCCTCAATTCAACTAACATTTATTGAGCACTTACTATGCTCACAGGATGTGTGCTGAAAATCGGAAGTGTGAAAAGATAAGAAAGATGTGATCAAGGATTAAAAGCCACTTTCAATCTGGGAAGGCAAAAGATGTGTGCATGGATAGCAAGACATGAGACAGGTTTTTTGTAAGCCTTAATTAATAGTAAGGCAAACAGAATAGAAGTTGAGAGCAGCTTGCTCAGCGCTGGAACACTGACATTTGAGATATTCGAAATCTCCTGTCTGTGGGGGTAGAGACACTAATCAAAATGGATAGATTCCCACTCACTTGCTGATTTACAAACTTAATATATTCGTGAGAGATTGCATTCCCCAGGGCTAGTCTGTAAATAAAAATGACCCTAAGACATCCCTTTATGTTTGAGACATCCCATATGTTTCTATTCTTCTCATGAGAATATACCCTCAACTCTATAGTAGGCTCTATCAATTCTGAGCACTTGAGCATGGTTTTTTAGCTTGACAACTTTAGTCTAATCCAAGCCTCATAACAGTATGTATGGAAGGTATCATTATTCCTGTGTAAAAACTGGGTAAAAAGATCAGAATTTAAATAAGTTTTGTAATATCTAGCCTACGGCCAAACCATGTTTTGAGCACAAATGTTTTAACTAAATACCCAATGAACACATCATAGATGCCATGTAAATAAATGAGCTATCATGAGTGTAGCAGAGAGAAAGTTTTCCTTTCTCGGTCCATCTTACCACAGTGCTCAGTGCTGGCCTTAAGCATGACACTGATGGACTATACAACTCTGGGGAGCACCATTCACAAAGAATATGATAAGAATGATACTTCTTGCACTCTGACCTGTCTATACCACAGAATAAAGGGAGCAATGAAAGAAAAAGAACTCAAACAAACAAAAACAAAACAAAACAAAAACCAAAAAACAATAACAAAAAAGGGAGCAGTGGAGAGTGACCTAATCAAACTGTAAGCTATTTATTGGTATACATTTTGACTTTATAGAGTATGTTAACATAAATGAACATGTATTTTGGTAATCTTCAAATCATAAATATTCAAAATGTCCATTCACAGTTTTCATAGATGTGTTATGAATGAGCATGTGTACATTTTTAGTTAGAAGGTATATATACACACACATATATATACATACATATATACACATATATGTGAGTGCATATATATACACATATGTGTGTATATGTACATGTATATATACGTGTGTGTGTGTATGTATATATATATTTGGAGTATCTACCCCTCACAGCTAAACTATATATTTGAAGGCAAAGAGTATATTTAACTCATTTTATGTGATGATGTATTTAGTCAAAACTTTGCCTGCTACATATCTGAATTAATTTTAAAGCTGCCCGTGATGCCTAAAATGTAGGTTAAAAATTGGCTTCTCCCTTCTGCATGTTTTCCAGAAGTTATACTTCATCTCAGATTGAAGAAATACATATGTTCCCAGAGAAGTGCTCAATTCATTTTCTGCTTGGACATTTTTTATGGTGCCTGCATACCTGAAAAAGTATGAACAGATGAGAGCTTAGATTTGTGCTCCCAAATTGGGCACAAATCTAGAGTAATTGTACACAATGACATTCTATTTTTGTAACTTGCATTTAGGTATGAAACAATTACAAAAACCTTTATTTTTTTATTCTACTGTTGTCTTTTGTGCTAATAAGTTCAGTTTGTAGAAGATTCATGTTTCTCCTCCAGAATTAGAATAAAGTCAGATGGGCAAAAGCTTTGAGTCTGGTCACTCCTTCATTACATGTTAGAAATCTTGATTTATCTCCATATGGCAGAATGGGCAGGCTTTTGCATACCCTTTGGATAGAAAAAATCAGAACTCTGAGAGTAAAATTTAGATAACATAGATTCTACTATGACTTCATGATGCATTTGGCACTGGAAAATCGTTAAGTGGTGCAAGAAAAACCTTAGAACTAGAAGAAGAAATTAAAGATAGACTGGGAGTATATTTTTCGTTCTCCTTGTTCACAGACTAGGAATACCTGATCCTTCAGTAATGGACTGTGGGCCATCATATGATGAAGAGTATGAACTGCATGAAATTAAGATAAGATATTGGATTGTCAGGTCTTTGTAAAAATGTCTTGCTCTAAATCAGCCTTGGGGCAATATATTTATAGAATGCAGTTGAGAGTGAATGTCAGGGGTCATATGGAATATGACTGACAGATCCAAGAGCTTTTATGGACTAATTGGGGTGTTACTGAAAAAAATGTATATTTCTTCTTGTGGGTCTCTCTGACTTTGGCTTCTTCCTTACTTTTTAAATTTGCTTTAAATTTGGCACTGGCACTATTGTACTCCACAGTGTAGAAATGTCCTGGGGAGCAGCTTTCCATCCAAGGACTTCAATTCTCAGCACCTCTTGCATTTTAAGTATGGGCATGTGTCTAGTTCTTACCAATGGAATCAGAACAGAAGTGAGTTTTCCACTTTTGAGCCAGGCGATGCTAATAGTTATGAGGTGTGTTTTTTCAAGACAGAAGGAAATTGAATTCTTGAATTAGACTGGCACTATCTAGTAGAAACATATTAATAGTCTTCTAGATAAGAAAAAGAACAAAAACATGTACTGCATTAGCCACTAAATTTGCAGGTTGGTTTGTGATAGCAGCTGGCTGTAACAAATGCAATTACATGTTTATCTCCTCTGTAGATACAACTTTATCTCTTCTGTCTATCAAATCTTTTACATCTTTAGCCCTTCGGTCTATCAAATCTCCTTATGTTTTTCTCTTTCAAGGGAGCCTTGGGTCAATATATTTACAGAATGCAATGGAGAGTGAATGTCAGGGGTCATATGGAATAAGACTGGCAGATCCAAGAGCTTTTATGAACTAATTGTGTTACTGCAAAAATTGTGTATTTCTTCTTGTGGGTCTCTCTGACGTTGGCTTCTTCCTTATTGGTTCTTGTTTGTTTTAAATTTGGCAAGGGAGACATAAGGAGATTTGATAGAACAGATAAAGACCATGTGACAGAAACAACGGAAGCAGAGTCAGAGAGAAAAATTTTATGCCACTAGCTTTGAAGATGGTGGAAGGGGCCATGAGCCAAGGGATGCAAGGAACTCAGCTCTAAACTCTGGAAAGGGCAAGAAAACATTCTCCCTAAACCCTCCACTGGAGCGTGGCTCTGCATCATTTTAACCCTTTAAGACTCATTTTGGACTTCTGGTCTTTAGAACTGGAAGAACATTGCTGTGTTTGTTTGTTGTAAGCCACTGAGTTTGTGGTAATTTGTTACAGCAGCCACAGGAAACTGATACAATTCTCAAGTGTTTATCTGGGCCCTTTGCAGTCGATCCCTGCTGTCATCCCTGGGTGTCAGACAACCAGTGATCTGCTTTCAATTTCTATTATGTTGCTTTTTCTACAATTTTATGTAACAGAAACAATATAGTTTATAGTGGCTAATGTCTGACTTTTTAAATGGAGTATAATATTTTTAAATGGAGTATAATATTTTTGAGGTTCATCTGTGTTTTGTGTGTCATAGTTTCTTTTGCTGAGCAGTTTGCTATCTTATGCATAATATATAGATAGAAGAAAATGGAATTCTTGAATCAGACTGACACTATCTAGTAGAAACATATTAATAGTCTTGAATGAATGAATGAATGAATGAATATATATATAACAGAATGACTATATATATATATTCATTCATTCACTACCTTACGGGCATTTGGATTGATTCTAGTTTCAGGCTACCATGATTAATGCACTTTGAACTTACATGTAAATATCTTTTTGTGGGCATACATTTTTATTTTTCTTGGGTAGATGCCTAGGATGGAATTCCCAGGCTGGGTAGTAAGCATACGTTTAGCTTTTAAATAAACTGACAAACTGTTTCCCAAAGTGGTTGAATCACTTTAACTACCAATTATCTATGAGTTTTTGAAATGATTTATGAAGAAGGGAAGACAGAGACAGAGAGAGAGATGGAAGAGGGGAAGAGTAGAAATTAAAAGAAAACTAGCTAAAGATATTAAGAGTTAAGGATTGTTCTGCCCAAGACTGACCTCCTGTAGACCAGCCTCCTGGAAAAGATGTAGTTTCCTGAAAAGTCTCTGGAAACTGGTGACAACCAAGTGCATAAGGCAATTAATCCTGGTCAACCTGATCATTTGAACTCGGCCTTTTCAGTCAAGCCAGAATATGGCCTAATCCACCATGAACTTCCCCATTGAGAATGCAGAATAAAGGGGTCATGTTACCCACTTGCCACATCCTAGAGACAAAATTATAAAGCTTTGCTGCTAGCACTCTCATCACACCAGGGAAAAAGCTGCTATCTTTTAAGCTAGTGTAGAGCTGAAAAAACAGGCTAGAGTCGAGTTTTCACCATGTGATATTGCGAACTTACCATGCCCAACCACTAATATGTAAGGACTCATTTCAAGATGTTTATTACAGTATTATTTATCTTGGCACAAAACAGAACACAAAGAAAATGCTTAACTAAGAAAATAGTTCAATAATGTATTGTTCTCTCCCCTATGGAATATAATGCAGACATTAAAAGGAATGAAATAGAGCCAGACCAACTCATTTTAAAGGATTATTACAAGATATGAATTGGGGGAAGAAAGTTGAGATTAAGAGAGGTATGCATAAAATGACTCCGTTTTGAAATACTGTAAACAATTATGTATGAGATTCCATATATTAATATTTTAAGTGTTTCCTTTTTTAAAATAGAAAGAAGAAATAAAGATTTTTCTCAGAATTTAAGGTTGAATTGTAGGCTATTCTTTCAGCCTACAGATTATTTCCACATAATCTCACTCATTCATTGAGTTCTATTATCAGACATACAATGATGACCCCCAAATCTTTATCTCTTACCTAGACCTTTTCTCTCTTTCTTCCCATTTAAAAAAATACAATAAAATAGCCAGATTTATTTTTCTTTATTGAAACTTGTGTTTTCTACTGCCTCCTTATCATCTCAGTTTACAGATTTATAGGCATTGGAAACGACCTGTCTCAACTCTCTCCTCCCTCCACCTTTGCTCCTCTTTCTTCCTCCTTATCTCAGTGGATGGCATCAACTGTTGCTCAAGCCAGGATCCCCAGTGTCATCTTTTATTACTCCCTCTCCTTCATTAGCCGATACTACTGACAGGATATATATCTCATAAATGTATCCATATTTCTCTATATCCACAGTCCTTTATTTCAGGATACCATGATCTCTTGCCTGGATTACTCTACATATTCCTAACAAGTCTCTCTGCCCTTCTGAACTGCCTTCTTCACATGGAAATTAGAAAGGCTTCCTATAGTAAAAATATGATTGGTTCTGCTCATAGTTAAACTCTGTTGTGGGTTTCTTAATTACTCCCAGGTTAATGATGAAGCCTACGAGGTGAGTGTGTGTGTGTGTTCACAACTGCAATGACATATAATTGTGTGATCTACCTTTGGAAATCACAAATGAAAAAAATAATCACAACAATAAAAAAAAACCATTTAGAAATAAAAGTTACTACCCAGATTAACTCTTAAAATGACATCAAAACTGTAATTGTACACTGTTAAAAAAGGAATAACAACACATTAAGCTATACTCAGTGGTAAATCCATAGTCTGAAATTGCTTTATTATAAAACAGGAGAAAATAAGATAAAACATTCAAGTGCAAGTGGCAGAAAAAGAATACCTAAAATTTTAAAACATTAAAAAGGAAAAGAAAAAATTGGCAAAACTAAAACCAGAAGTTAATGATTAAGGAAACCAAAAAAATACATTGATAAATAATTGAAAAGTTAATAAAAATACTCAACCTCACAGGAGGTTTGCTTGGGGAAACAGTGAGAAAACAAAAATATATTCAAGTGGGGGGAAGATGGAGCCACATGTAGGAAATACATTGAAATACTTGTAAGAAGGTGTCTTTTAAAGCTGATATCAATAAGTTCAACAGTTTTGACAAAATGGAAAAATTTAAGAATAATACAAAGTAAACCAAACTGTCTCAACAAGAAGTTGATAAAAGAAATGGAACAATAAGAGATTGAAAAGGTTAGCAATAAATAGCTCCCCTCAAAGGCTGTAGCCCATGTGATTTTATAGGTGAGATTTACACCCCCACCACTATACAAACACATTTAAAAAGGCTTAATTCTTCTGTGTAGAAGAAGATGACATGATTCTGAATTCAACCTGTAAAGCTAATATAACCCTATTCAAACCAGACAAAGACAGCTCGAAAAGTGCATATGCTGGGCACATGGTTGCTCACATCTGTAATCCCAGCATTTTCAGAGGCCAAGGCAGGAGGATTGCTTGACGCCAGGAGTTCAAGACCAGCCTGGGCAAGACAGTGAGACCCACCCCCCCCATCTCTATAAATAAAATAATTCTTAAAAATTAACTGGGGCATGCCTGTAGTCCCAACTACTTGAGAGGCTGAGGCAGGAGGATCCCTTGAGCCCAGGAATTCAAAGATGAAGTGAGTTGTGATCATGCCATTGCACTCCAGCATGGGCAAGAGAGCAAGATGCCATCTCTAAATAAATAAATAAATAAAAGATTCACTTATCAATCGACTTACATGCATAAAAAATCCTAAATTGAATTGATTTAGGCATGTTGGTACAAGAAAACTATACAGTGACCAAGAAAGACTTAATCCAGTTATTAAAATTCAACCCATTAATAAATTAAAAGAACATGATCATCATTGAAACAATGCCCTTTAATAAAATTCAGCTGTGTCTAATAAAATTCTTAGAAAACTAAGAATAGAATATTTATTGAATATAATAAAGATTATTTGTCTTCAATTAATAGTCAGCATTATATTTTAAAGTACATCGGAAATGTTGTCTTTAAAAGCTAGAAGGTTGACAAGAGTGCTGTCTTTTAACATTGTTCTGAAAGTTTTATTTTAATAATTTGAAATTTAAAAGAAATGAGTTTTAATATTGGAAAGGAAGACTAAAACTAGCATGTGAATTATGTGAAGAAAATGACTGTCAACCAAAAAAACCCAAAAGAATCAACAAAACTGTAAGAACTAATAGTCCTTATACTTTTTTATCTAGTTTGATAATAGATCTTATCATTTCAAAAGTTCAATAAGTAAACTGAAGTTCAGTAAGTTATAAAAATCAAACAAACATAAAGCCTCATGGCATTTTCAACCTATGTATGACCACTGATTAGCTAGTAAGCATCTTTTAAGAAACACATTTTAAATTTTAAGAATGCAGTTGCCATTTTTACTGAAATGGGGAGGCCTAAAGAGGAATAGGTTTGAATTGGGGAGAAGCAGGATATCAGTCTGAGCATGTAGAGTTAGAGACACCTATGAGAGTCAAATGCAGTTGAATTGATCCTATGTTAGTATAAAATTCAGTGGGCTGAAGATACATGTTGCGAGTTGTTGGTATGTGGATAATATATAAAACCATAAAGCTTGAATTAACCTTAGGAGTAAGTGTAGTGAAAAAAGAAAAAAATTAAATTAAAAAATTTTAAAGTTAGATATTGGTGAAATAGGCTACATTTAGAAGTGAATCAGGGGTGAGCACTCTTCTGGAGGGCAAGTAAAATATATGCTCCAAGAGCAAGAGAGTGAGCTATTGCACCATGCTGTCCACTACTCAAGTAAGATGAGAACACAGAATTGGCCATTGGACTTGACAATGGGGTCAGGGAGACTATTAACAATCTTGACAAGAGGTGTTTTCATGAAGTGATATGAATGTCAAGCCTGATTATATTGGGTTCAAGAAAGAATAGAAGAGGAGGAATTAGAGATGGTGAGTGCAAAAACATTTCCTGAGTATTTCATAAGGGGAAACAGAAAAATAGGACAGGAATTAAATAAGAGTGCTATCAAGAGCTTTTACATTTTTTAAAAGATGGAAGAAAAAACATCATTTTTGTATGTGGCTGGGAATAATTCAGGAGAAAGTTGGAAATTGAGAGAGAGATAGCATTGCTGGAACTAAATCACTGAATGAGCAAGAAATTTTAGATCTAGTTAGCATGTAAGTGGAGTAATTTACATTGGGGTAGAGAAAGTGAGTGTACAAATACAGATGCAAATATGTTGGTAAATGTGATAGTTGGAATGCAGAGAAATTTTCTTTATCTTCTTCTATAATGATTATAATTCTGTCTTTTTTGTACTTCATTTGTCTAGTTTGGTAATAAATCATAAGAGCTTCATGATATAAATTGAAGGACCATTTATGTTTTAGAAATCTTAAGTAATTTCTGCAGAGTCTGTCATTTAAAGACCGTAGTATATTTCATTGTGAAACTGGTTCACTTGGGAATGCAGTTTTGAACGTTTTTGTACTACGCTTGTTTTCACTTTAATATCTTTATATTTGCTGCTTCCTCTGGTTGGATCATCTTTCTCGTGGATGAACACATGCCTGGCTCCTTGTTACTACTTCAATCTCTAATTAAATCACTTCCTCTGATAAAGCTTAACTCTCCTGCCGAAAAGAGCCCATATCCCCCCGTTATTTTTATTTCTATTGTCCTTATTTCTTTTTTCATAGAATTTATCACTTTCTGCAATGATCTCATATACAGTTTAGTTACACTTATTTTCTGTCTCTCTCCACTAGACTGTAAGTTCCAAGAGGTTAGCAATATTGTTGTTCTCATTCACCACTGTGTGGCCAACATATTGGTATTTGTTGTATTCCAGAAAATATTTGTTGAATGAATAAATGCATGAATTATCAGGGAATGGTGGAGTAAAGGCATTAAAATATTAAACCACATCGTATATTTAATCATTTTCAGGAATTCCTAAACATACGAAAAAATAAAGTTACAATCATTCTGGAAGAATTGTATAGGAAAATGTTGGAGACCCACTGAAGGAAGGAATTACTGTATTTTGCTTTGTATTTTTCACATTGATTAGTGCTGAGTTTTATAAATAGAAGCCTTTTGGTTAATATTCGCTGAATGAATTAATGAATCAATTACTGAATTAATGAAATATGCTAAAACTGAGAAATTCTTTAGGTTTGTTACCTTATTTTTCCAAACCAGTATTTTGTTATGGGCACTACTTTTAAAAAAAAACAAAAATTCAAACGTGTGACTGAATATGCCTGATTTCTTAAATGCAACTTTAGGACTTGAAGACATTAGCATTCCCTCCTAAGTTCTAACTAGATAGTTGAGGAGCATATAATTAGCTTTATAGCAAGCTGATTATAAAGTAACACCAGTGTGAAGAAACAAGTCATGTTATTGTCTGAAATACTGCACGAGGCTCAAGGAGAGAAACACTATTTATTATATTAAAAAAATTACATTGCCAATTTAGTACAAGAGAACTATATAAAACTGGAGATATTATAGGGAAAAGTGCTTAGACACTATCATCATGTCCAGGGGAATTTTGCTTATATATCAGTATCCTACTGAAGTTCTTAAAGCATAAAGTAGTTATGTTTACTGGCAGGTGTTCATAGGCATATTTTATTATGAGTAGTGTAGGGAAAAACTGAAGATGGCCTCATTTCACCAAATCCTGTACAGAAAACTATTCAGTGGGTCTTGGAGTAGTCAAATCTAGCCTCTTAGTCTAGTTATGATGCTATGGTGGCATTTTGACATTTAGGTGGGTAATTTATACATTTCTTAACAGAACAAATTGAATATTAGTGTATCAACTTTATAAAAACCTGGAACTCACTCACTCTCTACTTCAATAATTCATCAATTAATTCATTTAAATTACAAACTGCATACTGTGAGTTAGACTACCCTAAGCATTTAAGACAAATAAGTAAGCTGGCATGGAACCTGCCCTCCCTGGGTGGATAAGGGGCCAACAGTCTTAAGTGAATATAAGACAGTAGAAAGCTAACATATTATAGAAGTGTTTATTATATTTTAAGGAGCATATGAGTCACTTTGTTGGTGGTCTTGGTAAAATAATTGATTAAATATGTCTGGAATGGGGACTAAGCTTCTGCAGTTCTAACAAGCTCCCAGGTGATACTGATGATTCTTGGAACACATCACAAAAAACAAGGCCGTATAGAACAGAAAAAGGGAGGCCTGTGGGTTTCCAAATCGAACTTCTCAGTTGTTTGAATGTACCTGATAAAGTTTGGCTTTGTGTCCCCTCCCAAATCTCATTTTGAGTTTTAATCCCCATGTGTCCAGGAAAGGGCGTGGTGGGAGGTGATTTGATCATGGGGGCATTTTCCCTCATGCTCTTCTCATTATAGTGAGTGAGTTCTCACAAGACCTGATGGTTTAAAAGTGTTTGGTAGTTCCTCCCTCACTCTCTGTCCTGCTGCCATGGAAGATGTGCCTTGCTTCCCCTTTGCCTTCTACCATGATTTTAAGTTTCCTGAGGCTTCCCCAGCCATGCAGAACTGTGAATCAATTAAACCTTTTTTCTTTATAAATTACCCAGTCTCAGGTAGTTCTTTATAGCAGTATGAACACTGATTAATACAGAAAATTGGTACAGGAATAATGGGGTACTACTGTAAAGATAACCTAAAAATGTAGAAGCAACCAGGGACCTGGGTAACGGGCAGAGGTTGGAATAGTTTGAAGAGTTCAGAAGAAGACAGGAAGATGTAGGAAAGTTTTGAACTTCCTAAAGACTTGTTGAATGGTTTTCACGAAAATTCTGTTCAAGATATGGACAATAAATCCAGGCAGAAGTGGTCTCAGATGGAGATGAGGAACTTATTGGGAACTGGAGTAAAAGTCACTCTTGCTATGCTTTGGCAAAGAGACTAAACAGCAACATTTTGCCCTTGCCATAGAGATCTATGGAACTTTGAACTTGAGAGTTCAAATGATTTAGGGTGTCCGGTGAAGAAAATTTCTAAGCAGCAAAGCATTCAAGGTTTGACCTGGCTGTTTCTAAAAGCATATAGTCATATGCATTCACAGAAAGATGATCTGAAATTGGAACTTACGTTTAAAAGGGAAGCAGAGTGTAAAAGTGTGGAAAATTTGCAGCCTAACCATGTGCTAGAAAAGAAAAACCCATTTTCTGGGGAGAAATTCAAGCCGGCTGCAGAAATTTGCATAAGTAACAAGGAGCCAAATGTTAATAGCCAAGACAATGGGGAGAATGTCTCCAGGGCATTTCAGAGATCATCATGGCAGCACCCCCCCCATCACAGGCCCAGAGGTTTAGGAGGGAAAAATGGTTTCGTGGGCCAGGCACAGGGTCCTGCTGCTCTGTGCAGCTTTGGGACATAGTGCCCTGTATCCCAGCCACTCCAGCTCCAACTGTGGCTAAGAGGGGGCCACTGTACAGCTTGGACCATTGCTTCAGAGGTTGCAAGCCCCAAGCCTTGGTGGCTTCCACATGGTGTTGGGTCTCTGGGTATGCAGAAAATAAGAGTTGAGCTTTGGGAGCCTCTACCTAGACTTCAGAGGATATATGGAAATGCCTGAATGTCTAGGCAGAAGTCTTCTGCAGGGGTGGAGCCTCATAAAGAACTTCTACTAGGGCAATGCAGAGGGAAAATGTGGGATTGGAGACACAGAGTCTCCACTGAGGCACTGCCCAGTGGGGCTGTGAGAAGAAGGCCACTGTCCTGCAGACCCCAGAATGGTAGATACACTGAGAGCTTGTTCTGTGTGCCTGGAAAAGCCGCAGGCACACAACGCCAGCCTGTGAAAGCAGCCACAGGGGCTGTACCTTGCAGACCCACATGGGCAGAGCTGTCCAAACCATGGGAGCCTACCTCTTGCATCAGCGTGCCCTGGATGTGAGACATGGGGTCAAAGGAGATTATTTTGGAGGTTTAAGATTTAATGTACGCCCTGCCAGGTTTTGGACTTGCATGGGGCCTGTGGGCCCTTTATTTTGACCAATTTCTCCAATTTGGAGTGGCAGCATTTATCCAATACCTGTACCCCCATTGTACCTAACTTGCTTTTGATTTTACAGGCTCATAGGTGGAAAGGACTTGCCTTGTCTCAGATAAGACTTTGGACTTGGACTTTAGAGTTAATGCTGGAATGAGTTAAGACTTTGGGAGACTGTTGGGAAGGCATGATTGTGTTTTGAAATGTGAGAAGGATATGAGATTTGGAATAAAAATGTTCCAGGGGTGGAACAGTATGTTCTGGCTCTGTGTCCCCACCCAAATCTCATCTCAAATTGTAATCCCCATGTGTCAAGGGAGAGACCTGGTGGGAGGTGATTGGATCATGGGAGTGGTTTTTCCCATGTTGTGCTCATGGTAGTGAGTGAGTTCTCAGAAGATCTGATGGTTTAAAAGTGTTTGGCAGTTCTCTCCTCGCTCTATCTCTCTTCTGCCACCATGGAAGACGTGCCTTGCTTCCCCTTTACCTTCTGTCATGATTGTAAGTTTCCTGAGGCCTCCCCAACCATGCAGAACTATCAGTCAATTAAACCTTTTTTTCTTCATATATTACCCAGTTTCAGGTAGTTCTTTATAGAAGTGTAAAAATGGACTAAAACAGTATGTAAGGGACAAGAGCAAGACATATTCACACTAACATGCTGAAAAAGCTTTATGTGCACATGTGAGGACATCCTAACCTGCACCTACCATCCCTGTTTTTACCAAATGCAAATACTCTTCTGGCCACCCTTCACACCTGCACCCCGTTCCTCCCTTGAGGGGACTGACCTGGCAACAAAACCTTCTTAGGCTCTTAGAGACATACGTGATATCATTTTGCAAAATAATTCTAGGTGCTTCAAGATAATGACGCCAGTGTGTGGAAGCATGAGATAACATAGATCCAAATAAAATGGAATCTACAGATGTAAAGCTGGAATCAGAATATAAATGAGCCCAAGTCCTTGTGTGTACACACTTGAGTGGAATATTTGAGTTGGGTGCAAGGTCCTCTGAACAAGAATAGAGTGAGAAGGGTAAAGAGTAGGCCTCTTATATATTTCCCACTCTAAGGTATATATGAGTTCCAAAGATTATCTAGTATATGACAGAAAGAGGGTCCATAGAACAAAATAAGGGATAAACCATTAGTAAATCTGTAGTTTTTATTATTTAACTTTAGAATTATTGCTCTCATCACTTTTCCTCTTTTTAGTCAATAGCTACCCATTCTAATAGAAGACAGGCACATACACTGAATGATCTCCTGAGTCTATTGCAATAGAATGATTATCATCCTTTATTCCAACTTCCTGTTCTCATTTCCCCTGCTAGCCTAAAAAACATAAGTAAAGCAAAGATACAAAATTAGATTATAAACCAGATCATATATGACAATAGAACTCGAGTCCAAATCCTCTGTAGCAACTAGCCGATGAATCCAAACCACAACTTCTGTAGCAATCATACCAGAGTACTCAAAACTTGGCTAATGACTACCAGGTTCTCAATTTCTCATTCACTCAACCAGAGGAAGACATGCGTGTTCTTGAAAGCAATCATATAAGATATCCTACCTCTAGTTAGTTTGGCTCTTGCTTCTCCATCCCAACAACCTCTATTAGAGTGTACCTGAATCCTCCCTCCACATTTTTTTTTACTATAAAGCTTTTTCACTCTTTTGCCTGCATTTGAATCTCTGTCAAATTGAAATCATGGTAACTCCATTGCTATAGAAAGCTCTAAAACATATAGCCTCTGTTTGTTCCCACTTGGGTGGTCTTCCTGTATTTCTACAGTTTTCCTGGAGGATCCACCAACATATAACCTGAACTATTCATCACCATGGATCCCACACTTTGGTGTAAAATTACCCATGGAGTGCCCTGAATCTTGTTGATCACAATGAGTAGATCAATGAGTACATCAGCACCCGGTCTGAACTCTGCTGTGTTTTTGTTGAGCTCTACAGCTATTTATTCTGCTTGGCACCCAGGTTTTGTTATCGCTTCCCGGTTTTTGGCATTCTTGCTAGAATCAGGCCATTCATTTTCATCCTGTTCTGCTCCCTTTTGTGCTTCTGTTTTGTGCTGTCTAAAATTGTTATTAGTCATAAGGAGAATCACTGATTATAACACAACCATGCCTTATAACCCTGTTACATAAGTCAGCCACACAAACAGGTGAGTGTTGTTCTCACTGGATAGGAATCCATTTGGACAAACTTTGCTCTGGGTCACCAGTAATATTAGACAAAGCTCTTTTTCCATCTACATTTTTGGTACTGATGTCTTGGCTTTGACACAGAAAGAACAATCTTTCTGGTTTTCTTTCTGATGTGGAGTGAAGACTGTCTAGTCTGAATTTAAAAATGGCCAACTATTAGATTTGGTGCCTGAGACAGGAAATGGACAAGCATCACTTTTTGACCAGCTATTGCCAAATCTTATGAGACCATCTAAGCCTAAATCCTCTCATCCTCCAGCAGACATTCCTGCCTCTTATATATACATTCTCATTAAAATTTTAATTCTTGTGCATGTCTCCCTGAATGGCATAACTTTCCCGAAGTTATAATCTGGGCTTTCAGTGTCCATGCTGGGGAATATTTAACTGGAATAACATTACTTATTTGAGAAACACCTTAGAAAACAAAGAGAACATGAGCAGCATTTTTTAATTGGTATATAGAGACCACCACACAAAATTCTGATTCAAAAATTGCTTCACTAACAGCTTCTTTGGCCAAATCCAATGGGCAATTTGACAAACTTAGGCAGTACAAACTACAGACAGCCTCCAACTTACAATGGTTTCACCTTAAAATTTTCTGACGTTATGGTGGTGTGAAAGTGATTAAGGATTCCGTAGAAAACAAACTTTAAATTTTGAATTTTGATCTTTTCCTGTGCTAGCAATATATAGCACAATACTCTTACATAAGATAGCCAACACTTTATTATAAAGTAAACTTAGTGTTAGATGATATTGCCCAAATGTGGGCTAATGTAAGTGTTCTGAGCACATTTAAGGTAGGCTAGACCTAAATGTGGTAGATTAGGTGTATTAAGTGCTTTCTGGACTTACAATATTTTAAACTCAGGATGGGCTTATCAGGATGTAACCGCATTGTAAAGCAAGGAGCAGTTGTAGATTTATTTCTCCAGTAAATCTTCAGACTTCTTGTTCTTCATTTGATTCCTTGCATCTGGCACTCTTCTTCCCTTTGTCCTTCTGATTTCTCTCCATCTATACCTCCACTGACTCCTTCCCCTTCTTGTCCAGACCCTTTACCTTTTCCCAATGCCTCTTCTAAGACCCAAGAATACCAGTTGCCTCTAAAGATCCATCTCTCCCATGAGCTAAGTTTATAGGCAGCTGTAGAATTTAAGCCTTACCCATGCTAAATAAAAAGCTATATATAAATTTAAAATTTTTCCCTAAACTCAGAGGAAACCATAAATTACTTGTATAAGAACTTAATTTTTTTTTATCCATATGACCCAGAGTTGCCTGACCTGTATCAACTTGTACACATATTGATCAGAAAGTCAGATGTGAAATCTTGGATGGCTGAAGGTGATTGAACTAACCTAGAAATACTTTTTTCTACAATAAACCCAAAAGTTTTTTTAAAGGTCCAAAAGCATGAGAACATTTTCTAAAAGCCATAATTGAAACATTTCCAATAAAAATAAATTAGGCCATAATTCCATCACGCAACTAGAGAAAGGATGAAATATGAATGGGAAGTATCCCTTTTACTTGAACTACAAGTGTTTTAACAGCTTGTAGAACATTTTGCAGTTGTTCTTGAACAATATGACACAGAAATCAAAATAAACTTCTGACCCTGCAGATCAAACAGATGGTGGCATATTTCCCAACAGATCACCATTGACAAAGACACTTATGGCTATATATAGATCTCTCTCTCTGTCTGTCTGTCTCTCTCTCTCTCTCTCTCGCTCTCTCTCTCTATATATATATATATACTCTACTCAGAAGGCTGAGGAGGAGGAAGGAGGATCCCTTGAGCCCAGAAGTTTGAGGCTGCAGTGAGCCATGATTGTGCCACTGCACTCCAGACTGGGTGACAAAGCAAAACCCTGTCTGTAAAAATACAAATATACAGGTAGAATTATACATATATACAGATAGAATTATATCATATATATATCTATATCTATCTACCTATATAGATATTGCTATACATAGATCTGTATATAGAGATATCTATATCTTGTTTATATATATACATATATACGTATATATACATATATATGTATATACATATATACGTATATATGTATATGTATAAGTATATAATATATAATGTATATATTATATATTATAAATACAATGTATATATTATATATTATAAATACAATGTATATAATATATATTATATATTATATAATACAATGTATAGATAATATATATTATATATTATATAATACAATGTATAGATAATATATATTATATATTATATAATACAATGTATAGATAATATATATAATACAATGTATAGATAATATATATTATATATTATATAATACAATGTATAGATAATATATATTATATATTATATAATACAATGTATAGATAATATATATTATATATTATATAATACAATGTATAGATAATATATATTATATATTATATAATACAATGTATAGATAATATATATTATATATTATATAATACAATGTATAGATAATATATATTATATATTATATAATACAATGTATAGATAATATATATTATATATTATATAATACAATGTATAGATAATATATATTATATATTATATAATACAATGTATAGATAATATATATTATATATTATATAATACAATGTATAGATAATACATATAATATATGTATATAATATATATACAAGATGTAGATATCTCTATGTACTGATCTATCTATAGCAATATCTATATAGGTAGATAGATATAGATATATATGATATAATTCTATCTGTATATATATATTTTTACAGACAGGGTTTTGCTTTGTCACCCAGTCTGGAGTGCAGTGGGACAATCACGGTTCACTATAGCCTCAAACTCCTGGGCTCAAGGGATCCTCCTTCCTCAGCCTTCTGAGTAGCTGTGTCTACAGGCATGTGCCACCATTCCTGGCTAATTAAAAAAAAAATTGTAGAGACAAGATCTTACTATGTTGCCCTGGCTGGCCTCAAACTCCTGGCTTCGAGTGACCCTCCTGCCTCAGTCTCCTAAAGTGCTGGGATTACAAGCATGAGCTACCATGCCCAGTTACTTGTAGATCTTTTAAATAGAAGAGATATTTTAAACAAAATACTTTTCAATCTTACAAAACATACACCAAGACAAATAAACATAACTCAGGTCAAAGGGAGTACTCCAAGGAAAGAAAAAAAGCACCCAGTATTGTGCCTTACCTTTAAAAAGTCAAGGTGAATTAGCTATTAATATAGATGGTCAACCTCATCAATTCCTGGTAGCTATGGGCACTGTTCTTCCTTCATTAAATTTTCTCATCTTTGTTCAACTTCTTCCTTGGAGTAAACATAGCACACAGGTACTAGGTGTTTATAATAACCCACAGATATTTCCCATCTTTTAGCCCTTAAACGTAACCCATGGACCTTCAATTGAACAACACTACTTTTTGCTCTGTGATACCACCCTGAAAATTTAAAAGGAAGATATTTACTTTGCAAATGGAATTATAATATTAAGTGTACAGAGGGACTATTTCTTGAGATTCCAGAGAACTCCAATATTCAGAATCATGATGTGTCTGCTCTGGATATACCTTTGCTTTCTCTATTATATTTGATGATGCACCAGTTAAAGATCTTGACACCATACTTGATACTTTGTGGAGTAAAATTTCCACTGAAGTAGGAAAAATAATTAGTGAAGAACTTACTAAAGTTCAGAAAGATCCTACCAAACTGTTTACTTCTGCAATAGCCCTTGAAGCCAGTCAAAGTAGACTCAAAGCTAGAGTTGAAGATGTTCTATCTAAAAGCCATTTCGTAGTCTGCACTAGTCCTTATAATGCTTCCATCAGTAAATAAACCAAATGAACAAGGATATCAATTTGTTCATGAAATCAGGCTATTTCACAAAATTCATTCTTTCTTCCCAGTGGTACCTAACCCACATACAATCCTGCCATCAATTCCTAAAGCAACCTCTTTCACCATAATGGTCTTGTTTTCTGTCCATTTCAGTGTTCCCCTAGCCCAGGACAATCAATACCATTTTGCCTTAATTTATGGAGGACAATGATATTTGTGGAAAGTTATGCTCCAGGTGTTTACTGAAGCTCTCTTCTATTTACCCTAGGTCTTCATTCAAAACTAAAAACACATAAATTTTCTGTGTGACTCAGTTCTCAAACAATACATAGATGATTTATTTAAAGAAAAAATACTTTGTTCAGAGAACAAGGAAGCTTGTAAAAAAAGATTCTATTTACTTGATCTGGTCTTAGCAGAAAATGGACATAAAGTTTCAAAAGATAAATTACCAATTTGCCAAAGCACAGTCCATTATTTATGGTGTGACCTATTTAAAGAGGGAAAACTTCTCTTCAAATGGACTAAACAGCATCCAATCTTATCGTAGACTCTTAATAAAATGACAGTTGAGAAGATTTCTGAGCTTATTTGGATACTGCAGGAAATGAGTGTCAAATTTTTCTGAGATTGCAACACCTGTTTATAAATTGAGTAAGTTGTCAATAAGATAAATTCCTTTCTCCAGGAGCTCAAAAATGAACAAGTCTTCCCTACCTACAAAAAGCCCTCTGTTTATATACATGCAATCTGGACAAGTCTTTGGGGTCTTAACATTGTGGGAATCATTTAAAAAAACCATCATTTAGAATAGTTTCACCCTTGACTTGGTTGCAAAGTCTCACCTCTCTTGCCTTGGAGCAATAGCTGTCACTTCAAACTTGTTAATGCTTTGTTGAACTAGTTCTAGCAACCCATTTGACCTCATAGTTTCTCACACAGTAAAGCATCACTATTGATTAAGAACACACACCCTCCGCCATCCAATAAACCTCTTGAAATTCTGTTACTCTCTACCTTTTTCATTACTATTCACTGATGCAACACCCTGAATCCTGACACTACTCTTGTGCCCCTACCAGCAAAAAAGATCCTCGTGATTATATCATCTCAGAAAGAAAACTTCTCTACCTTGCTTACACTTATTAGAATCTCTCACTAATGACTGAGACCTATTACTTGATTATGAATCATACCTCAAAGCTGAAAATGGAGGTTATCAATCAGGATATGGTCTCATTAAATTAAGCTCTTCTTATTGAAATAGTGCTCTACATAGGGTAAAATCAGCCTAGATTGCTAAACTTATTGCACTTACTAAACCTTACTATGCCAAAGCACACAAACAGATAGCAAGTATGTTTTTGGAGTAATACATGACTTTCTGATGTTTTGGAAACAAAGGAGGATCTTTACATCCACTGAAACACCTACCAAAATGGACAAGTTGGAGAACTTTTAAATGTACTCTTAATTCCTAGGAAGCTGCCTGTTAAAATATGGATGGTAAAAGAGAAGTCTCTAGAAGTTGGTTATGTCAGACAAGCAACCTTAATCAAGGCTGTAGTCCTATATACACTCTTAAAGGATAAGCCTCTGGAAGGGTTCAGAGGTTAGTAAGCAGTATCATTGTGTAGCTCCTTATTTTGTAAAGCAAGAATGGAAAAAATCTGGTTCTACCCTTCATTCAAATAATCTCTGATGATCACAAGGTCACTGGTTGGTAGCATCAGATGATTTCAAATAGATATTAGCTATTTTTTCATAAAGCTATTAATCATGCTATAGACAAATGGCTTATTGTCTTAAATCAATATTGGTTGGAAAACTTAAAAAACAGGATAGCTTGCTTTCCAATCATGTCATGTCAAAAATACAATGCTAGAAAAACTGAAGATAAAGCATGGACATGAATCAAAGCCTAAAGGGTCATTTGGCCACCTCAGATGGCTTTTTCCCTCCCCAGCTTTCATTCTCCATGAGATCTGAATATGTTCTCATTATCAAATGTCTATTTTCAGGATGTGTTAAACCCTTTCTTTGCTCAAAAGGTACAGATTTTACAGTCTCTAAAATGCTGTTTGATCTTGTGTGTCCAACCTGGGTTTATCAATTTCTATATTCAATGACTGAGGCATCAATTTATGGGAAACATTATAAAAGAACTCTGTAAGGTGTAACTCCTTACTCAAAAACTACACTACTCTTACTACTCACAATCTTCTGAAAAGATGAAAAGAACTAATGACATCTGTCAAGTACACTTAGAAAATCTTTCAGAAACCCTTGAGTTTCTTTGGCCAAATGTACTCCCATTACCCCTTATAGCCACATGGTTCACTCCCTTGAGAACACATCAGTTGTCTGCCTATGAACTGGTAATTGAAAGGCCCTTGCATTTAGTGATTTCACTTCTGATCCTAGACTCTGCTGCACACAGACATAGCAAAATATTTCAAAGGACTCAGGCACTATACCCAATCTTATTATCAACAGGTTAAGGCTGCCTCCCCACAACATCTTTATGAATTTTACTGCTTAATAATTTTCAACCGGGAGATTTTTGTCTATTGGAGAAAATATCAGGGAAAAACTGCTCTTGAACATTCATAGGAAATAACCTTATTAAGGACTATTTTTTTTTTTTTTTTTGAGATGGAGTCTCGCTCTGTCGCCCAGGCTGGAGTGCAGTGGCACAATCTCGGCTCACTGCAAGCTCTGCCTCCTGGGTTCACCCCATTTTCCTGCCTCAGCCTCTCCAGCAGCTGGGACTACAGGCACCCTCCAACCACGCCTGGCTAATTTTTTTTTGTATTTTTAGTACAGATGGGGTTTCACCATGTTAGCCAGGATGGTCTCTATCTCCTGACTTGATGATCCACCCGACTCGGCCTCCCGAAGTGCTGTATTAAGTACTATTAATAACAAATATAGAAGTGAAACTCTAGAAGGTCAATCCCTAGGTACATGTTTCACAACTGAAAAAACACTTCAGAATTCCTCACAATCAGGAGGCTACTCTAATAATGGAATACAATTAAGGATCTTCAGATCTTCAGAAGGAGAGCTGACTTAAGAACTATGGAACAAGGCAATGACTTCAGAAAGCGGGCAGCTTCTGCCCAAGACATCAGACCACAGTTCCTGTCTAATTCCTGTTTTGTTTTCATCTGTTTGCTTATAATAATATCTCTTTTCATTTCCCTTTCTTGTTGTTCACTCTAATAATCTTTTCCTCTTTTCTTTCCTTTTTATTATAATTATTAGTTCAGAACATACTCATTCTAATGCCCTTCTTAGGTTTCCAAACTGTTTTCATTGCCTTCAATCTCACCAACTGCTGCACATGCTGTCCATCACTGGATCACCATGATAAAAATCTCTGGGAAATTCTAGTCTCATGAAATAAAACCATGGGAAATAACACCTGACAGTGTTTCCACTTGAATCTACATGGAAAATGACCTTAAGTAAACAACCTTAAGCAAAATGACCTTAAGCAAATAAAACTGTTACTTTGCTAGTGTTCCTCCCTTTCAGAAAAAGAGCAAATTGTTTAAATCTATTGATTGGACCTCAGGTAAGTCCAAATTTGAATTCAACAACCTTTATAAGGCAATTAGCTAAATACTTGCCACCTGAAAAATATTAATAGCACTCCAAATCCAGCTAATGTAAGGCCTTGGTTCTTACCTTCTGTCACAAACAACTCCTTTAAAAGAAAAAAAAGTCTTCACGTACCCCTACTGGATACTACTTGGGGGCCTGGATGTCTGGTACTCCTTGCTTTGTACTAGCAGCAGTTCATGCATCTTAGGAATAATATGCTGAGGTTTGTGCACAAAGAACCTAGTTCTATACTGTGTGTGAGCTTCAAAAAAGAGATTATGTTCAATTAGTGAGGTGGTTCTCCTGGGAGAATGACTGACTCACTGTACATGCAAGCAATCAGAGTAATGCTACCAATGGTAGTAATCATACTAAGAGAAAAGACAGTTAAGAAATGTATCACTAACTAACAGATATCATTGATGATACTCCCCTTGCCCTAAATACAGATTAGTCTTGTGGGCATGATTAGTGATAGACAATTGCATTGCTTTAGATTTCTTGTTGGCTAATCATTTTGGTGCTTCTGCCATTGCTGATATTACTTGCTGGACATGGATCAATGAAACTGGCAAGATAGAACAGCTATTTATATATTGCCTTATGGATACAGCTACATGGCTTTCTAAAGTTGATCCTCATGACTTATGAGATTAGTTCTCTTGGCCTGAGTTGGGCAATTGGGGTTCCTTTCTCCAAAGATCTTACAGTGACTTTTAATTGTTTTTGTTTTGGTCATAGTGGTTGTGATGCTGGCTTGTTACATTCTGTCCAGAGTCTTAAGTGATTCTGAGCAGTAACCTTCTTGGCAAATGCTTGCCACAATAATACAACAAAAAAATGGTCAAGAGGACCTCATGATACAATTAACTGTTGAGACAAGCAGACAATGTTCAAGCAATAAAGATCTGGATCTTTAGCTTTCCCTGAATTTGTCAACCTCACTCAAGTGATAGAATGACCAAAAGAGGGGCTGTGAGACTGAACATACCAACAAACAATGGCCAGACCCTCCATATGTAAACGTAGGACCCTCACCCGCAAACCTCTATAGCATCCAATCTAGTAAGCCAGACTATACCTTTGCCACAGTTGGCCCAGAATGGTCAGAACTTAGTCAATGATTGCCAACTTCTCTATTTTTGACCCCGCTTCCAACTCGAAATCAAGTAAAGTCACATATGTTCGGAAATCTATCACATAAGATGTCCCACTACTAGTTAGCCCAACTTCAGCTTCTCCAAGCATATCTGAAGCCCTCCCTCTGCCTTTTTAACAAACTAAACTGTAAAGCTTTCCCACTTGCCTGCCTGTTTTGAGTTTCTGCCAAATTCAATTCGTGGTAGCTGACTCCCTTGCTCTAGAAAGCTCTGATAAATATCATCTGTTTGTTCCCATCGGGGTGGTCTTTGTTAATTCTACAGCTCTTAGCAATCATCTGTGTTGCCTGACTCAAATATTTTGTGTTATTTCTTAAGACAGTGATTGCCAAAACATTGCTGTACATCAGAATCAGCTGGAAGGCTTGTGAAAACGGATTGCTGGGCCTCACCCCTCGAGTTTATAATTCAGCAGGTTTTGAGTGGGGCCAAGGATTTGCATTTCTAGCAAGTTCCCAGATGATGCTAATGCATTGGTCAGGTGACAACATTTTGAGAAATGTTGCTTTAAGCCACTAACATGATTTAATGACAACAGCAATAATACCTGGATTTATGTAGTGTGCTTGCTCAGGATGAGACTGTTGCATAAAATCTATGGGCTTAAAGTCATATTTTAAAACATGACCTTCCTTGGAAACATACACCTTGAGTTGGAGTTATAAGGTTACAGGAGGAAGAGAAATGAATTTGATCGGAGGTGGAAGGAAATGTCTTCACCTTGCTCATAACTATGATTTGTTTCGTCCTTTCAGGGTAATTAGCCATACTTCAGTAAAGAGAACTAGGGGACTTTGTACTTATTCATTCATGATGTAGGGATGAAAAGACAACCTCTTACTGCACCAAAAAGATGAAAAGAAAATTATTGACGTTAAATTAGTTATGATCACCTTTCATCAGAGAAAGATTCATAATTTGGCTATAACATCTGGCTATTAACTGATTACTTCCTTAGAATATCACACTGTCATTTGAGTGGAAATAGTGATGCAGAAAGCTAAAAGACAGGGAAGGATATAGATTCAGTTTTTGCCAAGGGGGCAAGGAACACACAAAACTACTCAAGTGACACTAATAAAAGATCAGCCAGGGAAGTCCCCATTTGGAAGCCTATGGCCTTAATGCTGCATGGGTCTTGGCTGGCCTTAGTGTGACACCCTGCTTCTTCTCACTGCCATCAATGTTACCGCTTCATTCTCTCTTAGCATTCCTATGCTCCTCACAGCCTAAGTGTATTAGCTGTCCCCAAAAACCAGATGCTCCCTGCTTTCAACTTTATCTTGAATTTTTGTTTGAACTGTGTGAATTTTCAAAAAACAGAGGCTAAGTCTCAACATAAACTGAACAATTACGTGTTTCCATGTAATCTATCTTTCTCAGTTAAGATTTTCTCACTATAAAAAGAAGAGTCAAGCACTTCCTTCTTTGTGCATCTACACTAGAGGGCATTTCTCCCCAGTGCGCGGAGAAATCAGTTTTTGCTATAACCAGTTTTGGTCTTTGCTTTTTAAAACATGAAAAACAGAACAGACAAAAAATACCATGTGCAGTAATGATGAAGGGGTGAAAACAAATCTGAAGAGGACTGTTTTAAAGAACTAGATTGTTTAGCTAAGTAACAGAGCAGATTCAAGTTTGCATAAAACGGTCTACCTTGTGGTCAAACATGACCGCCTAATAATTTTTTATGAATGACATCTGGGAGAATGAAGAATGAAACCAATTACAATTTCTAATGGAAAATTTGATCTAGTCCATGACTCTGAGGCACCAAATGTCTTCAGGAAGCTTTCTTCTCAGCTGGAACCTAATTTTACTGGACCCACTTTACTCTGTATGATAATGCAGATGTCTTTTGTGGCTTCTTTGAGGTCAAAAAGGCATCGCTGTGTGCTGTTTAAGAGTAAGTTTCTTTCTAAATAAGATCTGACTGGGTCATTACCCAGAAGCAATAATTGGGCCATCAGGGACAAGATGAGCTCAAAATGAAAGAATAATTCACTGGCTAAAGATGATAAGCCACTAAGGCAAGGCAAAAATCAGCAAAAACCACAGATCGTGTCATCAGAATTATTTAATTCTTTCTCCTGCTTATTTAAATGGAAGGAGGAATTAGACATTTATGATTTGTTTAATAAATATTTTAAGGTGGCACTTTTAACCAAAAGAGTTTGTTACATCCCTCAAAAATGTGAAGATGAGAAAATTTAATTATTGTGAACCAGTAAATAGTTAAGGAAAAAATAGTATGTATATTTAGAAAGAAAACAGAATGTTATTTATAAAAATACTGCCTAATCATGGCTATGAAGGCATTAGTCTCCTTTTAATAAATTTTTTAAATAAAAGTATTTTAAAATGAATAATTTTAAAATTATTTGGTATAATGGGACACTATAATGAACATGTAATGGTAATAAAGTAAGTGTTTTATAAGTAGATACTTAATATAAATAATATAGAGACACTTTTCATTAGAAACAGATATCTATTATCATCCCATTTGCATTGTTTTTATTTTGTTACAAATCTGAAAATAGGGGATCAATGTGTTTTTGCAGTTCAGTTGTTTAGCTGCCAAAAATAAAATAATAAAACTTTAATTGCAACCCTCTAAGGCAGCGGTCCCCAAACTTTTTGGCACCAGTAACTGGTTTCATAGAAGACAATTTTTCTACTGACTGGATCGGTGGGGGGATGGTTTCCAGATGATTCAAGCACATTACATTTATTGTACACTTTATTTCTATTCTTACATTGTAATATATAATGAAATAATTATACAACTCACCATAATGTAGAATCAGTGGGATCCCTGAGCTTGTTTTCCTTTTTCATCTGGAGATGATAGGAGACAGTGACAGATCATCAGGCATTAGATTCTCATAAGGAGCTCACAGCCTAGATCCCTCACTTGCACAGTTTACAATAGAGTTAGTGCTTCTATGAGAATCCAATGCTGCACCTGATCTGACAGAAGATGGAGCTTAGGCAGTAATGCAAGCAATGGGGAGCAGCTGTAAATACGAATGGAGCTTCACTCGCTCACCTGCCACTCACCTCCTGCTTTGTGGCCCAGAAAGGGTCAGTGGCCTGCGGGTTGAAGACCCTGTTCCAAGGGATCTGTTCCTTTTCTTTCTTAGCTTTCTTCAACACAAAAGTACTTCTTATGGGTAGAAAACAATTAAAATAACAGCTCTATTCTTGTGTATTTTCATATTTATTTTATTTGGAGATTTATTAAAAGTATATTATTGTACTTAGTGTATATCTAGCTTGCTACTGACAGAACTATATTAAATATTGCACTAATGGGAAAAGTGTTTTCTCATCTAATTGTTAAAAGATATGCTTTCCTTATTTGTGGGTCCTAGTGAGTAAATGTGATTCCTGCAAGATGTAACTATGGAATAATCCACTACTAGATATCTACCCACAAGAAAAGAAATCATTATATCAAAGAGATAGCTGCACTTGTATGTTGATCATAGCACTATTAAAAATAGCAAAGATATGGAATCAACCTGTGTCCATCAATGGATGACTGGATAAAGAAAATGTAATATATATATGTGATTGAATACTATTCAGCCATAAAAAAGGATAAAATTATGTCTGTTGTAGCAGCATGGATGGAGCCATTATCTTAAGTGAAACAAGCCAGATACTGAAAGACAAATATCACATGTTCTCACTTTTAAGTGAGCACTAAATAACATGTACACCATGGATATAGAGTGTGGAATGATAGACAAGAGAGACTAAGAAGGGTGGGGTGGGAAGGGAGAATTACAATGTACATTACCCCAGTGATGGATACACTAAAGCCCTGACTTCACCACTATGCAGTGTATCCATGTGAGAAAATTATACTGGTATCCCATAAATTTATACAAAAAATACCGTTTGATTTTATGTGTTCATTCATATTCAGGAGACATACAAATTTCTAAACAAATTGTAGTCTCTCTCTTACCTTGAAAACTGGTTGTGTGCAATCTAGAGTAGTTGTTTATAATGTACAGCAAATTTGTGGTTAGATCCCATAAAAGCCTATTTAAATACATGATTAATACAAGACAGTGACTCTATTGATCCACTGTGAGAAAGGACTCAATAATTACAGGTGTGAACACATTGTGTTGTGATCAATGGTCTGAATTTCTCTGGGACTGAGGGGATTTTCCAAGAATACAAAGGTTTTAATATTAAAACCAGGATCTTCCCAGTCAACTTAGGAAAAGTTGATCACCCTGATACATTGCTTCTAATGGCTGCGCTCCGGCTCTGAAATTCAGCTTAAGATACACTAAACAATTTCTGCCATCTCACCTAGGCACATCATTGCAATGCAAGGCAGGAAATACACCACAGAAATATCTTAGGGAATGCACCACGGTAGCAAAGATAGGAGATTAGATTTTATTGTAAGTGTAAAGAGAAGCCACTGGAGAGTATGGAGAGTATTAAGCTATGTGTAACAGGATCTGACTCATGTTAATAGAATCCCTCTGCCTGTAGGAAGAGGATGGATTATATTAGGGCAAGAGTGGAAATGAGAAGACCATTTAAAAGAAATTGTGGAAGTTCAGCAAAAGGTATTGCACAGTAGTGTGGTGGATTTGTTAAGAAGTAATTGGGTTGAAATATATTTTGTATATAGAACCAACAGGATTTGCATATGGATGGGAAGCAAGGTATGTGAAAAAGAGAAGAGCCAAGGATCATTACAAGGTTTTTGCTCTGAACAATTGGGTAATTGGTATTGCCTTTTGCTTAGTTGGCAAATGTTAAAAGCTGATGAGGGCGTCTTAGTCTTTGTTGTACTGCTGTAACAGAATACCACAGACTAGGTAATTTATAGTGAACAGAATGTGTTGGCTCAAGTTCTGGAGGCTGGAAATTCTAAGCTCAAGGAGCTGGCACCTGATGATTGCCTTTTAGCATGGTGGAAGGCAGAAGGGCAAAAAGAGAGTGAGAGAGAGAGGAAGGGGCCAAACTCATCCTTTTGTAACAAGCCCACTCCTATGATAATGAACCCACTCCCACAATAAAGGCATTAATCCTTTCATGAAGGTGGAACTCTCATGACTTAATCATGTATAAAGATCTCATCTCCCAATACCATGACAATTATATTTCAACATGAGTTTTTGAGGGAACAAACACTCAAACTATAGCAGGAGGAAATTAAGAGTTGTTTTGGATGTGTGAAGTTTAATATGTTTGGTAGATACTCAAGTAAAAGTCAGATAGCCTATTGGATACAAAAATTTAAAGTTTATGGAAAATGCCTGTGCTAAAAATGTAACTATTAATGATTATTGATGTTTGTTTTAATGGTATTGAAAATTATAGGACTGGCTGAGTTTATCTGATATAGAAGAAATAAATTGAGCACTAATCCCAAGGAACATCAACATTTAGAAGTTAGAAAAAGGAGAAGGAGTTGACAAAGAAGCCTGAAAAGGAGAAGCCAGTGGGGTAGAAGGAAACTCAGGATAACCTGATCTTACAAAGCCAAGAGAAGAAAAAGTCTCAGGAAGGAAGGAATGATTAAGGATGTCAAATGCCATTCAAACTTCAAGTAAATGAGGATTAACGATTTTGCTTGGAGTTGAAGATATGCAGACTCTTGTGATAGTAGTTTCCATGCAGTTTTGGGAATGAAAGCATGACTGGCATGAGTGTGAGAGCTCATGGAGAGAGAATAAGTGGACCCAGAGAGTATAGTCTGAGGACTGAAGTTACCATGCAAATTCATAAAAGGTGGTAACATTTAATTAAAAAAAATCCTTGGGAATACTTAAGTATATTGTACACTTGTGAGTTCAAAGCCTTTTTGGTAAAATCTTGTATAATTCTAGTTTGTGCTTTTCTGAAAAGGCAGGACATCTCTTCTGTGGCTGTATTGTTCCTACAGGTAGACGGTTAGCCACCATTATCTGGCTATAATGAGATGACATACCATGTTTCTTATAGAAATAATCCAGGTAAAATGAGTCAGTGGCTATCTCTAAGAAGCTTATTCACTATGGAGACCAGATCCTTATTGTTAACCGATCATCAGCCTTGGCCATGATACATCAATTATCAGATGTAAAGTCAACTTTCACCCTTTTGTTCAAGATGATGACATCTTGGTCTTAAATCATAATCATCATAACAATAATTACATGATGAGAGTAATGATGAGTAGCTAACAATAGAATAAAAATTGGATGAAATTAATGTTGTTTTTATTTTGAATTACAACCAAATCTGCAAATAAGCAAAGCAAAGGACAGGCAAGAGTTCAAGGTTATAAGTCAATGGATGCGGTTCTAGGATGACACACTCTAGCTAATGTTTTCACAGAGGCAAGCCCAATTACTGAAGGTCTCATGAGCCAGTGTGGAGGGAGGAACCTGTAAATTCATGAGAGCTCAGAGACCCTGGCTTGCCATTTTCTTGAATATTACACTGGAAAACTGTCACATCAGCAATCAAGTATTTACCAAATTAAAAAGTCTTAGAGGTAAAACTTGAATTAGCTTTTAGGAAAAAGCAAACTGGGGCCTGTGACAAAGTTGGATTACAGTCTACCCAGTGCAAATGAACAAAACAACAGAAGAATGAACACAAGGTTATAGTGATAACATTGAGTAAGGTCTTCATTGGTGCCAAGAATTGTGTGGTAAAACCAATACTAATCTGCCACCTGAAAAGGGAGGAGTCTTGTTCAAAGGCAAATTCTGATTCAGTAAGTCTTCAAGATGAGGTTGATCTGTTCTGGTCAGAGTACAGACTTTGAGTAGTGAGGGGCTAAATGCTTAACATGGTGAATTAGAGTAACATAAGTTTAGAGCAAATTATGGAGGATCCCGAGGATCAGATCAAAGAGTTTGATTTGTAAATGTAGACAGTGGAGCAGTTATCGATGGATTTAGATGAACTGCCATGAAATATATTATAATTTTAGGACTAATCATAAAATAGTCAGCAAAGACATCAGGAAGGCAGGGATGATTTTCTGAGAAGTTTGAGACTTGATAGGATTTGGAGACATATAAAATATGTTTGAAGCAAAGGAGATAGTCAATAAAAAATTCCAAAGTTGTGACACAAGATGAAGTGAAAGATATTTCTGTTACAAAAATTGGTAAGTGAACAGAGTTGGTGGATGGTGAAAAATGATGAATGAAAATGCTGGTACATTACATCTAGAGATATGCTAATATCACTAATAATATTGGAAGAAAATAAAGGAAAGTCCAGCGTTTGGCTGAGAGACAATAAATATGTGCATACTAAAATAGGGTGAGAAGTTTGAGAAAAAAATTAAGTGTTAAATTTTTGAAAGGGTGTCATGAGCTGCAGAGTGAAAGAATAAAGGAAATGAATGGCAACGAGAACTTCCATTCAGAAAATGATATGAAACTTCTAAAGCAACATGTAAACATTGCAGGGTAGATGGTAAACAATATTCAGTTGAGGTCTTATTCATAAAACCTTAGCTAGAGTGTGTCATTTATGCTACTTATATAATTGTAATTCAACATGCTTCTGCATTTACTATTCTCATGACTCAGTTTACTGCTGTAACTAGGACCAGCACTTTGGTGATTCTTAGGGGTGTGTGTGTGTGTGTATGTGTGTGTGTGTATGATGTATTTCTTTTAAAGTTAAATATGTCCTACTCACATTTAATTCTGAGAGGATTCTGACTATGTAGTGACTCCAGTGAGTGTTTTGATGCTAGACAGAGGCTGGATCTCATAAAAATTTTTTTATTCCTTGTACTGAATTATTTGGTAATAGTACTGTGTCAGAAACTCCTTGTTGTCTCTCAGTATATATTCCCTTCTTTTCCCATAGCATTATATTTTTATTTACATGAATGTTCATTTAAAAACTACTTTCCCCAGCTTCTTTCAGGCCTAGGCATGGTCATACAACTAAGTAAAAGTGGTTTTACAAAAAATCATTAAAGAAAAATATAGTTGTGTCTCCCATTACAATTTCTTTCTATATCTACTGATTGAGACAAGAACCTGGTGGTAAACCATCTTGGACTAAATGGAACATGAGGGTGGCATGGTGGGAGAGCAGAGCAATAAGAGGGTATGAACCTGGTTCCCCAACATTCTCGAGTTGCCGATTACTGACACACTCACACTCTTTAATGGAAGAGAAATGCATTTATATCTTATATTTAGGGCTTTGGTACAGCAATCAAACTTGTGTACTCACGAGTACAGGTAACTTAGAGAAAGGTATTCTCAAAAAGCTAATGCATCTCTAGACCTTCTGTAAGCAGAGGCCCTCTCATCTTATTTCAGTGGTAAGTTAACCATTGGAGTGTTCTTCCATATTTACCTTTGTCCCTAAACTCTCTATACCCATTCCTTCATCCATCCTTTTCAGTTCGGGAAACTGGACATCTAATTCTCTCCAAACTCTACACTTCCACATATACACTCAATTCCTTCCCTTTTTGATTCATTAAATGACATAACCTCACCTCTTTCTGTCCAGGGGATATTTAGAAAATATTGTATTAAATAGATACACATTAATTTGTTTAAACAATTCCTCATGGTTGAACATTTGGGCTGTTTTCCCAGTTTTTTTGCCATTATAAACATTGTTAAAACATTCATCTCCATGTGCCATGCTTACTCTCTGCTTTGTGTTCTTACTGATGCTGGTCTCTTACCCATAAAAAGTGTTTTCCTCTGTAATCTCCCATATTCAGTTAAAGCAGAGTAAGATGCAAATCTGATCTAACTCCTTCATGACACCTGTCCATTTTCCTCTCCTATTGATATCTGTCTACCTGAATTTACATAGCCATTTTCCCTGCATATTTTGACACTTAATTATATATGGCCTTCAATTGTTTACAATTTTCTGATGTTACTGGTGAAATTTACAAGACAAGGGATAGGTTTCTTACATGACCTCAGTTTTGCTCTACAACATAACATGATGATGAGCTTCATCCCCTGTTTGGAGAACTTCAGGTGTCCCCTGTGCAAGTTCTTTGTCTTTGTGAGTGTCAGAGTGTATGTGTGTCAGAGAGAGTTGGGGGTGCTAGGCAGAGAGGTTTAGAAATTTTGTTCTAGTTTTTTCTGTATGTAAGACTATCACTGCACCCAGTTCCTAGAATGAATTTTCCAAGGATTACTTGTTAAATTAACTTTGGTCACCTCAACTGACATTTGAACAAGAACATTATGTGAATGACAAACATGATGTTCTTTTTAAAATGTCATGAGTTACAATCAGAAAGGGTGACAGAGGACAAAAATGGAGCAGTGAACAACAAAGAAACAAGGTGACGATCTGGAAGCAGAAATGCTTCAAATGAGATAAATGGGCTGAAGTAAGCTATTCAGAATTAAGTCTATGATAAGAGACAAAGAACCAGGTCTTTCTTTTTACATAATTCTCGTTAGCAGTTGGACATATAAAGTGTTTGAATCTTAGGTCTTATCCACCTTTGCCACATACCAAAGGCCTAATTATTTATCTTTCACAGAACACAATTTGTGAAATGAAGGTGGTATTTACTGTCCTGCCTATATCAATGTGGTTTTAAATATCCAGTTACGTAACAAACGCACTTCAAAAACTATAAAATCTGCAAATCTGTGGCAGGTGGCATTTTCCAAAGATGGCTGCAGCATCTTCATCCCACGTGACCTTTGGCAGTGTGACCTTGTGTCTTACTCTGTTCAGGCTGCTATAACAAACTATCATAAACTGGGACTGGGAGGAGGGGGGCTTATAAACAACCTGTGTTTATCTCTCACAGTTCTGGAGGCTGAGAAGCACAAGATCAAGGTATTGATACATTAGGTGTCTGGTGAGGGTTCACTTCCTGGTTTGTAGATAACCGTCTTCTTCCTGTGTCCTCACATAATGGAAGAGGCAAGGAAGCTTTCTTAAGTCTCTAAGGGCACCAATTCCACTTACAAGGGTTCCACCCTCATGACCTAATCACCTCCCAAAACCCGATCTCATAACACCATCCTATTGGGCATTAGCATTTAACACAGGAACTCTGGGGGGACACAAGCATTCAGCCTACAGCACCTTGCTAGTCACCCGTCTTGCTATGTCACCCCTAGAATCTGGATGGACTTGTTGATACAAACAACAAAGTATGGCGGATGTGATGCTATGTGACTTTCAAGGCTAGGTCATGAGAGGCAATACAGACTCCACGTTGTTTTCTAGAATTCACTCATGAGGTCCCTGAGCTCCCATGAACTAAGTTCAACTACCCCAGGTTGCCACACTTCGAGGAATCACTGGCCGCGTGGACAGTCAGGGTAGAAGTGCTGACTAAAAATGCCTCTAGATGATACCAGTGTCATCAGTCATTCTTGCCTTCTCAGCTGAGGCTCCAGACTTCATGAAGCAAAGACAAACCACACCCACTGCACCCAGTCCAAGTTCTTGACCCATAGAGTCTTACACCATAATGAAATAGCTGTTTTATGACCTATAATTTGGGATGATGTGTTATGCAGCAAACATAACCAGATAAAAAAAATCGAAGGTATGATCATCATTACCATGATGATGATGATGAATTGACTTATTAGTGGACACACTAATACCAGTTGATTTAATCTCTGACAAAAAGGCAAAGTGAGTGAGTTGGAAGCTACAGTTAGGAATGAAAGGAAATTTGGTATCATCAGTGCTTTTTCAGAGGACTGAGAACGTCTGGGGACATTTAGTGTATAACAAATAAAAAACCCTTTTCCCTAGCATCAGCTGGGATTGTAAAACTCACCTAGATGCTCTGGCCTTGTTCTTCAATAATGAACCTTGGAGAGGGGCTGGCTGCTGCAATCCCCAAGTGCTCTTCTTGTGCCTCTGCCAGACCCATCATCCTGAGCCAGCACATACAAACTGTCGTCCTGATCCAGAGCAGCTGTCTAATTACAATTTTGTTATTATTAATTACAGAGTAGAAAATCATTTGTAATTAGCTCAGCCTAAATCATAGTTTAAACAGCCAAAAATTACATTACAAACTAAAGTGTAATTAAAGCACTACACTAAAGTGTTTATTTAAACCCAGTTTAGTTACTTGCAAATTTTTCAATCAGCTTCTCAGGCTCATACATAGATTTAATTAGTCTCCAGTACTGACAGTTTAGTGCATTTATTCATTAAGCATCAATATTGCTGAACAAATGTAAATAAAATATAGACAGAGATGCTTTAAAGGGGCAGTCACAGAAACATCTGGGCGAGATAATGAGGCTGGGAAAGATGTGAATGTTAATGAGACTCCCAAGCTGCTGGAGGAGCTCCAGCTCTTGGAAGCAAGGGATCTCAGTAACTGAGTAAATTTGCAGTGTCAGTTTCTGCCTCAGGTTGACTGGAATGGTCCTGTGGGGTGGGGCGGAAGTCAATTTAATTCGCTTCTTGCCATTGCACTAGGGTCGATCTCAGGTGCCACTCGATAGAATTCTGGATGGAGATAAAAGAGAACATTCCTCTCTGCCAACCTTTGGGGCTCTACATGTCTTGTTAAGAGACAGAAGAGCTTATAAAGGGATTTTCAGGGAGAAGCAGCTTGTTTCTTGAAAGGTTTAGCAAAAGCAATCTCTATGGTGATGAGTATCATGCACATTCCAAGGAGTAAATTTTCTCTTCAAGGACTATTGTTTGGAAAACTGTCCTTGTCACACATGCAAAAATGCCTGAACACACTTCTAAATGAGTTCCAGATTCTCAAAAGTACTCATCAGGCAGCCTCTACACTTGCATCAACAGGACTGCCATTTCTCAAAGCATTCTTTGTAGCTCTTTTTGAAGTGCCTTCAGAATCACTCTCATCACTTCTTGCTGGATTGCCTTAATAGCCTCCAAACACATCTTCCATTTTCCAGTCTTGTTTCCCTACCATCTTTTTCTCTTTTTTCATTCTCCTGGCAGAATTATCTCTCTAGAATGCAAGCCTCCTTATCTCGTTCCTCTGCCTACAACTTTTACATACTGTCTCACCCTCTCCAGTGATGGGAAGTGGAAACTTTTCTCAGGGAGGCCTTCTGTGATCTGGCCAGTCTCCACTTCCCTATCATCATCTCATTTCATTACTCTCTGTCTTGCGCCTTAACCCTTTAGGAGTCCCTGAGAAAACTGAGCTATCTTTAACCTCCATGCCTCTTGTACGTGTGGCATCCTGATAAGTGAGCTGTTTTCCTTGCGTCATTTAAAATTCAGCTCTGGTAGTATCTTCTCTGGGAAGCCTTTCCTGATGTTCTGGTTTTGTTTCACAATTTAAGTTAATAGCTCCATGCTGTTATCATTTTTTAAATATCACTTCCACTATATACAGTAATCATCTAGGCCTATTGAGACCAATAAACTGTGACCTCTTTGGAGGCAGGGAGGTGGTAATCACATAATGACTTGGGAAAGTCATTATTCATTATACATATTAGTATCCCCAGCACTCTCGTGGTCTTGCACATCTCAAGAGCTAAGTAAATATCTCATGAGTGAAACATGAAACTATTATTTTGGATAATATTGATGATTGCCAACCTTTGCTTTTATATATTATATTATGTTATAATATTATTATATTGCCAACAATATTATTATAATGCCAACTTACCTGCTTCATAGGCTCTCATTAGAACTAAAGAAGTTAATATATGTAAATATTTTAGGACAGTGTCTAGTATATAATAGATGCTACATACTAGTTTGCAAGTATTATTTTTATATAATTAATATTTTCTTTTTTAACTGAGATCACATTTTATGTGGAAATTCAATATAATATAATGATAGTACTTGGAAAGGGAGCAATTTCATTGCAACAGAGTTAAAATGAATGAGTGTATCTTTACTCAGATGTTGATATTTGCCTAATTATTTTGGATCTCAGTTGTGTTTGCAATATTCATTTTTAAAGATGTGAAGCAGATAATACATCCAGCATATGCCTGACAATTCTACTGGAATAAGTACATATTTATCTTCAATATGTAAAAATGACCCTCTAAAACTGAAGAGAACCACGTAAATTCACTTAAAACCAATGAAAGTATCCAGATTTTAGTTGCAAAGTATGAGATTATGTTTCCCTGAAAATAAACAGTCTACAAAAGCATTGAAATCTTTGGTATGCAATTATGAGACATTCAGTTTTGAGGACTTACTTGAATACATTTGACAAGTGAAGAAAGAGCTGATCTCATCTCCAATCATTCATCTTTTACTTTCTTACCATTTAATATTCATTTTATGGAACAATTTCTAGGACTATGTACTGATCTAGGTCTGGGAAAGTTTGTTCTGCTTAATTCAAGTTAAAGTGAATACTCTTAATGAGTTTACTATTCGTATAGATTTGCTCTTTTCAGAATAAGTCTTTGCTATTGTGCCTAGGTTGAGGAATATCATTACTAATAATTCAATGGTTCTTGTTTCTCTAGTTGTTGTAAGAATGATGTGTTCATTACCTAACTTCACATCCTTCCTATAAAATCAGTGAGATAAATTTCTTTGTGATTTTGTGTTTTTCTGTTTATTCAGAAATGGTTTTGATTTCTCCTCTTTACAGATGGCTAGAAAATATAGAGTCAAATTCATGACCATCTTCTAGCAAAAGAACATTTTTCAATATGCAGTTCATATATTTATTGCTATTACCCATTTCTCTTTTGTTTTACTACATTATTCACGTTTTAAAAGATATTAATATTGAAATAATATACAGTATAACAATGTATTATGTATTTATAAAACCACTTTACATAATGTTTCAGAATGAAGACAAGTATAAAAGAAAAAGGTAGAAGAAGGAAATGGGGTTGGGGAGAAATAAAGAGGAAAGACAGATAAAGGAGAGGAAAAGCTTTTAAGCATCTTGAAATTAGTCCAAGTATAGAGTCCCATATGTCCAGATGTCTTAGGAGCAAAGTGAATAAATTATATTTCTCCATAGGGCAGAGTACTATTAACAATAAGTAATACCTATATCTGTATATATGTGATCTCCTTTCCCCAGTCTTCACTCCTGGAAATGTCTGCAGGACATTTTGACTGTATTGTTATTGGAAGGAATCATTCAATGGAAGATTGAGTGATTGCCCCAAACTTGGGAATACCATAAAAGATCAAACTTGTTATTTAAATTCTTTCCCTTTTTTGGTTTTCTCTTCCTTTTATATTATCTGAAATGAATTCAGAGCCATTATAAAAGCCTGTAGCAGCATTCATCAAATCAGCCACTTCCACCAAAGTTCTTCACACCCTGACAGCAAATAGTTTGAAATTTCCAAGGTTATAAAAAAAGTATTTAAGAAAGAAAGCTATCCTTTGAATATGCATTTTTATTTTTCTTTATATTTTTATTTATATTACATTTTTATTTATATTATATTTCTTATAAATTTAAAGTAGAGAATTAAGAGTGGATTAATATAATATTATCATTACAATGTCAGTTGAGAATACACAAATTAAGTCAGTAAATGGTCTGCAATTTTAACCCAGGAATTATGAAAGAAGCTCATCTTAAACATTGAGAGCTTTTGCCTCCAAAAATTTCTCTTCTTTCTACCCCTAAAATTCCTCAGAGAATAAAATTCATCACACCATAATTGGATATAAAGCTTATTAAACAAATACTGTAGAGAGAAAAACACTTTCTCTTAAATTCATGCTAACATAAACAAGATAAACATCACCCAGTCCCAAGACCAGAGTTAGGGGCTGAACTCTGAGACAGTATGCCTCTGAGTAAAAATCCAAGTTATTTTCTAAGGTCTAATGGTAGAAGTTGGAGGTGCTCTTTCTTTTGCCCTTTTGGTAAGATGACATGCAGGGTAAGACCTAAATCTACAGGTGCTCTAATGAGACAGAGATATCAGAGCCTGGCGTGCAGAGAAATGCCTCTTTGCTACATGGAACCACCCTCAGAATGTGTGAAGGTTCTGAGATTTACTGACAAGGGTATATTGGATCCAGTCTGATAGTTCTAGAAGTGGGCTTACTTTGGGGCCAGTTATAGGGGAAAAGGGCATTATATCAAAGATGGGACTTTCCATTGCCACTACTAATAACACATCTGGTTTTCTTCTCTGAGCACCTGGAGCAAGATGTGCCCTCAAAAGAGGAAATACTGAAGCTCCTCTCACTGGAAAAATCCCTGGCCCCTTCCTTCTAAGGATTTATGCCAGCAGACTGTCTTTCCAAAACACAGCTATGTTCATGTCCCTTCTCCAGTTAAAGTACTTTAATGGATAAACTTATTAAAAATACCTGGTTTCCTGAGTATACTATGGTTAATTTTGGAGACCTTGAGTCATTCCGTAGGGATCTATCTTCCTACTTTGGTCCAGGTTATGTCTTTCCTTCTCTTTTTCATTAAGAACTTTATCCACAGCTGTTGTCCAGAACCCTGCTCCAATCTCAGTAGCAAACCCAAAATGGCATGCAACTAGTGGCCTAACTTCAAGTTCCATCTGGACTTATGGACAGCCCCCCTTAGCCATGGACCCGTACTACCTTGGGCCTGCCTTTGAGTTCCCAGCATGACACTGTCTTCTCATTTTCTCTTCTCATGTGGTGTGCAAAATGGTGTGCAGATCATCTGCTCGTTTGCTCTCAGATCCATTCCCCAACATCTCCCCACTCTACTTTGTATTGCAAACAACTGGGCCATGCTCACCTCATTTGCCAGACTCCATGGTCAACAGCTTCCATCTGGGATCCATTAATGTGAGAAGGAGGTAGGACATTGAAGGAAGGGATGAATGGGTATATGTAGTTCTCTTTCTCTGTTGCGGGTGGCTGCCATCTTTTTGTGATCAAAGCTCCCACTGGTACCTTCTTCTATAGTTCCTGTGCCCACTGGATGGCCTCAAATCATCAGCTCTGGTAGCCACATTTCCTCATGTTGTCTCTCCAGCCCTAGGGGTGGTAAGAGACTTCTGCTGTTGCTATCCTGTCACTTGTCTCATCATAAGGCCTTCTCTCTGGGCCTCCCAGCTCTTTGGCAACTAGTCCCCAGTAGTAAAATCCCTCTCCTCAAATTCTTGTTGGGATGTATTATCTTTCTGAGTGGACTTCTATTGATAATTTAATGTAGTTATCTCCAGTATTCTCCTCCTCCTGGTTATTCAAAACAAACTTTTCTTAATGAGCAGTTTTTTAGGAAAATGAGTCTTAAGTTATTTCAGAATTAAGAATAAAATAATTCATTAACTTTTTCAGTTAAATGTTTAAAAGTTTGCTTAATATCTGCAGACAGTATGAAACACAAAATCCAAGGCCTACAGGATGGTAAACAAAAGTTGAAGGTATTTCTGGGCTTGCTGCTGATGGTGCTAGAAAATCAATCTCTTGTGAGGAAAAAGCTCCCAGCAATATAGATTGTTTGAACTACTTACCATTATGTCAAATTCACTTTAACATCTGCAAATAGACATACTGTATGAATACTGAGAGAAGCACTGTTTTCTGTGTTTGCACTTAAAGGCCTAACGTTGTATAGATTTTTATAATCAAGTAAGCTTTATAATTCGATAACAAGCCCTTTATTTAACCCTTAAACACTTGATGTCTTGGGTCAATTCCTGTTTCATCTTCAAAAAAATTCACACATAATTCACTCTATCAAGACATAACTAAATATTTAGGAGGAACCTTTTATTTTGAATGTCAGTGTCTGCCCATTCTCAGTTCCCTGAAGATACACATCCCATTTCTCTTCCACTTCCAACGATGGTGATATCACAGCCAGACCTGTCAATGGGACTCCCAGAGAAAAACCTGCTTTCACAAGTCTTCAGTAAAGTATACCAGCTTCTTCAATACCAGCACAAGTTAGATACAAACCACATTTTCAAATTCTTAAAGCTCAGTAGTCATGAGTTTGGCTAGATATTCTGTGCTTACTGGTGAACGATGAGGATATTATTGGATGTGGGATGCAGGTATGTACCAGTTGGTAAGGTGCTGATGAAAAGGCCACAGGGCAAAGTTGCTTAGACCTCTTTCCTGGAAGTGTGTGTTTCTCCTCTGAATATTTCACCATGGCCATGGACTCCTTGCTATTCTCCAGGCAATATTTCTGTATCCAGAGCCCATGCGTTTAATCATTTACTCATTCAAACAATTTCTCCGGCACTAATAACCTGGAAAAAAAGGCCCACACTTTTCATGTTTTGATGCAGGGTTTTTTTTTTTTTTTTTTTAATAGTAGAAGCACTCTTTGTTATACATAAAATCTTGCTGAGCCACCCTAAACTGCAGTGATGTAGTCATCACTCTTTATGGTCATGTGTTCAGGGCAGGCTTTCAACTACAATCACTCATGCACCAAACAAGAGGTGCCCATACCATATGATATGGTTAAGCAATGTGTCCCCACCCAAATCTCATCTTGAATTTTGATCTTCATAATCCCCACGTGTTGAGGGCGGGACCTGGTGGGAGGTGATTGAATCTTAGGGGTGGTTTCTCCCATGCTGTTCTCATGATACTGAGTAGCTCTCACGAGATCTGATGGTTTTATAAATGCTTGACAGTTCCTCCTACTACGCATTCTCTCACGTGCTGCCATGTAAAACATGCCTCTTCCTGTTCTGCCATGATTATAAGTTTCCTAAGGCCTTCCCAGCCATGCAGTACTGTGAGTCAATTAAACCACTTCCCTTTATAAATTACCCGGTCTCAAGTATTTCATTATAGCAATGCGTGAACAAACTAATACAGTAAATTGGTACTGAGGTAGTGGGGTATTGTTATAAGATACCTGAGAATGTGGAAGCAGCTTTGGAACTGGGTAATGGGCAGAGGATGGAACAGTTTGCAGGGCTCAGAAAAAGACAGGAAGACATGAGAAAGTTTAGAACTTCCTAGAGACTTGTTGAATGGCTTTGACCAAAATGCTGATAGTGATATGGACAATGAAGTCCAGATGAGGACTAGATGGAGGTGGTCTCAGACGGAGATGAGGAACTGTTACCAGAAAGCGGCCCCGATCTAGACCCCAAGACAGGGTTCTTGGATCTCACACAAGAAAGAATTTGAGATGAATCCATAAAGTGAAAGCAAGTTTATTAAGAATGTAAAAGAATAAAGAATTGCCACTCCACAGGCACAGCAGTCCAAGGGCTGCTAGTTGCCCATTTTTATTGTTATTTAATGATTATATGCTGAACAGGGGGTGAATTATTCATGCCTCCCCTTTTCAGACCATATAGGGTAACTTCCTAATGTTGCCGTGGCATTTGTAAACTGTTAAACTACTTTAATGGATAAACTTATTTAAAATACTTGGTTTTCTGAGTATTCTACAGTTAATTTTGGAGACCCAGAGTCATTCCACAGGGTTCTCTCTTCCTATTCTGGTGCGAGTGTACTAGAGAGGACAACTAGAGGTCACTTTCATCACCATCTTGGATTTGGCAGGTTTTAGCCAGCTTCTGCACTGCAACCTATTTTTATCAGCAAGGTCTTTATGACCTATATCTTGTGCCAACCTCCTAGCTCATCCTGTGAGTTAGAATGCCTAACTATCTGGAATTGCAGCCCAGTAGGTTTCAGCCTTATTTTACCCAGCTCCTATTCAAGATGAAGTTGCTCTGGTTCAAACTCCTCTGATATAACTTCTTGGGAACTGGAATAAAGGTGATTCTTGCTATGTTTTAGCAAAGAGACTGGTGGCATTGTGCCCCCACCCTGGAGATCTGTGGAACTTTGAACTTGAGAGAGATAATTTAGGGTATCTGGTAGAAGAAATTTCTAACCAGCAAAGCATTCAAGAGGTGACAAAGCATAAAAGTTTGGAAAATTTGCAGCCTGACAAAGTGGTAGAAAAGAAAATCCCATTTTCTGGGGAGAAATTCAAGCCAGCTGCAGAAATTTCCATAAGTAACAGGGATCCAAATATTGATCACCGAATGATATGGTTTGTCTGTGTCCCCACCAAAATCTCAACTTGAATTGTATCTTCCAGAATTCCCATATGTTGTGGGAGGGACCCAAAGGGAGGTAATTAAATCATGGGGGCCAGTCTTTTCTGTGCTATTCTTGTGATAGTGAATAAGTCTTACAAGATCTGATGGGTTTTTTCAGGAGTTTCTGTTTTTGCTTCTTCCTCATTTTCTCTTGCTGCCACCATATAAGAAGTGCTTTTTGCCTCCCGCCATGATTCTGAGGCCTCCCCAGCCCTGTAGAACTGTAAGTCAAATTAAACCTCTTTTTCTTCCCAGTCTCAGGTATGTCTTTATCAGCAGCCTGAAAACAGACTAATACACCAACACAATGGGGAAAATGTCTCCAGTTCATGTCAGAGACCTTCTCAGCAGCCCCTATTATCATAGGTCGGGAGGTCTAGGAGGGAAAAATGGTTTCATGGGCCAGGTCCAGGGCCCACCTCCTGTGTGCAGCCTCAGGACTTGGTGCCCTACACCCCAGCCACTCCAGCTATGACTAAAAGGGGCCAAGGGACAGCTTGGGCCATTGCTTCAGAGGATGCAAGCTCCAAGCCTTGGCAGCTTCCACATGGTGTTGGTCCTGCAGGTGAGCAGAAGTCAAGAATTGAGGTTTGGGAACCTCTGCCAAGATTTCAGAGGATGTATGGAAACACCTGGATGTCCAGGCAGAGGTTTGCTGCAGGGGCAAGGCTCTCATGAAGAATCTCTGCAAGGGCAATGCAGAAGGGAAATGTGGAGTTGGAGTGCCTACACAGAGTCCCCACTGCAGCACTGCCTAGTGGAGCTGTGAGAAGAGGGCTACCATCCTCCAGACCCCAGACAGATCAACTGACAGCTTGCACTGTGTGCCTGGAAAAATCACAGACCCTCCATACCAGCCCGTAAAGGCAGCTGGGGTGGGGGCCTGTACCCTGCAAAGCTACAGGGGCAGAGCTGCCTAAGGCTGTGGGAGCCTACCTCTTGCATCAGCATGACCTGGATGTGAGACATGGAGTCAAAGGAAATCATTTTAGAGCTTTAAGATTTAATAGCTACCCCTTTGGATTTTGGACTTGCATGGGACCAGCAGCCCTTTTGTTTTGGCTGCTGGTCCCATGCAAGCCCTTTTGTTTCTCCCATTTGGAATGGTAACATTTATCCAATGCCTGCACCCCCATTTTATCTTGGAAGCAATTAACTTGCTTTTTATTTTACAGGCTACTGGGCAGAAGGGACTTGACTTGTCTCAGATGAGACTCTGAACTTTGAAATAAGACTTTGGGGGACTGTGGGAGGCATAATGGGTTTTGAAATATGAGGACATGAGATTTGGGAGGGACCAGGGACACAATGATATGGTTAGGATCTGGGTCCTCACCCAAATCTCATCTTGAATTGTAATCCCCCATAATCCCCATGTGTTGAGAGTGGGACCTGGTGAGAGGTGACGAGATCATGGGGGTGGTTTCCCCCATGCTGTTCTCATAGTAGTGAGTGAGTTCTCATGAGATCTGATGGTTTTATAAGGGCCTCTTCCCCCTTGGCTCTGCATTTCTCTCTCCTGCCACCTTATGAAGATGGATGTGTTTGCTTCAATTTTCACCATTATCGTATGTTTCCTGAGGCCTCCCCAGCCATGCGGAAATGTCAGTTAATTGAACCTATTTATATATTACTCAGTCTCAGGTATAATTTTTATAGCAGTGTGAAAACAGACTAATAGAGTAAATTGGTACCAGGAGTGGGGCAGTGCTATAAAGATACCTGAAAATGTGGAAGTCACTTTGAAACTGGGTGATGGGCAGAGGTTGGAAGAGTTTGGAGAACTCAGAAGAAGACAGGAAGATGTGAGAAAGTTTGGAACCTCCTAGAGACTTGTTGAATGGTTTTGACCAAAATGCTGATAGTGATATGGACAATGAGGTCCAGGCTGAGGTGGTCTCAGATGGAGATAAGAAACTTATTGGGAATTGGAGCAAAGGTCAGTCTTGCTATGCTTTAGCAAAGAGACTGGTGGCATTTTGCCCTGGTGCTACAGATCTGTGGAACCGTAAACTTGAGAGAGATGATCTGAAATTGGAACTTATGTTTAAAAGGGGAGCAGAGCACAAAAGTTTAGAAATTTCACAGCCTGACTAACAATGTAGTAGAAAAGAAAAACCCATTTTCCAGTGAGAAATTAAAGCCAGCTGCAGAAATTTGCATATAAAACGAAGAGCTGAATGTCAATCACCAAGACAATGGGGAAAATGTCTCCAGGGCATGTAAGAGGGCTTTACAGCAGCCCCTCTCATCACAGGCCCAGAGGCCTAGTGGGGAAAAATGGTTTCATGGGCCAGGCCCAGGACCTTGCTGCTTTGTACGGTCTCATGACTTGGTGCCCTGCATCCCAGCTGTGCCTAAAGGGGCCAATGTATAGCTCAGACCATCACTTCAGAAGGTGCAAGCCCCAAGCCTTGGTGGCTTCCACATGGTATTGGGCCTGCAGGTACTCAGACGTCAAGAATTGAGGTTTGGGAACCTCTGCCTACATTTCAGAAACACCTCGATATCCAGGTAGAAATTTGCTGCAGGGATGGAGCCCTCATGGAGAACCTCTACTGGGAGAGTTCAGAAGGGAAATGTGGGGTTGGAGCCCACACACAGAGTCTCCACTGGAAAACTGCCTAGTGTAGCTGTGAGAAGAGGGCCACCATTCTCCAGACCCCAGAGTGGTAGATCCACTGACAGCTTGCACTGTGCACCTGGAAAAATCACAGACACTCAATGCCAGTCTGTGAAAGCAGCCACAGGGGCTGTGCCCTACAGAGCCACATGGGCAGAGCTGCCCAAGACCATGGGAGCCCACCTGTTGTATCACTATGACATGGGTGAAACATGAAGTCAAAGGGAGATCATTTTGGAGCTTTAAGACTTAATGACTGCACCACTGGATTTCAGACTTGCATGGGGCCTGTAGCTCCTTTGTTTTGGCCAAATTCTCCCATTTGGAATGGGAGCATTTATCCAATACCTGTATCCCCATTGTATTTAGTAAGTAACTAACTTGCTTTTGATTTTTTAGGCTCCTAGACAAAAGGAACTTGCTCTGTCTCAGATGAAACTTTGCACGTGAACTTGTGAGTTAATGCTGGAATGAGTTAAGACTTTGGAGGGACTGTTGGGAAGGCATGATTGTCTTTTGAAATGTGAGAAAGATGAGATTTGGGAGGATCCAGGGGCAGAATGACATGCTGTGGCTCTGTGTCCCCACCCAAATCTCATCTTGAATTGTAATCCCCATGTGTTGGGGGAGGGACCTCATGGGAGGTGATTAAATCATGGGGTGGTTCCCCCATGCTGTTCTTGTGTTAGTGACTCCTCATGAGATCTGATGGTTTTATAGGTGGCTTTTCACCCTTGGCTCTGCACTTCTCTCTCTTGCCACCTTATGAAGAAGGACATGTTTGCTTCCCCTTCTGCCATGATTGTAAGTTTCCTGACGCCTCTGTAGCTGTACAGAAATGTGAATCAATATCTTTTATTTATAAATTCCTCAGTCTCAGGTATTTATTTTCTTTATAGCAATGTGAGAATGGACTAATATACCATACTAGTCATTTAGTATTTTGAATATCCTCTACCCTTATCAATACTTTAATGAATTAGTTCCTAAAATGTTTCATGAACCGTGTTGTTATTATTATGTTGAATGAGATAGCTATGATTCTTACCTCTGTGGAGAGAAAACAGTGTATTAACAAATAACAAAAATAAACTATGATGATTGCAGGGCAGAGAGACAGCAGGGAGGTATTATGGAAGCACACTGATGGTAGTTTAATTATATAACACATTAGTATAGAAAACAGAGAAGGCCTTCCCCAATAAACAACATTTAAGATGAGTTTAGAAGGATGAGTAGAAATTATCTAGAAAATGTCTACGTTATCTGAAAAATGTGTATTGGGGCAAGGGGAGAGAGGGTGACAGTGTCAGAGGTAACAGAAAGTACTAAGATACAACATAAAAGACAGTAATGAAAGAGCTGAAAGAGCTCAGAAAGGCCAGAGGGTACACTGAGCAAGGTAGGTTGCTACTAGGTAAGGCTAAAGAGGGTGACAAGCAACAGGGCTCTTGAATAATTTGTAAAATATGCTGTGAAGTTCAAACTTTATCCTAAAGGCAAAGGAAAGTCTTTTCAGCAAAGATTTATTATTCATAGACAATCTTTCTGCAGGGTGGAGAAAAAATGGTTTTGAGGTCTTTTAAGAGGGGGGAGATAAGAAAAATGTCTATTACTGCAATCCAGGTAAAACAATTGGTGATGACCAGGGCTGAATTCTGGCAATCAAGATGGTGGGAAATGGATGGATTTGAAAGGTATTTAACAGGTAGGACCACTTGTCATTTAACATCGATTGCTCAGAATTTTATTCATATATCTAGAAATAATTTCCATGTTGCCCATATATTCTGAACCAAAAAGGAAGACACATTTTTACCAATGGCATAAAATGTTTGAAATTGGATCTATTTTGGAAAAATCTAGGATATTTGATATTACACTGATCTCCTCAATTATAGTATAATCTTCTAATGATAATACATCATTCTGTCTCTCACAGTATTTAGCACAGACATGAGCATATGTTAGGCGCTCAGTAATGCTGTTTGATAAACTCAAAAGTGCCTATGTGAAATTCAACAGCTAAGCAGAAAACTTAAAGGACACATGGTTCTAACCTATTTCTACAATGACGGGTTGCTAAATTGTTTGTTGCTGATATACTTTTTAAATGACCTATAACCTAGAATATATTTAGTAAGAAATGATAAACAATGTGGTATTTCAGGAATATCTTGAGTCTGATGACCCCTTGACCAACACCGAGTTCATCATACTTTTAGTTCATAAATGTATCTGCCCTTAGGCTGTGTTTGAGAGCCAAAAGTGTTTTTATTTAATATGAAGCTGATATTATTGATTTTTCTTCCACACATAGTGGGGACATGATAATCCAACCTTATATTTATTAGGCCGACTAATCATTAGTTGTGGTCAAACTTTGGAAAATTCAGGGCTTTGGTTGTGTTCCAAGTGTTCAAAAGTCCAGATGCTCATTCAGAGTGTTCATTCACTAGTGAAAGCACTGAAGACCTTTCCCTTATACCTCAATTATTTTCTTGGTGATATTTGTTTTCCTTTCTCCCAGGCCTTCCGTCCAGCTACAATCTCATAATTAGCTAATTTATAAATTCCCTTCTATGACGTTTCAGCCCAATTAGTTCTAGAGAGTTCTTAAATAGATTTTTTTTTCCTAGTGTGGGAGGGTAAGAAATATTTCAGATACTCTCCAGTGTCCAGCATGATGTATTATTTTTAATTTTTTTTACTTTTTTTTTAAAATACTCCACTGAGCTCATACCTACAGCATGATGTATTAGAAGAACATGAGCTTATGGTCAAATATCCTAGTTTGAAGACTATTTTAGCCACTCACATTGTAAAGTTGGACAAATAAAACATCTTTTCAGTTTTTGTTCCCTTATTTACTAAATGTGGATAAAAATAATGTAATTCACATTTCTTAATATTAAATGACAACACACATAAAGGTTTTTCTTTTTTTTTTTTTAACATAACCTGACATATAATAAATGGTCAAAATACACCAATTCTGCCACCCCATTTCCTTTTATTGTCAATTGATCTATTAGTCAGAGACTGAGCTGAGGCTGCCTAATAATCTTCTTACCCACCACTCCCAGACTTCCAACTATTCTAATTAAGAATGAGAGTCAACTTACTACAATAGGGATGTCCACTTGTAACCGTGTCTATGGATCTGAACTGACAGACACATTCGTGGCTCCTGCTGCATAGTTTTCATCTTGAAAGACAACAAGGAGATCTTTCATTAATTACAAACTGGCTATAAACATCTGAAGAGCCATGTCCACAAAGGACTGATGTTTATTCATCATAACATGTATCATAGTCTTCACCTAGTGCATGCTCAATAAACTATTTTGAATACATTCACAAAATAAACTTGTTGAGGAGGTTGTGAAGTTCTGCCCATTCCCAAGAAAGTCATGACAAACAAGTGTTTCCCTGGAAGCTAGAGAGAAAAGAACTGCCTCATTCACCGTTCCATTCCTAGTTCCTGTCTTACAGTATGGACCCAATACATATTTATCATTGAATGAATGAGCAAGCAAATGAATAATTGAATGAAAGTAATTTTCTATATTCTACCCTACATGGATTTGCTGATGCAAGGCCCTAACAGAGAAAAAAAAAATGTCTGTGTAGGAAGGACTCTGATTGGGTAGCTTGCAAGAAAAGACAAAAAAAAAAGGAAGAGAAAAATCACAGAGGAAGTGGATTTCACCTGAGGAAACCCTTTATAACAATATTAACAATGTTTTAAAGAAATTCTAAGAACCAAGGACAGGTTTTTGAGTTAGGAAAGAAACGAGCATATTGGATGTTTCCAATGAAGGTATAAGTAAATTTGTACATGATGTGGCATAATTTTGAGAAAGAAGGTTTATCTCTGTACCTCTTTTTTTTCACTTTTTATTTTATTATCTGTCCAAACCTTGCCTGCTCCCTCCTAACCACACTGCATATTGCTTGAAGTCCTGAGGCTTTTCTGATTGGTCACCCATCATCCATTCAACAATTACCAACATTTAAGAAGTAGAGTAGATGCCTGCAGTTCTCCATACCTGTCCCCCAGTCCTTGACTGCATATTACTTATCAGTACTTGTACCTGCAACTTTGTTCCAATGTTATCTGTGAACCCCAGGGACAGCTTCCCCCGGACAGAGCTGCAAGTGCTGGGGAGTTTATAACCCTCCGGGGACAGCCTTCAGTCAATGACTAACTAAGGGCAGCTTTGAAATTCCATCTGTTTGCTTTGAGACAGGACAAACTCTGTTATGTCATGAATGTTCAGATCTCTTGTGGAATCAGGCTGGGTCTGGAAATAACCCAAAGTTATTATTTTTTGGCTTCTCTATAATGTTGCTCCATATCCTCACTGATACCTCTTGGGGTGACTTTCTTAATAAACTACTTGCACATTCATCACAGCTGTTTAAAAACTTGAGCTAAAATACTGAAACATTGCCATAGGCCAGGAATTTCTCTCCAACTCTGTACCCGAAAATACTACTTACCAGACATCTACTGAATAGTGAAGTTAAGATGAGGAAATTCTAATTACTTTTATGATGATAATTCTAGACTGCCCATAACTTGCTTGTTTCCAACCTGGTCTTTCTTAAATCCAGTTTCCTTTCCAGTTTTCAGCAGCCTCTATGATCTTAAAGTTTGTTTTTACTCTCTTTCTTACTCCTAACTTTCGACTCTAACTCAAAGATTCTGGTTTGAACTGACCAACAATCAGCACATCTAATTTTAGCCTTTTATCTAGTACTTGGACACTTTACCCAATTTGCTCAGGCCTAGAACTGTAGGGGCATTGTCATCCTCTGCAAGTTTGGAGGTTAGGGCTGACGTTTCAGGTACTCCACTCGACAACCAGAATTCAAAGATGGTTAAGATTGTGTATTGAAAAATAGTACCAGGTTAACAGTCATTGATATAAAGTCTCTAAAATTCTAAATAAAACACCCCTAAAAACACAGGGGGAAAAATAGAAGAAAATTTGCAACACTACTGTAATTAAGAGCAACAGTCCTACTGCAGTCGGGATGTCCACTTGTTAACTAGGTCTATGGAACTGAACTGACAGACACATTGATGGTTCCTGCTGCATAGTTTCTATCTTGAAAGACAACAAGGAGATCTTTTGCCAATTGTATACTGCCTATTTCTGGAATTGAACAGGCAAGATCTATAGTTAATACAACCTAGAAAAATTGTTGGTTATCTTTCTACTGCAAAGAAAATATGTTCTACAAGATTATTAGAACACATTCTTCTCTTCTCTAGCAAGAATATCTACCTCTCCACCAAACCCAAGATTTTCTTACACATGCTATCCTCATGTAAGGAAGAGACAGAAAGATTCTTAGACATAGGTGAGAACAGAGGTGAGTAAGTAAATAGTATACATACCATATATCACCCGCAAATGATCTATGAATTTATAATGTGTAGATAAAAATATTTGATTAAGAGAAGAATCAATGTGGAGAATTTAGGAACCTGGAAGTATTGCTATACTTTTTTTCTGGTGAGGAATAAAATCTGGTAAAATAGAATTACAAAAATTATAAATATGATTTAATTTCAAAATAAATCTGAAGAGAACACATATGTGTAAAAAATAATTTGTAGTTGTAATTTGGTTCTCTTCCAGATTTTATTTATTTTAATATGGATTATAAAATGGAAGAAAAGCTTTTAAGTAGAAATAAAAATTAGTAAATCCCTATCCCAAATTCTTATGCTAAGTATCATAGAAAGACATGGAAGGGGATCAAGTTCACATTTTGCAAAGATCCCTCTGAGTATGATATGAAGGCCGGACAGTGGTATGCTGGAGCTGAACTCATAGGCTCCAAGAGTCTATTGTTAAATTTACAGGAATTTTGCAAGCCCTCTGCTTAACATGTACATCCTTGAAATCAGCCGTGTTGGGAGTATTTATAATGCGGAAATGGGCAAATGCTAGAAAGCCAAGGTTTTCCTCCCCTAGTAAACATTTACCAGCACACTACTGAAAATGGCTGATAGGCAGATAAAAGAATCTGGGAGACAAGTAAGGAAGCTTTTGATGTTCTCCAGAAAAGAGATGTGGTGGCTTGACGCAGGTAGTTAGTCATGGAAATATACCAATTAGGCTATGGTCTTCAGGTAGTTGTACCAGGGTAAGTGAAGGATCAAATGTGGGAATGAAGGATAGCCATCAGGGATGACTTGAGCTATGATAGACAGCGTGTTATTTACCAAGATGGGAAAAAAGCAGATAAGGAGCAGGGTCTTCTTGTGGTGACAGGAAGAGGACATGGGACAAGGGTTCCATTTTGGCCATGTTTGGTTTATGAAACTTATTAATGGTACAAGCGGATAAATATAAAAATCAAAGTAATGGTTTGGGGGTGCAGAGGAGGCTATGATTAGAAAGAGAAACACAGGTTTCTGGGTTGCTGACAATGCTCTCAGTGACCTGTATCTGGTTACATAGGATGTTTCCTTAGTGATAATTCATTAAACTGCACAATTATGCCTTTTATATTTTTTCTATATACATTATTTTACAATAACAAAAGTTTTAAAAGCAGAAGAAATATGAGATTTCTAGATAAAAGCTTGGGTAAATATTAACTTGCAGAGAGGAAGGCACAAAATTATAGAATTCATGAAGAAAAGTCGTACATGCTACTTATAGAAATTAAGATTTTTATTATAGCGAAAAAGACCACGAATAAAGTGGGAAACATATTTGCAACACTTACGGTGGCAAAGTCAGTTTTGCTAGTTTAACATAGAATTTTTACAAATCATTAGAAAAAGACTAACACACACTATAGAAATGATCTGAACTGGCAGTTTACAGAAAAGGGAAAAATAAGTGTCTAATATGAAGAAGCTCAATATCATTCATATTTTTTTAAAAGTTTCAAATAAAGATGGCAATGATATTCAAGTTCTAATCTATTATACCAGTGAAACTATTAATAAAAGTATGATAATATGCTGATTTTCCAAAGATTTGGAGAAATAAGCAAGCATTCCTTTATAATTGGAATTTTCTGAAGGGGAATTGAGCGATGTTTGTTTTTTCTTTTTTAAAAAAAATCACATACACTTAAACCTGGTGTATGGATGATGGAGTCTGTGATATGCTGCCCAGAACCCCCTTCAGTGGAGAAGGATTTGTTTCTCTAGGGGCTGGGAGAGCTGACAACAGCTCCCAGGTGTCAGCACACTTAGAAAATTCCCCAACTGAAGAGAGTTGCCTAGTTCAAGGTCATAGCCTCTTTTCACAGCAACTCATATCCAAGGATTAGTCAACTGGGGCATATGAAGACCCCCTTGCTTTAACTTGGGACATCTCTGAAGGACCATCCAAGTTTAGAGTCCCCACAGGGTCACTGAGACTGTGCCACCTTCTCCTACTGCCTGATCCTTTGCCCTTTCCCCCACTTCCTTGGGTGCCAATTCTAAGAGCTTTCCTTAATAAACCTCCTGCGTGCTAATTTTTCTCTCAGAGTCTGCAGGAACGCAAAAGTGGCACTCAGTGATCCCATCATTATACCTTATCAATATAATTGTAAATTATCACTGTGGAATTTGAGAATTTTTTATTACACAAGTTTTTAGTAGCAAAATGTGTGTTAAAAAGAAGTGTTATCAGTCCATAATTAGTTAAAAATTATGTTATAACTATGAGATACAATACTAGGCAAATAATAAAAATAGGTAGGTAGTTCTGTGTGAAGCCATAGGGAAATAGCAAGATATGTTATATTGTTAGTAAGGTGCACAACCGTTTATGGACTGGAGTCATTTTTATAAATAATTAAAAATTGATGATTGATTGAAGCTACATTTATTTTTAAAATTATGGGAGAAATGGCAAAAAATTGCTTAAAAGAATGGCCAAGAGAAAGCACCCCCTCAAATCTTGGCTGCAGATAGCATAACTGACTGGAAACCCCAACTGCTGCAGTTTAAAACGTACTGCTGCATTGAGCTAAAGGCCAAGCTTCTCATTCACTGGTTGCTCCTGGCTAGTGACTGAGTCCAGCAGGGATATTAAGGCAGTCCTGCTCTTGAGACAGGCATCTTCTTCGACAAGTGATCTTGGATTTAGGACTTCTAAATTGTCTTGCTTTAATTTCCCTAAAACTGTACACAAGTTTAAGAAGCTGTAACTTAGCCTCTTTCCTTCCACACCTCCTTCCCTCAGGTCAGAGCTGCATCATGTTTTGGCTACTCTGCAAGCTTCTCTCAACTCTCTTCCTATTTTCTTTCACAAGTACTTCCCCTAATAAATTTTTTGCACATCTAGTTCCAGCTCAGTGTCTGCTTCTGGGAGGACCTAGAATTTTCCCATTTTCCTTGTTTAAATGCAGTGGCAGAATTTTCCCATTTTCCTTGGTTAAATGCACTAGCAGAGCAGAAGGGTAAAGGAGACACTTAATTTTCATTTTCTAGTTTCCTGTAGAGTTTGAATCTTCCAATCATATATGTGTAAAATTCTTAATTGTTAAAATGTCAACAAGTGTTATGATGGCAGAGATCTTTGTGCACATTTTATTTTTCTCCTTTATATATTTTTCTTCCCCTGTTTTATTCAAAGAAATCAACTTAACATTATTATCCTCCTCTCCCCCATTATTTTTCTCCCAGGAAAATCTTTCTTCTGTATTTAATCCCAACCTGTAAGTTACTTTCAAAAATTTCAAATATGTTTATCTGGTTCAGAGAATAATACTCATGGGTGATAAGTTCATGGAGGAAATAAAACCAAGAAATATAATCATCTGAAGAAGGTCACAATTGATGCTGCTGTTGTTTCTCTTGTTACCATTTGGTGTCACTGTGGAACATGAGTCAACTGAAGCCTGGTAAAGTCCTTTTGAATGAGCAGAAGCATCGTGGTGACCCAGGGACATATGGCTAACCAGCTGGCACACCAGTCGATATTTATGCACTGCCACAACACAGTAGTGACTGAGAACAGAGTCACTTTCCTGGCAGTAATTTCTTAAGGTTTAAAAGCAGTGAAAGTCAGTCTTCCACATGGTTCCACTAAGCTACAGTCACTCTACTACCGCTTTGGCTCTGTGTTTCCAATGTCATAATTCCTTATTACATTATTTTACAGTATACAGATGTTCTTTACTTTGTGGGTCCCAAAACATCCTTTTTCTATTCTATGTATATGACATTTCCTTGTTCAAATGGACAACGAGAAAAGGAGACACTGAATTGATTTGTTGTAATTATGAGATTGAGATTGGAAGCATTTTTTTTTTTGCTTTTGATTGTTGTAGTATTATATGTGTAATTATTTTTTAAGGAAACCTTTTAAAGAGCATGCTTGACAAATTATTTATTTAACATTCAAATGCTGTATTCCCATGCAGATTTACTAACATCACAGTCTTTGAGTCTTTCTTAGTCTTTCCATGGCTTTGTATATTACCAACCTCGTACATACCAGCTTTGGCCAATCACAAAAACACTCAGAGTGGCTTTATAGCACTTATGGAGAGGTTGACAACACATCTTACTACAAATTGTGTCTATTACCCAGTTCACTACTTTCATTAATGACTCCAACCTCATGGGGAAATGCAATGCTTTGTCACACACTGATCATGCTTAAAAGAGGATATCTTCAGCTTCTGCTCTTATTTTCAAACAGAAAATCTGTTTGTTGTTACTCACAGTTCACTAGTAGTAATGCAGGAGGTAGAGGTGGACCGTGTATACCAGACCTTTGCAATGAGATCTGGTAAGTCTCCACCAGTATGGACTGGAAAAAGAGTTTCTCAGGAGATGCTATGCCCAGCTTCTCCCTCCACCTCATACTCTCATCAAAAAGTCATTGTGAAAGCTGGAGCATTTGTTCAAATGTTTGAATTTGGTCTCAAAGTCTTCTATTTTGCTGTCACAAAAGATTACTAGAGCAGCTTTCCAGCCCCACTCTATATCTCAGGGCAAGGCAAGGACACTTGTTTGTTTTAGTTTTGATTAATGTTTGCTTATCTGGACTCATTGTCAGAAAATTCTAGCCAGGTCTTTTTGGTCTTTTTAAAAATACATTCTATAAATTGAACTGCCTCTCCCCAAATTTTATATATTGAAGCCCTAACCACCAGTGTGACTATATTTGGAAATAAGACCTGTGAGGAGGTGATAAAGGTTAAATGAGGTCACAAGGGTGAGGCCCTAGCCTAACAGGGCTGGTGCCCTTAGAAGAAAAGGAAGAGATACCAAAATAGAGAGCTCTCTCTCTCTCTCTCCACTCTGTAAGAACACAGCAAGAAGGCAGCCATCTGTAAGGCAGGAAAAGAGTCCTCACCAGCAGTTGACCACGTTGGCCCCTTCATCTTGCACTTTCAGCTTCCAGGACTGTGAGAAAACGAATGTCTTTAAGCCATCCAATCTGTGGTATTTTGTTATAGCAGCCCAAGCTGACTAATATAATACAACCCACATATCGCAAACGTCTTTGTTCCTCTGTCTTCATTCACCTCTCTATAAGAATGATGAGCATTTGCAGCAATAAACGTTCTAGGAGAGGAACAGAATGCTTTTCAGATCTCTTGTTAAATGTTGCAATGCCTCCCTACACTTACCTTGATAAAATAAAATACAGACATCTGGTAATGGAGTGAGCCTCACTTTATAAACTTTTAACACTAATGCTGTATTGCTTCTTCATAGGTTGGCCAAACTGGTCCAAACAGGCTAGTACCTAGGAGGACAGCTCATCAACCTCTCTCTCATTTTGGGTCCTTGCTTATCATATCTGCACCCAGTATTGTTATAGGTTTGGAACACAGCAGCTTTTAGGTGATGTCTGGTGTTATTATAATCCCTTGTTACTGTTGTTATCCTCATGACACTTATAATTCCTTGTTTGATGTCTGTGTTTTCAGCTATACTGTAGGCTCTGTAATAGCAAGGTTTGCATCTGTTTTGCTCAGGAGTTTATCCTAGTAACTACCATGGCACCTGACCAAAAAAAAAAAAAGTGCCCGGTGAATATGCACCCCATTCAAGTGGGTAGATGTGTCCCCATCCATGTGGATCAGAGAAGAGGGTGTCTTTCAGCCTCTACTTGCCACCTCAGTTGAGCAGCTTTATGTAGCACACATGGAAGGCCGGCTTCAGGTCGTTCCTGGTGCATTTCCTCTCCTTGTTCTATTGTCCGAGGTCAGCGTGGCTAGCTAACCACAGCCTCCACCTCTGGGCTTTTGCCGGTGTGGGTCTCGCGTTAGTCTCTGTGCTCCATGTACTCCAGAGGCATAAATCAAGCTCTCTGAGTGCTTCCACCTGTCTCACTCTGCTTCCTGGGAAGGGTTGGGACCCCTGGTCCTCCTTCCTGCAGGGTAGGGGCAATGCTATTGCTCTCCAACAACTCTCTCAAACAACTTTCACTCTCGGATACTACAATAGTAACCTATTAAACTGTGTTGGCCACCTTTTTTGCACATGGAGCTCAGACGATCAGGCACCTCACTTTGGGTTGTTGAAACACTTGCTACTTAATGGCTTGTCCCCAGCCTTTTGTGGTCTCAGTCAAATGAGGGATAAAAGATGCTCCATTTTAATATGCTCTTGCATTCATGTAAAACCCATATTCAAATTGCTTCTGAACAATGCAGGATTCCATCTCTCATTTACATTCAGCCAGTTCAAATATCTGAAGCCAGCTATTATGTCCTCTGTACCACCTAGTCCTCTGTCCATTTCCTGTTCCTTAAAAATGACAGTGGCTTTCAGACCCTTTCCCATCCTAATTTTCCTCTTCGGGTCATATTCTAATTTGCCATGGTACTTAAAATGTTGACCTGTAATTGAACGTAATACTCCAGATGTGGTTTGATCAGAATATAGAAAGATGATTACTTCCCATAAACCAGAAATTACACTTTTATTAATGCAGTCTAAGATCCTTGGCTTTTTAGCAGCCACATCACACTGAATTACAGAGTTGACTGTAATTCAAAATAATATCCAATTTAAAGCAAGTGCTATTCCCCTGCCAGCTGGATAGGGTTTCCCATTTAAATGGAGCATTTAAGCCAAAATGAGGTTAATATGTGACCAGAGGTGGCATTAGACCACCAAAGCACGTTGGGCTCCTAAATTGGTTGACTAACAAGTGTCACAAATCAGCTCAAGTGAAACTGGAAGTGTCAACTACCCTGACTACTTGTCAACAGGAAGAGAAATTGGGGGTGTGGGTGATGGTGGTAATAAACAAGTCACTCCTCAGAATTATTCATAGGTATTTTTCCGAAGGAATAGTCCTATTTATTATACAACTTGCTCTTTTCAGATTTTAATGTGATATTTAAAATTCAACTTCCTTTAATTTTTAAAAACCTGTTTATGATTTTAAAATACTTGTTTATCATGGAAATGTGGAAAATATGGCAAGTTATAAATGGGAAAAATTAACCTATATTTGTAGAGATAACTCTGTTAACATCTTTCAGTGTCACTGCTTTTTCATTTGAAATTGCTTCAGGAGGAGGAGAAGAGTCATGTGAATTAATGAAGGTTTTTAATGTTCATCTTTAATAGGCAAAGATAAGTGCCACTGAGGTTTTTCAACCAGATAGGGTTTCCCTAAACAATGGAGGTCATGTGATAACTTTAACTCTATCCAACTCTATTCAAGAATTAGAGAAACTTGATCATAATTTGTCTGTTTCTAATAGGTTGAACCATATGACACCACCATATTTTTAGGTAAAAAAAAGTGTTTGGACATCAGCAATATCACATGATTCAACATGGTAAAGTTGTGGCAGTCTTGCAAAGAGTTTCTTGAATTTTGGAATGTCTTAGAACAATGCTATATTTGATTTAAGTAGCTCCATTTGACTGGATAATGGCAGAGACCAGAAACAAACAAGCTGCACACACCTATGTTTCCCAATGAATAAAATGCAGAAACTAAACTGCCAGAAAATTTTGTAGAAATGTTGATGTGTTAAGTACATTTTAATATACCTTTAGTGTGTTCAGTAATTGTAATCATATTCTAAATTTTTAATATGAGTTATTTCCAAAATATGAGTCTTTATTTGGTAACGCCTCTCTGCTTTGCCCCTTGACTATTTCTAACATGGATGGTACTGACCAGGAACTCAAGATTAATGTGCTTAGGAGACTTAAAATAATGAGTATCCTTAAAATAATGAGTATCTTTAGTTCCATTCTTGCATTTTAAGGACATCCCAGGTTTATATGTCCATGCATACAGATTTTCAAATAGGTTAAATAAAACATCCCTCTCTTGGTCCAAAAAATCTTAAGAGCAGCATAAATCTAATTACTGATACCAATCTTCCATGTGGGCTGCACTTGGGTGAAATATTTTTTGTTGTGATTATTACCTAGTGATCAACTGTTCAATTGAATTAGGCTTCATTTTCCATTTTCTTTGCCTTTCAAGGTATAATTAAAGCCTAATGCCAAATCTCACTAGAGCTCTCATCAATAACTTCCACTTAACCACTTTTAAGAAGACAGCCAGCCTTTGGGTTCAGACAAGGAGGCTACAGTTCACAACTTACTATTTAGATGACCCTTAAAAGCCATTCTCGGTCAATAATTCAAAGCAGTGTTCAACTTTCTTTATGAGGGAGAAGGAATTAACCTATCATGTTCTTATAGCCATGTTTCATCCAGGCAAATGTAAATCATTTAGATTGAAAATATAACATAATAAAGAAATTTTATCTCTGTACCCAGGTGAACCAGGGTGTGTTAGAAAAGCAGTCATTTCTCTTACACTCTGCTGGAAACAAAAAGAATAACTGTGCTATAGTTAAGCTGAGAAAACTGCTTGTTAGGCTGATATTGGAAAAGGAAGAGGTCAGAGGCACCAACAAATAGCTGCAGTGATTGCCAAGAGGCAGGTTACAAAGAAAACAAATGACATGTGAGCCACTATATTTAACAGCATTTCATTATGTACAATAAGAAAATACCCTCCTACTTATTACCTCCATTAATCCCCTCAACAACTTGGAGTGATATTATTCTGGCTTTACACAAAAGAAACTGAAGCCAGGAGAAATTAAGTGACCCACTGAGGATCACACAGCAGAGCCAGAGCTTGAGTTCAAGACCTGAATCTGTAATTTTTGTCTTCCCACTGTCCCACAGCTGCTGATACGGCCTTGTGTGTTCTGCATTCTCCTCAAAAGCCAGGTAGGGAAATATATTCAAGACAAGCTGGTGGAAAGGTTCATCTTTCCTCTGTGTATCAGAAACGACAGATTTGGTGACCTTCCACCAATTTGGTGAGAGTGAAGGCAAATTCAACGACAGACTTTACATCATTAATGAAGTCAGCATGAACTTGACAAGTAAGTGCACATTTATTTTCAGGTAATACAAAGTTTAGTTACAGGGAGTACACATTTCTTTAATTTTGGGGGTATCATAAAATAAAATAATTATATGTACTTTTTTTTTTTCTTGAGTTCAAATAGTACAGAAGGGTGTAAAATGTAAACTAATTATCTCCCCATCTCACTTTCCCACTCTCATGCCCATTCCTATTTTGAAACTTTAACTGTTTTAACTATCTTTGTTGATCTGGTGGTTATCACCACACTTGTAAAAAACAGGCTTACATGTAGCCCTATTATTTGATGTATAAATTTATAATTTTTCTTTGAATTGTACTATAAAAGATGAGCAATTAGACTTACTTTTACTACCTCCCACACTGTTTCAATTCCTTTCCTCTACTTTTAAAATAATTATATTATTATATATAACATATATAGTAATTGCATTAGGTAGTTTTATTTTTCTTTCAGATGAATACCTTTGCAACTCTGAATAATACACCTGGTTAAGTACTCATATGTGAGACTGAAACCATGGGAAGTGTGACATCAAATTTTTGTAAATGGGAAGGGCTTCTCGATGGGAGGCTTCACCTCAGGCAAAAGAAAAGATAAAGGCTATACATCAGAGGACTCGCCATAAAGCTAGCTTGAATTTATTGCATTAAAATATGGAAAAATTGTTAATTTATGTATGTGATTATGTATTATGTATATAATTTATATATTTAATTTGTGTATGTAATTAATGTTTTCCATATCTTAATGCAACAAATTGGAAATATATTATATATATGTAAATATATAGCAAATGGCCTTTATAGTAAAAGTTTCTGCATTTGATCATTCATTTGAAGATATTTTGTATGTTATATTTTACTGGTAGAAGTAGGCTTCATCAAATCAATAGATTTAGACAAATATGTCATGGTCAATGAGAAGAAAAATCACTGGTGAGAAAGACAGTTGATCCAGAAATGAGAAAGGGGAAGAGACAATTCTTGGGGCCATGAGAAAGGGGACTGGGCAGGCAAGTCAGAAGTGTTTGAGGAGAAGACAGTAATCAAAATTCCACGATCATGATTGTAAATGCATATTAGGGGTAAAAGAGAAAACAGTAATCTGCAAGCTTACAGGCATATTTTGGCATGTTTTGTTTTTCTCCCACTGGCACATTTTTGAACGGTACAAATAAACCAAATGCTTTTGGATCAACTTTGATTTGCCTGTGCAACTTGCTAACTCTGTGAAGGAAACATGGAAGTGAGAATCAATCCTATCCTCCTGGAGGTTTCTATGAATTAGAGGATGCTGGAATTGTGTTTCACAGGTTCACAGCTGGAGAGCAGTTTACCTCAAGGTGAATCCTATTTTGAGTCTCACTCATATCTTCTTTACATGATATTTAAATGAGACTTTAGACTTTTGAGTTGATGCTGAAACTACTTAGAACTTTTGAGGCTATTGGGATGGAATGGAAGTATTTTGCGTGGGAGAAGGATGTGAATCTGGGGGGACCAAGCTTGGAATGCTACAGTCTGAATATTTGTTTCCTGCAAAATGTATATGTTGAAATCCTAACTCCCAAGATGATGGTAATAGGAGGTGGGGCCTTTGGGAGATGACTGGGTCATGAGGATTGTAAGGGATTAGTGCCCTTATAAAAGAGGCCCCACAAAGACCTCTCTCTTCCACCAGATGAGGACACAGCAAAAGTTGCCTTCTGCGAGAAAGTGGGCCCTTCACCAGACACCAATTCTGCTTTGATCTTAGACTTCCCAGCTTCCAGAACTGTGGGAAATAAATTTCTGTTATTTACAAGCTACCAAATCTATAATATTTTGTTATGGCAGCCCAAATGGACTAAGACAGTCACCCTCAGATAAATGAACACACACACACACACACACACACACACACACACACACACACGGAAAACAAATTAATATCTGTTCTATAACTGCACTTAGAATGATGAGTTTTGGGCAACATTCTGCTATTCTTTTACTATCTTTCCTATGTTCATCAGATACAACTATCGCATGATATTTTGTTTTTGGATATCTTTATTTTGAAACAGACATATGGCCTCAGAACTGGAAGCAAAGTTATTTCGTATGATTAACACAAATTTAAATATTCATGGACATTATATTTGATCATTAAGAAAAACTGAAGTGATTTTAACATAGAATGTTTTTATTTTGCCCATGAAAACTCACCCTCCATACAAATATTATAAACAAAGATGTAACTAAAGTTAAGATTCATCTCCATATTAAGATAGATTGTCTTAAGATATGTAACCTATTATTTCTTCTTTACCAAAATCTATGCTGATGCTTAGAAGGACATATTGAAGAAGTTGATAGTTTTCTATCATCATTAATTTTAGGAAGCTGTAAAAGTATTCTGGTAACATAAAATACATCATTTATGTTTTAGCAATTTTTCTTAAAATATGATTAATCGATGAGTATTTCACAATGTATAGTCTTCTCATCTACCATTTTTAGATAAAATTTCAGATAGTAGAAATTTTCAAGTTCTGTAATAATATATTTATATACTACATTTTAAAGTGATGTGATAAACCAGTAGCAGACAATGTTACATAATAGTGAATGAATGTTACCATAAATTTTATGTAAAAGTGTAAAATTTATTTTCCTACAATTAGGAATTTTCTTCAATGTATATTTTTTAAGTAACAAAAATAATGAGGAACAGATACTGCTTTTTAAAATATGCCTTACACTATATTTCCTTCTAATTTGGGTATGTCACATTTTATTTACCTATCATATTAAGATTCTCATGATGCGTATAAAAGTAACATCACAAGTAATCACAATTATGTAGAGACATTTTGATTCATTTTATCTTTTATCATATCATTCATACATCAGCAAGCATGAAGGGGTGAGTGCGTTTTTATCAATAAATCAGTGGTGGGTGGTGGTTGTTGATGGGGTATGGGTATAAAATCTCTATTATTGTGATGTTTGCCATATACTATACCCCATTGACTATGCAGTATTGCTATAATATATGCATATCATCAAAGTTTGATGACACATAAAATTAGCTGCTTACATATTTGTATTTGATAATGATATCCTAAAACATGTCAGGCTTGAGGGTAACTGACTCATGGATCTACTTCCTCATTCTTTCCAAAGTTAAAGCTTCTTGCATCTAAGAAGCAAACAGTACCCAAACATTCCCTGGACTAGCCATTATCATGCATCTGCTATTTTATTGCCAACTGCTAAAAATGTGTGATGTTCTGTAGGAGATTGGTCAGGGTGGTGGGATAAATTATAGGGAAAGAAGCAAACCTTCTTGGAAGGCCAGGAAGTTTTGCAAAAGCTTTAAAAGAAAATTTGGCTGAAGGCAGCCAGATTCTCTTATCTGGAGCCTAAGAGCAAAGGGCAGATAACAAGAGAATGTAAAGGAACTTATCTAGATAAATTTGTTTACTCCTGTCTCCAGAAACCAACCTTTGATCATTCGCGCATGGGACTGCTCTCTACTTGGGGGGTTGACAATGTTTATTACCCACAAATTGTGTTTGCACCATGCCTTTGTCATTAAATCTGTACTGAATAAATGTGAGTGTTGCCGGCTTAGGGGGGCTGCTAACTCTCTTCAGCCCCTAGTGCCAACAGTCCCCTAGCCCACTCTTTCACTGGATACCTGTGTCTGAGTACTCCTCTCACCCGTCACTCAGCCAGAGTCTGCAGGGCAGACTCAACAATGTTCATTAATGTTCATAGTACTGTTAGTTGATATGCAAAATTTCTCCTACTAATTGAAGAAAGCTTTGATAAGTCTGAGATACATTATACATATGCTCCTTGACTTAGGATGGGGCTACATCCTGATAAACCTACAGTAAATTGAAAATATCTTAAGTCAAAAATGCATTAAATATACCTAACCTCACTGGGTGCGGTGGCTCACACCTGTAATCCCAGCACTTTGGGAGGCTGAGGTGGGTAGATGGCTTGGACTCTGGAGTTTGAGACCAGTCTGGGCAACCCCATCTCTACAAAAAAATATAAAAATTAGCTGGGTGTGGTGGCATGTGCCTATAGTCCCAGCTGCTTGGGAGGCTGAGGTGGGAAAATCACTTGAGACCAGAAGATCAAGCCTGCAGGGAGCTGTGATTGTGCCACTGGACTCCAGCCTGGACAATGGAGTGTGACCCTGTCTCAACAAACAAACAAACAAACAAACAATAAAAAACCTAACCTACTGACCTACCTTAAATGTGCTTAGAACACTTAAATTAGCCTACAATTGGACAAAATCATCTGGCAGCACAGTACACTGTTGAGTATCAGTTTCCCTTGGTGATCACATGTCTGGAAGCTGTGTCTCTTTGCCGCTGCTCAGCATTATGAGAGAGTATTGTATCACATATCTCTAGCCTGAGAGATCAAAATTCAAAATTCAAAGTATGCTTATTAATGAATGCCTATTGCCTTTACACCATCATAAAGTTGAAAAAGTCATAATTTGAACCATTGTAAGTCAGGGACTGTTTGTACTTATACGAGTACATTTTTAAAAACATATTACAACCGCTATGGAAAAAAGTGTGGCGATTCCTCAAAGAATGAAAAGTGGATTTTTATTTGATCCAGCGCAATTTCACTACTGGGTATCTACCCAGAGGAAAACAAGTCATTATATGAAAATTATACTTGCACACACCTGTTTATAACAGCAAAATTTACAACTGCCAAAATATGCAAACAGCCCATATGTCCATCAGTCAATGAGTGGATAAAGCAAATGTGATATATATATATATATATATATATATATATATATATATATATATATATACATACACACACACACACCATGGAATACTACTCGGTGATAAAAAGGAACAAAATAATGGCATTCACAGCAACTTGGATGCAATTGGTGACCATTATTGTAAGTGAAGTAATTCAGGAATAGAAAACCAAATATCATATGTTCTTACTCATAAGCAGGAGCTAAGCTATGAGAACACAAAGGCATAAGAATGATACAATGGACTTTAGGAACTTGGGGAAAAGGGTGAGAGCAGGGTGGGGGATAAAATACTATTCACTGTGTACAGTGTACACTGCTCAGGTGATGGGTGCACTAAAATCTCAGAAATCACCACTAAAGAACTTAAACGTGTAACCAAACACCATGTGTTCCCCAAAAACATATTGAAATTAAGAATTAAAAATTAAAAAACCCTATAGATAGCCTAATATAATATTCCTAAATACTGACATAATCTATATATTTTGAACACCAATCCACATAGGTCTATTTTCATATGGGAGAAGGGAAACAATGACTAATTTGGGGACTAGAAAATAAAGTTCCAACTGTAGAATAGGAATTCTAGAGTAATTCAGTTAAGAAGAGCTGCATCTATCCACTACCTATTGTTCATCCCCATGGATGGCTGTGCAAGGAACACCACAAAGAATGAAACCACTTTTGCCAAAATTATAACAGAAAATTATGACAGTGGGGGCGATCTGATCTGGCCAACCCACATCTTGTCTTTAGCCTTTAAGTTGCTCTTAATTATTCCTGGACTTGGACGAAGCTAACTTTGGGAGACATTTAGTTTATAGTTTAAATGATATTAAATAATATCATAGTGATAATAGCCCTTACCCAAAACTCAACTGCCTTTGTAAAGCTAATGAAAGGCCACCAGACTAGGAGAATGAGAATAGTTTATATCTACACCTCAGCCAAATTCACCCTGAATTTGCTAAGGTGTGAATTTGGCTAAGGTGTAGACATAAACTATTACTAGCCATTATTCCAGAGGTTGCAAGGTATGCAACTTCCTCAGTTACTCCTGCAGATAGCATCACTATTGTAGAACCTAAGATTGGCCATTCAATATATCTTTTCAGGTTTTTTGCATGTCTGATGACCGATGGTTCCACCTCCACACTGCTCCCGTGGCCCCCCCCCAGAAGTGACTCAGCATGCATGAGGATCATTTCCCACTCCCCTATGATTGCACCCCCAGCCAATCAGGAGCAAGCACACATTGCCTAACTATGCCCTCCTCTTCCCCCAAACTATCTTTGAAAAACCCTAGCTCTCAAATGTTTGAATTTTCAGAGAGACTGATTTGAGTAATAATAAAACTCCAGTCTTGCATTTAGCTGGCTCTACATATGTAAAAGTCTTTCTCTATTGCAATTCCCCTGCCCTGATAAATGGGCCCTATCTGGGTAGTGGGCAAGAAAAACCCACTGGGTGGTTCCAAGAAGAAGAATTTATGATATGCACAGGTGCAGAACTCATCAACTTTCCTCTGCTGTATTCATATACAGAATTAAGTTTTAAAAATATTTGGGGATTTGTAGGGTATAAAAGTGGTAGTGTAGCAACATAGGCCCATGTATAGGGTAGTCATGTATTGAAGGCTGAGGGGATGAATGAATGAATGAATGAACGAGATGCTTATTAAATGAGTGAGTATGAAAAAATAGTGTTGAGAAGTTTGTGAGATGAGTAGAGTGGCAACTATGAATAGAAAGTCTACAACTCAGATATTCTGGGTAGACATAACTTTAAGTGATTTTATTCTGATTTAATGTTTTCATGGGCAAAACTATTACCAGAATAATTTTTTAAAGAAGAGAGGGGGAAAAACCATTTCGTGACTATGTGTCCTGATTTAGGGCTTGGAAATTAGGGTCACCATACTTATCAGTGTATATTTTAATAACTCACTCATGGGTTTTAAGATGCCTGAGTTCTGTAAGTTTCCTCCCAGACAACATAATTTACACAAAGATGAACTTCCCCAAGAACATATTCTGCACTAAATATCAAATATCTGAAATGAAAGGATTTATGGGAGGTTTTATGTTTGCTATTTAGGCATGGACTATCCTCTTTCGATTATGTTTTTTTTCTTTCTATAACAGATCAATAAATTTTACCTGAGTAATAAAGCAATTTTGTAGAAATCAATCTTCAATCCTGATTTATTCTGAGTGGTTTGCATCAGTGACTGGGAGATAATTCACAAGATGTCTCTGCCGTTCCTCTGCCAACAGGGTCTTGACACCTGGCCAGAGAACAGTTGTATCTAATCCTCCTCGTTAGCTCATCCCCAGGGAGGCTTCTTTCGGCTGGTCTGTGAAATGACTTGGGTGGCTAGTATTTAGAAACAGGGAGTTAGAAAAACGAGGAGAGAAAGTGAGGGAGAGGGAGAATGGAGAAAAGAAGGAGGGAGGGAACAGGAGAGAGGGAGAAAGAATAAGAGCAGGAGAGAATTTTAATTCCATCTGGTGAGAACAAATTTTTGTTGTGCATGTTAGTGGTGGGTGTTTCCTATCAGAGTGGAATAAGCAATAATAGTGGGTTGGCAAAAGGTCTCAGTTCATTAGAGGAAATGTGGTAATTTTTTCAATTGAGGTAGAAGCTCACAGGAGGAAGCTCCGTAAACAATCTCAATGTGTGGCTTAACAGCTGTCTTTTGCAGCCACTAACATTTTTAATAAGGTGGGAAAAGATGGAGAGCAACACTTAGAATTTTCTTTCTTTTGTCTTATCTTTCAACACATACACATACACACACACACACACACACCAGACAAATGGTTTAATGATTAACTCTTCAGACTTTCATTGAGGCAGATTTTAAAAAATAATAATAATAAAAGGTGCCAGCAAAAACCACAGATCAGACTGGAAAGAGGAGCAGCCCCTTACAAGGGCTTTTATCTCCTGCCCATCATCTCAAATTGTCTTGTTTACCCCCCTGAATCCTGATCAGGCACCATTACTGCACTCAGTGTCCACAGCACTTTAGTGAAGGGAAAATTAATTCTGAATTACTGGCCCCATAACTGCCTGCTTCTTCACATGATCTGTCAGGAAAATAAGCAGACAATAGCTAGCTAAGTGGATTTCTGCTTGCTGCCATTCACAGGAGAAGGGACAGGTGTTCAATGGGGCTTCTTTCTTTCCCCAACTGCTATTTCACAATACATAGAGGAGGAGTTTAATTGCTTGCACCCACCTGCACCCTTGTCATTTCTTGGTTCTATTGGTTTTAATGAAAATATTAAGTGCACTCTAGGAACAGCAGCTAAGTGACATTTTGATTGAAATACACAAGGAAATGTATAATGGAAGCAGGCACTATTACAACGTTAATAGAAACTGAAAGAAGCAACATCCAGAACAACATTTTTGCTATTGTTATGCATATAGCTAGTCCTCAGAAGGGTAATAGGGGACTTACCCTTCTAGCTCTTGGTAAAAGAGGCTTTCACCTCAGCTACCTGACTTTTTTTGGTTTTGTTTTCTAGAAGAATAAAGTGGCCAGCTTTGATGTATTTTCTTTCATTAGACACCTCTTAGATAGCATTCATGGTCAAGCATATATTGGAATACCTTTCCTCTTCTCTGGAGTCACAACTCAGTAGAGTTTCTGTAGAGAAGTTGGATTTATTGACATGAATATAGGATGAAAACAATGATTCCTTGCAGGTGAACTCTCTTACCAGTCGCAAAGATGCGCTGCCTGAGCCAATCTCCTAGACTCAAAATATAGGAAGAAAAAAGTCAAAATAAAAATTATACTATGAAGCATCCTCAATGCATTTAACGTTCATTTCTATCTTGAGCATTATAATAACATGAAATTGTGTAATGGATATAAAATGAAATAACATTGTCATCCTTAACAAACATGCATGCACATACATGCACACACATAAATTGTCCCATAGAATTTAAATTGCTAATATAGAAAATTAATGATCTCATACATTTTATATCTTTTTACTTAAAAGTTAGAATAGGCTGGGTGCAGTGGCCACGCCTGTAATCTCAACACGTTGGGAGGCCAAGGTGGGCAGATCACGAGGTCAGGAGTTCGAGATCAGCCTGACCAACATGGTGAAACCCCGTCTCTACTAAAAATACAAAAATTAGCTTGGCATGGTGGTGTGTGCCTGTAGTCCCAGCTACTCAGGAGGCTGAGGCAGGAGAATGGCTTGAACCCGGAAGGCGGAGGTTGCAGTGAGCCGTGATCACGCCAGTGTGACAGAGTGAGACTCTGTCTCAAAAAAAAAAAAACTAACTAAAAAAGTTAGAATATTTTCTAGTGGGTATTGAGTGACAGAAAACAACATGTTCTTCGTTGATAATGTTCCTAAATGTATATAGCCTTATAAAAGAGCAGTGTGCATGCTTTTTCTTTAGTAGGAAGGTCTCTGTTCATCCATGATTTAAAACAATGAGGAAAGCTTATAATATTGACAATACTAAAAATATAAGAGAGAAATCCAGAGGGACATGTGTTGCATACCTGTGCATACTTGTAGTTGTCTCAGGGATTTTTTGCCCAGTACACACCTAAATAAATGACCTCATTTATTTATTCATTCATTCATCCATTTGTCCTTTCATCCATCCATTCATCCATCAGTTGTATCAGAATCTTTTGGCTGCAAGTTACATATTATTCTCCTGAAAGTGCCTTAAGGGAGGGCCATTTGTTGACTCATAACAAGATACCCTGGGGCAGGGAAGTTCCTTGTTTGGTGCAGTAATTCAATGGTGTCATCAAGGTATCAGGTTTCTTTGATATTTTCTTTCATTTATTTCAAGCCTGTTAGTTTTTATTTTTAAGCTTGCCTCTCCTGACTGCAAACTGACTACAAGTATCACACTCTTAAAAGACAATATTCCAAGATAAGAAATCTGGGTGTCTCCATTTTTATTTGGGAAGAAAATTCCAGAAAGCCCCAGGTAACAGTGGTAGAACCGAGCCACTGGTTCACTCCTTATCCAATTCCTGACAAAGGAGACTTGGGATTTCCATTATTAGCATAGACTAATCATGAATTTAGGAGTGGGCCAGTGGTATGTGGTAAATGTGCAATAATCTGTTCTCTAAAGGGGGAAAAAGGACACTCTTCGATCATAGTATTGGCTGATTTCTGTAGTGCAAACACTTCCATCCTGGCTGATTTCAAGCTACCAGCATGACTTTGCTGAAGCAGAGTTGGGAAGAGAGATGCACAGTAGGCTCATGCAAGCCAGAATGAATTATCTCCAGCACCCATTGGACTGGGGTCCTTTTTCCCTGAGCCTAACTCCACCTAATATCTGAACCAAATCCAGATTATTTTAGGGAGAAAGAAGGGAAAATTGTTGTTGGGCATGGTACCTACAATGTCTGTCTCCTTTATTTGTTCATTTATGCAACACATACTTTTGTTTGCCCATAGGTATTGAAGATAAGTGCTAGACATTTTTGAGGGTCCCACGTTATCTATGCTTCTTTATGAGAAAATCTGATCAGTCACACAACCTTTGCCAATTTGCCAGTGAGCAATGTACTATGCCATTACAATTGACCTGAAGGGAGCAACCACATACAAACTAATGATAGGACTCTCCACAAACAGAGAGGCATGGAACAAATCAGACTGACTCTGTCAGCAATTTGAAGTCACTGATCAGTATTTAATATTGAATCTGGAAGGTCTTGTTGAATTGGGGCAAGCTGGGTGTTTGCAACATGAACAATCAACAGGATGCTGTGAAGAAAGGGAAAATGAAGCTGATTCTTAGAGAGTGGAAAAGTACGAAAGGAAACGGGGTTACAGAAATATGGAAAGAGTGATTTCAATTCTTGGCATTCAATTATAATCCTTCTTGAGGCCCAGCTACACCTCACTTCCTTCCCTTAAATACAGCCTTAATGTATATCCTTGTGTGAGCCATTATTTTATTTTCCTCATCAATTAGAGTTTTTTCTTTCCTTTCTTAATTTTCTTTTTTTCCTCCTTTCTTTCTTACTGGGGTGTGTATGTGTGTATGTGTTTAAGAGACAGATTCCTGCTGTGTCACCTAGGCTGGAGTGTAGTGGTGCAATCATAGCTCACTGCAGCCTTGAACTTGCTGGCTCAAGTCCCCCAAGGAGTAGCTGGGATTACAGGTTCAATTAGAGTTATTAAAATAATTGTTTTTATTATCTCAAATGAGTTTCAATGTGTTTCAGTCAAAACAGTCTTAACACGACATAGAATAGAACACAAAAGTGAGCATGAAACTACAGTCCTCAAAGAGTTCATAATTTAAATGTAGAGATACAGAAATAAACCAATAGGCAAATACTTCCCAAGGCAAAAAATCTTCACTTAGATAAAGCACACTAGCATACCTTGGCTAGTCTTTAAGCCACAAGAGAAGGTTCTCTAGTGATAGTTAAAGACTTTCAGAATCATCTTAATTTGGTGTGCCATCAAAAGAACTGCTCACTCTAATTAGAAGGTGATGTTTTCAGGTATAAAATTTTGGTCCAACTCTATCCCTATTCTTTCAAGGTTCCACTTCTGCTTTGTTAGACCACTCTCAGACGCACAGAAGATGATAATCAGAGTTGCCAGCACCTCTAAGTCAAGGCAGAAACTCCCCCTCACAAAGAAAGGGAAAGTCCACACAGAACACATCTGTGCCAGGGACATAAAGGAACACATGTGGTGTCATTGTCTCTAAAGGAGTTCTGAAGAGTTAGACTGTTTCACGCCAGTAAAACGAAAGGTTTTACAAAATCAGAAAACTATTCTCTAAAACACACGTCTTCTGAAGTGTGATTTGGGTGTCTTACCTTGTACAGATAAAACAGAATATGTGACTCCACGAGCAGAGTTCTCTGTTTTAAAAGGCTTTTGGCGCCTGATAACGTTCCTCCCGGTGAGTTATAGTCTGTTTGGGAGGAAGATAAAGGAATGTTTTTAGTGAAAATACAAAAAGAATCAGTTACATATTTCATGCAAACACTTCCTTTCTGCCTGTGTTTTGTTTCTTCCTTCACTGTTGACCTTCACTTACTGACTCAATTTCAGTTTATGCAATTATACTCTGATAATCTGAAGCTCACTCTGCTGTCACTTCAATTGGCTAAGGGGTTCTTCTTTACTTCTCCTTTAATAGTCATGCTAAGTGGCTATAGAGAGCATTATTGCATTTGCTGGATCTCACTTCTGTTATCACTGCAGCCAGTCTGGGTCACATATAAACATCAGAGACCACCAATATTGGATGGCAGAAATCACATAAGTGTGTTATAAATGTCTTTGTCTTAAAAGAGTGAAAACTATATCATTATGGGAACCGAAAGTTGTGTCCCATCAGCCGCGATGCATCCAGATCTCCCGCAGGGTAACCTTTATAAAATGAACTTAAATAATTTATAATTACCGAAAAACTAAAGTTGTGTTTCTTAAGCATGGCCCATGGGTCACTGTCATTAGGATCCTAGGTATGGAGATGTGCTGAAGTAGACATTTCTGCGGTCCATTTCAAACCTCCTGAATCACAAAACCTGCAATTGCAGTCGGAAATCTGAATTTTTAACAATATTTCTAGGTAATCCCGATGCAAAATTAAATATGAAAACAACTGATTAGATGATAATTCTAGAGAAACTGATGCAAAGTAAGAATCGTTCTAAACTAAAGTTCTTTAAACATCTCTTATACTCTCTACTTTTTAGTTTTCTTTGGACTCTCCTTAGAGCGCAACCGTCTTCATTAAACTGTTGAAATAATATACTCTATCAATTAGAAAAGGCTTTTAATACATAAACAAGTAAACCCGTATATATCAGTGGCTTAAAAGAACAAAATTTTGTTTCTCATTCGTGCTATATACCCATTGTAGATTTAATTGGAGACAATACATTCAACGTTAGTAAAAGTTCCAAATTTGATTCTGAGTAATATAGACGAATGTCTTAAGATTCAAAAGCTATTAACAGAAGCAGAAAGTGTGGAAAAAACTACAGATAAAATAGAGGTAATAAACATATCATTTGGCTCATTCATGACCACAAAAGCCCAATAAATAAGGCCGGATGACATGAAAAAAATGGGAGTGGGGGTATTAAAAGAAACTACCAGCAAATTGTTTCAAAATGTCAAGAGCAAAATATTTTCTCTGCCTCAAATACAGTTATTTTCACCCAGTCAGTGGCAGAGGCAGAATGAAGAAGCTGCTTGCCTAGAACTAAGGCCTTTCCTGCCACTGCCTCTTAATTTTATTTATTTATTTATTTATTTATTTATTTATTTATTTATTTATTTATTTATTTATTTGAGACGGAGTCTAGCTCTGTAGCCCAGGCTGGAGTGCAGAGGCATGATTTCGGCTCACTGCAAGCTCCGCCTCCCGGGTTCACGCCATTCTGCTGCCTCAGCCTCCCAAATAGCTGGGACTACAGGCGCCTGCCACCAGGCCCGGCTCATTTATTGTATTTTTTTTAGTACAGACGGGGTTTCACCGTGTTGGCCAGGATGGTCTCGATCTCCTGACCTCGTGATCCGCCCACCTTGGCCTCCCAAAGTGCTGGGATTACAGGCGTGAGCCCGCATCCGGCCCCTTGCCTCTTATTTGTCCCAGCTTGACTCCTTACATTTTGGTGGTAAATCGCACCTCAGTGAACACCTTAAAATGCCTCATGACTGAACCCCTTTCATTTCATAATTCCTTAGGCTTTGCTTTCTCTCACTGAAAACTATTGAGAGAAGTGAGTTTAGTACTGAGTATTTCCTGCCTGTTTCCCTGACAAACAGGGACTTTAAAGGAAAAATAGTTCAGAGAGGGGAACTTCTCCCCCTATATTGAGGTTAACTTTTCATCTCAGCCCTCTTTGTGCTTCCAGAACTAGCTATTCAGCAGCAGAATTCATGAGACACCATGACTAAAATCTCACTATGGTCTCTGGGGGAAAACACCAACCTTAAAAATTACAAGGTAGAGCTTGTGCTAAAGGTTTATTAATTGACAATATGACAAGAATATCTATGGTTATTTGGATCAAATATTACCAATATGCTGTAACTGCTTTAGCAAAGTGACCCCTCCAGATAGCCAAAGAAATAGACTGCTAAGATGTCATTTCTGGGTAACCACCTCCCAAAAAATATGGACTGCAAAAGTTACTGGGTCTACCAGGTGCAAAAAACCCCCCAAGGCTCCTGTTTCTCTATAGTCCCGAGAAGCTGGGACTATAGGCACAACGTACCACCATGCTCAGCAATTTTTCAGACACGGGGTCTCACTGTGCTGCCCAGGCTGGTCTCAAACTCCTGGCCTCAAGCAGTCCTCTCATCTTGGCCTCCCAAAGTGCTGGGATTATAAGTGTGAGCCACTATGCCCAACTTTAAAACCACGAGAAACTCTCTGATATATGTCACTTTCTTATCCAAAAAAAATGTTAATGGATTCCTGTTACTCAATAACAAAGGCGAAAATCCTGAGCCTCGTACCTTGCATAACCTGTTATTAATCTAACTTTGCAACTTCATTCTCTACTTCTCCAAAGTATGCTTCTCACATTTTAATTGACTAAATTATTCTCCATATGTGTTCAGTATTCTTCAACCTCCATAACTTTGTACAATCCACTTCAGAAGTCTAGGAGGCCCTAATTTCCATCTTCATGGGTTCAAATCCCACCCACCCTTCAAAGCCTTCCTCTACCCAACAAATAATGCCTCCACCAGATGCAGGCTTGTTTTCTCCCATGCCAGATCTTTATCTTCCCCTTCATCAGGGCATGTGATGATTAATTTTAGATGTCCACTTGATTGGATTGAGGAATACTTAGAGAACTGGCAAAGCATTACTTCTGGGTGGGTCTGTGAGAGTGTTTCCAGAGCAGACAGGCATGTGAGTCAATGAACTTAATGAAAAAGATCCACCCTCAGTTTGATAGGCACTATCCGATTAGTTCGGGGCCTGGATAGAACAAAAAAGGAGGGAAAAGCATTTTTTTCTTCCTCTCTCTCTTTGAGCTGGGACCTTCTCCTTCTCCTGTTCTTGTACATCATAACTCCAGGCTCTTTGGCTTTGGGACTCCAGGATCTAATACTAGTGGTGGTCACCTCAGTCCTCAGGCCTTAGATCTTAGACTACGAATTACACCATCAGGTTGCCTGGTTCTGAGGCTTTTGGACTTGAACCGAGCCATGCTGCTATCATCCAGGGTCTCCAGCTTGCAGAGTGCCTGTCATGAGACTTCTCAGCCTTCATAATTGCATGAGCTGATTCTCCTAATAAACCCTCTCTCATCTGTCTGTCTATCTATCTATATCCTATTGATTTTGTCTCTCTGGAGCACCCTAACAGGACATTTATTTCCTAATTTCCAACATAGTGCAGCAAATTGCTTACTCACTCAACCTCAGCCCAGACCAAAGATTCTTTGAAGGAAAAGTCTGATTAACGTTGTCCTTTGCAGCACCTAATGTTGTGCCTTACATTCAGCAGATGTGCAATTATTATGGTCAGAATGAAAATGTATTTAGCACCTGTATTACCTTTGTTAGGTACTTTCTAGAATTTTATCATTGTAAGCATGACAATAGTCCTGTGCAGTTATCATTACTATTATTATCCCCCTTTTGCAGATAGTAATCTGAGGCTTCTTGGGGTGTCTATGGCACTGCTTATGAAACTTTAAGGTGTATCAATATCATCTGGAAGGCTATGTAAAACACAGATGGTTATGCCTGTAATCCCAGCACTTTGGAAGGCCGAGGCAGGTGGATCACGAGGTCAGGAGATCGAGACCATCCTGGCTAACATGGTGAAACTCCGTCTCTACTAAAAATACAAAAAATTAGCTGGGCGTGGTGGCGGGTGCCTGTAGTCCCAGCTACTTGGGAGGCTGAGGTAGGAGAATGATGTGAACCCGGGAGGCAGAGCTTGCAATGAGCCGAGATTGCGTCACTGCACTCCAGCCTGGGCAACAGAGTGAGACTCCGTCTCAAAAAAAAAAAAAACCAAAAAAAATCAAACCCAGATGGGTCCCACCCTCATAATTTCTGCTCCAGTAAATCTGGGGTGAACCCAAGAATTTGTATGTCTATAAACTTCCCAGGCCATATTGCTGCTGTCACAGGAACTACCCTTTGAGAACCCCTGACCTATGACACCGTGGCTGCCTCCTTGCCTCCCTTTCATTGAACTAGGCGAAATGAGTATCTGAACAATGGCAGGATTTACATTATTAAAAGATGTTGTGAACGTTGCTTATCCTAAATTCCCTCTTCTGTAAATCTTATTTAATATGTTAGATTAAAAGTAAATTAGAGGGGAAGGTTATATAGTGAAAGAAGAAAAGGGAAAGAAGGGAAGGGGGTTTAGTGAGGCAAATAATGTCTGTTTATATTAATTTACATTCCAGTGATATGAAGAACATCTGAGAATGTTAAATTATGATCACTACTGCCTACTGGTAGAATTCTAGATCAATTGGAGAGAATGTAAGACATTTCTACTCTTCCAACTTTACAGATGCAAAAAGGGGTTCTGAGAGCTGAACTGTGTTTTAGACTCAGAAACATGCTTTTTAATGTCATATTGAGTAATTGAACATTTTTTTCTTCCAAGGACAAGTTTTCTGACTTTTAATCTTAACTTTGTCACAAAGGGAATAGAAAGAGAAGCCTCTGGAGAATTTCTCAAATGGAAGCACATTTTAATTTTGGGATGATGTTAATGGAAACACTATAATACAAATTCTCTTTTCCTTTGAAAAATTTTCTGAGAGGCAAAATAGTACAACATTAAGAAATACAATGATGTGGCAAACAGCCCTTCTTTGGGGCTTTCGGGATTGAAAATAAAGTTTCTCAAAGGTGATTCCCATCAAGTAGGGCAAAGGTTCAGCAACATGGATCTTTTCGAGATTTATTTGTATTTTCCCAGAGGTTTCTGAGAGGTGGCCTGTTCCTGCTCTGTGACTATCTTCAGAGATGGTGTTTCCTGGTGTGTGACCCTCAGCATATTAAAATTCTGAGATAGTCAGTTTAAAAAAAACTAAAGCTCTGCAATTTAGTGGCTGTCATTAAAAGACACAGGGTGGTAAACAAGATGATTATTTGAAAATAGAAATAGAAAAAAAAGAAAACATTCTTAGAGGATATTCTTCAGCTCCTCATTATCTCCAGCCTGCGTTACTGTCCAGTTTACTTAGCAGCCTCCAGTCTTAGTGACCCTTCAATTCGCTCCACTCCCATCCAAGTGCTCTTTCTAATACGATTTTATTCCTGCCCTGCTTAGAATTCCTCAATAATTCACCATTTTCTTCAGGAAAATAATAGACTACCTTTTGTGTTGTATCCCAAACAGGGTTGCACGTGATTCATTTCACTGTCCACTATGTCTTAAGTTGCAGTAACGCTAAGCTCCTACTCTTCCTTCAAACCTGATTTTTTTTTTTTTTTTTGAGATTCACTTTTGTTGCCCAGGCTGTGGTGCGTTGGCACGATCACGGCTCACTGCAGCCTCCACCTCCCAGGTTCAAGCAATTCTCCTGCCTCAGCTTCCCGAGAAGCTAGGATTACAGGCACCCGCCACCATGCCTGGCTAAGTTTTTATATTTTTAGTAGAGACGGGGTTTCACCATGTTGGCCAGGCTGGTCTCAAACTCCTGACCTCAGGTGATCCACCTGACTCGGCTTCCCAAAGTGCTGGGATTACAGGCGTGAGCCACCACACCTGGCCAAACCTAATATTCTTTCTCATGACTCACTATGTTTCCCTCAGCTTTCCTCAGTCTGGAAAAACCCTTCTAAACTCTACCCAATCTCTCCTCTGCTATGTTGTCATTATTAATTATTTACAAGATAAATGCTTGTTAGCCCTTTTACTGTAACTATATCCTGCGTGAGGCTTGCCTTAACTATGTAGGTTGTCTTAGGCAGACCTTATTATGTAGCCCTCCATGGGAGGCTAACTAGTGCCCCCAAGGTTGTCCAAGTCCTGATCCCTGGAACCTGCTAAGCTTACCTTATATGACAGAAATGACTTTGCTGATGTGATTAAATTAAGCTTCTTAAGGATGAGGTGATTATTCTAAGTTATCCAATGACATTAAATGTAACCACAAATGCCTTGTAAAAAAGAAGCAGAGGGAGATATGACTTTAGAGGAAAAGGCTATGTAATGACAGATGCAAACATTGGAATGATGTACTTTGAAGATGGAAGAAGCAGTCACAAGCCAAGGAATACAGGCAGCTGCTAGAAGCTGGAAAAGGCAAGGAAGTGACTTCTCCTCTAGAGACTCCAGAGGAAGTGTGGGTTCACCAACACTTTGATTTTGGTCCAGTTAAACCCATTTTAGACTCTGGCCTCCAGAGAAGTAGAAATTTATATTGTTTTTTCTTTTTCTTTTCTTTTTTTTTTTTTTTTGAGACATGGTCTCACTCTGTCGCCCAGGCTGGAGTGCAGTAGCACGATCACAGTTCACTGCAGCCTTGATCTCCCAGCTCAAGTGATCCTCCAGCTCAGTCTCCTGAGTAGCTGGGACTACAGACATGTACTACTATGCCTGGCTATTACTCAGGCTGGTCTTGAATTCCTGGGCTCAAGCCTTCCTCCCACCTCGGCCTCCCAGTTGGAGGGATTACAGGTGTGAGTCACCAGTCCTAGCCACATTTCTGTTGTTTTAAGCTACTAAGTTAGCAGTAGTTTGTTATGGCAGCAATAGAAAATGAAAACACCTTCTCCACACTGTGCACCTCTATTATAGCAAGTGTTTCAGGCTTTTGTAATCATCTGTGTACTTGCCTTCCCACTAGATTAGGGGATCTCTACTCATCAGTTCCAACTATCTATCTTTTAATGCCCCTTCCACTATACTGAAATTAAGTTCATCTACATTCATAATTTGAAAATGTGTTACCTATAATATATAAAGAAATACAAGGAAAGGAATTAATAATAAATGATATTTATTCTATGTGTAAATATATGGACATAATTATATGTCAGGACAACTAGGATATTCAAACACTGGCTCCTATAAATAGAATCATTAAGTATGTGACAGCTATGTATGCAAACCTACAATACAAGTGTGTTTTATATTGTAAAACAGGCTTACTGTTTATGACATTTGTTTATGAAATCATGCAGAACTCTTGGTAAGTTCTAAAAAGAAATCAGATGAAAAGAGAATTATTTCTTTACTTTCATGGTAGTTGTATTCTTGGAGAATTCGCTGTAAATTAAAACTACATGAAAGTTCTTTGTGTTCATTGGTTAATTTCTGGGCTCAGATAACCTTGGTTTTCACCACATGAATACTTAGTAAGAGACTGGTAAGTTAAGTGTGACATGGGACATTCTTCACGTGTGGAAGTATCCTGTGTTCTGCAGAATGTCTGACATCCTGAGCTTCTGCCCATTAAATGCTAATGACATCTTAAGGCTAAGTGCAGTGGCTCATGCCTGTAATCCCAATACTTTGTGAGGCCAAGACAAGTGGATCACTTGAGGCCAAAAGTTTGAGGCCAGCCTGGCCAACATGGTGAAACCCTGTCTCTACTAAAAATACAAAAAGAAAAAAAAAATTAGCCAGGTGCAGTTGCACATGCCAGTAGCACCAGCTACTTGGGAGGCTGAGGCATGAGAATTGCTTAAGCCTGGGAGGCAGAGTTTGCAATGAGCCGAGATCACACCATTGCACTCCAGCCTGGGCGACAGAGCAAGACTCTGTCTCAAAAAAAAAAAAAAAAAAATGCTAATGGCATCCTATAATTATTATAGCAACAAAAAATGTGATAACAAATATTCAAAATGCCTCCACTGGTAATCACTGCTATGTACTCTCAGCTCCATGTAACCAGTGATTGTGTCTTAGTCATCTAAATTGTGGATCTTCACACCTGTGGTGGGCGGTGGCTCGGTTCTAAATTCAGTTATGTAAGCTTCAGTCCCAGCTGCTTTATCTCTTTCCTGTGCAAGCTGATTCCAGGTTGGCCAGTGATTTTCTTCTCTGCCTGTCTCCATTCTGGAGTTCCCATATCACCCTCTGGTCCTGCTTGCCCTAGAGCCCTTTTCTCTGATTCCTCTGGGTAAAAAGATTAGTTTTTTGTAACCAGAGTTTTAGCCACCACTGCAACTATTGCTGACCACATGGCAAAGTTGTAAAAATATAAAAAAATGCATTCTATGCAGGGCCCTTTCTCTAAGTTTCCAACTCCCCTTCAAAATATTGTTGCTTTTAGTCCCAGCACCCTCTAGGTCACTCCAGATCCTCCCAATCCTTCTATTAGTTATTTTTTGGATTTTTCCAGGGTTGATAACTGTTATTTGTAGGAGGATTGCTATGTTAGGAGCTCATGCTTTGTACCAGAAATGTGTACATTTTCTTTAGAGAAAGAAAAAATCTTACAGAAGTATTAAAACAAATCATAGCTAGTTAGCTCTGTATTATTTTATATACACTTGAGTTTGTCAAGCACAATTCAGGAAGTGTGTTCTCCTTACATATAAATGACCACAAGTTGTAGATTGTCCATTGCTCTGGAAATTCAATAATTTCTACGTCTGGATGGTTCAGACCTCTAGATAGCAGTGTGCTTGCTTGAAGCTACTACTGTGACTGTTCAAAGTGGAAGGTTCTTTGGTAATTTTGCAAATGGATGAAAATACTAGTGGGCTTTCTTTGAACTCACCCTGGTATTAATTGCCCTTATTTCTGAAAGCAGCAGGGGAGAGGGAAGTTGGCAAGGAAGAGAAGAAGCAGCCAACATTGACTTCTCTTTCTCTGTGCTCTAGTGAATAAAGGATGAAACATTCACAGAGAGATGAAAATCTTTTGGTTTGCCCTGAATCAAGCCAGCATGCTTGATGACTCAGGGAAGGCATTGATGGGTACGATGTTAGAAGAAGAAAGAAACAGCAAGCATAGGTTATGAACATATTGTTCTGCCTGTAAAATAGCCACTTGTCTACTTGCCCTGTACAAAGAATGATTTATCCAGGCAAGAACACCCTGTAGGGAAGTGGATCAAAAAGAGAAACCAACAGGTGAGATGAACTAGAGCAGGGCTTGTCAAACTTTAATGTGCAAACCAATCTCCTGGAGGATCTTGTGAAAATGCAGATTCAGACTCAGCAGTTCTGGATGGTGCCTGAGATTCTGCATGTCTAACAAGCTCCAAGTTGATGCAGATGCTGTTCTAAATTTCAGTGAACCAGAGGCTTTCAGATAGCAACATTTTACCTAGAGCTGATCCTAGTGCCAGGTGAGGAGAGTCAAATGATCGTTTCATTTATTTTACTGCCAGGAAAAAATTCCATGGGGGAAAGAGGAAAAATTTTTACTTGTGTTGGTCAATTTTTTTGTGCGTATTCAAAACACGATGTTAATTTATTATCAGGGTTAGCACTTATTACGCTCCCACTCATTCTGGCTGCTTTGCAACAATACAGCTTGTTATGTGTTATGAGATGTCAACAGCTGTGTTATTGATGCTAATGCAATTTTTCTCACTAATAATTATAATAAAACTACTACTTTAAGCTTGGAATTATTTTACCCTGATATTCTTTTTGGGGCGTTTTATACCATACTTTAAATCTGTGTTTTTCTTTCATGTAATAAGAAATGAGAATCTATTTATATTTGTCATTAAGCTTGGTTTTCATGATATATTTTAGTTGAGTTTTTAATATTTATGATCACAAAATTCAGAGAGAAAGAATTAAATAGCTTATTCTTTACTTTGTACCTGTGTTTTCTGAAACGTAAGTTGAGACTGGTGGAAAAACAAAGATTGCCCTTCCTCTTCTGGGTATGAAATGTACTTTGCAGAGCAAGGATACTAAAATGTTAGAATAGTAGAAGTCAGGGTATTTTGATGGTTTCGGACAATGGGAAAGAATATCAGAAAAATACTTCCATAGACATTTGATAAATATGATTGGCTAATGTAAAAATATAATAACAAAATAGTCTTGAAAATTCATCTGACTCCCTAAGATGATCCCCCATTCGTGCAGCCTGATCTTAGCATTGTCCAAACAAAACAGAATTATTTTGTCTTAAGTCCCAGGAGCATATTTCACCCCAAAAATTTAAATGCATATTGAGGATTCATACTCTCATTCAACAAATATCCTACTGTTTTTAAAGGCATTGTTAAAATTCCTTTTAAAATTCCTTTTAAGTAGGTTTTGATTTGGTAGATAAGAAAGGCCCATTAAAAAAAAAAGATGATTAAAAGAAAATAAATCAACCTAGTAAAATAAATCAACCAGTAGAACCTGTATACAAAAGAATCTGAGAGGCAAAAATAATTTGGTGATTCAGAAGAGATAGATGAGGCCACATTCCTTTGGACACTTTAGAGGAGGTTCATAGCAAAGGGTTAGGGGGTGGGGAGGTCGATCTATACTATATTGATTTTTAGTACGTCACACCTCTCTTTGATACTTCTGAAGCTAAAATAAATTACAAGTTTGACATTTTGGGTGTCATCTTGATATTTTTAATGGCATATTGTCCTCCTGGAAAGGTAAGGAGATAGAAGGTGAGAAGAAAGCAAAAGAGGTCCTATCACTAACCACAACCTTCTATATATTTCTTCTTAAAAGAGAGAGCTGGTAGAAGATGTTGAAACCATAATTAGGGAATTAAAACAACTGTAAGAAGAATGTTTCCTGCTTTTAAATCCTCCATTTCAATGACAACTCTGCTTTCTTTTATCATTTAGGATCAGCATAAAAACTTTTATAAAAAGATTAGTTTGGGAGAAATGGATCACCTTTAAGGCCTTAAAAATTTTGTGATCGAACCAATTCCCACACATCTTGAGAGAAATTAATTTATTCAGTCGTTCATGCACTGAATATATTCATTAAACATCTATTTTCTAACAAGTACTGGGCTATAAGCTACATAAAGATGAATAAAAGGTAAATGAAAACAATTGACAAATATGCTTATTAGAATAAGGCTAATTATAAAGGAGAGGAGAGTTCATTTTCCCTGTACATAGCATTTGTTCAAAGCAGAAAACCTTAATTATGCCCTCATTGAACCCCTTCCAAAAAGATCTATGAATAAGATGATTGATAATAAATTCTAAATTAAATTGTGCTTAGAGAAATTTTAGAAATTACAGAACAGAGAAAGAACTAAGGAATACATTCAAATACTGGACCTACATTAGCACAGCTTTCACTAAACAAACCCAAAATGGTTTTTAAAAACAAATATTTATATCATACTCACATTACCTGTCATCTTTGGTTTGGCTATGGTTCTATACTGTATACCTTCTTAATCCTGGGTTCCAAGCTAAGGGAGCAGCCCTTATGTGAGGCAAATAATCTTTGTTGGGGAAAGGAAAGAAAAATGGTGGAAGAAGGCAATGACTCATAAAGCATCAACTCAGGCATAGCATATATTCTGATCACATTCCACGGGCCAAAGCAAGTCAGATGGTAAGTTAATGTTAATGAGTGAGGAGAAATGTAACCATCTAAAAGTGAAGAAGAGAAAATAATTAGAAACAATTAATTGATATTTAATTAAATAAAATTTAAATTATTCTTTTAGAAGACAAAGCAGAAAGATTGAGAAAGAGACCAGAGACAATACATTTAAAACAAATTTGCCAAGGGTTTAGATAGGATAGCACCTATCTAATATTCCCCTATATGGCATTTAGATAGGAGCAATAACTCCTATATGGCTCGTATATGGCTGAAGCAGAGGCCTTGTATGTTGTTCAGGTTAAATTGCAGACAACAGAATTCACTCTAGTTAGTTTAATCAGAAGGGAATTTTTACGGTAAGAATAGACACTTAAAAAATTATTTAGCTCTCAACTTAATTCAAGGAATAGTTTCCAGGCTCAGAACTAATTCACCTCTGACATAATTGTAAAATTTACTTCTCCCTCTACAGAAAGTTTTCAATCCACTATTGGCACTTCTGATTGCAAAACACATGACTTCTGCCATAACCAGGAAAATAAGCTGCCAGAATGGAAAACTGCTGAGACAGCTCTAGAACCATCATATCTGCTATATTGTATGCAGCTAAATAGATGCTCTACCCCGTCCCTCTTTTCACATGACTTTAGGGATCAAGATTTACATAAGAACATTGATTGGTGGAATATAAATCACATTGAGAAACCTGGATACAAAAGAATCTGGGAAGGTAGTGTTTTTTAGTAATAGAGAGGCTTTATTTAATCTTTATAATAATTATGCTATTTGGTTAGTGTTCTTTTGGTTTCTTGTGTTCTACTAATCACACAAGAAATGAAAGTAAATAAATAAATAAAAAATAAAACATATTGAGAAATCTTATAAAGGTTATACTTATTTTATGTTGGCTTTTTTATTTTTAGAAATGAAGTATATCAGGTAGAAAAATTAAAGTCCCAATAATTGAAAGACATTCTTTTCTAAGGCTAACAAAGGCGGGAAACAAAACAATGACTCACATTTAACAAACTCTCAGTTAAAGAGAGAACATTCTGACCAGAATTTGATATGAAATCAAATATGCTTTTGTTTATCGACTATAAAGAAAATTAGCACTTTTTCAAATATTATTTAATAAGAAAGAAAGTAAAGCTACAAGAAAGTTGAAAGAATAGTGTTTGAATACCTGATAACCATTCACCTGTTTCACTATTAAACTATTGCCACACTTGCTCTCTCTCTCTCTCTCATATAAATAAATGCTTTATTCTCTGCCTACCTTCACCTGTTACTGTGAGTTAGATTTTGCAGAACTATTTGAAAGTAAGTTGCAGACATCATGACACTTCATCATGAATCATTCAACATGAATATCCTAAGAACAAGGACATTTCCCTACTTAACCATAATACCGTTAACATACCCAAGAAATTTAACACTGACTCAATGGAAAATATAACTTTTAGCTTTCAGGGCATTAAAAAAGAGGTTGGAATGGATGTTTACTAAACCTGGGCAAATTGTCTTTCATTTTTAAGTTCAAGAAATGCCTTCTCTTATATAGGGGTTGACTTTGATGTCTAATGCTGTCAATATCCTGTCAGTCCCTGAAGGTGAATTTTCTACTCAATTCCTTTCAAAATCATTTCCCTTCTGGGCAGAAATTATCATAAATGTAGCAATTTATTCTTGCTATGCCCTGAGAATTAACTCAGGGTAAGTTGAACTTGCAGCGCCAGAGTCAGGCTCTGACAGAACACATCTGTTTGGTGCCAGCAGCTGTAGCTTTGGTCATAGAACTCATTTTCAAAGTGTGAACAGGAAAGAATTGGGTCGGGTTTTTTTTTGTTTGTTTGTTTATCTGTTTGGCTTTAATGATGTCCACAAAAAGAAAAGATGGAAGAAAATATGCTACTGGTATTGCCTCTGTTACTTCTATAATTCTGAAGCACCTTATTACAGTAAATTAAGTAAAATTCAGAAGGAAAAGCAAAATATAAATCTGTTTTTTAAAATAACTGCTGCAGGTTAAACACAACACAACTCTCTTTGTAGAACTGAGATGAAAAGTCACTACCTAGAACCATAACTAACTACAGTGTCTTTTGCATCATTCATCTCTAGAGAGATGGCCTTTAAAAATATATATAATTGCTTGTTAACTCACTTTAAGAGCAATCTGAAATGGAGGGAGAGGAGGAGGAAACTTCTGAAGCATAAAGAAGCAACTCCCTGGGTTGATTTCCTCCTAATGGCCATGGCTTTCTTTCAGAGATACTTTTTCTGTACATCATGCTTGCACATTTTGATTTTACAAGTGACACAAGCTTTTCATACCTCCAATAGGAGCATGTCTGAAAAAGTACAAAGTCCACTCTTCCTAGATGCTCCTTTATCTATCCCAACAACACCTGAAGCTTCTAATACAATGATGAGAAAGCTTGCATTTTATTTCTGTCTTAAGAGAGTTTAAAATGAATCCAGATTATACTTTTCACTGTTTTCATTTCCTTCCTAGAGATTTGAAAATTCTGAGATAGAAATTTCAGAATTGTTTAAAATTAAAGGTAAGAAAAATGACTCGTGAATAAATAAATCTCCACTTCATGGACTGAGGGCTGAGATATTATTCATGGCCTCCTTGATAATTTTGGAAGATAGCTACAAGTTATTTGATAGTACAGCTGGTCATCCCTATCTGCAGATGTTAAGCCCATGGATGTGGAAAGCTGACTGCACAACACCATTTTATATCAGAGACTTGAGCATCCACAGATTTTTTGTATTCACTGGTGGTCCTGGAATCAACCCCTTTAGATACCAAGTGATGTCTCTATTTTATTGATCCATATATATGAAGAAGCTAATAGATGTTAAGTTAGTATTTGTCAAATGCTAAGATGCATTCAAACTTTTGTAAAAACTCAATGAAATGTGAGCAGGTAAGTCTAAAAAAGGGGGAAGACATTTGCTCAAGGGTTTAAGGGCAGCGACCATAGCAGGAAATGTAAAACCTTTTTGTTTTAGGAAGTTGGGAGATACTATGGTGGTTAAAAGATGGTCTCAAGAAATAAAAGTACCTTGTGGTTGGCCTTATGAAGAGAAATTAATCCGTTTTAGAAAAGCGATTTAAAATGTATATTTATTGAGGACCTGCTATGTTCAAAGCACTGTGTAGAGCATATCTCTATTATATAATGAAAAAAATGTTTTACACATTCGTTCCCTATAAAAAACAGGTACTAACAATCCAATGGAAACCAGAAGACATCTTCCAATACCTCGTGCCAAACCCCCTTCCACTTCCATCTTCCATCACTCAACCAATATGAATTCATCAACACAAAACATTAGTTGATGCATAGAGAGAGCAATCTTGTTTCTATTTGTATGATTTGAAGTAAAAGAAATAATTTATTTTTTCCTCTTGATTTTCCTCTTATCCCTAGGCACTACCCTTAGTTAATGTATTATGACTTTGTCTAATAATATAGTAGATACAGTGCTTGAGTCATGAAACAATGGATACACCTTATCTTTCTGTCATTTCTTCTATGACACCTAATGTGAGCCATGTTCCCCCAACTTTTAAAACTTTTCCTCATTCTTGAACACATATATTGTCCTGGTTTAGGTTACCCCAGAAACAGCCTTGGGGCAAGGATTCATGTTTGTTTGGAAGGTACAGGAAACGTCAGTAAAAGAACAGAAAAATTAGACAGGAAAGGGAAACAAACTGATAAAGGAATACACATAAAGGCTTGTAGATTTGTTTCTATTACAAGGAACTGGAACTGAATTTCACTGGGAGAATCGTGAAAGGCAGAGTAGAGTCTTCAGTGGCAAGGGAGCTGGACATTTATACACAAATTCTTAGGGGATATTAATTCCTCAGCTCTTTGGCCAGCCTACCTATAGGAAACAGTGGCATCCAGTCACTTCGGAGAACACTCTCAAGCAAATAGGTTAAGATACTCATGGTTAGAAGTTGACCACTGAAGTTGGAGTCCCAAGGGCTATGAGAGATGTGCCTCTGCCATACACACTGTCCTGACCTGTGGCCTCATGTATTCTTTATTTTCCCCCATAGGTCTTTGCTCCCCATCTCTTCCCACCTTCTACTTAAGCAATTTCTTATGATATTATCTCAAAATCATCTTTTTGATGCTTTCCATAACAACCAAATTAAGTTTATTCTTTCCTTTATTGTCCTGTGTAACACCTATGTAATATATAAAATAATTCTTATCTTGTTCTATTTTGTACTGAGAATATTTTTAAGTATATGTTTCACTTTTACTATTAGAAAATGTGATTTCAAAAAAATAGGGACTCTGTAAATTCACATCTCTTTCAGTGTCTGGCAAAGTGTCTTGCACACAATTGACACCCCAAAAAACTTCGTAGAGGGAATTTACTGAATGAATGTGCACTGAAAACTAAATAGCACAAGGAAATAAAATGCTGGTATTTTAGTATCAACATTTATCTAGCAAAATGTAGATAAGTACATGCACTACAAAAAGCACATTTTATTCATACTACCAAATGAAGCAAGGATTTACAAAGAAAAAGTCAAAGCACAAAAAGATTTGGTATATATTGTTTTCAACCTGATTATGATAACTTTACTTTGGCACTTTCTCTCAGCTTTTTTATTATCTAGTTTCAAGCCCTCAAAGTTCCACTTGTTAAATACATTTTTAGTATTATTTACAAAGTTACTATAAATTCCATGCGATTGAAATCACTACAGTTGAAACTTTCATTATTATCATAGCAGGTAATATCTGCTCATCTCTGTCATGCTGAAAATATCTCCCTTTCCTAATAGCCAGAAAATATCTTTCTCTTGCTCTCTTTGCCTTTTAAGTGAACAGATTTGATGTCACTATGTTATTATCACTTTCCTTCTGGCATCATTATCTCAGGTTTTCCCTTAGTTTATGAACTGATTTTATTTTGTGAAGTGCAAGCTGCACAAATTAAATATATTAACATTATTTAAAGTCATATTGTATTTCTAGGTGGATCTTTTACTGATAGAAATAGGTGAAAAATCTTGATAATCAGGTATGTTTGGACTGACGGAAAGAGAACTCGAAGCGATAGAGAACAGGTGAAGTTGTAAGGGTTTACTGCTAGGCTTTCATTCAATAGTTAAGGTTTTACTTCTAGTACTATTTGAAAGGTAGGCATTTCAGTCTAGGATTTCATGATCCTACAGTTTATGAGCGAGAAAGTATTCCAATGGTCTATGTCTGCTTCTGTCTTTAGTTGTCCAGCGTATTTAGATGATATCGCCTGAATCCACACAGGAAGACATATATCTAGGGATTACCAACTCACAATTGGGTCCATAGATTATGAGGACAATAAAAAAGACAATGGCTGCACATGAATGGATCCATGTGGAATAAAATATGCTATACCATCACATTACAGATAGTTCTGTATAAATATCATGTGCAAATATTTTACTAAATTTACTACTATAGATGAAACATACAAGAAAAATAGCAGTGATCTGAGTCATTACTATGGGATAAAATGATATGCACTAATTTTCATCTTGAGCTAAAATTCAAGACACTATAATAGCTTTTAATATTCTTTCCTAAATATATGGGTATCACTGCCTTTAATCTTAGAAAAGGATGAGGGTTAGGATGTGGCTCATTGAAAAGATAGAAGCAGCTGTTATGTCATAATCAAAACAACTCTTCATCTCTGCCATGATATTTTATGCAAAGTTTTGTGTTTGTTGCATATATTTCCATACTTAGAATAATATAAATAGGAGTTAACATGTAATATTGATATACGTACATATATATATATATATATATATATATATATATATATATATATATATATACACACACATACATACAGTGTCCCAGCAAAGGAAGCTTAGATTTGAGTCATTTTAATGTATGAAACGACATTTTTCTTATTTAAAAAACCTATTCTCTAAAGGATTCTGAACTTCCTTCAAAAGACCAGATTTAAGTTCCACTTTTTCATTTACTCACTGTATGATGTTGGGTAAATTACATAAACTTTCTAAGCTCTACATGTCTCATTTAGAAAAAAAAATGATGATTAAATAGTGTATTTGAAAACACTTTATAACGTATTATACTCTACAATTCTTTATATTATTCAGAGTTTAGATATGCAATTAAAAAATTACCACCAGAGGAAAATAGTTACCTTTATCTGTTTGACATCTAATATTCCATCAGTTTTTTTTAATTTGCTAGTTCCTTTTCTTTTTGCTCCTGCACATTTTTCTTTTTGCTATAGTTTTAACACACAAAGACATCTTCCTTTGTCCTATTTAAGTTCCTCTCGTTGCCTTATAATCTTAGGAGAGAACTTCTAATCACTTAAATTTTTATCAGACACACAAATAAATGAAAAAGTCTGAAGTTCACTAGTTCTGGGATGGAGATTATTCCTGTGGATAGCATCCAATTTAGCCACAAAAATAAATGTTCAAAGCCTTATTTTTTTGCAGTGAAAGCAAACCACTTTGTGACTTCAGTTATGAAGAAATGATGTCAAAAATCAATAAAACAGCAGGTTTTCCCTAATCCAACATCTTTTCTGTCAATAAAAGTATACAATTATATGATAGAAAAGATGACAGTTAGGGAGATTTCAGTGGGATAAATACAATCTTCCAGCCTGATATATTCAGAGACCATTTGTAAATAGTATGTTTCAGTTTGCCCCTAAAAAGTACTAATTGGCTATGACTAAAGAGAACAGCTGGGATCAAGGACTGAATCGAGATCACAGCCAGGCAGACAGCAGCCTTTCACCCCATGGAGCTTGTGTCTGGTTAGAGACACTTTTTTCTGCCAGTACTATTTCAACCACCCAAAAATATTCCTGCATTTGTCCCCAGAATTATATTCCCGATATTCCCAAATGTCTGAAAGGTCATATATTCTGAGCGGAGGAGATGCTTAGAGCAATAATATTCTGGGAAGGTTTCTGTTCTCCTCAATATTAAACCAGTGACTGCCTCAGTATTGAACTCCAGAACATTACTATGAATATTGCCTGGGAAGAGCATTCCAAATTTTATTGCTATGATGATGAAACAAGGCAAAGACCAGTAATTTGGGTGAGTACTAAGGTATAGCTGAAAACAGTTTCTCTGTCTCCTGACACCTTAAAACATACCATGCCTACCTATTTCCCAGTCATTTCTATGACTTTTTTGTGATTATTTTGAATAAAATGTGTTTTTTATTCATTTTTCTATGAAAACACTATTCTTTTTTATGTTTTATTTATTTTTATTTATTTATTTTTTATTTTTATTTTTTATTTTTTAAATTTTTTTATTTTATTATTATTATACTTTAAGTTTTAGGGTACATGTGCACAATGTGCAGGTTAGTTACATATGTATACATGTGCCATGCTGGTGCGCTGCACCCATTAACTCGTCATTTAGCATTAGGTATATCTCCTAATGCTATCCCTCCCCACTCTCCCCACCCCACAAGAGTCCCCAGAGTGTGATGTTCCCCTTCCTGTGTCCATTTTTGAGGCAAGCTTCACATAGCATACAATTAACCGTCTTGACCATTTTAGAGTATACAATTCAGTAGTTTTAAAATTATATTTGTGACATGGTCCAACAATCACTGTTATCTAATTCCAGAACATTTTTATCACCTTACCCAAAACATCATATATCCATTAAGCAGCCACTCTCCAGCAGCCCCTTACCCCAGCCACTGGCAACCACTTTTCTGCAACTATGGATTTGCCTTTTCTGAACATTTCATATAAATGGAATCATACAATATGTGACCTCTTATGACTATCTTCTCTCATTTAGAATAATAATTTCAACGTTCATCTATGTTTGTAGCATGCATCAGTACTTCATTCTTTTTTATGACTGAATGATACGCCATTATACAGTTATACCACATTTCATTCATCTATTCATCAGATAATGAACATTTGGATTGCTTTTACTTTTTGGGTATTATGAATAATAATGTTATGAACATACATGTACGAGATTTTGTGGACATATGTTTTTAATTATTTCGAGTATATACCTAGGAGTGGAATTTCAAATGAGTCGTAAGGTAACTCTACGTTTAACTTTTTGAGGAAAAGCCAAAATGTTTTCCACAGTGGATGCACCATTTTCCATTGCCACCAGCAACGTAACTTCTCCACATCTTCATCAGTACTGAGGTTGTTGTTGTTGTTATTCTGCTTTTTCTTTTTTTAAATATAGCCATCCTAATGAATGTGAAGTAATAGCTCATTGTGGTCTTGATTTGCATTTCCCTAATTACTAATTATGTTCACCACCTTTTCAGGTACTTAATGGACATTAGTATACATTTTTTGGTGAAATGTCTATTCAAGTCCTTTGTCCATTGATGGTCTTTTTGTTGCTGAAATGTTAAAAGTTCTTCATATATTTTTGGTACTAGACTTTTGTCACATATATGGTTTGCAAATATTTTCTTCAGGTCTGTGGGTTGTCTTTTCGCATTCTTGATGGTGTCTTTTGAAACACAAAAATATTAATTTTGACAAATTAATTTTTGATTTGTTCCTTATGCTTTTGGTGTCATATTTAATAAACCATTACCTAGCCAAAAAGCCACAAAAAACTGCTTCTAAGGATTTTACAGTTTTAACTCTTGTATTTAGGCCTTTCATATCCTTTGAGTTAAATTTTGTATATGATGTGAGGTGGGAGACCAAATTCATTCCTCGGCATGTGTTCCTCCCATAGTTCCAGAACCATGTGTTATGAAGACTATTATTTCCCAGTAAATGGTCTTGACAAAATTGGTGAAAACCAGTTAATCACAGATGTATGGGTTTAGTTCCAAACTCTAAATTTTATTCCATTGATCTATATGTCTATACTTATGCCAATATCACACTGACTTGATTAATGTAACCTTGTAAGTTGTGAAATAGAAAACTGTGAGTCCTCCAAATTTGTACTTATTTTTCAAGATTGTTTTGGCTATCCAGGGTCCCTTGCAATTCCATATGAATTCTAGAATTGGCTTATCCATTTCTGGGGAAAACAAACAAACAAACAAAGCAACTGGAAATTTGACAGAGACAGCATTGAATCTGTAGATAAATTTAGAGTATTGCTATCTTAACACTATTAAGTCTTTTGACCTAGTAATTTGATATATCCTTTTATATTTATAGCTTCTTCAATTTCTATCAAAAATGTTTTATAGTTTTTAGTGTACTTCTTTGATTGAATTTATTCCTATTTTAACATTTTTGGTGCTATTATAAAGGAAAACATTTTCTTAATTTTATTTTCAGATTACTCATTGCATATATATATAGAAATACAATTGATTTTGTGTATTTATCTTATATCTTATTACTTTGCCGAACTAGGGTGTTAATTCCAATAATTTCTTAAAGTAGATTCCTTAGGCTTTTCTGTATATAGTGATCATGCCATCTCTAAATAGTTTTACTAATTTCTATTCAATTTGGATTCTTTTTTATTACCTTATTATTTTGCTTAATTTCCCTGGCTTGAACTTCCACTACAATGTTGAATAGAAGAGGTGAGAGTCAACATCCTTTTCCTGTTCCTGATCAGAAAAAGAAAGCTTTCAGTCTTTCACTATTAAGTATTATGTTAACTGTGGGATTTTTACATATGACCTTTCTCAAGTTGAGAAAGCTTTTTATTCCTAGTTTGTTCTCTGTTTTTATCCCAAAAGAGTATTGCATTTTGTAAAAATCAAGATGATTTATCCATTTTGATTAATACACATTTTGATTTTCTGGATCTACTGAGATGATCATGTGGAGTTTTTTTTCTTCATTCTATCAAGATAGTGTATTATATTAATTGAGTTTGTATGTTTAACCATACTAGCATTTCTGGGATAAATCTTACTTGATCATGGTATTTAATCTTTTTACCATGCTGTGGTATTTACTGTGCTAGCGTTTTACTGATGATTTTTACATGTACTCTCATGAAAAGTATTGATTTGTATTTTTATTTCCTTGTGATGTCTTTGGCTTATTTGCCCCACTGATTATTTAAGAAAGTGTTCAATATACATATATATCATATATTTCCCAAATTTTCTTGTTATTGATTTCGAATTTTATTTTATTGTCATACAAATAACACACTTTGTATTATTTTGATATTTTTAAATTTATGAAGATTTCTTTTGTGACTCAACATATGGTTTATTCTGGAGAACATTCCTTGTGCACTTGAGAAGAATGTTTAGTTTGATGTTGTTGGGCAGAGTGTTTTACAGATGTCTGTTTGGTCTTGATGGTGCAGTGGTTTTTAATTATTGTATTTATTGGCTGATAGTCTGTTTAATTGTTCTGTGCATTATTGAAAGTGGGGTATTGAAGTCTCTGACTACTACAGTTAAATTGGCTTTTTTCCCCTTTACACTCAGTTTTTGCTTCTTGTATTTTGGGATTTGTTTTTATGTTCATATGTGTTTGTAATTGTTCTACCCTTTATTGATAAATAGACCATTGTATTTATTTAATATCCTTCTTTGTCTCTCAAATCAATGATTGTGTTAAAGTCTAGTTTGATATTAGTATATAGCTTCTCTTTCTCTTTTTTTTTGTTACTCTGCATGGAGGACCATTTTTCCATTTTTTCTTTCAAATTATTTGTTTCTTTGTATTGCAAAAGAGTCTCTTATAGGCAAGATATAGTTAAATCACTTTAAAAAAATCCATTCTGGTACTCTCTCTGCCTTTTAATTTGAGATTTTAATCCATTTACAGCTAATCAAGTTATGGATAAGGAAGAACTTACTTCTGTCATTTCCTCATTTTACTGTTTGTTTATGTATCTTACATCTTTTTATTCCTTAATTTCTCCGTTACTGTCTTCTTTTGTTAAACAGTTATTTTCTAAAATTTTAACTCACTTTAATTTCTTCCAGTATATATATTTTAGTTATTTTAAAAAGTTGCCCAGGGCATTATAATTAACATTTAAATTTATAACTGTTTAGTTCAAATTAATAGTAACTTAGTTATAATAGTGTACGTAAATGTTGCTACATTAAGGGGGTATGGGGTGACATATTTGTGTATAAATAGTATAAATAAATATATAGCCATATTTCCTCTTTATTTTGTTATTTCTTATGTTACACGAATGTACAGTTTAATTGAGATTTAATATTGTTTTATATAGTCATTTTTTAAAATTACATAGAAAAAAAGAAGTTGCAAACAAAACACAAACACTGACTTTTATATATCTACCTCTATAGTTACTTTTATCTACATTCTTTATTTCTTTTTAAAATTTGAATTGCTGTCTAGTGTCCTTTCATTTTAGCCTGAAGGATTTCCTTTAGCATTTCTTGTAGGGAAGGCCTATTATCAAAAAACTCTCAATTTTTGTTTATATTAGAATGCATTAGTTTCTCTTTCATTTTTGAAGGATGTTTCTGCGTATATAATTCTTAGTTGACTATTTTTTTTCAGCACTTTGAATATGCCATCCCACTGGGTTCTAGTGGTTTCTGATGAGAAATCATCTGTTTATTTTATTGATATGACTTGCAGATAGCAGATGCTTCTTTCTGGCTGCTTTTATGTGTTTTCTCTTTGTCCTTGGCTTTTGACAGTTTGATTTTAATGTGTCTTGGTGCAGATCTCTTTGTGTTCATTGCACTTGGAGTTGGTGGAACTTCTTAGCGTGTAAAATAAAGTTTTCATCAAATTTGGGGAATTTTTGGCCATTATGTCTTCAAATATTCTTTCTGCCTCTCCCTCTCGCCATTCTTTTGTATTTCTGTTTCTCATACTGTATAATCTCAATAAACTTACCTTTGCACGCACTACCTACTTTTTTCTCTGCCTGCTCAAATCTACTGTTAAACAACTTCAGTGAATATCTTATTTCAGTCATTATAGATAGCAACTCCAGAATTTCTGTTTTGTTCCTTTTAGAATTTATATCTCTTTATTGATATTTACTATTTGGTGAGACACATTTTCATGATTTTCTTTAGTTCTTTGTCCATGGTTTTCTTCAGCTCCTGATCAGATATAACACTGTTGCTTTCAAGTGTTTTCTTAGTATCCAATATCTGGGCTTTCTCAAGGACAGTTTCTATTAATTGATTTTATTCCTTTATATGGGACATAGTTTTCTGTTTCTTTGTATTCTTCATATTTCTTTGTTGAAAACTGGATATTTGAAATATTATAATGTGGCAATGCTGGAAATTAGATTCTCCCCAGTTTCTAGGATTGATTCTTGCTGATTGTGGCAGTTTTTGTTTGTTTAGTTACTTTTCTAAACTTATTTTGTAAAGTCTGTATTCTTTGTCATTTGTGGCCACTAATGCCTCTGTTTCATTGACTTAGTGTTTAGCTACTGACTGGACAGATTTTCTGAGGCCCCTGGAACAAAAAATGTTTCTCCCTCAGTCATTTAAGTTGGATTCTGCATGTGTGTTGGGGCACACTTTCAGTGTTCATTCAGGCAATTTACGACTTTGCTTTAGCTCTCACTTCTGCTTGTGTAGCGCCTTAAGGTCAATCAGAAATAAGAGCTTAGGGCTTTCTCGGGTATTTTTTGAGCTATATGAATAGTTCTAGGGATGCACATGACCTTCTAGATTCCCAGGATTCTGCCAGAACTTTTCAAAGTCCTTATTCCCAAAAGCTTCTCATTCCTCACTCTTTCCTCCTAAACTTTTTGGTTAGTTTATTATTTTTCCCAACTGTTATACAGTGCCAGGTAACTGTAACTAAAACACTTGCCTTTCTAAACATTTTTAACAAACCCACTCTGGGTGACCACTGGATGAGTTCAAGTTAGGTGAGAAAGTACCATTAAGCTGGTCCTCTGAGGAACTACCAGATAGTCAAAACAAACAACCGTCATTTTTGGCAAGTGAGGTTTGTTTTGCTTCCTCTAGTATGAGTACCTGTACCAGGAGTGTGAACTGTGATCTTCAAGGCTGCCATTGAGCTGGGAAGTGGAGATCAGAGCAGGATAAGTTAAAACATTTTAAAGCTCCCTGTTCTTTCTGATATTCAGCTCTTTTTCCTAATTAAGTGTTCCCTTAGTAGCTTTTAATTAGTTCCCAGAGTTCTGAAAAAGTTGATTCTGACAGGTTTCCCAGTAAATTTATTCCTTTTATGGAGGGACAGAATTTTGGATTTGTTACTCAGCCATTTTCACTGATACCAATTTGAGAAGCTATACCTTGTGTGTGTGAGAGATATACACATCTCTCACACAGAAACATATTCATATATACATACATACCACATAAACATCTCATAACGTTCACTTTATTTAACTCTCTGACTTATTCTAAAACATAATGTGGTTGATTGTTTTGTGTGTGTTTTCTATGCGTCATTATGTAACCCACAAAGAATTGACCCTCTTTCTTCTCTTTCCCACAGATATGCTTTTTAATTACTCTCACATTTCTATAATGATCAGAGTTTCTATTGCAATTTTGAATAATGTTACTTACTGTGAGGTATCTTTATATTGTTTCATATTTTAATGGAAATAGAGATTATTACACAATTATAGAATTATAGTTGATATATATTGTTTAAGGAGACATTTTAACAGAATAAAGATACACTTCCCATTTTTTCAGTAAAATAAGATAGTTACTGGCTCATGATAAATATTTTTAAATAATTTTGAGTAAGTTTTCTAGTTATATTTTTTTAAAAAAGTTATTCAAATGAACCTTAAGTGATTTAAAATTTGCTAAGGTTATATATATATATATTTTTTTTTTTTTTTTTTTTTTTTTTTTTTGAGACGGAGTCTCCCTCTGTCACCCAGGCTGGAGTGCAGTGGCAAAATCTCGGCTCACTACAACCTCTGCCCTCCGAGTTCAAGCAATGCTCCTGCCTCAGCCTCCCAAGTAGCTGGGATACAGGCACCTGCCACCATGCCTGGCTAATTTTTTGTATTTTTAGTAGAGACGGGGTTTCACCATCTTGGCCAGGCTGGTCTTGAACTCATGACCTCGTGATCCACCCGCCTCGGCCTCCCAAAGTGCTGGGATTACAGGCGTGAGCCACCACGCCCAGCCTGAGATTATACATTTTTTGTCTTGAATTTATTGATTTCCTAACATTAGCTTCTTAATACTAAAACAAAGCTCATATTTTCGGGACTGATACCTATATACTCATAGTAGTAGACTTTTAAAAATATACTATTGCCTTCAGTTTATTATTATTTTATATCTATTTATAATAAGAAATATCTGTGATTTTTGTTTCTGTGCTGTTTTATCTTTTTCAATTTTGAAAAGTCTGAAAGATCCCATTGGTAACAAAAACCTGGTGATGAGGAAATGCATAAAGACAACTTCTGTTCACATTTTAAGTTTTAATCCACAGTAATTTAAATATCTATTTAGAAATTTTACTTGTTATTTTTACTATCTCATATTCCTCAAAGATTATATACTTTACTGAAATTTTAAAATAGGGTAATTTAGAATTATAAATGTTTTCCTAGAAATACTATTTAAATTTTTTCATAGTGGTCAAATTATCTTTAGATTTCTAATTTTGTCTATTTTATTTGTTTTCCTAGAATAAATTTGATAAAGTCTTCTTTTGTATGTTGACTTTTATTCAAAAATCAAGTTATTTATTTAATTATTGACTATATTTAATTAATTATTGACTATTAGTTCCTTAGTGGAAGCATGTTAGGCTATAGAATTTTTAGTCTCAGGAGTAGTATCCTTACCGTCATGACTTTCTAAATTATCTGTGGATTTTGTTTTGTTTCCTCTTTGAGTCAAGAACTACTTGTCAATATTTTTATATCCAGTTTTATTTCTTTGTTAGAGAATACAGTCTGTGTCATTTGTGAACTTTGGAAATTCTTGCGTTCACTCAAATCTAATATATAAAATTTTAATAGACTCTTGGATATGTATATTCCACTTTAAATAAGCTAAGTCCAAAATATTTTTATTCAATGTCACTAAATATATTATTCAAGTGATATATTTATTTTTGTTAAGATGAATTATAAAAGATTAGAGAAGATATGTAAAAATATTCCATTTCATATATTTTTCTAAAGGTTTTTGATTTATACATTTTATGCTGTCTTCCTCAAATCAGATAATTCATGGTCGTCATAGCTTTATTATTGTTTGACATTTTTATTAATATAAAGTTACCCTCTTTGAGCCACTTAAAACATTTTTTTGGTTCTGAAATTTTACTTTATGTAGGCAATATACACTTTCTTTCTTCTAATGAATATTTTCTGAACATTTTGAAGACCACTTTGTCCCATTTTATTTTAGGTATAGCTCTTGTAGATAGTACACTGTTATATATTGTCATTTTTTTCCAAAGAGCCCTCATCTTTGAACTGGACTATTTATATTATGCCCAATAATCATCAAAACAGATAGGTCTGATCTTAATCTTTTTAAGTTTTATGGATAATATTTAATGCTTTCCTTGATGTTTAGTATTATTTTGTTTTCGTTATTGGAATATATTTTATTTGACTATAGTTGCTGCAGTGACCTGGGGAGTAGATACTCATTTGATTTTACTGATTGTCATACTTTGAATTAAATGAGTCTTATTGTATATTTCTTTGATTATCAAATGTAAAAATTCAAATAGTAATACTTCAACATTATTTTTATGTTGAAAATTACAGAAACAATACCCAAATGAAATGAAGCAAAAATGAAAATGGGTTAACTCCTGTAACTGGGAAGTTCTAGGATGAGTCAGGCGTCAGTCGTAATTACATCTAAGAATTAAAATGATATCCTCAGGAATTTGTTCCTCTTCATCCATCTAGTTCCTGCTGTCTTTTCTCCATGAGCTAACAAGTATTTGAGCTTGAATTGAACTCATGTTTCTGGAATCATAGCCCATAGTTAGACAGTACTAGAAACAATTCACATTGTAATCTTTCAGCTGCCTCTCTGTTCTTCCACCTTCTTAATTGATTTTTAAATTTTTGTTTCATGAATATGGCCAAGTTTATCTTCCTTAAGGTGTCTGTATTCATTGTCTTTATGGCTGGTCTAGGTTTCCTGCAAATTGTCCATGGCTTGCTGTATCACTTCATTGAAGATCAACTCAGATGTCACTATGAGGGGCTTCTGTGATCAGCTAAATCTAAAATATTTCTTTCGGCATCTGTGTCAATTCCATTACCTTATTTTATGTTCTTGGAAGTACTAATCCATTTCTGAACTTAATTATGATTTACTTTTTGTTGACATTATTGCCATTAAGATGTAAGTTTCATGTGAACAGATGCCTTATCTTTATGGGATATTACCACACCCGAGCGCTTAGATCAGTATCTGGAATTTATTGTATACTCAAAAACAATTTCAGTGAACTAGAAAGGCTCTCAGATTACTATTCAACATGTTTGATTTGATCTTCTAAATCTTTAATTTTACTGTTTAATATTCTCACCTTTGATTTCAATTCTGATTTTCTTTTAATTCTTGCAATTCTTCCATATTTCGTTATTCCATTATTTCATTTCACCATATGCCACTAGATAGTGTCTTTATTAAAGCGACGCCATTACATGTGTCTTCTTATTGGATATATCGATTTGTTTTCTTTTTTTTTTTTTTTTTTTGAGACGGAGTCTCGCTCTGTCGCCCAGGCTGGAGTGCAGTGGCGCGATCTCGGCTCACTGCAAGCTCCGCCTCCCGGGTTCACGCCATTCTCCTGCCTCAGCCTCCCGAGTAGCTGGGACTACAGGCGCCCGCTACCACGCCCGGCTAATTTTTTGTATTTTTAGTAGAGACGGGGTTTCACTGTGTTAGCCAGGATGGTCTCGATCTCCTGACCTCGTGATCCGCCCGCCTCGGCCTCCCAAAGTGCTGGGATTACAGGCGTGAGCCACCGCGCCCGGCCTATCGATTTGTTTTCTAACAATGTCTTCTAGGTTCTATTATAAATCACCTTCGCGAATTTGTTGTTCTTCTAGATATTCATGATACTTCTTTGTCCTTGTTTATGCGGCATTTTAAGGACATTTTTTTTTTTGCTTTTCCGTCTTAAATTTGCATATAATCATTGTACATATTAATGAGGTACATAGTGATGTTTCAATACATATAATGTATAGTGATCAGATCAGGATAATTAGCATATCCACCATCTCAAACATTAATCATTTCTTTGTGTTGGGTGTATTCAATATGCAGTTTTTAGCTATTTGAAACAATACGTTATTGTTAACTATAGATATCCTATAGTGGTATAGAACACTAGAACTTATTATTTTCATCTAGCTGTAATTTTGTATCATGTAAGAAATCTCTCCTTATCCCACCTTCCCCTCAACCTTCCCAGCTTCTGGTATGCTCTATTCTACTTTTTACTTCTATAAGATCAATTTTTTTTGGCTTCCGTGATGAGTGAGAACATGTGGCATTTAACTTTCTGTTCTAAGCTTATTTTACTTAAAATAATGTCCTCCAGTTCCATTCATGTTGTTGCAAATAACAGGATTTTGTTCTTTTTTATGGCTGAATAGTATTACATTGTATTTATACGCAACATTTTCTTTATTCATTTGTCTGTTGTTGGACACCTAGGTTGATTCCATATCCTGGCTTTTATGAAGAGCACTGCAATAAAAGCAAGAGTGCAGATTGCTTTTTCTTTTTAAATATTGGAATGAGAAAAAAAGATACGCAGGATAACTGACAGCATTGGGGCAATGAATTTCTTGTTTTCTCTCTACACTGTCCAATTTGGGTCAGTTTACATTCTCTTTTTAATGTCGTTTTAAACAATGGTAGTTATGTAGAGCTTGCACCCCAATTGTCAGTGCCTCACAGGTATTCTTCTGAAATACCACTGAGATGAGGTAAGATTTTCCTCTTATCTTTGTGTCTAGTTCTGAAACCCTCCAAACTGTTAAAACACAAGAACAAAAACAGATTCCTGCATTTGCTATACCTAATATTTGGGGACAAAATACCCACTGATGTTATTTCTTACCTCCCAGTGTACCCATTCCCTAAACACACATATTTATTTATGCATAACCACTTTTCTTCTCTCTTTTTTGGTACAGTTTTAGTCCTGGAATGGATGTAGAAAGATTGGTGGTGGGGTCAGCATTCTCTGTCCCGAAAAGCAGAAGAATATCTACCTGGTTTTGTTGTTTGTCAGGAAGCAGACAGTGAAGAGAGATGAAATAACTTCCTACACTATTTATTTTTTGTTTCATAAAACATGGCTTGTGAAGTCACAAGTGGTTTGTTGTTGTTGTTGTTGTTGTTATTTTTTGTTAATCTAGCACCTAGAGCTGGGTAGTAATTGGAATTCCCAGGCTTAAGTAATAGGTTTTCTATCAGTCTTCATTTTGGGGAGGTGTGAATTTTTCTCTTGTTCTGTTTCTTCATAGGTATTTTAGTGATAAATTGGAGAGGCTGCAGCAGAAGTTCCCAGTCAGATGCACTTTAAGCTGAAAGAAGAGAGAGTGTTTTTTGTGTTCACACGTGTCCTGCAGCCAAAGTGTGCTATGATACTCCTTTGGAGTTTTTATTTTTATTTTTCCCTCAGCAGGACCAATCCTGACTCAAAATCTTTAAAGCTTATGGACTGTGAAGTGATCAGATTCACTTGACATTATGCAAAGCACAAAGCTTTTGGGTTTCATTATTTGTGTTGGGTTTAATGAGCCATATGGGGAAAAAAACTAACACCTTATCATTGTGGGATGGTTAGCACAAAGACAATTAGCAGCACAGGGACATGTTCAACCTAACCTGAAGCCCTAGCAACCTTTGAGGGTTAGTTTTGTTGTTCAATATGCTTCCCAGGAGTTGTCGACTGAGATTTCTGCATGGTTAGGTCCCAGCTTTCAATGAAAGCCTAGAGCACAAGCATTCAGTAGCGTGGATGCCCTGCGTGTGTTTGGTGCATGTTGACGAGATCAAATGCACTTTCTTCATGGACTCTGATTTGCTTTATAAACCTGAAAGATAACAAAGGTTGCAACTAAATAAATCAGTCACCAAGTGAAAAATACGTCCTCAGCTCAGCACATCTGTGGAATAAATCTGAGAGACAAGAGAAGTCACAAGGACTGCTGACAGGGACCATTCACTTTACTTTCCTCAGAAAGGACATTTAGTTTTGCTGAAATCAAGTTCAAAGGATGAAGCTGTCAGTCTACGCACATACACACACACATACACATACCACACATGTACATACACACAGCGGCTGCCTTTGGATTTATAGATCTTTGCTCCAAACTCACGATACTTTTAGCAGAAGCCTAACATCTAATGGTTTAGTCCAGTTAAATTTCCAACCAAAGGGCACCTGAGAGCACATATATGGGCAACTGACTTTAAGAATGAATATTCACTGGCAGTAACAAGAAACAGATCTGCAGCAATGGTTTCACTACAAGTAAAGAAATAGATTGAATTGAGAAGACTCTATTCTGTTTATGATGCTTTACTCCACAAAAACACATTCTTCTACTTGGCTTTGATAGCCTTCAATTATGGGGCCCATCGTGCCTGGCCTCTCCCTGCTCTTCTGTATCTAGAACACCATTTCCTTCCCCCTGTGTTTCCTGTAGAAAAATTATGTTCAGTGGAACTTTCTGCAATTATAGAAATGCCCTATGAATGCACTATTAAGGTAGCCAATGATCACATGTGTCTATTGAGCACTTGAAATGTGGTTAGAACAATGCAGGAACTGAACTTCTAATTTCATTTAATTTTAATTAATTTAGTTTAAAATTTAAAATAGCATCATGTGGCTGGTAGCTACATAGTAGAAAACATAGCTCTAGATCTTTACTATTAAAGTGTGGTCCCTACACAGTAACATCACCTGAGAACTTTCAGGATCCAACATCTTGGACTCCAAACTCGACATACTGAAACTGAGGCTGTGGTCTAAAAAGATCTTCAGATGATTTGCATGTTCTGTAAAGTTTGAGATCTACTACTCTAGACAGCTACTCATGCTTCAAAATTCAAGTTGAGTCATTTCTTTAGTTAACCAGGATGAACTTACCAGCAGTAGTTACAGTGCTGAGGGCTCTTGATACTTCTCGGGGCCTACGAAATGTTTTAATTTCTTTTAAAATCAGAAAGAAAAATGTGAATTTCTAGGTCAAAGAAAATGTTTTAATATGTAACAATGCATTCATCTTTCTACAAACACAGTCACAAGTTGTTATTATATATCATATGCAATATTTAACAAGTAATAAATAACATGTAAATAAAAGAAAGGGCATTACAGAGGCAAAAGTGCGAAGGACACATGAATGTCATACTATGGCCCTATTGGTAACATCTTTGCATCCCTAGCATGACTCAGCATTATCTCTTCCTGTCCTGTCGTGGTAAGGGCGGAGACCACCCCTCATATTGTCTTATGCCCAATTTCTGCCTCCAAAGAAAAAAGGAAGTAAAAACTAAAAGGCAGAAATGAAATCCTCAGGCAGACAGCCTGGCGCCACACCCTGGGCCTGGTAAAGATCAACCCCTGACCTAATCGCTTATGTTATCTATAGATTACACACATTGTATGAAAAAGCACTGTGAAAATCCCTGTCTTGTTCTGTTCCATTCTAATTACCGGTGCATGCAGCCCCCAGTCACATACCCCCTGCTTGCTCAAATCAGTCATGACCCTCTCACATGGACCCCCTTAGAGTTGTAAGCTCTTAAGAGGGACAGGAATTGCTCACGCGGGGAGCTCGGTTTTTGGAGATGTGAGTCTGCCGATGCTCCCAGCAGAATAAAGCCCTTCCTTCTACAACTTGGTGTCTGAGGGGTTTTGTCTGTGGCTCGTCCTGCTACAGTGGGTTTGGTGATCATCCTCATCACAGTGTACTACAAGGATGTATTTGTTTGTCCCTTGGAGATTAGAACATGCCTTGCTTGTATCTACAGAACTGAGCCTGTGTTCTGTAACACACCTGGTGCTCAATAAATGTACAAAAGAAGAAAGGAAAGAAGGCAGGAAGATGAGAATAGATTCTGATAGATTTAGTACTTTACTAGAGAGAGTAAATTATTGTAGTCATGTCTCTTAAATTAATTATGATAAGATGAAAAGTAAAACCAAACCCTCAAAGTCATGATAAACGAGCCTCCCATTAGGAGATACACAGAAGCAAATCTTTCTCCTGCCAGAAAATCGTGAATAATGTGCTGTGGTCAAAAGAAAGAGCGTTACTCTTGGTATTAGGACACTTGAGCTTTCTCCTTGTTGTGTCACTGATAATTGTTTCTACATTTGGTCATGCCATTTTACTGTTGATGTCTCAATTCCCCATTGATAGAATAAGATAATAAGCAGCAAACTGTTTTTGAATTCCTACTGGGTCAGTGAGTTTTTAACAACTTTTAGTGAATTAATTTATTTAATCTTCTCGAAAACTCTATTATGATACCATTTTACAGATGAGAAAACCAAAAGAACAAAGAGTTTAACGATCGTGCCCCAGATCACACAGTACTCAGATTCAGGCTCTCTGATCTTATTGTCTAAGTTGAACTGTTACTCTCTATTGGCTGAGATAAATGATTGCATCTTATGTAGTGTTATGGGCTGAGTTGTATATTGCCCCAAATTAATATGCTGAAGTCCTCACTTCTAGTACCTCAGAATCTGACAGTATTTATAGATAAGATCTGTAAAAAAAGTGATTAAATTAAAATGTGGTCATTAAAGTGGGCCCTAATTCAAAATAACTAGTGAATTTATAAGAAGAGAAAACTAGGACACAGATTTGTAGAGAAGGAAGACTTATATGAAAACACAGGGAGAAGACAGCCATCTACAATCCAGGGAGGAAGAGAGGCCTCAGAAGAAACCAGCCCTGCCAACACCTTGATGTCAAACTTCAGCCTCTAGAACTGCATGAAAACAAATATCTGTTGTTAAAGCCACCCAGTTTGTGGTATTTTGTTATGGTAGCCCTAGCAAGCTAATACATATAGCACAAGACTTATATAATAATGAATAAATGGTACTACTAAAATATGCAAAATGTAGGCTCTCATTCATTCATTTATCCAACAAATGTTATTTTCTATTAAGCAAAAGCAATCTGTTGGTTGCCAAAAGAGATAACAAGGAATCGGATAAGTTTATATAATTATATCATAAATTAATATTTTATTGACTTGTCCTCAGCCTATTCCACCATGGCTTACAGCCACCAGACTGTAAGCACCATGAATGCAGAGTGTGTTCAATAAATACCTGTAGAATGGATGAATGACTGAGCATGCTGCTGAACGAAGCCCATTGTTTGGGTTTTAGGTTGGTTTTGCAATTGAAGAAGCACAGTTGGTTGTTGTTATTATATGATTCCTCTTGTTCTTTTCAAGCACATCTTTCTGGCATCTCACTAGTGAACACACCAAAACATCTCTCCTCTCTGCTTCTGGCTGTTGAGTTACATTCTTTCCTGGTTCCTCTCTCCTCCCAGCTTCTTTAGCAGTTTTGGCTAAGGATTTTTCTTCCTCCTCTAGGCTCACAGATGTCTCTTCCATGCCCTTCCTTGATGGAGCGTTACAAAAATCTTTGACCATTTCTGGCAAAATAGACTTTTTTTGGGTGGTGAACATGGGAAAATGGTGGCCAAAGTGGGAAGTGAGTTGAGCTGGCTTCACTTGGCTGGGCTGGGTACAGGAGGGCACTTTGTGAACACCCTCATGTACATAGTGCATATTTCCCAGAAGAAGAATCCTTCTTCAAGGGGCCTATGAGCCAATAGGAGCAAAATATATGGGAATAAAAAGTGACCATTTTAGAGAAGATGTGATCACTTCCTAGTAGTTGTGCTTGGCTCTATGTTTTAGTTTAGTTATGTAACAAATTACCCCCAAAGTTTAACAGCTTTAAATAACAAATATTCCTTCTCAAAATTTTTGTAGGTCAAGGATCTAGACGCAGCTTGCTTATGTGGTTATTGGTGGGATTCAGTTCCTCATAGGTTATTGGACTGAGTTATTTGACACGTGGGCTTCTCCACAGGGCAGCTCCCAACATGGTGCTGGCTCTCCTCAGAGGGTAAGGGAGAGCAAGGGAGATGAAAGACTCTGTCTTTTGTAATCTAATCTCAGAACTGAGAACTCCTTACTTTTTCTTTATTCTGTTCATTAGAAGCAAGCCACAAAGTATACCCCACAATTGAGGGAAGGAGGTGATTACACAAGGGCATGGAAAGCAGGAGGAGGGGTCTCCGAAGCCACCTTAGAGACTGCCTATCTTACTCTTGTTCACACTTGACAAATACTTTTTGAATAAATGAGTACCCAAAATGTGAGAGACTCAGATAAAGGGCTAGAAAATTCAGAGAAGTAATGGGATATGAAAAAGGCTTTTTACAGGACATGACAATTTTAGTTGGAGTTAATGGATTAGGATTAGGTTTTGTGGCGTGAACAAAACATGTGTAGGCAAAGAAATAGCACTAATGGGAGCCTGGAGGAAAGAAAATAGGGGCCAGGAAAAATATTAGATCTGATATCGTTAAAGGCACCACTGCTGTACACCATAAAGACCCTTGTTATATGAAGTCATGAAGTTTTATTCTTGGCAAGTGGTGGCCTTGTTGAGAATTTCTGCAAAAAACCTGAAATTCATGAAGGGCATGCCTTCCTAAAGAGTCAAACCACAGTTCTGAAGACATTTCTCCTAATCCAAAGATTCAAAGAGCAGCTGTCACTGTACTCATTTAGTTGGCTTCCTGGATTTTGAAAACCATCCACGCTCATCATTCCTCCCTTGCCACGCTGCTTTCATTAATGTTGCCCTGTTTGGGCAGAAGTTGCCCTGTTTGGGCAGTATCTTGGTTGTGAACAACTGCTTCTTCTGAGGTCTTGCCTCACCACGGGAGAGGCTGCAATCAAATATTATCAACACAGGGGTATAAAGTCCTCTTATTTCCAAATCTGAAGAGTTGTTCCAGCTTTCTGAGATAGGCTGATCACTTAGCCAAGTCCATATTGCTGCTCAAATCCCCTTCCATGCACAGATGTGAATTCCATGAGAACTTCCTACTAAATCTCCTGCATGCTAACCTCCATCTCAGGGTGGTATCCTGGGCCACCAAATCTGAAATATCCCTGGAATGTTTGACTAACTGGATCACTAAATAATTTTAATGAATATTCTGCAAATTATTGACCTGGCCTTATCAAAAATGAGGAACCGTCTTAGAAAGAGTTCTTAAACTCAAACATCTTACAATCTAGTGAGAGAGAAATGGTTAGAAAACATTAAAAAACAACTAAGACATGTTGGAAGAATGAAAGTCATAATTTATCATAAGGTTATATCACTTATAATTCATTTTAATGAATTAAAATGAATATAGTCTCATCTAATGAGAGAGACAAAGTGGAATGAGGAATCTAATTATTAATTAATTATAATGAGATTATAATCTCATAGCCCAAAGAGAGAGACAAAATTAATAAAGATGCAAAAGAAAAACTAAAATATCTTTATATTTAATCAAGGTGCAAAAGAAAAACTAAAATATCTTTATATTTAATCAAGGTGCAAAAGAAAAACTAAAAAGTAGTTATAATAACTTTTACAAAGAAGCAAGCAGTTTATAAGGAAATTTTACATGCATTATCTCATTTAATCATTTAAACCAGTGCTACAGGTGAAGTTATTAGCACAAGTTTATGAGTGGAAAAGTGAAATGAATGAGTTTAAGTGGTCTGGCTAGGAAACAGCAGAGCTTAGTAAACTCAGCATGAAGAGGAAATGAGAACAACTGCATTCCCAACTTGTTTTGTCACTTACTCATCCTCTCTTTGGCACTGGATTGATGTGGCCAGGAATCTCATGTGTTCCTGACCCTATAATCAGCCTTTGTCCCACTTCTCCTTTGACAATAGTTTATAAGATGAGAAAAAGGTTCTTAGCTAGTCTTGTTCATTCTTAAGGTCTAATACTCTTTTTATTACTTTTTTTTCAATATTCCTGTTTAGGTTTTGTGGGTTTTTAGTTTTTTTTGTCTTCATTTTTACCCCCTGCTTATCCTTTCTTTAATCCTCTCTTCTCTTTTACTTCTAAAGTTGTAAGCCAGCACTGTGCAATAGAAGTCTCTAGAATGATGGAAATGTTCTATATTTGTGCTGATCAGCACAGTAGCCACTAGTCATTGTGGCTATTGGGCACTTGATATTTGGCTAGCACAACTGAGGAACTGGCTTTTTAATTTAATTCAAATTTAATTGATTTAAATTTAAATAGCCATGCATAGATTGTGGCCATAGAATTAGACATTGTAGTCTAAGCCTTCATTGGTGCCACAGTCCAACCGTCTCTTAAGTCTCCTAATTTCTTTCCCCCATGGTGGTGTCTCCTTATGAAGAGGCTGCAATTCCATTCTTTCTATTTTTATACCACTCTTTCTTTCCAGCCCCAGTGCCATGGATACCAGTTCCCACTGGGCATTTCCGAAGGTGGGGGATACTCTACAGGTGCATACACCAGTAGTGTTGCCAGGCATGTGTTGCTGGGATAGGGACTATTGCCAAAGAGACAACTTGGTCATTGTATGGCACTTTATTTTAAAATATTGTAGAAACATGCTGAAATTCCCCTTGATCTGTTTCTTATGATGTGAATAGAAGAAGCTTTCTTTACACCTTCTCTGGTTTGTGTAGGTTTTATATACAACTAGTTAGTCCCCCGCCACTCCAAGTAAATGATTTTACATCTCTGAATCATACATCGCCTTCTCTGCTCAGGAAGACCCTTCTCATCTGTCCCTATCTAAATCCAAAATGTCCATTTTGCCTAGTATTTCTTGTTCAGAATTAATGACTCACTTCTGTGTGTCATCTAGCTCTCTATTGCTTTGCTCATTATAGCCTGAAGTAGATTATTAGGATTTTTTAAATTTCTTTCTACTCTACTAAATTGTGGATTCTTGAAGGACAGGATCATGCTGCTTGCATCTCTGTATCCTTCATGGCTAAGGAGAGTATCCGGAACATAGTAGGATCTCAGTATCTCTTCATGGAATTTACACGTCCATTTGGCCTCTGAAAACCACATCCTCTCCTCTACAGCTTGTCTACTTTCTTTTCCTGAGGCCAACTGTTAGGAAATGATGTTCTAAGGTAAGAATTTCCTTCACACAGCACCCTAGTTGCCCTCCTATCAGGGCCAATGCAGATTCCACCTAATAAATGTGGGTTCTGGCACATTTGTTTATCAACATATTTCTCTGTGTGTATGTGTTATTGTATTTTATTCATTTCTGGTGTATTTATTATGGATTTCTTTTTATTTCCATAAATAACACTACAACTGAAGCAACATATTATCTGTTAAGCATCTCCAACAGTCAGAAGGCATTATTATATGGCTCAGTGTTATCTTTACAATCTTTGTGTACCTCCTCTTCCTTCCACCTCTTCTATTTTTCATCACTATCCTTAATTATGCCAATGAGTCACATGATGGGACTGCCCCAATTGTAAATTTTCTGTAATTATTGCCTCCTGCACATGCCAGATGCATCTGAATTCACAAAAGCTCAATATGCATTTGACAAGTTATTAAATACTAAACCAAAATGTGCTTCAGCACCTACGCTTGTGAACTGCTGCAGTAAATAAAAGTGTCTGATGATGAAAGGTATTTATCCTATTTGATAATTTCAATTAAACCGTTTCAGATGTGAAATTTAAAACACTCATTTCCTCAATCCTTGCTGCCTTTCCTTGGTAGTTTGAACATGACTCTTAGATTCCTTTGGCTCATGACATGATGCTATATTGAATATTTTCCTAACTGCAAATTTGATTTTCAGTCACATTCAGGCTTATCTCATTGTGTGTTATTATTGTACTTGTCAGCAGAGAATCTTTGCAATTGCTCCTTCAAAACTTGCATAAATTTGGTGATCTGTAGGAAGTTATATTTAAAGTATTTTAATAACTAGTGTGGCACCAACCAATTATAATGGACACCTGCAGGAGCTCTGGGGCTGGTTTTTGGAAGGCCCCCTACTAGGCCAGGCTTTAACCCTTTGGCTGCAGAAGAGCTCTTGGAAGTATCCAAAGTGAGGTACCAAGGCAGCTAAGGTTTGGTGGTCAGTGACCCTCCGGGTCAGGACAGCAGCTCTTTACCAACTGCTATGGAGTAGTTCAATAGCAGTGCACATCTGCTGAATGTCATTCTTGGTGATGTGTTTATTTAAGAGCCAGCAGAAAAGAAAATAATTGTTCAGGCATTTAGAATGTGTGTCAAAGGGCTAGTTTCAGGCTAATGTTTGTCTGGCTTTCAACTCTTCTTTGATTTGCACAATTGCATTTGTCCTTAAACAATTACCAAAAGGACATGTTCTGCTCGGGGCAGAATTCACCTTCTTATTCTGAGAGATAGTTAATACGTTATCTGGCAGGTGAGAGAACTGAACACAGAGACTCACCCTTCAGAATTCAGGTCAGGAGTTGCGAGGCTTTTCCTAACTGAACTTTTTCCCTGAGTCCAAGTGACAAACAGGAATGAACTCAGCATAGCAGATGCGGGGAGAGGAGGGAAGAACATTCCAAGAAGAGGGAGCACTATGTGCAAAGACACAGAAGTGAGAAGCATCATCCCATGGCAAGTTCACACAAGCCTCAAGCAGGTTAGAATTGTCAGAGATCTGGGAAGAGGAATGGTCACAGGCAGGGTTGGTGAGAGATGAGGCTGGAAAGGTGCACAGGGCCTGGGTATATAAAAGATTTTTTATGAGGGAAAAATGTTAATTTATTCCATTAGTTAGAATATTGATGGTAGCATTTAGAAATCAGAGAAAGAAATTTGACTCAATGCAGAGGATAATGGCAGATTATTGTGGGCCTTGAAGTGGAGCTCAAGGGAGGTAAGGCTTCCAGGTAGAGAGAGACAACATTTGTCTATTTTCATTAAAATTAGATCTTTTTACACCCTTTATTACAGAAAGTTTTCTACAGAAGCTTTTTTATAAGCGCTAAGTGGTCTTGGGGAAATATTGGAGAGAGGCAAATCCTATTTATTGTTTTTTTTTTAAAGGTGTCTTTAGGTGAGAGGTAATCACACAGTCCTAAAAAGATCTGTTTGCTCACCCCCATCTGACTTGTAACCTAGGCCACTAATGACATAAAAATTATCTCCCAGCATGACTTTGTCCTTCCAACAAGGCACGGTTAGAAGCAGCCAGCCTATTGCTGCGTGATCAGAACCCATTTGCTACTGGAGCTTTGTGTGGTGCTGCAGGTATGTGGTACAGAGACGTGTCTCATGATCACATTAATGAGGAACCTGTCATCTTCTCTGTAGCTTCCAGCATTAACACCTCGAATGATGACTTGGAGATGTTAAGTCCTAGAAGGAGAAGAAACATGCTGAGGAGGTTAAGGGTGAACCAGTGAATTTCCCAGTGCAAACTTACCAAAAGTACTGCTTTTTTTCTTAAATGCTAGTAGTTTTGAAACAATGTAAAAAACCAGTCAGGTAATTTGATTAACAGCTCAGTTACAAGTTTGCAAACTTTCTAACTGTAATAATTATTTTCCTCAATGAATGAAACAACAAAGTAAGAGTTATTCAAACTGGTCTTATATTTACAGTGCCTAATTAAATTTAGGTGACCTTTTGGTAAAAATCGTATTATTCACAGAATGGGCCAAGTACCAGTCCACAGCTCGGGTGTATGAGGTATATTTTATTTTACTTAACAAACCCTTGCATATTACTTATCTTCTTGAAGACACCTTTGTAAAAGTGAATCTAATCTTTGTCCAATCTTCCTCACTTTCCAATTTAACAGATGAGAAAAGTGAGACAAAAGAAAGATCAAGTTTTTTTTTTTTTTTTTTTTTTTTTTTCCTCCAAGGGAATCAACTAATTCTGGTGGATTGGGATCTAAATTCTGAGTACTGAGTTTTTACCAAGCATAGGGGCAGATGGTCCAGTGCACACAGGTGTTCCCTGAGGTATCTGTTGGTATCATATGGCCTTCAGTGATCTTTCCATAGAGTTCATGTCTGAGCAACCCCTTGACCTTATCCCTCTAGTCCCTTGGGGTCCATATGCTCTGGCTCTAGCTACTCTCTTGGCCACATCTAGGAGGATCAAGACACATGGCATCTTTTTCACGCCAGGCTGTCTGAAGCTTTATCTGCCCAGTGTGCTATTAAGGTATTTCTTTCCCTAGGATGTTATCTCCAAATTAAGAATTCATTCATTCATCCAACAACTATGTTTTAGGCAACTTCTATGTGCAGATACTATACTAGGCACTAGGAAAACAGCCATTAAATATGCTTATAGGAAACTTTCATTCTAGTAGGGGCATATAGGCAATAAACAATGACCAAGATAGCAATAATATCTATCAGCACCCATCATTATATATGCTTTCATTACTTAATTTGAGTTCCCTCCAGAAGCAGGCAAGAACTTGAGTGCTGGAGATAATCCCAGGAAGTTGGAGTGAGGGGTGAGAAGAGTGAGACAGGAAAAAGGAAAAGCTGGTAAGCACTTGTAATCAAATTAATCACCACAGTGAGCACTTGGGGCTCAATTTTCCCTCTATCTTCTAAGTTACAGGATGTCTTTCAGATTATCCACTTAAAGTTTGAAAAAGAAAAGCAGATATGCATTGGCTCCTGGACCCCCATTATTTGAGGCATATCTGTAGATTAGCTCCTCTTCCTAATAAATGCTGCACATGTCTACTTACCATGACACAGCAAGATGCTGCCATTGCATAGAGTTGAGATTCATATGAAACACTCTGATGAAACCATGGCTGGAAGCCGAGGTGAGCTAAGGTAAAGAGTCTGAGTAAAAAGGACCCTCCTTACACTGCTCATACCCACTTATGCCTACATGAAGTCGAATCTGTCTGTGAGTGGTCAAGGTGCTAGCCTGTTTCAATCTCTACAAATACTTAACACAAGGATTAGTGAAACAAGTTTCAGTTGCCACAGCTGTAAATGGCCCCAAGGCCTATCTTGGTGAAAATGGTCCCAAGGCCCATCAACAATCTTCCTTCTCAACTATCCATTCCACATTCCGTCACTTCATCTGGTCTCAGTTGTTTGACGGGGTAAGCCCAGCCTTCATATCTAAAGAGCTCGAGTTTTTTGGTTCCTTGCCATTGTTTGGCTATGTTTGCTACAATCTTTGTTGATTGCTACCAGGAGACATAGGGGTAAAAGAAAGAAAACACCCCAGTGAAGAGTTGCAGACATGCTTCTCTCAGCCCGGTTTCGTAGCAGCAACTCCAGGTCCTCGTGATACTCTTTGTCAAATATTATACATCCCAGAGTAACTCCTTTTGTTGTCATTGTTGTTGTTCTTTTGCTTTTGGTAGCTGATCTACCAGCATGAGTTGCTTGAAATGACCAGGTGGGAGCTGCCATTTCAGGTTCAGTGGAATCCTTACTGTGTCTGCTGATGGAAACATTCCTTCCCTGGGACCTATGGTGGCAAATTGAAAAGGTCCTAAGGTTTGGGAACAGGAAACACTGATTCCTTAGTGGATCACTGAGAGCAGTGGTGAGATAGGCAACATCCACCTCTTGATTTCTGGATTCATGTAGTCTAGCTATGAAACCAGAGTGCTGGATTTGGCCATTAACCTGGTGCTGCGTGGCATCTGGAAGACAGAGAAAATACTGCAGGCTATTTCCCTCAAGTCAGAAGCTTAGTCGTTGTTTTATTATAGGTTTGCTGTTTCTGATAACGTAATCTAGAGCAGGACTAGTGGACCTCTGATCATGTGTCCAATATCTCACTTTCTTTGCATAAAATAGGTCCCGTACTTTAAGATGATATTATATATAATGACTCTAGACAGTGAGTTATCCCACCCACCTGACTGGTTGGTGGTTTCTCTGCAGTGGATAATAGGTGGTGTACAGTAACATGAGACACAATAGTCTACACAATCTACAGTGTGTAAGTTTACTAATAGGTTCATACAGAACCATTTGCCCTGCCTAGAATCAGAGGTGAGGCTGAGAGGAATTTAAGAAGCGCCCAAGAGGCATCTGTCACAGTGCCGTATTGAATTATATGTTCATTTGATTACATTAATCCCTAGATGATAAGCCCATTTAGGGGAGAGGCTACATCACATTAATCTTGTGTAGGCAACACTTATCACAGCATTTGGAATTTGGTGAACACTTATGTCATTTTGTTTTTTTTTTCATGTGAAGCATGCATGCAAATATAATTAGAGACCTTTTGGGTCTGTCTCTTATGGATGAGGAGAGAAACAAAGACTAATGATGGTGAGGGACTTTTATAGGTTCCTGCATCCACATGGTGGCAAAGGCAAGACCCCAAGTCAGTGTGACCCCAAGGTCACAGATCATCAGGCCATGATGCTTCTTCCTAGAGTTAAGTCTTTGTGGTAGAGATTGAGCATTATTTTTTAATAATCCAAGACTATCAAAGACGTATTAGCCTCTCAGCATGAAGTCAAGTGATTAAACTATAAAGAATTATAGAATTAATCTGTTGTTATCCATAAATAGCATAGTATATATTCTTTCATTATAAGACGCAAACCTGAAGTCCAAGCTACTGCAGAATATTTCACTTCTGATCTAATGAGTTTGGAAAATTTTCACTTCTCCTTGTGTTTCCACTAATTTTACTCCATCTTCTTTTGTTACCCCTTGAAATAACTTATATTTAAACCAAGTTAGGATTAGAATCACTAAAGCTGTACATTATAAGAGTAGAGTTTAGGTTGGGCGCGGTGGCTCACAAATCTCAGCACTTTGGAAGGCCAAGGCAGGCAGATCACTTGAGGTCAGAAGTTTGAGACCAGCCTGGTCAACATGTTGAAACCCCATGTCTACTAAAAATACAAAAATTAGCCGGGTGTGGTGGTGGGCACCTGCAATCCCAGCTACTCAGGAGGCTGAGGTAGAAGAATCACTTGAACCCAGAAGGTGGAGGTTGCAGTGAGCCAAGATCGTACCACCGCACTCCAGCCTGGGCAACAAAGTGAGACTCTGTCTCAAACAAAAACAAAAACAAAAACAGTTGAGTTTAAGGAACATTTCAGGGGGAGGATGCATACACTAACGAATAAGAACAAAATCTCTTTCTGCAAAGCAGTCTAGCAGTTTTTGGTCAAATTAAATATTCTTATAAGCTATGACCCATAACTCCTACTCTCAAGTCCCTAGCTTAGATGGCATCTCATACAGCTCCACAAAGGGAATGTGTAGATATTATTTAAGCACTGTTAGTGTGGTGGAGAGAGTTAGAGGAAACTCAGTGTCTTTCACCAGAGGAATGGATAAATATCTTGATTTGAATACAGTGCGACTGCTCTAAGAAAAGCCGGAATTACGGTGACTTAAACAAGACAGAGATGTATAGATCTCCATGTAACAGAGATCTGAGTGTCGGAAGTCCAAGGCTAATATGGCAGCTGCATGGTTTCTGTGGCTAACATTCCCTCTCTTCTGGTTCTCTGCCAACTTAGCACTTACTCTGCCTCCTAGTCTAAAATGATTGCTCTGGCTGCAGCTGGTGGGAGGAGGGGAAAGAAAAAGTGGAGGGCATACCACTTATATTTAAGAGTATTCCTAGAAGTCTGACACCTGTCTAACACTCGTATCTCATTATTCAGAACGTAAGTCACATGGCCACACCTAGCTTCAACAGATGCTGGGAAGTGAAATTCCTAACTAAATGGCCATGTGCTCAGCTGCCCATCACTATTAAAGGAAGAAGAAGGAATGGCTATTAGAGAAGAATTAGGCCTTTCTGATGTTGTAAGATTGTAATAAATAAATATTGTTGAATAAAACACGGCAACAGTTAGAACCAATGTATTCCAGCAATATGGATTGTTCTTAAAAAAAGAATACAGAGTGAAAAAAAAAGCAAAAACAGAACAAAAATGGGCTAATACATAATACACACAGATATGTAATTCATTCTTAAAAACAAGTATGGAACCTCAAAAGGACAATAATATTGTGCTAAGAAATGAAAGTTTTGCCAGTCAAATCTACACACTCAAATCTAGTTCTCATCATGTGGTCTACTGAAAATTACATAAATATTTTAGGGCCTATTTTTTCGTATCTGAAAATTTAATTATACTCATGAGGGTAAGATAAGCTTCTATACTTAAAATATTTATTACAGTGCTTGATACAGTAAATTCTCAATAGAGATTAGCTGTTATTACTATGTCTTTTTTATTAGAAATTGCATGAATGTATAAGATCAGAACTTTGTGTAAAGTTGACTCTTGGTAAATGTTGGTTGGATGCATGACTATAGAACAAAGAGTGTATTGAACACACAGAGAGGAATGAGCTGGGAAGTATTAAATCACATATCAAATATTTATTTAATACCTCATATGTGTCAGGCCCCTGGGATACACAAGTAAGTTAAAACTAGCATAGACGCTACTCAGTGCTGGAGAAAGGCAATTAAAAATCATACAAATACATGTAAAAATTTCAATTGCTATAAATTCAAGGAAGAAGAGAGACACTCTTCTATGTGTGTCATATATATATACATATACATATATGTGTATATACTGTATATGCATGCATTTATTTATAAATTTATGTTTATTGTATTTATATAATAAATATATGCATATATACACAATATATACATATGTATGTTAGTATTCATACATACATAAATATATGAGTGTGTATGCATATGTGTGTGTGTGTGTGTATTCCTTTCTATGTAAGTTATGCTTAAATTGACATATAATTAGGAAATAACTATTAACTAGAAAAAAAATCAGAGAGAAGAGCATTCCAGGCAGAAGTAACAGCATAGGAAAATGCACTGTTGCAGCCAAGGCACGGAAAATATAGTGGACTGAAAGAAAACCAGTGGGAATGGAGTGGAAAAAAACAAGAGAACAAGTGCTATGAGTTGACAGAATAGGTACAGGTGAGGCCATATAGGAGACAAAGGCTATTGGAAGGGGCTTTGTCTTTACTTTATAGAAAGGGATACTGTATTAGTTTCCTATTGCTGCTATAAAAAATTAGCACAAACTTAGTGGCTTAAAACAACACGAATATATTCTCTGATTATAGTTCTGGAAGTCAGAAGTCTAAGATCAGTTTCACTGGGTTAATATCAAAGTGTTGGCAAAGCTGGTTCTTCTCAAGGCACTGAGGAGAGGACCTGTTTCCTTACTTTTTCGGCTTCTAGTGGCCACCTGTATCTTTTGACTTGCGCCTCATTCTCTGTCTTCAAAGTGCGTCATCCCAATCTCTGATTCTGTCATCACAGCACCTTCTGCTTTGACCCTGAACTCGCCTGTCTCTTTTTTATAAGGACCATTGTGAGTCTATCAGGCCCATCCAGATGATACGTGATAATCTACCCATCCAAAGTTCCTAATTAATCACAATTGCAAAGTCTCTTTTGCCATATAAGGTAGCATTTTGTTTCTGAAGATTAGGACATGGACATAATGGGGGGGCTGGTATTCAGCCTACCGCAGAAGCCATTGAATTTGTTCAAGCAGGGAAAAGGGCACGTTCAGATTTGTGTTTTTAAAAGATTCTCCAGTTTTCTTGTAAAGGATGAATAGAAAGAGGGCCAAGTATGTTTGTGAACCAGTTTGGGAGGCCAATGCTGGGTTCTGGCAAGGGAAGCAGAAAAATAACTTCGTAACAAAGAAGGGAAAATAACATTTTGGCTAAAAGAATGCAAGACTGTTAGAGGTAAAAAGAAGTTTAGAGAACACTATCAGTGCTGTACTGGGTCTGGTTTGGTACTAGATTGCAAGAGCTGAAGTGTTCACCTATCCCAGCTCCACATTCAGTGGCATGTTGATAGCTTGGTATTGGCCACGGGGGGAGTATTTACACCATGGAAATTGGCCAACACTACAAATCAGGACATTTTTTCCCCCAAAGATCCAATGTCACAGAGTACTCCACTGACATTATGTAACCTACCAATTGAGCTAAGTCGTCTCCCTCTCTTCCAGGGGTCTGCTTCCAGTAATATCAAGCTCACTCCTAATCCTGCTGTTGAACAGTCCTGATTCTTAGAAGTTTCTTTGTGGAGACAGACCAAATGCTAATAGTGGCTGATTTTTCAGGTTAGGAATTTTTCCTTCCACTTCAGTGTTTTCTATGAGTTTTACAGTAAGCATGCAATACTTTTATAATTAGAAAACAAGTCAGCTTTACTTTTAAGTATTCATTAAAAAAACTACCAACTACCACATGAACGAGGACATGATGGCAAACTTGTTTTATGGTACGGATGACTAGTTTATGATCTAATCACTAAAAAATGTTTTCCTAGCCACCAGCTATGTGTGAGTTAGTCTTTGAATTTCTTGTGGAATTTGTTACAAGGCTTGGTCTCTTGATATATGTTCAAGACAGGGAGGAAGAGGATCAGAGTGGTGAAAATGAGAACAACAAAGAATACCTGCAAGTAGTAAGTATTGGAACATATACAATTACAGAATATAAAACACGTCATGAGAGAGTGGCAAAGCAATTTCACCTTGGCATTACACATGGTCTCAAGGCAATAGGAAGTGAGCAAGGGTATGATCCCTGGAGCAAGACTTCCTGAGTTCAAATTCCAGCACTACCACTGGTTACATGTGCTCTCTGGAAAAGGACTAAAACTCTCTCTGCCTCAGTTTCTTCATTTCATTTATGAAATGGAGGTAATGATAGTTACCCATAGCATTGAGTATTTGTGAGATTTAAATTAGTTACTCCATGTGAATCCCCTGGAAGAATGCTTGGCACACATTAAACACTCAAAAAGTGTCATTTATTTATTTGTTGGCATTCAACTGCACATATTCTCATTTATTTCAACATAAATTTTACTACAGGAAAAGCCATTTAAAGATTTATTTTAATTATAGCACTCTGCCACCTTCTTTCCCCAATGGATCTATCCAACTGAGAAAATGAGAGTGATTTAACCAAGTAAAATTGATGTAAATTTTTTTCCAAATATGTTAGATACTTGTTTTTTCATATTTGTGTATTGAGCTTTAGTCCAACCCTGTATGGTTCCCCAGTGATTTATAAGCATTACTGCTTATTTGCATATTAAATTCCCAAAGAATGCTACTCCAGCGACTTGATTCAGGTATTTCTTCCTCTAGACTTTTTCTCTCCCCAGTTGAATACACACACCCCTTGCTCTTCATTCTTTCTGGCAAGTTTTCTAAGGTGTGTACCAAGTTTTTGAGGAGCTGAATATCACGTTGCCTTGAGTCAAACAGGAGCCAGCTGGCACCATTTATCTCTTCAAATTACAAGAAAATGTGAGAAACAACAGGGTGTCTATGTGGGGTCCTGCAGAGCCCTAAAGGGCAGCTACGTGTGAAAGAGTCTATCATGGCAATGAGCTCGAGAATTACCTGTAATCCTGGAAGCTTCCAACTTGACAAAACTTATCTCAATGTGGTTTCTTGATCAGATTTTTAGATTTTTTTTTCTACCTTATCCAGCTACATCTTCAAAAGTTAGATGTGTTTGTGAGAGTGATAATGGTGGGAGGAAATTCATTTTGTTACTTTTTTGCTGGAATCAATGCAGTTTTTTGAAGGCTCCGTGAGATTCCAGTAGATATTAGACGTTTAAGTTTCCTAATTATTTATTATTTTTGTTGAATTTCATCACATCATCTCTTGAGGTAGGCTGTTTTATAGTGCATCACCTTGAGAAGAAACAAACACTCCCTCATAAGCATTTGAAGTCCCATGTAAGTTTAATATCTCAGTAAAAACTCATAAAGGATTTTTATTCGAGTGAAAATGTTATAACACAATCTATTTGAAACCTCATACAGAAAGATTAGCCAAGATGAATATATGCATGATATTTTTAGGAAGTCAAAATAAGTAGAAATTTCTTAGCACTTCTTTTTGTGTATGCCTTAGTGAAAGAAGAAATTACATAAGAAAAATCATAAATGTTAAATCTGGATTATTAGAAGGCATAAAGGCTTATCCTAGAATAGACTTTTTCTCACATATTCTTGTTACTACATTTAAGAAAATATAAGAACACAAAGACAGGATAATTCATTTTAAAATGTACATAATTATAAAATGCAAGGGAGCTGTTTGAAAAGGGTATAACCTTGAAAAAGGTTTATAGATTTAGACTAAATGAAAAAAAACTTTAGGAATTATAAATTTTTCCTGTTGCATTAAAAAACAGATTAAATATTTCAGAGACTGATTCAGAAATCAGTATAATAAATAAAAGAAAACTATGGGACACTATTACTGAGTTCTCTAGGAGCTTGAAGAAAGAAAATTTATGTGCTTCCTTACTTTTTAAAATGCACAAATCTTATATTTGTAGAGAAGTCAGTTTAACTTTGATAACTGGGTAGATACTGGAACTAACCATCAAGCAGTTTATAATCCCCTATAAAAGCACACCATTCTGGGTCACGATCAACATTGCTTTGCAGAAAGTAGATTTTGGACAAGATTCTTCAAATATGATAAAATAAAAATTTCAGGATGCATTGCAAGATGGATAATATACAATAAAAATACACATGAAAACTTTGAAATTGTGATTCTACTCTGTATGTCATTTTTAGCACGCCAGAATTTTCTCCAGCATACTACTGGAGACGTGGTTCTTCAACTTTTGGTCTTAGGACCCTATTATATTATTAAATTATTTTGAAGTACCCAAAGAGCTTTTCTTTATGTGGAATATAGCTACTATTAATATTTACTGTATTGGAAATAAAACTGAGAAACTTCTAAAACATAAGCATGTACAAGCACACATTCCATTAGCCAACAGATTGAGAATATCAACACGTCAGGTAGCCTTTTAGACAATTCCGTTGTACACTCATGAGAGAACAAGAGTGCAAAGGCAAATAAGTTTCTAGTATCACCACAAAAATAGTTGTGACTTCACAGACCTCCAGGTATCAGGGGCCCCAGTGGTTCCCAGAGCACACTTTGAGATCACCATGCTGCAGGGTTGGTAACTGAGAGATTATCAGACATCTCAGTGAGAGGAACCAAGAGTGACTCAAGGAAAGAATTTATGAAATATCCCTCAAGGTGTAAATTCTGTCTGGCTAAAAGTTAATATTTTTATTAGAGATCCCTGGGTATTATCTTTAAGCCTATGATTTTTATTCAAGGAAAAAATAATATTAGAAAGGTAAGGGGTAGGGGAGAAGGATTTGGTCATTATTTGATGAACATTTATTAACTAATCACATTATATAGGAAGCACTGGAGAGACAGAAAAGATCTTAAAGACCTTAAAGCTGTTCCTTGACATGTTCACCATCAGGGAGAGAGATCTATGTGCGCTAATAGAGTTGTGAACAGAAGTCTCAGGCAACCCAGTGGAAGGAAGAGTGATTTGTGCAAAATCATTTCAGGAAGTCTTCATCAAAGAGGCGATGCTCATGACCAGGTGTGCACAAGCAGTGCACATGCTGAGCAGAAGCACTCCAGGCAGTGAGTTCAGAGAAAAGTGCTGCAGGCAGAGCGTGACTCTGGGCAGAAAGACATGCAAGGGCATGTCTCCAAGGAATGGTGATCTTTCAGTAGCTGGAGCAGCAGGTGTTGTTGGGGTAGAACATGTGGGAGAGGTTAGGTGTGACTGCAGAAGGCTTTTTATGCTCACTGAGAAGAGTGGGCAGTGCCCTGTAGAGAACAGGAAGCTGCTGAAGTTTTTTTTAGCAGACGGATGATTTTTCAGAATCATGTTTCAGAAAGTCAGCTCAGTGGCTCTGTGGAGGAGAAAAGGGATGAAGCTGAAACTAGAGCTTGGAAGCGCAATTTGGAGCATCTTGGAATAGTCTAAGCTGGAACACTGTGTTGCATGGGCTCTGAAATCAGTCTGCTTAGGTTCAAACGTTAATTACTGCCTTCATTTGGGGACCTCAAACAATTAGCTAGCTATAGAGTAGAGGAGTGCCAGTAGCTACTGTAAGAATGACTTGATACAATAAAATAAAGTATAATGAAACATTAATGCACTATAACTTTGTAATCGATATTAGTTATCATTATGGGTGCATAAAATTATAGGGAAGAGGGAAAACTTGGAGCAGATTCTAGAGATATTTAGGAGTTAGGATTCACAGGATTTTTGTGAAAATGTTGGATGGTGGTGATAGATGGTGAAATTATTTCAGATGTTTAGATTCAAGAGAATTCTGGGAAATGACAGATAATAGGTAATGCAGGGAGGGGACAAAGGGCATGAGAATGTGGAGAAAGTAAGGCCTATTTTCACATAAATAATGTTTGTAAAAATGATGGGAAATGTTTACTGCAGTTACCTCGCATAATACGGAGGTGCAGTGTGTGCCATTGATGATGAAACGTATCCAAGAAGTTTTAAGGAACAAGATGGAAAAATTCACTTGTGATAAATCTCACAGACCCAATCAAGGGAGGAACAGGGTAACTAAGCTTCTAACAGAAATATGTAATTTCTTAAGAAAATCAAGTGCTCTCCTTGAGGACTAGAGGGTAACATGCAGCCTTTAAGGAAAGAATAGGTGCAAATTAAGAGAGAAGTTGGGAATGAAAGCTGGCAATGTATTTTTTTCTTTAGCATAAAAAATTGCACATTATCAATGTATTACAAGAAAGATGAAGTGCTCAAATCCACACAGCCAAAATGCCCAGTCTAGGTAAGTTTCTGTTATAATAAGTCAATTTAGAATAATAAAAGTTGTTAGGAAAAGAGAAGTTTTTATTGACTTAAGTGGTCAAAGGGTGCTGATTTAAAAGAAACACAGATTCTCTGAAAGATGTACAGACTTTCTCATAGATTTATCAGTAGTTTAAAAGGGAGTGAGTAAAAACTAGAATGAAATATTATTTTCTCAAACACAAATAACCGATGTAAAGTAAAACACCCAAGTGATCAGCTGGGCATCTCTGCATGCTGTTCTTATGTTAGCTATTTGCAAAGATGTGGGAGAAATCTCAAGAAAATAATTACTTGGAGGAAGAAAGTTACTAATCTCAAAGTAAGGTAGAGGAAAAGATAAAAGGATTAGATGGAGGGACTTATGTTACAGTGATAGTATTCTGAACCACTTATTTCTTTAGGAGAAGGGAGAGGTGAAGGGGAGTGGGGAACAGTCGTCTTTGAAATTAGAATAGCTCATAAAATAACTAACTACAAGGTAAGCATTATTAGAATCTGTGCCAATTCACGGACTGTTTGCATTCAGACACTGGTCGTATTTTATTATAGTCACACGTGAATTGACAAAATGTGAAGCATTTTGTATTTACAGTTCAGTGGAATAATTTTTCTACTCTGACTGCTTGAATGTATTGTTTGGCTTCAGGGAGAATTGCTCATGTTCTTGGAATGGAAACAGATCTGAATAATGGTGTTATCAAATTAAAAGCTGGTCTTAAGGCTTAAGACATACTAGGTATGTCTTGAAAGCAATTTTTTCTGTTCCTCTTCTGTTCCCTTACTGAAATACCATTGATCAGTGCTTAAAATGGAAATGTGGATTTGTAATCACCTTGGTGAGTGAAAAAGGATGCCACACAGGGTGTTAGTTTCCTACCTCAGTATGAGAATTCACAGTCTCTTGGGATAGAAGTAGCACCTTCCACTTGTTCCTCCCTCTGCCTCCCAACACACACACACACACACACACACACACACACACACACACACACACACACACACAAGCTCTCCTTGCTCGTAAGCCCTCCTTAGGGTTATAAAATGGGTGAGATCTTTCTGAGATCTAAATATAAAGGAACGCAATTTTAACATATTGTGTCATTAAGAAGTTTAGGAGCTTTTAGACACAATCTGGAGGTAGTGGAAAATTAGATGCAGTGTTGCATTAGACATGTTTTTAGTATTTTCTTCTTTTTGTAAAAGCTGTAATTTTCAGAGTTAAGAACCAATTTAATGTCCCTGGAGTTACAGCTTTTTTGTATCCATTGTCCATTAGGTGAATTACTTAGCCAAGAATGGAATCCATTTATAATGTATAAAATACTGTGAAATGTCTTAAAAACAGTCTTTGCAGGGGGAAAAAGCATTGGGAGTCCATTAAATTTGAAGACAGTGAGTTCTGAGGTTCTTCTTATAATCATATAATGGTTTTTTGTGCTTTGATAATATGATGCATTAGATATTGGAAGATTTATTTAAAAGTTTGAATTCAATGAAAATTTATATAGAACTCACATAAAATATATTATTTTTGACAGTCCAGACAGCTTTTAAAACTGAGTGTATTGTCAAAAAACACTTGAATAATATTTATTGTATTCTAATACAAATTAATAGATAACCACTAAAATGCTACTAAATGTCTTATGGTGATATTGTCACTATTGCTGGCATTTAATAGGCTTAGAAAATTTGGTTTATAAATTCTTGTTTTTGAACAAATTCTAATTATGCCTGAAAATTAACTTGTTCTAAAAAGATTCTCTATAAGATGTATGTGATATATATATATATCTCTGTGTGTGTGTATTTAGACACACAAACCCATTTCCAATGATCAGATTTAAATTAATAATGAATTGAGGATTTGCGTTGTAAATGTTATTGTACACTATATTGACTGCTATGGGATCCCAAACCATAATTAATGTTTTGCCAAACTCTCCTTTCATATAAAAGAAGAAAATTTCAGAAAAACAAGCTGACTTCAAATTTTACTTTATTTAATAAATAAATAAAATGTTAAAATGTTATTCCCAGAGTATGTTCCAGGATCCAGACAGCTGCTGCCAAATCTCGGAAAGTTATTACTCCTGTAGCAACAGTCCTATATAGTATGTTGAACCATACTAAATTGTCATCTATATTGGTTGAAACCAGGTGGCTAGCAGCTACTTCATAAGATATAACCTAATAGTAATCTTCAGAAGGACAAATGTTTGGCATTGTTATGGCTGAAGTATCATTTTTTAAAAGCCAAATAGTGCTTTCTATAGTCACTAAGCAGAGAAATGTAATGTACTTAATGAAGATTCTAATAAAGACTGTTAATGTATTTAATGAAGATTCTAACAAAGACTGATTCTAATAAAATCAGCAGTTTTCCTCTCATTAATAGAATTTTGTAACTGAAACTCTTACTATCCAGGCTGTGATAATTCCTTGAGACAGTAGATGTACACATACATGTTCATATTTCCTACCGTATAAATTAGAACATTTTATTTTCAGCTGAAAGTTACATAAACCCCAGCTAGTCATGGCTTAAGTAAATGCAAGGTGGTTTTTTTTTTTTTTTCTTCACATAATAAAAGTCTGGAGGTAGGAAGCCCAGCACTGGTGTGATGGCTCTGTGATGTGATCATGGACCCAGCTTCTTCCTATCCTTCTGATCAGCATGTTTAACCTTTTAGCCAGTTGACAGCTACAGCATCATACCTAAGACAAGAAGAAGAGAGAAGGGACAGCATGGTGCTAGCCTCATCCACCCCTTTCATTATGAGAGCAAATGTTCATCTACAGATCCCAGCTTATGCTGTATATGTCAGGAAAATGTCATATGACTATACTTGACAATGGCTGGAAAGATAAAATTTATTTTCCAAACTCTGTAGGAACTGTAGGAGAGAGGAGGTAAAGAAATACTGCGAAAGTATTGGGTTACCAATCAACAAATCGACAGTGTCTGCCAAATTTCACTTATTTCTTTTTCTTTTCTACTCTTCCTCGTGTCGATCAGCCTGTACATTGCTATACATTGTGACTATTAGACTGGACCATATAAAATTTCTAATATTTATAAATTGTTGACTTATAAGAATGGCAATTTCATATGGCTTTTACAATCTATCACAAATAACTTAAACTTCTATTTAACATTTTTTGCTCTCATATCCTCTCCATATCACTAGCTACTATTGACTTTCTGCTAGTGTCAAAAAAGATAAATAAATAAATAGAATAATGAGGAAAGGGAAGAGAGGTGAGAGGATCAGTTTTTACTCAGCAGGGTGACTTCTAGCTCCCTAGACCTGGAATGATTAAGGTTGACTCTTGCATGAGATGCAGCCATGGCCTCCTCAATGGCTGTCTCTACTAGAGATCTCTCTTGTCCTTAACCTTGGCCAGATACAGCTGTAGTCTGCTGGCTGCTTTTGTGTCCTCCTTTGGCTCCTAGGCATCCAGATTTATACCTCCAGACTCTCAAGTAGGACCCAAAACAACCTGACACCTACTCTCTTTAGGACTGCAGGACATCTCAGCAGAGCAAAAGTCTTCTGGATCTACCACCAAAGCAGCTTAGTAGCCTTTCTCCCGCCCTTAGATTTCCTGGATGAGAATTAGACCTCAGTCCTCAATTCCTTAATCGATGTTTGCTTTATTAGTCTTAAGGCCAGCACCAAGTCTTTTTCTCCCATATGAACACATTTCAAAGCTTTCAGTGTTTCCCTTTATGCTTTAGGTTAGAAAGTGGCACTCCAATCCACTCCTCCTCCAAAAGAAGGGGTGGCGACTTTCAGCCTAGAGAGACTCTCTCCAAAGAAACATTATCACTAGTCTGTGCTCTTTAATATTTTTTTTTTCTGATTCCTGTTTATGCCTTTGATCTGGCAGAGGGATACAAAAGTCACAGAACAAATTCCATTTGTAAATTCTGCGTATGGTATATGCATTGGCAGGGAATCCGTATTCTCCTCGTAAATTCTGCATATAGTCTATGTGTCTTGGTGCTGGGGTCATTGGTGTTTCAATTTAAATGGCTGGGGCAGGAAAGATTCTATCCTGACATGGAAGAAGGAAGAAAGGCAGGCAGGCAGGCAGGAAGGAAGGAAGGGAGGGAGGGAGGGAGGGAGGGAGGGAGGGATGAAGGAGGCAAGGAAGGAAGGAAGGGATGAGAAGGAGGGAGGAAGAGAGAGAGAGAGAGGAAAGGAGGAGGGAAAGAAGAAAGGGAGGCAGGAGGGGAAGAAGAAGGAGGGAGGAAGAAAATTTACATTTTAGGTATCTTAGTCTAGAGCTTGCTCATCTTTATTTTGTAGATGTGGTCTTCAGTTCGCAGAGTAAACAAGGTGATTACACGCATATACTTTATAGACTGCCATCTTCAGTGCTGAAATCTTTATTTTATTTTCTAAGATGAGACATATCCTGGCTTCTTTTTATGTGACACTAAAATCCCCAGAACCACCAAAACAGACTAGAAAATCCCTTCATTTGAACAGCTCATGGGTCTTGACTTGCAGGATTCTGAAGGGAAGGACTATTTATGGATGCCCAAGCATGCAGGCAGACCTAAGGAACAATTGCATGGAAACTCATGCGAAGTTAAATTGGCAATCAGCTCTAGCATTTCTTATGGCAGAGCTGCCTATTGGGTAAATAATATGCATTTTATAAAAACATTCATAAATGTAAATTCACACAAGAGACTGAAATGGCTGCTTAGGGTTAAATGAAATGCATATTAACAACACTTACGAATAGTAAATAGCATGCACTTTTAAAATGTGATCAACGTGTATTTACATAATAGCCTGTAAGAGTTCCACTGTCAAGTAAATAATACTGTAGTTGCCCTTAAAAGTCTTTAATCACCTGCAGTATTTGCAAAGTATGTTGTAATGGATTTCTGGTTTGTGTTAGCACTCCACTCTCTTCTCAAATTTGTTCCTTTTCTTCCCTGATTTCAAATACATATATATATTTATGAAAATAATTTTAAATTGGCATTGAAATAAACCACACATCTAGGTAGAATGGTCTTGAATGGTTTCACTTCTGTGGAAAGGAAACTTTTAAAGTGAGATGGCAATATCATGCTGATGTTGCACCCATGAAGAGCATCTTATACATGAAAACAAGTAAACAAAGAAGAGAGCCGCTGCAAGGTGGGGTGACGGGGCTGTTGATTGTGGGCAGAATATGCTTTGGCGAACTGCAGCCAATGTTTCCACCCTCTCCCAGGCTGTTCCTATTCTTCCACTGTATCACAGGGATCTGACCCCCACAAACTATGGCCCTAGTCTCTCTTACCAAGTAGTTTCTGGCTCTTTTAGGGCATGGGGAGTACTGACTGGAGGCTGGAAGGCAGGAAGAAGGTATAAGTCTGATTTCTTCCCTTTTCTCTCTGCTCAGGATACATTCACCAGTGGCTAAGGCACCCCACACCTCTGTCTCACCTTCTAGCCCACCCCACAGTTCTCCATGGTTCCAGAAGCTATCTGTGGTCCAGGCACCTGGGCTCTAGTCACACAGTTTCCTCCCTCCAGTTGATGCAGGATTTTTCTCAATCCTTTCAACAGACTTGAGACTGGGGTGTCCTGTTTACTCGGCCTGGGATGCTCAATCCCTTGTGGGAGACAGCATGTGAGTGAGCAAGTGTGAGATCTGGCTGGCCACTTTGGGTGCCGGCAGGAGCAGGCTCCATGTGGGCCCCATGGTGGTACCCAGGTGGGGATGCCTGTGACCTCTGAAGCCCCAGAGGCATGTTACAGTGCTCTCTTAGCTCTGCCATCTAGGGACAGCAGTGTATTATCAGCTCAGTGGGCCCCTTGCCTCATAGTGTGGGGCAGCTCCCCTCTGCTGGCAAGGGTAAAGGACCAGTGTGACAGCCTTTTTTGGGTACCTGCACTTGGTGGGCCTCAAGCTCTCATCCAGCATCCGAGAAGAATGAGGTTGCACAGACACTTGAAGGATGGTGAAGGTGGAGAATTTTATTAAGTGATGGAAAAAGGCTCTTGGTGGAGTGGGGAGCTAGAGAGGGGATGGGATGGGCAGGTAATCTTCCCTTGCAGTCTGGCTGTCTCTGGCCAGTTCTTTCCTGTAGTCAAGCCATCTCTCCAAAGTTAAGCCATCTTTCCTCTGAAGTCCAGCTGTCCCTCTGAAGTCAAGTCACCAATCTCCAGTCAAGCTGCTTCTCTCCCTCTACCAACTGAGTCTGGGGTCTTTATAGGCAAAGGATGGGGGGCAGAGAGGGCCATGGGTAGTTTTGGAAAAAGCGACTTTCAATTGGTAAAAAGACATTATTCTTGTAAATCCATTACAATATACTTTGCAAATACTGTAGGTAATTAAAGACTTTTAAAGGCAACTACAGTACTATTTACTTGACAGTGGAACTCTTACAGGCTATTATGTAAATACACATTGAGCACATTTTAAAAGTGCATGGTTTTTACTATTCATAAGTGTTGAAAGAACCAATCAAGACAGAGCAGGCAAATAAGGATAGAAGTTCTCGCTTTGAACTGCAGGTTTTAGGCTTTTCAGCTGGAAGGTTGGGCTTTGTCGGGGACCTGTCCCTGTCTGCCTAGAATTTCTCTGCCTCGTGCCTCTATCATAGTCCTCAAGGTCACAGCTTCCTGCAGTTGCTAATGTCAGTGCTACCTCATTTTTCCTCAATTGATCTTCAGCTCTTGTAATCTAGTAACCGATTACCCATATTAAATTACTCCTATTGAATTCCCCGGTGTGGTGAGCTTTGTTTCTTAGATGTTCTCTGACTGATAAAACTGTCAAGTGAATGTTCTCTTTTCTGAGAAGAAGTTGTCCATGGGCTAAACTAGGCACAGTCAGAGATTAAGTGCCTTCTTTCCTATGGCCTGAAAATGTCTCCTGTGACTTTGGATTAAATCTGTTAGAACTTACCTGATATTAACACCTGTTTAAGAGGAAGGAGGCAACTTTAGACATTACGTTTGGACAGAAGAGACGTAAATCTAGATATTCAGAGCCAACTACTTAAAAATACATCAGTGCTCCAGAAATTGTATTAATGCAAATAGTGGTTGTTTTGTTTGGCCAATTTTGATCATCCCTTACTTACGGCTTTGGCATCCTCAGCTTCCAGGGGTTCCCCACTGTAAGAATCACTTCCTGTTTCTTTGCCATTGCGCCTTTCCTGGGCCATGCAGTTGTAATCTAGAAAGAACTTTGGGGCATAGCAAAATTATGAAAATCAGTGAAAAGGTGGAGGGCACTTTGATAAAATGAAGAGTGTGTGCCTTGACTGGAAATATATCATTTTTGTTTTTAAACTAATGACTGTATATGAGCCATATAAAACCGAACTGCTGCTTCTTCCATATTCCCAACCTTTCTGTGCCACACTTTTCACTACCATGATCTGCCACATTCTTGCCTTGGATTTGTTGATGAAAAGAGTCAAACTTTGTAAAATATTTGAAGAAATCTATTCTGAGCCAAATATGAGTGACCATGGCCCATGACACACCCCTCAGAAGATCCTGAGAACATGTGCCAAAGCTGGTTGGGGTACATCTTGGTTTTCTACATTTTAGGGTGACATGAGCCTTTAATCAAATACATTTAAGAAATACATTTGTTTGGTCCAGAAAGTGGGACAGCTCAATGTGGGATGTTGGGGGTGCTTCTGGTTATAGGCAAATTTATAAACTAACTGGTTGACACTTGGTTCAATTTATCTAAAGACCTAAGGTCAACAGAAAGAAAATGTCTGGGTTAAGATAAGGGATTGTGGAGACCAAAGTTCTTATTTTGCAGATGAAGGCTTCAGGTAACAAACTTTGGAGAGCACAGATTGTAAATGCTTTCTATCAGACTTGAGGTCTGTGTTGGTGTTAATGCCAGGGAGGTATAATGAGGCATGCCAAACCCCACTTCCTGTCATGGCCTGAACCAGTCTTTCAGCTTAAATTTTAAGAGTGCGCTGGCTGAGGAGGAAGTTTATTCAAATGGTTAGGGTGTCTTCAAATTTTATTTTTGGCTTACAGGTTTTATGGTTTCATGGATCCTACCTCACATCCTGGTCACACCCTTAAGTTCTGTGCTCATTCTCAACCTCACTTATTCTTCATCAATTCCTGTCCTTCCTACCGTGTAGTGAGAAACAGATGGCATTTGAGAATCAATTATTAGAAATCCATTATTTTGAAAGTTTTCATAGTTAAATTTTTCAATCTTATTTTATTAATAATATTAAAACATACTCAACTACTCCATATTTTATTTAATGTATACATCAAATTTCACCATTGCTAAGTAGGGAGAAAGGGGGAGAAGAGCTAGGCACTGTTTGAAATGTTTTAATTCATTCCATCTCATGCTACCCTTACCCCATAATCTTCCTTTATATGTAATTGACTCTAACTAACAACAGTGCCTTCAGGAGATGAAGGTTATATCCAGAATAGGCAAGGGATGAGGACAGCCAGGGAAAGTCACTAAAAACAACTATCCCAGGTCATGGTAATTCCTGGAGCTGAATTATCCTAGCTAAAGGTGCACTGGCCCCCAGACTGCTGGAGCTGGGATGGCAGGCAAATCACTGAATCCATTGTCTTCCATTCTTCCATATTTATTAAGGATCTGCTCTTCACTAGGCACTACCCTGAATACTGGGAATAGACTGGTGAAAAATATACACTAGACTTTTTTTTTTTTTTGCCTCTGAACTTTTTATTGGCCTGCTGCTCCCCAAAGGGTATCCTACTTCTGCTGGTGTAATGCCTCAGAACTTTGGTATCTTTGGTCTCAGACACCACTTTGCCATCCACTGTCTGGCAGGTGGTGGTCTTTTGGATGGTTTGCATGGAGTTGCTGCTGTCCAGGGTATCACCAAGATTGACGTCCTCGCCATCTTTCAGCAGGCAGCAGTAGGTGGTGATCTCAGCCTCCAACTTGACCTTGATGTTCATCAGGGCCTCGTACTGCTGGGCCTGGCACTGTTCCTCTGCCCAGGTCTGTGCCAGCTCTGACTCCAAGTGTGGCACGATTCCGTCGAGCTGCTCCATCTTCACGGTGTAGCAGGCCTCCACCTCCCTCAGGCTGTTCCCCAAGCTAGCCTTCAGATTTCTCATCGATTCCAGGTCGACCTCCGAAGACTGGACTGTGCATCTCGGCTCAGTGAGCATCATCTCAGCAGCTCCGACCTTGGCGGGCTGCATGGGGACCACTGTGGTGCTCTCCTCAATCTGCTGAGACCACTACTTGTCCAGCTCCTCTCAGTTCTTCCAAGCCAGCTCGTCATATTGGGCCCAGATGTCTGCCATGGTCTTGGCGAGGTCCTGAGATTTGGGGGCATCTACCTCCACTGTCAACCCAGAGCTGGCAATCTGAGCTTGTGGGCCTTTTATTTCCTATTCGTGGTTCTTCTTCATGAAAGAGCTCCTCCTTGAGAGCCTCGATCTGTGTCTCCACCTGCAGCCAAGTGACATTGGTGTCATCGATGACCTTGTGGAGCCCATGGATGTCTTTCTCCACAGACTGGTGCATGGCCAGTTCTGTCTCATACTTGACTCTACAGTCATCAGCAGCAAGATGGGCATTGTCTATCTGCAGAACGACATGGGCATTGTCCACAGTATTTGCGAAGATCTGAGCCCTCAGGTACTCAGTGGTCTTGAAGTAATGGCTCTAGTCTCTGATCTAGGGTCTCTTCTTCTCCAGGTGCTCCCAGATTTTGCTCTCCAGCTTCCAGTTATTGGTCTCCAGGCTTCTCACTCTGTCCAGGTAGGGGGCCAGGCGGTCGTTCAGGCTTTTCATGGTCTCCTTCTCGTTCTGGATGCCTCACATTCCTGCCAGACCCCCGGCCATCCCCGCGGCCAGGCCCCCGGACCCCATGCTGCCCCTGAAGCTGGTGGAGCAGGACACGGATATCTGGGAATCCAAACCCCTGGCGCCCGCATAGACGCTGGCTGTGCTCCTGACAGGCCGGGCGCCGTAGCTGGGCGCCTGGACAGAGCCCAGGGACCGGTAGTTGGTGGAGAAGGTGGAGCGAGTGGTGAAGCTCATACTGTCGGGGGAGGAGAGCGAAAGGACAGGACTCAGGCTTTGCCGACGACTCACAAGGCTCTTTTGCTCATGGAAACTCTGATTCTATAATGGTGAGGAAGGGTTGTTGATGAACATTGAACACGTAAACAGTGACACAAAAAATATAATTTTGGAAAGTGATAAATACTATGATGTTAATCAAATGAGAAGCTAAAAGAGAAAAAAAATGAAGGGCAAGGGACAATCTTTGATTGGATGTTGAGATAGCACCTCTGAGAAAGGATATTTGAATGATGGGAAGAAGCCAGCCATATAATGCTCTGGGGGAGAAGAATTCTGTGTGGTAGGAAGAGCAACCACTGAGGCCCTGACTACAGGCAAATTTGGTAGATTTGCAGAACAAAAAGAAGGCCAGTATGACTGGGGTCACAGGGAGAGGGAGATAGGAAAGGATTCTAAAGTCAGAGTAGACCACCAGATGGTAAATTAGGTGGTGGTCGTTTAGAATAGGCAAACTGTTTGGATTTTATTCAGGTTCGTAGAAACAAGAAAACTGAGATTTGGTGAGGTGAAATGACTTGCTGGATTTTACATAGTTTGGTAGCTGCAGAGATGAAAGCCCAGTCTGGGATTCTTCAGTGTTCACTACCTTTATTATTCCTGCAGTACTCGTATTGACATATTTACCTGCTTAAAAATAACAATCACTTCAGCAAGCATCTCTTGACCCATTTTTTTTTAAGTTTCTGAGCTGCAGAAGTTCTTTAGTATCAATTGATCTGTTCTTGTGCTATTTGACAGAGCAAAGTCTTGGCAGTCCTTAGGCAAAGAAGCACTCTTGGAAAAGCGCAGGTGCTGTTGGAAGCACAGAGGGCATGTAAATCAGTAAGTGGCATTAGGCTATCATTCATCAACTGGAGTCTGTTCTGAGTGCTAAGTGACACTGCCCTCTGAAGATACATACCAGCCTATGCTGGAGCTGTAAATCTAAGGCCATGCTCTCTTATAATTATCAAAGATCCCCTGGCAATTTTTGCAAGAGAAGAGGTGTTAAGTCCAATGCCCTGGCCCAAATCCAACCCAGGAAATTACTTTTTGCCTACCTAAATTGCACTTAGACTTCAATTTGAAATTAATTCTCAAGTTCTTCCTTGAAAACTATTTCTGGTGTAGTGCTGCTGCAGTAACAGGTCCCATTGTGTGTGAGAATTTCTTCCTCCTCCTAGCCTTCTCCTCAGCCTCTTTCCCTAACCTAATCCCCAAAATGCATGCATTTCACCAGCTTGGAATGATAGGTTGGATACCTATCATTGTTGATTGGAATGATTATTTGGGTACATCCACCACTCTCTCTGTGCAACAAAGTGAGGCAAATACCCATAATACTGTGTATTCTTGGAAATAAGTTAAACTTCCTTCTATCCCCAGAACTCTCAGCCACAACATTACCTGCCTTGAGACCATTAGGGTTAAATCATTAAGCTTTTTATTTCTGTTTACATCAGTTACCATAAGAAGCCAGGATGCCCCAGTCATGCCTTTTCTCCTGGATTTATATTCCCAGTCTCTATCTCTCTCTTGTACACACACACACACACACACACACACACACACACACACACACATATACACACACACATACACAACACACTTACATGGAGTTCAGGACTCTTTATCTCTTTTTACTGCACTGTCAAGTTTTTTTTCTTCTTCAAAGTACTTCTTGCCATCTAACACATTACACACTTCAATCATTTATTCCCCCAATGTAGAAAATAAGAACTATAACGAAAATTGTTTTTGCCTCTTTTGCTTATTGGCCATAACTATAAAGTAATTGCAGGTCCTGCCATTACTTTTTATGCACCAACCTAATAAGTACTAAAAGCAGCACCTGGCATGCAGTAGGTGCTCAATAAATATTTGTTGAAAAAAAACAAACTGTTGGCTTGGCTCGGTGGCTTATGCCTGTAATCCTAGCATTTTGGGAGGCCAAGGAGGGCAGGTCACTTGAGCCCAGGAGTTTGTGAGCAGCCTGTCCAACATGGTGAAACCCTGTCTCTACTGAAAATACAAAAATTAGCTGGGCATTGTGGCACACGTGTGCAATCCCTGCTACTCCGGAGGCTGCGGCACAAGAATTGCTTGAATCTGGGAGGCACAGGCTGCAGTGAGTGGAGATTGTGCCACTGCACTCCAGCCTGGGTGACAGAATAAGACTCTGTCTCAAAAATAAATAAATAAATAGCAAAACTATTAAATAACCCAAGCCCAGTGATTTGGGTGAGAGCTAGGACATGCAATTGGCTGTACAAAGTATTATTTGTTTGTCTATTCATTGATTATTCATTCATTCACTTGATGAACATTTGCTAGTGCCTGTTGTATCAGAAAAGTGCAACATTAGGAAGATGAACAGACATATCCTCAAGCCCTTAATCTAGATAAGAAAAAAACATATGTACAGAGCTAACTAAAGAACTAACTATAAACTAGTGAGATAAAAGCCATCTCCTGAGCTAGGTTTGGGGATGGTAAAGGCTGTGGAATTATGACTGCATACTATTCATGGATAGGCTCTATTTGATATATTTTTCTTAGAATTTAATAGTGGGAACAAATCTTATAAAGAAATGTACAATTTTTCTTTTTATCAGAGAAGAGTGATCTCTATCGTGTTTTCTTTATAGCTGTAGAGGATAGTCAATGAAAATCTAAATGTAATAATCCATTGCAGTTAAAATTGCATCTGGCAGATTTGTCTGACTTCTCCTACTTTATATGATTTCTGATTTCCTTTTCTATCTGTGTTTTAATTGTTCTGTCATAAGTGTATTTGTTGTTGTTTAACCCTTCTTAAATTCTTTATGGTATTAGTAATGTATAGATAATAAATGTACCTTAATAGATACAGGTACTGGAGATGAAATAGATTACTCTGCTGACCCATGCTGAAAATGTTAAATATATAAAGATCAAAGGTGCTATGCCTACAATCTAAGCCCCACGCCACTGTCTAATAACCAAGGTGTCTGTGCTTTCACACCAATCTTTTGCATATGCACATCTACAGATATATGATGAATTTATATGCCACTGTTCTACCTAGAGACAGCTCTTAGTGTTTATTTTAAACGATTTTATGCACAAGCAAATGCTACCAGTTGTGGAGAAAGAGGAACTGTAATATAATTTACTTCACATGACAACCCAGGAATGGCCTTGTGTCTCAACTTCTGCAAATGACCTTATTGTTTCTAACTCACTGTGGTGGGCTTTTTTTATATTAGTGTCATCTATGCCAACATTTAACCTTCTTAATTTTAATTTATTTTCCTTTTTAAAATTTACATTAATTTTGCTGTACTTTATATGTTCCAGTAAGCTAACTTAAACACATTCCGAAACTAGAAGGGAAATAAACATATGAGTAAATAATCAAGTAAATAAAGCTTTATAAAATAATAGTACCTAAAACCATGTCTACACACTGAAATACACAGTAAGAAAGAACAAAACTTCCAAGGTCAAACCCTAGACCTACTGAATCTGGAACTTCTGTGATCAGGACTGGAAATCTGTATTTCCAGACATAAAATATGTATAATATATAGGGATGTATATGCTCCCTGGGTGATTTGAATCCCAGCAAGAATCATCACTCTAATCTATGGGTGTGAGAAATATCCCTTTGTTTCACTATAAATTCATCCTTATTCTACTTTTACTCAAATGGGTATCAACCAACCCATAACCAATCTGTGGGTGTAACAGTCATAATTGTGCATGTTTCTGCAAGTCCAAGTTGCTCAGGCTTAAATAACATCATAACCCTTGTTGGCTTGCATTGGCTAATACTTTAACACAATGTTTATCAATAATTCTTGGCCGTGGGAAAATGTCCATGGCATTTTCCCATTAGAACTAGTTTTATTTCTCTGTTTATCTAAATCTACCTAGATATGAATATAATTATAGGTACAGATATATTAATTGTGTTGAGATGGTATTCGTAAATTTCTATTTTCATCGAGCATTTTTTCCATCAGGGATTTTGGTCAAATTTTGTTGGACTTTCTGCCAGCATCTAGAGAGATTATCATATGATTTCTTTTTAGCCATAACTATGGTAAATATAAGAATTTTTTTTCTGAACTGTTCCTACATTTCTAGAAAAATCCACTTGTTCACAGTGCATTATTTTTCAATGTTTTTGGATTCTATTTGATAATATTTTATTTTAAATTTTTGCATTGATACATCTAAGATTGGTCTACAGATTTGAAAGTGTGTGTGTGTGTGCGTGTGTGTGTGTGTGCATGCCAACTTTATCTCTTCTAAAGCCAGCATCTAATTTAATGGGAAAGCACTAGAAATATTTTCCTAAAGTCAAGAAAAGGGAAGAATACCGACTACCTTTACTGCTGTATAAAATATTAGAGGTGTGAGAATTGGAAAAGAAATAAAACTATTTCTATTTGTACATGATATGACAGTATACCTGGAAAATCCTTGAGAATAAATAATGCAATTCATATAACCAATAAACAAACCAATAAATAGTATACTGTAAAGTTATCAAAAAATCCATAGCCTTAATATCTACAAACTATAATCATGTAGAAGATACATTAAATCCTATAGCATATTAGTGACAAAATTGGTAGAAACAAAATTAGCATAAAATAGACAAAAGCTATAAGAGATGAACTTCAAAATATCTTTGAAAGACACAAAACTATCCTAGAAAAAATAGAGATCTTATCTTTGTGGGCAGTGCCACGAGTTAATATATAAATTTAATCCAATCTCAGGTATTTGTTTTGTTTTTGGGGGGGACTAGACAAATTGATTATAAAGTTCACATAGAAGATAAACTTAAAAACTTTGTTGGAAAAATCTTGAAAAAGGGCGAGAGAGCAATGAGGGAAGCTAGTCATATCAGATATTAAGTGATACTACAAAGCCCCTTATAATAAAAACAGTGTGGTATTGGTGCTTAAACAAACATAACAATGAACATAAAAGAAGATATATAGACCCATTCTAGTTAGTGTTAATGAAAGTGTCATCAGAAATTATTGAAATAGAAGAAAAATGAATTTATACCTCATACCATACACCAGAATGAACTACTAATCCATCAGGGATCTACATGTAGAAAACAAAACCATAAAAGTACTACAAGAAAACATTAATTTACTCCTTTATAATCTAGATGTGTGGAAAGCCTTTCTAGCTATACCAAAACAAATACATAAACAAACGAAAAACAGACAATAAGAGAAAAGGTTGCCTAACTCAATTAAATATTAATTTAAATTAATGACATGAGAAAGAACACAATAAGCAAAATAAAAAGACAAGAGAAGTGTTAGGGGACAGCTTCCCTGCCCTGTTGCCTGCTGGCCTCTGGAACCCTGGATGGAAAAAACACAATTTTGGCAGTGACAGATGACATACCACGACAATTGTTAAGCATTTTGAGGATCACACTTGAGGACAGAGGTTACTTCTTGGAATATGTAGAAAGATGCAACAGAGAGAACACGCCCTAGTGGGCTTCTAAAGAACTAAAAATATTTTATTCATAAACCTGTATAATAGTTGGTCAGGTGTTTGGTTTCTTGTGTTTGTATAAAGTGTACACATACATTTCACATTGTCTTCTGTGGCTAGGTTATAGTTCACAAAAATAAACACCAGTAAGAAACTATCTTCACATTCTCTATTTCTTGTTAATGAATTACACTTCCTCTTTTTATTTACTGACACAGATACATTCAACCAAGTATCAAATGTTTAATCAAAAAATCCTATTATTAAACTGTATATACATAATAAACCCAATTCTTAAAAATATTCTTGTCTAGAAATAACTGAAAGGAAATACTTTGTAATATTTTTCACATCTCCTATAATGAATATGTATGTCTTTTATAATTGTGAAAAATGATATGTATCTAAAAGTACTAACAAAAATAACTGTAGTAAGAACTGTAGAGAAAACTGGTTTTAAGAGATTGGAATTTGCTTTCAAAAAGACAAAAAGGAATTTTCCCATCTCACATTGACTCTGAGCTCCCATAGTTGAAAGAAAGATATCACCCAGGAAGAGAACAAGAAAAATAAATATTTTAAAGTAACTCACTGTAAAGAGTTTTTCTCATACATATTGTTGTATTTCATCAACACCAGAGTTCTCTTAGGTTGGCAGAGCAGAAAATGTACTGATAGGTGATTCGATAAAACTCGTACTTATTGGACCCCTGTTGAGTTCCAGACACATTCCCAGGCTTTGATATTATCTCATTATTCCTCTCAGCAATCCTGGGAAGTAGGTGGCATTTTCCTATTTTATGCATGAAAAAATCGAGGATTAAAGAGGTTAAGAATTGTGCCTTAGGTCACACAGCTGCTAAATAGCAGAGCCAGAATTTGAATCTCAATCTGAAGCCAAATGCCACGCTCCTTTCTTAAAGCTCTTCGTTGCGCTACAACCAGAACGAACATGAGCCTTTGGATTCTCAATCTTGTATTTTCTCTACATTGTGCTGACTCCCTGCAGAGCTAAGATAATGCTCTTAGAAGCATCTTTAATGGTTGTTTTGACACCCTTGTTTAACAGAATTTTCTTCAGACTAAACATTCTTGGCAAGGCAGTGGTTCACCCAAGTGCTTTGTTAATTTTAAAGTGCAATAAAAAACGGAAGCCCTTATTATGGGGAGGTGGTGCAGTGCAATGGAAGGAACACTTGGCCCAGAGTCCGAAGTTCCGCTTCAGAATCCCTACTTCTGCCAGCTCACTTGGAATGGCATAGGGTGAATTAACAGCTGAGCTTGTCTGACTGGCCTGCCCACTAGCCATCTTCATATCTCTCTCCCTTCTCTCCCTTACGGGGTTATGAGTGTAATTGGTGTAATAAATAGCTTTGACTGCATAGGAAACAGATTTATTTTTTTCTTTTCATCACGGCCTCCTGGTTTGCTCTTTTGAACTTCCTTTTCGTAGCCCTTGATAACACTTGGCATAGGTTCTATAAAGAACTGATAGCTTTTGGTATAAGAACAGTCTCATCTTGGAATTGTTAATACTGAAATAGGAAAAAGCTTTGATCCAGTCTCAAAACTTTCAGTTTTTATCCATTTCAAGGCTTCTCTCTTTGATACCATTTGGCTGCTCAACTTCTCCCTTGCCTTTCTGCCCACCCCTCTGAAGGCAGGGATTAGAGAGGAGAACTCAAGGGAAAAGCCAAAGTCTTTTCACTTACTGGGTACCATCTTTGGGATGGCATCCTTCTCCTGTGGGCAGCTGTCTGGGTTCTTCGGAATGGTCACTCCCTTCACACGTCCCTCTTGTGAATATGTTTTACAGCTCATCTCCTCAGATGCCCTCTTCAGCTTCACATCACTGAGCAACTCCTTGTACTCAATTCTTACGGTTGGAGTCCTCCTGAGGGGGTCATCAACAAGATGGCTCCAGGCGGGCTCCTTGCTACAGGTCACTTGAGCTCATGAGAAACTCCTGGGTCGTGTCTCGTCAGAAGGTGACGGTGGAGTCTACTCTTCTTCACTCTCATTTCATCCTTCATCTTATCTCCAATTACATTTTTTCCTCTCTCTCTTTGTCTCACATAGGACAGAGAAAGCCCAGCAAGTCCACTGTAGAAGCAGATGCTCATCAAAATATGAGACACTAACATTACCTTCTTGCCAACCCCCATCTCTACAGGCAGTTCTCCTGCAGACCTCTCCCTGGCTTACTTAGAGAGGTGGACCCTCCTCCACCTGGGAGTACTTGTGCCCTAGTTTCCTGACTCCATTCCCCCCAAATTATTGGTATGTGTCTCTGACAGAGACTTGGAGGGGATGGGCAGTGATGGTCACAGGACCAGATTTGCTGCTTTAATAAATACTGCAAGGATATATTTCAGATTTTTAGTGGCTCTCTTTGGAATGAGAAGGTACTTGGCATGTACTATTCTCAATTTAGAGATTTTTGCCTCAGTTCTCAGGCAATGACAGAGCCTGATTTACAATTGTGTGACATTAGAATCAACAAATTTTATGAAACAGAGTAAAAATGCCAGAAAGCCTGTCTATTGCTGGTCACCCAAATGTGATTTTTTCAATAAACATTTATACATTAGGTATTGCAATATGCATTGAAAATACAATGATAAATATAGCTGTATGCCTACTTTCAAGAATCCTGGATGAACTATTTCAGGAAACCAATAAAAACATTAAAATTAAGTTGATTGGGATGACTCTAGAAATCTACCTAGTTTATATAATAGTAGAGAAGTACACGTTTAGTGGTATTATCAGGGGAAACTATTTTGAGAAATAGTAGTGCTATGAATATTGTTACTACTTCAAACAATAATGATAATGGAAATAATGATACTAACATATAGTTATTGAATAATGATCATGTACCAGGAGTGCGTGCTTTACATATAGTATCTTACATTGTCATCACAATAATCCTGTGAGTTAGGGACTATTATGGTCCTCACTTCACAAATTAGAAAAATAAGGCTTAGTAAAGGTTGAATGTTTTCTCAACATGACAGATCTGTTTTCCTACTATCCTTGCACTTTTAACCAGTAGACAATACTGCCTCCTTGGAACCACAGTTTGCAGGCATATTGTGAGGTAGAATAAATGCTTTCTGATAGCGGTAGCATTAAAATAAGTAGTACTTAAAAGAAGAGGCTTAATAAAAGATGTTATTCTTCTGGATAGAAGAAGAATGGCTAGAACTGGGTACCATCCACCCCTACCGAATCAGGTGAAAGATGAGATTTAGAAGCTAGTCTTCATTTGAGTCTTCTTCTCTACAGGAAAGAAGCATTTGGGTTCCAGACATTTGCCTTCCATTGTCTGCTTCCTGTACATTCAAACCTGCTGACAGAGTGGCATATTTGGAAGCTGAGTTTCTGCTCTTCCTGAACTTTACAAAATGTAAGGTTGCCAGTTACTATAAGTTGAAAATAGCACCAGTATTTAGCCAAGAGTTTTCAGAGTTGGAAAGAGACTCTTGGAGTATTTTTTTTTAAGAGCAAATGAAAAAAGCTAGGATTTTTAATAACGCCTAATAGTAAATAGAACAAAAGAAGTAAGACACGCGTTTTAAAACACACACACATGCAATGTTAAATTTTATGAATAGTCTCTGTTTTCTTAGCTCACTGAAAATGATTTCCCAGAACCTTTGAAAGAGAGCATAGGTACTAAATCTGATTTCCTTGAAATCCTTTTCACTTGAAATTTTATGAAGGTGCTTTATGCAGTACTGAATAAGTTGAGTCTTCTAAAAGAGTAGGTTCCGTAGCAGAAGGAATGTTGTCAGAGTTGCAAATGGTGGATGTTCAAGCATTATCACTGCCAAAAATTTAATGTAACGATTTAAACTAGCACAGACCCAAAGGCCAAACATCGAATGAAATTGGGCTGTGAATCCTGTCTCCTGGAAGAAATGCTTCCATAGATTCGTAGAATGCTAAAGCTGCAAAGGAATTTAGGATTCCACTACTTTAATCTTTTGCTTTACAGGTGAGGAAACTGAGTTAGAGAGAAGCTAGCATAATCGCACAAAGACAGGTTGTTTGTGACAGAAGCATGAAAAGAACCAGGATCTCATAACTCCTAGTACATCATCAACCCAGAAGACAGCTCTTTAGCCATTTCAACAGGTGTTGATGTGGATGAACATGATGTCATACTACAGTGATGACATAAACATATTTTGTTCTAGTAACTGTACAGCAATGTAAAGAGTTTTTAAAAATTCTTTGCAAGACTATATTGCAAAGGTGAAATGTTTTTTCCTGTATTTGTCTTATTTGCTAATAAATATTAGCCTAGTGAGCATTATCAGTGTTTAGCTGATTTTTAAATTTTAACCACACCCAGTGAGAAAAAGCCTATTGATCTTGAAATGACATAATGACGTTTGAAATGAGAATATCATTCAAGAGTTATAATCTGGCATGAAACTACAAAGGATTTATCATACAAGAGCTTATACTTCTTACAGAGTAACAAGTGTACAGTTTATGGCTGGTGCACCAGCTCCCTGATGATATCAACACACTCCTTCCACCCTTTGTAACCACCATTCAAAAAGTGTGGCTTGTGATCGTGACCTCACTTCCAGTCTCTTCTTTGCATTCCCAGGAGGTGGAAGGAGAAAACAATAAAGAACAAGAGACAGAGTTGAGGCATTATTTCAGAAAGTGAAGCTTACCCTACAATCTCCTTTTTATTTCTGCTTTTAACACATTGGCCAGACTGTGTCTCATGAACAGCCCTGTGAACAAGGGAATCTGGGAAGTATAGGTTTTTGGCAGAGCATCTTACTGCCTTTTCTCTCCCAGTATTATGATTTAGTTATTAAAAAGAAGGAGAAAATGGATATGTGGCAGGCAACCAGCCATAATTACCACAAAGAGAAGCAAATATGGAAAAGACACTAACCCAAGGTTGAAGAGACCTGTGTAATATTAGTCCCAGACTCCTAGATTTCAGTTACCTGGCTTTGCATTATTGGACTCATTGCTGAACCCCACTAAATACTTTTTCTCTCATTTTAAAGTGTGATGATCAGATTAAGAATAATTACAAGGTAACTTTAAGAGCTAAAAATGCAGATTTCTGTTACATAGAGCTGTGCAGTCCAATATAATACCCACTAGACACATGTGGCTATTAAAAGGTGGCAAGGCTGAATGGAAATGTTCTGTAAACTTAAACACTTGATACTGAAGACTTAGCTGACAAAAATAATATAAACTATCTCACTACTAATTTTTTCTATCAATTACATGTTGAAATAGTATTTTTGATATATTGGGTTAGATAAAATATATTACTAAAATTAATTTCACCTGCTTTTAATTTTTTTTAATTGTGGCTCCTAGAGAATTAAAATTACATATGTAAGCCAGGTGTGGTGGCCTGTGCCTGTAATCCCAGCTACTTGGGAGGCTGAGGCAGGAGGACTACTTAAGGGCAAGAGTTCAAGACCAGCTTGGGCAACATAGCAAGACCCCATCTCTCATTTTTTTTTTTTTTAATTAGCCATATGTAGTGGTATGGACCTGTAGTTCCAGATATTTGGGAAGCTGAGGTAGGAGGATTGCTTGAGCTTGGGAGTTTGAGGCTGCTGTGAGCCATGATCACACCACTGCACGTTAGCCTGGGTGACGTAACAAGACCCTGTCTCTAAAAAAGAAAAGAAAAAATAAACTAGATGTGTAGCCTATGTTATATTTCTGTTTGACAATATTGACACACAGAAGAGTGCATCTGGCTTTTAGAAACACTTCTTCGATTTATATCATTCTACAAATTCTTGCAGATTACCTTCGTACTGCTGAGTAATTAAGGCCAAGGTAAAACTACTATTAAGAATGTTCGGGGAAAATGGTACCATGCATACTGGCTTGCAAATCATTTTCCAAGAAATTCACTGGAATAACAAAAAAATGATTTTAAAAGAAAAAATGACGATCAACCATGGAAAAACGTAACCATGTAATAGAAAGGAAGAATTTCAGCTGGTTATAGTGAGAGTACAACCAGACTGAAGGTAACGATCAAGTCAGAACTGCCATTTTCAAGGACGCTTGGCAGTATTACAGGACGGAAGGAAAGAATAGCCTGGCAAACAATACCAAAGTCTAAGATTTCAAGAGTAAGGTAAAAAGGGAGCAAGGAGAAATATTAATAATAACTTTTATATAGGGAAACAGTGGGAGAGTCAGCCTCTGGACATTCACACTGTCTGTGAATCTTGGTGCCTGTGGAAGGTATGACTCAATGGCCCATCTGCATCTTCGTTCCGGAAGGCTTTCCCTTAACCAGGGAGTGTCACTCTGCCCTTGCACCACAGGCCTCAAAGACCAGTGAGGAAAACCCCCAGGCGCTGGCATCATCACTGAATGACAAAAGTTGGTGTTTAAATGTTTAATCCGGCTTCTTTTTCACTTGGCTGATTGTCTCTGAGGGTGCATTTTAAACTGGATTCCGGACTTTTCCTGGAGGAATTTGGTTCTAGTCACTCCTGGTGGAACTTTCTTGATAAGACATCTGTGTTGACTCTCTTCATTTCCCACCTCCCCAATAATCTACAGAAAGTGACTCTCACTTTCCCACCTCCCCACTAATCTACAGAAAGAAGAATAGTGGGTGCCTAGGGATGGGAGAAGGGGCAGGATAGGGGGTAATTGCTAAAGGCTACTAGGTTCCTTTAGCTTGAGATTTTTGCTTTCTGGATTTTGTTTTTGTTTTTGTTTTTTGGAGGGGGAGTTTTTTAGAGACAGGATCTCACTCTGTTGCTGAGGCTGGAGTGCAGTGGTGCTATCATAGCTCATTGCAGCCTCAAACTCCTGGGCTCGAGTGATCCTTCCACCTCATCCTCCCAAGTGGCTGGGAGAACAGGTGCATGCCAATAAGCCCAGCTAATTTTCTTTTTTTAATTTTTTGTAGAGATGGAGTCTTGCTATGCTGCCCAGACTGATCTTAAACTCCTGGTCTCCAGACATCCTCCAGCCTTGTCCTCCCAAAGTGCTGGGGTTACAGGTGTGAGCCACCGTGCCTGGCCCCTTTGTGGGATGATAAAAATATTTTAGTTAAATAGTAGTGACAGTTGCACAATTCTGTAAATATGCTAAAAGTCATTGAACTGTACAGACTGTGGATTGTATCTCAATTAAGCTGTAGGGGGAGAATGCTGACCTGGTGGTTGTGCATGACTGGAAAAAGAATCGTGGTTGCAAAAGTATTGGAAATATGAACAATTATGAATATTATAGTCACATAAAAGGAAATAAATATTATTAACTTTGACAAGGAGAAAATACTGAATGATGAAATAAGAAAGAAGGGAGAGAAAAATAAGATGTAGGGTGTATGTGCTAATTTCCCAATTTTTCATGGCAAGAACTAATCTTTAACCTGTCTAAAAACAAAAAATTAAAAAATTCATGATATGACTCCATCCTCATTGTTTTTGATAATTACTTTTCTTAATCTTATGGAGATGTTTTTGGGAACTCATAGTGATAAAAATATTTTTGAGAATTTAACCCACTTTGATTTTTTTAATTTAATTTTTTTTTTTTTTTTGAGATGGAGTCTCACCCTATCACCTAAGCTGAAGTGCGTTGGCATGATCTCGGTTCACTGCAACCTCCACCTCCTAGGTTCAAGCCATTCCTCTGCCTCAGCCTCCTGAGTAGCTGGGATTACAGGCATGCACCACCATGCCTGGCTAATTTTGGTATTCTTAGCAGAGACAGGGTGTTGCTATGTTGGCCAGGTTGGTCTCGAACTCCTGACCTCAAGTGATTCACCTGCCTTGGCCTCCGGAAGTGCTGGGATTACAGGCGTGAGCCACTGCACCTAGCCTTAACACACTTTTAATTGGGTTTTTTCTTCCATTATATTTTAGGAAAATTAAATTTAATAGAAATTATTTTAAAAAATACTACACATAGAATAACCTTATATTTGCAAAACTCTGTCCTCTTGTTCATCTTTCTCTAGAATCATATGGCAAGTAGTTACTGAATTATTATTTTGTGACATATTCACTACTATGTGAACTTATATTTTGCAAAACGCTGTCTCTCCTCCTGTTCATCTTTCTCTAGAATCATATGGGGACATATTGAGGATGATAGCCACTTAACATTAAACATGGTAATTACCAAGAGGTTGGATTATTGGTAAATTTCTTAATCTATGCTTTGTCATTTTCTGCACTGATTAAATTTATCATGAGTTTGCAATTGTCAAAAAACTAATCAAGTTGAATTTAATATGTATATGTAAATAAAAATATATAATAACGCTGGCTGGGCATGGTGGCTCATGCCTGTAATCCCAGCACTTTGAGAGGCTGAGGTGGGCAGATCATGAGGTCAGGAGATCGAGACCATCCCGGCCAACATGATGAAACCCCATCTCTACTAAAAATACAAAAATTAGCTGGGTGTGGTGGCACGTGCCTGTAATCCCAGCTACTCGGGAGGCTGAGGCATGACAATTGCTTGAACCCAGAAGGCGGAGGTTGCAGTGAGCCAAGATCGCACCACTGCACTCCAGCCTGGTGACAGAGTGAGACTCCATCTCAAAAAAAAAAATGTAATAGGCTGTGGAATGTGACTGTCATTATTTTCTTGGAATTGTAGATAAATGGTTAAAGGTAAAAACATTGGAGGACAAGCAATAGCTCAATTGTGCTCCCAGAAGCAACATGGTTGGGGTATGGGTGCACCTCCAGAGGGCAGGAGCCCACAGGTAGGACGAGAGCTCATCTGTAAGGCACATTACTGATGCAAAGAAGAGTGTCCACCAGAAGTCCCTGAGAGTGGGTGGCTAAGATGATCTCTATAGAACACAAACACACTCAGGGTCAAAAGAGTGATCTTTTAGTGATCTTCAGCAACAGAAGCCTGTCAAAAGAAAAGACAGAACCATAAACACAAAGACTTCTTTTTTCTTTCCCCCTCTCTCCCACCTCCTTTCCTGTCCCCTTTCCTCCCTGTTCCTCCCTCCTTATCCACTGAATCTCACTTACTATTCTTCTCTTCCCACACTCACCTCAAAAGAGCTCTCCCTCTCTCTCTGGATCTCCTGGGATAATGTCTCCCATGAATTTATGCTTTTATCAAGGCTTGAAAAGGGTCTGTCCTCAAACATCTTCTGATTTAGACTGTTCAGCTGCCCTCGAATCAGAGAAGCTCTTGACTTTGATAAAGGAAAAAATGCATAGAACACTTAATCTTCCTTATTTATTTTTCATAGTAGTGAATATGTCACAAAATAATTCAGTAATTACTTGCCACAGAGATTAAGATTTTCTCCTTTGGGAGTCAAATAATTTTCATTCAGATTTAATTTAATTTAAAATATAGGTAACCCAACAGATTCAGTGGTTTCTACTTTTTAAAGTTTTGTTGAAATTGTAATTCTCTCTTTCTCTCCCTCTGTGAAGGATGTATGTGTTTGTGCAATGAAGATATGTGGTAGTTTTATTTTGTGTTCGTTTTCCTGTAGAAAGTAAAACCTAGGAGTGTTGAAGGGGTGATAATATTATTCAGACAACAGGAAACTATCCCTTCTGAACTCAGAGCAAACTCATCTTGTCTTCATCTAGGGCAATGCTCTCCTTTGTGACTTTCTTGAGTTTCCTTCTGAATTCTCCTTTTGTGAAAGGAAAAAATAAAATCTAAACTAGGTCAATACACAGTGAGTATGAACAAAATACCCACACCAAGGTCTCTATTTGATTGTCCACCTGTTTTGCTTGTCACTCAAAGTAAAAGAAACATCGTGATAATGGGTGCATGGTATAGAACAAATATCTAGTAAAAAGTACTGGGTATGGTGAAACAAACAAGTCACAGAATGGTACCCTGCTATCAATTGTAGGTGCACAGGTGTACCCTGCTATCAATTGCATCCAACTGACAGGCTGTGGAGAAGACTAGAACATAATATGCAAAATGGAGACAGCAATTGTGATGAGGAGTTAAAATTATAGTAGATAATTACCCCTAGTTCTCAATTTTTTTGTAATGTTATGACAGAAAGAAGGCAGAGAAGAAAGATTAAGATCTTTAGAGCCTTGTCCCATGTTGTAACTCTGGCCTTCCACATCCATAGCTGGTTTAGCTTCTCCGAGCTTTGTTTTATATTCTGTAAATCTGGAAAAGTAGCAAAAATATTGCATAGCTCTTATGAAGATGAGAAATCAAAATAAAGTATTATGTATGCCTAGAAGATATTGTCTAAGAAATAAAAATATATCTGTATTGATATTATAATTAGTATATACTACTATAAATAAATTTTGTGTATAAAAAATACACAAAATGTTTGATGCAAGTGTCTCATGTGAACTCTGCAGAAGAAAAAGTTTCTGCCAGAACTCCATTAGAAAACAAGAGAAAGCTTGTCATGTTAGTTAAGAATTCAGACAAAATCTAAAAAGCGTTCCTTTCTCTATCAAATCTGCAAATTGTACTGAGCACAGCTACATAACAAGCATGTACTTGATGGCATATGGCATGCTAAGACAGATAAAGCACAGCCCCTGGCTTCCAATAGTTCACTGTCTAGTGAGGCATGCACGTTTGTTCACAAATAACCACAGGACAAAGAAGGAAATGACTACAAAGGAGAACTAAGATTTATTGACTTTTTACCTCGTGTCACACATTCTGTTAAGCAATTTACATAGAAGTATATATGATTATCTCCAATTTACCAAGGCCCAAGAAAGGCTAGGTAAATTCTGTAAGGCCACTTAGGTAGAGAACAGCGGTGCTAGAGCTAACACTGAAGAAACTGAGGTCAAAGACGGACTTCTTTCATACAAGGGTAGAGGACAGAGAGATTAATTCTGTCTTGGGGAAGACAGGGTAGGAAAGAGAACACTGGGGAGAGAAGCCTTTTAGCCGGATCATTGAAGAATGAGTGGGATTTTGATAATAATGACTTCCATTGCAAGTGGAAGGAATAGCGAGAAGAGAGGCAGGGAGGTGTGAGGTTGCAGAGTGCAGCTGATATCCACCACCAGAACCTGGGGTGGTGGCATTCATGCAAGGAGAGTATGGGGGTGAAACTGACCCCGTAAATTATAAGCAGTGTCATGTGAATCAAATAATACATTTTATTACTGAAGGAACAATCAGAAGTAATGGACTACTCTTGGAAACAGTCTACATCTTTCACAACTAAAATAAAATTTAGAAATTCAATCTGTAGAATGACAAGATGAGAAGAAATAAAGGAAATAACTTCATCTCTGAGAAAAAAGGGAAATTATATATATATATATATATATACTTACACACATATATATTTAAAAACCCTTAAGTACAAGAGCATTTACTCTGAATTTTTCAAAATAGAAACCCATATCCCCGAAAGATATATTTATTTCTTGGTGTGTGTAGGAGGTTAAATAATGTCTGTCTAAAATTCTTGCTCACTCAGAACTTAAGAATGTGACCTTATTTGGAAACAGGGGCTTTGCAAATGCAGATAACATAAAATCTAATGTATTAGGGTAAGCCTTTAATCCAATGATTGGTGCCTTTATAAAAAGGCCATATGGGTTGCATGCGGTGGCTCGCACCTGTAATCCCAGCATTGTGGGAGGCCGACGCGGGTGGGTCACAAGGTCAGGAGTTTGAGACCAGCCTGGCCAACATGGTGAAACCTTGTCTCTACTAAAAATACAAAAAAATTAGCTGGGCGGGGTGGCGGGTGCTTGTAATCCCACCTACTTGGGAGGCTGAGGCAGGAGAATCGTTTGAACCTGGGAGGCAGAGGATGCAGTGAGCCGAGATAGTGCCATTGCATTCCAGCCTGGGTGACAGGGTGAGACTCCACATGGAAAGAGAAAAAAGGCCATATGAAGACACAGAGATAGACACTGAGGGAAGATGGTCATGTGAAAATGAAATCAGAAATCAGAGCGAAGAATCTGCAAACCAGAGAGCACATAGGATTTCTAGTAACCACCAGAAGCTAGGAAGAGGCAAGGAAGAATTCCTCTGTAGAATCTAGAGGGAAGAGGACCCTGCTGAGACCTTGATTTCAGACTTCTACTTTTCCAAATTGTGAGAGAACACATTTCTGTTGTTTTAAGCCACCCAGTTTGCGGTACTTTTTTATGGCAGCCCTAGCAAGCTAATACAATGGGCAGTTGAAAATCTTAAGTAACTCATAACAAAATAAATTTGGTCATAATATGGCAGTTTTAGCCCATTTTAGTAGACGTTAGAAACCTTAGAGGTCATGGACTTTATGAAGACAGGTGCTACAAAGCTCCAAACAGCTGTCTGTTGGAAACAGCACAAAAACATGGATTCAGTAAATAAAGTTTACTCATTTTTTTGTATGCTAGACCTTCTTCATTTGTTCTGTAATAGTAGACTCTATAATCAGCTAAAAGTAAGAGAAAAACTAGTTACCTACCTCTCTCTTTCTCTACCTCCCTTTCCCACATATGTCCATCCCCTCATCCATCTATCTATCTACCCATTCTTTCATCTCTCATCCAGTCATTCATTTACATAACATAGAATTAAATCAGAATATGACAGGGACACTGAATCTACAGACATCCATGAAATAGTCAATAGAGTCATGGCCGGGAGAAAAGAAAATCACTTTAAAGAAAGACTTCAACTAACCAGAAATTAGACACATTTGTCTCACATAGGTTCTCATGCTGAGAAAGTTTATTTGTCAATATAGCTGAAGAAATTATAGGCATATCCATGTGGAAAAGGGCCTGAAGGGGAAAAAAACAATAACCCAGGCATTCTGTAAGGAGAACTATGCCAAACAGAAGAGCTTCAAAGTCCTGTGAAACTCTGAAACTCTTGGGCTAGAATTCTATGTCTCACCAACTTTCTTTCACTTCAGCTGCCAGTCCCTCTTCTCTCCCAGCTACGAATTCACAGTCAGGCAGTGTCAGTATATGCGGTGTGTTGCAGTGAAAATGCAAACACATTTTCTATAATGAACATATGGGAGACTCCAGTTGAAAAGAGTTCCGATTCTATCCCAAGCATGTTATTGGCTATGACTGCAGGGAAGCAGGCAGCAGACGGAACCAGGAAGCATGAAGGCAAGAAAGGAAGGATGTGTGCTTGACTGCTGTTTCAAGATCCTGAGTCCTGCCATGCCATGCTGCAGCCTCTTTCCAAAATCGAACTGCCTTGCTGGGTGTCTTTCTGGGTATTTAATATGTATCTTTCATTCTACAGCCCATGGCCTTACATAAGGGGAAAAAACTCTAACATAAATTGTATGTGCCTTGAAATTTGTATCTAGGTATCAGTATTTTTTAATTTTTTTAAATATGAAAAAATTAGGTATTCCAAAATTGAAGTAAATATACAAGTAACTTTGCATATTTATATGTAGGCAAACAATTGTTAATATTTTTATATTTTTCCTTCATATGTGCATTCTTTATGTGCATAAATATAAGCATGTGCATATATACATATATGTACACATTTTTATATATGTATAAAACCATATTAATATAGTACACTTTATCGTTAAAGGCAAGGACATTCTGATACATAATCTCTATATAGCCATGGGTATTTTTGAAAAGCTTTATCATGCCTTGCTATCAGTTTCACCAGGGTGATACAGATTCAAAATGACAATAAATTAAAATTATTTCTCTCCCCCAAATCAAATTACTTGTTTAAATGTCAACTCAAGAATGTTTCCTTCAAGATCCATCTTTTCCTTTTGATGCGGAAGAAGACCTCTATCTATACAGATGTGTCAGTGGTGAGCACAACCATGGGAAATGCTGTGAGTCAAATAAATAGCATTACTGTTGACTGCACAGAGATAACTAAAGGTCATAGAAGAAGCTGTCAGTTTGGTACGTCAGAAAACTGCAACCATCTACTTGGTCAAGGATATTACATCCAAATAAAATTGCACCTGCTAATATGTAATAATTTCTCTTCCAGCAATGAGGTATCCTGCAGTGAAACAGAATGCTTTGAAATAGATGTATAAGACCTTATAATCATCACTTTCTCTTAGGTTTGTAGAGGATTTCTTCATTTGTGGTGAATGAGATGTGTTTTTATTGCATTACATGATGAAGGAGCATGAGGACATGGGAGGCAGTGAGTGGGATTAGAGTTAGCACAGGACGAAGTGTAAGATAGTACCACAGTTTGGGGTGCATTTCTCCATATTGCACAGGGTGTGATAACTAGTTGGTTGCTCCTCTAAAGTTCAAGGACCTCTTTAAGCTTACTTTCTCACTGAATGTTTCAAAGGACTTTACTGAGTGTCCACATGTCCTATCCTGTTGACTATTTCTTTGTAGGAATTTTGCTCACATACTTATTTCAGTATGTTCTATAATAAGTGGAGAGACAATGAAAAATCTCCTCTAGGAATAATTTTATTTCCTTTAAATGTGGTATTTCAAAACTTGTTCCTTGTGACATAGGAAATCAGTTAAGCACTGGTCCTGTGGAGTAAGCTGGATTCCAAAGGCTTTCTCTTTCAATGACCTTTACAGTCTCCCTGCTAGGCCTATTTTAGCTCCATGTGCAAATCTAAGTGGCTGAGACATCAGGAAAGAATGGTTTCCTCAGGCCTGTGAACAGAAAAACTTGAGTACTACCATAGAAAATTGAATAGTCTAAATCTTCTCTAACTTCCCCTATCTTGTCTTTCTCCATTTCTATTTAGTCTCTGGACCCTTAAACCATATTTCAGATATTTTCCTCACAATTCTATGGAAAAGTGGGTCTATTTTATGAACAGAAATTTCTTGGAAGAGCCATCTTCTATTTATATGATAACTATCTCTGCATACATAATGATTTTACCTTAAATCATAAAATTTACTTTAAAAACTCTTTTCTATCTATGAAATGATCTGAATTAGCATGATTACAGGGCTTATCATGGAATATCTTACCTACTTACGCAATTTCAAAGTCTAGAAAGCTAGAGTGAATACAGTAGACCTTCAACATTCACTATTTTAGCATTCACAGCGTTGATTATTGGTGTAGAAGGTGCAAGACATAGAGTGACTGGTAATTTTGCTGCAGCAAAAAATTAAATTGACATAGACAAAGATGCTAGTTTGTATGAATGCCATTTTACTAGTGAAAGCAGCTAACAAATTGTGCAGAGTCTGCATCTCAACAAGGTTTCATATTATCCATTCAATTTCATACATGCGATAACACAAATGTATTTTTGTGAGAAAAATGTTAAGTCCGGAGAAAAAAAAAGAAATCTGTAAAAAAATGGAAAATACTGTTACTTTGTCATGTGAAGATATGTGGTTAAAAACCAGGTGCCAAGGGTCTTCTGGAATTGGTTGGGATGGTAACATGATCTTACCAATGGTGCATGCATATTGATATCCTTAGTTAGAGCTGTGACAGGAAATCTTCACATGCCTTCCTGAATCTAATTATCACAGAACAAAGTATTTTATACTAGGCTACCCATTTGGGGAAAAAAAAGTCCCCATTCCCAATTGCAGCTGCCAAGACCTGCTATTCTACTGCATCCCTGCCCTTCCCAAGCTGCAGAAGAACTGAGGGGAAACAGACCTAGGCGGTTTCTTAAATTTTATTGTAAAGGAAAGATAGCAATGGGATATAAAATCTAGTAGAGAAGTCAAGGAAAACACCATACATTATTAGAGGGCAAATAAAATGCTCAAAATTACACCCATCAGAAATAGATAAGTTATTTTTTAAATTGGGATAAGCACGGAAGGCCAAATTTCTTTAGAAATAAAAAGGCGAAACAGAAAGGAATATAGCACACGAGAGAAAGCTGAAGAATGTACTGCAACAGAAGATTTATCTCAGAAAACAAAAGAAAATTGTGAGCAACAAATGCATTTCTCATGGAAATAAAACATAGACTCTACAAGATGGGAACTTAAAGTAGAAAAAGAAGAGATCAAACATGAGACCTTTTGACAACAAAATGTGATGAAAAGACAATGTGACAACAGAAGAAAAGCTTCCATTCATAAGAACAGCAACAAAATATCTAGAAACAAATCAAATGCTAAAAATGCAGAACCATTCTGAAGAAAAGATAATGCAAATGGGGCACATAGAGGAAGAGTTGGCTAAATGTGTATATATGCCTAATTCATGATTAAGAAGTCTTAATAAAATTAAGATGCTTATACTTACTAAAATTCCTCCAAAGTCAACTGAAACTGAAGTAAAATTAAAAATATTATTATTTTGGAATGACAAAAATATTTCTAAATTAACCTGAATGCATAAATGCGCAGTAGTCAGAAACTTTCTGAAAGGACAAATATGAGTTAAGGCTCATTCTATCATATATTAAAATATATTACAGATCCACAATATTTAAAACAGCATGGCTACAGCCTGTATTAGTCTATTCTCATACTGCTATGAAGAAATAACTGAGACTGGGTAATTTATAAAGAAAAAGAGGTTTAATGGACTCACAGTTTCACATGGCTGAGGAGGCCTCACAATCATGGTGGAAGGCAAAGGAGGAGCAAAGGCACATCTTACATGGCAAAAGGCAAGAAAGCATGTGTAACGGAACTCCCATTTATAAAAACATCAGATCTCATGAGATTTATTCACTATCACCACTATCATGGGAAAAACCCATCTCCATGATTCAATTACCTCCCACGGCATGTGGGGATTATGGGAGCTACAATTCAAGTTGAGACTTGGGTGGGGACACAGCCAAACCATATCACAGACCCTAATGTATATTAATATATTCTGGAGTTTGGAATAAGAAAAGGTCAGCACTTCCCGCTTCTTTAAATGACCAGCAAAAGATGGAATTATATCTCCAGAATGTCTTCAGCTCATTTTACATAAAAAACGACTGTCTCTTCAGTATAAATGTATGTTTGTCAATCTCTCCATCCTTAAAAATCTCCAAAATACTGAGCTAAATCAATCGCTTTGTAGTCAGTATTCTGTATAGCTCAAATCTATATTTGTTTCCTGTTACTGCTGTAACAAATTACCACAAACAATAAACAATAGTTTCAAGCAATATACATTTATTCCTTAGAGTTCTTGAGGTCAGAGTCCTAACTTAGTCTTAAAGAGCTAAAATCAAGATGTTGACAGGACTGTCTCCTTCTGGAGGCTCTGGGGAGAATCTGTTTCTTCCCTCCTCTGGTTTCCAGAGGCTGTTCTCATTCTTTGACTGACGCCAGGTCATACAGCCTTTTTGTTCCCTCCTTCCATCACCATGCACCTTTTCTCTCTGACTTGGATCCTCCCGCCTGCCTCTTATGAAGACCTTTGTGATTATATGGGGCCCACCTAAATAATACAGCATAATCACTTCAAAATCGATGATTTAATGCCAGCCATAAAGTTTCTCTTACCATGTAACATAACAGATTCACAGGTGCCAGTGATTAGAATGTAGACACTTTCATAGGGGAGAGAAAGGGGCCTTGTTGTACCTACCACATTCTCTTTTGCTATCATCCTAATTATCTGGTTATTAAAAACCTGAAAAAACTAATGCCAGTCATATCCACATATGTATGTGCATTTGTGACACTGGAGCAGTGAAGAAAATTTTCCTGGATGCTGCTGAATCTTATATGTATCATCAGCTTAGTCAGTTAGCTCCATTTTAAAATAAATCAATAGACACTGAAAAACTACTTTGGCTGGGTGTGGTGACTCATGCCTGTAATCACAGCACTTTGGGAGGATAAACCTGGAGTATCACTCGAGGCCAGGAATTTGAGACCAGACTGGGCAACATTGCAAGACCCTGTCACTACAAAAAATTTTAAGAATTAGCCAGGCATAGTGGTGCATACCTGTAGTCCTAGCTACTCAGGGGGCTGAAATGAGAGGATTGCTTAATCCCAGGAGTTTGAGGCTACAGTGAGCTATGAGGGTGCCACTGCACTGCAGCCTGTGTGTCAGAGTAAGACCCTATCTCTGAATAAGTAATGATTTGCTCTTTAACAAATGAGAGAAAGTATCTAAGATTTTCTGTTGCTTTGCCTTTGTTCAATCATTTTATGCTTATATATTGAATACCTATTAATACAGAAAAATAAAAATAATTATTAGGATATAATTATAATCATAGTAGCTGTCATTTATTAAGTGCTTTCTATGGGTCATTGTGCTAAATTGCATGAAAGATTTATTTCTAATCATTCTAAAATCAGGATATTATTTCCCACTATATCCAGATGAAAACACTAAAAAATCTTAAAAGAGTTGCAAGCAAGTAGGTATTAGGAAAAATATTTGAACTTAATGACTCTAAGGACCCTAACTTTACAATCCACCTTTGCTCCTAGTACTTGCACAAGGCGCTAGACAACAGGAAGCAATGGCAGGACCTGTTGCCCCATGCTTCTGTTCCATTGGCGACCCAGACTAATAAGAGACAAGAACAAAAGGGTAAAACATGTGCTGTGACAGAAGATGAGAATGTGACAGGAGCTCACAGGTAGGCTTCTAGCCCAGACAAAAACAGGGTACCATCTTTCCAGGAGGCAGCTGAGGACTGAAGAAGGGGTACAAGGGCAGGTTGCACAGCAGTGGGGTGAGGACTGCAGGCTGATTCAACAGAATGAGCAAATGCCTGGAGGCAAGAGAACATGGAGAGTCAAAGAGATTAAAAGAAATTCATTATGGCTGGATGATAAATGTCAAGGAGAGGATAGCAAATGACCGGGGAAGTATGCCTGGGCCAAATTATGCAAGACCTTGTAAATCATGTTAAGGAGTTTGAACTTCATCAGAACTTCATCCAAGGGTCAGGTCAGTCCCTTTAAAAGTTTTCAGCCAGGAGTTATTTGATACTTGAGCAAATTTGCATATTAGAATGAGAGGAAGCATGACTTCGATGGGGACAGTGCTGGGAACAGTGAGGCCAGCCAGTCAGCTGTTGTAAGTCTCCAGTCATTATGGAGGTGTTGCAAAGCTAATATTTTCATATTAACACATACATGGAAATATTGTGAAGAAAAAGGCAAAATTCACAAGGATTTTAAATATAAAGCACCCAGCTTCAAAGAAATCTCATACTTGCAAAACAATCCCGAAGTCTGTTGCTCCAGCTCCCTCTCTGCACCCTCCCTCACCCCTGAGTGTATTCTGCACTGCCAGATTGAATACGTCGCTGGGCAACGCCGCAGATGCACAAGGACTTTGTATGGTGCAGTAGCCTGGTATCTCCCTAAAGCAAAGCCTGTGGGAAGGTATTTTATTTGCAAATGGTTCCAAGGAGCCAGTGTGAGGGGCAGGAGAGTGAAGTAGGGAAGGAAAGCAAATACAAGAAGTCATTTTCATTCTGGTGGAACCTTCTGAGGTGCCTAAGGAAATGCATCTTAGAACTTTTCTTTATGGAGATGACCTAGGAATCACATTTGTCTTCTATCACCGGGGTTTCCATTACTCATTGCTCAAGGGTGGCAGTTCCATGAATCAGTGCCTAGGGGGTTGCCACAGGGGTCCAAGCTGAGTAGCTCTAGGCAGGGCATTGGGGGTCCATAGCGCAGGCCCACAGTGAGGCCCCCTGCAAGCTCTACTTGTATGAAGCTGGTTAAAGCTTACATAGAAGCAATTGCCACAGCCACGCCAGATTCAGGGTGGAGCTGTGATTGTAATAGCGCTCACTGCTCTCTGAAGTTCCTTTTTTATTGTATTTTTCATGTGTGTATTGCCTTTCTCACCCATTAGACTGCAAGATCAAGTTGTCTTTTTCTTTTTAAACTGCCACCACTTCAGTTATGGAAATCTATCTGCCTTACACTAGATGCTTAAACATTTTTTCATTGAGGAGTGACTGTGAAGTCCCAAGTGTCTGCCGTGTATGTGGTTGCCTCTTTAAGATGGTGGGTGAGACTAGATTTTTTGCATTTGGTTTTTCCACTTTCAATGCTGAAGTTCACACAGTCTGCTACTGAGGGAATACAGTAGCTGCAGCAGATTGGACAGAAGACCATTTCAAGGCTGGAAGGCAACTATACACATAGATCAAGAGAAATGTTGATTTCTCAGCCACCATGAAGTATTCTATCAGGTGCAGTCACTCCACATTGGATGATTCCAAAGTAACCCATTAAATCCCATTCTTTGGAAAGTATACATTCAGGAGCAAAAGAAAAAGGGCCTCTCCCAGCTCCACATTTTTCCCCTGACTGATGCTGGGCCACTCATCTTATTGTTTATGAAGCTTTCTGCAAATCTCAGAAACAGAAATTTGAAACTAGGGGGAAGCATGCTGATGGTAAGAAAAGTGGCACTGTTTCAAAACCCCTACCTGTCTTGAATAACTCAACCGACAGGTCTGGTAAAAATTGATTCTTGGCAGGGTGCTGTGGCTCATGCCTGTAATCCCAGCACTTCGGGAGGCCGAGGCAGGGAGATTACTTGAGGTCAGGAGTTTGTGACCAGTCTGGCCAACATGGCGAAACCCCGTCTCTACTAAAAGTACAAAAGTTAGCAGGGCGTGGTGGTACCCACCTGTAATCCCAGCTACTCGGGAGGCTGAGGCAGGAGGATCACTTGATCCTGAGAGGCAGGGTTGCAGCGAGCCGAGATTATGCCACCGCACTCCAGCCTGGATGACAGAGTGAGACTCTGTCTCAAAACAAAAAAAAAATTCTCGCAAAGTTTGTATTCTGTTCACAGACATCATTAGAGATCACATTCTAATATTGTGTTGTATACCAATTTCCAACCAAATTTACATTTTAGAATGGGAAGCAGATTTGGAACTCATCCTCCCATCAACCCTCTTCAGCCAGCCCCATGTGTGGCCAACAGGAAATTAAGGCTCAGAAAAGTGAAGTAACCGCTCTATGTTACCCAGCTATTTTGTGGCAGAAACAAAATGAGAGTCTTTCTGTGTGGTATATAGTTCTTGTTTCAGAGCAATTCAGTAGCGTGTGGGTTACTGATAATGTTAAAAGTGGCAGGTTTGATTTTTGTGTATAGGCCATGGATTCTTCCCTGCTTCCACCAACCTCCCTGAAACACATAAACTAGCCTACAAATGCCTTGAGGGTTAGAAACGTGTCTTTTATCCAGTGCCTGGCACATTGTAGGGTCTCAAAAAATATTTGTTGTAAAATGAATTTCTCTGGCTATGGTATTAGTCATCCCGAAGGAGGATAATAACCTTTTTCCCCAAATACATTTTTCTCCGCTATCCTGGTTACTTTCTCCTGTCTTTGTTTATAGTCAATCAATATCGCTATTAAGGCGCCTCCAGCTTTGTTGTATTCGAGTTCGGAGCCTTGTCTGTTGGACAGCCCGACTTACCACAGAGATACCAAACACCCTTTCAAAATCTATTACTGGGTCAAGCCTCAACTCTACTACTTTAAAAATCATTTCTCCAAGGTTTGCTTTAAAGTTTTCTTTCTCTCCATGTCAGCAGGATAGCTGTGAATTTCTTACTTTCAGCAAGCCCTCCTTTGAGTAATGGTGACCCAGTAAGAGGGATTTTCACATACGGTAAAATCTTTCTGTCAGAGGTTTAGACTTTCTCCCATTCATCTAGCTTAGAAAATGACTCTTTTTTTTTTTTTGCTCAGTTTCTGTAATTATCATTACTGCCTTGACTAATGCCAGTGTAAAGCCCAAGTCTAGCAATATAAGATAGACTAAACAGAATTTCATTGCAAGGTAAAAATTGTATTCTTTGTAAATGTGTTTCTTGCCAAGGATACCCATTGTTAGGTGCTAAAGGGATATGCTACCAAGGAATATATTTAATAGCATAATTTTAAAATAATGCCATTGATTTGTATAACTCTGGACTTAGAATTTGTACCTTATCTTACACACTGATTTGTTTCCCTTATATTTCCACACAAAAAAAATAAAGCAGGTATAATGTTCTTTGAGAAATATACAAAGAAAAGTTTCTACCAAGTTTATCAATTCGCTGGGTCTCGCCTCTGGTGAATTGAAGCTAGTCCTCTGGAGGGAGTAGAATTCAGAAAAAAGGGATTAGAGAATGTTGAAAGGCCATAGAATATTGAAGCCATGAAAAATTTGGCAAAATTGGTTTCCAAAATCCTTATTGGAAGAACCAAGACCATTTGGGGGGTTTCAGGGAAACAGTGGCATCAAATGTAAGGAATGAGACAAGAACAGGAAGAGAATAGCATTGATACTGAAAAAGTCAGAAGCAGAGTGAGATATGAATAACCAAGATTGAGCCACGAAGAAAAAAAGCTTATGATGACCCAGCCAATGAACTTGTGCCAAAGGGCAATCTTAGTTGCCAATAGCAATGCTGTATCTATGTGTTTGATGAACAGCTAGCTCTCCTGTAAATGTTTTTCCATTTGTGTCAGTGAAGAAATCTATAAATAATTGCCACCAAATAGTAAATGTCACCATTTAAGTTGTTCAACAAATCTTTATTAAGGATTACGGTGAGGAGCCATTAGATTAGGTACTGTGCTTGTTCAAAAATGAGTTAGAGATGGTAGCTGTCCTTGAAAACATACAACCATAAAGGGAGAAAAGTAGAAAATAAGTATAGAACAGGGCTGTTTATGATCATTTCAGTAATAAGCACCTATTATATGCTAGACACTGTTTTAAATTCCTTCTAGGTATTACACAGACAACTGTTAGAAGAGATTAAGAGACATAACAACTGTCTACGTAATTAGAGGAAAAAGTATAGGTTGAAAGTATAGGTAGAATTTCCATGGATGTAGTGGTTTCACTAGAGCGTTCCACTCAGATAAATTGAACCAGGAAAAATAAGGAGGGCAAATACTATAAAGCCCCTGGAGGAAAAAGCTGAATGGAAGCTGTGATGGCACAGAGATGTATTTTAGGAAGCAGGGGTTTCTGCATCAGCTTTGATACTAAGCCAAAAGGTTTGATTTTTATTTTGTAGGCACTGGGAAACTATTGAAGGTTGCTGAGGACAGACTCACATGATAGAAACTGATTAATCTAGAAGACTGAGAGTAGATGAGAAAACATCAGGTAGTCATGACAATAGCTCACACCCAAAACAACAAGGCCAATAGAAGGGAAGATAAGGGAGGGATTCCAGAAGGTAGCCTTATGGGCTTTAAGTCGTCACTATCCAGTTGGTTATCTCTACAAAAGGTCCCACCACCATGCATTTTTTTTGCAATAACTTGCATATCCATAGAGATGTTCTAAGCGTCATTTGGGAAGCAACTTGGTAACTACGAATACTGAAATGTGCTTCTAGCGGTCTTTTATAAGCAGACTTCCCAAGGGTAAGCTGTGATGTAAGCTGTGAAAATGGTTACATACAAAATCCACAGATTTCTAACCAGAATGCTTATAGAACTCATTATTCAATTTCAAGAGTGTGCCATTTGTTCTGGAACAAAAATAGGACCAATATCAATGAAGCAGTGTTTTGAAGTTTTTGGGCATGATTACATAGCTTGGGAAAATGTTAATATTTGGTAGATATGGCCAAGAAAATATTGTTTGTAAAAGAAAGGTCACTTCTAAATTCTTACCTATAGATTGAGGAGTATTATGTAACTTTTGGTTTCTACAGTGGAATTTTCTCTTTCTATTCCATTCCCTTTCTTCTCTCAAAACCCAATGGCAAGCAATGGGGAGGAAGAGAAATGCATAAGGCACGTTGCTTCAAGTGTACCTTACTCAAGACAACGTATGTAGACAGCCGGAAGAGTGAGCACTCTCATTTCTCAGGAACTGATTCCTTCCAGCCAATAAACAGATCATACCACAGTGAAATACAACTATGTTGTTCAAGCAATGGGTATGAGCTGCACCAAATACTTGGCAGGCGTGCACCCTCTCATTAACCCTTATAAACAGGATTTCAATTCTTTCCCTCAACACCTTCTTTAAAAGACATAAACCCCTCCAAATTCCTCCCCAGGTCTTTCTCCAAAAAAGTTTCTCCTACAAATGACTGTTTAATTTACACATCGGTTTTTCTTATTAAAATGCTAGTGGCCTATAGAGATCCCCTTGTAGCCAGGAATAGCAGGAGAGATTTATGTGTGGTGTCGCCTTTACTAAAATCTTAACCCCTCCTGGCAAAAGTACCACTGAATTCCTGGTTCACTCCACTCCTGCCATCAATGAAACAAAATATTCCACAATTTTAGCAGTTCCCACTTCCTGTTTTATCTCCATTTTATGAGATCCAGCTTTCCAGAATATGTTTGGTGATTATTTTACTTAATCATTTTATTCCTACTGACAAAAAATTAATACTTTTCCAGGACTTATATAATAAATCCTCTTCTGAATTTTTCCAGTAATTGATATTTTCTACTCCATATTTCCATATAATAGAAAATTAATATAGGTTCAAATTAATGAATTATAGTAATTAACCTTGTTATCCTTATGGGCTCACTTTAAGCCTAACAACAATTTATTTTCATTTTCTAAATTGCCTTCCAAAAAAGTTATAGTAATTTATATACTCTTCAAAAACATTAGCAGAGTCATGGTTCAAACTCAGGACTGTTGAATTCAATTGTCATATTCTAATGGTAAAAGACATAGGAAGTGCCTTGTGCCATCCCTACTAACACACAAACACCAACAATATTAAATGCACAGGTGAGCATGTGATCAAGAATCATACACATTTTAGGAAAACCAGTAGAAAGCACAGGAAATACAAGCAGGAGAGCTAAAACTTCAGAGAAATAGAATTAATTATGTAAGTCAAAGGAGCGTTCAGAAGAAGTATAATTAGTCCCTAGAGGAATGTGAGAGGACTCTTCATGAGATAAGAGCTGGTTTTAAAAACCTGTCTACTAGAGATCAATGGAGTAAATGAAATTAAAACTTTGATGAAATGGTAAAATAAAGTCATAAGCTGAGACATCAAGTAAAATGATTCTATTAGTATCAATGTAGGAGAATAAAGAAATTGAAAGGATAAAATAAAATATAAAGGCCATGGAGTAATGATATGGACATTCCAATATCATTTAATAATAATTCTGGGACACTAGGAGAGGAAGATTTTAATTGTGAGGAGGGTCTGCAGTATGGGTGGCAAGGTAAACTTCATTGAGAAGAGGGAAAGTGAGCAGAGTTATTGATAACATTTCTTGATGGTATTCCCAATCAATGTGAATGGATTAAATTTCCTTGTTAAAAGGTGAAGGCACTGGATTGAGTACATGAAAAACTAAACAAAGAGAGAAAGAATCCAGCAATATAAAGTTTACAAAGAACACAATTCAAACAAAATAAGACAAGAAAGGGCAAAATGAAAGTGAAAAGGATGTCTTTTGACTGCCTTCAAAAGGCATTCAAAAATTGTGGTTGTGTACATACACCTCTAACACAGCAGACACCACTCTACACTGTGATACTTGTAAACAGAGTAAGGGGCCTTTATTTCTGGGTTTTATTTTGTTGCTTTGTTTTGTTTCTTTTTTAGTCCCTAGAATAGCAGCATTACTTGGCATTTTTTATAACAAATAAATGAAAAAGAAAACCAAAATAATCATCATTTATCTGCATTTGAATGTTCAGCATAGGCTAGCATTTCAGTTAATTGAATAAAAATACAACAAAATTCTTTACTCTGAATAATTAGTTCCTGGGTAGCTTTTGTGAACAATCATAATAATGAGCAATGGTTGTTTTTTTCCATTGCCAACTACATCTTATATCTTAAATTATCATCAAAAAAACTCTTGAGAAAAATTCAGTCTTCTTCCTGTTTGGGAGGTTTCTATATAACTTCACCTTTCCCCTCTATTTAATTCAATAAATATTTATCGAGCACTAAAGTACACAACTTACTATGCTAGGTGTCACGATTCCTTTATCTGTCAACCAAAAAAAGGCACTCATCTTCAAGTTGACAATCTGGCAGAGGATAGAAAAACAAACTTGGCCTCCTTGTATTAAAGTATCTGTTAACACGTATTTATTGTGCACCTGTTACATGCCAGGGCAGATCTGCAGCATAAGATGGGGACGCGAATAGTGTTCCTGCTAATTGTGTGTCATGATATTTGCTGTGGTACTGAGGATAGGGAGGAAACAAAAGAGACAAGGTAGCTGCCCTCAAAGAGCTTGCATTCAAGCTCAGAGAGTAATGGGAGACAGAAAATGAAAGCAGAAATTGTAAAAGTATAGATGCTAAATTATGAGGCCCTTGATGAGACATATTGTACATTATTGAATCAGAAGTGCAAAGGTATTGATTTTTTGAAGAATAAACTCTACATTTGCTATGACAGCATCTTGGTCACAGGCAATTATTAAACATTCGTTCTTTTAATATTAGCAGAACTCAGAAAGTTTTTGGCTGCTTGCTCTAATCTGGTAGTACTCCTGCCTGCCTTGATTTTCTGTCGGTCTGTGACTCTGTGACTCTATCTCGCTTCTTCTTTTTGGTTCTCTTCAATGAAATGGCACCTACAAAACAAATTACTTCTTTTGACTGCAGCTGGCTTGTTCACAGTGGGGCTTTTGATATGAACAAACCTGAAGATGTCAGGCTGTATAAACACTCAGAGAAAGATGTGTTCACAAAGGCTCTGGAAAATTATATGCTACTTCCAAAATGCTTTGCCACATTTAAAAGTGTAATTATACCCTTCTTCTTAATAACTGACATGACATATGTTTACATGTGTTTTAGCCGACTTATGACAGTACACAGTCGTGTGTTGTACGTTTGGTAGCAACATCTACAATTTCATGGGAAAAACATCTGAAGCTGTCTGTTGATGTTGCCCTACTGTTTTACAATAAATAATGCAACCTGCAAATTTCATAATACTTTTTAATCTTTGTATAATAAATTTAATTGTCATTTTCTCTTGTTGGTTGCGAGAACCATTTGCTCAACCACACCGACCTTGTTTCAGATTTATTTGTTTTCCTTTGGCCGTTTATTTGGTTGGAATATCTAGAGCAGCACTGTTCAACAGAATACACTGCAATGATAAGAAATGTTTTTTGTCTGCATTGTTCAATATGGTAGCCACTGGCCACATATGGCTATTGAGCTCTTGAAATTTGGCTGGTGCAAATGAGAAATTGAAAATGTAATTCTATTTAATGTTAATTGATTTAAATTTAAAAAACTGTACGTGGCTAATGGCTACTCTATCTGACAGCATTGGAAGAGTAGCAATATCCAATAGAAATATACTGTGACACACAGATGTAATTTTAAATTTTCTAGTAGCCGTATTTTAAAAAGTAAAAACAAAAATAAAAGGAAATTTAAATAATATTTTTATATGTTTGCTAATATACATTAAATCTTATTTTAACCTAGAGTAGCCAAATTTATAAAGGCAGAAAGTAAAATGATAGTTTCCTGGGGCTTAGAGAAGGGAAAAATAAGGAGTTGTTATTTGATGGGTACAGAGTGTCGGTTTCGTAAGATAGAGAGAATTCTGTGGGTGGATGGTGGTGATGGTAGGACAGCAGTGTGAATGTAATGCCACTGAACTATACACATAAAAATAGTAAGATGGTAAATTTTATGTGAATTTTACAAAAATTTTTAAAAATTAAAAAGTGAAAATAAATGATCATTTAAACAATTACCCAGTACAAAATATTAATATAATATTTTACATCCTCGCTTTTGTACTAAACTTTCAAAATTTGATGCATGTTTACACTTCATCAGACCAGCCACTTTTCACCTGTTGAATAGCTACATGTGGCTAGTGGCTACTGTACTGGATAGAGCTGGTATAGAGAAAGAAAATAATCCAAAAGTTATTAATTATATTTCACTCCTCTTTCTACCTTCTTATTTAGGGGCCAATAATTTAAATCTCTACAATAGTTTTCCACCATAAAAGAAGGGGCAAAGTATGCAAAGATAAGTTAATCAAACAAGAGGTTTGCCTCCATAAAAGTGACTGAGAAATACCTTGCTCTCCTCTAAGACCTTTTAAAAAATATGAATAATATTTAAGTGATTCCTTTGTACTTCATGTATACATTCACTCCAATGAAGTTCTTCATACAACCTCGTGGTCCTAAAAGCATTTTAACACAACTGTGCATCTTAAAATCAATAGCAATTGAGAACTGAGAAAAAATATTATTAATTATATTAGTTACCAGGCACACAGATATATAGTTTTCTAAACAATCCTATTGGTAGACATTATTATTCCCATTTTGCAGTTAGGAAATTGAGAATGAGAGCATTAATACATTTCTTAAGTTATTGAGCTAATAAAAAATAAATCATTGTATCATTTCATTGTATCCTTCTCATGCTTTTGTATCCTCATAGCTTAGCTCCCGCTTGTGAGTGAAACACACAATGTTTGGTTTTCCATTCCTGAGTTACTTCACTTAGAATAACGGTGTCCAATTCCATCCAGGTTGCTGCGAAAGCCATTATTTCCTTTCTTTTCGTGGCTGAGGAGTATTCCATGGTATATATATACCACATTTTCTTTATCCAATTGTTGATTGATGGGCATTTGGGCTGGACTTTGGGGACTCAGGGTAAATGGTGGGAGGGGGGTGAGGGATAAATGACTGCACATTGGGTACAGGGTACACTGCCTGGGTGACAGGTGCACCAAAATCTCAGAAATCACCACTAAGAACTTATTCATGTAACCAAACACTACCCGTTCCCCCAAAACCTATTGAATTTAAAAAATAAAAATAAAAAAAAACAAAGAAATGAATCAAGTAAACAAACTCAAGTAAACCTTAGCTAAAACCTGGGAGGAGCAAAACTAATGTTTGCTGTTTTTAACTCCTTAATTTTAGTGATGTGTCCCTAGTAAGGGAAGGTCTAGACACTGGGTGATAACACGAATGATTGCTACTTCTTTCACATCATGCAGAAACTGAGGTCATCAGTTTACACAAATAGGATGGGAACTCATCATTTTCTTTCTTTGTCTTTCTTACACCATGGAATCTGTAGTACTGAGTAGATAGGGATGGTGTATGTGGACATATTATTTAGAGAATAAGTAAAAAGTCCAAATCAAATCATCATCTAGATTCTAAGGCATCAGAATAACTTGGAAGTTTACCACCAATTAATATGCTGATCTCTGAAGTGAGTCTAAATTTTAAAAACTATTAGAGAGAGAAACACCTAAAATCTATTCAGTCTTAGACACAAGGAAAGAAAATGTTTTATTTTCATGAGAAAATGAAGTAGTTTTATTTATTGTTGTTGGAGCAAGTGTGTGGATTTTGTTATTTTTAAATTTCACATTCTATTATGTTGTTGTATTGGTGTATAGGTCAGTGTGTACAAGAAACGCAGAATAATCCAGATGAGAAAAATTTAACACAGACAAGTGACTATTAATTTGTTAGAAGGGCTGAATAACAAAAGGGGCAAAAGTATATTTCAAGAGAAAAAGAGAAGAGGATGCTATTATCAATAGCTTAGGAATCAGCTTCCTCCTCTGAGAACCCACACAAGAGCCCATACATCCCACTGCCTCTGTGCCCCAGACAAGTGGGCTGAAACCCACTGACTCACTGGAGCCCAGTGGCCTAGCTTTGCTGCAGCCACTCCCACAGGTACTGACAAAAGAAAGAAAACAGTGGCTTTGCCCTTCCCAATTCGAACCTCTCACAATATCCCCCAATGGAAAAACAGCAGAATTCAGCTGGGAAAGGAGTCTGGGAAACACAGTTTGCAAGCTTCCAGCTCTGGTGGAAGCAAAGGGTAAATGTGGAGCTGAGATCCAACCAAAACTCTCCAGCACAACTGGTGGAATAAAAAAGAAAAATAAGAGGAATCTGTGAGAATCTTCATGAAATACGGAAAGAAATGCTCATTGCAACACAGCAAGAAGCCACCAATTTGGCAAAACTAATTGGATAATGGAGGCATCTTTTCCAGGTTGACAAACAGAATTGCAGTTGTCAGAGACAAACATAATTGATACTGAACATATGAGGAGAGATTGTTCATGTTCTCGTTGTTCTCGTTCAAAATATTCTGCTTAGAATAATAATCTATGCATTGTATCTAGACACAGATATTCAAAGAGCATTACCACAGGGTGAGGCACTGTCTTTGAGAGGTCATATTATGAATGGCTGAGTTCACAGACTCTGGAGACAGACTACCCAGGTTGGCATTTAAATTATTCCACTTACTGATTATATGCCTTTGGGCAACTTGGTCATCCATCCCTAGTATCCTACTGAATTTGCTGTTGTCAAGGTCACTACGCATGTTCATATTGCCAAATCCAATGGCCACTTCTCACGCAAATTTTGCTTGACTGACCTCCCATTAGCATCTACTATATTTCATGGCACCATTTTTGAGGTGCTGCTTCTTTTGGATTCCCTGACACTCTTGTCTCCTCCTGGCTTTTCTTCTATACAATATACCTAGTCTTTCCTCCTCCATCCTTGTTGCTGTCTCTTGTCTCTGCTTGGCTTCTAAACACAGAAGTGCCGAAGATCTTTTTTTCCCCTCCGGGTCCCTTCCTTTCCTTTACACACTCTGCCCGGGTGATCTCATTCAGGCCTTAGCTTTGCATACCGTCTCTGACTCCTGAGCTAGACCTTCAGAGCACCCTCTCATTAGGCCCCCTGATATCTTCAAGTCAAAAGGTAACTCCTAATGCAGGTTCATCAATTGTAACAAATGTACCACTCTGGTGCAAGATGTTGACAGTAGGGTAGGCTGTGGATGTGAAGGGACAGGGGATATGTGGACTCTCTGTACTTTTTGTTCAACTTTGCTGTAAACCTAAAACTGATCTAAAAAATAAAGACCATTGAAGAAGTAAAAGAAAAAGAAAGGTTACTGTAGCCTTGTAGTATAGTTTGAAGTCAGGTAGTGTGATGCCTCCAGCTTTGTTCTTTTGACTTAGGATTGACTTGGCGATGCGGGCTCTTTTTTGGTTCCATATGAACTTTAAAGCAGTTTTTTCCAATTGTGTGAAGAAAGGCATTGGTAGCTTGATGGGGATGGCATTGAATCTGTAAATTACCTTGGGCAGTATGGCCATTTTCACAATATTGATTCTTCCTGCCCATGAGCATGGAATGTTCTTCCATTTGTTTGTACCCTCTTTTATTTCCTTGAGTAGTGGTTTGTAGTTCTCCTTGAAGAGGTCCTTCACATCCCTTGTAAGTTGGATTCCTAGGTATTTTCTTCTCTTTGAAGCAATTGTGAATGGGAGTTCACTCATGATTTGGCTCTCTGTTGTTGGTGTATAAGAATGCTTGTGATTTTTGTACATTGATTTTGTATCCTGAGACTTTGCTGAAGTTGCTTATCAGCTTAAGGAGATTTTGGGCTGAGACAATGGGGTTTTCTAGATATACAATCACGTCGTCTGCAAACAGGGACAGTTTGACTTCCTCTTTTCCTAATCAAATACCCTTTATTTCCTTCTCCTGCCTCATTACCCTGGCCAGAACTTCCAACACTATGTTGAATAGGAGTGGTGAGAGAGGGCATCCCTGTATCGTGCCAGTTTTCAAAGGGAATGCTTCCGGTTTTTGCCCATTCAGTATGATATTGGCTGTGGGTTTGTCATAGATAGCTCTTATTATTTTGAAATACGTCCCATCAATACCTAATTTATTGAGAGTTTTTAGCATGAAGGGTTGTTGAATTTTGTCAAAGGCCTTTTCTGCATCTATTGAGATAATCATGTGGTTTTTGCCTTTGGCTCTGTTTATATGCTGGATTACATTTATTGATTTGCGTATGTTGAACCAGCCTTGCATCCCAGGGATGAAGCCCACTTGATCATGGTGGATAAGCTTTTTGATGTGCTGCTGGATTCGTTTTGCCAGTATTTTATTGAGGATTTTTGCATCAATGTTCATGAAGGATATTGGTCTAAAATTCTCTTTTTTTGTTGTGTCTCTGCCCGGCTTTGGTATCAGAATGATGCTGGCCTCATAAAATGGGTTAGGGAGGATTCCCTCTTTTTCTATTGATTGGGATAGTTTCAGAAGGAATGGTACCAGTTCCTCCTTGTACCTCTGTTAGAATTCGGCTGTGAATCCGTCTGGTCCTGGACTCTTTTTGGTTGGTAAGCTATTGATTATTGCCACAATTTCAGATCCTGTTATTGGTCTATTCAGAGATTCAATTTCTTCCTGGTTTAGTCTTGGGAAAGTGTATGTGTTGAGGAATTTATCCATTTCTTCTAGATTTTCGGTACCAAAACAGAGATATAGATCTATGGAACAGAACAGAGCCCTCAGAAATAACACCGCATATCTACAACTATCTGATCTTTGACAAACCTGACAAAAACAAGCAATGGGGAAAGGATTCCCTATTTAATAAATGGTGCTGGGAAAACTGGCTAGCCATATGTAGAAAGCTGAAACTGGATCCCTTCCTTACACCTTATACAAAAATCAATTCAAGATGGATTAAAGACTTACATGTTAGACCTAAAACCATAAAAACCCTAGAAGAAAACCTAGGCATTACCATTCAGGACATAGGCATGGGCAAGGACTTCATGTCTAAAACACCAAAAGCAATGGCAACAAAAGACAAAATTGACAAATGGGATCTAATTAAACTAAAGAGCTTCTGTACAGCAAAAGAAACTACCATCAGAGTGAACAGGCAACCTACAAAATGGGAGAAAATTTTCGCAACCTACTCATCTGACAAAGGGCTAATATCCAGAATCTACAATGAACTCAAACAAATTTACAAGAAAAAAACAAACAACCCCATCAAAAAGTGGGCGAAGGACATGAACAGACACTCTCAAAAGAAGACATTTATGCAGCCAAAAAACACATGAAAAAATGCTCATCATCACTGGCCATCAGAGAAATGCAAATCAAAACCACAATGAGATACCATCTCACACCAGTTAGAATGGCAATCATTAAAAAGTCAGGAAACAACAGGTGCTGGAGAGGATGTGGAGAAATAGGAACATTTTTACACTGTTGGTGGGACTGGAAACTAGTTCAACCATTGTGGAAGTCAGTGTGGCGATTCCTCAGGGATCTAGAACTGGAAATACCATTTGACCCAGCCATCCCGTTACTGGGTATATACCCAAAGGACTATAGATCATGCTGCTATAAAGACACATGCACACGTATGTTTATTGCGGCATTATTCACAATAGCAAAGACTTGGAACCAACCCAAATGTCCAACAATGATAGACTGGATTAAGAAAATGTGGCACATATACACCATGGAATACTATGCAGCCATAAAAAATGATGAGTTCATGTCCTTTGTAGGGACATGGATGAAATTGGAAATCATCATTCTCAGTAAACTATCGCAAGAACAAAAAACCAAACACCGCATATTCTCACTCATAGGTGGGAATTGAACAATGAGAACACATGGACACAGGAAGGGGAACATCACACTCTGGGGACTGTTGTGGGGTGGGGGGAAGGGGGAGGGATAGCACTGGGAGATATACCTAATGCTAGATGACGAGTTAGTGGGTGCAGAGCACCAGCACGGCACATGTATACATATGTAACTAACCTGCACAATGTGCACATGTACCCTAAAACTTAAAGTATAATAATAAAAATAATAATAATAATAATAAAAAGGAAGGAAATTCTGACACATGCTACTATGTGGATGAAACTTGAGGACATTATGCTAAGTGAAATTAACCAGTTACACACACACACAAATACTGTATGACTCCACTTACATGAGGTACCTGAAGTAGTCCAATTCATACAGACAGAAAGTGAATGGTAGTTGCCAGAGAATGAAGGGAGAAAGAAACGGAGAATTATTGTTTAATTGTTATAAAATTTCAGTATGGGAAGATGAAAAAGTTTTGGAGACGGATGGTGGTGATGATTGCACAACAATGTGAATGTACTTAATGCCCATGGACTGTACACTTAAAAATGGTAAATCTTATGTAAATTTTACCACCATAAAAGAGTTGAAACAACAACAAAAAGAACTGATGTTCTTTCCCCAAACCTACCCACTCCTCTCCATCATCCCCAAATAGCCCATCAATAACCTAGTATTTTATTCCAAATAAACCAACAAACAAAATACCCTTGATTCATCTAATTCCCTTGCCCTACCTCCAGTCCAGTCCAACAGAAAAGCTATCATTTCTAACTCCAAAACATATCCAGTTCCATCCACATCATGAGAATCCAGGATTCTCATCACCCCATCATCATGGCCCTTATTCCCATCTCGGGACCTTCCTGTGTACTGTCCCCTCAGCCCAGTGTTCTTCCTGCTGACTTCTTCACATGCCTGGCCCCTTCCTGTCACTCAGGCTCTATTTTCAGGACACTCTCAGGAAGTTCTTCTTTAACCTCTTTCTAAAGTAGCCACTCAGTTTCAATGCTCAGCAGAATACTAATTACTTTCTATGTGGTACACATTTTTCTGTTTTCTTTCTTTCAACTGTAATATAAATCCCATGGGTTCAAGGACCTGTTTTCATCTTCATTACTGCTCTTTCTTCCCTATCTAGCTCAGAAGCTGGTACATATTTGGCACTCAATACAAATTGATTAAATGAATGAATGAACTTCCCTGAATTTTAGTATCATCTCAGTAAAAGTGGGAATTATATCAATCTTATAGTTTGTTTTTGAGAATTAAATAAAATAATGCCTCTAAAACTGTTAGCACAGTGCCTGAAGCACAAGTAGCACACTCAAAGATCAACTGTTATTTTCAAAATTATGAATATCATCATTAGGCAAATTATAAGGTGATACTGGTGCCCTGGACATTGCTATTACCAGTTCTTTTACTACTTGGGAAGCAGAAAAGTGACACCTAAAGGCGAACCTGCTTGACCCATGAAAGATAAGAAAATATTTCTAGTAAAACAATCGATGATTGAATATTTGAGCCAGGTGCTTGAAAACGTTATTGGCCAAGATGTGGTTGAACATGTAGGGGGTATTTTTTGTTACAGAAAATTTCATAAGAAAGGATGTCCTATCTGGATATTAATCATGGATCCAGAGACTGCTTGAAAGCTTACAATGCACTTTTATACACTTTATCTGATTTTTTCCCCTCACAGTGACACTATGAAGAAGCCAGGATTAGTATTAAAATTCCCTTCTAAAGAAGCACCTTGAAATTCCAAGCCCAAAACATGAATTTAAGTTTTACATCTCAAATCTTATCATTAATATCAAAATAATATGCAGTTTTTGAACAGGAGACATAGAACGCTAAGAGTTTTATATAGTTGGGGTACAATTGTTTGATATTCTCTCAGGACAGATTAATTTTAAAAAAGAGATATCAAAATTCAATTTTGCCTAGTTTTAAAAGAAATCATTCAGAATCCCTAATATTCAAATGTGCCTCCATCAGTCTGAGGATTTCTGATTGCTATTTGGGGCTGTAAAATCCTCTTCCTTCTATTGAGCCAAAAATCCTCATGTAAAAATACCAGTTACCTAAGCTGTACTTGTTATACAAGAAGTTTTTTTTTTTTCCTCTCTCTCTCTCTCTCCCTTAAGGTTTCTTATGAAGTTGCTTATCTTCTCTTGAAAAGAACAAAATCCTGGATTACATCAGTTCACCTTGGCAAAAAGAGAAATGGGAAGTTTTATAATGTTAACAGAAATGAAATCTTTCACCCATTTATATATTTCACTGAAGATAAATTTCTTTCAAAATTTAAGATGTTATTATTTTTTAAATATAGAAGCATGAAGTATTTTTTCTTTAGTTTAATTGATAAAACATTTAATTAAAAAATGGTTGATAACTTGGTTTTATGCATAGTATACCATTCTATAACAGTAGCAGCTGAAAAGACAAGGATATGGGAGAGAAGGAATACAAATGGGAAATGGAAAGTGACAAGGATGACATATAGAGACTGGTTAGCCAGGAGGGGGATTTCCTTAGGTAATCTGTGGAGCAGAAGAACCAGCAATGTAAATACCGGCCACCTAGACATGGGCAGTCTTAGCCAAGAAGGAGAGGAATGTGACCAGGGCAGAGAAAATAGGGTCTACTGTCTACTTAAAAGAAGATGGTAACATACCAGTTATGTAACTGGGAGAGTGAAGAACAGATCTAACAAGGAAACAAGGAAGCCTGGAACAAGTAAGAGTGACACAGTGATTCAGGACCCTATATGTGTAAAGGGAGCACTTAATGAGCCACGTACTTCTAGCATTGGTAGAAAAACCATCAAGGCGCGAGGCTAGCCTGCATTCATTTGGGTGTGAGAAAAAAAAATTATAGACAGACCGCATTCCCATTGCCATACTTCAATGATGTGATCAACAATGTCGTATTCTAAGTTACCTAGTAACAAGGGTTATGATGTGCATGCATTTTAGTAACTTCTTATTTTGTTTTAAATTATAGAAACGTTACTTTTTTACTATATAGAACTTGGAACTTAGAAAATTGTTTAAAAAATATAAAGAAACTAAATGTTATACACAATCCCAGCATTCAGAAAAAAGTACTCTTAACAAATCACAGAGATATATGTATAGAAATATATGTATGCTTATTCCTTAACACTATGTAATCATAATATGTTGTTCGATACTTTTAATTTAAAAAACAGTGCAATGTGTGACTTTACATATAATTAATAATTCTTCAAGAGTATAATTTTAATGACTTCATAATATTCTATTAAAATATTTTGTACTTTTACATTATTTCCATTTTTTGACATAAAATCTAGCAATGAACAATTTTATAAATAAAGGTCTCTCTGTATCTCTTAAAAAGTGAAATTATTGGGTTAAGCTTCTTGAAGGCCTTTGACATATTGTTAAATTGGCTTCCAGAAAATGACATAAATATCCAATACTTACAACTGAAACTTGGGCACAAATGAATTCACATAATGGTTATTCCTTACTCTCCGAACTCTCACTATTGAAATTTAAGAATTAGATAGTGAATAATTCTTATACATATGTTTTTGAAACTTGGAATTACACTATGAATGCAGCCTTATATCTTGATTTCTCTTGCAAATTTATATAGTAGAAAAACAATTACATGCCAAAGATTTTTATTAGCAATAATGGATGCCAGAAAACAATGAAGGAATATCTTCAAAGTATTGAGGAAAAATAAACTGTCGAATTAGAATTAAATATGCAGTTAAATTGTCATTCAAGAGTAAAGGCAAAAAAATGACTACTTGTTTTGCATACCTAAAAGAATAGATTTCCTACAAACTATAAGATTTTAAAATAATGAATATACTTTGCAAAAAAGAATAGGGAAGAAATGGGATTTTAAAACAATGATAAGCATGGACATTTGGAAAATGTTTATAAATCTAATTAATTGTTGCCTAAAAATAACAATAATTTCATGTATTTAAGAGTTAATGCTAGATAAATATTTTAAAAACACAATAATAAAACAACAATGTATTTCAGATAAACACAGCAAACTTTTTTTTAAACTCGTAAGTAGGATTATCTCCAGAGGCCAAAAACAAAAGAAATTGAACTGAGTCAGAGGATAAGCACAGTGTTTTAGAAGCAATCCAGAGAAGCAGGACGTGGTTTCTGAAGATTAATGTGCTACAAGGAGACAGGACATGAGGACTGGATCAGAAAAGATGGAGACTTTAAATGGAAAACAGAGCTGAGGTCTTTGAATGCATGTACCCTTGGTAGAAAAGAAGAGCTTTAAGACCACCCATTGTTGTCTCAGAAAGGCATTGAGGAAGTTTGTCTGTCATGCTAGGGTTCTACTTGGGGAGAGGTAAGAGGGAAGTCTCCCGTAGGATTTCATAACCAGGGGCCTAATAAAAAGTCTTAATGTGGAATCTACAATCTAAGAGAAATTAACCCACCTAAACTGTCTCAGGCTTATAATACCCTTGGACCATCTGTAACAATTAAATCTAGAAGTGCTCTGGATAGCTATACCCTAACATGCTTAATAAGATCTTACCTGGTATAACCCTGCTAAAGATGAGCTATCTATATCATAAAATGTCTTTTTAAATTCACTTTAAACAAAAGAAAGTAATCAGAGTAAATAGCACAATTAAACCCATTAAATGTCACATAATAAAGACTATGAAGTAAATGTATGTAAAAAGATGAAAGTTATGAAAGTGGATAAAAACACAGAAAGACATATGACTCCATGGACAATGCACAAACTATTTTCAGAAGTGGGAAAACATAGTTTATGGAATAAAATCTCAATGAATAGTTTAAACAGCAGTTTAAGCACAACTGAACAAAGAATTTGTGAACAGGTGCACAGTGCTTAGGAAATTATTCAGAAGGCAGAGCCCAGAGAAGAAACAAGATGAAAAATAAACAAATAAAAGGGAGATTAACATATAAGAAGGAAACATAGAGAAAGTCCAATACATGTTAATGAAATTTCTTAGCAGATGAAACAGAGAGAAGGGGGAATAGTAATACAATTATTTTCCAAGATTGAAGAAAAAAGCATGAATAGGCATATTTAAACAGCACGGTTAGTCCTGAGTGGAATAAAAGTGAATGTGCCGCTAGGCTCAATCTCATTGTAACATAGACTGCGAGAAAATCTTAAAGGTAATACCAAAGAAAGATTTTTCTCAAAGAGCAACAGTTAGCCAAAAAACAGGCATCTAAACTTCATGAAACTAGCAAGAGGATATTGTAATTATACCAAAAGATCTATAGGGAAATGGTTTATAATCCAAATTCTATATCCAGCTAAATTTTCAGGAAAAAACAGGGCCAAATGAAATAATTTTCAGACAATCATACACTGGGAGAAATCAACAGTAGACTTAAAAAATTACCTAAAATATATATTTCAGGAAGAAAGTGACCCACAAAGAAGAATTAGTTTTTTTTTTTATTATACTTTAAGTTTTAGGGTACATGTGCACATTGTGCAGGTTAGTTACCTATGTATACATGTGCCATGCTGGTGCGCTGCACCCACTAACTCGTCATCTAGCATTAGGTATATCTCCCCCCTCCCCTCCCCCCACCCCACAACAGTCCCCAGAGTGTGATATTCCCCTTCCTGTGTCCATGTGATCTCATTGTTCAATTCCCACCTATGAGTGAGAATATGCGGTGTTTGGTTTTTTGTTCTTGCGATAGTTTGGTGAGAATGATGATTTCCAATTTCATCCATGTCCCTACAAAGGACATGAACTCATCATTTTTTATGGCTGCATAGTATTCCATGGTGTATATGTGCCACATTTTCTTAATCCAGTCTATCATTGTTGGACATTTGGGTTGGTTCCACGTCTTTGCTATTGTGAATAATGCCGCATAAACATACGTGTGCATGTGTCTTTACAGCAGCATGATTTATAGTCCTTTGGGTATATACCCAGTAACGGGATGGCTGGGTCAAATGGTATTTCCAGTTCTAGATCCCTGAGGAATCGCCACACCGACTTCCACAATGGTTGAACTAGTTTACAGTCCCACCAACAGTGTAAAAGTGTTCCTATTTCTCCACATCCTCTCCAGCACCTGTTGTTTCCTGACTTTTTAATGATTGCCATTCTAACTGGTGTGAGATGGTATCTCATTGTGGTTTTGATTTGCATTTCTCTGATGGCCAGTGATGATGAGCATTTTTTCATGTGTTTTTTGGCTGCATAAATGTCTTCTTTTGAGAAGTGTCTGTTTATGTCCTTCGCCCACTTTTTGATGGGGTTGTTTGTTTTTTTCTTGTAAATTTGTTTCAGTTCATTGTAGATTCTGGATATTAGCCCTTCGTCAGATGAGTAGGTTGGGAAAATTTTCTCCCATTTTGTAGGTTGCCTGTTCACTCTGATGGTAGTTTCTTTTGCTGTGCAGAAGCTCTTTAGTTTAATTAGATCCCATTTGTCAATTTTGTCTTTTGTTGCCATTGCTTTTGGTGTTTTAGACATGAAGTCCTTGCCCATGCCTATGTCCTGAATGGTAATGCCTAGGTTTTCTTCTAGGGTTTTTATGGTTTTAGGTCTAACATGTAAGTCTTTAATCCATCTTGAATTGATTTTTGTATAAGGTGTAAGGAAGGGATCCAGTTTCAGCTTTCTACATATGGCTAGCCAGTTTTCCCAGCACCATTTATTAAATAGCTAATCCTTTCCCCATTGCTTGTTTTTGTCAGGTTTGTCAAAGATCAGATAGTTGTAGATATGCAGCGTTATTTCTGAGGGCTCTGTTCTGTTCCATTGATCTATATCTCTGTTTTGGTACCAGTACCATGCTGTTTTGGTTACTGTAGCCTTGTAGTATAGTTTGAAGTTTTTAAGAAACTGTGAAGTCTAATAAACTTTAACTATATAAAGTAATAATATTGACTAACTTGAAGGTTATTAAGATAGAACTGAAATATCAAACAAATTATTTATGATCAGAGTAGATGAAGATAAAATCTTTAGATTCTTATATTGTTTAGAATTTAAGTGAGGACAGCAAAGATCACCTGATGACCAACAAGCAGGCCATCCAGAGACAAAACTCTTTATCTGAGGAATTCAGAAGTAATTAGACTTCCCTATTATCTAAAGTACGCATCTGGTTCCAGGTTTCTTTCTCAAGAACTTAGAAGTAACTAGAATTTCTATGAATCTCTGGAATGCATCATGCATATCAAAACTTATCATGCAATCCTTGCTGACATTAAGGCACCAAAATGTCTACAAATGTAATCTTATCATGATCTACGTGGCTAATATCATCTAAATTACCCTTAAGCTCCCACATAAGATCCATAAATACCCCTATGAAAAATGCACCTTGGTGCGGTGCACTCAGTCCTATTGCTAAGGCACCCTGCTGCACTCTTAGGCAGGATTCTTTCTTTCTAATAAAACTTTCCTTTTTCAAACCTATAATGCCGTTGGTAAATCCTTCTTAACAACCTGGAAGTCGACCACTTTCCAATGCTGGGGCTCTGACATCTCACCCGGCATTAAGTATATTGACTAATTTCAGTGTATGTTAATTAAGCATACATGATTTAATATATATTTATATATTTATATTTAATATAAAATTTGTATTAAAATATATATTTATATAGAAAAATGTTTATATGTATATAGTTAATCTATATTATATATAATTATATAATATATAGTATATATTATATATTTAGTATAATTTCTAAACTATAGCTGACATTAGATGAAAAAACAAAAAAGTACAGGAAATTTAAAAAATTACTAAAAGGCAGGTTATAAATGAGGAAAAGCATAGGAAATACATGGTGCATAGGAAAACACTAAGTAAAAATGATAGAAATGAATCTAACAATATCAGTTTATCAATGTCTTTTAATTCAGCCGTTAAAATGCAGATATTTTGAAGCGGATAACTATATACACATACATGAAAATTTTGCTAAATGCAGTTCATAGGAGACACACAGAAAGGATAAGAACACAGAAAGTGTCAGGTTAAAGGGCAAAGAATACATGCCAAGCAAACAATTCACAAAATACAAAGCCTGGTAGAGTTAAATTAATATCAAACAAAATAAAGGGAAAGGCACAAAATGTTATTAGAATAAGAGGGATGCTAAGTAACACTTAAATATTGTCTACAGCAGATGAAGAGAAAAGGTGACACTTGGAAACTTAAAATTATATTGGAAATAATGATTAGTGAAAAATGCATTATAATAGAAACTATAAAATATTTAAATATTTAAGTTATAAATATTTAACACAATATTTAATTTAATATAAAATATATAATATTTAACAGTGTTAACCAGTTAACAATTACATATCAAAGCTTGAGGGATTCAACTAAATGGAACTTAGAGATAAGGTCATAGCCATAAAGGATTTTATTCGAAAAGAAGAAAAACTAAAAATTTATGAGATCATCCTACCACTCAAAAAGTTAGAGAAAAGAATTAGCACAGAGTATAAGAAAACAGAATGTGAAGAAGTGATATTAAGGATAAAAATTGGGTGTAAGTCTAAATAATGCAGAGAACAAGAAAATCATAAAGGAATGTTATAAATAACTTTGTACTAATAAATATATAAAATAGAAACGTGCACAATTATCTAACATCAGCATGATTTGCCATAACTGGCTCAGAGCAAGCAGAAAACATGATTAGGCTTACAACGATTAAACCAATCAAATCAGTATTTTAAAGTATGCGCCCTGCCACCAAACAAACAAAAATTGGCCTCAGATATTCTACCAAACGTTTCAAAAAGTGATAATTCCAATATGATACAAATGGTTACAAATGAACAAATAGAAAAAGAGGAAATATTTCTCAGTTCAGTTTATGGGGATACTGAAACCTGGATAGCAGAGAATAATATATAAAAAAGGGAAATTATAAGGCCGTCTTACCTATGAAGGTAGATGAAAACAATACTATAATGTACTAGAAAACTAAATAGACGATGTATTTTAAAATACATCATTGCCAAATTGCCTTAACAGTAGAAATATTACTATAATGCATACATTAGCAGAATAACGCAAACTCTCTGATCATGTTAATAAATTCAGAAAAAGCAGTTGATAAAAATTAACATTATTTATTCACTGTGTTTTAAATAGAACTCTAAGGAAACTAGAAATAAAGCTTGTAGCCCATTTGTGCCGTTACAACAAAATACCTGAGACTGAGAAATTTATAAAGAACAAAAATGTATGTTTTACAGTTTTGGAGGCTGGGAGTCCAAGATCAAGGGACAGCAGGTTCGGTGTCTGGTAAGCGCTGCTCCCTGCTTTCAAGATGGCATCTTGTTGGGGCTGGAAGGGCAGGAAAGCTGAACTCTGCATGAAGCCATTTTTAATGCAGAGGGCCTTAATCCTATTCGCTTGCCAAATTGATTCCAAAATTTAAATGCTAGTGCAAAGGGCCTAAGGTAAACAAACAAACAAAGAACAATATGATGAATAGAATTGTTCAACTCTAAGGATTATTAGAAAGCTTTTTGATTAAGATAATGTGGTATTGGTTTAGGACTGATAAATACTCTAATGAATTAGAACTGAAGAGAGGTTCTTGATGTATGATAAAAACTGGTATATTTAAAATAATTAAGAATGAAGATGTACTATTCCATAACTGGTACTGATAAAATTGGTTATAAAAATGGAAACAAAAACTAAAATTAACCTTGTTTCACCACATAAAAAAATGATTTCATGCGGATCAATGACCTGTTTGTGGAAAAAAAAAAAAAGGCAATTTTAAGGAAAAAAGAATATATTTATGACATTGCAGTAGGGAGAATTTTTTAATAAGACACTAATACCTAGAAGGAAAATAACTCATATTTACTTACATCAAAGCTGGGAAATTCTCTACAAAAGAAACCTAAACAGGCCAGGCGCGGTGGCTCATGCCTGTAATCCCAGCACTTTGGGAGGCCGAGACGGGCAGATCACGAGGTCAGGAGTTTGACACCAGCCTAGCCAAGATGGCGAAACCCCGTCTCTACTAAAAACTACAAAAATTAGCCGGGCGCGGTGCAGGCACCTGTAATCCCAGCTATTCGGGAGGCTGAGGCGGGAAAATCGGTTGAACCCAGGAGGCAGAGGTTGTGGTGAGCCGAGATCACACCACTGCACTCCAGCCTGGGCGAGAAGAGTGAAACTCCGTCTCAAAAAAAAAAAAAAAAAAAAAAAAGATATCTAAACAAAACAAAAGATGAATTGTTGGGAAGCGAAAGAAAAAGAGAGAAGAAAGAGAAGGAAGGAAGGGAGGGAGGGAGAGAAGGAGGGAGGGAGGAAAGAAGGAAGGTAGGAGGGAAGGAAGGAGAAAGAGAGAGAGAGAGACAGAAAAAGAGAGAGAGGAAGGAAGGACATGGTAATCTAGATAACCAACAAAAGATTTGTTTCTTTACTACATAAAGGGTTTCTACAAGTCAACATACCACCAAATAGAACATAATGTGAACAGGAAATATACTTAAGTAGAAAACCAAATGGCAATTAAATGTATAAAAAGATGTTAAATCTCATTAGTCATCAGGAAAATGTAATCTAGGACTACCATAAGCTACTGTGTTACAGGTATCCTATCGGAAAATTGGATCCCATATTGGCAAGGGTGTAGAGAAACAGGAACTCTGTTCTGCTGGTGTGTCACTGCTGGTGTGAATGAACATTGGAGAACTGTTTGGCATTCTTCAGTAAATCTGAATATGTGCATAAGCTTTCACACAGACTTCCTCTCCTAGGTGTATAACCTTAAAGAAATTAAAAATAAAATCTCATGCATATGTGTTAAAGGAGAAGTGTTCAAGGAAGTTCACTGCTACTTCGTGTATATGGATACTGTAAAATATTCACTGGTAGAGGAAAGCTGATTCAATAAACAACAGATATACCAAATTACTTCAGATTTCACTAGAAAAATTATATAATTATGATATAATTACACAGCTTAATAATTATATAATATATAGACAACTATACAAGTTAATAATTATATATTTATATATAATATATATATATATAAGGTTTGTAGTTGTAAAGAAAAACTTACCCCAGATAGTCTGATTAGAGAATGAATTTATTGAAGAATACCAAATCACTTATAGACTCTGCAAGAGCAAAGAAATCCAGTTTTGAAGCTTTGCAATTATGAACAGAGGGCCAAATGCCATCACCAGGCTGCTCCTCCTAAGCCATCACAGCTCCTGCCACTTGCCGCCACAGTTCCAGCTAATTATCCTAAAAGTAGTCTTTCAGAAGTTTTTGCCAGTTAACTTTGCAGCATGCTTTAACAAAAGATAGATACCTTAAGAGACCATTCTCTCTGTATTAGTCTGTTTTCACACTGCTGATAAAGACATACCCGAGACTGGGTAATTTATAAAGAAAAAGAGGTTTAATGGATTCACAGTTCCATGTGGCTGGGGAGGCCTCACAATCATGGCAGAAAGCGGTGGTGGCCACTTACTGGCAGTGGCAAGTGAGAAAATGAGAACCAAGTAAAAGGAGTTTCCCCTTAGAAAACCATCAGATCTCATGAGACTTATTCACTACCACGAGAGCAGTATGGGGAAACTGCCCCCCATGATTCCATTAACTCCCAGTGGGTCCCTCCCACAACATGTGAGAATTATGGGAGCTACAATTCGAGATGAGATTTGGGTGGGGACACAGCCAAACCATATCATTCTCCCGTGGACCCTCCCAAATCTCATGTCTTCACGTTTCAAAACCAATCGTGCCTTCCCAACAGTACCCCAAAGTCTTCAATCATTTCAGCATTAACTCAAAAGTCCACAGTCCAAAATCTCATCTGAGACAAGGCAAGACCCTTCCACCTATGAGCCTGTAAAATCAAAAGCAAGTTAGTTACTTCCTAGATTCAACCAGGGTACAGGCATTAGGTAAATACAGCCATTCCAAATGGGAGAAATTGGCCAAAACAAAGGGGCTACAGGCCCCATGCAAGTCTGAAATCCACTAGGGCAGTCAAATCTTAAAGCTCCAAAATGATCTCCTTTGACTCCATGTCTCGCATCCAGGTCCTGCTGATGCAAGAGGTAGGTTCCCACAGCCTTGGGCAGCTCCGCCTCTATGGCTTTGCAGGGTATAGGCCCCCTCCTGGCTGCTTTCACAGTCTGATGTTGAGTGTCTGTGGCTTTTCCAGGTTCACAGTGCAAGGTGTTGGTGGATCTATCATTCTTGGTCTGGAGGATGGTAGCCCTCTTCTCACAGCTGCACTAGGTGGTATCCCAGTAGGGACTCTGTGAGGGGGGCTTATACCCCATGTTTTCCTTCTGCACTACCGTAGCAGAGGTTCCCCATGAGCACCCCACTCCTGCAGCAAACTTCTGCGTGGACATCCAGGCATTTCTATACATCCTCTGAAATCTAGGCAGAGATTCCCAAACCTCAATTCTTGACTTCTGTGCACCCACAGGCTCAACACCATGTGGAAGCTGCCAAGGCTTGGGGCTTGCACCCTCTGAAGCCATGGCCCAAGCTGTACTTTGGCCTTTTTTAGCAATGGATGGAGGGGGTAGGATGCAGGGCACAAAGTCCCTAGGCTGCATAGAGCAGTGGGGCCCCACATCCTGCCCAGGAAACCATTTTTTCCTCCTAAGCCTCTGGGTCTGTGATAAGAGGTGCTGCTGCAAAGGTCCCTGACATACCCTGGAGACATTTTCCTTATTTTCTTGGTGAATCACATTTGGCTCCTATTCCTTATGGAAATTTCTGCATCTGGCTTGAATTTCTCCTCAGAAAATGGTTTTTTGTTTTCTCTCACATCATCAGGCTGGAAATTTTCCAAACATTTATGCTCTGTTTCTCTTTTAAAACTGCTTTTAACAGCACCCAAGTCACCTTTTGGATGCTTTGCTGCTTAGAAATTTCCTCCACCAGATACCCTAAATCATCTCTCTCAAGTTCAAAGTTCCACAGATCTCTCAGATAGAGGCAAAATGCTGCCAGTCTCTTTGCTAAAACATAACAAGAGTCACCTTTGCTTCAGTTCCCAACAAGTTCCTCATCTCCATCTGAGATCACCTCAGCCTGGATTTCATTGTTCATATCATTATCAGCATTTTGGTCAAAGCCATTCAACAAGTCTCTACGAAGTTTCAAACTGTCCCATATTTTCCTGTCTTCTTCTGAGCCCTCCAAACTGTTCCAACCTCTGACTGTTACCCAGTTTCAAAGTTACTTCCACGTTTTTAAAAATCTTTACAGCAGCACTCTTCTCTACTGATACCAATTTACTGTATTAGTCACACTGTTTTCACACTGCTGATAAAAACATACCTGAGACTGAGTAATTTATAAAGAAAAGAGGTTTAACGGACTCACAGTTCCATGTGGCTGGGGAGGCCTCCCAATCATGGCAGAAGGTGAAAGGCACATCTTACATGGTGGTGGCAAGACAGAAAATGAGAACCAAGTGAAAGGGGTTTCCCCTTACAAAACCATCAGCTCTTGTGAGACTTATTCACTACCATGAGAACAGTATGGGGAAAACCATCCCCATGATTCATTCAGTTAACCCCCACGGGGTCCCTCCCACAACACATGGGAATTATGGGAGCTAACATTCAAGATGAGATTTGGGTGGGCACACGGCCAAACAATATCACTGTCCCTCTGGTTTCTTCTGAATTGAAGACTTGCAACAGAAGATCTGATTAGTGAAGCCTAAGTAATATACTGGCACCAGAAGAGCATGGGAGGCTTGGAGTGGAAGCTTCACACATCAACTTGAAAGAGAAGGGACTCATAATACACTCAATCCTCCCAATATAGGGAATGTTTTCAAAGATTTATATATACGTTGAAGTGTTAAATTAAGAAATGGAACTACCTTCTATGTATTTTGAATTAGCTGGGATAGAAGAGAATAAAGACAAAATTATTATTCTAGTAGAGAGCAATAAAAAAAAATTCAAAGAAATAGCATCAAAACCCTAGAATGCAATGGTATAAATGAGTCACCTATTGTCAATATCACAATATCTATAAAGAAATTACAATTATCTATTATAAAGCAAAGTATCAGATTGAATTAAATATAATTCACCTATATGCCATTTACAAAAAATACTTCTGAACAATGATGAAAGATTGAGGAGATACTTGTAAAGCACTTAGGACAGTTCTTGATTCATAGTAAATAAAAATTTCATGAAAACATACACACATACATAAATGAACAAACAAACAAATAATTAGATTGAAAGCAAAGCAAAAGAAAAATATATCAGGGAAATATTAACTAAAATTAATGGGTGGAGGAATAATAATTTTGGAAAGTTTTATCAAGAATGAAAAGGAACACCACATAATGTTAGAAAGAAGCGTTTCTACAAGAAGATGTAAGAATCATTAACTTATATGCACCTAACAGAAAGACTTGAACTATATAAATAGCTGACTGAATTAGAGAAAGAAATTCCCAATACTAGTAGAAGATTTTAACATTTCTCTCAACAGAAACCAATAGAGTGAGCAGACAAAAAAAAAATACTATGTAGACAGTTTAGATGATATAATTAGAGGGCTGATTTACTATCTATATTTAGGTGATTTAAAGAACTAAATATGTAAAACAAAACTTAAAATTATTAGAAGGAAATGTAAGAGAATTATGTTTATGAACTTGGGTTCATGAAGAATTTTGAAAATGAGTTTCAAAAAACAAAAATTGCATGTGAAAGACTAATAAATTTAATCAAATTAGAGATTAAAACTTCTATAAAACAAAGAAAAGCCTATATAATCAAAATATAAAGGATAAAGAATACTGGGAGAATATATTTGCAAAATACACAACATATGAAGGATCAGAGGTAACAAAAGCATATACTAAGCACTAAAGATAAATTAAAAAAAGACAAGAAAGGAAAATGAGTAAAGGGTTTATAAGTACAAAATTAACCAAAGATACCCAAAGGGACTCTCTCTCTCTCTTTCCTTTCTTTCTCTCTCTCTCTATATATGAAATACAGTATATATTATATAAATTTTATATAAAAATTACATATATAATTTCATATATGGCAACTTTTATATATATTGGCACAAAATCAAAAGCTGACAACTACAGAAGTAAAACTAAAACAACAGAGTCTGCCAGGCGCGGTGGCTCACGCCTGTAATCCAGTACTTTAGGTGGCCGAGGCAGGCGGATAACCTGAGGCCAGGAGTTCCAGACCAGCCTGACCAACATGGCGAAACCCTGTCTCTACTAAAAATACAAAAATTAGCTGGATGTGGTGGCGGGTACCTGTAATCCCAGCTACTCAGGAGGCTGAGACAGGGAAATCACTTGAATCCGGGAGGCAGAGGTTGCAGTGAGCTGAGATCCCGCCATTGCACTCCAGCCTGGGCAACAAGAGCGAAACTCTGTCTCAAAAAATGAAATTAAACAACACAGTCATTTGTGTAGCCCCAAGAGCGTGGCCAAAGTTCTTAAATGTGATAAAAACCAGTGGTTGCAAAGGATGGACAGAAAAAGTGAATATTCAAGCATGGCTGCTGGAAACATAGACATCAGTTTAGTAATCTCAGAAAGCTGACCAAGCTCTCATTCTTCATCCCAATGATTCCTTTTCTAACTATATATCTTAGAGCAGTAGTTTTCTAAGTGTGGTTCACAGACCCCTGGGGGATGCTGAGATCTTTTCAGACTGTCTGAAAGTCAAAATTAGTTTTATTATAATATGAAGGCCATGTTTGTCTTTTTCTCTGTGTTGACATTTGCACTGATGGTTTAAAGCAATGGAAGATAAACAAACAAAAAAACAAAAACAAAAAACGGTTAGCACAAATCAAGGCAGAAGCACAAAAGTGTACTACAGTTCAAGTTCTTCACCACTGTGCACTTGCAGTTCAAAAATAGGTTTACTTACAAATATCCTTCATAAATCAGTAAAAATTATTAAATTTCTAACATTTTGCATCTTGAATGCACATCCTTTTAATATTCTATGTGAAAAAATTGCAATTAAGCATGAAATATTTCTGTTGTATACTAAAGAGTATAGAACACTTGTGTGATTAAGTTATGAGCTGAATTAGCTGCTTTTATTTATGGGACACCATTTTTACTTGAAAGAATGACTGACAAGTTACACTTATTCAGGAAGATACATAGCAGACATTAAAATGAACAAAGTGAATTTGTCATTTCAAGACAAACATGGATTATGTTTGTACCAATGATACAATAAAAATCTAAGCTTCTAGGCAAAAATTAGATTTTTTTTTTTTGAGGCGGAGTCTCACTCTGTTGCCCAGGCTGCATTGCAGTGGGAAGATCTTGGCTCACTGCAACCTCTGCCTCCTGGGTTCAAGCGATTCTACTGTTTCAGCCTCCCAAGTACCTAGAATTACAGGCGTGTGCCACCACACCTGGCTAATTTTTGTATTTTTAGTAGAGACAGGGTTTCGCCATGTTGGCCAGGCTAGTCTCAAGCTCCTGACCTCAACTGATCCTTGTGCCTCAGTCTCCCAAAGTTCTGGGATTACAGGAGTGAGCCACCATCCCCGGGCCAAAAATTAGAATTTTGGTAAGGTTGTATTAGCTACTGTGAGATTAACAGCTGTTAGTGTAAACTTTACCTGATGAAACTTGTGTGATATTAACAAATACGATTTTTAAATATTGTATAAATGAAATGTGTCCTCATTTAGAAGATCTGCAAACTCAGTGAAGCAGTATTTTCCAAATGATCAATGTATGATGTTAGAAAATCATGGCACAGATCAATTCAACATACAAGATAGACCAATAGATTTTAACAAAACTGTATGAGAAGTATATTGTTATGATTTCAGATTTATATTGTAATGAATCTTTTAGAAATACCACTTTGTATAGTATCAAAGAAGAATACCTAAAATAATCAAAAAAGGCTATTGAAATCTATTTCTCTTTTCCAACAAGACATCTGTGTGAATCAGGATTTCTTTCAACCAAAGATGCATATCACTACAGGGTGAATGCAGAAGCAAATATTATGATCCAATTTTGTTCTATTAAATGAGGCTTTAGTGAGAGAGATTTGAAAAAATGTAAAAAATTGTATTTTTCTTTTTTTGTAAAATATAGTTATTTTAATAGAATATGCTACCTGTGTTCAGCTATAATGGGCTTGTTATTTTTAAAACAGACTAATAAATATTTTTTAAATTTCTATTTTAACTTCTAATACTTTAAATATTGATAAATATAATCCACATAGACAACACTCTTTGGCATTCTCAATAATTTTTAAGAGTGCAAAAAGTCCTAGGCCAAAAAGTTTGTGTTGCCGCCTTAGAGAAATACTGACACATAAATTGTGAAGCTATATGCAGATGTTTATTATGATGCTGTTATATTGAAAATTTGGAAACAATTTAAATGGTCCACAGTAAGAGAGTGAGTAAATAAATTGTGCATTATACAATGATACAGTGGAATACTACAGTTAAAAATAAATAAATTAGATTTATATATGTTAATATAATGTTAAAGAAAAAATAATTCTTGGCATTTGTTAAAGATGGTAAGCTTAGTGGGGGCCAAGGTGATAGACACAGGGGCCACTGCAATGGAGTCCTGCCATTAGGGAGAGAGACTGAAGTCAGTTTCAGGTCCAACAAGGACAGGTAGGGATTTATAGCCAAGGAACAGGGTGGGCATCAGTGGATGAAAGATTAGTAAGGAAAACATCAGGGGTAAGGTAACTTTTGCTAGAAAGACTCAACAAAATTCTTGTTGAAAGCAAGCCAGGGTGATATCAGATAATGAGGGTGGCGAGATACCAAGGTTGGAGGGTTTTCACTAACTGACATGGCAGGATTCTTGCTCAAACTGGATTCTGCAAGGTCAGAGAGGGAAACCCAGCAGATGACTCAAAGGGGCCCAACTAAAGTTTTGGTCATAGGAGAGAGTCTTTGTCAATAGTTGGATCTCAAAAATATAATTTTGAATATAACAAAACAAGTTAGTTTATTACATGGAAATTAGTTAAAATAATTTAAATTACAAATATTATGTATGAGTTACTATTATAAATTATATGTATTACATTATAAAACTCAGAATTTATGATCTTAATTGCCACTGGAGAGAAGGAAAAAGAGAAAATTGAGAGTATTTCAAATTTAAACTATTTTATATACCTAAAAATGCAAAGAATTTTATAGTGAGCATGTATTCCCTTTTCTGTAGGGCATATTTAAGAATATCCCATTGGATTTTAATGTTTTTGGTAGTTTTTGCTGTTATTAGAAACACAAAACTTTTTTTGACGACATTACTATTTCCTTAGAATAATCTCCTACTTCAGGAAGTATTGTAGTTTTGAGGCTACACCACTCTTAATTTATTTTATTCAACGAAAAGCTTATATAAATATTTGTTTGAACTAGCATTATACTGAGAGTGGCTGCTTTTAGGCACAATTACCAAATCTGTATAATATATGTGTATATTTTTAAATACTGCCAGTTTTATCAGTGAAAGTGGCACATAATTGTTTTATTTATTGTTTTGGTGATTCTTAGAGAAGTCGAGGGATGGGGGAATATTGTAAAAGTAGAATTACTGGTGCTTTAAAAACAAGAGAACTCATTCAGTATACACCTGTCTCTAGAGTTATTTGCACACATGGGCAAGAAAGAAGTCCAAGCCATGTGGTCTTTAGTCTCAGGACATGGCGAGAGGTTGCTTTTATGGTCTCCCTGTCCACAATTTTTCACAGGAGGTATTAGAGAGAAGTGGCCACAGCTTAATGATTATTTTCACTGCTCAGTGTCTGTAAGAGAGGCAACAAATGTGAAGAACCAAGGATTTTTGGATTCCCTTATCTACGGACACCAAAAATCTACTCATTTTGTTCCCATTCCTTAAATCATCCAGACATCTGACATTGTGGGACTATATTAGTCCTCCACTGTAGGTCCGTTCAATATCTATCATAGCAATGTGGGGAGTGGTTTAATGACCTGGGCTTCCTTTGGCACCTTTGAAACTTTCGGTTGTGGTGTGATTCTAGTTGATATTCTCCTAGACTATACAATGTCCCCTGAAATCAGAACCATGTTAAAAGTCAGCAATTTCCTTTCAGTTATCACTGCTTGATGCCATACGGCGTAAAACTTTCTCTATTTGTTTCCTTTGATCCTTGTCCTTCCAGAAGGAACCTATCTTAGTTCTTTATATTTACCCCTTTCAATATAGATCAAGGAGTCAACATTAAATAACTTTATATTTTTGTCCACAGTGTTCAATTTGTATTTCTGTTTTCACACCTTGGCCGATTTCTACTGCATCTGACATTATTTCCTTCCTGATTTTAAAGAATTCTTTAATTTGAAAATACTTAGTAACATTACTAGAATTGATTTCATTGATTCTCTGTATTCTTTTTTGTACTCTTTTTGTTTGTCTCAGCTGAAATTTTTATTCTTCCTTTCTCTTTTTTTTGTTTTGGGTTTTGTTTGCTCTTCTAGTTTCTTAGGATGAGAAATTAGGTTATTGATTTGGTATCATTTCTTTTTTAATGTAGGTATTCACAGCTATAAATTTCTCTCTGAGCACTGATTTTACTGCATCTCTTAAGTTTTAGTATGTTTTTGCTCATTCCAAAGTATTTTCTGTTTGCTCTTGTAATTTTTTTATTCATTATTGTTTAATTTGAACATATTCGTGGATTTTTGACATGGCTTTCTGTTACTGCTTTATGGTTTAATTACATGTAGTCACAGAGCTTTTTTTTTTTTTTTTTTTGAGATGAGTCTCACTCTGTCACCCAGGCTGGAGTGCAGTGGCATGATCTCGGCTCACTGCAACCTCTGCCTCCCGGGTTCAAGCGATTCTCCTGCCTCAGCCTCCTGAGTAGCTGGGATTATAGGTGCACGCCACCATGCCCGGCTAATTTTTTGTATTTTTAGAAGAGACAGCGTTTCACTGCGTTAGCCAGGATGGCCTCGATCTTCTGACCTTGTGATCCACCCACCTCGGCCTCCCAAAATGCTGGGATTACAGGCGTGAGCCTCCGCGCCCAGGGCATATTTTTATTGTTTTAATCTTTTTAAATGTATTGACACATTTTGTGGCTTAATATATATTCTACCCTGAGAATGCTCCATGTGCACTTGAGAAGAATGTTTATTTGCTGTTGATGAATAAAGTGTTTTATAATTGTCTGTTAGGTCTACTTGGCTTATAGTGTTGTGCAAGTCTCCTATTGCATCATTGATCTTCTATCTAGTCGTCGTTTCTATTATTGAAAGTGGAATATTGCAGTCCCCACATATTACTGTTGAATTTTATCCTTTCAGTTCTGTTAGTGTTTCTCCTTGTATTTTGAGGCTCTGTTGTTAGATGTGTGTATGTTTACAATTGTTATATTATATATTAACCCCTTTAACATTATATAAAGTCCTTTGTCTCTTGTAACAGTTTTTTACTTAAAGTCTATTCTGTCTGGTGTTAGTATAGCCACTCCAGCTCACTTTTGGTTATTGTTTGTACAGAATATATTTTTCCATCTTTTCACTTGAAGCCTATTTGTGCCTTTGAATCTATTGTTAAGTCTCTCATAGAAAGCATACACTTGGTTCATGTTTGTTTTTTTAAAAAATTAATTGTTCCAACCTTTGCTTTTTGATGGAAACTCTTAATCCATTTACATGTAATTTTTTTTAACTTTTATTTTAAGGGGTACATGAGCAGATTCGTTACATAGGTGAACTTGTGTCATGGAGATTTGTTGAATAGATTATTTTGTCACCAGGTATTAAGCCTAGTACCCACTTAGTTACTTTTCCTGATCCTCTCCCTCCTAACGCCCTCCACCCTCTGAGAGTGTGTGCTGTTCCCCTCTATGTGTCCAGTGTTCCCATCATTTAGCTCTCACCTGTGAGTGAGAACACGTGGTATTTGGTTTACTGTTCCTGCGTTGGTTTGCTAAGGATAATGATCTCCAGCTCCATCCATGTCCCTGCAAAGGACATGATATTCTTCTTTTTTAATGGATGCATAATATTCCATGGTCTATCTGTACCACATTTTCTTTATCCAGTCTATAAAGATGTACTTCTGCCATTTTGCCATTTGTTTTGTTTTTGTCTTATATCTTTTATTTTTTTATTTTTTTTATTTTTTTTTCAAACTAGTAAACTTTCATTTTATTTATTTATATATTTTTATTTTCTTTTTTTTTACTTTTTTTTTTATTATACTTTAAGTTTTAGGGTACATGTGCACATTGTGCAGGTTAGTTACATATGTATACATGTGCCGTGCTGGTGCCCAGCACCCACTAACTCGTCATCTAGCATTAGGTATATCTCCCAATGCTATCCCTCCCCCCTCCCCCGACCCCACCACAGTCCCCAGAGTGTGATATTCCCCTTCCTGTGTCCATGTGATCTCATTGTTCAATTCCCACCTATGAGTGAGAATATGCGGTGTTTGGTTTTTTGTTCTTGCGATAGTTTACTGAGAATGATGATTTCCAATTTCATCCATGTCCCTACAAAGGACATGAACTCATCCTTTTTTATGGCTGCATAGTATTCCATGGTGTATATGTGCCACATTTTCTTAATCCAGTCTATCATTGTTGGACATTTGGGTTGGTTCCAAGTCTTTGCTATTGTGAATAATGCCGCAATAAACATACATGTGCATGTGTCTTTATAGCAGCATGATTTATAGTCCTTTGGGTATATACCCAGTAATGGGATGGCTGGGTCAAATGGTATTTCTAGTTCTAGATCCCTGAGGAATCGCCACACTGACTTCCACAATGGTTGAACCAGTTTACAGTCCCACCAACAGTGTAAAAGTGTTCCTATTTCTCCACATCCTCTCCAGCACCTGTTGTTTCCTGACTTTTTAATGATTACCATTCTAACTGGTGTGAGATGGTATCTCATAGTGATTTCGATTTGCATTTCTCTGATGGCCAGTGATGATGAGCATTTTTTCATGTGTTTTTCGGCTGCATAAATGTCTTCTTTTGAGAAGTGTCTGTTCATGTCCTTCGCCCACTTCTTGATGGGGTTGTTTGTTTTTTTCTTGTAAATTTGTTTGAGTTCATTGTAGATTCTGGATATTAGTCCTTTATCAGATGAGTAGGTTGCGAAAATTTTCTCCCATTTTGTAGGTTGCCTGTTCACTCTGATGGTAGTTTCTTTTGCTGTGCAGAAGCTCTTTAGTTTAATTAGATCCCATTTGTCAATTTTGGCTTTTGTTGCCATTGCTTTTGGTGTTTTGGACATGAAGTCCTTGCCCATGCCTATGTCCTGAATGGTAATGCCTAGGTTTTCTTCTAGGGTTTTTATGATTTTAGGTCTAACGTTTAAATCTTTAATCCATCTTGAATTGATTTTTGTATAAGGTGTAAGGAAGGGATCCAGTTTCAGCTTCCTACATATGGCTAGCCAGTTTTCCCAGCACCATTTATTAAATAGGGAATCCTTTCCCCATTGCTTGTTTTTGTCAGGTTTGTCAAAGATCAGATAGTTATAGGTACGTGGCGTTATTTCTGAGGGCTCTGTTCTGTTCCATTGATCTATATCTCTGTTTTGGTACCAGTACCATGCTGTTTTGGTTACTGTAGCCCTGTAGTATAGTTTGAAGTCAGGTAGTGTGATTCCTCCAGCTTTGTTCTTTTGGCTTAGGATTGACTTGGCAATGCGGGCTCTTTTTTGGTTCCATATGAACTTTAAAGTAGTTTTTTCCAATTCTGTGAAGAAAGGCATTGGTAGCTTGATGGGGATGGCATTGAATCTGTAAATTACCTTGGGCAGTATGGCCATTTTCACGATATTGATTCTTCCTACCCATTAGCATGGAATGTTCTCCCATTTGTTTGTATCCTCTTTTATTTCCTTGAGCAGTGGTTTGTAGTTCTCCTTGAAGAGGTCCTTCACATCCCTTGTAAGTTGGATTCCTAGGTATTTTATTCTCTTTGAAGCAATTGTGAATGGGAGTTCGCTCTTGATTTGGCTCTCTGTTTGTCTGTTGTTGGTGTATAAGAATGCTTGTGATTTTTGTACATTGATTTTGTATCCTGAGGCTTTGCTGAAGTTGCTTATCAGCTTAAGGAGATTTTGGGCTGAGACAATGGGGTTTTCTAGATATACAATCATGTCGTCTGCAAACAGGGACAATTTGACTTCCTCTTTCCTAATTGAATACCCCTTATTTCCTTCTCCTGCCTAATTGCCCTGGCCAGAACTTCCAACACTATGTTGAATAGGAGTGGTGAGAGAGGGCATCCCTGTCTTGTGCCAGTTTTCAAAGGGAATGCTTCCAGTTTTTGCCCATTCAGTATGATATTGGCTGTGGGTTTGTCATAGATAGCTCTTATTATTTTGAAATACATCCCATCAATACCTAATTTATTGAGAGTTTTTAGCATGAAGGTTGTTGAATTTTGTCAAAGGCTTTTTCTGCATCTATTGAGATAATCATGTGGTTTTTGTCTTTGGCTCTGTTTATATGCTGGATTACATTTATTGATTTGCGTGTATTGAACCAGCCTTGCATCCCAGGGATGAAGCCCACTTGATCATGGTGGATAAGCTTTTTGATGTGCTGCTGGATTCGTTTTGCCAGTATTTTATTGAGGATTTTTGCATCAATGTTCATGAAGGATATTGGTCTAAAATTCTCTTTTTTGGTTGTGTCTCTGCCCGGCTTTGGTATCAGAATGATGCTGGCCTCATAAAATGAGTTAGGGAGGATTCCCTCTTTTTCTATTGATTGGAATAGTTTCAGAAGGAATGGTACCAGTTCCTCCTTGTACCTCTGGTAGAATTCGGCTGTGAATCCATCTGGTCCTGGACTCTTTTTGGTTGGTAAACTATTGATTATTGCTAGAATTTCAGCTCCTGTTATTGGTCTATTCAGAGATTCAACTTCTTCCTGGTTTAGTCTTGGGAGAGTGTATGTGTCGAGGAATTTATCCATTTCTTCTAGATTTTCTAGTTTATTTGCGTAGAGGTGTTTGTAGTATTCTCTGATGGTAGTTTGTATTTCTGTGGGATCGGTGGTGATATCCCCTTTATCATTTTTTATTGTGTCTATTTGGTTGTTCTCTCTTTTTTTCTTTATTAGTCTTGCTAGCGGTCTATCAATTTTGTTGATCCTTTCAAAAAACCAGCTCCTGGATTCACTGATTTTTTGAAGGGTTTTTTTGTGTCTCTATTTCCTTCAGTTCTGCTCTGATCTTAGTTATTTCTTGCCTTCTGCTAGCTTTTGAAAGTGTTTGCTCTTGCTTTTCTAGTTCTTTTAATTGTGATGTTAGGGTGTCAATTTTGGATCTTTCCTGCTTTCTCTTGTGGGCATTTAGTGCTATAAATTTCCCTCTACACACTGCTTTGAATGCGTCCCAGAGATTCTGGTATGTTGTGTCTTTGTTCTCGTTGGTTTCAAAGAACGTCTTTATTTCTGCCTTCATTTCGTTATGTAGCCAGTAGTCATTCAGGAGCAGGTTGTTCAGTTTCCATGTAGTTGAGTGGCTTTGAGTGGGATTCTTAATCCTGAGTTCTAGTTTGATTGCACTGTGGTCTGAGAGATAGTTTGTTATAATTTCTGTTCTTCTACATTTGCTGAGGAGAGCTTTACTTCCAAGTATGTGGTCAATTTTGGAATAGGTGTGGTGTGGTGCTGAAAAAAACGTATATTCTGTTGATTTGGGGTGGAGAGTTCTGTAGATGTCTATTAGGTCTGCTTGGTGCAGAGCTGAGTTCAGTTCCTGGGTATCCTTGTTGACTTTCTGTCTCGTTGATCTGTCTAATGTTGACAGTGGGGTGTTAAAGTCTCCCATTATTAATGTGTGGGAGTCTAAGTCTCTTTGTAGGTCACTCAGGACTTGCTTTATGAATCTGGGTTCTCCTGTATTGGGTGCATATATATTTAGGATAGTTAGCTCTTCTTGTTGAATTGATCCCTTCACCATTATGTAATGGCCTTCTTTGTCTCTTTGGATCTTTGTTGGTTTAAAGTCTGTTTTATCAGAGACTAGGATTGCAACCCCTGCCTTTTTTTGTTTTCCATTTGCTTGGTAGATCTTCCTCCATCCTTTTATTTTGAGCCTATGTGTGTCTCTGCACGTGAGATGGGTTTCCTGAATACAGCACACTGATGGATCTTGACTCTTTGTCCAATTTGCCAGTCTGTGCCTTTTAATTGGAGCATTTAGCCCATTTACATTTAAGATTAGTATTGTTGTGTGTGAATTTGATCCTGTCATTATGATGTTAGCTGGTGATTTTGCTCGTTAGTTGATGCAGTTTCTTCCTAGTCTTGATGGTCTTTACAGTTTGGCATGATTTTGCAGCGGCTGGTACCGGTTGTTCCTTTCCATGTTTAGCGCTTCCTTCAGAAGCTCTTTTAGGGAAGGCCTGGTGGTGACAAAATCTGTCAGCATTTGCTTGTCTGTAAAGTATTTTATTTCTCCTTCACTTATGAAGCTTAGTTTGGCTGGATATGAAATTCTGGGTTGAAAATTCTTTTCTTTAAGAATGTTGAATATTGGCCCCCACTCTCTTCTGGCTTGTAGGGTTTCTGCCGAGAGATCTGCTGTTAGTCTGATGGGCTTCCCTTTGAGGGTAACCCGACCTTTCTCTCTGGCTGCCCTTAACATTTTTTCCTTCATTTCAACTTTGGTGAATCTGACAATTATTTGTCTTGGAGTTGCTCTTCTGGAGGAGTATCTTCGTGGCGTTCTCTGTATTTCCTGAATCTGAACGTTGGTCTGCCTTGCTAGATTGGGGAAGTTCTCCTGGATAATATCCTGCAGAGTGTTTTCCAACTTGGTTCCATTCTCCCCGTCACTTTCAGGTATACCAATCAGACGTAGATTTGGTCTTTTCACATAGTCCCATATTTCTTGGAGGCTTTGCTCATTTCTTTTTATTCTTTTTTCTCTAAACTTCCCTTCTCGCTTCATTTCATTCATTTCATCTTCCATCGCTGATACCCTTTCTTCCAGTTGATCGCATTGGCTCCTGAGGTTTCTGCATTCTTCACGTAGTTCTCGAGCCTTGGTTTTCAGCTCCATCGGCTCCTTTAAGCACTTCTCTGTATTGGTTATTCTAGTTATACATTCTTCTAAATTTTTTTCAAAGTTTTCAACTTCTTTGCCTTTGGTTTGAATGTCCTCCCGTAGCTCAGAGTAATTTGATCATCTGAAGCCTTCTTCTCTCAGCTCATCAAAGTCATTCTCCATCCAGCTTTGTTCCGTTTCTGGTGAGGAACTGCGTTCCTTTGGAGGAGGAGAGGCGCTCTGCTTTTTAGAGTTTCCAGTTTTTCTGTTCTGTTTTTTCCCCATCTTTGTGGTTTTATCTACTTTTGGTCTTTGATGATGGTGATGTACAGATGGGTTTTTGGTGTGGATGTCCTTTCTGTTTGTTAGTTTTCCTTCTAACAGACAGGACCCTCAGCTGCAGGTCTGTTGGAGTACCCTGACGTGTGAGGTGTCAGTGTGCCCCTGCTGGGGGGTGCCTCCCAGTTAGGCTGCTCCGGGGTCAGGGGTCAGGGACCCACTTGAGGAGGCAGTCTGCCCGTTCTCAGATCTCCAGCTGCGTACTGGGAGAACCACTGCTCTCTTCAAAGCTGTCAGACAGGGACATTTAAGTCTGCAGAGGTTACTGCTGTCTTTTTGTTTGTCTGTGCCCTGCCCCCAGAGGTGGAGCCTACAGAGGCAGGCAGGCCTCCTTGAGCTGTGGTGGGCTCCACCCAGTTCGAGCTTCCAGGCTGCTTTGTTTACCTAAGCAAGCCTGGGCAATGGCGGTCGCCACTCCCCCAGCCTCGCTGCCGCCTTGCAGTTTGATCTCAGACTGCTGTGCTAGCAATCAGCGAGACTCCGTGGGTGTAGGACCCTCCGAGCCAGGTGCGGGATATAATCTTGTGGTGCGCCGGTTTTCAAGCCCGTCGGAAAAGTGCAGTATTCGGGTGGGAGTGACCCGATTTTCCAGGTGCCGTCCGTCACCCCTTTCTTTGACTAGGAAAGGGAACTCCCTGACCCCTTGCGCTTCCCGAGTGAGGCAATGCCTCGCCGTGCTTTGGCTCGCGCTCGGTGCACACACCCACTGACCTGCGCCCACTATCTGGCACTCCCTAGTGAGATGAACCCGGTACCTCAGATGGAAATGCAGAAATCACCTGTCTTCTGCGTCGCTCACGCTGGGAGCTGTAGACCGGAGCTGTTCCTGTTCGGCCATCTTGGCTCCTCCCCTGGATAGATATTTTCTTAAATGCCCGGAACCAAAACAAACACAAAGAATCTTCCAGTCTTTACAGAGGGGCTCTGTGTGTTTTAGAGCATGTCTTTGACAATTAGTATTGTGTTTCACAACTCTTTGTTAGCTTTCAATCTGGTTGTGCAGAGACTCAAAGCCAGCAGAGGTGACAGCTTAGGGCTTTTTCAGGATTTTCTTGGGAATGTGAACAGCCCTGGTCATGCATGTGGCTCTAGATTCTCATGGGTATGGGAGTTTAGAGAAAAAAGGTCATTGGTCACAGGCTGTAGGGAAAGGGAAGGTTTCATGAAACTACTGAAGTAAACTTCAAGAATAAAGATACTTCAGTGTGACTTAGAAAACTGTGGCTTCATAGCTTAATTTAACAATTCAATGAATGTAACATTTTTCTAATACAGACTATACTCAAGGCATTGGAACTATAAAAGATGAAACTCTAAACCCCCAGCCTTAATGAATTCAAACAGTTGTGGGTTTTTGTGCGGGTATGTCTACAATGCAAAATATGTTGTGGGTTTATATAAAGTTCTACAGGCAGATATGACAAGTAATTAAAATCTGTCTGGAAAATCTAGGACAAATTTGAAAAAAAAAAAAAAAAAAACACAGAGAGGAAATGGTTTTCAAGCTGGACTTTAAGGATGAGGTAGTAGTGGTTGGTTTTACTACACTTACCCTGCTGGGTTGACCCAGCCCTCCTGGGCATTGGTAAGAACATGCCAACAAGATCTCTCTTATTTCTATTCTCATGCCAGAAAGAAGAGCAAGCATTTTCTTTCCTGGTGTATAGTACCTTTTTTGCAGAAGAGGCAAGACAATGTGGATGTGCAACTACATGATTTATTGCCTGTACTAACTTGACAAGAGCTAGAGGAAGAATGAAAATATCTTGAGTACTCAAGAAATTTTTGGATTTACATATTAAGCAAATATGTGACTCTCTTGTTGTTTGCTGTCTTTACTCCATCTAGCTTCCTGTCTTAAGTCTTTCTTCAGTCAGAGTTAGAGTATCACAAATATGATTAAGGCCATACTTCTTCAAGTTCTTCATTATTTTTATAGCATTAAAAGATACGAAGGGATTTGGTGTCCCAGACAACCTTATTTGGCACCTGCATAATCCTTCCTTGATGGTAGCACTTAATTATCTTAAAGCCGGTTGGTTTCTTTCCAAGTGCATTGCAAACCATATTGTTAATCTTGTAAATGCCAGTTGGGGTTAAGCTGACTTGACTCTTTTTTCACTGTCCTTGTACTTTGGGGTCAGCTTTTTTGGCAAGGTTGGTATTTCTTTGCTTATGTCTATTTCTAATGCACTATTAGATGACTTTTTTAAAAAAAAAAATTACATCCCATCAGCAATTCTTCAGGAGCATAGGTTTGCAGAATAGCAATCCAGGTAGAAAGATAAGCAAAGGTTCTGAGTTTAGAAATTCCTGTTCACTGAACATGAGGTTTCCAGGAACTGGAGATCAAAGTGGGAAATTAGGGAATGGTCAAATTGTACTTGATGCCAAAGTGTTTGGACTTTATTCTGTAGAATAAAAGGAATAGTGACTGATCTGCAAATCATAAATCGTTCTGTTAGCATAATAGAGGATGATTACAAGGAGGCAAATGACAATAGTGTTAGGGACACTAGTATTAAGGAGGTTATTAAAATAGTCCCCAGAGATTAATCCATCTGTACTTATAGTCTAATATATAGCAATTTTTTTAAGTAGTTGAAATTGGACAGAAAAGAAAGTGGTATAGGAAAGTAAATAAATGTTTCTCAAAGTTTAAATCATCATTTATAATCATTAATATGACTAAAATTGTCTTGACGTTTAAATGTAAAGCTTATATTCTTCATATATTTTACTAAAATTAAAATGTCAACACAAAAATATATTTTCACTGATGTACCGTTTTACTTTTATATATTTCTAATTTACAAATTGTAGGCTACAAACTTTTGCTCTCAGTTTTTCCTCCATGATTATTGCTGCCTTTTCTTCCCCAGAAAATGGAAAAGTCAAGAAATCAGTTATTAAATTGTTTACAAAGTTTCAGAAATTAAATTTTATTATTTTACTTTCTCCCATCTTGCATCATCTTGCTTTCTGACTGCAACACTTTTTATTTTTCTCACAACTTTCATTTGAGAAACCAAAAGCCCTCTGAAGAATAATAAATGGCACCCTGCTCTCCCTACTCTACTGGCCATCTTGTGTTCAAATTAACAGTGGTTACATTTATCTACATCTCATGGCAGAATTTACTATGGTTATTTTATAGATTACATTTTCTATAACACCATTTATACCCAGAATATGTGATTAATACTGTATCTATAATTACTCATGAGATTCCTGAGAGGATTGTGAATGAATTACATTTGAAGAAATTAAAATTAAAATTAAACCTGAGGATGAGATGCTCCTTATCACCAGAGTTTACAAATACATTTTGTAAAATTAATGTTTCATCAGCTTAATGCTTACTCAGGAAAATACCAAAAAATATTTTTAACAAAACTAGATGAGGGATCATTATGATTCTTATTTAATAAGGTTCTCATCTTAACACATGAAACTATGTTTATCTCATTCTGAATTTTTTCCTACTATATTTTAATAGATTGGTGGCTCTTCAAAGTACAACTACTTTGCTCAGAAAAAGCCCACAGGGTGTGCTAGTATCTACTATATATATATAAAGTGATGTCAGAAATCAGTAGGAAAAAATTATTGTTCAATAAGTCAATTATTGAAGAATTGATTGTGTATTTAGGAAAAGAGCATTATCTAAATACATACCTCACAAGATTCATGAAAATTTACAGATTTGTTAGGGAGTAGAAGAAAAGAAGAACCTCAGTGTTTTAAAACTATAATGAAAAGGCAGTGACTTCTTATTACAGTTTTAAAATGGTGGCAAACTTTCCAAGTTTAGAACCAGTGGACTACATCATAGAGGAAAGCATAAACAGATTTAACTGTATTAATATAATTAATAGCTTCAGTTTGCTATCAAAAATCAAAATAAAACAATAAACCTCACACCTTGCCACAGCATTATTTTTAATAGGAGAAAGATAAAATATAAACCTAAATAGCCAATAATAGAGTACAAATTAAAGAAATTATTATCCACCCAGTTAATGGAATATTACAGACATGAAAAGTAATATTTACAAAGAAGTCATAAAGACAAATAAAGGTCAAATGTTTTAATATGAAAAATAAAACTGGAAAGAAAATTCTCTACACCAAATGAATGCAAATATGAAAAATTACTTCTGACATATGTGTGTGTGTGTGTGTGTGTGTGTGTGTGTGTATATATATGTATATATATATATATATATGTATATATATATATATATATATATATATATATATATATATATGTATATATATATATTGAAACACAGTCTTGCTCTGTTGCCCAGGCTGGAATACAGTGGCGCTATCTCAGCTCACTGCAACCTCTGCCTCCTGGGTTCAAATAATTCTTACGCCTCAGCCTCCCTAGTAGCTGGGACTACAGGTGTGTGCTACCATGCCTGGTGATATGGTATGGCTCTGTGTCCCCACCCAAGTCTCATCTTGAATTGTATTCACCTAATTCCCATGTGTTGTGGGAGGGACCTGGTGAGAGACCATTGAATCTTGAGGCAGTTTCTCCCATACTGTTCTCGTGGTAGTGAATAAGTCTCACAAGATCTGATGGTTTTATAAGGGGAAACCCCTTTTGCTTGGTTCTCATTTTCTCTTTTGCGCCAGCATGTAAGAAGTGCCTTTCACCTTCCACCATGATTGTGAGGCCTCCCTAGCCACCTGGAACTATAAGCCCATTAAACCTCTTTCTTTTGTAAATTTCCCAGTCTCAGGTATCTTTATCAGCAGCATGAAAATGGACTAATACAGTAAATTGGTACTGGGATGGGGTGCTGCTGAAAAGATACCCGAAAATGTGGAAGCAACATTGGAACTGGGTAACAGACAGAGGTTGGAACAGTTTGGAGGGCTCAGAAGAAGACAGGAAAATGTGGGACAGTGTGGAACTCCCTAGAGATTTCTTTAATAGCTTTGACCAAAATCTGATAATGATATGGACAATGAAATCCAGGCCGAGGTGGTCTCAGATGGAGATGAGGAACTTGTTGGGAACTGAAGCAAAGGTGACTCATGTTATGTTTTGGCAAAGAGACTGAAGGCATTTTGCTCCTGCCCTAGAGAGTTGTGAAACTTTGAACTTGAGAGAGATGATTTAGGGTATCTGGCAGAAGAAATTTCTAAGCAGCAAAGCATTCAAGAAGTGTCTTGGGTTCTGTTAAAGGCGCTCAGTTTTAAAACAGAAATAGAGCATGAAAGTTTGGAAAATTTGCACCCTATGTGATAGAAAAGAAAATCCTATTTTCTGAGGAGAAACTTGAGATGGCTGCAGAAATGTGCATAAGTATTGAGAAGTGGAATGTTAATCACCAAGACAGTGGGGGAAAATGTCTCCAGAGCATGTCAGAGACCTTTGTGGCAGCCCATCCCATCACAGGCCTGGAGGCTTAAGATGAAAAAATGGTTTTGTGGGCCAGGCCCAGGGTCCCTCTGGTGTGTGCAGTCTAGGGACTTGATGCCCTGCATCCCAACCACTCCAGCCATTGCTAAAAGGGGCCAAGGTACATCTTAGGCCATGGCTTAAGAGGGTGCAAGCCCCCAGACTTGGCAGCCTACACGTGAAGTTGAGCCTACAGGTGCACAGAAGTCAAAAATTGAGACTTGGAAGTCTCTGCCTAGATTTCAGATGTATAGACACACCTGGATGTCCAGATAGACATTTGCTGTAGGAGTGGGGCCTGCATGGAGAACCTTTGCTAGGGCAGTGCAGAAGGCAAATATGTTGTGGGGGCCCCCACACAGAGTCCCCGCTGGGGCACTGCCTAGTGTAGCTGTGAGAAGAAAGCCACCATCCTCCAGACCCCAGAATTGTAGATCCACTGACAGCTTATACTCTGTGCTTGGAAAAGCCACAGACACTCAACACCAGCCTGTGGAAGCAGCCAGGAGGTAGGCTGTACCCTGCAAAGCCACAGGGGTGGAACTGCCCAAGACCATTGAACCCCACCTCTTGCACTGATGTGACCAGGATGTGAGACATGGAGTCAAAGATCATTTTGGAGCTTTAAGATTTGACTGCCCTACTGGATTTCAGAATTGCATGGGGCCTGTAGCCCCTTTGTTTTGGCCAATTCCTCCCATTTGTATTTACCCAATGTCATACCCCCATTGTATCTAGGAAGTAACTAACTTGCTTTTGATTTTACAGGCTCATAGGTGGAAGTGACTTGCCTTCTCTCAGATGAGACTTTGGACTGTGGACTTTTGAGTTAATGCTGAAATGATCCACTTTTTTGTTTGTTTTTTCCTTTTCCCCCATTAGGTCATGACTTCCTTGCTTTTACATTGCCTCAGTCATCTTATCATTTCTTGTCGTTTCTTACTGAATGTTTTTACCTCAGTCTTTTAGTATTTATTTGCCTTATTTAATGGGACCATAAGTGGTAAAATTCAGGTAATTTTATTTATTTCAAATTTGAAGTTAGACAAGAATTCTTAAAGCAATCACCTTGGCATTTTATCTCCCTTACCTACACACACACACACACACACACGCACACACACACACACAGTCACAAACATACTTTAAATTTTGTTTTCATTTTTCTCCTTTTCTGAGCTTCCCCTTGTGATGTCTGGCCTTTCTCTGTGTTATGATAGATCTGTTCCCTTTGCACATCCACGTTCATAGCAGAATTATTCATAATAATGAAGAGCTGCAGAGAAGCAGCCCAATTGTTCACGGATGGATGAATGAATAAACAAAATGCAGTATATGCATATAATGAAAGGTTATTTAGCCTTAAAAGGAAGGAAATTCTGGCATATGCTCCAAAAGGAATGAACCTTTAAGACATTGTGCTAAGTGATATAAGCCAGTTACAGAATGACAAATACTGTATGATTCTGTTTCTATGAGATATCTAAACTAGTCAAATTCATAGAAACAGAAAGTAGAATGGTGATTTCCAGGGGCTGGGGGGAGTAGGAAGGGTAAGAGAGTTGGATATAGAGTCTCAGATTCGCAAGATGAAAAGTTATGGAGATCTGTTTCACGACAATGTGGACGTACTTAATACTACTGAACTGTGCATTCAAAAATGGTTAAGATGGCAAACTTTTAATGTAGTTTTTAGCCCAATAAAAATTTTTAAAAAGAGATTTCTGGCTGTTGACACAGATGTATTGGTTTATATGTGACTTCCTATTTGAGCCTAATGGTGAGGGGAAGGGTTAGTTTTGATAGCTGACAATATATAACCTTTGCTTTAAACAAGAGCTTTCCTAACTCTGTCTCCCACAATGCTTTGGGTGTATCTTCAGTAGATCACTCAGCAGATCACTCAGCCCACTGTATTTATAACTCTCTGCCACTCCCACCTGATTGTGGGTACCCAGCAAGCAGTGATTGTGCTTTACTTAATTCTATATCCCAGAAGGCTGGGTATGTAGCAGGTGCTCAATAAATATTGGAATGATATTTAAGTAATTGAAATTAGTTATTGTGGTAATTACAATTAATCACAGTGATTGAATGAGCACTGGCTCCAGCATTAGGGGATTAGTCCCATTTGTAACACTCTCTGGCCTCCTTGGATACCAGTTTACTGATCTGTACAGATGAAAGTTTGGACAAATCATTCTCTAAACTCTCTCTTAATTCTCAAATCTATTACTGTACATCATTGGCTCCAACAGAACATCATGAGAAGGAAAAATAATGATCCAGCCACAAATTTGAATATTCCCCTTTGGAATCTAAGCCTAGAAGAACGAGAGTAGCTTTGGCCCCCAAAAAATTCCTTAGATGGGCAGTAAAACAAAATCCAAAGAGAGACACTAATGCAGGATTTTCTTTTTTTTTTTTTTTTTTTTTTGAGACGGAGTTTCGCTCTGTCGCCCAGGCTGGAGTGCAGTGGCGCGATCTCGACTCACTGCAAGCTCCGCCTCCCGGGTTCACGCCATTCTCCTGCCTCAGCCTCCCGTGTAGCTGGGACTACAGGCGTGCGCCACCATGCCCGGCTAATTTTTTTTTGTATTTTTAGTAGAGACGGGGTTTCACCGTGTTAGCCAGGATGGTCTCGATCTCCTGACCTCGTGATCCGCCCATCTCGGCCTCCCAAAGTGCTGGGATTACAGGCGTGAGCCACCGCGCCCGGCCTAATGCAGGATTTTCTAAACCATTGTGCATGACTTTTTTTGGAGAGAGAGGGATGATCATCTTCTCCAGGTACTTAAGAAAACATTGACTTTGCGTTCTGTGAAACTGTTTAGTGGTCTCTTGGAAAACCTCATTTCTCCATCTCTTATTTTTTCAATTCCAAATTACCTTGGGGATAAACTGGAAAGAGAAGACTATTCTGCTATGAAAATATCATTTTCTTACTTTTCTTCTTCTTTAAGAAAGACCTGTAGGGATACAATAATGAGTTTGCAAAGCTAGGGGGCCTCATGACATGAGACAATTATATTAATTACTTTTCTTAAAAGTATATCCAGGACTTTACACCACATTCTGGAAACAAAGTACTTTCTCCTTATCTAAACTCCAAGTCGTAGGCAGAGATGTATGCAGAGATTTCAGTCCCTTGAGTCTCCAGGGTGTTGGAAAGTGTCTGAAATCTCTTTAAAGAGCATATTAACATGTATCCAAAAACTTAGACTGTAATACTATTTAACTCCTCTATTTTTCCATTATGGTCTGTCAGCAGGAATATGTTGCCCTATTGTACATGACAAGTGAAAACGCTGGTAACATTGTTTTTCATAGACAGAAAAAATACCAAAGAAGCAATTTCTTAGCTAAAATGTCACCTGTTAGATGTATAGGGCTCACTGTATTTTGTTGCCCTGGTAACGGATGGTGTAAAATGACTCCTTTGCACCGCTCCATCAGAGTGATTGCATCCTGTTTTTTCCATCATTTTACAAGAGGCTGTTTTCATTCTCCCTTCCTGACCATATTAAGTGTAAAGAGATTGAATTACTGTGCTGTACCCTCTCCATCCGATGTGGATTTAAGAGTTGATATTGATGTACTGAGAACTGCGTGCTTCTTCAAGAAAAAAAAGCTACAAATTATAATGAATTTGACTTTTGTGTATCGACCATTCTAGAGTTGAAGTAGGGTTTCGGCACCCAAAGGATAGACATGGCCTGATCAGCATTTTTCACTCGAATGAATCCAATTGATAAAGCAATATACTCAGTGTCACTTTGCTTGATCTCCAGGTTTAACAATAGTCATGCTAAAAGTAGATACATTACTTTATAAATTTTACCCATAAAAAAAATGTGCAAGCCATAGCTTTCTACGGCTGCACTCTTTCCAACTTTTAACTGAGCAGGGCAAAAAGGAGGCCTCTTCCAAAATTGTGCTGAGACCGTGCAAGTGTGGGCAATGTGTATTCAGGTATGTATTTATGACAACCAGGAGCCAGACAACACTTTACTTCCATGCCCACAACCACCGAATCGGAAAGCACTTCCTGTGAAAACTGGCTTATTGGGCTCTCTCTCAAATGAAAAATTACTCTCTGAAGTGACACGCTGCTTTATAATTATCAAACTGTTTCACTGTGTCACTACGAACAACTTAATGCCTCAAAAACCATTTGTTTGAAAATTTCATTTATCCCACATTTGAAATAGGAGAGTGATTTTCTTAAAGCAAGGGTTTTTGTTAATGTACTTTGGGTAATTTAATTTTTGACCATTGCTACATAATACTTGTCATTCCATAACATTTTTTAAACTTAGAATTACATAGAGCAAACAAATGAAGGAATGTGAGGAAAAGAAACAAGCGTAGGAAGAGGACATTTCAAAAGAATGGGAAGTGCTCCCCTCCCCTGCTCTGGGAGGTTGAAACAGGGACAGTTGAGTGATCAATTTCATTAACATTTATATTTATGTCATAGGCAAAAATACCTGTAGTTCATTGCATTCCTTGAAAAGTAACCTGCTTTCACAGTTTTATATTTTTTAACAAAGTTTTGAAATCCTATTGCTTGGCCCCAATTTAGAGGCAAGAGATTCTGCCTGCATTGACAATTTGGGTAACTGTGTATTTAGACTTTTTAAATGACTTCAACCATGATGATAAATGACCATACCCCTTCATAGGGGAAACATTGTAAACATTTAAATAGCTAACTAATTGACCTTTTTATTGTTTGATTATTCTTAACATGTGTACAACAGGAAACTGTGGTATTGATTTGCTCTTCTATTCTTATCTGGTAAGTTGGCTACGAAGGGTTCTTTGTCTTAAATTATTGTCCACCTCCATCTCCCTCTCTTTGTCTCTCTGTTTCTTTTTCTCACTCTCTCTGTCTGCCTTTTATCTCTACTGCCTACCTTCTATTGCCTTCTGCTCTAATTTCTTAAGTAGCCTATATCCCAGAAATTCACTCATATGACGTATCCTGATCCCAAAAAGGTCATTCGAGAAAACCCAGCTCAGCTTCAAAACGCCCATTTTCATTGTTTTCTTGCTGTCACAGCACTTATGTGCCCTCTGTCCCCATGAATTTCTGCCATGTAATTAGCATCCTAATGCAGTGATTCTTCACATGTGGCCCCTGGACCAGCAGCATCAGCATCAACTGGGAACTAGTTAGAGATGCAAATTATCAGGCCCACTCCAGATCTACAGAATCAGAAACTATAGAGATGGGCCACAGGGCTTTGTATGTCAACAAGTCCTCCAGGTGATTCTAATGCTTGTTAACATTTGAGACCCTCTGTTTGTTCACAATTAGCCCTTTCTGGTCATCAAACCCATACCATATCCACAGTTATGGATGAAATCAACTGATTTCAAGTGACACAGCTATGACAAGGGTCTTTAGTGGTCTGTGTGCCCCCTCCCAAGAGTTTATTGGTTTCTTATGAATCTTACAGAGTTTGAGGAGAAGAACACCTTTAAGTTCCTTTAATTGAGAGTAACCAAGCCATAAGTATAAAAAGAGTTGAGGGGAAGATACAATTAGAATTGTAGTTTCATGACTGGGCTGCTTCTCCTTGCTTACCATTAACTATATATGTTCAGTAACTCAGGCAGCTTCTGTTTCCTCATTTGCAAATGGGAATAAAACCCTTCAAGTCACAGAGTCATCATGAGAGATCAGAGAATAACTGAAGATTGCTTTTTAAATTATAAAGAGAAATACAAATAAAAGAAGATAGTATTAATCGCTTTTTATCTTTAAAGATAGCTTTAATTACAAAAGATCCAGAGAATGAACTACTACTGCTAATACCAAATGTCTTTTCTGCTCTGTATACTCCTGAAGGAAATCAAGGATTTTTAGTAAAGATTTTTTTTTTCATTTTTTTTTCTCTTTTCCTGTTTGGGCTCTGGAATTGCTGCATAAATAGCCTGGTGCATAATACCACCTGCTTGGAAGATGGCGTGACAGAGCAGCTCTCATTTTGTGCTCAATCACAGAACCAGTCCCTCACCCATATTTTAAGAAAGATAAGAGAGTTGCCAAGCATAAGTGCCTTGTAAATATATTTCCTTTGCAGGATTATAGGACATGGAGAAACTGACAAACGTAGATAGTCCTTGCTGGGATGTGTCATATCTTCCTGGGCTAGGGATACTCAAGTGAGAAGTTTTGGGATGATTGGGACAGGATGCTAAGATCAAAGAATTGTACACATGTGGACGAGGATGCAAAACTCTGCCTCCAACACACACCCTCCCTCCCTCTACGCCCATCAGAGACTGAAATATTGAGAGAAGCACTGTCTGGTAGAAAACAATGCAAGCTATACATATCATTTCAATTTTTCTCATAGCATCATTAAAATGTATTTTAAAATAGATGGGATTAACTTTAAGGATACATTCTATTTAATCCAGTATATCCAAAATAATGTCATTTCAACATGTAATCAATGTAAAACATTATTAGTAAACATTATTAGTGAAACATTGTACATTCTATTTTTCATACTAAGATTTTAAAAGCTGGTGTGTAGTTTATACTAACAGTGCACATCTATTTGGACCAACCACATTCGAGCTCTCAGTAGCCACATGTGTTTAATGTGGCTACTGTCTTGGACAACAGAGGTTGAGAGAATCTTAATTTTAAAATGCAGATTGGTAAAACACAGACAGTCTTGCAGAGGAGTTGAAACCCCAGTAGAGCAAGTTTGAGCTGCTACTCATGCTTCTCTTGCGCCCTTCTTTTTACTTCCATATTTTCTTCTTCCCCTGCCCCAACACACGCAGACACACAAACACACACTCACAGAGCTGGGCAGCACAATCCCGTGGGAGAACTTCTCCCTTCACCTTTCAGATGCTGTGGCTTCCGTTAGTCTTGGCAGAGTGAGGCCTCCTTTGTGTCTTCTGAGCAGTAAATGGAAGGAGATGGTGTACAGCTTGGAGTCATGAATGTACTGTATTCATGGCAAATTGTGCTCCTGTTCTCTTCAAAAGCAAATGAAAGAAAGCCTCCTTTTTGCAGCCTTGGGGTTGTTTCTACTTACCATTTCTCTGTTCTTGGTAAGGCAGAAGAGGAAGAGAGGGAAGAAGAATGAGAAAAAGAGTTCTGAGGAATTATTAGACCACTTGCTCACATCATCCCTGACCTTTGGAGGAAGAGAAGATTTTGCTTAGAAAGGAAACTTAGTCCTTCAGCCTTCATAAATATAAATAACATTCATGGTTAGAAAAAATGAAATTCTCCATGCAAGCCTGGTAGAATTAAAAGGTGATTAAAACCAAATATCTTGGAACCACTCAAAACATTATGAACCTTTAAAAATGAGTGTGTGTTAATTTTACTAGAAAACATTTAAAAACACCTATGCCAACTAAATGATGGTCTTTTTTTGAGAAATACTTTGTTTCTGATTAGTGGAATCTCTTTGTAGACAGATGATAACCATCTTGGGTGAACTCTACATCCGCATTACATCTCCATACCCCTTTACCCTAACCTCATGCCCAGGGAACATCACTCTAAATTTCCCTGACTGTTGACCCCATGTGGTCCTAATTCCTGCCACCCTCGCTTGCGTGAGCACATGTGGCTGTCCTCATCAGGACAGCTTAGGCTAATTTAGCCCTGCTGATTGAATATAACTGGATAAAATTTTATGGCGCACTGTGATTGTAAATATGCCTCCTCTCATTCACAGTCTGGGAAGGCTGGAGGGCCATTACATCTTAATTGGGTAATTTCTTTTTTCAGATCTCCAAAGACAGGGTTGCCGTGTCAAAGTACCTCAGAGCAGGGTCTCTGGTGCCAGCTGGTGTTAGAATGTTGGCAGTTCTGAGAGGACCCAGGATCATATTCACAGACTGAGTGTTTAGGATTTTTAAAACAATTTTCCTTAACTTGTTTTGAAACAAGAGATTTGGGTCCATTATACCAACCTGTTTGAAGAAGAACATATTTGGTTTAAAAATTCTTTTTTGTTTTCATTTTTTCCTCTTATTTTTTTCCTGTTTCGAGCCCATTGCACTTTTAGAAATTTCAACAAATTTTAAAGCCATGTGTTTCTATACCAAATGAATTTGTTCTAGTATATTTGCTGCTTAAAAAATGTGTTTGTTTCGATGTAGATGTGAAAACACACACACACAGACACACACACACACACACACAAATACACATATCTTAAACCTCAAAGGAAAGGGGTCAGTTCTTTGAGTCCATAAATTGCACCAGTTAATAGTGTAATACGCTGATGCTGCCATTTTACAGAGGACCAATAAAACAAAAGGAAGCAGTGAGATTTGTCTCAGAATAAAAGTGGGAATGTAAAAATGTAAAGGAAGTAATCTTTTCTCAAAGCATTATGAACCAAACCAAAACAGAAGAAAGGAACTGTTGTAAGGAGGAGAAGGAGGTAGGCGGCGGTTGGAAATAGCAGTGGGTGCCGTTTCCACCACTACAGAATCTGCGCAGCAAATTGCTGTGCTTTAAGGAGAAGTAGCAATCAGCACCAATTGAAATATCCCTGAATGTAGTTATAATGACGTTCCTCTTCTCTCTCTTGTGTCTGGCATGATAGGCCATCCTCAAAATGTGCACTATCATGCAGGGTACACTTTCTAAAGACAGGAAGACTCCTACATCTGATGCCAACACCAAAAGCCATCAGCATGTGTGAGCCATGTATACATGGCAGGCTTCATGGAAATGTGACCTGGGCAGTCACACAGGGGCCCGCACTTGGAAGAGCTCCATGCTTAATTAAGTGCTCTGACATTACCATCTCAAAACTGAAACTTTTTTTTTTTTTTTTTTTTTTTTTAGATGGAGTCTCACTCTGTCACCCAGGCTGGAGTGCAGTGGTGCCATCTCGGCTCACTGCAACCTCCGCCTCCTCGGTTCAAGTGATTCTCCTGCCTCAGCATCCTGAGTAGCTGAGATTACAGGCATGTGCCACTATGCCTGGCTAATTTTCGTATTTTCAGTAGAGATGGGGTTTTGCCATGTTGGGGCTGGTCTTGAACCACTGACCTCAGGTGATCCGCCTGCCTCAGCCTCCCAAATTGCTAGAATTACAGGTGTGAGCCCCTGCACCCAGCCTGAAATTCTTAATAATGTTGAACCTGGTGGTGTACATTTATTTTTTATCTTGCACTGGGCTCTACAAGTTTTGTTGCCAGTGCTAGATGTACAAAATGTACCTAGTGAGAGTGTGTACCATTGAAATCTATTTCCTTTGCAGCTTTCCCGACTAGGCAGCTTGTAGTGGGGAAAATAAAAACAACAAATAGAGCATTCTCACATGTTATGAGGATATCGCTAACCCCGTCATTAGCTGGTTACCAAAAGAACTGTAGCAACTGTCAAAAAGCAGTCTGCAACCCTGGATCCCAGCTTTGCATGAAAGACCCACCAGGGCTGTTCTTGATTCATCTATTGATTGGGTTGAGTTGCACAGCACCCATGTCAAGTCACATCAAACATGACTTGATGTGACAAGACATAACATGTCCTAGTGGAAAACAGAAGGAGAATTGGAGGAAAGCATCTTTTGTTGAAAATGGCAAGGTAGATATGAGACAAACCTAGTAGAGCAGAGGTGATCATCATAAAATAATGCTGCTGAATTATAAATGATAGTTAGTGCTTCTCCAGCCCTTTTCACCCATGGCTATCAAGGAAACACAGACTTGATTAAGCTGTCTGGTAATTTTTTGCAGGGTCTCAATGCAGCATGCTCTGGTGGATGTGTCATGGGTAAGTCTTCCTCAGCCCATGGTGAGATGAGACCCGCTCCAGTAGATGTTTAAAAGAAATGGTACACGAAAGCTTTAAAAAGGATGCTAAGAAGATTATTATCAACGGCTAAAATATGCAGAAGGCAATCAGAACGTTCCTTTCCGATTTGTGAGGACAAATAATTAAACTGAGTTCTTTTTCAGAAAACTATTCCTGCTAATGGCTTGGAGCAGTAGATAGGTAGACAACCTGAACTCACTCTCTGTGCTCTGTGGATACTTGCAGCATGGAAGAGTGTTAGAAGCAGAGGTTCCAGAGCCTAAATACCTGGGTTCAAATCCCATCTCAACCTTTTCTGGACCTGAACTTGTGTAACTTTGGATGAGTGATTGAACTCTTCAGTATAACTCAGTTTTCATACATATGCACATAAGATAGGGATGATGATATAAGTATTCATAGAGTTGTTAAGATTCAACAGAAACAAATATATATATTAAGCTCTTAGAAGAATGTCTGGCTCATAGTAAGCAATTAATAAAAGAATTTAATAGACTTTAGTTATTTTCTTTCCATACCACAGTTTCAGATATTAAACATTTATATTTTCTTTCTCTTTTTTTTGTATTTTTAGTAAAGACGGGGTTTCACCGTGTTAGCAGGATGGTCTCGATCTCCTGACCTTGTGATCCACCTGCCTCGACCTCCCAAAGTGCTGGGATTACAGGCGTGAGCCACCACACCCAGCCAACATTTATATTTTCGATCACAAAATCAAATGAGTGAACCCATGGTCAACATTTTTATTTTCATAAAGGCAAGGGTTAGAGAATGTCCTTTCCCTGCCAATTCTTTCTCTCTAGATGTCATATTGCTTAGGGTCTCTGACTTCTCTAGAAACTGTGCACCTTATCAAACCTTAGCAATTAGGAAGTCTAATATTATACTGGTAAACAAAGGTGATGAAATGCAAAATGATCCAATGGGCAGTGAATTGATTCAAATTTTTTGAATAGGTAACTGAGTTAATAATCTTCTCTTTTTATATTCAGGTTCATTCTGCCTATGATTAAAATGTGGATGAAAATTTCTTTCAAGTTCACACAAATAATTTGTTTAAAAGCTCTTCCTTCCCTTTTGTTTTTAACACATACACACAAACACACACACACACATACACACACCAGATCTCCAAATCTATGAAGTCAAAGAAACTCAGTTCTTTCCACAATGCAATAAAAAGTTGTACAAGAGGAGAAAATGGAGTTTTAAACTCATGTAAACCTTTGGAATGTTGTCTTCTTTATATTACCAATGACACCTCTAGAGCCTACAAGAAAAAAGAATTGCTTGGAAAGTAAATATCTTGGACAATGTAGCTAAAAGAATATTAAATGTTCTATTTTTAGCTTATCATGGTTGTGAAGAAATATCCACCTTAATCTACTGGAAGGTGGCCTTAGTTTCCAACACTGAATTTCACATTTTGAAATTTATTGGCTCTCTGGCTTTCCCATGAAATTTAAAAGAAGTGAGAATGCCTTAAAAATTTTGAATGAATTTAAAGATTAAACCCTTCTGGCTTTTCTTGTCACATGAAATTAAATAGAGGCAACTTGGGAAGGGTAGAAAGGCCACTTGTCATTGGGGTAAGACAGACTGCCCTACTTGCCCGCATGGACCTTCGGACGAGTAATTTAAAGGCTCCAAGCCTCCTTTCCTTCATCTAAAGATTAGAAAAACTCTCAGGGTTTTTGAGGATCAGAAATAACACATATCATGCATAATACAAAGTGCACCTATCCTGAAGCCTGTAGTAGGCGTTCATTGAACCCTAAGTTGTTATCACTACTAGTTATTAATATTTCATCATCATTTTCTTCATTGTTGCTATTATAGTTACACGCCCATACTCATCATTCTACAAAATCTTTGCAAATATAGTACTATTTTCAGGGACTAGCAGTCTAGAATGGAATCAATATAATAAGTATATGGAATATATTAGAGGGCTAATTCTTTATCTGAAGTGTTTCCATTAGGAAAGAGAGGAGGAAGAAGCCATGAGCCCCCCCAACGTATGTGTTTCACTTAAGCTAAGTGCTAATGCACTGACATTGGCAGCAGGAGTGGTGGCCCTGCCAACCTTGTGGGGTTTCTAAAAGGGAGAGTTGGCATAAGGGGAATTCAGATCTAGAGAAGGATGCAAATAACTTTACAGCTAGCATTGTGGCTACTCCTGGGCATTTGGTTTATTTATAGTTCAGAACTGGTCTGAAAGGCATTAAGAAAATGACTTAATGGCACCTCCTCAGCCTGAAGCAGGGCTTGCTTCTTCACCTGGAGAGAGGTCTGGACAAAATCCCAGTTGGTCTAATAGCTAAGCCATGCCAAGGGAGTGTCATTAGGGATCAGGTCCTCACCAGGAAGCTGTTGCCCTGAATGGAAGCCTGTATTCCTTTGTTTGCTTTTACCTGTTCTTTTCTTTCTCTCACTGAGATGTTAGGCTGCCTGTGAACCCTGGGGGAAGCCAGGGCTTTGTGAGCCAACTTGTGCTCGAGCTATTGGGAGAGGATCCAGGGAAGTACCAACTGCAGGGACCAAAGGGTGGGGCTAGAACCTGTGAGGAAAGACTAGAAAAGAGGCTTAATTAGACACTCAGGAGGGGCTGAAGTAGTTGAGTAAAGATCTTCCAGTGCACCTAGTGGGATCACGCAGAGAACAAAAAGCAATTCTGTGCTGTCTCTAAGGTAAACAGAGCAAGAGCACCTAAACTCCAGGCTAAAACCTCTAGGTCACCCCTTTGGGTTCACTGCCCTGCTGCGAATTCTCCTCCCTACACTCTTTCTGCTAACTTGTCTGCTTACATAGAAGTGAAAAAATGAAACCAAAGATCTCCTCTTGCTGGGCCTCTGAGAGATGATAAGATAAGGTTTGATGAAGGGCTGGCCTGGCTCTAGGCCCTTGGAAATCTCCAAAGCTCTCTTCTTTCAACACTAAAAGGGATTTCATTTTTATCATCTTCACAGCAATCTTTGCCTTTTTCACATCGAAAGTTGAACCATGTTAAAATCTGCAGATTAATGAGGTAATATAAAATGAGGTCACTCACTATTACATAAAGTGGCTAAGCTGCTTTAATACCAACTTTGACATGCACCTGTTTTACTAGTTTCCATCTGTGTTGGAGAAGCCAGAGTTGCCCAAGAGTTAGAACTCTCAGGGTCGACTTATGTGACGCTATCTCTGTATCCTGAGCTGACCTCAATGGCCTCGATAGCAGGGAATACCATCTGCAGGAAGACTGAGTTATCCTGATGGCAGATGGCAGCACAAGTGGACTAGCTCAGGCAGTGCAGCTAGAGCAGGTCTCCGCTTGGCTTCTCCTAAATTGGAGGACAAAAAGAATGCCACTTTCAACCCCTGTGCTCACTCACTTATCTAGATTTTTCCTGTATTCACTAAATGACATTCTGTAGATCATGATGGGGATTCCCGAGTCCTTAGATAAACCAAGAGTGAAACTGTGGAGCCAGTACAATTTATTTATAAATTTGTACCTTCCCATTCATTCCGACTATGTCTTTGCTCCTTTTCCACCATCTCTCAGTCCTGCCAGGTGAACATGAATCAAATAATCACACCGAGTTATGGGAGTTAGAAAGCCAATCTGTGAGAAAGACCACTCTGCTTAAGTATACCTTTAAAAGATAAATAAATGGATTTATCTAGTTGGACCTAACAATATAATTGATCTAGTTTGGGTTCTTCATCCCCTGATGTTATTTTAGGGCCTGTCATGACTCAGGTGTTAGAGATACAGGAACACAAAGATCAACAGAGAGGAAGTCCCTGGTTGTTTTAGAAATTTGAAAAAATATGTGTGGTATTATTACATCGTGTGAGTGGGAAGAAAATGGCCTTACTCAAGTCCATGGTGCTGAGAAGGGATAGTGGAAGATGAGGTCACAGAATTATCTATTGAGGATGTTGCCTGCCATGCTGGGAAGTTTGCACCTTGTGCTATAGCCATTAGGGAAACAACAGAAAACTTACAGGCATCAGGCATGGTGGTTCATTCCTGTAATCCCAGTGCTTTGGAAGGCTGAGGCAAGATAATCATCTGAGGCCAGGAGTTTGAGGCCAGTCTGAGCAACATAGTGAGATGCTCATCTCTACAAAAAATAAGTTAGATATGATGGTGCACACCTGAAGTCCTGGCTCCCCAGGATGCTGACACAGGAAGAGCCCTTGAGCCCAGGAATTTGAGGCTACAGTGAGCTATGGTGGCACCATGCAGTCCAGCCTGGGTGGCAAAGATGACCCTGTCTCACATACACAAAAGAAAGAAAGAAAGAAGAAAAGAAAGAAAGACAGAAAGAAAGAGAGGAAGGAAGGAAGGAAAGAGAGAAAAGAAAGAAAGAGAAAGAAAGAGAGGAAGGAAGGAAGGAAAGAGAGAGAGAAAGAAAGAAAAGGAAGGAAGAAAGAGAAAGAAAGGGAGAGAAAGAGAAAAACAAAAGAAAGAAAGAAAAGGAAAGAAAGAAAATAAAAGGAGAAGAAGGAGGAGGAGGGGGAGGAGGAAAAGAAGGAAGGAAGGTTGGTTAACAGCATGGTCATGACATAACTAGTTTTGCTAGATTCCTTGCTTTTTAAAAAATTTGTGCTTTTTGGTTTGTGAATTTTGTGTTTTTGTTGTTTTTGTTTTTTTCTGTTTTGGCCTCATGTTGTTTTGGGATGTTTGTTTGATTTTGACTGAAATGTGGAGAGTGGACTTGATTGAGGAGAATTTTTCTGGAGCAAGATCAATTATCAGCTTTAACAAATAGAAGTGAGAGATGGCAAACGCCTAAACCAAGACATTAAAATTAGAAAGATGAAAAGGTGAATACTTTCAAAAGGGGGTTACAAAAAACAAAATGGCAAGAAAAATACAAAAGGGACCCCACTGTGGTCGCTCTAATCAAGATCTTTCCTAGCGGCCACCAAAGAGGGCAACTAACCTTCCTTTCCTCATTTGGAAGGAGTTGCTAATACAAATTCAAGTTAACGTTAATGAGTAAGGGAAATGTCCTTCCTCCTTAAACATATTTGAAATAGAAGAGGGCAGGGGTCTTCAATGTAGGATAAAGATCCAAGATGGAGAGAGGTAGCCGAGGCCATGCAAATGAGCAAATAGTAGAGGTTATTATCCACACGAGTATGGAAGTTGACTGATTCTACAGTAAAATTATAAACCTGTCCTACCAGTACTCCCATCGGGTTTCATGTTTACATTTAAAATTGGCTTAAAATAGTTGAGATAACTCAGTGTGCGTTACTTAATAGTACTTGAGAATGGGGGAGAAATTGGTTGTTTAAGGAGCAAATTTTTCTTGTTCACTTTGCATACAAGAAGAATAAAGGCAGGACCCTGGACAGGGAATACAAGTTGGATAGTAGATTTAGGCTTGGCTCAATGTGTAAATATCAAACTTGCTTAGGATGATTCTAAGAATCATTATGTTAGGTAACTTTGTTGAAATGATTCTAAGGGGGCTAAGCAAGCCTGTTATCCCAGAAACCACCCCTAAGATATCCGAATTTCCATCGTTAGAAAAGAAAACTAAAATGGACTGAGTCATTTCTATGAGCCAAACACTATTCATGGCCTGCACAAATACCTCCTTAAAAGAACCATGAGCAGAGGCTCTATCATCTTCCTCCTACAGTGAAGGAACATACTCAGAGTCACACAGTTAATCAAGAGTGGAGCCAGTACTTGAAGCTAGGTTGGTCAGCTTCAGAACCTTTGCTCTTTCCATTATACCACATTAAAAGGCCAGCTCTTTGGGTTAACGTTTTCTTATGCCCTTGGGAAAGTTGCACTTCTAATATGAGCTAATCATTTACACTTCAGTGTCAATAATTTTCAAACTGTCTGTCTTCAGAGAGCCTGATAGGGAAAGAGGTTATAAAGAAGGTGAGAGCTGCAGAATTGAGAAGAATGGAAAAATGTATCTCCAAACGTTAGGCTAAGATGCAATTCAGGAAACTGAACAGCAAAGACAAACTCCTTAAAAATTGTTGGCTGAGAATCTACAGCCCATCATAGAGAATAGAATAATAGAAATTGGTTTAAATTTCAGTAATAGGAAAAAACTCAAGAGGCCTCCCTCCTCAATACACACACATACATACATACACATAACACTACATCACACAGAGACACACACATTTACATGTATGCATTAAATTAAGATCAATCTGAGAACTGACTAAACCCTTAGAAATCCTGTGTTGTCACTTGCTCACTTTAAAGATAAAGAGACTTTGGTCAGAGTGATGAACTTTTATATGCAGAGTCCTTCCGCTATTTATGGCCAATGGTTCACTCAATCCTAGATCTTCTGACTTCAATAAACAAGTCTCCACTCCTGGGGACTATACTTTATTTTGTAGTTTAGGTTCATAACTCTCTGAAGCAATGGGTTTGATCAAAGTACTTTTTTTTTGGAAGCTTCTATCTGTGTTACTGTATGAGTTGTTGGCTAGCTTAAAATATAAAATTAGAAATGAAGCTATTGTAGAAATATTTGCTAGTCTTGATTCTCCAAAATCCATTAATTTTCCCCCCACCCCTGCCTTTTTTTGTCCCTTGGTAACAACATGCTGATTAAATGTGAGCATTGCTTCCTCCCAATTCATGGAAGAATAGAGGAGTTTGACTTCAAAATTTCCCTTGGGCCTAGTTGATATTTTCACTTTTGAGGATGTGACCCAATTTGGACAAATGAGATGTAAAGAAGCATTTGCTAGGAGTTCTGAGAGAGAAGTTTCTGCATAGCTTAGAGAGAGCTACAAGAAGAGACTGCCACTCTTATTCTGGATAGTCTAGAGTTGAGGAGTGAGTTCTAGAGCTAGCATGGCCATTTCTTTTACTATAATGAGAGTCTAGCCTGAGGAAAAATTGAATACACAAAGAAGGGCAAAATACATAACAGTGAAGCATAGAGAAAGAGAAGCTTGATGGCGACAGGAATCTCAGCATTGAAATGTACTAGAAAACACACAAACTTGAACCATGAAGTCTCATTAAAAATTTTAATTTGCTCAAAGTAAGTTTTCTGACACTTGCAACGTAAACATCTCAACAAAATTTAACTCTACGTTGTATCAGTGAAAACTGACCCATACTACAATTGACTGGGTGAACTTAACTGTGGGTTCACAAGACCACGTAATCAACAAGGACATCCCAAATCCTTCCATGCACAAGGCATCATGGAGAATTTTAGTGTTAGTATAGGAACGAATTATCCATAAGGAATACACTCCAGTTAGGGGAAGAGGAATACCCTATAGGAAACGAAGATGAGCAAGACAATACTCTAGATTCCCAAGGGCTCGAGAGAGAAATGAAGAGTTTTAGAGGATTTAAGAGATGGGAAAGGTCACTGTGCATGAAGTCATAAGGAAAGCTTTGAGGAAGAGGTGAGATTTGAGCTGGCTTTTGAAATTGTGTGTGTAATGTGACAATAATGGTAATGATATCCGTCTGGATTCTGTCTACTAGGCCTAAAAACCAGGTGAGAAATCCCTGAGGTGCCAGGGATTTGTTCAGCAAAGAACACATTCACCATGCTAAATGCTTCTATGTGGAGGGCTTTCATGTAGAAGAGTGTTCTCCAAGTGGAGTTCCTAGACCAGCGGCATCTCCATCATCTGAGCCTTGTAAGAAATATTCATGTTCAGGCTCCAACCCAGACCTACAGATTCGGGTGCTCTGGAAATGGGGCCCAGCAATATGTGGTTTTAAGCCCTCTGCGTGATTCTGATGCACGCTCAAATTTGAGAACCACTGATTTCAAGTGGTTCTTAAGGTATACTTTACCTGGATGCTATAGACTGAATATTTGCGTCTCCCCAAAATTCATATATTGAAATCCTAATTCCCAATGTGGTAGTCTAAGGAGGTGGGGCCTTTGGGAGATGATTATGTCATGGGGGTGAAGACCTTATGAATGGGATCAATGTCCTTATAAAAGAGGCCCCCTGTAATTCCAGCACTTTGGGAGGCCGAGGCGGGTGGATCACAAGATCAGGAGTTTGAGACCAGCCTGGCCAATATGGTGAAACCCCGTCTCTACTAAAAATACAAAACTTAGCCAGGTGTGGTGGCGGATGCCTGTAGTTCCAGCTACTTGGGAGACTGAGGCAGGAGAATCACTTGAACCCAGGAGGTGGAGGTTGCAGTGAGCCGAGATCGTGCCACCATACTCCAGCCTGGGTGACAGAGTGAGACTCTGTCTCAAAAGAAAAAAAGAAAAAAAAAACAGACCCCAGAGAGATCCCTTGCTCCTTCCACCACATGAAGACAGAGCAAGAAAATGGCCATGGAAGAGCCAGGAAGCAGGCCCTCACCAGACACTAAATTTGCCTACAATTTGATCTTAGATGTCTCAAGCTCTAGACCTCTGAGAAATACATTTCTATTGTTTATAAGTCACCCAGTCTATTGTATTTTGTTATAGCAGCCCAAACTGACTAAGACACTAAATGTTCATAAGCTTGAATGAGGAAAAAAAATCCATTTTTATTTTCACTAACCTCTAACCAAAATTTAACATTTTCTTCCATTATGAAGGTGGGCCACAAACCAGAGTGGCATGTAGCAGTTTATGTTGCCAATAGAAATCAGAGATATTTTTCTGCCACATTTTAGGGGTTGCAGATATCTGAAAATACCACTAACGCTTATTACTACTTTGAAATTATAATCATTATTAGGCCTGCTGCCAGACATTATTATTAAGGTGTTAGAGAAAGACAGGTATTACTGTATCTCAAAATTTAAAAAATATTTTGATAACTGCATTTTATCATAATTGATTTCCTTTGCAAGTCTATATATTTTATTTTCTGTATTTAAACATGAATCCTTGGAAGAAGACCAGAGGCTTCACTGGACTCGGAAGGAGGGCATAGCACATTAAAATGTAAACCCCTGAACTAGGAGTAACACAGGTGTCTCTTGCTGCACCCCTCACTCACTGATACCAGCAAGAAGAACAGTGATGATCTGAGTGATGAGAGTTCTAAAATCAGCAGGAAAAGCCTGACTCCAGCCCTTCCCTTTCCCTCTTCCCACACCTGCCTGGGTGCAGGGCTTTAGTGCTGGTCTGCCCTCAGACATGGTATCAGGGCTTGGAGGTGGGTGGTTTAACTCTGTCCCTGATTGGTATGTCCATCTTTTTCTGAGCTGAAGTACCAGAAAGCCCATATGGGCATAGATCTAATGCCATATCGCCAATTCAGCTCTGACCTCTCACAAAGCTAATATTTTGATCTCCATCTGTCTGTTCCACATCTGTTTCTTAATTGGTTTAAAACTCCGGCCGCACAGAAAAGTACCATTTGTTGGCCCTCTAAAACTTGGCCAGCCTGAAAGTCTCTCTCCATCTCTTATTTTTCTGCTGGGAATACACTACAGTGAAGGAGGCAGTGCAGGAAAATGGGCAGCTCCGCTTCCTCCCAGGAGGTTTCTTAATTGTTCCTTAAGTCGCATTGGTACCAGATGCCAGACAAAAGCTTGAAGCAAGGTACTTCCTTCTTGGTTGTCCCAGAATCAGAGCTATAAATTCGTTGGGTCATTGCCCTTTAAAAGAGGAGGAAAATATGAGGTGATAATAGTCAAGGTCATTGTTGTGAATCCAAAGAATTCTGTAAACCAGCTGTAAAGATTCTTCCTTAGCCACTGGGCATAGAGCCTAACACAGCTCTACAGACACTGGCAGATTTTCTAGATCTTCAGATCAGACTTTTTCCCTAAGCAGCTCGTTTCTCTTTGCCACTATTAACCTGTTAGATGAAATATAGCTAACCTTATTATGAACTAAAACAGAGAAATCGTGATTAGAACATTTAGCTATGCTATGCAAGGACATAAAGGCAACCAAAATGTTGTCACGATATTTCTTTTATTTTTTGAAATAAGAGAAATAAAACTTTATTCTAAAGCTGCAGAAAATGTGGGAGGTAAAAATATTTCAGCATTTTAGTATTTTTCCCCTACACAAAATTATCAGGATGCCATTTTTTTTAATTATACGTTAAGTTTTAGGGTACATGTGCACAACGTGCAGGTTTGTTACATATGTATACATGTGCCATATTGGTGTGCTGCACCCATTAACTCGTCATTAACATTAAGTATATCTCCTAATGCTATCCCTCCCCACTTCCCCCACCCCACAACAGGCCCCGGTGTGTGATGTTCCCTTTCCTGTGTCCAAGTGTTCTCATTGTTCAATTCCAAGGGTCCCCAAACCAGCTTCCTTCCATACTAACATCTCCTACTTGTTGACACACTTCAGGTGAATAAGGCCCTAGGGTGATGACTTTTCTTGTGTTGTACACAATAATGCTATGAGTTGGAATCACCATTAACCCTCTTTTATAGATGAGAGCACTGAGTTTCCTTTGAAACTGTCCTGAAGATTCCTGCTAAGGTGCTGAGAAATGCCAAAACTGTTCTGTTCCAAGTCTGTTCTTGGAACATTCCCAAGGTCATCAAAAATGGTGGATCTGGGATTTAAATCCAGGCCTGGGCACCAGAAAGCCCAGGATCTCAGCTACTGTCAGAGAGATGAGTCTGCTCTTTGTTTACCTCTGTTCCAGCATCCCTCTCCTAGCTGTCTTGTTGTACCTACCATTCAGAATCCATGAAAATTTAGGGTGCCCATCTCCATGTGTGTTCACAAGGTATCTATTATAATTGAAACCTCATAACAACCATGTTAGATGAGTCAGGTTATCACCTTGATGTTACAGATGAGCAAACTGAGACTTAGGAAGTAGAAGAAAGTTTCTCCAGATCAAACCACAGAGCTAATACAGCACCAGAGCTGACATATGAACCCCAGCCTTCACTTAAGTTAAAACTTTATAAATTCCGGTAAAAGACTCTGGTGGCATGGATATTTTATCTACAGCATCTCAGCCCGGCTAATCTTGTTGGAGCTAGCTAGCAGGACACACAGAAGGACACAGGTCGTGTAGCTTCAATGCACTGGGCTGCCATTGCTTTTTGGGCTTTCAGTCTACCTGCATTTCCAATGAGAATATTCATTTGTTTTCTCCATATCCTAGTAAATTCTTCAGATTCTTATTTTAAGCAACAACTTTCTGTAACATAATGATAGCATTTCTGCACACAGCACATAGCCCTTTCTGAATTTTGAATAAAAAGACTGATATAATTGTCAAATCTCCCCATCCTGATGAAAAGAGAAGGCTAGGAGGACAGACTTGGAACAGAACAGCTTTGACATTTGTCAGCTCATTAGCAGGAACCTTCAGGACACATTTCCACTCTTGGTGGTCAGTCGCACTCAGTGTTAACACAAAGGGACTGGCCCTCTAGGCATAGAAGAAACTTTATTTTCCCATTAAAATATAATTGCATAAAGAGATTTGGAATTAAAGCCAAAATTGGGCTTGCCAGACATAAAACATATCATGCTTAGTTTGACTACTTAAGGGGTAACAACTGCTGTTTTGAGCAACAGTTCTTTGGGGCCATTCTTTGCATAGAAATATTCAACATAATCTTTAATTGTGCTAAGTGGTGTGAAGGGGAAACCAGCTTCAAGGCTAATATGATAATGAGTATTATCTGAGAGACCAGAAAAAAGGCGGTTCGGAATATAATCTTTCATGCTTTTTTGTTGTTGTTCAGCTAAAAATAAAAGCCTCGTTAAAGAGAGTTTTAAATGAATTATACTTCTCCATTTCTCTCACAATTAATTTTTGTGCAGCCCAATTGCAATTTGCAATTCTGATGCTTTTACCCTGAGCAGAGCAGCGTAAATTGGTTGGAAAACGGCAGAGGGCAGTGCTGAGCTGAAGCTGGCTCTGGAAACTTGCTTCTGGCTATAAAATTGTGCCTGTTATTAGATGAAATCTTAGGACTAACTTAGCCACAGAGGAAATTAAACTGCTAATTATGTGTGTCTAAATCACTAAAAATGGGTCCAGTTGTTGCTCAAGATTTCAGAAACACCCACCTCTTCTCTTTCTATTTAAAATATGTAATTATGCCTGGAAATAGTACCTATTAACAATTTTATACAAATTTTAAAAATCTTTTAGAGTTATCTGTTTGCATAGCTTGTCAATTGCTTGGTAAATAAACAAAAGATTGGTGGTTTTAGTTTCGTGGGGTTTTTAATTGTTCATGTCCATGTCTTCATCGGGGTACTCCATGTTCAGGTACGTAGAGTAGAGTTCCAATGGATTCAGACAAAATAACCACATTATTTTTATAGCACTTTCTCAAAAACAGATTTCTATAGAGGCAAGCATTTCCAAGATTTGGAGAGAAACTGATTCTAATTTGGGGACAAAAAGCAACAATGATGGCATAAATGCCTGTATGCATTTAGGAAAGTGAGGTCATTGTAAATTTTCCTCATGATCAGGAAAAACAACAAACAAACAAACAAAACAAAACAAAACAAAACCAGACATCTCAGAGTAAATGTGGAGTCCATGACCAGCAAAGACCATTTTAGGTTCCTTGTGCTGTGCCAGGCAGCCTGGTGGCTGTCCATAGATGATCAGATAAGCAAAAGGGAAAGAAATTTGATACAAAGTCTTAACAAAATATGACTGGAAACTGAAAGTGAATATATATGCTATGTTGAATAATTTGAGTAATTTGCATGGTTCAGGGCCTTTAGTTTGCAAATAGTTTTTCATGTATTATATATCTCTTTTAAGGCCTTACTACTCACAGTATGTTCCCTAGACCAGTTTCATCACTTGGAAGCTTGTTAGAGATGCAGAATCGTCATCTGCTAAGTCAGAGTCTGTATTTTAATAGGTCTATAGATGATTTGGTTGCACCCTTATGTTTGAGAAACACTATTTTAGGGTTCTATTTCCAATAATTTGCTTTCCCTGAAAGGGGCATCCCTTCTACTTTTAGTATAGAGATGGTTCATAAAGCCTAGAACAGCAAACTGTCATTTAGAATCAATTATAAGAAGTCCCATTTGTGGTTGTAGTTGTTTTCCTCTTTGCAACAAATAAAGACTTTTACCATCTGTAAAGAATGCTTTTTTCCAGCTGGTTTTATCTGGACCTAAAACATCAGCTGGTCATTATTTGAAGAGAACCCGGGAAGAATGAATGCACTCAGATGACATGGTATTTGCATATTCCTTTTCAGGGTTTCTTGTCATGCTGAGGATGGTGGATGTCATAGTTCGCCACCCCTCCCATTGGCTTAGCCCTCCAAGCTCATTCTATGCCATTTACAGGTTTCACAAAAGGCTGATAATGACCTATGTTACTTATCCATCAAGAGCTATGAACCAGAAGCTTCCTGCCCCCATTCACCCCTTCCTGGAGCAAGAAGGGCAGCATGGTTAGGTCAGCCAATCAGAGTAATGAGGCTCTCCTGCTTGGCAAAGTGAGATTAATCTAAATCAATACTTTCCACCTTGGCAATTTTAACTAATTCCCTCAGGAAAGTACAAGAGCTACTGAAACCCCTACAGTCTTTGCAAACCTCCTGGTAAGGCAAGGCAGGTAATACCTTTTAAGCTTGTTAATGTCTTATCCCGCTGCGTTCTACAACTGACTCAAAGAATAGCTGTGACTCCTCAAACCAGAATTACAAGGAAATGCAGCTTTCAGGGAGGAAGACCAAAAGTCCAGAGCTACACAGCGGATGGCTTTATTCTGTGGTGATAGCTCCTCAACTGCCTTGATTAAACTGCTTCCCACATTGTCTTTCTGCCTCTGTCCCAGTAATCATCAGAGAATCTAAGCTGCCAGGATTCGAGGGCTGCTCTCAGATAGTCAGGCTGCAGATTAGAGAGGCTTCCTTTTTCCCCAAACACATATGCTTTCCCATGCGCAGTCTGCAGGGACAGCGCCAAGAGGTGGTCTGGGTAGAGAGCAGCTCAGGTGTGTCAGAGATCCTGGGAGCTTAGGGAGCCTCACTCCTCTAGGGCAGTAACAGTGTGAACACCTGAGGCTCACTCAACAGGAAGGGTTCCCTGGATAACATAGCAGGGCTTCTCAGAGGACCTCTCCCTTCCACCTTCAGCAAAAGAAAAGGTCTTGCTTAATGCAGGCACAGCTTACTTGGTTTATCAAACAGAAGCTGCAGTGGAAACAGACTATAAAGTTTTTATTTGACTTTGTGTGCACTGACCTAGGACTTTTCCCTGAAATTTTCCTCTAACTTTTTAGTGGGAATAAATTGTCAACAGTGGTAAAAAGAAAAGTGCCTTTGCACGCAGAACAAGGTATTTATCCACAAGCCTTTGAAGATTTTTGTTTGTTGGGTTTTCTTTTTTCCATTTTTGTTTTTAAAGTCAGGTTTATTGAGTTATAATTTACATACGGTAAAATCCATCCTTTTAGATGTACAGTTCTATGACTTTTGACATGAATGCCAGCACAATCAAGACATAGAAAATGTTCACTAACCCCCAAAATCTCTGACAATCCTTTGTAGTCAAACTTCACCATCCCCAAGCCCAATCTTGGGCAACCATTGATCTTATTTCTGTCCCTACAGTGTTATCTTTAGTCCGGAGAGGTTTATTTTAAATTTTTTTTTTTTTTTTTTGACAACAGAAAAGCCCTCCTTTTTCACAGTAAGGAGGTCCAATTAGTGTAATAAGATGTAGTCAAGAGGGCCACTCTGGAGTCAGAAAAATGCAGGTTTCAATCCTGGCTCTGCCCCTTGCTCACACTGATTTGAGATATATTACTTCATTTAGCCAAGCCTCAGTTTTCTCATCTGTTAAATGGCATAACAATAATCAGCAACAGTTATTGAATACTACATTATTTGGTAGACTTGTTTAAATCTCTGTGAGATGCCACCTTACTGATACAATGACTAATTTTTATCTTTCATGTTACTTTCCACTTTTTTTTTTTTTTTTTTGAGACGGAGTATTGCTCTGTCGCCCAGGCTGGAGTGCAGTGGCGCGATCTCGGCTCACTACAAGCTCCGCCTCCTGGGTTCACGCCATTCTCCTGCCTCAGCCTCCCGAGTAGCTGGGACTACAGGTGCTTGCCACCAAGGCTGGCTAATTTTTTTTTTTTTTTTTGTATTTTTTAGTAGAGACGGCGCTTCACCGTGTTAGCCAGGATGGTCTCGATCTCCTGACCTCGTGATCCGCCCGCCTCAGCCTCCCAAAGTGCTGGGATTACAGGCGTGAGCCACCGCGCCCGGCCACTTTCCACTTTCTAATATGGACAGTAGTCTCTCCATAGGTTACGGCAGTAATCTTCCTGTCCACATCCACATTACAGGGTGGGGTAGGGATCCCCAGTCACACAAGTTTGATCCTCCCAATACCTATCAGAGTACATAACAGCTATGCAGAGCACACACATTAAATAAGGGAAAATTTAACATGGTACTGAAAAATAAACACATCCACATTTGTTGCTACATATGTAGGTATTCATAAATGATTTACATTAATGTCATGTGTTTTTAAAATTTACATAAGTGATATACTTTTTGCATCCTTTTGTGACTTTTTCCATTTAGTGTTTTTTTTTTTTTAAGTCTATCTATATTTGACTACTAAATTGTATTCCTTTTCATGGGTAAATCAGTCTATTTATCCATTCTGCTATCCAGAATGCCCATGTTTTTGCTGTAGACATTTCCTTGAATAGGAATAATATTCACCAAGTTAGGGACTGGTTTCCTTTGGAAAGCAAAGGAGAGAGGAGAAAAAGAGACAGGTAGGGGACTTTAGCTGTAGCCATAAATATTGTTTCTTTTTTTTTTTTTTAGGGGAATGCAGCTGTGGAGCAATCCATCTAGCAAATTGTTAGTATCTGTCTGTTAATTTTGGGTGAAGAATTCATAAGTGTTCATTATTTCTCTATTCTATTTTAAATTATTTTATAATTAAATATAAAAAAATTAACACATACCAAAAAAACAATGGATATGGTTCTATCCTGGAATTCATAATCTTTACTAATGGCACTGAACTTGTCCTATTGCATTTTTCATAAATAACAAAAAATTCCCACAATCAAGGTGAGATACTTATGACATATACCTAGCTAGTTTGGTCATAAGAAGTCAAGAGTCAAGCTTTTCCCCAGTAAGTGCCACTCCATCAACCATGGTAGCTAGGCTCTGCCTGGTCTTCCTGTAAGAATCCAGTTGCATTTTTTCCTGTTGGTTTTGCTGTAGTTAGAAGCAGTGAGTTTGTGTGCTAAGAAATATACACAGGACTCCTCTAAAAATAACTAGATGAGTTTTGTGTATTTAAGAGAAAAGGGTTATGAGGCACCTAGTAATTCATCTGATCAAACTCTTCACTGTTAGCAGGATTTGGCTAATACAGGGCACCTAGGGAATAAGCATGCTTTTTCCTTCATTTCACTCATCTTTTACAAAATAAATCGAACTTGCCTTTGGACAGGAAATAGCTAAGCTTTGGAAATAGTTGTGAGGCTTATCCCATTCTTTCATTTTAATGACTTTCCCTGGTATTTAATCCCATCTTCCCCTTCTTCTGTGACAACACTTATTAGTATGCTCTTCAGATAGCCGTGGAAACAAACAAGGCTATCAAAATACAGCTCACACCAAGTTCTCCGGGCTGAGGTGGCAAGTGGGCGTGTTTCCCTGCCCCCTTGTGGCTTGATTACAGAATTCCTGCTATGCTCACCCCCCACAGCTCATTACCTTGCCTCTTACATAACATGGGGAGAATGAGAGGGTTAAGATTCTGCTCTGCCACTTGCTGCAGAATAGATGGCTACTCTATTAGCGACCGGGCTTTATCATACTTGATAGCATTTGCTTCTTCAGGGACTGATGGCTCCAAAACACTTCTGATCAAGATGGCCTGAGAAGGTCTGAGGTTGTATTTTTCATGTGGAAAGACCAAGTGTGCAAAATAGGTAATGGGCTGGACCAGTAGTCACCTGAGAATAGCCATGACTTTGGAAGGCAACCTTTCCATTGGAATTTGTGACATGATCTCCAAGATAAATCCTGCTTGTCAGAACCAACCAGTAATTATTTTGCAACAATTGAGGTTAAATATTGTGAGCATGCCTATTAAGTGGGATTTTGAGCTGAGTGGGATGTGTAATACCATGTAGAGTGAAATAGAGCTTGCTATCATTAAGAAGTAAAGGGAAAATTTTAATGTTAAGCAAAGACCAAAGAAGATTTCATGGATCAACTGTCATGCAAGATCTTTAATACAGGGCAGAGAAAAGAGCAAATCAGGGCAATAAATAGTTCTCAAACTGTGACAGTACTGAAAATCAATCAAGTGTGATTATCACTGAACTTAGTTCCTTGAAGTGTGCTTCCGAATTTCTCTTTGGCAAGAATGGGTTGCAAATGCAATCACTGCCCTAGGATTTTAAAAAAATCACATATGTTGGGTCATTTCCATTTTACAGACGGAAATCTAAGTTACAAATGAATTGAGATTATTTGTTACAGATCTCATAGTAAATCAGTAGCAGAACAGCAAATAGAATCGAGAGTATTTTGTGCTTTAGATAAGAATTCTTGTCTCCAGAGCAGACTCTCTCTGTAGCCGTAATGAATTGCTTCATTGCTTCCTAATGCACCATGTGTCTTAGTCAACTTGTCCTTCTAGGCTCCTGGAAGCACCAGGTCACTGTGTCACAAGGCAATGTCAAAATGTCACAATGATATCAGCTGGGTGATGACAACAGGGATGCAAGCCAAGGGGTACAGAAACAAATCAACACTTCTGTTGTGCAGCATATAGATGGCATTATTTTCCGTATCAATATACAAAAAAGCTGCTTGGGGATAACATAGAAACTAAAATTAAAAATGAATCTGTACCTCCCATGGTAACATGGTTTATCATCTATTTGCTAGCCTCGGCTTTCCATCAGCCATTCATACTTGATTTATAGTTCGAAAACTGTAAAACAAAAGTAAAACTGTGCTATTGCTAATATTCTAATTGTGCAGATACTGTTGCACAATAATCATGGCTCTTGACTTCTGCTTTATAGAAGTATAGTCAAATATATATGATATGCAGAATCAGCACCAGTTTCTTTATATTTAAAATAAAGCTAAGATGGCCTAAGAAGCCAAAGTGTGTGTATTCTCAAATATGTATATGCATATGTGTAAATGTATAATGTATGTATATATTTCATGAGGATAGTCCTTAGGAAAATAAAATACTAAGATGTATGAAAATAATAACTATTTTTTGGCTGGTTCCCTTTCCATTCACCAAACTGAAATAGGTTTTCCTGATGAAGTTGGTAATCGGATATATAGATAAATTGAAAGATATAGATATATAGATGATATCTATTTCTTCATTGTTTGGGTTTCCCCATTCCCTTCTGCCTTACCATCTTGCTTTTCCTCACCTGGTGATGCCCTCACTCTGCCCCCTGGGCTTCCCCCATTCTGCTGCATTGCTCCATTGGGTCTCGATGACTATTGGCTTCTTACAGATTAGGGATAGTCAACAATGGCTCCGATGTAATGTTTTTGCAAATGTTTCTGTGGCCCACCTGGATACACGGAATCATCTAGGATGCTTCCTAAAAACTGCTCATTAGTAGTAAGTACCCCAGACCTGCTGAAAGAGAGCTGTATTTAACAAGCCTCTTCGCTCTTCTTTTTATGCATGCTCAAGTTTGAAAACTACTTCCATAGAACAGTGATCCTCAGTAGTGCAGTGTGCTATCCCGGGAAGGAATAGGCAACTCATACATTAGGTTTGGTGGTGATGGTGATGGATGGTAGACTTCAAATTACCCCACACATACCAGTATAATATTTAAGCAGTATTCCTGCTGCAATGACTGAGGCTTGCTGCCAGAGAACTCACTATTAGTGATGGGAAGGCTTTCTTTCCTGTAGAAGTGTTGAAGTAAAAATATGATCAGAATTGTCTTTGGGTTTTATGATGCCCCTAAAAGCAAATAGGAAAAAATGACGTTGCATATTTAACTTATTTTTATGTTATAAAAATATTTAATTCTGTATGATAATATAGAAACACAACAAATTTCTTATGTAACTGATGTGATTAATAGATACCATAAATCTATTTCTAGTTAGATTCAACATAAGTTTAAGAGCCAAATATGTACACAAAATGCTGATGTTTGAAAATTGCTACTTTTGGTAGCCATGAAAATATATCACTCAAATCACAGAGCGTGATTGACTGAGAGCCCTTCTGGATCCACTATCATATTTGCACCAAAGCCATGCTTCTCACAGGCTACTCCTAGCCAATGCCTGGACACAGAGTGAGTACCAAGGCAGGTCCATTCCAGGAAGATGCAGCGCTCATAGCAACTTGGACTCAGGGACTTCTCATTGACCTGACTGAATTACTCTTGGAACTAACTCCATTGCAGCCCATGACTCTTCCTACTCTGTATTCCTTTCTTGCCTCTCTCCTTTCATAGCTGTCAGACCTGCACCATGGTCTCACTGATGGCTCCCTCTACCTCCTTTTCCTCCCTCTCACCATCTAATGTTATTCTCTCCCTCAACAAATCTCTTGCCCACTTAACCCTGTCTTCATATCTGCTTCTTGGCAGAGCCAAACTAACACACTACTATGCTTCACAGAAAGCACCTATCAGTTTACATTCTGTCCACTCCATCAAACACACACACACCCCAACACCCCCTCCCCACACACACACCTCGATAGGTTGTTCACACTTTCCTCAAGCTACCTTAATTTATTTACTTACTCTCTTACTTACTAAATTTGAAATGAAACTTCCCCACTCACTTTGGATAATTGGTAACTATAGCAGTTGGAAAGATAATAAAGGGTAAATATGGAAGTGGCATATCTGCTAAACAAGTCATTTTAAGAACGAGAGTTGCAAATTAATTATGCTAGCTAGTGGTGGGCTGTATCAGCGGTGTGATTGCACACTCTTTCTTATGGTATTTAATTCACCCATTTTATCCTGTTTTTTGCATATAAATTTTTAACTCAGAAAGAATGCCTTTGGGATAGCAGTGAGGAAAAAATAATATAATAGCTTCCCAATGCTAAGAAAAACAACCCCAGAATTTTTAGTTTTTCAAATCCTATTAAAATCTGAGTCCAATCTACCTTTTGGATATTATATTCCTGCTACCTTCCCACATGTGTTTTACATACCAGCCAAACCAGACAAATCACTCTGGAGCACTGGGTGGCATATTGGCGCCTAAGCCTTTGTTCATACTATTCCACCTATTGAGAAATTGTTGAGGCAGCCCATATCTTAACCAGCAATTCATACCTAACTTTTCCATCATGCCTTCCTTGATTATTCAAGCAGGAAATGACCCTTATATTCTTAAAGCAAATACAGCACAGCACAGTTTATAAGCACAGATTCTGGAACTGGACTCTAGATTAAAATTTCAGCTTCAACCCTGTGTGATCTGGAGCAAGTCATCTCACCTTACTGAGCCTCAATGTCCTTGTCTGTTAAATGGAGAAGATAACAGTTTCAATAAGTGTTCATTTTGAAAATTAAATAAGTTATTAATTATTATACTTACGATTTTGGTATAGGTTTAGCCCAAGTAGCCTTACAGTATAGTATAATTATTTGTCTATGGTATTTATCTCTCTGAGTAGTGTGTAAACTCCTTGAGGTTAGGCATTGTGTTTTTTCATCTCTCTCTCCACCACAGTTACATGTGAATGGTGGATGCTCAATGATTGTTATGTTTTGGTTTGGGGTAAGTGGATGAAACACAGGTTGAATGAATTATGAATTCCAGCTTTCATATTTACTCTCACAACAGCTCATCCTATTTGGGGGCAAAAGTAACAAGAAGAGAAACTATGTTATGAGGATAAATTAGAAATTTACCTTTAGGGGCAAAAGGCGCAACATACCTGGGCATAACTTACTGGAGTAGACTTTTGGGGAGCTTCCATTTTTCCTATTTTTAAGTGTCTGCTTATTACACTTTTCTATTATAGTAAAACACTTCAGGTAGGTCTTAAAACCAATACATTCCAATGCATACTCTGGTAGAGAAAGGACAGCTAAAGAGGTTGCCAACAAAGAAGATTCACAGGGAACCCTAAGATTTGGTGAAGCATGTAAAACCCAGAAGGCATCTCCAGCCAGAGGCTGAGTTGAGTCAAGCTAACACTGCTGGTCACTTTTCAGACTTCAGTTTATTACACTCAACTAATATCTGCCTCGCTCCTTTGAATTTACATCTAAAAACCAATTTTGGATGTTGTCCTCATTGTTAGCTAAAACATACTGATATATTTAAAATGTGAATCTCACATGAACACAATAATTATCTATGACTGGTAATAAAATGTCTGCAAGATTTTGTATGATTGTTTTTAATAGGTACACCTGATTTTTGTCCTAGACGAACATACCTCTAATTTGACCATGAAAATTAATGGTAAATGTGTTTTGAGACAGAATTTTGCTTAGCTTCTTTGTAGATACACTCTATTTCTGTACAGTGACTATCTGTAGGATAGAAAAGTGCTACTATGTTCCTAGAGTCTTTGTTTTCTCTACGTCATTTACAATTACTCTCATGGAAGGAAGGGGTAAACAGGCCTGCCTAGTTCCCATAATCCCTCAAGTAGCTATTAGGACACTGCCGGAGAATAGTGCCCAAACTGGGGAAAGTCAGAAGAAAAACAAGTTGTGTTTTAATTGTTATTTGAAATAATAACCCTTTTAAAAATGCATATTGAACTCCATTCATATTGAGTTGCATCATTAATTTATCACATAAAGTAAAACTTGCTTAGGACATCCATGGATCTTTAAATTTATCCTATGTAAGGCATTCCATATCTTTGGTACTCAGGTAGTAACAGGGAATATTTGTTTTCAGACCATTCTTTCATAAACATTCTTATGTTGTATAGAATGTGATGGTTAAACTATTAGGAGGGCACATTTTCTTCGTTATAGTTCATTTCAGTAGTCATTAGGATGTCTTAAATTGATGCCCCTATATATTTGTTTACTGGTATTTCAGTATAAAGCTCACATGATGCAAATCCTTAGTTATAAACATTCCCTGTGCACCCATATAAGAGAAAGCAGGTGTTAGGTAACCTATATCCCAACTTTCTAGCTTCCTAAAACACTTAATATATTGTAACACTTAATATATTGTTATTAAACACTTAATATATTGTATAAACACTTAATATATTGTAACAATCTCTTTGGAAACTGTGTTCCCTCAGGGTGGGGTCATTCACCTTTGCATTCACCTTTGCATTCACAGAGTGAGGTAGGTACATAATAAGTAATCAAGAAATATTTGTTAAAAGGAAGTTCTTGAAAGAATATATTTTGTTGCTTTAAGGAAAAAAATTATGTGTAATGAATGGAATGCATGACTTCCTTTAGGAATACTGGCTGCGTGAGTATCTGGTATAATTTCTTCATATCGCAATATGGCAATATGAAGAAGGCAGTTCCTAAAACATGTAGCAAAATGAATCTAAGGCTTTCAGATATAAATGAATACTGGGTGTTCACTGCATACCAGACACTACACTAAGTGCTTTCCATGGATTATTTTGTTTACTCCACACAATCACCCACCCTACTGGTGCTATTATTACCCTCGGTTTACAAATGAGGAAGTTCAGGTAAAATGGAGTAATATTTTAAGTACTGTTTAGTACTTGCCCAACATCACACAGCTAATAAGTGACAGATTTTGATCTCAAAACAGGAAAGTCTGGTTTTATGGCCTGAGGTCTTAACCATTATGCCCTACTGACTTTTAAATAGACTCAGAAAATACATATTCTGCACAAGAAAACCAGACAGGAATCATGTACTTCAAAACCCACTCCATTCATTCATTCAATAAAGATTTATCATGCACCTTCTCTGTTCAGTTTTTCAACAGTCCCTTGCTGGGCTTTCAAAGATGATGAGGAAAACAGCTTCCATCCTTGGCATGTCCACAGCCTTTTATGGGGGTGATTCAATATGGTGAGATTTGAACAAGGGACACTGAGGCCACCTTCAGGTTGTCACTAGTTTACCCAGGTTGGCCTGGGGCTGCTTGGCAGAGGAATTAAGGGATAATCTTGGAGAATGAGCAGGAATTTTACCAGGGGCACAAGACTGGGAGTGTTCTAGAAGGACAACCAGTGGAAAGATACGGAGATGAGAAATATCAAAGCTGACATGTTTCTGGGATTGAAAAGGATATAGCAAAAACATAGAAGGTGAGCCGAAAAGGGTCATAAGTTTACCAAAAGCATTATGCTCAGGCTCACACATTCTGTTTGTGGAGCTCAGGTGAAAAAGCTGGGCCTTCTAGTCAAATATCATGCCAGCCAAACCTCCTGGCTTCAGCTGGGAGCAACCCAAGATAAAAACATGCTCATTCATCTATCAGAATGATAGAGTTGCTGGGTATGGTGGCTCATGCTTGTAATCTCAGCTCTTTGGGAGGCTGAGGCGGGCCGATCACTTGAGGTCAGGAGTTTGAGACCAGCCTGGCCAACATGGTGAAACCCCATCTCTACTAAAAAATACAAAAATTAGCCCGGCATGGTGATGCACGCCTGTAATCCCAGCCACTTGGGGAGTCTGAGGCATGAGAATCGCTTGAAGCCGGGAGGTGGAGGTTGCAGTGAGTCGAGATTGTGCCCCTGCACTCCAGCCTGGGTGACAAAGTGAGAGTCCATCTAAAAAGAAAAAAAAAGAAAGAAAAAGAAAGAAAAAGCAAAAAGGATACAGTTTGCCTCTGCTATGTGCAGGGTATTGGTTCCAGGAACCCCACACATACCAGAATCTGTGGATACTCAAGTTCCTTATATATAATGGCATAATATTTGCATATAACCTATGCACATCCTCCTGTATGTGCTCCAAATCAGCTCTAAATTACTTAGAATACTTAATACAATGTGAATGCTGTGTAAATAGTTGTTATTGGGTTTTAAAATTTTATATTTTGTTGTTGTATTGTTATTGTTTATTATTTTTTCAAATATTTTCCATCTGAGGTTAGTTGAACCTGATGGTGTAGAATCCACTAATACAGAGCAGAGGGAAATGTACACATTGTCCTCCCACAGAAATTTTACTTTCAGGTTTTACATTAGTTATGTAAAGAAATTTTAATTCAGTGCACCAGTAATTCCTGGTTGACCAAGTAAAAGAAAAAAAAATCAGGCTTTATGTTGACACTTAAGATGATGGATGCTCCCCTTCTTTTTGAATAGTTTTGCCAGGCATGATTGATTTAATAATAGGTAGGTTTCATTTTAATACTAGTGACAACTGGGGGAAGAGTTGGCAAGGAGAATAAGAGAGTGGTACTCTCTAGCAGGTATTTAACAAAGACAGCCTGAAAATCAATATTAATCCTTTGCTGGCAGCTGAAAATTTTAGACAACTTAAGCTGACGAATAGGCCATAATGTGTCAGTAGTGTTAGTCTATTCATTGGCTGGATCTTGCACTAGATGAGAACTCTTGTTGATTAAAAATCCATTCCAGGAATGCCATTGCACATGTTAAAGAGGTCTTATTTTCCCCTGGGACCAAAAATGTTCCTTCCTTTGCCTTTTCAGGCCTTTCTTTAATTTCATCAATTTCTGAACAGCCCTGTGACTTCCCTGTAGGTAAAATTCTTACAGTTATTTTCAAGCTCCAGGGCTACCTATCTCCATCCTACAGAACAGGTAGGTGGCTGCATGGAGCCCTCCCCACCCATAGAGTACATCTCCTGCACACACCAGACACAATCAACCCAAAGCTGTGAAAGCTGCAGAAAGCAGTCTTATAGAACCAATCAACCCTCAAATATGGCCCTACGGCAGGATTTCTTGTCCTTATGTATAATGTTGGTGGAAGAGGTGTCACAAGAAAACTGTGAAGAAAATCAGGAAAGAAGAAACTGAACCTTCTGTATTTCATACCTAGTAAATGCAAGTCGAGGTCATTGCTGTAATTCAGTCTCTCTACTTTGGGGATCTGCAGGAGAAGAACTTAAGTTAGAACTGAGGCAGGCTAGTGTGGTAGAATGCTTGAAAAAGTGAACTTTGACCTAGACAATCTCTCCAAAAACAGGAATTTCTTATGGTTTTTACTTCTTACTTGCAACTGGTTAGTAAGAAGACTCATGCCTGAAGTATTCAAAACAACTGGGAAAGTGCAGAAGAGATTAAGACCACCTAGGTGAATGGTAAACAGGAGCTGCTTGAAGAAAGTGTCAGAATCTTTATGGCAATCCAGGGTTAAGTAGGCATCTCTATGGGAACTTCATGGTTGAGGAAGCATCCTCTTTTCTTAGAAGTGCTATGGTGTCTTCTGCTCAGTGTAGCATATTTGTTCAGGTATGTTCTCATAGCCTTGAAGTACATTAATGGAACATATATCTTTTTCCTCTGTTATCTCATCTCTTTCTATCATCTTTATAAATTATGACAATGCCCAAGAACCTCAATTTACAAAATTGTCTTTTTCACACTACTGGTTGGAAAAGATTTAGAAAAATGGAAAGTTTTCCCCAAAGCCCCTTTTTTTAAGAAAGCGAGGAAATTCTCCACAACCTAATCCCCTATGAGACTCTCTAACGTTAGAGAAAGAATGAAATTAGATAATTTAAATTTCTAACAGTATGTAACTGTAGGAGTCAGACTGTGACTTCTACCTCACATCCTACGAGCAGTGAATTCTTGGTGTCTCCCTCTTTCTATTCTACTGAACACAGGAAATTGAAAATGTCAATTAGAAAATCTTATGAAATTGGAAATCCGAAAACTAGATGGAAGCTTGATGTAATTACAGAACACCTCTTAAATGGGCCCATTGTTATCAGGCTTAGAAAATAGTGCAAAGTCAAAAGAATTGAACTCTTGTTCACTTTTTATGGTAATGTGTTCATGAAGCTAGATGCATTATATAGTTTTCTTGTTTGACACTCATGACCCTTGAGATATTGGTGTTCTTATATCATGTCAGATGAGGTTATTGAAGTTACTGGGGCTCAGACAGGTAACATAACTGGTGAGTGAGATAACATGAATGCATTCAGACATTCCTGATTCCACAGCTCATATGCTTTTCAAAGCACCATGTTTTAAAAAAAGTTTAGCATATGATAAAGACAAAATAGATTGGGAAGTCCTCCTTGATGTTTTCTTTTCTTTCACATCTCACATTCAAACCTTTTGGCTGTGTCTACACACTTATATATAAAATCCAATCACCTCTTTTTTTTTTTTTTTGAAACGGAATCTCACTCTGTCACCCAGGCTGGAGTGTAGTGGTGCGATCTTGGCTCCCTACAAGCTCCGCCTCCCGGGTTCATGCCATTCTCCTGCCTCAGCCTCCCCAGTAGCTGGGACTATAGGTGCCTTCCACCATGCCTGGCTATTTTTTTTGTATTTTTAGTAGAGACGGGGTTTCACCGTGTTAGCCAGGATAGTCTCAATCTCCTGACCTTGTGATTCACCCGCCTCGGTCTCCCAAAGTGCTGGGATTACAGGCGTGAGCCACCGTGCCCAGCCACCTCTCTTCTTCATTGTTGTTATCATACTACTGCAAGCCCTCAGCATTTCTTTCTTGAATTACACAATATCTTCCTAACTGGTCTCTCTGTGTCTACCCTTGGCAACAGAAACTTGCATGAAGCTTTTGCAAGTGTTTCCTCCCAGTCTAAGGCTTGTCTTCTCATTCTCTTGACATTTTTTTTCATAGAGCGAAGTTTTAAATTTTAATAAATTCTAACTTATCAGTTACGTCTCATGTATTGTGCCTTTAGTGTTGTATGTATCTGAAATGTCATCACTAATCCCAACATCATCTAGATTTTCTCTGATGCTATCTTCTAGGAGTTTTATAGCTTTCATTTTACATTTAGGTCTACGATCCATTTTTGAGCTAATTTTCGTGACAGGTGGGGGTAAAATCTCTGTACAGATGCACTTTTGACATGTGGATGTCCAAATGTTCTAGGATTATTTCTTGAAAAAACTATTTTTTCTCTATTGTATTACTTTTTCTTCTTTGCCAAAGATCAGATGACTAAATTTTTGTGTATCTATTTATGGGCTCCCAGTTCTGTTTTATTGATCTATTTTTCCATTCTTTTACCAGTCACATTGTCTTGATTACCATTTATAGTAAATCTTAAAGTCAAGTGGAGTTTGTTTTTCAACTTTGTCAGGTACACCCCTTCCTCTGATCTGGTTGTTCTCTCTACCTATATCACTCTTCCTACAGATGTCCACTTGCCTGATTCTCTTCTTTATTTTCTTCTTCCTTCTTCGAGCCCCACCACTAGCCCCAGATGGTCCCGCTGATGATAAAACTGAAAGTAATACATCACATTTTCTTTGACCTCTCCAACCATGTGTTGTGAAAACGTAGTTTCCTTTGCATGTGGTCTCCCATTTTTGAGATCTGTCTAGGTCACGTGATCCATCCGTTGCTTCAGTAATCAGTTAAGAGGATGTTACCGTTTAAATGTAATCAGTGTAGCAAGGGGTAGCTGTAGGAAGTTTGCACAGAAAAAGAGGGCTGACTTATTACCCAGGATATGTGTCTCATCCCTGTACAATGACTGGAATTACTTTGCTCTGACAGACAAAGACAAGGTTATTCCTACCTCAGTATGACTATTGACTATGAACCTTTCACAGACAATTTAATCAGCACCTCAACCTAGAAAAAGTCCCAGCCATTCATGGACCTGACCTAATACACTGCACAGAGAAAAGAAAAGGAAAAACAAAAACAAAAACAAAAAACATTTACAATAGTAGTTAAAAATAAAACCCCTAGAGTAGAGTTTGTGGTTCTTTATGGAATGGCCATTCACTTTTATACTCTTCAAGTTATGATCTAGCCCATTTGTAAACTCTCACGTAGAGTTCCTACTGGGTGCCTGCTACTCACTGACCCTCTACCCACCTTCTCCTCACCTATCCTGTTAATATGTATGCCATAACGCAAATACTATATGGATTACATGCTGAACAGTCAGCTTCCCATCTGCTTCCCCAGCTTCTCAACCACCCTCTGGATTATGTCCAGAAAGGGTACTCTAGGAATGAAGGCAGCCAGGCAGGTCTGTATAAAAAACTATTTCATGAGAGTACATTAAGATTGCAAGCTGCAGAGAAAGGAAATCAAATGACAACGTTTATCTATCAGTATAATATGAACGCCAGTCCTGGCTCAGCCCCTTAGTGGTATGGCTAGAATGAATTTAGGCATTAATCCAAGCCTTGGTTCTTTAATACATAAAATAATAATGTATTATTATTTTATGTATTAAATGTATTATTATAATAATAATAATAATACTCATAAAATCGTAATGAGTATTAAGTGATATGTTGATGACATAAAAATCTATACCTTTAACCCAGACATATGAGTTTTAGACCCATATACCTAATGATCTCAAAATCCTTTCTTTGATTTTTAAAAGATACCTCACAATTTTCATATAAAAAAAACCCTCATAATCTTACCCCTTCTCAGTAAGGATACATTAGGTAATGTTGCAGCTACAGACAACCATAAACTCTCAATGCTTAAAACCATGAAAGCTTATTTCTCTCTTGTACTACCTGCCCATCTTAGGTAGGCAGAGGGCTCTGCTCCAGGGCATCCTCACTTGAGGACCCCAATGGACAGAGCCTCCATCATCAGGAACATCACTGGTTGCTGTGGCAGGAGAAGGCCACACCTAGGTTCTTCAGAACTTCCATCCCATGAATAACACATGTTACTGCTATGCACATGCCATTGGCCAAACTGTGCCATGCTAAATTCAAATGTTCAGAAAAATACAATTCTACCATGTACTCACAGGGAGAAAAACCAGAATATTGGTAACAGGCTTAATGTCTACCATCCTTCCCAAATCGGATCCACCTCCACTGTTTTCAATCTCAGTGGAGCAGATTGGCTAGAAGCTCACCAATGCCAGGACATAGAGGAAGACTTTATTTCCCAGCTCTCTTGAGACATATTAATGGTGAATTGAGTGTGAACAGAAGTACGCCAACTCCAGTCTTGGCCTTAAAACTTCCCGTGAGATCTTCACTTGTTGGCTCGCTAAAAGCAAAAGATCAGTGTAGGAGTCTCTCAAGACCCCAGAAGATAGAAAGATCTGGCATTCATGAATGGCCACCTAATGAATGCCCTAATGTATTGTGAATGAGAAATAAATATTTACTTGGTTAAGTCCCTGAGATTTTCTTTCCAGCAACTAGTACTTCATAGCCTGATTACTGTACTCAATGAGAGACATCTCATCCACCCAAGCACACAGGCCACAAACGTAAAAGTCATCCTTGGGACATTCTCTTCACTCTCAATATCCCATCTGTCACTGAGCTCTGTTGATCTTGCCTCCTAAACATCTCTTGAATATGTGTATTTCTCAGTTTCCACTTAGCCTAAGCTAGCATCAGTGTCGCGTGGCCATGCAGTAGTTTTCTCATCATCTTCCTTCATCTCCTCTCATCGCCTTCCAACTAGTTTTTCATGCTATAGAGGAGTGATACTTTTTAAAAATCTGTGTCAAGTTATCTTGGCAGTGGCTTCCAATTGTTCACAGCATAAAATCCTAAGCATGGTCTTGAAATCCTTGTAACATGTGACCCTATCTCTCTGATCTTTGAAGTCATCTTTCCCTTCTTTGAGCTCTAGCCCAAATGGCTTCTTTTACACTCCCCAGGATGTGCCATGTCCATAGCCACCTTAGACCTTTGCTCATACTGTCTTCACTGCTCACCATCCTTTAAATTTCAGTTCAAACTTGACTTTTCCGTCAAAGTACTCATCTCTGTCCTCCTAATTTGTTCAGATGCCTAACATATATTTTCACAGGACCTTATATTTTTTCTTCATATTACTTATCTCTGATGATTTCTTCATTTGTGTTATGATTTTGTATGCATATAATTATTTGAATAACATCTTTTTATCCCCTTATGTTTTATGCTTCATGAGAGCAGGAGCCATTTCTAGTTTGGTTGTATTACTTAGCTCGGTACCTGGCACAAAGTATGTATTGAAAGCATGAAATTGGCATGCTTTATATGATGTAAATTATTTAGAACCATGTCTGGCATATAGCAAATGCTCAATAAATACAAGCTCTAATGATAGTTATTTGTTCCTATTTAGACCCTAGCCAATGTCTAAAGGGAAGTTAGGCACGTGAAAAGAATCTGGTAGGAGGTTGCAGTCCTAGAAACAGAGGTTCCTGAACATGTGGGATTCTGGATAAAATTCACACCATACATCAAATGGAGGTAAAGAGCCTTAAAGGGCTTCAGTCAACATAGTGAGGAGGCATAACAAGCTATGAGTCATGGAAATCTATGTCATTGTGACTAGCTCCAAATCCCATGTTTGGAGGGCTGGGGATACCAATACACTCCCTGTCCGTGGATGCTCAGTTCAGAACCTGAGCGGGTCCCAAACTACAGGTGGCAGGCCTGTTACTGAGCCCCATGCTACTGGAAGAGGCAAAAGAACACACCTAATTATAGGCCTGGAACTACCAAGTAAAATGGAGGATCGAAGCAATTATTCAAAGAGTTTGGGAAGAAGAACAGGACATTAATCCCCTGCCCACCCCCTACTTTCTTCCCTTGTTTATTTCCAGCAATTATTTTTCTTTAGCCTAAATCCAGAACAGTTGCCTATAGTGTGCTCTTCTCTGCAGCATTAATAGATGTTATATAAAAGAGATCTTTGGAAAATGGGGAAATGCTACATTAAATAAAGTTAAGCCAACTTCATTATTGCAGGACTTCTGAGAATTTTTATGTGTACTGACCCTTGGAGAAAGTTATGTAGCATTTGCTCCAACATATTTAACCATGAAAGTCTTGTTTTGTTTTCTTGCTTGTTTGTTTTTAGCAAAGTGTTTCTGGTGCTTCAAGGAACTCATTTTGGGAAATGTGAAATAGATATTTTCTCCTTTTTTCTTTGTATTTAGCCAAATCAGAAAACCTAGCAGTTCCTGATATATAACTGTCATCGAAAATAGTGTGGCTCAAAAGAAAGCCCCTCAGGCTTGGGATCTCTGTGTCCCACAACATGAGTCTAGAGTTAGACTCTAGACCTATCAACACTGCTGTATTATCTTGGACAAATCACTTTATCTCTATGCTTTCTAGTCTATAAAAGAAAGCTTTGACCTATCTGCCCTCAAATGTTCTTCGTTTTAAACGATCTGAAAATCCAAGTAGCTTGAAGTGAGATATGATATTCTCCATTAATATAATATCTGAAAATACTCCATAGAGACTCATCATTTTTCTCAAATTTTCCAAAACCATTTTTAAAAATGGAAGACCACTTGAGCCCAGGAGTTCAAGACCATCCTGGGCAACCTGGTAAGACTCTGTCTCTATAAAAAATTCAATTATTAGCTGGACGTGCTTGTGTGCATCTGTGGTCCTAGCTACATGGGAGGCTGAGGCGGGTGGATCACTTGAGCTCAGGAGGGGAGGTCCAGGCTGCAGGAAGCCATGTTCATGTCACTGAATTCTTCCAGCCTGGGTGACAGAGTGAGACTCTGTCTCTAAAAAAACAGTTTCAGTTCCTCCTTAATTTGTCTCCTTTATCATATACTAAATTCCTTTTAAACTTCAATCTATACCTGGACTTTCTAATGTGTTCCATTATTTTGATGTACCAGTATCACACTATTTAATTAAAAGACATTTTAATTGGTTTTTCATGTAATTTGACTACTTTAAAATGTTAGCAACATCCAGGGAACTAATGGAATTAGGAAATATAGTTCATTTATATTACTGATGGTGCCATTTGAATATAAAAATGTGTCTGCTATTATCTAGTTAATATTTTGGAAGAAGGAGTCAGTTAGGTGGCCCTCTAGAGAATGCTACAGCTACCTAGAAAGTTACTACATGAGAATATATGAATCAGATGTCATTATGCTGTCTTCATCTCGGATACATTGGGGAAACTGAGTCAGCATATCTGTATATTCATCACCCTTATGGGCTACATGGCCAACTTTTCATTACTTGCCTAACTACCTGGAATCATGGCTGTGGCCTTCTCTGACATTGGACATTTAGGCTTTTTTTCTTTCAAGTAACTGGTTGGGTTTCCCCATCACCACTTTTAAGTTTCTTTCTTTTTTTTTTTTTTTTTTTTTTTTTTTTTTTTTTGAGACAGAGTCTTGCCCTCTTGCCCAGGCTGGAGAGCAATGGCATGATCTTGACTCACTGCAACCTCTGCCTCCTGGGTTCAAATGATTCTCCTGCCTCAGCCTCCCGAGTAGGTGGGATTACAGGCGCCCGCCCAGCTAATTTCTGTAGAGACGGGGTTTCGCCATGTTGGCCGGGCTCGTCTCGAACTTCTGACCTCAAGATCCACCTGCCTAGGCCTCCCAAAATGCTGGGATTACAGGCATGAGCCACACTGTGCCCAGCCACCACTTTTAAGTGTCTATGCTTCAGTCAACTGATAAGTCCTGCCTAATGTTCTAGGATAATCACATGAATTGATCACAAAATTAAATATGCCCATTTGCAAATCTGTGTACCCATCTTTGAATGACCAGGTTGGTCCTTACCAAACACAAAACCCAAATTTATTGAAGACAAAATATGGCACTGGTTACTGTAATCAACTAGAAGCATATTTAATTTTGCTATCTTTGGGAGAAAGGGGGAGATCATTTTGTTTCTTGGATGGCTGCAATTGTTTCTGTAGTATATATTTTGCATGGATATCGGTATTGCTTTCTTGCAAACTTTTAATGAAGAATATTTATTATCTTAAGCCGAATGACTGATACCAACAACAGGTATCACGGAACTATTGTTTCTTCTTTTTAAATTTTCAAATAACCTTCATAATTTGTACCTAAAAGGAAGTCTTTCCTATTCACTGACCTACAAGATTCTTTATATAGTTGCAGAAAGTTTTGGTGAGTATTATAAAAGCCAATCACGTTTACTCATATTGCATTTTATGTTTCAGAACATGCCAAGAAACAAGATGTAGAGTACACAAAATACATATATTTGACCTCCCAATATTTATTTTAACTTCTGCTGGGAGAGATTCAACTAGCCTTTTGTGATATCTACATCAAAATGTGCAAACCGAAATTTGGTTGTTAAGGATAGAGGAAAATGGAGCTGAACCAAAATAAATAAATAAATAAATAAATAAATAAATAAATAAATAAAAATAAGAAAGAAACCAAATGCTTGGTAAACCTGGCATAGCATCTTTCCAGAGTGAATGAAGTATTCACAAGCTATATTAAAAAGAAAAGAAATATTTAAAATAACTGACACTCCACATCCTATGGATATAGACACAAATCTCAGAAGTAATTAAAATAAAGATATCAAAGGGGAGGGCAAATACCCCTGCGAACTCAGAATGGTAAAATACACACAGTCTGACCTCTGTTACCATTGAATCAAACAAGCTGTTAATTACAAAAGGATGAACACCCTCTGGAGATAACAGCAAACTCCAGGCAGTCAATAGGATGTGATAACATCCAATACAATCAAGAAACATTTGAGTTGAGCACAGGATTATACATGAGGATTGGAGGATTAGGAGACATGGCATTTCTGAGTCTAGTAAACAGAGAGCACAAGATGCTAGCTGAGGAAAGTAGAGGGTAGGAGAGACAGATGTGATGAATTAATCACTAGGAAGGCAATGAAATAATGGCTGGGTTCTGTTCCGTAGGCTGGCAGGGAATGAATGAACCATGATGACCTCTTTTGCATTTCTAGCCTTCAATTATGAATTGAGCACATGCATGATGGCGTGTTAAGAAATACTAAAAACTCTGTAATTGCTGTTGGTTTTTGGCTAAGCAGGAGACTTTTGTTACTTTGTATTTAAAAAACGATGAAGTAAGCTGTGTCCCTAAAAAGTCCTGTTATTATAATATAATCGCTCATGGCTGAGATTGTAGCTGGAGGCACACGTTAAGATAGGAAAATTCATTCTGATGAACATAAACACCTGATGTTTATCCTATGTGCTAGTTACTTATTGCTGTGTAACAAATTACACCAAAGCTTAGTGACTTAAAGCAACAAACATTTTCAATCTCAGCATTTCTGGGCGTCAGGAATCCAGATGTAGCTTAGCTGAGTGCCTCTGGTTCAGAGTCTCTCACAAAGCTGCAATCGAGTAGTTGGCCAAGGCTGCTGTCATCTCAAGGTTTAGCTAGGGGAGGATCAATTTCCAAGCTCATTCATATGACTGTTGGCAGCCCTCTGATCCATATCCAGATTCAGTCATGAGGCTGCTGGCAGGCCTCAGGCTCTCCCTGGTTTTTGGCTGAAGACACCAGTTCCTTGCCATGCAAGCCTGTTTACAGGGCTCTTTATAACATGAAAGCTTGTTTCCCCCAGAGCTGGAGCAGAGACAGAGAATACCCCCAAGATGAAAGCCATGTTCTTCTGAGATTTACTGAATCTCAGAAGTAACATCCCGTTGCCTTTGTAGCATTCTATTGACGAAGAGCAAGTCACTAATTCCAGCCACACTCAAGCAGAGGAAATTACCCAAAGACATGAAGACCACAAGGTAGGCATCACTAGGAACAGTCTGAGAAGTGGTCTACTGCATCTTATTTATCAAAATTCCTGGGTCAATTGAACAATAATAACTGTCCTCCTTTGCATTGAAATTAAACGTTTGTGTACAGTCAAGTATGTGTGTATGATAAGTATATAGAGTCACAATTAGGAGCTTTCTGCAGGCATCTACAGCTTACTTTCTTTATCCCTCCACCATATCCATACTGCCACTTTCATGAAGCTGTTCTGGGAAGGGTCCCCAGTGGCCTCTACAATGTCCAAATAACATTTTTCTTTCAAGGTCTTGTTTGACTCCTTGGCAACGTTGGGCATTGTTAACCACTTCCTCCATGAAACTACTCTCTTGGCTTCAAAGAGTGCTACTCTAATCTGGTTTTCCTTCTACCTGTTGGACTTTGCCTCTTAATGTTCATCATATTCTCCTCTGTGTTTACTTGCTTACTAAATGTGATGTTCTCGATAGTTTCCCTTTTTAGCCCTTTTCTATACTCATTCTATATACTCCTCTTCAGTAGCCTTATGCACACACTTGATTTCAAGTGTACTTGATACTGGTGATCCCCCAATAGACTTCTACAGCATGGAAATCTCAGCTCCCTTGTATCCCATGCCACCAGCTCTTCATTTCCACTTTATTATTTTCAGACTCCAAATTTTATTCTTTATTAATTTTAGCATTTCAGGTAAAGGCAACATGTTAACTCTGTTATCCAAAGCAGCAATGTAATCGTCATTTTAGACTCCCCCCCCTTTTTTTAATGGCTCTCTGACATTGTCTATATAAATAATTTTCTATATATTTCTCAACTCTTTCTTCTCCCTACCAGTTTCACTATGACTGCTCCCATTTGAGCATCTTTCTCTTCACCTCTGGATGAAGATTATTAAGATTGTAGCCTCCTGACTGGGTGCGGTGGCTCACACTTTTAATCCCAGGACTTTGGGAGGCTGAGGCGGGCAGATCACGAGGTCAGGAGATCGATACCATCCTGGCCAACACGGTGAAACCTTGTCTCTACTAAAAATACAAAAAAATTAGCCGGGCATGGTGGCGAGCGCCTGTAGTCCCAGCTACTTGGGAGGCTGAGGCAGGAGAATGGCATGAACCCGGGAGGCAGAGCTTGCAGTGAGCCGAGATTGTGCCACTGCACTCCAGCCTGGGTGATAGAGAGAGACTCCGTCTTAGGGGAAAAAAAAAAGCAAAAGATTGTAGCCTCTTAATTTGTTGCTGCCTCCAGGGACAATTTCCAACTTGTCTTTGTGTCAACTGAATAATATTTAAATGATTTAAAAGCCCTTATCACTATCAGGATAAAACCCTAAACCCTTAGTTTTGCATGCAAAACACTTTATATGTTCTTTACTTTCTTCTTTACTTTTATCTCCCAATTTGCACCACACGCATTGAATGTTCTGTTCATCCAGAACCAGCTGTAGGGTCTTGAAACTTTGCTTACACCACTGGACCTGTATACCCACAGCTTACCAACCTTGTCAATTCTTCAGGCTCCCTCTGATTGGATAAATTCTGTTTATTTTCTGCAGGACAGGTAAATAATCGCCAGATCTGAGAAGCCTTCTTTGAATTGCCCTCCTCCACAGTCTACAGCCTGCCCATACATACATATGTAAATACAAACACGCCTATATACTACACAGCCACAGGCTGGCCTGAGTGCTTTTCCTTTGTTATCCCAATGCGTCCTGAACATGTCTTATCATTGCCATGACCATTCTGCATTGTACTTACCTGTTTACTTATGTCCCTGCTGTTAGACTGAACATCATTAACAGTAGGATCATGTACATTCCTGCATCTCCAATACCTAATTCAGAGTCTAGCATGAAATAAGTCCACAATAACGTGTCGTTGAATTAATAAAAACTTATGTGAATGAATGATTGTTGAATTCTTACATTTTGACTATATATAACATATATTGGATTTAATATATTTAATTTTGTTAAGAACCCCTATATTTTTGATGGGGAATGGAGGGAAAGATTTCTAAGAAGTTTGGAGCTAGCTATTTCCTAGTCCCACTAAGTGAGAAACAGTACTTGGACTCTTAGCAAACTCTTAGTTAAAATGGAGAGCTCCAGCTTTTTTTTAGCTTGATTGCAAAACCACGTCTGCCAGACACGTTTGCTAGTTGACCTTCTGTGTCCCATATGCTTTCCTGTAATTCTCTTGGTGCTTCCAGCCACTTGGTTGCTATGGTGTGATTAGTTACATTCAGAAGTTTCCCTCTTCTTTGAGAATAGAAGGTTTTCTCTGTCTATGTCCAATTCTTCTCTACTCCTGAGGCCAGTTGGGGAGGGAAGCAAGAAGAGATTGTGAAAGTTTGCCATTGGTGAAACAATCACCTTTGATGCACACTAGAAAAATGGATGAGAGTTGTAATGAAAGAGTAACTTCAGCCAACCAAAGTCAAGTCCAGATTTTCAATGTTGTGGTGGAGGTTCCAGAATCTCATCATAGGAGGATTAGTTATAATTCTGTTGAGTGATTCACAGAATGATAATAACACAGCACAGAGGTTGTTTTTGGCCTTTCCTCAGAGTTAAAATTCCCTACAGATACCATCTTATGGATACTCCAAACATGCCTGCATTGTAGAGACAAGCAACAGAACGATGCTTACAGGTAGGTACTTGAGTCTGTTTCACCACCTGGGGGCAGGGCCACACCTAGTTCATACCAGCAAAGTGAGATCTTTGCTGGTTTAATTGTAGGCCATTAATGCCTTTTATCATACCTGGAGTGGAGTCCCTAACTTACAATTTAAGTCTATTTATTATTACTAACATTATTAGCCAATTACCATGATTTAGAGTCCTAAATTCACCTCTCTCTCTCTGTCTGTGTGTGTGTGTGTGTGTGTGCGCGTGTGTGTGTGGTGTATAATTAATCTGAATATGATGGTCTAAATTTGTCTGTATATGCATATATATGTAGCCAATCTGAAATTTTCCTTGAACTGAATTTTTTTTTTTTAATTTTTTAAAAAAATGTTTATGAGTTTATTCATAGAGCACTGAGCTTCCATCCTCTCTAAACCTCCCCAGCACCCAGACCCTGGTACCATGAGTGATGACACTTTTTCTTATTGGATATAACTGAATTGATAGTTACTGTACTGAAGGCTTCAGACTAAATGTTTCAACTCCAGCTTTAGGACAAACTCTGAAAAAGTCCCTTATGACTGGAAACCTTTCCTTCCTGGTAGGCCACCTCTGCTCATCCCCTGCATTTTCCTCCCTGGCCCCACCTGTACCGCCGTCCTTGGGGGATCATTTTTCTCTCCCTGTTGTCTGGTGCTTCATTCCCCATAGTGGACCATCCTTGACACACAATGATACACTCTGCTACCTTTTCAAATACATCAAAATTTTAACAAAATTCTTTGTAAATGAAGGATCAGATATTTTATGGTCATGTTTTAAGCATCAGCCAGAAGATAAAGGAAAAGGAAAACTGGTTTCTTTTTTTTTTTGAGATGGAGTCTTGCTCTGTTGCCCAGGCTGGAGTGCAGTGGTGTGATCTCAGCTCACTGCAACCTCCGCCTCCCAGGTTCAAGCAATTCTCCTGCCTGCAGAGTAGCTGGGACTATAGGCCCCTGCCACAACGTCCAGCTGATTTTTGTATTTTTAATAGATATGAAGTTTCACCATGTTGGCCAGGCTGATCTCGAACTCCTGACCTCAAGTGATCCGCCCACCTCGGCCTCCCAAAGTGCTGGGATTATAGGCATGAGCCACTGTGCTTGGCCAGGAAAACTTTTTATGTGGGACTTCTTGTCTCTTCTCTTTAAGGTATTTTTTATATTAATAGCAATCTGATTTTCCTCTGACCTCCAATTCAAATTGACTAAATATCTCAAGCTTCTTGTATAACTATTCCTTGGGCCCAAACTTTCTCACCTCCATTATCAACACCATCATCTCGACCATATATCAATCTAATTTTTTCACACTAATCTCTGGTACTACAAGGTACCAGAAAGTTCTGAATTCAAGAGTTGTCTGATCAACAATATGCAACAACAACATGCTTGTGTTTCAATGATAAATCCTGGCATTGGCGAGGATGAAGAAAACCATGCATTCTCATACTCTATTGTTCTCAGGAGTGTGGCTTTAGATGTGAATCCTAGTCTTTGTATATCAATTTGTTTCCACCATGAGAGAAGCCATCCATGGATAGAGCTAATAACAGGAAATGCCAAGTAGAGTGATAAAAATAAGTTTTTGATGACAGTGTTGATTGCTGAATCAAGCCAGTCCTGCAGTTGTTCTTCCCAATTAATGAACCTCTATATCCTCTTTACAGTTTCAACCAGGTTGTGTGTTACTTGCTTCTTAAGTCACCCTAAATTACAGGCATAATATAGGATATATACAGGTTTTAAGAAGCATAATGAGGATCTATATGTAATGATATGAATAGAAGACAAAGTAAGATGCAATTTGTTGTATTTTTTAAAAAAATCAAGATGCAGAACATTGTATATATTATATATATATATAAATGGGAACATTATATACAATGTTCACTCTCCCTTTTTTATATAAAGTGATTATGGGCCTTTATGTATTCATATGTTAGTTTATAACCTTATATCCTAGTACATGCAAATAATGTTTCTAGAAATATAAATAAGACACTGTTAACCATGGAGTGGGTATAGGAAGTTGGGAATGGGAAAGAGGACATACTTTTACCTTAAACATTTCCAAACTGTTGAAAACTTTGAAATGGGAATCCATTACTTTAAAAATTAGGAATAATAACTATGAAAATCTTTAAAAATTTGTGCCAGACAGTGCTAGGAGTGGATAACTCTGTCCTATAAGGAGTTCATTGTCTAGAGGAGATAAATATACAAAAACACAATGCGGTAATGTGCTTCTTGCAGGTGCAAAGATAATCCAGTTCCATGGGGAAGAGTCACATGGGCCTTTAGAGAGGAGATGATGCCTAGCTGAGGTTTTACAGTGGGAATAGGAGTTCACCAAACAGACTGGGAGGGGGATATTTTGAGAATACGAAGAGGTGAAATGCAGGCCCTTGTCTCTTTTAGAAACTGTTAATGAGTCAATAATTCCAGAGAGGACAAAGGGAGAGTGGTGAGGACAGAGGAGCAAGCAGAAGCCATGTAATGACTAGCGTGCTTGCCAGGCTAAGAAGCTGGGCTTTTATTTTTCAGCACCTAGAAACCTTTTGCCAAGGCTGAAAATTCTATTAATTTCTCAGAATAAAATATTTTAAGCAAGTAGGAAACTATAATGATAAAGAATATAGAGTATAATATAGCAAAACTCAGGTATTCATCATCCAGTCCTGTCAAATCTTAATATTTAGCTTCAAAATTTTTTAAAAGAAATAAAACATTACAAATATAGCAAAAGCTCTCCATATACTCTTCCTTTACCTCAATCCCCTTTGCCTTCAAAGAAAAGTATACATATAGTTTACAGACAAGTGGTAACTTAATATCAGAAAGAGAACATAATTTAGGTACTCTACTCAGTCGTTTTTAACTCTTAATGCAGCCTATTCACATGTCACCCTACAATGGATAAACTGTCACATAACCCATGTAAAATAAGAAACCATGGTCAGCTTGAAGTTTTTCATATAGCAACTGTCTTGTCATATAATGATGCCCTTTAGAATAAAAAGATGCGTGTCTGCTATAGCTAGAAACCATTAGACCCTGACCTGATATTGGAAAGGGTCACGAGCATATGTAGACTTATTTTGAAACGGAGGATCAGGAAAAGTGGTCATGGAAGTCATTGACTTCAAAATCACCAAGTGATTCTTAACTTCAGTTTGTTTGTTGTTTACATTATTGGTGTGCAGTGACGTGTGTTTGACTATGTGTCTGAGTGTGTGCATTTGCGTGTGGTGTGTCTCTTTAGAATACAAAAGAGGCTGGTTTAGTTTTCAGTATCTGGTTAATAAGAAGTTAAACCAAAAAGGCTGTTCTTGGATGAAAAGCAGGTTGATCATTTGCCACCCTTTATAAAAGGGGGGTTTGAATGATACAAAACTACGTACTTTTACATAAGTAGAAGGCATTCAACATGCTACATTATCTGCACCAAAGAGAAGATAGCAAAAATAGCATACTTTTCTAAACTTACTCTTATTTGCTTCATGTTTACTCTACATTGGTTAATATTAACAAGGCTTAAATTAAATGACATTTACTATGAAAAGTGAAATTTTAATGAGCACAGGAAAGCATAAATGTTTACTGAACACTTACATATTTAAGAGGATGTTATACAACTTACAGCAAAATTAAAAAAAAATTCAGCATTTTGAAACATAGGTAAGGTTTTTTTGTAGTTTTTTTTTCGACTTTCAAGTGGTATAAATTACTTGTGTTTAAGATGTACAAACCCACACTGAAACCACTTTAAATAATTCTGAGAATAAATAAATACTCATAGTATATTTTCTAAATTAGTGCCAGGGATATTATACACCTATGCAGTCTATTTCTTACCACAGTTTGAAATCTCACAGCCTCAAAGTACAATTATTTTCCTTCTTTTTTAATTATTCAAGTAACACACTCTATTGCCTTTCAACATTTATAACTCAAAGTTATCTGATTTTTTTCTAATTTGTCATCAATTAAGAAAGAACTAGAGTTTTAGCATATATCTTCTTTTAAAAAAATCAAGATGAAAAACAAAAAAGAAGAAAAGTAGTGTGATACTTTTTCTCCATTTGGTAACTCACCTGACATTTACCTGCTAAGTCTTTATCCAGGCTTTCATTCCATCCAACATACTGATCTCAATATAATCAGCGTCTTCTTAAGCACATTCATGATAAGATATGACTGCTCTGTTTTAAAAATTGTATAGCTCCCTCTCCCCAGTCCAATATTTCAAATCCCACTTAACTAAAACAAAGCAAAATTTGACTGATAGAAAATTATTTGCAAATAAAAGAAAATAATTTAGAATCAATCCCTTGAATAAATAATCTATAATAAGCTATGTTAACATCATGTACATTTCCATTAATATATTTATAACTTATTTATAAAATAATGCTCTTGATATAGTCTGTTAATTATATATACTAAACATATTTATAAAATAATAACATGGCACATACATTATTTCATAAAAACATTAAGTATAGAATATTTATGCATATATGCTATATTAAAAGCATTAGTTTATTAAAAAGCATTATATATATACTCAATAATCCGACAGCCAGTCTTTTTCTAAAGCTTAGAATTTCAAGAAACCAAAAATCAAATGATATAGGATAGCAGAAAACTTAAAATTTTGTCTTTTTTCTTATTTAGATTAATGAGTTGAAAACTATTTTCAAAGAGAATGAGTCACCTGGAAAAGCTGTCAAAACTGGATCAAAGAGTTTAGGTTTTCTAAGAAGAGAGAACTGTTAGGAGGCTAAAACCATACTCCAGATAAATACTGATTGGGCCTCATGGGACATGGTGGTGATAACTCTAAAAGGCATCTTGAAAGATGAAATAGCAAGTAGAAGAACATCTGAAAATAAGACATGGAAGAAAGGGAAGCCTCAAAGATAACTCTAGGATTTTGAACATGAAATCTGAGGAATTGTTGATACCATTAATTGACAAAGGGAAGCTGTGAGAAAGTGTAGGTTTCAAGGGAAAGAAGGCGAAATGCAGTTTGGGGCTATTGAATTTCAAAATTCAATAAGTAAGTAACATTATTACTACAATTTTTCAGATGAGAAACTTAAGTAGGAGGCATTAAGTAATTTGTCCAAGGCCACACAGCTAATAAGTTATGCAGCCAGAATTTGAACGTAGGCAGCTTTCTTTCCTATTGCCCTACTGAAAATTTAAATGCCTTGATCTTTTTCTTTGGAAGCAATTATATAGGTGATGAAAAATTGTAATTGACATCTGGCCTTTGTCAGCCCACAGTGGTGGCTTGAAAAGAAGCTTCTACTGTCTTAGAGACCCCCTACACCATTGGCCACAGTTACCTAACTCAAGTGGTTCACTTATAACCCAGCACCCTGGATCATTGTTTGGTCCAAGGATGGGCACCAAATCCAGGTTGAACCAATCACTGCATTTCCTTAAGAAAATTTTAACTTGACACCGAGGTGGTTTTTGGAGTTGCGAACTTGAGTTGTCAAATAGCCATGTTTCTAACTCCAAGGACGGAGAGCAGCATGAAAGCATGAAGCCAGAAATAATAGAAATTGGGGCCGAGGGCGGGACTCCTGGCAGCATTTGAACTTGATTCTAGTCATCCTTGAGGACCAGCTGCACTTCCACTCTTTTCGTAGTTTGGTTAAGTAAACAACTAGTCTTCCTTCTACCTGATATGTTTTAAGCCAAGTTTCTTTCATTCGTTTGAAATCAAAATAGTTATGGTTGAAAAAGCCACACACAACTGTGGGAACTTGAGCAAGTTACTTAAAACCCTGAATCAGTTTGCTTATTTACAAATAAGTGAAGAAGACATGCTTTTAAAAGGATTTTTTCAGAGCATGAAAATATATGTATACTATCTACTCCCCTTACTTAAAACTCACTTTATTACTCCTTTGAAAAGTATCAGGTACATTCTTCAAGTTCTTTCATTGGAGTTGATTGTTCTTTCATTTAGAATGGTTGACAACCTAGCATGGAACTTAACTCTCCAGAGTGCTGTAGATTACCCATCACAAGACTTTCAGGTACCGAATTTACCCTTCCCTTCCTTATGCTGCACACCCCACAGCTTTACATAATGGTGATAAATCAAACAAACGTCTGGTTGATTTCTGTATGCAGAGCACATGGCAGAGTGCCTAGCACTGAGGAACTCTTCAGGAACTATTTTAAAACAGTTAGAAGCAACAGCTGAATTTCTTTAAGAAATAATCATGTAATGTGATGGTCTCATTCCAAGAACATTAAAAGGTCTCAATAAGTATTCATTAGTGCTCCAGAAGCCCCAACAGCGGCTTTTAGTTATTGTCTCTCCTTAGCGGTATGTTAATTTTGCAAATTTTCCAATTAATCTCGGCATTTTTATTTTCTTTATTTCTTCTTTTCTTTCCCTTCTCTTTTTTATTTTATTTTTGATAGATTAGGAATACAGTATAGATTCAGAGTCCCATCCCAGAAGCTAAATATCTCACCGTTTACTCTTTCCTGTGAGTTTTTATTACCTCTGTGATTGTGTCTGATATTGCTCAAGTCAGGAAGGAAGCGTCATTAAATAAGAAACCAGAGGTAAGACCTTAAATCAAGCATGGTTTGATACTTTGCACATTTAAGCTACTGTTGTGTTTTGGTATTTAAAAAGTTAGAGTTACTTATTTTTACCAGGTTGTTTGAATAAATAACTCTCCAATCATGGTAGAAAAATGATAACTCTTACTTTCTCCAAGCTTAGACTTAGTGACTGTGAGTAAAGACATGGAATCTGAGGAAGATGCTATACCTTCTTTAGATACAAGAATCAGTATTTATGGAATACGTGTGTGTTCAATGCTCACCCATAATGAAGAATGCAAAGCAGTTAGCAAGCCACAGCTTCCGGTACTGGTTTTTACCCATTTCTGCAAATGCTGCCAAGATCTTCTTGGCTAATTTAGCATCTTGCTTGTATGAGATAGGTGGGTGATATTTTCATTATAGGTAAGGAATGGGATTCTAAGAAATCCATTACCTTTAATCCCTACTATGGACAATTGCCAGGCATTATTGCATTCCATATCAATCAAGAATTAGGAGAGAACAATTTAAGTAGAGCTTTAATTGGATTGGAATCTAGAAACAGCTGCAAAAGATTGTATTCTTTCTGAATGGGGGAGCACTGCTTTTCTGGAAGTCTTCACAGTGTACATTATTCTCTTTTTGAATGGAAATATTTGCTGCCAAATACCTGCTTAGGATGTGAAAAGCCAAATTTAACTTATTTTTTTCAGACAGCCTGGCAATTAAGCTTTTACTTTAGAGTTTGGTTTATTCATTCTAATAATGGTTATCATCATGGAAAGTTTTAATTAAGTATTCGGCATCTACCAGATGATATATATGTTACCAAAAAGTAATACCTATTTTTAGAGAGCTCATACTTCATATCAGCAAGAAGTAAGTCATTTAAAAATGTCCTAAGTTAGGCATACACACATGTACACCATGTCAATAATCACCAAGATGTCTATCCTGCATTTGCTTCATATTGCCAAGTGCAAATATGTTTATTTCATTTGTATATTCTTATATCAGTCCTCTAAACACAAAAATGTTAATTTGGCTCCTATTTTACAGATGTGAATATGAGATTCCAATTACTTAAAGGACCTGCCCAAGGCCATAGAGGTGGGAAAGGAAAGGTCAATCGTCTTTCTACTACACCATGTATCACATTATTTTTATGCACTTGAATAACCTTGTCCACAGTCAAAGTTGAAAAATTGGTGAAGATTGTCTAATTTCACTCAGCTTCCTGTTCTGGGCTTTTCTTCATCGTTAGACTCTTCACCTTTTTGAAGCTCTCTTGATCTTTGCCTTCCCTTACCCTCCTACCTCCTAGTGATTCTTTATTTCTCTTTGCAGATACCTTTCCCTCTGCCCACATCTAACAAACTGGTATTCCTCAGAGTCCTATCCTCAAACCTTCTCCTGCTTCAGTCTACTTAGCATTCCTGGAGGATCTCTCCCATATCTGTAGCTTCTGCTACCTATATGTTAGTGACATCCAAATTTTATATTGCTAGTTCAGACTTCTTGCCCACTCCATATCTCTGCTTTGATAACCAGCGGCTACTACAGAGTCAACATGTTACCAAACTGAACCCATTAGATGTCGCTTATACATGCTCCTCCTCCTGCTTCCCCTCTCTTACACCACAGCACCACCCTCTTCTCAGTGGTCTAAGCCAAGAGCCTCAGAGACATCTTTGATCCTGCCTTCTTTCTCACCTTCTTTGTATAATTGACCTCCATATCCAGTGATTCAGCTTTAGAAAAAAAATTTATCTGCTCATTTTTCTTTCAATTCTCATTGTCATTGCCACATTTTAAATTTTGCCCATCTCTCTCTAGAACAATTCCTGTAGCCACCTAAATATTTCTCTGCATCTCTCTAATCATCCTATTACTTAGGGCTTTTAGCCTACTCCTCCCACCAGGGAAACCTCCATCTAATCACATCCAGGAAAATTAGAAATACCGTGTTCAGGCTGGGTGCGGTGGCTCATGCCTGTAATCCCAGCACTTTGGGAGGCCCAGGCGGGCAGATCACCTGAGGTCAGGAGTTTGAGACCAGCCTGGCCAACCTGCTGAAACCCTGTCTCTCCTAAAAATGCAAAAATTAGCTGGGCATGGTGGCGGACACCTGTAATCCCAGCTACTTGGTAGGCTGAGGTAGCAGAATTGCTTGAACCAAGGAGACAGAGGTTGTGGTGAGCTGAGATCACACCACTGCCCTCCAGCTTAGGTGACAGAGTGAGACTCCATCTCAAAAATATTTAAAAAAAAAAAAAAAGAAAGAAAGAAAGAAAAAGAAATACCATGTTCACATTGTTTTCCCCTTTTGCAACCTATCAACTGTGTACCCTGTCATGTTCCCTGTCGACAGGCAAAACTTGCTGGATTTTATATCAACCACATCCCTAAAACCTCATCAAGGTAGGAGGACCTGGAACAGTAGCCACCAGGGTCAGGTGCTCCAGAGCAGTAGCTACTAAGCCACTGTCGGGCTTGGCAGCCTGCTGCACTGACTCAGGCGTGTTCCCCAGTTGAAATGGTTACAACATTTTTACAAAAGCCTTTGTTCTTGATTTGTTTGAGTTGTATGTTAGCTAAGGTTTAATGCGATCCAAGAAGAGGACAATAAGCAGAAATAAATGCAGCTAAATCAATGATAGCAGAAAAATATCTCCAGGTGAAATAATAAATGAAAAATCTTTGGCTCTTTGTATCATTGCAAACGCTTATGATACTATCTTGCCCTTCACTCTCAAACTTGCCCCTGGGGGTGGGGAGAAGTTTATGTAGCAAATTAAGGTACACACAGGGTTCTGCCCTTTTTTTCTGGCTGTTGTTTCTCTAAGTGGAGTCTTCTTATTATCTTAATATAGATTAGGTTTATAAACTCATGAGGATTTGAATTCACATATTTTCTTTTTCAGTTTTAGATTCCTATACAGTTAGTTATAGGAGTCTAAGCTGAAACTTTCCATCAAATAACACATTGTTGGATTGTTAGCACTAGAAGACATCTTATAGCTTTGTTCAATTCACTATTGAGAAAAATGAGGCTCCAAGTAGGGAAACGATGCGTCTGGTGATCACATGACTGGTAGATATTAATCAGCACTTACGTAATACTTGAGTCAGCCTCACCCTATTTAAGTCAATACCCTTTCTGAATGTTCATGTAAATTTGGCATACTAAAAATAAATTGGTTTGTACTGAAGGCTCCATGATGCAGTGGGCAAGTGCGGACATTAGAGTCAGAGCGACCCAATCCAAATGCTGGCTGTCTAATTCTAGGTCAGTCAAGTTAAATTAGAGGCTGTTTCCCCATATGTAAAGGGGGCATAAATAAAATTATGCTTGTAAAATGCTTAATATTGTACATAGCATAGGTCTTCTTTCTCAAAGAAAAAACTAACCATGAAGAAGATATATTAACAGATTCACCAGTTTTGTCTGAACTCCAAGAAAAAAGAAATTATACCACAGCTGTTGGTACTCAAGGGCTGTCTAAAAAAGTGAAGATGTAAATACATCATTTAAACTTCCCTTCCTTTAGATTTTCACTGGTTTGAAAGGGAAATTAGGGGAGCTAGCCTCCTAACTCCAACCAAGGATCACATAAAAGATGGAATGTTTATTCATGTAAGCACAGCTTAACAGATAAGTTTCAAGTTTTTTTAGTTAATAGAATACATACATTTTAAGCTACAATTATACTATAAATAATATCATTAAAAAATTGCATAAAATTAAGTGCACAGTAATACAGAGAGAAAAACCTTCATGGGGAGAAAAGGCATGATGTAGGTACAGGGAGATGAAAAGGCAAAGCCTCCTCGTTAAGGCAAGATAGGCTGTGGACTGAAGTTTGCAGAAAAAAGACCTCATTTAATAGTGAAATGACACCTATGTGTGGGAGAAATTGTTACATAGATTAAGGTTAAGCAATTTGTTTCCTTGACGGTGGACCAAATAATCTCAGTTTAAGTACACTAAAACAATATTGTGCAACCAGACGTTTGTTTTCTCTCTTCTGCTATCTTTCCAATCAGCACACTCAACAATTACACCCTCTGCTCCCAGGCACTCCCACTCTGAAGATTTCACCCATAAATCAGGGACTAGCTTTAAATGCCTGTTTTGCTACCTTCTGTTGTGCAATCGAACATACCACCAGGACATGATCTCCACATAGGGTTTTTGCAGGAGCTGTAATCAAATCAAATCTAAATATGTACTTTCCCTCAGTCTGCCTTTTCAGCAGAAGATACAGCAAAGAAACTTTAATTTCTTGTAAAGTTACTGAGGGAAAAAAACTAGTAATAGCAAAAAAGGAATGATGACCTTAGGTTGTGGGTTAGGATGTTATTTGTTAGACTATAAAGGATTCTGTGTGTGTGTGTGTGTGTGTGTGTGTGTGTGTGTGAGAGAGAGAGAGAGAGCAAGAGAGCACTTTAAGTAAATGAAAATTCAGATGTGAGAAAATTCTTTTCTCAGCTTGCCCACCAGTGGACATTAAGAACTTGAGAACAGCTGACTTTTTATTGTGTTTCACACTTTAGAGCTGGTGGGATGTGAAAGATTATCTGGTTCATTGGCTTCCCAACAAGTTCCCAAGAGCCCAAATGTTCCACAGAGGGAATTAGCGAGATGAACCCCCTTCCCCACATTTGATTTGTATGGTAGGCAGGCACTCACTCGCAAACAAGAGGGATGCATCTTGGAAAGCATGCGTGACTTAAAAATCCAGGGATCTAAAAGGTATTTGTTTCTAGGCAATTGCAGTGAAGGATTCCATTGTGCCAGTTGTAGGTAGTCAACTCTCAAAGAGCTCATGTAAGAGACAGCTTTTTCCTGTCAGTGAAAATGAGAACCAGCAAGCTGCCCACCCTTGACACTTGGCTCCAATTCTCTCAGTTTAGCTCCCCATGTTCTCACCACAAGCCCTTCTGAGTTTTGGGGTTCCAGAGATAGTCTTTGGTAAATTCCCTCTGAACCACTAAAGGATACTTTTCTGATAATCACAAATTGCTTACCTAAAAGCACAAATGACAACTCTAACAGAAAACCTTTCAGTCCCGGTGTATAAACTCCATGTCCCAAATGGGAGTGCCGAGTATCTGGTTAAGGATGGGAGGATGGGATGCTCTATGGGGTATTTTATTCATGACTCGCCATATTACTTACAACATTGTCTGGTAGCAATCCCACTGAGTGCTGCTGTGACATTTTTAAGAATTTTCCTAGTCATTGATGAACAAGTTCTTTTGAACAGCGAGGCACTCATAAAGCATCCAAGTCAGAAGCATACCTCAGTTAAATACACATGGACCAGGAACTACTTAATTGAGGGTTATTGACATTTAATTTGTAAAAAAGGTTTGACCCCAATAAAAAGGACAAAAACCATTGATTAATACTAATTTCTTATTTTTATGGGTAAAGAAACTAAAGGCCAAGGAACAGAAGTGAATTTCTCAAAGTTACATGGCTTTTAAATGATGGAGCTGGGACTAAGGCTGCTGGTGTCTGGCTCATTCAGAGTCACTGCCCCCATACTCCACCCAGAATCAGAGTCGCCAGATGTCAGATTGAGGACAGTGGAGTCCATTTAGTCCATCGGTTTTCTAAAGCACAGATGAATGATAGAAGAATGACTAAAGCTCAGCATGATTCCAGAATTCTGGCACTGCCAGGTATGCATGTATAGCCTCTTTAGATGTCAGTCTTCTCAGAAAATGGGTTTACACTAGATAGTTGCTTTGGGTATCAGTTAATTTTAGTGGCTCAACAGTCCTTGTTTTTGCCTTTTCCCCTCTTTGGTAATAATGTCCCATTCACTTTTGGAGAATCTCCTGTCCCTCAATCTTAGTCACTTGGTTTGGGTAGGACTAACCCTTCTGCTCAGGGTGGACATGTCCCTCGGGCTTGCTAGTCAGAGTGACAGTTGTTGGTTAGGGCATCATACCTGATCTAGTCTCCACCAATGAGAACCAGGTTAGGGTCTTGCTGTCTCTCGATGAGGGTTGTTTAGCTGCTAAGATATGAACTTGTTGCTGGGAGGGTCATATGTAAAGAGAATCTGCCTGAGAATAAAGTCATATGGAGGAAAGGAGAGCTAAAAGATGGGGAGGCAGAGTCTGAATGCCATCTTCTGAGGCCCTGGATCCAGGACCAATAGCCAAGCAGATTTCTTCTTTGTATTAAAACTGGTTCCAGTTAAATTTTGGTCACTTGCAACCTAATAAGTCCTAAGACAAAATCCTTTGGGTATTTCAGTGTTAAAATTGCATAGCTTCGTGAAGAAGGAATCAACAGTAACAGATGCATTCACATATATAGAGGAAATTGTGAAATTCCACTGTCTTAGAATGATGTCTTTAATAGCTCTCTGAATATTTCTCATTATTTTTATTCCCTGAAGATACATAGCAAGTTCTAGTGCTTTGGAAATGAGTTTCTACTTTTTAAGAGAGCATCCTACACATGTCAGTTATATACTCTTTAGCCCTGAATCATTAGAGGAAGTACAGGAGTGAAGGTGGGAATATGGGCATGCCATCATATTTTTAGCAGCTTTATAAATGTATGCATTAGATTTATTCAATTAATAGTTGTCTTAACAGGTTGGGCAATTTTATCATTAACTCAAGGTTTCATTCATTTACAATATCATTTCCTCATTAAATATTCTTTAAGAGGATTTCAGTTGAGTAAGACTATTTAAAATGAGGCACCATACACCTTTTCCCTTTAATGAATTTATTCCTTTTTCAGGAATTAATTAAAATCAGTTGTGGAGAAGAGATATGCAGTAAATGAATAAAGTAGTGTCTGGGCAAATGTAAAGGAGTAACTGCCATTAACTGAAATGAAGCACATTCCAAAGGCAACTTGTTAATGGAGAATTTTCATACTTAGATGCACCAACAAGAAGTTCATTACTCAATGAAATTACACTCATCTGAGACTACTATTTCCCTCTTCCTCCTTCCTTTCCTCTTTCTCACTTTCCCTCTTTTCCTCCCTTCTCTCATCCCTTCCTTCCTTAATTTCACTCTTTCTCTTAAATAAAGTAAATTGGCTTCATTACTATTCCAAGACAAGCCTTTTCTTTCTTTCTTTCTCTTTTCTTTTCTTTTCTTCTTTCTTTCTTTCTTTCTGTCTGTCTTTCTTTCTTTCTTTCTTTCTTTCTTTCTTTCTTTCTTTCTTTCTTTCTTTCTTTCTTTCTTTCTCTTTCTTTCTTTCTTTCAGAGCTTGAACCTTCTAAGATACAAAATAGTCATAAATTATCTTGCTAAATCCAGAGCCTTCATTCTTGGAAAGGCATGGTAAAGAGAAGATACCAGAATGGGGAAAGAGCTGAATTTTCAAACTAGAGGAAACATCCTTTCAAATTTAATTCACAAACTGGGAATGGAAATGTCATTTCCTCACTCAGAGGGTTAATCACTTTCTAATTTGAACCGGCAAATATTATAATGACACTATGAAATTAGCAGCATTTTATTGTGTTAATTATCTGCAGGACACGATATCATTACTTCTAATAAATGTAAATGAGATTGTGTCTCCTAGGACAATACACAGACAAGGTGAATTTTTATTGGCTATTTACAGGATTCCAGGACAGTCTTTCTTCTTTTTTCTCTCCTTATAAAATACTTTCAAACGGTATCATCTTGCCATGCCAATACTCCTATATTTTATTTAATACAATATTTTAAAGGTCATTAAAGTTCTCCTTAACTCACTGGAACTCATTTTCACTCAAAGCAATGTTGATTATTAAAAACCATGTCAAGTGTTAACTCAATCGACTAAGACTGAGAACCGCAGCCCTACTGTAAGAATATTTTTAAAATTCATTCTTTTAAAGGCATTTTAAAAAGTGTTGCTCATCTGCCCACTTGATTCAACTACCAATGGCAGAAAGGACATGAAGTTGTATTTTTCCAAATCATTCAGCAAACATGACAGTTAACAAATACACAGTGCTGTGTCAATCAAAGTTGTCAAATGCTGTTGGGGACCTACTCTAAGGGAGTCACCACATAAGGCTGCAGACAGTGTGAAGAAAAGTAAGAGGTAGTTTTTAGATTGAAAAAGTAGCAAGCTCAGAGAGAAAGGAACACAGATATAGATATAATTGACTAAAGAGAAAATATAAGAAGCACCCTATAACACAAAGAGATATTAAGATGCAAGGGACATTAGTCACCTCCTAATTATGAACATTAGCATAAAAATTTGTCATTTAAGATGAGATTTGAACAGAAAATTCAGATCTCGATAGCCTGAGATATGGAGAGGGCAGGAAGATAATGAGTGATAGTTGTTTTAACAATAATTGCCATCAATTGAACAACTAACTACCATGTGCTAACACATTCTATACATTAACATTCATTATCCTAAAAGGATTATGATATAAATATAATTCCTATTTTATAGATGAGGAAATTGAGGACAAGGAGATTGAATAACATACCCATGTTCACACAGAAGCAACTAGGAGAGAGTCAAATTTCTAACCCATTTCTGTTTATTGTAAAATCCTGTTTTGTTTTCAGTATATGATGCTGCATCTAAAAGCAAAGTTTGATATTAGGTATTTTCATGATAGGTAACCAATCAATGTGGACTATAATTTTGAGAATAAGAGGGAAACTCAGGTGTAATTCAAATCCTGGCTCCAAAATTCCAAATTACGTAATACTGAAATTCATGTAGTCTTTCTCACCATCTCTGTTTCTCCCTTTCTCTCTCTCTCTTGCTATCTCTCTCTCTCTCATTTCTCTCTCTCTTGCTCTCTCTCATCTCTCTCTCTGTAAGTCTGTTTTCTCATGTTTATAAATGGGGAGAATAGCAGTTAACTACAGGATTGAGGTAAGAATTATTTGAGACAATGCAAGCACTTAGCATTGTGTCTGGCACTCATTAAAGGTTGTAGTTATTATTATGGTTGCTGCTGATTGTTGTTGCTGTGGTTGTTATCGTAGTAGTGGTAAAGAAAGATGTTCCTGTCTCTCGCAGAGTTTGTTTCCTTTCTCATTTTAGTCAGGTGCGGTGCCCACCTTTCAACCATGTCAACGTTTTAGGTCATTTTGTACTGAGTGTGAGGATTAAAAATAAATAATTGATCTGAGCTAGGGCAGAGCTGTGATTTGAATGTTTGACCCCTCCAAAACGCAGGTTCAAATTTAATTTGCGATGTAACACTGTGAAGGGTTGGAGCCCTTAAGAAGTAATTACACGGTTATAAAAGGGTGGGTTCAGCCTCCTTTTGCCTCTCGTTGTCCCTCTTTGCTTTTCTGCCTTCTGTTATGTGATGATACAGCAAGAAGACCCTCACAAGATGCCGGCAACTTGATCTTAAACTTCTCAGCCTTAAGAATTTTGAGAAAATACATTTCTGTTCATTACAAATTACCCAATCTTGGGTATTTTGTTATAGCGACACAATTGAACTCAGATAGCTACTATATTCTTTCTAACTTTTGCAAACTTAAATGAAAGAAGAAATTTGAAATTAGCAACTAAAATTACCCTTCAATATTATCAAACCAAGCAATAAATATGCAGGCAGTGCCCATAGTGCTCGTTGCCACACCAGATGACTGTGGTTATACAGAGAAAATTGAACGTGCCTTTGCCATCAAGGAAATTGCCATTTAGTTGGTCAGATAAGACAAGCATGCAAACAATGAAGTAGTAATAGAAACTGGCTTATAATCAATGGCTTAACTACAAAACATAAACCACAGATATTACAGAAGACAGAGGTAAGTGGAGTGGAGGGAGGAGGATGGCCCCTTGGTGGAGGTGGAACTTAAAGTATACCTCATAAGGTAAAAATAAGGTTGAATAAATGGTGTGTGGCTCCATATGGATTACATTTGTCGAACATTTATTACTATGGCATTATAATTATTTCTGTTGTGAAATTATCAGAATAAATTATCTATTCTCACAGAATTAAGCTATGCTGAAGATTTGGTGGAATGTTTTGAGTTAAGTAAAATATGACTAAGAGCATCACAGAAATACAAGTTTTGTGGCACTAAGATAAAACCCAACAATTCTATAGCTAATAAATTTCCTGTTCATACATGAAAAAGACATATAATGGAAAATTACTAATGTTAATTGTTAAACCTAGCAGCTCAGGTTATACAAGCTATTAAAACTATGCAGTGGGTGGGAGTAGGTAGAAGGAAATAAAAGCAAGAAAATTTTCTACTCATATTTAAAAATAAATAATTGGATTTGTTTCCTCCTTTATTTCATGTGTTCATACATTGAAGGAACAACAATTTTGGAAAACTGAGTTATCTATTCAGCATCATTTTTACAAAGGTAAGCAGTTGTAGGATATAAAACAAAATAAATATTTTCCTATTTAATAAAGAAAAACTTCTTTTAGTGAAGTAAATCATAAAATATAAAATAAAAGTATAAACTAGCATGTTGATTGACAACATAAATATAAAATGTGTAACAAAGTCTGTATGTAAGAACAATGACTTTCAGAATGATAAAACATAACATGTTATTAGCTAATAGTTTAATTGACAAGCAAATATAAAAAGAGTTAAAAGTCTTTATTTTAAGGTACAAAGATTCTGAGATTTGGTCTACAATCTACAAGGGATACAAACAAAACAAAGTGATTCAGGAATGTTAAGAACATGGCCAGGCAAATGCAAACCCTAGGGAGGCATGAAAGATGACATTTATTTAAAGCAAAATGGAACCTGAATTTCCCTCAGGTATTGGTAAGTAGAGTCATAGTATGTTGGTTAACAGCAAAATTCACAATGAAGATATAACTGTCAGGGATTTGTATGTGGCTAATTACATGTAATCACAATATATGAAACAATTGTTTTTAAGCATTTTTAAAAGTTGACAGTTTGGCAAAACAAACATTACTACTTGCCTTACTAATTCTACAATAGTAGTTAATGTTATCATATCATTATAGCAAAATATTTTTTGAAGAAAAATATCAGGTTACAAAAGAATATATTCAGTGTATGGCAGAAACTGGCAAACCCATTTTCTTTTCTTCCTGGGCACACAGATTAACAATGTTTTCCATCCTGCTTTGATTTGGATAGGCAACTTTGGTGGAGTCCTAGCCAATGGAATGAGAATGGAATTAATCCATGTCACCTCTAGGCCTATACTTCAACCCTCCCACATGAAATTTCACACGCTTCTTGTTCTTTAGTGGGAACACAGAAACCCTGGAAGCTCTCTGGTGAGAACTGCAGAGCCACAGGGTGGAAGTAGTCCAGGTCCCTCATCTTGCTGATCATGCATACCTGTTTTAGACATTATGCAAGAGAGACCTAAATCTCTATGGTGTTTAAGCCATTGTACTTTTGGGGGCTGGGCTTTATAGCAACTTGTGTGACCTTAACTAATAAAGACTATATGACTACAATGTGTGTGGGTGTGTGTGTGTGTGTCTGTGTGTGTGTCTGTGTATGTGTGTGAGACAGAGACAATATTAGCATATGGTTGTCTGTGTTTTCATACATATTATACTTTATCACAATTATCTGCTCCCATGACCATATGGATGTATTTTTAATTACATGAAAATAAAAATTGCGTTTATCTTTGGGTGACATGACTAAGAAGAATTCTGTTTTTATATTTATTTTTATTTTTCATATTTTCTACAAGAAACTTGTTTTACATTTATAATGAAAAAGTATTAACTTATTAAATTTTTAAACACAAGAAAAAGCGGTCTCCCCCTTCAGATATCTTTTAAGTGCTGAGACAAACTTATCATACGTTAATGACTTGTGAATAAACATACATGTCTTAAGAGCTTTTAAGAGCTTACTAATCACAGTAAGAACTAGTTATTCTTTCATTTATTCATCAAACATTGATTGAATACCAATTATTTGTCCAGCTCTAGGCCAGATACAAAAGATACACATTGACCCAGAAGATAGTCATTTACAGCGAAAGCAAATTCTCTACTCCCTGCGCTCACAGTCTATTATGACAGATAGTTATATAAACACAACAGAGCCATGTAATGAGTAATTTCCAACTGGAGTTCAGTGTAGGCTAGTGGTAGCCCAAACAAGATAATAAATAACTAACTCTGTTTTAAGAATCAAGGTGATTCTCACAAAAGAAGACCCTTGAGCTCTGTTTCGAAGCATAAATGAGTTAGCCAAGTGGATATACAGAAAAGGCCCAGCACCTTTGCAGATGCAGAGCAAAGAGCTTAAGAATGGCTAAAGTGTTGCTCCATGCAAGGAGGGTCTGGGAAAATATGAGGTGAGAGATGGATTTAGGTTGGAGACAGGTCACCAAGCCATCATATGGCCAGAATAGACAGGAACCGCGATCAAATTGGCATTATGGGAAGATATCTTTGTCAGAGTAAGAAATGGTTGTAGAGAGGCTGGAGGCTGGGCAAGGTGGTTCACAGGTTCAGACCCATCTCAGGCAAGAGATGGACAAGTAGAGTGCAGGGTCCATTTCTTTGGGCATTTCCCAGAGCATCCGGGGAAAATCCCTTATAAACAAATTTGAAAGAAAACAAACAAATTGGTAGTGAGGATGAAAGACAGAAATGATGCACTTTGTTATTACAATTTAGTAACTTTGCAGATACACATCTTGGCTCTCATTGTTGTGTATTATCATTAAGTCAAGTACATGGAAACAAGGTTAAAGCTAATCTCGGTAAAAGTCTGCAGTAGTTGTCTAGGGCTGCATTAACAAATCACCACCAGTTTGGTGGCTTAAATCAAGAAAAATTTATTTCCTCACATTTCTGGAGGGCAGAGTCCAAAATCAAGGTGTTGGCAAAGTCACAGTCCGTCTGGGGGCTTTACAGGGGAGTCCTTTCCATGCCCATCTCCTTGCTCCTGGTGGCTGCCAGAAATGCTCGTGTTGCTTGGTTTGTGACTGAATCACCCCAAGCTCTGCCTTTGTCTTTACATCCTCTTCTCCTCTCTGTGTGTCTTTTAATGAGGACCCTTGCCATTGTTTCAGGGTTCCCCCAGAAAAGCAGGATGATCTCAAGTCCTTAACTACATCTGCAGAAACTTTTTTCTGAAAAAAACTAACATTTACAGGTTCAGAGAGGGATGTAGATATCTTTTGTGGGGACACCATACAACCCTCAAAGGGGTAGAGCCTCATAGCCAGAAATAATATGTGAAACTGTGACTGGTTAGAGTACTTATAAGCTGTTTGAGGGCAGGATCTGTGTTTTTTGCCTTGGATAGCAGCCAGGAGCTTGCAGATCACATAGTGGAGATTTGACAAAGCCAAGGCTGGAACCTTGGTTTTGGAATTCAACAGTAGTTTAGGTTAGATTCATTGAAATAGATGCTGCAGCTAAACATCACAGCTCCTCTCCCTTCTGAGAATTTAATGGCAGTGCATTCATCTTCCCTCAAAAAGCAGCTCTCCACATCTGAGCAGGCAGTTTCACGTGAACTCATGAAAATGTCTTCTGTAAGCCTCAAATTAATTGTGTTATATAGAAAGAGACTCTGTCATATTGCTCTTTGCCCAGATTTGTCTTATGAAATATAGGATCTCATCCTGGGATCTCCAGCCTGCTGATGTCAAGCTTCCAAACCTTACAGGCATCTAAGTGAAACCTTTTCTTGAAACTTGTTCCAGCAGAAATGCATAGCCCAATGCACAGGGTTCCTCTTTCACTGGCATGTGTGTTTATGTGTGTGTGCACACACACACACATACACACACACTACTCACCCCCCACCCCCCCGGGTTAATGACACTCCTGGTTGATTTATTGATTGTCTATAACACCACTGGCTTTTCTTGACGCACTTGTGATCTTCCCAGTTGTAAGTGCCACCCCTAGTGGAAAGTTGCCCCCAAACTGGGATTTTTTGATTGCTGTTTGACTTCCTCAACTTGACTGGTCAGGGCTGAACCTTCTCAGCTTCCCTGGAATAAGCTTCTAAAGCCTTTTCCCTCCAAAGCATCTGTAAACAGTTGAAGGTCATGATTGTTCACCCTGTAAGATCGATATGCCATTAAATTGTGACAAAAAGGACTGCCAGACCATTAAGGCCTCCCTCATACCCTCAGTAATCTGATAAAATGATGAGCTGTTTTAACCTCTTTGGCTCCCATTGCTAACTACGTAGAAAACTCCTAACTGCTGAGATAACCCTTTCTGCAAAGTCAGGACGTCTCACAAATGACTGAAGCTGATTTTGAGCTCCTTCTCCTATTTTTTCTGCTATTGTGCTATTTTTTTCATTTTATCTTTTTTTTTGTGTCCACACAGTCTAAAGTCTAGTGTTATTCTTAAAACTATTTTGACTCAAAACTATTTTATTCTAAAATGAACCAGCTACTCGAGAGCCTCCTCACATAGATAAATGAGTCAACTTCCTAATGGTTAACAGACAAAAATAGAACTATTCATGAGAACTTCAAATGGCACAGGTCTAGAGCATCTGAAACACATGAGATTTGCCTAAATTGAACCAATCTTGGATGTATGGTAAGTTTACAATATTGAATTCTGTTGAATTTCTGTCTATTCTATTCTCTTAGTGTAAAAGGTAAGAAGGAAAAGATAGGGTTTTGATAAATGGGAGAAAAAGCAATTTTTGTGATCTGAAAATAATTTTAATGGATTTAAGTATTCTGGGAACCATTTGAAATTTAAATCTGGACACTCCAAGTCTTGCTTGACATTACAGAGTGAGCTCATGTATTATTTGAAGTTAATTTTATCCAGAGAGTGCCAAAATCAACTGCTACTATGAACTGATATCCAATGTGTTTGAAAACTCTGTGACTGTTTAGCCAGATAAAGTTGATCTCACCCTTTTTACTAATGCTTAAGTTATCTGATATCCAAATCATATTTTATAATTTTTGTTTCCAGCTTAGAATTTCCTTGCCAGCCAAGTTGGCTTTTGTAAACTACCTAATGTAATCACAATGCAGCGTTTAGACTTTATACCTAATGTGTATACACACACAGTTATGTGCGTGCACACACACACACAAAGCGCACACACACACACACACACAACAACACTGGTATTGTCTCTTCTGAACTAGTCCAAAAAATATATATCATCTGGGCTGCAAAATCATGGTTGAAATCCACTGCTTCATATTTATTGTTATTTATTAATTCTTTTTATTTTCTTTTATTATTATACTTTAAGTTTTAGGGTACATGTGCACATAGTGCAGGTTAGTTACATATGTATACATGTGCCATGCTGGTGCGCTGCACCCACCAACTCGTCATCTAGCATTAGGTATATCTCCCAATGCTATCCGTCCCCCCTCCCCCCACCCCACAACAGTCCCCAGAGTGTGATGTTCCCCTTCCTGTGTCCATGTGATCTCATTGTTCAATTCCCACCTATGAGTGAGAATATGCGGTGTTTGGTTTTTTGTTCTTGCGATAGTTTACTGAGAATGATGATTTCCAATTTCATCCATGTCCCTACAAAGGACATGAACTCATCATTTTTTATGGCTGCATAGTATTCCATGGTGTATATGTGCCACATTTTCTTAATCCAGTCTATCATTGTTGGACATTTGGGTTGGTTCCAAGTCTTTGCTATTGTGAATAGTGCCACAATAAACATACGTGTGCATGTGTCTTTATAGCAGCATGATTGATAGTCCTTTGGGTATATACCCAGTAACGGGATGGCTGGGTCAAATGGTATTTCTAGTTCTAGATCCCTGAGGAATCACCACACTGACTTCCACAATGGTTGAACTAGTTTCCAGTCCCACCAACAGTGTAAAAGTGTTCTATTTCCCCACATCCTCTCCAGCACCTGTTGTTTCCTGACTTTTTAATGATTGCCATTCTAACTGGTGTGAGATGGTATCTCATTGTGGTTTTGATTTGCACTTCTCTGATGGCCAGTGATGGTGAGCATTTTTTCATGAGTTTTTTGGCTGCATAAATGTCTTTTGAGAAGTGTCTATTCATGTCCTTTGCCCACTTTTTGATAGGGTTGTTTGTTTTTTTCTTGTAAATTTGTTTAGTTCATTGTAGATTCTGGATATTAGCCCTTTGTCAGATGAGCAGGTTGCAAAAATTTTCTCCCATTTTGTAGGTTGCCTGTTCACTCTGATGCTAGTTTCTTTTGCTGTGCAGAAGCTCTTTAGTTTAATTAGATCCCATTTGTCAATTTTGTCTTTTGTTGCCATTGCTTTTGGTGTTTTAGACATGAAGTCCTTGCCCACGCCTATGTCCTGAATGGTATTTCCTAGGTTTTCTTCTAGAGTTTTTATGGTTTTAGGTCTAACATTTAAGTCTTTAATCCATCTTGAATTGATTTTGTATAAGGTGTAAGGAAGGGATCCAGTTTCAGCTTTCTACATATGGCTAGCCAGTTTTCCCAGCACCATTTATTAAATAGGGAATCCTTTCCCCATTGCTTGTTTTCCTCAGGTTTGTCAAAGATCAGATAGTTGTAGATATGCGGCATTATTTCTGAGGGCTCTGTTCTGTTCCATTGATCTATATCTCTGTTTTGGTACCAGTACCATGCTGTTTTGGTTACTGTAGCCTTGTAGTATAGTTTGAAGTCAGGTAGTGTGATGCCTCCAGCTTTGTTCTTTTGGCTTAGGATTGACTTGGCGATGCGGGCTCTTTTTTGGTTCCATATGAACTTTAAAGTAGTTTTTTCCAATTGTGTGAAGAAAGGCATTGGTAGCTTGATGGGGATGGCATTGAATCTGTAAATTACCTTGGGCAGTATGGCCATTTTCACGATATTGATTCTTCCTACCCATGAGCATGGAATGTTCTTCCATTTGTTTTGTTTGTATCCTCTTTTATTTCCTTGAGCAGTGGTTTGTAGTTCTCCTTGAAGAGGTCCTTCACATCCCTTGTAAGTTGGATTCCTAAGTATTTTATTCTCTTTGAAGCAATTGTGAATGGGAGTTCACTCATGATTTGGCTGTTTGTCTGTTGTTGGTGTATAAGAATGCTTGTGATTTTTGTACATTGATTTTGTATCCACAGACTTTGCTGAAGTTGCTTATCAGCTTAAGGAGATTTTGGGCTGAGACAATGGGGTTTTCTAGATATACAATCATGTCATCTGCAAACAGGGACAATTTGACTTCCTCTTTTCCTAATTGAATACCCCTTATTTCCTTCTCCTGCCTAATTGACCTGGCCAGAACTTCCAACACTATGTTGAATAGGAGTGGTGAGAGAGGGCATCCCTGTCTTGTGCCAGTTTTCAAAGGGAATGCTTCCAGTTTTTGCCCATTCAGTATGATATTGGCTGTGGGTTTGTCATAGATAGCTCTTCTTATTTTGAGATACATCCCATCAATACCTAATTTATTGAGAGTTTTTAGCATGAAGCATTGTTGAATTTTGTCAAAGGCCTTTTCTGCATCTATTGAGATAATCATGTGGTTTTTGCCTTTGGCTCTGTTTATATGCTGGATTACATTTATTGATTTGCATATATTGAACCAGCCTTGCATCCCAGGGATGAAGCCCACTTGATCATGGTGGATAAGCTTTCTGATGTGTTGCTGGATTCGGTTTGCCAGTATTTTATTGAGGATTTTTGCATCAATGTTCATCAAGGATATTGGTCTAAAATTCTCTTTTTTGCTTGTGTCTCTGCCCGGCTTTGGTATCAGAATGATGCTGGCCTCATAAAATGAGTTAGGGAGGATTCCCTCTTTTTCTATTGATTGGAATAGTTTCAGAAGGAATGGTACCAGTTCCTCCTTGTACCTCTGTTAGAATTTGGCTGTGAATCCATCTGGTCCTGGACTCTTTTTGGTTGGTAAGCTATTGATTATTGCCACAATTTCAGCTCCTGTTATTGGTCTATTCAGAGATTCAACTTCTTCCTGGTTTAGTCTTGGGAAAGTGTATGTGTCGAGGAATTTATCCATTTCTTCTAGATTTTCTAGTTTATTTGCGCAGAGGTGGTTGTAGTATTCTCTGATGGTAGTTTGTATTTCTGTGGGATCAGTGGTGATATCCCCTTTATCATTTTTTATTGCGTCTATTTGATTCTTCTCTCTTTTTTTCTTTATCATTCTTGCTAGCGGTCTATCTATTTTGTTGATCCTTTCAAAAAACCAGCTCCTGGATTCATTAATTTTTTGAAGGGTTTTTTGTGTCTCTATTTCCTTCAGTTCTGCTCTGATTTTAGTTATTTCTTGCCTTCTGCTAGCTTTTGAATGTGTTTGCTCTTGCTTTTCTAGTTCTTGTAATTGTGAGGTTAGGGTGTCAATTTTGGATCTTTCCTGCTTTCTCTTGTGGGCATTTAGTACTATAAATTTCCCTCTACACACTGCTTTGAATGCGTCCCAGAGATTCTGGTATGTTGTGTCTTTGTTCTTGTTGGTTTCAAAGAACATCTTTATTTCTGCCTTCATTTCGTTATGTACCCAGTAGTCATTCAGGAGCAGGTTGTTCAGTTTCCATGTAGTTGAGTGGTTTTGAGTGAGATTCTTAATCCTGAGTTCTAGTTTGATTGCACTGTGGTCTGAGAGATAGTTTGTTATAATTTCTGTTCTGTTCTTTTATATTTGCTGAGGAGAGCTTTACTTCCAAGTATGTGGTCAATTATGGAACAGGTGTGGTGTGGTGCTGAAAAAAATGTATATTCTGTTGATTTGGGATGGAGAGTTCTGTAGATGTCTATTAGGTCCACTTGGTGCAGAGCTGAGTTCAATTCCTGGGTATCCTTGTTGACTTTCTGTCTCGTTGATCTGTCTAATTTTGACAGTGGGGTGTTAAAGTCTCCCATTATTAATGTGTGGGAGTCTAAGTAAGTCTCTTTGTAAGTCACTCAGGCCTTGCTTTATGAATCTGGGTGCTCCTGTATTGGGTGCATATATATTTAGGATAGTTAGTTCTTCTTGTTGAATTGATCCCTTTACCATTATGTAATGGCCTTCTTTGTCTCTTTGGATCTTTGTTGGTTTAAAGTCTGTTTTATCAGAGACTAGGAGTGCAACCCCTGCCTTTTTTTGTTTTCCATTTGCTTGGTAGATCTTCCTCCATCCTTTTATTTTGAGCCTATGTGTGTCTCTGCATGTGAGATGGGTTTCCTGAATACAGCACACTGATGGGTCTTGACTCTTTATGCAATTTGCCAGTCTGTGTCTTTTAATTGGAGCATTTAGTCCATTTACATTTAAAGTTAATATTGTTATGTGTGAATTTGATCCTGTCATGATGATGTTAGCTGGTTATTTTGCTCGTTAGTTGATGCAGTTTCTTCCTCGTCTCGATGGTCTTTACATTTTGGCATGATTTTGCAGCGGCTGGTACTGGTTGTTCCTTTCCATGTTTAGCGCTTCCTTCAGGAGCTCTTTTAGGGCAGGCCTGGTGGTGACAAAATCTCTCAGCATTTGCTTGTCTGTAAAGTATTTTATTTCTCCTTCACTTATGAAGCTTAGTTTGGCTGGATATGAAATTCTGGGTTGAAAATTCTTTTCTTTAAGAATGTTGAATATTGGCCCCCACTCTCTTCTGGCTTGTAGGGTTTCTGCCGAGAGATCCACTGTTAGTCTGATGGGCTTCCCTTTGAGGGTAACCCGACCTTTCTCTCTGGCTGCCCTGAACATTTTTTCCTTCATTTCAACTTTGGTGAATCTGACAATTATGTGTCTTGGAGTTGCTCTTCTTGAGGAGTATCTTTGTGGCGTTCTCTGTATTTCCTGAATCTGAACGTTGGCCTGCCTTGCTAGATTGGGGAAGTTCTCCTGGATAATATTCTGCAGAGTGTTTTCCAACTTGGTGCCATTCTCCCCATCACTTTCAGGTACACCAATCAGACGTAGATTTGGTCTTTTCACATAGTTCCATATTTCTTGGAGGCTTTGCTCATTTCTTTTTATTCTTTTTTCTCTAAACTTCCCTTCTCGCTTCATTTCATTCATTTCATCTTCCATCACTGATACCCTTTCTTCCAGTTGATCGCATCGGCTCCTGAGGCTTCTGCATTCTTCACATAGTTCTCGAGCCTTGGTTTTCAGCTCCATCAGCTTCTTTAAGCACTTCTCTGTATTGGTTATTCTAGTTATACATTCTTCTAAATTTTTTTCAAAGTTTTCAAGTTCTTTGCCTTTGGTTTGAATGTCCTCCCATAGCTCAGAGTAATTTGATCGTCTGAAGCCTTCTTCTCTCAGCTCGTCAAAGTCGTTCTCCATCCAGCTTTGTTCCGTTGCTGGTGAGGAACTGTGTTCCTTTGGAGGAGGAGAGGCGCTCTGCTTTTTAGAGTTTCCAGTTTTTCTGTTCTGTTTTTTCCCCGTCTTGGTGGTTTTATCTACTTTTGGTCTTTGATGATGGTGATGTACAGATGGGTTTTTGGTGTGGATGTCCTTTCTGTTTGTTAGTTTTCCTTCTAACAGACAGGACCCTCAGCTGCAGGTCTGTTGGAGTACCCTGCCGTGTGAGGTGTCAGTGTGCCCCTGCTGGAGGATGCCTCCCAGTTAGGCTGCTCGGGGGTCAGGGGTCAGGCACCCTGCCGGTTCTCAGATCTCCAGCTGCATACTGGGAGAACCACTGCTCTCTTTAAAGCTGTCAGACAGGGACATTTAAGTCTGCAGAGGTTACTGCTGTCTTTCTGTCTGTGCCCTGCCCCCAGAGGTGGAGCCTACAGAGGCAGGCAGGCCTCCTTGAGCTGTGGTGGGCTCCACCCAGTTCGAGCTTCCAGGCTGCTTCGTTTACCTAAGCAAGCCTGGGCAATGGCGGGCGCCCCTCCCCCAGCCTCGCTGCCGCCTTGCAGTTTGATCTCAGACTGCTGTGCTAGCAATCAGCGAGACTCCGTGGGTGTAGGACCCTCCGAGCCAGGTGCGGGATATAATCTCGTGGTGCGCTGTTTTTTAAGCCCGTCGGAAAAGCCCAGTATTCAGGTGGGAGTGACCCGATTTTCCAGGTGCCGTCCATCACCCCTTTCATTGATTAGGAAAGGGAACTCCCTGACGCCTTGAGCTTCCCGAGTGAGGCAATGCCTCACCCTGCTTCGGCTCGCGCACCCACTGACCTGCACCCACTGTCTGGCACTCCCTAGTGAGATGAACCCGGTACCTCAGATGGAAATGCAGAAATCACCCGTCTTCTATGTCGCTCACGCTGGGAGCTGTAGACCCGAGCTGTTCCTATTCGGCCATCTTGGCTCCTCCTCCGTTATTTATTAATTCTTAAACTCCTTACAATAGTAGTAAGTCTTGAAAAACCTGAAATATTTTATTCCAAATATGATTAGCAAAATATACCATTTCAGTGCCCAAGGCTTTGCTGCAGATTCATCAGCTAATTGCACACAGGACTTTCCAGACACAAATACATGTACCTTTACTCTATTTTCTATTTTGCTGATTTGTAAGCATGAGTTTTCAGGAAAACCTTCACCTTAAATCAGTTCTGGCCTTAAATAGCTTATTATGTCAACAAAATATACCTTTAAATGAAAAACCAAACCCTTGAAACCAGCAGGGGTTGCGAGTAGTAAACAGAAAGAAAAGGGGCTTAATATCTGATGAGCCCATTAGCTCTCACCTGCACGTCTTTCTTCGGTATATTAATGGAATAAACTAGAAGGATACAAGAACAAGAGCAAAGCTGCAGGTCAATGAAATCATTCCCTGATCCACCAGCAAAACATGATAAGTGGTGTATTAGCTTAGTCTCCTACATGATACTTAGACATCCTTGCGTAGGTTCTCAAATTAGGCAAACAGACCCTATTAAGTGATATCAAAAACGAGAGGATTTTTTTCTGCTTTGTCTTATTTGAACCCTCCAATAAAGCCTAAATTTAGAGTTTATGGCTTAAGTTTTCTTTGCGGATCCTGCAACATGAGGTAATTTAAATGGATAATGACAACAATGAAACAGAGGGTATCTTATCTCTCCCTTTATACTTAACCATATCTAGATGAATTTACAGATTTCTGGCTCATGTTACTCATTACCACATCAACTATGTATTGTGTGCCCCTTGGATGTCTTAAAGTTTGTTAAATTTCTGGGGATACAATAATGTGCAGTGTTAAGCAGATTCTGTGCTTCTTGGATAAGTGTTTCTGTCTTCAAGGAGTTTTCACTATATTACAGTGGAGGAATTAGGGCAATAACACGTGCAATAGTGTTGCCTTTTCCAACAACTTTAATTTTTTATACTTGATATTTGCATTCCGAATCTAGTGGCTTACCAGTGGTAACAGAATAAGGGTAGATCGCTGTTGCAAAATAGAACAGACAGTATTCCCTCAAGCCACTTCACAGCTGATGATAAACTTTGGTTCCTCCTTTCACTTACCTTGAGTCTAAACTCTTTCCAGCAGCAAATGAGCTACCTACCCTCTGGTCTCAATCATAGCCAATGTATAACCATATCACACTTGGTGCATTTCAGATGAGCTTCCAGTAACAAACATCATTCAGCAGGAATATATTTACTCTTTGAATCAATCATATTACATTCAGATATATTATCTCAAGATAAAATTTTCTACACATTAAAAGGAGAGATAGAAGACAGGAAGGAAGGAAAATGTAGAAGGAACAAAAGAAAACATCTTGACACAGAACAAGCTCAGCCATCAAATCATTCCATAGATTTTGGTACAGTCTATTTATCTTACCATACTCTCCTCTCCATTGAAATGGAAAAAAACTTGAAAATTAAAAAATCTGTATTTACATTTTCCTTGGGTAGTATGTGGGATTCTAATAAATCTCTTTGGCTGACTCCAGGAAATCTGCCTCTTTAGGTTGCATCACACCCAGCTGTTTGCATTAAAGTCCATCCAATTTGATTTTCATTTGTCAAACTGATCCCTTTGATGTCAAAATTACTCTCTCCTTTGCATTTAGTTCTTAAGAGTTTCCAGCTGCTGTTGGCTCTGTAGTTGTGCTAAGGTCTTAAGCCAGTCTTCAGTCATATTGTTCTGCTTTGCAGTTGTCTAAACTGTATCTAGGTGACCTCATTCATCTTGATGACTTAACTTGAGACACTTATCCAAGATGTCTTGGGAGCTGCTGTTTTTGAAAATTCGCTTGCATTGTGCTCACCCTCTGGTAACCAGCTTCGGCTCATTGAGAGCACACAACTCACACCTACATCTTCTGTTCATTTGGACAAAGAATATGTTCAATTCCCTTTGGAATCATTGATTGCCACCTGATTTACAATGTCTCTTTTCCTCTTTCAGAACAGATAACCTCTTAGTGTTGAATGAGTCACAAATTGGTTTGGGGTCCTAAGTAGACCACAGAGTGTTGAATCAACATTTAAAGAGCTCTTCAATGTCACACCATTCAGCCCTGTTCCTTGGGATTCTTTATGAGAGAGATGTCTATTGTTATCTTTCTTTTATAGAAGAGGAAACCAAGAGGTAGATGGAGTGTCCAAAAGATTTTTTTTCCTAATAACTATCTAGGCCAGAAGTTTGCTCTGTAAACTCGGCCACACTAAATTCTATTTGTAAAATTCTCCGTGTTTTTCTCCTCTCCTGTCAGCCTGCCTGCCTGCCTATCTATATCTATATCTAAATCTATCTTTCTCATCTATCTGTCTTGTATATTTACTCTCTAAAGGGAATATAAATTTACCTACATTCTAATTTCTATCCCATTATTGAATTTGTCTCATTCTATCACCAACTAGAAATACATTGAGTTGTTTATTTTCTCTGAGAATCAACTACTTCATCTGTAATAGGAGCTGATGCTTCCATTTTAGAGTTGTTATATTGATTAAATGAAGTAATAGTACAAAAAATACCATCACTCTGACTGGTACCTAGAAGAGATAGAAGAAACAACAGTCCATTTCCTGTCCAAAAGCTGTTAGAAAAGCAAACAGTTGCTGGCTGATCTGACATCAGTCTGAATTGAGAAATCATCTGTTTGAAGAGAAATTGCATCTGATTTTGTGTGACTTTTACTTAAGAAACCACCTTCCCCTCAAAGCTAATGCATTAGCTTCCTATTGCCACTATAACAAATTACCACATACTTCATGACTTAATACAACCCAGATGTATTGTCTTACAGTTCTGGAGATCAGAAGTCCAAAATGGACTGGCAGGGCCACATTCCTTCTGGAAGCTCTGGGGGACAATCTGTTTCCTGGTTCTTTCCAGATTTGAGAGACTGCCCACATTCCTTGGCTCATGGCCCCACATCACTCCCACCTCTGTTTCAATCTTCACGTCTCCTCTGACTCTCCTTTTCCCCTGTTTTTCTTATAAGGACCTTGTCAATACACTCAGCCCACCCAAATAATATAGTATAATTTTCCCATCTCAAGATTCCTAATTCAATTACAGAAACGTTCCTTTTGCTATGTAAAGTAACCTATACACAGGTCCTGAAGTTAGGATGTGGACAGCTTTAGGAGGTCATTTCTTGGCCTACCACATCTAATACAAACCTCAAGAAATAGTTTGATTTTGAAGGTCTATTCACCACCACTCGTTTGAGCAGCAATACATTTTTGAGTTATTATTATTTGTATATCCTTTATTTATGATATATATTTTCAATTACTGAAATCTACAAAGGTAGACAAATGTCTTATTTTTTAAGATAAAATATAATAAACAATAACTTTCTTTCTTTTTTGAGACAGAGTCTTGCTCTGTCACTCAGCCTGGAGTGCAGTGGGGTGATCTCAGCTCACTGCAACTTCCGCTTCTTGGGTTCAAGCAATTCTCCTGCCTCAGCCTCCAGAGTAGCTGGGACTATAGGCACGGGCCACCACACCTGGCTAATTTTTGTATTTTTAGTAGAGATGGGGTTTCACCATGTTGGTCAGGCTAGTCTCAAACTCCTGACCTCAAGCGATCCACCTGCCTCGGCCTCACAAAGTGCTGGGATTACAGATGTGAGCCACCTCGCTCAGCCAATAACTTTGTTTACTACATCCTCCTTTTTGTAATCCCTATTTCCTTTTCTGTTTATAGATATTACTTATTTACTTATGTTACTTCTGTACTTCTTTTCTGTTGGTCTGTTTCTGTCTTAATTGCTCTAAAAATGTAGACTCCCAGAAAGCAGACCTTGATGTATTGTATCCTTTTATAAAACAGTTTGCTTAGCTCCATACAGATTCACGAAATAAAACCTCTTTAATAATTATATTATTTACCTTCTTTCCCTGAATTTTTATTGGCAGGCATAATTAGGTAAACAACAAACTTGAGGTAGTTTTTTCATTATTTATTTTATTATTTCTATATTTTTATATTACAGAAAAGTATTTATTTCACTACACAAAGTGGAAGAGTAAAAGATTCTTTCTAGCATCTACCATTCTACTTGTTATATGCATAGGAGTTAGTATGTAGTGATCCAATCACTGCTATAAGAATTTTACAAATAATGGTTTCATTCCAGAATCATGGAACACAGTCAGATGGAAATAATAGAAAAGTAATTTTTGTTTCTGAGCCGTGTGTTTGTGTGCATAATTTTTCAAAAAGACTATACTTAAGTAATAGTATAAATTTATTGAAAGTGGTGACTGGATTTCCCAGATCTGGAAAAAAAAAGTATCTCTAAGTCAATTTTTCTTTCAGGCTTTATATTAAAACATGATTAAAGATAGGCTGTCATTCTGGGTGACATTTTATTGTTGAAGGTGGTGGATTTTAATGGGCATATTCAGCACAATGCTACCCTTTTAGAGCACAAGCAGGATAATGAGTTGATAACGGCACTAAGATTCCATTTCTGGTCAAAGTGCTTCATCTTTAAGGATCTCAGATTCCAAAAACCTTGTTCAGCTATCTTTACCTGGTTATCATGAGCGCCCCTTCTTTGGAACCCCTGGGGAGATAGATAGATAGGCTAACCACACTAATGGGCTTCATCAGCCTAAAACTGGTTTTCAAAAGTTGTTCTCTGGAAACTCTGTGATTATGAAGACAGTATCTAATGTGTATCTGTGTGGATCTCTCCATCATCTTCAATTCATCCTCAAATTTTGCTGTAATTGGAGTTCCAGAGTATTTATTAGAAATATTACAGAAGAGTACCATTATCTCTAAAATTTTGGAAATTATTGGTCTGTACTAAGTTTAAGAGTAGCTTCCTAAATTCATCTGTAAGTACTGGCTTTATTATTACTTTACAGGAACATTGGGTCGGCCATCTTCCTTCCTTCCTTTTCCTCTTTTCTTCCTTCCCTCTTCCCTCTCTTTCTCCTTCTCTCTCTTTCCTTTCCTTTTTGTGCTTCGTATCTCCCTTTTTTCTTTTCCTTCCTCCCAACTTCCTTCCTTCTTTCTTTTTTCTTGTTTCTCTTTCTTTCTTTGTAATAGGACAGGATATAAGAAATGACAAAACCCAGCTTTCTCCTGCACACACATAAGATGGCAAATTCTGTTTGCTTGCCCTCCACCTTTACGTGCTAATGTGTGCAAATGTCTAGGAATAACAATAGCTTCGAGAAGCTCATTTTATGATATTCACATGAGAACTCAAGCATTGAAGTGATGTTTTCCTTTAAAGTAGCCATCAAGTGATAATACATGTTTATTTGGTAAATGCCTCCATTACTAAAATATTTTTGGAACCCTTCTTTTGAACCTGCCTTCTGTGACACCTTCAGAGTGTCTCACCGTATATTAGCCACCTTCTATTTGCTTCAAAATAGCATTCCTTAAATTAATCACTTATCTTAATCACCAGATTTTGGTCCAGTATCTTTTGCTTGTTTTCAAATGACAAATCTGAGGATGAATGTTTACTAACAGAAAGCAATTCAGCTGATTTAATCAATTAATTCAAGAGAATGGGCCCACTTAATGATCAAAAGCCTTTAAATTTTACTCAGTAACTTGCCATAGCTGGAATGTTAAACAAAGATCTATGAATGCTGTCCAACTCAATATGATAGCTAAAATTAAGAAGTTTATTTTATAAGCAAATATACATGATAAAACTTTCAAAGCAAAACCATTTCTGTAGTATTACATAACCACACACACATAAACATACCCCTAGACATATTTACATTTAAGGGATTAATTTACCATGTTTAGAATGGTTACTTTTGAGTGAACCAATTTGGATTGTTTTAAAATTTCTTTTGTTTTCTTCAGTTCTCAGGGTATGTACTATCACTTTTGTAATCAAAAGAAAAAAATAATTGAAAGAATAATGTGTCATGAGCTCTTAAATAATGCTACATACAGATTTTAAAATGTCCTGAGTAATGACACTATCACTAGAATAAATGCAGACTCCTGAAAATCTCACAAGTATTTGAATGTGTCTTGGTGATGTTTGTTTAGAGACAGTCACATTAATTCAAGGTAGAAATATACAAATATAGGAAACACATTTGTAAATGCCCTACCAACTTTTCTGTTACAACTGAAGCAAACTGGAGGTGTGGGTAATATTAACTGAATCCTTCAAAATCGTTTTTACTAAGTCATGGTCAGAGTGTCATATAGCTTTGGATCCAGGAGGTGACTAGCTGCTTTGGCCAGGAGCCCTGGCTTCTGGGCTCATGTTGGCCAGTAACTAACTCTGTATTGAATGCTGGGAGGCAAGCACTTACATTATCTGGCCCACTGTAAAATAAACTAAAGATCCCCTCCATCTCTAAAGTTCAGCAAATCCTTTTATTCACTGGCTTGATAATAAATAATCACGGGTTAGATTGCTGTTCCATTAGTAATGCTACCCACAACAGATAAAATTTACTGGAGGCAATGAAGGAAAGATTTGATGGATTGTCTCTTAAATCATACTGGAATTTCCCCAGATTAGTTTGGCGGTAGGGTATAGCATCTGAGAAATGAGGAGGTTTAACCATACCATCTCTAAAAGCTAAGCAACGGCATTTTCACCTTTTCCAAAGGCAAAGATAGCTCCTGCTTTCATTCTACAGTAAAATTATCTTCAAAGTATCCCTCCTGAGTGTTTTCATGTCTAATCCTACTCTGTATGGCTTGAAGAATCTGGAAAACATATACTTCTCAAAATAGTATTCTAACAGGGAATCTTAAGTAATCACAACTTTCTTTTCACTTTTATTCTCTTACTTTTTGGTTACGTCTTCCAAATTTTTGTTTCTATATTATTCAGAGTAACTCTAGATGCTATTACAAGTAAATGGCAAATTTTGCATGGATCTATGCACTAAAAATTTATTTCTTATTCCCATTATAGTCTGTAGATAGCTGTTTCTCTGTCACAGCTCAAGGACCTAGGATCCTCCTGGACTGTGGCTATGCCAAGTCCTAACAGCTTCTAGCTGACAGAGAGAAAGAGACAATGAAGAAGTCCCACTCACTTCTTAAAAGCAGGACCAGGAAGTGAAATACACAACACTACCCACATTATATTGGCAAGAACTGATCTCTTGGCCACACCTGGATGCTAGGGACATGGAAACATAGTCCCTGTCAGGGCAGCTGCTTCCCACTGACAAAGCCACATCGTGAAAAGAGGAGTATAAATTTCGGTATAGAATTCCGCAACTCTCGGCCAGGCACAGTGGCTCACACCTGTAATCCCAGTTCTTTGGGAGGCCGCAGCGGGCTGACCACCGGAGGTCAGGAGTTCAAGAGCGGCCTGGCCAAAATGGCAAAACTCCGTCTCTACTAAAAATACCAAAAAAATTAACCGGAGTGGTGACACATGCCTGTAGTCCCAGCTACTGGGGAGGTTGAGGCATGAGAATCACTTGAACCCTGAAGGTGGAGGTAGCAGTGAACTGAGATTGGGCCACTGCACTCCAGCCTGGGTGACAGAGCGAGACTGTATCGAAAACAAACAAACAAACAAAAACCCTCACAACTCTGTCTCATTTACTTGGCCTTCTTGCTGCAAAAATTATTTTAAAATATCTAAGTATGTAAAAAAAAAATCTATCAAGATATAACATTTATTCTTACATGCATTGATTTTCTCATTCAACAAATGTTTATTTGATAGTCTCTCACGTGTATAGCTCTCTCTATATATTTTAGCACTGGGGCTACAATAGTGAAAAAGAAAGTCCTGATATTTCTGCCCTTATAATATAGTTATAGCTATAGATATTAAGTGCATAGCCAGGCACATAATCACACCCTTGGAAAGTACTAGAAAGGAAACAAACAAGGTGCTAAGATGCTGAGTAGCTGATGGCTGGTGAGAGGCTTCTTTTGATTGGATAATCACAGAAAGCTCCTCTGAAGACAGAAATTTAATCCTAGACATGAAATATAAGAAGGAGCTAATTATGCAATAAACACAGTGGTGAGAAAAACATATACAAAGGCAGTTAGATGGAAAAGAGTTGGAAGTGTTCTGTATATAATTTTTTCAAGTGGAGATTTTTATCTTTCAGATAATTAGATTAATCACCTTTCAGATTACAGATAAATTAGAAAAGGAAAAGGAAACATTTAAAATGAAAAAATCTGGTGGGTAATACCTTGACTAAATGATCAGACTTCACATTACCTTTAATGGAATAAATTAACAGTCTGTTCCCTTGCTGTGATACACTGAGGCCACATCAGCTCTATAGTGTTCTTGCAAAAATTAAACACTTTAATCTGAAGCGAATCTGCAAAAACAATCAAACAAATCCAAACTGAGAGATATGCTGCAATACCATGGACATGGACTCTTCAAAATGAAATTAAAAAGTCATGATGGCTAAATTCAATATATGGTTTTAAATTAATCATGAATAAAGCATACACGCAGGTGACAACAACAGCAAAAAACAGCTATGAGGAACCTTATTGGGATGGTTGTGGAAGTTTGAATATTAGTGTATAATAGATAATAGTATTTTATCAAAGTTAAATTTCCTGAGTGTGATAACATTACTGTGGCTATGTAGAAGGCTGAACTTCTTATTAGGAAATATATGCTGAAGTGTTCAGGGGTAAAATGTGAGTAAACACAGGTAACAAGTGTATGAATGTTCATTGTATTATTCTTGCAAATTAGGGGGAAATAATTAGATTCATGTTTTTAAAAGTTACTCAAGATGCTGTGTGGGGAAGAAATTGGAGAGAGATGACTGGGAATGCAACAGAGTAGTCACATGGCTGTGACAGGCATCCAGAAGAAATGCTGGTGGCTTTCCCTCCATCACTGAAGTGGACATTAAGAGTAAAGTTGAAGGTAGACTCAGGCCAGGCGTGGTGGCTCATGCCTGTAATGCCAGTACTTTGGGAGGCCAAGGTGGGCAGATCACCTGAGGTCAGGAGTTTGAGACCAGCCTGGCCAACATGGTGAAACCCCGTCTCTACTAAAAATATAAAAAAATTAGCTGGGCGTTGTGACACATGCCATCTACTTAGGAGGCTGAGGCAGGAGAATCACTTGAACCTGGGAGGTGGAGGTTGCAGTGAGCCGAGATTGTCCAGCCTGATGACAAAGCGAGACTCCGTTTCAAAAAAAAAGAAAGAAAAAGAAAAACAAAGTTGAAGGTAGACTCAAATGTATTTTGGAAGCAGAAGTAACAGGTTTTTCATAGATTGAATATGAACAAATGAAAGTGAAAAAAATAATAATGACAAGGTGTTGTACTGCACAAAATGTATCAGTCTTAGTCCATCCAGGCTGCTATAACAAAATATCATAGACTGGGTGGCTTATGAGCAAAATAAATTTCCTTCTTACAGTTCTGGAGGCTGGAGAGTCCAAGATCAAGGCATATTAAGTGGTTGGTTAGGGCCCAATTTCTGGCTCACACATGGTGCCTTCTCACGGTGTCCTCACACGGCAGAAGGGGTGAAGCGTCTCTCTCAGGTCTCTTTCATAAAGGCACCAAGGCCATTCATGAGAGTTCTGCCCAAAAGGCCCTACTTCCTAATGCCATCACCTTGGGATGAGGATTGCAACACAGGAATTCGAGGGAGATATCAACCTTCAGACCATAGCAGCATGCTAGAGGTGAATCTCAAATTTCCCTTAGATACTTAACTGCAGAGCCAAGAGAAATGCATGATTCACATACACAAGTTTTCCAATGTCCAGAGGATACAGCAACACCCACAGCTGTGTCAGATGGAGCACAGTAATTCTTAGCAGAGATCTGCAAAGTTTTTCTCTGAATTCTCATAAAGAGAATCATGACGATGTAAATTTCATCCCAATACATTCATGCACTTCCAGTGACCACACTACCAACAATTTAAATTACTCAACTGGGCTTTGGAAAGTAGACGTATTATCAACTGACATCTTCAGAATTCCTGTGGAGAGAAAACCTGCTAGGCTTGAAACGATAAGCTTAATGCAATTTGAAGAGAATAAGCAGTTTTGTTCAGTTCAGGCCAACATGTTACTTGGTGTTTTATGCAAGAGCTGTGATTGCAGTCACACTGAGGAAAAGATTCAACGTGAATGGTAAATTATAAGAAATGCCCACACTTCCTATTTCCTAAATCTATTTTAGTTGGTGGCAATTACGATTTACTACGCAACACTCAAAATACAAACGGTGCTATGTGAAAGGATGTATCAGTGACAGATTTGCAACCTCAAAGCGTGACTTCAAAATATTGGTGCGGGAAAGGTTTCCAGTTCCGGAAGGCGGTTGCGACATCCCGTGCACAGCTCCCGCAGGTGAGGGCGGCGGCGGGAAGAGCGGCGTACGCCCTGGATGTCGCCACGCGGAGCCGGCGGGAGGCGCCGGAGCGGGCATATGGAGGAGGCCTGCGGTGCCAATCGCACGATGGGATGGCACAGACAGCGAGCACAGAGTGAGGAAATACTGCTACGCAGGGAAACTGAGAGCATAAGGCCGGGAGGAGAAAACCAAGAAGGAAAGCCAAGAACTTCAGGAACATGAAGAAGCAGGGTTATGTGAGGAGAATGTGCGGGCATCCTCTATCCCCGCTCCAGCTCAGCCCAGCCTCCTCTGCCCTGGTCTCTGGCCAGAAGGCGGAATCGTCAGTGGCTCCTGTCCCCTCTGCAGCCACTAGGTTTCAGCCACCAGAGAACAAGCCTAAAGAGAGGTTAGTTTCTTCCCTAGTGCTGGGTCGTGCTGTGGTAGTGGTTGCACTCTTAACTGTCACTGTGGCTATAGCTATCTATCAGCGGCTCCCACTGGGATGTGCCTCCTGCTCTTGACCCTGGCCCTGTAGCTGGGAATGGCTTCCCGCTATGGTTAGCCCAGGGGTGTGGCATCAGCCCTTATGTGTTCCCCTTAATTCTGCTCACTTCTTTGAAAGCAATCACTTTACTAAATGCTCAGGAAAATGCCATCCGATTCTGGCTGGTATCCTGACTCACAGGGAAGTTGAGAGTACCCATATGCAATTTCAAGGAGAGTGATTAAGCACATAATGGAAACCATGCTGAGGTACACAGTGGATAGTACGGTTCTGAAGTGGGACATATAAATGATTCTCCATATTCCCAACAGAAAGATGATGGATTCCTTCATTTTCCCATGCTGGCACTAATCTTCAGTCCTTTATGACACTCATAATCTCTGGGATTCCTGCCTAGGAACTAGTGCCTGCTCACCTTCAGGTATTTGCATGCAGACAGGTAAGAACTCGGAGCTCTAGGTATATCAGGATCACGAAGGAATTTATTTAAGAGAATTTCATTTCAGCACAGTTGCATTTATCTGGGTAAGCATCCCAGTCTCACCCAGGTACACATATTTCAGAATGAAACTTCAGAACTTCCTAATTTGTGCACCCATACTCACTCTTCTTTGGCTCATCTGCCCTGGTCTTTGCAATAATACCAGACAGAAAAGACTGCTGATCATTATGTGCACATTTAAAATATCCAGGAGAATGCCGTATGTGTTATATGTATCTCATGCACAGTAAGAATGCAAACTGTGTTGTATTCACAGAAGAGACGTTATGCCTTATTCTAAATAATTAGAATAGCCCACATTGTACTCTAGTCTCTATGATTATAATTATCAAAATAGATTCTAAAAGTTTCTTATTTGTAAAAACGGTCGTGTGAAATTAAACTCACAGACAAAAACACACAAAAAATATATCTGCCTCCCTCTCTGGCCTCCCTCACCTCCACCCACATGAGCTTTCTGCTTCCTCTGTGAAGTGCCTATGATTGTCGCCTTTAAAGGGAAGCTAATGCACATAGAACATCAGTGGAGTACAGAGGATGGGAAGAATCTCAGCTACAATACCTAAAATTAGAAGTTGCTCTTGAAATCTGTCCCAGAAATAAAAGTAATCAGAGGACTGTACTTGATTGAATTCAAGTGACACTGTTTTAAGCACAAACTGCACAAGTGAGGGACACTGGTACCTCTTAGACACAATAGCAATGGCCCAGAATGGTTTGTTATTAAAACTACTCAAAATTCCGTTTAAAGGAAAGAAGTGCTTTTCTTCTCTTCCACTCTACTAGGAGCAATTTTTTTCCATCTGATAAAAATTATGGTTCAAGTTTCATGAGACAAGGCTTTAGAAAAATATCTTTTACTCTGTTAGCACTGACATTACAAGTTTGCGTCAAACTACGATGATGATGGTTATTATATAATATTGGAGTTATATTGCACAAGAGAATGTTTGGAAGAAATAAATGGAAGAGAACTATAAAACAGGAAAGGGCTAACTCATGTCACTTACACATGTAGAAATATTATTCCTGTAATAATAACAAGAACATTGAGAAATAAAGCCAGGATAAAGAAGGGAACTTTAAAGTTTAAGGGAAAAAGATATGTCGCATGAATGATGATATTACAGAAAACATGTGTTTAATCGTACTATCTCTAAAAGCCAAGTAACTAAATTTTAACCTTAACCAAAAACAAGTATAATCCCTTTTTACTGTGCAAAATTCTCTTCAGTGTCTCCTACTTAAGTGTTTCTATGCCTAATTCTAGTCTGAAGAGCCAGCTTTGACAGATAAAGTTAAAAAAAAAAAAGATGATGTGCAGGAAATGAAAATAAATAATTTCTAAGACAAATATACCAAGAACTTGAGGCCAAGGCAGCCTCCAATGGAAAGAAGAAATTCCCCTGTGACAAGGAAGATATTATGCAACCTTGTTTTAGTCATTCTTAGAAATCACAGCTGCATTTGATAGAGCAAAATCTGGAAACCATAACATTGGAAGACAGAAAGCTCAAAACTTTCAGATAAAATTTGAACCAATCTAAGGCAGACAAAGTGTAGTCTTTAAATGTAACTGGTCAACTCTACCTGGGGCCAGAGAGGATGAGAATTATCAGAAAAAAACAGACTTTTAGAATTGCTTTGTAGGGGAAGATGCCAGAATAATTCAACCTGTAAAACCATTATAAAATACTAAGAAATGTCACATCATACCAAGAGTAAGAAAGATCTAATTCACAAAAATGATCCCATTCTGCCACCCTTGAAAAGACTATCTGGTTATCTAAACAAGTTGACTCTAGAAAGACCATAGGCATATTTTCCCTGAATTGTATAAGAAGGTTTTCAATAGTGTACTATACAAGGGGTAACCTATCAAGTGATTATTAAACTTGGAAAGCGAACACAGACCTTGGCCCATTAAGTACAGCCCCATGGGCTGCATCAGACAGAAGGAGCCAGCCAAATGCCACTGAGCAATCCATTTGAGGAACAATTTGATTCTCTCATGGATTAATGAGGTAGGGAAAAAAAAGAAAAGAAAGAAAAAGAACAGGCAGTAAAGTCATCCCATTTGCAGATGATGAAATATGGGGAGAGCATGTTAAGGAGAGAAGGCCACATCATTTATCTCAGTGGGGAGAGCTCCATCGTGGCTGCATTTTTCAGTCATGTGGTACTGTGCATTGGGGCTTTCCAATTCCTCCTGACAAATTTGCTTTTTCTTTAATAATACATTGGGTTTGTGGAATGCTTTTCTTCCTAACAGCATAAAGTACTTTTGATGGATTTTATTTCATTTATCCTCATCAAAATCTGTGAGTTTTCAAAGGCCAGGTAAACTTATCTTTTTTTTTTTTTTTTTTTTTTTTTTTTTTTGAGACAGAGCCTTGCTCTGTCGCCCAGGCTGGAGTAGTGCAGTGGTGTAATCTCGGCTCACTGCAAGCTCCGCCTCCCAGGTTCATGCCATTCTCTTGCCTCAGCCTCCTGAGTAGCTAGGACTACAGGCTCCCGCCACCACACCCAGCTAATTTTCTGTATTTTTAGTAGAGACAGGGTTTCACCGTGTGAGCCAGGATGGTCTCAATCTCCTGACCTTGTGATCCACCTGCCTCAGCCTCCCAGAGTGCTGGGATTACAGGCGTGAGCCACAGCACCCGGCCAAAACTTATCTATTTTACAGGCAAAGAAGAGAGTTGTATGAAGGTCAACTGATCCACTCGACCCAGGGTCGCAGGGAGGATACTGCACCTAGTTAATGGCGGATCCTCATCAGTGAATATACCAAATAACCATGGAAGGTGTTAGAGACTGTATTATTGGGCATTCTGGCAGAGCAATGGTATATGATGCTTCTCTTCCTTTAGGCTTGTCACTCTAGCCTGGGATTTGGCAAACTATGGCACATGGGATATAGCTTCTTTTAATATGTCCTACAATTTAGAACTTATTTTTACACTTTTAAGTGGTCAAAATAATCCAAGGAAGAGTAATATTTTGTGACATGCGAAAACTATATGAAATTCAAATTTCAGTGTTCCATAAATTAACTGATTGTCTCCAGCTGCTTTTGTGTTACCAAGCAGATCAGAGTAGTTGTGACAGAGATTGTATGGCCCGTAAAGCCTAAAGGATTTATTATTTGGTGCTTTATAAAAAAATATTCACAGACCTTTGCTCTAGGTCAATGGGTTTCCAACCTTCCTTCCTTCTTTCTAACTCCTTCCTCCTCCTCCTCATCCTGTTTTTCTTCTTCTTCTTCCTCTCTTTTTTCTCTCCCCTCCATTCCTACCTACCTCCTTTCTTTTCCCCTTTCTTTCCTTTCTTCCTTTCTCTCTCTCTCCTCCCTCTCTTCTTTCTTTTAGCAGTTGACCTTTCAATCAAAATAATCTTTAATACAGACCTGGTGCTCCCCTTTAAGACCCTCCTGTCACACACTGCTCCCCAAAGTGAAGCTAGAAGCTTTTTCTAGAGTCTACCTTCACAATGATGAAGCCAAGGGGTCAGGATTAGAGTTTCCCTTACTCTTAACCCATACTAAATAGGTGAGTAAGAATGGGTAGCGGCTGGCACCATCTTCCTACTTAGTGAAGAACAGTTTCTCGGTCAGGTGTCTCCTTCTCCATTGGATTCAGTCCATTGTGACATAAGCATGTCTTATGAATCTTTCCACCCCCAGCTTCTGAAACTTGATAGGACTTTATAAATATTAACTTAATAAATGTAAATGGCTTAAAAGAATGAATGACCCACCACCTAAGTCCAATCAACATCTAGCATAAAACATGAAACCTCCATATTTTCTACTTCTTCTCCCATTTCCTATCTATGATTGAAAAGGTGCCTTTATCCTTCTGCAGAGCTCCCTGAACTCATAAGAGATTCATTGAAAAGAGTAAACATACAGCATCCATTTCTAAAAGAAAAATACAGGTAAATACTTTTTCCACTGGTAGAAATAATATATCCGACCTGAAATTAATATTTATAATCATTAGTAAATGAACTCTTATTAATCAGCCTGGTAATTCCACAATGATTGAGAAAAAAATTTAAAACAAGTCAACAATAATTCTGCTCTGGAGGGAAACTGGGGCCAGTTTCAAACCTACCCACTAATGAGTTTTTATTTATGTATTTATTTATTTATGTATGTATTTATTTATTTTGCAGATGTAGTGGCTCGTCCAGCAATAACCAACCAAACAAGCCATGTTTCTGATTGTTGAATGTTATCAGGTTCTATATAAACAACAAAGTCCTTACATCATTCTCCATAATTCAGGAGAAAGTGTTAGAATGTAAAAAACATAAACCACATATAACCTTTGCTCTTGTATCCTCCTGTCTGCTAATGGTCTTTTTTCATATTTAGTATCAACCAAATCCAAAAGGCAAAAATGCAATTGGAGATGAGAGTCAGTCCTCCGCTCAGATTAGCCACATTTCTCATGGATTAGCAGATCTGTGAGATACAAAATGAACAAGAATTGATCCTATCCTTTGTGATGATGGCTTTGCTGCTGCAGCAAAGAAGATAAATGACTTCAGACTATGATTAACCCAAAATGAACTGTTTTAGTCGGTGCCCAGGCAAGCAAAGAAGCCCTGTTCAGATGAAAGTGTGAGGAGACAATTTACAGAATGGGAAGGAACTATTTATGCAGCTGTATTAAAGGAGGCTCCAAGGGACATTGAGGCAGTCAGAGACTAGCAACAAGGAGAAGTTATTAACAGCCCTAGACATGAAGAAGGAAGGGGAGGGAATAGTCTTAGAGGATTCTGATGAGATCTAGAGCCATGGAGAAGAACCACTTCGCAGAAGCTGTAGTTGAGGGATCGAGGTATTACCAGAACCACAGCATAAAGCAGGATGAGAGTGGTGGAAAAAAAACAACAAAACAAACAAACAAACAAACAAGCAAACAAAAACAGTCCTCTCTCCTCTCCTGCCAGGCAGAGCTTCCCATTAACTGATTCCAACCAGAAGCCAGAGGTCAAGGGAACCTGGCTAATATAGCCAGTAGAGGTCACAGAGAGCATAGAAGTCTTCTCCCTCTCCCTGTCCCAGGCAAGTGTAATGCAGAGAAGACAGAGAATGGATGGAGGACAACCTGATTTAAAATGACCAACACAGGAGCCAAAATAAGAAGCAGTTGTTTAGATTCTGCTATCCCTTTTACTCAACCACTCTATACCCTAACTCTCTTCTGCATGCTTTTAGACACTCCAAGTAAAAAAGAACAAAGTCATAAGCAGTTGGATTTGCTAAGCCCTTCTCCTGCACTAATGCATTAGTACAGGAAAATGATTATCCAGCCCTAAAAAACCTACTTGATTGAAATTTTCAAAATATCTCTTTTTCATTTTCTACCTTCACCTAGGGGGCCCAAGGAAGTATCTTGGGTAACAGAGTAATAATATTTTAAATTGTCTATAATTTGGCTGGCATTGAGAAATCTTAAATAATTGAATATCCTGTACCATAGAGGGCTTCCGTCTATTCTGAATTCTTTCTTTAATATGTTACTTTTTAATAGCCAAACCCATAGGATGATGAGTTTACTTCCTGAGTAAGCCTCACAATTCTAGGAGATGAAACACTGTGCAAAGTAAAGTCCACAGCTGGACCTGCAAACAGAACCCACAGGTTTGGGTCCTAGAGCCTTCGCTTTTAGTACTTTGGTGATCTTATGTAAGGCTCTTACCTCTCTGGCTTCAGTGTCATCATTTGTAAAATGATGGAGTTGAGTAGCATAAATTCTGGCTTTCCTTTTAGCTCTGACATTCTGTGACTCTATGTTTCTACTTATACTCAGGCAGCTGACAGTGTTGCATTGCAGAGAGAATATATTACAGACTTAATAGTGCCTGGTAAGGGACATAGAAGGAGAGCTCCAATACTGAGAAATCAATACCCACTAGCATAGAACAGAAGAGGGAAAGTGCAGAGGGCAGTCAATCAAGGGCTAATGCAAGGCAGACAATGTGGCCAAGGCCAGAGATGGAAAGAAAAATGAGGAATGTGGGTGGGAGGGATGGGGGTGATATCAGGATAAGGCTCCTTTTAAGAATAGCTGCTCATGGTAGGAAGAAATAATGTGTAAATCATGGTTTTATAGGTCTTAGTTTTTCTTGCTTGAAATGTTACAGGTTTGTCTGTTACTGTTAGCTATTAACTAGAAGTTGGCATATTGTTCCCTAGTCCTTGGAAATATAGTTGCAATAGACAATATGGAAGTAAAACAGGGTTGGGCCATCACATGGCTCACCCATGGCCAAGAATTCCGAAGCACATAGTGTAAACTTAGTTGTGTGGTTTGTTTGGATCTAGTTTCCCCTGTGTCTCCCTGCAGCAGCTATGGGGATTATTAATAGAAATTCTGTACTAGGGAATGCCTAGTGAGTTTAGTAGTAGGGAAACCACCCATGTGTGATGATCAAAAATGTATATGTCAAGATGGTATTGCACAATATATTAGGAAGGAATTATTACTCTGCTTGGTCAAATAATTCATTCTGTCTCCTTTTGTGACCAGGTACTTTGAAAAATGTTTAATTCAATGATAAAGAGCCTGCCCAAGAGTTTAAAATACAATAAAAACAAGAACGTACATCAATTGTTGATCCCATCTGATGGCAGTCTGTCCTTGAGCATATAGCTAAAAGGATTTTCTCTGTATCAAGTGGCACAACTACGGTGGACATTCTGGAAACCAGGTAGGTGGCTGAGTTCCTCACTGTCATATAGGAAGCAGTGAGGGCCTGGGGGCTGTGGGTTAACAGCTGACTTTGATAATACCTGTGACTACCTTCTTCTAGCCACTGTTCCTTTAATAAACCTCTGCACCAGACAGAAGATTGCTGTATATTCTGTTTCTTTACTGACATTGCAAATGAAGAACACTACTCATTAAGGAATTTAGTAATTCTTGAAAGAGGGAAGAAAAAGAAGCTGGTATTTTTTGTGACTGAAAGGAAAACCAGAGAGAGAACATTTCCCAGATCACAGAAATCACGACTAGAAAATGCAGAATTTAACCCTGAGTACTTGGTATTCTGCAGACCATCCCCTAGGATCAATGCAGATAACAATTATCAATGCAGATAACTTCAAGGCTCAACACTGCTGGAGCTTCCTCATGCTTCATCAAGAGCCATTCAAATTCCTTTGAAGATGAATAAGTAAACATTGCTTAATTCCAGCCCTTTTTCCTTAGTGGTTATTTTTCCTGCCTTTAAATTGGCTCACTGAGAACCCAGGTTAAAAACAGTACACCAAACTCATAATTCTCTGTATTATATGATGTATGCAATGTTGTTGATTTCGTTCTAAAATCTTTGCTCAGGGCAGAAAGCAGCTTTTTGGTAATTTCATCTTCTCCATGACTCAGGTTCATTACAGCACTGGCCTTAAACTTGAGCTTGTGTGGATTTGAACTTAGAACTCTGGCTTTTCAATTCATGACCTTAGAAACAGATATTACTAAGAAAAGCCCACTGTAAGGTTTTGTTGCTTTGTTTCAGAGGCTAAGCATCAGGCATTACCTGTCAGATTTTCAAACTAGAGATCCTAAATAATAAAACAATATCTATAACTGAATAAGTTTGGGGGAGTTTTGTTTAAAAAGAAATTTGAATAAATATCCCTTCAGTTGGGAGCATAAGAGAAGTCTTCCAATAGTGACTATCTTGAGGGATCAGCTGTGTAGCTATATTCGAAGTATTTGTAAGCTGATAATGAAAGCCAGCCTTATTCATTTATATTCATATTTTACACATATTTCTCTGGTGTTTTGCTCTGAATTTATGGAAGACCTTTACATATTTTAGATAATCCTGACACTATCCATATGAGATACATGGATAAAGATTAAGATGATGGGGAAGAGGCCTCTCTGATTGTAACTGTAGTCTAAATCTAAAGGAAGGCTTGAGAGAGAGAGAGAGAGAGACAAAAAAAAAAAGATTGACATTTTTCATATGTAAATTCTTTCTGGAATTATGCTATGTAAGTTTGTATCGCTTTCTCTACCACCTCCTCCAGTTGCTCACTAAAATATTTCAGTCTGTCGAAATTGTTTTTTTTTTTTTCTTTCCTGGCCCTGTCCAAAGACCTCTTCCTTCCTAAACCTTTTCTTGGTGCTTCTCTCCATAAACCCATGGAACTTGATTTTTACCTCTGTAACAACATCTACTGTATTCTATTTTGTACAATGCTTATTTGTGTCTTGTTTAACCTTGACTACAGGTTGTAAGTTCCTTGGGGGTAGATCACATCTAATTGATCTGTTTCATCCATATAGCACTTAATGTAGGATCTGGTCCAGAGTCGAAGCTAAATATCTATCTGTTAAATGAATCAAAGGAAAGTTTGAATTCCAAATTTGTTTCCCTGTAGGAAAATCTGCAAATAAAATCTTTTCTGAATCTTCCCTTCCCTTACCCAATCAATTCTAAATGTTCAGTCTTCCTTCCTAATGTTTCTTGAATCTATCATTTCTTCTTCTCTGCCATTGCCCCAGCTTAAGTTCTCAGTTTGGTTCTCCTGGGGTAGCTTTCTACCTGGATTCTCTTCAGACTTCACTCTGCCTTTACTCCTTCCTTTTGACTCACTGCTTCAACTCTTCTTCACCTACAGTTTTCTGTGTAAAATAAATAAAAAACAAGCAAAGACACCCAAAGTCAATGTCCAGTGTTCTTCATTGCCTGCTAAATTATAAACTCTTCCAACACAGGAAAGCTTATTTCCCTGTACTGGCTGACATAAAAACGCATATGCTTGTCTAACTGGACTTTTTGTTGGTTCTGGAAGGTACCTAATCCTTCTGCTATGTCCCTTTTCTCATGCAATTCTCGAATGGCCACACCTGTAAACTGCTATCTGCAACTATTGTAATCTCACTTGTCTTTCTAACCTAGTCCAAGGACACAATCTTTCACTAAGTCTTTATTTTTGTCCCATTCCCTAAATGGCATGATCTCTCCTTTGTTGAGAATTCCTCTGTCTCTCCGTCATTTGAATTCTTTCTAAATCAGGAATCATGTCAGATTCATCTCCGTATAACCTACAGCACCTGTCAGAATGCCTTGCACATGATAGGTTTCAATAAATATTTGATTGAATTAAGTCTCCTAAAATTTATTCATATTTATCCATAGAATAGAAAAGACCATTTGGTATTTCTCTAATTCTCGATATCATCTTGCAATTCCATTTTATTTCTCACTCTCAGAATGTAAATGTCACTTTACAATTCCCCAAAGGAACCTAGCTTCTTTCTTTTTTTGTGCCTTTGCTCTATATCTGCATCTCTTTTCTCTGCCATTTTAATTCTTTCTTTCACTTCTCTTCCACTATTTCCCTTCCTTCAGCCTTGTCCAAAACTCTGAGCAAACTAGTACATCAATCTAGAACATCTGACATCAGCTCACATGATCGCAAAAATTTCTTTTAGTTCCATTAAAAGTCAACAGTTTAACAAGTCAACAGTTTAACAAGTTTCACAACTTGAGAATCTGTTATGAGAAACTTAACACTTGTCTTCTGGTTAAGCTTTCTTATTTTTAACTCTGGTGTTATTTTAAAGCTGTACAGAGGTCTTTGGGGCACTAGGAAAGAAGAGTGCAGTAATTCATTAGCCAAGGAAGCTTCCATCCTGGCGTGAGGGGGTCAGTGTGGTCAAGGGAAGTGTTGTTGAGATAAAGATGCATTTATAGCTACATAGCAAAATTGCAGACTGGGAAAATCCATTGTCTGGATGCTCCAAGGGAGGAATGCTGCCATGTCTCCTTCTTGTTTCCATCATGTATTTGGGGAATATTTTATATTTTTGTCATATTGTATAATAACAATGTTGCCAGTTCCCAAGTTACCATAAGGGATTATATATCAGTGCAATGTCCCAGGAATATGAATTAAGTGAGACCTAATTTTGAAAGAACTGTGTATTGCAAAATTTAACTTTGGCTTACTCTTCAGATCTAAAAGATGACAGAGGAATAAGGAAAGTTTATGCAGGGGACAGATGGAATGAAAAGTTAATGCTTGCTAGGGTCTGAATGTTTTTGTCCGCTCAAAATTCATATGTTGAAATTCTAACCAAGGTGACGGTATGAGGAAGTGGGCATTTTAGGAGATGATTAGATCATGAAGGATGAGCCCTCATAAATGGGATTAAATGCCCTTATTTAAAAATACTTCAGAAAGCTAGCTTATCCCTTCTACCATGTGAGGACACAGTGAGAAGGTGCCACCTATGAACCAGAAAGTTGGCCCTCAGCAGACACTGAATCTGCTGGCTTCTTGATCATGGGCTTCCCGGCCTCTAGAACTGTGAGAAATAAATTTCTGTTATTTATAAGCTACTCAGTTATAATATTTTGCCACAGCAGCCTGAACAGAGTTGGACATTTCCAATCCCAAGTAAATTTTTTGAGGCACTTTCCAGATATAATTAGAAATGAATATGAAAATGAGAGAAGCAATGGTGATTTGAACCATATTTCTCCACAGAAAATATGTGGCAGCAGCTAGGGTAAAAAATAAAAATAAAAACAAAACAAAAACCCAAATCCCGTTCATGTAAAATAGTTACCATGTGATGAAAATAAATAATAAGATAAAAATAGAACATATTTTCATTGATGTCAATCATTGTTGTGTATCAGTCATAAATATTACATTACATAATAAAATGTATGTTTATTTTATGTAACTGTTATTAGTTGAATTAATCTGCTCTCAGGAATCCATTCTGAGTCATGCGTAGTTGTATTGGTAAATAAATCTCTTAACAATAATGTAGGTAACAAGAAATATCTCCTTTCTTCATACCTCTGTCTTATTATTAAACCGTGGGGATATACAGTTAGTATACAGGACAATGACACAGCCAGGGGACAGGAAACTGGATTTTCTTTGATATATAATCATGTTCCCAGTGCTTCAGTTGTTCTGCTAAAGAAACTTTATTTCTTCCACAAAGCATATCATAATATATATTTGTTTCATAAATCCTCTCACCATCGTTACAAAGCAAATAGGAAACACATATTTTTATTTCTTATATTTGAATATATAGGCTAACCTACTAGAGGTGGAGAGCCATTTGCAATGTCAAACAGACCTGGCTTTGAGGCTTCCATTTTCACTGATTAGCCAAGTAACATTGGGCAAGCTCAAATTTCTTCATTCTGGACGTTTAGTACCTATCTATCTCAGAGGTTATTCTGAGGAATTAATGAGGATATAGATCTAACACACATACACAAACACAAATGCACACACACACACACATAAGCATCCATTGCACATGCACACTTTCAGGAATAGCTGGCACATTGTAAGTATTCATTAAATGTGGATGGTAGTTTTATTATAACAAAAGCACCTACTTTTTCTTAGTGTTTTCAATGATACAATTGCAGTGTTCAATACCTCCTCCTAGATGCCTGCAGTCAAGTACTGGGATCCAACACCTGCTGGCCTGCCATGGATACTGGACAATGATCTATCTTTCGCCTTTCATGAACTCTGCATGTGCTTGTACTGTAGTCAAGATGTTGTTGTCAAGAAAGCTATGAACATCCCTGTTCTTGTCATTATATTTAAACAAAGCATTTGGCTGTCAGGCCATTTTCTTTACATTTTGTTTAGAAGTGAAAAAACCCCAAAATACTTAGCAATGCCTGGCATGTAATGAGCTCTCACAAAACATCAGCATCAACACTCTTGATGGCCTGAGCTTTAATTGGTAAGGCTCACCCTGAGAAAAGGGAAGATGGATAAATGGGCAGGCTTTATTTTTTTAATATTTTATAACTATCATTCACACAACTATTACACCATTGCCATGTTTTTAGCCTTTTTTCTTGAAATAATTTAAAATTTTCAGAAGAGTTGCAAGAAGAGTACAAAACATATTCCAATACAGCCTTGACCAATTGGCAACATTTCACCTCTGTCTGTCCCTCGCATTCTCTCTCTGCTTCTCTTCCTATGTCTTGCTCTCTCCCTCTCCTCTTCTCTTTCTTTACATAGACAATTTTTTTACACCACACTCCTTTACCCAAAATGCTTTGCCATGATGTTTTTCTTGAGTACAAATACATTCTCAGCACAATTATCAAATCCTGGATCAATATAATACTATTTTCTCTATACTGTCCATGTTAAAATTCACCAATTATTTCTAAATATATCTTTATAGTGTTTATCTTCCCTCATCCAGGATCCAAGCTAGGCTGTGTGTCGCATTTAGTTTTCTCCCTCATTTACCCCATCTAGGGTTTATATCCTTCTTCTGAGAGCTTTGTGATTGCATAGTGCAAAATTCTCTAATGAAAACTTTTTTCCCAGTAAAAAGCAAAATATTTTTGAGATATAATAGATTCTTTACAAGTAATATTAATTTTATTATGCCAAAAATAAATTAAAAAAAAAACAGAGGGACTTTATTCTCACCTTTCTAATGACTTTCACAAACGCTACTTACTTAAAAAATCTCTCGGCCAGGCACAGTGGCTCACGCTTGTAATCCCAACACTTTGAGAGGCTGAGGTGGGTGGATCGCTTGAGCCCAGGAATTCAAAACCAGTCTGGGCAACATGGCAAGGCCCCGTCTCTATAAAAAAAAATACAAAAATTAGCCAGACATATCGGTGTCTGCATGGGGGGCTGAGGTGGGTGGATCACTTGAGCCTGGAAGGTAGAGGCTGCAGTGAGCCGAAATCATGTCACTGCACTCCAGTCTGGGTGACAGAGTGAGACCCTGTCTCAAAAAAACAAAAAAAAAGCCTTTTATCATGAAAAAGCCACAGGGTTAATCCTATATTGACTTGACCTGTTTTCCAGAATGGTTTGAATATAAATTGAGTCTCTGCTAAGTGCCAGTGTGAGATCTGGATTTGGCCCTGAAATGGTTTAAAAAAGAAAAGTCTAGGTAGAACAACATATTGTATGATTTCATTTGTATAAAGTGTCTAGAAACTGCAAATCTATGGAGACAAAAAGCAGATTAGAGTTTGGTGATGGGTAGTGGAAACTGGTATTGATTGCAATCAGGCATGGGGGATCTTTTTGGAGTGATAAAAATGTTTAAAAACTGGACTGTGGTAAGAGTTGTGTAATTCTGTAAATTTACTAAAAATCATTGGATTGTATGCTTAAAACAGGTAATTTTTTCTATATAAATTATACTTAAAAAAAAGCCATGGAAAGAAGGAAGGAAAGAGGGAGGGAGGGAGGGAGGAAGGGAGGAAGGAAAGCCCAGAAAATATATCTGGCCAGAGAAGTCTTATCCATAAAGTAATTTAGGCAAATTCAAGTAAAGGCCACAGAAGACATGAGTTTCCTGTGACTGCTTTCTTACCTGTGATCTATTCTGAGCTGCCCATATATGAGGGAAAGGGCAAAGCTTAGGAGTTATCTAAACTCTGTTGGTACCTAGAAAACCTTTCTTCACTGCCACATAGAAGAGTGATTTTGTACTATTTGTTTTCCTATATAAAACTCCTACCCTGAATTCATACCAGGAGCACAGGCTCATGAAATCATGATAAAAATGAAAGAAAAGTTGTCCCCACAACTATCTTGAAAGCTCCAAAGGAAAAAAGAGCCAATGAAAGTTGCTAAACTTGTCTTCTTGACAGGTGTCTGTTTGTATGAAAATGGTTGGAAGAAACAGATCAGCACCCACATCAGCGTAATGTCTTCATGGTCTTATGCTGCAATAAAGGGAATGATGCATGCTTCACTGCAGAAAAACTATAACTGCTGAGAAGTTCTTATAAACCAATGATCTCAAAATTATTTTGGTAATTTTTTTCTTCCAAATAAAATTAGATAAACTCTACATCCCTTCACTGCGCTCAATACCCACCTTCTGTAAAAAGCATGAAGAAAACTTCAATGGACCAACAAGGCTGTAACACTGGGGGAAATGATTGATTTCACTTAAACACCACCACCAACAAAAAATGTTTAAAAACAGTTTCACGGCGCAACTTTCTCCTTGCTTTTTTTTCTTATAGTTGGAATGTATTTTATCGTCTGTCAGTTTTGCCCCTATGATATGTCCTCTTAAATTGGATCTGTAAGCCCTTCATAAAGTTTAATAAATCTTCAGCATTTCACCCTAAGGAAATTATATTAAAAACCTTCAAATGTGAAGTTGGGCCCACAGACACACAGTGCTGGGAATTTTATCACCATAATCAGCGTGTAATGAAAGCCTCTGTCGCTGTTCCTTCCCAATCATAATCTGCCTGTCTTTATGAAAAAAGGGGGGTTTGTCTGGGTTCATCTGCAAGCTTTAATTGGAAGATGTCTTCATTTCATTCCAGCCTACTGGGATAATAACTCAGCCCCGTGTTTAAACACAGGCCCTTGCCGCTGATATTTTTTCATTTAGTAAAGCATGTCTCTTTAAATGATTTAGCAAATCATCATGAATGCCAAGCCAGGGTGATTGGCAGCTCATTGCTGGTGCACCATTTGCATGACATTTGTTCTTCAGCTAAGAAAGCTGCTGCAGGTAAACAAGCAGGCCCTGTACTGACTCCCTTTGAGTCTCTTCCTGTTTATTTTCTCATAATCAAATGACATTTATGGAGCCGCAAATGCAGCTGCACATATATGAGGGAAATGCAATCAGGCTAACATGATGACTTCATTCAGGTGATATTCTGATTAGTGAAAGGACATTTTTATGACATAGGGGGCTTTTTGATTGAGAAATCTGGCACATTCCCTTTTATATAACTAATACTTTATATTTTACCTGTATTTAAATGTAAAGTCTGGACTCAAATAATTGGTTGATTAGCTGTTCACTTATGAGGGTTTCATTAAAACCCAGGAAAGCATCAAGCAGGAGGTACAAGACAAACTTCTTTGTCCCATTCAGAAGATAGTAGCTTTTTCCCCCTTCAAAGGCAAAAAAAAAAAAAAGAAAATAATATGATTTAAAGCTATTTTATAAGATCAGTGAATGTAGCTTTTTCTAAAGGAGATTTCAGAGAGGAATTTATAGTTAAACCTTGTATACCTACTTTCTAGGTCATTATTCTACCAAGGAACATGGGCAATAAAAAATTGAAGTTTTTTTATTTTTAAAACTTTTAATAGTAACATCAAATACCTTTAACAGTTAATGTGGTTGAGGAGAATGACTAAAAGCAACCTCTATCTTAGCAGGCTGGCTAGAAATGTACGCATCCGTGGGGTTTACAGAGAGAAGTATTCCTTCAGATCTGAAACATTTCCCTTGCACTATGGGCAGATATAATCTTTCAAAACTTCCTCAGCTTATCCTCCCTGAGGCTAAGCAAGGGTGGGCTATCATTTCAGCCCTGCGATAATGATACATTTTCACAATCAGCTGTCAAGTCCTTTATAAGGAGCACCTCAGACAACCTGCGACCACTCAGTTCTTTATGACCTAAAACAATCACTCTAGGAAAAATTCTGTCTTTTTTATCACTTCAATATGAGAAAAGAATGGAGAAATAGGCTTATTTTAAGGACAAGAAAGTAGTTCTAAGCAACTCAAATTTTATCCTACTATTTTATTTTTTTGCCATTATGATTTTGAGTTTCTATTCCGGATAAGTTCCCCACCACCCCACCCAACCCTGTGATTTCTTTCTCTTTAGCTCTATGAATCTTTTTTACACTTTTATATTATGGTTTTTAGAAACTGGGTCTCTCTCTGTCACCCAGGCTAGAGTACAGTGGTGTGATCACAGCTCACTGTAATCTCAAACTCCTGGGCTCAAGCAATCCTCCTGCCTCAGCCTCCCAAGTAGCTAGGACTGCAGGCGCACACCACCATGCCTAGAATTTTTTTTTTTTTTTATTTTTTGTAGAGACAGGGTCTCGCCATATTGCCCAAGCTGGTCTCAAACTCCTGGCCTCAAATGATTCACCTGCCTTGGCTTCCCAAAGCACTGTGATTACAGATGTGAGCCACCATGCCCAGTCCTATGAATCTTAACAAGAAATGATTCAACCAACCCACAAGTCCTAGAATTTCCCCCAGTTAATCAGGGATGAAACAAAAAATGCCGCCCCAAAGCAATACTCCGAACTGAACAGACACTACCTATTCTGGGGCTAGTTAAGATCGCAAACTTTAAGAGCCATGAAGTAAAAGAGAAAAAGCCAGCAACAAGCCTGGGAAGGAGGCGTGGCTGGAACTGAAAGCCAAGGTCTAACATGACTGTAGTCTTTATTGGTCTTTTTGTCATACTTAAACACATAAAAAATACTTGTTTCAGCTCTTCCAACCTACAGGTCAATGATCCTAAGTAATAACAATAACATTTATATGATTCTTTATGACTTCCAGGATGTTATGTCATTTGATACAATAATGTCTAGGATAAGCTCTACATTAAGAGGATGCTGAGTGTTCACTGATGGCAGAAGCTTTTGCAGACACCTGGTTCTTTTGACACAGACAAAAGAAAGAAATCACTTTTCCATTGGCAGAGTACATGTGTTTGGTGTGGGGCACTGCCCCATGGAACTGTTCATCTTCTTCTTTTAGTGTGTTTGTACAAGGTGGGAGGGGTGAGAGGCTCTCAGTCCTCTCCTCATTGAGAGGAGGAGAGAACTCATGATTTAAAATGTCTTTCTAGTCTTTGGTTTGTTTTTTCTCTAAGGAAATCAAGAGATCTAAATGCCCTGTAAGAAATCTGATTCAGATCGGGTGTTGGGAATGATGACTGTAAGATGTAAACTGCATTCTGTGAAAAAAGAAGTGACATTATCTTGAGGGATTTCTGGACAATTTGTAGACCATGCTGTCGGAGGGTAACTCTAACTCCATTTTGCCTAAGTTGAGGAGACATGCATGGAGTGTATAGACTCATGAGTCTGCCACCAAATGGGGATAACACTCAAGGGAACGTTTGTGGCGGAGCCTGAGCGCCATCCTCCACCATGGCAAGATTGGATTAGGTGCCCTGTTGTGTCTCCCTTTAGCACACGACACTTACCTCAGACACAACATTTGTCACACTTTTAAATAACTGTCTGTTTAGTTGTCTGTGATGGTTAATATTAGGTGTCAACTTGATGGTGTTGAGGGATGCCAAATGGCTGGTGAAGCATTGTGTCAGGGTGTGTTTTTCAGGGTGTTGCCAGGGGAGACTGACATTCGAGTCAGTGGACTGGGAGAGGAAGATCCACTCTTAAGGGTACTGTCCAATCTGTTGGGGGCCCGGCTAGTACAAAGCAGGCACAAGAAGGGGACACAGAGCACTTTTTCTCTTTCTTCTGGAGTGAGAGGCCTTTTTCTCCTACTATCCTTGGACATCAGAATCCAGGTTCTTCAGGTTTAGACACTGAGATTTGCACCACTGGACCCCTATGGACTCTTGGGCCTTCAGCTTCAGACTGGAGGCTGCACTGTTGGCTTCCCTGGTTCTGGGGCTTTTTGGACTGAGCCAGGCTACTGGCTTCTCTGGGAGCCACACTACCAGACTCTGGTTCTCCAACTTGCAGACGACCTATCATAAGACTTTGCCACTGTGATTGTTTGAGCCAATTCCCCCTAATAAATCCACTTTCATATGGATCCTACTGGTTCTGTCCCTCTGAAGCAGCCTAATACGTGGTTTGTGCCCCATATTAAGCAGTGAGCAACTTGAGGCAAGGGACTACATCTTATTCACCTGTGTGTCAGTTACCAGTTTATTGCCTCTTAGGTCCAAATACATCCTTCAATATATGCTATGATAAACCACAGAGTTCCTATAAGCATTTCTCCTTAAAAGGGAACATGATGTGAAGCCTTCTTAGTAGAGGGCACTGGAGGGGCATTGCAGGTGGAAGGGGCTTTCTGTAATTTCTGGTGAGAGGAAGGCAGAAGGACATCCAGAGTTATCCATTGCTGCCTGCCAGAGCCACAGACAGTCAGGAACTACCCCACCGCGTAGCCTGGGCCTGGTAATAACCCATTCACAACTCTCTATGCAGAACTCAAAGACCCCTTGCTCCACATCCCACCATGAACAGGGCTGCCTGAATGGCCATGTCATAGTTGCTGATGGTCTGCTCCCAACCTGCAGTACCGAGGGCTGACTGTTGTTTGCAATTCCAGACTAACACTGGACTGGCTAAACTGGTGAATATCTCTCCATTTTGTAGCTGAATATAACTTCAAAGTGATTGCCAAGTTTATTTTTTCTTCGCTACTGTCCCTCAGCCCTAGGGTACTATATAAAGTTTCCTTATCTATTATAGTTAATAATCCTTATATTAAGCTTCCTCTGTAAAACCTACAGAGTTTTAGTTTTATAGCTTAATTCTTATATTAAACTTCCTCTGTAAAACCTACAGAGTGTGGTTTCTATCTCCTGATCACTACAATCCAAGAATATTCTTTGCCCAGTGCAGTGCCTGACACCTTGGAAGTTACCAGTAAATATTCATTGAATGTTCAACAAATGAATGGAGGGATGAGTGAATGAGAGGGGTAAAGGATCCCTAACTCTTGCACATTGGCTGTCTTGCAGACTAGCATTTCAATGTCTCCTGACAAAGCATCATCTCTACTTTTGTCACATCTAATCAAAGAGTCATCAAATCATTAGCAAGGAGTTTGGTGACCATAATCTTCTGGTTCTGAGCCAAACAGTGTTAGTTTCTAAGTCCTCAGAAATTACATATAAGTTTTACCCTTTATATTAGTCAAGATTCTCCAGATAAACAGAACCAATAGGATATTTACATGTACAGAGAGAAAGAGATTTATTATAAGGAATTGCTTTGCACCGTTAAAGAAACCAGAGTGCAAAAACTGCATGGTGGACCAGCATGCTGGAGACCCAGGAGAGCTGATGCTGCAGATGACATCTAAAGGCTGTCTTCTGAGAAATTCTCTCTCGCTTGAGGGAGGCTGGTCTTTTTGTTCAATTCCTACCTTCAACTGATTGGATGAGGCCCACCCACAGTGTGAAGGACAAAGTGTTTTACTTAAAGTTCACCAATTTAAATGTTGATATTACCCAAAACACCCTCACAGAAACACCTAGAATAATGTTTCACCAAATGTCTGGACACCCCATGGCCCAGCCTATTGACATGTAAAATTAACCTTCACACACCCCTGTAAGCCCCTAAACTCATCTATAGCAGGAAAAAGAGGAGAGGGGATGGTGTAGTTATCATCATTTAGGAATTTGGCCTGGGCTGCCACCACAGATGTGATTCAGCTATGAGGACTTAGCCAGCACACAGTTCCCTAATGTTCCAACTTTAGGAGATTCACGTCAGTTCCCTTGTAAGAGATCTTTCTCTGTCTCCTGTAGGGATATGTCATTTTCATCAGAACATGGCATTCTCTCCTAATGCTGCTTCAAACAGAGAAATGGCATTTAGGAAAAGCCTATAAACCTATCCCAGTGGAAGTGGAAATATTTTCAGATTACTGAGGCCCTGAAGTAGGGCAATAAATAAATAATAGTTTAACATTCTCATCTGGAAGAGGAATTGGTGCAAGCACTGAGGTTCTAATAGAATTGACTTCATTCTCTTCCATATCAGAAGGCAGCAAGCACTGACTACTACAGATGAGGTTTGGGTTTTCTCCTTAGGCATTATTCCAAGAATTTTAGATAGGATAATTCTCTTTTCTCATCACTACTGACATACTGTTATTTTAACATTCTAGATTGGTTAAAATTCATGCAACCTATAGTGAACCATCCAGATTTCTTTTGCACGGAGTATGCCCAGATCATTAAAAACCTGCAGATTTATCAAAGAAAGGGCCATTTGATCTCTTTTTACATCACTAAACATCAACATCCTGATGCTAGAAGTAATATTTTTGGCTTAGTTCAGTTTATCTTTTTAAATTTTTTACATGAAAGACTGTTTGGTCTAATATTAAAGTGAATTACATGTATTTTGTGTGTCTTACCCACAGCTTTCTGTATTTATATTTTGTCTGCCTTTTTAAAGGCAAAAATCAAAGTGGGGAAAAATTTGTGGCATGATAGAAAAACCAATTTCAATTCTAAGCTCTTGTTAAATGTGTGAGTCTAGGTGTAGCAACCAGAGAAGATGAAATTTCTGAAAGTGTATTACACTTACGAATGTAAAGACCAAATTTTTGGTGTCATTCTGAATGTGCAACCTTGATATTAGCTGATACATATGCTTGCCAGCATAACATCTGTCTGCAAATGGACAATAGGCTCCACATTGCACTGAGCACATGCATGCAGGCGCATGGTCTTCGTGTATAAGCACAGGTATGAGGGTCAGAGATGAACTAACTGCACATCTTGCTGCCTATTTCCACCAATTTTTAAATACGCCAATACTAGATTTTAGTCTACATTTACAGATGTGTATTTTAATACAAATAAGAAATTTACCTCTTTTCTGTTTCACTGTTCTTCTTGGAGCTAGAGAGAATTTTCTCCTGTAAACATCTCTAAATTCAACCAGGTGAACAAAGTTTTCTTTAAGAATGACAATAAAGAAGTATAGAACATAGAGTAAAATATTCTACTATAGTAAAATATTCTACTGTTATCATCTAAATATCTTTTTCCCAAAAGGATTCTGATAGTCTGAAGGAAAAGTACAATTTCTTCCTGCTACCCTATTAAAATAATTAAGGATCGGTTTTAGGACTCCCTAACAATTGTTTTCAGGAAAGTAGATTTAAGGAGCTTTATCCTCTAGTGACTTAATCCTAGGAGATAATTGTAAAAGGGAGATTGTCATGTTAGATATGAAAGGAATCTTTGCAGGTTTCATTCTATCCTGTTTTTATGCTTGTACGTCTCGTTTGGGTTTCTTTGCAACATGGATAAATATGGTTTTTGCTTTAAAAATAAAAACAATTGTATCATCTCTCCATGTGTCATATCAGACAAGTTCCTTTTGAAATAAAGTAGATGGAGCTTTATGAAACGTACCTCTGCTTCCTGTCTTCAGAGATTACATAGTCTGATTAATAATCAATATCAGGTATTCCCTTGAACCTCTAAAAGCTGCATTCAGTTTGCTAAGAAATTTAAACTATAAAATTAAAATTAAAGGAAGAAACTTTCCTCAAGGTCCATATAAAAAGAAAAAAATTAACTTCTGGTTAAAATGATTGCATCAAATAAGGCAGTAATGAGCCAATCTGAATAATAAGTTTGAAAGTCATGTTACCATTTTCTGAGGATAAGAGAGCAAATTGCCCCACATGGAATAGCAGAAGGAACCTTTTCTCCTTTCCTTTCCCCTTGAAAAAGACACGTGTCTCCTAAAAGGGGAAGGAGGGACTAGGAAGCCAAACTGGCAACTACAGGATGAAAACTCGTCCTCCTGGCATGCTCAGTGTTGTTGTTCTTCAGGCTTTTCTGTCTGTCCAGAGGGAAACCTACGCCAAGAATTTCATCTTGCCTTTTCTTTCAGTAGATCTGGCATGAATTTCCTGGCTTACAGGTACCTTTTGAAATGTGAGGATCAAGTATAAATTGCATTTTTTTTTTTTAAGAGACACGCTCTCACTCTGTCACCCAGCCTGGAGTACAGTGGTGTGATCCTAGCTCAGTGCAGCTGCAAACCCCTGGGCTCAAACAATCCTTCTGCCTCAGCCTCCCAAGTATCTGGAACTCCAAGCATGCCCCACCACACCTTTTTTTTTTTTTAAATTTCTTTTTACAGATGGGGTCTCACTATGTTGCCCAGGCTGGTCTTGAGTTCCTATCCTCAAGTAATCCTCCCACCTTGTCCTCCCAAAGTGCTGGGATTACAGTGGGGAGCTACTGGCACCTGGCCATAAATTGGATTTTTTTTTGCTTTTTCTTTTTTTTTTTCTTTTTTTGAGATGGAGTCTCACTCTGTCACCCAAGCTGGAGTACAGTGGCATGATCTTGCCTCACTGCAACCTCTGTCTCCCAGGCTCAAGCGATTCTTGTGCTTCAGCCTCCCAAGTGGCTGGGACTATAGGCGTGTGCCACCATGCTCGGCTAATTTTTGTATTTTTAGTAGATACAGGGTTTTGCCATATTGGCCAGGCTGGTCTAGAATGGCTGACCTCAAGTGATCTGCCTGCCTCTGCCTCCCAAAGTGCTGAGATTACAGGCATGAGCCACTACACCTAGACATAAATTAGATTTTATTGATTTGTTAAATCAGCATTGATCATGTCCACCAAAAAGAATATGGGAGGATAGTAGGGAAAAGGTAATAAAATACAGTGCTGGTTTTCAAACTGTGCTGTAAGAAACCCTAGGAATTCATGGAGCCCTTAAAAGCCACTATAAGATGCAAAGGAGTAGGTCTGTGGGTAAGCAGGCCTGACTTGCCCTACGTCACCCTTGACCACATTTATTTCAATAGAGACACTTCTGTTCAATCAGGTTTTACATGCCCAGAGTCCACATAAGATTTCATTTGGAAAAAAAAAAAATCTTGGAAACATACAGACACACACAAACTCTATATGAAAACCCTCAAACAATTTGTATTTCCCTTCAGACTCAAAGGATTCTGATTGACTATTGGTTGTCCATTAGCCCAGGGCCTGTGTAATACCCACATGCTTGCATTAGGGAGTGCTGTCGAACATTAGCTATTTCTTTCTCTTTTTTTGTTTGAGTTTCGCTCTTGTTGCCTAGGTTGGAGTGCAATGGCGCTATCTCGGCTCACTGCAATCTTCGCCTCCTTTGTTCAAATGATTCACCTGCCTCAGCCTCCTGAGTAGCTGGGATTACAGGCTTGCACCACCACACCTGGCTAATTTTTTGTATTTTTAGTAGAGATGGGGTTTCAACATGTTGGTTAGGCTGGTCTCAAACTCCTGACCTCAGGTGATCTACCCACCTGGGACTCCCAAAGTGCTGGGATTAGGGGCGTGAGCCACTGTGCCCGGCCACTATTTATTTCTTTATGTAGTTCCCTTGTATTCCTTGGTGAGTTTCCATTGGTTCAGAGCTTCACAAATGGGGAAATAAATTGTATTACAATTCAATGGTTTTCCACCAGAGAAACTATTGTTAAACTTTCTCCAGTTACCAGAATCACTTAGGAACTTGGTAAGAATAAGAAGGCCAGAAGCAATCCTTCTTCAGCCAGCCTGATCTTCTGTGTTCTTCATGATCTTTCCAGATGATGTGTATACAAACTGAAGTTGAAAATCACCGATTTCTAAGAAAAGAGTCACTGATGCTTGTCCTTTGTTTGTTATCACTACAAAATGCATTCTATACCGTTTGGTTTGTCCTGGGGAAAGAATATCTATAGCCACTGCTAACACTTAGAAATAGAAAGAAAGCTAAAGAACAATCATGAGACATATTTATGGTGCAGACTATTTGACACAGCATGATTTAGGCAAATATTAAATCAAAGTTCTGGTCTCAGTACATTTTCTGTTGCCTATAACAGAATACCTAAAATTGGGTAATTTGTAAAGAAAAGGAATTTATTTTTACAGTTATGGAGGCTGAAAAGTCCAAGGTAAAGCATCTGGCAAGGGCCTTGTTGCTGATGGTAACTGTCTGCAGAGTCCTAAGGCAGCTCAGGGTGTCACATGGCGAGGGGCCTGAGAGCCCTAACACAGATCTCTCTTCCTTTTCTTATAAAGTCACTAGTACCACTTTCATGATAACCAGTTAATTCATTGATCCATTAATCCACTCATCCATGAATAAACTAATCCATTCACCAGGGCAGAGCCCTCGCCATGATCCAATCACTTTGTAAGGCCCCACCTCAATACTGTCCCATTGGGGCTTAAGTTTTAACATGAGTTTTGAAAAGGGCAAACATTCAAACCATAGCAGTTCTCTAAGAAAACAACATGTTCCAACAACATTATTTCCTGGTGCTCATTCATTGATTCATTTAATACACATTTGGTAATGGAAGGCAGGTAAATAAATTAATAATTCCAGGTCAATAAGATAAGTGACTAAAGGAGGTACAGGGTGAGTGTGAGTGATAAACATCTACGTTTTCTCAGTATTTTAAGAAATCCTTCACAGTGGACAAGCATTTGAGTTGAAGCCCAATGCCGGGATTTACTTCCTAACTTTTCCAGAATCAGAAAACTAAAGGCTATGGATAGTCCTTATCTACTTTATATTAAGAAATATCATCAGGATTATTTAAAATAAAACCTAATTTTCTCATTTTAACTGTGCTTTTCTATAACTTATTAAGTTGACTCCAAAACCCTTGAGATCTTCAATTAGGAGCACGTGGATAATCATCTTTCAAAATCAGTGTTGCTTCTCTACCTTCTGTCTCAGAATTGATATATTCCTCGTTGTGGCTCATATTTTTTACTGCAATCAGGAACCAAGCCCAAGCCAAGAAGATATCTGTTGTAATGTAGAAAGTGGGCTTCGATGTATCTTGATCATAAGAAAGTCTTTAACATCTACCTATTGTTGTTGTTGGTTATTATTTTATTTTATTTTATTTTATTTTATTTTATTATTTTATTATTTTTTGAGATGGAGTCTCACTCTGTTGCCCAGGCTGGAGTGCAGTGGTGTGATCTCAGCTCACTCCAACCTCTGGACTCCCAGGCTCAAGTGAATCTCCTGCCTCAGCCTCCCAAGTAGCTGGGAATACAGACGTGTGCCACCATACCTGGATGATTTTTGTATTTTTAGTAGAGACAGGGTTTCCGCATGTTGGCCAGGCTGGTCTCAAACTCCTGACCTCAGGTGATTCACCCACCTTGGCCTCCCAAAGTGCTGAGATTGCAGGTGTGAGCCACCACTGTGCCTGGCCTACCTATGGTTATTAAAACAGGTTTTGCTTCAAATAGCCTTGGATCTGAGGGGTGCTTTCGCATTCACACACCCTTATTAGTCAATACAATGCCCATATCAATACTCCCCCACCCACTTCTACTCTACCACCCACCCCAGGCCCTACATCTCTTATATATCTATAACAACTACACATCTCGGCTTGAATCAATCCAGCCTAAGAATTTATTCCAATTGAATGGAAGAAGGATTAGGTAGAAAAGACTAAAGGTATTCTAAGTTTCTCCTCTCCTTTGGTATAGTTTCTCATACTACAGCACAGGAAACAAATCTGAAATACATACTGTAATGAAGCATGTCATAAAATAACATAATCTAATTCCCACATGAAAATTAAAGTGCATGTTTCAGTAGAGTGAATAAACTGCTGGACTTGCCGTCAAAAGACCAATATTTAAATCCTTATTTTGCTATTTATTATGCATTACCTTAGACAACTCCCTGTAGTATTGTTTTCTTATCTGTAAAAACATGCATCATGATACTTTCCTTGCAGAATTATTGGGAAGATCCAGTTAAATAACTTAAGTGAAAACACCTAGGATTGTAACTGGAACATATTAGAATCCTCATAAATTATTATCAAAATAAAATTTATTTTTTCCAAAATATCTTTTGGAAAAAGTCATTTGTTGAGAGATAAAGTAAAATAAAATTAGATTTTTTTCATGACTCACATGGGAACTGGGTGGAATATCACTTTCAATCCTTTCTTATGGAGAAAAATGAAACACAATTCATTCACTTAACAAATATTTACTGAGGGTCTATTACATGCTGTCATTAGTCTAAGTGCTTAGGCTTCATCAGTGAACACAACTCTTGCCTTCATAAAGCTTATAGTCTAGTGAGCAACAAGATATTTTCTTGGTTTTTTTCAAAGCCCATCTCCAGTCAATAGAACACACACACACACACACACACACCCCATATGCTTTGTGACTGTTGCACAATTTCTTTTCTGTTGCTCTTGCCAAAAAAAGAATAAGAATGCATGTACATGTATAGGAGTCACCAAAATATATGCGAGTCTCCACATAAGGTCATGCACATTGACTACAATGTGAGAAGTGACCTTGGAGTTATTCAAGTTGGTGGCCATAAATATACATAAAAATAAAACTCTGCTTTCTAGCTAAATTTTAGCTTTAATTGTAGTCCTTGTCAGAATTCTCCAGACTAGAAGTATTCTTCAGTGAATAACCCATGCAAAATGAAGATTAAAAATTATTTTGTTAATGCCCTACACTACATAAAATGTTGCTATAAAGGAAATTGACGTAGATCTTACAGATGGCATTTTTGGAAAATAAACTAGCCCTAGACTGAGCAAATTCTTATGACACTAGATCACTGGGGAGTGCTTTTATTAGAAGGGAGTTAGGGAGAGATCCTCCAAGAGATTGATGTTTGAAATGGAAGAATCACAAAGCATTTCTTCTCATTGTTGGAAGTAGATAACTATTTTTAAAAAGGCATTAAAACCTGTCATGTTCACCCACACAAAGTCTCAAGTGACCATGTGTCTTATTCCTGAAAACTCTCATAATTTTCCTGTTAATAAGGCAAAGGAAAAGGGACCATGTGAATTGCAGTCATTGGTAATCATTTGAGGACTACAGTGTTGTCTCTAGCTTCATAGCTCTAAAGTCCACTATTTGATGGATTAAGTAGGATAGAAGTGGATAAAGTACTGACATTACAGGGGTTAAAACCCCTGGTCTCAGTACCAGACATTGAGCAATGGAGCAGGGCTGCTATGGATGATTCATGCTCCTGGAGTTTCTCAGGGCCAGAAATGAGTGATTATTTCCTTTGTGCATGACTTGGGCCATGCCTGGCAGACAGCTGGCCTCGGGGCATCTTAGAGCCTATTCAAAAGTGTGACCAGACTTTAGTAGAGGATGCTGAAAGAGTCACTCTATTCTTAGCAACTGAGAAAGGAGTAAGTCAGAATTGAGATGTGTTTGATCTCATCAAATGAATTGTAGATACGATCCTCAGCAATGAGGGGAGTAATGGGAGTGGTCTCTGAAGAACTTGCAGAAATTCATAGAAAGAGTCACATTTTAATGTCCGTTGAGCCCATAAAATACTGACTGATATGGTTTGGCTGTGTCCCCACCCAAATCTCACCTTGAATTGTAGCTCCCATAATTCCCACGTGTTGTGGGAGGGGACTGGTAGGAGATAACTGAATCATGGGGGCAGTTCCCCCCACACTGTTCTCATGGTAGTGAATAAGTCTCACGAGATCTGATGGTTTTAAAAGGGGAAACCCCTTTTACTTGGCTCTCATTCTCTCTTGTCTGCCGCCATGTAAGACATGCCTTTCACCTTCTGCCGTGATTGTGAGGCCTCCCCGGCCACACAGAACTGTGAGTTCATTAAAACTCTTTTTACTTATAAATTACCCAGTCTTGAGTATGTCTTTATTAGCAGTGTGAGAACAGACTAATCCACTGACCTTGGATTAGAATGACAGTACCCACTAAGTTATATTCTTGACTTCTTATATCTTGTCCCATCCTATGAACCAACCCTGGTTAGCAACATGGAAAGGGGGAAAAAAAAAATCACTGCCCTAGATTGGAAGGGGAGAAGCTGACTGCTGTCCCTCTCTTTGCTGACCAGAGGCTTCTAGTACGCAGCAGGCAGGAGACGAGTGAGGAGAAGCTTTTAGATTTAAATCATGATGGCAGTGTTAATTTTCAAATCAAGATGGACTTTACAATTACTCAATTGAGACTGTGTTTTATGACAGGAAGTGACTAGAGAATACTCTGTGTTACCCAAAAGTAACTAGTTGAACTAGTTGGGGACTGAGTTTTTAATCCAGGAGCAAGAACTAACCAAACAGAGCAATTAGGGAGACAGTGGGAGTAAAAATAGAAGTTGCTTGAGGATTACATTGCATGGGTTGCAGTTACTCAAGATACAGGTGACAGACGGTGCTTTGATTCATTCACTACCACAGTGACCAGGTGTGTATCAGCTTTGGAAGGAATAAAATGCATACAATTTCTTAAAATCTAACAGGGAGACTATATTCCATCTCTTTGCCTGCACAGTTTGGAAAAGATTTTTAACACATGAAACTTTCCATGATGTCTTTGAGGACTTTAGATAAGGGTGAGGAAGAGGAATTAATGAGGCACAGTGCCTAGCCAATATGACTCAAAGTTTCCATGAGCCACTGCCCCATGTCTGAATGCCCTCTGGGGAGCTACACCTCTCTCTTTGTTTCATATATACGTATCCTTGTTTTACATCCAAGTTTTCAGGTTAAACTATAGTAACGATAAATCCAGAATGCTTCCTAGGCTGAGCCAGGCTATAAGAGTTTGACATAGACATAATTATCATAAGTCTAACCTTTCTTTAGCAATTCTTTCATGCCATCCATATGTTGTGATTACAAGGGCCAAAGAAAGGATTTCTGACATGACAGGTTTTTCTTCATCTAATAGCTGATGCTTGAAATTTATATAACAAGGAATAGTCATTCATTCCATAGTCAGATATAAGGCTTACTTTATACATCCACATATGACTCAAACACACTCTAAATTGTAAATATCAGATAATTTCCTAAGAATAAATTTGGGAGTAAATGTGAGGAAACCAAAGGTGAAGTAGGAAGAGCAGTAAGTAAAATAAAAAGAAATATTGGCCTGGCAAATTTAAGCAAATCTTCCTCTACCTCATGCTTGCCTTAGAACTCCATCTGTTTCTAAAGAGATTTGTGAGAATGAAGTTTTCAGAAACCATTTTTGGTCATTGAATTACAAAGTACACACCTTGGCAACTGAAGATATCATGTTGTGAAGTTTAGATTCATTGGCATCATAAAGACGGTAGACTTCTTTATTCAGTCTAACACCCTTTGAAATATTTCCCAAGCATATAACTTTTAAACTGCTAGACTCTGCTATCACTATCTTCTCACACTTTAGAGAGTTAGTCTTGTCAAAACTGGACTTCAGGGATTCCAAGTCAGCAAATTGATTTATGGAATAAGTGGCTATATACGAATAACAGGTGAAAGTTTCAGTGAGCATTCACTTTCCTCTGACCAGGTCATTTAATTACAATATGGTATTGTTTCATTTGAATCACTCTGAATTCTGTTTCTTATGATGAAAAAACTTGTTATTCCTAATTACTACTTAACTTATATGATAATACATAAAGTATTAACCAATTACTTAATACTTTATGAAAATAACTATAATTCTTAATTAGTATATTCCCAGTAGATTTGACATATTCAGAATGTTTCTCAACCAAAAAGAGGAGAATATCATCCTAAGAATTGCTTTTATATTGCTTCATGTTTCATAAATAAAGTACTATTATCAAAATTTTTTGTTATAAAAGGTATTTTTGGAGAATTGACTCAAAGACATTTATTTCATAGTATATAATAAGAGAGTGAGCAGAAGTCTTAATACAAATGAATACAATGTTTTAAAAATTGATTTTATAAAGATGTTTATTTCCAGTAGATTGCACACCTCATACCCTAGGTAGATACACCAGCATGGTGGATATGGTTGATAAAAGAGCTGTGATAACATATCTTCCTCCCATGAGTTTATTTTTCTCTGGGAGAGCTAAGACATGGTGGGAAGCTCCCTGACAATGACATTGTTAAAATTTCCAACAACTTGCTACAGATGCAGTCCCTGAGCAGCCAAAATAGGTAAAAGGAATACTAGGGAGGGTCCATAAAGGATAAATACGCATAGCAATCTGAAAGCAAAGTTTTTTTAACCTTATTGTTTCTCTGATCGACTCCTTTTCCCCATTGTTTCAAGCTGCCTTGTATGCTTCGGATGCCCTATATCACTCTCTCTCCTACTGAGCAGTACTTAAAAATGACCTATCCCAGCCATACACATATATGAAAACTTGTGTTTCTATGTTGGATATGGTCCTGACTATGAGGAGCAGATAAATATTGGGCCAAAACCCCTCAAATATCTGACCCTCCTGGTCATACTCTAGAAATAATGTAGGAAAGGCACATATATACACACCAATATTTTAAAACTGAGTGCTTTCATACATTAAAATGTATATATTTCTTCCTTTGAAAAATTTTTAATAAGGGACCAGTCTTCCCACCTTGCAACCATCAGTTCTGGGGGAATAGACCCTGCACCTTTTAAGCAGATTTATTTAGTTTTTACAGTCGGCAGTTATCAACTCAGCATGATTTTTCCCCTCTGGGGACATCTTGCAATGTCTGGAGACATTTTTGGTTGTCACAACTAGGAGTGGGTATGCTACTGGTATCTAGTAAGTAGAAACGACAGCTAACACTAAGCATTCTACAATGCATAGGATGGCCTCCAACCAGTAAGAATTATCCAGTTCCAGATGTCAAGAGTAAGGAGATTGAGAAACTCTGCTACAGTGCATACATGACTCACTTCACATTTTGGTTACTTGCCAGGGCTTGTAGACATTTGGCTTTGTAATCCCTGCATAACCTCATTCTAAATATCATAAATAGATAGATAGAATAATATGCAATCAGAAAGCTCAAAATAATTTGTCTAATTTGTAATTGAGAAGCTTGCTACCAAATACAATACTAATTATTAAGCCATATGAGGCAGATATTTGGAGGCTCGCAGGAGGTCTTTCCTACTCTGATTATCATCCTACCTGTAACTCACACATGAAAGGACAGTTGAGCAGGCTCAGCTGATGAGTTGCCAAATCTATGATCTAAGGGATCTCCCTAGGAATTCATTACTGATCCACACTTAGAATTTTTAGTATAATACCCTTATGGTTCTGTCAGAAGACAATTTTCCATGAACCTGTCATGTCTCTGAATGTCCTCAGTGTGGTTTCCTTCTGGGCTATCTTTTCATAGATGTCTGGATAGCTAACAACCTTGGAAGATAGTGTCTCCTTCTGGAGCAGAGGGCAGGTTTTCATACTGCCAAGTATAATAAACAGAAAGTCTCTATCAGGAGCAAAGGGCAAGCAGGTTTGTTTATTGCATATTATAAAAAATTCAGGTTCCCTAAGCTCAGCTTTTCTCAACTGTGACATAAAAGCATAGTGTGTGCAGCATCTACCTAGAACCCTCCACATCTCCCTGCCTAGACAAAGGAAACCCATGCTTGCTGTGCAATGAGTAATAAAGTTTTTTGTCTCTGACCCAGGACTCTCATGTCTTCTGCTAGCATGTCAAAAACTGTGAAGAGTCTGAAATTTTACTCTACTTGCAAGGTAACATAAACCCACCAAAGACTTTGATAAATTTTATAAATCTTGTTTTTAAAAACTTGAACTCTACTTTACCTGAGTTAAAGAACATATTTGCCAAACCTTAAGCAATGAATAGCACTGGCACTTGGGCAACTGGTTTAAGAACCACAGAATATTTTTCCTCTCCCAGTACTATTTGTTCTGGCTTTCCTGAAGTTCACTTGGCTATAGCCTTAGTTATGCATATATTTTTTTTGATGCCAGTGAACCATAATCCTTCTTTCCCTCCCTACCCCCTCCCTCCTTCCCTTCATTCCTACTTCTTTTTTTTCTTTCTTTCTGTTTTTGAGACAGAGCCTCACTCTGTTGTCCAGGCTGGAGTGCAGTGGCACAATCTCAGCTCACTATAATCTCTGCCTCCCAGGTTCAAGTGATTCTCATACCTCAGCCTCCTAAATAGCTGGGATTACAGTTGTGTGTCACCACGTCCGGCTTATTTTTGTATTTGTAGTAGAGATGGGGCTTTGCCATGTTAGCCAGGTTGGTCTCAAACACCAGACCTCAAGTGACCCACCTGCCTTGGCCTCCCAATGTGCTGGGATTACAGGCATGAGCCACTGCGCCTGGCTTCTTCATTCCTTCTTTTCTTCCCTCCCTCCTTTCCTTCATTCCCTTCCTCCTTCTCCTTTTAAAACACTCTCTGTAGTCCATATTACTTTTTCTTTGATCTAAATTCATATAGTATTATACTCTGTTGTTGGTGGAGAAAAATAAATCATTGAGTTAGGAATGTAAGCGCGCGCGCGCGCGCGCACACACACACACACACACACACACACACACACACACAGCTCTTCCAAGCTAAGTTCTCTCTCTCATAATGAACTTTTAATTTATTTTTAAGCAGAGCATATTGTCTTGGAGAAAGGAAAAGAAAAAACTAATTTGTACTCATTTTTTTCCTTTTTTATCTGTTACCATTTATATTCTAGTAATTTCCTCAATAAATTTTGCATCTTCTGCAGATTTGGAGGGCACATGTTTCTTCTCAGAGGTTTCTATTAGAAGCAAGATGTTTTTAATCTTCAGAAAACTTTAATGCTTTGGCATAAACAGAGCAGTCTTAAAACACAACTTCAGTGTTTTCTCCCAATAGTTGTGTTTTATCAGACATACAGTGTTTTTCTGGGGATAATGCAATATCCTGAAGAAAGAATTCAGATTTAGTTGAGTTTAGTTTTGTTTCATTTTGTTCAATTCATACTTTGCGGGGCGGACAACTAATGAGTAAAGTAAGAATAATCTGTGATACAATTCTCATTACATGTTGTGATACATTTGAGTCATCATATTTGATGACCTGTTGTCAGATGTCATATGTATGTCACTGGAATCAGAGGGCCCTATGAATGTCTTTCCATAAAGTTCTGTTGTTTTCATTCAGTCCTGTTTGATACAATTTCACTGATATTACTAATTTCTTCATCTCACTCTTTCTCATAATCAGGTAATCAATTGGTCAACATAGCCAGCCAAAGCATCACAAAAAAATGCACACTAGAATAAATCTAATCCATTATGCCATAAACAGGGTTTCTGCATATTTGGTTGGACATGGGCTTTGAAGTAGGAGAAAACTGAATTCAAAATCTGGCACCCTCCCTTACCCTTTGATTTTGGACAAGTGTATTCCATCTATATGAGCCTTAATTTCTCTATTAAACATCCACCTTGCAAAGTTTGAATCAAAGATTCAAATAGAACAATGTACGAAAAGCACTTAGCCCAACTCCTGATGCAACTAGGTATTTAATCAATTTTGACTATTTTAGTCATTGTTTAGTGGGGCAAAAAGTACAAAAAGATAGCAAATGACCCTTCAAATTATTAATTGCTTTTTGCTTTCAAGAGACTTTGAGAGTCTAATTTTTACCTTTTCAAGCTATTTAATCTGTTATCAAGAAGACATTGACAAGAGACAAACTGAAAGTTTATTTTCAGCTTTCTTCCTGAGGCCACCCTATTAACAGGGGCTACAGCTGAATGCTTCTTGCTCATGAGGACTCTGACTACTGGGGTTACCACAAATCTGGGGATCCAGTGAAAGATAGTGGTGGGGTTTTCATTCATCAGCACTGAATTGGCTCTAGTTTCTTCCTGGTCTTTCTCTTGCTTATGTCTCTCGGGCTACCCAACCAAGGTCACATTCAGAGTATCATTGCTGCCCCAAAAGACTTTCACTGGAGATGTTGCCAATGACATGCTCTTCCCTAAGGCAAAGATTCTTCGATTTTTGATCAACAGTCTTCATTTGGTTCATTTGTATAAATTATTAGCTGGTGGATAAGTAATTGCAGTCTTCGCCATTACTTTTAATGGCGAAGACCACAATTATGTTTGCACCAACCTATTTTTTCTGTTTGATTTTCATCTTTTAAAATTATTTGCTTTTTAATGTTCAAAATCCAAGTATCTGAGAACTATGTACATATTCATACATTTCACCATATCAAAGTATTTATAACAAATAAGGTTTTATGTGATCTATAATTTAATGTTTTGTTTGTTTGTTTGTTTGTTTTTTGAGAAGCAGTCTCACTCTATCTCCCAGGCTGGAGTGGAATGGCGCGATCTCGGCTCACTGCAACCTCCACCTCCCGGGTTTAAGTGATTCTTCTGCCTCAGCCTCCCGAGTAGCTGGAACTAGAGGCGCCTGCCACCATGCCCGGCTAATTTTTGTATTTTTAGTAGATATGGGGTTTCACCATATTGGCCAGGATGGTCTCGAACTCCTGACTTCGTGATTTGCCTGCCTCGGCTTCCCAACGTGCTGAGATTACAGGCATGAGCCACTGTGCCTGGCCAACTGAATGTTTTAAATTATGCTGTATCTCTTAAAACACTTAAAAATAAAATCTTATGAATCACCGATTTATTAATACAAGGCAACTAACAACAAAGAGCCTAGAGAGACTTTAGGTCTCTTTCTTAAAGAAGTTCATAATTTAATAACCTCTCTGGGCTTCATTTTCTTTATCTTTAAAGTAAGGACACTGAACTTGACTTTCTCCAAGATTCCCCAAGGGAGGTTCCAAGGCTTTCTAATACAGTCATGTTATATGTTATATAACCAAGCACTCAGAGCAGTTCCTGGCCATTTGTGAGGAAGGAGAATAGGATCTGGAGGCAGGGAACCTATGACTGATTTGCACTAACTTCCTAGAACGAATCGAAAGGAAAACCCCACCTCTCCACACCAAAGTAACAAAAGGATCAGAGGCTACTCTTTTTGCACTTCATCGTAGAGGAAAAATGAAAAGTACCTCTGATTGTTTCCTTCCCACAACCAATCAGACTGGTGGCAGGCCTAGTCTTCATTTGCATGTAACTTTGTAACTTTACTTCATCCTCTGATTGGTCCCCTCCCACAACCAATCAGACTGGTCACAGGCTACATCTTCATTTACAGAGAGTGTAACCAAGTAACCAATGGGAAACCTCTAGAGGGTGTTTAAACCCCAGAAAATTCTGTAACCAGCACTCTTGAGCTGCTTGCTCGAGCCTACTCCCACTCTGTGGAGTGTACTTTTGTTTCAATAAATCTATGCTTTTATTGCTTCATCCTTTCGTTGTTTTGTTTGTGTGTTTTGTCCAATTCTTTGTTCAAAACACCAGGAATGTGGAAGTCTCATAGTCGGACCTTCCACCAGTAACAATAGGAACATAGGAAGTTTTCAATAAATATTTGTTGAATGTCAAATGATTAAATAATAGAGATAACTTTAATATAGAAAGCACATCTAAGAATTAACTTGGCTTAATTATCAAAGTAAGTAACTGTTAAATGCCTTTATTACTTTATTACAGATTATTAAAATTAATATTTTTCTGTTAAAATATTTTAAATATAATAATTTATTGACCAAATAAACATTCTATTCCTTACAGAAAATATAAATCTATTAAAAATCAATGAAGAATTTTTGGGAAAACTATAAAACTAAAATTTAGATTTCCTATTAAATATGGCAAAAATTTATTTCAACTTTCTTCCAAAACACAAGTAAGATGAGAGACAATAGACTTGTGAAAAGACAAATAATCTATAAGGATGAAGAGAACAAGAGAGGAGAGGACAACATATGAAAGATTTCAACACAATTGTGCAGGCTCAAAGACAGAAAGATGACTAAAGCAACATAAAAATCAAGCACTCTGTAAAGGGAGTCTTGGAGAAGAAGAGGAAAGCCAAGAAATAAGTTTATTTGTGCCATAGACATGTAAGAAACTCAGGGATTAGAGGCACCAGGTATCCCTGAAGAACTAGGCATGCAGGTGGGACTGTAAATAATTACATTAAAATTTAATTACTAGGTACTTAGATATCTAAATCTAGGGCTGGCTTCATGGGCCTGCAACTTGTGTACTTGCACAGGGTCCCATGCTTAGGAGCACCCCATGCACTTTAATGATCTGCTATTGCCATCTTGAAACTCTTAAAAAATGTTGAACAAGTGGCTTGATAATTTCATATTTCACTAGGACCTGCAATTTATATAGGCAGTTCATCCTAAATCTTCTCCCTTTACCCACATAGGCAGGCATCTATCCCTTTACCCACATAAGAAGGCATCTATCCCTCCCCAACTCCAGAAGAGGACTGAAAGGTCAGAGGTATATTCTCTGGGAAGGATGAATCAAAAGGAGCATAGTGATGAGGACATCAGGTACAGCTGGAAACAGGAGACCTAATGAATGTCACCTAGAGAATAGTGATATTACCAGCTCCTTTCCTCCACTGGAACAGAGAATATTTGCAGCCAAGCTTATACCACTGGCCAGAAGAACGACCAAATTCTTCTCAGAGGAAATTGACCAGCCTGAAAGAATACTCAAGAATCTTTCAATTAAACAATCAGTTCCTGTTGGATCACCTGACAAGTCCGATTAAGGATCCAGTTTCCACCCTTAGTGCCTCAAATATGAATGGGAGAGCTAAAGATCATCAGATATTTGAGGAAAACCTCAACCAGAAACATAAGGACTAAAACAAAGAGTAAGAGGAAACTATGAGGAATCAGTACATTAGTGGTAGAAAATATCATTATATTATAAAATATCATTACTATCTTTAGAGAGATTAAGAGAAGCTATTATAATAATAATAAGCCTAATTCTTTTAAAAATAAGAACATTGAGAAAATTTCAAAAGAACTATTGAAATTAAACATAAATAGGATAAATAAAAAAATTAAGACCTATGAAAGATTAGGTGATTTCTGGGCTTTTATCACAACAAGAAAATTAAACAAAATAAAACCAACAAAAGAGAAAGTAAATGAGAAATAAGATATAAGTAAATTGAAGGATCTGTGCAAAAGGTTCAAAATCTAAATAATAGAATTTCCAGAAGGAAAAAAAAAAACAAAGAAAAAAAGCAGAAATAAATGATCAAATAAAAAAAAAATCCACACTCAAAAATTCTAGAACAAAATGCCAGAGGTTCTGCAATTGAAAGTGAACATTCATTCAGTACATTATTATAAAGTTTCAGAATAACATGGCTCAAGAGGAGTTGACAAATATGTCCAAAGAGGAGAAACATATTAATAAAACATATCACAAAAGATTAGGAATCAATATGGCACTGGATTTCTCAAAAGCAAAGTTGAAAGATAGAAGATGATTATTAAATCCCTTTGAAGAACACAAAACCAAACACTGCATATTCTCACTCATAAGTGGAGGTTGAAAAATGAGAACACATGGACAAAGGGAGAGGAACAACACACACCGGGGCCAGTGAGTGGGTGTGGGGTGAGGGGAGGGAGAACATTAGGACAAACAGCTAATGCATGTGGGGCTTAAAACCTAGATGATGGGTTGATAGGCGCAGCAAACCACCATGACACACATATACCTATGTAACAAACCTACACATTCTGCACTTGTATCCCAGAACTTAAACTAAAGAATAATAACAAAAAGTGCTTTTGAAATTCTAGCCATGAATTTTGTGGAGTCAAACTATCAACCAAATGAGAAGATAGAAAAAAAAGACATTTTTTTCAGATATGCATATTTTAAGAAATGTAGCTCCCGTGAACCATTTATCAGAAATCCACTAGAAAATGTACTACACTAAAATGAGGTAATGAAGTAAAACCCTAGAATTACAGTGGTGCACCAGGACAAAAGAGCAAACAGGCAAAATTGGAGCAAGAATAAGATAGCTCTCAAAAAATTAAATAATAAAACTCACAGATTACCTGATGTTTTTGGATATTAAGTGAAGAATACACTGCTGTTGTTGGTTTTCTGTTTGTTTTTTGTTATTGTTTGTTTGTTTTAGACAAAGCCTCACTCTATTGCCCAGGCTGGAGTGCAGTAGCATGATAGGCTCATGGCACCTCAAACTCATAAGCTAAAGTGACTCCCCACACCAGCCTCTCAAGTAGCTGGGACTACAGGCACATGCCACCATATCTGGCTATTTTTAAAATAAAATTTTGGTAGAGACAGAGTCTCACTATGTTGCCCAGGCTGGTCTTGAACTCCCGGGCTCAAGAGATCTTCCTGCCTTGGCCTCTCAAAGTGTTGAGATTACAGGCATGTGCCAATGTGCCTGGCCAGGAATTGCAATTCTAAAGATAGTTTGTGAACAGTAAGTACTTAAAAAACTTGTAAAATTAAAAAGTAAGGCAATTACTAATTCCGGGAAAAACAAAAAGTAGTGCATATAAAAATGTAATTATTGTGTTTTACATGGTTCAACTATAGATAACACTCACAGAGTCATAACCATGTAAACACTATTTATTTATGTAAATTGTGACATAACTTCATTAGGTTTTTAGAAGGAGTAGAAGTGTGCCTTTTGGAGTTTGGGTTTGGGCAATGGGCAATAGGTAATATCTAAAATAACACTTAAAAAATAAAGATATTATTTAGAAATATAGAAGCAGATACCAGAAGTAAATGTAAGTAATGGTCACCTGCCAGAGACAGGAATCAAGAATCAGGGAGAAGTGAAGAAAGAAATGCTGTTTTATGTTACAAGCCTTTTGAAGCTGCAAGGCATTTAAAAGCATGCACATATATTCTCTGACGCCAAAAAATTAAAACATAAATTTGCAATTGACATATACTTGCGAAATTTCATTATAATTTTTATTAAATTTGCAACTAGTGGCAGGGACTGAAATAATGGCAACCTGAAGAGAAACAAGCAGATTGTTCTAGTTGACCGTATAAGCAAAAAGACTATGACTGAATGAATTTGCCATTAATTATTTCATTTGATAAATAAACCTTTAACACAACTTTATGTAAAGTGTTTGAAATTATAAAACATCAGCATTACAGTATACTGGAAATGGAAGGAGGCCTGAGCATTCTGAAATGTTGAAGGGTGAAGCTGATGTAAATTGGTGACAGAAGATTTTCTCCAAGGTGAGGAAATATAACCGAAATCACAGAATTTCCAATGAAAATGGATTAGCAAAGTGAAACTAATTTGCTAATGTGGCGCAGGACAAACCTTTTTTTTTTTTTTTTTTTTTTTTGGAGTCGGAGTCTCACTCTGTCGCCCAGACTGGAGTGCAGTGGTGCGATCTCGACTCACTGCAAGCTCCATCTTCCGGGTTCACGCCATTCTCCTGCCTCAGCCCCCGGAGTAGCTGGGACTACAGGCACCCGCCACCACGCCCGGCTAATTTTTTTTGTATTTTTAGTAGAGACAGGGTTTCACCCTGTTAGCCAGGATGGTCTCAATCTGCTGACCCTGTGATCCGCCTGCCTCGGTTTGGAGAGAACCAATGACAAGAGAAAAGGAAATTCACAATATGACTGAAATAAGTAACTAAAAGAACAGAAAATCAGAATAATTACATATGGTGCGTCCCCAAAGCAGATCACCTTAAATCAGGCATTTCAGATTCAGTTGAAAGGAGAAATAAAAACACCAAAATATAGCCTCTGGAGGGTGGTTACTTTCTCCAGTGCTTGCAGTTCTGGAATAGGTTGCCCCCTGCTGTTGGAGGTTAGGATGTGGTGGGGGCAGGAGAAGGGTGGAGTTCAGTTGGCCTCCCAAGGCTCTCCTCCTCACTACACCTAGAGCTTCAAGCAAAGCAGCTCTAGATTTGTGGACTGAGTTTCCCGATAAAATGTATGCTGGAAGAAATTGTTGCATGGCTGAAAATCAAGTTTGAAAAATGCTGGTCTATCTCAAATTCTTTATTTGGCAGGTACAGAAAGGGGAGCCTTTTAAGTAATCACTTATTCAAGGTGAAAAGAAATCTGATGGCAGGATTAGAACCAAAAGCCAGGCCTCTTAAAAGCTAATTAATTTGCTTTCTCCCACACCAATGATCCTGGCAATGTTGCCTTTCTGTTAAAGCAAATATATTTTATTAAATGATATGTAAATTACTACTTTGTTAACTTTGTTTCTTAAGAAAATATGCAACTGGGCACATAATTAGAAGAAATATGGATACATCTATGAGCACCCAAAATGGAATTCTATAAAACCGTATCCAATATTTAATTCTCATTTTAACTCTTAATTTACTAAGTGATTTTATTATATTTGATGCCATATGGCCAGTTCTGCCTGTTCCATCTGCTGTGTGAGCAGTTTTGTTGAATAAAGTATTTAATTCCCTGGTTGCAAACACTACACCTTGATGATTCAGAGAAGTAAAGCACTGTCTTTTTATTACTTGTTCATTTACTGGTATATGATTCTTTCTCACTCTGATTCTACTCCTATTCTCTCCCCGCTCTCTTCTCTCCTTTCTCCTCTCTCCTTTTCCCTTGACTTTGCTCCCAACAGCTCTGTGACTGATGTATTCAGTCTTTCTTTTCCTGCTTACTCTCTCTGCAAAATGTCTGTGATTCCCTTAACCAGAAATATTTTATTCTTAACAACCATAATTATGTCACCTCCTGCAGCTAACTTTAAGCTCACTATTTTGACTATAGAAGCAAATAAGTTAATTTGCATAGGTGAGTTAAAATAATCCAATAACTAATTGTTACTCTGTCAAAGATCTCTGGTAAAAAAAAATAGCTTAAATCCTTTCCCTTATCTTAATATTTAAAAAAGACAACTGAAACAGAGCAGACTATTAAAAAGAAAAACCACCTCTTACATAGGGGCTGCTTTATGAGAGAGTTGTCATGTGTTTAAATGGATGTACTACATAATTATATTGGTTGCAGCATGCAGAACAGGATAAATAGGGAAAATGGAATTTGACAAAACGATGAATATTCTATATCAAACTTCTCCATACTAATATAAATAAGTTATATGGTATCAAGTAAAGAAGCAACACCAGAACCAAGCTTAAAATCATTAGATACCGTGAGCTTGTGCTGATCAGATTTGTTCGTGTGTTCTACCTTGGAAAAGATATTAAATTCACAAATCTATTTGAGAATGGGTTGGTATACTTCTAGGAGTTTATAGTTGAACTGATGACCTGCTTAAAGGCGATAAGGCAGTGTTTTAAGGATGACCACTAAATCTTTGTTTTGCCAACACTACTTATAAAATGTTTTACAAATGGTTTAGTCTCTGAGAGCTTTCTGAATATCTGATTAAAGTCTTTAAAAGAAAGGATTAAATATCAGTAAGTGATAATTTATAAGATGATACCTTGCTGTATAAAAATATGCAAACTATTTAAAGGCAAATTTTGAGATATTAAAATGCTTTTGTTCATGGAGAAAATTAACTTGAACACATTTCTCTACAGTTAGGTTGTATAGTTTAGTAACTAATAAAGTTTCCTCAGCGTAGATCCAAAACAATTAGCAATCTTAAGAAAAAACGATTGTAATAATGTTAATAAAAATCCCAGGAAATCTACAAGCTTGATGGAGATTTGCTATTCTCCATGAGGAAATAACATATTCGTGTGGGAATTTGAACAACCACCAGGGTGCTGTTCCTCACTATTGTGCTGACCAGCTACTGGACCAAGATTGTGTTGAAAGCAATGTTAATTAATTGTACTGCAGCTTAAATCAGAAGGACACTGGTAGGGTTTTAACAAAGTAAATATCTGCCAAGTATTGAAATTTTTTTCAAAGAAAGTTACAATATTAGTAAATGATAATTATGTTGTCTACAGCAATGTGAGAGACAAAATTCCCTGACTTTGTATCTAACTTCTTTGAAAGAGCATAAATTGTTCAAGGCTTGTTTGGTGACTTGGTGGAAAAAATTATTGCTTTTAAACAGTGAAAACACAGGTAACATCAATAAACTAACAAGTTTAATAGTGTAGCCTGCGTTTTTAGAAGAAAAAGAAGTTTTGCGATAAGCCATCAGCTTTTCACATTGATTAAGATTGAGGATTATACTGTTTGTTAACATCATAGTAGTGTTCCTCTTCTTGTTACCCTTAATTTACCTACTGTGCAACTGTGCTTGGAGCTTTATGGTCCTTTTTAAACTAACTTCTTTTCCACCTATCAGTCAGGGATCAATCAGAGAAGCTGAACTGCTAGGGAATCATTACAGGGGTTTGATCTTATATGATTCTGGAAGCTGATTAAGTAATCCTTATAAGGCTGTTGTCCTTGCATCTGACACTGGAGCTTGAAGTCCTCAGGACTGCTATCACAAAATATCACAAACTAGGTGGCTGAACATAACAGAAATTTATTCTCTCACAAGTCTGGAGGCTGGAGGTCCAAAATCAAGGTGTCTGCTGGCAGTGTAGGCTCCTTCTGAGGGATATGAGCAACCTGTTCCATGCACTCCACCAATGATCTTTCACATTCCTGGGCTTCTAGATGCATCATTTTAGTCCTCCGCCTTCACAGGGCATTCTTTCTGTGTCTTTTCACATCATCTTACCTCTTGTGCATGTTTTTGTGTTCAAATTTCCCCTTTTAATAAGGGCACCAGTCATACTGGATTAGGTCCAACTGGATGAGGTCATATGACCTCGTTTAACTTGATTACCTCTGTAGAGATTCTGTTATGAAATAAGGTCACATTCTGAAGTACCAGGGGTAAGGACTTCAACATATCTTTCTAAGAGGATGCAATTCAACCCCTTGCTTGGCAGCAAGAACAAAGTGGGACATGCACACATAAGCTGGAACCCACAGGCATGGACTGAAACCATGTCAGTTTGCATTGCCTCTGAAATTGATATTGTGGGAATCCTGCAGAAGAAAACAGTAAACTTCATCATGGAGCTAAATTCTAACCTGGTATAAGAGTCAGAGAGGTTGAAGGAGGATCTGGGAAAGGTGGGCCAGTTCCAGCCTGTCCACTGCCCCGCAACAGTGATTGAGACCATGGGTAAACAATAATGTGTGAGCTACAGCATGGCTGCTGCTTTGTTTCTGCTCACCAAATCCCACACAGGAATCTCTCTGGTGGCCCAAAAACATGCAGGAAAGGGGATCTCTGGGAAGCGTAGTCCAGTCTTGCCAAGTTGACACATTATAAAGCCACAACGCTGAAGACTTTACACATCCGTTATTCAGTATTTGATAATATGAATGAAGATAGTGAAACCAAGTCATTCTCACTCCTCTCCTGGTCTGTTCAGGCTGCTATAACACAATGCCATCGACTGGTTAGCTTATAAACAACAGAAATTGATTTCTTACAGTTCTAGAGGCTGGAAACTCCAAGATCAAGACACTGGTAGATTTGGTGTGTCTGGTGAGGGCCCTGCTTCCTCAGAGCCAGCTGTTTGCTCATTCTAACCTCTCACAGTGGAGGGAGCCAGGGACCTCTCTGGGTCTCTTTTACAAGGGCACTAATTCCATTCATGGGGGCTCTGCCCCTGTGGCCTAATCACCTCCCAATGCCCCATCTCCTAATACTATCACCTTGGGGGTTAGGATTTCAACACAGGGATTTGAAGACAGCATGAACATTCAGACCATAACAACTCCCCATCTGAGACACAGGGAAGACATTTCACCTCCTAATGATGTTTCATTTCTGCTTGTTAATAAAAAAATTACCATCAACCACCTAAAAAGTTTTAATTGAATAATTGAAAATTAAACTCACCAGTAAAATTTGCTTTTGTTTCATCAACTATTTAGCAATAAGGAAAATATTTGAAGGCCATGAAGCCTTAAGATCCTGAGATCTTAGGATTATGTTCAGTTAAATTAGGTTGATTTGGAAACAAAACAAAACAAAATCAGACACTTGCCCTTCTTGATAGTCTTCTTAGCAAGGGAATAAATGTGGTGGATAATCACTCAGGCTGTGAAACAGATGGATCCAAGTTTGAAACACAGCAGCATGGGACCTCTCTCTGTATTGCATTCCCAGCCCATAAGAATGGGGATAATCTTTATAGCTGCCTCAAAGGGTCATTTCGTGGTTGAAAGACATAAGGGGAACTTGGCACAAAGCTGGCATGTAGTAAGTGTTGAAGCAGTGTTGGCTAATCTTTTCTCTTTCTCCTTCCCTTCTGCCTGTTTCTCTTCTTCCTTTTCTGTTTCTTTAGATTTAAGGGCAATGAAACTGGTGTTTTCAGTCCCTTGCAGCACCGAACTTTGTTTTTCCACTGTATGTGTATCCAATCTAAGTGTTATGAACAATAAGCCATGGGGCTCTTTAAATACCAACCTGTTTTGGAGATCCAGAGTGGGTGGTTTTTGAAGTAGCATCTTTGAGAGCAGCTGTGAATGGAAATGCTTATTTCTAAGACATCAAAAGGAGGGAAATGTTCCATTTAAAAATATTCTGTGATAAGTAAAAGTTCTGAACTTTTTAAAGAGAGGTGCTTGAAATTTCTTTGGGCAGAATTTAAAGAGCAAAATTAAACAGTAATGAATTTTTTTCTCTCCCAGAAAGTGGAAAGAATATTTGCAGACCTTTCTTCCCTCTGTCTGTATTCTGTTCAAATACAAAACCTACCCCTCACGGTCCCCACTCAAACCCACCACTCAGTTCCACATTCTCTCTTCTTTAATAACATCACATCTGTTATCAGTAAACACTCATTTGAGCATGTGCTAGGATCTTGTCTTCTCAATGACACCTTTGTGTGGTGTCACTGTCTTATTTCCCTATCTTGTAAGCCCCATATAAATAGAGACTTCATCACACATTTCAATTTACCTAATTCGTAAAACAATCAAAGGCACCAAGTATGTACTCCAGTAAAAATAAAGTGGCATGGAAAAGAATAGAACAGATTGGAAGGTGCACAAGGAAATGGGAAAGAATGAAAAAGAAACTTCTGGGAAATCTTTCTAGATGCCAGGGCTTGAGACAAATAACAAAAAATGAATCGGCCAGAGGGACTGTACTCTTGCCTAGTAGAACCTACATTTCTAGCAGCATCAGGTATGTCTGATAGGCCCTTGTCTCCTGTCTCAGACATTGATCCCATATAGATTTATCAATTTCACTGCTGCCCCTTCTAGTTTCTACACTACTCTAACCATTCCCCCCTCCACTAAGAGAATATGAGCTAATAAGCTAATGTAGCAAGACCTCCCAGACATAGGTTGCTGAGGAAATATTTTTGAGAAAATAAAGGCAACAAGAGATATTTTAGGCTTATTTTTTTATCAGACACTAGCCTGTTTCTTAGAGAGTCTCAATAGTGGGGCATATAGTCATAATAAACCTACAAAATTATTAAAGAACACTTAAAGACTCACAAATACTAAGTCCCCCAAATCACTACTGCAAAATTTAGTAACTCTTCAAATTCAAATTTCATTTCATAAGTCATGTAAATATGCTAGCAATCTGAAGTATTGGGTTGGGGAAAAGAGTTATAAAAGTTCCATAGAGCTATGGTGAAAATGTTGTATTATTTCAAGGCCTTTCTACAGAAGACAGTGAGTTTTGGGACTGCTATAATTTAAAAAGGTGTCTTTGAAAAGAAAAGGCATAGCTTTTCATGGCAGCTAATTCTAGACAAAGAGAGGGGCCAATGGGTATTTTAGTCCAACCTAATTTGATGTCACAGTGGTGGGTCTGGTTTTATTTATTTATTTATTTATTTATTTACTAATTTAAAGAGGCTGCTACTATATAGAGGAAGGTTGTGTGCTTAGAAATGGATAATGTTAGCAAAGCAAGGAAAAGTTCTTTTTTTTTTTTTCTCCTGAAAACAATAACCTACATTTAATGGTAAGAAATCACCAGCAAATTCCATTATGTTTGTGGGCTTGACATGCGGTGCTTATTAAATGTAGGAACAAAGCCACTTTATACATCATAGTGTTCACATTACAAATTCACTGCTCATAATGGTGCTGCAAGTATATGTGCAATTTTTCTGAACTTATGAAATATATTTCTGACACCTCAGGTATTGATGTATGCACGCATGATATTGTACCAGTGCAGTAGGGAGACTTAACTGATGTCTGCAAGATTTGATTTATTACAAGTAAATATGATTGCCTTCATAATCTGATTTTATTATGTTCGGGGCTCTCGCAGGTAAACTTTTAGTAGAAGGAAGAAGGCCAATTTTATTAAACCAGTGTGTTCCTGCAAACCATAGAGTTTCTTGTCAAGGGGGAAGGGGGACTGCTGGTCCAGAAAGAGTATTGAAAATTTCAAAAAAGAATTTACTTTCAACATTCCCAATTTCATATCTTCTCAAATCCTGCAATTACTTCAAGTGTGCTTTTGCTATTTTGAGTGCTATATTCCTTTTTTAAAAGCCATATTAAAGTAAAATTCACATGTCTAGGGCCAAAGTTAAATATGCGTAGGGGGAAAAGTACTTGAAAAACCCAGCTACCATCTCAAAAAATATTGGCAACATGGCTTTTTCTCTTTTATAATGGATAAGAGGTTTGATGAACTTGAAAGAATTGGGGTTACTGTTGATATTTTCAGGGTTTTTGATTTCACTCCAACTATGAGGGCTATAGCTTTGCTATACCATCAACTTAAATAACTAAAAATAGGTCATCCTAGGATCAGAGAAGGACCTGGGCCCTTATGAATAAGGGGGTTATGAGGTTATGAATAAGGAGGTTATGAATAAGGAGGACTGCAGGAAAGGGCTTGGCCAATTTACCCTTCAAAGAACACTAGACACACCAACCTTCCCAGGCTGAGTACGTATACTCTTATTCTAGGCATGGAAGAACAAAAATTTTTAACATCTGCGGGTTCCCAAACTTTCCCCTGCCCACTAAAAAGAACCTTGGCTTCGCTTTCTTAGTTTCTCCTCTCCCTTGCCAGCTTGCTGAGCAGACTTCTGCTAGCATCCCCAGGTGGTCATTCAGGCCTGTGTAATGTAAAATCAAGCCCAGTAGAAAAAGAAGAAATGCATGGACTTAGGTTAGGGAAAAGCATTTTTGTTGGAGTGGGGAGGTGGGAGGAGGCAAGACTTTTTTTTAATGGAATTTGAGAATAAATCAGTAAAGAGTACTGCTTGGTATTAAGGAAGTTTCTGAAGAAAGGAAGTAGAAATGGTATGCTGAGAGCTATGAATGATCTTAATTGTTTTCAAGAAATGCAAGCAAAGGAAAGAACCTGAATTAATTTTAAATTATTCTTTCTTTGATGACCTAATGTGATGATCTAGTTGTTACTGGATAAACATGTTTTGCAACTGGACCAAGTAGATAAAAATCCAACATCCAATGCATATGTGTGCTGTGGTCAAGATAGTGTCACTTGTTTTCCATGAGGTAGACATAGCATTAGGGAAACCAAGTGGATAGTCCAACCGTTAGCAATGAAAGACCCATGACAAAGAATTTAATGAAGATGGCCAAAGGGGGAATCATCATGAAATAATATCTTAAAATAAAATAATTAAATAATATCTTTTGGTTTGCACTAAAATAAGGACAAATGGTTCAGGAGATGATTTCAATAAGGGCAACTTAAAATTTATGTACTCAGTGGAGATCAGGAATCAGGCAATCAAGAATCCAAAGCCAGTGCAGTAGTTCTAGGTACTTGGAGATCATAACACAGTAACTTTAAGAAAACAAAAACCAAAAACCTCATACTTCATAAGTTTTCTATTTTCATAGGGCTTTTAAAAACACATTCTTCAATTATATTATTATTTTTATATTCCTTAGACAAAAATATTCTATTATTTTGACTTTTCTTGAAAATATTAATATCAACTATGTTGAGGGAAAACAAAAACAAAAACAAAACAAAAAAAAAGAAGGGTTTTTGTTCACACTAGATTAGAATGCTGGAGGAAGAGCCATAGACCTGTTGCAGCTGATCATCATGATGACAGCAGGAATTACACAATTTTAGAAAATCCCAAAGGGGCTACTTCAATTTAGGGGCAGTAGAGAATGTTAGGGCCTAATCAAATTCCTATTCCCTACTTGAAGTGTCTACTTCCTGAGTTCAAATCTAGAGACAGTTTTGAATTAATGTGAGCCCATGCACTTAAAATGCCCATAACATTCACTCATGACCACCACCACTTCACTTGAGATATCACCTAGGCAAAATGAGGGAGCTGCTCTCTTCCCTCTACCCTGCCCTGCCAATCTGTACACTGCCTCCTCAAGCTGGGTTCTTCTTTCTTTTGTCCTGAGAAAGCAGCCAATTATTTTAACCTGATTTCACCTAGATTTGAAATAAAGTGTTGAGGGTAAGAAACGGAAGGCAGCGCCATCTGTTCCAAGTGATTGTATACCTAGAAAGCTACTGCCTAATATTACCGATACCTTTTTCTTCAAATCTTACATTCTAGACACATCTTCTAGCTTTTACTGCACTGTATGAAGTAGCAACTCCTTTCTGCTTTAATTGAAATGTGTTGTGCACTGGATCATATCTAGCATTTACTCCAGCAGGAGATCCCAGCTGGGGATCTCTCTGTAAACGCATTGAGTATGGATTGCCCATACATCAAGGGTTTCTATGTGAGCTACTGTGCATGGGAAAGCCAGGAGGTACATCTAAGACATGGAGTGCTTCTGAGCAGAAGTGTAGTGTTTTCCCCATGCTATAAAGACCCAGGGTGTGGCTTTCTGTCAGGCTAGCAGGGGCTATGATGAAACAAAAGGCAATATACCATAGCTTCCTGTGTTGGTGAAGTCTTTGTATACTTGCTCCATTGACAAGAAACGAATTAGTGCCAAATTGTAGTTACAGTGAACTAATAGTTATCTGTCTCTCTCTGATGCTACCTTCCACATGTCAGTGTCACTGTGACAAAAACAAACAAAAAAGAAATGTATGGGTAAGTGAGTGTATGATGTGTGTGTGCATGGATGGCATGTCAGCATGTAGCTAAATGCCTATTCCTTACTGCTTCCAAAAACTGGGTATAAATGATTTAGGGTTATCTATAGTTCTACATTCTCAATTTTTCCTCTATCAGTAAGAATAAAACCTATAAGTAGATTTTTATCAGCTTATACTAGAGAGGTCAAACTGGCCTTGTATAGAGGTGGGGTAGATTTTCACCTACAGGATATTACTTTCTTATTTAAAGAGGTCTTAAAGAACTCATAGGAGTAGAGAGTAGAATGGTGATTACAGAGGCTGAGAGAGGGGATTTGGGTAGATGTAGATAAAAGGATAACAAATTTCAGTTGGATAGAAGGAATAAATTCAAAAGATCTATTGTATAAAACGGTGACTATAGTTAATAACAATGTATCATCTTCTTGAAAATTAAGAGGGTAGATTTTAAGTGTTCTTGCCACAAAAAAAGTAAGTGAAGTAATGCATATGCTAATTAGCATGATTTAGACATACCACAATTTACACATATTTCAAAACATGTTGTACACAATAAATATATATGATTTTTATTGGTCAGTTTTTTAAATTAATTAAAAAGAAAAATAAGAAGTTTTAATGAAAACTTTCCCTCAGTCATCAAAAAGAAAAAGAAAAAACCTTCCTACATAGATGACTATGATTCCACCATTATCTATATGCTCTTATGGGTTAAACATTTTCTGTGGAGTAATTATTGACTATCTAGTATCTTGCAATTTAGTGTCTTATCCTCCTATGGAAAAACAAGACTCTAAAGGTTAATGGAAAACAAAAACAAAAACAAAAACAAAAAAACGTGAATTCTGTCGAGGTACCTTTTCTGTGTGAAGTTTTGTCCCTGACACCCCTATACCACCCTGTACTCTAAGTTAACCTTGGTTATAAATCAATAGGTACACAGTGCAGATGCCTTGAAATAAGTGTAGATTCCTTGAAATATTCTGGTATTTTTCCACACATATTTAAAAGAACTGCTACTTTAAAGATTACAGAGTAAGCAATTAAAATCTAAACATTTAACATTTTAAATCAACATCTTCATTCTGAAGAGGTTAATTCCAATTTACTGGGATTGCATATGTTGGCTTTCAAGACTTTAAGGGGATGCAGGATAGTGTTAGTGGTTTAAACAAATGGGGGGTTTATTTATGTCATATAATGATTCTGTAGATAAATGGTTGCTCAGTTATATTCTGCACAACATGATTCTAGTTCATAGTCACAAGATGCTACCACAATTCACATTCTTGTTTAAGGAGACAAGAGGGGGAACAGGGACACAGTTGGTCATTTGCTTTTATTGAGAAAATCAGAAGTCTTCCTGGAGTTGTCAGCAGACTTCTTCTTGGTCTCCTTGGCCAGATAGATGTCATGTGGCCAAATCTACTTTCAAATAATGTTGGGGACGTGATTTTTCTCTCAGTGTTGTATACAATCCTGCCCCTCTCCAAAAACTATACATTAGCTTTGTGTTAGTGAAAAAGAAAGGGAGAGGTATATTGGGCAAATAATCATGTCACAGTTGAGAATTCCAACCAAATCCTCAAAAATTTGGATTATACAACATTGCTTACATCAAATTGCCATTTGAGGTAATGGCAAATTCCATTTGGAAAATTTTGGAAATTCCATTTCCAAAAAAGGAATGAGCGTGAAAAAAATCTAGTCCACTTTCATGTTTCAGGCAAGAAAGCTGAGACCTTGGGAGGTTCACTCTCAAAAGCCAGTTATCTACTCAAAACAAGGAGTCAGTTTTCCTGGCTACCCTGCTTAAATGCCTCCCCACCTGCCTTAGCATTTTCTTATGATTCTTTTTAGATGCACATGACCGTACTTGCAATAAATACATAGAGAGAAATCCATTGCGCCCCTGCCTAAATTCCTTTTATAGTACCCAATAATTGAAACTATCACCCTTGCTATGGAAGTGTCAACAAATATTTAGCATGCAGTATTCACTTATCTATGAGAACGAGATGGTATACCCAACTCAGATAGACACAGATGGCAGACAATGGCTTTTCCCTATGGCTACCTTCTTTCCTTAAAAAAGACTTGGGTGAGGGGGTGGTGCGTAAGAGGAAAGTCAGTCTTTATAATTAAACATATTTGGTCATTTGTTTGTTAGCCATGACCTCTTAGGTAGAAGGCCATTTCCCCCTCCTTGCTCAGAATATGCACAGAAAGTAATAAATATTAACATAATTTTGGTTTAACATGCCTGTCTCCCTACATTTCCTGTAACTGGAGTTATTAAATCTGCATAATGCCACCAGAAAAGCAGGGTTGAAAGGCTACCCACGTCCCCAAACAGAAAACCTCCTCAGCAAAACTAATCACAGACTCAAGCATATTTGGAATGGTTAACAGCTCAAAGGGAAAATTAAGCTCAATAGTACAACTAATCCAAGACAATCAACCTTGATTTTCACAATACAGACGTGTACAAAGGCAACCTAAAAATGAAAGAAGAAAGACTTTGACCTTGAAAAAGGTTGACACGAGGGGAAATAGGCATGGTTGAATAATATGTTCCACCATATCTTACACTATTTCAGCAAAATGTCCCGAAGCATTTTGCTTTGAGAGATTTGGCAGGTCATTACTATCTCGATTGGTAATATATTGATACTGGTCCCTGGTATTTTTATTCTTCTATCATTTTATTACTGGACCATTTGCTGAACTCCTTATATCTATGATCTAACCCAAATACCACCTCTTCTAGGAAACCTCCAGGGCTTTACCTGCCTCCGGCATTCAATAACGCTATATGCACCTCACAGACAAAACCTAACATATTTTACCATATTTTGTAAATTTTGTCTGTTTTCCTTTTTAAACTGTGAGAATGGGTACTTATATAACCATCTCAGAACAAGCCCAAACATAGCAGACCCTCAACGACTTTTCTGAATGAAATAAAATTGAATTGTGAATGGATAACTTTGGAAGTTACCTATGAGGTGTCATTTGAAGAGTGTCTGGCTAATTCCACTTACTCAAGGTATCTTCAATATTTCTGGCCATGCTAAAACTCTTTTAAAGGTAGTGGCTTGGGCTTTTCTAGGGATTTTATTTTAATTTGTCTCTTTCATTTTTTTCAAGACACTTCTATTAAAATTCAGAGTTTCCTGCAGAGAGGAAATCTAACCTTAAATCTTCACCACATTCATTTATTTATTCATTCAGCAGATGCACATCACTGTACTTGCAATAAATATGTACAGAAATCCAGCATGCCCCTGCCTAAATCCCTTTTTTTAGAACCCAATAATTGGAACTATGACCCTTGCTATGGAAATGTCAACAAGTATTTAGCATGCAGTATTCATTTACCTATGAGAATGAGATGGTATAACCATCTCAGGTACACGCAGATAGCAGACCTTAAGAACAGCATGAGTTCCAAAGAAGACATTGACATGCAGATCCCCATTACACTGAGTCAGCCTCTATTCTCTGGAATTAGAAAAAAAACAACTCAAAGATTCTTTTACACAAAGGCTTTTTTATGCCACAATATCACATCTGTGCCCCCAGGTAATCATTTAGAATTCTCATTGTCAAAAAACAAACAAACAAACAAACAAACAAACAAACAAACAAAAACCTCTCAACTAAACTTTGACAAGAGTGCCAAAATTACACAATAGGGAAAGGATAGTTTCTCCAATAAATGGTGTTGGGAAAATTGGATATGCACATACAGAAGAATAAAACTGTACCTTTATCTTACACCATACAAAAAATTAGCCCAAAATGGACTAAAGAATTAAATGTAAGACTTAAAACAATAAAACTTTTAGTAGAAAACATAGGGGAAAAACTTCTTGGCATTGGTCTTGGCAATGAATTTTTGGATATGACCCCAAAAGGACAAGGCAACAAAAGCAAAAATAGACAAATAGGATTGCAGCAAACTAAAAAGCTTCTGCCCATCTGCCCATCAAAGGAAATCATCAACAAAATGAAAAGGAAAGCTATTAGTAGAAAATATTTGCAAACCATACAACTGATAAGGGGTTAATTTCCAAAATATGTGTGGAACACAAGCAACTAAATATGAAGGAAAAAAAAACAATTAAAAAATGGGTACATGACTTGAATAGACATTTTTCAAAAGACATGCAAATGTTTAACAGCTATGTGAAAGATGCTCAACATCACTAACCATCAGTGAAATGCAAACTAAAACCACAATAAGATATGACCTCTCACCTAATAGGATGGCTACTATCAAAAAGACAAGAGATAACAAGTGTTGACAAGGATGTGGAGAAGAGGAAGCCCTTGTACACTGTTGGTAGGAATGTAAATTAGAAAAGTCATTGCAGAAAATAGTATGAAGATTCCTTAGAAAACTTAAAAATAGAACTACCATATGATCCAGCAATATCATTTCTGGATACATATCCAGAGGAAATGGGATCAGTAGCTCAAATAGATATCTACGCCCCGTTTGTTGCAGCATTATTCACAACAGCTAAGATACAGAAAAAAATCTAGGTATCCATCAATGGATGAATGAATAAAGAAAATGTGATTTTATATATACATATATATATGGAAGACATTATATTAAGTAAAGTAAGCCAGACAAAGACAGACTGCTACTATATGACCTCACTTACATGTAGAATCTAAAAAAGTTAAACTCATAGAAGCAGAGAGTGGAATGGTTGTTGCCAGGGGCTGAAGGGTGAAGGAAATAAGGACATGTTGGTCAAAGGGTACAAAGTTCCAGCCAAAGAGGATGAACATGTTCTTGGGATCTCATGTACCGCATGGTGACTATTGTTAATAATAAGGTACTGTATATTTGAAAATTGCCAAGAGAGTAGATCTTAAATGTTTTCACCACAAGAATATGGTATGCTAGGTGACCGATATGTTAATTAGTTTGAGTAACCTTTTCACTATATATGCACTTACCAAAATATCACATTGTATACCTTAAATTTATACAATCTTATTTTTCAGTTTAATAAAGCTGGGAAAGATATAAGCTCTCAAGCTACCAAAAGACATGGGGAAACCTTAAATGAATATTGTTAAGTGAAAAACGCCAATATGAAAAGGCTACATGCTGCATGATTCCAATTATATTACATTCCGAAAAAGACAAAACTATGAAGACAGTAAAAAGTTTAGAGGATGCCAGGAGTTTAGAGGGAGGAGAGGAATGAATAAATGGAACAGAGAAGATTTTTAGAGAAGTGAAACTATTTTTTATGATATGGTAATAGTGGATAGATGTCATGACACATTTTTAAAAAACCCCAGAATGTACAACCCAGAGGATGAACCCAAGGTAACCTATGGATTATAATTAATAATAATGGATCAATATTGGCTTATCAGTATATTAATGAAAATGTACTACACTATTACAAGTTGTTAATAATAGGCGAGCCTGTAAGCATGTGAAAGGGGAGTCGGAGAGGAGATATATGGGAATTATTTGTATTTTCCACTTAATTTTTCTATAAACCTGAAACTGCTCTAAAATATAGTCTATTAATTTTTTAAATATGACACTGAGTTAAAAAAGGAAATAGATTGTGACATACCAGACAATATTATTTACATAAATTTAAAATGTTTGCAGAAAACAATAAATTTCTTTAAAAAGCATTCACAAAAGAAATGATATGTGTTAAACTGATGAGAATCATTGCCTAATGAGGAGGGGAATGGAAAAGATGTGGACTATGGGTAAGAAGAGAGAAAAGAAAAAATCCGGCCGGGTGCGGTGGCATACGTCTGTAATCCCAGCACTTTGGGAGGCTGAGGTGAGTGGATCACGAGGTCAGGAGTTCAAGACCGGCCTGGCCAAGATGGTGAAACCCTGTCTCTACTAAATAAATAAATAAATAGCCAGCCGTGGTGGTGGGCGCCTGTAATCCCTGCTACTTGGGAGGCTGAGGCAGAGAATTGCTTGAACCCGGGAGGCGGAGGTTGCAGTCAGCTGAGATCACGCCACTGCACTCCAGCCTGGGTGACAGGGTGAGACTTCATCTCAAAAAACGAAAGAAAAAGAAAAAAAAAAAAAGAGAAAAAATCCAAGAAGACTTCAGGCACAAGTCATGAGAGTGCACCATGAACTGAGGCATGTGATGGAGCCGCCCTCTGCCCATGATGGGGAATCAAACACATGTATATGGAGGAATTGAAGGAAATGCAGGGAAGGGACAAGATGAAGCCTGGCTGTGTGCATTGGGGGCTTCTATTGGCTTAAATGGCTGAAGTTTTGGAGTATAAGAATAGGCTACCAGAGAAGTTTGTGTATCAAAGAATGCTCTTTCCTGATAATTTTCTTCCTGTATCAGGAAGGCTAAGAGAGGAGTGATAGAGAGTTTAAAACAGTAAAAAGCCTGTGAAGCAAGTTACAGTTCATCTTTATGGGGTGATTAGTTTTAATAAATGAATTTTTGAAAACTGGATACTGTGAAACCAACAATTTTACAAGCTTCTGACAGCCAAGGAAGAAAGTTCCTGGGTGATGGTACAAGCCATTTGTGTGTTCTCCAAGACCAAACCTGTAGAGTTTTTCAAAAAATTAAAAATAGAACTACTGTGTGATCGAGCAATCCCACTTCTGGGTATTTATCCAAAAGAATTGCAATCAATCTTGAACAGATATTAGCACTCCTATGTTAATTGCAGTGCTATTTACAATACCCAAGATATGGAAACAGCCTAAATGTTCATCTGATGAATGGATAAAGAAGATGTGGTATATATGTGCAATGGACTGTCATTCAGCCTCAAAAAGAAAGGAAACTCTGCAATATGCAACAACATGGTTGAAGCTGAAGGGCCTTAGTCTAAGTGAAATAAGCCATCCACAGAAGGACAAATACCACATAATTTCATTTACATGAGGCATCTAAAACAGTCAAACTCATACATCTTAGTCTTTGCGTACTTCTATAATAGAATACCACACATATGGTAATTTATAAAGAATAGATATTTACTTCTCAAAGTTCTAGAGGCTGGAAGTCCATCATTAAGATGCAGGCATCTGGTGAGGGCTGCTCTCTGCTTCCCCAAGATGGCACCTTGAACACTGGGTCCTCTGGAGAGGGAAATGTATGTCTTCACATGGCAAAAGGTAGAAAGCGAAAAAGGGGCAAACTCCCTCTGTCAAGCCCTTTTATAAAGGCATTAATCCATTCTTGAGGGCTGCCCTCAAGAATTACCTAAACACCCCCGAGAAGATCCCATCTCCCAATACTGTTGCAGTGGGAATTAAGTTTCCAGAACATGAATTTGGGGAAACATATTCAGATCACAGCATCATAGAAACAAGGAACAGAATGATAATGGCAAGGAACTGGGGTAGAGGGAAATGTAGAGTGGCTAATCAAAGTGTATGCACAATGAAAAATTCTAGAGATCTGATGTACAGCATTGTGTCCATGGATAACAATTCAGTACTGCGCATTTAAAAATATGTTAAGAGGGTAGATCTCACATTATGGCAAGTGTTCTTATCATAATTAAGAAAAAAAAAAGACTCCCATGCAGTAGTACAGGGAGCACAAGGTCTTAAGCTATCACTTATTGGTAGGCATATGTGGGCTCATCACTGTTGGTAAGCATGATTTTCCAAGCAAATATTTATAAATATTGATTCTGACCCTGATGTTAGATGTTTAAGGGGGGACATAATAAACATTTAAATTAAGTCTCACTAGGGGGCATAAGGATATCTCCATACTTCTGTTAATTGGAAAGGAAAAGTTGATCCATAATCCAACTACATTTTTGCTATTTTAGTCATCCCACATGCTCTTCCTTCCCAAGTTTTTTGGTTTAGCATTTTGGCTTAAATGGTGATTGAGGATGGGGAGAGGAAAAAATAGAGTAGGGCACTGGTTCCCAAAATAAGGAGGCTTCCTTCATGGAGATGGTGTTTCGTGGGCAGTGGGAACTGACCCAAAGGCATTGTGAAACTTTCTAAATTTCCACTGCCATTTAGATGACATTTCCATGACACTTCAATGGCACAGCCCAGATCTTGGCAGTGACCAAGGCTTGGCTGTGAACTAAGGCTTTCTATGGCTTTTGTACCCCCATACTGGCTCCATAGTAAACCAATCCACCCATGAGAAAAGCACATAAAAAGGAAGCAAAATCTTCTGGCTTCATAATGAGCTGCATGTAACCAGCTTCAGAGGCAGAAGAAAGGAGGGAGCAAAATGGCCCCTTTCCCCACTGAGCTATGACCATTCCAGGATATTGAGTTAATTTCCACCATCCTTTCTCCTTCTCAGGAAATCTGTAAGCTAGAGACAGGAGTATATGCTCCATCTGTCTCTTGTCTTAGAAGATCTGCTTATATACCTGAGATTAGGTGCACAGATTCCAAGGATGAAGAGATGCCATGTGCTAGGATATACAATGTCTGTACTGACTATACTGAATAGTTGAAAGACTATAGGACTTTGATTAAGAAACTTGATTTGAAATCCCTCAACAGAGAAGCACAACCATGTCTCAAGGATTTTTTTTTATTTGCTGATTCTTCCTCCTAAAATGCTATTCCGAGGCTACCTCTGTCACTTCATTTAGGTTCATTCAAATGCCACCTTATTGGAAAGGACATCCCTGACCACTTAATATGAACTAGCATCTTTCACCATTCCCCATCTCCAGTCTTCCCCTAATGAAAATGTGAGTTCCACGAAAGCAGATATCCCAGAGCTGGGAAGACTGCATGGGAAATAGTAGGCACTTATTACACTTGTTTAATAATAAACATGCTTCCCCTATGATATGCTTCAGCCCTAAGTTGTGGGCAAGTCATCCATCTCCTGTTTCATTACTAGTGGAATATACATTAAAATATGCATTCTGCCTACCTCCTAGAATCTTTATGAAGTGAACTATAAATTGAGAAGTCAACCATCTATGTGTCTGGTGTTCTTTAGCTGATATTTCTCAGAGAGGGATCAATCCTAGCATAATAATGTTTGAGATGCATAACGTTAACCAGGTAAGACAGGAACTGTGTTTATCACAATCCAGAGTTGGTCTAATATGGATGTTCTCAGAGGAGAAGCAGTGATCTATGAATTCTAGGATGCACTGAGTGCTACAAATGAGGACTGGCAGAGTCCTGGTCTGAGAGTTATGAGGCCTCTGTTCCCCCAGTTCCTCCACATCCTCAGTGGTTTACCCGCTGCCAGCTGCACTCTCCATACATGTGAAATGAAGGACCTACACCAGATCCCTTCTCATTCAAATATTCTGAGACTCAGATTCACATGCACAAATTGGAAACACAGTGCATGGAGTGCCCATGCCATACATTTAGGAACAGAGATAAGAAGGCAAATAAATAAATAAATAAATAAATAATAAGGGTTTTTTTGGGGGGTGTCTGTGCCTTGTGGTATTTTTGTTATTATTTATTTATTTTTGTTGTCATTCTCCCTTGTCTCATCTGCACATACGTTGATTCTGGGCAGTTCAACAAGGAATGTAGTTACATTCATAAGCTTCTGGAGATTGCATTCTTCTCTTTGCTCTCAGTGTATTAGCCCATTGTCACCATGCTGATAAAGACATACCCAAGACTGGGTAATTTATACAGGAAAAGGGGTTTAATGGACTTACAGTTCCACATGGCTGGGGAGGCCTCACAATCATAGCAGAAAGCAAGGAGGAGCAAGTGACGTCTTACATGGATGGCAGCAGGAAAAGAAAGGGCTTGTTCAGGGAAACTCCCACTTGTAGAAGCATCAGATCTCATGAGATTTATTCACTATCATGAGAACAGCAAGGGAAAGACCTGCCCCCATGATTCAATTACCTCTCACCAGGTCCCTCCCACAACATGTGGAAATTCAAGATGAGATTTGGGTGGGAATACAGCCTAACCATATCACTCAGGAATACTAGTGAAATACCAGTTCACCAATAGGAGACTCAAAGGAAGTAACAACTTAGTTGGAATAATGTTTCTTGAGAACAGTCTCTTTTTCCTGGCCCCCATAGGTTTGGATGGGAGAAAGTCACAGTCAGAGAGAAGGAAATGAGCTTTCAGGGCTTCCTCTCTGAAGACATGAAGAGATAGGTGGTGCTGGGCTACAAATGAAATTGAGCCTTAATTAATTGCACAGCTCCTGGTAGTCCATTTTTCTCTTGCAAGTCTAAAATCATTTCTTATATCCCAAAATTTACTTCAAACCTCAAAAAGATTCTGGAGGTCATTATGTTAAGGGAAATAAGCCAAGAATAGGAAGACAAATATTACATGTTCTCCTCATATGTGGGAGCTAAAAAAGTAGATCTCAGGAAGGTAGAGAGTAGATTAGTAGTTACCAGAGGCTGGGAAAAGGAGAGGCGAGGGAGGGATAAAGACAGGCTGATTAATGGGTACAAATATACAGTTTGATAGAAGAAATAAGACCAAGTGTTAGATCAGTAGGGTGACAATAGTTTACAAAAATCTATTGCATATTTCACAGTAGCTAGAAGAGAATAATTTGCATGATTTTAGCATAAGGAAAAGACAAATATTTAAGGTGATGGATATCTCAATTATACTGATTTGATCTTTACAAATTATATTATATTAAATTATCACATACAACCCAAAATATGTACATCTGTTATGTATAAAAAAGTTAATTAAATTTTTAAAAGGATTCTAAACTCTCTCATTCTTATTTTTCTTTTCTTGGGTCCAGTTTTGTTGTTCAGTTCATGAGATATTTGTTATTAGCTATACTTGGTTATATATAGATTACAGTAGGACTCAGCAACTATCATGTACATAGAAAAGAATTTATTTACTTCCTATTTCATGTAAATTACCTGTGTATATTGTGTTAAGATCAACCCACTTGGGTATGATATGGCTCAAAACTCCATTAAAGAAGAGGCAGCAAATGAATTTCCCTAAATAGCACCCTGATGTGGAAATGGGTGAGCCCCCGCTCTCACTCTTGACCTCTCACCTGTTGGGTGCATCCCCCCATCACCAGCTGTGCAGCATCACCAGAGTGTGGTAGTTGCAAAAGGGACTGTCACTCAGAGAGTGGGCTTTTACGCTTTGTAAAGATAGCCTCATCTTATCCAGATTAAAAGGATAACCAATATTATCTTCTCACCAGGAAGGAAGGCATTTGTAAAAAGGTCTACGGTTATGCTGTTGTTTCACTGCTTCAGGAGAAAATTATGGAAGCAGTCACAAAAAATTTTGACATTTCCTTGTTTGTAAACTCAAGGTGTGTGTGTGTGTGTGTGTGTGTGTGTGTGTGTGTGTGTTTTAATCATGCAGAATAAGACACAATGTTTGTAAGGAGTAGTGGGATACTTGTTCAAATTCTTCCTCTCCAGATAGACTAATCTAGTATTTCTCATCCTGAGTGTAACATAGAACTACCAAATTTAGAAGCTCTGGGGTAGGCCCTAAACATCAGTATTAAAAACAAACAAAAATGTGTTTGTGATTTTAATGTGCATTCATTGCTTAGATCCACTGATCTGAAGTGCAAATAATTGGGTAAAGAAATGTGGTAGCAATTCTGAGGAAGGAAATCATTACGTATCCTCAAAGAATATTAAAACTGAATACAGAAGAAAGCTTATATTTCCTTGTCTATAAAATAGAGGATAATAATAATATTTACCTCTCAGGGTTGTATGAAAGTAAATAAAAGAGCATTTCATGTGCAAGAACCTATCACAATATCCCAAACATGGTAAGCACCTGATAAAGAGTGGATACAGCTATACAATTTTGTTATAATTTTGTATCTATATATTTACATATAAAATAGTTATATAATAACTTATATAATAGTTATTAATTATTGCCTTGTTAGTAAGCCTAATAATAATGGTACAGTGACTAGTACTACTATCTTAAATATATTTAATGCTTTATTGATTGCCAAGGACTTTCTCATGCACCTTTTCACTTGATTCCAACAACAATATGTGAGGAATGCAGAACAAGTATTCTTCCTTTTTTTTTTTCTTTTCAATGAGGAAGCAAACTCAAATGAAGGTGCTTCTCCATGACTGCACAGCTGACAAATGACAGAAATGGGCTGGAACCCAGAAGCCCTGCTCCCTAACCCTAATCTCACTCTTAGACCCGTACCGCCTCCTACTGGCTTTGTAAGAGCTGGATTCAGAGTGTGGCCTTAAAGTAATTAAGCTCCTTCCATCAGCCACCTGTGAACATGTGTGGCATTATTTTACTGTCACCCTTCAAATCCACATAAATGCTGAAGTCCCTACAATTCCACAGTTCCTTAGTTCAAGCTCTTTCTGTTCTGTTTAGGAAGCATCTCTTCCCTTCGAACAGATGGCAGACAATTTGCTCAGGTTTAAACACTGACTCAGACTTAGTGATAAAACCGGCAGCTGCGTTCCTGATTCTCAAATCCAAATCCCACTTGCTTGGTCAACTTAATGTAAACTAGCAAAGGACATGCACTCTGAACCAAGCGTAGACACAGCAGAGACACTGTCTCGAGAGCCAGCACTGAAATACATACACACATACACCTTCAGCTGCAAAGATCAAATTCCCGCTTTGAAGAAATTATTTTTGTCCTTTTGGGCCATGGGGTCTAGGCAGAACAGTTAAAGAGGAAAAATGTCTCCTTACTGAGACAGGGGGGAGGAAAAGAAGATGCTGAGGGCTTTTCCTGCAGCACCGCTGCTTGTTGTTATTAATACAATTAACCTTTCACTGTTACTAATAACCAAGGTCATTTCCCTTGAAATCTTCAGGTCGGTTTCCCACTTGCTTTGAATGTGTGTGCTCACACAATTGTTTTCATATCCTTCTCTCTGTCTCTTTTTCTCTCTCTCTCTCATCAGGAGCCTTTCAGGGTCTTGCCTGTAATCTGTAATTCCTGTTCACACGACTGTGGGCGTTTTAGGACGTCCCTGGGCAGTTATGAAACTACTGACCGGTGGAGCCTTTCTTGCAGATGGATTTCATTCAGGACTTGTGCTATTATATTAATGGGTTTAATTTAAACAGGACTAGCCTCGCTGGCCAAATTACTGCCATTTAAATCAATTGGTTTAGGGGGAAAGGCAGCCTGACCAGAGCTATTAGACTTCAATTTATTACTGTATCGGCTTTTAAACTGGGCAAAGCAAGTTTGCTAATGTCTGTCCTCTATCCTTTGAGCTTGAGTACAAAACACAGTAATGAGAGTCTTTCGAGTTTTTTTTTTTTTAAAAAGGGGAGGCGGGAGAAAAAGAAGAAAAAGAAAAAAAAAACATATTCATTTAAGTCAATGTTTTATGAGCCAAGACCAGGTAGCCCTCCAAAGAATGCAAACCATAGGATCCTGTGGGTGCCGTTCATGTCCCTTCATTAAATTGAGATTCAAATAATCTAACAGATGTATTAGTTTAAAAAGACTTTATACTTGGATTTTCCCCCTTATAAAAAATAAGCGCTGCTTTTTTTTTTCACACATTTCAACCTGATTCAAATAGAAAAGCAAAAGGGAAGAAAATGCTTTAGATGTGCTCTTTTGATTTTTTCCAATCTCGCCTGAATAAAATGGAATGAGAGATCAAGAACACTCAATTAATTGCAACATTGGGTGTCACTAGGAGAGGGAGGGAGAGATGAAGGGAGCATTAGGGATGCACAACCCTTAACAAATGCATAGATTCAAAGAAGGAAGAAGAAGGGGAATAAAAAAGCGTGTCTGTATTTTATTGCACTCGGTAAGCTTTTCGCTTGTATTTATAGCTGCAATTATATCTCAATGAGGTTTGTCTACAGTGTTGGCTTCACGCTAATTTTCCCCCTCACTGCATTCTTGGAATAGGCTCGGACTGTTTATGAACCAGACATATTGACCTCATTTACAGCTAGCAGTTTAAATCCATAATTTTTCCACCCACAATCCCTCTTTGACATTCCGGCGGTGCGGCCGGCTCAGCGAGACTGAACTAAAAGTCTCACACTTCATTGAACACCATTATGCGGCTTTATGCTTATAAGCCTGTTTCCCTCGGCTGCCTTTCAGCTTTGCTGGAGATCGGTTTGGCCACAGGCCGGCAGTGATTAACTGGAAGAATCCAATAAATCACCCTGTCAGCCAGCAGGCTCTCCTCACTATGTCTACACATCGACATTTGGATTTGCACCTCTCTCTCTCTTTCTTTCTCTCTCTCTTTTGATTTTCTATCCCTCTTTCTCTCTCCGCCCCACTTTCTACAGAGCCATTAAAACACCTCTTTACCTTCACACAAGGTGAACTTGAATCGCTATTGTGAGTATGGCTCACTCCCACCAGCCCTCTGGGAGATAAACCCCTTTGATTTGTGGAGTTTTCCCCTGCCCTCGCCTTTCCTCTCTCCTCCTCCAATTAATTCACCCCTTCACTCTTAGGGCCTCACGGATCAGGCTGCCACGCAGGGGAAAAGACAGGCAGAGCGGGTGGGAGTGTGGCCAGGAGGCAGGTGCTGAAGAGGAAATCCCACGGATTCCTGTCAACTCCCGTCTCCTTCCGAGAGCCCCGCAGCCCCGGGAGAGAAAGGAACTGAGAACTGGGTTCTGCTTCCCCGGACGCCGAGCAACCTGGCTTTTCTATGAGAATGCTAGACTGGGATCAGTTCCTTCCTAGGGGGTGCACATACGTGTGTTCACAACTGAACGTCTGTGCCCACGTTTAGGAACGTTTGTGAGACTGTTCCAGACTCTGCTTGCAAGGAGAAGGAGGTGCAGCTACCGATTTATGAGTAAAGGGACGGTTCCCTGGTGTGGGCACTGTTGGTGGGGGCTGGGGTCAGGGTGGTCCCAGCAGATTCCCCACAGCTCGGGCTTCCTACTTTCCTACTTCTCACAGGCTGTTTGTGAAACAGCCTGTTCTTCGACTTGCCTGGTAATTTCCCGACCCTCTCTCTTTCGTATTCTCCCCATGGCCGTAGTCTTTTGTCTGGGATTATTTCTGCTCTGTGAGCACAAGCATTTGTTTGATGTCTCAGACATCAGATATACTGTATACTCTCCGAGTGGCTGAAGAAAGCAGGATTTTTGCTTTTGAAAACTCCACCGGCAAGAATGAGAAAAAGCAGTCTGAACTGCAGACACAAAGGATGGGAGAGATAGGAAGGAACAGCACCAGGCAGGCGTGATCAGGGGCCTCTCCCTCCCTGCAACGCACTGCGGGGACAGCGGTTCCTCTTGGCCTGGGGCTGTGCTGCGTGGACATGTAACAGCAGTAAACTGCCTGCAAGCCAGAAAGGAAATCGATACAGCCGCGAAGGGGTGGCCTGCCTTTGTCGATACGCTTCCAGTTTGTGCTGGCTGAGAGGGAGCCCTCCTTATGACAGTAACGCCTCTGTATCCACGCCTCCACCTCCCGACTGATCCTCGGTATAGGTTTCTTACTAAATTTTTGGGTCTTGTAAACTGCCTTCTGTCTTTTGTAAGTTGGCTACATAGTTAGACAGAGAATTAGATAATGGATCTACAGAGAGAAACCAGGAAGGAAACCCTAAGTATCTTGTCCATGGTACCTGGTCAGTATAGCCAAGTACCTGGCACAAAGTAGGAATTTAAAACATATTATTTCTTTTTAGAGTCCTTGTTATGAACTGAATGTTCGTGTATTCCCAAAAACTCCTATGTTGAAATTCTTACCCCTAAGGTGATGGTTTTAGGAGGTGAGACCTTTGAGGGGGGTGATTAAGTCATGAGGGTGGAGCCCTCATGAATGGGATTAGTGCCTTGATGAAAGGGACCCCAGAGAGTGCCTGTTCTTCTTACACCATGTAAGGACACAATAAGAAGTTGACAGTCTGTAATCCAGAAGAGGGCCCTCTCCAGAACCCAGCTATGCTAACACCCTCATCTCAGCCTTCCAGCCTCCAGAAATGTGAGAAATAAATTTCTGTTGTTTATGTGCCATTGAGCCTACAGTGCTTTGTTATAGCAGCCCGAACTGACTAAGACCCTCCTATACAGATAGATTGATATAAAAGCCACTTGGAAGACTTAGATGTGACCCTTGGACACATGATAACCCTCAGTCAATTTTCCTTGCCAGACTGGTACCAGGAGGTCCTCTGCTCCCCCTTTGTATCTCCAACTCTCACGCTTTGTTCATTTCACCCTGATGCACCACCATGGATGAGGTCGCAAATCTTAAGCAAATATTCAGATCACTGTCGAGGAGCTGTAACTCAATTGGATCAGTTCCTGCTCTGCCAACATCCCAGTGCATTTGCATGGGGGTTTGTTGAAGCTAGTCACGAAAAGCATGTAGGGTTCATACTGTTCCCCATTTCTGAAGATGACAAAAGTGAAGGAATACCCCTGATAATACTTGGGTTGAGAACATTTCTTGTGTGCCTACTAGGTTCCCAGTGTGGATCCTTATATCAAAATATGAAGATTGCCCATAAATTGTAAGCATAAGGCAAGGAAACAGGGTTCATAAGCTACCCAGCTATTGCTATAATTGTAAAGAGGTGGAGTTGGGGGGTTGCTCTTTCAAAAAATAACTGTCAAACATAGAAACTTACATGATACTCACATAGCCTCATTGTTAACAGCATTTAAGGCACATCTGTCTTCAAAAGACATTTTAGTTATTGCACAAAAGCAAGGAACCTCAGCATGACTCAGTTTCTCTGTTTGTAATAGAAGAATAGTAAAAATCTTTGCCACCTTCTTGTGGTGTATGACTCTTTTGAGAAAGAATCATCTATGCAAAATGCTTTGTGCGCCTCAGAGACAAGGTAATATTGAAATTTGTGTCAGCATCATCATTAAATCTTTCCTTCCGGGGACTTAATATTTTTCAATATTGTCTCATTGATTCTAGCAGCATCATAAACAAGAATAGCGTAGCAGCAAGATAGTTCCCACACAAGGCAGAACTGGATTTTCTTTCTGCCTCAAACTAGCTCTGAACTAAACTCAAGAAAGCGCTCATGAGTCTCTGTTCTTTCACCTGCAAAATGAGACAGCTGAACTAATTGATGCCCAAGGTTTACTCTGTAATACTAAGTTCAACAATAGAAAAAAAGTGCCTGTTTCTCATGCTATAATTTTGCACAGTCACTTCCTCTGGAGTCTATTTTCATCTGCGTTTTATAAATGTGCTCTCCTTGGTCCTCTTTGGCCTCTCTGTTAACTTCAGGCTCCTTCTGTGTCTCTTTTTCCTCCTTCTGCCTGGTAGCATCGGCACTGTCCAGAGTCCCGTCCTTGGCCTCATCCTCTTCTCTGTCTAAACTCTGACTCTGTAGCTTCATCCATGATTTCAGTTTTGATTATCATCTCTGTGTAGAAGGCTATCCGGTTTCTTTCTCTAGTCTTGACCACCTTCTCAAAATCCATACCCATCATTCCAACTGCCTGCGATACACATTTCCACCTGAATGTGCCACCAACATCTCAAGTTCCAATGATGTAGAAAAGAATGGATTCATTTGTCCTGACCCCATGGAATCAGCCTGAGTTCAATCAGAGAAGTAGGATCATCATGAGTGTATGTGGAATAAAGGGTGTAACACAGGGATGAGAACTTCTACAGTCACAGGAGCTGGTGGGAGTCTCTGCAACATTGTTGTTTCCATGCCTGTGTTGGTCTGAAGTCACTAGGGGTCAGCCAGATGGGCAGTTGGAAGGGAAAGCTGGGTGCAGTTAAGGAAAAGGATCTCTGTGAGGATGACCTAGAACCCACATCTGCCACATCTGTCTCTCACAGCCTCCAATGGCTGCCTTGGGTTATTTCCAGCATAAGTTGCTACCCTTCTTCACAGAGCTGCTTTGTACTTGACCCAGCACTTGAAGAAGCTGCAGGAGGAGACTCGACAGGAGCAGAGGGAGGCGTGTGCTCAGGTAAGACCCTATGCCAACAAGGTGAGTTGTCACATGAGCTGCCACAGTTCCCGGTCCCCGGCATCAAGCTTCAGAACATCAGATATATGGTCCTGCCTCACTTCCACTGCCAGAGCTCATGCAACATGTGTCCTGTGGCCAATACTAACCCGAATCATACAGGGAAAGGAATTCTGAAAGAATTAAAGAGACAAAGCTACCTCACCCGTAGACTGCTCCTCTTCCTGTATTTCCTAATTCTGTTCATGGCATGGTATCTTCCCATCATCTAGATTAAAAACCAGGAACTTCCCTTTTCCCCAAATCCAACCAGCTGCTAAAAACCATGCTCTTTACTCTCACAATGTCTTTTCCATTCATCCCAGTACCTTCTTTAATCTCTAGCAATCATTCTTGCTAAGCAGTTGGGACTCTTGTTATCTCCTGCCTAGACCATTACAATAGCCTCCAAAGAGGGCTTAGTCCCTATCATCTCTCTTCCCTTTCAAACCATTCACAGCTATAACCATCTTTTTTTCCTGACAATAAGATTACATAGATCCACACTGTCTTTCGGGGATGAAATCTAACTCTTAGGCCTGAAAACAAATGCCCTTCACAATCAGAACTATGTTAATTTTTCCAACTACAATTCCCCTTGTCAGCTTTCAGGAAACTTATGTTCTATCCACTGCCCTACTATTCCCTGTCCGACAGTCTCCCATCCCTCCCTTGCCCACACTGCACCTCCTAGCTGAAAGGTTTTTACTTGATCTGGGGCTCTACTATCCTATCAAGGTGTAATAAGTCTATGTTCAGATTTAATTGTTTTCCATATCTTTCTCTGGAAATATTTGTAATCATTTTCACTTCTGAAAATCCTAAATAAATTATCAAGATCCTTCTTAAAACACATTATTATGCCTGAAATGCATGCCACAAACTCCAAATTAGACCATAGCATTTTGAAAATGGGGAACACATAGTCTCTCCCAGCCACTTGCACATAGTGGAGGAGCAGTAAGGACTTGCTCCCTAAATGGATGATTCCTGGGATCAGGATTTCACAGGGAAGCAAGGCAGTGGGGAGAGCCAGCTCAATGGATCAAACAGCTTCAGCCACTTTTAATTTGGAGGTAAATTTCCAAGTAAAAGTTTGCTGAAAAAATTATATTAGTTAAGACTCATTCAGATGCCAACAACCAAAATCTAAACTGAATACTAGTTTAAATTTTGTTTCTAAGAAGAGAAAGTATTGACACATGCAATTGAAAATCCAGGCATGACTGAATACAGGGCTCACATGAGTTTATATCAGGACTCAGTGCTTTTGTTGTATCCTTCATTATGAGTTGGCCTCACTCTTATGTAATTCTTCCTCTTCTGATGGCACAATTCTCATCTATGCCTTCTACCTTACATGATTTTCCATTACTAATAGTTTCAACCTGGAGTTTCTTGAGTGGAGCCACTTGAATTACCTGGAAGTCCCTTTGGCCAAGGAGGCAGAAGGTATTGACTGATTTAGGCATTACAAACAAGACTAAGGGTGGGAGAGGCGATTTCCCAAGAGGAGGTACTAATACCATAAGAATAAAGAGACACTACTGGGTAGAAAAACTTTATTTATTTTCATTTTTATTTTTTGAGATGGAGTCTCACTCTGTCACCCAGGCTGGAGTGCAGTGGCACGATCTCAGCTCACTGCAGCCTTCGCCTCCTGGCTTCAAGCGATTCTTCTGCCTCAGCCTCGCGAGTAGCTGGGATTATAGGCACGTGCCACCATGCCCAGCTATTTTTTTTTTTTTGCATTTTTAGTAGAGATGGGGTTTCACTATATTGGCCAGGCAGGTCTCAAACTCCTGACCTCATGATCCACCCACCTCGGCCTCCCAGAAAAATTTTAAATGTCCTCTCCAGGAGGTTAGGGAAACTGTTACCCTGAAGACCCTGTTTGTTCCTGATAAGAATTGGCTCTGTGTCTCCACCTAAATCTGATGTCAAATTGTAATTAACAGTGTTGGAGGAGGGGCCTGGTGGGAGGTGACTGGATCACGTAGGTGATTTCTAATGGTTTAGCACCATCCCCCAAATGCTGTCTCATGTTGGAGCTCTCAGAAGATCTGGTTGTTTGAAAGTGTGTAGCACCTCCCACTTCACTCTCTCTCTCTCTCCTGCAGCCATGTGAAGATGTGCTTGCTTCCCCTTTATCCTTCAGCCATGATTGTAAGTTTCTTGAGGCCTCCCAGCCATGTCTCCTGTACAGCTCACAGACACATGAGCCAATTAAGCCTCCTTTCTTTATAAATTACCCAGTGTCTGGTGTGTCTTTATAGCAGTGTGAGAATGGACTAACGCAGTTCCTTCTCAATTTAATATTTTCCCCATTGGCTCTCTCACCCACAGAATAATTTACTTCCACCATTTTCCCCCCAACATTTCATGGGGAGGATGACAAGGCAATATTGCCCATCATTTAGGCAAAGATGCACAGAAGCTATGCAGCATGCCCATGACTACAAAGCTACTGGCTGAATACCGAAGCACAGGGGTGTGACACAAGCAAAGACCTAACTTGATGCAGGTCATTTCTTTCAATCATCAATCAACCAAATGGTCTTTTTTATTTTTAATCAGAAATTCTTGTTACTAGCCATATATTCTATGTGTTTACGGAAATAATTCCAGGTGAGTTCCTCAAACATAGGCACATAAAAATGAATTTTATGTGAATATAGATCGTATTAATTCTTGCCACTTGTGTTGTGATTTGCATCTTTAAGACACTTCACAAGCATCATTAACTAATTAGTCTTCAAGATGCCTCTCTGGAGGTAGATATGTATTGCCTCATCTTGCAGATAAGGAAACAATATGCAGAGAGATCACACAAAATTCAAGAAACCCAGCAATGAGCCCCAAATAATTTTCTCATCATTATTTCTTCCTCATATAAAAGTCCTCTTCAAGAAAAACTCCAAATTCACACCACACCAGGGGCTCTGTGTGTAAATCACAAGAGCTGCCTGCTACACAGAGGAACGTGTTCATCATTGAAGAATGTTTACATAAGTCACATCATGGGTTACTTGAATAGAAGCCCATAACACATATTTGTAGGTAGGCATGGTGGATTCCTTTGTAGCAATGTCAGTTAGGAAACATAGCTGCCAGAAAAAAGGGAATGAAACCTAATAATCAAATAGAAATGGGTAAAAAGCAAAAAAAAAAAAAAAAGTGTAAAAAATGTGAGTTCCTTTTATTCCCCTTAGAGTGGGGAGTTCCTCCAATTCCCCTTATTTCACTTAAAGTTAAAAAGGTTCAAAGTTAGTAGGAAGACCCAAACATCCCCTTCTGGGGGTTTGAGGGATTGTCAGGCAGACACCACCTACTTTACCACCAGACAAATGACAGCTAGTGGAAGTGACCATGTTGGCAGGTGGCCAGGAGTCCCAGCTGGACACCAACTTGCCCTGTTGCCTCCTGGGTGCACTCTCTCTCTGTCTCTCTCCCTGCCTTTCTCTCTCTCCTTTTCCAGCTCTAAAATGGAAATCACAAATCCAACTGACACCACAGAGTTGCATATAAACACTATGATAAAGTGCTTTGTGGGAACCAAGCCCTTTGTGCATTGTAAAGAGGGTATTTGCGACGGTAATAATTCCTCCTCTAACCAATACCACATCCTATACCTGGAGACCAGGTGGCTGCTCCTGGATGTCTGTACTTTTCCCTGTAATTCAAGTGAGCCACACATCTTCCTACTGGAGTGCTCACAGGGTTTGAAAATGAAGTCCTGTAGGGAACTCCTTCTAATTGCCAGTGAGTCACTTTCCTTTCCAAGCAAAGAGGTTTCTGTTGGTGACATTAGAGAGCAGGCGCTTGTCTGTATTGTAACAGCTTAATTATACGTATGGGTATAATCACACAATCTGTCATTATACCTTTTTTTCCACCCGGAGAATTTGTACTGCAATCACCATAACACTATAACAACATGAACAACAGACTTTCTGGCCCTCCCCGTGATCGTTTCCTTTGCCATGCCTGGTAGGGATGAGCAGGCGGCTTTGGATGGAAGAACTGACTGCTCGCTAGCAGAAAAACACAAGCCTGAATCTTTCACAGGGTTTTCAGGGCATCCTGTTCATTTGGCTCTCTCTAAAGGACAGTCAAGTCCCTCGCTTTCCTCCCAGCCTAACAAACCCTCCCTCTGGTTTCATCTGTTTGAAAATTGCACAAGAAGAAACCATCCTTCTGCTATTTTATACCCAAACCAAGTGAAGTGGAAATTGCATGAGGAAACCTATCCATCTGTTATCCCTCAGCTCAGCAGTGGTTAGAATTTATTACACAGCGCATCCTGTCCCCTGCCTCTGCCAGGCAGCCTGTGGGGTGAAGTATGGGTGGGGAGGGAGGCTCAGGTCTCAGAGAGGGGGCGATTGCCTTTGCAGCTTCATCAGCAGAAGTAGCAAACTTACTTATTACAGAGCAAGAGTTGGGCCGTCACAGAACAGCAGCATATGAGGAGGAGGAAAGGTACTGCCACTGAACACCAGGTAACCTTGCATCCCACAAGCCACTGGCCATGTCATTCCAGCTACACCACAACCAGGAGGCAAGATCAGGGACAAACTCTGGGAGACCCAGAACCCACCTCATGGGGCTGGAAATTATATTTTAGAGGGAAGCTTTATTTCTAAAGGTACTGTTGAAGTTCAGCAATAACCTGTTCCCGTGTGTCAGGAATTTCTAAGAAAATGGCTCCAGGACAACTCCTGGGAAACAGCCCCTTCTCTTGGGATCAAGAATAATTTGTGGCAACATCCTGTAGTTCTTCTTCCCTGAGTGGTTGTGCACTAACCTGAAATAATCATCATTAGCATGTTGGTGATTGCTATGGTCCTTATCAGCATTGATGTTTCTTTTATTAGAGGAGAATAGCTGATTAAGTCTCAGACTTGTCACAATGTACTGCAGGCACTAAACCTAGTGCTTCGGATTTTCCTTTTCCTCAGGTTTACAGACTTCTTTATCTTCCCAGAAAATATGGTCATTTGTTTGTGTTTTGTGAAGTCTCTTTGATCCATAATGGAATATTACAGGTATAAAGAAATTTATACCTGGAGATTTTATTCATACTCATTAATAATATCCCTCACAGACCATCAAATACAGCCTAATCCTTTAATGTTGCCTCATGTCTACCTTCAGGCCTTAAAAGAGATAAGGCAATTAGTGTAGGATCCATTTTTTTTTTAATCAGGTTGGAATTTAAACCAGCATCATCAGCCTGCCAATATCTCCTCAAAACAAAACCTAGTTAGAAGAGCCTATGAGATTGTGGAGTCCAAGGTCATATTAATGCCACATGTTGTGTGAACTTGTCATTTTTTCTAACAATACAGAGTTATGCCCCTTTTAACCAATTCATTTATTCAATTTGTTTATTCATCCAAGAGCTCCCTCTATGAGCCAGGTACTTACTGTATTGTGTTGAGGATTAAAGTCTAAAAAAAACCAGACATGGTCCCTATCCTTACACAGCATAGAGTCCAGTGGAGGAGATATTCAAGAAAATGGTTAAATGCAATATAATGTTTAAGGAGAGGGTAATGTATAGTGATTGGGAGAATCCTGTGGCCTAGATCTGGAGGTAAATATTAATAAGATGGAGAATAATGGAGAAATGTATTCCATTCTAAAAAACAACATGGCAAATATCCTGAGTGAGAGAGACATGGTACTTTCAAAGAATTTAAGACAGTTCGAAGTGGTTAAAGGATGGGAGTAGTGAGACAGAGGCAGCAGATGTAGTGTGTTAGTCAGGGTTTGAGAGAGAAAGAGAACCAGTACTATGTGTATTCCTAGAGAGAAGTGAATGAGGGCTTTAAGAAACTGGCTTATGTGATTGCAGGGGCTGGCATGTCCAAATGCAGTGGGTCTGGCCAGCAGGCTAGACAGCCAGGGAAGAGTCGATACTGCAACTTGAGTCCAAAGCTCAATTCTACCTTCCTCAGAGGACCTTAGTTTTTTCTCTTAAGAACTCCACTTTATGACTTGCCCACTTTAGAGAGGGCAGTTGGTTTTAGTCCAGTCTACTGATTTATGTTAATCTCATCTTTTCAAAAAGCCTTCACAGCAATATCTAGACACATGTTTGTCCAAATATCTGAGTACCATGACCTGGTCAGGTTGACACATAAAATTGGCCATGAACAGGTAGTAAAAAACACTTATAAATGACCTTGTTAAACTTGTTAAGGAGTTTGACATTTATCCTAAGATCAATAGAGGCTATTTGGGATGGGGATTGGGATCATTTTACAGTGACAATAGAACAAGAGCTGCTATTTAGGAAGATGACTGTGGCCACATCATACAAAAGAGAATGCTGGAGGAGGGGCCAAGACTGAAGATCAGAAGACCAGTGGAGGCTGTTGGAATCATCTTGGTGAAAGGAAATCATTTCTGAACTAGAAAAATGTTAACAAAAATGGAGGAAAATTGCCATATTTAAGAGAGTTTTTGTTTTTTGTTTTAGTTATGGGGAGTTGGGGAGGTAAAATCATTAAGATTTTATAATTGGTTGGCAAGGCAAGCTTCCTAATTTGCAGGGCCCAGTGCGAACAAAAATGCAGGGCCTCCTGTTCGAAACCATTTTCCTTTTTTGTAATCTCTCTCTCAACCCATCACAGAATGTTTTATCTGCTGTTTTATGTTGTGCTCCCTTGAGCACAGTAATATTCTCAAAGCACTCCGGGTCCACTTCCATCACTCAGCAGGTGGGTGTATACACTCACCACCACATCCACACCCGAAGTCGAGGGAGCCATAGTCACTGGGCAAATGCAGGAGACTTGGCAGCTGAGAATCCATCTTTGGGAGGCAGGACGGCGGGGAAAGGTGGGACCCTCCATGTGCTGAGGCTCCAAGCCTCAGTAAGTGCTTTACTTTCCTATTGGACTTCCCTTAAAAAACACACATTCAAAGAAAAAATTATTAAGAATTTCAGGACAGCAAGTAAAGTGCATTAAACGCCAAGAACAAGGTCCTTCTGAGCACAGGGCCCTTTGGGATTACACTGGTGACACAACTTTGAAGTTGGTATATCTGTTAAGATACAAAAGGTAAACTGATGGAGAGGGAATAATAAGGAGAATACCAGGTTTTCATCTTAAGAAAACTGATGAATGGCAGTGCCATTCACACAAAGAGAAAGAGATGGACAAGTTTGGGACCCTGGGGGAAAAAGATGCTTGCCGCTTTGCATTGGTTAATTGTGTAGGAGACAAGTCTAGTAGGTAGCTAAGTATACGGATTTGAATCTCAAAAAAGGAATCTGGGTTAAAGATATAAAATTGGACATCATCAATGTACAGATTTTCTTTAACCGTTTGTTCTAGAAGCAGCCACAGGTTTCTACTCATCCATAGCTATTTCGTAAAGAGAGAGCTCTAGAGAGACTAATGAGATCTATGGACCTGGAAGCTGGAAGCCAAACAGGCCATCATAGGAATGAACTTCCTCGCTGTGATCTCGTTTACACCACATGCTAAGCAGATGAGCTGAGGAGACTCTCTTACAGCTTGAGTGAAGCAAGATGGCAGATTGGGAAGAGTCCTGGTCTTGAGATCTGAAGGACTTGGATGAGGTCCTAACGTTCCCTCACCCTGTGACCTTGCACGAATCGCTTACCCTCACTAAGCTTTTATAATTTTCCTTTGTCAAAATCAAGACAACTAAATATCTCCATCTTGGTCGGGAGGCTGAGACAAAAAGGTGAACATAAATGCCCTTTACATGCTGCAAAATGACTACAGACATGAAACTGTATTATTACTGCAGAAGAGCTAGGCAGCTTGGCAAGTTGCATTAACTCTTTCCTGCCACCAGATACTAAAAGGTGTGTGAAAACAGAAGTATTCTGAATGATACACAAGCATCTGCCTGAAGGAGCCCTGTGGGCATGAGCAGCCATTTCTGGCTCACCTCTATAAATGATAGCTGTTTTCCTTTGAACCGTAGATAGACCCTATCATCACTTCTCCAAGCCTAACTGATAGGACTCACCCTCCCCTCTGCCCACTGATTGCATTGTCTTGGCAGTTTCTGCTTCTCCAGCCAGCCCCTGGCATCAGCTGTCCAGGGCCTCATTTATTAGAGCCATCCCTCATGTTTCCTGCCATGCTCTGTGTTCCCTGCAAGAGGCACTAGGTTGAGAAAAAATAATTAGTAATCTAGGCACTGCAGTTCTGATGAGACACCTGCAGCATAATCATCCAAATCAAATATTTGGCTCTGCTTCTTCAGATGATATATCTCTTCCTGCAACTGCTGAATGGCAGCTTAGCTGAGCTTGTACTGAAAATGAAGAACATATCGAAGGAAGGAGGGATTCTTCCGGCTCTGGATCACCAAGGTCTGTGCCAATGTTGCTGCTGCCAAGGCTCAACCCCCAGCTTATACATTCAGGCCCTTCCAATCCCATCAGTTGAAAGGGACAGTTGTGGGCAAATGGGAAAAGACAATTTAATTTACTCAAGTGATTCAGGAATGAATAGTTGTACCACCAAGGAAATATCCAATTGTTTTCTCTGAAAATCATCACTGTCTGACATAAGGGCTGGCAGGTTTTTAAGTCCTTAGGAAGATATTTTAGTTTACAAGGCATCAATACAACTTCATTATTTTACAATTGAGAAAACGAAGGCCCTGGCCTCATCGTTTTCCATGGTAGACTCAGGACTAGAACTCTGCATTCCTATTGCCTGATTCACTGTTCCCTCTACTAAGCCACACTACTTAGAAGCAGGCCATATCTCCATCACCTGGAATTGTGTAGGATAACTTTGTAATTATCACATGTGTTTAGTATAGTATCTAGATTGCTTGCTGCATTCAAAGCTCTTTCACTTGGAAAAACATGTTAGGGATAAGAATCACAGAGAAGATTCTAAACTAGCTAACCTGTGTTTAAAACCCATAAATTTAGCTGACCTTTTTAGCTTACAGTTTTCCTGGAACTACCATGATATATTATAGGAGCCATATACACAAAGTTAATGAGCTGTCTTCTTTGTTTTGGGTTAATAAAGCATTAATGCAAATAATGCAAAAAGAGCTTGAATTTTTCAACCAGTAACTTCCCCTCTTATATGAGCCATAACACCTTTTATATCCTTTGATAAACACTTAACCAACTGAAAAATAAGTTGGTTTTGTTTAAAGAAGTGTCTATAATCTGCGTTTCCCACCAGGTTGTAAAGGCCACATGGTAGAGTCCACGACCATCATCCTGTCTATAGCCACATGCCCAGAACCCAGTATGTACTCAATAAATATTTGTAGGAATTTTTAAATAATCTGGAATTGTATAAAGAGCAGTACGTTTAATGGAGAGGGGCAGCTCAAGATTCTGTAATTCGCTGCCCCCATTTTAAAGATGAGTAAACAGAAACTTAAAAAAAGTTAAGTGACTTAAACAAAGTGTCACAATCATTGACCTATTCATTCAAAAACATTTCTTGAGCACACACCCTATGCCCAATGAGCAGTACTATGGAAGAGGAAACCTGAGCTATATCTTGAAGGATGGATTAACTTTATTAATCAAAGTAGGGGGAAAGTCAGTACAGGCACAGAGAAAGGCATTTATAAAACCTTACAGCCACAAAAGCATAGAAAGATCAAGGAACAACGGGATTGCATGTTAGAGATGAAGGGAAACTGGCAGAAGATGGTTTGAGAGAGGGGGTTTAGTGTCAGGTATTGAAGAGCTCTGTTCATTGTGTTAAGGATTTGGACATGGTCCAGTGTCCCTCAAACTTTAATGAGTATAGAAATCACTCAGGGTTCTTGTTAAAATGCAGATTGTGACTCGGCAGGTCGGGAGTGGACCCTGAGATTCTGACTCTCTAAGCTCCCAGGTGGCATCAATGCTACTGGGCCATAGACCCCCACCTTAAGGAAAAAGGCACAAGAAAACAGGAGGCCTACAGAGGTGCAGATGTAGGGCAGTGGTTCTCAAAGTGTGGTCCCCATATTCTTCAGCCTCCTGCACTAACCTATGGAATGAGAAACTCTTGGCAGGACCCAGTCTGCCCAAGCCCTCCAAGTAAAGTGGAAACCACTAAAATTTGAGCATCAGCAATAAGGATAATAACATTATTAGATTTACTTTAGAGGAAGATGACTTGGGTAGGACTCACTGGACTCCCCAGTTTAGCGTTCCTCCCATTATAACTGGAAAATCACGCATAGATCTCTAAGTACAATATTTTAGATTTAAGAATATTCAGCAATTTCAAATGGCAGAGTTGTTAATGAGGAATAAATTTTCTCCCACAGCATTCATTATCTTCTATGATTACAAAAAGCATGAAATGCCCTGTGTTTGAGGACATCTCTAAGTATTAGTAATTGAATTGACATTTAATAAATACGAGTAACAAATTAGCACAATCTTATATTCAGAAGTCAAAGTTGATCCCAATTTGTTGGTTATTAAATTACTTAGAAATTACTTACACTTTTTAAAAATGACATATCCCATAGGTATATCTGAGATAGAAAAAGAAGTGAAATCTATTGTCAGAATTTACATTTAAGCTCAGGGAAAATTTATGACTATGATTTTTCTTGGAATTATATCCTTGAATCTAATAGTTGTTTTTTTTTTTTTTTTTTGAAAGGAAAACCCAGGATTTTTTGTTTGTTTTTTTGTCCCAGAGTTTTCTTCCCTCTTATTGTTTTATTGTACAATGCCTGAAATAAGCAAGAGGAATAAATGAAATAATGGATCAATGAATCAATTAATTTGTATAAAGGTAATAAGCAGAAATGAATGACCAAAGCAAAGAAGAAAAAAATTTAAAAAATTGGTTAGAGAATAAAAAAGACTAAAGTTTATTATATAAGTGCCTAGAGCACATTAGAATCTTTTAAAATTAGTAAGCTTTTAAAAACTTCATGCTGAGGTCTCACTCCACATTAATTAAATCAGAATCTGTGGCTTATGATCCAGCATCAATTTTTTTTTTTAGGCTTTCCAGGTATTTTTGGTGTACTAACTAGGTTTGATATCCACTGACCTAAAAGATCTTAAGTTTCCATTAATGGAATTTTTAGAGTTGACATTGTGAATGACATTTCATTTTTTAAAATCTTTTTGATTTTTTTAAAGCCTGGCCTATCACATTCTGGCCATACCCCTTGTCTGTATAAGGCAAGAATGTTGAAACATGACTATGTTACTAGAACTCAGGACTACATTAAAACTATGAGAAGATGAGAATCAGTTCTGAAAGCACTAAATTAGAGGATCTTTGGGTGGAGAATTTGTCCTTGACCATACACAAAGTGATTGTTCTATAAAGGGAACCCAGAATCCCATATTAAGATGCTGGTGGCTACAAAAGCATGCCTTGCCAAAGCATTTGTTTGCTCTTGCACAGACCCACACTAAAAGTAATTTTCCGGACCATGAGTATGGGGTGCTGACTGTTTGCAGAGGCATCAGGTGTGGATGACACACACCTGTTTTAATTGCTTCATGAAACATTGTGAGGTTTTTGCCTGAACCTAGAAACAACAAAGAGGCTTCCATTTCAACTCTGGATATTACAGACAGGCCAGATGGAATCCTGTCGACTATTTGATTGAGCGTATTTTTCATTTGAAAACACAAATCATTGGGTACGTCATCTGTAGGGTAATCTGGGAGGACATTTTTCTTCATTCTATCTGGTGGACCATGCCGAAACACCTGTTTCATATCTTAGAATAATTTGCAACTGCTATCTAAGAAATAAATGTTGAAACAATATCATTAAGCTACTTTAAAAAATTCATATACTTGGGCATTGAAGAAAATAACACAACTTGGAGCCTGCATCACCACTTCCATTAACACAGTGCCCAGAGTTTAGGATAATTAAACATTTCTGTTCTTGTTTATAAGCTAGGCTGACCAACTGTCCTAGTTTTCCAAGGACTGGGGGGCTTCTTGGGGTGAGGGTATTTCAGTGCTAAAACCAAGAAAGTCCAGGGCAAACAGAGACAGATTGCTCACCTTATTATAGACATACACCCTGAGACACTGTGAGGCTGAATGATATTTCAATCACCTCACATATTGGTAGAATTTTCACCTAGACATTTAATATATATTATCATGAGTAAGTCAGGTATAATGATTCTATTTGCTGAAAGTTATTCTGGAACCAAAGACCAGCCAAAATATATGTAATCCCATCAGTTGAGGGTGCTTCCAGGAAGTGTAGCCATGTCCACCCAGAGGGCCTAGGTCCTGTTAAAGACAGATGCTGCTCTGAAAGAACCGTGAAGAATTGCTCTCATTTCCCAGTCATAGGCACCAACTCCCAAGTTTAGATACAATATTATTTCCAGTTGTCTCAAAGTATACCAAAGAAAATGAAGTTTAATTAGCTTTAGTTTTCAATATAGGCTCATGCAAATATCACATTTTGGAACCTGTTTTGGAGAAATCAAATAAACAACATATGCATCCAGTGATCGGGATTCTCTTTTATTAGGCTATTGAGACAAGCCCAAGATCAGAGTTTTCTACCAGTGCTTTGCAAAGCCTTAGGCTGTTGTTTCTCAAACCTTAATGAGCATGGGAATCACTTGGGGATATTATTAAACCACAAACTATGATGCTAGAGGGCAGAGGTAGGGACCATGATTCTGCATGTCTAATCAGCTCCAGAGTGACCTAGGTGGCCTAGTGACCACGCTCTGAGTAGTGAGGCCCAGGACTACACGGAGGTGTGCCATGAGGCCCAGGGGAGGACCAGAGGAGAGTTGTACATTTTTTCTCACCCTTTTCCAAAAAGTCCAGCTGTTTTTATTTATAAGAATAAATAACTTATAAATAAGTTATAAAACTTAAAATGAACTCTACTACATAGAGTTCATTTTAAAATGCATTCGAAAAAAGAGAGAAAGAAAGAAAGAAGAAGAAAGAAAAAGAGAGAAGGAGAGAAAGAGGAAGGAAGGAGGGAGGGAGGGAAGAAAGGGAGGCAGGGAGAGGGGAGAAAGAAAGAAGGAAGGAAGGAAAAAGGAAGGAAGGAAGAAGGAAGGAAGGGAAGGAAGGAAGGGAAGGAGGTAAGGAGGGAGGGAGGAAGGAAGGAAGAAAGAAAGAGGGAGGGAGGAAGGAAGGAAGAAAGAAAGAGGGAGGGAGGAAGGAAGGAAGAAAGAAAGAGGGAGGGAGGAAGGAAGGAAGGAAGAGGCACAGCATTAAAAATGTGCACTGGTATGAAAACAAATAATTCTGCAAAAGCATGAAACATACCTCCTCACACACTCTTCTGCCAAACATGGATGTTCAGGTATGGCTTCAGGTTGGTTCAGGACATTCTTTGAGCCTGAGACTCCCAGAGTCTCATCACCTCCTTTTTAACATAGCATGGTGTGAACCCTGTGGTAGCAGTGCCAAACCTGTAGTTTAATTAAAAAGCGAAGAGGAAAATAAACCTCTCTCCAATACACAGAACAACATCAAAATAGCCCCTACAGAGGATAGCCTTGTGGACCCCAACTAAATGACTTTCATTTGCAGAACTTCCACTTGACCCACGTAAACAGGAATAAGAGCACATGCTTAATAGGCTGGCACGTGGGGCCAATTTCAGAAGGGAGCAACTGGAAAGATGTAAGCTGTAGGTGGATGGGGCCCAACTTAATTAGGAAATGTTTCAAACTCCAGGCAGAAAGAACTGTTCCCAGGGAAAGAGTCACTTCAGAGCAGGGTGCCTGGGTGAAGCCTTTCACATAAGTGTAAAACATCCTCTACCCAATCAAAGAAGGTTATCAAATTTCAGCAAAGACCCACTGTAGGTTCAAAGGCACCTAAATTTCTCTCACTACAGCAATATTCTCTATCATTTTATTTGATTTAATTATTCATAATGAAACTTTAGGCTATTTTGTTGAGTTGTTTTGGTGCCACACTGGTATTTTCAAAGGGCACAGCGAGGTAGGCCCTGAGATCAGTAGCTCAGGCTTCCAGAATGCATTTTGCCAATTCTTAGTTAAAAGTTGCCTGCAATCTTTGCTTCCCAGGCACGGGACAGGGACAGTTCAGATGTGGAAATAAAGTGGTTAATGAGGAAAGATATGTATAGACAGGCAGGAACTGAGAGAATTATGAAAATCAATTTTACCTGAGATCTGGAAATGAAACCTCCACGCATAATTCCAGAGCAGTATCTGCTTGGGAGGCAAATGAACTCGGCCACACCACATACTGTGAAGGGGGTTGAGGCTTGAAATGAGGGCCAATCCCCGGTAAAGGCAGCTTCTCTAAGCCTTATGGAAACCAGGGACAGGTGCTGTGGCCTTCTTTATCATTTAAATTAGTTTTGTGGCTACTAAGGTGAACTTGGGTTATTGCTTAAAGCAGAGATAACTTGTTGGAAGGCCACTGATGAGTAGAATTTATGCATATGATGTTTATGAAAAAACTGAACTCATTGTCAATAATTTCAAATAAGTCTAGTTGATACAAAAGTATACATTAAGAAATAACAAGCGACAGAAGATCTGGAAGCAATGGGCCTTCAACTGGCATGGCAGCCAGTGGGGGGAGCTGAGGCCTCACCCCTTTCATTATGTAAGTGCTTCCACCCGTGCAGTTTCAAATCGGCTCCCTTCACTTCTTTGGCTTACTATGCCAGGTGAATTTGTGATCCCTGAATTCAAATCTGTCCTCAGAGATCCATCCTAGGATCACAAAAAAAGAAAGGATGGTTATCGAGAGAATTGTTTTTCTCCCCAAGATGAACCTTGTGCTTCTCAGGTGATAAAGCTAATGGAGCAAAGTGCTTACTGGTGAAGTCCCAGAAACAAAAAGGGAGCTATGTGTTCCAGCTGCATCTTCTTGGAGGCAATTTATTAAATTAATGCTGATTGATAAACCACAAGGTTATTAACACTGTGTTTTTGTTTGTTTTACTGTGACATATTCAAAGAATTTTAATACATGGCTCTAGCTTGTGTTCCCCAAGCTTTCTTGGGAGGTGTTCCACTGGTTCTCCCATTGTTGAGGAAGAGGTGAAGTGAGACACCAAACAAAGGACACTGATGTACCAGTGTCATGAGCAGGTTACCAGGGCAACTAGGACGCCATCCTGCTGGGACCTCTGGGATGCAGCTAGGGACCCGAGGTGGGCACTGCCTCAGTAGGGAGCATCATTCCTCCTGGCTGATCACCTAGGAATAAAAACCTTTTTTTTTTTTTTTTTTTTTGAGATGAAGTCTCCCTCTGTCACCCAGGCTGGAGTGCGGTTGTGCGATCTTGGCTAACTGCAACCTCCTCCTCCCAGGTTCAAGTGATTCTCCCACCTCAGCCTCCCCAGCAGCTGGGACTACAGGCGCCCACCACCACAACCGGCTAATTTTTGTATTTTTAGTAGAGACAGGGTTTCACCATGTTGGTCAGACTGGTCTCAAACTCTTGACCTCAAATTCTTTTCCAGATGCGCTATAGAGCATGTCTCAGATTTGTCCTCCCTGGGTGGTGAGGAAGAGCCCCATTGTCATTCGGTCCAGGAAGCTCACAGGACTTGGACTCCCAGCCTGCTCTGAGTGAACTCTGGGAATACTCCAGAGGCCAGAGAAAGCCCTCAGGCAGATGCTTGCCCTCAGAAGGGGTCAACAGGCAGAGGAGCAGACAGTGCTGAGGGAATCTGGACATAGCAACCATAGCCTCCAAACCAATGAATGGCCACTGACTTTGAGGGATTGTAGTCCAGTTAGGAAGATAATAAGTAATGTTTATTGAGTAAATATCTATGTTCAGGGCACCCTGTTAGGTATTTTCCATTCGATCTTCACAACATGTCTGTGATATCAGGTAATGTCACTATATTCATCGTATAGATAAGGAAACTGAGGCACAGATGCATTAAATAACCAAGGCTGTCCCTGCTAGTAAGTGGTGAAGCTGGAATCAAATCCAGACGGCTGGCTCCAGAGTCCACATTTATAATGACTTTTCTCCATGGCTTCTCTATGACTCATGAACAATTACAAATAACAATATGAGAAACATAAACAGAGATCTCTGCATCAAAACCTACTCTTGGGAGATGCTTTCTTCATGCGGTAGTTGCTTTTTCATGGAGGACAAATACTTAATCCAAAGGAACATGTGCCTTATTATGGAACACCCTGAGCTGAATACAATAAGAGAGCTTTGGAGGAAAGGGCCTCAGCAGCTAGAGACCCAAGGTGGGCACTGCCTCAGCAGGGAGCATCACTCCTTCTGGCTGATCACCTAGGAATAAAAAACATTTTTGTTGTTTGTTTTTGGAGATGAAGTCTCCCTCTGTCACCCAGGCTGGGAATGGAAGGTGTCAAATGTTGGAAAACCAACCATCAGGCAGGCTTAGAGCTGGGGAAAACATTAGGGCCCGAAGGTAAGAGCCAAGCAGGTGAAGTGGAACTCAGAGGAGTGGCCCAGATGCCAGCCACATCCCAATACCCCGGCTGACTGCCTGACTTTCAACAGCCTGCTGACTTGCACTGCTCATCCAACCATTAATAGGAGAAATTTCCAGGGAGAGACTCTTACTGGCATATTCATTTCTAAGAATTATGAAATAATGGGTATCTGTTGTAGTAATTACATGGGAAGCTAACTGCTATTTTTCTTGATGAAGCTGATTCTCTGAAGCCCGGAATGAAAAAGAAGCATTGCCGGCCAGGCGCAGTGACTCACGCCTGTAATCCCAGCACTTTGGGAGTCCAAGGCAGGTGGACCACGAGGTCAGGAGTTCGAGACCAGCCTGGCCAAGAGGGTGAAACACCGTCTCTACTAAAAATACGATAATTAGCCGGGCGCGGTGGCGGGCGCCTGTAATCCCAGCTACTCGGGAGGCTGAGGCAGGAGAATCGCTTGAACCTGGGAGGCGGAGGTTGCAGTGAGCAGAGATCACACCATTGCACTCTAGCCTGGGTGACAAAGCAAGACTCTGTCTCAAAAAAAAAAAAGAAGCAGCAGAAGCAGCATTGCCTTCCACTGACTGATGTGCGCTGCCACAGGGCACGGGGCCGGGGAGGGGGCCTTTGTCTTGTTTGGTGCCTTTTTTTCCCTCTGCTGTTATGACTGCTGCTACTGCTGCTGCTATTTGTTTTTGTAATTGTTCTTCGAAGGCCGCGGGCGAGAAAGCTGTTCTAATTGTACAAATCACTGCACAGCTGAATCACAGGCGCAGTCCCAAGTAATCTGTGCAACCATTTGACTGAACTTTCGCACTAGCTGGGGGCGCTCCCCGGAGTCTCCTGAGGCCAGCGTCTGACAATGGACATAAAGCAGCCGCCAAATGAGATGCGGGAACAGTTGTATGTCAAGCGGCAGTGATTCAATTCCGGGCCGTCAGAACGCAGGCAGCCCCCGGCCGCGGCGTGATTGGCAGTGTGCTGATGCAGGCTCCCAAACCTCGACCTACCCATCTTGTTAAAATGGGGCCCCGGATGCGGTTTGGCATAATGAAAATGGATGTCTTGTGGAACCAGTCAGCTCTGGGTTCCATTCCACTCTCTGTAGCTGCAGCGCCATGGACTATGCAAGTTACATGGAACTTATTAAATGGAAGTTTTTGGTTGTCTTCGAATTCCCGCTAAAGCCCAAAGAGGGGAACACCTCACACTTCCCATCCATGCAGAACTAAGAGATGGCTTAAATGGCTTCCCAAATTAGAGAAGCCTAGGATGCAGTGAGGAAACTGATCAGAGTAGGGTGGGAGTGAGGCATGTTTGAAGAGCATTGTTGTTCCAGCAGGAAATTCTCCACGAGGAGGAAGAACAGAATGTTTTCCACACCTTCAATTATTTGACAAATATGGACTGAGCCCCTGTCATATTTCAAGCACAGTTCAAGGCACGGAAGATGCAACAATAAATATAAATGGCTTATTTCACCAGTGAGAAGGGCTCCCCGAAAATGCACTTAGGGGAATCTGAATTGTCGGTAAGGAGACTGAGCTCTCATGGCATTGGCCTGCCCATACAGCTATCAGAATACAAGACCAAAAATCTTCTCGGGAGCAGCCTACCCTTCCGGAGTTTAGCACTTGAGTTTTTCCCGAGGCTGAATGAATTATTTGAAGGTAGATGGGTGTGAATTGTCTTGAAAGGCCCACGTCCAAGAGCAGTAGCTCCCTTAGACCAGAACAAGAGGAATTCCTGCCTTCCTTCAGCCATGCTCCTCTCTTCCAAAGAAATGGTTTATGAGGCCAGGGGACATGCCTACCTTAGGGCCATGCCCACCTGAAGACCATGTCCTCTCCTAGAGCATGGCTTAGGTAACTGGGACTCCAGAATTCCATTCTCAAATGTCTTCAAGTCAAGCCAGTTTCCAAGGATAGATCCCCATCACTAGCAGGCCCAGAGGCTGCTCAAGGGTCAGCTTGGGATAGAGAGCCAAGGGATAGAGAGAAGAGAGACAGACAATGGGCTGGGGTCTCAGGCTTGGAGCCGGCATTTAACCAGAATTCTCCAGAGTGTGAGAATTCTAGAAACAATCTTGCCTGGCCTTCCAGGTAAGCATGAAGCTGCAGTTGTTAGGGAATGAGCATAGAACTCATTCTATTAAATTATTTTTAGCCTGACTGACAACTTTTAAGCATAACTAAATATTTAAAAGTTGTGATCTTTTGTTTGTACTCCTGCCTAGGACCACATGTTAGGAGTGGCTGCATTCATAAAGGTTACCTGCCAGGTGAGTCAATGCTCTATAAATAGGCTGAGAGGGAGAGTTATAAGTAGACAGCTGCAGCATCTACCTCCTAAGTCAGAGAGCACAGGTCAGAAGTCCGAGAGCAAAGGGGAGGGATGGGGGAAGGTTAGGGCAGAGTTGGCAGAAGGCTAGGGGAGGGGAAGTTGGAGGAAATGAAAAGGTTAAGGGGTGTTAGGGAGGAGGCCATAAAGAACCTTCCACAACCCTCCATCCATCATTAGAATTTGGCCCTATGCCTTAATGCCAAGGCATTAACTTAGAGGGCATTTAACAGCCAAGAGAGAGTCACAAACACCAGTCCCATTAAATGGCACTCACATTCTACCTCTCATTCCTTCTCACTGTTTTGACCCCAGAGAAATGGGAAGTACAAGTGCTAAAGGAGCAAAACAAGCAGAGGTTTTTCTCCACTGTACTCTCCAGAGCCTAAGTTTGGTCTGGATTTGGGCAAAGAAGAAAACTTCTATTTGGAAGAGAGACTGGAGTTTGATTTAGATTATTTGGGCTTCTTAAGACGTAACAACAAGGCTTTTTAAATATCTGAAAAGGACTTGGAAAGCCATGGGTTGGTCAAGATGTTTCTCAGGGTGTGAGAACATGAGCTTTGACAGAGGGGGCTTGAGCAGCAGTGGTGGGCAGGAGAGAAATATCACTATTTATTCACTATAATCTCTTCATTTCAAACTATTTAGTTGACATTAAAATGTAAAATGGGGTGAATATGCAACAGCTTCAACAGCTTTGCAAAAATGTCGTGAAGACCAGAGATAGCACAAGTAGTTTCCAGCATGTTCCGTGTATCTAGTGTAACTGCTACCATTGTTATTAACAGTATTATAATTGAAATTGTGTACTAACAGTTCAGAATTTCACGTTGGTTCCCTTCACTCAGTCATCCTTGTGAATGATACTGCAACTCTGGGTAAGTTTCTAGAAGGTCCCCTCTTTGATTGGATTCTGTGGCCATACACATGGCAGCCATGATAGAGATGGTCCCTTGACATAGAGATTTTATCACTGAATCGGCCAACAGCAAGAGGAATGGAAGAAGGTAATATTCACGGAGAACATACTAAAGTGTCAGGAATGATACTGGGGATTTTACATGTGTTTTTGTCATTTAATACTCACAAGGACCAGTAGCATCCCGGGGCGCACCCTCAGCAGATTCCCTGTAAAGTGAAAGAAACCCAAAGAATGTACTGGAAACCTTAACACTGAAATCTTGAGAACTAGGAAGTTACTGCTCTGTGGAGGCAGCCTGGGAAAGCTTTTAGCTTTCTGCAGCCAGGACCCATAAGAGCTCTTCAGAGGCCACTTGTGATGACAAGGAGTAGGGCTAAGGCATGGAGGATGTGCAGCCACACCTTCTTTGGGAGGGTTTGTCATAAGCCTGAGTCAGGCCCACTTTAAAGCTGTGAGAACTGGAAAATCTGTGGCTATTCATTCGTCCTACAAAGTCCGCCATTTTGACCAAACTTGCACATTAAATTGGTGCTTCATTCAAGAGTTGATGATGAATTTTAGAGCAAGAACCTAAAACCAAGAAATTGGAACACATGTGCAGGCAACTAGCAGAGAGGTTCAGAGATTTAATAATTCTGTGAAATGCTCCTAACAAGGGTGGAAGATGTTCCTGCCATAATGTAGGAAATAGACTCTCCAGGTTTGTCTTGCTGGTAGCTGAGGTGGGACCGCCCAGGGTGGGACGGGGTTGTGTTCCACTCTTCCCGGTTCACAGAGGGAGATTCGAGTGAGTTTTTTACCTGAGGGCTGTATGTAGGTGTTTACCAGTGAGGACTGAACCACATCTGATCCAATGGGGAGGATTCTTATTGTGTGGTGTTCTATCACCACTGCAAAATAGAAAACAAATAATAAAACGGCCATGCAGACCACTTACAGAAAAAAACATACATATACACCTGGGAAATAAACAGGGGAAAGGATTCAACCACATCAGTCATCAATAAAACATAAGTTCCAATAGCAATTTTTTTGACAAATATTTTATAAGCACCTACCACATGTCAAGTATTAAATCGTAGGAATTCACAGATGAAAGGACAGGTCTAGCCCTTAAGAAGTTCATACTCTGGTGAGAAAGACAGGCTAATAGGCTATAATTGCACAGAGCCATGAGGCATGTGAGTTGAGTTGGCACAGGGGCTAGGACACCTCATCCAGATTTGGGAGGAATGGAAGAACTTCATTTGCTAATGGAGTAACATTGGCTTGGAGACCTGAAGGACAAGCGGGAGTGAGATAGCGAAGATGGGGAGGAAGGGCCAGAGAGAGAGAGAAGAAATGAGAAAGGAACCCCAAACAGAGGGAACATTCTGCATCAAAGCCCTGATGAAAAAAAGTAGAGCTCTTGGTTCAATGAGCTGGAGCAAATTAGGGAGAGGGGAGTATTGGGTGAGGAGGTTGGGGGCATATACAGTAGACTCATTATGGAGGGTCTTTGACACCCCCAACAACCCCTGCTGAGTCCAAGGCATTGAGAGTTTTTCCTGAGAGCAAGTAAGAGCCAATGAGTGACTCTACATGTAGGAGTATCAATAACATATCTGCATTTGAGAAAGCTCATTCCCACTGCAAGGTGGATAAAAGCCAGGGATCACCTAAACCAGCAAAAGGAATAGTGAGAGTAAGACAGAATCACCCGTAAGTAGAGAGTCATCGCCGTTTGGATCCCCTCACCTACGTCCCCATGTACATGAGAAAAAGATTTACATGCAAGTGGTTTATTTGGTAGGTGATTCTTGCAGTACAATGAGAAAGTATGAAAGAGAGACAGGGAATGCAATAAGGTCAAGGAATGCTCTATTAATAATCAAGTATCTGCTGTGGGCAATTGACTGTAGCACACACCTAGAAAGCTGGGCTGTTTATCCACCAACTCCTGCCCCCAACTTGTTCCCCCCTGGCCATTTCCATGCCACAGGAAAGTCTGCAGCAACAAGATGCAGGAGCTTGAGGTAGGAAGCCACTAGACAAATGTCCACAAAGCTGCAGGGTGACCTCCAGGGTGGGCCAAGTGGATATAGGTGACTGCATCTGCTTCAGAGAGTTGGAAAATATGGCAGTTGATTAGTGATGCAGAGGAGGAAGGAGATAAGGCAGATACCTGAGCATCTGCTCTAGGAAACTGCATGGCTTCTGGTGTCATTCATTGAGAAGGGGATCACAGCAACTCAAGGCCATACCCCTTCCTCAAATGACGATGTCTGATTCTCATCCTTGTCTTTACTCTCTAGGCTTACTTAGCAAATGGTATTAAGTCCTGCTATGGTTTGAATATCTGTGTCCCCTCAAAATTCATGTTAAATTCCTAACCCCCTACCAGGTGATGATATTAGAAGGTGGGACCTTTGGAAGGTGATTAGGTAATGAGAGCAGATCCCTCATGAATAGAATCAGTGCCCGTATAAAAGAGACCCCAGGCTGGGCGCGGTGGCAGGCGACTGTAATCCCAGCAGTTTGGGACGCCGAGGTGGGCGGATCACCTGAGGTCGGGAATTTGAGACCAGCCTGACCAACATGGAGAAACCCCGTCTTTACTAAAAATACAAAATTAGCTGGGCGTGGTGGCGCGTGCCTGTAATCCCAGCTACTTGGGAGACTGAGGCAGGAGAATCGCTTGAACCCGGGAGGCAGGAGGCGGAGGTTGCGGTGAGCCGAGACCATGTCATTGCACTCCAGCCTGGGCAACAGGAGCGTAACTCCGTCTCAAAAATAAATAAATAAAATGAAATTTAAAAAAAGAGGGAAAGAGAGATCCCAGAGCTCTTGCTTCTCGCTCTCACTATGTGAAGACACAGTGAGAAGGTGCCATCAGTGAATGAATGAACCAGGAAGTGGGCCCTCACCAAACACCAAATCTGTTGCCACCTTGATCTTGAACTTCCCAGTTCCAGAACTGTGGGAAATTAATTTATGTTGTTTATAAGCTATCAAGTCCCTGGTATCTTGTTATAGAAGCTTGAACAGACCAAGACAAGCCCCTTCAATATACCAGGCTTTCACCTTTACATCTCCAGCATCTCCACATTTCTATGGAAATTTACACATGCCAGAGGTGTCAGCAAGAACTGTAAGTTAGACCCAAGGAAAGTGACAGAGTCCCTGAGGAGAAAACCTCCTTCACTGCATCTTTATGTAGATGTCCTGCCTGGCTCTGGGCTGAGATAAGAACTCCTTATTTCCATAGGTGTCAAATATGTCATGGTAATTACTATTATGATTATTTATTGAGCACTGACAGGGTTCACATAGAAAATGTTTTGTAAAATAATTAATGTTATAAAAATGCAATTACTAGAATGTATTTCTTGACACAGATCCAAATGTAGTAGAAATTATTACCAATAACAGGAGGAATATGCAACAGCCAACCAGCAACAGGTTGTGCAGGGACAAATGTATATTTCTGTCTTGTTTTTCACCAGGAGTAAGCTATAGAAACCAGACATGATGGCTCAAAGCCAGACATTGTACAGAGTGAGTCTCCATCTCAAAAAAGTTTAAAAATAAATAAATAAATAAAAATAAAAATAGTTGGTAATTCTAGATGATTTGTGTCTATGTGAAATAGTTTAGATTAGAGATTTGGGAGTCATGAGGCATGGCTTTAGGTCCTGGTTCTGTGGCTTACTGGCTGTATAAATTTGGGGATGTCATTTTACTTCCTGCTCTCAGATTATGTAACTAAAAAATAAAGCAAGTAATACCTGCTTCCTTGCAAAACATCTGCATCATAGTAGGTGCCCATAAGGTCAAGTGAATGAATGGAGAAGTATATGCACAGAGCATTTAGCTCATAGTAACAACACACAAAAGAAAGTTAGCAATTATTATTGCATTTGTGTTTTATAATAACCCAAAGTTATTCAATAGTCAAACTGTGATTTCACTATGATTCTTTATTGCTAGCATTATTTTATAGGCTATATGGAAAAAAGATTAAGCTATCTTGGAGAGATTGCTGAATTTGAAGTAAGAAGACCTGGACCCAGGCCTTAGCTTCATCTCTTCCTAGCTGTTCAATCTCAAGCAAGTCACTTAACTTCTCTGAGCTTCAGAGCTCCCTTATCTGTAAAACAGTATGATAATACTTGGCTCCTCTGTTTTATAGATGGAGGTCAATATTAACTTAAGATCCTTGGGAGTTAATGTGTTTTGTTTTATTTCATGAAGGCTTTAAAACATTGACTTAAGATATGTATTCCAGGCCCTCAAGAGGCCTGCTCTGTCAAGGAAATTGCACTGGAAGACCTGCTGGTGGCTAGAACACCTCTGAAGCTTTCTAGGCTCTTCTTTCCATGTGACAGTGCTGCCATAGGCCTCTCTGAGTGTGCTTTCTGGTAGTGGTGATGGAGCCTCTCACAAGCACACCAGGTTCTCTAGTTAAGGAATCTGCAAAATGCCCATTTAGGTTAGGTGCAAGATGAGAGTACACGGACAGAGTGGTTTGATTGTTCTGTCACTCTGATATATGCATACATAGCCTAGACCTGAGATGCATACTGAAATCTCTATTTTTCTAGTCTTCCCATCATCATGTAAAGGAAAGTGCTTGGAGATAACTTTATTGTCACCTAATAGGTGAATCCATGAATAGCTCATATTGGCATTTCAAGAGCCAAAAAGAAAAGCACATTAGACACACTTTGACATTTATGAAGTCATATATTAATGAAAACCAGAGAGTTTGAAACTTTTTGCAGGACTGGGTTTTGTACTGCTTCAAAATATCAAAACTTCTATTTTCCTGAGTACAAAGCAGGATGAGCCAGAAAGACAAAGTAGGATAAACTAGGAGGACAATCCAGAGATCCAGACAGGAGGTGTATTCTTAGCTCTTGGAAGCTGGTGCAAGGTTAGCTAACTAAAGCAGACAGAGGGTGTCAAGAGCTATGGAATCCAGGAAAGCTGAGCCCACATGACAGCACTGTTCCTTCCTAGCTATGTGTCATTCGTGAAGCCACTTAACCTCCCTGGGCCTCTGTGTTGCCGTGTCTGTGTGTGGATAAGAATACCTTGGAATCGGCCGGGCACGGTGGCTCACGCCTGTAATCCCAGCACTTTGGGAGGCCGAGATGGGCGGATCACGAGGTCAGGAGATCGAGACCATCCTGGCTAACACGGTGAAACCCCGTCTCTACTAAAAATACAAAAATTAGCCGGGCATGGTGGCGCACGCCTGTAGTCCCAGCTACACGGGAGGCTGAGGCAGGAGAATGGCATGGACCCGGGAGGCGGAGCTTGCAGTGAGTCGAGATCGCGCCACTGCACTCCAGCCTGGGCGACAGAGCGAAACTCCGTCTCAAAAAAAAAAAAAAAAAAAAAAAAAAAAAAAAAAAAAAGAATACCTTGGAATCATAGTTCTGGGAATGAAATGAGCTAAGTATAAACAATAAAGCACGGCATCTAGCATGTAGATGTTAGCCTTCTCTCTTCCCTTTGCTTCTTGCTCCTAGCTTCTCAAAAATTAATAATCCAGAAGGAAAATGGAGAGTCTGGTTAGGGCCAAAAAGCTTTAACGAATATGACAGGCAGCAGGGCATAGTGATTAAGAACACGGACTCTGAAGACAGATTGCAGGGCTCCCATCCAGCCTCTGACCATTGCAAGCTCTGTGTCCTATTGGACAAGCTACTGAAACTTCCCACAGCCCAGTCTCCTCATCTATAAGACAGGGAGAATAAGACCTGAATTATGGAGATGAATTGAGTCCATATTTGTAAAGTGCTCAGGGTCTGACCCGTGTTAAGTGCTGCATGAGTACTTGTGAACTGGAGTCCAATCTTCTCTGAAAGCCTTAGAATGATGACATTCGGCAGACCTTTATCTTCCTGGAAGTACTCTAGCAGAGAGGTACCAGCACTTCAAAGGCATCAGCTGGCCTCCTTTCTTGACTGACAGCTTCAAACCCATATGCACTGCATCTTCCACTATCTCCCCCATGCTACATAAATCTTTATAGAATTGGATTGTAAAGAGCCAAGTATTGGAAAAACGAAAACCCTAATATCCCGATCGATCGCCTGAGAGCAGTTCAATGGCATTTCTTTAAGCCCTATAGCATCATCCAGGCTGCTCTGTAATAGTGCTTCACCTTGGACCAGAAGGCAGAGGGCAATGCCATCTTGCAGTTTGTCCCTGCACCCCTCTGGTTGCTGTCAGATGGAACAAAATAAATGTCCAAAGGCATCGGGTTATTCTCATTTAGCACCAATGCACAAGATCCAGCTGTTGGCACTAATTCCCTCTCACATTGCCCTAGATTGAATGCATCTAACTCTGTATTAGAGGGAGGGGAAGAGGAGCTAAGGAAGAAGTAAGGTGCTACAGGATGAGAAATGCTACGTTTGTTTTAACCTCACTGCAGTCTTGGTCTGGGTCAAAAAGGAAAAATAGAAAACCTTTAAGAAAGAAAAGGCGCCTAGGAAAAGGCTGCTGTTCTTTTCCTTTTCTCAGGTTCTGTGAATAAAATTCAAAGCCTCTTCTCTCCTTGACTGATCACAGAAAAAAAAAATGATGGATAAAATATTCTCCAAGGATAGCAGTTGTCTCTGGTCACAGTCTGTGCCTTCCAGCTTAGGCAGCCGCAGAGCAGGCCAGGCCACAAGGTCCCCACCAAGGGGGGAGCCACAGTGCCCAAAGAAAGGAGCATGTTGGAGTCAGAGGCATCTGGGCAGGGGGAGAGAAAAAGATGTTTTTTCAAACCAAACATCGTTTCAAGCAGGTCATTATCCTCACCCTATCTTTTGTTTTCTCTCTTCCTTGTCCTGAGCCGATTTTGAACAAGCCGGTCTTAAGGCTTGTTTGGATTCCTGTGCATTCAGCTCTTTCAGACCCTTAAAAGCTTGACAGGAAACATTAAAGAGGCATGATTGAGGCTGGCTGTGCTGCACCCCAGCCAAGCCACACGAGCCACCCTTCTCCCTGATCACTTCTGATTGCTGTGGCTGCAGGAATCCTATAGCGATCTGCAAAGACAGCTAAGGTGGCTGGAAGGGATGAGGTGGTCTGGCCACTGTCCACACAATCATGCCAGGCCAGGAAGTGTTCCTTCCTCAAAGTGCCTCTTGTACAGATATATTTCTGATATTTGCCAAAATGACACAATCACCTTACAGCAAAGAGAGGAAGGAATGTTTAAAAATGACTTCTGAATGCTGTCTGCCATCAGTCTCAATTGCCTGGTACATTTTCTTCTTATGCTGAATCTTGCCTCTCACATTAGTCATTCCAGCGGGCCCCCAAGGAGTTTGCAATTTGGAACTCCCAGGGTGTGGTAGATTGCAAAAATGGCTATAATCCTTCACCCTTCCCTATGTCAAATCACTGTGCACTGTGACTTGATAGTTCATCCTATGCAGAGGAAGCATCTCTTTCTCCCTTGAATCTGAACTTGCCTTGTACTTGCTTTGGCCAGTAGCTGGAATGCCATGGACATGTCATAGTGCTGTTTCCAAACTCTCAGCCTCAAAAAATGCTTCTGCTCTCTCTCGTTCTCTCTCGCACTCTCTCTCTCCCTCCCCCTTTCGCAGTCCTGCCTAACTGCCATGTGAGCAAGCTGACCTGTTGGAGGATGAAAGACCATGTTAAACAAAGACATGCCATCCCAGCTGAGGCTGCCTTAGTACAGCCAGCTCCCAGCCAACCCAACAGCTAACTGCACATGCATAAATAAGCCCAGCTGAGATGAGAAGTAACCCCAGCCCAAACTACCAGCCTTCACAATCATAAACTTAATGAATGTTTATATTATTTTAAGCCACTAAATTTGGAGGTGGTTTGTTACATAGCAAAAGCCCCTCTTGCACCTGGTTTTCAAAATAACAAAATCACCTTAAAAGACAGGAGACGGGGTGGTAGGGGGTAGCTTCTGAATTCTGCATCTTGCCTCCAGCCTCAATTACCTGATAGATGCTTCTTCTTCCACATCTCACCTGCCACATGAGCGGCACCAGTGGCCTCCAAGCATGCTGCAGCAAGGAATTCCCAGGGCTTCGGCTGTGTGTACAAGGTTTCTGTTCATTAGGATCTCCAGCCCTGCAAACCCATTTCTGTTCTGGGGGAAGCGGAGGCCTGTTGGGTAGACAGGTGATAATACCCAGCTCCCGTACATTCCTTGGGTAGTAATTATCCTGTAGAGGAAAAAGTAGTCAGTTCAGAATATAAAGTAGCTTTGTTAGAACAGCACTGTTTCTTATCTTAGGGCTGAAAAACTAGGTTTCAGAGACAACCCAATGTCTTGGGAAGTATTTAGTTCTCATGCTTGAGCACGTGTGCATGCATATGTGTTTTTGTGTACATGGAGCAAGTGGTGGGGAGAGAACTGGCAGTCATTGGGTGCCTGCTATTTGCCTGTCACGATGCAACCTCTGCTAGTTTTGATAAAATCTCACATCATTGTGAGGAGGTTTGGTTATCACAGATTTATAGATGAGGACATTAAAGTTCCACGAGGTTAAGTAAGTTGCCCCAGGTCATACAGCCAACTAGCAGTAGAACTGCAGTTTGACATGTGCTGTCACACTGTGATTTTTTTTTTTAACTGTATTGCCCCAGTGAGAGGCTTCTGCATAGGGTCATCAGGAGTTCCACAGATACTTGGTTAACATAGTTGTCTTACATTTATCTATCTAAAATATTATTAAAAAATCATCCACCCCAAATATGCTACATTCCAACATTTAACGTAGTACAGAACACTGGGCTGTTGTCATTCGAGGGTATCTGAATGCATTTTATTGTATAGAATTTGGAATAAAGCTGCCCTAATGTTTCTGGCACATATATAAATATTATATTGATTGAAAGGGTAGGGAATCTGCACTGTTCTTTTTCTTTTTTAAATTTAGGCCCACACATGTTACCTCAGGTAAGTGGGCATGCTACCATGCACATATGCAAAATACTATCAATTAAATACCAGGCAGGGCTTTGGCACAGCTACTTGGCCTGTGCCTAAATCATAGCAGTGTAAATAGTTGTACAATAACTTGGGAACACATCATGATAAATTCATGATAATAAATAAATTCATCATAATAATATTTATATTACGAATAGTTTCAAGCCTTTTTAATAGTTTGCAGGGTCCTCATCCTAATGTTTGTATTCAGGAGGGCAAGATCTGATAGAAAGAGGGTCAAATAGCTACAGTGTCTAACCAAGCTTGGTGTTCTAGCTCAGGGAAACTGAGGTGATCCAGATGGTGCCATGACAGAGGTGACAGCTAATGCCCAGACTTCTGACTAATACCAGGCCTTGGGACCACTAAACTTGCAGGTTGGGAAGGAAGAACTACCTTCCGGCCTGCAAGGTGATCCTGGACAAACACCTCTTTGCAGGAGTCCTCACTAGACAATCTCTGTCCGCACCCTCCTTCCAGGGAAAGGAAAGTGGGAATGGATGAAGCAGGGCCGGGCCTGTCTTGGATGAAAATTCACTTCCTGTGCCAGAGCAGAAGAATCCTAGCTAAGTGAGGCAGAAGGCCTGGCTCTCCCAAATCTTGAATCAGTGGGTGATTCAGCTTTCAGATAAAAATATCCCTCTATTCTTCTGAGCTTCTGTAACAATTTAATTAAAGCTTATTCTGAGATTGAAAAGCAAGATATTTACAAAAATAAAATAAAACAACAAAAACAAAAGTGTGTTTTTATTTGCAAACTTATCTATGGGAATCTGGACTCTCTCTCTTTTTCTCTCTAATAAAGAAAAAAATTATAATAATCAGAAACAAAGCCAATGAAGTGAATAAAGTTTATCTGTGTTTTCAAATAGCACAGTGTAAAGAACATCTGTTTCAGGATAGGACGGATCTGGATTTGTGGCAGTTCTTCCATGTACAAGCTGTATGAGTTTGGGCAAGTGACTTAATTTCTTGAAACCCTGATATCTCATCTGTAAAGTATAGATAATATTAATTCATAGAATTATTCAGCAGATTTAATGAGATAAATATGTAAAATTTTGTAGCACAACAAAGAGAGTGCTGAATAGGAACCATTTGTCCAATTTCTCTCCCTGAAGCTCTTTCCACCAGGTCACTGGATACACATTCTTCTTTTGTTGCCCCTATCTTCAACAACATCTATAAGGGGATATAGTCTGAAGCATTAACTTAATGCTAAATGTGGTCAGTTGCCAGTGATGCTGAATGATTTTAATATTTACAAAGGTCAGGATCTGAAAATGTATAATTTTAGGTCAGACATTCAGAAGGTCATACATTATTTTGGACAGGTAGACCTTTCTCGCATCCCTGAAATTATTCCTCTACCCAGCTGATGCATACAATCATCCACAGTCTACATCAGTAATCTTCAAAGTGGGGGTGTGTTCACACCCAGGGTGGAAGAAGACATCCCGCTAGGGAACAAAAAGAAAATACTGGGTCTTTTATTTGTATTGGCTTGTACTTAAATCATAGCATTGCAAATGTCTGTACCATAACTTGGGAACACACCAAGATAAATTCATATAATGAATGGTTTATAAAAGACCTCTCACCTGAGAGAAGGAATAAAATATTAGGTCCTTTATTTATATTTATTTCTAAAAGTTAATAAAGAAATTAAACTTCCCCAATATTTAACATGTAGACTGACATTAGCATTGTCCATGGACTTTCATGTCTAAATGTCACACACAAGGAAGAATCAAATTTCTACAAAACAAAGAGATTAACATTGACACACCTTTTCATTCATTTGTTTTCAGTCTTTACCTGCCTGGTGAACCAAACCTTCACTACAAAAGGGTGAACCATTAATAGTGCTGCTAATGCTGAGTTCTACAGTTTCCATTAACATATTCTACGGGACATGGGATTAATAAGAGACTTTCTAGAGAATCTTAGATTCAGCTATACTCATCCTTCCATCATATATAAATAATCTAAAATTCCTATAGATAATCAGGAAAAATCACCCCAACCAGTACAGTAACCCCTCTGTTGGTTCAATGGCCTGAGAAGCTCAAAATGGCCAGGTGGGCCAGTCCCAGTTTTCAGCTCAGTGGGACCCTTGTGTCCCCTTGTAGAAGAATCCATCCTTTGGGAAGAAGGCTTCTAAACCAGCAAAGCTTTAAAGTTGCTGTAAACAGAAGCAAAAATGTTGTCAATGTAGCATAGAGAGAACCCTCTCCCATCTCTACCCTGTGGTTCTTTCGTCTGTATTCTTGTTACGAGAAAAATGATACAACATATTTGTCACTGGTTTATGACATATATTGTATTTTATAGGATACTACCCTAGCCCCGAGTTTGGACTCAGCCAGCGCTATACCTGGGTCTTCAGTGGTGCATTCCAATATTTCACAAGGCCAACTGCTCTGGATGACACCATATATGGTAAAACCAGTGAATCCCATGGGCTGAAGGGATGGCTACAGCACTTCACTGTAAAACGAGTCTCTGGTCAGAAACAATGCAGAGCAGAATACCACGGCAATAAATGAAGCCCATGGAGTGCTGGTAACAGAGCATTGCAGGTAGGCAGGGCAAATCCAAAGTGTATTTCTGAAAAACAAAAGCACTTTCCATGATGCGAAAAGTCCAAAGTAATCTACCTGACACCAGGTGGCTGGCTAGTTTCCAAAGGAAAAGATGCCGTATTTGGGACTTGTAGTTGGTGCCCGAGCTGGTTAGGTACCCAGCAGAAAATATAGCTAGATCAATTTTAGTGAGAAGAAATAGATAATTTTGAGCTCATGCATACACTCTATTCCTACTGCTGCAGCCAATTCATTTATCATCTCATCGAGCAAGAATTGGGATGGCAGGGTAAAGAGGCTGACATATCCACAGAAAGGTCATCATGACCACTTGATGAGAGTGCCTCCTCTAAAATGGTTACCTTTGTTCAACATTCACATAGGACATTTAAGTCTTCCAACTTTGTGCTCATTCTGAGAGTTCTATCCACACACCTCTTCCCCGAACTTTCTTATTTCTTCCAAATTCCTGACCACTTGGCCAAACCATTAGACTGTCCATGAATCAGTTGAGATCCATAATTTGGCCATATCTTCTCCAAAGTGAACAACCATAAGATGGACTGTTCATTAAGAGGATTTCCGTTCTCAGTGTGCTTCTGGGACACTTCTGTGGTAGGTACTTTATCCTGTAAAATACAACATATGTCATAAACCAGTGACCAATTCTGGGAATGAGCTTTAATGGCCTTTGCAACTTATAATCCCCTCTCTTTTGAGTGTGGGTGGCACTTGTGGTATGATATCACTCACATGGTTACAGTTCCTTAATCATGAGAGTGATATCTTATCATATCACAAGTGCATGACAAAAGGGAGATTATCCAGGTCTACTTGATTTAATCACACAAGCCCTTTAAAACAGTGTCCTTTGTCCAACTGCTGGACAGAAGCAGAAATCAGAGGGATTCCAAGGGTGAGAGAGATTTGTGCCATTGCTGGCTTTGAAGATGGAGGGGACCAAGTGAGAAGGACTGTGGTGGCCTCTAGGAGCAGAGAGGCTTCCTTGCTAACAGCTACAGAAAAATGCAAACTTCAGACCTAGTGGAAAGAACAGGATCCTGCCAACACCCTGAAAGAGCTCACAAGATATTCCTCTCTAAAGCCTTCAGATAAAAGCCCAGCCCAGTTGGCAAATTGATTTTCAGTGAGCCCAGTCAAGCCTACCTGGGCTTCTGATGTACCGAGTTGTGAGGAAATAAATAGGTTGTGTTTTAGGCAATGAAGCCGGAAGAGGTATATGTTCATTTTCTAGGGCTGCCATAACAAAATACTGCAGGCTGTATGGCTTAAACAACAGAAATTTATGTTCTCACAGTTCTGGAGGCGAGAAGTCCAAGATAAAAGTGGTGGCAAGTTTGGTTTCTCCTGAGGCCTCTCTCCTGGGCTTATAGATGACCTTCTTCTTGCTGGGTCCTCACACGGTCTTTCCTGCATGGACGCACATCCCTTGTGTCTCTTTGTACGTCCAAATTGCATCTCCTTGTAAAGACACCAGTAAGATTGAATTAAAGTCCACCGTATAGCCTTATTTTAACTTAATTTTCTCTGAAGTCCTTATCTTCAAATACAATCACACTGAAGGTTGAGGCTTGCATATATGGATTTTGAGGGATGCGATTCAGCTAATAACAAGGTACCATGTGAATCTGAGCCACTTGTTCATGCAACTTACCTGGGCTTTCTAGACCTGCTTGAGGCTGATCTTCTACTCTATGCAAGACCACTGCACACTCCCAGTTTGATAGCTTGGTGCGTCAGATAACACCCAGTCCATGATAGGCAACCTAGGATCCATAGAAACTTGGTGTCACATGGGAAAGTGTTCAGTCTCTATCAGGACCTTGTAGCAAGACAGGAGCTATTTAAAAAAAATTTTAAAAAGAAGTTATCTGCAAAATGTATGGCTTTGCTCTAAAATTCTCAGTGTCTATGAGGCGATTTTTTTCAGGATTTCTCAAAGACTCCATACATCATTCCTAATAGCTGTAAATATGGAGTTCATGCTAGATTATATGGCACAATTAGCCAAGTAGCTTTTATGAAAACTTCAACCTTCTGTAGAGCCTTTTCTTAATTCTGGACTTTATGTAAAACTGGCAATGTTATGTGAAATTGATCAGAACAACATGGCCAAATGTTAACCATGTTTCTTTCAAAATCCAAAGTTCATTAGACATGAACAGTTCTCTGTTTTAGGGATATGTGGTGCAAAATTAAGAATGTGTCCTTTAAGTATGTGAATATTTTCAAAGGCTAATGTGCAAGCCTGATGTTACAAACAAATTCAATTTATCCTTGTTCATGAAAAAATACAGGATGTTTCGATTTGTATAACCAGAACATCAGTCCCACTTTCTCAGATCTGTAGAGATGAGATTCTACAGCAATCCATTCGAACCTAAGACCTACCTCCTGCAGAAACTATGTGTGCTAATATAAATCAGCAAGCTTATATGTTGGTACGAGTGAAACAGAAAACCCAGTTAGCGTATCGTCTAAACAACAGGCACAGATGGTAAGCAACCTACCCAAAAGGGCATGGATTCTTAAAGACTAAGTATTAAAGCCACTAAGGTCAGGACTACAATAGCTGAGCTTAGTGCCTTGTGCTAATTAGAAGTGGGCATGCTGTTTGTTCTCCTGGTAGAAGCAGGCCTGCAGCAGGAAGCATGGACTGGTGCTGAATCCATGCTAGATTGCAGTCCTATCCACCCATTCGTTCAGTCACCCTAGTGCAGGGCCCAAGCTGCACAAACAATTGCTCACAAGACCCTGGCAAAAAATCATGCATGCATTATGAAGAGAGACATCAGTATAATTAGAAAATGCTGCAATAAAGTGCAATCATCTATATTTCTCTCCCGAGTTCCTGGGCTCCTTCTCCATAACACATGAGGAGGTAAGGGCATATATACGCAGAAGGAGAGAAACAGCCCTTGGTACTCTTGGCATCCAAGCAGTGTTTGCTGGAATAGATTTGGTTTGAATTCAGTCTTTGATTTGACCTTGCCTGGATTTGTTCTTTTTTTTTTTTTTTTTGTATTATGATCACATCATCTATATACTGAAAATAAAATAACAAATTAAACAACCAATTAGTTTTGCCAATTAATTAATCATCAAGTAGTTCTTTCAGTCCTGTGATATATTCAATTCTGAACTAGGCTTGATAGGGATATAAAAGTCTTACAAGAAATAAAACCCTCAAGATTTTCACAATCTGGCTTGGGAGCTGTTATTGATGCACAGGAAATGATCGGAAAATTCAACCCTTAAGCATTTATTTTCCCCAATTGGCAAGGAATACAAGAATGATAGTGGTTTGAATATTCTGCTAGTTATTTGTAAACAGTTTTACTCTTACCTTACAAGAGATAGAGCTCTCATTTCACTAGTTCTTTGGTATATAAGAAAATGTTATGGACCAGTTTTTTCTACATCAAAGTTTCATCCAAGCTAAAACTGTGAAACCAGTCTTTGATGTGGGTATGGGCAAGAGACCTGCCTCAGTATTTATCAAGTTTAGCCAGAGAAGGAGAAGAAGCTAGGAGCAAGAAGACTGGGCTTCCAGGGATATCACATCTAGAAACATTCCATGCATCACTAAGTTTGCAGAGATGTTGAGGCATCCAGCCCTATAAAATTTCTAGAGCCGGCAGTCTCTCTATGTGTCCACAAATATATATCACTTGCAGAGATGGATCCCTGCGTGGCCTGGGCTCCATCCTATTCATCACCAGACTAGCCTGCTGACTGCTCCACAGATACTCTCACCCTGACCTAGAGGCCCCACCCTTGCTGAGGGGCAGAGGTGAATGAACCTCCTTCATCCCTAGCGTTTACAGAATGTGAGTTTCTAGAATGACTTACTGGCGGGTCATTTTCCTCAATCCCAGCTGCAAACACACTGAACAGCTTGTTTTTTGAAGTTTGTATCACTACAGTACCTAACATTAAAAAGATGCTCAACTGAGAAAGAGAACAAAAGTGAATGGGACTCTAAGAGCTAATTAAAGAGAGACAGCTGGATTCCTTCTGCTTTTTTTTCTCATTAATGAGAAATCAAAGCACATGACATCTTCCTTTTGAAGATGAAAATTATGAATTGAAATTTGCGCTGAGTGTGTTTGTCCATTCCTATTCACATAATGGTCCTCAACATTAAGAGTATATAAGAATCAGCTGAAGAAGTTATTTAAAATAACTTCTTATTTTAAAATCTTATGTAAATTCCAAAGCATCATGTCCTAAGAATCAGATACTGCACAAATGGGTTGAGACCCATGGGTTAGCGTTTTTACAGCAATTATATTCTGATGCCAGTGAGTCTTGGACCGCATTTTAAGAACGTTAGCCATTTGGTGATGGCTGCTGTTGCTGTGTTGTTGTTGGGATTTTTGAACAATTCTTCTCTACATATCAAGTGTTTGCTCACCCTTTGCTGCTGGTGGTGCTGAATTTTCAAATCTTACACATGGTGTCTGAGACAGAGCATTTCCCAGCAGTCAGGACACCTCAGGTCCCTGTTCTACCACCAAATACCTGTGTGACCTTAGGCCAGTCTATAGCCTCACTAGTGTTCTGCTGTAATCAATAATTTTCAAGGACCTTTTCAGCTTAAAATTTCAGACTTTATGAATGTCAATAACCATAACAAATCTGTGCTTTCTTTACTTCATCTTTCTGGAGGTGTTGGAGAGCTCCAATTACTGGTGATGCAGACACTATTTATCGCCTAATTTGAGTAAGTGATGTAATCTCCCATGTCTCTTTCTTCTCATTTGCCTTAAGGAAAGATGAACTCTTCCCTTGTTTACCTCACAGAGTTAATGTCAAGCTCAAATGGGATTAGGAACATAAGATTTATAAAGTACACTGTAGCTGTAATACCTCCTGCTCTCCAAGTCGGAAGATGCAACTGTGGTTCATAGAACTGGATTTGTCTCATAAGAAGCATATCTTGAAGAAAGTCTGATTGAGTTGGGTTCAACATAGAAAGGAAGGTAAGAAAATAGAGACAGCCAGCCGGGTGCAGTGGCTCACGCCTGTAATCCCAGCACTTTGGGAGGCTGAGGCAGACGGATCAAGACGTCAGGAGATTGAGACCATCCTAGCCAACATGGTGAAACCCCATCTCTACTAAAAATACAAAAATTAGCTGGGCGTGGTGGCACGTGCCTGTAGTCCCAGCTACTCGGGAGGCTGAGGCAGGAGAATCACTTGAATCTGGGAGGCAGAGGTTGCAGTGAGCCCAGATCATGCCACTGCACTCCAGCGAAACTCCGTCTCAAAAAAAAAAAAAACAAAAAAATAGAGACAGCCAGTACAGAAAACGTTTTTAGGAGGTTTTCTTGTGAAAGAAGAGCAAGAGTCCAGTATGTAGGAATATATTGAGACAAAGGTTGGAGGGTGGTTAATAAGAGGAGGGATAACATATTTATGTGTTAATAAGAGTAGAGAATGAGATAGCAGAATGAAATAGTAGGAGGCTGTCCTCTAATAAATAAGAAGGGATGAAATCCAGAGCATTGGATTTCAGAGATTGGAACAATAACAATTTATCTGTCGTAACAGGCCTAGTACAGAAGTACAAATGCAAGAGAGTTGATAGATCTCTGGTGGAGAATATAAGGCTCTTTCTTATTGATTATATTTACCTAGTAAAATAAAAATCAAGATCATCACCTGAGTCTGAAAGAGGAGATGGAAGTGTTAGAGGTTTGAAGAGAAAGAAAATGATGCAAACTTATTTTCTGGGGGAGAGAGAGGGTGGATGCCAGAGGAAAGGACAACAAAAGAATGCACTTAAGGTTTAAAGTCATGAATTTCAAGAGAGACCATTTATTCCACACGATTGTGTGTTTTCTTCAGCCACATTCAGCTACTTGGTTCAGGTGCAAAAGATGTATAAAATTGGATTTTTCAGGGTTTTTTTTTAAGACCTAGGGAGTACGATGCTGTGGGTGGGTCAGGGAGATGAGAGTATGTGCAATGGATTATGATAATGGATCATTATATCTAAGCTTGGTAAGAGCCATCAGTGGATTTGATAACCCTGATAAGCTTGAATTGGAGTCTGATTATTAGTGAGAATAAACTGGAAATTAGGAAGAGGTAGCCAGAGAGTGGGATGTTTGAAACTGAAGGCAGTGGCATTGATGAGGTATAGGGAATGACCCCAGAAGTGAGTAACTAAGGTGGAGTGGAAGAAATGTCATGGAATTTATGGTGGCCAAGGGACTGAGGGGCCAGAGTGTTGAATGGACCATCTATATTACTATTTGATATCTCAGGATGGTGTAGCAGACACTAGGCCATGGGCTAATGTCTTCCTTCAGTGAACAAAGGCAGTGACTGAAGAATGACAGAAGAATGGATAAAATAGTGTTCTGACTTGTGTTTCAAAGGAATACACTTGGAGGGTAGTGATGTTAAGGGGATATGGAAGAATGGTGGTCCTCAAAAGATCCTGGGGATTGGAGAACACAGCTCCAGTCCCAATGATATGCAGGTAGTTTTATATAATAATACGGATTTTTACTTCTGTTGAAAAAAACATAAAAGTTCCATGACAAGGAATCCCATTTCCATAAGTTAACAGATGGCTGAAGCTGAGTCTGGTTGCTCCCTTTTTGATGGGCGACATAGTCTCCATTTTTCCACTGTCCCTGTGACATCCTGTTGTCACCCTAAAACAGAGATTCTATGCTAATGCTCAGTCCCTCTGCTTCAGTAGTCATGTTTTCTAAAAATAGACCTGAGCTATAAGAAAATGTTGTACTATATACTTCTTTTGATCTGCTTAATCTTATTAAGCATTTAATCATGAGACTTCTGGCCTAAATTAGACTGATAAACTGATCCCAATTAAAATCTGCCGAAAGTTATATTCCATAGACCAAAATTGGGGTCTCTCTTATGTGATAATCCTATGGCTTTGAAATTCCAGTTAGGTTTAATGGTCCAATAAGAAATGAAACTCAGAAATAATCAGGCAATCTAATTGTGGCTCAAGAAGAAAGTATTCACTGAGAACATGGGTGTTAGGAAGAAAAGCCCAGTGTGCACTTCCCTCCAACCAGTCTTAATGCAAACAAAGCTCCTGAGCAAGCCCAGAGGTCTGAGGGGTTTTGCCGTGGTGGGTCCCTTGATTTGCACTGGTTGCCAAGACCACCTCATTTTGGATGTTCCTCTAAGAGAAGCAAAGGATTCAGCAGGAGTTGCGAGTTGCGACCATTTGCTCTGTGATGGACCTGTGATCTCAAATGTAACTTTGACATTGCTCAAAAGTCAAAATCCTATTAAACAAAGGGAAAACAACCAACATCAAGGTATTTTTTGCCAATTCTGGCCTGGTTACTCTAAAAAACAGTAGGTTCCTAATCTCTTTGAAAGTTGCATGCTTAGAATTATTCTCCATAAGTCAGTTCATCAGAATAGGTCAAATTTGAATGATTTATTTAAAACTCCCCCCACCCATAATAGTTACAGTGTAGGGATGGGTATTTCTAGGAGTTTTAAACGTAATAGGATATTTCCTTGTATATTTAATTGCCTGAAGTTGAGTTCTGGGCTATAGCTAGAGTTCCTACAGGATTTATTGTCCAAACTAGAACACTTTGAGGATAAAGGGGTGTTGTTATTAATTATGCCTTCAGGACAACAGGTGTGACCAGGACTTTGAAGCAAACTAGGTGGCACAGTCCCCTTTGTTACATGTAGCTCACTTCACAAGACTCCAAAACATGTCACCCAGAAACCAGAGAGGAGAGACATGGAAAAGTTTTAGCAGGATTTACTCTTCTAACAAGATTTACAGAGTTAGCTTGGGTTTGCTTCCTCTCATTGCCCTCAACTCAGAGACAGGTTTTGCAAAATATACATTTAACAAACTAACTTTATTTGATCTTTGTGAAAAGCTTAGAAGAGATTTAGTGGAGAAATGGGTAAGTGAGTTCTTCAGCGGAATTTTATGCCTAACTCTGACTGTTCATTCCCACCCTCCTTGTCTCCCCACCCCACCCTGCCTGCACCATTCTCCCGCGTAACCCTGTTCACAGCCTCGCATAATTGGCAATATGCTTTGTTGATGGTTTGCCTTGTTGATGCCTCATTATTGGAAGGTTGCCAATGTTAGCATACCCACTCCATGCACCAGCAGTCTGATCTGGGATGGGAAATCCTGCTGTATATTCCTGTGCAGGAGAGAGTGCACGAAACAGCTCTGAAGAGGAACTAGACAAATGTTTGAATAAAAAGCAACTGAAGGGTAACTGCTAATTCAAAAGAAGAGACGGTCCCAGCTGACTTTCTTGGCTTCCTTCCCTCCTAGATTTTCCTGCACTCTTTTGTTATCTGTCGTTTAATCCTCAAATACAGTTCTGGTACTATCCATGAGGTAACACTTTTAAGTGTTAACATATTGGCTCAATTATTCCAAGAGAAAGAAAATAAAAATGTTTTTGCTCTTGCAGCCACCACAACTTTGAACAGCTTTCTTAAAAACACATGGATACAAAATGGTTCACCTCTTTCTTGTCTTCATGCTGGAGATTTTCTTCTTCTGAAGATGCAGCAGGAACTGTACTAAAAATATGTGACATATAGAGAAAAACTGGTTTCACTTGTGCATTTTTTTAAAGTTTTTCTCCTGTGATAACCCTCTACCCTAACTCCTCTGGCATTAAATTAATAGAAAATCTCTGTGATCTTTTAGGGTGCAGTTTCTAAAACATGTTTTGTTTCCCACTATAAAGCAAAGACCTATATTAGTTTCTTGAACCAATTTATGCGATTAGTAATAAATAGTTAAAATATCTTAGGGAAATCTCAGAAACTTTTTACTCAAAATTTCACATTTTCAGGTAGACATATTTGTGTGTATGCATTCATGTTTCCTCAGGTAAGGAATGAAGCTGCTACTCAGGATTTATATACAACAATTAGTGATCATTTTCTTTCAAGAGTGCATTGCTGCTGGAGGTGGCATGAAGGCTTTTTTTTAATATGCTAACTAGTTTCCATTGTGTTTATTAAAATCTCCCAAGCTACTTTTGTTTGTCTTCCACCCTCTTCCTTCAACGGAAAGCAAAGAACAAAAGACAAGCAAAGCCCTGACTTGCCCTTGATAAATATGGCCCATATAGCATTCCATACAACTTGGAGCTGAGACCATTATTTCAGTGAAGCCCGTTATTGTTCATTAGCACAAAGAATGTGTAATAAATATAATGAAAGACTGCTGGCTTTACTCTATCTTTGTCATCTAAAGCAGTTCCATGAATAACTACAGGGATTTGTCTCCAAATGACTTATTTGCTTCCTTTCTAATAAATAACATGTAATTAGGGTAATATATTGTTTCCTAGTTATGTTAGCAATGCAGTGAAGGGGAAACAAATGCACAATTTTAGATATGAAAGATAGTAGATAATTTTTATATTATCCCTTAAAGTATTTAGACTCATTATGCATAAGTTAAACTGCTGGGAGGTCTAAGTACAAAGCAAGAACCGAGATTCTACATTTAATGAGTTTCTTTATTACTCAGGGCATGAATTACTACTCTGATACTATAAAACTGCAGCGAGTGCTCTGCATCTCAGATGAGATTCTCTTTGAGGAATGCACTCGTCAGTGAACTGTCAGCGATGGGATGGACTAATCTGATTTAGAAAGGATTAGGTTGGGAACTGTGCCTCTGAATGTCAAGGTATCTACATCTCTCTACAGAGGAGTGGAATGTTTAACTCTTCATATCCAGGGCCACAAGTGTTAAGAGAGCCCTGAGACACACAAGGTCACATCCATTACTGAGCATTGAGACAGAAATAAATTACATTGATGGCTTCCTCAGGTCCCCTGAGAGAAATCCATCTTTGGTCCAATGATACTAGGGAACTATGTCAAGCTTTTGCCCTGGAATTCAAAACATTTTTTTTTTTTGGAAGAAAGAAAAAGAAAAAGTTCTTTACTAATGATTAGAGGGGAAAAAAACAATATACGTCTAATCTAATCTGCTTTACAACATCCCACACTTCACTAGACAAGGGTGACTTGAGTTACAAGAGTTGAAATCTGCTAATGTCTGGACATGACGCAGGAAGGAGGGAGGCATCAAGGAATCACATCTTACTGGACTGAAGCAGGGTCTGCAGAGTCTACAACAGACTCTGCTTAGCATGTGGCTAGTTACTTTCGAAAGCTAGACTGCCCGTTGCTAAAACAGAAGCTGGTTCAGTGTTGTTTCTCATTGCTAAACCTCCCAGGACAGAAAGCACTGAAGGGCTCCTATTTGCTTAATTCTTCTCCAACTCTCTGCAGAAACCTGAGCCCTAGACCACCAGGTGACAGTAGCCTGGCAGGCTCTCCATGCACGCATTTAGCATGCATTAAATGGAAAATTATTTGGAAAAAATTATCAGGAGCTCCTACATGGCTTTAATGTGAACCTCAGGACATAGGTCCTCTGAGTTGGGGGTAGAGTTGGGAAAAGGGGCCCCTGGAAAGCAAGAGTTAATGAAATTTGTTCAGTACTTACTTTGTGCTGAGCTTTCATCTAAGTTCTCCCCACAAATTGACTCGTTAAATCCTCATGATAACCCAGTGAACGGCCATCCCTATTTACAGATAAAGAAAGAAAAAGAGAGGGTAAGTACTTGGCCACTGTCCCTCACTGGGGAAGTGCAAGATTAGGATTTGAATTCAACAGTCTGGCTGAAGATCCCATGCCTTTCAGCTACTCTGGTGTTTCCCGGAAGGTAATTATCACCCTACTTCCTCAGTTCACCTTCCTGCTAGGTTAGAACCGGAGCTAATTCCAGACCAAAAATAGCCAGATGAGAAATATTGAACTCTAAAACTTGAACAAACAAAAAGCAGCAAGCATCCTATTGTGTTTCTTTTAATTCAAATTTGAGACAGATTCTAGTTTTCTTCCTCATATTTAGAAATGTAGAATGACAATCTAAAAGTGTAAAGAGTTATTCATTTGGAGGGTAAAATGTTAGGGCTGAAGTGTCTGACTTAAAGCAAATTTATGAGGGGACTTATTTGAACAAACAATTGTTTTAACAGAGAGCCAGGTGGGGAACTGATGAGATATTTCTTCTCAAATGTAAAGTGAAGGGTGTACCTCCATATATTGAACAGAGTCTATCAGGAGCAGGTTCAGGTTAGAGGTGGAAACAGCAACCAGTTTTCTAAGCAAGTAAATTGGAAAACATAAAAAGACATGTTGGAACACATCCTTTAATAATACATGCTGGAAAAGTAATTTCTATTAATTAGAGTGTACATTATTAATAAAGAATTTAGAACTCTTACCTTAATTTAGGTGTTATCAGGAAATTAAAGTGGAGCTAATTCCACCATAAAGGTTGATGGCTGAATATTCAAAAGATAGCAGGCAAGTCCTGACAAGCTGCAAATGTACAACTACAAGTGAAGGAAAAACCTCGGTGGCTGAGGAAGGGCATGTCTGATTTTAAGTAAAGCACATCCCATTTTTGCTATCATCAGGCATGTGCACCAGCCATGTGGCTTTTCCCTTAGAAATTCTTCCAGCACTTCCACTAAGTAATTCCACCTATAACTTTGCACACCATTAGCTCTGCATTCTGGGGAGGGCATTAGCATTTCCCTTCACATTTAGCTCCGAGAATGGGAAGAAAACCTACTGAAAGAAACTGCTTTATGCATTAGCAGATTTAAGGGGTTCCCAGGGACCCCAAATTTCTTTCTCATTGATCCCTAGAACGTCTCTTCTTAACTTCGTTTACTGTTGCTGATCTCTCCCAATTCTAGCCCTTCCACATATCACTACCAGATTCATCTTCCTAAGGTGCTAATATCTGACACTGAGGGCTCAGGTCCCTTTTGGTCTGGTATCTGTTACATTCTGTACAAATCCTCTGCTCCAGGAAAACTGATTTATAGCTGTTCTATTCCACCTGCAGCCTCCTGTTCACATCATATCCTATGGCTCCATCTAAAATGTTCTGCACCTTTATAAAGGTGATCCATGGGTCACATCCAACTTAGATTTGCCCTTATCCATGAGATAGCGTTGACTCCTGTTCTGAATTGCCATTGTGATTATTGTCTCAATGATCAACTGTGCAATTCATAATGTATCATTATCATATATATATACACATATTATATATATGTGTATATATATACACATATACGTATATATCTCTCTATATATACGTATATATACGTATATACGTGTATATATATATATAGAGAGAGAGAGAGAGAGAGAGAGATGGAATATTGCTCTGTTGCCCAGGCTAGAGTGCAGTGGTGCAATCTCATTTCACTTCAGCCTCCATCCCTTGGGTTCAAATAATTCTCCTGCCTCAGCCTCCCAAGTAACTGGGACTGCAGGCATGTGCCACCACACTCAGCTAATTTTTGTATTTTTAGTAGAGACAGGGTTTCACCATGTTGGCCAGACTGGTCTCTTAACTCCTGATCTCAGATGATCCGCCTGCTTCGGCCTCCCAAAGTGCTGGGATTAGAGGCGTGAGCCACCACGCCCGGCCACCATTATATTTTTTAAGAGACAGGATCTCTCTCTTTCTATTGCCCAGACTGGAGTTCAGAGGCATGATCACAGCTCACTGCAGCCTTGGCTTCCCAGGCTCAAGCGATCCTCCCACCTCAGCCTCCCAAGTAGCTGGGACCAGAGGCGCATGCCACCAGACCCATCTGATTTTTGTACCTTTTGTAGAGACAGTGTCTCACTATGTTGCCCAGTCTGATCTTGAACTCCTGAGCTCAAGAAATCCTCCTGCCTCAGCCTCCTGAAGCTCTGGGATTATAGGTGTGAGACACAGCACACAGCATCATAATTACTATAATTATTGTTACTGTCATTATTATTACTTATGTACCAGAGACAGTTTAAAGTACTTGGCCTGTGCTATTTCATAAAAGCCTCAGAGCAGCCCTATATGATAAGAATCATTGCTCTCTTCATTCTCCAGATGAGAAACTATGGCACACAAAGGTTAAATAACTTGGCTAAGATCACAAGGCTAATAAGTGACAGAAGTATCATTTAAACCCAGCCAATCTGAGTCAGGACTCTTCAGTCACTCTTGTGAAATTTCCTTCTGCTGTTTTTTGAATTTTGTGTTATTATCCAGAGGGTTGTTATTTCAGCTTTGTAGATTTATTCTTCACCAACCCAAGGAAAGTATAAACTTCAAAATCATGGACAGTTTTTTTTTTTTTTTTTTAGAGGGAGTTTCACTCTTGTTGCCCAGGCTGGAGTGCAGTGGCACGATCTCAGCTCACCATAACCTCCGCCTCCTGGGTTCAAGCGATTCTCCTGCCTCAGCTTCCCGAGTAGCTGGGATTACAGGCACGAGCCACCACACCCAGCTAATTTTGTATTTTTAGTAGAGACGGGGTTTCTCCATGTTGGTCAGGCTGGTCTCGAACTCCTGACCTCAGGTGATCTGCCCTCCTCAGCCTCCCAAAGTGCTGGGATTACAGGCGTGAGCCACTGCGCCTGGCAATCATGGACAATTTTTGATAGTCTTCATTCTTCACAGTGCCTTACACAATTGGCACTCAATAAGTGAGAGCTGCTATTGTTACTATTATTCTTTTCATTATCATTATTAATGGCTGGTTGGCTTTATTTATTTTATTTATTTTTATTTTTATTCTTATTTGAAGTTCCAGAGTACATGTGCAGGATGTGCAGGTTTGTTACATAGGTAAACATGAACCATGGTGGTTTGCTGCAACTATCAACACATCACCTAGGTATTAAGCTCAACATGCATTGGCTATTTATCCTAATGCTCTCCCTCACCTGACACCACCCACTAACAGGTCCCAGTGTGTGTTTTTCCCCTCCCTGTGTCCATGTGTTCTCATTGTTCAGCTCCCACTTATAAGTGAGAACATGCGGTGACTTTATTTTAAGCATCATCCTCTTCCTGCAATCTTCTTTAAAACTGCAACTTCTCCTCCATGCCCTGAAATTACTGATGTGCTTTCCCAATATCTTTACATGAATTGTTATTAGATTTGATGGCCAGAGAAAGAAGAGGCAGAGGAAATAGGAAGCTTTGACAAGACAAGTAGAGGTGATGCAGTGGCCACTGAAGGCAAGCCACCTACATCCCAATTATCTACCCACAGCTGTCTCTGCCTTGTGACACATTGTTCTTGATTAATTGTACAATTGCTAATAGAAAACATTAACTAATGGGAATTAATATTAATCTGTGATGAATAGTCACTGGCATGTGGCTTGCCTTCTGACTGTTTGAATTTGATTTTCGAGGATCTGCACTTATGCCTATGGAAAGCCTTTTGAAGACCACAGGAGCCAAGGGTGTAGAGTGCATATGGAGAGAATAATGTTCATTATCTTATTAAACCCCAGTTCCTCCCAGGGAGGGTAGAAGATAGCTGGCAAATTTTATCTCTCATTTGCAAATGGAGACTCATTGGCTTACGGTAATTCTATAATATGCCTTAAGTCCAGAAGGGAGCAAATGGAGAGCTAAGAATGAACAGCGAATTCTCCAGTGCTGCCTGACACCAACCTGTAGCTATCACATACTAAAGACCACAGGGACACGATGGCAAGGACCTGTACAATCAGGCTGCCCAGGCCAAAAAAAAAAAAAAAAAAAAAAAAAGGTCAACTTTGTTATGCCTCTCCTAAAGCATTTATTCTTTATGCTAGCACCGGCCATAATCAGATGCATTTTATTATTCGATGCACCTTCACCAAATATGCTGTAAGGTCCATTATATATGTGTTCTGTGTTTTAAAGTTTTTAAAGCATATTCATATACATGATCTTACTTAATTCAGAGTTTTCATGAGCTAGCATTTTAATATACCCCATTTTTATAATTCTTTGCCCTTTAGTGTTTCAACTTGGGAGTAAAACACTTGCTAAAGTGCACTTAGCTAGTAAGTGGAAAAACTGGGAACTGCCCCCAAGGTCTTGCTGCAATGTGATCTAGGGTTCTCTCCATCACCTATTCAGATTTCCTGCCCTTCTATTAATAATCGTGTTTCTCTTCTGCATAGATACCTCTCACATGATGTGGACAAAATAAATGTTTGATATTGCTACTGCTAATGATGATGATGGTTGAAAAATATTCACCTGACTGATGACTTTACAGTCAGCCTGCCGAGATAGCAGTTAGATCTGATCTGCCTGGACTTCTTAAGAAAGCATCAAGGTTTTTGAGTCCTAGTTCTTCTTGCAACTCTGGACCTGTAGCACGGACAGGAACTATGGAGCAACACAAGTCTCTCTTAGATAAGAGAATTATTCATTTTGTTTCTCCAGGGAATGTGTATTGAGCATCTATTATGTGCCAGCCACTAGGAACACGATGATAAATAATAGAAACACAAACCCAACCATGTCCTCCTGAAGCTCATAATCTAGTGGGGAAGGTGAAAATAAAAGTAATCTAACCTAGGTTTTAGCTGGGGTCATTCCGTCACTTAAGAGTTCCTTGATTCTCATTCCCTGTATTTTGGTCAGTCCAGTATCCTTCCCATGAATGTGATAATTCTCAAGGAACTTACAGTTTTATTTTATGTCTGGCTCTGAACACCTCCTTCTGCTGAATTAGTTCAGTTTAGGAAAAGTTCACAGTCTGGAATGTGTTCTTTCTATTTTGTGTCACATTTTCACTAGTCGTAAGACTGAGCCCTCTTCCTTACTTTGCACATGCACGTGTGCGTGCACACACACACGACTCATAACACTGCTTCAGTGAGCAAGCAAGACTTAATGGAAGTTTTGAGAGATGGAGAAATACGTTACAGCAAACCTGAGAACTCCGTTTTCCAAATAGATCTAGAATTTGACCACTTCTCACTACCTCCAAATTGACATCATCTCTCTTTTGGGTTGTTGCACTGACCTCCTAGTTGACCTCCCACTTATCTCCAGAGGTTATTCTTCAACAGCACCCAGAGGGACCTGTTAAAAAGGGACTCAGATGAAGTCCCAGCTCAGCTCAAAGCCCTCCAAATACTGTCCCATCTCCTGCAGCTTAGAAGCCCACAAGGACTACGGGTTACCACCCTGACTCCCTGCTGACCTCATCTCCAGCGATCTTATCTTCCTCATCTCACTCCAGACATTCCAGACAGTTCCTCAAAAGCATCAAACATAGGCCGAGCACAGTGGCTCACGCCTGTAATCCCAGCACTTGGGGAGGCCAAGGCGGGTGGATCACGAGGTCAGGAGATCAAAACCATCCTGCCTAACACAGCAAAACCCTGTCTCTACTAAAAATACAAAAAATTAGCTGGGCATAGTGGCATGCACCTGTAGTCCCAGCTACTTGGGAGGCTGAGGCAGGAGAATCGCTTGAACCTGGGAGGTGGAGGTTGCAGTGAGCCAAGATCATACCACTGCACTCCAGCCTGGGTGACAGAGCGAGACTCCATCTCAAAACAACAACAACAACAACAAAAAAAGAACACCAAACATACTCCATCCTCAGGGACTTTGCATCTGCTGTTCCCTCTGATTTGAGCACCCCTCCCCCCAATAGATGTGCAACTTGATCCCTTTCTCCAGATTTCTACTGCGTTATCAGTCCAGGAGTAAGATTCCCTATGCCCGCCTCCCAACACCCAATCCTAAAACTGTGCCTAACGGGTAGTAGGCACAAAACAAAAATTGTTAAAGACTAAATAAATGAGGTCAAAGCTGAAAAATGAGAAACCTTATTTCTTAAAATATAGCCCCCAGCATCTTAACAGCCTCCTCTTTCCCCAGCCCACTGCCATGATATGTGGCTTTCAAAGATCATTTTCCTTCTGCCTGTCTCCTTTGCCACTTCTGTTTCTCCTGTGCCTCTTCCTTCTCAAGAACATATTGCAGCTACATCACTCAGGACTTGCAAAACCTTGTGGAAGGCATCATCTTGTTATTATAAAATGGGAATTAAAATGGTGCCTCCACAAGAATATCACAGTGAAAGTTATCAATACATGTAAGTCATCTAGACCAGGCCTGGCACATAGTAAGTACTCACTTAAGAGTCAAGGAAACAGGCCGGGCTTTGGGACATGGGAGGATCACTTGAAGCCAAGAGTTTGAGACCAGTCTGATCAACATAGCAAGATACCATATAAAGAAAAAAAAAAGAATCATGGAAATAGCAAAATAAACTTCTCTTATTTTTAATGCAAAACGATTCAAATCTTTCCCAGACCTAAGACCAGGTCAGCTCCAGCCCACTTTTAATTATCTAAACCCATGAAGACACACCTCAGAACAAAAGGGCCTTTCATCTGAATAAGACCCAACCTCTTACCAGGTATCCACAGTTGTAAAGGCCAATTAATTTCCCAGCCACATAAGTTATCACCACAAAATATTAATGCTATGAGAACAGATGTGCAAGAGATGATGGGGAGAGCACATAAGATATAACCCATAACAGGGGCTGGCAAAATCTTCTGCAAAGAATCAATGGTTATCTGAGAACTGGAGAATAAGTAGGAATTGCATGATGAAGAGGGAGGAAATTTCCAGGCCAAACACTATGTGAAAGGCCAAGGATTGAGAACAAGGTGTGTTCCCACCTCTGAAAATGGAGCTCATTTTGTACCATGAGGTTGGAGCAAAGGTTTGAGGGATGCAGGGGACAGATAAACCAGGAACATGATCTGGGGCCAAATCTTGGAACTTTGTAATCTGAATGCAGTATTTTGATGTTATCTCAAAGGCAAGGGGAAGAAGTCACTGAACATGTTAGGTCTGGTAATACTGTAATCATGTAGGATTTGCCTCGCTGGAAGATTATTGTGAATGCAGAGCAGAGATCAGACTCATGCGACAAGACGAATGGCAGATAAACCCACTAGGAGGCCATCAAGGAAGGTATCTGGGCAAGACAGAGAAGTGTCAGTGGAGAAGAATGAAGGATGTGAGCCCCTACAAACTTTATTAAGAAATTTCTATGTGAGCTTTCAGAGAAACTCTTCATCCTACATCTACCACTGTAGTTCATAATGATCTTTTTGGGAGTCAGACGTATCCCCACCTTAAGACACTGCCATCTTCCAGAAAACCATTTGATTCACTTGCAAAAAGATAAGTCCATGCTTAACAATAAGAGTATCTCCTGGACATAACTTGTATGTAAACGCCTCTGCCTCCTTTCATGTACAGGGGCCACTTCTGGGGCCAATTCTTCCTTATGCATGTCCCTCTCTACAGGCCTCCCTACTTCTACGTTAATCCAAGCCCCGAAAGAAATATTTGGCAACTAATGTGAGTGAATCAAATAATTCATGTTACATTCTATTAATTTTGGCAAATCTAATTTGTCTTGGTTATGGGTGGCAGCTATCTGGAACTTCAAACCCTGAAAATCCTTTGTGTGCATGGAATTGATAGAATTCTACTTGTGAACCCAGGTTCCTAAGGCCATTCTCCCACCTAATTCTACTCTGAATTCTTGTCTTTTGTATCCGTGTTCTGTTATAAAAGGTAATCTTCTTCCTCTTAAAATGTTCTGTTTATACCAAAGTGGATGGGGAACAGCGCAGTGTCTAGCTTGCCTGGCTAAAGTTTGGGTTAAAGCCAAGAACCTCAAATCTGACTCGGAAAAGTGGAGCTGTATGTTGTGAATGGCGGTCAACAGACAGGGGACCCAGTTCAAGGTTCCAATCCTCCCCTGGTAATGTTCATGACTTTGGTAAATCTTTGCACCCACTAAACGTTAATTAAAGCACAGAGGTTGGATAAAATCAGTCATCTTTAAACTCAACCTAAACCATTGCTTCAAATGAAATCTTACCAGGACTTCTTCTGCTCAATAATTAATACTAATTAGGGCCGCTTTGGCAGTAGGGGTGGGGTCTGGATTCTGTGAATTTAGCTTCATTTTTCTCACTTTATCAGCCCTGAATTTTCAAAACTTGACCAGATCACCTTGAAGATTTCTGCCCACTCAAAATGTCTGTGGTGATACTGGTTGTACTTTACATTCTAGAACATTAAGTGCAAACGATTTCTCCAACTTCAATGTTTACCACTGTGCGTATGCCATGGTAGTATTATATGATTTCTGTTCTTATTAACTCTATCTCTAGATCCCTGTGCAATATGATTTAACAAATACTTATAAATTGTAATAATAATAATGTTATGTTTGAATAGCATTTGACAGTTTATTAAAACTTTTCACCTTATTTTATTTAACCCTCTTAACAACCTGTGTTATGTATAATTATCCCCCATTTTTGACAGCTGAGAAAACTGGGGTGTAAAAATATTTAAGGGATTTATCCAAAGCATAAAAATAGAATTTTGTCGTGTGTTATTGTCATTTGTGTCCATGTTCAAACCTGCTCTGTCCCACGAAGGATTTGCAATAATTTAAAGAAAATTACCTTTCCACAGAGTATAACACCTTTACAATATCTTTTCTTCTTAATCTTACAATAAAAAACGTGTGGAAATAATTAGATATTGAGACTACTGAAAATTAACATCAAGATAGACGTTCAAGGCTAGTGGTAAGGAAAGAGAAAAATCCACCAGCTGTAAGACACCTAAGTACTGTGCGGAAGAAGAACTGAAGCCAAGGTCTTCTGCTTAGTGTGCAGGGCTTGTTCTAGTCCACAATATCTGCCTTTCTTATACAGTGCCCTGTTCTAGCGCAACTGGGCATAGAGAGATGAGAAAATCTGTATTCTAATCCTCTAATGAAGATGCATGGGACTGCATTGCTGAGGGCCTCATGTCCTTGGGGGTACAGAGATAGTCTTATTTATTTCAATAACTAACAACCAGTTCTGCTCCTTCTGACCCCTTCCCCTGCTGGATCATCAGTTCTATTAAAGAATCTCAGTTCAATCCCATAACCTTTTAATCTCTTTTGGGTGTTAGAATAGTCTTATACCGATTCTTTAGGATTCAGTCCCATTCTTAAAACCTAAATCTCACACTTAATACATGCCATATCCTCTTCTTCCACCCAGGGTGGATGGGCAGGAGTCTCTCGAGCCCATCCGGCAAGTGGTTGCTCTCTTGCGCCTTCCCTCCCTCTATGGAGCTTGCTCCTCTGCGTCAGTGATACAAGAGGGAGGCCGGAAGCGCTGGGTAGAGAAGGGTGGGTTCCTGGCGAGGGTTCCGTCCCCGGGCCTGTGCCCATGGACCTAGGTGAGGACAGGCATTTCTGTTTTCGTGCCCAAATGTTGCATTTCCCAAGACCACCCTGGCCCACCACACCCCCATCCTGTGCCTATAAAAACTCCGAGACCCTAGTAGGCACAGACACAAGTGGCTGGACGTTGAGAGGAACGCACTGGCATGAGAGCACACTGATAGGTGCTGGCTGGCGGAAATACGCAGAGTTTGGCCGGGGAAGTTGGAGGAGAGCCCAGCCTCTGAGCGGCCCGACTCCAGGAGAAAACCACCTTCCCACTCCATCTCCCTTCTGACTCCATCTGCTGAGAACTACTTCCACTCAGTAAAACCTTGCACTCATTCTCCAAGCACAGGTGTGACCTACTCTTCTGGTACACCAAGGCAAGAAACCCCGGGATACAGAAAGCCCTCTATCCTTGCGATAAGGCAGGGGTCTAATTGAGCTGACTAACACAAGCCACCTACGGACAGCAAAACGAAAAGAGCACACAGTAACACAAGCCTACTGGGGCTTCAGGAGCTGTAAGCATTCACCCCTAGACACTGCCGTGGGGTCAGAACCCCACAACCTGTCTGTCTGCCTGCTCCCCCTAGAGGTTTGAGCAGCAGGACACTGAAGAAGCGAGTCACACCCCCATCGCATGCCCTGCGAAGGAGACAAGGGAACTTTTACGGTTTCATCAGAACCCTTTCCTGATTGTCTGCAACAAGGTTGTCCTCCTTTATTTGGTTGCCGTTGCTTCTCTCTCTCACCCTGGCCAGCATCCATTTCCTCTGTTGGAAAGGTGTTCAGTTTCCGGATTAGCCTTCCGGGTTCCCTCACTGATTGTCTGAAGGGCCCATGCTGACCTCCCCCTGCACAGCTCCTGGAAGTGGGTCTGCAACTTCAGTGTGACCTCTTCCTCCTGTCTCTTGACAACTCCATAAATGGCCCGCCCTGCACCCTCTTGCTGTTGGGATTCCCTTGCTCAGCAGGCAGCCCAGTGGGGTGTTGGGGTGGAATTAATACAAATCAGAAAGCTTAAGCCTCAGAGGCTTTAGCATTGCAGGCTTGATCCACAGGAAATGCACTTTGCTAGGCAGGCTGCCGCCTGGTGCCCCGACTCAGGCTCCACCATCTCCTGACTGTCTCATTTTTCAAGGATCATTAGTGTCTCCACTGCTTCAATAGCTTGGTAACTTTCAGGCAAGAAACAATCACCAGTCTGCCACTGAGGGGAAGAGAAAAACAGTTTAGGCACTTAAATGTTTATAGAGAAATAAGGAGAAGGGCCCCTCTTCCCAAACTGCATTCCCCTCAAAGCCAACTTCCCCCTCTCTCCTCAGACCTCTTCTACAGTAAGGACAGCAGGTGAAGCAAAGGTTATGGTGATGGAGATGGATTTTCTCAAATATACCTTCTCCACAAGCATGAGGTGAGTCATGAGCAAAAAGTCAAGAAGCACGATGCTTACTCCAAAAAGTCTGGAAGTTGTACCAGGTGCTTAGTACAATCCCTAAAAAAAAATCAGGAAAAGTCCTTCTGAGGAAGAAACTACACCTCTTACAAATGCCTGGAATAAATATTAAAATTAACTACAAAGGTAAAGCAATGGAAGATTAAATTTCATTCCAAAAACCTTCAGCCAGAGTAATTTTGGTCTTAAATTTAGTCAAGCACAACATTTAAGAGGTTGGCAAAAAGCTCAACAAACAAGATAAGTAATACTTTAGGGCAATATTTTTTTTAATCCAAAATGAGGCAAAAAATCAATATGAACAAAACATTAGAATTTTAAATAAAGAAGTATCAGTAGGACTGACTTTTTCTGTTTTGCCTCAGGCTCCAATATGGTGTGGCATGGCACCGATTAAGGGATGTATTTTACTTTACTGGGAAAAAAATAAAATGAATAGAGATGAAGGAGCTCTGGATCCAAATGCCAGCTGGTCTCTTGTCTGTCACAAGTGGGTGAAGAATTGAAAACAGAGGCTGAAGTGAAAGAGAAAACACTTTAGCACAGATATCCAATGCAGCAGGGTTCTCCTGAGGCTGGGGAATACAGGTGAAAGTTTCTGGACAGTCCATGAATATTGCAGATTTTCTGTTTACCATCTTGTCCCTAATTCCCCCATCTCTACCATCTTTGTCTATCTGACTCATGACTCGCCTCATATAAGACCAAAGCAATTGCTTCTTGTCTCATAACCACTGGACCTATATATTTCTGGATTATCCATGTCTGAGCAGGTCCCCATACACAATAAGTCCTCAACTCTTATGTGTTTTTATTTAAAAATAAATCAAAAGGAAGATCCTGAGTTACCAGAACTTAGGAGCTGGCACCACTCAGACCTCTTTGAGGGTGCAGAGCTGTGCAGCTGAATGCTGGAGGTGAGACCTTCTCCTGCCCTCCATTCTTGCAGTGAGGCTGGCAGGAACTGGAAACAAGAAGGAAGCCACTTCACCCCTTTTCTTGCCTCCCAATCTCCCTCAAGGGCCTCCTGTTGGCAGAACTAATTGGAAGCCAGCTGACAAGTGGATCTGGGAAAGGTAATTTGCAGACCCCAGCCACCGTATCGCTGGGCAGAGCATAGAATAGTCAGCTTGGAGTGTGAGAGACAACAGCTAAAGAAACAGCCCATGCAAAGGGGAGGAGGGTACAGCAAGTAGGAGTGGAGGGAAAAAAAACCTGGAGAAAAAGCAAAACGATCAGTTCAAATGCATGCCCCTGGGTGGCTAAAGCCTATAGTTCTTGGGGAGAAAGAAGAGGATACAGCAAATTTATAAGACTGGGAAGGGAAACTGAGTTCACGTGGTAGAGAGTCTTGAATGCTATATTAAAGAGCTTTAATTATTTAGTTACTGGAGAATCACAGAAGATTTTTGAGCTAAAAAAATAACATGCTCAGACCATGTGTAAGTAGGATAAACATGTGTTCTGGCGGCCACCACTGGATGTGCTATGCAAGCTAGGTTTCCTGACCCATGATTTCTATAGCTTCAATTCCTTCAACAGCCAGAACTTTGAGATTAGCCATGCTGGGTGGATGTCGAGTAGGATGTTATGGGCACAGAAGCAGAAGGGAGGGTGCGAAGCTCCAGGCTTAGTCCATGGGAATACAAAAGGGCGGAAGGACAGAGAACTGTACAGTTTGTTTACTGAAGGATTCTGGCCTTTTTCATGTAAACAGGTAAAGTATATGGTGTCAAGGAAAATTGCAGCACTAAACTTTTTTATAAGTACTGCTGTCTCCACAATAGATGTTACCCTGCAAAAAACGTTTTTGAGGACATGACTGTCATGTATCTTCAAATTCCCAGAACTTCAGTTTCATTGAAAAATAATAAATGACTCGGAGAAAGGTTCAATCATTTATTCTTTGCAGTCACAGTCAGCCATTTAAAATGTTTTCTTTTAGATTAAACACATATTTATATAAACATGAATTCATGGGCTGACCAGGCTAAAAAAAAAAGTACTTTTATTTTAAAGGGAATAGTCCTTTCTACTATTTCCCTCTTTCCTCGCTGCTTATACAAGTGTGTTGTTATCTATTTTTTTCTGTTATATATACACATGCAAGAAAAACTGCAAACTCCAAATTCTTCAACTAGGGTCACTGGACTCACTGGGATCTTTGCAGCTTCAGTCAGTAGGACTGCTTCTATCTTTAAATGAGACAATTTTCCAGTAGGAGAACAGGTGAAAAAGAAAAAAATATAGTGTTAAAGTATAGTTTTCTGGATGGAAGTTTCCTTTATTCCAATTTACTACTTGTCAAAGTCATTTTTGTCAGTAGACATGAAATAATTAATCAAGGAAACTGTATCATCTAATTAACTTGAAGAGTATCAACATAATGGGGCAGCCACTCAGCACAGTAAAATGGTGAGATGTTGCCTCTTTGCTAGTTCAGGGAAGAGAACTGTGGAGGCAGGAAGGGAAGAATTTTCTGTCCTGCCAGAGGGTGTGCATCATTTATCATGCTGACTGGGCTGTCATATCAGTGGGAGGACCCTGGAGAGCCCTGACCATGAGATTGAAGGTTGGTGCCAACTTACAGCAACACAAATGCATTGAACAGGAAAGAGATAGATCCCAATCTCTTCAATTTTCTTACATTACCCTGAAGGCCAGGGAATTAAATGAAACAGTAGCTGATGACAACTTTAGAGGGTCCTAAATGCATGACAGGAAAAGTATTAAAATAGCTCAATAGTTTTATTGTATATGTGCGTTAATCTTGCCCCTGAATGAGGAACAAGAGCAGAAAATGCTGCCTTTTGGTTTTACCTATTCCTCAGTGGGAAAATGGTATACAAATTCTTTTTCCCTGCAGAAATTCTTATTGGGCAAAATAGGAGAAATGGAAAACAAGAAGAAGAAGGCAAAATGAGCTTGAAGACACTCTGTCAAGCACATTATCGAGATGCTGTGACTCACAATTTGTTGGTGTGTATTTAATGACTTATAGTGAATCCATTATTCTCCTCCCACCAGTAGTGTACGTCAGAAGAATATATTTTTTAAAAACTAAAATTAACCCCTGATCACATTGGGTGAAATTGTCTCTTTACTTAAGTACAGGTCCTGTGAATTCATACATGTGGTCAGTTTGCATAGGACTAAAACTTCCAAGCCATTCAAGAAATACTGAGAAAGTATGCAGCCAAACAAGTCCCTCTAGGCAGATCTTCCCAGAAGCATATTCCATTTTTCAATTTACCAACTCATTGTTGAGTGCCTTCTAAATTTCAGGAACCAGACTAGGTATTAGACACACAAGATTCAATATATTGTTGTTTGTGTTCTTAAGGGTAGCGTATTAAAGGGCAGTGATATAAGAGACAATTAAGAGCTTCAGTTTTGCTGTCAAAAAACCTATTTCTAACCCTAATGTAGACACTTAGCTGTGGTATGAATTTGGACAAGTTATCCTGCTAATCTTTTATCCTCTTCTGAATAACCAGGAGTAAAGATAGTTTCTTTCCTACAGAATAAATGCGAGCATTAAAGAAGAGCATGTGAATATTTTAACATGATGTATAGTATATAGTAAGCATTCAACAAATGTTTGCTTTTATTGGCTATTAATATAATGTGTTAAGACTTATGGGGACACAGATGAAGAAGCCTCTAATTCTGTAGGGGAAGGAAAGATGAAGTAAGAAGGTATAATATTTGAGCTGTGATTTAAAATATGAATAAAATTTCCCTGCCAGAAATAATGATCTTAAGATCCTGAGTATATCAATTCAACTCAACTAACTCAGTCAAGCAGTTCTCTCTCTTGGTTACAGCATGGGGATCAGAGGTCAAAACAGAGTAAAAATTAGAGCTTCTGGACCTGATGGACAAATGTCACTTCACACAAAGAGAAAATTACTATTCCATGACCATAGGCCATACCCCCAAACTTGATTTAATGCACACTGATGATCAGTAGCAGTTTGAGAGTTAATAAGGGTAAGTTAAACTCATAGAGAGTTTAGAAGTATCAAAAATAGCTAAAGATCCCAAGTATTATCTTTCTGCAACACTTGAGAGTACCAAACTAATAAGCAAAAGACACTTTATTTTTATTTAAAACTAAAGTCATAGAAAATTTCAAACTGAAGCATACAACATCCAATTTCTTCAACAAATATTTCCTGAATAGCTTTTATGTACCAGGTACTATGCCAAGCCCTGTGGATGCAAAAATAAAAATGACATAACCCAAGATCTGGAACTTCATTTTAGAAGGAAAATAAAAATGAGTTAGTGCTAGTTAATAATATGTAAAATTATGGTGCAGACAAGTTCCATTTCATTTTATGAAAACCCAAGAGAAAATATTGGGCGTACTTTCTAATGATGCAGAAAAGCAAGAAAAGAAATTGATCAAGGAAATAACTGATAGACTTAATAACACAAGAATAAAAAACTTCCATGAGTTATAAAAAAGAGATCATTAATAAAAATATAATACAAGTAGATTATAAAGGGTTAATATCTATTATCAACTTCTTTGTATTGATGAGACACAATTTCATACCTATGAAACTCCATTAGAGTCAAAAGAGAGAAAACACCAAAAGCTTGAAAACTACTTTGTGAAAAAGATCAACCTCACTAGTAATCAAATAAATGCAAATTAAAATGAGGCACCATTTTTGTCTATCAAATTAGCCAGAGAAAATAAAGGCTAACCTCATGTACTGATGAGGATGTGGTGAGAGAGATGTTTTCATACACTGCCGGTTGTCAATAAACTGTAGTGACCTTTCTGAAAAGTTAATCTGGCAATGTATATTGAGAATTTTAAAACTGATTCCACTCCTTGGTACTACTAATTTAACTATTAATATGTATCTTGAGAAATTGTTGAGAAGATTTATATGCCAAAAAATCCCAACTTTTTTATAATAGTAAAAAATACATTAAAAATAACAACAACAGAAATATTTCCAACAGGAAGATAATTAAATTATGGTACTTTTCATGCTGTGATATACACCCTTTGACAATGCCTTTCAAAGAAGGTAGTGATTTTAGAAAGGTTCATGATACAGTATTTCAAAGGAAAAAGACAAGTAAATGGAGATTTTGGTCAGCAAACTAAGTCAAGAAAAATAAAATGTTATTTTTATTCAGAGACAACATGACTACCTATTATTGAAACTCTAAAATAATCTTAAACATATTATTAATTAATAAAAGAATTTACCAAGATTGTTGGGTATGAAATCAATATACAAATACCAAAGACATTTTCATTTTTAAGTAGTGAACATGTAGAAAAATAATTTTAGAAAAGATAACGATATGGTTTTCCTGTGTCCCCACCCAAATCGCATCTTGAGTTCCCACATGTTGTGGGAAGGACCCTGTGGGAGGCAACTGAATCACGGGGCAGGTCTTTCCAGTGCTGTTCTTGTGATAGTGAATAAATCTCATGAGATCTGATGGTTATAAAAGGGGAAGTTTCCCTGCACAAGCGCTCCTATCTTTGCCTGCTGCCATCCACCTAAGATGTGACTTGCTCCTCCTTGCCTTTCGCCATGATCGTGAGGCTTCCCCAGCCACGTGGATCTATAAGTCCGATTAAACCTCTTTCTTTTGTAAATTGCCCAGTCTGGGATATGTCTTTATCAGCAGCATGAAAACAAACTAATACAGATAACATTTACAATATCAATAAAAAATTAATATACTGAGGAATAAATCTGATAAAATATGTGTAAGAACTTTGAGGAGATAATTATAAATGTGTGATTAATACATTAAAGAAGACCTAAATAAAAGTAACGATACACTATGTTTATATCAATATGCTATGTATGTACTAGGTTTGTACTATTAGAGTGATATACCACGTTTATAATAGTAAAATTCCTCATTGTGAAGAAGTCAGCATTCCTCAAGTTAATGTATGAAGTCAGTGAAATTTTCATTGAAATTCCAACAGGAATTTGACAAAATGACTCAAAAGTTTGTGTGTAAAAGCAAATGGACAGGCATAACAAAAACATTCCTGAAGTAGAAAAATAGCTGGCACGGAAGATCAGTGGGAAAGAAGAACTCTAGATAAGTGGTATGGGATAGTTGGGTATCTGATAACATAATATGGAAATGAATCTATACCTCATTCCTTATGCAAAAATTAATGCCAAGTAGATAAGAGTAAAATATGAATAGCAAAACTTTAAACCCTTAAAAAAATAAGAAAATATCTTTATGCCTTCAAGCCAGGGAAAATATATTGTCCAAGACATAAAGCCAAAAGGTATAGTGGTGGAGGGAGAGTGATATATTTAGCTACATTAAATTGAAAACTACTTTTCATCAAAAGACATCATTTTTTAAAGTTTGTTTTAAGCCACAACCTGGAAAAAGTTGTTTACAACACTACTGGATAGCAAAAAATAATTTTTAGAATTTATAAATAACTCCTAAAATATAATTAGAAAAAGAAAACCAATCTCCAGTAGAAAAATGGCTAAAAGGACATGACTAGGTAATTCACAAACTAGGAAACAGGGATGGCGCCATTGTATGAAAAGATGCCCGTTCTTAGAAGTAGTCATAGAAATGAAAATTGATGAGATATAAATTCCAGACACTCCAGTTTGGCAAAAATTTTAAAAACTGATGATATCTAATTTTACTGAGTGTGTGGTGCAATAGAAACTCAAAACTCTGATGGGAATGAAAATTGGTTAAGTTAAATATGTGACTTAAATCAATAATAGACTACTATGCAAGAATTTAAAAGAATAATTTGACCTGCATGTACTCACATGGAATGTTCTCCAAGAAATATAGTTATATAAAAAAAAACTAACGAACAATTATTACTAATATAATTTATCTATTAAAATTTTTGATGATAGGTTCTCTGGGTATAGAATTCTAAGTTGACTATTCTTTCTTTTCAACACTTTAAAAAATGTAACTCCATTGACTTCTGATGCCTGATGATAATGTAAAGTCTTCTATCAATTTGTCTGTCCTTCAGAAATCTTTTATTAAAACTGTTAATTTTAGATGTCTACATTTTTATTATAATGCATCTAGGTCTGGATTTGTTATTTATCTAATTAAGCAATTAGTATAAATTTTCCATCTGAAGACTCATCTTCAATACTTAAAAATTCTCAGTCATTTCTTCTGGGATACTGTTTTACTTACACTTCCTATTCTCTATTGCTGGAATTCCTATTAGAAATTTATTAGAGCAGCTTATTCCACTCTCCATTTTACTTAAATCCTCTTTAAAGTTTCATCCTTTTGTTTTCTTTTTGAGACAAGGTCTCACTCTTCTCCCCAGGCTGGACTGCATTGCTACAATCTCAGCTCACCTCAACCTCACCTCAACTTGAGCCTCAACCTCTTAGGCTCAAGTGATCCTCCCACCTCAGCCTCCCAAGTAGCTGGGACTACAGGTGTGCACCACCATGCCCGACTAATTTTGTTTGTTTGTTTGTTTTTTGTTTTTTTTGTTTTTGGTAGAGACAGGGCTTCACCATGTTGCCCAGCCTGGTCTCAAACTCCTGAGCTCAAGCAATCCACCCACCTTGGCCTCCCAAAGTGCTGAGACTACAGGCATGAGCCATCGCACCCTGACAAATTTTATCTTTTTATTTCTCTGACACTTGTATAGGATGATTTATTTATGATTATATAGCAATCTATTAACTCTCTCTTTGATTTCAAGTCTATCATTAATCACAACTCTTGATTTTTTTATTTAAATAACTTTTTCTGATTTATATTCCTTTAATTACAAGCAAATATAATCAGTTTTCATCGACATTAGGGTATTTCCTTTTTTACTATAATGAAAAACATAATATTAAATGTAAATGTACCATCTTAACCATTTTTAACCGTACAGTTTAGAAGTGTTAAGTATATTCACTTCGTTATGCAACAGATGTGTAGAACTTTTTCATCTTGCAACCCTGAAACTCTATTTCTTTCCACCATTCCTTGGTAACCACCTTTCTACTTTTTGTTTGTATGATTTTGATACTTTAGATATGTGATATAAGTGAAATCACACAGTAGTTTTCTTTCTGTAGCTGGGTTATTATGCTTAGCATAGTGTCTTAGTAGTTCATCCATGTTGTGGCATTAACAGATTTCCTTCTCTTTTAAGGCTCATAATATTCCATTTTATATATATACTACAATGTCTTTATTCTTCCATCCATGGACTTTTAGGTTGCTTCTACCTCTTGACTATTGTGAATAATGCTGTGATGAACATAGGTGTGCAAATATCTCTTCAGGATCCTGCTTTGAATTCTTCTGTATATCTTAGCAAGGCATGGTGGCATGTGACTGAAGCCCCAGCTACACAGGAAGCTGAGGCAAGAGGATCACTTGAGCCCAGAAACTGAAGGCTGCAGTGAGCTGTGATTGCACCATTGCACTCCCATCTGGACAAGAGAACAAGACCCCCATTCCTTGCCCCAGAAAACTTATTTTGTGTATGTACCCAGAAGTTGGTTTGCTGGATCATGTGGTAATTCTATTTTTAATCTTTTGAGTCCATACTGTTTTCCATAATGAATATCCCTTTTCACATTCCCCAAAAAGTGGTCAAGTATTCCAACTTATTTTATCTTGATCGATACCTACTATTTTCTGTTCTTTTGTTAGGGACCATTCTGTTGGTGGGAATTGATATCTCATTGTGGTTTTGATTTCCATTTCCTTGATAATTAGTGACGTTGAGCATCTTTTCATGTTTTTCAATAACTATACGGTTTTTCATGTTTTTCATGTTTTTCAATAACTATACAGTTATTGGCCAACTGTATATCTTCCTTTGAAAAATCTCTAAGTCCTTTGCCCAATTTTTAATCAGGTTATTTGGTTTTTTGTTGTTGACTTGTAAAAATTCCTTATATATTCTAGATATTATCCACTTAACAGATATGTGATTTACAGTTGTTTTCTTAAATTTTTTAGGTTGCCTTTTAACTCTGTTGATTGTTTTGATGTCCGGAAGTTTTTAAGTTTGATGTAATCTTATTTGTCTATTTTCTGTTGTTGTGCCTATACTTTGGATGTCATAGCCAATAAATCATTGCCCAAAGCCAATGTCCTGTAGTTTTTCCCTATGTTTTCTTCAAGGAGTATAAAGATTTTGGGTTTTACATTTAGGTATTTAATCCAGTTTGAGCTCATTTTTGTGTATGGTATTATGTAAGAGTCCAAATTCTTCCTTTTACATGTGGAGATCCATTTGTTGAAGAGACTCTCTTTCCCTCATTGTGTAATCTTGACACTCTTATCAAAAAGTATTTGGTCATACATGCAAGGGTTTATTTCTGGGCTCTCTATTCTGTTCCATTGGTCTATATAGCTATCATTATGCCAGTACTACACTGTCTTAATTACTGTTGCTTTGTAGTATATTTTGAAATCAGGGAGTGTGAGGTCTCTAACTTTGTTCTTCTTTTTCAATATTATGTTGGCTATTCAGTGTACCTTGAGAGTACACAAAAAATAACATTACATGACTATATTTTTATAATCTAAGATTTTTAATTAATATTTACCTATTCTGGATTAATAATATTTTATTGTCTGTTCAATAGGTTATTATTCCTTTATCTTTTTGATAATCTTAGACTTACTAATTTTAAAGTCTCTATCTGATTGCTCTACTATTTGGGGTATTCTTTGGCATGAATTATTTCAGTTATTGCATTTATTTGCTGCCTTCTTTTATTGTTATTTTTCCTCATGCACTTTGGAATTTGTTTTTTATGAGTAATCTTGAATGAGAGTTCTTTCCCTTCTTTTCTCAGCTTATTCCTCCCTATCTGGTAGTTTCAAAGAATCCTCTACCTAGTCCCTGGAGTCCCCTGTAAAGACTCATGTCTGACACTGGTCTTTGAGAGTTGTGTTCTGTATTGGGAATATGGAAAATCCAATCATTGAGCCCAGCAGGCAGCTTGGCATATTTACTTATGATGTCATTAGTTTTTTCTCTCTGACCACATCAGTTTTGCAACTGAATAAAAACTATATACTTGGGTAGCAGTTGTAGCCTTTATCGTTCTCTTTACCAGTTTCATGCAGGGGACCCAATTCTTGACTCCAGCCACATATGCAGGACACTTTTTATCATGTGCAGTTTAATTTGTGGCCGTGATGGAATCCCACAACCCAATGATCTAAAACTTTAGCCCCTATGTGTTCCTACCACATTTCTTTCCCACAAGATTTCCATCACTTACTCTAATCCCTGTTTAATCATTTATGTTCACTTTTTAGCTGGGGGTGGGTGGGCACTTAACTAACACAGGAACTCACAATGCCATCTTCAGGAGATCTGTAAAAGAATTTGGCAGTTGAGAATAAAAATATATTACGCTATTCTCTAAGAGGATGGAGAGACGGACGTAGGGGAAACATTTATGGCAGTTTGACTCAGGAGACTGCTAAACAGTACGACTTGTATCAGAGAGAATGACTCTGATCTAACTACATGAAACATCTACCAAAGCAAGTGATATGATGATTGAGCACAACCAACATGAAAAGTTGCCAGGACTCTGCCAGAAAAAAACAACTGGCGCATTTATCATGACTAACCTGAGTTCATGAAGAAATCATAAACTGATTGAAAGGACTGAATAAAGTACACTTTTCCAAAAAAATGTTATATTTATCTTGTGAATTTGCTGTATTGAATGTCATATAAAATGAGATTTATTATTATTTGTGTAATATTCCCAAAATATTATGTTTTGGTAACCAGAGGGTATCTAAAATCTATAAGCATCGTCGTAGATTCAATGTACACATTACTGAATCTATTTAGTTACTGGTTCAAAATAATGGTGTCTTCGATATTTAATAAAAAGTACTTGAATGGACTTATAAGTCGTGGCTGAAATTTTGAGAGTCCTAATTAAGAATTACTTTTATTCTTAAGAAATAATAATAAGAGCTGATTACCTTTAACTTTTGGCAATAATTACCTGCATATGTTGCCTATGGTGAGTGTAATTTTCTTTACATCAAATAGATTATTTTAATTTTCAACAAAGAAATGTTTCCAATTTTATCCAAATCCAACCTCCTCTCCTAAGATGAAATCTTCCTTTCTCTAGTTTTGCGATAGTGTTTTTCAAGGACATTTTACGAAGAGTACATCATAATAGTCTTCAGGGATATCAGTCTATCTGGTATTCAACCTGGATTAAACAGCCCCGAACCTTCATCTTAATTTCTTCCCTTACATTCCGATATGTCCCACACGATTTAAGAAACAGCTTTAAGTGATACTGCTGCTGCTACTGGTGGTTTTAGTTCAGCTGTTTCAGTTTGATGGAAGCACACTAAATTAACTCTGAATGGAGACAGTAAAATTAATTCTCACTGTACCCCTCAGCCATCTCCAACTATAGCAGGCACTGGCATTTGGAATACAATTTTTTTCTGTCCCGCAAAAATCTTAGTGCCCAGCCTCAGGAATGCATTCTCCATAGAGACAAACGTATCTCCATCTCAGCTGTACTCTTTGATCTTACTACAATTTGGTACACCACTGCTTGTGTCAGTTAATAGGTTTAAAACCCTTCCTTCTACATTCCTAAAGACAATTTGATATGAATGTGTTTACAGAGGCAGGGTGATTGTGAGCTTAGATACAAGAATACTGGTTATCACTTTCAATCTTACCTCCAACTTAGGCTATGACTTCTGGGAATGACTTAAGCCTTCAAGAGGAACACACCTGCAGTTAGGCTTGCTTTACATTCCTGCTCTGCAGTGGGGGTTCATCAGTGTCAGGGCCACTCAGCATTCCTCTACAAAAACAGGATTCTAATTTCCACAAATCTTTGTATCCCAGAGAGGCAGCGGGAGAAGTAGGAAGAAGTGAGGCAGAACAAGAATAATGAGTGAGTCACTAAAGGAAATGTTAGAAGGCAGAGCCAGCAGTAGATACTTGTGTAGGGTTCAGCTATGTACAGCTCTACTATTTCAGTCATGGATCCGTAGTTTGGAAGGCTGCCTGAATTTCTTGGGATCACTTAAGCAGTACCACTTGTTCTATTCTTTTACCTCCATAAATATCTTCATCATTGTTCTATTCCTACTTTACCTATATCCTGTCATCGCATTTTGTCTGTCTTCATCCCAAACAACTGATGGACTATGTGGTTAGCATGGTTGTCCAATATAGTAGCTGTATTGCCCTTTGCTTTCCACAAATGCAAGACCGAATTTATAGTTATCATTAGGACTTTCTATTAATATACATAAGAACATGATTATGTTATACAAATTTACTGCTATTTTATATTTCAAAACTATAAATTGAAAAATGTATACGCCCAATCAAAATATCCAGAAGAGGCTTACATTTAAATGGAGACCTATTCTAACTCTCAACTTTTGGTTTAGAAAATCAGCTACAATCTGGCACAACAGAGGAGTCAGTTGCTTCCCACATGTGGACCCACTACTGGCTGGCTCAACTAGAAGTTTCAGGTGTAGCCATTTCAGCTATAGCAGAGTCCTATAAACCAGATTTTGAGACATAGCCTAAGATCACCTATTTACACTTGTCATATTGTAGTAAATGTCATGCACATGTTAAGAAATGACAGAATCATTCAAGTGACATCTTCTTACCAGAAAGATAACTTATCAAAGTTAGTTTCTGAAACAATCAATTTATCTTTAGCTTCAACCCAATAGCCTCAGTAACAATGCCCTTTTAGGTAGGAAATACCATGACATTTGATCTAGTCATGGAGGCATTATATCTGAATTCACTTCAAAGAAGAAATGATTAAATACTTCCTTTACCAGAAAAAGTAGAATTGAATTACTGCTCACAAAAATGAAATTATGGTCGATGAACTAATTGGCTTCCAAGATTTCCTTATGGAGAAATGAGGGAAGGGATGAAAAATTCACATACACTACCCAAAAGAATAACTAAGTTCTCACTGCAGATGAGCTAAGGGATGTGGGTAATGTTTAAATGAATAATTTGACAATATAAACTGTCATTGAAGGGTCTACATTAAATTGTCATTAGAATAGCTTCTTGTTATTGAGCAACACTTTTATGAAGAAAATAAATATCACATGGAGAATCACAATCAAATGGAGAAATAGTATTATACTTTGTAAATCTCAAGATACCGTCTCAAGAGAGGTTTATTGTAATATTTTTAGAAGGTCAGGGCAGCAAAATGCACACTGTCTTCTATTAACAGCTATTAGATAACAAACTCAGGAAAAGCCACACAAACAGTTTCAGACAGGTCTGTTGATGCTAGAACAAAAGGGATCTTTAAAACTCAACTGTTTGTGAAAAACTATTGCTTCTTTTCAACAATTGCCTCTCCAGTATCCTTATGGTTTGAAAGTTCTGTTTAAATAATTATTGTAATTAAAATTGTATAGCTGGATTACTGATTATAAAAGAATTTTCTCTTTGATTGGGTAAGTTTTTCAGAGGACAGTGTGAACTCAAACTAAATCACTAATAGTTCTGTTTGGGAAAAAGTAAGAAATTAAAGCAAATATATTACTCCAAATATCAGTTTGGTCAATAGTTTCAACATTCTTTATAAAGCATTATATCTTGCCAAAGACAAGAAACATTAATGACACATACTGATGTCTATTTTTATTTCCATATGTAGCATTTATCTCAACCCAAGATTAAGCCTCAGGAGGAAAAGGAAAAGCCATATTCCTGAATCAACAACTGACTCAAGTTCTTGAGGATTAGCTATGACAACTGAAACAGATTAAAAACTCTAGAGTGTTAAAATGCAAAATGTACCCCAAAGTCAAATGAGAATCTTTATAAGCTAACATAATTACCACCTAATGCAGACTGCAAAACAACTTACAAATCAGTAAATGATATTACCTTCTGCAAAATGTTCAAGCCCAAAGCACAAGAACCATTGTGGAGGCCTCTATTGGCCTCAATCTTCAAATCATTATCTCCAATCTACCAGCAAGTCCTGATGGCAACACTTAAAATTATACTCCTCATTGGTTCACTTCTTTCGATTCCCATGACACTACTTTAATACAGGCTACTATTATCTTTCATCTGCTCTATGGCAATAACCACGCCCCTATAATTCATTCTCTAAACAGAGAGGTTAACTCTTGCATTCCAAACCTTCAAAGTTTTCATATTTGTATATATTAAAAATTTAAATTCCAGCCATGTGCGGTGGCTCACACCTGTAATCCCAGAACTTTGGGAGGCCAAGGTGGGCAGATAGGTCACAAGGTCAGGAGTTGGAGACCAGCCTGGCCAACATAGTGAAACCCTGTTTCTACTAAAAAGACAAAAATTAGCTGGGCATGATGGCACACGCCTGTAGTCCCAGCTACTCGGGAGGCTGAGGCAAGGGAATCGCTGGAACCGGGGAGGCAGAGGTTGCAGTGAGCCGAGATCACGCCACTGCACTCCAGCTTGGGCAACAGAGTGAGACTTCATCTCAAAAGAAAAAAAAAAAGAAAAAAAATTTAAACTTCTTAACTTGGCCTATAAGATTCCACATTATCTGGCTTCTTGCCTTCTCTTTAGTTACATTCAACAGGTCTCTCCCCTTCGCTTATTTTTCTCCTTGCTCTCCAGCCATTCTGGTCTCCTAAATCCTGAGAGATTTTACCTTTAATGCTCTCTCTCTCTCTGGAAGGCATTTCCTGATGTTCATTAACTAGCTTAGCTCCCTCTCATCAGGAATGAGCTCAAGCCTTGCTTTTCCAGATAAACTGTTCTTGTGTTACTACTGTATTAGTCTGTTCTTGTGTTGCTATAAAGGATTACCTGATACTGGGTAATTTATAAAGAAAATATATTTAATTGGCTCACAGTTCCACAGGCCATACAGGAAGCATGGCTGGGTAGGCCTCAGGAAACTTACAATCATGGTGGCAGGAGAAGAAGAAAGAAGCACCTCTTACATGGCCCAAGCAGGAGGAAGAGAGAGAAGAGGGAGGTACACTTTTAAACAATCAGATCTCATAAGAATTCACTCCCTATCATGAGAAGAGCAAGGGGGAAATCTGCCTCCATGATCCAATTACCTCCCATCCCCAATATTGGGCATTACAATTCAACATGAATTTGGGTGGGAACACAGATCCAAACTATATCAGCTACTCTCCCAAATAGCCTTTGAAATTATACTCTAGCACAGCTTCCATTAGCAATCACTTACTTGCCTCTTTTCTCACTAAAATGCGGGCTCCAAAAATAAAGGTAACATCTCAATATTTTATTATTTATTCACTCATTTCACAAATAATTCTACTAATTGTCACACATTATTCTAGGTCTAAGGAGGAAGTAATAAAAAGTCTATACTCTTGAGTTTTTATTTTACTTGGAGAAGACAAAAATAAATACTTAAAAAATCTCAAAAACAACAGCAGTGAATAAAAATTAAAGGAGAATAAAAGGATAGTGAAAGATGGAAGTATGGAGGGAGTATATAGATAAGGAAGGCATTTTTGAAGAGGTGACTTTTGAGCAGAGATTGAATGAAGTACGAGAGAAAGCCATGGAAAGATCTAGAAAAGGGCAACATTTCTGCAAAGGACCATGTGCTCAAGGGAGAGAAAAAAGGCAAGTGTAACTATCCATTTTTTCTTTTCTTTTTTTTTTTTTGAGGTGGAGTCTTGCTCCGTCATCCAAGCTGGGGTGCATTGATGCAATCTCGGCTAACTGCAACCTCCACCTCCCGGGTTCAAGTGATTCTCCTGCCTCAGCCTCCCTAGCAGCTGGGATTACAGGCTACTGCCACCATGCCTGGCTAATATTTTTGTACTTTTAGTAGAGATAGGGTTTCGCCATATTGGCCAGGCTGATCTCAAACTCATGACTTCACGTGATCTGCCCGCCTCAGCCTCCCAAAGTGCTGGGATTAAAGGCATGAGCCACTACGCCCTGCCAAGTATAACTGTCTTATATATCCTATTCACTGCCAAATCTCCAGGGCCTCACACAGGGTCTACTATACTCAATAACATTTGTTATATTCAATAAATATTTGTTGAATTAATGAATGAGAAATAATTCCACAAAGGTTTATTAAATGAATGAGAAACTTTAGATGTGGTTCTTAGTATTCTTTATCAAAAGTAGATGCCTATCAAAGTGAGTAATTCTTAGAGCAAACTCTGTGTGCAAAAAAGAACACACGCAGACAATTATCTTAAAAATGAGAGACTAGTTATATTAGCATGCTGCAGACCCAGTGGTGTAGAAGATTGCAAGAGTAATAATGAAAGCATTTAGACAGGCATGCTAGTCTAAAATCTGATAAAATGATTTAACCATGTTCACCAGTGTAGTCAAATAAAAATTTTCAGCTGTTGTAACAAGCCATCAATCAAACTGATAAAAAATTATTAGACTTACTCTAAGGATTGCTGGATTACCAGCAGAAAAAAAAGACCTTTTGTCCTTTTGTGGGTTCATTTTTGTTGCTTTTTGATAGAATTAGTCTTCTAGTTTGTATGGTTTGTGAGTTGAAGAATAACAGTAAAAGATCATAGTATTTGGTCAGGTCTTTGAATTTAAAACAATACAGAAGATAGCCTGTATAATTTTAAGTAATATAAATTACGTAAATTTAATGATTTAAACTTAAATCATTACTCAAAAATGTATTTTTGAGTAATTATTACTCAAAAATGTATTTCATGATGAATACTGCTTTTTTGTATCTTAAAAGATTTTCAGATTTTTAATCTCATTTTGCTATATGGTTAAATTCATCCATTTCCATAGTATCAACCACTGTTACAAATGAGGGCATCAAATTCTGTTACATTGTACAGATAATCTAAATGTCACCAAAAACAGGTACACATTTGCTTTTTCAACTTTTATATCCATTGTTTTTCTTTGACTCTCAACCTTTTTAAAAGTCAGATCCTTGTTCTTGGATGGCTTTTTCCCCTGTCCCAATGCCAAGCCTTCTAGATTTCAATTTCTGCTAAAATTTTAGCTAGTGTAGTGGATGCAAAGTGAACCCTCACTGATGGATTGATTAACTATCAAGCTGCCCAATGTCTTCTTTACATGACTTTTTAGGTTCTTTGGGAGGGTGAATAAGTCCTTTCTCTTATTTATTGATAATTGCCACTGTAATGCTTAGAAATGAAATTCCTACTGATATATTATTTTGATTCACTAGCATCAGGTACTCTCAACCGTAATGTCTTCCTTTTATTTTTTTAAAACAACACAGACAGTAACCTGTGTCATAGACATTATTTCCACTTTTTCCCATATCTCACTCACTGTATATCTCTGCCAAAGATTAACTTACATGGGGAGTAAACTCTCCACTAAACTGAGCAGTGATTCTTCATATTAAAGGAACTTCCTTTTTCCCAAAACCATATTAAATTTGCTTATTCATAGAGGAGAAATTCCCCCTGAAATATTCTATTTATACTTTTAGCTATGCCCTTTTAGGCTGTGTTTGTGCTGTCTCACTTTAATTTTCTCTGGAGCTAAAAATAAGTCAGAAAACTGTCCCACATATTCCATATTTCTATAGTGCTCATTTCTTATAACTTTGTCTTTCCCCTTACCTGATGCCTTCTGAAATCTTCTCCTATTAGGAATATTATTTGAGCAGTGCTTTGCATACATCTCATTTGATCCTCAGACACATCCCAGGGTAAATGCCGTTTCAGTCTCCAATTCACAATGTAAAAACTGAAGAAATGTTGAATGACTTGCCCAAGGTCACCCACCAATGATGGAGTGGAGCTGAGACTTGAGCATGGATCCTTCTGATGTGAGATCCAAAGTTATTCAGCTGTGCCCAAACATTTTAGACCAGTACATACCTCTTATTCACCCAGTTTTTTCTCATTGGTTCTTGTTTTCATGTAACTCATGACATCTTTTTAAAATTATGCTTTTATCCTATACATAACTGGAAGATATGCACACTAGTGTAATACTTTAATATTTTACACTGTATTCTTCCAGAAACAGATGGGTAATAATGTACCTGTTTCTTTGTAATTTTCTTTTTTATTCATGACTGTGACAGTTTCCCATGGCCTAGTATTCATGTCATTTTAAATGTCTTTTGTAGATTCTTCTTTCTGTGGTTCTTTAACAATTTATTTAGCCAATTTTCAACTTGGGGACAGCTAGTCTGTCTCCAATTCTTTGGTATTTTAAACCATTACAACAGTCTCCTGGTTCCATATGTGTACTCATCCATAAACCTTTTGTTAGGATATGTTCCTTGAAAAGTAATGTTTTATTCACAGCATGATGAAAATCAGCCAAATAGCTCTCCAGAAAATGTTGCCAATCTACTCTTCCAAAAGAACCATAGATGTATGTACATGTTTACTGTTCTCCAACATTGGATATTATAACTTAAAAATTATTGTCCAGTTTGATAATCACAACAAAGAGAATTGTTTTTGTTTTCTTTTGTGTTTTCTTTTTTTAGAGTCAAACTGGATTTTTTCATGTTGATTTATAATTTTTCAAGTTGCCTGTGATATTTCATAAATGATTTTCTTAAGTATTGAGAGGAATGTGTGTATGATGTGCAAACATTTTTCTAATTTATCTTCAGCTATAAAATATGTTCAATAGCAATTTTCACTTACAAGAATTTGGGTTTTTTTTGGTTTTTGGTTTTGTTTTTTAAACCTAGAAATGTTTTTTATACTATATGGTATTGGTGTCCTAATTAGAAAGCATTTCCACTCCCCAAGGTTATATAAATATTCAGACATATTTTTCATTTATATTAATGGTTTTGCTATTTGTGTGTATATTTAAATTACTTTGGCTTGTTTTGAAGCAAGGCTTTGACTTCCTTTTTCCTTTCCTCTAAGGGTCAGCCAATTGCCTCAACAGCATCTGGTGAATAATTCTCTTCCCTATCAATTTAAAATAGCATAATAATCAGGCCCCAAAACTTTATCAGTACTTGGATTTGTTCATGGATTCTTAATACTTTCATTTTTCCTTTGTTGTACGTAGGGTAGGGTAAGTTCAACATTACACTTTTTTTTTTTTTTTCCCCCAATCCAGAGGGCAAATCTTCTCTCAGGGCTCATCTTCCTTGAAAGTTCCATTGCTCTTTCCAAGCAAAGAGTTGTCCAAATGAGCAGTACAATGATTGCTTTATCTTACAAAAATATTATTCTGTAGACTTCTTTGGGGAGAATCAACATCTTTATGCTAAGTATCCCCACCAAATAGCATGATATGTTTCTCCATTTATTCAGACACTCTTCTGTAAAGTTTCTTTTGAAACCAATGCGTATGTTACATACTGAAAAATGCATTTACATGTACACTGGTGTAAATGGAAACATTTCAAAGTTATATTTTCAAACTGACTTTTGTGTATTTATTTTGTGGTCAGCTACTTTCCTAAACTTTTTTATTAGTTCTAATACTTTTAATGAATTGTTTACATTTCTAACAATCAAATCATCTTCAAGCAATAATAATTTAGGATCTTTCTTTATGGTTATTTGTATCTTTTTTTCTCTTATGAAACAGAATCAATCTTCCAGAGCAACAGTATGTCATATATATTTTCTTATTTTAATGGAATGTTTGAAAAGTGCAAAGTACTATTGGTGTAAGAGATATTCTTTACTAAGGTAGTCTTCTATTATTTTCAATTTACTTAGAGTTTTTTAATTCAGGATGAATTTCACTTTACTCAAATTTTTGGCCTAGCCATATGTTAAATTATGTGAGTGAAGCTCTTTGCATCAAACTCTCTTTTCAGTTTTAGAATTAACTATAATTGGTCATGCTGTGTTGTTCTTTAGTTTACACTGTTAGATTTGTGTTAATTTATGACTTTTACATCTTTAAATTTAAGTGCAACTGGTATCTATTTTCCCCTTTTTGTGTATCACATCTTTATCACCCTAATGTTATCTGTATGAAATAAATTAAGATATAATTTCTGTCTGTCAGTGTGTGTGTGTGCATGTGCGCCCACAGGTGCATGCCCTCCAGAATTGTCTAGCTCTACATCTGTTTTCAAAGAGTGCCCAAACTGTGGAAGTGGGAAAGGGAGATCACCCGCCCCCAAACACACACCCCCACTGCTGAACCTGAAGATCTAGATTACAGGAGATGATTCTGACCTTTCCTGGAACTGAGTCATTTTAAAGAGCCGAATGAAATATAGGGATAGAGGAAGCAGCAGCAAAAGCCTTGTGGGCTCCCTGGGTCCCCTAGCAAGGCATTTCTGCTTTGCCTCACAGGGGTCCTTGATGCGGGCTGCCAGAGACACTAGGAAAAGGCCACAGGAAGAAGGAAACCTCCAGATGAACTTTTTAACAATTTGAACCAATTGAAAACTCTCCTAACCAGAACTCAGGGGAGGGCGTAAATCTGGTGTGCAGACTCCACAGGCAGGGGAAGAACAAAAGCCCTGCTTGCTTTCGCAGCTGGGAGGTGGGTAGCCTGGGAAGGTTCTCAGCCCTGCTCACCCACTGCCTGGAAACAGACTTGGTACTGTTGAGTGGGGCAGGGGCACGATGGGAGTGAGACCGGCCCTTTGGGTTGCATGGGAGCTGGATGAGGCCTGTGGCTGCCGGCTTTCTCCCACTTCCCTGATGGCCTGTGTGACACAGTAGAGGCAGCCATAATCCTTCTAGGAACATAACTCCATTGAACTGGGAACCACACCCCCATCCCCCACGGCAGTCACAGCAAGACTCACCCAAGGAGAGTCTGAGCTCAGACACTCCTAGCCCTGCCCCGACCTGATGGTCCTTGCCTACTCACCCTGGTATCTGAATACAAAGGGTACGTACTCTTGGGAGTTCCCATCATGATATTGTTAGGTGTTTGCCTTATGGTTATGTATTGCGTTTTTGCTTTATAGGGTCTGTGGGCTATGTACTTAACTGTGTTTTTCTGGTACTGGTTGCTGTTCTTTGGTTTCTATGTTTAAAATTCCCTTTAGTTTCTATGCATAAAGCAGGTTTTATACTAGGCTGTGCAGTTTGTCCTACAAGGATCTCTGGTAAGGCTGATCTAGTGGTAATTAATTCCCTTAGAGCTTACTTGTCTGGAAAAGATTTTATTTCTCCTTCGCTTATAAAGCTCAGTTTGGCAGGATATGAAATTCTTGGTTGGAATTTCTTTTATTTAAGAATGCTAAAAATAGGCCAAATCTCTCTTGGCTTGTAAAGTTTCTGCTGAGAAGTTCTCTGTTAGCCTGATGGAGTTTCCTTTGTTTGTGATCTGCCCTTTTTCACTAGCTGCCTTTAAAATTTTTTTTTTTTTTGGTGTTAAACTTGACAGTCTGGTGACTATATGTTTTGGTGATGTTCATTTTGTATAGCATCTTGCAGGTGTTGTCTGGATTCCTTGTATCTGGATGTCTACTTGTCTAGCAAGATTAGAGAAGTATTCTTCAATTATTTCCTCAAATATATTTTTCAGGTTATTGGTTTTTTCTCCTTCTCTCTCAGGAATGCCAATAATTTGTAGCTTTGGTCGCTTTACATAATCCCATATTTCTAGAAGATTTGCTCATTTTTTAAAATTATTTTTTCTTTATTTTTGTCAGATTGGGTTAGTTCAAAGGACCAGTCTTCAAGCTCTGAAATTCTTTCTTTTCTTTGGCCCAGTCTTGGATGAAGCCCTCAATTGTATTTTGTTATTTCTTAACTGAGTTTTTCAATTCCAGAAGCTCTGATTGATTTTTTTTTTTAATGTTTATCTCCTCCTTCATTTTCTGGATTGGTTTAGAAGTTTCTTTGTATTGATTTTCAACCTGGTTTTGAATCTCAGTGAGCTTCCTTGAAATCCATGCTTTGAATTCTTTATGTCATTTCTGAGTTTCCATTTTGGTTAAGGATCATTGCTGGAGAGCTACTGCAATCCTTCGATTGTGTCAATGGATTCAGAGTTTTTATGGTGCCAATATTCTTGCACTGGTTCTTTCTCATCTGGAGACAATGGAACTTCTAATTTTTGTAATTATTTTCATGAGGGTAAGATTTTTTTCCATTTCTTTCTTTCCATAAAAGGTTATTATTATTATTATTATTTTCTTATTCTTTCCCTTTTCCCCTATCCCTATGGGGTGTGACTTTAGAGAATGCTAAGTAGGGGCTTTTGGTTTTGCTTTGATAGCCTTATGCACTTCTTTTGGCAGGCTTTGTACTGGGCTGTGCTGTTTGTCCTACAAGCCCATAGATGACACTTATAGGTAAGGGCCAGCAGCAGCCAACATGGCTGGGTATATACCTGATCCTTGTTTACTGGCAGAAGCTCTCTGTTGCCTCAAGTAATTGGGCCAATTCATGGAATGCACAGTGATCTGAGCTCCCTGCTCAGCATGGGGTGTGGCAGGGGGCAGGGGGTGCGGGTGTGGGGAGAGCCACAAAGGGTGGGGCTGGATCAGGCAGGTGTGCCTACAGGTCCCCTGATGGCAAGCACAAGCACCAGTGCCAAGGGAGAATCCAGTGGGTGGCCACCAGGCATCCAGAGGTGTACCTAGGCATGGAGTTGAGAAACTGCTTCAGCTTCAAAATCTCTGCAAGGGGATACAAGGGAGGCTTAAACTCCTAATCCAGGAGAGTGGTTGCTCCAGATGCCTGGAGATGTGCCTGGGCATAGAGCAGAGAGGACCCCCCTGCACCAAGATCTCTGCACAAGAGGAGTGGGGTGACTCCAGCTGCTGCACCAAGACAAGCAGTTGCTCCAAATGCCTGGAGGCCTGCCTGGGTGTGGAGTGGAGAGAGTCTTGCTGTACCATGATCTATGTCCAGGAAAGATGGAGAGGCTCAGGTTGCTGAACCAGACAAGTAGGTGCTCCAAATGCCTGGTGATCTGCCTGGGCATGAAGCAGAGAGGGTCTCCCTGCTACATGATCTCTGCACAGGAAGGGCGAGGTGGTTTAGGCTGCCAGTCCAGGTGAACTGGTACTCCAAATGCCTGGATTTCTGCTGGATGTGGAGCAGAGAGGGCCCTGCTGCACCCCAATCTTAGGGTATCAGGCCGGGGCACTGAGCAACGGCACACACAGATGGTTTCTAGGTTGCCAAGCTTCCACTGGCTGCAAGCCTCATCCAGAAGAAACCACAGCTGTAGCAGCTCTCCTCCCACCCTAGGCCTGTGAGGGGGGAAAGCACAATTCCAGCACCTCCTGCTGTGACACTTTCCACAGTTCTGGCTGTGGAGGCCCCTATCCAGCTCGAGAGCAGGCACTCCCACCTCTGGCCTGACAGTAAAATGCCTTCATAGTCATGCTGCCAGGTTGCCAAGGAGTGGCTGACTTTGTATGCACCCAGATTAAAAATGGCACTTGGTCCTGGCTCTGAGAAAATACCTGCAGCTTTTCCCAGTGTGTTTCTCTTGTAGTGTCTCCAAGCCTCTCACCAGGTTAACTCCAGAGCTTGGGAGAAACAAAGTCCCCTCCCTCCACCTGAGTTGCTCGGACTCCTAGTGGAAAAGTGAGTCACAGAGGGAGGCTCTCTGTCCCTCTCACATAATGGGGCTTCACTCACTTTTATCAACTGGACACCATCACAAGAGCTGTTCGCCAGCACTCTTCTTTCCAGAATCTGGGGTGTCCTGCATGATTCCAGTAGATTCCCATTTTCCTCCTTGAATTAAAGCTCACAGAGTTGATCTTTGTGTACTATCTTGATATTTCCAAGTGGCTGAAGCATGCTGAAAGCCTCAGAGTAGGAAAGGTGCATTAAAGTTGTTTATTGTGATTCTGATTTTTTTTACATATTTATATTTTGGTTTTATATATTTTTATCTTATTGCTTAATACAAACATATCCATGACTGTGAGAGTTTCTATTTGGATTGTATTTTTATTAATTAAATCAGTCTGTCTTTAATTCTTCTTTTCCTCAGAATCCATTTTGTCTGACATTAATAGCCACCTCTGGCTTTTTTTTTTTTTTCCATTTCCCCTTTAGAATTTTGTCTGTTTATGTGTTGAAGTCCTCACCCTGAGTACCTCAGAATGTGACCTTATTTAGAAATAGGGTCATTGCAAGTGGTTTGTTAACCTGAGGCTCTCTTAACTAACTACTTAAGGTTAGAATGTAGCCTTATTTGGAAATAGGGTTGTTACATATGTAGTTAGTTAAGATGAGGTTACTGGGGGGCTTACCCATCCTAACCCAATATAATGGATGTCCTTATAAAAAGGGGAAATTTGCAAACAGAAACATGCACATAAGGATAATGTCATGTGAAGATGAAGGCAGAGATCAAGGGATGCATCCACAAGCCAAGGAATGCCAAGGATGGCCCCAAGCCACCAAGAGGTAGGAGAAATACATAGAACAGATTCATCCTCATGGACCTCAAAAGGAATCAACCTGTCGACATATTTAATTCAGAATTTTACCCTCCAGAAGTGTGAGAAAATAAATTCCTGTTGTGCAAGCCACCTGCTTTGTGGTAGTTTGTTACGGCAGCCCTAGAAAACAAACACACTTTATTTTGAGCCTTTCTGTTTATTTTTACTGTGTGTACAACTCTTAGGAATGGTATACAATTAATCCACCAACAATAAATAAGGCTAATACAGGGCGTAGGGGCACACATAATTTGAATCACTGTTAAAACAAAACTCTGGTAACATTTTGTTATCCAGTTTATCCAGCTGATATTCAGATTAATCAGAGTTTAGATGAATTGTGACTAAGGTACCTCAGTGAATTAGAACTCATTAACTTTCCCAGTGGAAAGTTAACTTTTCCTATTACCTGCTCATTAATGCTGATTATTAGTCTCTCATAATGCAAAATAAAATGATGCAAGCCTTGGGGTGGGAACTTCACCTACCCCAGCCTTGGGCTGGGTCTTCACCCTCAGTATGTTGCCCTCCCCTATGTGTCCACTGCAGATTCCCTTCTCCTCTCTCAAGAGGATGAGCAGTGCTACTCATGCTTCTGGTCTCCCAACCTTCCTGCCTACCTCTGTTTTGCAGTTGAAATGACCTTGCATTTTAGACCAAGATCATCAGGTGGTACTTTTTTCTTGTGTATATGTATATTCTCTTTCAAAAATTGATACTGATATTACATGTTTCATAAATTGTAGTAACAATTATTTTGACAAGTCTAAGTTTTATTATAAATAGTATGTAGTGTTTTTAAGGCCATGTTCTTCACATTATTTAGGATTGTATAAATGTTTCATTTTTTCATTGCTTATGATTTCTCTACTTTTGTGAGAAATATTACTTGTGTCTTATTATTTTTTAGTTTTTGCAGAATCTGAGAATATTTTTGCTGCCCTCACACATGAATGATAAATTTACCGGGCATAAAATGTTCCGGTAACAACATTTTTATGCTGAAACTCCATAGATATTTCTACATTGTTTTCTCACATTTGGGGGTTGTACAGAGGTCTGTTGCCAATTTTATATATATTCCTTGTAGGTAACCTCTTTTTCTGCTTGGATACGCATGGGAATTTTTATTTAATATTGACAGAAATATTCACAAAACCTCATCTAACAGTGTGTCTTACTCTTAATTTCACCTACTATTAAATGAAATTCTTCTATTTTTAACTTATGACTTCTTCAGCTTAGAAAATTTGTCTTCTGTTCTTTTGTTGGATGTTTCTTTCCTTCAATATTCCCTCTCATTCTGAGATTCCTGTTATACAGAGTATACTATCTCTAATCAGTACCTTTCCCTCATCTTTTAATCTCTTTTCTCTTTTCCCTGAGTTGTTTGAATATCTAGATTATGCTCTAAATCTCTAATATTGTTTTCTACAGTATTCAATGTATTTAATTTTTAAATTATTTATTATAAATATTTGAATTTTGATCCCCAACCTCTTGGACTCATGACCAAGTTCTGTTCCCATATGGATCACACTGATGTCAATTTCTGCTTACAGCTTTAGTTTTTGACTCTCTATTTTTGATAGTAGGGTTCTACTTTCTTTTTTTTGAGATTGGCTATGGATTTCTAATGAAGATGTGACATTAGTCTTGTTAAATAAATATTATATTAAGGCCATTGTTTTGGACTGTTACTATACTAGGTATACTAGGCCCAATAGACCAGGCCAAACCAGAATGGAGTCACTTGTGCTAAGTGCCACATAACGAAATGGAACTTTAAAATGGGCCAGTGAGGCCAGGAGCAGTGGCTCATGCCTGTAATCCCAGCACTTTGGGAGGTTGAGGTGGGCAGATCACCTGAGGTCGGGAGTTTGAGACCAGCCCGGCCAATATGGTGAAACCCCATCTCTACTAAAAATACAAAAATTAGCTGGGCGTGGTGGTGGGTGCCTGTAATCCCAGCTGCTGGGGAGGCTAAGGCAGGAGAATCCGTTGGACCCGGGAGGTGGAGGTTGCAGTGAGCCGAGATCATGCCACTGCACTCCAGCCTGGGTGACAGAGCAAGACTCCGTCAAAAAAAAAAAAAAAAAAAGGAACAGTTTGAAAAAAAGCAAAGAAATAAACAACAAACAAACAAACAAAAACAGAGAATCACAACAACCAATCAGAAGGAGCCCAGTTTATCTAAACTGGCACAATAAGGAAATCTCCTGTTTTAGCTCTATAAGGAAAATAACTTTGAAACAACCAACCCACATTGTGCTCTCTGTTTTTGTTTTTTCAGCCCTTTTCTGCCTATAAATCCCACCTCCTCTCCTCAGTTCATTGGTGCGCTATTTTATGGCTGGGATACTGCCTGATTTATGAATTGCTAATAAACTCAATTAGATCTTTAAAACACAATTTGTTGAAATTTTGTTTCTTAACAGTCTTTAGGCTGGTCCAGTCTGAACTATATTGCTTTTATCCCATACAGTGTGTCCGGATGCTTGCATCTTGCTTTATGCCCCTAAATTAGAGATAACAGCATTTTTGTTCTTTCCTTGTTAAATTTAGAAATAAGTAGTACATCTCAGTTTATTTAACTTGAGTTTACCACCACTAGGAGTTGCATTTGGAAGTGATTTATAAACACCATAGTCAGTAAGCTTAGTTCCTCCTTAGAATCCCAGTGAAAGATTAATTTCCCCTTTGTGCAATATAGATATTCTTCCTGCGAGATAAAATACACCAGGGCCCAGGTACTTTTTGTGTGACACTGTTAAGTTCCCCTGCCACCTTTCTGTCCCACAAGAGTTTCTTGAGATGTCAACTTAACTACTACAACTCTAATTTGGAGTAGCTACCATTGTTACAAACACAGAATTAATACCACATTTAAATTCTTTGAACCACATGTCACTATGAACAGGCTGATTGGAAGTATGGGAGGATACAGATTTACCTAAGGCCTCCAAAGTTATGTGAGACCATGTATCAAATGATATAAAGCTATAAATGCCTTAAATTAACCATCTGAAACCAGAAAGACTCTTTCTTAGACATTCTATATAATCTAATTTCTAGTAATAGCTATTAATTTCATTGCATTACCTTAAAACATAGAATGTTTGCTCTCAATGGATCATAAAAACCATTTAGTCTAAATTTTAAACTTTACAAATGAGGATATTCAGGCACAGAGGGTATGAAAGATTTGTCCAAGATCAATCACATAGCTAGCTAGGGTGTATAGATGGAGTTTCCTGCTTCCTGGTCCAAGCACTGTTTCCTTTATACTATATAATATGTTACAGAAAAATGTACATGCCACTACATAGTATCATGCAACATATTTATTTCTTTTTCTTATGGCTTGAAGCAGTGGTTATGATTTTTAAAAATCCAAATTTTAGTCAATCACGAACTCACTATAAAGCTATTAGGAGACTCATAAGGACAATTTCAGGGCTGGGAGGATCTACTCCGGACCAAATTCTGGACGTTACCACTTATTCAAGGCGCACAAAATTTTGAAGCATGTAGCAGCTCAAAAATTCTGACACATGCAGCTGGGGAAAAAGGAATAAAATAATGCTACTCATCTTCCGGGTTGTCAAGTTGACAATCAGTGCTGTGATTCATCCCTGAGCCCTTCTAACTTGGCACTACCATGCGATAAATAAACGTAATCCAAGTGACAGTGCTCAAATCAGAACTGATTTGATTGTTCACTTGTGATAGATACCAGAAGCCTAAGAACTCTTGCACCATCTCTTTAAATGGGGGAACTTAGAGGTGACAAAAAGTGCTTTGATTTTAATGTCCAGTTTTTATATATATGTGTGTGTGTGTCTATACTTCAAGTGTGTATATACATACATGTATATGATATATGTGTGTGTGCATCACATACCTCTGTCAAATTGTTCTTGGAATTTCTGACAAAATAAATGTGTAACCTGGTACAAAAATGTGAAAATTATTAGGCTCCATTAGTACTATTTTTATAAAACCTAAATCACTTGGTAACTCTCAGGGAGGAATCAAATTTTCCAGTGAAGGCCAGGCGTGATGGCTCATGCCTGTAATCCCAGCACTTTGGGAGGCCAAGGCGGGCAGATCACGAGGTCAGGAGATCAAGACCACGGTGAAACCCTGTCTCTACTAAAAATGCAAAAAATTAGCCGGGTACGGTGGCAGGCGCCTGTAGTCCCAGCTGCTTGGGAGGCTGAGGCAGGAGAATGGCATGAACCTGGGAGACGGAGCTTGCAGTGAGCTGAGACCACGCCACTGCACTCCAGCCTGGGTGACAGAACGAGACTCCGTTTCAAAAAAAAAAAAATTTTTTTCCAGTGAAATTAATAATTTAAGAAATTATGGGCCAGGCACACCCATAATTGTGATTATGGCTCACACCTATAATCACAGCACTTTGGGAGGCCAAGGCAGGTGAATCACCTGAGATCAGGAATTTGAGACCAGCCTGGCCAACATGGTGAAACTCCATCTCTACTAAAAATACAAAAATTAGCTGGGTGTGGTGGTGTGCACCTGTAATCCCAGCTACTTGGGAGGCTGAGGCAGGAGAATCTTTTGAACCTGGGAGGCAGAGGTTGCAGTGAGCCGAGATTGCACCACTGCAGTCCTGTCTGGGTGACAGGGTGAGACTTTGTCCCAAAATAAATAAATAAACAGAAATTATATATTCATTTGGCAACTGGAACTTTCGAACTTTTGGTGGTATGTTCTACAGAATTAAAATAGCCAAATTGTTTAAAATGAGAAAACATACCGTTTGTAAATTGGTGGAAATGATGCAACTCACTTATAAAACAGAGACTAAAATGGAAGCAGATTGAACTAACATGAAGAAAGACTTGTCTTTAAATTCTACATCATGCACAAACTATAAAGTTTGAGACTCTAAAGACTTGGTGGATCCACATTTTCTCATTTGTCTGAGTGTATGCTTATAGTACCCAAATACATCTTCTTATATAAATAAAAAATGAAAAGAGTTTCATTCATTTTGTCAACAAGCATTTATTGAGTCCTTAGCAGTATTAAGCAATGTGCTACAGAATGGGGTGAATAAGACATTTCATCAAATAACTCATAGTATAGAAAGGGGGAATTAACAAATAATTCTATTAAGTATAATTATATTCCACAAAGGAGAAAATACAAAGTGTAAAGAGCATGGAAAGTGGAGTAACTGCCTCATGCCATCAATGTGTGGGGAGAGAGGGAAAGAGACAAAACAGAGCATAAAAAATTATTTTTGTAAATCTATAGATGAGTCCAAAACAAAGAAAGTAAATCTCCAGGAGCCAAAAAGAACCAAAAGCCAAAGAAGTAAGAAGAAACTGTTATCATCTCTGTGATCCATATGGGAAATAGACTTGTATATGAGCTCAAGAGGCTAAAGGCTGGGATTGTAAATACTCACAGGAAGACAAACATCATGGCTCCCAGCACAGCAAAGCAAGGAGCTGGTACCAATAACTGCATAAAATCTGGACTCTTAAAGGACTAAGCTTTCCACACAAATGACTTTTCACAAATTACCCCTTTCCCCAAGAAAATGGCAACGAGACATTCATCTATTAAGGGGAGTGGATGAGGACAAACTCATACACACCAAAACAAAAACCAAGCTTGAATCATATCTAAGTTAATTGAGATTTGAGTTGCCAAAGCAGAAGAAAGCAGTGGGATGTCTCATAACTAAGAAACAATAAAAATCAACTTAGATTCTTATACGCATCCAATCTATCATTCAATAGTGATGGGAAAATAAAGACAAAGGCAGAGTTAACTTACACAAACTCCCTCAACAAAGAATAAATAATGTATTTCTGTAAAATATTAATATTAATAATAATTATAATCACAGAAGGAAAAAAGCAAGATAAACGAGCAAAGGCAAGCAAAGGAATTGGTAAGCATTTTGCAAATATTAATAAATATGGATTCTAATGATAAGGATGATGATGGTGATGATGATGATGATGATGAAATATAATAAATCAAGTTGAAGTGTTAAAACCAAAGATAGGTTCATAGGTTTTTTGGAAAATTATGCCGAATATATAACTTCCCTTAACTTTCAACCCTCATTTCAATTTATTCACTTCTCTTTAATCATAATAATTCTTTCTTTGGCCCAAACTTTATTTTTCAAGCTTTTTTTCAAGCTTTTGTTTTTTTCTTTTCTTTTCTTTTCTTTTTTTTTTGAGACGGAGTCTCGCTGTCACCCAGGCATGATCTCGGCTCACTGCAATCTCTGCCTCCCAGGTTCAAGCTATTCTCATGCCTCGGTCTCCCGAGTAGCTGCAACTACAGGCGTGTGCCACCACACCTGGCTAATTTTTGCATTTTTAGTAGAGACGGGGTTTTGCCATGTTGGCCAGGCTGGTCTTGAACTCCTGACCTCAAGTGATCCTCCCACCTTAGCCTCTCGAAGTTTTGGGATTACAGGCATAAGCCACCATGCCTGGTTTATTTTTCAAATATTGATATAGGTTTCTTTTGATTTGCATTTTTCTGATATATCTCTTTCTAACATTTTACTTTCAATCTTTTTGTTATTTATGCTTTAGGTGCCATATATATATATATATATATGACATCTAGTTGGATTTTGCTTGTTTTAATCCAACCTAGGTATTTTTTAAATAAGTTATTCATTTATATTTAATGTAATTAATGAAATATTTGAAATTTATTCTACTGTCTTATTTTGTGCTATTTGTTCTGTTTTTTCTATGTTTCTTTTGTTCCTCTTTTTCCACTTTCTTTGCAATTACTATTTCTCTTTCACTCTTTTCAATCTCTGCTCCTGGAGTTATACAAGCTATTTCTCTTCTCTTTATATGTAACATCAATCCTCCATATAATATTTCCAAATAATATAAGACCTTTAGAATACCTGGACTCCAATATCCCACATTCTGTCTTCTCTATTACTCTCATTCAACGTTTAACCACATTTTAATTTTTAATCTCCAAATTAGATAATACAGTTATTGTTTTATTCAGTTCTCTTTCCCACTTTTTTATACAACTATTTCATAGCTTCCTTTCCTTCTGCAAACTTCATAGCCATCTTCTCCCTCTTCAATATTTGTTTAGTTATCCATATTTATACCATCTTTTTTACTGTCTATTCTTTCTTAACTCTCAGACCTTTTTCCTGGGTCACTTTTCTTCCTCTTTAAGTAAATCCTTCAAAATATTTGCTAATGTAGATTGGTTAGTGTTAAACCCTTTCAGTTCTTGCTTTGCTGAAAATTTATGTATTTCACTCCTGTTATTGAATACCTTGAAAATGTGGATTATTATATATTCCATTGATTTTCTTATGCTGGTTGTAACTTATGTGATCTTTTTCTGCTTCTTTAGTGAGTATCACTTAAACATTAGTATATATGGGTTTCATTTCCTTAACTCCACTTAGGCATCATTGTGATGACATATGCTAAGGATTTCTGTCTTTATCCACCATCAGAAGCTCTGTTATGTTATTGAATATTGCCTTTCCCTCATCACATGCATCAAATTGACAAAAGTTAGAAGTCTGGCAATATCAAGTGTTAGCATGGAATGTAAGAAATGGGAAGGTTATACACTTCATGGGAGAGTGTAAATGAGAAACCCACATTGGAAAACAATTTGGCATTATCGAATAAGTTAAAATTGTTCATCCATTATGATGCAAAAATTCCATTCTAAGTATATATCAAAGAGACACTCACTTTCACAAGGCAACATGGGTGCTGATGTGTGTTACAGCATTGTAGATAATTGCCAAATGTTGGAATTACCTAAATGTACATTGAGATGGATAAACAAACTATTATATAATGTTCAACTAAAAATTACTCAGCAGTTAAAAATGAATGAAGTAAATCTACTTTTGTTATTAATATTGATAAATTTTCAGTGATGATTGCCTCATTATGACTTTTGTTTATTTTTTAGACAGTGTATCCATTGTTATGTATGTGTTGACAATTTATGAAGATTTGGATGCGTTCAATCTTCAGGAAAAGGAAAGAAGGAAAAGGCTTGGGAAGGGAAATGAAGTTGGAAAAAACAATAAAATGGGATTCAGCTATGTCTATAGTGTTGTGTTTCTTTACAAAAGGAAAAAGCTGTGAAGAAAAATGTTAACAATTTCTTAGATCTGGTTTTTAAGTTAGTGAATATTTTTCTATGCTCTGTCCCTTTCTGTATGTTTTAATAATTAACCTGTATTTACATACACAAATACAAATAGTACTATGAAATTAAAATCTAAGAAAGGCAAATTTTGGTACAGCCTTATCATCTTCATATATGCCTCTGAAGATACTGGGACATGGCTGGCTGCCACTACCTCCAATATTCTTGCCATAGCTCACTGTCATTTCAACATGTAGACAGACAATCATTTCAATTATGCATTCTCTCCAGTGGCCACTCCCTATACTACATCATGACTGCTGGCCTCTACCTCCTAACTTCCCAAATCACTCTATCTTGTATCTCACTCCCAACAATTCCTTAGCCACAAAAAGACCTAAAATTCACAGATTATAGCCCTGTTCTGACTGCATGTCCCTGGAAGTACTCTGACCACCACCTCAGGTTCCAGGTCTGTCATTATAATCTCCCCCTTGCTTAACACTCTCCCGGCCGAGCCAAACTTCTGCTTGATCCTCCCCCTCCTTCCACTCTGGACTTGTGCCCAGATGGATGAATGCGACTGGAGAAAAATCCACAACCATGCTGAGGGGTTTCTCTTTTAACTCATGACTTAAACCTTAAGAGAATCATTATTGTTGTCCAGCAATGCTATAAGTTTATTTTATTCTCTTTCCCACATTCTTAAACAACTATTTCATAGCTTCTTTTCCTTCCACAAAACTTCCATCACCATCTTCTCCCTCTTTAATCAGCTAATGTTTTTGCATTCTGTTTCCCTGAAAAAACAAAAGCAGTTAGAATAGAACTTCAACATATTCCCACCATTATATCGACAATATTCCAGCATCTGCACCCAGTTTCTCTGCCATCTCCTGTTGCCCTCAGTACTATGGATAAGCTGTCTCAGTTCTTATCTACAGACAATCCCATCCTTTCTGCACTGATGCCATCCCCTCTCTCCTCCTCAATTTCACCCGTCCAACAACTGTCTCCCTTCTCTATATCATCAGTTTTTCTTTCTACTGACTCATTCTCCTCAGCTTGAAACATGCTATAATTCCTCCAATATGTATTTTCAAAACACCTTGTTCCCACTTCTCTTCTCCCTTAAACTACCACTCTATTTATCTACTCCTCTTTATAGCAAAGCTATAAAGAGTTGTAAGAGTTTTATAAATATAGCTATATGGCTTTTCTACTTCCTTTGTCCCATTCTTTCTTGAACCACTACTAATCAGTCTTTTATCCCAACCTCTGTGCAAATAGCTTTTGTCAATTTGACTATTGATCTCTACATTGTCGAATCTAGTGGACAATCTTTTGACCTTATCTTACAGGACTTAGCAGTGGCATTTAAAGTAGTCAATTACTTTGTGCTTCTTGAAATGTTTTCTTCACTGGCTTGCTGAATTCCACTCTCTTCTGCTTCTCCTCCTTCCACACTGGAAATCCATTTGAATCTCTTATCTCTCCCTTTCCTTTTCATCTTCCTGACCTGTGAACACTGAATGTCTCAGGGCTTAGTCATTGAACTTCTCTTCTTATGTATCATCCATAATTATATTGGTAATCTCATTCAGTATTATGGATATAAATGTCATCCATAAGCTCATAATTCTAAAAATTTTATCTCCTAACTCCAGTATCATATTTCCAGCTATCTACCAAACATTTCCATCTGATAGCCATCTTTAACTTATTATGGACTGAACAGAACTCATGATCCTCAACTCCTCCCCAGTCTCAAACCGCCAACAGACTTCTCTACTTAGTAAATGGCAAGTCCATTCTTTCAAGCATTTCAACCAGTTCAAGCATTTCAAGCTTCAGCTCATCTCCAACCATCCCCATCTCTACCACACTGTTTCACGCCACGATCATCTCTCCTCTGGACTGGCGCTGTGTCCTGCCACTAGCCTTATGCCTTTGTCCATCCATAGCCTACACTCCATTAAAATGCAAAGTGATCACTTGAAGACACAAGTCAGATCTTATCAGTCCTCTCCTCAAGCTCTCCTGTGGCTTCCCATTTAGCTTAGAGTGGAAAGCAGTCTTTGTACGGTCACCCAACCCCAGTTTCTCTGTAACATCATCTTCTAACACTCACACTCACCCAAATTCCTAAACCTCTTTCAACCACTTCAGGCTTTATTTTTGTTCCTAAAAAATAGGCACCTGTCAGAGTTATCAGTGTGATTGCCAGAACTGTTAGGCTTGCCTTTGAATCCCAACTCTACTTAATAGATATGTTCTCTTGGCAGACTACTTACCATCCATGCATTTCCTTATGAATTACAGGTAACAAAATCTAGCTATGAGATTACTTCAGTGGTTCTCAAGGAGCTATAATTTTGCCCTCTAGAAGATACCTGGCAATGTCTAGAGATATTTTTGATTGCCACAACTTGGGAGATGCTACTGGTATCTAGTGGGTAGAAATCAGGGGTGCTGCTGAACATACTACAATCCACAGGATAGCACTCACAAATAGAATCATATGACCCAAAATGTCAATAATGGTGTGACAGAGAAAACTTAGGTAATATTATATGGATTAAATGGCTCAGTATTTGTAAACCTCTTAGAACAATCCATGGCATATAGTAAATAATATATTAGTATTGATTAATTTTTTAATACAAACATATTACATTATAAATATTTACATATACAAACATATGTATGTATTTTTCTTCTTCAGAGTTTTTGTGCTGATTCCTCCCTCCACCTAGCGTGCTCTTCCACAGACTACCACGTTATATGATTTCCCAGTTCTTATAGATCTTACTCAAATACCATCATGGGGGGCTTCCCTGACCACCTCATCAAAGTCTCATCAATCTTGCCACTCTCTCTTCTCCTACTCTGCTACATTTTTCTCCATTGCATGTTTAGCATCTGAAATACTATTTATTTATTTATTTATCTATGTATTGGTTTTCATCTGGATGTTAATAATAATTGGTTACTGTTCCAATACTGCACTTATATTCTGCTGTACCTTTGTTTCCATTCTACAAAATGGATTGCAAGATGCCTGCAGACAAGAATCATAATTTATTATGTATCATCTTCTGTAAATGTTAGCGTAGCACTCGGTAAACAGCAGGTGTTCTGCCAACATTTGTGGAGATGTTCAGCAAACAGTTGGGGACATGGTCCTGGAAGTGGGCAAATTGTATGGAGTCAGCTATGGCTATTTGGGAGTCATTTGAAGTATGCAATTATCCAGATAATTCAGATCCAGAAAATATCTTCAATATGAAAGGTACTTACCAAGGGGAAACTAGCCACCATATCAGTCTTCATTAATCTTAGTCTTATGATCACCCTCTAACATTTTCCTCTGAAGATACAACTATTTTGATGATTGAGGAATATAAGTCAGTCAGCAGTTCAGAATTTCATAACCAATTGCCAGAGGGCAATATTATATCAGGAATTGGAGAAGGAAAGGGAAGAACAGCAACTGGGATTTTCTTGAGTAAATACAATATAGAGTAATTCAACTGTGAAGAGCACATATGAGACCCCAGTGCATCTACATTTGGGAAGAAATGAAACTTTAAAGATGTGCTTTCATGTGGGAAAACCCCTTTTTATTACAAATATACTCCCAGTAAGTGGCAGTTTTCATACCAAAATGGTGCCGCATTCATAGCACATCACCTGTCTCATGTGACAAAAGCATGGGAAGTACAAGCCATTTCTGAGTGCTCTGAATTCTTTGGAGACTCTACAGATTATATTATACAGTATTTATGGAAGTAAGTGCTGCTTTAGGCGGTTGGAAAAACACTTGCTGTATAACCCTCCCCTATTTTCACAAGCACAAAAGTTCCCAGATGAATTTTCAGGGGGTGATGTCAGCTAACAAGTGGCATTTACTGCCTTTGTTTTGTTTTTATTTTTTACTTCCCAATAGTATAATTTAAAATTATTTCAACAGGTTAGTTATAAAAGTGATTTTTATTTCATTTATGTTTTTAAAAATATGAGCAAATAATAAATGGACAAAGTTAAGCTTCAAACTGCATGAAGACCCAATTCCTTGCAAAACTGCAATTATACGTAAGAAATAAAAATCTGCAATAAATTTTATATAGTCTCCTTCATTGTAATGCTTTTCCATTGCATAATTTTTTTGTGTGAGCTCCAGGAAGTAAGAAACACTCCCTATAGAGCAAGTATTTTTCTATTTCCTTGGGAATTTTTTTCCTTAGTTTAAACTATCTTTCAATGCTATTCATTTAATATGAACCTCCCTTCCTCCCCAAGCTTGTTTAAATGCTGTTCATTTAATATGAACCTCCTTTCCTCCCCAAGCTTGTTTACCAGTGATCCTCACTGTGCACTCTCTTTGCTGGGCCCAATGGCCTCTTTATTTTCTCCCACATAAGCCTAGTTCATGCCTACATCTCCTCCTTTCTCACGCCATGCCTTGTCCTTCTCCTCCTCCTCCTCCACCTTCTCTGTCTATCCAAATTCTGCCTCTCCTTCAGTTCACACCTCAAATTCTATATCATTAATTTTTTACTTTTTCTTTTCTATATACAAAAGTGTACAAACCATAACTTGCTTAATTTCCACAAGGTGAACATACTTTGTAACAAGCACCTAGATCAGGGAAAAGAACGTTAACAGAATCTCAGAACTAAACTAAATCAGTGGTTTAAAATCAAATGCCAGCAGAGGCTGCGCTTTGTAAATATAGTTGAGTAATGACTTATCTTTAAAAAAAAGAAGATGGGAATCATAAAAAATGCACTATGAATATGGATTATGCAAGGAAGATGACAAAGAATTCTAATCTTAATTTTATATTCAAAACAATAACAACAATAAGGAAAGTCTGGACCTACAGACCAACACTAAAAGACTGATGAATTAATATGAATTTCTATGGTTTCTGCTAAAATGAAGTTTTAATGTATCTTTTAAAATTTTTATTTTTATTTTAAGTTCTGAGGTACATGTGTAGGATGTGCGGGTTTGTTACACAGGTAAACGTGTGGCATGGCGGTTTGCTGTACCTATCAACCCATCACCTAGGTATTGAGCCCAACATGTGTTAGCTAATTTTCCTAATGTTCTCTCTCCCCACATCCCAACCCCTGACAGGCTCCAGTGTGTGTTGTTCCCCTTCCTGTGTCCATGTGTTCTCATTGTTCAGCTCCCACTTACAAGTGAGAATATGCGGTGTTTGGTTTTCTGTAGCTGTGTTAGTTTACTGAGGAAAATGGCTGCCAGCTCCAGCCATGTCCCTGCAAAGGACATGATCTTGTTCCTTTTTATGGCTGCATAGTATTTCATGGTATATATGTACCACAGTTTCTTTATCCAGTCTATCATTGATGGGCATTTGGGTTGGTTCCACATCTTTGTTATTCTGAATAGTGTTACAATGAACATTTATGTGAAGGTACTTTTAATGTTTCACTGTTTCGGTCCTAATAAGTAAGGATAATGGCCAGTGGTGATTGTAGGAATAGCAAAAATATGATAAATTTTAGAAAAACTTAGTAATATTGACAAGACTTTGTTCAATGTCAGAATAAAAGAGAGAGAGGAAAGTGAAAAGAGTTCATATTTCTTGCTTGGACACTTGAGTGGCATCAATAAAGACAGAACATAGGTAAAGAAAAGGTTGTGAAGGTAGGTACTTTGAGTCTGTGTTTTCTATGGGACATCCAAATACAAGAATCAAGCATATCTGTGGCTATAGGCATTTAAGGCTTGCAAAGCTGCAAATAAAAAATTGACAAGTTACCTACTTGAAACCATAAGTATGTAAACCAAGGGGCATGTAAGTTTAAAGGGTAGATTAAGGAAGAAATACCTGCAAAGGAGAAAGAAATGAAGTGCAGTTAATTCCCATTATTCTTCGTAGTCATGGTCTATAAAATCACACAAAAACTGAATTACAGAATACTGAACCATTGCTCTAGGCGAAGAACAGGATTAGGTTCCTGTGAACCTCTCTGCACAGCATTTTTATCAACCAATAAATGTATAACCTTGTTTTACGTGTGTTTCTGCTTAAAGGCACCTTATTTAATATATATTGATTCATTAGCATTGAATTCATGGCCAACAGCACTATAACTGGGGCTTGATTTAAAACATTTTCTTCATAAGTCATATCATGGCCTTCTTGTTCTTAGAACATGAGATAGCATTCAAGACTACCCTTGGGGCCCATTTTAAACAGTGACATTACCAACAAGAAGCAAAAGAATGCCAAAAATTTGGTTACTAAATTGAATGCAAAAGGACACCGATTTTCCAAAGGAGAATGTAAACAAGAAAACAGGTTACTACTGCCTTGTTCGACCTCAGCTGGGGACACGCACATTCAGCTCCTCAAATTTTTTACTGCTTTGCACATGCCCATGAAAGACTGCAAAAGTGCCACAGGTATGATTTTGGGGTTACAAGTGAATTTCAGTGAGTAAACAAATTTTCAAATATGAATTCTGCCAATAATGAGGATCAACTATAGCAACAAATGCTTCTAAGGAATTAGGAAAATGTCATGTCAATTAGGAGGGCATCGTGAACTTACCAGTTCTAAATCACATAAAGGGAAGAAGTCAGCTTCCAGTGGATTGATGAGCCAATGTGTAGTGAAGTGAAGGAGAAAGAATGTTTAAAGAATAACTCTAGAAAGTCTGGAGAGGAAGGGCTAGAAAACTGAAAGCTTCCTAAATATAAAAGGATGCATACTTTTTTTTCTCCAACCAGATTAATGCTACAATGCTTAAACTGAATCTAATATATGTGTTTTCCACCTAATTCGTGAAAGCAATCAAAAAGAGTAGGCATTTTAAAGGTTTAAAAAGCACCTGCTTGGAAACTATATATGCAGTTTTTGCAGTCAACTTTTTGTAAATAATTCAGTCTTTATGTAGGGCAAGCAGCCCAGAAAGGAAGAGTCCATTGGTGGCTAACAAAATGACTGTAAAAGGAAATAATAGTGTTTGACACATTTTCCTTTTTACAAATTCTGAGCCTCTTGCCCCAGTTGCAATCAATATTAGCTGACTCAGTAGAGGAACCTGGTTTCCAAATGAGTATTATTCTTTGGGATTCACAAAGTAATGTCTATGCAAACTTAATTGTACCATAGATGTTTCTAATGCTTAAAAAAATACAAATAAAAAAGCAAACCTTGAAGAGACTATGCCCTCTAAAACTTGCTATAATGCTAAGAAAAACTTTTTAAATTGAAAAATGGCATATCCTGAACTTGTTCCTTTAAGGGACCACTAAATATACCCTTTTACATATAAACAACTTAAGTAAAATGAAAGGAACAAAATTCCTCAATTTGCAGAATGGCTATTGAGTCAACAACCAAAGAGAATTTGCTACAAGAGAAGACAGATGTTTTCAACTTTAAAAAAATTACATAATATCTAAACATATTTCAGATGGGAAAAACAGTTTGTGAGAAAGGCCTCTGTGAAACAATTTCTACAGAATTATTTATATTTTCAATTATTTATAGTACATTGTTGGAATAAAAAACAGTGGAGTAGTGAGAATAAAAGGAGACATTTCATGGGGCACAGTGACTCACACCTGTAATCTCAGCACTCGGGAGGCTGAGGCAGAAGGATCACTGAAGCCCAGGAGTTTGAGATCAATCTGGGCAACATAGTGAGACCCTGTCTCCACAAAAAAATAAAAAAATTAGTCAGGGTGTGGTGGCATGTGCCTGTAATCCCAGCTACTTGGGAGACAGGTGGGAGGATTGCTTGTGCCAGGAACATCAAGACTGCAATGAGCTGTGATCTCACCACTGCATTTCAGCCTGAGCAACAGAGCAAGGTCTTGCCTCAAATAAATAAATAAATAAATAAGAAAGAGAGAGAGAGATTTAAGAAACTGAAAAAAAAAATTGACCAGGTAAGAATGGTTTGACAATTTAGGTCCAGATGAAGCAAAATACTTTTCAGCGTACAAAATGTTGACCCCTGAAGCTCTAGCTATAGTAAGTAAGTTAGTATGAGTCATTAGAATGGCTAGTGTGGAATTCCACTTTGAGCATGACTAAGTTCCCCCAAGCCTGACAACCAACTGCTCCCACCCCCAAATAAGAACTATAAACTCTGAACAAAATATGGAATCCAACTACCTAAAGGCACTGAAGAGTGAACAAGCAAGCAGCTTCTGAAAGAAGTTAACACTTGAAAGACTTGCAACTTTTTTTCTGGCCAAAAGAACTAGAGGACAGAGTTCAAAGCAACGACAGCCAATAGAAAGTGAGAGGTGTGCTAGAAAAGTGAGAGGTGTGAAGCTCCAAATTTTTTGTAAAACTCCTGCCCAAATCTTTGACTAAGTCTTTAACCATGTATGTGCGGAATGGACTCAAAGAGCCCAGGTAAGGATAAAATAACTGTACTGACATTTGAACTTTCTGCGAAACAGTGTTTACAGTGTGAGTTCAAACAAGTTAATAGTCTGATCAAACAAAAGTTCACTCTTAAGAGAAATAATGGAAACCAGAGAGTCTACAACCTAACCTTTTCAATGAACAAGATATGATATAAAAATTAATATACGAATAACCAGAAAAATACAAGCGGAAGTACAGTCAACAAAGATCAATCCAGATATGTTCCAGATGTTGGATTGACAGACTATGATTTTAAACAACACATCAACAAGTATTTTTAGTATGCTCAAGTATGTAACGAAAAATATGTTCATAATAAATGAAGAAATAGAAATCATTAGCAGAGAAATAGAAACTGTAAAAAAAAAAAAAAAAGTAAACTCTACAACTGAAAAAAAAATACCAAATCTGAAATTTAAAACATATTGAATGGGCTTAAAGCAGAATGGAGAGAGGGAAGAGTCAGGGAACTTAAAAATAGAACACAGGAAATTCAAATAAAATTATTCAATCTGAAAAAGAGAAAGAATGAGTAACTAGGGATGATAGAGACGGATTAGCTAAACACTAAACCTGTTTCCCCTTTCTCTTGGGCCTGATGCTGGACTCTATATCCCAGCCCCCATTGCTATTGCATGTAAATGTATGATGGACTGTTCTGGCTGATGGAGTATACATAGTAGTAAGGCTCACCATTTCCAGTTATGGACCATATAAACTTCCATAACTTCCTCCACACTCTCTCCTCAACAATCTGTCAGCTGAAGGCAGACATCTAGGATGATCGCAGAGCTTTGCACTGAGGATGGCTCAGCCTCCATTTCTGAAGGATGGATGGAGTGCAACCATCTCAAACCCAGCCACATCAGCGAGAGATGAGCTTCCATGGTGTTAAGTTCCTGAGATATTTGGGTTTACTTTTATCTGCAGATATTGTTGCCATCCTAAAACAGTAATTGTTGTTATTACTCTTTGTATCATTACCATAAAATAATTTCATACTTCGTGTTCAGCCTTTCTCCAGACCAGTCTCCATGTTAAAAATGAAACCACCTCTGAACCATTTGTTTCTGTGACTAATACTTAATGAGATGGATTGAAGGTTTATGTTCCCCCAAAATTCATATGTTGAAATTCTAACTCCTAAGGTGATAGTATTTGCAGGTGGAGCCTTTTGGAGGTGATTAGGTCATGAGCGCAGAGCCCTCCTCGTGAATGGGATCAGTATCCTTATAAAAGAAGCACCAGATGGCTAGGCGCAGTGGCTCATGCCTGTAAACCCAGCACTTTGGGAGGCTGAGGCGGGTGTATCACTTGATGTCAGGAGTTCAAGACCAGGCTGGACAACATGGCAAAATCCTGTCTCTACTAAAAATACAAAAATTAGCCAGGCATGGTGGTGCACACCTGTGATCCCAGCTACTTGGGTGGCTGAGGCATGAGAATTGCTTGAACCTGGGAGGCAGAGGTTGCAGTGAGCCGAGATCATGCCACTGCACTCCAGCCTGGGCAACAGAGAGAGACTTTGTCTCAAAATATAAATAATAATAAAATAAAAGAAGAACCAGAGATCTTTTATTCCCCACTTCCACCATATGAAGTGACAGTGAAAGGAAGGCCAACAATGAAACAGGAAGTAGGGCCTTTACTAGACACTAAGTCTTCTGGCGCTTTGATTTTGGTCTTCCCAGCCTCCAGTACTGTGAGAAGTCAATTCCTGTTGTTCATAAGCCCCCTAGTTTATGATATTTTATTATAGCAACCTAAACACACTAAGACATTTTCTTCCCAGACTAATCATAAATAATAATAGTCAACTTAAAAAATTGAATAGATCTTTACACTTTAAAAATTTCTTTGCCAAATCAACTCATCTGATATTAATAGTCCTTAGTATAAGTGTGGCAGCTGTTTGTTTTTCTGTTTTCTAGAATTAAAAAAAAAAAGGAAGCTAAAAAAGGGAAGAAAGAAAGAAAGAAGACAGGAAATAACAGAAACATTGAGAAAACCTTTACATTTTAGCTGGCTGAAGATGATGTTGTTTCTACATGAGGCAGACAGAACCCTCATATAGGTCTGCCTAGTAGCTGCTTAAGGATGACTTCGCCCAGTGAAACATTTCATCTCTTTTTCCATCTAAAAGTGAAATTCAAACTCCAAATTTATTATAGTCTCTCCTCTTTAGAAACTGCACATCCTATAGAAGACAGACTTTGTCAGTTTTCCTTTAAGCACCTGCCTTTACCATGTCAATAAACTAGTTTGAGAAGTCGAAGATTTTCATAGAGAAGGCCTGCAGGGCACCAAACATCTCGTTGGGATGATTTGTTGCCCGAATTGACAGATTTCCGATGCTCAGTTTGAACAGCACACAAGCTCAGTACCTTTTTGCTATAACCTTCTCAACATCTCCCATTGTCTCCTGAGCAAGTGCTCACAAGAGTGATCCTTACATTTTTAGATGTGTGAGAATTTTTCATCAACAATGAACCTTGTGGGTGTTAGTCTGGTTAAAACCTGTTCTTCATGCATTTCCTTGTCAAATTGTGAGGGGTTGGCAGAGAGGGGTTAGAAATGTTGTTTTATTGTTTTATTTCGTAGTAAGAAGAGGTATAACCTTGCTGAGAGGGTGACAAATTCAGTTATAGTCAACCAGCACTTGACAGGTTTTATCAGAAAACCAAACAAGGAAAGAGTGTGTATGCCTGCTACCAGCTGTCACAGTATTGAACAATGAATGTTTGATGAAGCCGACCCGCAAATACACACATCTTCGTGGAAGTCAGCTTTAAGTAGAAACTAGCTGGCAAAATTAACAAGAAAAGGCCTTGGTAGAGGATATCAAAAGTAAAGAAAACAAAACAAAACAAAAAAAGGTGGTGGGTCGGGTGTGGGGATCTGAAAATCTCCCTTCCTTTATTTGTTTAGGTGTGTATTGAGCGAGCCTCCATGCAACATAGAATTTGAAATGCAGTTTCAGTTTTGTTAAGATAAATACATGGTCTTCATCTCAGCCCATATTGAAAAGACAGTTTTGATAATTGTCAGATTTTCCAAATTAGTTGCGCTGTGAAAAGGGGAAGCTGGTCGGCTGGAAATGTGACTGTTCTGGTGTGCCTCTGAAGCAATTCCCGACTTCTTGCTGACGAGACAGGAAACAGAAGCAGCCAGTGCCACACAGATGAAGGCACTGGCCCACGTGCCCTACATTACACAGGTCAGCCTCAGATTGCTTATCCTCTAGCTAAAGATTCCTATCTCTTATCCCAAACTTTCCACTCCAAAGTCAAAATCAGTGGCATTTCTCACCTTTAAAGGAAGATGCCACATGATTATTTCAAGCTATACTACAAACCCAATTTGTCTCAAAAGCTTGTGAAAGTACAATAAGTACTCAATGTCGTTGATAGGTTCTTGAAAGCTGTAACTTGACGCCATATAATATACAGCAGATCCTCAAATAACATTGTTTCCTTCAAGGCCCTTTGTTGTAATGTTAATGAGGAAAAAAATTGGTTTTATTATACTTGGTTTCACTTAAAATTGCATTTTCCAAGAACCATTGACATTAGGTGAGGACTTACTGTGTTTTAAATTGAAGAAGATCAAGTACTATTAAAATGATATTTTCCCTCAACAAAAAAATGCTTTCTCTGTCTTCAACCACCTCTTCTCCAGAATTTCCTTTGTACATTTTTGATACCTGTTACCAAGCCCAAGAAGCAGTTTGATGTGAATTACTTTTCTACAATAAATTGTGAGTTTCCTGATGACAAGGATCTGATCTCACTTAACTTTGATTCTTCTCCAGTCCAACTCTAGCCATTGTTCATAGCAGGTCTCAACAAATGATGATGGAATAGACTCAACCCAGAAACATTTAAGAGACTCAATGGAACCAGACTGCGGCCATCACAGAGTCCTGCACCTCCTACATTATTACTCTATTGATATTCCTTTAGTTCCTCCTTGGCAAAACAGAAGAACAAATCTGCTAACTATCAAAGAAAGACATAAAAGATTATATCTCATGCTTATGTTCTTTCCAGCCTACTGAAGTAAGTAGAAAACTCAGGAAAGAAATTCTACATTCATATCACCAGATAGAGCCTTTAATAAAGTGCAATAGACCATAATTAAACTATCAACATAATAATTAATTTTCGCATGTGCATTTTTCTTGTGAGCTTTCATTCTGCTTGTACATTTTTTAGCTCATCTCATGATAACATCTAGTATTTCATGATGAATTGTGTTGTAAACATAAATTATGTGTCTATCTGAAAAAGCTACAGATATTATCTATTGGAGTTTTTCACTCCTTATCTCTGTCTCTCCAAATTTTCCCAATCTATATTGAATTAAATAATTTTGCAGATTTTTAAAAACCAGCTCTATTATTTATCTATTTCCAGCGTGGTGAATAAGGTTTAATCTTGGCAACAGAGATACAGAGATGAAAAATGTCTAGACAGATTCTCTAAGTACGAAATGTCTATAAAGCAAAGTTACCCTTCACCCTATATAGATGCGAGTTCTCCATATACACCTGAAAAGGTAAATATTGACTGGAATTTGATACTTTTCTGTTAAAAATATAAAGGAGGAGGAGCTTGGGGAAATTGAATACACCCCTATAAAGAAATGGTAAAACCAAAATTCCACAAAGAGAATAGTCTCTGGAGATCAGTGAAAAGAATCAGATGCAAGGATTTACCTTAATAATTGTTCATCTGTAAAGATGAAACTGTCAGTGGATCTCCTCTTTCACTTCGAGAATAGAAGAAAAGAGCTTCTAAGAAATCTAACATTTATCTTTAGTGTAACGACTGAGACAAGACTGCTTTAGATATCCTTATTACTAATATCGAAAGCAAACCTAGAGAAAATTCAGGAGCTCAGTACAACTCCAGACCTCCAGAAGAAGGAGGAGGGGAAGGAAAAACAGAAGGCAAAAGAGGAGGAGCAGGAGGAAGAAGAGGAGGAGTAGGAGAAGCAGCAAGAGGAGAAAGAATGGTTAGTAGTTAGGAAAAAACAGAATAAATGGCCAAATGTTATATTGGTTGTGGGGCTGTGTGTCCTTCAACATAGAAATACTTAAACCACTGTGAAAATGGAGGAAAACTAAATTTTAATCTCAACCTTCTACTCTGTTTCATGGGCATCTATAGCTATAATATAAATTCGCGACACATTTCTGTGAGCTAAGTATGACGTGCACACGTAGCAAAGCTCCTTAGAAATCTTCTCATTGAACCAGAGATTCAATTACACATGCAGTTCACTCCTACTCCAGAGCTTTGCTCTCAGTGAGGAAAATCTGGGATCTATATTCAGGGCAGTTAGAATGCATTTGAAACCAGTAGGGGGAACTGAGCTATAGAGAGGTAAAGTGAGTTTCTCAGAACTTGATAAAGAATCAGAAGCTGAGACAGCCAATTCATTTTTTTGTCAGGAAGTTGGCATTCATTTTAAAGAATTTATTGATTACATGCATAAGCTGTGCAAAGGGTATTTCATCAATGTATGTATAAAGCATATATATATACATATATATTCTACTTTTCTTCTTGAGCACTCAAAGAAGGTCATTGGGGAAATCTGTCTGATTTCTGCAGTGCATTGGCTGAGAAATAATTTAGGTGGACTTCTTGTCTGTACTCTGAGTATGTGTATGCATAAACATGGATATGCATATGCTACTTATAGCATATATAGATTTCATACAATTATGATAGAAAATATAACCTAAAGAGAGAGCTCATGATTGCCGTGATGAATAGGACAATTAAAATGGTTGCCATAAAAATTATTTGAACAGAAAAGACTAAACTTGTAGAGAAGCCCAAAGAACTGACTTGAAGTATTCATGGATGTTAACTGGTATTACATCCTGTGTGTTAAGAGAGAAAGTAGATCCCTTGGTGATAGATTTAAAAAGCACCCAGTATTTCCAAATGCCTCCTTCAAATGTCTCCTGACCAGGAATTCTATCACTGGGAATCTATCTTGTATAAGACTAGAAAGAAATAATAATTATTACTGATTGGTGAGAGAATGTGTGACTTTTATTTTTCTTTGTATACTTTTCTTAATGTTTCAGATTCCCTTTGCTGACTTAGCCATGATATGAAAGTATTTTAGGAATGTGGTTCTTGAGAAGAGTGTGCCAAATAACTCTGTGGACCTAGGAATTCCTGATACAATGATAAACACATAGTTGACATATAATAAATATGTGCGTTGAACAAAAATGTCTGTTTCTGCTGTCTGGGGCATTATCTCCAGGAGCTGTAAGATCAAACTACTTTAAAGTAAAGACTCATTTTCAGCAGTCCTCACACTTTGGTAGAGGACTGAGTTACCTTGTTCCCAAATCTATAGACAAGCATTTTATGTATTTGCACTTTAAAGGTGAGCAGGAGTCTGCAGGAGCTACCAGGGGATAACTACAATGACACCCCTGCTGAGACCATTATGTTGTTCACCTTATACAAATAGCCAGGAAAGATGAGAAGAGTGATACCCAGCCATATTCCCACTAAGTCACGGGGTTCAATATCTATGTATTAGGGACCCCATGGCCGGAAGGGGATGGTACAGGCATTTCTTTCTTTCTTTTCTTTTCTTTTCTTTTTTTTTTTTTTTTTTTTTTTTGAGACGGAATCTCACTCTGTCACCAGGCTGGAGTGCATGGCATGATCTCAGCTCCCTGAAACCTCCACCTCCCAGGTTCAAAAGATTTTCCTGCCTCAGCCTCCTGATTGCAGGCACCCACCGCTACACCAGCTAGTTTTTTGTATTTTTAGTAGAGACGGGGTTTCACCATGTTGGCCAGGCTGGTCTCGAACTCCTGACCTCGTAATTCACCTGCTTCGGCCTCCCAAAATCCTGGGATTACAGGCAGGAACCACCATACCCAGTCTGGTACAGGCATTTCCAGTGGGTAGCTTTCAGACCCCTCACCTCACTTCAATTACAGCCATTCAGTTTTCAGCAGTTAAATACATTGATATATTACACAATATTTCACTGAAAGGATTCTACTGATGACAAAAAAAGAAAGAAAGGAGGAAAGAAAGAAAGAAAGAAACAAAGAAAGAAAGAAGTAGGGAAGGAGGGAGGGAGAGAGGGAAGGAAAGAAGGAGGGAAGGAAGGAAGGAGAAACAGAGAGAAAAAAGAAAGAAAGAACGAAGAAAGGAAAGGAAAGAAAGAAAGAAAGACAGACAGACAGAAAGAAAGAAAGAAAGAAAGAAAGAAAGAAAGAAAGAAAGAAAGAAAGAAAGAAAGAAAAAGAAAGAAGGAAAGAAAGAAAGAAAAGAAAGAAAGAAAGATTTTGTTGATTTCTGGTTCTGGAAAAATATTCCATTCCCAAATGCAAATCATTCAAAAGGCCAAGGAATAGAAAGGGCAGTCTACTTTGTGAACTGATAAGAGAAAATCTCTGCTCCATTATGCAAGTCTTGAGGAAAGAATGGTTTATAAATATTGCTTTTTCAGTCCATCAGGGCGCCAGGACCCTGTGTTGCCAAGAGACACCTCCAGTGCTGAAATGAAATAAGAATACCCATGTTTACATTAACATCCCCGACTGAGTCACTGTTTGATTAGGACAAAGGAGAGGGGAGAGTCCTGCCCAGAGTCCTGACTGAGGAGAAGGCGTACCACTGGGAGAAGCTGCACATCAGAGGTAAAGAGTAAAGCAAGCATTTTACTTCCCAAAATCCCCTTTCTTCACTTTGCTCCACCCCACAGTTCCAGGGCCCCCGCTAAAGCCTCCTACTGTGATCTGATACGAAGCCAGAGACAGGTAAACCTTCCTGGCAAGTACAAATATGTCTGAGGAAGCAGCGCCAAGCAATGAAAACAGCCTAGGTTTTGGAGCCTAACAAGGATGAGGCTGGAAGAAAGGAGTTTATGTTCACAGGAAAAGGAAGAATTTCCATTTGCCATGAATTTTGCCACATATTAACTTCATCTGCCACGGATTTAATTACTTTTAACGAGAGAGAACAAAAGTGAACGTGCTGTAGCAGAAAGCCTCAAAGGACAAGAGGATGGTGTTTTTACCTGCCAGCTCAATCCCTGTCCTTTTTAGAAAAAAAGATCTGAGGAGGTATCTGCAAACAGAAGTATTGTGTTGTCAATGACCTAAGGCAGATACTCTTAACACAGCCCCAACATGTAACAGACTCATGGATGAGTTCCAATTGGTTTGGCAGCAGGGTGGTGACTGTGTGGAGTGATGTTCCTAATAAGAGTAAAAGCACCAAAATTGACACATAGTTAATTTTCTTTGTTATAAATTAGACAAAATTCAAAGTCATTCCTATAGTAATATCAATCTTCCTCATCAACATCACAGCTTTCTGGAGTGAGACTGAAATGGGTGGTCATACAAGTGACCAGGAAGTCACTGAAAAGGGCACCACTGGTCATACAAAAACCTTTGTGGGAAGCTATTTGAAATATAGTAAATATAGTGCTAGCAAGTTTTGACTTACGTCTCTGAACTTGCTATCGAAATCTTGATATGAGAGCGTGTTGAAAAGAGCTGAGAACCTATGATCAACACGGAACTGTATTTCCTTCAATTTTATCACATCAATTCCTGAACTGAATGGCTAAAATCATTCTTGAGGGGATTTTTTTAACGGATTAAGAAGCTGGCTGGGTGCGGCAGTTCAGATATATAATCTCAGCACTTTGGGAGGCCCAGTCAGGAGGATCACTTAAGGCCAAGAGATTAGGACTAGCCTGGGCAAGACTTACAGAAAATTTTTAAAATTAGCCAGGCATGGTAGCACACCTGCAGTCCTAGGCAGGAGGATTGCTTGAGCCCAGAAGTTTTAGGTTACGGTGATCTATGGTCTCGCCACTGCATTCCACCCTGGGTGACAGAGCAAGACCCTGTCTCTTAAAAAAAAATATATATATATATATATATATATACTGTAAAGCACTCAGAACTGTGCCTGATGCATTATGCATTAGTTGTTGTGTGCTTGCAGCCACTGCTGTGTCTTTAGTAAGATTAAGCCCCAAATTTGGAAGATGTGATAAGACATGTTTTATTTTGAAGTTTGCTGTGATGTGATGTGAAAGGAATACGTTAGAACTCTCTAATCTCTGTTTTAAAAGCACTGAAAAGTAATAAACCAGAATAAGGAGGAAATTATCAATGAATAGACTGCCCATGTATCTGTTCTCGAAATTAGTCTGCCACTTATCTGGCCTTTCCTCCATTCTGACTTTCTTCTTTCTTCTCCTCAGATCACTTCCAGTTTCCTTCTTCCTACTCTTTCTTCTGAATTTACTTCTACAAACGTTTGGTGGCGGCTTTCGATATGCCAGAAATTGTGCTAACCAAGCTCCAAGAGTTAAATATTATACTTCTTCTCAAGCTTTATTCTACCACCCTCATTTTTAAACCCTGTTCTTTTGCATTTTGTCATTCGGCTGCAGCATTCACTTCTCTTCTTTCATCTCTTGTCCTCTCTTTTCACAGTCACCCATAAAACTCGCAGCCAATTCCCACATTTATTTAAGACTTGGACACATCTTCCCCTCTATCTCCAACATCTGCGAATATTCAGTGTGTCTTCAGTTTCCCCATGGACAACCCACTTAACAACCTGGCCTCTCAATTCTTTCCTGACCTCCTCAGTTTCAATGAGCTTCATCTTCACCCCACCCACCCTCACTTCAGTCATGGACTTCCATGATCACTCTTTGTGCCTTATCAAGACTGCTCTACAAGAGAAAGAACAATTTCAAATATCCTATCTCCAATCACCATTTCCTATCCTCCCAGCCCTCTCATTCATTTACCATGGATATTCAGACTTTATGTAGATTTGAAGTCATTGGACCCTTCGTCTTTCCCCATCGCCGCTCCTGTCTGCATGCCAATCTCTCTCCAGCCCAACCCCTATATCTACTGTCTCCTTGTCCCTATTCCAAATAGTCCAAATTTCCCTGAACTTCAAGTCCACACAATACATCTGAAAGCAAAAAAATCTAACCCTGAATCGTCAAAAGCATTTTCTTGGGATGCAAGATAGGGTACTAACCTCTGCTAGTGTCAATTAAACAAGCACAAAGATTAGTCCTACAGTAGATTTGTAGTCTCTAATCTGAAATTAGTATTCATGTGTGCCCGGGAATCCTTCCCTGCCTTCCAGTGGGTCAGTATTCCATTTTCCAAAGCGTCCATCTAAATCTTTTCCATTCTTCTTAAATTCTCACCACCTCTTTACTTTCTCACAGGATGTTGCCTCCTGCTTGATTAAAGAGAATAAAAACTCTCCAGTGAGAATTCACTCAGCTTCCTGTCACCCTCCATCCACGGAATTCCCACACCTGTTCTCAGTTTTCCTCTTAACCTCTTAGGCATGTCTCTCCTCCTTTCTAACTTTCCCATCTGTGCTCTGGATCCCAAGCATTCTTTCTAAGGATGCTTGCTCCATCCATTGCATCCTACTGCACAGTGGCATAGCAGTTAAGCACAAGGGCTCCAGGAGGAGACTGTCTACATCCACATCCCAGCTCTGACCTTTACTATTAATGTGATCTTGGGCACATGAATTGGAATATATCTATTCCTCAATTTTCCCACCTTTAAAAGAGAGAAGATGGCAACAGTCTCTATCTCAGAGTTGACTTGTGCAGATTAAGTAAATTAATGTGTATTAAATATTGAGAAGAGTATCTGACAATCTATGTTAGTTCCCATTATTACTTGAGTCTTTGAAACAGTTGCCTGCAGTCAAATATTTTTTATTGTAAAAAAAGATATCTACGAAATAATTTTGAAAGGCAGAAAGATGATCCAACTTTTAAATTTGGGCAGAAGACTTGAAGATTCAGTTTATAAAAGAGGATATCTAAATGGTCAAAAAGCTTCTAAAAAGGTGTCCTATATGATTATCCATCAGAGATATACAAGTAACCCTATAATGACATATCACCACATACCCACCAGGACAGCCAAAATAAGGTGGGAGAGGACTATGCAAACGTTGGTGAGGATGTGGAGAAAATGAAATATATATTACTAGTGGGAGTTAAAAATTGGTACAACCACTTTGGAAAACCAATTGACTGTTTCTACTACAGCTGAATACACTCATCTCTTCTTAACCAGCAATTACACTCCTGCCTATATGTCCACCAGAAACACATACTATCATTTAACAAAAGATATGTATAATTTGCAAGGCAACATTATTTTTTCATAGCAAACAAAAATGGAAAAAGCCTAAATGTTCATCAACAGTAGATTAGAAAGTGTGAAATAATAATAAAATAGAACATTAGACAGCAATATAAAAGACCAAAATATGACTCTATCTGACAATATGGATGAATCTCATAGACAGGACATTGATTAAGAATACCAGAAACAAAAAGCGCATGCTATGTGACTCAATTTGCATAAAATCCGAAAGCAGGAAAACCAGTCTATGGCAATAGAAGAGTAGCTACCTTTGGGAACTGGGAAATGACTGAAAGGGAGGATGAGGGAGGCCTCGGAAGAGCTAAACCTTCCATGTCTTGGTCTGGAGAATGGTTACTTTGAGAAAATTCATCATACTTCTGTTCATTTACTGCATATATGTAATACTTCAATAAAAAGCATAACTCCAAAATTTTAAGCTCCCTTAAAAACATCACCACCCCAACACTATCATCCATTTCATAGGTAAACCTTACAAAATTTAATCTCCACTTTCTCATCGGCTATGTAGTCCTCATAGGTTATCATATATCTTTCCTTTCTTAATTCCAAAGATGAGAACACTTTCCCAAGATCATTACAAACTCTTCATTGCTAAATCTAGGACTCTTCTCATTCTTTGTTATTACTTGATTCTCAGGACTATTTTAAACTCTCTATAACTCCCTTTCAAAGCCTGTTACATCTTTCCCAGCTCCATTCTTCCTCCTTTACCTGGCAAACTCCTACATTATGCTCAGAACTAATCTAAAACATCACTTCTTCCTGAAGCCTTTCTTAACCCATCCGCAGGTACACGAGGCCCATTCTATGGGTGTATATTGAACCTTTGCTTATCCTTTAACAAAGTACAAATCATCCTATATTGTATTCTCCTGTAATCTCATTCATAAATGAATGATTATGTAAGTATCAGTGGAACCATGAGACCTCTCTCCCACCACTTCTGAACCCAAGTACTTTTGGCTTCCTTGTGGTTATCAGGAAAATGTGGTCAATATTCCACTAGAGTCATGGGACTAGATAACTCTTCATCTCTCACCCTTCTTACAGGACTAGGCTTTCAGAGAAGTATTTACAAGTCGGACTCATCAGCATATTGCAGTATCATTATACCAGACTCATCAGCATATTGCAGTATCATTATCCCATCACCGTAACAACATCTTTCCATCTATGAGCATTAGGGACCATTATCAAGAGGAATAATTTGGAGATGTTTGCAGTCATAACACTCAGCTGGTGATCTCATCTTCCTCCATGGGTCTTTCCTATCATTAACAGGCATCACCCACCAATCAACCCCTGAAAGCTCTCTGCTGGTCAAAATTATCTCTGTGACTTGGCACCAGGGATATTCTGAGTCATGTTCTTCCACAATATTAAACTTTAACGCACATTAAAGTACACAAATCTTACATATCAAATATAAGAAAACAAATAATTCCAATTTTATCAAGTGATACTCCAATCATAGTAAAAGACTAAAATATTCAAAGCAAAAGTCCACAGGAGAGCTCAGCAGGTGGCACATTAACCATATGAAAAACCATTATCCAATGGAACTTTTAAAGAAACATAAAGAACAAAAGGCTGCAGTGTAAACCAGTGAGCTTTGGGTTCACTATTGCTACTAAAAACCCACTGGCTCTGGGGTTGAGTTCCAACATAGATTCTTATAGGCCTCCCTAGTAGGAAAAAGGAAGGAGGGATGGAAGAAAACGACAAAGGTAAGGAGGAAGGGGATAAAATAAGAAGAAGAAAGGAAAAAAAGGAAATAAAATCATGGTCCTTGCCGTCAAGGAACTTATAGTCTGGTGATAAGTGAATATGTATTAGGACAAGTACTAACCAAAATATTTGATGAAAATGCTAAGGAAATACAAGGTAAGAGGCAGGAAAAAAAACAAATCACTGTTATTATTATTTGTATCCTCATCTCCATCCTCAGGGTATTACCTTCATTAAGAAACTACTTTAAGGTAGCAACAGGAATAAAATGCCATACCTGGGGTCTAGGAAACAAGCACCCACTTGGGAAGGCCTGACATAAATACTCCCGTCTCCTTCCACTGATGCTCACGTCCTCAGCATACATGAGAGACTAAGAAACGGATGTTGGAGTGAGCTGCATGTAAGTTTAAATGTCATTCCCTGATGCCTATTGAGCTGGGACTTCCTCTCCTCTGCCTGACTTATCACAACATATTCTCCAGACACATTCTGACCTTCATTAGTACTGAGGAAATAATGACTGATAACAGCTTAAAGTATTTACTCCCTAATGGGCATTTATATTTTCATAAGGATCAAAAAACAAGCTCAAACAATAGAATGTGTATGTGATCTGGGGCAAGTCACATAATTACGCTGTGCCTCCATTTCCCCATCTGTAAAATAGGTATACAGTAGTCCCTCCTTGTTAGCAGTTTTGCTCTCTGTAGTTTCAGTTACTCAGGGTCCATCATGGTCCAAACTATTAAACAAAAAATTCCAGCAGTAAGCACTTCATTAAGTTTGAAATTGCACACCATTCTGAGTAGGGTGATGACATTTCACATTATCCACTCTGCCTTCCTGGGACAGGCACCATTCCTTGTTTGATGTACCCATGCTGTCTGTGCTATTTGCCTGTTAGTCATCTATGTCATCTGCTGCTGACATCCAACCAGAGACTTCCTCACTCAATGATCCAGGATCACCTAAAGCAGATGATTCTCCTTCTGACTATTGTCAAAATGTCAGTAGTAGCCTAGCCCGGCATGGTGGCATGCACCTCTAGGCCCAGCTACTCTGAGAAGCTGAAGCAGAAGAATTGCTTGAGCCCAGGAGGGGGAGGCTGCAGTGAGCTGTGATTGTGCCACTGCACTCCAGCCTTAGTGACAGAGCAGGACCCTGTCTCTAGAGTAAACAAAAATAAATAAATAAATAAATAAATAAAATAAATAAGCCAGGCATGGTGGCTCATGCCTGTAATCCCAGAAGTTTGGAAGGCCAAGGTGGGAAGACTACTTGAGGTCATGAGTTCGAGACCAGCCTGGCCAACATGGTGAAATCCTGTCTCTACTAAAAATACAAAAATTAGCCAGGCATGGTGGTGCTCCTGTAGTCCTAGCTACTCTGGAGGCTGAGGCAGGAGAATCACTTGAACCTAGGAGGCAGAGGCTGCAGTAAGCAGAGATTGTGCCATGGCACTCCAGCCTGGAGGACAGAGCCAGACTCCATCTCTAAATAAATAAATAAATAAATAAATAAATATAGCAGCCTAACACAACATCACAGTGTCTACATCATTCATCTCACTTCATTTCATCACACAGGCATTTTACCATCTCACATCAGTACAAGAAGAAGGGTGAATACAATACAGTAAGATATTGAGACAAAGAGACCACTTCATATAACTTGTATTAAAGTATTTTGTTATAGTTGTTCTATTTTATTATTAGTTGTTGGTAGTCTCTTACTGTGCCTAATTTATAAATTAAACGTATCATAGGTGTGTACATGTAAGAAAAACCATAGCATATTTAGGATTCAGTACCATCCGAGGTTTCAGGCATCCACTGGGCATCTTGGAACGTATGCCCCATGGATAACATGGGACTACTGTAGGTATAACAGTATCAGCCTCATAGTTCATTGCGAGGACTATATGAGATAGCAGGAATAAAATGCTTAACAATCATGCCTCCTGTTGTTATTATTCATATTATTCCTCCTTCTTTTTTCTAAGGTTTCCTTTGATGTTCATTTTAACCAAAGTTCATTAGGACAAAATTTTCAGGGAGAAGTCCCCACACACACTGTGACTACGGAAATGGCCCCGCTCCGGAAGAAACGTTACTTGGATGATGACTAGCTCATCATTTTTGGAGGGACTAATGTGTGCGATCTTCCTTCAGGCTCTGGCTCCACACCTACTGAGAGGTGTGGAAGAAGATATGAATTTGGCTGAGCATGAACAAAATTGGAGGATGCTTCATGGTATTTAATTACTTCAGTGCATGTCAGAACTTGCATGGCCATGAGGTAGAGAAGAAAGCTAAGGCTGTGAGAAAACCCAGCAGACATGCATTTTATTTTGTGCATCATTAAAATAGTAAAGTTTTTCTGACAGTTTACGGAAAATACTGTTTTCAATTGCTCAAAAGCAGCTGACCTTAGAAATAAGTAGATTATAAAACTGCCTTTTGTAATTTCCAAAAGGTTCCTCCTATTTTCCTTTCGTGGTATCTGAAATTCTACAGTTTGAGTTGTTTTTTGATCCTAATGAAAATGTAATTATCCACTGGGGAATAAATACTTTAAGCTGTTATCAGTCATTTTTACCTTAAGACTAATGAATACCAGAGTCTGTCCCAAGAATATGTTGTGATAAGTCAGGCAGAGGAGAAGCACCAGCTCAATAAACCTCTGAAAGTGTAAGGACAAAATCACTCAAGAAAAAAAGAATTTAAACCTGGGTGGCTTCTCCACCATCCCTGGCAGCAGAACTACCTAGAAACACAAAATTGAACATTTTTTAATGAATGTACTGTGCTTAATCTCAGCCCAAAGGCATATTGCTTTGAGAATGTCTGAGGAAAAGTTCCTGAAGCATTTTGAGTTCCTGGGAAAAGAAAAAAAAATATTGCCTATGTATATATGTGTGTCTGTGTGTTTGTGTGTGTTTGTGTGTGTGTGTGTGTGTATTCCCATTTTTAAAACAGATTGTATTTTTAATGTACTGGCAATTCAATAACTAATATTTTGCATAGTATTTGTACTAAGGCAGTTTGTTTATTCCTTTAGATTACACACCTTAAAATGAAGATCTCAGCAATGTTCTGCTAAAGTGTATCAAGCAAAGGCATTATCTATCTGAAGTCAAGCCTCATTACACTGCAAAATAAACTTACTGTCAAACCAGAATCGAAATAGTTCTAACATTTAGACATTTTGTTGCTTCAGTATTACATGTCTGTATTATATGACTCTTTTATAGACAGCCTGAACATGTTTTAATGCTGGCTTCTTCTCTCAAAATACTTAAGTAGTATCCACACACAGTTTCGTGTTTGGTGGAAAGAAGGTCAAATTTAATGCCAAATGATGTGTATGCATCATCCCCCCAGCTCAAGAGCTGGCTTAATGTGCTCGCGTATGCCTAAGTTTCCTCTATATGAAACAAAGGTAATAATAACATCTACCCATCAGCATCATATTGTGAGGATTAAATGAGACAATGATTGTCTGTGCTTTGTAAACTCAAGTACCCAATATTTTTAGTTTTGTGAATGTTTTGTACATCAGGAGAAGACACATAGAAAAATGTTTGATCTCTATGTACAGGTATAAAACTTGGACACTAAATTCTCCATGTAAAAACCACAGTCGCTACATGAAAAAAAAAAACATGTTCACAAAATTCTTTGTTCTTATTTAAAACATCATCATTAAATTTTCTGTGTACATATATAAAGCATGCATCAAACTGAAGTACCATCAAAGAAATGACTGCTTCAGTACTCAGCTCCTCAACGATAATAGCCTGTGTCAGCTCCCTAGCCCATCACTGCCTGATTCACTCTGATAAGATCAACTGCAATCTATAACAACTTAGACACATCATGTATACCATGGCTTATGTCAGACCTTAAATGACACCTCCTCAGAGGGGACACTCTACTACCCTTTCTAAAGAACCACCATCCTGCTAATCACTCTCTATGCTCCATCTATTTTATTACTTTTTTTTTTTACTTGTATACTATATGTTCGTATCATCTCTCCTATTCCCATCACCACATAAATACACAAAGCATGAATGTAAGTCTCTTAAGGGTAGGAGATTTGCTTGCTTTCTCACTGTTATATTTGCAGCATCTGGAATAGTGCATGGAATAATACTTAATAAATAGACATCAAATAATTAATATTGAACAATACCCTCCCTTTCTTTCTCAGTCAGTTCTGTTGACACCATATATTGTTTCTTTCTTCTGGAACTTTCAAAGTACTGGATCAATGATTCTACTTCTGACCCTGATTTCTCCCTGACAATCCAAGTATTGGGTTTTGAAGCATTGAGGCCATTTCCCCAGAGCTGTGGAAATATGAGCTAACAGATTGTGAAGTGCCAAAAATCTCCTTCCATCTCAATCAGAACATTCTCAGTGACAGTAATGTTGACAGTTTTCACTTCAGAAAATATAGGTATAATGTGATCTCAGTTGCTCATCTCCTCAGGTTGATGGGTGGAATTCTGAACACTGTTTTTAGACACTTGGCGAGGATCTATAGTCATCCATTTCTTCCTCCTCCTGACAGAGCTGCCACCACACTGTCTCATCTTAAGAATCTTCCAGTACATGAAGAGCAGACAAATTGTTGTTAGCTTACTTCTAGACTGGTTTCAGTGTATTCAAGTATCAAGAATTTATGTTCAAATACTTGCACCCACTCCTATCATTCCTTCAAAATTGTGGTCATAAAAGCATGTTTCTTCATTCCTTTATGTATACTGATTTTTACCATGGTTAAAAGTAGAATTTGGCAGTCTTGTCAAAATGGTACAACTGGTTTCACTATTTCTCTTTGGGATACCAGATTCTTAAGGTGCAGTTAGTGGTTTTGTAAGTGAATATGAACTTGCCTCAAAATCACTTATGCCAAAATATAATAGGTGATCTGTAAATATTAGATTCCCCTTCCCTTGCAGGATAAGGACATAGAGATGAAGATAAAAGTAAATGTCTATGTTATAAGAACAAGAATAAAGATACCATGTTGTTTTGTAAGGATAGTATTGCCAGCTGTTTGTTCTAGTAAATCATTACAATAAATCTCTCAGGTGTCAGAAAGCTAGCCTTGGTGGCAGTAGCTTTCAGGTCATCTTTGATGTAAGTTCTGTACATACTAATCCTTGGGCTATAAGATGAAAGTTGGTACACATTTATTGTCCTTTAAGTACCCACAGGCTAAAATTACTTTTACTCACGACCATAATTGTTTAAAAGATTTTCTTGTAGCCTGAAGTGTGATCTTAGACTCTAATTTTAAAGGTGGGGGTTTTACCTTTATCCTCTTCAAAATCACCCAACAGCAACAAGAAGACTGAGAAATAGAAACTTGACAAATGTTGGAGGCATCTGTATTAGTCTAGGTTCTGCAGAGAAACAGAACCATATTGGTTCTGGATATATAGATAGAGATAAATATTGATATTGATTTACTATAAGAAATTGACTGGCTCACATGATTATGGAGGCTAAGAAGTCCCAAGATTTGCAGCCATCAAGTTGGAGATCCAGGAGAGCCAATGACACCATCTCGTCTGAGTCTGAAGCTCTGAGAACCAAGAGAGTCCATGGTATAAGTTCTAGTTCGAGACAGAATTCAAAGGCAGGAGAAGATCAATGTCCCAGCTCAATGACAGACAGAGAGAAAAAATTCTTTCTTACTCAACCTTTTCTTCTAGTCCTTCAATGCACTGGATGAGGGCCACACACATTGGGGAGGGCAATCTGTCTTCCTCTGTCTTTCAGTTCAAATATTAGTCTATCCAGAAGCATCTTCACAGACACATCCAGAAATAATGTTTAACCAAATATCTGGGCACATCACTGTCAGTCAATTTTACACATAAGATTAGCCACACAACATCTATAACCTAGAATAAAAAATTCAAGGAAGGGCTAATCGATGCATTGAAGGTCCAAGAGGGGTGCCATAGAAAGACGATGCCTATGGTTGCAGATTTCAGAGACTGCCCAAAGAACAGTTCTTCATAATCACTGGCCTAAATTGAGAGGTAAGAACAAACATGCCCTTTCTGGAACAATAAGATGACAATAACTTTCCTAGAACTAAAGCAGCACTAAATCTCGAGAAATACACTAACCAGTCACGTTTGCAAGACACAGTCTGTTTGTCAAGCTAGTGAAGAAGAAAAGCTCAGCATTGTAACTAATTCTGCAGTGTCAAATGTTGTTAGAAAAAGTAAATGCTAAAATAAATTGCTCACTCTCACATTATCTCACTTCCTTAAGTGGGATTCTTATAGCCTAGAACATAATCTTTATTCTTCTCACCACATGAAGCTCCAGTAAGTATACCTTATCAAAAACTAAGTAATAGCCAAAAATGAATAAGCATAGGAATTATACAAAGGTACTGCAGAAAGAAAATAAAGACATTTCTTCTTGTAATATAAAACAAATGTAATGCAAAAAACAACCAGCAAATGTATAAAACACACTATGGAGACAGTGCTGTGAATATATGAAAATTTGGACAGACTAGATCAACAGCAAAATTTTAAAACTATATACAAGGTCATAGAGCACATCTCCTAAAAATTGGAGAAGATGGCTAGATAGCCAAAGAACAAAATGAGCACACAGAGATCAGGGAGTAGGAAACATAAACACAAAATAATCACATAAAAGAAAACTAAGAAGGAGAATGAATGAGAATAGACATACGTGAAGACATATTAAGAAACATGGAGTCTAAGGTTTGAAAAAAGTCAAAGTAAATAATATGGAAATGAACAAAGAGTAAAGAAACAGAAAAAAATCACAGGTATGGAAAGATCTAAAAGTTGTTATTCTTTATGCTAATTTAAATTTTAGATGTATGCAATGTTTCTAGTAAAAAATGAAAAAAATAGTATCAGAAAACAAACATGGGAAGACTACTTTTAATAATATCAAAGTGGGCAGCATTTCTAAGCACACAAAAAATTCTGAACCAATAAAATATAAATTTAACCATATATAATAAAACTCAAAAATTTCTTTTTTTTTTTTTTGACAGAGTCTCACTTTGTCACCCAGGCTGGATTGAAATCATGTGATCTAGGCTCACTGCAACCTCTATCTCCCAGGTTCAAGCAATTCTCACGCCTCAGCCTCCAGAGTAGCTGGAATTACAGGTGTGCACCACCATGCCCAACTACTTTCTGTATTCTCAGTAGAGAAAAGTTTCGCCATGTTGGCCAGATCTCAAACACCTGATCTCAAGTGATCCTCCCACCTCGGCCTCCCAAAGTGCTGAGATTACAAGCATAAGCCACCATGCCTGGCCTAAAACCCAGAAATTTCTGTATGACAAAAAATGTCAAAAATAAAGTCAAAAGAAAATCATAAATATCATTAAAAAGTCAAAAATGTTTTAAAGTAGAGAATATATTTCAATACATATCACAAAAGTCTAATGTCCTTAATATGTAAGGAATACCTGCAAACCAGTAAGACTAGCAACCCAGTAGAAAGATCTATAAAGATAAATCCAGGAGGGAGGACTGACTGAGGCCAGGTGTTCAAGACCAGCCTGGCCAAGAAAACAAGACCCTGTCTCTAGGAAAAAAAAAAAAAAAAAGAGAAGAAGAAGAAGAAATATAAATGACTCTTAAAGACATGATGCAATGCTTAACTTTACTCATAAATAGAGAACTGCCAAAATGTAATTTTTTCAGTGTGGCCAAATATCGAAGAGTTTAGTAAAACATTGTGTTGGTGAGGGTACATGAAGCAGACATTCTCACATATGAATGACTGACACAATCTCTTTGAACAGTAATATAGCAAGATCTATCAGAATTTAAAATATAAATACCTTTTATCCCAGAAAATACACACCTAGGTAGTTCTTCTATTAATGCACTGTCACATGGCTAAGATTATGTATTTTCAAGGTCATTGCAAAATTGTTTGCAATGTCACAAACTATAAATAACTAAAGGCAAATCTACAGGGGTTTTCTTAAATGTGGTAGAACAGATATAGAATATCTGTAGATCCCACATCTGTGGGACCAACCAACTGCAGATTGAAATTATCCACACAAATAAATAAATAAAAACAATAAAAATTACATTGCAAGTTAAAAAATACATCCTTTTAAAACACAGTATAACTATTTACATAGCATTTACATTGTATTAAGTATTATAAGTAATCTAGAGATGGTTTAACGTATACAAGAGGATGTCCATAGGTTATACGCAAATATTACATCATTTTATATATGATATTGGGTATCTACAGATTTTGGTATTCCTAAAGGTCCTGGAACCAATCTGCCAAGGTTACCAAAGGATGACCATACTTCTTTATAATAAAATATACAGCTTTTAAAAGAAGGAGATAGCTCTACATATAATGATTAGAATAAGTCATACAGTTAACCTTTGAACAACACAGGATTAGGGGTGCTGACCCTCCCCATAGTCATAAATCCACCTATAATCAGTCTCATTCATAGCATAAACAGTCAACTAACACATATTTTTATGTTATATGCACTATGTACTGTATTCTTATAATATGTATAACCTTATAGTATGTATATGCTTATAATCTAGAGAAAAGAAAATGTTTTTAAGAAAATCCTAAGGAAGAGAAAATATGCTTACTATTCATTAAGTAGAAGTGGATCATCATAAAGGTATTATTTGTCTTGTCTTCATATGAAGTCGGCTGAGGAGGAGGAGGAAGAGAAGGGGTTGGTTTTCCTGTCTCAGAGATGGCAGGGGCAGAAGAAAATCCACATGTAAGTGGACCCACACAGTTTAAACCCATGTTGTTCAAGGGCTGTATTCTTAAGTGACAAAAAGATGTAAGATAAAATTTAAGACATGTGGTCATTTGTAAGACATGTTTGTATATGTATAGAATGAGTTTGGAAAGTTACACTAAAAACAGATCAAGATATTAACTTCTGGAAACCAAGGTTGCCAGAGGAGGACAGGAGTAAAAGGTAGGTTTACTTTCCAGTATCTTTTTAATTGTGTTTTATAGACATGTGTCAGCAATGCAAAAATAAACAATTTAAAACAAAATTAGGGCCAAGCTCAGTGGTTCACACCTGTAATCCCAACACTTTTGGGGGGCAAGGCGGGAGGATCACTTAAGGCCAGGAGTTCGAGACCAGCCTGAGCAATATAGCAAGACCTTGTTTCTACAAAATATAAAAATAATAGCTAGGCATGGTGGTGCACACCTGTGGTCCCAGGCTGAGGCAGGAGGATCACTTAAGTGCAGGAAGTCAAGGCTCCAATAAGTAGTGATCACACCACTGTACTCCAGCCTGAGTAATAAAGTAAGACCCTGTCTCAAAAATAAATAAATAAATTCAAAATAAATACACAAAATACTAAAATGCTCTAAATAATTTTTTAAATTTTTAATTGACAAACAAAAATGGTTGCTTTTACTTTAAGTCTATCATAGAACTCTAAGAGTATGGGGAGAAAAATGTGTGATACCTTTTCTCACCCATCATAAAGGTCATGGCTGACACTCCTATAACAAAAGACAAGTTAACAAGAGAAAAGCATAACAAGTTTACTCAATCAAAGTTTTAAGTGACAAACAGGAGATTTCAAAAATGAAGACTCAATGGCCCAGGGAAAACTGTCTATTTTTATGCTTAGCTTCAGTGAAGAATGGACAGCCGTAGAGAAATAAAATCAGACGGCAGAGTATGATCTACGGCTAAAAGACTGAAGGGGAGAACTCAGCAAGACCTGTCTGTTCAGATCCTGTTCAGATCCTTCTCCATCTCTCTGTGTAGCATTCCCTCCCCCAGCTGCAGGGCAGGACCCCTCTGGAATACGAGTCTTCAAAAGAGAAGGGAGAGAGTATCCTTTCTAGGTTTTATGGCCATTTTTGAGAGAGAGGAGTTTTAGCTTCTGTGATCCACCTTGGGGAAGAGGAATTCTGGTTTCTATGACTCACTTTGGTGGAGAAAGAGGGAGGGGGAGAGGAAGGCAGGAGAATTCTGAGAGAACTTTTCTTCTGAGGCTGCTTCTGAGGCCTTCCAATGTCCTAAAGTTCAAAGTACTCAGCACGCCAAAGCACCATATTTTGGGGTGTTGTTTTCTGAGCCCCAACAAGGGGAACATTTTAAAAGCTTGAAATATTTATCTTAATTGTTGAGTGTCACATGCCTTCCACAGCTGTGCATAGAAAGAAAAGATGTGAGTGGCAGGGTTACTGTCCTTGGACACACACTCAGGAACTGAGCTCCACTGGGAGTGGGACTGTTAGAAACTGTTTGGACTGTTTGCTCTCAACATTTTTGAAAATAAAAACAAACAAAAAAAGTTATTGTAGATATTTCAAGATTTTTAAAAACTTATCATGAGATTTGTGGCCTTCTAGCTCCCAAAGATGTGAATGGAATCACATCTCTACTTTTTCAAAAACTTTCTCTCTAAGAACTCTCCCCTTAACATTTGTTTAGTTTGTTCATTAAGAGTTAAATAAAGATAGGCAGTGTGGTCTCCTTTCAACTTCCAAAGATCTTGTATTCATTTATCCTTCACCCTACACACTCATTTTCTTGCTCTGCTGAGAACAGAACAATGGCTGTATTTTAACTGACCATTTCTCTTCACAAAAGATCTGCATTTGGTAGGGTAAGGAGAGCCCTCTTTGTAAGTGTCATGAAAGAAAAAGGAAGAAAAATGCCTCTATCCAGGAAAACTCAGCAACCTGTAATCTCTCTTAATGTTTTCCTCGGCCTTCATTATGCTCACATGATGAAACAAGATGGAATGTTCAACACTGTTTCGTCTTGGAAAGAAATGATTAAGTTGTTTCAAGCAAACATCAGGCTATCAAATTTTATAGAATACATGAAGAATGTTTATCATCCATATTTTCCTCCTTTTACTGGTGTTTTATGCACACCAGTAATCTCCAGTTCCTTTAAACTGAATAAGATATCATAAAGATTGAAAGGAATATCCCATTTATTATATTTATAAATCTAGGAAAACAAGTGTATCTATAAAGTGAATATTGAATATATTTCTCAGTGAGGAATGGCCTGATTGCTATTGCAAATACCTGTTAAGGGAATAAACCTAACTATTAAGAACCAATAGTTCTACACCTTCAGCTTACAGGGTTTCAATACGAATGACTACAAAGACCTACAAATCATAAACAAATATCCTGAAGGCTGAGCCATCTTCAGGAATCAAGAGAGATAATTATATGCCACCCACTTGATAATAGAGAATATCATAATTTATTCCAATACCTAATTTTCTCCCACAATATTTTTGCTTTGCCAAATAGAACATGAACATCTTTCAAATGTTAGTTATTTCTCATATTATTTCAAATTTAAAACTTTATAATGAGGATTTACATGCATTACTCATACACACATATTTGCAAATTTGTCTTTGCATTTCTAACTCAAAATATATGCGGTCAGCTCTTAAAGCACCACCTGTGAGGACTTCATGCATCGTGGGGAAATGTGGGTTGGCTTCTCCCTCTCCTGCCATCATCAATCAAAAATTCAAACACATTTAAAAATCAGCCTCTCCTAAACATAATTAGGAAAGTGAATCCAGTGTAGAAAATTATGTGTAGTAAATCCTTTGTAATCCAGGGAACCCCTGATGGCATTCGAGAAAATAGGCATCAAAATGTCTATGAGGAAAAGAGCTCTTGACACATGAATTCAACAAAACCAGGTCTCTATAATAATGTTCTCTCCCCTGGCACTCTAAAGACTTGTTTGTGTATTCATTAATGCCTTGTCACCTTTTGGCAAATCACTGAGTAGTTAAGTCTTCCTTTCTATATAGGCTTTCAGTGATTTAATTTATAAACAAAATTTATTTTTCAAGTTACATGCATTTTACCCGGAAGGAAAAATGACAATAACACTATTTGTTAAAACCTACTGTGTAAACTGGCACTTTGAACATGTGATTCCATGACCTTATTGCAAAAATCATCCATGACACATGTATCAGTTTTCCTATTGCAGCTGTAACAAATTGCAAACATAGCGGCTTAAAAGAAAAGAATTTCTTTTTCTCTTACAGTTTTGGAGGCCAGAAGTCCAAAATGAAACTCTGGAACTAAAAATCAGGGAGGCAGCAGGGCTGGTTCCTTCTGGAGGCTCCAGGGGAGAATCTGTTCTTTGTCTCTTCCATTTTCTGGAGGTTACTGGCATTCCTTGGCTTGTGGCCACATCACTCTAATCACATTGCATTCTCCTCTTCTGTAGTCAAGTATCTCACTCTGTCTCTGCCTCTGCCTCTTTCTCTTATAAGGATACCTGTGATTACAATTAGGGCCCACAAAGATCCTTAGCTTAATTACATCTGCAAAGTTCCTTCCATACAAGTTACATATTCATAGGTTCTGGGATTAGAATGTGGACATATTTGGGGGACATCATTCAGCTACCACAGGTGGTGTTCCCATTTTATGGATGAGGAAACTAAAAGATGGTAAGCCACTTTTCCACTTCCACAGAGCTGATAAAGCCATAAGTCAAAGCCCTTGTTTACTCCCCTACACCAGGCAGAAGGTTTTATGTTTGGGAATCATTTTAGAATTTTGAAATATATATTAAAGCAAAAAAAATTTTAACGTGACTTAAGATCTTAAAAGATGGTTTTATGTGCCTCAAAAAGACATATGAAATAAAATTTGTGCTATGTAAAAATATCCCTGAAGTACAAGAGCTAGAAAGGGATGAAATCTCACCCCTTTCCACAAAGACTAAAACATCCTCCAAGTTTATTCATTGAAATAGTCAAGCATGTGAATGTAAAGTTATTAATTGCAGAGAATTTATGGTGATTTCCTTTTGAAGCCAACAGAGATGTTCTCTTGGATTTGAGTTCCAGAAGGTGCCTCAACAGCCTGGAAGTAGTGGGGGAGGGATATAGTTAGGGAGAGGAGAAAGCTAAGATGACTAAACGTTGGACCTGTCAACTTTATTTCATCCGGAGCTCTACTTCTCTTTCTCTCATATTTAGAAATCCTGACTGGGAATCCATGTGGGAGTAATTTTTATACTGTTAAAACGAATTTGAAAAATCACTAGACTTAACCTTTAAGGACTCCAATTCCTTCTGTATCTATAACACATTGAATACATTTCTGTATGAGAGAACACGAGGGAATAAAAACGAGAGATAAGAGAGCCTGAATCTCTACATAGTTAGTTCCTTCATCTTTGTTGCCATTGCCAAAATGGTTGCCCATCCTTCCAGACAATTTGGCCAGATTACAGTCTTTATGGGTTGTGAAACTGGTCAGGGTGAATGGATCAGCTGTGCTCCACACAGCATGTTTGGCCACTCTTTCTAGCCGCTAGGGTCTCTTTAGTGAACCACTTCTTCAAGTGTGCTAGTCTATCATCATAGCAATAAACACTTAAAGCCCTCTCCATGTCAGCCATTGACTCCATTCTCAGAGAGCCACATATGTAGGCACTTCAGTTGTGTCTACAAACACACAGTGGTTGGGGGACAAACAAAGTGAAAAACCCTGTTTATTTTGCAAACAACTGCTCAGAAACTATATATTCCTCTAAATTTAGTAAACTTTTTCAAAATAACTTGACTGAATCCAGTCTTTTTTACACCTTCCAACCAGTCTTTGTTTGTTGATACATTCTTTTATATTTGTGAGAAGTACATAAAGACTTCTTCAAGGTCATGGGGCTCCTTGTAAAGCCATCTCATGACCTCAGCTCACACAAGGAGATATTGTAGAAGTTACCTCGATGGTGTAAGTTTCTCTCCTGGTAACAGTGTGTAGTGAAAAGTCCGGAAATTACACTAATGATTGTGGACCACCAGAATACTTTACTGTTCAATACCTTCAACCAGGACCCTGGAATTTCTTGAGAAATTTAAAGCAACTTCAAAATATTCAATTCAATCAAGTTCTGCAGTAGGTCAGCTGATTTGTTTAGATTCATTCATTCATTCTTTCAGTCATTCACCATTTCCCCCTCTATACATAGCACTCTGTCTTTCATATTAGTAAAAAAAAAAAAAAAAAAAAAAATAGAGGATTCTTGTTTTGATGGGACATTTCATCTTGGTAAAATGAACTAAGTTGCAGTACCTCCTTTAAGAATTATTTGTGGAAACTTTCCATGTCATACATAAGTTTTTTTCCTCAGTCCCCATTACAAGTTAGAAAAGACTGTATCTGTCAAAAAGAAAAGATACAGCTTTATTGGATATAGTCCAAGAAGATACAATTAATTATAGGTGCAACTTCCAAAATGGTATGTGTTTTTATTACTTGTAAGACATTTAAAAAACATTTTTTAAAACATTTATAGGATCTGTGGTTAAAATACAAATATTCCTTGTAAATTTAATTATCAGAATAAAGGCTCCAGTGAGTAGAGGTTTTGAGTCCTAACACAGAGTACAGAACACCTCTGGGAGGGGTGGGCTGGGGAACAGCCATGCTGACAAAGCAACATAGAGATCTACAGAGGAGATAAGCCACTGTCATTGGGAAAGGCTTTGAGGTGATTGACAGGTGTTTTATAAATTGCCTCTGGCAGCAAACAATCAGCATTGGGGAAGACTAAAAAGAAAAGTGAAGACACCAAGTGGAGACAGGTAATTGCCCCATCAAAGAGCTCACCATCCTAAGATCTACTCCTTAAAACAGATGGCTTTGGAAGGAAAAACTCCTCCCTGCTTGCCAGTAAAGCTGGTCCATGATTCTTTCTTGTGTCTTTACCCCACTTTAATCCATCACCTCCCATTCTGTTTCCCACAAAGACCAAATTCCTAAAGCATGCTCAATAGAAGGGGAGTTGTCCACACGTGCAGCCAATAATACCCACATCATTTATAAGGCAACAGACTCAGGCTCTGGGATTGGAGGTGTGGCTGCTGCAATGCTTCCCTCTCTTCACTAACATGCCACCAGTGTGCTGAGCCAGGGTTCAGGACACCCTGACAATGAGTCACATTTCACACCCTTTGGCTACAGCAGAGTGTTTCTGAGGCAAACGCCCCCCTCTGCCTTGCAGACTTAAACAAACAATCCTCTTGAGAATCACAAGTGACTTTGTTCCTCTTCTGAGTAGGTGCCCTCTCTGTCATTGTTTCAGTATAGACTCTGAAAGGTGAGCTTCAAAACAAAAACCCAGAAACTCAGGAAGGTCAGGCTTGCTAGTCAATGAAGATCAGGAGTGCAAGAGGAAAAGATAACCTGAGGTTGAATTGCAGGAATGTTGGTGCCATTCTCCCATTTCCTTTCCTTTGCCTCATTTGACTGTGATAGAAAAGAATGCCCAGTCCCCAGGCACCCTAATCTATGCACTCATGAGAATCCACATTGGTTGTCATCTTCCTTGATAAATATAAACCCCACAATATGACCCAGGCAACCAAATCCAGCCCTTCCACCTATAGCCCTTTATTCCCAGGAGGTTCAACCTTCTACTCCTTCTGCCTAGGACTTAGTTCAATTTTTGATTCTGGAAATCCCTAATCCATTTTCTGATTTGGGCTTCCTCAAAAATATGTTGGGGTGGACACATGCTTTTGTGCACCTCTGTAATCCCAGCTACTCATGAGGCTGAGGCAGGAGGATGGCTTGAGTCCAAGAATTTGAGACAAGCCTGGGCAACATAACAAGACTTGGTCTCTTAAAAATAACAATAACAGTATGTTGGGAATTTGAAATTCAAGATACCTCTGGCAAAATAATAATTATTATTTATAATAATATTAATTATTAATATTTTATTAATAATAATAAAAGGAAAACAAAAGAAAACTCCCACAGTCATAATCCCATGATAATGCAGCAAGAACCTGTTTCTGTGAAAAGGGGACTCAGGTCATACATGCAATGGACATAATATGCTAAGATGGAGAAAAGCACACTTTGAAATAGATTATTTTAGTGTCTTCTTGATATGAAAATATTTTGGGCACTATTTAGTACAATTTTCTGGAGGAAAAAAATTGGCTCACCTATGATGAACTGTGCCTACTTCATCATGATTAGAAAAAAAAAATCTGTTATCTTATTTTTTATCAACAACCAATACCAACTATTACCTCCACCTCAATCTCATGAATGTAATCAAATCATGATTTGGTGACTACTGTACCTTTCCCTAATTTTAACCTTTAAGAAGCTAAGCCGTCTTACCAGTTGGAGCCAGAACTTCAATCCTTTTCTGGACTGCCCAGTTAGAGTCATTAAACCCCCATGTCCTCTGCAAACTAAGAAGTACAACTCTTTGCCTTTGTCTTCTCCAGGATTCACAGTGACGAATCCACTAGCCCCTACCATCATTTTCCCTTGCTCTCAATGCTTTAAAAGACATTTTGCTACATCCCTCATACCCATCCTCTACCTTCCTCTATGTGCGAGAAACAACCAGGAGTCCGTACTCCTTCACGGAGAATTAGTGACTCTAGGAACACGGAGTGAGTCTGCCTTGATCTCAGCCAATTTTGTATCTCATTCACAGTGCTTTTAATTAAAATAGGCATGGGCAGTAGAAGTCATTCAGGCCAATGAGACATGAGAGAAGTATGCAAGGGGGCTTCTGGGTAGTTTTTCCTTACATGAAAAAAGAGAAGTACCAGAAGAGATGACCTCTAGACATTGATAGGACTGGATCTGATGCCTGAAACTGCTGCAGCAATCTTAGAGCAGTGAAATGAACTAGACGCGAGCTGTCCAATATTATAGCCACAGGTGGCTACTGAGCACTTGGAATGTGGCTAGTCTAAAATGAGAAATGCTAATCAAATATCTCACTAATAATTATATTCACATTCCCAGTCATGAGACTGCTGAATCGAACTGTAGTTCTGTTTGTAGTTCTTTGAGAAATCTGCAAAACTGCTTTCCACAGTAGCTGAGCTGATTTACACTCCCACCAACAGTGGATAAATGTTCTCTTTTCTGTGCAGTCTTGCCAACATCTGTTGTTTTTTGTCTTTTTAATGATAGCCATTCTGACTGGTGTGAAATGGTATCTCATTGTGGTTTTGATTTGCATTACTCTGATGATTAATGATGTGGAACATTTTTCATGTTTCTTGGCTGCTTGTAGGTCTTCTTTTGAAAAGTTTCTGTTCATGTTCTTTGCCCATGTTTTAATGGGGCTATTCTTTTTTTGTATGTTGATTTGTTTAAGCTCCTTATAGATTCTGGATATTAGTGCTTTGTCAGATGCATAGTTTGTGAATATTCTCTCACACTCTGTAGGTTCTCTTTACTCTGCTGATTATTTCTTTTACTGTGCAAAAGCTCTTTAGTTTAATTAGGTCTCACTTATCAATTTTTGTTTTTGTTGCAATTGCTTTGGAAGACTTAGTCATAAATTCCTTCATAAGGCTGATGTCTATAATTGTGTTTCCTAGGTTTTCTTCTAGAATTCTTATAGTTTGAGGTCTTACAATTATATCTTGAGTTAATTTTTGTATAGGATGAAAGGTAGGGGTCCACTTTTATTCTTCTGCGTATGGCTAGCCAGCTATCCCAACACCATTTATTGACTAGGGAGTCATTTCCCCATTGCTTACTTTTGTCGACTTTGTTGAAGACCAGATGATTGTAGGTGTGTGGATTTATTTCTGGGTGCTCTCTTCTGTTCCATTGGTCTATATGTCTGTTTTTGTACCAGTATCATGCTGTTTGGGTTACTATAGCCTTGCAGTGTAGTTTGAAGTTAGATAATGTGATGCCTCTGGCCTTGTTCTTTGATCTTAGGATTGCTTTGGCTATTCAGGACCTTTTTTGGTTCCATATGAATTTTAGAATAGTTTTTTCTAATTCTGTGAAAAATTATTTTGGTAATTTGATAGGAATAGTGTTGAATCCGTAGATTGCTTTGGGCATTTTGTCCATTTTAACAATATTGATTTTTCCTATCCATGAGCATGGAATGTTTTTCCATTTGTTTGAACCATCTACAATTTTTTTCAGCAGTATTTTGTAGTTCTCCTTGTAGAGATCTTTTACTTCCTTAGTTAGACATATTCCTACGTGTGTGTGTGTGTGTGTGTGTGTGTGTGTGTGTGTGTGTGTCTATTGTAAATGGGACTGCGTTCTTGATTGATCTCTCTGCTTGAACTTTATCAGTGCGTAGAAATGCTACTAATTTTTGTACATTGATTTTGTATCCTGAAACATAACTAATGTTGTTTATCAAGTTTAGGAGGCTTTTGGCCGTCTTTAGGATTTTCTAGGTATAGAATCGTATTATAAGCAAACAAAGATAGCTTGACTTCTTTTCCTATTTGGATTCATTTTATTTCATTCACTTCCCTGATTGCTCTGGCTAGGACTTCCTCATATTATATTTTTATTGGATGACATTAAGGTAGACTGATGATAAAGCCCAAATGCTAAAAGTTGCAGAGCTGAAATGTGAAGAAAACTTAGTCCTAGATGATGTCCTTAACCAAACTTTTGACTTCATTTATAACTCTGGAGCTGTTCTATCCCAAGACTTCTTTTGTTGTGGGATAGGAATCTCCCTTATAGTTTAAGTCATTGCAAGTTGAATTTCCCATTACTTACAGCTAAAAAGTCTCAACACGATGACTTTCTGTCATTATCTAGAGAGGCCACTTTGACTATGCCAATCTCATAGTTAGAACCAGTAAGCTCACTGAGACAGAAGACTCTGGCCTTCTATGGACAAGTCCTTGGACATACAGAAAAAAGCATGGATTTTAAGACCTAATGTCTTCTGTTTCCTTCTTTTCAAAATTGAAATGAAAACATCACTTAACCTATAAGATTACTATAAGTATTGTCACTTAGATGCTATATTAGTTTGCTAGGGCTGCCATAACAAATTAACATAAACAGGATGGCTTAAACAACAGAAATTAGTTGTCTAACAGTTTTGGAGAGTAGAATTTGGAGATCAAGGTGTCAGCAGGACTGGTTCCTTGTGACGGCTGTGAGGAAGAATCTGTTCCATATCTCTCTCCTAGATTCTGATGGTCCGCTGGCTATATTTGGCATGCTTTGGCTTGAGGGTGTATTACCCCAATCTCTGCCTTTATGTGCACAGGGCATTCTCCCTGTGCGCTGTTGGTGCCCACATTTCCCTTTTTATAAGAACACAGTCATTTTGGATTAGAGCCCACCTTAATAACTTCATCTTAGCTTGAACATCTGCAAGACCCTGTAGAATTTTAACATCTTTTGGGGAGACATAATTCAACCCATAACAGTGGCTACATAAACTTCTGTTGAATTGAAATTAATTGTGTTTTTAAAATTGCAAGCCTCCACACAAATCTAGGTACTATGCAATCATAGAAAAAGTAGTACATTTCCCTCCTGTCCAAAAGAGGGCATAGAAAGTTCAAGCAGCAAACATTTTCATTCACCAGGTACTTTGAGTGGGTTCAGAAAAAAAGTTGTTGTAACTAGATATTTAATAAAAAATGATTTGGCCCCTGGTGATTTAAAGCTGTAGCCAATACTGTATATTCTTTTATAAGTCAATCTGCATTTTTTCTGATTTGTGTTTTGACCTAGACGAGTCATGTAGGTTGACCCTCTTCCTGTGGTGGAATTTCCCACAACCTGCTGTTTAAGCAGCTGTTCACTCCTCTAAATCACTCCCATTCTGTAACCCGCCAGCAACTGGGTTTTCAAGTTAGCTAAATGGCAAGCCACATGGCACTGCATCACAAGCCAATGGAAGTCTGCTTTTTCCAAATGACTGAAGTTTTAAAAATTGATTTATATCCCCAATATTCTTTGGCCCCAAAACTTTTACAACCCCTACTATTCACTGTAGATTTCTCTATTTCATGGATTTTTCTATATTAACCATGCATTCTTTTTATTTCCTTTTTTTTTTTTCAGAAATACAAGAGCATGAGGTTCTTAGGTTCAGTAAATCCCCTAATAACTGACAACAGATGAGAACAAAGACTTCATTTGTAAAAGAGAAGATTTTCTGCTTTTGTTCTGCGAATTAATTTTTCCCACTATGGCTGCAGTGTTTCTCTTTGGCATTCCTACGAGTCTAGCCCTAATTGGACAGAGTAGCATAGGGCTGCAAGTTATAAAACCAGAGTCATGAAGGCCTCTCATGTTTGCACTCTAGGTTCAAACATCCACGGAGAATTTGCAATTCAAAGATGTTTCAAATTTTCAGGATCCCTAATTGTTCACTCTTCAAAAGGAAGAGAAGAGTCTGATGATGCTGGGTAATATTTATTGAGAGTGGACCATGCTTCAGGAACTGTGCTAGGTCCTCACATACATTAGCTCCAATCCTCAGACCAATCCTGTAATAAATGTATTATTATTCCCACGTGGCAGAAGACAAAACAGAGACTCAGATCTAAGTTTAGTAGATTGCCCAAGAACACAGCTGGCAAGAAATAGAACCAAGATTCTATTCTAGATATCAAAGGTCACCCCCTTTCTCTTTTATCATAAAATTTATACTAAATATTTTTCACTTCATCAACAAACAAAAGGTAGCCCCAACACCCTTGAGAAAAGCTTATTGCAGTCACTGTGAATTATTCTCATTGTTTGAAAAGTTATTACATAAATATCCTTACTGTTTCTGTTCAAAGCAGTAATCCATAGGTATCATAGGCTTTTATGAGAAATTCTACATCTTACAGGACAGCGAGAGGACACTGCCTTACATGCCACTTTTGAAAACAAAAATTAGTAATTAAATCCGTAGTTAATTGAATTCAGCAGCAAACACTAATAAGAATTTATGGCATACAACAGAGTCAACACCTATCACCCCTGGGTCAAAGCCTGACTGCTGCCTGTTTTTGTACAATCTATGAGCTGAGAATAGCTTTTACATTTTTGAATGGTTAAAAAATATATCAAAACAAGAATATTATTTTGTGAGCGTTATATGAAATTCAAATTTCAGGGGCAATAAAAAAGGTATTTTTGGGAACACAGCCATGTTCATTCATCTATGTACTGTCTATGGCTTTGAGCTACAACAGCAGAGTTCAGTCATTGTGGCAAAGATTGTATGGCCTGCAAAGCCAAAAATATTTACACAAAAAGTTTGCTAAACCCTGTTATACTAGTCTTTATGGAGGGATCTATAAAGGTGACCAGAATAGGACATAGATTCTGCTCTCAAAGAAAAGTATGTTGATGCAAAAGCAGTTGTGGTTTTGTCATTACTTTCAATGGCAAAAACCACAATTACTTTTGCGCCAACCTAAACAATTTAGGAGGGGGTTAGGATTTGTATAAGAATCTTAAGGACAAGGAAAACAAGGCCAATGTCATAAGGGATGTTTGAGCTGAGTGAATATTCAAAGGAGGGGAAATTATCAAGAGGTATGGAAATAGAGACCTGCTCTATCTTAAATCCTTACCCTGGTTTATATGGTAACTGAAAAACAGTTACTGCACATGGAGCTCCTTTCATCTTACTTTAATCTGCCTCCATATACACATATACACAAGAGATCATAAAAGTGCTTTTCAAGAATGACTTTATTTTCAAAATTATATTTTCTTAAGCCCCTAAAATATTCCATTTGAGCTAAAGTCATTTATATGAAACTCTGACACATTGTCCATGAATTTTAGAGCTCAAAAGAATTTAGATATTATTTAACCCAACACTTTCATTTTACAGATGAGAAAACTAAGCCCAGAAAGGTAAAGAGAATTTCTTAAGTTCAAACAACTAGTAAATGACTGAGCTGGCAGTAAAGGAGAGGAAGGGGATCTGTAATTCATAGTGTACTTGCTTCTACATACATCTTCTAATTTAATTCTCACAGCAGCCCTACAAGGTAGATCTTATGTCCATTTTACGAGACAAAAAACTGAAGCTCAGAGAAAGTAAAACAAAAATGTACCTAAGGTCTCACAGTATTTATAGAAGCCAGAAACAAAAACTCCAAATCCTGTGATTTTTATACTTTATGATCTCCTGAGGAGTTGTAATCGAGTTTTTTACCCTAGCACACATGATTCCCCTAGTTCTAAAAAGAAGGCATGTAGCTTAAATGAATGGTTTTCTCAAATCACCATGCATGTGCCTTCCCCTTGGCACAGTTCTGGCGAACTTGGATAAAAGAGCATTGGTCACTTACAGACTTGCCTTACGTTATTCTTTCCTCAAATTAAATCGTACTGTGTCTTCATTTTAAAAACATTGGTTCCCTTTTGGGGGGCATGAAGTAAAAATCCGGTAGTAATGCTTCTGTTGTGCATTAGGCAGGCATTAGCTCAGATTAATGAATCATTTATTTGCATCACTAAATATAAACATATAGGTTAACCTGGTGCTTAGCTAGGACTCAAGAGTTTTAACCATTTTTTAGTTATAAAATGTGGCTATGTAGTAATATGCTCAATAAAACAAACAAACAACAACAACAACAAAAACACTAAACTCTTACCCCTAAAAGACCCTGTGCTCTTCAAATGATATACTAAAGATTAGCTAGATGTTCACCCCATCATGTCCTCTTCTTCCTGAGCTTATGATTATACTATTAGCTTGGTGCAAAAGTGATTGTGGTTTTGCCAATTGCTTTACCAAACAACCGCAATTACTTTTGCACCAACCAAATACATTCCTCAGCGTCAGAGAAAGTAAGTACATCCACATTACATTCATCAACCTCCATTACAGTTAGGTGCAGTCATACGACTGAGTCTGTCCACTAAAATGTGGGCAGAAGGGAACCATGCACCCTCCACCTAAGGCCTGCCATAAACCCTTCAGCACAGTCATCATATTCCCTCTCTTTCCTCATCTCTTAGTCACACGCAGAGCAGCTGTTGGAGATTCTCAAGACCATCTGAGACATGACTGAACCACTAAAGGGAAAGAAACTAGATTCCTCTGACTCCAGTTAACCTACATTGGCCCAGTAAGAAAGGGAGAAGTAAGCTTATTGTGCTGTCATTGAGATTTGGGGGTGTTTTCACAGCATTTAGTCAGCCCAGAAGATTTTAAAGCGATTGCATTGGAAGGTCAGGGGCCATGGCTCAAATATTTCTAGCTGTTTGATTTTCTCATTCCCTTTGTATCCTATCTCACTTTATTTTCAACATTCATGTTCCCAGTAGAGGTGGCTCTTCATTTTTCCGAGTGAATTTCATTACTGACAGCAACCAAATGACATACGTTACCAAATTTTGTAAATAAAGATTAATCACACCGTGCAATAAGTTTACCAATCAAAAGTAATATGTGACTGTAAAGCAGTGACTCTAGTGCAAATCTGGCCCACAGCCTGGTTTTTGTAGATAAAGTAGTATTGGAATATAGCCATGCTCATTGTTTACATGCTCTCTACAGTTGCTTTCACTCAGGACAACAGCAGAGTTGAGTAGGTGCAACTTAGCCTGCAAATTTTTAAATAATTACTATCTGGGCACTTTACAGAAAAATTTTGTCAACTCTGCCTCTAAATGAACAAAACTCATTTCCTTCATTAATCGTCCTACTGACTTTGAATGCAATTCCAAGATAGAAATCCCAAAAAGTTTTAGGCGTGCCAGCATTGTGGGACCAGTTACAGAAACCCCTAAGAAAATGACTTTGAGGTCACACGTCCAGAGGCCGAGCCGTCGCGTACCTAGGATGCCGCGTGGAAGCCGAAGCCGCACCTCCCGCATGGCCCCTCCAGCCAGCCGGGCCCCTCAGATGAGAGCTGCACCCAGGCCAGCACCAGTTGCTCAGCCACCAGCAGCGGCACCCCCATCTGCAGTTGGCTCTTCTGCTGCTGCGCCCCGGCAGCCAGGTCTGATGGCCCAGATGGCAACCACTGCAGCTGGCGTGGCTGTGGGCTCTGCTGTGGGGCACACACAGGGTCACGCCGTTACCGGAGGCTTCAGTGGAGGAAGTAATGCTGAGCCTGCGAGGCCTGACATCGCTTACCAGGAGCCTCAGGGAACCCAGCCGGCACAGCAGCAGCAGCCTTGCTTCTATGGGATCAAACAGTTTCTGGAGTGTGCCCAGAACCAGGGCGACATCAAGCTCTGTGAGGATTTCAGTAAGGTGCTGAAACAGTGCCGACTTGCAAAAGGATTGGCCTAATCAAGAAGTTCAACCTGGAGAGATGGAAAGTCAGCTCTCATAACTAAGTTAATTTAGTATAAAAATAGAATTGATAGTGAGGGTATAAAGTGTAACCATCAGTTAAACCTCTCCTGTCATTCCTAGCTTCCTTGCTTCAGAATTGAAATGGGAGGGGGATGGGTGTTCCTACTCTGTACAATCTGGGACTGGGCAAATGTTTGTGTGGCCTCCTTAAACTAGCTGTTATGATTTTATTCTTTGTGAGTTGATTAGAATAAAGTCATTTTCTTCCAAAAAAACAATGACTTTGAATAAACAATTCTCATGTGAAAGAATATGTTCCATGGCATTGGTTAGAAATCAATCATATCCTAACTTTTAAACAAATTTAAAAGACAAGTTATATACTAGAAGGAACTATTTGTTGATAAAGCAGTAGTATCCAGAATAAATATAGAATTCCCACAAATAATTACTACTACTAATAAAACACCCTAAGAATACGGACAAAGGATATACACAGCAACTCACCAAAGACAAAAATCTAAATGTCCAATAAACTAATGAAAATGGTCTCTACCTCACTAATAATCAAGGAAATGCAACTTAAAGCAACAATGAAATATCATTTCGCTTCTGAAAGACTGGAACAACTTTTAAATGTGGAAACATCAAGTGGTGGCAAGAACGTGGGAAAGCAGGATATAATCTGGGTATAATTTGTATTATCACTGTGGAAAACAATTTGGTAGTTCCTAGTCAGCCTGACTCCATGCATGCATCGCCTGCAACCCAGCAATTCCACTTCCAGAAACACAATCTGCAGGAATTCCCACACATGAGCGTAAGAAGACTGTCCAAAGATGTGCATTGCAGCCCTGTTTATAACAGAAAAGAGTGGAAACAGCTTTCATCTGTAAGGAACAGGATAATAGAACTGGAGATTAATTCATTTTTATGAAAGTATACAAGAGTTAAAATGAATTGACTGCTTCTACCCGGATAAATCTCAGAAACACAATGGTGAATTAAAAAACAATTGAAAATGAAATACACAGTAGCATACCATTTGTGTAAATTTTTTTAAATACACAGAATCATATTTTTATAGATATTTCTATAGTAAAATTATAAATACAACTTAAAAGTAAAAACAAAGTAAAAGTTTTTTAAAAATACAGGCTGGGCATGGTGGCTCACCCTGTAATCCTTGCACTTTAGGAGGCCGAGGTGGGCGTATCATGAGGTCAGGAGTTCGAGACCAGCCTGGTCAATATGGTGAAATGCTGTCTCTACTAAAAAACACAAAAATTAGCCAGACGTGGTGGCTTGTGCCTGTAGTCCCAGCTACTCAGGAGGCTGAGGCAGGAGGATCACTTGAACCCGAGAGGCAGAGGTTGCAGTGAGCCGAGATCATGCCACTGCACTCCAGCCGGGGCGACAGAGCTAGATTCCATCTCAAAAAGAAAAAAAAAAAATACAAAATACAGACCACCTTCAGTTGATAGTTAGCTCTGAGAAGGGAGGGAAAGGGAAAGGATGGGTGTTGCACCTCAGCTGTCATCTTACAGTCCTTTCTTTAAAACAGAGAAAGAGTATAACTAAGTATGGCAAAATAATAACATTCATTTATTAGGTGGTTGACAAGTAGATCTCTGTTTATTAGGTTTTTTGTATATATATGTGTACATACATACAGACACTCAAAAGGAAAAAAGTAACTAGTCACTCCTCTTTAAAGCTACACTGGATTCTCTGCCCTCTGCACACAGTAGGACCCTAGACACAATGTACATGACATTCAGGAGACCCTGCATCACCTGTCCATTCAGGGATGGGCCCACCTAGAGAAGCCAATTCTTATAACATATTCTTGCCTTGGGATTTTTGGAGAAGGGAAATATCTGTGGCCCTCAAATAGATATTTACCTCCTTGCTCCTCAGGAGATTAGTGGCTCTACGAAAGTGCAACTTCCACGTATTTTGTGAGATTAACCCATGATTAGACATCTCCTCATCTTTGCTCATAACATCAGTTTCCCTCCGTTGCATCTGAGCATGGTTGTAACCTACACAGACCATACCTCAATGGCTGGAGTACATTCCTGCCTCAGTCTACACCCTTGTCAGTTTTCTGCTGCATAGTCACATCCTTATGGTGCAATTCCTGAAAGTGAGCTAAACAGTCCCCCTCACGTTGACCCCATCATCACACTCCTCCCTTCTTAACACCTGTCCTAGTCGTGATTCATTAATTACGATTGTGTTAACATACAATCAATGTCTCTCTAGACTGTAGGCTCACAGGGTACGACTTTGGGTTTTTACACAGCAATATTTCCAGAGCCAAGCTCTGTGCATAGAAAAGAACAGGTACTCACTAATTATTTGTGGAACGAATGGCTTCTGAAGTACAGAAAGAGTCCTTTCTGGAATCAAAGACTGGGGATGAACAAAGTCTATGTATGTCGGCTCAGCATAAATACTATAACAGAAAATGGATTAGAAGAACTCTGTAAATCTGATTTCTAAACCTGGTTTTGCTACTTACTCACTCCAGGGTCCTGAGAATTCTTAGATTCTTTAAAAGCGCTAAAGGAAGTTTGCAGCCTCAGAGGAGAAGCAATCCAGTTCGTCCTTAGGAGGCCCAGCTCTCTTCACTGGCTAAATGGTCCTGGGCAATTTATGACTTCTGAGTTTGCCTCCTTATCAAAAAACAGAAAATAATCATTGTACCCACAGTACGAGTTATTATAGGTATTGTTATACGAGTATAAAAACACTGCATAGTTATCCTGGACTGTACAAAGCAATCAAGAAATGTAAGAAAGAAGGAGGAGAAGAAGAGAAGAAGAAGCTATAGAAAACCATGTAAACCAGAAATTATAATACAATGTATTGTTATTCTCTGCAAAACATCATGCCATGCTCTGTGGGAAATGCAAAGAGATATAAGATGTGGTCCTTGCCCTCAAGCGGCTTGCAGTTTGAAAGAGGTAAAGCATGTACATGTGAGAACTTAATGAATGCTCCGGTAATCACACTCCTTGGTATTTGCCCAAAGGAGGTGAAAACGTATGTCCACACAAAAACCCACACGTAGAAATTTATAGTAGCTTTATTCATAGTTGCAAAAACTTGGAAGCAACCAAGATGTCCTTCAGTAGGCTAAGGGAGAAATAAACTGTGGTATATCCAGACAATGGAATATTATTGAATACTCAAGAGAAATTAGCTCTCAAACCATGCAAAGACACAGAAAATTCTTAAATGCGTGTTAGTAAGTGAAAGAAGGCAGCCTGAAAAAAAAAGGCTACATACTGTATGATTTCAACTATTATGACATTCTGGAAAAGGGAAAACTGTGGAGACAGTAAAAATATCAGTGGGATGCTGATAGCGAGGAAGGTTGTATGTGTGTTGAGGCAAGGATACACTCTGTACTTGTTGCTCAATTTTGCTGTGAACCTAAAACTGCCTTTAAGAATAGTCTCTTTAAAAACATTTTAAAACAAGCAACATAAATAATGTGAGGCAGTTCTAAGTTTCATGGGCTTGGGGTAGACCAAAGTGTCAAAGGAGGGTGGGGACCAGAACCACCAAGAGAAGGTCATTGTGAACTCAGCCCAGAAGACAGAACTGACGATTCGGTGAACAGGAACAATCTTTGACTCCTGTAAGGAATCCCGCCCATCCCAACACTGCTTAGGAGGAAGAGGCGGTTCCCTTTTTTGAGAACATATTTTCAAAGCTATTCTCCAAACTGTGTGCACTAAAAAGAGCAGTAAACACTCATCTCAGTAAAACTCCTTAAATACAAAAATATTTAGTATGCCCAGTTTGACTCCTCTCAGTTATTTTTTTTGTTAAATACTCAATGCAGAGTACAATTTACTTCTCCATTAAAAAAAAAAAATCTTTTTTCCATTCTGTTTTGGTTTTTGGGTTTTTGTTGTCATTTCTTCCTAAAGCACTGTTTCCTCACATTTGCATCTCCCAGCCTTTTTAATGTGATATTCCATTTAAACTGCCTTTTAATTGTATGTGCTGCCTTGGCAGAACATGACTGATGTACTCGCGTTAATTAGGGCTCCAGTCAGCAGCCCGTGCCAGCTGGAAACTGAGAAACAAGCGTAAATTATTCTGTCATCAATCAGCTCGAAAATGTTTGAATCACTAATTAGTTTGCAATTTGGGTGACAGTTTATCTGACGCAGGCGGTGTCAGAAACTTCAGATCTTAGATGAATAATTTGCCAGGAACAAGCACAGATTCCCTGCTTTTAAATACATGAAGGTTTATCTGCATGTTGAAAGGTGGCTCAGCAGTCTTCATTAACTTCCAACTGGGACTATGTAAATCAGGAATCAGTGTGAGCCTCTTCAGGTCATGGTGGCTTAGCAGATGATATTTAGAAAAAGAAAGCCTTTTTTCTTTTCTCTTTTTTTATTAATAATTCATAAACTGATAGACAAGGTTGTTTAGGCTTTAACTGCTTTAAGAAATCACAATGGTTTTCAAAAAAAAAGCAATCACCCCCTTTTACATGAAAATTAGTTGTGCTGCATCTTGCTGTTTAACTGATTTATTCTCCTTCACCATCACGTGACTGGAATGTTAAATGGGTAGTGATTATTAGCCCTTGTCCTTTCAAGAAGGATCGTTATTGGGGTTTTGTTAAATGGCAGACTTATGTTTCTGCTTCAAGGGAAAGGTATGTAGACTCGGGTGAGGGCAGGAAGGAAGAACAAGCAGTAAAATAGAAAAGAGAAATTTTTGTCTAAAAGCAACGTAAAAATCTATTATTTATTCAGTTAGGGGTGGTGGAACGGCCCCTTGTTATTTGAATCAAGGAGCTGGCCTAAGTAGTAACTCCCAGCATTAACCATGGACGAGAGGAGATGTTATCTGTGGGATACTTTTGGATTATGGTGCGATTTGGGTCTGCAGCTCCATTATCCCTACGTTTATAGGCCACATACCACCGTATGCACAGAGGACCAAGGATAAAGGGAGTTGTCACCCTTCAAAATCTGTTTGCAAGAGGTCAAGTTAGTCTCCCTTGTTAATTGTAACAGACCTAGTGAGCTAGGAGCTGCAAAACCAATGCTGCCCGCTTCTAGAATGGAGAAGGAGAAGAAAGAAAGACAACTAAGTTTAGAATACTCCATTCCAGCCAGGTGCGGTGGCTTATGCCTGTAATCCCAACACTTTGGGAGGCTGAGGTGGGTGGATCACAAGGTCAGGAGTTCAAGACCAGCCTGGCCAAGATGGTGAAATCCCGTCTCTACTAAAAATACAAAAATCAGCCGGCCGTGGTGACGGGTGCCTGTAATCCCAGCTACTCGGGAGGTTGAGGCAGAGAATTGCTTGAACCCAGGAGGCAGAGTTTGCAGTGAGCCAATATCTCGCAAAAGTGAGACTCTATCTTGGGAGGAAAAAAAAAAAAAGAATACGCCACTCCCTCTTCATTGCCAGCTACCAGAGTGAGTAAAGTTGTCTAGAAGAAGACAGAGGAGCTTAAGGAGTCCCACTAGTGAGAAGTTGGACTTGGAGAATATGGAGCAGTGGGCAGTGTGGACTCTACGACCTGGTTCCATGTAAGGCCTCAATATCCAGGAAAGGAAAGACAAGGTAAGGGAAACAAAACCAAAAATGTAAGGTGTATCACTTTTTTCTCTCAAATCAAGTCCCTAATTTCTTTCTTCCAAGGAGTTTCTTGAGCTCCCATAGTCCCAACGCTCTCCTGTCCATTATTCTTCCTCATAGAATTTTAGTTCACCATTTTACCTCTTGCTATGTGTTTGAATGTTTGGCCCCTCCAAAACTCATGTTGAAATTCAATTGCCATTTTAACAGTATTAAAAGGTGGGACCCTTGAGAGGTGATCAGGGCATGATGGCCCCATCCTCACTGGTGGGATTGGTGCCATTACAAAAGGGCAAGTTCGTGCCTGTCTCACCCACTTCTATTCTTCCATAGTGTGAGAAAGAGCGTTCCTCCTCTCTTGAGGATGCAGCATTTAAGGCCCCATCTTGGAAGCAGAGACCAGACCCTCATCAGACACCAAACCTGCCAGCCCCTTGACCTTAGACTTCCTGGCCCCTAGAATCATGAGAAATAAATTTCCATTGTTTATAAATTACTTAGTCTGTGGTATTCTGTTAACAGCCGCACAGCATGGACTAAGACAACCCCCTACCTCGGCCACTTTGCTAATTCAGGCCGTGCAGTCCCTCCCCTGCATTAACAAATTTCCTAACCAGGTGCCCTCCCTTTATCTTTTCTTCCCCTCCCTACTCTCCCCACAGCTCCATATCAGTTCATTTGAACCCATCCTTCAACACAGGTGGATGAATGGAGAGGAGGAAGGAAGCTGTGTTTGGTAAGGGCAATGAAAATAACAAAAGATGAAAAGTTAAGAATTCCCACAGTATGTTGAGAGGACAGTGAAAAAGTAATCAGACTAATGAGTTCTATAAAACATGGGGTGTTTTGGCTTAAGGATGCAGCATTTATCCTTGGGGTAATGAGGAATCACTGAAAATTTTCAAGTAAGGAAGTAATATAATGAAGTTAGTAAGTGAAGTGCACAATGTCTACAGTCTAAGCAATACTGTTTTGACTGTGTGCCTTAAAATTGGCTTAGTTAGAACAGAAAGGTCCTAAATGTCTTCCCCTCTGATCTGTGAAAGTTTCTTACTCAATGAAAGGAAAATTTAAGGCAGTTTTTGTAAAAAAATAAATATAAGACACTGATGAGACAAGTTATAGCCTGGTAGAAAATTTTAATAGCTACAAACCATATACCCAACAAAGTACTAGTAACAGAAATATGTAAAGAACTCTCAAAACTCAACAGTAAAAAAAAATCCAATTAGAAAATAAGCAAAAGACACAAATTTTGCTGAAGAAGATGTACAGATGACAAATATACACATAAAAAGATGTTCAGCATCATTAGCCATTAGGGAAATGCTAATTAAAGCCACGGTGAGATATCACTTCATACCCATTCGAATGCTTAATAGACAAAATAGTAGTATCACAAAATGCTGACAACAATACAAAAACTGGATTACTTATATATTGCCAATAGAAATATAAAATACTACAGCCACTCCAGAATTGAGCAAGTCAATTTCTCAAAAAAAACTAAAAATGCAACTACTGTATGAATGAGCAATTGGACTCTTGGGCCTCCCACCCAGAAAAATAAAAACTATGTTTACACAAAAACCTGTGCATAAATGTCCATAACTGCTTTATACATAATAGCTAAAAACCAGAAAGAACTCTCCTGTCCTTCAAAGGGTGAGTGGTCAAACAAACTGTTATATATCCATAGCGTGGAATATTACTGAGCAATAAAAAGAAACAAACTGTTCATACATGCAATAATTTGGATGAATCTTAAGGAAATTATACTGAGTCAAAAAAGTCAATTCTAAAAAGTTACATGCTTGCATTTTATGTAACATTCTTGAATGGGCAAAATATGTAGATGGAAAATATTGCGTGGTTTTTGGATGTTAGCGGTATAGGAAGAAAAGAAGGTACATGGCCTTAAACGGGCAAAATGAGGGATTTCTGTGATGGTGGAGCCGTTTCTGTATCTTGACTGTGGTGGAGGATACATGAATCTGCAATGTGACAAAATTACATAAAACTATGCAATTGCCCACACACACACATTCATGAACTAGTATAAGTAAAATTCGGGAAATCTGAGTAAGATTGCTAGACTGCATCAATGTCAATATCCTGGTTGTGATGTGCACTATAGTTTTACATGATGTTAGCATTGGAGAAAACTGAGTAAAGTGTATACGAGATCTCTCTGTATTATTTCTGCATGTGATTCTGCAATTACCTCAAAATAAAAAGTTTAATTAATAAAAATATGCAGTCCAGAACAAAAGCTGTCAGTGCCTCTACTTGAAAGACCTGCAGAAACAGGAGAAACTCGTGGAGAATCTTTCCCCAACATTTCCAGAGTGAGAAAGGCAATAGGCATTCTACTACACAAAGTTATGAAGAGATCCAGATTGATGGTGGCTCTCCAGGTTCAGCACATGGCTTCCAATGTCACTGTGGTATTGGAGGAGTGAGGTCACCATCTCAGAGAGCTGAAAAGGGAAAGGGTATGAAGGAGCATACAAGGGAGATTTTACAAGCCAAGTTTAAAAGTGGTGCACACCACTTGCTAAAATGAACAAACAAACGAGTTCATTACAGTCTGGCAGGAGACTCTAGAATCATTTCAAACCTTCCTTTCCTCAGTGCTTCTGTGAAGAATCAAAATAGCCTCTTTTCATGAAAATATTGAAAATCATATTTCTAGAATCTCTGGAAAATGAAAGGAAAGATGATAGTGCTATTTAGTACTGTCAACAAAAGCAATGTATCTCTAAATTGAGACTTTTTTAGATCATTTGTTTCACTGTCAAGCTATTCATTAAAAATTCTCAATTGGCCATAAAAATGATAAGTATGTGAGGTGATACATGTGTTAATTAGCTTCGTTTAGCCATTCCACAATGTATACATATTTCAAAACATCATTTTACATGATAAACATGTACAATTTTTATTTGTCAATTTAAAAACTTAAAAAAATCATTGAAAAACAATCTAAGATTACTGTATAAACCTAGTAGCACCTAAATTGCCTTATAAACATTATCATATTGACATAAATTAAGCATTTGAGAAAGTATGACATGAGACAAGTTAAGTTTTCCATAGGGAGGCAAGAGGGAAGACAGGCTCAAACCTTGTTTTTAGTAGATCACTCCTGGGTAGGACATGACAGAAAAATGGCTTGGGCAGCTCAGATATATCATATGAGTGTTGGACTCCATGCAGAATCTATAAGGAAATTAGAACTCACCTACTTCTCAACCAATTATCTGACTTATCCAAACATTCATTTTACTAATGTACACAAATATGCAAGTACTGCACTAGGTACTAGCAATTCAGTAGTGGGCCAGAGAGACACAGCCTATGCTCCATGGAGTACATAACCTCTTGGAGAATCCAGATATATGCAGCAAGACATTTCAAATAGAACGTGTCACGTGCCCTGAAAGTGGAAGTAGAGTTTACTATGAGAGCATATAGCAGGAGTCCAGCCTTAATCAGTGAAGACTTCCTTGTGGGAGATTAAGCTAACACATTGTGAGTAATTAGGAGTTAACTAGGAGAAGACAATGGAAAAGAAGTAGAGCCGTGTGCATTGGATCAATGATGTTTTCTTGTGATGAGGGCAATTGTAACAAAGATTGCAGAAGTTTGGGTGAGCATCACAAGCTCCAACCAATATATATATACATATATATACATATGTGTGTATATATATATATATATATAGAAGCTTAGTAAGAAGAATGAGACTCTAGATGCCTTACAAGTGCATATGCTGACTCTGTAATGATGCTCAGGAATGAAGTCTGTTTGCAGCAGAAAATAAGTCAATAGAAGAAAACGTGCTCTTTCTCTGGCCTTTAACCTCCTTCCTTCTATCCACTCCTGCAATGCAGAAGACTAAATTCCTGGCTGTGTATCTATTTCTCTTGGTGTATATATTTCCCAACATCAGTTCTGATTTTTTAATTCATCCAGTATCCTGTTCCAGCTTTCTCCTGGGAAGCAAATAAAAGCCTGATTTGCCATTTTTATCTACTAGGCTATGGATTCAGCTATTTAATCTTGTTTCTTTACCATCCCTAGAGTATTGTCCTCAACTGTATGATTCAAGATAGCTCAGCACCTTGTCCAGAGTCTAGCTGGAGAATAATGGAGAGAGGAAAGGGAATATGCCCTTTTCTTCATACACATTTGCACACTTCCCACTCACAGGCCTTCCATTGGCCAGAGCTTAGTCATATCCCCGCACCAAGACCTAAGAAAGACTGAGAAATCTATCCTTTGGTTGCGGTGGCCAAGTGCCTAGCTAAAAATTGAGAATTCCATCCTATAACCTACACTGATAGAAACACTTAAATTCTTCCTGCAGCTTCCATATTGTTTGGCCAACAAACAACAAGATGAGGGGGGAAATGGATATTGGGACAAATAGCAATCTCTGCCACATCATTCTTTGAAAATGATTGATCCCTTGTTTAAGAATTTAAGGCAACTTCAATGCAAGCTAGTTCAGTAGTAAAGCCACATTGATGCTGAAATACAAAGAAAGAAAAATCATATGTTACAAAAGCTGTGATCATTTATTTGATGGGAACACATCAGGTCACATTGTTTAGCTCTATAAATCTGTAGACTGAAGGAAAAAAGAATTCTTTCCACAGCCATCTTGCACTATGCACCAAGAATTCCCATAGCTTTGGGAAGGCTGTCTGAAGTTAGAGAAAAAAAGAGGTTTTTTTTGGCCTGGTTTGATTTCATTACATCTATTAAAAGATGGAGATAATCGGCCTGCTTCTTTATCCTATCACATAACATCAGAACGTAATAATTCCGTCTTACAACCTACACAGATAAAACCACTTAAATTCTTCCTGCAGCTTCTGAACCACTCCAGCCTCCAAGCAGTTTCCTGGAGGGAAACATAAAGTTGGTACCTCGCTGCTTCAGTATTGATCCAGTTTGTTCCCAGCTCTGCTCTGACCTCAGTATCCCAGTTTCTAAGAGGTTGGGTTCTTGTCTGGTCCTTGTTCCTCACTGCTTGTCTTGACCCCCATTTCCCCTGTGGATCAGTTCCCTTCTCGTATTTCCTAAGAGAAGGTATAGGCATTTCTTCCTTGGCCCCCTTCCCATTTATAGTCAGTCTCCTAATAGCTGGATTCCTTCATTTCTTAGGTGGAACTACTACTATATTCACCACACAGTTTGAGGACTAGACTCTTTGGGAGAAAGAGAAAGGCCACTGCTGGGCCAATCAATCTTAAACTCTCCAAGCTCTTGTTCTCTCACCCCCTCCCCCTAGTTCTTTCTTTCTCAGGCTTTCTTTCTCTCTCTCTCACACACACATACCCCACATATTGGTCTACTATTGATCTTTTATAATAGTATTAGCAATTATGTCCTACATGTCCTTTTCCCTCATTGCATTCTTTTCCAGTTTGAGATATGCCTTCAGATTTCTCTGAGTCCTTGGAATCACCAATGTGGGGCCTAATTTTTATTTGTAGACTGTTAGCTCTTTGGTTCTACCTAGATTCCTGAAATTGCCTTCTACAAATGGGGATAGTCCATAACTGCCTTAGTTAGTGTGTGGCTTTTTGAAATGATGTTATGGTCAGCTTTTGCCAGGTTGTGCTGCAAACAAATCCAAAATTTCAACCACTTACTGCAGCAAACATTAATTTCTCATTCACATTATACATTGGCTACAGCTCTACTCCATGCTTGCTCTATTTGGAAACAAAGTCTGAAGAAAAAGCCCCCATCTGGGACCTATCAGTCTCAAGGCAGAGAAAAAAAAAGAGGTGGCAAAGGCAATGATAGCTCTCAGAGCCTCTGCTCAAAATGTCACATGTCACTTGCACTTACATGCCATTGGCCAAAACAAGTCAAAATGCCAGGTCACACGCCAGTGGAGCAGAAGTTATAATCCTTCTACAGAAACAAACCTGGTAGATAAGAGCTTCTATCTTTCAACAGAAATATAATCTACTAAAACCTTTTCCAAAATGTCCCCAGGTGCTTTCTGGGTTTCCTGACAAATAACTGTTTTGGACGAAGGATGTCTTCCCTGAAGTAGGAAGGATTGAAACTCTACACACCTCTCAAGACCTCCATGGATTGGGTAACCAGCTTTTTCCACCCATTACTACAAATACCTGCACTTAAGCTTAGTCTGTGCGGCATCCAAAGAGTCTTTTTGATTCCCCTGAAAAAAGCCGCTCTCAAGCTTGACCCATTAAAAAAGAGGACAATGGAGTGGAGGAGGCTCAGAAAGTGTCCCAGCCCTGGAGCACAAGCACAGAGCCTCCACCAGGTGCCAGTGCAAACATGCCTCTGTGCAGGATCCAAGAAATGGGTGACTGTGTACCTGCATGCTGACCTATGATCTGTAAGCCTCTTCTTTAACCCCAACTGAGTTGGCATTTTGGAATTCATTCTCACTACAGTCTTCCATATTTGAGCTTAGATTTACAAGTCCCCAGTCAAGAGATTGTTGTATTCTATCTTCCTTCTCAGTGTCATAATCAAAATGTAGACCATTATACCCATCAGGTATCAATGGTGAGCAAGCCACAGCCTTTCACTCCAAATACTCTGGGGTCCCATAACGATGGTTACCTACATCCAGAATGATTGAGCAAGCATTTTCATTCTACATGGTTGTTACTGAAAAAAAAACAAGGACAAAAACAAAAACAAAAAACAGCAACAACAAAAAAACATAGTTATTGCAACAGAAAATGCCAACAATTATTAACACTAGTCTATCACCTTTCATTTTTAAAAAAAATGAGAAATGAGAAGAAGCTAAATAAACTTAAATGTCAAGGAAGCCCTTAGGAATTATCTTTAAATTCTTCATTTCCTTTAGCATACTCAAAAAATGGTGTTTAATTATTTCTCTTACTTACTATATTATTATTGTAAAAAGGCCCCAGGCTTGAATGGTTTCAAGTCCTGCCAGGAGCTCAGAAGTGTGATTAAGTTGTGTATGACAGTGGCCTGTGATCATTGCACCACTGTAGTAACTCACAACAGAGTTTAAATATATTGTAGCTCTGTTATCACCATTTCCCCCAACTATATCAACTATATCCATGGCAAACATTGATAATCATTTCCAGCACTCTTTCCTTCTGTCCCTAAAATCAGCCATCCAATGCCACTCCACATAGTGCTCCTGGCAGCAACTAGCCTTTGTTATGGGATGATGCTGAATATGGAACCTGGTTGCCATCTTGGTCCGGTGGAAATGGGAAATCCTTTGCCACCACAACAGCTGTCTGTGAACAAACCTTCCTCCTGAGGTGCTTCCTGAGACTATTTTAGTTTCCTTTTGCTATGAATTCGACCTTGTCCATCCATATAGCATGGCCACATGATCTTAATTTAGAAAGTTTGATTTTAATTTGGAAGTTTTCTTCCTTTTGGTGCCTCACCCTGTTTGACAGCCCTCTGTACCCAGAGTTTGTATTCACCCCATTTCACATTGAATATTTAACTCTATGTAGAAACTTGAAGCAACTCTAGTAATATCTACAGTAGGCTCCCAGCTCACATGAATACCTTTTCACGCATCAAAGTTTTGAACAGAGATGTAAGATAATGTTTATTAAATAAATGTCTGTTGACCTAAATAAGCAATTGTAATTTTACAGGGCATTCATTTCCTAGGGCTGCCATAACAAAGCACCACAAACAGCATGGCTTAAAACAAAAGAAATTCATTGCCTCACAGTTCTAGAGGGGAGAAGTCCAGAATCATGGGGGTGTCAGGGCTATTCTCCCTCTGAAACCTGCAGGAGGGAAGCCTTCTTGGCCTCTTCCTAGCCTATGGTAGTCTGCCAGTGGTCCTTGGCATTCCTTGGCTTGCAGCTCCAGAACTTCGATTTCTGTCTCTTTCACACAGGGCCTTCTCTCCTCATGTATCTCTGTCTTTTTGTCTCTTCTCTTCTTCTAATAAAGATATCAACCATATTGAATTATGACTCATATTAATGACCTCATCTGAACTTGATTATATCTGTAGAGATAACAAGATTACATTTGCAGGACTTCGACTTATCATTTTGTGAGGGGCACACAATTTAACCTACAATACCAGGGAACATTATTTGAGATGTAGTACTAATTACCTAAACTGGCAGATTTGAGCCAGTACCTAATTGAGGGAGATGATGCATTATCTTTGTGTGAGATGTCCATATCTCTGGTAGTTCATCTGCTTGCAAACGTATGTCATTTCTCTTTCTGAATGAGGCACTGTACACCAGGTGACAAGAGATTTATTGGCTACTCTGCATGTAGGCAATCTTGCCCGGAAGAAGCAGTTATTAATCCAGCAGGTGCTCAAAACAGGTTCCAATTCCTCTTCTTTGAGCAATATCTTAATTCATGATAGTATCATTTACAAGACATAAAGAATCTGGGTGGATAAAAAATTATTTATTTGCATAGTCAGTATATATTATGTATAATGTTGTTGGTTTGCTTTTTCATAAAAATAACACATTTCCATTATAAAAAAAGGTAAAACTAGAACTGAAAAGTATTAAAGAAGACTAAAGCATAATAGTTCACCATCCCCACCCACCCTGTTAATATTTTTATGTAACTCCTTCTAGTATTTATGCATAGATTTTTAAAAATAATTATGAATATACTACAAATATAAATCTGCATGCTGTTTAAGTGAGTGACTACAAATCCGTAGTTGAATTATAATAAGGGAGACAAGGGCCACGTGGTTCCTGGTAAGAGGGAAAAAAGAAAAAGAAAATACCCTATTCATTAACCCTAAACCTCAAAAATATAAGATATTAGTGAGCAGCTTTCACTTATAATAGATGAGTAAGCATTACATTTTTAGTTTATAACATCAATAGTTAACTAAGACTTTAGGTACACCCCCCAAAGTGGTCATTGAAACAATGCCACCTTTTGTTTCCCTCAGACACATGGAAAATGACAGCAATCTTATAGGATGGGAATACATTTGGTTGTGGTTGTCTAAATAATGGGCGTGTAGAATCCCAAAATTAAAGAAGTTACTATATGCTTCCTCCACAAGACCCTTTCTTGAGGAAAATAATGTATGATGCATTTCTTAGAGCTAGCGAAATGTATGATAGAAATATGAGGTGACGTCTTTAGTTTCTGACTTATTTTTCCTCTTCTCTCATTATTCTCAGCAACCTCAATATATCTGTGTTGCCAATTCAGCTGACATTCTCAATTCCCAGTTCGTCATCCTCCTCAACTCCACTTACTATGCCACTGAAGCTACTCACTGGTAAAGCCACACCTGGAATCCATGATCCACTCAAAATTCTCTAGACCTCTCTAACCACTACTTTCTCAACTTCTGTCTTGTTCATTCTCACATATTTAAAGAACATCCAATTCCTTGAAAATTACCTGACTGCTTTGCTTACAAAACCCACCTTGACCTTATGTGTCTTAGTTTGCTTGGGTTTCTATACAAAATACCACAGACTGGATGGTTTAAACAGCAGAAATTAATTTCTCACAGTTAGGGTAACTGAGAAGTCCAAGATCAAGGTGCCAGCTGATTCCATTTCCAGCAAGCACTCCCTTGCTGGCTTGCAGATTGCTGCCTTCTCCCTGTGTCGTCATGTGGTGCAGCAAGAACTCCAGTGTCTCTTCCTTTTTTTTTTTTTTTTTTTTTTTTTTTTTTTTTTTTAGAGAGACAGAGTTTTGGTCTTGTTGCCCAAGCTGGAGTACCATGGGGTGATCTTGGCTCACTGCAACCTCCGCCTCCCAGGTTCAAGTAATTCTCCTGCCCCAGCCTCTCAAGTAGCTGGGATTATAGGAGCATGCCACCACACCCAGCTAACTTTTTGTATCTTTAGTAGAGACAGAGTTTCACCATGCTGGCCAGGCTGGTCTCGAACTCCTGACCTCGTGATCTGCCCGCCTCGACCTCCCAAAGTGCTGGGATTACAGGCATGAGCCACTGCGCCCGGCCGTGTCTCTTCTTCTTCTGGACACCAGTCCTGTTGGGTTAGGGCAGCACCCTATGACCTTGTTTAACCTTAATTACCTTCTTATAGATCCTATCTCTGAATAGTCACATTGAGGGTTAGGGCTTCAACATATAAATTTGGGGGGATGCCATTCAGACCATACATCTTGTTTCTGTACAAATCCTCAATCTTTAGTCTCAGCCCAACTAATTTCTCCACTCCTATTGAGCAGAAACTCTGCCCCCTGTCTCCAACCAAGCCTTCATTGTTGAACGTCTCATTTCAGTATATTACAACTCCCATAACAATTTTTCCAATTTTTTTCACGTTCTTAAAACCCTCAGTTTCTCACCAAGATTCACTCCCCATACCCAGGAAACAACCTCATCTGCAACTTTAAAAGACCGATCAAGACCTTTTGGTCAGGCAGATCTGGGACCTCCACTTATACTATCAATGAAACCTTAGGGAAGTCACTTTATTTCCTGCCATCCTCGGGTCTGTTGTGGGGATGAAACAAAGTGAGGTTTGTGAAAGCCCATCACCCAGTGCCTGCCGTGGGCAAAGCTCAATCCATGTAAGCAGAACATAGAAGTTGAATATCAGACAGCCGCCTACCCTGCCTATGCTGAAGTCTGGCCCAAGTAGACTTTCTAACATTCAGACTCACAAAGATAGAAGGGATGGAAGGAAATGGTGAAACTCAGCAAATCTGGGCCTACTCAGGGAGCCTCATTTTCTTTCTTGATTTTGCTTTTCCTGGCCTCTTTCCAAGATATCTAACCCTAGGATTTATAAAAACTGTTGAGGAGCCAGCAGAGAAGCACAGAGGGCAAAACCAGGAGGAGAGAGGATCTGAGTTGATCAAGACCAGCCAAATTTTCTGCTGAGACTGGGATGCAGAACTGCATGTCAGCCAAGCCCAACTGAATAAATGCTGCCTGTGATTCATATGGCTGACAGGGCCAAACTGAGGTGCAGAGGGGCTACAGAGTTGGCTTTGGTGATGTCTCCCTGCCTGTCTTTGGTGTTGCCAATGGGCCCTTCATGCTCCTATGGCCCCCTCTAGTGATTCAGTTCCACCTAAGTCCACCCTTCCTGATGGATACGTGGATCTCTCCTTTCTATCAAAGTTGAGTTGTCCTGTGTTCCATTATTTAGGGGCCAAGAGACAGTCATTCTCTCTAAGAAAGGACCTTGGCCAAAAATTGCCATGTTGATGAGCCCTCACTGTCTATCCTACTTCAGCTACAGTATTTTCTTGTTAACTCAGTGCTGTGTCTCCAATGAGGAGCATTTTGGCCATTTTGACAGAGCTTAGGGAGGTAACTTTAGACATTCATTACTTGTGGCCCCACTGATAGAGGTACAGATCGTCTTGATAGTTCGTGTGAAAGTCCAGTCTGCTGTCAACAGCCCACAAATAGCAAAAACCACAGTTAGTTACTGAGTCAGAGCAAAATGGGATGCTTGAATACTTTGAGGGTTAATGAAGGTTCTGACTCAGATGAACTGAGTTCAATGAGGTGCAGGTGCCATAGACAAAATCGGAGCTCACTCATCTTTCCAAATCAGTCAGGTCACCTTGTAGAGACATAGCAAAATAGCAAAAGGTCTGCAATGTGCTAGGCACTATGTAATTTTAGAAACAAGAAAACTTTCACCAAATAAAAGCCCTTACCCAAAATAAAGGAGAAGTAGGGTGATAGTAATATATGCTGACAACCCACATGTGGCAGACCCTGTGTTAGAGACTTCAGATATGCTGCTACCACTCATAATGAGAATAATATTCATGGGGGTCTATTATGTACCCAGTGTTCTTCTAAGTACTTTATATAAAATAACTCATTTAATAATCCCAATAACTCTGTGAAATAGATACTATCATTAGCTCCATTTTACAGAAACCAATGCAAAGGCATACAGCTGACAAGTTTTGAACAAAGAGCGTGTGTGGCCTCCCTCAGTCCCCATAGCAATCTGTGAGATGCACATAATTATTTCCCCATCTTGCATAAGAGAATACTAAGTCTCATAAAAATTATGTCATCTGTGGTAAGTAAACGCTATGTCAGTTTGACCCCAGGTCTTTCTGGATCTGAAATCTGTTATCATCTCCTTATCCTATCTGATATTCTGAAGTCATGGACTCCTCCTTTGTGCAGAAGAAGTGGCAGCTGACAATGGGATGGATTCCTGTCAACAGACACAAATGGAATAGATGAGTTCAGGAGTCTTGGCAGATCTCCCCTGTGCATTATGGTCTCAGTGAGGAGGGCTATAAAACAGAGATAAAATGAAAGGGCTTATGAGTTCTAAAAGGCTATAAAATCTCCTTGGATTTGGTTTCCAACAAATCAAATGTGGAAGAAAAGCCATCCTCCTGTCTCTCTCTGGGCTCTGCAGAGGTGGTCTAATTGTGAGTTCTTTTCTTAATGTTTCAGCATTTGCAACACAAAACTCAACTCCTGTTTGCAGAAGCCTGAAATTTCACACAGGGCAGTTTTGAAGCCTGTTTGTGCTTCTGTTAGGAGCTTTTGATTATTATCGGTTCCTAGATTGTTTAAGAGGAGTCCTCTCTCCCATATGTGGGAAGAATACTTGCGTCTTCACTCCATCCTACCTGATAGAGAAATTATTTCTGACATCAAAAGAAATCCTTCAATACATGTGTTAGCGTCCTGCAGTGGTGTGATAAGTAATGAAAGAGGAAGATGAGAATGCGGTAGATGATTGGGGAAAAAGTGACCATTTGGGCAACAGAGACTCTTTAGATGTGTTGCATAGAAATATAAAGGCAGCATAACTTGTAGCCATTTGACAATTTGGATAAAAATTTGGTTCTTCAAAGAAGAGCTTTATAAATATTTGGATTCACTTACTTTTTAAAGGATTTGATATTTATGTAGCATTAAAGATATTCCAAACACATAGTAGGAACTAAGTAAATTACTGTTGAAGGGATAGATTAATACACTTATGAAAAGGAGATAATGCCATCTCTAAAATTTTAAAAAGACAATAAAATGTTTTAGCATTCATGATTTTACTTTATATGTTGGGGAAAGCTTCTTTTAAAATATTCATTTCCTTTCACTGCTGCTTTTGTAGCCTTTCTACCCTTATGAATAATTCTAATACAACTGTGTAAAAACTACATGTTGTTAAATATACTTTATTAAGACCATGACTGCTGAGTTCTTGGAGATTTTCTTTTCCCTCAAATGAAAATGTTAGTTGGCTTCGGCTGTTCTGATTACTAGAAAATGACATTCAAAGCAGTCAAGAAAGGGGATAATGATTCATTGTTCAGTCTGTTCTCTGCATCCTGGACTTCACCAAAAAAAAAAGTATGTATATTAAAACTAGATATACATATGCATGGTTATGTGTGTATATATATATATGGTTTTATATATATATATACCCATATATATATTTTAAAAGCTATGTTACCACACGTATATATGTGTGTGTGTGTGTTTACATGTGTGTCTATATGTGTGTGTGTGTCTGTGTATGTGTGTCTGTGTATGTGTGTATACACCACTATGTATGTGTGTGTACACCACTATGTATGCGTGTGTATGTTCGGGCTGTTTATTCAAAAGAAGCTGTTGGTCTTGACTCCCAGATTCAGGCTACATTAACCTCCCTCTAGGAGGTGCCAAGAACAGAGAAGAACCAGCTAAAGGGTGTACTGGGGAGGAAGGGAAAGTGGCTGGTGGTTGTTGGCATTTTTAGTGAGAGAAAGATTTCACAGTAAGAGTCTTTTGTACAAAATCAGTCAGAAGAAGGGGTAAATTTAGGGCAGAAAAAAACAGCTTTGGAATGAGGGTGGAGTGGGGAGAGGGAGTAAAATGGGAGATAAATTTCCACCATCCCAGGTAACACAGAGGTCTTCAGTCAATCTGATGAGGTGGGGTGCAATGAACAGCACAGCAGAGAGGTTGAGAGTCCAATTCACCATGAATTATATGAGGGAATCCCTGAAAACGAATAAAAGAAGACTGTGGATTATGCTTATTGGGAGTCATTAAGACAACCCAAGTGGTGGGGCTGAGCAGGCTCAATTAATGTCCAGAGTTGGGGTGACCAGAGGTGGGGAGTGCCAGGGGCCTAATAAGGCATCCAAAAATCCCAGGCACAAGGGACCCCACAGACAGCCTAGCCTTTCTGTGAATACCTGATAACTCTGCAGGGAAAACTAGAGTCTCTATTTTTTAGGATGGAGAAGCTAAGACTGTCTCCAAACTTCTTGGGTTCACCGAGAGAAGGATGTCAAAGCCAGTTGGTTCCCAGAAAGGTGAGAATCCAGGGCAGATTGGACTGGGGGATGGATAATGTAAATAATTTAAGACTCAGGATTCATTCATTTAGTGCAATTTTTTAGACACCTACTGATGCCAGAAATGATGGTGACGTGCTGAGGTTTCAGCTGTGAACCAATTAGAAATGGTCATTCTGATGTGGAGTTCATAAGTAAAAAGGAATTACAATACATAGTAGAAAGTACTGCAATGGTAACAGTCCAAAGCTTTATGAAAATATGAGAAGGGCCCCTAGCCTAATCTGAGGGAATCAGAGACTGTTTCCAAGAAGTGACTCCTAAGCTGAGACCTGGGGATAGTGAGGAATTCAGTCAATTAAAGGGTTAGTGGAGTATTGAAGAGAAAAGAAAATTCAAGTTTTAGGGTGTGGAGGCTACACTGCGAGGTGCAATAGAAAACTGAAAGTCACCCCGTTTTGCTGGAGTGGGAGGTAGGAAGTATTCAGAGATGTGGTAGAAGAGATATCCAAAGGCCAAATCATGAAGCACTTGCTAAGGATGTTAAAGAGGATGCTTAATCCATGCATTTTAGCCCACCTCAATGTTTCCAAACTTAGGGCATAGAGGGTAGAAATCTCATCCTATTTCATATTAAGAAATCTCATCCTATTTCATATTAAGACAGCATGAGTTTTACAGTAGAAAAGAGCTGGCTTATATCCTGGCCCTGCCACTTACTGGGTAAAGGTGAATGCTTTCTCATTCTCCGAGCCTCAACTTTTCCTCTGTGAGATGAGAATTCTTTTCCTACATCGCATGGCTATTTTCAGAATGAGAGTGTTTCCTAGGTGGAAAGGGAAGCCGTCAATTTGTGGGGAGAGTATTCAGTAAACAGAAATAATGATTCATCTGATTTCTTCTTACAACACATGAAAATTCTAGATGTTTTCAGGAAGAAAAGATAATGGATGCAGCATTGATATAGAAGACAGATTTAAAGCCCCCTTTCTAATGTGCCACTAACAAGGTGAGCCAAGTCTCAGATAGCATGGTTTCCTATCTGTAAAACAGGGACAATAACACTTGATTCCTCACTTCCAGGCATGTTGTAAAGTTTAATTAGATGTTATCCATAAAGTACTATGAACTTCTCAGAGGACGACAGCATATAAATACAAGTTACACAGCTCATATTATTCATCTTCTTTCTATGGTTTAGCTACAAGCCAGTCCCCTGTACTCAGAAACTTGGCATTTTCTCCCTCTATATTCCTGATCTTTCTTCAGGGAGAGTCAGGCTCTTGCTCATTTTCTCCATGTCATGATGGCTGGCACTTTGCATTTCATTCGGCCTCCCTCTGGTCGCTCATTTTTGAGAGCATCTGATAAATTTCTTTCACTCAACTTAATGCCTTTTGGTCAGAGGTTGTTTCAGACCATGAAGAGAGCTTCATCTTTCAAAGTACTCTCTTGAACATTCAACTGTAAATTTTAACTGGCACCAGTGGATTCTAATCAAGGAAAGGCAGATTATTGATTATTTGATTCTATCATATTTGCATGATTCTCAAAATCCTTTAGGCCTCCTTGGTTTAAAAGCAATTGGTAAATTGTGAAGAGTGAGATGAGGCTGTTCTAAACTGAAGACAAATTTGTAACTTTTTGGAGTCACTTCTGGCCTAGTGCCTTGAGTGTCCATAAAACCATCATTTCTACACAGTTTTGTTTTTCGTATATGATACATCAAGACAGATGTTACCACCTGATTTATTTCTATGAATGGGATTTCTTTGTTCAAAACTAAAGTGATATAGTTCTACAGGACAGTTAAAACCAGTGAACAGGTTCTAGCTCCCTTTCCTCCTCAAATGAAATTCATTGTTTTGATGCTTACTGCAAAACAGGAATGAATGTTATTAATACTTAATGGGGAATTTTGAATTTTAATGAAAACATTGGAGTTTTTCAAGGTTGGACTCAAGTATTAATCTGTCTAGTATTTTCAGTGTTTACAACAGATACTGCCATATGTCACAAACCACAGCTATATTGGATAGGCAAAACACTTTTTTACTAGGAATGGAAGGAATCAAACAATTTCAATGTATTCTAGAAAGTTCAAGAAACCACTAAGCCACTATATGGATGTGATTTCTACCAAAATTTAGTTGAGGTGCAATTAACAGGATCTACTTCCGGAAAGCAGGATAGGGGAATGGCTTCAGGGAGGGGCTCACAAGAGTCTGCACTGTCATCCATAATGTGTACAATTTTTTTAAGAAAAGAAGATCCAAAGCAAATGAGGCAAAATGCTAAGATTTATAAGTGGCTCATTTGTGGACATTCATTATATTATTTTTATTCTTTTCTACATGTTTGAAATAAAAGTATAGTTTTGCAATAATAGTATTACTTATAATACTTGTAATTTTGAGAAAGAATAAAATCATACATCTAAATCTGTTTCTGCCTTAAGGGAGCTTCAGGACTCTAGTCAGGGACTTTGCAAGGGCCTTTGCAGGTCGCATGTTCTGGACAAAAGCTAACATCGAACATGGAAACAAAAACCTTAATTTAGTCTTGAGAGTGCCATTTATAAGCTAACTCATTCTTTAGAACTGAAAGCAGAAATTTACAGATGTTCTTGTGACCCTACATCCCAGGGGCCCACAGATCTAGCACATTGAGGTATTTCTCTGGAAAGGCATTGATTGTTTATATAAGATCTATACACACATAATTTTTAAAAATAAACAATATCGAAAAAAAGAAAGCAAGAACTCACTGACAATGCCACCCTCAGAGACACAGACATTATTCACACACATTTTCACTTACAAATTGAAATAGAAAGAAAAATTATTTCTCTAACCGACAAGAAAAAATTTACAAAAAGTTAACATTAAACATAGTTTCATTTTTAAGAAATATATAATTTAATATTACTTTAACAGAAAGAAATATAGTACAACAGAAGAAACTGATGACGTTCAGATAAGTGGATATTTTCCACAACAGATATTAATTCTATGCTATTGCTCAACCTTAAAAAGCAGATTGTAAACTTTCAGCTTCCAATCCAGCATGTAAGGAGGTTAGAAATTGCCACTTCATCGTAACAAGTAAAAAGTGGAACAAACTGAAAAATCAAACGCTCTTCTTAGATCCATTAGAAAAGGAAAAACCCGGTTAAAAAGTGGGCAAAAGACCTGAACAGACACCTCATCAAAGAAGATACACAGTTGACAAATATGAATATGAAAAGATGTTCAACACCATATGTCATTAGGGAATTATAGATTAAACAACCATGAAATACGACTGCCCACCTATTAGAATTGCTAAAATCCAAAACACTGACAACACCAAATGCTGGTGGGAATGTGGAACAACAGGAACTTTTCATTCATTGCTGGTGGAAATGCAAAACGGTACAACCACTTTGAAAGACAGCTTGACATTTTCTTACAAAACTAAACATATTCTTACCATGTGATCCAGTAATGATGCTCCTTGGTATTTACCCAAAAGAGTTGAAAACTTATGCCCACACAAACATCTGCACACAAATGTTTATAGCAACTGTATTGACAAATGCCAAAACTTAGAAGAAACCGAGATGTCCTCAGTCAGTGAATGGAGAAATAAATTGTGGTGCATCCAGACAATGAAATATTATTCAGCATTAAAATGAATAACCTTGGCATAAAGACATGGAGAAACCTTAAATGCGTATTACTAAGTGAAAGAAACCAAAGTGTAAAAGCTACATAGTATATGACCCCAACTATATGACATTCTGGAAAAGGCAAAACTATGAAGACACTATGGTTGCCAGCAGTTGAGGGAGAGAAAGGGACAAATAGGTAGAGCACAGGGGAATTTTAGGACAACGAAACAACTCTGCATGATATTACAATGGCGTATACATTATTCATTTGTCCAAATTCATAAAATATATACCACCAGAAATGATCCCTAATATAAACTATGAACTTTGGGTGATGATATTTCAATGTGGGTTCATTGAATGTATCACTGTAGTGCAGGATGTTGATACTGGAGGAGGTTGTACATGTGAAGGGGGGCAAGAGGTATGTAGGAACTCTCTGTATTTTCCATTCGATTTTGCTTTGAACCTAAAACTGATCTAGAAATTAAAGTCTATTTTTTAAAGTAGATAATGTAAAACCACTAAGAATTGAAATCATTATGCTTTTATTTTAACCAAGTTCATACCATGAAAGATAGGCTAACTCTTCCACTTATTCCACACCATCCTTCTCTACCATCTGATTTTCAATGGCTCCAACGTAATGGCTCCCTTGTAATATTACCACTTTGTCTACATTCTCAAATTCCTTGTTTTGAGTCTTCATTCCACGAGATAGATCAGGGGTCTCCAACCCTCAGGCCACGGACTGAATTAGTCCATGGCCTGTGTGGCCCATTAGGAAGTGTACCACACAGCAGGAGGTGAGTAGTACACAAAGGAGCATTACTGCCTGAGCTCCACCTCCTGTCAGATCAGTGGTGGCAATAGATTCTCACAGAAGCACGAAACCTATTGTGAACTGCACCTGCAAGGGATCTAGGTTGTGCACTCCTTATGAGAATCTAATGCCTGATGATCTGAGGTGGAATAGTTTCATCCCAAAAACCATCCCTCGATCCCCTGGTGGAAAAATTGTCTTGCATGAAACTAATTCTTGGTATCAAAAAGGCTGGGGACTGTTGGGATAGATAACATCATTGTAAAAAATTTTTTTAAGAGAAACTCATGGATATTATGTTCCCAAGTTCTTTTATGCTTGAAAATTTCTTCCTGTGGCTTTCTTGCTAGACCAGCAGCTTAGCTGAGTACAACATTCTCAGGTCTCCCACACCTTCACTCAGAGATCAGCATTTTTGGTACTGAATACCGCTGTGTAGAAAATTGAAGACAAACTGATTTTCCCCGTTTGTATTTGATTTTTGCTATAAATGCCTAAATTTTTAACCTTAAATTTCGGTAGCTTTACGAGAATATGCTTCAACATTGATCATTCAGTATAAAACATTTCATGATATACAGGAAGTCACTCAATGTGCACATCCAAATGTTTCTTCATTTTCTTAAACTATCTCTCTGAAAAATTTTAGTTATCTCTTTGATTCTGTATGTAAAAGATAACAATTAAGATTATGTTGGATGATCTTTGTCCTCAATAGGAATATTGACTCTTGAATAGTGTATTTGTAGCCTTTCACCTTTGAATTCTCCAGGATTGTCTCAATTCCTCTCTCCTTGACATCTTTTTGTTTTCAGTTGTGTCTGTTCTGTTTCTTACTTCTTGCAATTTATTCCTTTTCCATTTCCATAAGTAGCCATGTTGGTTTTATCTCAACTTGTTTTCTTAGCTCTGCAACCCCCTTTTCATCCTATTAGGCTGTTTATATTGCTTTTGTTTTATTAAATTCATATTCTAATTAAATACATTTCCAGTATTAAATATCAATGGAGAATGTTCTTCTATTCCCTAGATAATATTTTTCCCAATTTATATTTTTAATTGGATTGTGTATGCTATGTTCCTTCCTTTCAACTTTTATAGCTTCAGTATACCACATATTTAACATTAGCAGCTCTGTTTCATGGCTCTGATATAGAGAGGGTGAATCATCCTTAACATCTTTCAACTCTGTCAGGCACCTGATATAGTCTCTGAATTTGATGTTGTTTTCTCTTTGGCTTTCTATATCATGTATGGTGAACATGGGAGGTGGAAGAGCTGGCTGGAGATCCCATTAGGATACCTACATTAGGGCTGTCTTCACTCATCTAAGGGCATATTCCACTTCCATAATCTCCTTGCCCTAATTCTCCAGTTTTGTGAATTTCATGATGCCCTAGTACCCCTGTTGCTTATGCCAAGACCTGGTGGTTGTATTTGGACACATCTGCTATAGGGAAAATTTTCCTCTTCTCTATTCCAATCATTCCTCGGTTTGTTTCTCTTCTTATTTGAGGGCTTTGGTAAAGTTTCTCCGAATATTATCAACTCTTTCTTTCCCTCACTTTTGCTTGTGAGAGTAGGGCTAGGACCTACCCTGTGTTGCAATAGAATGATTGGTTTCTTTCCTTGGCCACCACTTTTAAGTTTTATAACAGGAAATTTGTCCTCTTGTTTTGTTGCTGCTTATGCCTTTTTTACTGTTTTAATATTCATTTGTTTGGATTTTGTATATTTGTTTCTTCTTTTTAATTTATTTCATTCAGTACTAGGAAGGAGTCATTCTGTAAATCTACTTCCTCAGCAATTTTTACCCAGACTTGTCTCAAAATTACATTGAACACTGATTATTATGTTGGAATAATGTAAAAGGTAAAGCTATTTCTTCCATCATTGTTGCATCCTCAAATGTGATAAATATTTTTACGGTGGTTAACTCTGTGTCAACTTGAATGACTATGAGGCATCCAGATATTTAATCAAATATCTGGATTTGTCAATGAGAGTTTTTCTGGATGAGATCAACATTTGAATTGGTATACAAAGTAAAGCATATTGCCCTCCCTAATCTGGATGGGCCTCATCCAATCAGTTGAAAGCCCAAATAAAGCAAGAAGGCTGAGTCAAAAGAGATTTATTCTGGCTAGCTGTCTTTGAGCTGAGTAGTCAGTTTTTCCTGCTTTTAGACTCAAACTGAAACATCAGCTCTTCCTTAGGCACAAACTGCCAACTTCTGGGCTGAGACTACACCACTAGCTCTCCTGGGTCTCTGGTTTGCTGACTGCAGTTTTTGGGACTTGTCAGCCTCCATAATCATGTGAGCCAACTCCTTGTAATAAATATTTATCTCTTTTTATCTCTCTGGAGAACCCTAATACAATTTATTTTTAAATTATTTTTAAGTGGCACATAATAATCATACATGTGTGATATCTTGATGCATGTGTGCAAGAGGTAATGACAAAGTCATGATAAGTAGCATATCCATCACCTCAAACATTTATTATCTCTTTGTGTTGAGAACATTCAAAATTCTCTCTTCTAGCTATCAAAAATATACAATAAATTGTTAGCTGTAGTCACCCTACAGTAGTATAGAACATTAGAACTTAGTCCTCCTATCTAATTGTATTTGGTATCTGCTAACCAAACTCTACTTATTCTCTCCTCCCTCCTACACCTCCCAGCCTCTGTGACCACTCTTCTACACTCTACTTCCATGAGATCAACTTGTTTAGCTACTACATGTCAGTAAAAACATGTGATATTTATCTTTCAAAGCCTGGCTTATTTCACTTAGCATTGTGTCATCCAGGATAATCCATGTTGTTACAAATGACAGGATTTTATTCTTTTTTATGGCTGAATACTATTACATTGTGTATATATACCACATTTTTTTTCATTCATTCATCTGTCAATGAACACTTAGATTGATTCCATAGCTTGGCTATTGTCAACAGTGCTACAATAACATAGGACTCCAGATGTCTCTTCAACATACTGATTTCCTTTCCTTTGTGTATATATATCCTGTAGGAGGATTGCTGGATCATATGGTAGTTCTATTTTTATTTGTTTGAGAAACAACCATATTGTTTTCTGTATTGGCTATACTAATTACATTCCCACTCATGGTGTAAGAGTTCCCCTTTCTGTACATCTTCACCAACATTTGCTTTCTGTTTTTGTTTTTTGTTTTTGTTTTTGTTTTTCATCATTTGTTCAATGCCGTTCTAACTGGGCTGAGATGTCATCTCATTGTGGTTTTGGTTTGCATTTCCCTGATGATTAGTGACATTGAGCATTTTTCATGTACATTTTTCCCATTTGTATGTCTTCTTTTGAGAAATGTCTATCCAGGTTATTTGCCCATTTTTAATTGGAATAATATCTTGTCATATAAGTAGTTTGCAAATATTTCTTCCCATTCTGCAGGTTGTCTCTTCCTTCTGTTGATTGTTTTCTTTGATGTGCTGAAGCTTTTCATGTTTGATATAATCTCATTTGTCTATTTTTTGTTTTGTTGCCTGTGCTTTTGAGGTCTTATGCATAAAATCTTTGCCCATATCAATGTTGGGAGGGTTTCCCCAATGTTTTCTTCTAGTAGTTTGATTGTTTTGGATCTTATATTTAAGTCTTGAATACATTTTGAGTTGATTTTTGTATATGGTAAGAAATAGGAACCTACTTTTATTCTTCTGCATATGGATATCCAGTTTTCCCAGCACCATTTATTGCAAAGACAGTCCTTTCCCCAATGAATGTTCTTGGCATCTTTGTCAAAAATCAATTGGCTATGAATAAGTGAATTTATTTCTGGCTTCTTCATTTTGTTTCATTGGTCTATGTGATTGTTTTTATGGCAGTCCCATGCTGTTTTGGTTACTGTTACCTTATAGTATAGTTTGAAGTCAGGTAGTATGATGCCTCCAACTTAGTTCTTTTTGTTAAAGATTGCCTTAGCTACTCAGGGAATTTGTGGTTCTATACAAATTCAGTATTGCATTTTTTGTTTCATGTGAAGAATGCCATTTTGATATAGATTGCACTGAATCTGTTGATCACTTTTACTAGTATGGTCATTTCAACAGTATTAATTCTTCCAACCCATTAACACAGGATGTCTTTTGATGTTTTTGTGTGTGTCTCCTTTAATTTCTTATATCAATCTTGTATAGTTTTACTTCAGAAAACTATTAAATTCATAGTTGGTTAAATTCATTTCTCAGTATTGTTTTAGCTGTTGTATATGGGATTGCTTGCTGGAATTCTTTCTCAGATAGTTCATTGTTGCTGTGTAAGAACACTACTGACTTTTGTAGATTGATTTTGTAGGCTGCAACTTTACTGAATTTCTTTATCAATTCTGAGAGTTTTTGGATGGCATTTTTAAGGTTTTCTGTATATAAGATCATGTAATATGCACACTAGGAAAATTTGACTTTTTCCTTTCCAATTTTGATGCTCTTCATTTCCTTCTCTTATCTAGCTTCTCTGGGTAGGGCTTCCAAGAGGAAGTTGAATAAGAGTGATAACAGTGGGCATCCTTATCTTGTTTCAGTTCTTCAGTATGATGTTAGCTATGAGTTTGTCATATATGTCCTTGATTGTGTTGAGGTATGTTCCTTCAATACTCTATTTGTTGAGAGTTTTGATCATGAAGAGATGTTGAATTTTATCAAATGTTTACCCTACATCTACTGAGATAATCACATGGTTTATGTCCTTCATTGTGTTGATGTGACGTTTCACATTTATTGATTTGTATATGTTGAACCATTTTGGCATTCCTGAGATAAATCCTACTTAAATATGGTGTATAATATTTTTTGATGTGCTGTTGAATTTGAATTTGATGTGTTCATATTTTATTGAAAATATTTGCCTCTATGTTCATCAAGGATAATGGTGTGTAGTTTTCTGCTTTTGTACTGTCCTTGTCCGGTTTTGGTATCAGGGTAATATTGGCCTCACAAAATAAGACTAGAAGAATTTCTTCCTCTTGAATTTTTTGGAATAATTTAAGAATAATTGGTATTTGTTCCTCCTTAAACATTTTATAGAATTCAGTAGTGAAGTGATCTGGTCCTGGGATTTTTGTTGTTGCTTTTGGGAGATTTTTAATTACTGATTTAATCTGGTGACTCATTATTAGTGTGTTCAGATTTTCTGTTTCTTCTGGGTTCAATCTTGGTAGGTTTTTTGTGTCTAAAAATTTATCCATTTTTTTCTGGTTTCCCAATTTGTTGGTGTATAATTGTTCACAATAGTCTTTAATGATCCTTTGTATTTCTTTGGTAACCTTTTTCATTTCTGATTTTATTTATAGGGTTATTTTTGTTATTTCTTGTTTTGTTAATCTTTTGTGTTGTTTTTTAGTCTCAATTTCATTTATTTCTGCTCTAATCTTTATATCCTTCTACTAATTTTGGATTTGCTTTGTTCTTGCTTTTCTAGTTTCTTGAGGTATATCTGTAGGTTGTCTATTTGAAATATTTATAATTTTTATGTAGCCATTTGTTGTTATGAAATTCTCTCTTAGCACTCCTTTTCTTGTATCCCATAGCTTTTGGCATGTTTCCATTTTCATTTCTTTTAAGACTTGTTTTTAAAAAAATTACTTCCTTTTTTTTCTTTTTTTTTTTATTATGCTTTAAGTTCTGGGATACATGTGCAGAACATGCAGTTTTGTTACATAGGTGTACACTTGCCATGGTGGTTTGCTGCACCCATCAACCTGTCATCTACATTAGGCATTTCTCCTAATGCTATCCCTCCCCTAGCCCCCCACCCACCCACAGGCCCTGGTATGAGATGTTCCCCTCCCTGTGTCCTTGTGTTCTCATTGTTCAACTCGCACTATGAGTGAGAACATGTAGTGTTTAGATTTCTGTTCCAGTGTTAGTTTGCTGAGAATGATGGTTTCCAGTTTCATCCATGTCCCTGGAAAGGACATGAACTCATCCTTTTTTATGGTTGCATAGTATTCCATGATGTATATGTGCCATGTTTTCTTGATCCAGTCTATCACTGATGGGCATCTGGGTTGGTTCCAAGTCTTTGCTCTTGTGAACAGTGTGGAAATAAACATAAGTGTGCATGTGTCTTTATAGTAGAATGATTTATAATCCTTTAGGTATATACCCAGTAATGGGATTTCTGGGTCAAATGGTATTTCTGGTTCTAGATCCTTGAGGAATCACCACACTGTCTTCCACAATGGTTGAACTAATTTACACTCCAACCAACAGTGTAAAAGTATTCCTATTTCTCCACATCCTCTCCAGCACCTGTTGTTTTCTGACTTTTTAATGATTGCCATTCTAACTGACATGAGATGGTATCTCATTGTGGTTTTGATTTGCATTTCTCGAATGACCAGTGATGATGAGCTTTTTTTCATATGTTTGTTGGCTGCATAAATGTCTTTTTTGAGGGGTATCTGCTTATATCCTTTGCCCAGTTTTTGATGGGGTTGTTTTTATCTTATAAATTGGTTTAAGTTCTTTGTAGATTCTGGATATTAGCCCTTTGCCAGATAGATAGATTGCAAAAAATTTTTTCCCATTCCGTAGGTTGCCTGTTCACTCTGATGATAGTTTCTTTTGCTGTGCAGAAGCTCTTTAGTTAGATTAGATCCCATTTGTCAATTTTGGCTTTTGTTGCCATTGCTTTTGGTGTTTTAGTCATGAAGTCTTTGCCCATGCCTATGTCCTGAATGGTATTGCCTAGGTTTTCTTCTAGGGTTTTTATGGTTTTAGGTCTTACATTTAAGTCTTTAATCCATCTTGAGTTAATTTTTGTATAAGGTGTAAGGAAGGGGTCCAGTTTCAGTTTTCTGCATATGGCCAGCCAGTTTTCCCAACGCCATTTATTAAATAGGGAATCCTTTCCCCACTGCTTGTTTTTGCCAGGTTTGCCAACGATCAGATGGTTGTAGATGTGTGGCATTATTACAGCCAATATCATACTGAATGGGCAAAAGCTGGAAGCATTCCCTTTGAAAACCGGCACAAGACAAGGATGCCCTCTCTCACCACTCCAATTCAACATAGTATTGGAAGTTCTGGCCAGGGAAATCAGGTAAGAGAAAGAAATAAAGGGTATTCAGATAGGAAGAGAGGAAGTCTAATTGTCTCTATTTGCAGATGACATGATTGTATATTTAGAAAACCCCCATCATCTCAGCCCAAAATCTCGTGAAGCTTATAAGCAACTTCAGCAAAGTCTCAGGATACAAAATCAATGGCAAAAATCACAAGCATTCCTATGCACCTATAATAGACAAACAGAGAGCCAAATCATGAGTGAACTCGCATTCACAATTGCTACAAAGAGAATAAAATACTTAACGAATACAACTTACAAGGGATGTGAAGGACCTTTTCAAGGAGAACTACAAACCACTGCTCAAGGAAATAAGAAAGGACACAAGCAAATGGAAAAACATTCCATGCTCATGGATAGGAAGAATCAATATTGTTAAAATGGCCATACGGCCCAAACTAATTTTTAGATTCAATGCTATCACCGTCAAGCTACCATTGACTTTCTTCAGAGAATTAGAAAATACTACCATATGGAACCAAAAAAGAGCCCTTATAGCCAGGACAATTCTAAGCAAAAAGAACAAAGCTGGAGGCATCACAGTACCTGACTTCAAACTATACTATAAAGATACAGTAACCAAAACCACGTGGTACTGGTACTAAAACAGATATATAGACCAATGGAACAGAACAGAGGACACAGGAAGGGGAACATCACACACCGGGGCCTGTTGTGAGGTGGGGCGAGGGGGGAGGGATAGCATTAGGAGATATACCTAATGTAAATGATGATTTAATGGGTGCAGCACACCAACATGGCACATGTATACATGTGTAACAAACCTGCACATTGTGCAATGTACCCTAAAACTTAAAGTATAATTAAAATTTTTTTTTCTTAATTTCTTTATTGACCTAATGATCATTCAGGAGAATTTTATTTAATTTCCATTTATTTGTACTGCTTCCAAAATTCCTTGTTTTTGATTTCTAGTTTTATATCATTATGACCAGAAAAGATGCTTGATACAATTTCAATGGTATTTAATTTGTTGAGACTTGTTTTGTGTCCTAATACATCCTAACATATAGCCAATCCTGGGGAATTTTCCATGTTCTGATGAAAAGATTGTGCATTCTGCAGCTGGATGAAATGTTCTACAAATGTCTGTTAAGTCCATTTGGTCTGTAGTGCAGTTTAAATCTAACATTCCTTTGTTGATTTTCTCTCCAGACGCTCTGCCTAATGATAAGAATGGGATATTGAAGGCACCAACTATTGTATTGGAGTCTAGCTCTCTCTTTATATCTAATAATATTTGCTTTATATACTGAGAGCTCCAGTGTTGAGTGCACATATATTTATAATTGTTATATCCTCTTTCTGAATTGATCCCTTTAACATTCTACAATAGCCTTTGTCTTTTTTTTTTTTTTTTTTTTTTTTTTTGAGATGGAGTCTCGCTCTGTTGCCCAGGCTGGAGTGCAGTGGTGCAATCATGGCTCACTGCAAGCTCTGCCTCCTGGGTTCACGCCATTCTCCTGCCTCAGCCTCCCAAGTAGCTGGGATTACAGGCGCCCGCCACCACACCTGGCTAATTTTTTGTATTTTTAGTAGAGATGGGGTTTCACCATGTAAGCCAGGATAGTCTCGATCTCCTGACCTCATGATCCACCTGCCTCGACCTCCCAACATGCTGGGATTACAGGCGTGAGCCACCACACCCAGCCACCTTTGTCTTTTTTAATAGTTTTTGTCTTAAAGTCTTTTTTATCTGACCTAAGTATAGCTACTCCTGCTTACTTTAGGTTTTAATTTGCATAAAATATTTTTTTCTATCCCTTTACTATTAATCTATGTGTGTCTTTACAGGTGAAGTAAGTTTCTTGTAGGCAGGATATAGTTGGGGCTTGTATTTTTTTTTTATCAATTCAGCCAGTCTATGTCTTTAAATTGGGAAATTTAATTCATTTATATTCAAGGTTATTATTAATAGGGGAGTACTTACTTTTGGCATTTTGATCATTGTTTTCTGGTTGTTTTGTATATTCTTTGATCCTTTCTTCCTAACTTGTTTGCTTTGTGGTTTGGTGGTTTTCTGAAATAAAAAGATTTGATTTTTTTCTCCTCATTTGTTATCTGCTCTGCCAGTGAGTGTTACACTTTTGCATGTTTTCATGATGATAATTATTGTCCTCTTGCTTCCAGATATAGGACTTCTTTAAGCATTTCTTGTAAGACCTAACTAATGGTGGTTAATTTCCTCAGTTTCTTTCTTGTCTGGGAAAGAATTTATTTCACCTTCATTTCTAAAGGATAGCTTTGCTGGGTATACTGTTCTAGACTGGCAACTTTTTTTTTTCAGTACTTTGAATATATTATCTCATTCTTTCCTGGCCCGTAAGGTTTCTGCTAAGGAATATGCTGTCAGTCTAATGGAGATTCCCTTATAATGTGACTTGACACTATACTCTTGCTGCTTTTAGAATTCTATCTTTCATTTCTCACAGTTTGACTACAATGTGCCTTGTAGAGCACCTTTTTGGGTTGAATCTATTTGGGGACATTTGAGCTTCTTGGATCTGGATGTTCTTATCTCCAAGACTTGGAAAGTGTTTAGCTATCATTTTATTAAATAGGTTTTCTATCCTTTATTCCATCTCTTCTCCTTCTGGAGTTTCTACAATGCAAAAAAATTGTTTGCTTAATAATGTCCCATAAGTTCTGTAGGCTCTCTTCCTTCCTTTTTATTTTTCATCTATTTTTTAGTTTTATCTATCTGGGTTATTTCAAAAGACCTGTCTTCAAGGTTAGAAATTCTTTCTTCTGTTTGACCTAATCTGTTAGTTAAGCTCTCAGTTGCATTTTTTACTTCATTCATTGAATTCTTTATGTCCAAGATTTCTGTAAAGTTCTTTTTTGTGATATCTATCTCTATTGAATTAATCATTCAGATCATGAATTGTTTTTCTGATTTTGTTGAATTGTCTATTTATATTCTCTTATATCTCACTGAGTTTCCTTGAAATCATTATTTTGAATTACTCTCCCGGCATTTAATAAATTCCTTTACTTTGGGGTCTGTTACTGGAGAATTATTGTGTTTTTTTTTAAGGCATCATATTTCCTTGCTTTTTAATGTTTCTTGTGTTCCTACATTGATACCTGCACATCTGGTGAAATGTTTGCCTCTTCCAATTTTATGCAATAGTTTTGTAGGAAGTGACTTTGTGGGAAATGTAGATGAGTCCTAGGGTGTCAGTTGGGTAGCTGAGTGAATTCATTAGTATAGCCTCTTTGCCGTTTATTCAGCTATAATCTACTTTAACTCTGTCTGCAAATTCCTAAGTAGCCTAGGCTACAGGAGTTTTCAGTGGTGGCAGTGCAGCCTTGCCAGGGGTGGGCTCACCAGGCTGGTTCTCACAGCATGCAAGTAAGGGGTCAGCCAGCTTGGAAATTGGTCCACCAAGGGCAGGGCCTCCAGACTGTCTCTCAGGCCAAGGGTATGGGTGCATGGTGAGTGAGTAGACTGGGGATTGACTTAACTAGGGGCAAGCCATCCAGGTTGTTTCTATGACTGGGGACACCTGGCTAAATCACCAGAGGTAGATTTACTGGGTTGTTTCTAGCCAGAGGCATGGATTCATGGCAGTTCAGCCAGGCTGAAATTACCTTCTATGCTGTGCAGGACTGGAGTCATATCATTTCCAGGCCCAGGCTCCAAGAAGTGGGGGTCATGGCATTGCAGTCACCCATGTGACTTCCTTGGAATGAGCCCAGAATGACCAGGAATGACTGCATTGGAATGACCACGTAGAGCCTCAAGTTTGGAGAGGTCCCATGGTTACTGGTCCCTAGAGCCAAATGCACTTTAGCAGCGGCTCCACTTTCAAGATGGTGTACTGCTGCAGCCGCGTGTGTCCTGGTTGGGGGTGGAGGGGTTGCAAGGTTGCAAGGGTAACGGGTAATGCACAATGTGTGCTCCTACCCTGGAGTAATGTAACCATATGAATTCCAGGCAGCTCCCCACTCCCCAAACTGGACTCTGGACTTGTGAGGACTGTGCGATTTCCCTGTAGTAAGAATTGCAAGTTTCTGCAGTGGCAATGAGGGCTTGTGGGTGGCATCTTCTGCTTACCTTTTTCTTGCAAGGGGCAAGGAAGTCCCTCTTGGCTTAGAGCTGATTTCAGTGGGAGAGACAGGGTGGCAGAGGCAGGATGCCTCATTTCCCTCTATGCTGTGATCCTGGGCTTCTGTGCTCCACAGGGATTTTGCCACTCCCTTGCTGCACTCCAGCGCTTTCTTTCAAACATTACAGTTGAATTTTGATTGTTTGTTGTTTTGTGTTTTTTGTGTGGAAGACGTGAGCACCAGTAACCTCTAGTTAGCCACTTAGCTGACATCTATCATTCCTTTTAATAAAAAATGTGGCATGGCACAGATACTAGCTACTAAAAACTTAACAATTTTATTAAAAATTTGCTTAATTGCCTCCAAATGAGCCTTAATTATAATGTCATAGACATAGGATATATAGCTCTGAAATTCGGAGAAGCATTCTGGGCCAGAGATTATAAACCATCAGTCTATAATTCCAGAATCTTCTGCTTCCCCCTTTGGAAAACAATGTTTACTATCTCTGTTCCACAAGTTCTCAAATGTTCATGTCATCTACAAGTTTGTCTGGCCCATGTAATATAGAATTCAATGGGGCCTGGAAGTCTGAAACTCAGTTAGCATATCCAGGTCCTTCCTTGGTCTACTCTTCTATTTAGTATTTTAATTTCCTCTTAGAAATGCTTTATCTATCCTACCCAGTTTGAAAATTATTCTCCCTGAGGAGAAGATAGAAGCAAAATTATGTTACGGAAAACACATGGGCTTTAAAGATACAGAGTCAAAATTTCAGGCCCTGGAACTACCATTAACACATGGTGTGATCTTTGGCAAGTTATTCAGCCTCTTTGACATACAGTTTCCTTACCATAAAGTGGAATTTAACAATATTCTACCGTGCACTGTTTAATCAGAACAATATTGTAATTACGAAAAAGATACAAACAGACAAAAGATACAATTTCATTCAGTGTTGTTGAAGAATAAATAAAACTACTCCTCAAAAAAGGCTTCACAGATCAGAAGAAAAAGCATCAGTTCCCTTTGGAGAGTCAAGCTTCCCTGATCTTCAAAACTCCATAAAGATGCTCTACCACCAAGATATCTACTGATCATTGTGAAGATACTTTTCCAAATTCTTAAAGAAGTTCCTTTGCCATTACCACTGTTTTTTCTCTTTTATTCTTATGTCTTCTCTAATCCTTTTTATTCATTAGGTACAAGTTCCTGGTGACACCCCAAACACATTCCTGCAGAATGAGTTGATGGGAGTTCTGTTTGCAGGGTCACTTTCCCAAGTAGACACCCTCTGTGAGGTTAAGGTTTTTAGGTCGGCTGAAATGTACTGCTATGCTTTGTACTCTTGGAGATGCTGTGAGGATTAAAACAGGACTCCGAAAATAAAACTTTCTCACAAAATACAGTTCCCAGCTTATTTTTCAATATCTTTCCTATTTTCTTGTAAGTTAAGCATATTTTGGCTGCAAATGACAGCAAAATTCAACTCGATTCAAACAGTCTTTAATAATAAAGAATATTTATCACCTCGTATAAAAAAATGCCACAGGTAATTCCAGCCTGAGGAGAGGAGTAGCCTAATGACTCACTGGATGCATTTTCTGTTTTCTCCTTCCCCTCTGTCTTTTAGGGTCTTCCATTTAATTTCACAACTCTCCCACTAAGGTAGAAAAAATAGCTAGAATAGTTCAAGACATCACATTGTCTCTACATCAACTCATCTAAGAGAAGGAGTGTCTGATAGCTCCCACATAGATCCTGGGATTTGTACTTTTTCATTGGCCCTAACTGGGTCAGATATCCATCCTTGAAGTAAACATGGTGATTAGAAGAAAAGAATAAATTGATTGAGTTAAGTGATTCAAGGGCCATCTCGGGAATCGAAAATGGTATCATTCCCACATGAAACTTATATATGAGAGTGAATTCAAAAAAAGAAAACCAGGATACTATTGGCAAGAAAGCTACACAGATAACTTATAAATGTTTACTACGTGAGTTCATTTTCTTTCTCCAAATAAAATGAAGTACTTCTTGACTATCTCTGGCTTCAGCCTTCGTGATGCCTTTCCTATAGGTTCATGCTGCTCTCTTGTATTTCTTTTTTGGTTATCTGCTCTTGTCCACAGTTTGTTTCAAAGCTGAATCTACCAGAGGATTCCCAGGCCATTATATTGGTTTCTGTAATTTCTTCCCCCTTTTCTTTCTCATGGAGTTACTTAGAATTATGTGGGTAGAATTACGTTTTTAAGCTCAAATTCCATAGGCACTTTTATGTGTTTTCCCTATATTCCTCTGAATGTCTTACTAAAGGAATCTGACAGTAGTGGCAACTATATTGCTATTGGATGAAACAGAACAAGCATCTCAGCTAGCCCCTTTCCTTCCTTTCTATTATACATGGGTAGGGATGGAACAGAGATTTAAGTGTATTATGGGAGTAAGGTTGAAGGAAACCATTGCATTTTTCTTTTCTACTAAATGAAGAAAATTTATTGAGCAATATTTAAAGGGGTCTAATAAAAAAAATCTGATTCCTGACTGCTATCCTAGAAATCTTTCTCCTGATTGCAACCTAGGCCCACCTCTCTCCTGACCCGAGTTTCCTGTGAGAGTAAGAAATGTTTGTGGTGATGAGAAAAACTCTCAGGTTGATTGGCTGATTGTATGCCATATTGTTTTATCTATACTCCATTAGCCCAGGTAATTAAGAGTTGACTTCATTTTCCTCTCTTTCTGACATTCTTCACCCCCTACTCACACAATCATTTTATCACTCTCTCACACTCTATCTGTATTTCATCTAAAAGTATGAAATATTTAAAATATTCCTGTTAGCAATGAACCATTTGATAGCTCCTATTATAGTGAGTTGGGGATGCAAATAAAGATGGTCAATTTCAATGAAATTTTGTTTCAAGTGGAATTTTGTGTGTCTTAATGAATTCAGTGATTTGCATGCATGTTCATTAGAAGCTCTTTTATATTTTTAATTGCTCCAACTTAAAATCTTTAAAAGCCAGATAGTGAGATACTCACAATGAAGAAGATAGAGGCAAGGTTCAAACATACATCTCTTTTGTGTATGCAATCAAGAAAGATATCAGGGATATGTCTCATACCATTAACATTCACCCCCAACCCCACTCCACACACAAAATATACTGACACAATTATCTCAGTTACATAACTGGCACAATTCCCATGACACATTTAATTATACATTATGATGTGTTTCTCAAAAACTTTGAAACTCTATCAGAACGATTATGAAATAGATGTGCCCACTTTCCTTCCAATTTGTGGTGATAAATTTTTAAGAAAACTTAACCATTATTTCATTTGCCTTCTAATGAGAGATTCAGCTTTCACAACTGCATTCTTATCATTGAATAGTGCTTTTTACTAAGAAGTTGGTATTTGTTTTAGCTCAGTAGAAACCTTATGTTAACAAAATAAAATGCTTTCCTGGTTCTTTCATGATAACCTAATCCACTTGGCCATATTCATTGTGCAGGTGCCAAATTTATGTGATTGCAATGGGAGGTTTGGTCCTAAGCCAAGAGTTAACTAAGCCTTCTGAGAAATGATAAATATTAGCTCTTAATATGCAAATATATATCAAATTATTTGTTCATTGATACTTTGTCTTTAAAAATAAATGACTGAGGGACAATACTATCCATTGCTATGTTAAACCTTATAAAGTTCTCTTCATTTGTTGCTTCCAGCTAAAATGTTCTTCTAAGAAAGAGCAGATCTTACTGGATTGCCTTTCCAGCAAAAATAAATACTTTTGTTGCTTTTTACCACAAGCACTTTCAAAAGCCTGCTTAAAATAGAAAATAGTTGTATTCCAAGGGAGCGCCTGGAGCCTACCACCTAATGATAGAGCCAAGATAGAGAAACTGGCTAATAGGATCATCTGTAAGGGATCAGCTGTGAGGGATCAGCTGTGAGGGAGCTGGAACTCAGAGACAATTCCCAAAACTAAAGTCCAGCAGAGTTCAGAGGTTTCCAGAAATGCCATAAATGGAGGAAAACAGAATAACATAATCAAGTAACAACGCCATGGGCTAGGCCACTGGAGACAGATGGGCATGGAAAAGCGTTCACAGAAGGCAATAGAAAGGAAAGGTCAAATGGAGCCACACTGGAAAGGTGAGCTTTGCCACCCCCTTACGTCTGCATATTGTATTTCACTGGCTACTTTGTGAATTTCAATCTCACAAGACTAATTTGAAGAGCTTACTGTATTTTCTACAGCTTGGTGCTAAAAGCAGCATCATATGTGCATACAAGATATTTAAAGATGAGGAGCAATTTGGCATCAGTTCAATTATTCTGTCACCCCCCAAAAAAGTTAAAAAATGTATTATCTGTATAAAGTCCAGCCAACTAATGGGTTCTTGTGGCATAATGTTATGTTAAAGAAGCATCAATAGAGTCTCCAAACTAGTTTAAAAACACTGTAAATTTTTACTGAAGCCTTTAATAAAAACACCAAAGAAGGAATATATCCAGAAAATCTTTGGAAATATTATCTTTCCAGTCTTGTCAACCTCTTCCAGATGTGGCAACTGCCCCCAAAGTCCCTATAGTTTCAACTCCCCAAAAGTCTCTTCCAGCCTGGTATACCATCTCTTGTATCCTCCCTCACCTGTCTCTGGTGCAGCTTCTTTAATATGTGGCTCATTTTAACCTTTCTGACTTGTTTCACTTTTCCTGTTCCTCCTTTACCAAGATTCTGTGCAGCAAAACAATGCCTAGGAACTCATACAGCAAGCAACAAAACAAAACAAACAAACAAAAACAAAAACAAAAATCCTCTCCGTTTTCCAAGATTGTTGATGGTCAGAGATGTTTAAAATACTTTGTAATTTATTTTATCTTCTCCCACAAATAGCATATAAGGTCTGTCCTTTTAAAGTAGCAGTTTGTCAAGGAGTAAAGTTAAAAAGGAAAAGGACTTTGTCTTCAATTTACAGAAGGCAGGCAAAGCTTTCATTTGAAAGACACCAAAGCCCAAAATTCTTGCCATGTGCATACACTAAGAAGACTTTGAATCCAACTGTACAAAATCAAGTTGAAAAAAATAGTTAGGTCAAGCTCAAGGATAAACTAGGATTAGAATTCCCAGCACTTAGACTAGATCTGGGTATTTGTATTTCTTTCAGTAATTTACTTTCTGATATTAACAATTTTATTATACCTTTTATGATAATTTTTTTTGAATTAACAATCATCAGATGCGCAAAATTACTCATTTATCTGTATTACCTTTGCCTAAAATCTGGCTGTTGAAACCATAAACTCCTATCCAGGTCCAAATAGTGGCAGAACATTGTAACTGCAGGTGAAGAAGGAGGAACCACTGTCACTTGAGTGACAGGAAGTGGTAATCCCAAATCAGATAGATCATGTGCAAGAGTATGATAAGAATATTTGAGAATTAATGAGCTTTAATATTTATTTTGCATTTCTACCAGCAATCTTTTTCTTCCTTATTGCACTCTATTTAATCATTGTTTAATCAGGAAACCCAAGAGAAGATGTGAAAAATATAGGCAAGAAGTAGCTAAGGTCCACGGTCAAGAGAAATTTGATTGTGCAGGCAACTGAAGGGGCAAATTAAGGGCAAATTACCAGCAAAAAAGTCAAATTACCAGCATCAAAGTCAGGTGCAAAGGAGGTAGAACAATTACAGTAACTATGTCAATCTTTTTGTTATATTAGTATTATCTGCCCAATGCCTAGAATACAGTGGGTCCCTAATAGTTATTAGTTCCTTTTTTCTTCCTCTTTCTCATTCTCTGAATTTATTTTTATACTTAAGGGATTAGTTACCACCAAAAATGTGTATGTATCAATTTGATTCTTACTGAAAGTAGACACCATGCAAATTACAAATTTCAAAAATAAATTATAGCTCTGCCAATGCTGTGCAGTGGCCTTAGATTATAGCTACTCTATAGCCTAAGCTTCCTGTACTCTATACCATGAAATCTTTATCTTTCAATATGGATAATAGCTCCCCCAAATAATACATAGCACAGTGCTTGCAGCATGATTTTGGACTAGAGCAGATAATCTTCTCTATTCCAGATGGCAACTGGGAAACATGAGGCTACTAACCCCGTACCAAGTGATAAAGACGAGACTGAGATGTGGGAAATAGAATGGACAAACTAGTGTGAATAAGGTAGGCTAGAGCTGACATCATCCCGGAGGCCTGCCCACTGGGACTACAGCTGCTACCACCGGCAAATGTTTTGGATATGTCATCTACCTTAGATATAGTCATCTGCTTTTGTTTAATTCTCGATTGCAAATTACCCCAAAACTTAGAAGTTTAAAACAATAAACATTTATTATGTCATAGTTTCTATGGATCAGGAATTTGAGGGAGGCTTAACTAGGTGTTTCTGGCTTAGGGACCTTCTTGGGGTTGCAGTCAAGATGTCAGATGAAGTTCCAGTCACCTGAAGGATTAACTGGAACTGGAGAATGGGCTTCCAAGATGATTACTCCCACAGCTTTGGCAGGAGGCCTCAGTTCCTCTCTGGCTATTGGCAGGAAGCCTTAGTTTCTTGGGTCTCCTTAGGGCTGCATGAGTGTGCTCACAAAATAGCAGCTGGCTGTCCCCAGAAAGAGTGATACAGAGAAAGAGAGCAAGGCAAAGAATGCAATGGCTTTCATTACCTAGTCTTAGAGCTACACATGTTACTTCCTCCATATACTATTTGCTGGAAGCAAATCACTAAGTCTAGTGCAAACTCGGAGAGAGAAACATCAGGATCTACATTAAATGGAGAGAATAGTCAAAAAATTTATGTATGTATTTTTAAATACCAAACCTACAAAGACTCAAGGATCTTTCTACCCTCCCTTAAGCAATGTCTGATACTGTGCCTTACATATCTGATCTAGAATTTCATCAAATATAGAATTAAAAGCAGAATACATGAGCATACAGTAACTAGGCAGAGGAGAATTGTCTAAAAATTGAGAACACTGGCAAGAGAGATTGAAAAAAGCTGGAACAAGAGAGACACAATTTGCATTTGGAATCTACTTTAAGTATATGAACGAAGACATTCAAATTCAAACACTTCTCAGGATAAAAAAGTGAAAGGCATCGCTTCTCCTCTGGTCATTCTGAGGCTTCATATAAGAATAGAGTGTTTATCAGTTCCAGGAGCCTTTTGGTGGCGTCTTCAGGGCTTTCTAGGTATGGAATCATACCGTCTATAAAGGGAGAGAGTTTGACTTATTCTTTTCCTATTTGAATGCCTTTTATTTCTGTCTCTTGCCTGATTGCCCTGGCAAAAACTTTAAGTACTATGTTGAATAGAAGTGGTGAGAGTGTGTATCATTGTCTTGTTCCAGTTCTCAGGGGAATGCTTTCCGTTTTTGCCCATTCAGTATAATGTTGGCTGTGGGTTTTGCATAGATGGCTATTATTATTTTGAGGTATGTTCCTTTGATGCCTAGTTTGTTGAGAGTTTTTAACATGAAGGGATATTGGATTTTGTTGAAGGCTTTTTTCACATCTATTGACATGATCATATGTTTTTTGCTTTTAATGTGTTTAGGCAGTGAATCATATTTATTGATTTGCATATTTTGAACCAACTTTATGTCCCAGGAATGAGGCCTATTTGATCATGAGGAATTAACTTTTTGACATACTGCTGGATTTGGTTTATTAGTATTTTGTTGAAATTTTTGTGACTTCAGTAAATTATCAGGATACAAAATTGTTGTACAAAAATTAGTAGAATTTCTATACATCAATAATATTCAAGCTGAGAGCCAAATTAATAATGCAATCCCATTTACTATAGCCACAAATAAAATTAAATACCTAGAAGTGCATCTAACCAAGGAGGTGAAAGATTTCTACAAGGATAACTACAAAACACTGCTCAAAGAAATCAGAGATGACACAAATAAATGAAAAACCATTCCATGCCTATGGATTGGAAAAATCAATATCATTAAAATGACCATACCGCCCAAATCAATCTACAGATTCAATACTATTCCTATCAAACTACCAAAATCATGTTTCACAGAATTGGAATAAACTATTCTAAAATTTATATGGAACCAAAAAATGGCCCAAATAGCCAAAGCAATCCTAAGCAAAAAGAACAAAGCCAGAGGCATCACATTACCTGACTTTAAACTGTACCATAAGGAAGGCTACAGTAACCAAAACAGCATGATACTGGCACAAAAACAGACACATAGACCAATGAAACAAAATAGAAAACCCAGAAATGAATTCGCACACTTACATCCATCTGATCTTCAACAAAGTTGACAAAAATAAGCAATGTGGAAAGGACTCCCTAGTCAATAAATGGTGCTGGATAGCTGGATAGCTATATGCAGAAGAATTAAATTGGACCCCTACCTTTCACTATGTACAAAAATTAACTCAAGACAGATTAAATATTTAAATGTAAGATTTCAAACTATAAGAATCCTAGAAGAAAACATAAAAAATGACATTCTGGACATGGGCCTTGGCAAAGAATTTATGATTAAGTCTTCAAAAGCAATTGCAACAAAAACAAAACTTGAAAGAGGGACCTAATTAAACTAAAGAGCTTCTGCACAGAAAAAAATATATATATATCAACAGAGTAAACAGACGACCTACAGATTGGGAGAAAATATTCACAAACTATGCATCCAACAAAGGTCTAACATCCAGATTCTATAAGGAACTTAATTCAACAAGCAGAAAAACAAATAACCTCATTAAAAAGTTGACAAAAGACATAAACAGACACTTCTCAAAAGAAGACATACTGGCAGCCAACAAACATATGAGAAAATGCTCCACATCACTAATCATCAGACAAATGCAAATCAAAACCTCAATGAGATACCATCTCACACCAGTCACAATGACTAGTATTAAAAAATTTAAAAAACAACAGATGCTAGTGAGGCTGCAGAGAAAAGGGAACACGTACACACAGTTGGTGAAAATGTAAATTAGTTCAGCCACTATAGAAAGCAGTTTGGAGATTCCTTAAAGAACTAAAAACAGAATTACCACTGGGCCCAGTAGTCCCATTCCTGGGTATATACCCAAAAGAAGATAAATCATTCTACCAGAAAAACACATGCACTTGCATATTTATTGCAGCACTATTCACAATAGCAAAGACATGGAATCAACAAAGGTGCACATCAGTGGTGGGCTGGATAAAGAAAATGTGGCACATATATACCATGGAATACTACACAGCCATAAGAAAGAATGCAATGTGCTTTGCAGTGACATAGATGCAGCTGAGAGCCATTATCCTAAGCAAATTAATCCAGCAACAGAAAAACCAAATACCACATGTTCTCACTTATAAGTGAGAGCTAAACATTGGGTAGTCATGGACATAAAGAAAGGAACAATAGACACTTGGGACTAATGAAGGAGGGGTTAAGAGTTGAAAATCCACCTGTTGGGTACTATGCTCACTCTATGAGAGATGAGATCATTTGTATGCCAAACCTCACCATCACACAATATACCTATGTAACAAACCTTCATGTGTACCACCTGAATCCAAAATGAGAGCTCACATTATAAAACTAAAAAGAATAAGAATAATCAAAATACTTTTTTAAATAGTGGAGTGTTGGGAACTAAGATATTGAAGATTTTGTTAGAAAATATAGATTAGAGTCATGCATGGATGGACACTCATAACTGCCCCCAAGTGACTTGCCTAAAAAAATTACTGTAAGTGAGAGGGACTTGGGAAGCTGAGCCCTAGATATGAGTGGGTGTTGGAATTACCACGTTTGAGTTCTAAGGCTTATAAATTGAGATCAAGGTTCTCTACATGGAAGTTTCAGTGCTATTATGTCCTTCAAGAACTTTAGGAAAACTTGTTGTTAGGATCAAAATCTGTTCATAGAGTTCTATGAGAGAGAGGAGGTGGATTTACCCATGGGTACACTAATTTTCCAAAGAAGAAAATCAGCAAAACTGCTGTTTTTTATCCAATCTATGATATTATGTATTGATTACCATTATTTTATGTAGTACCAATGGTAGCAATTACATTTTAATGTAATTCTTTCTTTTCACTTAAAAAATACTTATTGAAAGAGCTGTTTTCAGATTTAGACAGATTTTGTCACTATATCATTCCTCATACCATCAAGAGGATTGGTGACTCAGGAAAAATGCTGTACTATTGTCTCCAATATTTTCTTCTAAGTCACTTATATCTATCCCCTTTGCAAATTATTGTTATTATTATTATTTTTTTTTAGATGAAGTCTTGCTCTTGTCCCCCAGGCTGGAGTGCAACGGTGCCATCTCGGCTCACTGCAACCTCCACCTCCCAGGTTCAAGCAATTCTCCTGCCTCAGCCTCCCAAGTAGCTGGGATTACAGGTGCCTGCCACCACCCCCGGCTAATTTTTGTATTTTTACTAGAGACGAGGTTTCACCATGTTGGCCAGGCTGTTCTCCAAATCCTGATCTCAGGTGATCCACCTGCCTTGGCCTCCCAAAGTGCTGGGATTACAGGCATGAGCCACCATGGCTGGCCCCCTTTTGCAAATTTTGATGGCAACACTTTTTTTACTCAATTGAATCACGTGATGCTAGATGCTAACTGACTTCTGTCCAAAGTCAGTAAGAAGTTTCTGGTAATTTAATGTGTGGTATCCTGCACAATTCATGAGCCAGTTCACATATGTTACTCATTGCTTTGAAATTCCTTTGATCTGTTCCAAGGGATTTGGTGATTTCTCCTGTCTTCAGTTGCATTGCTTAGTGCATAATAGGCGATCCTTTTCCTGTATCTTAGTGACAACATATAACACAGTTTCAGCTACTTGTAGGCATCTTCCTTGTGTAGGTCGGGTAATGCATATAGGTATTTCTTTTGCTAGAAAATATAAAATTGAAGTCCCTTGTCCAATGACAAATATGCCTTTCTGTTTAGTTTTTACATACAACTTTTCTTTTCAATGAACAATCATAATGTAATTGTGAGGACATCTTAAGTGCACAAATTCAGCATTCATAATGTCAGCAATGCACTAAATGTAACTGATGTAACAAAATAGGAACAGCTGTAACTATTACTGCATGTACTAATATACTAACATTACAGCATGTCCTAATAACTCTTTTAGTGACTGCCATCTGCTAACATTAATTACAGGACACGTTTTCATTTCAGAGGTAAAATTTAAAATAAGTACATCTTCTAAATAATGAAATAAAATTTTTCATAAAAGAATCTATTTTTCATGCTAGACAATACTACTGTGCGTTAGCTACTTCAAGAGCTTTATCTCTGAGGATGAGAGGGGAAAAGTCATTCAACTTGCCCAAACTAATATATTATGTTATATTATTGTGGCTATTAAAATGCAAGAAAAAATAAGTAAAACTAGTCAATAAAACAGCATGGAAGGCCCCCAAACAAACCCTGGCACATGTAAGAATCATGCTATGGGAAAGACGGAATCATGAGGCAAGGGTAGTGAAAAAATTAAGCTGAAAAAACTAGTTCACTGTTTGGGAAAAAATTAAATAAACTTTTGTTTCTTACCATACACCAAAGTAAATTCTGGATACGTTAAAGATTTATATGAAAAGAGATGGCCGAATAGGAACAGCTCCGGTCTACAGCTCCCAGCGTGAGGGACGCAGAAGATGGGTGATTTCTGCATTTCCATCTGAGGTACCCGGTTCATCTCACTAGGGAGTGCCAGACAGTGGGCGCAGGTCAGTGGGTGCGCGCACCTTGCGCGAGCCGAAGCAGGGTGAGGCATTGCCTCACTCGGGAAGCGCAAGGGGTCAGGGAGTTCCCTTTCCTAGTCAAAGAAAGGGGTGACGGACGGCAGCTGGAAAATCGGGTCACTCCCACCCGAATACTGTGCTTTTCCGACGGCCTTAAAAAACGGCGCACCACGAGATTATATCCGGCACCTGGCTCGGAGGGTCCTACGCCCACGGAGTCTCGCTGATTGCTAGCACAGCAGTCTGAGATCAAACTGCAAGGCGGCAGCGAGGCTGGGGGATGGGCGACCGCCATTGCCCAGGCTTGCTTAGGTAAACAAAGCAGCCTGGAAGCTCGAACTGGGTGGAGCCCACCACAGCTCAAGGAAGCCTGCCTGCCTTTGTAGGCTCCACTTCTGGGGGGCAGGGCACAGACAAAACGAAAAGACAGCAGTAACCTCTGCAGACTTAAATGTCCCTGTCTGACAGCTTTGAAGAGAGCAGTGGTTCTCCCAGCACGCAGCTGGAGATCTGAGAAGGGGCAGACTGCCTCCTCAAGTGGGTGCCTGACCCCTGACCCCCGAGGAGCCTAACTGGGAGGCATCCCCCAGCAGGGGCACACTGACACCTCGCACGGCAGGGTACTCCTACAGACCTGCAGCTGAGGGTCCTGTCTTTTAGAAGGAAAACTAACAAACAGAAAGGACATCCACACCAAAAACCCATCTGTACATCACCATCATCAAAGACCAAAAGTAGATAAAACCACAAAGATGGGGAAAAAGCAGAACAGAAAAACTGGAAACTCTAAAAAGCAGAGCGCCTCTCCTCCTCCAAAGGAACGCAGTTCTTCACCAGCAACCGAACAAAGCTGGACGGAGAATGACTTTGACGAGCTGAGAGAAGGCTTCAGACGATCAAATTACTCTGAGCTACGGGAGGACATTCAAATCAAAGGCAAAGAAGTTGAAAACTTTGAAAAAAAATTTAGAAGAATGTATAACTAGAATAACCAATACAGAGAAGTGCTTAAAGGAGCTGATGGAGCTGAAAACCAAGGCTCGAGAACTACGTGAAGAATGCAGAAGCCTCAGGAGCCGATGCGATCAACTGGAAGAAAGCGTATCAGCAATGGAAGATGAAATGAATGAAATGAAGCGAGAAGGGAAGTTTAGAGAAAAAGAATAAAAAGAAATGAGCAAAGCCTCCAAGAAATATTGCACTATGTGAAAAGACCAAATCTACGTCTGATTGGTGTACCTGAAAGTGATGTGGAGAATGGAACCAAGTTGGAAAACACTCTGCAGGATATTATACAGGAGAACTTCCCCAATCTAGCAAGGCAGGCCAATGTTCAGATTCAGGAAATACAGAGAACGTCACAAACATACTCCTCAAGAAGAGCAACTCCAAGACACATAATTGTCAGATTCACCAAAGTTGAAATGAAGGAAAAAATGTTCAGGGCAGCCAGAGAGAAAGGTCGGGTTACCCTCAAAGGGAAGCCCATCAGACTAACAGCAGATCTCTCGGCAGAAACTCTACAAGCCAGAAGAGAGTGGGGGCCAATATTCAACATTCTTAAAGAAAAGAATTTTCAACCCAGAATTTCATATTCAGCCAAACTAAGCTTCATAAGTGAAGGAGAAATAAAATCCTTTACAGACAAGCAAATGCTGAGAGATTTTGTCACCACCAGGCCTGCCTTAAAAGAGCTCCTGAAGGAAGCGCTAAACATGGAAAGGAACAACTGGTACCAGCCGCTGCAAAATCATGCCAAAATGTAAAGACCATCGAGACTAGGAAGAAACTGCATCAACTAACGAGCAAAATAACCAGCTAACATCATCATGACAGGATCAAATTCACACATAACAATATTAACTTTAAATGTAAATGGACTAAATGCTCCAATTAAAAGACACAGACTGGCAAATGGGATAAAGAGTCAAGACCCATCAGTGTGCTGTATTCAGGAAACCCATCTCACGTGCAGAGACACACATAGGCTCAAATAAATGGATGGAGGAAGATCTACCAAGTAAATGGAAAACAAAAAAAGGCAGGGGTTGCAATCCTAGTCTCTGATAAAACAGACTTTAAACCAACAAAGATCAAAAGAGACAAAGAAGGCCGTTACATAATGGTAAAGGGATCAATTCAACAAGAAGAGCTAACTATCCTAAATATATATGCACCCAACACAGGAGCACCCAGATTCATAAAGCAAGTCCTGAGTGACCTACAAAGAGACTTAGACTCCCACACATTAATAATGGGATACTTTAACACCCCACTGTCAACATTAGACAGATCAATGAGACAGAAAGTCAACAAGGATACCCAGGAAGTGAACTCAGCTCTACACCAAGCAGACCTAATAGACATCTACAGAACTCTCCACCCCAAATCAACAGAATATACATTTTTTTCAGCACCACACCACACCTATTCCAAAATTGACCACATAGTTGGAAGTAAAGCTCTCCTCAGCAAACGTAAAAGAACAGAAATTATAACAAACTATCTCTCAGACCACAGTGCAATCAAACTAGAACTCAGGATTAAGAATCTCACTCAAAACCGCTCAACTACATGGAAACTGAACAACCTGCTCCTGAATGACTACTGGCTACGTAACAAAATGAAGGCAGAAATAAAGATGTTCTTTGAAACCAACGAGAACAAAGACACAACATACCAGAATCACTGGGACGCATTCAAAGCAGTGTGTAGAGGGAAATTTATAGCACTAAATGCCCACAAGAGAAAGCAGGAAAGATCCAAAATTGACACCCTAACATCACAATTACAAGAACTAGAAAAGCAAGAGCAAACACATTCAAAAGCTAGCAGAAGGCAAGAAATAACTAAAATCGGAGCAGAACTGAAGGAAATAGAGACACAAAAAACCCTTCAAAAAATTAATGAATCCAGGAGCTGGTTTTTTGAAAGGATCAACAAAATAGACCACTAGCAAGAATAATAAAGAAAAAAAGAGAGAAGAATCAAATAGACGCAATAAAAAATGATAAAGGGGATATCACCACCGATCCCACAGAAATACAAACTACCATCAGAGAATACTACAAACACCTCTACCCAAATAAACTAGAAAATCTAGAAGAAATGGATAAATTCCTCGACACATACACTCTCCCAAGACTAAACCAGGAAGAAGTTGAATCTCTGAATAGACCAATAACAGGATCTGAAATTGTGGCAATAATCAATAGCTTACCAACCAAAAAGAGTCCAAGACCAGACGGATTCACAGCCGAATTCTAACAGAGGTACAAGGAGGAACTGGTACCATTCCTTCTGAAACTATTCCAATCAATAGAAAAAGAGGGAATACTCCCTAACTCATTTTATGAGGCCAGCATCATTCTGATACCAAAGCCTGGCAGAGACACAACAACAAAAAAAAGAATTTTAGACCAATATCCTTGATGAACATTGATGCAAAAATCCTCAATAAAATACTGGCAAAACGAATCCAGCAGCACATCAAAAAGCTTATCCACCATGATCAAGTGGGCTTCATCCCTGGGATGCAAGGCTGGTTCAATATACGCAAATCAATAAATGTAATCCAGCATATAAACAGAGCCAAAGACAAAAACCACATGATTATCTCAATAGATGCAGAAAAGGCCTTTGACAAAATTCAACAACCCTTCATGCTAAAAACTCTCAATAAATTAGGTATTGATGGGACGTATTTCAAAATAATAAGAGCTATCTATGACAAACCCACAGCCAATATCATACTGAATGGGCAAAAACTGGAAGCATTCCCTGTGAAAACTGGCACAAGACAGTGATGCCCTCTCTCACCACTCCTATTCAACATAGTGTTGGAAGTTCTGGCCAGGGCAATTAGGCAGGAGAGGAAATAAAGGGTATTCAATTAGGAAGAGAGGAAGTCAAATTGTCCCTATTTGTAGACGACATGATTGTATATCTAGAAAACCCCACTGTCTCAGCCCAAAATCTCCTTAAGCTGATAAGCAACTTCAGCAAAGTCTCAGGATACAAAATCAATGTACAAAAATCACAAGCATTCTTATACACCAACAACAGACAAACAGAGAGCCAAATCATGAGTGAACTCCCATTCACAATTGCTTCAAAGAGAATAAAATACCTAGGAATCCAACTTACAAGGGATGCGAAGGACCTCTTCAAGGAGAACTAGAAACCACTGCTCAAGGAAATAAAAGAGGATACAAACAAATGGGAGAACATTCCATGCTCATGGGTAGGAAGAATCAATATCGTGAAAATGGCCATACTGCCCAAGGTAATTTACAGATTCAATGCCATCCCCATCAAGCTACCAATGCCTTTCTTCACACAATTGGAAAAAACTACTTTAAAGTTCATATGGAACCAAAAAAGAGCCCGCATTGCCAAGTCAATCCTAAGCCAAAAGAACAAAGCTGGAGGCATCACACTACCTGACTTCAAACTATACTACAAGGCTACAGTAACCAAAACAGCATGGTACTGGTACCAAAACAGAGATATAGATCAATGGAACAGAACAGAGCTCTCAGAAATAATGCTGCATATCTACAACTATCTGATCTTTGACAAACCTGAGAAAAACAAGCAATGGGGAAAGGATTCCCTATTTAATAAATGGTGCTGGGAAAACTGGCTAGCCATATGTAGAAAGCTGAAACTGGATCCCTTCCTTACACCTTATACAAAAATCAATTCAAGATGGATTAAAGACTTAAATGTTAGACCTAAAACCATAAAAACCCTAGAAGAAAACCTAGGCATTACCATTCAGGACATAGGCATGGGCAAGGACTTCATGTCTAAAACACCAAAAGCAATGGCAACGAAAGACAAAATTGACAAATGGGATCTTATTAATCTAAAGAGCTTCTGTACAGCAAAAGAAACTACCATCAGAGTGAACGGGCAACCTGCAAAATTTTTGCAACCTACTCATCTGACAAAGGGCTAATATCCAGAATCTACAATGAACTCAAACAAATTTACAAGAAAAAAACAAACAACCCCATCAAAAAGTGGGCGAAGGACATGAACAGACACTTCTCAAAAGAAGACATTTATGCAGCCAAAAAACCTATGAAAAAATGCTCATCATCACTGGCCATCAGAGAAATGCAAATCAAAACCACAATGAGATACCATCTCACACCAGTTAGAATGGCAATCATTAAAAAGTCAGGAAACAACAGGTGCTGGAGAGGATGTGGAGAAATAGGAACACTTTTACACTGTTCGTGGGAGTGTAAACTAGTTCAACCATTGTGGAAGTCAGTGTGGCGATTCCTCAGGGATCTAGAACTAGAAATACCATTTGACCCAGCCATCCCATTACTGGGTATATACCCAAAGGACTATAAATCATGCTGCTGTAAAGACACATGCACACGTATGTTTATTGCAGCACTATTCACAATAGCAAAGACTCGGAACCAACCCAAATGTCCAACAATGATAGACTGGATTAAGAAAATGTGGCACATATACACCATGGAATACTATGCAGCCATAAAAAATGATGAGTTCATGTCCTTTGTAGGGACATGGATGAAATTGGAAATCATCATTCTCAGTAAACTATCGCAAGAACAAAAAACCAAACACCGCATATTCTCACTCATAGGTGGGAATTGAACAATGAGATCACATGGACACAGGAAGGGGAACATCACACTCTGGGGACTGTTGTGGGGTGGGGGGAGGGGGGAGGGATAGCATTGGGAGATATACCTAATGCTAGACGATGAGTTAGTGGGTGCAACGCACCAGCATGGCACATGTATACATATGTAACTAACCTGCACAATGTGCATATGTACCCTAAAACTTAAAGTATAATAATAAAAGAAAAAAAAACTTAAAAAAATATTTATATGAAAAGAAGGAAAATCATAAAATAATTAGATCATCTCTGGTTGCCAAATGGCTGTCTAAGTGTACTAGCAAAAGAAGAAATAAATATGGTAACACAAAATTAAACACTTCTATACATAGCAAAAGGCCAGTGACAAATAAAAATATGTTTGCCACATAAATATAAAATGATAGGTTAATATTTTTAATATATAAAGAGCTCTTACGTTTAATAATAAACATATAACCCATAGAAAAATGGATCAGAGAAATAAACAGTAAATTCACAAAAATGCATGGTAATAATAAGTAATAATGAGAAAAGTTAAATCTCAACAATTTTTTAAATGCAAGGTAAAATTAAAACAAAAGTTAAGTATTTTTCATCCATCAAGGTATTTAAAAACCAAATCCAATAGCCACCATAAATGAGAATGTAAAATGAATAGTCTCATTCTCTGCTATAGGGTTGTAAATCAGTCCATCTTTCCTAAAGCAAAATTTAGATACTATTCAAATGTATGTTTTCTTTAACAAAATTACCATTACCCTATACTTTCAAGAATTTATCCTGAATAACAATTTAGCTATGTGCAAAGAGATTTATATGCAAACATATTTATCACAATATTATTTTTGATACTTAAAAAATCAGAATCAATCTATCTGTGCAAAACTAAATAAATAGTTAAATCTGTTATTATAAACCTTTTGATGGAATAATGTATAAGCATCACAGCTTGTCTTTTGTAGACTTTATAATGACAGAAAGATGATATAATGTCTAGTGATAAAATCATGACACAAAACCTTATTCAAAAGGAAATATTTTTAAATGTTGGCAGTACTTACACTGTATAGCAGTTAATTTTGATTTATTTCTGATACTTTTCTATGCCTAACCAAGATTTCTACAATAGCATTATGTTTGTAACCAGGAAGTGAGGGAAAAAGAGAGAACTTTGGTCAACATAATAAAAAGGCAAGAGCAATGCAGTTTTTTAAATCAGATAGTACAGATGCTAAAAGACGTCTCACACACATTGTTACATACAATTGTGATTTATAATTGTTTTCTGTGCTTGAAAAGATAAGAATGTTGTAACTATGCTTTGGATCATGAAGAGTAAAAACCCAATATTTTATTGGTAAGAGAAAATTCAATTTAAATATATATTTGTATAATTTCACATTATAACTGCTATGTACTTTTGCATTATTTCATAATGCAACATTTTGAAATGAAAATTAGCAGTCTATTTTATGCTAATCAAGGACTCTTGTTATCTAAAGGTTAAGGAAGCACCCAAATAAAAATAAATAAAGGCATTTTTCATCAGAAAAGACTGGATATTTTCTTCTGATTCAGAATATAGCCAAATTGACACATAACTATAGATAATTTTTACAATAAACCAAATTCTTTCAGCATCATAATTGAGAATACACCACTGTGTACAGAACTGAAATGATCATACCAAAGTTCTTAGAAAGTTGTCTCTAAGACAGATTAGAGAATAAATTCGTCATCTTTATGGCTATGGCTTTTTCACCCCGTTCCTCCAAGGTACTCCAACTCTGATTACCTTCTCCAGGATGAAGGCAAGAGTCAGCCTACATACTCATTAAAGTGGAAGATATTTCAAACAGCCTGCCACTTTCATCAGCTTGCTATGAGAAACAAAATTTATTTCACTTTTTACTAGATCCCTAACACACAGAGGGAATTCAAAATGTCTCCCTGGAGACTGGAGGTTGAACACTTAGGTGGTGTTTTACTGTACTATCTGACTGTGAAAAACAGTATTTTTTTCTATGGGCATGGAAAGCCGAATGCACAATTCACCTTTGATTGATGGGTTTATCAACAGTCACGTAGCAGTTACATAAGTAGTGTAGCTTCCCCAATTGTTTTATTAAATGGCAAATACTGTGGAAGGAAAAATGTCATTTCTAGCAAATATGAAACTTTTAAACTATTTCAAAGTAAAGGAAAATTGAGTGGCAGTTTACCCAGCTCTCATGCTGCAAGATTTAACACACTAAACTTTTTTCCAAAGCTACACAATTTTAAAGTGATGTCTGTCTGATTTAATGTGTTTAAGCAAAAGGATTTCCCAAAACATATCTCATTTGAAACCGCTATCCCAGTGGCAGTAAAAATGGCATCAATTACAGAAATGTTACCAACAACAAAAACATTCAATTCACCAACAAAGGTCAGCAGTAAATCTCTCTAAAATATGTACAGCTCATAAAACTAATGGGTTTGCAACTGTGATTGAAACAGATGTTCATAAAATCAGCATTTAAACATGAAGATACTGTAAAATAAATGAAGATGAGATTAATTTAACAAGTTAATTCCAAAGCTGAATGGGGAAGAAAATTAACAGAAAGGCATACAACTCGAAGTGAGACGCATCGCATTGTAATCAAAGAAAAGAGTACTGCAGTGGGCTAACAAACTGGAGTGCATAGGAAGAACTTTGTGTAAGGAGTGATTTGAATCTAGCATTCTACCTTATACTGTTTTATTGGGAAATTACTTTGCATTCTCAGGTTATAGCAATATAACTTTAAAAGATAAGGGCATTTGGTCAGTTTCCTTTCTTCATCACTTGGAAATAGGGGAGTCATGTGAACTAATTCTAGTTTTACCAAAACCCCCACGAAAACGAAAAAAATTCTAGGATCATTAACAACTATTATTTTCAAATGCCAAGTTTGGGGGTGCAAAGGCAACAGTGGAGTTCCCAGAACACCTACGGAATGTTTAAAAATTTATTTCCCAAACAGGTGTGAGCAATTATGCAAGCATCATAAACATGTGCCTATAGCCTGGCTGAGAATAGCCTCCCTGTTTGCATTTTGTTTCTACAAATCAAAGGATGCTGCGAGGGTCATTTCTGGGGCAGAGAAGTTGCACGCTACTTTACATATCCACACACAAAGCACCACCCTGAACCCGGAGGCATTTCCCATTATCCTCTTGGGTGTGAAGTAAATCTTGAAGGACTTCTTAAGTGTGCTCTCACCACTCTAAGCAGCAGGCAGAATTTGGGTGGCCTTGCCGTGCTCCAGCCTCCTGCTGTTGGCTGCAATCTTTCTTGTAGACGCTGATGAAGGGCATGAGGGCAACTCTGACTTTAAATCTTCATAAAATAAAGACAACTGTGACTGAAGTTTAGTTTGGCCTGCTTACATAAGTGAAACAGGGCCACAGTGTTTTGCACACATTTTCTGCCCTCAGAAAAAGAGGACAAAGAGGTTAGCACTGCACTGGGGCGAAAGGACTCGGCTCCTCGGCTAGGTTATGGGGAGTTTTGGTTGTAATGAAAATAGATTTCATACTAAAATAATCTTTTTAGTGCTGGCTATAGGATCGGCTCATCTGAAGAGTAGAAAGTTAACTCTTGATGAAACAGTAGGGGTCTTTCTTTGTGACTTTTGACATAATTCACCAAACAGCTCAACTTGACCAAATCAATTGGTGTATATATAAACCCTTAAACAATTAGATGCCTTTCTTTAAACAAAAGCCAGCTGTATAAGCATCCACTAATTAGCCATGTTGCACTTCTTGAGTTCTTTTGTTTTATTGACTCATCTCTTCATGCATATTATGGCCATATAGTTGAGTTCATTAAGACTGAGCATAGCACATGCCTGTAATCTCAGCACTTTGGGAGGCCGAGGCGGGTGGATCACTTGAGGTCAGGAGTTCGAGACTAGCCTCGCCAACATGGTGAAACCCCCATCTCTACTAAAAATACAAAAATTAGTCGGATGTGGTTGTGGGTGCCTGTAATCCCAGCTACTCGGGAGGCTGTAGCAGGAGAATTTCCTGAACCCGGGAGACGGAGGTTACAGTGAGCCGAGATCACACCATTGCACTTCAGCCTGGGTGACAGAGCAAGACCCCATCTCAAAAAAAAAAAAAAGAAAGAAAAAGAAAAGCAGAATAGTATTCTTATCTTGCTGGAGGAAAATAAGTATATTTGAAAAAATCTGAAAATAGTTTTCTTTTAAACAAAATATGTATTTGTTCGTATTAGAAAACATTTTTGCTGATTTTGAAATTAGTATGGGTTTATTATAATTTGGAACATTTAAAATTGCAGAAAGAAAAAATGTTAATTAACCTAGAATATAACCACCCAGAGAAAATTACTACTAACATTTATAAATAAACTTTTTATTTTAACATAGTCTTAGATTTACAGAAAAATAGCCTACACTCAATTTCCCTTATTATCTTACATTAGTATAATACACATATTTATTACAATTAATGAACTCACATTGATACATTATTATTAATTAAAAGTCCATACGTTATTCATACTTCTTTTGTTTTTACCAAATGCTCTTTGTCTGTTCTAGGAGCCCATCTAAGATATCACATTACATTTAGTTGTCTTGTCTCCTTGGGCTCTTCTTTAGCTGTGACAGTTTCTTACTTCCCTTGTTTTTTTTCTTTTTGGTTTTTAGATTTTTTGAGATGGAGTCTCATTCTATCGCCCAGGCTGGAGTGCAGTGGCACGATCTCAGCTCACTGCAATCTCCACCTCCAGGGTTCAAGAGATTCTCCTGCCTGAGCCTCCCGAGTAGCTGGGATTACAGCCGCAATTCACCATGCCCAGCTATTTTCTGTATTTTCAGTAATGATGGGGTTTCACCATATTGGCGAGGCTGGTCTTGAACTCCTGACCTCAGGTGATCCGCTGGCCTCGGCCTCCCAAAGTGCTGGGATTACAAGCGTGAGCCACTGTGCCCGGCCACTTTCCTTGGTTTTGATGACCTTGAGAGGTTTGAGGAGTCTGCTCACGTATTTTGTGCAGTGTCCCTCAGATGAGATTTATCTGATTTTTTTTCACCGTTACGCTAGAATTACTTATTTAGGGGAGGAGAAACACAGAGGTGAAATGCCATTTTCATCATATTGCATCAAGGATATATATGTCTTCAACATGACTCACCCTATATCAGCACAATAAGGTTAAGGTCTTCATTTATTAGTGAAGACTGACAAACACTACCCTTTTTCCCCACTTCCATACTGTTCTTTTTGGAAGGAAGTCACCATGCACAGACCACATATGAAGAATGGGAAGTTATGCTATACTTTCTTGAGGGCAGAGTCTCTACATAAAATAGTTGAAATTATTCTGCATGGAAAATTTGTCTATTCAACTACTTTTTAAATTTATTCAATAATTTATTTATATCCATCTCAATATAAATGGACTCATGGATATTTATTTTATACTTTAGGTAATAATATTATACTAGTTTATTTTCTTGAACAAATTGTTCCAGCTTTGGACATTGGGAGTGCTTTCAATTGGCTCCTATGATCCTTTAAACATCCCCATCACTGTGAATAGGTTTTTTATTTGTAGGTTTTGTTATGGTTGTTTTGTTATTATTTTTGCTAACTTATTTTCTTGGTTCCAGGCTCATCTTGAATATTTCCAGCCCAGTTATGGAGTAAGCCATTTCTCCCAGTTATCCTGGTTCCTTTGATTGGAGAATATTAGAAACCTATACCATGGTGCTAATGCATTTGTTGCTAAAGGATTGTCTTTCTTTGAGACCCTGTTCAGCTGACAGAGCAAGGAAATATATGTGTGTGTGTGCCAGATGATGTATATACACATATCTCTAGATATCTCTTTATGTAATAACTATGTCTATATTCAGCTAAACATGAGTTTATGTCTCTAACTCTAATCCATTACCATATAAATCATTCTAGCCTCATCCCCTTAATTCTCTGTAACCTCCCACTCCAGCAATGAGAAAACAGGCTGACACTCTCCATTTACTTAGTAGTTCCTCTGCAGTGTACACATATAGTGGTATCACAATTGTTAACTCATACCTTCTTGAGAAAAAATCTTTATCAAATAGAGTGCAATACTTATGTACAGCTTCTTTTGAATTTAGTCTTATAAATGCACAAAGCATTTCCCCCTACACACACACACACACACACACACACACACACCCCAAATTCGGTAAGGTTGTGTCATAGGTTTGTGATGCAGTTAGATTGTTTTGTCACATTCTGCATTTCATCCTGGAATATCCCAATTTTCTAAAAGAGTTTTTTAAACTTGCATTCATTAAGGTTTATTCTTTATGTTTTATGGATTTTGATGAATGCGTAGTGTCATGTATTCACCATCATAGTATCATAAAAATAATTGTGTACCACCCTAAAAAATTCCCTGTACTTCACCCATTGAACTCTCCCTCTTTCCTATCAAGCCACTGGTCACCTATAATTTACTACTTTTATAGTTTTGCCTTTTCTAGACTATTACATAATTGGATGAGGACAGTATATAGCTTTTTCATGCTGTTCCTTCAATGAACAGTATGTATGTAAAATTCTTCTATGTCTTTTCAGGGCTTGATAGTTAATTTCTTCTTATTGAAAATTATTTCATTGCCACGGTGCACCACAATTTGTTTAATTCACGTATTCATTCATCTTGATTTCTTCCAGTTTTTGGCAAACATGAATAAAGCTACTATAAACGTTCACATACAGATTTTTGTGTGGATCTAAGTTTTTTCATCAGTTGGGTAAATATTTAGGAACACCTTATCCCATTGTAAAACTATGTTTAGCTTTGTAAGAAATTGTCGATCTGTCTTCCAAAATGACCATACTATTTTATATTCCCACTAGCAATGAATGAGAGTTTATGTTGTTCCATATTTTTGCCAGCAGTTGATACTGTCAGGATTTTTTTTATTTTAGTCATTCTGATATTTATATAATAGTGATTGTTTTAATTTGAAATTTTCTTATGATAAATGATGTTGAGCATCTTTAAATATTATTTGCCATTTATATATCTTCTCTGATGAGGCACCTCCCCCCACCCAAATTTTTCTCTTCTATAGTCCTACTTTGGCTAACTTGGATTTTTTTGTTTTATATAAATTGTAGAATCAGTTTGTCAATAGCTACAAAAAAGAGTAATGGGATTTTTATTGGGGTTGAGTGAACTATGTAATAAGTTGGAAAAAAATTGACATCTTAACAATATTTAGTCTTCCAGTCTATGAAGACAGAACATTTCTCCATTTGCTTAGATCTTTTTCATTTCTTTCATCATAAGTTTATAGTTTTCTGCATATAGACTCTGTATTTTATTTGTACCTAAATATTTTATATTTTTGGTAATTGTAAATGACATTTGTTTTCAGTTTCAAATTCCAATTGATTATTACCAATATAAAGAAAAACAACTGACTTTCATATTAACCTTGTATCCTGAGACCTTGCTATATTTGTTTATTAGTTCCAGGAAAGTTTTTTGTTTTGTTTTTGTCAATTCTTTGGGATTTTCTATATAAATAATCAAGTCACCTACAAACAAAAAGACATTTTATTTCTTCCTTCCCAATCTGTATGTTTATTTCCCTTTCTTGTCTTATTGCACTAGCTAGTACTTTCAGTACAATGTTGAACAGGAGTAGTAGAAAGGGACTTCCTTGCCTTGTTCCTGATCTTAGAGGGAAAGTATTCTGTTTTTTATCATTAAGTACCATGTTAGCTATAGAGTGTTTAATAGATGTTCATTATCAAGTTGAGGAAGTTCCTTTCTATTCCTAGTTTGCTGAGAGTTTTTATCATAAATGTATGTGAATATTGTCAAATGCTTTTTATGCTTCAACTGATGTGATCGTAAGATTTTTCTTTAATCTGTTGATGTGGTAGATTACACCGATCAGTTTTTCAAATGTTAAATCAGCTTTGCATACCTGCAATAAGTTCAACTTGTCAGGGTATATAATTCTTTTTATATATTCTTGGATTAGATTGGCTAATATTTTGCTAAGAATTTTTGTGTCTTAGTTCAAGAGAGTCTATCGTTTGTTGTATTTTATTCATCTGGTTTTTGTATCAGGGTACTGGTGCCTAATAAATTAAGTTTGTAAGTGTTCCCTCCTCTTCAACTTTCTGGTAGAATTTTTATAAAACTGGTATTATTTTTTCCCTAAATACTTGGTAGAATTTACCAGAAAACCATTTGTGCCTAATTTTGAGATTTTTTTTTAAATATGGTGCAATATAAGTGTGCAAGTTCAGTGTTTTAAATATAGCTCATTAGTTTTCACAGCATGACTTCCTTCATGAAATGATCTTGGCATCCTTGCTGAAATTTAGTTAACCATAGAAACATTGCTTTATTTCTGGATTCTTTATTTTATTTTATTGATGTATATGTTTATTCTTATGTCAGTATACACAGTCTTAATTACTATTGCCTTCTAGACCTTTGCTCTGTTTTTTTAGATTCTGTATTCTACAACCTTGTTGAATTTGTTTATTAGTTATAATTGTCTTTTAGTGGATTCCTTAGGATATACAAGATCATATCATTTGCAAATATAGTTTTACTTATTGCTTTGTAATCTGAATGCTTTTTATTAACTACTTTTTCCAATACAGACCTTAACACATTAGTCATAATTATTTTAAATTACACGTGTGATAACTTTAACTCCTGTGACATATCTAAGTGTGGTTCTGATGCTTGCTTTGCCTCTTCAGGATGTGTTTTTGCTTGCTTTTTGGCATGCCTTGTGATATTTTGTTGAAAGCCAGATATGTAGTATCATGTAATAGGAATGGAGGTAAATAAGCCATTAGTGTGATGATTCATTTTAATCTGACTAGGAATTAGGCTGTCTTTGATATTAATTATAACTGTAGATGTCATAGTCTTTAAATTCCTCTTGTGTGCTTGTTTTTATCTCCCACCTTGACTTTGGGCTTCCCTAAATACTCCTCCTCAGAGAGAGTCTGTGTCTTGTAGCTCTTTCCACCGTAATCCACGGTTGTTATACTGAAGGCCTGGTGGTATTGTGGTCAAGTGAGAAGAAAGGTTGTGTTCTATAGTTTTATATTTAAATCTAGGTCTTTTACTGTGCCTCTTTCTCTGTTCTATGACCTGAAGTGTTTTCTACGGTGGTATCGTTTTATGTTGTTGTTTTGTTTTGTTTTGTTTTGCCTGATTTTGAAGAGACAGGATGTCTAGAAAGGACTAGAGAGGGAAGAAATTCCTTCTCCCAGCTAGAATAAAGCTCTGGTAAAGATTTTTTCCCTGGATAGTAAACTTTTGTTATGAAGAATCCTCTGGGTGTATTTCACAATGATTAGTCTTTCCTTCTCTTACCAGAGACACAAGGCGAATCATTCTTGGATCTTCACCATGAGAACCTGCTGGATTTCCTGAAAGAAAAACTTGCCAAAATGCGGGGTCCTCCGAGATGGTGGCCCCCAGGAGTTTCTCATTCTCACATTAGTCCACACTCCACCTGCAGTAATTTGTTGAAATTATCAGTTAGATGTTTTACCAGTTTACGGCTACAGATGATTCTGTTCCAGGTAAGCAAGTGTCAGCTGTGACTCTCAAACATTTGTCTTTCTCTGCAGATTTCAGAGTAGTAGTTTGCCCGGCAACTTCAGTTCTCAATTGGGTCAGTTTGTTCAACTATTTCTTCTTGTAAGAATGGGAGGGATGACTTCCAAGCTCTTTACATATCAGAGCTAAAACCAGAAGGTGCACTATTAATATTCTGATAAATATGATTTATGTTTTTATGTGCATATTTTACAAATTTTACCCATTGTTTTTACAACTAAGATCAAAATATGTAATCCTTTATTGATCTGCTTTTTTCCCATTTAACAAAATATTGTGAACATTTTTCCATATATACCTACTTATCTGTGCTACAAATTTTAATGATTGCTTGCATTCCACATGTGGCTTGTTAAGAAAAAATATACAGAACGTAAATATGGCAAAAAGCTGAGCCCTTTCTATGTTAAATCTGGCAAAAGCCCCCCATAAGATTGTCTATAAAGATAAAATGTATTCAACTTACCTTTTACTATTTAATAAAGATTCCAGAATTAGTAAAGCTAAATGTTAACCTGTGGAATTTTTTCTGAGATGTAAATATTTTCTTTCCAAGGGGAACATAACTCCAAAGTTTAGGGTTTATTGCCCTTTAGGATATAAGCTGGTTTTATAACTGAACCAACATTATTATACTAATATTCATTTATTAAATTGTTAATGAATACTCCTCAAATGCTCTTTGAGCCAGTCTTATCATCTTACAGATTTCCTCATTAATTAATAAGTAGAATAAAATCTTTAATATGCGGTCATGTATTTGCATGAGATTCTTAATTTTACATTTCTGAAAATTACTTTTTTACCATGGCTTACCAAGATTTATGCAACTGTTCCTTAATTTGGAGGGCATTAGGTTTTCCTTATGTTTGGTATTAGAAATAGTATTGTGATGAACAAAATTTAAAAAAAATATACAATTTTTTAACTTTAACTTTTATTTTAAGTTTAGGGGTACACGTGCAGGTTAGCTATATAGGTAAACTTGTGTCATGGGAGTTTGTTGTACAGGTTATTTCATCACCCAGGTATTAAGCCTAGTACCTATTAGTTATTTTTCCTGATCCTCTCCCTCCACCCACCTTCCATCCTCCAATAGGCCCCAGTGTGTGTTGTTCCCTTCTATGTGTCCATGTGTTCTCATCATTTAGCTCCCACTTATAAGTAAGAACATGTGGTATTTGTTTTTCTGTTCCTGCCTTGGTTTGCTAAGGATAATGACCTCCAGCTCCATCCATGCTCCTGCAAAGAACATGATCTCATTCTTTTTGTGGCTTCATAGTATTCCATGGAGGTGTATGTACCACACAAAATATGTATAATTTTCCTCATCTCTGATAGGAATCTTCCTTCTTTAAGATAGATTCCTAGAAGTATTATTTCTGAATCAAAAAAGTCTTAATTTTTTAAATCATGTTGCTTAATTTTTAAAATCAGCTGCTTAATTTTTTAAATCACTCACTAATGTGAGTGCAGATAGAGTGTGGACTAATGGTAGAATCCTCTTGCCCTTCAAGAGGATGTACTAATTAATCCTCTCAATCACAGGGGATTATAATAATGCCCTAACACTTAACTCCACCCTCCCAACAATAAACATTTTATGTATTTTAAACATTTGAACATTTTGTAGACATAATGTCTAGCTGTTTGTTTTACATTTTTTTTTTTTACTAAATTGATTACCACTGAGGTACATATTCTTCGTATATTCTGGAGTTTTTGCCCACCTATTTGTATCTCTTATTTGAGAATTGCAGATTTATTGTTCATTACCCATTTTCCTGTTAGATACTTGTCTTTGATTCATTGATTCATAAAACTCTTTATATATCCTCCGACATCTGGTCGCAAAAGTTCGTCATAGTGTGCCTATTGTTTCTTAATTTCATTTATGGTATGTTTTGGGCATACAGAAGTTTTTATATTTTATGTAGTCAAAATTATTTTCTACTTTCTTTTCTTTTGTATTTCAAATATTTACTAATATAAGATTGTCAATACTGCATTTTCTAATTGTCTAGTAATTCCATTTTCTGCATTAACTCTCTAATATGTCTGCAACTTATTTTGGCATAACATGCAATGTAGATGTATATATATAAAATAGATATATTTTTTCAAATTGTATGTATCTATACATCTACAATGTACAGATACAAATTTTTTCAAACTGTTAACCAATTTCCTAAGAATTGATATTAAATATCCTTTATTTCTTTTCTGATATGAAATAGTGACTTTTAAAGACACAATATTCTTATGTATAAATGTTGTGTCTAATATATATTCTGCTCTCCAAAGCATGTCCATTCTTGCACCAATACCCACTGTTTTAACTACGTAGTACTTTTTAACAATTGCAGTGCAATTCTTTTCTTGTATATCTAATTTTTTTATCTTCTTGCCTACACATTTCTCTACATAAACTTTAAAATTTGACAATTTTTTATTTTAATTGAAATTACGGTCTTAAAATTAACTGGGAACAGTTGGTGACTTGGGAAATATTGAACATTTCTCTTCAGGAACATAAAATGTTCCTTTTATTAGACTCATCTTTAATATTCATCAGACACATTTTTTGGTTGTCTTCATTAATGGTTCCACATAGTTTTTCTTGGATTTGTTACTAAGTGGTTTATATTTTTGTTGTTTTGAAAGCCTAGAATATAACAATTTTTACATATTCCATAGTCATTTCCAAACTAAATGTGTTTTCTTTGGTTACAAGTCCAAGATTATATATGTGTGTATTAAGTCAGTCTTTTGAGTTCTCAAATTCTCTCTATCTTATTTCTTTTATCTACATGACACGGCTCAAAGATAATTTCACAACAATTTTAGGCCTGATATTTATAGTCATATGTGTCTCCTCGTTGCTCCAAGGCAGGTATTATATCAGGATAGGTCTTAATCGAAGCTCAGAACCCTCGTTGTACTTTATAATCATCTGAGTAGCTTTTTTAAAGTATGAATTCCTGATTGCACATCCCAGAATGATACAAAAAGAACCTCTGCAAGTGAGGGCCTGGACTTTAGTATTTTTAAAAAGGTTTCACAAATGATTCTAAGGAACCAGAGTTTAAAATCACTATCCTAAATAATTATCATAATAATATAAAATTTACTAAATAAATCTACAGCCAATCACATATCACATTAACAAGCATATAAAATGCTTTCTGGATGCTCAAAATATTTGCCTACTAAGCCACCATCAAGGTAGCCTGTGTGTCTGAAAGGAAAACAGTGAGCTTCGGAAATCTGAGTTCTAATTATGAATCTCTAACAAGCTCTACCTTCAACTTGAATCGCTTTTTTGTTATATTCCTCTCCTCGTTTTCATTTGTAGTGTCGGTGGGATGAACTAAAGGATCACTAGGAGAAACTCTAAGCGCAACCACTTAAAAACATTTCTACGTCACTGATATATGAAAGCAACTCAAAAAACAAACAAAACAAATACAAATAGGGATCACATGAAGGTATGCAAGTAGTAAAAGTCTTGCTTAGCCTGACAGTGAAGTTTAATATGGAGTTTCAAACTCAGATGCCTTCAGGAGCCAAAAAGTTAACATCAATTTACAAAGCAGCCAGGTCTCAGAGATACATATGGTCCCCAACTTATGATGATTCGACTCAGGAGTTTGCAACTTAACACAGTACAAAAGTGATACACATTCAGTAAATTGTACTTTGTGAACACCCATACAACCATTCTGTTTTTCACTTTCAGTACAGTATTTAATAAATTACATGAGATATTCAACATTTTATTATAAGGTAGGCTTTGTGTTAGGTGATTTTGCCCAATTGTAGGTAAACGTAAGTGTCCTGAGCATGGTGTTTTGTTTGTTTGTTTGTTTTGAGATGGAGTTTTGCCCTTGCTGCCCAGGCCGGAGTAGTGCAATGGCACAATCTCAGCTCACTGCAACCTCCACCTCCCGGGTTCAAGGGATTCTCCTGCCTCAGCCTCCTGAGTAGCTGGGATTACAGGTGCCTGCCACCACACCAGCTAATTTTTTGTATTTTTAGTAGAGACAGGGTTTCACCACATTGGCCAGGCTGGTTGCCAACTCCTGACGTCAGGTGATCCACCTGCCTCAGCTTCCCAAAGTGCTGGGATTACAGGTGTAAGCCACCGTGCCCAGCCCTGAGCATGATTAAGGTAGGCTAGGCTCAGCTGTGATGTTCGGTATGTTAGGCATATTAAATGCATTTTTTACTTAATGATATCTCCAACTTACAATGGGTTTATTGAAACATAACCCCGTTGTACATAGAAGAAGATCTGCATGGGGTTTATTGTCAACTTAAGATTTATGCAATGTCTAAAGGTATTCCAATTCAATTATGTAGACCAGTAGTCTCCAGAGCAGGGTGCGTTTAACCCAGCAGCTACACCAAATCACCCATTGGGCTGCACTAAAATAATAAGTTTTATTAATATTTAGTATGTGGATAGACAGTAATGAATATAAAAATTTATAAATTAGGGTGCCTGTATTTAAGAAGGATACTCAAAACTTTTTCACTCATTTGATACATGATTTTAATAGAATATTTGAATGCCAATGATATGAATCAGTTGCTTATCCTTAAAGAAGTTACTTTAACTTCCCTGAACTCCAAATTCAATTGTAAAATGGGACTAATAACAAAACTTTCCTTGTATGACTATGGTGAGATTTAAATGAGAAAATGCATACAGCTCTCAATCCATGTTAGATATTATTATAACCAATTAGTATCCAAATTAGCTCTCCTATGCCCTGCTGCAACCATTTCTCTTCTGGCCTTCCTAATTCAAACCCTTCTGCTATATTAAGTCTGTTAACACAATTATATATCTAGATCACTGCCTAAACGTGTCACCATCCTGCTTAAAACACACCCTTGTTCATGCACACATGTGCACACCTACACATACAGATCAGTAGTTGGTTTGCCACTGCCTATATAGAGAGCAAACTCAATAGCAAACCCAGCAGTCAAGACCATTCACAAACTGGCCCTTCTCAACTTTTCAGACTATTGTGTCAGCACTCACCGATACAAACTCATGGTTACAACGGCCCACTGGCACCAGACTCTGCTTTCTTCAATGTTCCAAGCATTTTGTTTGTCTCTTTGGTGAACTCCTTTCCTTTGCATTCCCCTCCCCACCTGACCAACAAAGTCCCACTATTTATGCTTGTTGGTTATTTAATATTCCCACAGTATATCCAGTAGTAATAGGAGTAGAAAAATTAGAATGTTTTTAAGATGGCTTGGAAGACATCAAAACTTGCCAATTATGACAAGCCAAATGAGGAGTTGCCATGAGACTTAAGCTGAGGATTCACCAAGCTTAAAACTATCCAGGTTGATATGATTACTGTCCAGTGGAAGCTACACCTGGAAGCAAGAGAAAGACAGGGCATGGGAAAAAGAACAAAGCAGGGAAGAGGAAATACTATTTCTATCAAAAAGAAACAATGGAGACTACTTACTGCGTAGGCTAGATGTTTGATGATCTGTAAGTCATTCAGTGATTCTTAGTCTTACCTCCTCTGTCACATTGAGGAAGCTAAAATTGAAAATATATGAGATTCAGATTTTAATATTCTGTTATACTCTCTACAAAGAGATAAAAAGTATACGTTTATGTTGTTGTTCACGTTTAACCTACTCTGTGCATGTGTATTTAATCCTGAAATCAAAAGGAGGATGTTTACATCCTTTATACTTTGGACATAGAAACTCTCTAAACTGACCTAAATAAAACAAGTGCCATGTAAATATCTGAGTAACAGAAAGCAATTATCCTCTCACGGCGAAGAGAGAACCACAATAAATAGATATTCCAGATGGGAAGTTATCCTGACTCAATCTTCACCTCTTCTTTATTACCCAGGAGGACTAAGGTTGCCATTCCAATTAGATTCCTTTATTGTAAAGATATACAAGTGTTTTTTTGGTTTACATAGTTTGTGTGTTACTCCTTAAGAATCATTTGAATATTATATTTCTATAAACTAAATTATTTGAAATAAACCAGAAGCTCTCACTCTGCAAAGAAAACTTGTGATGGATTTCTTTGTGAAATAAGGAAACTTTTGGTATGATAGATACTCAGGGGTGTCTGAATATCGGGCTTTTTAAAAGTTTAAAACATCTAGAAATGCATGTATAAATATAAATGATAACATAAATTGTACATATAAATATAAATGTATATAAGGCAGAACAGTTGAAATGAAAGTGGTCATCTAAATCTGCATGTACTGTCCAATATGGTAGCCACTAGCCACACGTGGCTATTGAGACTTGAAATATGGCTGGCCCAAACTGAGATGGATTATTAAGTGAAACACGTACACGGTATCTTGAAAACTTAATACTAAGAAAGGTAAAATACCTTATTAATAGTTTTATATTAATTATATCTTGAAATAAGATTTTTATATATTGGATTAATAAAATATATTATTAAAATTAATTTCACTGTTTTATTATTTAATGTGGCTACTAGAAAAATTAAAATGACATATATGGCTTACATTGCATTTTTATGGACAATGATAACCTAAAGGCCTTCAATATGGAGTTCTACCTAGAGAAATGCATGCACGAAACCTCTACACCTGTATTCATCACAGATACAGAAAGACAGGAATTATGGATTGTGAGCAACTTATTTTCCTATTTAAGTAGAACTTGTTTTTTCTATTCCAAACTGAACATCTAATTTGGAATGGATTCCCCTGATGACATTTACCACAAAATTTTATATGTAGATAAGATAAAAATATTGTCAGTAATGTTGCAAGCCTTTCTTCATTAAAAGATTTTCTAGCTGCACGCAACATGAGCTTTATATAGCCTGCTTAGAAAAGAAAGTACTTGAGTAGCAGAATGTACAACACAAACAAACAAAATGCAAATATTGGAAGCACAGAAGTGACTTCAGTTATCAGGCAATGCTTTGCTGCATCTGAAGTCAAAGATACGCATGCTACTTTAATTAGTGATTGAACTAAAAGTAGGAGTTTTAATCTGGTTTAAAGAGTGATCTTCTTTCATTAAAAAATAAAAAGACAAAAAACAACTTTTCCTTGAAAAGGTCTGAGCCTATTGCTTAAAAAATGATCTGGCTTGACTTAGACATATAAATTTTTCAAGGACATTAATATTCTTTGGTATAACACTTTTGAAGTGGGACAGCTATACTAATACATGGGGCTAAAATTTTTAAATCCCCATGAGACTTTTCTCAAAAAGGTTTAGAGCTGTAACTAATTAGAACTAAAACATGCCTATGGAGATTCAGGTTCTCAAAAAAACTGTCCTGATAGTGAAAGCATTTTGGAAGACAAAACTTTGTTTTTCTCTTTGCCTGTTGTTTCCTGTAATGACTGGTAATAAAACAGAAGGAAACACATTTTAGCCCTAAGACACATCTGGAAATAATATTTCAAATAATCGTCCTATGGGTCTACCAGAATGGATTTTAAGCACCCTGGTGACCTACTTCCCTTACTTCTGGAAACTCTCTAGATGAAATCAGAAGATTATTGACAGTACTGTGATGTTCTTGGGGCCCGAGGAAAATAAATATGCATTCCTCTCTTTTAAAACTCACCCATGTTCATAGCAATACTATTCACAATAGTCAAGAGGCAGAAGCAGCCCACGTGTCCACCAATGGATAAATGGATAAATTAAATGTGGTGTGTACCTGCAAAAACATTATTCAGCCTTAAAAAAATGGAAATTGTGACGCATGCTACAACTTACATCAACCTTGAAGACATTATGCTAAGTAAAATAAGCCAATTACAAAAAGACAAATACTATATGATTCCACTTGTATGAAGTATCAAGACTAGTCAAACTAATAGAAAAAGGAAGCAGAAAGGTGGTTGCCAGGGAATGAGGAGACAGGGGAATGGGGAGTTACTGTTTAATGGATGTAAAGTTTCAGTTTTGCAAGATGGAAAAGTTCTGAAGATTGGTTGCATAACAATGTGAATATACTTAACACTACTGAACCATATGATTTGAAATGGTTAAAATGGCCAATTTCATGTTATGTGTTTTTGACTACAATTTTACAATTTTTTAAATAAAAAAAACTTCAGCAGTAGTATCTTCTTTCTTTAATTCGACTATTTGACTGATTGGGTCAAGAATACTTACGCTGTTCAGAAGACAGCAAAAATCCACTTGTGCAAAAAAGTTCATAGGGTATTCAGTGTTGCAACTCAAGGGCCTTAGAGACATCTAGCCACTGTCGTACATGCAGGAGTGAGGCGCAGGGAGGCAAAGTGGCTTTAACCTAAGACCATGTAGTTAATTTGCAGTTCAACCAGTGCAAAAAGGTAAATTCCTTCACATCACAATACACTGACTTCTTACATATCTCAGTGAACCAGTAAATTCTCTTGAAAAACGTATTGGTATGAAACTTTTTTAAAAAATGAAAAAACAACTTATGTGTTAATCATTGCTGAGGTCTTATTTTCATCAATTGATTGCTTGTTCCAAAGTTCTTTAGCAAATGTGAACAGAATGAAATGTAGAAATGAGGTATCATTAGTATACGACTTCTCTGAATGTCTAGATTTCAGCAATTCATTTTTTCTGGTTTTGGTCTTTAACACTAATATGCATGGCTACTGAATCATTTGTTCAGAAAGCTGCAAAATTGTGAGAAGGGCTATGGTGGGATTCATGTGAATTGCATGTCTAAAAGGACAGTTTTCTTAAGATGTGTGATTAACCATAATTACTTATGCAGAATACCTTTCTAAAGAGATTGAGGCAAAATACAAAGAAATCAATAATGGGAGAAAGCATTCACTATTAGAGCTTCCTCTTTAGTTTTCAGAATATTTAGATGATGCCTTCTCATTCTAAAACTTCTAATCCATCTCTACTGCATTCTGCACCCAGCCTTCCAGAAAGCCAGGCTTGCCTAGCCACTGACAAACATAACTCTTTCATACTTCCTTCTCTTTCATTGAGAAGAACAACAAAAATTCCCAATGTTCACAAGCAATGTTGACCACAATGCTCACATTCTCTTTCTATTCCAGATGAGTTGTGACTTATAAGAATATGCTCAAAGTGGCTTTTGCTTTTAATTCGGTCAGTCTCTTGAGTGCAACATCTCAGTAATATTATTATTGTTATTGCTCAAAGGTATAGTTACAACTGTTTATAACTGCTGCTCCCCACCTATCAATCAAAAGCTACCTGAGTGTGCTACAGTGAACTCAGAGGAGGGCACCATGGAATATTTCAAATCATTGAGGGGACACTGCAGTACTTGGTTGCAGGAAACGTGGATGCCACACAAACTACTAGCTCCAGGGAGTTGGTAGTTTCAACATTAACTAACACTACATTTACTAGATGACACCATATTTTTGTGTAGCTGGGTATTCAGAGGTTGTTGTAATATAAATCAAGTACTATGCAAAATTTAATGTAGACCAAGAAATGAGGGTAGCATTGCCTAGTTTGAGTCCAAGGTTTGAGAAGTTATGCAGTATGCAACAGATATGCATATCCTATTAGTAAATAGCTGTGGTTATTTAATAATAAAATAACAATAGTATTTTTTTCTATATGTATGTATTATTTTTTCACATGGCTACTAAAGTTGTTAGAATGTAAATATACATTGACTTGTTTGGACGTAAGCATTTAATAGACAATTGTTAGGTATATATTTTGCCCCGGGGTCACCATGAACTGAAAAAGTTTGGGAACTTCTGCTCTAAAAGGTCCTAGCATTGATATTGTGGTAATTTGAAATGTTTGAGTCTCTGCAAATAACTTCTATGGAATACCTGCTTGTTTTATACCAGATTATTGATGCCCCAACATATCTTATTATTTAAAAAGTTGGACAACAGCAGGGAATGAAAATCTACTTAGAAATACCAGTGCTAAATGATTAAATGGCCTCCAACCTAAACTTGAATAGATTCCTTGTTTACATGATGGTTGTAAAGCTTGTTAAAGAATTGATCCCTTTTTTGAAGCCATATACTGAAGAGCTCTTATTCTATTTTAAAGCAAAGTACAAGAACCCTCTAGCCTTAGCATTCCTGACCTTGCCAAAATGCATCAGCAAGTGAACATCAATGGTGCCCCCCACAATCATCTCTCAGTGAGGTGTGTTTCCAAGCAAGCACCTTCAGGTAAAAATTTTCATTACTTTACACGTTTTCTTGGAAACCAGGTTTCCAGGATCCCAAGTATGATTGCAAGGTCATGATGAAACCCATGGGAAGAGGTCATGTACCGGTTTTATGCATCACTATCAAAGCCAAAGGAAGTGATTTTGGACTTTCTGGTGTAATATTATTAATCAGTTTCTTGATTATGTAACACATTCAAATGCTTGAAATGCCCCTAATTTGATTTAAAATTTCCCCTATTACAATCACAGTTCTGTATCAGTTGGTTGCAATACATGTTCTATAGGTAGTGATCAATTTTGATCATGTTTATCTTTTGACTTTCTAATCTAACTTTACTCACCTTGTCTTTTGCTAAAAGTGACCTCAAATATATTGAGAAAAAGTAGAGTAATAAATTCTGGTAAAAAAATTATGGTGAAGCTTATTTGGACTTTCTTGAAGTAATTTAGCAATTTTGCCAACAACATTAATTTCACGTCATTCAACATGTTCCTACATGTTCAGTAATAGTATCTAGTAGCTGAACTATGGGACAACTTTTGGAGACCTGTCTTAATTATCTCCATCAACAATTAGCTAATGATCAACAGACAAATAAGAATGTATCCTAGATGTTCCTTTGCCTGTAGCTAGTCTTCATTCATTATAGCCTAAGAGGTTTTCCTTGTTAAAAGCCATGTGGCTGGAACAGATGGTCTGCATGTGTTATCTCCATCTTTATCAGCATTGAGGACATTTCTGTTGGGGTGACTTGACAGTAGCAGAGTCTTCAGGAGTCTTTACTCTACAGCCATCTGGCATTGAGTTTTCAGCTAGAACCCCTGAGGTTTCATGACTATGTCAACATGAAGGAAGTAATAAGTCTCTGGCCACTGCAGTTGCTGAAGTGAGTGACCAGAAACTTCTATGCCTACTAATGTAATGCAGAGATAATATTTTTTTTTTTTTGAGACAGAGTCTTGCTTTGTTACCCAGGATGGAATGCAGTGGCATGATCTTGACTCACTGCAATTTCCACCTCCGGATTCAACCAATTCTCCTGTCTCAGCCTCCTGGGTAGCTGGGATTACAGGTGCATGCCACCATGCCCAGCTAATTTTTGTATTTTTAGTAGAGACGAGGTTTCACCATATTGGTCAGGCTGGTCTCAAACTCCTGACCTCGGGTGATCCACCTGCCTCAGCCTTCCAAAGTGGGATTACAGGCGTGAGCCAGAGATAATCTTGAAATTGGTGCTGTCTCCTTAATAGTCAAAATATTATAAGATTAAACTGAGAGCTTGTTTTATGTCAATAGTTAACATCTAAACCCAAAAGACCTAAGTGCAAATGTAGCCCTTGAACTTCATAGCAGTGAAAGCTTGAGTAAACTACAAATACCCTCGACCTCAGTTTCATTGCATGTAAAATAGGAATAATATAAACACTTAAATCACAGAATGATTGAGAGACTAAATTCAAAAGTGATATTCAAATGAGTTATAATTACCTGAGGGGAAAAGTAAGTAATCTGTTTGATTTTAGCATTTTATTGTGTTTAAGTTTCTGTTAGTATTTGAATGATTGTGAGTTACTAGTATAATGGTAACAGCTCAAGAACATTTTTGCAGTAGTAAAATCTTCTGTGGAAGGCAGACTTGTTTGCTACTTCCTTAACGCAACAGGCAAGTATGCATTTCCTTAAAAGTACCTTGGTAATATGGAACAAAAAGTTACTTTTTAGAGTACCTCAAATACTTCATACTTCTCATGAAGCTTTCAGTCATGACAGTGCTATCATAACTTAACCTTCTTTTCTTCTAACCCAAAAAATTTGACTTCTGGAAAAATCTCTTCTCAATTTAAATTCCAATTTTTACTTCTATCTTTTTCTCTCAAAAGCTGGGAGATTTTATTTTTTTTTAGCTTTGTGTTTCCTTAGTTGCTCTTAATTTGGTTTCATGCGTAAAACATTCTGAAAATCACTTTCTTGATGAACATTAGTAAACATAAACAAAGAGGGAAACATCCTGAATACTCAAAATTTCCTATTTCCACTGCCTTCATCTTAGACACACCACCCAGGGACAGATAGTTGCCTTATACAATTTCGGTAGAAAATGTCCAATCCTTATTATTTTAATTGACTCAAGATTGACTCAGTCTGAGGCCTGCTTTGGATGCCACAGCAAACCATTCCGTTCCTGTCAGGATCTGGAAGAAAGGGGGTTTTTCCTGCCTGTCGGTTAATCCAAATCACTTGAATTACATTCTTCTCTTATTGCTGACTCTGCCTGGCAGATGCAAAGACATTGATAAGGACTGATTTCCTGCAATTGAATGAAATGAAGATGCTTCTGTACTCTTAACATCAGCTTGGGCCCACTTTAGCTTTTGATTTAGTTTTGAGGAATGGTCCCTCTTTTACCATCACTGTGTCGGAGTTTATTTTATTTTAAAATTTCTATCATGAAGAATTTCGTAATAGCACTTTTATTGGCCAAATACTAAATAATTATTTAAGACAAGCCTTACATACGGAAAACAAGGATGTGTAGGGTTTGGGGCTTTTCTTCCCCCCCGGATGCCCAAGCAGTTTGAGATACTGCTCATGTGACCAACTTGTACCAGTTTGCTTGGGACTATCTCTGTTTTAGCACCGAAAGACCAGCAACCCAAGAAACCCCTCAGTCGTGGGCAAACTGGGAGAGTTGGTCATCCTAACACCACTGAACAGTGCAATTGATTTGGGTGATATTCTCCTTTGAGATCGTAACTTTCCCTGAAACTGTTTCTACACAAAGCTCCTTTCATAGACATGAGCTCTGTATTCTGTAAGTTCAGCTTGTCTAATAGTGACTTGAGGGCCGGGCGTAGTGGCTCACGCCTGTAATCCCAGCACTTTGGGAGGCCGAGACGGGCGGCTCATGAGGTCAGGAGATAGAGACCATCCTGGTTAACACGGTGAAACCCCGTCTCTACTAAAAATACAAACAATTAGCTGGGCGTGGTGGCAGGAGCCTGTAGTCCCAGCTACGCGGGAGGCTGAGGCAGGAGAATGGTGTGAACCCGGGAGGCGGAGCTTGCAGTGACCCAAGATCGCGCCACTGCACTCCAGCCTGGGCGACAGAGCGAGACTCCGTCTCAAAAAGAAGAAAAAGAAAGAAAAAAAAGAATAGTGACTTGAGGTCAGAGAACTCATTTTATAGATGAAGTGCCCCCTTCATTTACAAAATGCTCTCTTTTTTCTAATTCTAAGCATCCTATTTTCATCTCTTTCCTTGTTGTATTCATTTATAAGCTTTGCTTGAAATCTTTCTAACTTAAGAAGTTTTAACTTAAGAAGTCAGTTCAAAGAGGAATAATAAATAATGCTATTTAAAATAATAACTACGGATTTCTCTCATAGTGGAGTTATGGATGATTTTATTTTCTTCTTGCCTAAATCACACTGTGTGTGTATTTTTAACCAAAATATCTCCTAAAATCCAGTTATAATTAGATTTTAAATAATTTAAATTAAATTGAATGTATAATGGTCACCAAAATCCATCTATAGAACCTCATCATTTCTGGTTAGCACTGCCCATGGGAACACACACAGGAAATTACCTAGATCTTCTGTCCAGAAAGACATCATGCCAGAAAAAAAAAAAGACACTGGTCAGGGTCCAAGAAATAAAGTAGAAAAGTTGGAGAATTGTGAAGCAAGTCAACCAAGTGACAAGCTGCCAGGATCAGTTGAAGAATGAATGAGATTCAGGAATAAGATGACCAGAGGCAAAGTAGATTTTTGATGAATAAAAGAGAATATCAGGAAAATAAGTATCAGAATGTTTTATTGGACCAGGGAAATTTTCATTCATTTATTTGTTCATTTATTCACTGAAAAATATTTAGTGCATGCTGTCTATGTGCCAGCATTTATATTATTAACCAAAGGTATAAGAAAATCATTGCCCTTTGGGAACCTATATTCTAGTGTGGTAGTGACAATATCTACCAATATTAATATAATAAGTATATAGTATTTTTTAGAGTGGAAAGTGTTCTGAGTAAAAACAGAGTAGGCTTAGAGGCATCGAGAATATAGATAGGGTGAGTAGAAGAAGGATTGTAATATTAAAATGCAGAGCAGTGAAAGATTCAAGTAGTAAAAGTTCTTAGAAGGGACCAACATTACCTGTAGAAAACAGTGAATGAAAACAATGACTTTGTAAAAATGTGCCGGGATTCAGAACGCTGTTTGACATCTGAACTGCGAGACTTGGTAGTATGAAAAAGGGACAATGTGTTAATGTCAACTGGATCCCGCCCAGTTTGGGCCTCTTTACCTTCAAATTTGTCTGTTCCTATTTGCCTTTACTACAGATGAGATGAGTGAGGCAGAGGTGCTAATAGTTTCTAAAGTATTATGGTTGGGAACTACAGAAAAGTTATTTTGTGTGGGCCACCATTATCCAGCAAATATTTCCTATTGTGATCGGGGGTGAGATACAACCCATTAATGCTTCCTAGTGGTGCAAATAGATAAGACAGAGTTTTCTATTGGTATCCTTTTCTCCGATACCAAATGCTGCTGAAAAATATTTTTAGTATTTTAACTAATGATTGACTTTATTGTGTATGTGACTACATTTATGTGTTATAGAAGTGAATGATAGACTTTAAAAGATTTTGAACTACGTGGATAAATGAAGCCATTAAGCCAGTCATAACAGGAAAGCCCTTTGGGGAGGAAATGTTATATTGCCAGTAACCCAACATCCTGTAATGTACAATATTTAAAGTTTCCTTTTTTAAAATTCACTCTTTGACTGAGTAAAACTCAGTTCTGCAAGAAGTGCAGAAAAGATAAGTGTCAATGGATGAATGAATCAATGAAAACAGAGGTGAATGTAATAATAACTACAAATCCTCATGCACTATGAAAACTTAGTCATATATCTACTGTTGCTTTTTATTGAGAAAACTAAGTCTCCCAGAGGAGAAACATTATATAAATTGTGCTGTTTAAAAATTGCTGTGTTCATTATGAGGAGCTTAATTATGGTCATCACTTACCAAAAAGAAAATCAAAGTCTTGTCGAAGAATTCATAATAATGAATGTTTCTCATTAAAAATTAATGAACAAATGGCTTATTCTGAAGGTATGGAGGCTGTGGGAATATCATAATTTTCCTTTCTTGTTTAAAAGAATTAATATTCATGCAAATTAGATCCAAATTACTACAGTTTAGGTGGTTACTTAGTGCTATAGAATATAGATTTGTTTTTACCATGGAAGCCAATTATATTTGTCAACACAGGCTAGATTATGTTATGATAAACAAACCTTGAAATCTCAGTGGTTTAATAAAACAAAGCTTTCTTGCTCATGCAAAAAGCAGTGTAAGACAGAATGCCCCTTCAAAGCAGCTCTCCTCTATATGGGGACTCCACAAGCTGTGCTGCTTTCATTTTATACCTTGGCCATTTCAACTTTCAGGATCACTATGGAACAAAGAGAGGTAGAAGGTTGTGCATCAGCTCTTGAATGCTTCAGCCTGAAGTAACACACATCACTTCTGTTCGCAGCCCAGTGCCACCTGGTTTCAACGAACATAGCTGGGATATGTGAGCGAGCAGATGGATATTCAGTGAATAATAATGTGCCTACAACAGCAGGATCAAATCCAAAAGAAAAGTATTGGTGAAAGACATATAACCTACTAGGTAGGTACTGCTAGGATTGTTTGCATAACATTGGAAGAAAGAAAAGAGAATACTTCAACACACAACCAAAATCAGCTCTGTGCCTTGAAACAATAAAGTAATTCACGAATCCATCAATTAGTAATATAATTGCCACTGGATCCATGTGACTGTAAAGGTACTGCAATAATTGTTCACAGCCAGAGAGGGATCAAACCATCAGTGCAAAAGACATTTCTCTGAGGAAATCCATCTCTCTAAGGAAGAGGGAAGGAGTTGGTTCCTTGAGTGTGGGGCTATAAATATCAGAGGCAAAGACCCATTCTTCAGATGGATGTACTATTCTGTTAAAGTCTGAGGAATGCTCTCTCTTCCCCAGATTAATAAGGAAGAGAGTGCCTTGACTAGAAAGAAAAAGCTCTCCATTCTGAAGTCTTGTTTCAGAATGCACACAATTTAACTTCACTTTCTTCATCCCTAGGCTAAAATAGCAAATAAATGAAGGACTGGGTTAATTAAATGCATATTTTAACAGCATTTATCTGGCATTGATTGGCTGAGGCCACTTACAGTAAAGCGTGGAATAGTTAATACAAGTGTTGGCCGTCTCCTAAAGGAGGTGACCTCAAGGTTACATAATTGTAGCAGTAATTTATTTAGCTTAAAATGAATGTGTTCTCAATTAGGTTGGTAGGCATTATAATAACACAAGAGGGATTTATATTTGCTTATGTCTAGGCTATGAGGGTTTCGTTATTGGATTTGTTTGCCTATATTTAGTCCTCCAATTCATGATTCCTCCCAGTTAAGAGCAGGAAGTTTGTTCATGCTGATTAATAGGGGCCCAGTCCTAATGTTGCAGATAGTTACCTAATCCCGCCAGAGGCAGCAAGGGAGCAGACACATAGCACAGATGCCAGAAGACAGGATTATCTGGTGGGTTCTGCTCATGGGAACTGTTCCTCCCCCAATACAGATCCATCAGTGCCTTAAATTTGCCCCATAAATTGGTACTTTATATGAAAATATTCTACCAATGGGGCACTTCTGAGTTTATCACAGGATTTATCATGCTGGAATTAATATTTTTTATCTATATCGCAATTCTTTTAATCTAGTGGTCAAAAAAATGGTAATTCATGATGTTCTTTGGTTGAATTTGAACTCCTGACTTCTTTTAGATAGGAGAACTAAGATGCCTTTACCATTCCTTGGTCAGACGTAGTAAAGACATTTTTAAAAATAAACATGTGAATGGGTGATTCTTTACCCACCCTATCTACCTGGACCTCTGTGAATATTTGCTTATTTGCACACATGCTAAGTGTGCAATTAGTCATTCTGTATGAACAAATGTAATTATTATTATTATTTTCATTTATTTACAAGCTTGTCAGAGATGGAGAGCATTAGTCAATCACAAGGGCCAACAGAGCCTGCACTGGAAGTCCAGGGCTCAGCCAGTAGATGTCTCTGTTAGACTCACTACAGTGAAATGTTCATGCCCCCTTGGGAGGATGCCAGCCCTTTTGGGCTCAGTGTAGCCTGTTTGCTACATCTATATTTTTGTCCAAAATTTTAAAACTATAAAAAGAAAATCTGGCACTAGTTGTACCATACTTGTGTTCCAGTTTATACTGTCAACTTCAGAGCCTGGCTTCTATTTAGATCACCCAGTGAGATTCAAGGGCTCACTCATTCTCCTGATGGAGACAGGGTTACTCTCCCCTTTACCTCCCCCTGCATAAAATATAACCCTATGTGCAACCTCCCTTCTCCAGGGAAACTGAAGCTAACACTCACCTCACTGTCTGCTGAGAGGCCATCTGCTTTGCTATGCAGGCTTTCACCACAACAAATTTATGGTCTTTGGGAATAATAGGGAGCTTTTTTGTGTGTGTGATCTCTTATGCAACAGATTCAAGTAAGTGATCAAATCTGTGAAATGTGCTGGAGATGAAAACTGTCACCAGAGCAAGAAGGAAGGTGTATAGATGTGTTCTCGAAAGCAAAGAGTACTCGCTACCAACTCATTTTTGTTTGATGTACTTCAGTGGCTTTGCAACCCACAGAAGCAGTTTCTTCAGGTATCTGTCAGAAGAGGATATGAGGCCTTTATATTTAAAGGCTACATAACCAAGTCACAATTACAAATCTTCTAATCTTAGGAAACACTGTCCAGTGGAAGGAAAATTGGCCCAGACATTAGGAGACCTGTGTTCTACTGCCAATTCCTTCTTTCATTCTCTGTGTGATTTTGAGTTACTTAACTTCTATGATCCTGTTTAGTTCTCTGTGATAGGAGATAATGAGACTTACTTCTCAGATTGTCCTGAGGCTTAAATATCATAATGTATATATAATCCTCCTGAATCATAATAAGTTACTATTTATTCCTTTTCTCCTCCTTCTTCTTTTCTCATTGATCAAATCAACAGGAAGGCTAAGATGCATTTTTTAAAAAAATTGATAAGGGACTTAAGTAGCTAAAATAAAGCTTTGTGATTATTAAAGCATATCAGAGATTTTTATTTACTGGGCTCTATAACACCCTCTTCATTCCTTTGACCACAGGACACGTGTTCAGAGTCAGAAGAAACAATGCAGGTCCTATTCTGTCAGATTGTTCCCATATTCTTTGGTTTGAAAGCTATTGATTAAGCTATGTTTTCTTAGCTATCACGTTGTGAGAGACGAAGAAGGACATTTGCACCAATAAATATAAACTATAAGAAGCAAACTATGGATAACTTCTCTAAGAGCCATCTTTCACCATTGGTTTGTGTGTGGGTTTATAGAGAATCTGCTTTCCTCTTGGTCCTCTGCTGATGGGAAGAAGTCTCTCAGGTTCCTACTGTCAGGGCATCACTCAATAGCCTGGGGAGAACATCTCTAGAAGAACATCTCAATGCTAACTGATAAATTGCATGCTAGATAGGAGTTGAACAATGAGAATACATGGACACGGGGAGGGAATCATCACACACCGGGGCCTTTCCGGGGGGTGGGGGGATAAGGGGAGGGAGAGCATTAGGACAAATACCTAATGCATGCAGGGCTTAAAGCCTAGATGACGGGTTGATAGGTGCAGCAAACCACCATGGCACATGTATACCTATGTAAAAAACCTGCACATTCTGCACATGTATCCCAGAACTTAAAGTAAAATTAAAAAATAATAATACAATAAAATAACTTTAAAGAGAATCCAAATGAGGGAATTCTGCATGCTGAAAATAATGACAGGAGTGAGTGGGTTGGAGGATATTCAAAAAAGAAACTAATATTGATAAAAGGAAAAAAAGCTGGACAATAAATGGAGGAAGAGAGGATGACATTTTAGGTACTGAGAATAAGAAGAGCAAAGGAAGACAGACTTTCTGGAGGAAGTGGAAAAGTTCTCCTCTGCTTCACTGAAAGAGAGTATACTGAAGTTTTGAGTGTATTCACACCAAACAGATGTGAAGAGAAAATGCAAATCCTTTACTTCCTAAAGCTGCTATGGCCATCATGAGTAGCAAGGGGAGACTACTCCTGTTTAAAACCCAGTGCAATCCAATATTTCTCTAGGTTTGACTCAAGCACCTTGAGGTTGCTGGTCAGTCTTACAGAATGTGCTTCCTTTTCTTCATTCTCTCTTTTACTGGCCTCTGATGCAGGGTACCTTTCCTCTACCAGAGGACTTTTGATTTTAATCCAGCCTCCCCTTTCTCTTAAAGGACAAACCAAACTTGTCAGTCTGTCCAATAAAGCTCTGAAGATAGAGAGGCAGCAAACAGATATGACCCTAGCCGTCTACTGCCTCAGTTTCCTGTTGCCCTTTCTCAAATCACTAGGCTGGGAAAAGGTCTTGCCTGAGGTGCTCACATTTTTTTTCCTTTACAAAAGGACATCCATACTCCCTGTTTTCACAAAAATATATGTGTCCATAAAATGTGGTGGGAGAAAACTGACTTACCCATCAAAGGATATAAATTGAGAGACTGTTCAAAAATATTATATATAGTTCAAAGCCATGCAAATAAAACAGAGTTCTTATATGTGTGACTTCGAAACACTTTAAAAAATTCCTTTTTCAGTACTGCAAGGGCCAAGGTCATGTTTGCATTTTGTTCATATTTCAAACAATCAGCCTATAGTCAGGATACTTCAATTTTCATTGTTTTAAGGTTTTGGCTCCAGAACAATAGACGGGAATGTGTCCGGAGTTGATTCCTTCCCATGGGTTTGTGGTCTTGCTGACTTCAAGAATGGAGCCACGGACCTTCAGGGTGAGTGTTACAGCTCTTAAAGATGGCAAGGACCCAAAGAGTGAGCAGCAGCAAGATTTATTGTGAAGAGCGAAAGAACACAGCGTCCACAACGTGGAAGGGGACCTGAGCGGTTCCTGCTGCTGGCTGAGGTGGCCAGCTTTTATTCTGTTATTTGTCCCCGCCCATGTCCGGCTGATTGGTCCATTTTACAGAGTGCTGATTGGTCCATTTTACAGGGTGCTGATTCGTCCATTTTACAAACCTCTAGCTAGCTGCAGAGCACTGATTGGCGCATTTTTACAGAGCACTGATTGGTGCATTTTACAAACCTCTTGTAAGACAGAAAAGTTCTCCAGGTCCCCACTCGACCCAGGAAGTCCAGCTGGCTTCACCTCTCAGGAACAGGCTCATATTCTAACGAAACATATATGTCTCTTCAGCAGTGATGAAATTGCCATATAAAATGCACACCTGACAATTAGAATAGCACCAAACATTTGAATCCATTTGATGCTAAGGCTTTTTCTCAATATCCAATTTGTAATGCTTATGAGTCAGGTCAAATGGAAACATTGCACAAAGATCATGACTATAACCACAGCCACTTGGAAATTAATAACTTTTTTTAAAAAAAGAAATTTCTGGAAAGGAAAACCTTTAGAAAAGATGTGGCTCTGAAGCATTTATCCTCTAAGTCTGTAATTGCCCTGATCAATGGAGTTTAGCTCCATGAAAGTGAAGGCTTTCCCCAGAAGATGATGGAGACCGGCCTTGTCCTGCAGCTGTTTCATAAAGGCCTAGAATAAATTTCAATTTCAATAACTTCATTGGCATGACAGGGGAGACTTGTTTTGTGAAGGTCAATATAACTGAAGCCCTGTCTAAGAATTGGTCTCTCCCTGTCCATATTTGGACTATGTAACAGACAGCTAAGGCCGCAGCTGGCACTTTTTTCCCTACCTTCTTACCCTCTACCCTTTCTAATTTTTCTACAAGGAGTGTGTTTGGGAAAGGTAAGCGATTTCAGAAAATATGCTACTTTTAAATGTCTCCAGTTGTTGGACTTTTGCCAAATGTTGTGGTCATTGAGCTTGAAACTGATAAATCTGCAGAGAGCTTGTGAATTGACCTTTTGGAAAAACAAGCTAGGATATCTGTAAACTGTTTCTTTTCTGGCACGGCAAGTGGGAATATTTCTACATTTGTGACCACTGCCCATTTGAAGACCTTAAATGAATGGTCAAGTCAGGATTGGAACCTGCTATGGTGAAAAAAAAAAGGTCAAGAAATATATATACACCGGCCAGGTGCAGTGGCTCACACCTTAATCCTAACCCTTTGGGAGGTTGAGGCAGGCAGATTGCTTGAGCCCAGAGGTCAAGACCAGCCTGGATAACATGGCGAAACCCTGTCTCTACAAAAAAATAGAAAAAAGCCAACATAATAGGACACACTTGTGGTCCCAGCTATTCGGCAAGCAGAAGTGGAAGGATCACTTGAGCCCGGGAGGTGGAGGTTACAGTGAGCCAAGATCACACCACTGCACTCCAGCTTGGGTGACAAAGCCATACCCTGTCTCAAAAAAAAAAATATATATATATATATGTGTGTGTATATATATGTATGTGTGTGTGTGTATATATATATACTGCTCATCTACAGTGTGTTCATGAAAGTCTGGAAACATAGGCGAATTACATATAATGCCATCAAAGACATCTCCAATCTGTAAGACGAATAAATAATATGAAATAATATTAATATATCCTTGCTAATGTCAGCAATTCTTATAATATTAATAATATTAACATAGATAATATCATTTTCACCTATGTTTACGGACTTTCTGGGCACCCCGCACAATATGACCCCAAATGTAATTTTTAACATGTGTATATATGTTATATATTTAAAACACCAGAAAAATATACAGCAAAATTTCAACAGTGGTTTTCTCTGTGAGGTGAACTTATGTAGCATTTTAATTTTCTTCTTTACTTATCTGATTTTTCCAGTGTTTCTAATATCAGCATGTGTTACTTTTGTATTGAGAAAAAATTAAAAATAAAAAACAACAGAATGCAACAGAATAAATTGTGTGTCCACACCATTACTGTACAATGCACTGGTAGGTAAACTATACAATAGACCTGTTTAGATACTTGGAATAATGGTTGTGAGACCCACACTTTGAAGATACATGGCATGTTTTAAGAATTTAGAGAGGAAAGAAGCGACAGGAAAAGACGAGTAGCAAGAAATATCAGAAGGTCCAAATGTCTGTCTCCTAAGGCATTTATAAGAACCTCTGTGCAATCATTTTCTCTTCATGGGAAAGGAAAGAATGTGATAGAGTGGTTTCTTCATCTTTGATTTCTTCTGTTTTCTTTGACTATATCACCAAAAGCCTTCTGGAAACACACTTAAAGATCCATATATATTTAAATTAAATAGAATATGCTCTTGAGACATTACCAGAAAGAGTCACATATAGATAAATCATAGGCTTGTGCTAGGCATTTTTAAATATAAAAGTGGTTTTAATGTGTGTGATAAAATAACAGAAACAAACTATTGGTTAGGTTTATGAGGATTAACAGAAGACAATATGCTTGTGCTAGTCTGCAACCAGTTCCAGGAGAGTTATTGTGTAATGCGAATGTGTCTATGTAGAATTATTACTATAATCTACAGCAGTGGTTGGACCCAAGTTCCCCCACAATAACACAGATTGAATTATGAAATCTAATAACTTTGGAGAGAGCTTTGTCCTGAAACTGAATGTGTCCGGTGGTTTTTATGTCTCTCAGACCTCTTATAGATTGTTTTCTCTGCCACAATTTCTATAGCCTTATAAAACTTCTCATATGTTTAACCTGTATGCACGAAACCCATGAGATGAAAGTCCAATACTGCCGAGGTAGCAATTGCTTTCCCTGTAAGGAAGACCACATGTTCCCATAAACTTTAAAGGCAGAGCATAATTTTACTTTTCTCTCATGGAATATTTCTAATACTTAAGTGTATACAACATGACCCAAGCATATTTGAGGTATATTCAAAAGCTGTCCAAGGACAAAAGTGAAAATATTCAGGAATGCAAACAGTTCTGTGTATTCATGAAGGGCTGGCCATTCCATCACAGAACACTGACTTTATGTCTCATTGGCATATGTTTCTCTTGCTTTTGAGAAAATGACTTGTAGGTTATTGTAAGGAAAGAGTTTCTATTCTGTAGATGTTGCCACTAGCAGATGAAGACCTAAGCCCTCCCCAACCATCTTCCCCAAAATAACTACTGTACCACAGCAGCACCACACCGTCCTGTAGTCCTGTACTGTACAAGACACCACACTGTCTTCACCAAACCACGTCTGAATAGAAGAACTCCACAGAGCAGTTTGATTGAGATGACCATGTTGCTTGCCATTTCGGTACATTTTTAATAAAAATTCTTTCACCTTGATCAATCCATGCTCTTCAATTTAGAACTGAGACACATTATGATACAGTATTAACACTTGAAATCATCTTATAACTGCTTGCTTTCATATTTGGCATCACTATTGTACCACCTTAGAAACTGCTTCTATTGACCTTTAGATTAAAAATATGTTGAATTATCATGATTGACACTTTTAAAATGACTCATTCTTGCCAAACACAGCATAACAACTTTTTAACATTCCCTTTTCTTTACAACTGCCACAACTTTCATTATGTGAAATATGGCTGTATTATACACCACCTCTCATTGCCTAACATGATTTTTTTTCAGAGTTCAGGAAGATTTACATTTGGAGCTAAATGTTTCAGTGATTGCTCTGTTGGGTTTCATTATACCAGTGTAGTTAATCAAAGCAAGTCTGGCCTTGCTACCATGATTCACTGTATGGTTTTTTGAACTTAATCATTTACACAGAATGAATATACACATTATCACCAGGGCTGGATTTCTTTAACAGCCTGCATGACACGGTACTGTAATGCCTTTGTCAACTGCTAGTTTTCCCAGGGACTCTGCAGTTTGCTGGGGGTTTTGATAAGACATTTCACTGATGGGCTTTCGGTTAGAAAAAGGCAAGTGGGAAACCCCTAGGTGGAGCTGCAGAGAGCAGACGAAAGGCCCACTGACTTGTGTATCACCAAGTGGGGCTAACGGGGAATCCTTTCATTTGTACAGAGTGTTTCTTTTCATAGTGTGTGTGGTCTTCACAATCATAATTAACAAGTAACTTTTCTTCACTCTCATTCCTAATCCCATCATAAATTATTGGCTGTTGGCATCTGGGCAGGGTTTGGCAGACCTTGAATTTTAAGTCAGCCTGAGAGAATTACAGGGATTGTTGTCTCTAAACTGAAGAAGCTAATTGTATAAGCATTAACACATGTGAACCAGGCCTACCAAGCCTAATTTCTGAGCAGCCAGAAACGATGCTCCTATGGACACCAGATTCCTTAGCAAAAAGCAGACTTGCATTTGACCAGAACCAGTGGAGAGCCTGTTCCAGGCCCATGGAATCCAATGTCAATTTTTCAGGAATTCTATGAGCTGGTTCTTAAACGCCACCATTATTTAAAATCAAAATATATAACCTTTTAATTAAATAAATTATATTTTTAAAAAGATGGTAAATACTCAAAACTCATCACTTCCTAAATATTCTACCCCGTCATGCAATTTTTTACACCCTTGGTTATTCGTGTCTATCATATCTGGATGGGGGAAATGCTATGGAATTTCACAACTCTGCATTCAGTGTTGTCATGTTGGTAGACTGAAATCAGCCACAATGGGAGTATTTGTATCATGGAAATAACAAATGCTACAAACCAAGGCTTCATTTGTTGCTTTGCCTCTGCCTTGTGTGTAAGGGAAGTACTATTTAATTTTACCTACCAGAACACTAAGTCTCAGAAAAGTTCAGTAAATGATTTTGGCCCTAGGATTCCACTGCAGGGTTTTCTGACTTTGCAAATCCATTATCTTAAGTCTTCTGTTCTATACCTCCCTTTAGCGGGGTTTTCCTGCCACTGTACTATATACACTCATAAAAACTCTCAGTGGCATTAACTGCTGTTTGGTTGGTGTATTCATTGTATGTCTTGGGTAAGGTATAACAAGTATGTTTAAATTGCATATGCGTTTTTTTTCCAAAGAACCAGTTATACATTTACCAACATTTCATTATCCAGGGTTCAAGCCTTGATTGAAACAAATCTACCCCCAGAACATACTGAAAAGTACTTTCTGGAAATAAATATATTTCTGTTCATTAAAAAATCCAATTACTAGAATTTACAAGTTATTAAACGTCTCATTGCTTTTCTTCAACCACTCTTTCAGACTCGGCATCACTACCCCTAACTTTGCTTTCCGGCATTTCTCAAAATGTTCCCATTTGGTTTCAACATTTAAGCAACATGAAGGCTATGGAATCAGAAATGTGAAAAGGAGGCAGTTATACAGACATGCAAAAATGCACCAGCCCGAGTGCACAGGCTTAAGGGTATGTGCACTTACCCTTTTTTGATTTGAAAGAATCAGGTATTGGACTACCTGAGCCTGTCTTCTTTGCATGCCATTCTGATTTGCTTTCCATGGAGAAAACGACCCGTCTATGGGAAACTGGGGTAATTTTTCAATCAAATACTGCATTGCTGATATAGGATGAAGGAAATGGGTGGCATGGTTGCTGAGAGACAGACTGCAAGTCTCATAAAATTATATTGGGCCTACCCACTTCTGTTTCAGATTTCCGTAGCATTCTTTGTGAGGATAGTCACAAAAGAAGTACTAAGTTGCTGTGTGTGTGTGTGTGTGTGTGTGTGTGTGTGTGTGTGTGTGTGTGTTTATCTTACCAGCTTTGTCTGATATTTAAATTTTGTTCGGGTGAAAGAATAAAAAGTACACATGCTCTATGAGTGGAACCTCTCTAATGGAATATTTTATCCCCAGCCCCATATGCAAAGCTCTTTAAATGGTGATTCAGAAATCTGACCTGACACATTTCAGTCTTTCTGTTCATCATTGGTACCATACGCAGCAAGAATTACCTTCAGCTTTACTGCTGACCCTGGAAGTCACTGTACTCTCACGACTTTATCTACAAGGGCATGAAGATTGTTTCTTCAAAACTCTTAGTCACGGCAAATACTTTCCACGTGTGTACTGCCATCAACATTGTTGCCTGTTTGGTAGCTTTTGATGGAATGAAACTGACAAGTTTCTGCCTCACACCTGACTTGAGAAAGGCCCTTAGATACTTACAATGGAAATTGTTTGGAGTGTTGCAGTTAGATACAAATCATGCTCTAACTTTCCAAGAAGCTTTGTTACAACATGCAAAACAAACAAAAGAAAGGTAGCAAAACTCTTCAAGCAGTTAAAATTGTTACGCAAAAGCAAAAGCAAGTACAGAGGGTAATAGAATTCATTGAACTGTAAAACCTAAAAACAAAAGAACTGAATTCAGCTAATCACAAATTTTGTCAATTGTTGATTTTTTGTTTTTATTCTCTCTTACTAAAAATGCACTACAGCAGGCGTTTTTCCTTATACATGTATACATTTCCTCCTCAGTTGGACTAAGAATAAAGTATTGTGCAAACAGTAGGTGCATGAAAATTCTAGTCCACTAACTGACTTTAAAAGCTGTGGGATTCTACAAATTGACCCATTAAGCAGCTGTTCCCACCTTTGTCCTATGAACACTAAAATGCACGGTTAGACCTCAAATTGGTTTGGTAGTGACAATCTTGTCTGGTGTTAGATCCAGGATTCCAAAATTCTAGCCACATAACAGGAAGCTAGGAACATAGGGGCAGAGATGCCTGAAGATTTGACCTTCCATGCTATTTTATAAAGGAACGTTTATAGCTTGTTTCCTTGAGGTTGCTGGGGGGAAAAAAAGCAGTGATTGTGTGCTGTAAACCTTTAGGAGAAAACAAACTTAACAGTATGCTTTGGTGTAATTCAATTTAGTTGAATGAGCAATTTCCATTTTGGAGTTTAGCTTTCAGCTGACATGTTCTGTGACTTTGGCCAAGTCACTTTAATTCATCCACTGTCGTATCTATGAAAAGGGGGAAATAATGCTTCACTGGAAATTTTCCCTAGAGTTCCAGAAGATGAGAATTCTGGCCTTGCTATCTATAAGCGCTCAGAAGACTTAAGCTGGGAGGTTCTTGTGCATTCCTGGCATAATGGCAGCAGGGAAAAAAGTCATTCTGAAGAGAGGCACAGCTGCAGAGAGAAGCTTTCTCAGCACAAAGCAAGAGTCTGGCCTCTTGAGTCTCTGAAACACTCAAATTCACTGAACGCAGACGACGAGGAGGAGGACTATATATACTTACATATTGATCTGCATGCTGGGGTTTCAAATGTGATTCATTATGTACCATTTCCTTTACCCTAATCCATCTGCTAAGGTTTTCTTCTCCTGTGCAGAAGGAATTTGAAAAAGAAATGTGACTTTAACTGAGAAGAGAGTAACAGCATGACATAGTTAGCACCACCTGCACTAAGAAAGATTCAAGATGGTATTTGTCAAATATTGGAAGATGTGTGTCTGCTAGCTGAGGGATAACGGGATGTTTTCAGAGACTGTTTTAAAGTTCTATGGCCAAGAAAAAAGAAGCTGCATTTGCTTCTCATAATAGTGGTTATCATTTCTCTTGTGAAATGTTTATCTACTGATGATCTCACTATGGCTTCCTTTGGATTGTCTTCTTGTTTTATTTTCTCTCACTAGAAAAAGCAAACATCTTGGTTCCTGTCTCTTTCTATTATAAGTACTAAGCATGTGGAAAGTTAAAACAAAGGCTGCACATTTCCAAGGAACTGGATAAGTACAGTCAAGTGGATCCTAATCGAATACCACAGTGTGGGCATTTGGTACCACATGCTTGTTGATTTGGAAAGAAGTGGGAAGAAGAGATGGATAAAGATGAGAAGGAGGCAGAGTAAAGAGAAAAGAAAATTAAGTAAACACTGAAGAGCATAGCCCCTTAGATGGGAGAGAATAAAACACTACTCAGCTCTGTTTATAGCCTGTCGACTATGCTTTATGTATACATAATTCCTAAATTTCGTATGTTAAAATCAGCTAATCTTCAATCAGGAATAAGGAAAATCAATGTATCCTACCTATATGGGTATTTAAGTTTTTAGTCTACTGATTTGTTTATTATCCACACATATTGAAATGTATTGACATCACAAAATTGTATTAGATACAGAGTCTGCTCTATAGCTAAGGTTGGAGTGCAGTGGCTCAATCATAGTTCACTGCAGCCTCAAACTCCCAAGCTAAAGCGATCTTCCTGCCTCATCTCCAGAGTAACCAGGACAACAGGTGCATGCCATCACACCCTGATAATTTATTTTATTTTATTTTATTTTATTTATTTATTTATTTGGTAGAGACAAACTCTTGCTACGTTGCCTATGGTGGTCTCAAACTCCTGGTCTCAAGTGATCCTCCTGCCTTGGCCTCCCAAAGCACTGTGATTGCAAGCATGAGCCACTGTGCCCAGCCCCAAGGTATTTATTACAGTTTTATTTTTTTCTTTTATTCCTGAGACAAAAGTAAAATAAAATAATAAAATTATGTTACTAAAAATTTGGAAAATAGAGAAAATGAGAACAAAATGTGTTCATAACATAACCCATGATGACCATACAACTGTTGATGTTGGCCTTTCACCTTTTTGTTCCTTCTCTTTTTACCTCGCATTTTTACATAACTGCAATTATTCAAATATATATATATATATACAAATTTTCTGTTTTACCCATTCTCCATAAGATTATATTTGGATCATTCTTATGTCATTATATGTTTCAAGAATAAAATTTAATGACTGCATATTATTTCTGAGTGGATTATAATTTAAGTAACCGGGCACTAAATCCAAAAAATATTAATATACATTACTTCCAAAACCGGAGTCCAAAAGATTGGAATACACCTACCTGGAAAAAGTTAATGATGTTACTTTATAACAACTCCTCTATACTATTATGTACTGTGAAGCTCCAGGAGAGAAGCTTTCTTAGTGTGTTCTTTTCTCAAACTTAATTAAACATGGAACCATTTTCACCATGACATTATACAACATAGTGCTCACCACAGCACACTTTGGAAAACAATGATATGACCATTTCCTATTGTTTAATAGCTAGGTTATAAGAAATTTTTCACTATAATAAATAATAAAGAATTTAACATCATATACAAAAAGACTTTTCTATTTAGAATTATATTCTGGGAATCATTTCTCAGAAGTTAAAAAAAAGTGAAAATGTTTGTATATTATTAAAGTCTTTGATACATATCACCAAATTTGCTTCCTTCCTTCAACATCCTTCTGGCAAATATCATTTCCAAATATTAAGTAAGGTCTTTGATGCATATCACCAAATTTGCTTCCTTCCTTCAACATCCTTCTGGCAAATATCATTTCCAAAAGTGAATACGGTATTATGGACAATCACTACTGCTCTTGGATTTGAGTATGAATGAGAAACAAACCAAGGTACGATCAGCAATGTATTTCCACACTATACTAGGCACACACACTGCTGGTCTCCAGATGTATACGCCCTGTAAGATTTATGGACTTTATGAGTTTAAAAGTAAACTACATACATCTGACTATTGTATACTCAGATTATAGGCTAAGATTAGTTTTTACAAATCATAAAGAGGCTGAAGATTGTGGTAGTGTGTTTTTGAGATACCTAGAAAGGAGCTGACACATGGTGTATGCTCAGTAAATGTTTACTGCATAAAGGAATGATTACATTCATGAATGCATACCCACGAAATGTTTCCTTTTGATCAGTTATCTTAAGATAGCGCCCCTTTCACCCATTACCTCCTCACCATGGAGCACTTAGCCAATGCTTAAAACCACAGATGATCCAGGCTCACCATGGAACTTCAATATGGCTGACTATGGTCAGCCATATTCATTGTTGAGACATTTGAAAACGCTTATTCAAGGCATGATGGGAGCAGTGGGCCTTGGGAACTACCCGCCCCTTGCTACCTATATGACCTCTCTGGCAAATCTTAGACCTCTCTGGGATTCCATTACTTCATAAAGAAAATAATGATGATAAGCCCCTTCTTGGGTGCCTAGAAGCTCAAAGAGATATAAAAGCACTTCGAAAAGTTAATATCTCACTGAAAATATAACATATTATTATTTTTACCAACTCCACAGTACTCATCCTAAACAGTGGGGCAGAGAATGGAATGGAGCATTAGGGGTTTGTGGATTAAAGAGAAAAGGCCTGAAGATAACACCGATGTTTTTCCTGGAAGAACAAGTCTTCCCCTTACCGAGGTTTCCAGATTCTTTAGAAGTTGCCAGAAGCAGCAGACTTCAGAGTAATTTGCTGATTTAAAATATACATATTATTGACAACGGGGACTACATAGTATTTCTTTTATCCTAGACTTTTTTTTTATTAGGTTTTAATCAACATGACCTTGTGAAATACTTTGAACCCTGATTAAAAAGCAACATAAATAAAGGTGAGGGAGAAATGAAAGCAGTGCAGCAGACCTAAATAATAAATTAATGAAAGCACAGTGATAATTTTATGTAATTATAGTAGACACTTAACATTCATAAGGGGTACAGACCTTTGGAATCCCCAAATTTGTGACTTCAGAAATAATAGTATAAGCATTCCTATTGAGAGGCATACATTTCTTGGGCACAACGTTGTAACAATTTAACTACAGTATTATTTTAAACTTTGAAGTTTAGATCTTGCTCAAGTAATGATTTTGGCAGTGACCAGCAAATTTTTCTGAACAGTTTCATGGATCTAATTTCCTTGTTTCCACATCAAGTTTATGATGGTCTTATCTATATTATTTACTTAAGTCACTGCCAAATAGATATTATGCTCATTTATTTTCCCAAAACTCATAGTTACTGTCCAAGAGCCCATTATTCTTTTGACTTATTTTTTTTTATTTTTATTTTTTTGAGATGGAGTCTCGCACTGTCTCCTGGCCTGGAATGCAATGGCCCGATCTTGGCTCACTGCAACTTCTGCCTCCTGGGTTCAAGTGATTCTCCTGCCTCAGCCTCCTGAGTAGCTGGAATTACAGGCGCACACCACCATGCCCAGATAATTATTTGTATTTTTAGTAGAGACAGGGTTTCACTATGTTGGCCAGGCTGGTCTTGAACTCCTGACATCATGATCCACCTGCCTCGGCCTCCCAAAGTGCTGGGATTACACGCATGAGCCACCACACCCAGCTCATTCTTTATTTTTTACAGCTCTATTAAGGTATAATTGACATAAAAAACTGCATGTTTTTAATGTATGTAATTTGATGAGTTTGAATATATGCAAATACATATGATCATATCAACACAACCAAGGTAATAAACATATCCATCACCACCAAAAGTTTCCTTCTGTGTGGGGATGGGAGGAGAGGTGAAAACACGTAATACAAGATCGATCCTCAAAAAAGTCTTAAGTGCACAACACCATATTGTCAATTATAGGCACTATTTTGTACAGCGGATCTCCAGAACTTCATCTTGTGTAACTGTAAGATAAAGTTACATTGAACAACCACTCCTCATTTCCTTTGCTCTTGTCAGCTGGCAACTACCATTCTATTTTCTGCTTCTGTACATTTGAATATTTTGGATACCTCATACAAATTGCAAAGAGCCCATTATTTCTATATTTTTCCTTTTCTTTCTCTTTCTTTCTTTCTTTCTTCCTTCCTTCCATCTTCCTTCCTTCCTTTGTCTCCTTCCTTTCCTCCTCCCTCTTCCTTCCTTCCCTCCCTCCCTCTTTCTTTCCTTCCCTCTTTCCTTCCTTTCTTCTTTCTTTCCTTCTCTCTTTTCTTTTCTTTTCATCTTTTGTCCTTTCTTTCCTTCCTTTCTTCCTTCTTCCCACCTTCCTTTCCAATACAGCCCTGAGAACTATAAGATTGCTGGCATGTACTCCAGAAATATTTCCTGAATGTTTTCTTACATTTCTTCACATTCATATCAGAACCAAGAGTTGGCCTTTTAGGGAGGACAATTAATTTTCCTCAAAGAAATAAAGTGGGTTTGTTTGGGGTTTTTTACTCATTTCATGAAAGTTACTGTATGCTATTCTCACCCCTGATGTTACCTTCTATGTGGAAAACTCCAACAGAATAACACACTTTTGGCCTCTCCCTTTTACTGTATGACAGTGGTTCTCAATCAGGGGAGATTTTGCCTTAGCAATGTCTGGAAACAGTTGTCAGCACTGGGGGACAGCATCTAATGAGTAGAGGCCAGGGATGCTCCTATACATCTTGCAATACACAGGGCAGCCCCCACAACAAAGAATAATCTGACCTCAAATGTCAATACTGCTGAGTATTAAAAATCCTGACCTAGAGAACTAGAATAAAATTAAGCTTAGTAGTATTAAGGACTTTTATACCAGTCTCTTGTTCTTTCTTTTTCTCTTTGACATTTGCCTGCCTGCATCACATAGCATCTGTTTGCCGTATTCCATGGGGTAAGTTTACAGGGAGGACCTGCAGTTTGAGGGTGTAAGTTCAATTCAGAGGAGTGATAGCAAGCTCATACATCTGGGCTCCCTATGCCCTATTAGTTTAAAAAGTTTAAAAAGGACATTTTTAATCTCTCTTTGCTTAAGTCCTGCATCTCTCTCTCTCAGTTCATTCTGGATGTAGGCAGGAAAGGTGACTATTTGGGGGGCTTCCTCAAGCTCCCAAATTATATCTAATAATGATAACATGAGATACAAATGCCTAATGGTCAGCTGGCTGTACTGACTACCTAAGCCTCTTCCTTCTTCACACCAGCTCTGTTAATGAACAGCTAAAATGGTCACAGCAGTGAATGCTGAAGGTCTGATAGTTAGGAAGATTGAGGTCCTACAGAGGCAGGGAAACTGAAGAGCTAATTAATTTAAAAATGTAAGAATGACAATGAATAAAAACAAAATATATACACATGGTACCCTTTTGGGACATGCCTACTAGTGTACCTGTCCCCAACTTAAAGTGAACATAGTCTTTCTCTCCAGAATACATCTTTTCACAATGAAACCTACATTTTCCTTAGGGAACCATGTTCTTATACTCTTGGTCTATGTGAGCCAACTCCATACCTGGCTTCATGGGTAAGCATGAGATAGAGAAACAGCTCATGACAGTCTTGACTCTTCCGGGCCTCCATGAATAGATCAGCAGTGGACCGAAGCCCAGATCAGAACCAAACCAATACTAGAATTTTGCGAGAAAAAAACTGGAGAGGGACACTTTTTATTTCTGCTGGACTTGGGCTATGAGTATGATAGCCCGAGCTGCCATAAACAGGATGCATGAAATAGAAATCAACATTCAGAATGTTTTACAAACCAAGAGATGAAGAGAAAGAGTTCAGATTCTAATGGTATCATGGCTGAGATTCAATCATGGCAAAATCTCGGATTTCTCAGTCACATGAACCAATGAATTTCACTACCATCACCCTTTAAAAAAAATTACATCAGATAGAGTCTTGAGTAATAGGGACACCAACTGTAGACTCACCATCTCAATCTGCCCCTAAATAAAATAATTCCTCCAATTCTAGATATTTATACAGTGCTCATTGTCTTCCCAAATTATATACTCTTCATTTCCCCTCTTGATTTCACTTGTTCAGATGCTTTGGTTGCATTTGAAAACATTTTCTATTTGTCAGTGAATATTCTGGCAGCCATGGGTAAGACGATGCCACAAACAGGGTCATGGGTGAAACAGCATACAAAGATGTGATCTTGGCATCGTACCTGATCAGACTCTTGGAAACACCCACCAAATGCTATTCTACAATAATGACTAAAATAACAACAAAACCAATTTTAAAAGCCCATACCGCTAATTAGCATTTTACTGCTTTCTCCTCTTATGCTCTGTGCACTCTATATTGTCGCAAGTACTTCTCCCACCAACCCTCTAATGCAGTCTAAATTCTCTACTTTATAGAGGAGGAATCTGAAACAGAGAGAGGTTTGACAACTTACCAGAGGTTATGAAGTTAGAAGATGGTGTCAGTCCTGAAAATTAGATCAGACTCCAGACCCTGTGGCCTTAATCATTGTTCTCTTTTACTTCTCAAGAGTACTCACTAGTGAGTTCCTTTGCAAGGTTTCACAGCAGTCTGATGGAAATCAATGGCAGGGATCCTTACTCATCTTTCCCAGGACATTCAGTCATAAAGTGATTCCTTTATGGCATCTACAGGGAACAATGTTTAAAATGTTTACCTGTGAATACAGGTAAAAATATGTATCAGGAGATGTGACGCCCATGTAAAAGATGCCAACCCAGATGGTTCTTGTAATTATTGGTCTAACCTTCATCGATCGCTTACCTCTCTGAGGTTCAGTTTCCCCATGGCAAATAGAAGAGGCTGTAGTAGAGTGTAATGACAATGGTAGCCATTGACTGAGGGCCTACTATGGGCTAGGCATTCTACTGGCCCTTCACATCCATCGGCTCTAAGCAATTGCTAATGCCTTTTTATATCTTAACCTTCTGCCATTATAGGGCCTCTGTGAAATAAAATGTTTCTGAAAGGGACATCGGATAATACAAAAATACAACAGGTTGAAAAGAGTTTGATTAAAAACTCTGAATAATACACCCTCCCGAAAGTTAATTTTTATTTTGTTCTTCACAGGGCAGCATTGTTTGGACTTGGCAAGCGTGCACACTGCAGCCATTATCCTGGTTCTGGGGCAGCAACCACCAGCTTTGGTGTGACTAAGAAACAGAATGCTTAGAGCTGAGCTCTTGGTGGCCTGCTTATCCACTTGGCTGGGTCCTGCTGTCCTGCTGACACCCAATGGACACGTGAGCAGCCAGAACATTTTGTGAATATGCAGGAGTTTCCTCCAAGGACCACAAAAGGCCTCTATGACTCAGAGAAAATTAGGTTCCTCAACTGTAAACTGCCCTTTGGGGGAAAGGAAGAGAAATTCCAGAGGAGGGGAGGAAAAAAAGATAAAATTCATTTCAACTACTCCTCCCAATTACGATTAAAACAACGAAGACATTACATGCCAATTGCACGTTTTAGGTACTGGCCTGCCTTGGAGTCATCTTCAAACCGGTTTCCTCTGTATGTATTTATTTTTCTTTAAGTATCCTGAGAAGTGCACATTATTATCTTCTGTGGACATCTTTAGTAAACAGGGAGCTTAGGCATGTTTGCATTGTTCTGGCTTGTTGCAGTTGTTGACCTGATTGGATCATGGACTGCTTTGATCACTTAAAAATGAAAGCAGTTTTTACTGCAAATTGTGCTGGGATGATTTGAAAACCAAACAAACCAAAAGGACATGTTCTATTTATTCTTTATTACTCACACATTTAAAGAACACACAGACCTTCCTCCCCTCAATCCCCAAAATATGAATGTGTTTAGAAGATACATTTAAAACCACCTTTTCTTTTAGCCTTGCAGGCAAAAGCCTCTGGAGGGTGCTTCGTAAAAAGGGTCTACAGCTTGGCAATTTCGATTTGGAAAAGTACACTTTAAATTATTTCTCCCCACTCTCACCGAAGTCCTGTTTTACAGGCTTGGGAGTTTCCTTTTGAACACTAACATTTATTGGCCATATAACCCTGGACACAATAGCTAAACCTTAAGTTTCATTTTCTTCATCTATAAAATGGGGATAACTGTTCAAAACCTTATTGAAAGGATGAAATATTTTAAAGCACATTAGGCATTCAAAACAAATGTATACTGCTTTTTCTTATGGTGTTATTTTTTCCATTTACAAATGAGAAAGTTGAATCTCAAATTAAATGACTTGTCCAACTACTCACAGCACACAGGTAGTAGAATCTAGAAACAAATTCTATTCTTGTGCCTTAAAATTCACTTCTTCCTCTTTTCTTCATATAATAGAAACATCTACGTAAAGACTTTGTACTACTGCATGCACACTGCTTCAAGATTAGTCCCTTGTCACCCCCTATTAGATAGTCAATACAAAGTCCCTTGTATTAAGACATTTGAAAACTGCCATTTTCTCTATATTATTTTTATTAAAATGTTCCCTAATTAAAATATACTATTTTTAAAATGAATTGAGAGGCAATAGTTTTAAAACTACTAGTGGCATAATGATGTATCTGTTCCTGTAGTTGCCTTTTCTTGTCTTTTGATCAACAGCGGTGATATCCTTATCTTCTCAGGGCTGCAGTCCTCAGGTTATTAAAAGGGAACAAACACCCTAACAGGCTTGTACCTTTGATTTTCTGCCATACTCTCCAAGTTAATGAGTAAGAGGGTCAAGGGAATTTATTCCTGTGCTTTAGGAAATCTACAAACAATATTAAAAAAGAAGTTGGTGGCAGATTAAGAAACTTTTAATAACCTTGTGCAAACCTTCCAGACACTCATTACTCAGCTTCAGTTAGCACATATAGGTGATTGAAATATGCAATTTCAAAATATGCTGTGGGAGTTAGAAGAGAGCCAGCAGCTGACAGAGAAGTAGTTTGGGCAAGAAAAAAGGAGGCTTCGGGACCAAGGAGTTCAGTGAGAAAGTCAGCTCTTTTATTTTGCTATATTTGAACGAAAATAACCCATAAGAAGGAATGTTGAAAGCTTTGCAGGGTCTTGCATGCATTCCATTTTGAAACCCGCTAATGAAAGACCACTGATTGATTTATCTGAGGCATATATATTTTCATTAAAAGCCAACACTGTATTCTCTCTTCTCTCTCTTGCTCTTGTTTTCTTAAGACACTTTTTTCCCAAGCAAATAAGAAGCTTCCTAACTGCTTTACCCGTTCCAGTCTAAGAAATGGAGATTCCAAGATATTTTCCTATTTATCTTTGAACAGGTGTTTATCTTCCTAATGCTATGTTTCTCAGACCCAACTGTAAATTTGCACATAGATTGAGATTATCAACTAGATTTCAACTCTAACCTTAGCTCTTTCTACTTCTGAAAACTTGTGCCAGCCATATTATGGTTTAAGGCAGGTTGTGTTGAGTATTATATCCACATTTGACAGAACAATGCCTAAGGCTAAGAAAAACTAAGTGACTTATCCAAAGTCACATAGCTACTGGTAGAGTTTAGAACATTTGACTGAGATCAAGCTATAATAGATCCCAAGTCCTTGGGCTTCATCCTACCATTCATTTCCTCCCTGTAAAAAAATGATAATAATCATCTCTGCTCTTCCTTCTCACAGAATTTTTTGTAAGAATCAAATAAACTAGTATTTGTGAAAATGTTTTATACACCCAATTTAGAAAGGAACAAGTATGGATGTTTCAGGGAGAATACAGAAAGGATAATTAGAGTGAAGGAAGCCACAGGGTCAAGAGCATCCAGGAAAGAGAGATTGTGTTATAGTTTGGATGTAGTTTGACCCTGCCAAAACTCATACTGAAATTTGATCTTTAAGGTGGCAGCATTCGGGGATGGGGCCTAGTGGGAAGTGTTTGAGCCAGGAGGTAGATCCCTAATGAATTGACTAATGCCCTCCACTGGGGTGAATGAATTCTTGTTCTCACTGGAATGGATTGGTTGTTAAAAAGAATCTGGCTTCCTCAGTTTCTCTCTCTTGCTTCCTCCCTCACCATATGATCTCTTTGCACTTGTCTACTCCCCCTTGGCTTTCTGCCATGAGTGGAAGCAGCATGAGGTCTTCACCAGAAGGTAAGCAGATGCTATTGCCATGCCCTTTGATCTTCCCAGTCTGCAGAACTGTGAGCTAAATAAACCTCTTTTTCTTATACGTTACCTAGTCTCATGTATTCTGTTTTAGCAACACAAAACTAAGACAGAATGTCATACCTAAAATACAGTTGACATTATACCGACTTGAATGGGAATTCATGTGGTAGAGCTGGGGTTGGTAAACTTTTTCTGTAAAGGGCCAGAGGGTAAATATTTCAGGCTTTACAGCCCATATGTTCTGTCTCAAACACTCAACTCTGCATGAAAGCAGCCATAGACAGTATGTAAATAAATGAGCAAGGCTAGATTCCAATAAAACTTTATTTATGGACACTGACATTTAGATTTCATATCTTTTTTCATGTATCATAAAACATTATACTTCTTTTGATTTTTATTTCATTTAAAAATGTAAAAACTATCTTTAACTCACAGGGCCTCCATAAACAGGCAGTGAGTCAGATTGGGCCCACATGGACATAGTTCAAGATTCCTGCTATAGGGCAATGAAAAATGATACGTTGTTGACTCATTTGGGTAACATTTGATAGGCAATACAATGTCACTAAAGTTCATTAGCAAGAAGATTATAAGTTTGGAGTGCTTAGGGCTGCAAGGAACCAAGAAAGCTGATTAACATCAGCTATGATGATAAGAGCATGTATATTATGGTTAACAAGAAATCTGAATGTAGAAATTTGACAGTCCATTCAGAAGTTTAACAATGTCCTCAGTGATCCAGACTCTTTTCATCCTTTTGTGCCTCCATTCTCAGCATTTGGCTTTCCATATTTATGCTTAATGCTGCACTGTCCAATGATTGCTGCCACAGCTTCAAGCACAATGTCCTCACAATAGCATCCCCAGCATAAAAGAAGGGTAAGATTGTTCACCCAAAAGCTCTTCCCCTATATCAGTCTTTTTTTTCAGGAAGCAAATGCTTTCCCAGAAGCCCCACCACAGACTACTCCTTTGCTAAAGTTGGGCCAGGTGACCATATCTTTGCATTGCAAAGGAAAATAAATTTCTCATGGTTGGCTTACGCCAATCATCATTTATCACATTGGGCCAAACAAAATTAGGATTCCATTAGCAAGGAAGAAGTCAAGCAATGGCTGTTGGGTAGGCCACTGACAGGACCTGCTTCAATGGAAGAAGAAATTTTTATGGGAAATTGAGCTAGAAATCAAGCTGAGGTAGGATGAAATTTTTGGATTCCCACAAGCTCTATCTTACCACATAATATGGAATTATTAATTAATGCTTCTTTCTTATAAAAGGACAAAAAAAATGCTGATGGCCAGGCCTATATCTTATTTATTAGGGTGCTCTCTATCAGGCATATGTTTGCAATTCTTTTGGCATTGAGAATACTTGACAAATTGAAATGTTAAGGCTTGCAGGCAGAGCTAAATAAATAAATCTTCCAGAAAAAAAAAAAAAAAAAAGAGTGTCTGAATTAAAGAGAAAGAAGAAGAAATGGAATAAGAAAGATGAATGTTCATGAATTGAAGCATGTCTGACTTTATTTTCCCTGTGGGAAAAACTGCAGTCTTCCTGGGAGCAATGCCTGATCCTTGCTCATGCCTCCTACTATTGTTATATTCTCGGTGGAATGGAAAAGACTGGATTCAGCCTTTCTGTGTCACAGTGAATCAGCCAAAAAAAGAAGAAGAAAAGTTATCAGTATTCTACTACAAAATGGCTAAGAAAAAAAAATCTGAATGTATTCAAAAAAATTTCACTAAAAATGAAAAGACAGACTCATAGCATGGGTATTTCATCAGTAACAATTGGGAGCTAGATTGTCAACTACATAAAATTAGATGTTTCATCTTCTGTTCTTTTGTTTTAGGAGAAAAATGTAAGAATGTGTTATAGTCTCTTCTAATTTGTAAACTGGTAGCCAGGCACTCTGAGAAGATGGCAACACCCTAGTGATTAAGGTAAGCAAATCTTTGTTACTAGAAAAATCAAGAGAAATATGACTGCCTTTGTGTCTAATTTTTGAGATAATATATTGTGAGTTCGATGTTGTCATGAAATAAAATGTACAGCAAAAGTCAATCTGTTACATCATTAATAATATGCTTATGATTTGTCACACTGCATGGTAAAAAGACAAAGACAGTAAATAGTTTATTTGCATGGATATAATTATTATTCATTTTATGTAGGAAAGCCGAGATTTTATAGTGTGTATTTTTCTTTTTTTTTTTGTTGTTTTTCTTTTTTGTTTTTTTTTCTTTTATTATTATAATTTAAGTTTTAGGGTACATGTGCACATTGTGCAGGTTAGTTACATATGTATACATGTGCCATGCTGGTGCGCTGCACCCACTAACTCGTCGTCTAGCATTAGGTATATCTCCCAATGCCATCCCTCCCCCCTCCCCCCACCCCACAACAGTCCCCAGAGTGTGATGTTTCCCTTCCTGTGTCCATGTGATCTTATTGTTCAATTCCCACATATGAGTGAGAATATGCGGTGTTTGGTTTTTTGTTCTTGTGATAGTTTACTGAGAATGATGATTTCCAATTTCATCCATGTCCCTACAAAGGACATGAACTCATCATTTTTTATGGCTGCATAGTATTCAATGGTGTATATGTGCCGTATTTTCTTAATCCAGTCTATCATTGTTGGACATTTGGGTTGGTTCCAAGTCTTTGCTATTGTGAATAGTGCCACAATAAACATATGTGTGCATGTGTCTTTATAGCAGCATGATTTATAGTCCTTTGGGTATATACCCAGTAATGGGATGGCTGGGTCAAATGGTATTTCTAGCTCTAGATCCCTGAGGAATTGCCACACTGTCTTCCACAATGGTTGAACTAGTTTACAGTCCCACCAACAGTGTAAAAGTGTTCCTATTTCTCCACATCCTCTCCAGCATCTGTTGTTTCCTGACTTTTTAATGACTGCCATTCTAACTGGTGTGAGATGGTATCTCATTGTGGTTTTGATTTGTATTTCTCTGATGGCCAGTGATGATGAGCATTTTTTTAATGTGTTTTTTGGCTGCATAAATGTCTTCTTTTGAGAAGTGTCTGTTCATGTCCTTTGCCCACTTTTTGAAGGGGTTGTTTGTTTTTTTCTTGTAAATTTGTTTGAGTTCATTGTAGATTCTGGATATTAGCCCTTTGTCAGATGAGTAGGTTGCGAAAATTTTCTCCCATTCTGTAGGTTGCCTGTTCACTCTGATGGTAGTTTCTTTTGCTGTACAGAAGCTCTTTAGTTTAATTAGATCCCATTTGTCAATTTTGTCTTTTGTTGCCATTGCTTTTGGTGTTTTAGACATGAAGTCCTTGCCCATGCCTATGTCCCGAATGGTATTGCCTAGGTTTTCTTCTAGGGTTTTTATGGTTTTAGGTCTAATGTTTAAGTCTTTAATCCACCTTGAATTGATTTTTGTATAAGGTGTAAGGAAGGGATCCAGTTTCAGCTTTCTACATATGGCTAGCCAGTTTTCCCAGCACCATTTATTAAATAGGGAATCCTTTCCCCATTGCTTGTTTTTCTCAGGTTTGTCAAAGATCAGATAGTTGTAGATATGTGGCGTTATTTCTGAGGGCTCTGTTCTGTTCCATTGATCTATATCTCTGTTTTGGTACCAGTACCATGCTGTTTTGGTTACTGTAGCCTTGTAGTATAGTTTGAAGTCAGGTAGTGTGATGCCTCCAGCTTTGTTCCTTTGGCTTAGGATTGCCTTGGCGATGTGGGCTCTTTTTTGGTTCCATATGAACTTTAAAGTAGTTTTTTCCAATTCTGTGAAGAAAGGCATTGGTAGCTTGATGGGGATGGCATTGAATCTGTAAATTACCTTGGGCAGTATGGCCATTTTCACGATATTGATTCTTCCTACCCATGAGCATGGAATGTTCTTCCATTTGTTTGTATCCTCTTTTATTTCATTGAGCAGTGGTTTGTAGTTCTCCTTGAAGAGGTCCTTCACATCCCTTGTAAGTTGGATTCCTAGGTATTTTATTCTCTTTGAAGCAATTGTGAATGGGAGTTCACTCATGATTTGGCTCTCTGTTTGTCTGCTGTTGGTGTATAAGAATGCTTGTGATTTTTGCACATTGATTTTGTATCCTGAGACTTTGCTGAAGTTGCTTATCAGCTTAAGGAGATTTTGGGCTGAGACAATGGGGTTTTCTAGATATACAATCATGTCGTCTGCAAACAGGGACAATTTGACTTCCTCTTTTCCAAACTGAATACCCTTTATTTCCTTCTCCTGCCTAATTGCCCTGGCCAGAACTTCCAACACTATGTTGACTAGGAGTGGTGAGAGAGGGCATCCCTGTCTTGTGCCAGTTTTCACAGGGAATGCTTCCAGTTTTTGCCCATTCAGTATGATATTGGCTGTGAGTTTGTCATAGATAGCTCTTATTATTTTGAAATACGTCCCATCAATACCTAATTTATTGAGAGTTTTTAGCATGAAGGGTTGTTGAATTTTGTCAAAGGCCTTTTCTGCATCTATTGACATAATCATGTGGTCTTTGTCTTTGGCTCTGTTTATATGCTGGATTACATTTATTGATTTGCGTATGTTGAACCAGCCTTGCATCCCAGGGATGAAGCCCACTTGATCATGGTGGATAAGCTTTTTGATGTGCTGCTGGATTCGTTTTGCCAGTATTTTATTGAGGATTTTTGCATCAATGTTCATCAAGGATATTGGTCTAAAATTCTTTTTTTTTTTGTTGTGTCTCTGCCAGGCTTTGGTATCAGAATGATGCTGGCCTCATAAAATGAGTTAGGGAGGATTCCCTCTTTTTCTATTGATTGGAATAGTTTCAGAAGGAATGGTACCAGTTCCTCCTTGTACCTCTGGTAGAATTTGACTGTGAATCCATCTGGTCCTGGACTCTTTTTGGTTGGTAAGCTATTGATTATTGCCACAATTTCAGATCCTGTTATTGGTCTATTCAGAGATTCAACTTCTTCCTTGTTTAGTCTTGGGAGAGTGTATGTGTCGAGGAATTTATCCATTTCTTCTAGATTTTCTAGTTTATTTGCATAGAGGTGTTTGTAGTATTCTCTGATGGTAGTTTGTATTTCTGTGGGATCGGTGGTGATATCCCCTTTATCATTTTTTATTGCATCTATTTGATTCTTCTCTCTTTTTTTCTTTATTAGTCTTGCTAGCGGTCTATCTATTTTGTTGATCCTTTCAAAAAACCAGCTCCTGGATTCATTAATTTTTTGAAGGGTTTTTTGTGTCTCTATTTCCTTCAGTTCTGCTCTGATTTTAGTTATTTCTTGCCTTCTGCTAGCTTTTGAATGTGTTTGCTCTTGCTTTTCTAGTTCTTGTAATTGTGATGTTAGGGTGTCAATTTTGGATCTTTCCTGCTTTCTCTTGTGGGAATTTAGTGCTATAAATTTCCCTCTACACACTGCTTTGAATGCGTCCCAGAGATTCTGGTATGTTGTGTCTTTGTTCTCATTGGTTTCAAAGAACATCTTTATTTCTGCCTTCATTTCGTTATGTAGCCAGTAGTCATTCAGGAGCAGGTTGTTCAGTTTCCATGTAGTTGAGCGGTTTTGAGTGAGATTCTTAATCCTGAGTTCTAGTTTGATTGCACTGTGGTCTGAGAGATAGTTTGTTATAATTTCTGTTCTTTTACATTTGCTGAGGAGAGCTTTACTTCCAACTATGTGGTCAATTTTGGAATAGGTGTGGTGTGGTGCTGAAAAAAATGTATATTCTGTTGATTTGGGGTGGAGAGTTCTGTAGATGTCTATTAGGTCTGCTTGGTGCAGAGCTGAGTTCACTTCCTGGGTATCCTTGTTGACTTTCTGTCTCGTTGATCTGTCTAATGTTGACAGTGGGGTGTTAAAGTCTCCCATTATTAATGTGTGGGAGTCTAAGTCTCTTTGTAGGTCACTCAGGACTTGCTTTATGAATCTGGGTGCTCCTGTATTGGGTGCATATATATTTAGGATAGTTAGCTCTTCTTGTTGAATTGATCCCTTTACCATTATGTAATGGCCTTCTTTGTCTCTTTTGATCTTTGTTGGTTTAAAGTCTGTTTTATCAGAGACTAGGATTGCAACCCCTGCCTTTTTTTGTTTTCCATTTGCTTGGTAGATCTTCCTCCATCCTTTTATTTTGAGCCTATGTGTGTCTCTGCACGTGAGATGGGTTTCCTGAATACAGCACACTGATGGGTCTTGACTCTTTATCCCATTTGCCAGTCTGTGTCTTTTAATTGGAGCATTTAGTCCATTTACATTTAAAGTTAATATTGTTATGTGTGAATTTGATCCTGTCATGATGATGTTAGCTGGTTATTTTGCTCGTTAGTTGATGCAGTTTCTTCCTAGTCTTGATGGTCTTTACATTTTGGCATGATTTTGCAGCGGCTGGTACTGGTTGTTCCTTTCCATGTTTAGTGCTTCCTTCAGGAGCTCTTTTAGGGCAGGCCTGGTGGTGACAAAATCTCTCAGCATTTGCTTGTCTGTAAAGGATTTTATTTCTCCTTCACTTATGAAGCTTAGTTTGGCTGGATATGAAATTCTGGGTTGAAAATTCTTTTCTTTAAGAATGTTGAACATTGGCCCCCACTCTCTTCTGGCTTGTAGGGTTTCTGCCAAGAGATCCACTGTTAGTCTGATGGGCTTCCCTTTGAGGGTAACCCGACCTTTCTCTCTGGCTGCCCTTAACATTTTTTCCTTCATTTCAACTTTGGTGAATCTGACAATTATGTGTCTTGGAGTTGTTCTTCTCGAGGAGTATCTTTGTGGCATTCTCTGTATTTCCTGAATCTGAATGTTTGCCTGCCTTGCTAGATTGGGGAAGTTCTCCTGGATAATATCCTGCAGAGTGTTTTCCAACTTGGTTCCATTCTCCCCGTTACTTTCAGGTACACCAATCAGACGTGGATTTGGTCTTTTCACATAGTCCCATATTTCTTGGAGGCTTTGCTCATTTCTTTTTATTCTTTTTTCTCTAAACTTCCCTTCTCGCTTCATTTCATTCATTTCATCTTCCATTGCTGATACCCTTTCTTCCAGCTGATAGCATCGGCTCCTGAGGCTTCTGCATTCTTCACATAGTTCTCGAGCCTTGGTTTTCAGCTCCATCAGCTCCTTTAAGCACTTCTCTGTATTGGTTATTCTAGTTATACATTCTTCTAAATTTTTTTCAAAGTTTTCAACTTCTTTGCCTTTGGTTTGAATGTCCTCCCATAGCTCAGAGTAATTTGATCGTCTGAAGCCTTCTTCTCTCAGCTCGTCAAAGTCGTTCTCCATCCAGCTTTGTTCCGTTGCTGGTGAGGAACTGCGTTCCTTTGGAGGAGGAGAGGCGCTCTGCTTTTTAGAGTTTCCAGTTTTTCTGTTCTGTTTTTTCCCCATCTTTGTGGTTTTTATCTACTTTTGGTCTTTGATGATGGTGATGTACAGATGGGTTTTTGGTGTGGATGTCCTTTCTGTTTGTTAGTTTTCCTTCTAACAGACAGGACCCTCAGCTGCAGGTCTGTTGGAGTACCCTGCCGTGTGAGGTGTCAGTGTGCCCCTGCTGGGGGGTGCCTCCCAGTTAGGCTGCTCGGGGGTCAGCGGTCAGGGACCCACTTGAGGAGGCAGTCTGCCCGTTCTCAGATCTCCCGCTGCGTACCGGGAGAACCACTGCTCTCTTCAAAGCTGTCAGACAGGGACATTTAAGTCTGCAGAGGTTACTGCTGTCTTTTTGTTTGTCTGTGCCCTGCCCCCAGAGGTGGAGCCTACAGAGGCAGGCAGGCCTCCTTGAGCTGTGGTGGGCTCCACCCAGTTCGAGCTTCCAGGCTGCTTTGTTTACCTAATCAAGGCTGGGCAATGGCGGGCGCCCCTCCCCCAGCCTTGCTGCCGCCTTGCAGTTTGATCTCAGACTGCTGTGCTAGCAATCAGGAGACTCCGTGGGCGTAGGACCCTCCGAGCCAGGTGCGGGATATAATCTCGTGGTGCGCCGTTTTTTAAGCCCGTCAGAAAAGCACAGTATTCGGGTGGGAGTGACCAGATTTTCCAGGTGCCGTCCGTCACCCCTTTCTTTGACTAGGAAAGGGAACTCCCTGACCCCTTGGGCTTCCCGAGTGAGGCAATGCCTCACCCTGCTTCGGCTCGCGCACGGTGTGCGCACCCACTGACCTGCGCCCACTGTCTGGCACTCTTTAATGAGATGAACCGGGTACCTCGGATGGAAATGCAGAAATCACCCATCTTCTGCGTCCCTCACGCTGGGAGCTGTAGACCGGAGCTGTTCCTGTTCGGCCATCTTGGCTCCTCCTAATGTGTACTTTTCTTTATGAGTTTACCATTATCTGTAACCATGTCAATATATATTACCTCCCCTAACATTTTTTATAGCTTTTCTCCATTACATATAAAGACAATGTACATTCACAGTGCAATTCATACCAAGAGTCACATGCTCCTTTACAGACATATTTCTGAGGTCTGCTTCCTTCATAGCCAGAGTTTCCTAAGCACTTTACCCTCTTAGCCTCAGGTCTAATGCCCCTGTTTCAGTAACCCCTCACATTCCTGATTACTTCTTCTACTCTTCCCGCTCCTACCATCTCCCATTACTCTAGACAGGGATGACAAAGGAGTTTCATCTAGAATGCCAACTCCAGGTGAATTGTACTGGTTGCTTGGGGAGCTGTATTTAGAAAAACTGTGAGAATGTTACTATGGGCCTGGGATGTAAAGAGAGCTGGGTATCTGTCTTTCCTCATTTTAGTGGTTCTTAGAAGTTATTGTTTGATCCTCCCTATACTTGAGGAGAACCAGCCCTCAGTATCATAGCCACTGAAGAATTTAAGACTGGAAGAAGTAAGGGGCATGATACCACAGTGGCCTGGGCCACAGGAACATCCTTTCAGAGAGAAAAGGGGGAGGGTGGGTAGAGAAAGAGAGAGAGAGAAGATGGCCAAAGAATGGACTGAAAGCAAGCATGGACAGAAAGAATAGACACCAAAAGAATGAACTTGAGAAAGAAAGAAGCAGATAAAAGTTAAGAGTGAGAACCATTTAAGCAGGAAGAACTGTTTTCAGGCATAACGTCTTAGGCCTGCAAAATCCATTCTCTACGTTAATGATCTTTATGGGAACAGCTGTTAAACAAAGTAGGTCTAAGAAAAAAAATCTAGTTACTGCATTGTTCTCTTTAATGTGCATGAGAACAGGCCTACACACACACATGCATGCACACACACACACACACACAAACACGCACAGGTGTACACACACACTCACCAAAAGATGCACACAGACACACACAGTCTTATCTTTTTATACCATTCAAGTTGCTTCCGCTTGGATCTTCATGCTTCTTAGAAGTGTCATCCTTCTCTTGGATTCTCCTGTCACCATGGAGAAATTGGTTGTGCAGACCCAGAGTCAAAAGCTTTGGCTGTTTTCTTATCAGTATGCTGCATTTGCCTAGAGGCTTATTTTCATTTCAGGTGTGCTTTTCTTGCCAGAAAAGCAGAGTGGGTGGCTGATTACAAATAGAGGCCTTAGGCGGTGGTAATTGAAGACTGGTAAAACCACACAGTTTAGAGGAAATATTGCTTCTGACTAAGTGGAGAGAGACTAGAAATTTTCAAGTGAAAATAGGAAGTGCAGACAATTGTCAATAACTCCAAACAACAAATGTTAAAGCATCTGGGGAAAACTATCTGCAAGATTGCATTCAAGTTAAACTTCTGCTCTTGAAATCAATCCTACATATTGCTAATATTGATTGTGTTGCCCTCACCTAGAAATTGACCTGAGGTCATTTTAAAGGCCATCCTCACTATTGCTGCTCCCCTCCCACTCCCACTAAACCCTACTCCCCACCTTGTTCACCCATCCCTGGGATTCTCTAAACAAACTGAAAACTTTTATTCCCCAGTTCAGTTCACATGGATGGACTGCCTGTCATGTGCTAGGTCTAGGGGTTTTGGTAGATGAATTGGGCTTGCCTTAAGTTTACAATCTGGAAAGTTAGAGAAAAAGAAACTAATAAATCAGAAAGAAAAGTAACATCCTTGCTTAAATTGGCACTGAGGTGTTTATTTCTTTGGTTATATCTCACAGTTGTCCACAAAAGGACCTCAGTGATGGGGAGAATAAACACATATGGTTGACACTCTAGGGACAAAGCCCAAAATGGTTCATCACAATCACAAAATATTTTTAGAAGTATCTTGCCTTATATTTGTAGTTTTCAACCAACCATGACTTTTCCACCCAACTACAGGGGACATTTGGCAGTGTCTGGAGACATTTTTGGTTGTTACAACTGGAATTGCGCATCTGGGGGTTGAGGCCAGGGTTGCTGTTAAACATTGGGCAATGCACAGGACACTTCCCCGCAGCAAAGAATTACCCAGCCCAAAATGTCAAGTGCTGAAATTGAGAAACCCTGCTTTATATTAAAATACGTGCACATTTTGTATTCCACTCAATGTTCAGTATAATATTATTTACACATTTTTTTCTTTGAGTAAAATTGACACTGCAAGAAAATTGGTCATGTTTATCTGGTGCCCTAGCCTGAGGTCTGGTACATGGCCATGAACCATGCTTTGCAAAAGATGGCCCTATCCCTGTCTTTCAATTGATTCCCTCATTTTACAGCTTAGCTCTGACCTTCTCTGGAAGACATCCCAGTGTCTCACAGTTGATGGTTGTCTGATTTAGCAAATAAAAATACTGTTTCCTGGTTAAATCTCAATTTCAGAAAATTGATAAATAATTTTTTAGCATAAGTATATCCCATGCAAAGTTTAGGATAATTAAAATTTGGAATTTGAACTTGGGATTTGAGTTTCAGATAAACAGCAAATAATTTTTGAAATACCTGTGTGTCCCCTGAAACATTTGGGATCTAGTGATACAAAAAAGTATTTACTTTTTAATTCTGAAATTTGACTTTAACTGGGTATCCTGTGTTTTATCTGGCAATCCCACTGCAGTTGTGCCTGTTGTCTCCTCTCAATATCTATGATATTATGAGGACTATTCCTCCCTCTATACTCTCAGTGACTACATATAGACCTATTTGCAAGCATGTTTTAACCCTCTGAGTAAAATCTACGTTTCATAGTTTTTGTTCTTTTTGCCTGGAAAAATGCCCTGAACATTGCAGGAACTCAAAAAATATTTTGTGGATGATGCATCATGTCATTGTAATGCTACAAGGGGAAACTAGAAACTTTATTAGGTATCATTGTATAATAGGTGATCAAAAAACTAGGATTTTAGTAGTGAGTATTGATTAGGGCAGCTTGGCTATGAGTACCAGAGACCAAAAAAAAAAAAAAATCATTTCTAAAACAAGACAGAAGTTTGTCTCTCTCTTGTGTAAAAGCAGGCTGGAGATCAACTGGGAAAAACTGGTGTGGAGTCTCCATAGCCAGAGGCCCAGGCTTTTTCCAGCTTCTCACTCTACCATTCCTAGGGTGTGGCCTTCACACTCCAAATGACTGCTGGAGATCCAGCCCTCATATCTATATTCCATAAACCAAAAGGGTTTATGGAAGAAAAGATCATCCCTCACGTTAAAAATGATTTCCTCTACTTGTGTATCACTGACCAGAACACAGATATATGGTCGCACACAGCTGCAAGGGTGGCTGACAAATGTGGTCTTTATTTCAGGGGAGAAGAGTGCTCAGCTAAATGTGAGGTTAATATGAGAGTAAAGTGGAAAATGGATATTTGATGGGGGAAAGGTACAGACTATACAGATCTCTTCTGGCTTCAGTTGCTAACTCTCTTACCACTTTTAAAAGTATATCCTTTATTCTGAAAATAACTGGGAAACAGAAACTAGAAGATTCCCGATCCCCATCACAGGTATTCAAAGCTTTGTGGTTTTCAAATGCCACCTCTTTCACCCAGCATTCTCAGATTCTTCCTATTTCTTATGTGCCCCTTATGAACTATCCAAGCACTCAATGTGCCTCTCCTGGGTGTGCACCATTTTTTTTTTTACCTCACATCGTAGTTTTCTGTGTGAGTTCACATTTCCCCCACTAGATTGTAGACATCTTGAGGACAGAGTCAGTTTTAAAATCATGTCTCTGGCCTCTTCCCTCCCTAGTGTGTCTTACATACACTAGGGGTTTAATATTTGTTCCATAGGTGAACAACTCTCTCGTACCTGAGGGAGAGAAGTGACAACCTGTCATGTGCCCATAGGCATGCAAGGGAGATGTCCACGTTATCTTTAGTGGTTGCCAAGATAATGTGCTGTGGAGATTATTTCATTTTGTTAGGCAGATTTTGTAAAAATGAAAAATGAGTTTGTTTCAAGACTACAGAGAGCTTTTCAATGTAGCTGATGTAAGAGTCTCAAGATTTGGGATAAAATCCTACCCAAACCTGCTCATGAAAGCTGCACGTCTGCAAAACTCGCCATTACCGAATGACATGGTGCAGAAAGGCTGTTAGGAAAGGCTAATGCCTATACATCTGGTGTAATGAAGAAATGGGAGGGTTAGGCACGGGAAACCACAGCTCCAACAGAAGGAGCTGAAAAGATATAGGTAAGATTAGTGACATATGTAAAGGCCCAGATACTGTGTGACAAAGTCTACCCAGCTGAATAGGCCGAAGCCAGAAGTAATAGGAAGGCCATGTTCTCCCTAATCCTCCAAGATAAGCTGTTCCATCCAGAATTATCAGCCAACAATCTTCAGGGTATCCGGCTGAAAATGAAGTTTCAGACGGCTTTGATTCCTCATCCATAAATGAGAAAGTGCCTGAAGGATCTTTATTTATTCTCGCTCCCACCGAAACACTCTTCAAAAAGTGCCAATATACTAGCAACAGATGCATAAAGCCTCCCTTCCTTTGATTGACAGAACATGATATAAAGCAACCCTCACTTGACATTTCAGTTTCATAAGGCTCCTAGCAGGGGGAAGAAAAAAGAACCTTGAAAAAAAATCCACTAGAAAATAAAGAGGATTTATGCAAACTCACGTGAATGTTTTCAGAATCAAATTTAACAGTTTTATTTCTCTGCAGCCCTTATTCGATATTTTGGGTTGCAGATGAATCATTTCAGCAGGAGTAATTTCAGCCATTTGCTTATTAATGTTTATGGCTTATTAAAACAAAGTATTTACATATTAATGTTTGTTGATTACTGGATGTTTAAGTTGCTTAGTTGTAAATGATTGAGATATTCACTCTAGGGAGGAGATATTTAATTTGGTGTTGTGTGTGCTTTAATTTAGATTTCAAAATCAGTAATTGAATGAGAAAATGTCATCTACACCTATGCATTTCAGTTTTGAAAGGTCATCCCGTGGTTAGTTTATACATTTTCAAATTCTTGTTACATTGCTCAATAAGATATTAAAGTCAAGTTCACCCTATACATATTTCTTTCAATTGACATATAAATGTTCTGTTTGAAATAATAAGTAAATTTAATGCCTACATATTTCTTATGGAAGAAAGGTTGGAAAATCTTCTAGACGAGCCCGAGAGAAAGACACTAATTCTTTTTGTTTTATCAAAGGAATTTATTTTTATATTTAATTGCTCTCTGACTTTTTTTGCAGGTTGTCTGAAGTTGGAGTTCTTCATGCTCTGTAGAAACTGTAGTGTATAGAATTCCAGCATTTTCCTGACAAACATCAAAGCTACTTTGGATCCAGGGTTGACTTCGCATCCCTCAAAGAGCATTTCAAATGGCAATCTTCAGACTGCAAAGAAAACTTGGGGTGAGTAAGAGCAAAAGAAAGAATATACCAAACTTGACAAACCTTGGCTTGATAAAAGTCAGTTTTATTTCGAACACAATTTGCTTGTCTCCTCTTGTTTTCTCCACTTTCTAACCAGCTAAACAGTAGTGAGCAAACAAGTGTTGCCAATAACCGTATCATTTTTTCCCATGGTACCAGTGGTATTAGTGATGGAGTGGCTTAATATATTGGTTATTTCACCAGAAGGAAGTGGAAACTTGAGGAAAGGAAAGCAGAGTAACGATGTTCCTAGCAATGGTACTTTTGCTGGCACAGAGATACTCTCAGAGAAGCCAGAAATGAGTGATTGAATTGCTCCCTCCCTTTCTTGATTGGATGAGAGATTGCTGTAATGCTTCTGGATTTTAACCAACTACCAAGAAGCTCTAAGGACTCTTTAATGAAGAGTAATCTTCACCTTTGAAGAGAAAGCCTTGTCTGAATTCCTATAGTAGAAAGAGGAGGGATTAGGCTGCAAAGATTGAAAAGACAGTATATAGAAACAAGTATTTACATAAATTTAGGGAAATTCATTTTACTTCTTTGTGTCTCCGCTTGCTTTCTCCAGTTGTGACTTCTCTTCACTCTTAGTAGGAGACAGAATTCTACTCCCCCTTTCACTTAGGATTGGAATATTCTATCTTTGATACAATAATTCAAATGAGACATGCAAAATTAATGAAAGAGCATAGATGGGGTGGAGTCTCAGGAGTATACAATTAGGCCCTAGAAAAAAAATTAACTAAATTTAGTGCATATGCTCAACTGTGGACACTGAATCAGAAATAGATTGTTAAATTTTAAAGCATACATGAAACTGGCTCCTGAGAAGTTCAAGGCTTGGCTACCAAAGACATAGATGGGAAATGGATTTTGGCTAACAATCATTTATTTATTTATTTATTTATTTATTTATTTATTCGAGACAGTGTCTCACTCCGTTGCCCAGGCTGGAGTGCAATGGCGCGATCTCGGCTCAGTGCAACCTCCACCAACCAGGTTCAAGCAATTCTCCTGCCTCAGCCTGCTCAGAAGCTGGGATTATAGGCACGTGCCACCACACCTGGCTAACTTTTGTATTTTTAGTAGAGACAGGGTTTTGCCATGTTGGCCAGGCTGTTCTCGAACTCCTGACCTCAGGTGATCTGCCTGCCTCGGCCTCCCAAAGTGCTGGGATTACAGGTGTGAGCCACCGCACCCAGCCCAGTCATTCATTCTTAATGACTCTATCCCCTTGAATCTATTTTATCAGTTTGCTTGGTGATTAAATTGTATCATGGCACAAAATGTCATCTTTTCATTTAAACCTCACAGAGACACCCAAGATAATACAGGCTAGGAGTGGGGATGTTGTAGCAGGAGCTTCCAACCTCTCTAGGAAATGTAAAAATGTCCTGCAGTTTTTCAGAAGGATTTCATCATAACTGGACCTTGAATAACGAGAGACGCTTATAATCAGCAGAGAGTATTAGAATTAATCTGGTTGGTATAGAAGCTTCTTCTAAAAATCAATAGTCCTTTTTTTTAATGCTTAGGGTGAGGCTGGAATTTTGTATACTTCATCTCATGTAAGTTTCACGATAACCCTAAGAGATGAGTACTATTGTATTCCTCATCTTACATCGAAGGAAACTGAGGCTTCTTTCTGAGCTTAACTAAGTAAGGTTAGGTAAATTGCCAAGACCATACAGCTAATAAATATCTCAACCCAGCTCCATATTCAGCTCTGACTACAAGTCCAGCCTATGGTCACTGCTTTATATTGCTAGCTTCTGACTCTTCGTTGGGAGTCACTTCTACACATTGCTTGCCCACACACTTATTTTATATTGTAATGAAAAAGAAACCAACCGTAGCCTATATTTTACTTGTAAAATCTTTGGATCTTCAGGCATAATGAAACTATTTCACAATATGCAATGTGCACGGGATTGCCACAATATAATTATGGTATCAGTCAGTGTTGTGTGTGCATGTATGTGCTTGAAGGAGTCATTCCATCATTCTAAAATGTACTTTCCATGCATAAGAATACATACTTTGCTAAATGCATCATGTCAGAATGACACTTATAATTTCAGGATATGTACAAATTAAATCTACCACTTAAAATGCAAAAACCTCGAGTAGACTAGATTCTAAAGCTGGCCATTTAACACAGAATTATTGATTAACTCATGCTGTGCTATACAGGCAAATCTTACATTTAATTGACATTGGTACGAGTCACGTATAAGCTGGTGCATTTTACTATAATTCATGGTCACTATTAATCGTCTAAATTTCTTACAAATGCAGATCGTTCCTGGCAGAGGAACTGGATATGAATGTGGACAAATCAAGATTCCCTTGTTCCCTCACCAGGCCTTCTGTACAAGTCAGTAATAGATTATGTTCAAAATAAAAAGTATGGTTTTTTAAAGATATAATCATACTCTCATTAGCACAGGAGATGCATTGTTGGAAATGGAAATGATAAATGAATCAGTACCATAGGGTGTGAAGGTGTGGTTCCTATGTATTGAATATATGGCATATGTTCAATCATTTACAGTGCCTGAAATAGTCTCTGTTCGAGAGCAGACACTCAATAAATATTTGAATGGATTCTCCATTCACTTGAACTCCCTTGAAATCATCACAAGTCATGGGACATTATTTCTCCTGGATATCAGCCACCCCACTGTAGTCCTTCTCCCTGTCTGCAGGGATGTCTGCCTGTCTTCTGCATATCCCAGTTGTGACCTGATCTTTAGCCTCTGCTTCCCCTCCTGCAAGCTTTTCCCTTGAGAGCACCTCAAGCCACCATCACCCTTGAATTTTAAAATCACACTTGCTAGTCTTACTTGCCCCACTTCTGCCATGTTTACTATCACACTTTTTATCAGCTATTATGCGAAAGAATTGTTCAGCTGAACACAAAGCAACAGCAGAATTAGAGACTCAAGAGAGTCAACAAACTCATTGATAAAGCTTTCGAATTGAGGAAAGTGGTCTGTTCCCATTCACAGACACAGCCAAGCACTGCAATGTACTCTTCTTCTATACTGGCTGCCCTGTCATAAGAGAATCAAGAATCCATTACATTAAACATAGATCTTTAATAAAAGTATTTCTGAGACAGAGTAATATAACAAATCGGTAGTATAGGAGGAAGTCTTAAATATGTGCCTGTATTCTAGGTATAAAACAGAAGATTTTTATTGTTTTACTCTTCTATTTTTAAATTTATTTTATTATGCATACCATAAAGTGTACAAATTTAAAATATCTGTTTTCATGAATTTTACAAAAGAAACACAACCACCACACAGCCCAGATATAAATAATTACCAGCCAACCAGAGGCCTCTCTCATACCCACTTCTAATCATTACTTACCCTATCCCCACCCCACATCAAAGGAGCTCTCAAATTGATTATCAAAGATCAGTTTACCTGTCTTTTTACTTATTATAAATGTATTACATCATGTAGATTTCATATACTGTAGACTCATCTGTGTCTTCTTCACTCAATCTTTTACCTGTAAGATTTGTCCATGTTGTTGTTACTATTCTCATTGTTATGTAGTATTATTCCATTGTATTATAATTTCAGAATTAATCCATTCACTTTGTAATGGACTTTTGGATTTTCATCAGTCTGAGACTAAGGTGAATAATGGTGTTATAAACATTCTTGTACACATTTCAGTGCACATACTTAACATTTCTGTTGGATATACAATCATGCTCCACATAATGACATTTCAGTCTGTGACAGACTACATATGTGACAGTGGTCCCATAAGATTATAATACAGTATTTTGGCTGGGCGCGGTGGCTCACGCCTGTAATCCCAGCACTTTGGGAGGCCGAGACGGGCAGATCACGAGGTCAGGAGATCGAGACCATCCTGCTTAACACAGTGAAACCCTGTCTCTACTAAAAATAGAAAAAAATTAGCCAGGTGTGGTGGCGGGCACCTGTAATCCCAGCTACTCGGGAGGCTGAGGCGGGAGAATGGCATGAATCCAGGAGGTGGAGGTTGCAGTGAGCTGAGATCACGCCACTGCACTCTAGCCTGGGTGACAGTGAGACTCCGTCTCAAAAAAAAAAAAAAGATTATAATACAGTATTTTTACTATAGCTTTTCTATGTTTAGATATACAAATACTTACCTTTGTAGTACAACTGCCTGCGGTATTCAGTACAGTAACATGCTATTCAGGTTTGTAGCTCAAGAGCAATAGGGTAGACCATGTAGCCTAGGTTTGTAGTAGGCTGTACCAGTGATGAAATTGCCTAACAATGCATTTCTTAGAATATTTCCCCATTGTTAAGTGATGCATGACTGTATATCTAGGAGGGAAATTATTGTATTACAGGATAAGTATATTGTTAGTTTTTAGAAGGTATTGCCAAACCGTTTCCCAAAGTGTATGAGAATTCCCAGTTACTCTACGACCATCAAGCACTTGCTATATTCTGGGGACCTGGGGTTTGAGTTTGTTTTAATCATTCTTGTGGATGTATAGTAGTAACTCTGTGTGATTCTATTTGCATTTCCCAGATACCTAATGCTGTTGAACACCTTTTCATATGCTTATTGGTCACTTGAATATTCTTTTTCATAAAATGGTTGTTAAAATTATTGGCCATTTTCTTGTTGGCTATTTATTTCTTATTGATATACAGAAGACATAAATTAACAGATAAGATACATGTATAGATACACAAAATCATAGGAATTCTTTGTTGGAGATATATGGCAAATTTCTTCCATTCTCTCACTAGTCTTTTTGTTATTGAATGGTGTCATCTAATAAAATAAAGTTCTGAATTTTAATTCATTCCAATTTATCAATCTTTCCTTTTATGGCTATTAGCAGCACTCCTAGACTTGAAAAAGAAAAAAGAAAAAAAAAACTGCCTAACTGGAGGTTAAAAAAAACTCTTCTAAGAAGCTGTATGGTTTTAATTTTCTCATTTAGTTCTAAGATGTTTCTGGAATTGATTTTTTGTGTATGGCATAAATTAGGGGCCAAGATTTTTTAAGTTGGGATATAAAATTAATCTAGCACTATTTCTAAAATGCACCTCATTTTACATTGGACTACTGTGGCACATTTTTTGTAAATAGTTATTTATGTGAATCTGTCACTGGGCTCTTTTTTCTCTTCATCTATTTGTCCATCTTGGCATCAATACTATTTTAATTAATATAGTCTCAATAAATGCTTACATAAAATCTCCAACATTCTTTCTCTTCTTCAAGATTATCTTTGCTATTGGCAAATCTGAAATTTTTATTGTCATTTTATTGAACCTGTAGATAAATTTAGAAAGAAGTGACATCTTAAACAATAATTAGTCTCCTAATTCTTAAAAATAGTATGAGCATTTATTTAGGTATTTTATCTCATTAATCTTTTTTTAGTTTTCCGTGCAGAAATTTTACACATACTTTGTTAAATTTATCCCTGTGTATTTTATTTTTTATACCATTATACCTGCCTATTTTTCATACTATTATACCTGTGTATTTTTCAGTTTTTGTACATGATAATTTGTTGCTAATATATAAAAGCATAATAATTTCTTTAATATTGCTCTGTGTTTATACATAGAGTTTCCAGGTTTTCAATGTACACAATCTCATCGTCTGTAAATAATATGGTTTTTCCCCTCTCTTTTCAATATTTATACCCTTTATTTTTCTTGCTGACTAGGACCTCCAGTAAAATGTCGAGTAAAAGTGATGATAACTGATATCATTATGCCTTTCCAAATTCAGGATAAAAAATTTTAACAATTCAACCTTAAGGATTTTTTGTATATTTTTGAAGATATCCATTATTAGATATACTAACAATTGTGTTATGAATAAGTGTTATCTTTTACAAAATATTGTTAGTACACCTATTGATATAATCATGCATTTTCTTCTTTATTCTATAAATGAAATGAATTACATTAATTGACTTTTCAAATGTTAAACTAATCTTGCATTCCTGGACAATGCTAACTTGCTTTCCATTATTCTTTATACATTCTGCTGGGTTTAACTTGCAAAGATTCTGTTTGGACATTTTGCCTCTATGTTACTAAGAAATATATGTTGGCAAAATAATTGGTACCTGCTTCTCAATTAGTGGCATCATGTGGCTTTCTGCAGATGTTTTGTAAAGGGGCCAATAACCTCTTTCCACCAGGATATTGATATTCAGTGCTGTGTCTCTTATACGATAATAAGGCTTCGACATCCATGAGCAAAATTTAGCTAAGAGTTTTGAGTTTTATGAGTTGTCCTGTGCCCTGGATCTTCATAGCAAGTGGTAGAATGGAGGCAGTGGCTCAGAGCTTTGTGGACATGTCTCTGAGCCCACAGCTTTCTGTTGTAGATAGGTATGATGAATCCACGTAACGATTTGCCTTCAGGGTAAATTCCAAACTCTTAAATACAGAACCCAAGACCTGCAGGTCCTGGGATCTATAGATCTCTCAAGTCTCATACCTTACTCTGCTTCCTAGCTCCCTCTTGCAATCTAGAAGTCCAATGCACTATCCATTGCACTACAGAGCCAGGTCCTCTTGCAATCTATATGGTTCATATGTACTGACTTACTTATAGTTCCTTGAATATATCAAGCTTTCACTCATTTTAGAGACAGGACCTGCTTTTCTCCTGCCAGGACCTACTTTTTCTATTTAGGTATTGTCTTTTTTTAGTGTGCCTTATTATACAGAGATATCACAGAGGATGGCTACTATGTCTTACTCATCTTTTTATCCTACAGACTTGACCAGTATATAAGAGGCACTCTAAAACAATGTTTGTTTGAAATGAATGAATTTATGAAAATGTATTTACTACAAGTCTCCTATGTTCATTGTCATCTCAGTGTAAGAACTAAGGACCAGGCCAGGGGCAGTGGCTCATGCCTGTGATCCCAGCACTTTGGGAGGCCGAGGCAGACAGATCACCTGAGGTCAGGAGTTCGAGACCAGCCTGGCCAACGTGGTGAAACCCTGTCTCTACTAAAAATACAAAAATTAGCCAGGCATGTTGGTGGGCACCTGTAATCCCAGCTACTCAGGAGGCTGAGGCAGGAGAATTGCTTCAACCTGGGAGGCAGAGGTTGCAGTGAGCTGAGATTGCACCACTGCACTCCAGCCTGGGTGACAGAGTAAGATTCTCAAAAAAAAAAAAAGAACCAAAAGATAAGTGAGAAAAGCAATAATATAACTAACTTATTCACTAATTAAGTCAGCAAATAGCTACTGAATATAGATAACTGACATCTTTATGCTTTCCGAATTCAGGGTTAAAATGTTCAGTAATTCAACTGTAAGTTGATTATTTTTTGTATGTTTTTGATATTGCGTGTAGTTTTTGCTAGGCACAATGCTACATATAGTCAATGGATGGGTTAGAAACACTCAAGTTTATAGTCTATCTGGGGAGGGAGAGAATCAAGTTAACATAATAAAAAAAAAGGTGTGAATTTTAAAATTATAACTTGAAATAAGTTCCACAAAGGGAAAAAACACAGCATTAAACTTCAGAACATAGAGAATGGGGAACGCTTATTACAGAGAGAACTTTCAAGGTAGCCTCTCTGAGGTGGTGTATTAGGCCATTCTCTCATTGCGGTAAAGAAGTACCTGAGACTGTGTAATTTATAAAGAAACGAGGTTTAATTGGCTCATGTTCTTCAGGTTATACAGGAAGCATAGCAGCTTCTGCTTTTGGTGGGGTGGGGGGCCAGGAAGCTTCCAATCATGGCAGAAGGCAAAAAGGGAGGAGTCATCTTACACAGCAGAAGCCAGAAGCAAGAGAGGGGCAAGGGAGGTGCCACGCGTGTTTAAGGGACCAGATCTCATGGGAACTCACTCACTATTGTGACCACAGCACTAAGGGGGATAGTGCTAAACCACTGATGAGAAATCCACCCCCATGATCCAATCACCCTCCACCGGGCCCCACCTCCAACAATGGAAGTACAAATCACCATGAGATTTGATGGGGCACAGATCAAAACCATATTAGGTGGTTACTATTAAGGAGCCAGTCAAAACTCTTACCTTTATACATTCTGAACCAGGGTACTTAAACAGATCATAATTTTTCTCAGGTTGGTTTATCTCAGCAGTTCTCAAAGCATTGTCCAGAGACCAGAAGGGGTTCCAAAACTCTTTCAGAGGAGCTGTGAGGTCAAAACTCTAACACTAAGATCATAATATTATCTTGCCTCATTTACTCTCATTATCTTATAAAGGTATGGTGATTTCCAGAAGTTACATGGCATGTGATGTCACATTAGATTGAATGAATAAGCTGTCCTTTATTAAACCAAATGTTAATGAGATTTGCAAAAATATGTTTAACAGTGCCATTTTCTCACTCAATATTTTTGTTTTAGACAGTATAGCTATGTTGATAAAAATGTGTTATTTGGCCTGGCATGGTGGCTCACGCCTGTAATCCCAGCACTTTGGGAGGCCGAGGCAGGCGGATCACCTGAGGTCAGGAATTCGAGACCAGCCTGACCAACATGGAGAAACCCCGTCTTTACTAAAAATACTAAATTAGCCAGGTGTGGTGGCGTGTGCCTATAATCCCAGCTACTCGGGAGGCTGAGGCCAGAGAATCCCTTGAACCCTGGAGGCGGAGGTTGCAGTGAGCTGAAATTGTACCATTGCATTCCAGCCTGGGCAACAAGAGAGAAACTCCACCTCAAAAAAAAAAAAAAAAGTGTTATTTATGTTAACATGTCATGGGTTTATTATTGCTATTTTACAATAATTTAACAAATACCTTAACAATTTCCAAGTTTTAATTTTCAATATGGTAAAAATTGATAGATAAAGCCCCATAAACCAAAGTTCTTTTGAGTTCTCAAAAGATTTTAGGAATATAAAGGGGTTCTGAGATTTAAAATTCTGGGAACTACTGGTTTTGCTAGTAAAATTAAGAACAGGTAAAAAGAATATTATCACTAGACAAACTGAAAGATACCTAAGATGATATACAAAAAATGATCCCTGCTAACCCTCCAACTTTGGACATAAATTGAAAACATCTGTCTGAAAACTATAACATTCAGTCAAACATCTCCAATGTTCCAAAAATCCCAATGTGTAGCAGGTTATGGACAAAACATTCTGAGTATTTGAGTGAGCAGGGGCAGGGCTCCATGAGGAGGAAAGTTCTGGTCCAGTTATGTGGTGCCCCATAGACCCTGATTGAGTGTTTTCCATTTTAATTGGAAAACTTGGCAGCCTCTTGTTTATAGCACAGGGGATAGGAAATCAGGCATTCGTAAGTGAAATAAAAATAGAACCAACTCCTCAATTTAAAGTTCTGGAATCTTTTCCTTGAAATGTTGCCTGCAGGTCTCTCCACCCAATTATTCTGCACCAGGACTGCTCAGCCACTGTCCAAGATGATCAATCCTGAACCTAACACCATAAAATATTCAACCCTCCATACCTTGGACTGACTGCTCTCTGGGCATTGTAAGTGCAGAACCTCCGTCATATTTTTGCCTAATTTTTACTCTCATCAGTAAAACTAGAAGTAATAAGACTCCCAACGATAAGAGATCATTATGAAGGAAAAGTTTCTTCAACATTTATTTTTTAAAAACTTAAGTTCATTCTTCTGTCATTCCAAAGAAAAATTATCCATTTTATCTTATAAAATCATATATATTTTACATTTTATCTGAAATGAAACTAGTGCCCCCCTACACCACCAATAAGTCAAGAACAACAAAAAGAGCCCACTAAAAAAAGAAAAGATTGAAAATAGCAGAATATATTAAATTGGAAGATTATTGTGGATATTCTTATAGTCTTGATGTGCTGTACCCTAAGAAACAGTTTTTCCACCATATTTTGCAAGCAGAAATTATTATATTACTTTGTGAATCCTTCCATTTGAATTTAACTTTTTGAAGGTTCTAGTCTACTTTTCCCATTGTAAATATGCTCATGCAGATTTATATGAAGTAATATATATGAAAGTGCTGTACACTATAGTATATACACTAATATATTGGATTATTGTTGTAAGTAAAGAAAGCAAAATAAAGGCCAGGCACGGTGCCTCATGCTTCTAATCCCAGCACTTTGGGAGGCAGAGGTGTGTGGATCACTTTAGCTCAGGAGTTTGAGACCAGCCTGGGCAACATGGTGAAACCCTGTCTCTATCAAAAATACAAAAATTAGCCGGACACGAAGGCACACGCCTGTGGTCCCAGCTACTCTGGAGGCTGAGGTAGGAGGATTGCTTTAGCCTGGGAAGCCAAGGCTTCAGTGAGCTGTGATCACCCCAGTGCACTGAAGCCTGGGTGACAGAGTGAGACCTGGTCTCAAAATAAATAAATTTTTTTTTAAAAAAAGCAAAATAAAATATGATCTTTTAAAGTAAAAGCTATTGATGATATTCCTATCTAATCACCTTCCATCAATCTGTAATAATGCCTTACTGAATCCAAAGTCTCCTTTTTAATTGACTAATGGAACATTTCTAGACTGATCCATTGGAGTATAGATGCCATCAAGTAATCCATTTATAATCTGGAGCCATTTTTGTTTAAAGCTGTCCAAGTGCTTCTTGGATACTTATCAATCTATTCCAGAAAGATTCTCTATTAACAAAGTTCTACAATATGCATTCCCCTACCTGCCCAAGTATTGAACAAAAAAATAATGGTTTGTAGGTATTATAATAGACAATGGCCAAAATTTACCATTATGTTTATAATTATTTACACAAATTTATTTAAGTTCAATGATACATTCTCCGGAGCTAGGTTTTTCAATTCAGAAAGTCAATGGGTTTTCAGAACCAAAAAGAAAAGAAAAGAAAAGAAAAGTCAAGCATTAGAATAACAAACTCATGATAATTGTCATTCCTGTTCTGAGGACTCAGTTTGTTTGAAAAGATTTAACTACCAAAAAGAAAAATAGTATTCAATGAATGTGAGGATGTGGAATCATTCATATATTTCCTTGAAATAGATTCTTAATAATAGTTAAAAAGACAACACTACACTGTAAGATGAAGCTACTTCAATGTAATTATTCAGTCATCAAAGACTACGAACATATAAATATGAATTTTGTCAACAGAATTATGTAATGTCTTCCATAAAGTGGCCATTTACTTCGAGGCCTCTGGTCATCATATCATTTTAACATTCTTAAGATTTTCAGTATTTTATGACTATGATTTGGAAAGGTGAGGGGAGGTCTGCAGAAAATATTTTACTTCATGGATATGCTTGTGTGTATGATCTTAATTATTCACCAAAGTTTCTACGTTTCATCTTTATTTCCCTGATAGTATCATTCTAAAATGAAGAAATGGAGGCTGGGTGCGGTGGCTCAAGCCTGTAATCCCAGCACTTTGGGAGGCCGAGGCGGGCGGATCACGAGGTCAGGAGATTGAGACCATCCTGGCTAACACGGCGAAACCCCGTCTCTACTAAAAATACAAAAAAATAAGCCGGCGTCGTGGCGAGCGCCTGTAGTCCCAGCTACTCGGGAGGCTGAGGCAGGAGAATGGCGTGAACCCGGGAGGCGGAGCTTGCAGTGAATTGAGATAGCACCACTGCACTCCAAAGGGAAAGATGTAAAAATATGTTTTCTTCTTAAATCTTGTACCATCCTCAGCAAATACTGTTGAGAACTTCACCCCTGGTTATTAAGAGAAACAAAAGTAATTTACAACACATATTTGGCACATAGACGTCCAAAGGAGACACCTCCTATCCTTAAGTGCAATATATTCTTAGAAAGAAAGACATCTTTCTGAGGAAAAAGAATAGGCAAGGGTGGAATTTCAAGTTTCAGCTTTATGATATAAATAGCTTTGCTTATATTGAAGAAGAAAGAAGAACAAGGCACCTTCAACAGCCCTTACACATTTCTGGGAGGTGGTAGCAAGTGCCATGCCCTACACTGCCCAGCATTCATAATAACTTACAACAATACAATCATAGCTTTTGCCCCAAATAATTTCTTCTGCCAATCATACATGATAAATTGTATTATGAGATTATTAGCACATAGTTAAATGTATTTAAATTGCCATTTGTACAGCTGATGGAGATTTCTGTAAATGTAGACTAGCATCAGAGCCTACACAACATGGAAAATAGCATGCATAGCATAAATCAGGCAAAATATTTGAGATCATGTATGCTTAATATGTGATACATCTGAACATTTTTCATTAGCATTTTGGCATTTTCTTTCTCCATCCTAGCTCTAGGTTGTGTTGCTAATGGACAATGTAGAGGGTATAAAGTATCCAACTTCCTTCTTCTTTTCCTTGGTTGGAGCTGAGCAATCCGTTGGCACATTCAGTGAGGCAGGAGTGGTTGGCAGGGTTAGGGCTGATGAAGAAGCCTGTGAAATCAAAATATTGACTACTTAGGGGTGTTGAACAAATAAATGAATAAATCGATGATAATGGCAAGCAGGTTTCTCACCTTTGGAGAAGAAATTACAAATATAGAAAGATGAATGCTGCAATTAAACCTGCAGTACTGAATTGGAATTGGAAGTGTCAGTGTAGAATCATGGTTTTTAAATATACATAAACAGAAATAGATAGAGCTGTAGGTGTGCATGAGTGGGTGTGTGTATACATGCACATCTTTTCTGGCTCTATCTGCAAAAAGGGCCTAGATGCAATGACACCCTGATAGAAATAAATATCCAGGGTACTCAGGTGTTGATTTCAAAGTAGCATTCGCTACTAAGGGAAAACCAAAGGTCCTCGGTAAGTGACTGAATCAAGGACTAGGGCAGGGAAACAACAAAATAAGCCTGGAACATCTTGTGCCAGAAAGTAAAAGCACGTTCAAAGAATTGTGAGGACAAGTCAAAAGGACAAAAAAGCCAGCTTGAAAGGGCTTTTATTAGCAAAGCCTGGGACAACTTGATCATCAAGTATTGTAATTACAATATTGGAGTGTAACTCATTGAGTAAAAGAAGATTCTGAGCCAATACTGGTATATATGGTAGGCAGATAGATAAGATAAATGATATATGGATGGATGAATGGATGAATAGATGGATAGGTAGATAGATGGACAGATAGCTCTACCTTATAGTAGAATGATATACATGTAAAAGGAATGATAGATTATACAAAATCACAATTTACCACCCATTATAGAAATAATTTATGTAGGCAAGAGTCATCAAAGGATGGTAAAACTAGTGGGTGAAAGCTCGAGAAAGAAGATATTTATAGTCTCAAACTATTCCCCACAAATTACTTATTTATTACTTAATATGTACAAAACATATATTAAATATTCTAAACCTAGAAAATACCATCTAAACAAAGTGATAAGACTTAAACAGCACCAAGAATGAGACAATGGACATTACATACCTGCAGAAATGATGTACTAAGAACACAACATCAATTCATGGTACTTCCTCATACAATGTATAAATCACAAGAAAACATGAGATGAAACTAAATTCTGGAACATTCTGCAAAATAATTGACCTATATTCTCTAAGAATACCAAGGTAATAAAGACAAGGAAAGTCTGAGGTGCCGGGCGCGGTCGCTCATGCCTGTAATCCCAGCACTTTGGGAGGCCGAGGTGGGTGGATCACAAGGTCAGGAGATCAAGACTATCCTGGCTAACATGGTGAAACCCCATCTCTACTAAAAATACAAAAAAATTAGCCAGGCGTGGTGGCGGGCACCTGTAGTCCCAGCTACTTGGGAGGCTGAGACAGGAGAATGGCGTGAACCCGGGAGGCGAGCTTGCAGTGAGCCGAGATCGTGCCACTGCACTCCAGCCTGGGCGACAGAGTGAGACTCCGTCTCAAAAAAAAAAAAAAAAAAAAGACTGAGGATCTTTTCCATATTGAAGAAAACTGAAGAAACATAACAACTCCTGGACTTCATAAACAATGTTATTATAATTGGCAAAATTTGAATGGGGTCTATGGATTAGATAGCAATATTTTATCATTGTAAATTCCCTAATTTTAAAGATTTGATTGTGATTACATAGGAGAGTGTCCTTGTTTTTAGGAAATACACATTGAAAGTAATAAGATATCATGTCTGAAACTTACTCTCCAATGCTTCAGAAAAGTGTATAGTAATATGCACATATTATGTATATTGCGTGTTGTTTGTGTGTATAGAGAGAAAGAGAGACAGAGAGAATGGTAAAATAAATGCACTAAAAGAATATTTGGGAACTTGATTGAGGAGTACTATCAAGATTGAGAGATCTTTGTATTGCTTCTGCATCTTTTCTATAAATTTAAAATCATTTCAAAATAAAAAGAAAAAAGCTTAATTTTCAGTACCCCTCAATAAAAAGCAGGAAGCCCTCTTTTTTAAAGCGACAAATATGTGTGTGTACACATACACACACAAATACAAGAAGCAATGACCCAGAGTCTACAAAAAATAATTCAAGGTTATATTAAACTATCAAAATATAACAAGGAAAAATGGTTGTCTATTTCACCCAGTTCTGTCTCCTAGAAGATAAATCTCAAAGTTTGGGTTCCAAATTTATGTCCACTTTTCTCTGTTTCAATTTATTGATTTCCAGTTTCTCAGAGAATTATTTTGGCAGATTGTACCCTTTCTAATATTTCTCAGTGAGACCACCTTCCAAATAATTCTGTCTAAAGTTTTATAAATGTTCTCAATATAACCACATATCATATCTCTTCCATGTAGAAAAACAGAGAGATTTTTTAAATTCGTAGACAATACTTAGTATTTTAATTTGAGGAATTGTGCCTGAAAATTAACTTTTTCTCCCCCTAGTGTTTGGACATAAAGCATGGGGCTTGGATGGTAGGCAGGGAAGACAGGTATCATTAGAGGTGTTTCTTTCCAGGATAGGGGTTTTGTAATACAATAAATTTCATGTTTTCTGTGTGATTTTCTTTAATTCTAGATATTGACTTTCATGATTAAAGTTTAAGACTATCTTCTAGGTAGGATATCTTTTGAAAAGAAAATCTTGGTCTCAATATTAGAGTGATAAGCTATAATAAGCAATTCTCTGTGTTACATTCTTTTAAGTTTTAAAATTTTAAATCAATTAACAATTGAGTTTTAGGAAGTACATTAGTCAGGGTTCTCCAGAGGGACAGAACCAATAGGATATATATGTAAAGGGGAGTTTATTAGAGAGAATTGACTCAAACTATTATAAGGCGAAGTCCCATGACAGGCCATCTGCAAGCTAGGGAAACAGAGAAGCTAGTAGCCTGGCTCAGTCCAAGTCCAAAAGCCTCAAAACCGGGGAAGCCAACAGTGCGGCCCTTAGTCTGTGGCTGAAGGACTGAGAGCCCCTAGGTGGCCACTGGTCCAAGTCCCAGAGTCCAAAGGCTGAAAAACTTGGAGTCTGATGTCCAAGGGCAAGAGAGGAAGCAAGCCTCCCGCAGGCCATGGGAAGAGAGAGCTAGCCAGAGAAGACACAGCAAGCTGCTTATCCCCTTCTTCAGCCTGCTTTGTTCGTGCCATGATGGCAGCCAATTGGATGGTGTGCACTCAACGTTTAGGGTGGGTCTTCCTCTCCCGGTCCACGGACTCCATGTCAGTCTCCTCTGGCAACACCCTCACGGACACACCCAGAAACAATACTTCACCAGCCATCTAGGCACCCCTCAACCCAGTCAAGTTGACACCTAATATTAACTATCACAAAAGTTATAAACTTTTCCCCCAAAAGAAACTAAATGCTGTGTTTGCTACATTGGGATGATGAAAAAAATTGAGTTTTGGTAGAAATCCCAGAAGTGTTACAGAAGTCCCAGCTAGATTCAAAATGGTAATGATGAGATGATGACGATAGTAGTGGTAGTGATGGTGCTGATTGTGAGGATGATTATAAAGAAGAAGGAAGAGGGAATTAGAATGACTATGTTAATGATTATATGTACCAACATTTGAGAGCCTATTTAGGTCCTGTTTAAAGTGCCCTGCATACCCTTAGCATACTTAATCATTAAATAACTCCACGAGGTAAGTATTATCATTATGCACATTTTGGAAGTGAAAAAAAATGAGTTGCAGAGAGATCAGATAAATTGCCAAAGGTCACAGAATGAACAAAAGGTAGAACCAAGCTCCAAACCCAGGTCAATATGTCTCCCTCGCAGTAACATGTTGAATTGGGAGTTGTCCTTCTCCTTCCTGGCCCCTCTACCAACACACATCAACTATATTCCCTGAATTTTCACAGAACATAGAAGTTGGATGGAAAATAATTTTAATCCTGTCCACTGTTGTACTTCAGATATACAGACATGTATGCCTGACATCATATATAGGGGACTATGGAAGCAACGTTATAGATGGCAACCAAGAAGCCTGTGTGTTAGAGAAGAGAGAAATTCATAAGTGAGGGCAACCTCGGTAACTGCTTGAAGGGAGCAAGAGCAGTGGTTCATGATACAAAGCAGACATTACTAGAATCTACACTAACCTAGAGAAAGTGTTTCTATGTCCTGGGAAGTTGAAAACTACATTGCAAATCTGAAAGAAAAACAACCGAAGATTCCAGCAACTCTGCTGAGTGGCCCTCTCCCTGTCCCATTGCCACTGAACAGGGGATATAAGAGGGAGAAGGCACTACCCAGATCACAGTGGGGAAAGCAGTCACCTCAATCACGTTCAAGGTAGAGAAGGTCAACACAACTGCCTGGGCAGCCAGAGGGGACAACAAGAGCCAGCAGGCATCAGAGCAGTCCAGCACTCAGCCACCAAGAAGGACAAGCTGAGAAAGAGCTGCAGCCGAGGCAGGCAGGGGAGCAGCAAAGCTGGGGTGTACATTTCAAACTAGGACACCTTTCTTAGAAACCTGAACTGAGACCCCAAAAAAACAGAAGGACTGAGTTTCTCTGTTTAAGAGCGAGAGCTCGTCAGTTCTGAAACCTAGAAGTAAAAGCCTGAAAGTGGCCTATTCTCAGGTCTACACAGTCTAGGCACCCAAGCATGCTTGGGTTAACACTAATTTAATGACAGGCTACTCTATTTTTAATAAATATCTAGATTTGCTTTCTTGTATTGAGTCCTTAAGATGCCTACTTTTGCTTTGTAAGTTTCTGTTATAAAAGATGAGCCAGGAAAACGTAAACTATGATTCTGTGTATTTTCCTAACAAACCATTCAACCATCCAAATGTGAAAACTGATGATTTGCTATCTTTCAAACTGCTCTTCCCACACGGTGGTAAAAGCTTGTTTAGACATTCAAAGGGATCTGGTGCACTACCATGACTTCATTCATTCACTCATTCAGCAAATACTTGTTGAGCGCTTACTCTGTGCCAAGTACTTGATATGCACAAAGCAAAGATTCCCCACCCTCATGAAGTTTGTAGTGTGGTGAGAGAGATCACTTACATAATGCATAATTAATAGGTTAATTATTGGGGATGTTAGAAGACACAAGTGCTATGGAGAAAAGAAAAAGTCAAGCAGAGTAAAAGAAATCAGAAATGGCAGACAAGGGTTGAAGTATCAAGGTTGAAGTATTAAGTGGTATGAATAGTTTTAACATTTCGTAATGGAAACAGTCAGAAATGTTTAATGTGACCCATTCCCAGGCTGTCTCCAAATGCACCACCACCAACTCATTATAAAGTTGTCCAGATAAGAACTTCAAATTGGAATTATTTAACTTGGATAATTCTGGTTATTAAATGTAACTATTTAACATTGTATAGGATGACATAATTGAGTGATACTTCATAGAGTTGTATAGCTTTCGAAGTGAAAAAGGTCTAATTAGAAAACTAATGACTTCTCATCTCATGGGTAAGAAAATTAGACCCTGAGAATTTAGGTGATTTGACCAAAATCACTGAGTCAGTAAATAGCATAAAAAGAACTAAAATGTAGTTTTATCAAAAAAGTATTTTCTGTAAACACAAATTTCAATTTTTTTGTAATGAGTTTACTTCTCTATTTCCTGTTTACTTTTTATTCCTAATGCCCACACAATTAGGGAATTTCATTCCCAATTCATCCTGTTTCTGCCTGCCCTGCTTATTTAGTTTGTGTGTGTGTGTGTGTGTGTGTGTATGTGTGTGTCCTTTAAGGTGTTTCTTTATGCAGATACAAGAAAATATGAATATATTATTTAATCACTTGTTAATACAAAAATAACATGTAGATATTGCTCTATACTTTCATTTACTTGTCTTTTAAAAGAGATTCCTTACCTATTTCCTTAAATTCTGCAGTTCCTATCTTGCAGTGAAGGATATAATACTAGCAATGATCTTTTCTTAGTAGAGATTGAGACTATGGAACAGAGTTCTTTAATCAAGGTGCAGATAACAGAAAGCCTGACTTACAGAGATCCAAACAAATAGGCATTTTATTCTTCTCTTACAACAGAATCCCTGAAGTCAGTGGTTACTGGCATTGAGTCAGCAGTTCAGGAATGAATCAGGGACCTGGATCTTGTTTTCTCATCCTACCATTCTTGAAAGTTGGCTTTTACCTTCTTGCTTGCAATTGTAAAAGCCTATTGTACCTTTAGGCATTATCTACATGGATGGAGAGAGGTGATGAAGAGGCCCCCTCCTCAATCAAGTTTGCATTATTGTTCAGGAAAGAAACCCCTCCCTGCTAGCCCTCCCATTACACTTCACTGGCAAGAGCTGAGTCACATGCCCACTCTTAGATCAATCACAGGCCAAGAGGAATACAATTATCTTAGCCGTATAAACCAATCAGATATATAGGGATGCCAATTTTTTGTAATGGTTGCATAGTATTCCATTGTACAGAAATAAGTGGTTCTCTATTGATGGACTTTAGATTGCTTTCAATCTTACACTATTGCAAGCTATGCTGCAATGACTATTTCTGGAATTATGCTATTTTGCACAATTGCTACTTTATTTGAAAAAAAAATCTAGAAGTACAAATTATTTTAACCAATTTTAAATGGAAACAATGTTCCAAAATACGTAGTGCACAATGAAACATGATGACATGTTTATGAACATTATTTTTAGGTTGATTGATCTGATTTAATGATGTTTCATTCATTGATTCAACAATTATTTTTAGATTCACTACTGTAGAGAGAGCTCTGTATAATTTCAAGGAATACAACCATAATCTTTGCTTTCAAAGGACATAAAAGTTTGAGAATTTAGCAGGCTGAAGTTAATTAATTTAAAACTTTTTCTAATTTAATGTGTGTTTTACTATTGATAATGTTCAAATGGAGGCAATTAATCGACCTTTTTCTCCCTAAGGTGTATATAATCATTTTTCCAATAGGGAAAAGCAATCCTTCAAAATTTTAGACACTTTACTAAAATAACTTATCAGCCTTAGGGTTGCTATTAATATATTAATTTTGTCATTGTTATGGTGACTTCAAATAAGTCTAGTTTGCAGTTTGACACACTGATTCCTCTGGGGTTTTTTCTACACTTTAAGGTTTCACTGTGCTTCCTTGGATATAAGTTTTGTAAAACAGTTCCTGAAGGAGAGGGAACAATAGCCCAACTCTTAAAGAACAAAATATTATTTTCAAGATTTTTTTGCCACATATTTTTCAGGAAAGAATTCAGAAGTAAAGGCATTCGTTAAAATTTTTTCAAACCTAAGTGTAGGACACTAAAGACACCCATTCTACGAAATTGACACTTACAGAGCTGACAAATTGCATAAAGGGTCTTTGTGGATATTGATACTAGTTATGCAGACAAAAGAGGCTCTCCACCAAGAATTTATCAAGGGAGTCTACAGAAAAACTAATTGCCCAAATCTCAGAATATTCCTAGCTAGTGTTGTTAAGGAATAAATAATAACAAACAATTAAGACACCAAGTATAAGGAAACAAATATCTTAAGGTTACAAAAGCAATTCATCTAAATTGAGGACCTCCATGAAGAGGGTTTGAGTCAGATCTAGAGCTGTAGTCCAGATTTGAAGTGAATTGCTAGTTTTTGTAGAGCCAGGGAAAGCCCTGGCTTCAGAACGGTGTTGTGATTGGGAGCATAGTGATGGCTGAGGATAGGATGCTGTGGATCATATCCTCAGCATTTGATAGTGGAAGCATCCCATGAGTCAATGATTTACCTTCTGAGTCTCAGTTTCTTCAGCTATTTGACAAAGATAATATGCCTACTTTTATTCAAGACCTGAACAAAAAGAATCTAATGTAACTACTAGACAATCTGCAATGTGTTGAAACTTGCATATGAGTATGCTGTTTGGTTTTTGCTGGGCACCTTGGTTAGCATATCACTAAAGACTTTCCCAGGCCTGACCTGAGCCTTCTTTTCCAGCACCACCTGTCTTTACACCTTACCTCATAAATTTCACTTTCAGGAAAAAAAAAAAAACTCCCCATAATGCCACATCGTAGTTCCCCATGCTGTTTCACATCTCTGTTCCTCTTGCCTGGAATACTTGCTCTGTTTTCCTCATGACTAGCTCAAGGGTAACATCCACCAGTGGTGTTTTGCTCACCACTTGCTTTCTCACAGGGACAAGTCATGCATGTGCATGTGTACCCATGTGTGTTGGGAATGGGAAGAGGAAAGATGGCAGGAAATGGGCAATGAGGCTTGTTGTGGTTTGAGTTTGTTCCCCACAAAGTTCATGTGTTAGAGACTTAGTGGCCATTATAACACTATTAAGAGGTGAAGCCTTTAAGAGGTGATTAGGCCAAGAGGGCTACATCCTCATGAATGGAGTAATGCTGTTATCTTGGGAGCTGGTTAGTTATTGAGGGAGTGGGTTCTTGATAAAAGGGTAAGTTTGGCCCCACTTCCTTCTGTCCCACATGCTTGCTTGCTCTCTGCCATGGGATAATGTGGCATGAAGGCCCTCACCAGAAGCCAGCACCATGCTCTTGGACTTCCCAGCCTCCAGTACCATGAGCCAAATAAAGTTTCATTTGTATAAATTACCTAATCTGTGGTATTCTGTTATAGCAGCAGTAAACAGAGACAAGTAAAACAAGGCTGAAGAGGTCTTTCAAGACCAGATTGAGAAGGGCTTTACATGTTACAGTAAGGAGTTTTACCTAATATTATGGGCAAAATCTTAGGGAGGTTACAGAGTATTTTAGTAATGAGAGGATCAGATATTTTTTATTTAGGAAATGATCTGACTGCAGTGAGGAGGATTGACTGGAGAGAAAGAAAATGTCACAAATCCAAATAGGGCTTGCCAGACAAAGAAAAATTTCACTATACATTGTCTTCTCCTCTCCTTTGGAGTTTCCAGAAGTTAGTGGGTTTGTGCATGGGTCCAGTGAGGGTGGTATTTCACGGGAATCCTGGAGACTTATAAAGCATCATGAAGTGAGTGTTGGGGTCCCTGAGGCATGAGTCTAATTGTGGCAGCCCAGCCTCTCCCCAAGGTCTGCTCTCAGCCACTCTCTCTTTACAACAGAAGATAGAGGACAACATTAATATATTCTAATAATAAAAAATAGAGGGAAAGCCATATAAATAGGGGAAGACAGCAAATGAAGAAGGAGCATGCTTAGAAGGGCAGTTACCACCTGGGCGCTGTAGCTCACACCTGCAGTCCCAGCACTTTGAGAGGCCAAGGCGGGTGGATCATGAGGTCAAGAGATAGAGACCATCCTGGCCTGGCCAACATGGTGAAACTCAGTCTCTACTAAAAATACAAAAATTAGATGGGTGTGGTGGCACGTGGCTGTAGTCCCAGCTACTCAGGAGGCTGAGGCAGGAGTATCTCTTGAACCTGGGAGGTGGAGGTTGCAGTGAGCCAAGATCGTGCCACTGTACTCCAGCCTGGCAACAGAGTGAAACTCTGTCTCAAAAAAAAAAAAAAAAAAGAAGAAAAAAAAAAGGACAGTTACCATTTTTGTTCATCACCTCTCTGCCAGTGGCTTTTCCTTTTACAGTAGTCCTCAACTCAAATTTTAGAATGCACTGGAATCATCTGGAGGGCTCATTAAACCATAGACTCAGTGATTCTGATTCTATAGGTTTAAAGTAGGGCCAATAATTTGCGTTTCTAACAAGGTCCCTTGATAGGCTGATGCTGCTGGCCCAGGAACCACACTTTCAGAAACAGTCTTATTTTCTCTCTTGAACACCTCAATAACATAGCAGGGTAGTATTAACAGAAGAAGAAACACTTATTGAAGAATTAAGTGGCCAGGCGCGGTGGCTCACGCCTGTAATCCCAGCACTTTGGGAGGCCGAGGTGGATGGATCACGAGGTCAGGAGATCGAGACCATCCTGGCTAACACGGTGAAACCCCGTCTCTACTAAAAATACAAAAAATTAGCCAGGCGTGGTTGTGGGCACCTGTAGTCCCAGCTACTGGGGAGGCTGAGGCAGGAGAATGGCGTGAACCCAGGAGGCGGAGCTTGCAGTGACCCGAGATCGTGCCACTGCACTCCAGCCCAGGCGACAGAGCGAGATTCCATCTCAAAAAAAGAAAAGAAAAGAAAAAAAAAGATTTAAGTAACCTGCCCTCTGCCCTAGGTCAACTAGTAAGTAGGAAACAAAACTTGGAAGTCAGATTCTGTTGGGCTTGAAGTCCACACTTTTTTACCTCACACTCCTCTTTCCTCCACAGATGTCTTGAGACAGAGGACAGGGCAGAGGAAGCTCCCAGCTATTTCCTTTCCATCAGGGTCCAAAGTACCCACAGCACAGAAATATGAGGGTGGAGTTTAAAGGAAAATCTTGTACCTCTGAGCATTTCTTTTTCTCCAGAAACCATTTCAACTCCTTGAGTTCCTCACTGTGGCCCAGAAGGTGATATCCAGATACTTGCATGTGCTCAGATAATATCTCCTCTGAGGGAGGCACAAAATGAGCATCCCACTTTTCTACATGCAAGATAATGCCTGGAAGCGTGTGATCTGTCCACATGCATCTTGCCTTGTATGCCTTTTCAAGCGAGTTCCAGCCTCCCTCATGCTTACATCACTTACCCCCAGCACTTCCAAGTGATTTTATAAGGAATCGCCCCACTGTGCTCCCTGCAGGCCTTTCCCCATTTTTCATAAATATTTCTACATGCTATAGATGTCCCATCAAACCCTGTTTCCAACTTTGAATGATTTGTTTGAATGCCTTCACTTGCTTTTGTCCACTTCGGGCTAGAACAAAAAGAAAACAACAAAACCAAAAAATTAAAAAACAAAAACAAAATCACCCTGGAAAAGCATTTACTTTGAATATACCTGTGCTTTGAAATTAATTGTTTTATCTATAGGTAATAAGTATGTAAAAAGCCAAGATGCTGCTTTTGACCAAAGGAATCATTTAAACCCAACGTTTCATTTTTACTCCTTTCTGAAAGGTAATATTCAACTTACAAAGAGGGCAAGGTTTGCATGAGGAGACTTTAAAGTCTTTCTATGTTATTTATACTGCGTATGTTCCCACATTGCAATCATCAAAAGAAGGCTAGTTCTCCCAAGATTTTTTTTTCTACATAAGATATTGTTGTTTTTCAGGGTTTTTTGTTTGTTTGTTTTTCTGAGTAAGGAGGTAGTAAACATCAATAAAAAATTTTGCCTAAAACAGACCTTCATAATCCTCCCAAATTTTCAAACTTACTTCACCAGTATAGTTTCTATGGACTTAGTAACTTAGTATTCACTGAGTTAGGCTTGTTATAATTTCATATTCCTTGACTTTAGGTGGCATTTTTGTCCATGTGGGGTTTAATTTATTTATTATTATTATTTATTTTTAGACAGGGTCTCACTGGGTCACCCAGGCTGGAGTACAGTGGTGAGATAGTTGTTCACTGCAGCCTCCACCTCCTAGACCCATGCAATCCTCCTGCCTCTGTCCCCCAAGTAGCTGGGACTACAGGCATAAGCCATCACCCATGGTGAATTTTTGTATTTTTTTAGAGATGAGGTTTCATCGTCTTGCCCTGGCTGTTCTCAGACTCCTGATATCTAGCGATCTGCCTGGCTCTGTGGGGTTTTAAAGCCATTACACTGTATACAGTTTAGGTGAGGTTAAAAAATAGATATAGGTGAGATTAGGTGAGGTTAAAAAAATATAAATCTAGATTTTAAAAATGTAATGCATTCTTCCTCTTCCTCTCACTTTTCTTCTTGTCTCCTTCCTTCTTTCCTTCTTACCCTTCCCACTTTCTCCTTGTCCCTTTCCCTGTCCTTTCAATCCCTTCCCTAACACTTCAGCCCAAAAGCTATTCGTCAGGGCCGAGCAAGACACAGTGGGGAGGAGGGCTGCTCAGTTTCACACGTTAAAACTCCAGTAAGATGAAGAGGGTTCTGTGCTAAGGTATGGTGGTGATGGGTGGCCCAGCATGTAAGGTTGCCAGATTTAGCAAATAAAAATACAGGAAGCCCTGTTAAATTTGAATTTCAGATAAACAGTGAGTAATTTTTAGTACAAGTATATCCCATGCAATATTTGAGACATACCTATATAAAATAATTACCGTTTATTTGAAATTCAAATTTAATTGGATGTCCTATATTTTATCTGCCAACTCTGTGTCTGAGCCCAGTGTGGATGGGAAGAGCATTCACATGGGGAAGGGGCAGAGGGGGCAGCAGGTTAGCATGGGGTGCCAGAGCCAAGCAAGATGCCAGGGACATCCCCAAAAGAGAAGGACAAAGGCCCAAGAGATTGTTTATGCGCCTGGGAATTGATCAAATAAGAAAATGTATTGAGGAAAATTTTGAAGATGGGAGTCACAAATTTGGAGTGGGAGAAAACTAGAATGAAACATGTTATGGGACTGATTGAGCTTAGAGATACCAGTGTGAACATATGGTTGATAACTTTAAAATGCCATATGTACATATTTGCTTTATATTCATAGAATGCCTCTAGTGCACAAAAGAGTTGCAGCAGTGTTTATCTCTAGGTAGTAGGAGTGAGTAGTGGCTGGGGCACAAGGTGGAAAAATTACTTTTCCTTATTTTCCTTTGCTACTTTTAAAATTTTTAATTTATATTTAATTTATTTTTTAAGTTTAAATTTTAAAATTTTTAATTTAAATTGTGCTGTGTACATTATCTGTACTAGAAAATGTATTTTTAAAATATTTATGCATTAAAAAATAAAACTGGCTTTATTTCAAATCAGAAACCTTAGAGATTTTCTAGACCAAATTCCTGTATCCTTGAGGTCACAGAACCAAATATAGTAGTGAGAAAGGGCTCTGGATTCAAATTCTGATGCTGTCACATGGCAGCACAGTGCCCTTGCCTCTCCGAATGTCGCTTTCTCCCACTATAGTACAGAGCACAAAGCAAGGGCTCTGAAGTCAGCCTGCTTGAGGATGAGTCCTGTTCAGCTTCACCTTGTCCCATTGCATGATCTTGGGCAAGTCAACTGGCCTCTTTAAACTGCAGACTTTGTTATGATTGCATTAGCTTTATTCCATCAAATCCAAGAAGCCCTGGGCTGTTTAAAATGCACAATTATTTTATGTTCTACTAACAACTTTTTTAAGTCCTAGAATTTATTGTAAGTTGTCAACCACTGTGAAATGCAGGCTGATTTCAGAGACATTAAAATGTGAAAAACATTCATCTTAGAATCAATGTAGTATGATCGCACTTACCAAAGGCAAAAAAATAACAGAAAAAGAGGTTCAATGGTAATTGAGAAGTAAGTGGACAGAAGTGAAGAATATCAGGCTAGCATCCAGTAAACATTACAGATGGGAGAAAAAGGGAAGTGAAGATACAATGGGAGGTAAATACTTCAATCTTTGCACAATTTAGATCAAGAAAATAAAAACATTTTGCAAGCACTTGTAAACAAACAAAAAATATAAACAAAATAGAATTGGGGTTACCTCCCAGGAAAGGCTGCACTGTTGTCAATAATGTGACCAAGGCGATGGCTCAAATCCCAGCACTTTGGGAGGCTGAGGCGGATCACTTGAGCCCAGGAGTTGAAGACCAGCCTGGGCGACATAGTGAAAGCCCATCTCTACCAAAAAAAAAAAAATTAGCCAGATGTGGTGGCGCACCCGTAGTCCCAGCTACTTCGGGGGCTGAGGCAGGAGGAACACTTGGGCCCAGGAGGTTGAGGCTGCAGTGAGCTGTGATCTCACCAAAGCACTCTAGCCTGGGCAACAGAGTGAGATTCTGTGTCTCTAATAATAATAATAGTGTGACCAAGAACGGAAACCCACTCCCTACCTTATAATGACATGTTACCAAGAGGCAGCAGATGTGTAGTTCTAAGTTGGGCACGGAAGCAGGCAGCATTGAGGACCAGCCAGTTGAGTTGGGGTATAGACTGCCTCTGGGCTTGCACCTGGGTGAAGTCAAAAGAGATAATAAAAAGGGGATTTGGGGAGGTCTGTAAAATATGTAACTTAAGGATGAATGCCTGAGAACTCTGGGGGAACTCTGGGCCTGCTTAATTCTCCTGTTGACCCTGGTGAGACACAGAAATTTTCAAAAAGAGCCAGACATGATGGTGCGTCTGTGTAGTCCCAGCTCCTGCGGAGGCTGAGGTGGGAGGATTGCTTGAGCCCCTGAGTTCCAGATCAGACTGGACAACATAGCAAGACCCCTTCATTTAAAAAAATGTTTTAGGCTGGGTGTGGTGGCTCACACCTGTAATCCCAGCACTTTCGGAGGCCGAGGCAGGCGGATCACGAGGTCAGGAGATTGAGACCATCCTGGCTAATGCGGTGGTTTAACATGATAAGACCATCCTGGCTAACCCCGTCTCTACTAAAAATACAAAAAATTAGCCAGGCTTGGTGGCATGCGCCTGTAATCATAGCTACTCGGGAGGCTGAGGCAGGAGAATTGCTTGAACCTGGGAGGTGGAGGTTGCAATGAGCCGAGATTGCACCACTGCACTCCAGCCTGGGTGACAGAGTGAGACTCCATCTCAAAAAAAAAAAAAAAAAGTTTTAATGTAAATAATAATAATAATTAATAATATGGCTCTGTACCTAGTTGGCCTTCACTATCCACCAACTAGTCAGCACTCTATACCGGAACTGAGTCCTGGAAGGAGGGAACCATGTATTGGTGGCAGACAGTGGCACTGTTCAGTATCACTGCTTGGGAAGAGGGGAGTCCTGATTTCCTCGGGAGGGTCAGGGAGGGTGGGGTTGGGGAGTGGAGTGTTGAAGAGGGAGTAGACACTTACCTCATAGAGGTGTTGTAGGAATTAATAACATCACCATGTCTGGTACATGGTAAGTGCTCAGTAATGCTAGCTATTGTTAAATGAAAAAAAAAAGCTTTTTATGCCATAAAATGCTATGCAAATATTTATATTGTGTAATTTTTTAAGCACCGTCAAGATTAGATCCTGATTCTTGAGACTTGCGATTCAGACCACTTTGCAACATGCCACACTGTGCTTATTTCATGTACTATTACTTTAAATTGAACTCTTTTTCAATAAACTGCATTATATATACTTGTTCATAAACAATATTTTTGTGCATGGGTGCTGTGTATCTTTCAGATATTTCCATAATATATACACACAATGTAACACAGAAATACAGATTTTTCTTTTAAAGAGCAAAGCTTCAGCAGTTTCTCTTGAATTTTATTCTGTCATTTGACTACATTATATTTCTGATGTTCAATTTGTACTGAGTACATTATGGACTTCTCTAGGGAACAGAAAGAATTCTTTTAAGTAAACATAAAATGCTTTGATAAATCAAAACATGCGAATGAGATTTCTGTTAAAAATGTTCCAATCTGTTTTGAGACTTGAAATAAAGCTGTCTTTAACATAATAAAACCTGTTAACCTAAAGGCAACAATAAAATAATAATAATAACTCATTTGTTATAGAAGTAATGCATAGGGCTTATTTTGAAAGGTTAGTTATATTAAATACAAAGGGAATCTTGCTATAAACCAGTTGTAAAGAAACTTAAAAGCTGTTAAGGTCTATGCTATCTGACTTAAGCTGACAATAAGTATAAGTTTTTGGAATTCATATGTAACCATTTATATCATAAACTAGCCATTATGTCTCTCATGTTGAAAAGTCAATCATATTCTAAATATTCTGGAATCTCACCTCAGTGCTAGCTCCATAAGAACAGGGACCTTGCCTTGCCCATCCACAGCTGTATTCCCAGCAACTAGAATAGTGTCTGCCATAATAGGGTTCAATAATCCTAAATGAATGAACAATATACATAGATTTTTGAAGATTTAAGAAATCTCGACACTCAAACTTTCAAATATAGGCCCAGAGCAGTGGCTCATGCTTGTAATCTCAGCACTGTGGGAAGCCCTGATGCATGGATCACTTGAGCCCAGGAGTTTGAACTACCTGGGCAACATGGTGAAACCCTGTCTCTACAAAAAAAAAAAAAATAGCTGGGTATGGTGGTACAAGCCTGTAGGCCCAGCTACTTGGGGGGCTGAGGCAAGAGAATCGCTTGAGCCCGGGAGGTCAAGACTGCAGTGAACCGTGTTTGTGCCACTGCACTCCAGCCTAGGTGACAAAATGAGACCCTATCTCGAAAAAAAAAAAAAATCCCAAAATAAAAAACAGGTAGTTGGGGAATGATAATTTAAAATACAAAATGGTCCTGTGAGCTTGCAAGTTTGATCTAGGTCAAAATGTAGTGGAACAGAGATCTGAAAATCTCAACTCAGCTGACTAACCAGCTGTGTTTAGTAAGCTATGAAGCTGTGCCATTTAACTTCTCTGAGTTTCCGTTTCTTCTTGCCCTCTAAAATGACTGGAGGTGAAAGGAGGGAAAGATGGCTGGAGCTAATGATTCTAAGGGCCCTTCTAGTCCCCAAATTCTGTGAGATATAAAGCCCCACCCCAAGGCATTTATGTGTACGTTTACACCTTTTTACCTGAGATGAAGGCAGAGAAACTAATAGCTAAGTCACCCAAAATTGGCAATGTTGTAGAGACTGTAGAGTGGCCTTCAAAACCTGTTCTCCCCTTCCTCCTGTGCACAGAGCTAAGCTACATTTCCCCTTCTCCTGTGCAATGAGTTGTGGCCATGTGGCCATGTTCTAGGGAATAGAGTGTTAGCAAGTGGTATGCACCACTTCCAAACCTGGCTCATAAAACCTCACATGTATGCACTGCCAAACTCTTGCCCTTCCAACAGTCAGGAATGATGAACTCCACCCCCACCTCAACACACACAGCCAGAGTGACTTTAGAAGCCACATGTTGAACATGGTAGACTCACTATCAGTCTGAATTACTGAATAACTTCATGCAGTAGAACACCTACTCCCTTTCTCACCCCCAGAAAATTTGGGATACAATTCTCCATGGGTCTCTCAGGTTTTTTTGTTTTGTTGTTGTTGTTGCTGTTGTTTTGCACACCCTATGAGCAAAAGCACTCAATCCCTGCAATTCTTGACTCAAGGCTATTAAAAAAAGGCATAGAATCCCTTTGTTCTGGGCTGTCTTTTCAAGAAAGTTTGTGTAGTGAACAAACTTGAAAGATAGATAGGGTCTCCCTTGGAAGCAAAGGACAGATTTGTTTACTGTACCATATAATAAAGATGATATCTCCCTATGGGGCAAAAGGCAGCTATGCTTCCAGCTAATTTAAAAAGTTGTGGGTTCTCTAAGCTCCAGCATCCTTAGCTTTGGCATAAGCTCTCTCCATGAGCAGCACTCACCAGGGACAATCCATATTGCTCCTGTGGGACTTGGGCGACTTGGGGGAACTGACATAAACATGAAGCTTATGTTGCTTGCTATGGTAGGAGTAATAAAGTCATTTGTCTCTGACCCAAGAATTTCATGTCTTCTGCCAACTTCCATGAAACTATTATGGGCTAACTTGTAGTAGGCTTGCAAGTAGAATAAGATCCCAGACATTCATAGTACTTGACACCTGCTTACTTTCTCACCCTAGAAAACCCCTGGACTCATATGAATAACACATTACAGTTTGGGTCTATTTTTACAACCAGTGCAGCAGCAGTCACATTCCTATTAAAAATCAACAAGAAGTTAGAATAGATTACCTTATATTTGTCAAATAATAAGATGAAATTTAAAAATATGAGTCTGTTAAATGAGATATTCATATTAACTGAATACTTTTCAAAATGTATCAAAGGGTACTGCTATGGTTAAAATGTATGTGTGCCTTCAAAACTCATACATTGAAACTTAATCCCCAGTGCAATAGTATTAAAAGGTGAGGACTTTAGAAGGTAATTAAGCCATGAGGATTACACTCTCTTGAATGAAATTAGTGCCCTTATAAAAGAACTTAAGGGATCCTGTTTGATCCTTTTTGCCCTTTTGTCCTTCCATCCTTCTGCCATGTGAGGACACAGCAATAAGTTGCCTCTTGGAAGCAGAGGTCCCTAACCAGACACCAAATCTGCTGACGCCTTGTTCTTGGACTTTCAAAACTCCAGAACTGTGAGAAATAAATTACTATGACTTATAAGTGACCCAGTCTAAGGTGTTATGTTGTAGCAGCCCAAACAGACTAAGATAGGTACACTAGTCCTGTAAGGTATCTGGTGAAAATAATGTCCTATGTTTACATGTTTTGCAATACATTCACTGTTTTATATCTCATCCCCCTTCCCTGGAGAGTCACAATGCACATTAGCTTATTAACGATTCTGAGAAACCAGTAATAAGAAAACTGTTTGCATTATTTAACCAGTAGCATTTCCTGCACTTTTTCAGCATAACCCCTACTGACATTCTATGCAATGATTGTCCATGGAATACACAGGGGGAAGAAATGCAGGGTTAGATCATTTCTAAAATCCCTTTATGCATCTATGATCCAAATGTCTGAAAATAAGTAGGAAACACATTTATTAGATAAATATGAATACATTCAGTGCTTCTTAAATTTTAATGTGCAAACAGATCACCTGGGAATCTAGTTAAAATGCATATTTTGATTTAGAAATCTGTGTAGGACCTGATATTCTGCATTTCTATAGAGTTCTCAGGTGATGTCAATGCTGCTGGTCTACAGACCATTCCTTGAATAGCAATACTCTAGACAATATAGAATCTAAAAAATAATGGTTACATTTGTGGTTATTGTTTTAAGACATGTAGCAAACTAATCAATAAGAATATGTTACTACAAATAAGTTTGGTTTTGCTTTATTTTTTTAGAAATGGGGTCTCTATTGCTCAGGCTGGTGTGCAGTGGAACAATCATAGCTCACTTCAGGCTCCAACTCTTGGGCTCAAACAATCTTCCACCTCAGCCTCCCAAGTAACTGAAACTATAGGCACACACCACCATTCCTGGCTAATATCTTAAATTGTTTGTAGAGATGCAGTCTCACTACCCAAGCTTGTCTTCAACTCCTGAGCACAAGTGATCCTCCCATCTCAGCTTTCCAAAGTGCTGAGATTACAAGTATGAGCTACCACACCCAGCTGTAAATAAGTTTTAATTATATATTTAAAGAAACATGGTCCCAATTTGTTGCTTCATTTTAGACAACTCGGGGGTGATTTCAGAATTTCTCAGAAATTCAGAATATGTTTACTTAGTAGAAAATTTGTTTATTCCTGATAAATTCAGGAATATATTTACTTAGTAGAAAAATGTATGAGAATCAGTTTGGGATTCTGCACCATTGTGAAGCCTTGTCCCAACTTAGAAATTTGCATAGAGACAGGTCTTCTACAAAGACACAAATAGCCTGTGAGTCAACCCAGCAGAGGGAATTAATCTGGCCATATTTTTACCTATGCGCTTGATATGGTTTGGCTGTGTCCCCACCCAAATCTCATCTTGAATTGTAGCTCCCATAATCCCCACTTGTCATAGGAAGGACCCAGTGGGAAGTAATTGAATCATGGGGGTGGGTTTTTACCCACTGCTGTTCTCATGATAGCCAATAAATCTCACAAGATCTGATGGTTTTATAAAGGTCAGTTTCCCTGTACACACTCTGTTGTCTGCTGCCATGTAAGACATGCCTTTGCTCTTTCACCTTCTGCCATGATTGTGAGGCCTCCCTAGCCATGTGAAACTGTGAGTCCGTTAAACCTCTTTTTCTTTATAAATTACCCAGGCTCAAGTATGTATTCATTAGCAGCGTGAAAACAGACTAATACAGTGCTCTATACTAAAAGTTACTAAAGTTTATTCTCTGCAAAAAATGCTTTTTTTCTTTTGTTTTCTCTCAGTTCACATTTGAGCTTTTTTGGCCTATGTTTCAGAAATTCTTTTCCCCACTTTGCACTTATAATTGTGTAGCAGAATTGTTTCAACAAAATCTAAAGGGGTGTGAGATCAGGTAAAAAGGTTATAAGGAGATCCACTTCCAGGAGCATAAAAACATAATATCAACGAAGTTACTTCCAACAGTAAAAAGAGAGAAAGTTTGGCATGTGCTAATTAAAGACTATGATGTGTGTGAATTTGTTTCCAATTATGAGATCTGAATCCAATAATGAATTCTTTGAACATCTTTCCAAAGAAACATATATGGCTCTATATAAAATTTCATAACAATCCCTAAATAAAAATAATTTGCAACCTTCATGATACACAAGAAGAAAAATGTCAAAGGTACACTGTATGTTCTCAATGGAATAATAAAAAACATTTAAAATTATAAGCATCTGGGGAAAATTCATGATATAACATTATGTTAAATAAAAATAAAAGAAAATGTATCTTTTCTATAAGTACACAACCTAAAAAAATAAAAGAAGTTTAGCGTGTGGGGTCATAAAATCATGAGTAAATTTCCCTTTCACATAGATTTCTGTTAATACTGCATTTCTGCTATTGGTGTATGTTATTTAAAATAAGTAGAAAAACAGTTACTAATTATGGCAATAAGACTTAGAAAAAATACCTTTTTTGTTTTATTGGTGTTTTTTAATGTGTTGAAGTGGAAGAAATGTTTATCTATCAGAATTTTCTGTCAATTTTCTGTCTGTAGTGTATAAGACTAAGCTATATGTAGGGAATAGATAAGAAACCCAGCAGAAAACAGCCCACTCAAAGTAAACTGCTGAGGGGAGTTTAATAGACTCTTCACAAATGTGTGGGCAAGGATTTAGGGAAATCAGCAAGGAATCAGGCAGCCCCTGCACTGCCGGAGCTGGGGGCAGTGCCGGGCTCACAAGCAGGGAGCTATTATCACTCTTGGAACCAAAGGGAAAAGGATGGAGCAGTCAATGGAAGCTGGGTTGCATTCCTTAATGGAAAGGCTACCTTAGGGAGGGAAACAGCTAATGGACAGCATGCTGACAGGGTGAGCCTAAGGAATAGATACCCCAACCTCACAGTACTGACGCATCCTAATCATAAATCCCAATGAAGCCAAAGAACAAGGTAGCTGGTTGGTGCAGGTCAGCTCTCCAGGGGCAGAGATAGAGAAAAAAGGCATGTGGATATGGAGAGATGTGTGGACAATAAGCAGAACAAGGGGTTATAGAGGAGTACAGGAAGGGGATCTGTACATTTACACATGGGTTCACACAGGGCTTATGCTAAGGGCTTCAGGCTAATGCTAATGAAGAAAAATGTGACTAAAGGCACTTCTGAAAACCTGGAGCATTGCGTAAACATGTTTATTTCTCCTTATGTGCAACAGTGCCCGTGCTGTGTTTGCTTGGCTGAAATAAAATGTTCCAAGACATCCTGCACAATCCTTTGCATTAATAGCAAGAGCTAATGGATCTTAAAACAAGAAGAATCTTATCAGACCTGTGTCTAAAAACCTCTCCTGCAGAAACGAAGAAAATTTTTGCAATCTACCCATCTGACAAAAATCTAATATCCAGAATCTACAAGGAGCTTAAACAAATTTACAAGAAAAAACAAACAATCTCATCAAAAAGCAGGCGCAGGATATGAACAGATACTTCTCAAAAGAAGACATTTATATGGCCTACAAACATATGAAGAACGCTTATCATCACTGATCATTAGAGAAATGCAAATCGAAACTACAATGAAATTCCATCTCACACCAGTTAGAATGGAGATTATTAAAAAGTCAGGGTACAACAGATGCTGGCAAAGCTGTGGAGAAATAGGAGCGCTTTTACACTGTAGGTGGGAGTGGAAATTAGCTCAACCATTGTGGAAGACAGTGTGGCGCTTCCTCAAAGATCTAGAACCAGAAATACTATTTGACCCAGCGATCCCATTACTGGGTATATACCCAAAAGATTATAAATCATTCTACTATAAAGACACAGGCACACATATGTTTACTGCAGCACTATTTACAATAGCAAAGACTTAGAACCAACCCAAATGCCCACCAATGATAGATTGGATAAAGAAAATATGGCACATATACACCATGGAATACTATGTAGCCATAAAAAGAGATGAGTTCATGTCCTTTGCAAGGACATGGATGAAGCTGGAAGCCATCATTCTCAGCAAACTAACACAGGAACAGAAAAACCAAACACCGCATGTTCTCACTCATAAGTGGGAGTTGAACAGTGAGAACACATGGACACAGAGAGGGGAACATCATGTACCAGGGCCTGTCAGGGGATGGGGGCAAGGGGAGGGAAAGCATTAGGACAAATACCTAATGCATGACAGGTTGATAGGTGCAGCAAACCACCATGGCACATGTATACCTATGTAACAAACCTGCATGTTCTGCACATGTATCCTAGAACTTAAGTAAAGTTATTTTACTTAAAGTTAAAAAAAAAAAACTCTGCTGATCACATCTTTTTGTGGCAGATTTTATATATCATATATATAATTAATAAATCATCCTATGCCCTCATGGAGACTTTCTTGACTTCTACATTTCTCAAAAAAGATATTTTTTTCTAGACATATAAATTGTTGATGATAGTGTTGGTGATGATGATGATGACAGCTATCACTTATTGAATGCTTACTATATGTGCTAAAGTACCTAGGAAGTAGGTAATATTATTGTCTCCTTTTAACATACGGGTAAAAAACTAAGGCTAAAGGAAGTCCATTAACTTCTTCAAATCATATCACCAGAAATGACTGGGGCTTTTGGAGGCTGTCAGACTACAGAGCCCTCAATTTTAAGCAGTCCATTGCCTTTCTGAAAACAGTATATTATATCTTTTATTTTAATATTGAGAAAGTTGATTGATGATCTTTAAAACTTTTCCTTAATAGCTAATTAAATGATATACTAAACTGTCAAAGATGGAGAAAGAACAAGAGAAAAGACATCAGAGAGGGCATGAACTGAGGGGAGATGGAGGACTTGGAAAGTTCTAAGCTGATTTCAGTCTAGTTGTTGTCTCCTACCATTCACAAATGTTCTCTGTGACTTTCCATCTGAACTGACAGTTTTCCTTTCTTTCCTTAAATGAGTGTCGTGAACACTTGGGAGCTAAGTTGGATCACTTTGTCGAATCTATATTAAAGTCCTACATATGAAGCTCTAATAGTTTTGTATGCCAGAGGCCTTACATTTATCCCATGTCAGTTTTGTTCAATGAAATTCTAAGAAATATGATGGAACTGTGCATCTGACCACATAGCATCTGTCAGTGTGAAACTGCTGTACTAACATGTCAAGCTGATTTTCGTAAAACATGCCAATCAACCAAACCTGGGGGTTATCTATATTACCTAACATCAACGCTTAAAACATTAAAAAATTATAAAGAAATAAATAATAATTCTTACTCAACTTTGGAATATCAAAAGATAAATAGCCAATTGTAGATTACTCAGGCTTGATGCTTCTCCACCTCTAGACTGCAAGGCCTGCTTTTCTATTTATCAGATGATAGTCCATACTATGTAGAAATGGAACCCTTCAATAAGTTAATTCAGTGACTTGTTAACAGCTTTGACAAAAAGGTTGGTGACAAAAGTAAAATGTTTATATAAAATGACATATTGAATTTACCAGTGGGATTCAATTATTCATGATATCTATTAACATGAATGCTGAGAAGTTGCTATAAATTTCCTAAAGCTTGGACTGCCCCATAGCTTAACCCATATTTAGCAGAAGAGATGAGAAAGAATTCACTGGCTCCTCACTGGTCTGATTTGTCTGGCGGCCATGCACCAGTCTGTGCTGTTGCAGATGTGAGAACTGTAGGCTGATGAAGACAACCCTGTTACATTCCTTGTCTTTGCCACATGTTAGAAAAGACTTTATTTGGGCAAGGCCTGGATTTCCAAAATAGCTTTCTGTAGTGGTCATCTGTTGCTTTTGCCTTTTTGATATTTATTTTCTTCTTTTCCAGGTACAATACTTCAAATTTGCTTTGGGAAGTTAGCCCCACTCTGAATTTCAGAACATGTGGCTTGAGATGGATCTTGTGATCCATGCTTAGGCTACCTAAGCCCTGAATTTCCTTAGCCATATTGCTTTTTCAGAGTGGGCACATGAGCCAGTCCTGCCCTACCATCAAAATTCCATCTCTTTGGGCACACTGATTGGTTTAGAAATAGGCAGAAGCCCAAGTTAATTCAAACATAGTTAATTCTGAATCCTGGGAAGGCGTGCTAATAAAATTGTCTTTTTTGCTGGGATGACTAGTGCTAACAATGAAATAATCTTAGAGATTTAGAGCACCCACACAGAGGTCAAGAATGAAGCCCACGAATGCAAGACAGAGAAAGTGAATGATTCCTGATAACATTGTTTGAGCCCCTGGATCAAACCTTGCCTGAAGATAATGAGTACTGAATTTTCAGTCATATCAGCCAATTCCTCCTTCCATTTGCTTAGATGAGTTTGAATTGCGTTTTCTGTCACATGCAGTAAGAGAGTTCTAAATAATATATTTCTGAACTACAGTTAGTCTCACTTTCCAATTCTCCTAGAAAAATCTCCCTATTGGTCTCCCTTTTGATCTAGCACTCTCCTGTTAAAGAACATTTAACAATAAATCTTTAGTGCTTAGCTTGACAGGCACAATCTGGCCTGTCCCTTAACTTGGCTGACTCAGGCATGTGGCTTAGCAGCATGAGGCCAGTTGGAAGGAAGAAAAAATAGGACTTGGATGGGAAGTGGTCAGGGTGCTGTGGCCTCCTTGGAAGAGGGCATTCGTGGTGTCTGGGAATAGTGCCCCGTGGTCATTTCTAAAATCAGGAGTGAAATAAATATGGAAGATTGGAGACATAGAGCAAATATTTCAGAGACATAATTCTGGTAAATCTGGGTCATCAAAAGGAGTCGGGATTCTGCAGCTTAAGGGAGAGGTAAGCTTCCCTTGGTCCTTTGGTGCTTGAACCTGGGTGGAGGCAGGCAGGCAGCCAGCCATTGGTTGGGCCACCAGAGCTCACTCTGGAGAGCAACCCATACAAAGCCCCACCTGCAGGGGGAATTCAGGCCACTGCCAAATGCAGTAACCCTGTTGATATTTACTCAAGAAGTCAGATGGTCATAAGCCTGCTCCTATGAGCCTTTGATAGCTTCAGTTGGAGAATACAGAGGCAGGAAACCAAGGTAGCTGCCAACAGGTGCAACCCACTTTCCAGCTCCATGCATTGGTTTGGAGATCAGCCTAGACTTGGGCTTAAGTCCCAGATCCACCACCAGCTAGTTATACAACCTTAAGCAAGTTTTTAAATTACCTATGCCTCAGTGTTTTCATCCACAAAATAGTTATTTTTTTCAGAAAGTAATGATGATGATTAATTGAGAAATGTGTGTAAAATGCTTAGCACAGAGTAGATACTCAGTAAATGCTATTTCTCAGGACACCCCTACACTGTAGCTTACCTGAATATCCCATCTTCTATACATAGCTGCTTCTCCCATGGTTACACATTTGTTTTCTCCCCTTATGTTTCCCTACTGAAATTCTACCCACCCATTAAGATTTAATTCAAAAGTCACCACTTTCCTGAAGCTTTCCTCCCAACTAGATGGAATCTTTTTTCCGCTGTAGTTCTTCGTAAAGGACAGAAACCGCATACACAGCAGTAGTTCTTAATCTTGGCTGCATATTTGAACCATTTGAAAATCTATTAAAAATATTGATGCCTAGGCCCCAATCCCAGAAGTTTTGATTTAATTGGTCTGGGGTGAGGCTCCAGCATCAATTTGTTTAAAAAGCTCCCCAGGTGATTTCACTGTGCAGCCAAGATTTAGAACTACTGATGGTTGCATAAGTATGTTCTTAAATAACGTTTATCAGTGAATTCAAGCTAAGGTATTAATGGCTTAAAGTTTTAATAGACTAATCTTTAGAATACTTGTGTTTTTATTAAAAGCCATGCAATACTATGCTCCAAGAATACAAAAGTAAACAATATTTTTTTAATGTATAGCCCAAAGGAAAGAATCACAATTTAACTAGGGAGATGCAAATAGAGCTGTGAGCATATAATATGATATATGAGTTGTACCCTAGGAATGTGTCAAAAATAGTTTAGGAGCACAAAGAGGAAAAGCCTGCTAATTTAGAGGTGGCAGAAAAGGAAGAGAAAAAACTTCAAAATGTGGATGAGCTGAGTGTTGAAAGGTGACAACAGGTTTGCAAGGTCTGAGTCAGAAGGCTTTTCAGACCATATATGCAGGTGTCAAAATGTGTGGCTCCTCACCAAAAACCCATCTGTACGTCACCATCATCAAAGACCAAAGGTAGATAAAACCACAAAGATGGGGAAAAAACAGAGCAGAAAAACTAGAAACTCTAGAAATCAGAGCACCCCTCCTCCAACAAAGGAACGCAGCTCCTCACCAACAACGGAACAAAGCTGGACGGAGAATGACTTTGACGAGTTGAGAGAGGAAGGCTTCAGAAGATCAAACTACTCCGAGCTAAAGGAGGAAGTTCGAACCAATGGCAAAGAAGTTAAAAACTTTGAAAAAAAAAATTAGATGAATGGATAACTAGAATAACCAATGCAGAGAAGTCCTTAAAGGACCTGATGGAGCTGAAAACCACGGTACGAGAACTATATGATGAATGCACAAGCCTCAGTAACCGATGCGATCAACTGGAAGAAAGGCTATCAGCGATGGAAGATGAAAGGAACGAAATGAAGCATGAAGAGAAGTTTAGAGAAAAAAGAATAAAAAGAAATGAACAAAGCCTCCAAGAAATATGGGACTATGTGAAAAGACCAAATCTATCTCTAATTGGTGTACCTGAAAGTGACAGGAAGAATGGAACCAAGTTGGAAACCACTCTACAGGATATTATCCAGGAGAACTTCCCCAATCTAGCAAGGCAGGCAAACATTCAAATTCAGGAAATACAGAGAATGCCACAAAGATACTCCTCGAGAAGAGCAACTCTGAGACACATAATTGTCAGATTCATCAAAGTTGAAATGAAGGAAAAAATGTTAAGGGCAGCCAGAGAGAAAGGCCGGGTTACCCACAAAGGGAAGTCCATCAGACTAACAGCTGATCTCTCAGCAGAAACTCTACAAGCCAGAAGAGAGTGGGGGCCAATATTCAACATTCTTAAAGAAAAGAACTTTCAACCCAGAATTTCATATCCAGCCAAACTAAGCTTCATAAGTGAAGGAGAAATAAAATACTTTACAGACAAGCAAATGCTGAGAGATTTTGTCACCACCAGGCCTGCCCTAAAAGAGCTCCTGAAGGAAGCACTAAACATAGAAAGGAACAACCGGTACCAGCCACTGCAAAAACATGCCAAATTGTAAAGACCATCAAGGCTAGTAAGAAACTGCATCAACTAATGAGCAAAATAACCAGCTAACATCATCATGACAAGCTCAAATTCACACATAACAATACTAATCTTAAATGTAAATGGGCTAAATGTTCCGATTAAAAGGCACAGACTGGCAAATTGGATAAAGAGTCAAGACCCATCAGTGTGCTGTATTCAGGAAACCCATCTCACGTGCAGAGACACATATAGGCACAAAATAAAGGGATGGAGGAAGATCTACCAAGCAAATGGAAAACAAAAAAAGGCAGGGGTTGCAATCCTAGTCTCTGATAAAACAGACTTTAAACCAACAAAGATCAAAAGAGACAAAGAAGGCCATTACATAATGGTAAAGGGATCAATTCAACAAGAAGAACTAACTATCCTAAATATATATGCACCCAATACAGGAGAACCCAGATTCATAAAGCAAGTCCTGAGTGACCTACAAAGAGACTTAGACTCCCACACAATAATAATGGGAGGCTTTAACACCCCACTGTCAACATTAGACAGATCAACGAGACAGAAAGTTAACAAGGATATCCAGGAATTGAACTCAGCTCTGCACCAAGCGGACCTAATAGACATCTACAGAACTCTCCACCCCAAATCAACACAAATCAACAGAATATACATTCTTTTCAGCACCACACCACACCTATTCCAAAATAGACCACATAGTTGGAAGTAAAGCACTCCTCAGCAAATCTAAAAGAACAGAAATTATAACAAACTGTCTCTCAGACCACAGTGCAATCAAACTAGAACTCAGGGTTAAGAAACTCACTCAAAACCGCTCAACTACATGGAAACTGAACAACCTGCTCCTGAATGACGACTGGGTACATAACGAAATGAAAGCAGAAATAAAGATGTTCTTTGAAACCAACGAGAACAAAGACACAACATACTAGAATCTCTGGGACACATTCAAAGCAGTGTGTAGAGGGAAATTTATAGCACTAAATTCCCACAAGAGAAAGCAGGAAAGATCTAAAATTGACACCCTAACATCACAATTAAAAGAACTAGAGAAGCAAGAGCAAACACATTCAAAAGCTAGCAGAAGGCAAGAAATAACTAAGATCAGAGCAGAACTGAAGGAAATAGAGACACAAAAAAACCTTCAAAAAAATCAGTGAATCCAGGAGTTGGTTTTTTGAAAAGATCAACAAAATTGATAGACTGCTAGAAGACTAATAAAGAAGAAAAGAGAGAAGAATCAAATAGACGCAATAAAAAAATGACAAAGGGGACATCACCACCAATCCCACAGAAATACAAACTACCATCAGAGAATACTATAAACACCTCTACGCAAATAAACTAGAAAATCTAGAAGAAATGGATAAATTCCTCAACACATACACTCTCCCAAGACTAAACCAGGAAGAAGTTGAATCTCTGAAGAGACCAATAACAGGCTCTGAAATTGAGGCAATAATTAATAGCTTACCAACCAAAAAAAGTCCAGGACCAGATGGATTCACAGCCGGATTCTACCAGAGGTACAAGGAGGAATTGGTACCATTCCTTCTGAAACTATTCCAATCAATAGAAAAAGAGAGAATCCTCCCTAACTCATTTTATGAGGCTAGCATCATCCTGATACCAAAGCCTGGCAGAGACACAACAAAAAAAGAGAATTTTAGACCAATATCCTTGATGAACATTGATGCAAAAATCCTCAATAAAATACTAGCAAACCGAATCCAGCAGCACATCAAAAAGCTTATCCACCATGATCAAATGGGCTTCATCCCTGGGATGCAAGGCTGGTTCAACCTACGAAAATCAATAAACGTAATCCAGCATATAAACAGAACCAAAGACAAAAACCACATGATTATCTCAATAGATGCAGAAAAGGCCTTTGACAAAATTCAACAACCCTTCATGCTAAAAACTCTCAATAAATTAGGTATTGATGGGATGTATCTCAAAATAATAAGAGCTATCTATGACAAACCCACAGCCAATATCATACTGAATGGACAAAAACTGGAAGCATTCCCTTTGAAAACTGGCACAAGACAGGGATGCCCTGTCTCACCACTCCTATTCAACATAGTGTTGGAAGTTCAGGCCAGGGCAATCAGGCAAGAGAAGGAAATAAAGGGCATTCAATTAGGAAAAGAGGAAGTCAAATCATCCCTGTTTGCAGGTGACATGATTGTATATCTAGAAAACCCCAATGTCTCAGCCCAAAATCTCCTTAAGCTGATAAGCAACTTCAGCAAAGTCTCAGGATACAAAATCAATGTGCAGAAATCACAAGCATTCTTATACACCAATAACAGACAAACAGAGAGCCAAATCATGAGTGAACTCCCATTCACAATTGCTTCAAAGAGAATAAAATACCTAGGAATCCAACTTACAAGGGATGTGAAGGACCTCTTCAAGGAGAACTACAAACCACTGCTCAATGAAATAAAAGAGGATACAAACAAATGGAAGAACATTCCATGCTCATGGGTAGGAAGAATCAATATCATGAAAATGGCCATACTGCCCAAGGTAATTTATAGATTCAATGCCATCCCCATCAAGCTACCAATGACTTTCTTCAAAGAATTGGAAAAAACTACTTTAAAGTTCATGTGGAACCAAAAAAGAGCCCACATTGCCAAGTCAATCCTAAGCCAAAAGAACAAAGCTGGAGGCATCACACTACCTGACTTCAAACTATACTACAAGGCTACAGTAACCAAAACAGCATGGTACTGGTACCAAAACAGAGATATAGACCAATGGAACAGAACAGAGCCCTCAGAAATAACGCCACATATCTACAACTATCTGATCTTTGACAAACCTGAGAAAAACAAGTAATGGGGAAAGATTCCCTATTTAATAAATGCTGCTGGGAAAACTGGATAGCCATATGTAGAAAGCTGAAACTGGATCCCTTCCTTACACCTTATACAAAAATTAATTCAAGATGGATTAAAGACTTACATGTTAGACCTAAAACCATAAAAACCCTAGAAGAAAACCTAGGCAATACCATTCAGGACACAGGCATGGGCAAGGACTTCATGTCTGAAACACCAAAAGCAATGGCAACAAAAGACAAAATTGACAAATGGGATCTAATTAAACTAAAGAGCTTCTGAACAGCAAAAGAAACTACCATCAGAGTGAACAGGCAACCTACAGAATGGGAGAAAATTTTTGCAACCTACTCATCTGACAAAGGGCTAATATCCAGAATCTACAATGAACTCAAACAAATTTACAAGAAAAAAACAAACAACCCCATCAAAAAGTGGACAAAGGATATGAACAGACACTTCTCAAAAGAAGACAATTATGCAGCCAAAAAACACATGAAAAGATGCTCATCATCACTGGCCATCAGAGAAATGCAAATCAAAACCACAATGAGATACCATCTCACACCAGTTAGAATGGCGATCATTAAAAAGTCAGGAAACAACAGGTGCTGGAGAGGATGTGGAGAAATAGGAACACTTTTACACTGTTGGTGGGACTGTAAACTAGTTCAACCATTGTGGAAGTCGGTATGATGATTCTTCAGGGATCTAGAACTGGAAATACCATTTGACCCAGTCATCCCATTACTGGGTATATCCCCAAAGGACTATAAATCATGCTGCTATAAAGACACATGCACACGTATGTTTATTGCAGCACTATTCACAATAGCAAAGACTTGGAACCAACCCAAATGTTCAACAATGATAGACTGGATTAAGAAAATGTGGCACATATACACCATGGAATACTATACAGCCATGAAAAATGATGAGTTCATGTCCTTTGTAGGGACATGGATGAAGCTGGAAACCATCATTCTCAGCAAACTATCGCAAGGACAAAAAACCAAATACCGCATGTTCTCACTCATAGGCGGGAATTGAACAATGAGAACACATGGACACAGGAAGGGGAACATCACACATCGGGGACTGTTGTGGGGTGGGGGGAGGGGAGAGGGATAGCATTAGGAGATATACCGAATACTAAATGACGAGTTAATGGGTGCAGCACACCAACATGGCATATGTATATATATGTAACAAACCTGCACGTTATGCACATGTACCCTAAAACTTAAAGTATAATAATAATTAAAAAAAATGTGTGGCTCCTTCCTATTCATATACCTTCCTAATCCAAATGATCAATTGCTAATAGAGAGAATTGCAAACACATTGAGAGGAAGTTTTGAAGCAGGAGGTCTATTTCCCAAATTACACCTATATCAGAATTTTCAGACCATATATAGAGGTGTCAAAATGTGTGGCTCCTTTTTATTCATATACCTTCCTAACCCAAATGATCAACTGCTAATAGAATTGCAAACACATTGAGAGGAAGTTTTGAAGCAGGAGGTCTATTTCCCAAATCATACCTATTATCAGACTACTTTGGTTACAATGAACCAGCTCCCAGCTTCAGTTATTTTTAAGAGAGAAAGTTGACCTCCAAAACCAGCTCATAGAAAGGATGGGTATGACAGGGTTCAGGGATAACTGTACCAGGAACAGAATGCCCCCAAGGTTCTATTCTCCTCCTGTCCAGGGACTGCTTCTCTTTGGATGTCAATTTCATTGCCACAGGCTTGTTTTGCTTGTGCTTCTGTGGCTGATGTCAGTCCTTGGATTCATATATTCTCACCTGTCCCACCTATAGAAGCATTTTGAATGGCCTAAATTAGGCCTTGTCAACTCCTAGACCAAGCATTAAAGCAAGATATGGGGTACTCTGATTAACCTAGTTTGATTCAAGCACCTATCTCTGGCAATCAGTATGGCCAAGGAAGCAAAGTCTATGGGAAGTTGTCAGCTTCCATTCAAGTAAGTCTTGTAGTTAAAATAAGCCTTTCTTAGAGTAGACAAGGTGAGTGTGGCTTGGAAAAGAGTGTTGGGCTGATCTTAGAGATAAATCTCCACCACTGTCCATTTCATGGCCACCTAGCTCTCTCAGTATTCTCTTCTTACCATTTAAATAATTTCCCACATGCCTCTGTGGGTGATTGCAGCAACTTCCATTAAGAGGTGGAGTCTATTACCCTCTTCCTTGAATCTGCACTGGCCTTGTGACTTGCTATGGCCAATAAAAGTGACAGAAGTGACAGGGGGCTAGTTCTGAGCCTAGACTTCTAAGGGCCCTATGTACTTCTACTCTTTTAAAACCCTGCCACCAACATTAGAACAGTCCCAGGCTAATCTGATGAAGGGAAGACCCTGTATGCAGAGCCAGATTGTTTTAGGTGAGTCCATTCTAGACCAGCCAACCATCAGCCAAACCACCAGCTAAGTTACAGATGTATGAGTAAGCCAAGATCAGCCAAGCCTAGCCAAGACTAGAAGAACTACCCAACCAAGCCACAAACTCATGAGCTAAATAAATGGTTGTTGTTTTAGGCTACCAAATTTTGTGGCTGCATGTTAGCAGAATTTTTGTGGAAATAGATAACCAATACAGCTAACAGTTTACAAAATGCAATAATCCTACATATAACCACAGATACAAGCAGCCCACCTAAATGCCAATTGCTTAATGTCCAGTATCATGGGATTATGTCTCTTCCGGTCCATTAGGTACAAATGTGACTATTCTGACACTAGTACTTAATGATGGCAGAAAATTAGGATAATACCAATCAAAACTTCCCACTTAGACATGGGGAAAACAAGAGCTACATGAGGGGGCAATGCTACCTGGCACTGATCCATGCTATTGATCCTTGCCCCCAAGGGCTCCAATTTCTTTTGGGAGTCACCACTAGGCACTGCATGCATGGCCTTAGTAAGAAGATAATTCCAGCTTCACAGAAAAAAACACAAAAATTATCCTGCTGGACAGGGATAATAAGATAAATGATAGTCTTAGTGGGTCTCACTGGCATCTGTGTGTTGAATTGTTGCCCTGGCAATATATTGAGTTCTTCAAATGGCCAAGCTGGTAGCTCAGGTTCTGCCAGCTGGGTGATTTTCCTCCTCAATTTTTTTTCTGCAACAACCCTAAGGGAAGGGAAAGAGCCTTGGAAAGTTTGAAAAATTCATCCATCCAGTTCACCTACAGTTGGCGCAGGAAATCCCAGAGGCCTAAGGATTTCCTTGGGGCTTAAGCAATCATTGACTCCAGTATTCAGGTTTGGGATTTCTTCTGCAACATCACAGCCACCTAGTCACCAGCACCAGGAATGTGGTCCGGCCTGATATTTGAACTAAACGTCATCCTCACTTTTTTCTCCTAGCTTGTATCTGCTTAGGAGTTTAAAGAATCATATCTCTGCCTCCGTCTTGTGGTTGGGAGAATGGATAGAGAGGGAAGGCAAAATGAACTTTCTTTAAACTCCAGGATAATGCTTGGGAGGGCTTGGAGATCAGACTTCCTAATTTGTCTGGATTTTCCCAGTATTCCACTTCAGCTTGAGCTGAGAAATGGACTTTTACAATTTGCCAGTGCATGAATACCAGACATTCAGCAATATAATACTGCTCCTGAAGGACAGAAATGGATTTGCTTAACAAAGCTATTTCTCTCCCCTGCCAGTCTGCATTCAGCAAGGGCAAAGTGTGGCTTCCTCTTGCAGCACCATACTGAATGCCCTAAGAGGAAGTCCCCACACTTCACTATCATGATATTTTTCCTACCACATTCTCTAAAACTTCAGCCTTCATGGACATGTGGTTTGAACTCCAAGAAACCATAGACGACAGTTTAACCAATAGTGTCAAATCTGCCAGGATTTGAGCCATAAGCTTGGTAGACTGTTTCCAGAAGAAGGGTGCTCTACCCAGAACATCAACTTTCTGGACAAACAAAACAAATCCTTAACCACTACCACTTTATATTAAACACTGCTCTGGAATTGCCAACTCTGATTGATTGGTAGGGGCTTCGTACAGTGCTGTACTGAGAGGGATTCTGAGGCAGTCTGGATTCTGCGGGAAAGAATGCAGTGATTAATTAGTTATGTCTGCCAAGGTCAAGAGATAGGAGAGTAATGAGATATACGTCATGTTTTCCACCCTTATTTTATAACAATTAGGCTTAAGATCAGGTCTGTTACATGGATTTTTCTTTTAAAAATATGAATTTCATAATTTGATAAGTATTTGAGATAAAATTTGGGAAGAGTCTAATATGAAAACTAATTACCTTCACTTCGCAGTAGAATACCTTCACTTTTCAGAAGACTAGTTCACTTGTTTATATAAATAAACATTGTCCACAGAAGATTTTGTTTGTACTCCAAAAGTTACAAGGCATCCCCAGTTGAAACTGTTGCATACTTAAGTTACACATCTTTTTCCTCTTAAATAAAATGTCAGACAATAACTGAACACTTTATATCCTATAAAAATGATTCTGAGTTTTTGAGGCTCAGATATAATACTTGCTTTGCCTGCATCTCAGTCCTATGAAGATCAGATGCACTTTGAAAATGTTAAAATACTGTACAAAAGTTATTTTTATTGCTTTCCACCTTGAAAACTCTAATACTCTATGTAAATAATTTTTGCCATCATGGACTTTTTTAAAAAATTACTTGGCTCCTTATCATTGATCCTTCTTCCTTTAGGGGAATGATCTCTCAATGTCCCTTGAGGTTGCTCCAATCTCCTTTGGGGTTGCCTACAACTGTGAGTGTGCCTAGTGGTAGACACACCTGACAGTGACAACTTGACTTGAGCATCTCCTGAGAAGGACCTTGTATGGGGGAAGCACCTGAAATGTATGTTCAGAGTCCCAAGCTAAGGAATCTGGGAGTAGTCAACCTAGAGATCCATTCTTTATCTGTGAGGAACATCTGAGCCCTGTCCTATAGAATGCAGGCCATACAGGGGATTGAGGCCTTTTGTTTCAGTTTAAATAAAGGTTGCCAAGTGGAGGTTGTTAGAGGAGAGGATGTTAAGTGAAAATGCTATATAAACTGCACACCTTTGGCAAGTGGTTGTGGTTCTCCTGTCCAGCCCATCACCACTGGACTCTCTCCCACGCATGTAAGCCCCCAGTAAAACCCCCATGTCTTGTTTGCTGGCTCTGGGTCTCTTCTCTGACCTCTTGAACCTGGGAATATCCCTTTGGAGTCTACAAGCATTTGGCACAACACTGTGGCCTTGGCATAATGGTGGTCTCATCATCCCCACCCACAAAAAAATAGGGCAACAGTGGAGGCATCGTTTTCCTTTTCTGAAAAGGAAAGCTTCCACTCATTTTCTGAAATCGCTGGTGTCTAGACATGTGAGAAAGCTCAGCAGAATTTGATGCTGTCTCCAACGATACTAGCTCTTGAATACGGGCAAAAGTCAGCAGCGGCAGCAGCACGTGTGGTCACAGCCTTGCTTGAAGGCTGCATTGGCGGTGGTGTTCTGATTCTGACCTGACCATTCCTGAGAGTGAGCATGCTATGCCTCCTGGTGCCTGGCTTTCTTGTCTTCCCTCTGTTTCTCAAATCACGTTTTTCAGTCTCACAGTGAAACTCTTCATATCCAGTATCTTCTATGAATACCCCCCTTCCTTCTTGTATTTATATTTTAATGTATTTATTGCTTAAACCAGCAGTGATTTCTGTTACAATCAGAAGCCTTCAGGAATGCAATCATAGATAGGAGTAATAACATGAACTCTGTGTCTGTATTTTGTACATTGGGCCTGAAATGTGGTGGGTGCTCAATAAGTAATTGCTGAATAAATGCAAGTGTGGACTATAACTAGCCTCTGGTCTCTGTGCTCTAATTAGCCACATGAGGACCCCAATGCAGGTCCAGACAATGTGTCTGAGTTTAAGGCAGGTAAGGCCATGCCAGCTAAGTCTGTCCTCTGATGAGAGAGGTAAATTATCTCCCAGAAACCATCACCCAGAAAACTTTCACTTATTCCTCTTTGATGACCTCTAGCTCCTGTGAAGTTTGGGAAATCACTTATCTTGCCTGGGGCTGGTTCCTTTCTTGCCACAAATAGATATGAGATTCCATAAGTAAGGAAGATATGGATAAATAGATATTGGGTAGACAACTAATGATGTCTGAGAGAAAAAAGAATTAATAAAAAATAGACAATAAGTCTGGCCCTCTGAGCATCAGAGACTACTATGACTTGGATATGGTTTGTCTCCACCAAAACTCATGTTTAAATTTGATCCCCAAAGCAGTGGTTTTGGGAGGTGGCACCTGTTAAGAGGTGTATGGGTTGGGGTGGATCCGTCATGACAGGCTTGGTGCTATTCTTGCTGTAGCACGTACGTGAGTTCTCACTCTCAGGAGACTGGATTAGTTCTTATGAGAGTGGATTGTTGTAAAACCAGGATGCCCCTCAGATATCCCCCTCTTCCCATGTGTCTACCTCCCCTTTGACCTTCTCTGCCACGTTGTGACATAGCATGAAAGACCTTGTCAGAAGCCAGGGCCATGCCCTTGAACTATTCAGCCAGCAAAACCATGAATGATATAACTCCTTTTCTTTATAGAGAACCCTATCTTGGGTATTCTTTTATAGCAACACAAAATGGACTAAGACAGAGACCATGGGACTCTGGACCACTAAGGAAACAGGAGAACTTCCTAATGAGCGTAAGTCCAGGCCCCCACACTCCAATCTCTCTGCCCCAGGCCCAACATAGATGTCCCTACAGAAGACCTGTTAAGTCTGAGGATGGGGGTTTATTTTCACACAAAAACATGTAAGCTTTGATTGGAGAGGAGGACTTATTTATTCAGAGGAATCAGAATTACTCCAGCTGACTAAGGTCTTATAAGCCTGGAGGTTTCTACCCGAAGGCAGGGGTGGTCCTAAACTGCCTGGAATGAAAGGCTCAAGTCTGTGATGTATTTTCAAGGATGCAGCTCTTGTGGCCAAAGGTTCTGTGTGCTGCCAACAATCCAGCTGAAGCCTTCTCTGACTGCCTTACAAGGGCTGCTGCATAGTAACCTGGCCCCGGCCTGCCCCTTCAGGATACAACATCCCACGAGACCCCACTAACCCAGCAATGACCCTTGCCACTCTAACCTTTCTCCAAGCTCTCTGCTTCTGACCACAAGAACTAAACACTCCCATACTGTGCTCCACGAAGGCTCCAAACACTGGGACCGAGTCATAGCTAATTGGTTTTTTACAAGCCTAAAATAATCCAGACAGTTAAATATTGATGTTCATTTCTGGGTAGCTATAAACACAAAAGGGGTGAAAGAGCATGTTTTATGGCTTCCTCTCATTCATTCTTTACATGATAATGGTCTTTAGTCAATAAGCCCAGCTTTATAAAGAGGGGATTCATTTGAATTAAAAGGGATGTTCCAATGTGCTTTATGTCATTGTGACACAATGGTCCATCCACTTGGTGACATCTACCCTGTTCACCTAGCACACTCCTACTACACAAGTAATCATCCTAATAATGACAGTATCCTTTGGTTCCAATAAAACACCGTTACTATTACAATACAGATCATAGAATCACAATTTGCTATTTATGCATAATTGGTCTATCTCTCAAAGACATAGATAGTTGGTCTACTTCTCATAGACATTTGTGTTAAAGGTAACTTATATTTATGTATGTTCTCATGTTATCACTTTAGATTCTAGACTTCTCGAGGGCAGTGTCTTCATTACACATTCACTTATATTACTAATCAGATATTGATAGAAACTAGTTTCTTTCATTTTTCTATTAGTTGATAAACACCTAACTGGGCAGCAAGAAAAAAGAAACAGCTAAACTTATTTTAACACCCCAGGAAATTTCATCTTCTTCATTAATTTTGGCAGTTTTTCTACCTAACACTCAGCTTATTTTGGAAGAAATGCTCAGTCTTTCAGATTTGTGAGTTTGCTCCATGTTCTTCCCCAAGACATCTCCTGTGTCCATTTGAAGAGGCGGGGCTTGGGTGGCTCTGTGTAGTAGTTGGGAGACAGGGTCCTCAGAACAGCAGAGTCCACCCTGGATTCTCATGAGGTCTACTGCAGAAGACCCATGAGCTGGGAAACTAATGACCACAGAAGGTTGCTTTCTTTCCAGAAGGTTCTGCTGGGACCTGGTCCTAGAGCCTGGGACTAGTGTAGGTCATGGCCAGTTTTCTTTTTCAGCTTGATCTAGAGCTGGTCACCTCCCTGGTGACTTAGTCCCATGTTCACCCTTGCTGGTGCAGGACTCCCAGGAGATCCAGGCCCAGCCACTCTGCCAGGCAGTCCTCAATTGCTGCCCCTAACACAGTGACTGCCCTCCTCCTAGAAGGTTCTTACCTAACTCTCCTTGAGCTTTCCAGACCCTCCTTGGATATTCTAGAGTTCATTCATGCTATGGAGAAGCAGAAAATGATGGAGGAGGTCCACTTTCTACCTCACCCTGGGCGACATGTGGGTTTACTTTCATATGGCCTTCCTGGTTGCTGAGAGCAGTCTGTGAGGACAGAGTCCTAGATGGAAAGGAGCACAGACGCCACTCTCTTCCCCTTTCTCCTCAACCTAACACATTTCGTTGACTCTAAGATGCCATTGGTGTTGAGATATACCATTGTTCTATGTACTACTCCTACTACTAATAATATAACATAATAATAACCTAATAATAATGCCCAGAAAGCTGTGACACATCCTGATGCATCCTGATTTCAGATATGGAAAAGCGTGAAAAGATATTTATTAAATCAGTTAAATGATTTATGTTTCTGATATACATGTCTACCCAAGGAACATTGGCCCCAAGAGAAAAGATGGTAGCCTAACCACTACTATCCTTCCTCTCCTCCCACAACCCTCAGACCAAGAGGAATAAGTCTGGGGTTTTTCATTTCCTATCATTATATCCTTCTGCTATCCCAGGGTAGCAAGCTTCACTGCCTAGCTTCTCCTCTCCATGGAAGAAATCATTATCTAGTCACCCATGCCTAGCTCTATTTCTTTTGAGATGGAGTTTTGTTTTTGTTGCCCAGGCTGGAGTGCAATGGTGTGACCTGGGCTCACTGTAACCTCCGCCTCCTGAATTCAAGCAATTCTTCTATCTCAGCCTCCGGAGTAGCTGGGATCACAGGCACTCACCCCAAAACCTGGCTAATTTTTTGTATTTTTAGTAGAGACGGGGTTTCACCGTGTTGGCCAGGCTGGTCTCGAACTCCTGACCTAAGGTGATCCACCCGCCTCAGCCTCCCAAAGTGCTGGGATTACAGGCATGAGCCACCACTCCCAGCCTCATGCCTAGCTCTTGATGTCACAATATGATTATTCTGGAAAGTTATTTCTGTTTTGACAAAGCCTGGCTTTCAACAATAGGTTGACTTGTGACATAATCCCCTTTTGAATATCAAAAATTGAATATTAGGTCTTTTTTTCATTTTGAACCATATCTATAACAATCCAAAAATTCTCTGAGGCATGTTTTTCAGATGTCTCTGGCAGAATAGGGAAAAGTTCAGTTTGAGAAAATACAAAACAAAGTCAAAGCACATTAAAATATTACAAAAAAAAGTTATTCTGTTTCATTTTTATCTTCTCACAAGACCTACTGTGAAACAATGGACAAATTTGACATACAGCAAATTCTAGCTGAAAAACAAAGGATGAAAATATTTATATGTGTTTTTCTAGTTCTTTTTTGTGAGTACCTTTGAAAATATAATTTGTATCATTGACTTTCTTGTAATTTCTCACACAAAAAAAAGCTAAATTAGGTCTTGTTTTCAAGGAACTCACCAGGAATGATGACTTAGTACTTGATATCTTTGCTATTTCCAAATGAATAATATCTGTCCCACCAAAAATAACCCTGAAGCCTTATATACTTTGTATTTCTTTGTGTTGCAATCTTTGGATGAGGAGTGAACATTTGTTTCTTTTTGGTATTCTAGTAGTAACATCTCGTAGGCAAAAAAAGGTACAAATAAAAATTGTTATTATTATCTTGGTATGAATGTAACTTTTTTAGTATTAATTTGGGGCAGGCCAAAAGAGAAATTTCAGAAGCAGGACTTGTAATATAGAGGTTTTGTGCTGTTACTGAAACTTTTTCTTCCTGGCATTCTTTAAAAAGAAACTTTCCTGAGATGCCTGGTGAGGTAACACGAGTGGCTTCTCTGGCCAGGATTTAGCTGCCTCCCAGGAATAACTATCTCCTAAGGGCCTGGCTCCTTGGTAGCATGTGCTAAGACACTGAAGACGAAATCTAACTACAATTCTAAAGTATTTGGCAGGTCAATAGTTGATAGCGCTAGAAGTATTCAAAAGAAATCATAATATGATTGTGTTGACTTATAAAAGAGGTAGCTGAAAGAAGTGAAAAAAGTCTCAATCACGTGGCATTTCTTCTTCACCAAAGCTTCATTATTTCTCATATTTTCAGTGTTTTAATCGTAGAACTATAATTTAAAATATAATTTTTGGGAAACTAATATCTCTTTATGCATTTTGAGGTGTGATCTTGCCCATATCTGGACAAGATATGGGCAAGATATGGCAAGATATGGACAAGATCTTGCTCATATCTGGGCAAAATGTGTGTGTGTGTGTGTGTGTATGTGTGTAGCATCAAATCTCTAGTAAGCCCAGCTTTAATATGGAAGTCATAAAGAGGAGAAATGAGTGAATGTTGCTGAAATTTACTTTATAGATGTTGCTTTTGGAAACCGCTGGTGAGCTAACGTACTATCAGTTTTGCAAACTGATCTTTAGAATCCTATAATAAATAAAAAGTTTTAGTTATAAGATTGTCATATGTATTGGAGGAATTACTAGAAGGGGGACATTTCTTTTTATGATGACTATTAATGGCTTTCTCTAGTTGCAAGTATGATCCAATATTTCCTCACCCGTTTTTTCTTCTATTTGTAATAGGCCCTGTGCCTTACTCCAAGAAGTGTTTCTCACCAGCGATTAATAGGATGCAACACACAAAAAGGGCTGGTGAATCTGTTTGTTACACTCTACTTACTAAGGCTATGGCTACAATACTCCAGTGCTGAAGTCAGTGAAAAGGCATCATCCAAACACAATCCAAGGAAAATGCAAGCTGATACAGCACAAAGATGCTTTGTTTAAGAATGGCAGAAATTTCCAGCAACTATCTGGGAGAAAAAAAATGCAGGATGGGAGGGAATGTAATCAAATAACAAAACAAACCCAAACTAAAAGAGAATCTTTATAAACCAGCACAAGGACACTTTGTTTTTAAGTGCACACAATGAATTTTAAAGATCTTTGTTCAGAAGGGAAATAAAGTATTATGAAGGACTGACACATTTGATGGATGGATGGTTTCTGAAAAACCACATTATCAATTACTTTTTCCTTGTTTGGCTCCAGTCCAGTAATTTTTATTTGAACAAGCCACATGCTAGCATGGTTTTGATTGCAGGAAGTAACTGGTTGTTGTTAAAGGATACTATTTCACTGATGAGCTTATCTCTTCCTCCCCCCTGCCCTTTCTGATGGGAATCCGATATGAAAGGCACAGCTTCAGTTGTTATAAACAGAGTCAGGGATTGTTTGATAGACCCACCCGTGTTTTGCTTTCAGCATTCTGTGGTACAATCCAGACAATGTATTCAGCAGGGCTTCAGAAAACAAAAGTTGAATTCGGCTTATTTCTGTTCTCAACTCTGACATGAAATTTTGATATCTCTGATGTTTGTCTCTCATAAATCTAAGTTTGTTAGCAAAAAAAAAGTTATGAATATTATATTCTTTTTTATATTAGACTATCTCAAGTGAAGCCTACTGAGAAAAAAGAATCTTTATGGAACAGTGAAGCTAAAATGTATCAAAGATCTTCTCAAACAATATAGTGCCTTGTACTAGCTTTGCTTGTTTTCTAATCTTATCAAAACAAGTATATCAGAACATTATTAGTGTAAATATAAGAAATACAGCTAATTAAGCTATATTATTAAGTACTCTCAGTTTTCCCTTGCCCTTAAAGAAAGATTTGGGGGCAGTCATCAGTGGACAGGAAATTATCTATGAAATCAATTGCTGACACACACAGGGCTGTGTGTGTGTGTGTGTGTGTGCGCGTGTGTGTGTGTGTCTGCTAGTCAAGATATCTTCCTTTATGATTGAATATTTTTTGCATGTTACCATGCCTGAAACTTAAACTATTTCTAAGTTCCCAGGGTATCATGGTAACTATAGGCTTTGGAAAGTTATTTAAGTATGTTTCCTAGTTCTATATTTTAAACACTAATTTTAGTGATTATTTCTCTGCTGAGAATTAAAAGTAAAAAGGTGGTCTTAAAGAATAGGCCATTTGATTATTCATCAGAACATGAAAACAATTCCAAATGAATTAGAATTTAACCTTGTTCAATGGAGGAAATATAAATTTAGCAACCATTTTGTTGACTTACTAATTCACATCAAAATTCTTCTAAAGATTTTGCAACATAGATGTATAAAATATATTATTAACCACAACTTATTCCCTGAAAACAAAATGAAGAAAGCAAAACACATTTCATATCAAAATTATGTATCTAAATATCATTTCTTTCTGATGTGAAGGCAGCTTGGAAAACAGCAAACAAAACAAACCCTTCCAGAGGAAAAAAAGTCCTGGGTTTGAATTTGCTGGTTGGCTGAACTTAGACAAGTTAGGGAACCTGAGGCTCCATGGATTCACCTTTAAAAAGAAGATGAGATGGAGATTATGGGATTGTATTCAATCATTTATATTAGGATGTGTGGCACACTCAATAAATGTTAGCTACCAATGGGGTTGATTACAGAACCTAGCTGTGGAATAAATATAAGTCCTTTCCAGGATATAAGAGAGCTTGGTGAGGCAAGATTCATATTAGAGACTTTCCAGTACTCTAAGTCTTTATATTTATAATATCAAAAACAAAATTATACATCCCTTTATATATTTAAATATTCAGTTGAATTACTAGTTAGTACTCTATTTGCCAATTCTTCCTCCCTAAGCTATGACTTTGTATATATTTGGTTTTAATAATTAGTAAAGTTCTAGTTGTGTATGCAGTAGCTTTACAGATAATAAAAATTTAATTAAACTTACTTTGATGCAACTTTGATTATACATTTTCCTAAGCATTGCATAAATAATTCAAAAATGTATGTGACTAACATCCCTCATTCATCAAAAATCTAAAGTTCTCTCAAATTTTCAAAAGCTAAGTGTTAAATGTGGTTGTGTTCAGGTATTTTAAACATCCTGCTCTAGAACTGATAGAAAATGTACAGTTAACCATACTTTTTGCCCAGTACAGTTATTATAGTTTTTTTTTTTTTTTTTCAGATAGAGTCTCCCTCTGTCACCCAGGCTGGAGTGCAGTGGTGCGATCTTGGCTCACTGCAAGCTCTGCCTCCCAGGTTCACGCCATTCTCCTGCCTCAGCCTCCTGAGTAGCTGGGACTACAGGCGTCCACCACCATGCCCGGCTAATTGTTTGTATTTTTAGGAAAGATGGGGTTTCACCATGTTAGCCAGGATGGTCTCCATCTCCTGATCTCATGATCTGCCTGCCTCGGCCTCCCAAAGTGCTGGGATTACAGGTGTAAGCCACCGCACCTGGCCATTATTATAGTTTTTATAGGTTAGAGGAGATCTCTGAATCTAATTTTTACAACATGATTCACATGTTTACTGTTTTCAGAGCAAGTTGTTAGAGAAGGATTGCTGGCCAGCAATGTAAATGTTATAAAAATGTTTCCAAATTTAATTTGCAATAAATATCTGACAATTCATTCACATTTTCAATGTCTTATGAAAATATATTTATATATGAAAATTGCGATCATAATAAATAATTTTCCGAATGATTAATCACATGTTAAAAATTTCAAAGAATATAAGTTCCTCTAAGGATTTAAAAATAAACTGTTTCCTTTCAAGAAAGCATAAGGACCAAATTTCTTAACCTTATAAAGGAAAAAGTTCTTTATTGCTTTTAAGTCCTTGATGAAAGTCATTCCTGGAGATTATAAGATTATTTTCAGAATGACTTTCCTTTTAAAAACTGTAATTTCTCTTTAATTTCTCACTGGAAAAATTATAAAAGGTGCCTCAGTCTGGATTACAAATTGGGAATGGCGAGTTATTTTTGCATTTCTCTCTTTCATATAGATGTTGCAAAAATTAGTCAGATTCAGAAATCTACCCTAAGCTATAAAAACACTACACAGTAGCAGCTGTACGGGGGAAAAGTATGCCAATCATGCTAATCATAGATTTTCTATGAGGTGAGAGTAGATGAGGGAAGGAGAATTGCTAGACTGAATGGTGACTGAGTGGCCTCTGCTACTGAGCATTTCAAAGGGGCAGATATAACCAAGGGATGGGGATGGTTGTTATTCCACTTTCAGTGTGTGCCCGTCTGACTCATTAACTCCCTCCATCCCCCAAAACTTCAGTAAAGGCATTCACACATGGCTTGGGTCACGGTACTTCAGAAGAGTACGGGATGTCCCAAAGGGTAGTCTGGTGTGGAAAATGGACAGATGAGCAGGGGGCATAGAAGGGAGATCAAGCTTTCATCAGAAACAAGAAATGACAGAGAAACAGAGGTACTCCCACAGCAATCCCTGGAGCTACTGAGAAGGATGTTGAACTTCTTATTGTACTTGGGTTGATGGTGAGTCATTCTTGTCTAAAGCTATAAAAACAAGGAATCCAGCAGAGGCTGGAGATGAGGGCATCCATTTCCTGACATATGGGTTATACTGATAACACCTTTCTATACATACACACTTAGATTGTAGAGTTGGTGTGTACCTGTATTGATACATACACACCAACTCTGAGCCAGGCCAGTCACTGTTCTCCGAGTTACAGTTTTCAAATTTTTAAGATGGTCACACCACCACCTGCTCTCCCCATCCAACAAGGTTTTGGAAGGAAGGAAAAGGCATGTGGAAGCACTTTGTAAAGCACAAAGCATAATAATCATTGTAAGGCATTAAAAGGCAGCTCTAGGCTGGGCGCCCTGGCTCTCACCTGTAATCCCAGCACTTTGGGAGGCTGAGGGAGGTGGATCACTTGAGGTCAGGAGTTCTAGACCAGCCTGGTCAACATAGCAAAACCCCGTCTCTATCAAAGATATAAAAGTTAGCCAGGCCTGGTGGTCACGCCTGTAATCCCAGCTACTCAGGTGGCTGAGACACGAAAATTGCTTGAACCTGGGAGGCAGAGGTTGCAGCTGAGATCCCACCATTGCATGCCAGCCTGGGTGACAAAGGGAGACTTTGTCTAAAAAAAAAAAAAAAAAAAAAAAGTCAGCTCTAGTAGAATAGAAAAAAAGTGGAATTTGAAAAGTCAAGTTTGATTCCCAACTTGTTTGCTTTACTACTTGTATAATCTTCAAGAGGCCATTGGTTTCTGTGAACCTAGTTTCCTAGTCTGTAAAATGGGGATTATAATACCCATTCTGCTTCTCTGCTGGTACCTTTACATAGTACCAGAGGTAATAATATGTAACAACACTATGTAAACACTCGGGGTTCATATAAAAATAAGGTATCAAATGGTCTTTCTTGCAGACATATTTAATAAAAACCTATAATAAAAGCATTCAAATTTTGTTCTATATAAAAGCAAGGAGCAGAAGCAGAGGGTGTCCCCATGAATGAAAATTTCTCAGAATATCATTGTCTTTTTGAAAAGTAGTAGTGCACTGGACTAGATATTACACTGTGAATGATGGCTCACTCACACTATTTTACAAGGATTGCTATTAAAGGAAGTCATGTGATTTACCAGAATTGTTCCGGGCTACATAATATTGAGGACAAGTCCTGAATTGAATTATAGCAGTAGGAGCCCACATAGTAGCATTAAGAATATAGTTCCTTACAGTTTAGATCATTTTATGAGACAACTAATCAATTTTCAACAAATGCGTCTGCAGCCACTTTCCCCCAAATAATCTTCATTGCAAGAGATAATTTTTTCAGAAGTATTAAAAAGGGGTAAGGAAAATATAATCAACCTCAGCAGATGATCCTAATTCAAAATCCATTCCATATGACCAACTCTGAGATGATAAAATACAACATTTTTTAGAGCAGCAAATGTTTGCATTTAGGGGAAAGGGGTTTAGAGATCATACTTACCTCCCTTAAGGATAAAACACAACATAGATGAGACCAGAAAGGTTAAAGGGGTTACCCAAAGTTAGCCAGATCATGGTAGACCGTGAATTGACCCCCAGTTCTAATGAAAATAATACTAGACTTTCCAGCCAAGCGTGGTGGCTCATGTCTGTAATACCAGAGCTTTGGGAGGCTGAGGTGGTTAGATGGCTTGAGCTCAGGAGTTAGAGACCAGCATGGGCAACATGGTGAAATCTCATCTCTACCAAAAATACAAAAAATTAGCCAGGTGTGGTGGCCTGCACCTGCAGTCCCAGCTATCTGGGAGGCTGAGATGGGAAAATCGCTTGAGCCAGGGAGGTGGAGGTTGCGGTGAGCTGAGATCACGCCACTGGACTCCAGCCTGAGCAAACAGAGTGAGACCCCATCTCAAAAAATAAATAAATAAAAATAATACTAGACTCTTATGAATTATTTTCTTGTACAAAGCAGTAAGATGTTTACTTACACTTTCCTACACCTACCCCATTCCCGCACCACTCATTTCAGAAAGGAAATGCGCAGATTTTCTCCTGTAATGTCTGCCCTATAGGCTGTTGTGATAGTTAGCAAGAGTGGGAGCCTGTGGAAAGGCACGGCAAGAGCAGCTGCATAGGTGTGAACCCTGCTGTTAGTTGAAAGTAAAAGGACTAGGGCTTCAGCACTGTGCATCTCTTTGGAACTTCCTTACTGAGCCTTCAGACACTCTGAGGTCGGAGGCTGAAGGGAGTGAGCCATGCTTCCTGCAGCCATGGTAATTCTCAGTTTCAGCCTTTGCACAGTGGCAGCTGCAACACAGTCATCTCCCTGATTCACCCTCTGCCCCCATTTTTGCAATAAAACATCTGCTTGAAAAGGAGTAAACCAGGCAGGTGAGTTGGATAGTGCTCAAATTACATACTTTAATTGAATACTCATTTGTGGAATTCAGGTTTATGCAAGGTATTAAATCAGGAGGTAGGAGACAAGAGTTCTGATCTCTGCTTCAGTACTTACAAGCCATATAACCTTGGGCAAGTGACTTATTTCTGAGCCTCAGTTGATTAATCTTTAAAGTGGGGATAATAATATCTTGTTTGCTTAAAGGCAGGGGAATGAAACAGAAGCAGCTGTTAAAGATCCCTTCTAGATTCTAGAAAATTAAAGACAATGTGAGCGTTCCTCAAGTAAGGGAGTCATTTTTAGTAGTGTATTTCTTAGATATGATCTCTGTTATAGAGTATAAATAAGTTCACAGCTCTTTTTAACTATTCAAGACAACTGTTCAGACTAGCAAGAAGTCAGGGTCTCCCTCAGCTCCATTGTTGACATAAGGTGTGCCTATAAAAGTGCTATGCAGCCTTATCTTCCTCACACACTCAGCTATTTATCCCGAAGCACCCCATTAATGCCAGGATGTCTAATCCAAAAGGAGATTTGTATCTTCAATAAAGAGTTATTTCCGAATGAGAAAGATCCATACTTCCTGCCTCTGTATTGCAGCTAGTGAATTTGGGTCACTGGTCCATTCTCCTGTTGACTTCAGCTGCGTTCTAGATAGCCCCTCCCACATACACCACTGTGTCTGCACCATAATCTCCGGGAGGGAAGAGAAAGCTTCAGTGCTCCTTCTTGCCTGCAGACTTAATTAGGGATAATCTCAAAGCATTCAAATAATGTAGCGTTTCAATAAGGACAGTTATTTTGTCCCAGAAGCCTCCTTAGTACCTATGCAAATTTGTCCACTGCACTCCCAAGCCAAGTTCCCTCCCCACAAAAAGGCAACGGGTACCTACATTCCTTTTATCCATCAAGATAAGAAGGGACATCCCAACACAAAGATAGCTTGGCAGTCTTCACCACTAAACATTGAGGCAGCTGGCAACAAACCTCTACCTAACCAGACAAGTTAAGAAATTTGTCACTCTCTTTAGCATTGATGTCCTGAATCTTTTTCAATAATGAGTTTTCTGTCCAGTTCTCTCTATCTTAACATAGATGGGAGGATGGTTTCTGAGCAAGTCAATTGCAGATCTAGAAATGGATGTGCATGTCCTTGATTCTCTATGATCATTGCTGTTCTAGCTATATATTCAATGCAGAGCTTGACATTCAAACTTGCATAGGCATCCTCTTTCCAAATTAAAATGGACCCATCACTCATTAGTGGGGGTGAGGTAGTGGCAGTACCAAAGGATGTGTGTGGGAAGGGCAGCATATGTGCTTCTGTACTCTTTATCAGCTGCCCCCAATTAAAAACAATTGATAATTCTTTAATATGACAAAGGGTACTTTCTTAATCTTAGGTCAAGTATGAACGTGGGCACCTTATACCAAGTTGATATTTGTAATGATCTTGTCACTCCCTGCTTACGAGCCTTTCTCCCTCCACAATGGCTATTATAATCAGAGTAGAAAATGAAAGCTTTTATTAGGCATAAGAAGTTCAATGTGACCAGAACCCAGTGATGTAGCCATGACCTAATCTTATATTACTCTGTGTCTAGCATGTACCAGTCTTTAAAAAATGCTCACATTCACCAACACTTCCTCAAATGAGGCTTTTGAATCCACCTGAAATTTGCTTCTCAGTGATTTTTGCTTTGGCTGACTCTTTCTAGGCATTCAGGCTTCTGCTTAAATGTCACCTCCTCCAAGAAGGCTTCTATGAACTCCCATCTGAACTAGTTCTACTACTCCTGTCACTCCTTCATATTATGCAACTGTTTGTCTATCTCCCCCCATCAGAATGTAAGCTCCAGCAAGAAAGACACTTTGCTTATGTTGTTTACTGTATCAATCGGGATCCGATCAAGAGAGAAAAACAGTAATTTCAACAAGGAAAGTTCAATATAAAAAATTATTACCTATAACAGGGAATTGGATCAAAGGGAGATTGGTAAGAGGTAAAGAGAGCTCTAAATAATACAGAAATAGAGATATAAGGAACAGCTACTTACTAACCCTAGGGCTGAGATACAGCATCTCAAAAAGAGCTCCTCCAAGACACAGACACACTCTTAGGGCTGGCTGAGATCCAGACTTTGCTGGAGAGGGCACAGTTGTAACTTTCTGAATAGCAGGAGAGCCCTGCTAGAATTCTGCCTTCTGGAACTTGCTAGAAATCCACATTCCAGAACTCGTTGGAAATCCATTCTCTGGGGTTCCAAGGAAAGCTGCTGAGGGAGGTGACTCATTAGAGGCACTTGCTCCAAAGCCACCTAAGGGGCTTCTGGAGGAAGCTGCTGGCTGCTGGGTGCTGCTGCTTGCTACCTGTGCTGTAGGAACCTGCCCAGTATGCAACCAGAGCCAGGAACCAGGAAACCAAACCCTTTCCTCCTGCAATGTCTCTCCAGCGCCTTCTATTGACCTAGCTTTTTTAACAGCTGGAAAATATTTAAAGGGCTCAGATTCAGTTTCACTAGGCAGGCAATGAGGATGAATTTGGAGCTAAGAGGCAACATATTAATAATAGCCACTTTTATTGTGAAATCCCCATATTCTGGCACATAGTAGGTTTAATAAATATTTGGTGAAGTAATAAATAAATGATTTACATCTAACCAAAGTGAAAAGCATGCTTGGCATATGTCACTTCAAGATTGGAGCTTTCAGGCCTAGCTTTTAACATGAAAGTTGCTGCCAAGTGCCTCCCACATGAAAACTCTGGAACACCCCACCTACCCCCCACTCTGTGGTAGGGATAAGACAGGCCTCCAGATAACATCATAGCTTGGCTCAACAGTTAGCGAGAAGTGCAATGAGAGAAGCACAGCAGAGAAAAGGAGAAAAAGTGGCCATGAGCCCCACTTACAGTCTGTGTTACGGCTAGGGCTGGGCCGCCAGTTGCTGCATTTGCATCTTTCTGAGACATTGAGGTGAGTTACATAGCTCTGCCACGTGGCCAAAATGTGAAACACATCCAAGGGCTATATTTTAATACAGAACTTAAAAAATAAAGAAACATCTTGACTTCTCTAGCCACTTTCCTGTTGACACAAACCATCGAGAGAGATTAGGGGAAAGATCCTTGCTATAAGTGATCTGATATTTCCTAACAGAGCAAAGTTTCCTCTTTGTCCACTGACCCTTTCAATAGTTCTTCGGGTTCTATTCTTAGAATTCTCGTTTCCTGTCCTGAGAGAAAACTGCACAGAATTTCAATAAATATGACCCAAATGATGTGGAAACTTCCTATAAGGATGCAATGAGGTATTCATTCATTAATGCCATCAACAAATATTTACTGAGCACCAACTACCAGACAGTGATGGCAGACATAATTTGGGGAGTTTGGAGTGCAACTGTGAACACAACCAGGTCCCTGTTCTCATGGAACTTGCTAACATTCTGGCTAAAATAGAGAACATGGAACTTCCTACAGAGGCACTGTGGGTGATTTCACAAACCATTGAAAAGCTCTAGTGGGAGCAAGCAACTAACCAACCTTAGAATAAAACATGGTTGTTGCTGGTGTTCTTAGAAACTTCGCTGTCCTCGTGTGCAAATTGTATCACTAAAGTCTTCTCACTTTTGATTCTTGGGAAGGTTTCAGGGCAGGGCTGTCTAATGGAAATATGTAAGCCTCATAATTTAAAATCTTCTAGGAACAAAGTTAAAAAAGTAAAAAGAGGCTGGGCACGGTGGCTCACGCCTGTAATCCAAGCACTTTGGGAGGCCGAGGCGGACGGATCACCTGAGGTCAGGAGTTCAAGACCAGCCTGACCAACATGGAGAAACCCCGTCTCTACTAAAAATACAAAAAATTAGCTGGGTGTGGTGGCGCATGCCTGTAATCCTAGCTACTCGGGAGGCTGAGGAAGGAGAATCGCTTGAACCCAGGAGGCGGAGGTTGCGGTGAGCCGAGATCGTGCCATTGCACTCCAGCCTGGGCAACAAGAGCGAAACTCTGTCTCAAAAAAAAAAAAAAAAAAAAAAAAAAGTGTGTGCCTGCAGTCCCAACAACACTGGAGGCTCAGGCAGGAGGATAGCTTGAGCTTCAGAGTTTGAGGCCAGCCTAGGCAACACAGGAAGACCCCCATCAATACAATAAATAAATAGAAACAGACAAAATTAATTTTACTAATATTTTTAATTGAGTTATTCAAAATATCACAATTTTGACATAATTATAAATTATTGAGCTGCAGTTTTTTCACATTAATTTTTTCAAAATGCCACATATATGTGTACTTACAGCACATCTCATTTTGAATTGGACACATTTCAAGTGCTTAACAGTCACATGTGGCTAGGTATGGAACAGCAGAGGTTCAGAAAACTGTCAAAAGGACTTCTCTGTCCTCTTATTTTGGGGATGGAGGCGAAAATATTTGCCGAATTGAAACATTCTGTGAACTTTGGCTCTGGGTTTTTAGTATGAAATTAGAGGCAGGTGAAGACCACCATAGCCTTCCTTTGCACCAGCTCACTACAGTGGCCAGAACGGAAGGAGGTTCACAGAACGTGCTAGGTTGGACATTAAGTCACCGAGTCATCCACTGAGGAAAGGGATATCATTAAGAAGAATAGTTTTCCACTAACGCCGAACCGGCGGCACCATCTCAACCAACAGGTCAAGTTACAGTAGGCAAGCACGCATAGAAATAAACGTCTAAAACCCAGCCTGTTACATTAGCCAACACTCTTCTTGACTTTTTCCGAATTTTTTCCCTGTCCCCAAGATTAGCCGCTCGCTAGAAAAGACTGCGAGCCTCAGCAGCCTCCCCTTGAACTGGGGCGCTGCCTCCAGCTGGACACGGACTAAGGATGGAAAGGCGCACTGACGGAGGCCGCCCCCATTTCCCAGGCCCCTCCCTAGGGGTGCCCCTCCTCAGCCATGGCTGCCCCTTTCTCTCCTCCTCCAGCATCTGCCCCTGGGGCCACCCCCACCTTTCCGCCATCTCTCGGGCCCGCGTGGCACCCTGCTCTGTTTTTAACGGGGATAAACTTGACTTGCTTCTCCAAAGAGCGGGAAAAAGAGGCGCAGTCTTGGTACTGATCTGGGGGAGGGAACGTCCCAGGGCGCGCAGGGGCGTTTTCTACCCGTGCCCCGTCGGCCTGCTCTGTTCAGTACCGACCGTGTTCGGGGTTCACGTGGCCCAGTCGGCAAAGTTTCTTTGGAGGTCCAGCGTCTCTGATTCCCGGATCTTCAGCCCCACCCGGAGCCCCCACGGTTACTGCCCCCCGCGACCCCCGATGGAGCGTCGGGATGCGCTTTCTCTCCGAGTGCCTCCGGGGGTGGAGGGAGGGAGGCCTGTTTCGGAACTAAATGGCAATCACAGCCCCCGCGGGGCTTGGAGGGACGAGCTCCCCGCCCACCCCGCGGCCCCGGCCCCAGCCAGCATCTCGCGACTCCATTTCTGGCTCTAAACAAGAACGGGGACCGAGTCGCGTTCACACGGAAAATTATGCCGGCTCCAGCGGCGCGTAAAATTGATGTGAACCGAACGAAGTAAGATCAGCGTGATCCTCCCCCTCTTGTCTCAACAGGGGTTTCGGCGCGTTACACAAGGCCGAGCTTGTCTCTTTAAGGAGACATTGGACCCTAATTAGTCCGCATTCCTGGCGCGGCTGCGGAGCGAGGGGCCGAAGGTGTCTGGGTTGGGAGACGGGTGGGCGGGAGGACGAGACTCGGAAGAAGATCTTTTGACCAGCCCCCAGGCTCACCGCTCCCTCCACCCTCTTTATTTTGCCGCCACCACCACCACCACCACCAACACCTAATTCTGAAGATGCAGCCAGGGCAGCAGCAACAGCAGCAGCCGCCGATTCTCCCAGCCCCACGTTACTTTGATTGACAGCTGAACAAATGTTTTCCCGGTTCGAACGCTCGCGCTAAGGAACGTCAGCCAAGGCGAAGCTCCGCCTTGGGCGGGCCATCTCCGCCCCGCCTCCGCCAACCTCATTCCTCTTCGTTAATTGGTCGGAGCTACAGGCGACGCCCGGCCCCCACGTGGGTTTCAGCTGGGTTGGCTCCTCCCCGCTGGCTTGCCATTTGTCAGCAGTGAAATGATGGGCACTAACACAGAACGGCGATTAATGTTCAGCCACCTCTGATTGGTTGGTGGAGACGCCTACCGCAACGGGGGTGGGCGGGGCGCTTGGAGAGCTCGCCAGAGCGCTCGCATGGCGGGCCGGTGATTGTAGTCAATCTGGCCGTATTCTCAGGCAGGGTCGCCCGGGGCGGACTACATCTCCCGGGATGCTGCGCGGCCGCCCCGCGGAAGATTGTGAATATGTATCAGAATGTTAATGATTAGCTGCTGCTAAATTTGGTCAAAGAAGTCACCTACACAGAGCGTGTTGTTAGAGCTGTGCTGAGCGGGTGTTTGGGTTGTTGGCTGCTTTCTTCCCCCTTTCTCACACACTTGTATATTATTTTGAGGTGGTGTTCGCAGAGTTTGAAAGGAGAGAGAATTAAAAAAAAAAGCCGCAAGCGTTTCACTCTTTTATTTTTATAATCCCCTTCAATTTGGGGTTAAAAAAAAGACAAGAAAACAGGAAGGAAGAGAAATAAGGAAATGAGATGTGGTAAAAGAAGCTAAAAGGTGCCTTTTAAAAGATCGTTGCTGTGAAGTGAAAAAAATCTCCAGAGAAACCAAAAAGCACCGCCGAGACCTCTTCCGAACCAAAGGAGTTTGTGTTTGCTTTTAGGGAAGAAGAAAGATCATTCATTCGGAGGAATAACAACCAATTAAAAGACAAATAAAAAAAGTTTGGAGTGGGACGCAGAGCGAGCGAGAGGAGCTGCCGGCGGGCGGTGGGGCGCGGAGCCCGCACTTTCCCGGCCGGGTGAGCGGCGGCCGCGGCGCCGGGCTCGGCGGGTGCGCCTCGGCGGAGCGAACGTCGGAGCGTTGCCTTGGGAGACGCGCGCCGGACAATGCCCGCGGCGGGCCAGTGACGCCCGCGGGGAATGCGGAGCGGCCCGGCAGCCGGCACCCAGCCGCCGCCGCGCGTTCCTGCCGCCCGTGTCACGCGAGACCCGGCGGGGGCCGGGACCGCCCGAGCCGCCCCTCAGACCGAGCCGGCCGCCTCCGCTGCCGCGGCCGCCTCCTCTTCGGGGTCATTAAAGCCAATGAGCCGCGCGCCTCTGCCGAGCGCAGCCAACTAAATCGGCTTGGATGATTCGCGACCTGAGCAAGATGTACCCGCAGACCAGACACCCAGTGAGTGCGGGCGGCGGGGCGCGGGCTCGCCGGGTGCTGGGGGATTCCCCGCGTCGCCCCCTGCGCACCGAGTTGTGTCTTTTGGCCGGAGGGGCGTGGAGAGCCGCCCGAAATCGGCGCCCCGCGCCGGGAGCAGCCCGCCCGCCATCACCCCCACCCCCCGGCGCGGTGGCCCTCGGAGGGGGTGCGGAGAGGCAATTGAGTTGTAGCCATTTTCTTATTGTTGTCTTTGAAGCCCCTGGAAGCCGCGCCGAGCCGTTTGCGGTCCCCGCGCCGCGACTCCTCGAGGGGGGGTGGCGAGCGATGAAGGAGGCGCGACTCCGCGCCCGGGCGGGGAGGGCGCCCTCGGCAGCGGCGCTGCTGGGCTGGCTGCGGTTTGGAAGTGCGGGGCGCCGGCCCCTCGCGCCGCGGGCCGCCGGGGCGAGCGGGCGAACGAACGAGCCGAGAGGGTGGCGGCCGCCTCCCTCCTCCCCCGGCCTGACCGCAGCCCGACGCCATGGCGCGGGTCCCCCCGACGGGCCAGTTTCGATTCCGGGTGAGGAGGGAGTGGGCGCGGCGCGCGGGTCCCTGGGTGCCTGTCTTTGGCCGGGGAGGGGAGACGGGACTCGAACCCTCGGGGTCCGGGGCGCGGGGGCCTGCGGGCGGGAGTATGCGGGGCCCCAGGACCACCTCGAAACCAGCCTCTGCCTGGGCTGTTGGGCGCGAGGAGGGTTGCGGGAGGAGAGTTTTAATCTCTCTTTGCTTGCGTGCGCGATGACCCTCACCCCCCGCTAACGCCGCATAGTAGGTTTTCTCCGTCTCCCTGCTTCGCCTGTGATGTGGGCTAATTAAATATTTTATTGTTGTTCTTCAGGCACCGCATCAGCCTGCTCAACCCTTTAAATTTACAATTTCCGAATCCTGTGATCGGATTAAGGAAGAGTTTCAGTTTTTACAGGCTCAATACCACAGGTAACGATATTGACTTTAGCTGATCCTTCTGTTTGCTTAGCTCTTGTCTCCCCGACAAATACACACAAACACTTACCCTCCTCCTTTTTTGTGGGGGCGTCACAAAGGTATTATTTTTTTTTCTCGGTGGGCAGAAAGGGCAAATCAAGGCCTCCTTCCTTAGGCAGGTGTAAATAAATTAAACATTTCTTCTACCGTAAATAAAAAGAAGGCAGAACAATCGAAACTGGGGAGACTTGGAAAACGCTGAGGCCAAACTTTCGATATTGATTTATTGGGGCCGGGAGAATGAAAGGTTGGGAAGATTCTGGGGCCTTTTGACATCCTTGGTTCTTTATTACTCCGGACTTGATTCCTTCTCACTTTTTTCTGCCATTCCACTGAAGAGCTGAGAGCCCAGGGAAGTCGGAGTGAGCGATTTCATTACTTTTATGCTAAAAAAAAAAAAAATGTTTTCATCTTATAGACGATTTTTAGACTTAGGGTGCCTTTGAGACATTTTTCTTTAGCTGGCTTTTTAATGATGCCTAATTCTTATTTCATAAATGCAAGAACCAAAACAAACCACTGAACCCGATTGACACTTTGCCCCTGGGTGGTGGTATTCAACTTGTCTGTGTGTTTTGGAGGGAAAAAAACAAGATATCATTCATAAGACATGCTTGATTCATATTTTCATTAATCTCTTTGTAGAACATTAAAGAAATTCCCTTGTGACGTTTTGGAGGACTTATTTGTGCTTGTATGTGCAGTCATTATTGAAGTTTATTTTCGTGTTTGTTTTATTAAGTGAATATTCAATTCTGGAGGAAGTTCCTGAATTAAACTGATTAGAGGATTTGTTTCCTTAAAACTTAATTAAAAAAAAAATCCTAAAAACAAAAAACCACATATATGATCCTTATTGAAGGGGCAAGTCCAGACTGGTTCCAATCACCCCTTTCCCCTTCCCTTTCCATAATGATGGGGGTATTTATTTAAGATTGTTGATTTAGTTGTTTGTAGGTGAGATTTAGAATATGCGTTTAAGAGTTGAAGGATGTAAGTTAAGATCATTGTACTTAGAGTATCTTATGTCTTGAACAGTCTGAAGCTGGAATGTGAGAAACTCGCCAGTGAGAAGACAGAGATGCAGCGGCATTATGTCATGGTAAGAAAACCATGTCACAGATTCAAAGTGCCTATTAGTTTGGAATACCAAAAACAAGAATATGTTTAAATTGCTGGGGGCTGCAAGATAGATCACAGTCACCCTGCCAGTGCAGTTGAAGTTGTGGGAATATGTCTATTAGCAACCTGTAATTCTAGGCTGTTATAACTTGCCTTTGACAACTGGCTTTGATTGGAATTTTCAGAAAGTTCAGCCACATGGGGTATAATTTTCTGTGCTTTGTTTTTACAGATCGAAAAAAAATAAAAACAAAACCTTGTTTGTTTTGTCACAAGCAAAAATGTTTTTGTGTTAGTGGCTTTCTTTGTTGTTTTATTGCTCTTGCTCCAAACAATTTTTGCCAGTTTTTCTGTATGCTGTTAACATTGTAAATGTCTTATTATTAAAGACATTATTAAAAAATAATGTTTTATTTCTTTGAAAAGGAGTGATGGATAAGGAAAGACAGCAGACCATTTTTCAAATTTTTTTCTCTTTATGTTACTATTACATTAATATTTGTATGTTTTCAATTTCTGTAGTGTTATATTGGTTTGAGGAATGTTGTAGTCTCCTGTATAACTGATGTGTTCTGCCAGAATTTCTATGCCAGTTATACTACACGTTCAAAAAACCAGATCTGCTTTTACAGAAGTATTATGAAGCATATTTTTATGATTGTCCAAGAAAGCTCCAGAATAACCCACTCATTTATTTTTCTATCTAGCTTTTTTGCTTTGAATGTGTGAATATGAGCAGTACACTAACAAATCAGAAATCAAACTCTAAGTAGCATCACCTTTTCCAACCTTCCTTTCAAAACATCAGCGTTTGTATAAGGCATTCTTTGCTGTTAACTTGCCTGCTGTGCTTAGGAATTAAGAGTCCGTAGGATACCAAATTTTCATCAGACTTTTTTGATGCATCTGCTTGGGATGTATAAAGAAACTGGAGATGTTAAGAATGCTGTGTTTGAATTTAATTTTTCTTAGTTTTGTGTGTTTTCTCTTAGAATTTGTGTCTTAAGGTGGTTAAAGATAGTGATGGGCTCTTGATTTATTGGCATAGGTTATATGAAGATACTGGTTTAGGTGAGGCTTTTATGTTTGTTTCAGATTTACTTGGGGCATTTTGAACAAACTAGGGAGATTGTTTGATGAAAGTCATGCATTTAATTGCTTTTCCTTCTTTGACAGTATTATGAAATGTCCTATGGGTTGAATATAGAAATGCACAAGCAGGTAAGTTATTTCTTTATAACCATTTTAAATGACAGTAATACTGGGACACTATGAAAAGAAAATTGTATGTTTTGCAGTTTTATTCTGCAAGCCGTTGTGGCTACCTGTATTTAAAAGTCTGGGTAGTGAAGAAAATGCTGTTTTTTCATGTGTGGCTCCCCATCTTTCTTTCATATTATCCTAATTTTTATAATTTAAAAATGTTATTTTAAAAAGTCTGAATACATATTAAACTCTGTACACTTTCAAAAGCAGGATGCTAAATTTTAAAATCCTCTTGTTATTCTTCTGAAAGAGTTGCTTTATGTATTTTGGGCATTGCAAACTTGTCTTGTGAAAGAGCTTTTCTTGGAAAATATTAAACAGTAAAATTAAATTGTGTGGCGCCTTCGTTGGCTTGATGTGAAAGAATGGATAGAGGGTGAGCTGGGAGGATGAAAATGAAATCTGTGGAGCTACAAAAGAAATTGATGTAAAATCCTTGTACTGGTCCCCTGAGGCTACTTAGTTGGGTCTTACCAAGAACTATAACCGTTACTTCCAAAATTTGTACAGAGTAAATGAGCCTGATAGGAGGATGTGATAAGGTTCAACATTGGGTCTTGAAATCTAGCAATTAGTTCAGTAGCAAAAAAAAAAAAAAATGATTAGTCAGAAAGCACTGAGAGATACGACTCAAACAGTCTTCTTTTTGTGCAGGAGACTGAATAAAATGGTTTGGCTTAAATTTCCTAGACAGAAGAATAATAGCGGGTATATCTATCTATATATATATATACACACACACAAATATATATACATACATATATATATATAAATATTGTTTGGCGATAGTAATTCCTCTAGGAAGCATTTATTTTTAGTGATCTCCTAGTGGAAGCACTTCAGGTCTCATCAGCCATTTCAGAATAGGTGTGTATGTGTTTGTCTGCTGGGAAAAAGACAAGGGAAAACTTACTGCTTTTCATTTCCTATTTATGGTCAAGGTGGATGTCATTACTTTCTAAGTTGAGAAAATATGAAATGAGCACATACTATTAGGCCTTCACTATTTATGGATTCCTTTTTGGGTATAGTTATTTTCTACATGCTCAGAACATCCCAGATAGTAGATCTTTAAGAGATGGCTGTTAGACAATAAGGCAATCTGATGAATAGTATTGGAAAACAAAAAGTTGGAAAAAAATGAGACGTTGCTTACATTGAGGACTTTTAATTTCAGATACTGTTTTACTTTGTATGCTATTTGGTTATGTCAATATTAGCATTATAGTATAGTTTGAATGGCCTGTTGAAATTAAATTCTTATTTTGGCATCTTTGTCATTTCTGTTTAGATTAGTAATGTAAATATCTTCTGCTTAAACAAAATCTGTTCAATCTTGTGGATGGACTTCTCTTAGTTCTACCTTACAGGAATAAATTACATGAGAGATATTGTTTGTTAATTATCCCATTACATTTCCTTTGAGGTCTGGATCTTGTGTATGTCTCTTTTTTTGTCTGCACCCCACTCCCCAAAATTAATTAGTGTCTTTTTAAAGATTGGACCAGATGATTAATTTAGTCCCTTTATTTCTCCTTCTGTATCTTGTTTACCCTAACCACTTAGTTTCCAGGTCTCCTTGTACCATCTACATTTCTAAGAGGCACATAGCTTGTATTTGGCTGTATGTATTTCTTTTTCGAGGGGGTATGTGAAATCCCTTAATTTTACACATTTTATACTGCTATAATTCTGTCATCTTCTTGTCCAGCTAGCCTCAAATGCCATCCATTTAAAATTGAGAACAGTACATTTTCCCTTTTTTTCGTTTCCTTTTAAATTCAATCATATCAAGAATCCTGAGGGCAGTTTATCACATTATGAAATACAGACAGCCCTGCAAACCACCTACTTATTATATTTTCTTTCTTTCTCCCCCTTAAGCATAGAGGCATATCTGTCTTTATTTGTTTTCCTAGGCAGACAGCCTTAGTTCCTCTTAGCCTCTCTTCCAGATGTACTCGCTGGATACCCTTGTAATGGAAAGCAGCAATAATGCAGGGAAGTTGCCCTGCGGCATAATTGGGCCTAGTTCTCAAGATCGGGTTAGGTTTATTCACTTATTAGATTTGTGTCTCGAAGGGTTCAACAGTAGGAGTCCCGGGAGCCCTTGGAAGTACCCTAGTAATTGGTGGCCCTGATATTTGAAACCTTTGTGTATTTTTTGGTTAACGTTCCTGTTCTTCTTGGCTGCTGCTAGCCACAGAATATTTATTTTTAGAGAAATTTTTCATTGGAACAGAAAATGGTGGTTGTGATGCAGTCATGGCTCTGTGACTTAGCAAACTGATAAAAAGATAAAAGTATGAAGCAAAGACAAACAGGGTGGAGGTCGGTGTTCTCCCTCCTACCCTTTCTATGTGGTGCTCATCATCAGTCCCCCTGTGTTGATTCTGATAGAGAACTATAAAATGAAACCTATGGGGAATTTGTCATTCTGAAATGAAAGCTAATGTAATTAGTACCAATTAAAGTACATTTAGTAAATTGGATTTAATCTTAATTAAGCCTGCATAATGTTGCCAATTTTTAACAATTATGTTTGAGAACATAATTAATTTAAATTTTGGTAACTGAGTAAATAGCATTAGTCTGGTAGAATTAGTGGATTTTTTTTTTTTTTAAAGGGGAACTTGGTGATATGACGTGGAATTGGAACATAAAATATGAATCTAAATTTCTGGTAATCTTTAGGATTGATAGAGCTAAGCAGATGAAGCAAAAAAAAAAAAAAGGATGAAGTATTCTAGGCTATAATGGGAATTAATGCTGTGCCATTGTCTCAAGTTCTAGCATAAAAGTGAAGATGACAAATAGGACATGGTTAGAAATGGCACATGTTTTAGTGTGACGTCTTCAAAATGGAATTTTTAAAAATGAAAGAACATAGGCCCTTATTCCCTAAGGATTTCCCTAAGTGTATGGTTTTTGTTTTTTGTTTTGTATGAGACAGCTGACCCAGGGTTTAGTTGTTAAGTTTTTTTGCTGATTGTTCTTCTTTGTAAATACAGTGTGGCTTCTAAATGGGTTGGTGGCTTCTAAATGGCACAGTGGGGTGATGCATGGAGTTGATAGCATTACTAAATGCTGCTTCTTCCCATCTTTCACCTGTAATGCTGTCATTAAAGAAGTCCTCACTGATGGACTCTGACAGCAGTGGTTACCATTCTAAAAAGTGAGTATTGGATATAGATTAGGAACAGTAGGTATGTGAATTCAACCTATAGGAACTATATGGAGATGAACATACCATCTTTTGAAAAGGGGAGCATGAGAACATCTATGACTTCCTTATAGTTAGTATTCTACAATGTGAAAGCTTCTTCATTTGAATTTTAGTAATCATCAGGAAATTTTAGAAATCTAAAACGCATAGAATCTGAAAGTAAGTACTGCACATTTATGTATGTTTTATGTGTGTATTTTTATATGTGTGTGTATTTGTGTGTGTGTGTGTGTATATATATATGTATATTTAATCAAAGCAAGAAAACTCCTGTTTCACTTAAAGCCATGTAAATTTTATTACGAGACTTGGGCCACAACCATTTGAGTGCTGCTAAAATATTAATTGAATAGAAATGAAAGGGCCTTGCCAACTGATAGGATATCATAATCATAGCCTCTTTGGTCGATGGTAAATGATGATAAATGACATTAGGAACCTTTTAGCAAACTGTAATAACTACAAGGAGGGAAGCAGTATGGATTTGCATTGTATCTGATACCCTCTAGTACCAAGTGGATTGCCAATACTGCTTGTTTAGCATTTTCTAAGGGCAATAAGATATTGATTTCTGACTTACAAGGAACAGCTCTATTTTCACCATTGAAAAGTATTGCAGGTTGTTAAGAAGAAATTGACTTGAAGAGGCCGACTGCTGCCCATCATGGAGCAAATAAAGCAAAACTGCCGAAGCATGGTGGAGCAGCGAGACGGGCCCTCAGCAATTTGTTGCTATTAATTTACCATGCTCGACAGCAAATCAATCGGCATCTACTTCATCTGCTGGAGAAAATGCTGTCCAGGGCAGATAAAAGGCTCGGCATGGTACAGAGAATAGACTGGATTGGCCAAAAGCAGGCTGCAGTTAATGTGTAAATAAGTGAAATCAAGGCCACTGTTGCAGAGGAAGCTGTTGTTAATTAGGTTGGTGTTTTTTAGTGAACTATTTTAGAAAGCAGCTAGGATTTGGAGAGTAAGAAGAGATTTATTGAGATTGAAGTAATACATGACTGGCATGACATTCTAGCCTTGAGTGTACTTGAATCTAGGGTGCAGTAAATTTATTTGGGGACACTGCTTGCTATGAAGTTTGTTGAAAGTTCATTTTAGACCACATTTCCCTTATGATAACTTTTTTTTTCAACCTTGCCAGTTTTTTGCACATCTTCTGTCTTATTGTGTACTCTTAGATTTAGAAGAGTAGATGGAGGAGTAGGTGTTTTAGTATGGAGGCACAAATGTGTCTGTTATATTCTTACCCAGTGCCTTTTTTTTTTTCAGAGATAGGTATAATTGAACTCTTGTATAATAATGAGAGTGAACTATCATGGAAGATGGGGTGTTCTAGCTGAAAGTAACTAATAAATGAAGATTTTGCTGACAGAACTTTATCTTGCTTCAGAAATATTAGGAAATAACAATCTAGAGGGCCTGAATAGTGGGTAGATACTACTAGATTATAAAATCTTAAAGATGACAAGTGAAATTTTGATGTCTGCATAAACTTCAGATACAATTATAAGACTATGTGTGTGGGGGTGGGAAGGGTTCTTGTGTTTTTGGTTTTCATTAAGGTTTAAAGCCACCTTTTCTAATTTAAGATTATTTACACGCTGATAATATTCCACAATTAATGTTAACGGAGTGAAGGGTATTGGTGGTGTTTTTTCCCCTTTACCTCTCATTTGGGCATTTTAAAATAGGAGGCCAACTTCATTTACTCCTGTTTAGTAAATCTAAATGAGTGTAGGTTTTAAATTAGATTTTTTCCCAAAACCCTTCAGAAGGTCTAGTATTAGGGCAGTTGATAAGTAAGTGGAAGCACCTTGGGCAGGACCCAGTGACCTGTCCTTTTACTTATTACAGCACCTGCACGGGAAGCAGATCTGGAGGATGAAATTTAACCTGTTACAGTGTGTGTATGTTTTAGGGTGTGTGTTTTCCGAATACTGTGGGGAGTTCCCTTTTTCCTTCTCCCATGATGGATTCTTTTGTCTTTCTAGAGATACCATAGGAGGATATCTGGATTTTTCACCTAAGGCAGTGATTCTTGAGTGAAATTGGAATTTCCTTTCAATAGAAGTAAACATTTATTATATATCTGGCTTGCGCTTACCACTGGTCTGGGCACACTGCCAAAATTCTTATCGTTAGTTCTCATAATGATCCTAAGACAGGGATTATATCCAATCAAAAGTTGATTAAACAGGGTCAGCTCTGCACAAGGTGATACAGCTAATAGTTGGTGGATTCAGGACTTCAAATAAATTTATGTGGGAGGATATCTCCTGGGAGATGGGTTTGCTATGGGTTAGAGATTCAGGCCCCAGTTCATTCCTGAAATAGAGAGTCCCTGAACTTTAGGCTCATACGCAGAACCTCTTGAGTTGGGGGATTCTCTGCAACTGCCTAGAGTCCATGGATGGCTCAGCCTGCCCTCTGCTTGCAGACTGCTTTCAGTGGGTGAGAGGGTGAGGTTGCTTTCACTCGGAATCTCCCACATGTGGGCTAGGGAAGCTGCTTGCTTATCAAGATGGAATTTGCTTCCTCCCTAGGCAACCTATTTCTCATTTGTTTACAAACTTGTTCTTCTCTTTAACTTTTATCTTTTCCTGTGGCTTATGAGAGTGCCTACAGACAAGGGGCTGTTTGTTAATCACCATCTTGTGGGCTTTTGAAGGGGGAAGCTGGGAGGGGAAAATGTGATGTTTTGTAGCCTCTTTGTAGTTTAGAAAGAGGTTCGTCGATGCAGGAAATCACACAACTCAGTTTTAAATGAAGGCAGATGTTTTGCTTTTACTGTTAAAAGAATTTCTTTGCAGCATTCAAACAAAAGGATAGTTCCTTTTCACTGCCCCTTAATCCCTGCTGGATATTATTTATTTGTATTTATTATTTTGATGGGCAAAGTTCTTTGTATCTAGGTATATATCACTTTGATCTGTGTAGGAATGATGGACCGGACTAATGAGCTACATCTCTAGGTGCTGTTGCAGCACTGGTGAAGGAGACAATACAAGCACCAGCCCATTGTTCTTCACATTCTTCATTTAATCTTTGCTTTCCTAGAATACATCTTTTTTATTTCTTCTTTTTTTTCTTGTGTTATAAGATAGGTAGAGGAAACCAGTTGGGAATTAAATGTTTAAAAAATGCATTTATAAGTTATTTGTGTTTGTTTTTAATGTGGCTTTTTTTTTTTTTTTTTGCCTTTGATGTGATTCGATGGTTTGGTTTACCACTTCTGGACAGCAATAATGTATTTGGTGGCTAGAGAAAAGAGGGACAGGGATGTGAGTTCTAGAAGGCACTTTCTTGATCCCTCTACACACCCTCTTAAAATGACTCCAGCGTTCCAGCAATGGTGGTAGGTTCAGTGGTCCTATACTAGCTAAGTTATTACCAGTTTTGTAAGCTGGGCTGTTGGAGAGAAGCAGGGGGGCAGCACATTTACGCATGGGCAATGGAGTATTTACACTGATAATGACAGTTTGCAAGGCTTAGGACTTGTTCAAAGTAAGTATACTGCGAACAGTTTATGAAATTATTACTCTAAAGAGGAAGGGCCTCAGAAGTTTTAGTCAGAAGCAAGAGTTAGAGCTGTTTTGTCTTTGCCTTAGTAATAGCTCTCAGTGGTAGTTGTTTTCTATCTATGGAGAGGGATTTAGCTGGCATTCATCACCACAAATCTATATACCCTCTCTCTTTTCATTGGAACTTACCCAGCATTTATGCCAGGCTGTTGCTATTTCTATATCATTGACCCAAAACTTATCCCTGGAGAGCTGCACGTGTAACCCTTATTCCATCCAGGGGTGACACATGGGCAGGGTGTGGATTTTCTTAGCTGGTTCATCAAATAAGCAGAAGAGAAGTACTCTGGGATACCCCTTAGGTACTCTGTCCTCTGGTGAGTGGATCGCACTGTCATCTCTTTTGAGGATTTGCCCACACACATTTCAAGAATTGTATGGTGGAGGCAGCTTCTGCGTTTCACGGAATGAAAGGATAACTTCTCTCCCGGTGCGAGACAATACTCTATCCCCAACCTGGGCTGGCTGTGGTGTGCTTGGGACCTCTGCAGGGCCCTGTTGCTTGCAGCAACCTAGGCAAAGTGAGAGGTTGGGGAAGGAGGAGGGGGGATATTGGCTTTTTCATTTCTTAGCAGGCTTATTTAACTCATTATTATTATTATTATTATTGTAATTTGGGTTCTGTCCTTATTTTCGAACTATGTATTCTGTTTCTGAAGGTCTGTGGATGATTTTGGTTATTGAATTTGAAACTGCAAGAAAATATAACTGGAAAGAATAGTCATAGTAGAAATTATAAGCACTAGTACTCTGTAACACCCTTTCTTTACAGAGAGCTTAAGGCATTTTATATGTTCTCTTTAATGTTCCTTATGTTCTGTGAAGCAGGTAGCAAGCTTGGATCCATGTATTTATTTAAATAGCTTCTGTCAGTGGAGTACCCAACAGTTTGCCAAGCAGTGTCATTCTACTGGCCTCCTTTAATAGATAACACTGAGGCTTAAGGGCTTAAGAGACTAGCCCAGTGTCACAGTCAGGGAGGATCAGCACGGGGGTGGAGATACCAGAGTTCACGCAGGTCAGCGAATGCGCCTGAGGTTGCATAGTGAGAGTCACTGGCAGAAGAGGAAATAGTAGGTTTCTTGACTTCCCTTCCAGGGCTCCCTTCGCTGACCATGCTGTTTCCAAACAGCAAATAACATGCTTGTTTCTATGATGTGTTTGGCTTTCTGCAACATGAGGAGCATGGTGATGCTACTGGCAGTCCAAGAGTGTTACACCGTCATCTCTAGTGAGAGATCTGATCTGTGTTTGTGTTTGAGGACAGCTCCTCCCTCCCCTCCCTTCTACCCTCTCATTGCCTCTGCCCTGCCCAAAGGGAGTCTAGGATCAGCAATATTGAAATATAAAGCCAAGGTCCACTTTTAGAAAAGTGCTTGATAAAACTGGCTATCTGGCATTCCTGAACTGTACCATGCAAACACACTGTGTTAGATACTTACCTGTTTATTTCCTGTCTCTCTCTCGTGCTAGATTGTAAGCTCCATGAAAACAGGAGCTTTTATTGTTTACTGCTGTGTACCCGGTGTTGAGCCCTGTGCCTATCGCATAGTAGATGCTGGTGCGCAATAAAATATTTGGTGAATGAGAGAATAGCAGTTAGAGCTAGCCAAGAATATGTGTGATTTAATATTTTTAAGGGTATATTAGGTTGCAAGATAGATAACAAATACTGAATCTCAGGCATACTTAGGTCTGTGTTGTCTACTAGTTTGTGGAAAAGTGACACTTGGAAAGAGGAAGCAAAAGCAACCGAACTTGCTGTGCCTTTGAGGAACAAGTTAGTATAGCTAAAGTAGAATGTATGTATTTTAGTATGTTGAGTCTGCCTTTTTAAAGATGAAAACATGAATCATTCCAAACAGAATTTAAAATTCAGTTTGAACGTCACTGTATCACTAGTCAGTGTTTATCTGAATAATTCTTTTACTATTAATAGGTCTGTGTACCTGTGGTTTGAATGAATGTGGAGCAATATCGATCTTGACTATATTGTGTGTTTAGCTAACTTCCCTGCAAATCAGTAAAAAATGCAAGGTTTTAGTTCTTTTCAAGGGACAAGGAATTTTGAAAATGTCTTAATTTTTTTTATTAGTAGAGATAGTATAACGTTGTTGAAAGAATAGTAATCATAACAGTAAGCAATTTTAGATTGCTTATAGTGTCGATAATATTTCACTTATTCTTACAACAATCTTATGAGATTATAGTAGTAGTATTATTTCCATTTTACGTATGTTGGGGCTGAGACACAGAGAGCTTAAATAGCTTGCTTGAAATCAGCTAGCCGGTAAAATAGATCTTGGGTTTGACTCAAGGTCAGAACGCTGGTATGACAGATATTTCTGCCTTATTCCAGTTGATATGTTTGGAATACTCCACCATCAGCATACTTACTACCTTCCCCCAAATGCTTGACTGATTCCGGAGCCTCAGATTCTAGTTCTGGCCTTGCTAGTCACCAGCTTTGTGATATTGCTGAGTACCGTACCTTTAAGGGCCATGCTTTTCTCATCTTTAACTTAGGGCGTAAGTGAACGCCCAGATCTCTTTTAGCTCTTTTGGTTAAAATGACCATTTCAGTTTGGTTTGTTGCTGTGATCCAGTGAACAGAAATTGAATTTTTTTTTTTCAGTCTTAGAAAGTCTCTTTTAGCACTTATTTTCAGAATTTTTAAAATCCAAAGTTACCCAATGTGCCTAGGAGTAGAAATGTATATTTATATACTATTAATACTTTATTTTTTATAAGGTACTTTCTCATCCTTTTTTTTCATGTAAACCCCAATAATAAAGCATTCCCCCCGTCCTGTGGATGAACACAGTGAGACGCAGATGTTAGATGACAAAGTTCTTCACTTAATTAGTAGGTGGTTTACAATTCACTGATTCTCTTATGGCCAGCGTTCAGGCTAAAGTAATGTTGACACAGAAGTAGAGCAATTTTCATAAAACATGTAATATAAAAGTATATATAACATAAAATATATCAGTATGTCTTTAAAGTGATTAGTTTTTGTACTTTTCCTTTGGCATATATTAGAAAACTTAGGCTGGGCACGTGGCTTACGCCTGTAATCCCAGCACTTTGGGAGGCTGAGGTGGGTGGATCATGAGGTCAGGAGATCGAGACTGTCCTGGCCAATGTGGTGAAACGCTGTCTCTACTAAAAATTAACTGGGCGTGGTGGCGCATGACTGTAATCCCAGCTACTCGGGGGGCTGAGGCAGGAGAATCACTTGAACCAGGGAGTCAGAAGTTGCGGTGAGCCAAGATCGCGCCACTGCACTCCAGCCTGACGTCAGAGCAAGACTCTGTCACAAAAAAAAAAAAAGAAAAGAAAATTGTGTGACTTCTGAAATTGTATGAATTATAAAGTGATCCAATAATTTTCTTCCAAAGATGTGCAAAGGGACTATGTAGCAGTTTATTACCTGTTGTGTAATTAGCTCCGGGGGTTACTCTTCTAGAATCTAAGGTAGGTGTCAGTTTCTCTAGCTTGAGGTAAAGCGTGTCTGTAAACTGTGGCTTACAGTGAGCTTGACATCTCAAGTCCTCAGGACTTTCTTGCTTTGTCCCATCAAGGACCCTTTCCTTAGGGAAGATAAATTCATTGTAAATAAATGACTTAATCATAAGTAGAAGAAGGGAGAAATGTTTAATCTTGGCCTTTTGGAGTTTATAAATCAAAGACACAGTAGAGATCAAGTTCCTTCATTAAAGTGTAGTTCCAAAAAGGAAGAATGTGGTTTTGGTTTTAAAAAATTTTTTTATTTTTAATTTTTAAGAGTACATAGTAGGTGTATGTATTTATGGGGTAAATGAACTATTTTGATACCGGCATATAGCATATAATAATCACATTCGGGTAAATGGACTACCCATCAACTCAAGCATTTCCCTTTTTTTGTGTGGGTTAGAAACTTTCTAGTTATACTCTTTTAGTTACTTTTAAATGTACAATAAATTATTGTTGACTGTAGTCACTCTGTTATGCTATCAAACACTATACCTTATTCATTCTGACTATATTTTTGTTTACAGAAGAATATGTTTTGTTCACTGCTGGTACCACTAGCACCTAAAACAATGCCTGGAATATAGTAGAAGAAATGAATGAATGAATGATGGAACAGCTAAAGGAGTGGTTTAATTTTTTCATTTTATTGCATTTCATGTAGCATCACATATTCTGAGTATCAGCCACCTTTATATAAGCTGTCTTCGTTTCTGAGTGCTTAGGGAGGGCCTGGCTTTATGCTGAGCAAAAAAGGCCTAGATAGGCAATCAGAGAGTGGGAGTTCTTATCTCAGTCTGCTACAGGTCCTTGAGCTGCTGATTGGCATTTTTAAAATTTAGAATTGGATTCATACTTTGCCAGATGATTTATTTCTAAGATATCTTTCAACTCTTAACATCATATGATGTTTAAATGACCAGCTTAAAAATAAAATTCATCCCTACTTCCATTGCTCGGTACTATAGGCATGCCATTTTAGTAAGTTAAGTTTTAAGATAATTTTTATAAGAGGAAATACAGCCAGGTTTTTTTTTGTTTTTGTGTTTGTATTTTTGTAGAATCTCACTTTGAGCAATGTTAGGCTATTGTGTGGACAGCTAAAACAATCCTAATATTGCCAGTGTTTCACAACCTAGAACCATCTGCTGTGTTGCTTTTTTTGCAGTTGTAGCTGCATCTTCCTGGTCCTTCTATAGGCTAAGAGCACATCAGTAAGTACATATAGTTAACAGATTTTTCATATGTATATCTTGGGCAAGTGTTAGTGATAATAAGAGCAGTTAAAATTTATCGAGTGCCCACTGGATACCAGGTAAAGCACTAAATGCTTCAGATGTATTAATTTGTTTAATTTGTAATCTTTTGAGGAAGGGATCTGATTATCCTTATTGTGTATGAGGAAACTAAGGTAAAGAGAAGCTGAGAAATTTGCCCAGGGTTATATATAGCTGGTAGGTTACAGAGTAGGGGTGTCAAGGCCAGGCATTCTGGCTTGAGAACCTACATTCTGGTTTTGAACCACTGGCAATAAATGTCTCATAAGTGACTATGGTAAACTTCTTTGTTTATCCTTGCGTGTGTGTGTGTGTGTGTGTGTGTGTGTTTTGAGATAGAGTCTCGCCCTGTTGCCAGGCTGGAGTGCGGTGGCGTGATCTCGGCTCATTGTGATCTCCGCCTCCTGGGTTCAAGTGATTCTCCTGCCTGAGCCTCCTGAGTAGCTGGGATTACAGGCCCACACCACCACTCGCAGCTAACTTTTTTGTATTTTTAGTAGAGACGGGGTTTCACCATGTTGGCCAGGATGGGCTTGATCTCTTGGCCTCGTGATCCCACCCACCTCGGCCTCCCAAAATGCTGGGATTACAGGTGTGAGCCACCGCGCCCGGCCTATCCTTGTTTTCTAAATGAAAAAACAAATCGTCTGCTTCTGTGTTCTGTACACAGTGAGCTTAAATGTTAAAAATAATAGCTGGTATCATTTGGGTATTTTGTTTTGCAAATTAACACACTAGATTAGTGGACTCATTCATTGGTTCATCTTTTATCACAGATTCTACTGTTTGTCCGTGGCTGGATAACCACAGGCCTCTAGATATTTTTGTACCTCTGACTGTGAGATTTCTAAAACAGGCATGGCACCTTCTTTTATAACCACGTGTCACATGGGAATGTTCAGGGAACTGTAAACTTTTGAGTGCCTGCCTGGGGTGGAGGAGAGATGGAGGTTCTTGGCTGGGTTTGAAAGGTTCTATATAGTTCTGGAATTTATATGCATAATTGTGTACCTTTTTTGTGGGGGCAGAATCCATAGCCCTTACTGGTTCAATGAGGAAACTGGAACCCAAACAAAAGAATTAGGGAGGTACTGTGCTAGAGCAGTGGTTGCAAACTGGAGCAGTTCCTTTCCTCAGAGGATGTCTGGCAATGTGATGATATTTGGGGTTGTCACAACTTGGAGTTGCTACTGGCATGTAGTGGGTAGAGTCTGGGATGCTGCTGAACATCTGCATGTACAGGACAGCCCTCTACAACAAAGACTTAGCTGGCCTAGAATTTCAGTAGTGCCAACACTCAGAAACTCTGCTCCAGAGAGAAGAAAATACTATTAAATTCTGTTGCCTTTTTATGGCCCGGAGAGTTATAGGTTTGGGGCATAATGACCTCTTTGAGTAGAGAAAGGCCAAGTATGAGCATTGTCTGGCTTCTCTAGTTAAGTCAATTTGAGAGAATCCTTTAAACGTACTTAACCTTTTCAGGTTTTTTCCTCCCTTTCCCATGATGATAAGCAGAGTGGGGTTGGTGGTAGTTAAGTTCTGAATAGAGATATTACATGATCCTTTGTAATCTTCCTTTTCCTAAAGAAGGGACCGTGATAAACCTTCTCGGTGGGAGGGACTTTTCACACTTAAGTTCAGCTTCTCACTGGAAATCAGCTTGATTTCCACTGAAAACATCCAGATCTTTGTGGTGCTACTACTGCGCAAGGCAGAAGACATTTTCAGTGGAGGTATTGGATTGGCAGAAATTTCTTTATGTGAGACCCATTAGTCCTGTCCCCCATCGAAGTCACTAGAATTAGTCTTACTCCTTGTCTAGGTTTTTCAGAAGTGTTGCCCTTTATTAGCCTTCCTTTGTCCATGCTGGGCATTCTCAGTCATTTTAACCATTCTCCTGAGACACCAGTCTGGTTGGTACCAAGATGTATATGATAGACCGGGCTGCCTGAGAATTCAACGTGACGTTTCTGGCCTGATTCTACCCAACTGAGGCATTAGGGCAGATCTTATTGCAAAGTAGCCCTTCTGCTCTTTCTCTTTAGGGCAAAGTACATTATATTTGTCTTTGTCATGTCCTGATCACACTGTAATACACAAAATGGAACCTTGAGTTTTGTAAGTAACCTGAGTCCACAATATGGGTTCGTTTTTATTTTTGAATGTGTGGGCGCTGATCAGTGAACCTGTTTTACTTGGACTTCTTTTCCCCCAACAAATTTCACTATGCTGCGCTATGAATGTGGGTGGCTGTTTTAAAGGCTTTTGATTTTGCGGGGGACAGAGAACTGTTTGGAAATGTGGTTTTACCTCTGGCTAGCTTGGTTAACCCCCCCAAAATATAGTCAACCTAAAGTGGCTAGTGAAAAAACAATAGCAGTTCTGTAGCTGCTTGTTTGCTTGAACATTTTTTGGGTGAGCTAGGGGAAGACAAAACACTTGTTTGGGCTTCTTAATGAAGAAATTGTGTCCCCAAAATTCCAATGTGTGCTTCTTAAGCTTCCACTCTTCTCTAGGTTCTGGGCATGGGGAGGTAAACTTTGGCACCCCTACTTGCTTGTAAGTTTTCTCTTTACATTTCAGAGGTGTCAGATTTAGGAGAGGCTGCTTGTAAGTTTTCTCCTTATATTTCAGAGGTGTCAGATTTAGGAGAGGCTGCGGCAGGCAAAGTACATTATGTACAAAAACCTTCCTTTTGTAATATGGGAGCTCATTTCCAAAGGCTCCATATGGCTAGCCTAGGAGGCTCATAGTAAAGACCTGCTTTAGTTGTAAGCAGAGCTGATAGGAGGGTTTTTTTATAATCTAAGCAATAATTTTTAGGTTATTTTGCATCAGTTTAGGATGCACACTTGTGAGGTGGTATTTATGCCTTCTTCCCAGATTAGATTTACAAATCCCACTTTCTTAAGATACTTGATTTTACATTTTGAATCATGCTTTTTTGCCACTTTCTTTCTGTTTGAGGCTCACCGTGCAAATTAACTTTCTAAACTGAAATATTTAGCTTCTCAAATGGAAATACCTGGAACTGGATTTATTATAAAGGTTAAGAAGATTATAACCTAAATACTTAAACATGAAAAAAGTAACTTAATCTTCATGAGATTGTTTTATTCTTTCATTGGGAGGGTTACTTGGTTAAGAGCCAGTAGTCCTGGTCACCTCAGAGGGAATGCAAAGGCTCTTATTCTTTCATCCAGCTAATGTTAATTAACCTCATACTATGTGCAGGTTGCTTTGAGGGCTAGCAGTTAGGAAAGGTAGGAGGCTTGCCTCCATGGAGAATCTAGTCTTTTTACTTCATTTGGACCACTGTAAAAAATATAAAGCAGTGCAGTGGATACACAGTTGTGACATAGGTGGAAGAGAAGGGGGTCTTTCTGGCTCCTTGAGTGATTAAGGATGCTGTTACGGAGGAGGTGGGCACAGTTTAGTGAGACCTCAGAGGATGGGGAGCACTTAGGCAGGTTGAAAGGAAAGGGTAGGATTCCAAGTGGAAGCCACAGAGACTGGAAACTGCTGTGCATATTCAGGCTGTGTTTAGTGTTTCCAGCTTTATTGAGTGGTAGAGGAGAGAATAATTGGGAATATAGGTTTGGGATGCATTATAGAAGGCCTTGAATGCTGGTGGTAGTGCTTGGGCTATAAAAAGAAAGCAAAGGGGAGATTAATCAGTAGTTGGTCAAGGGACCATATCTGTTTTGCTAATTTGTTCAGCAGCTAGCATGAGGCCTGAGAACAAATGTCAGTGAATGTTGTTGAAACGATTTGAGTGGAGAGGGGCGTGACTGGAGAGGGACAGGGTGGAGGAAGTGAAGTCTGAACTAGGGAAGTAGAACTGGAAAGGAGGAATCCCTATGACTTGACATTTCATTGGGTGAGGAGTATGGAAATGCATAGGAGGAAAGGCCCTAAGACATTGATGTCTGCAGAGGGACAGAGTCATGGTACCATTCATTGATAGAAAAAGATACTTTAGAAGGGGAGAACTTGGTGTTGATAATGCTGCCAGGTGTGGTACCTAGGAAGGAGGGAGTGAAAGAAGGAAGAGGAGGAGGGAATGAATGAGTTTGTTGCTTCTTTTGCTTTCGTTCATCACCTTACTTTCATCTCTCCTGCCAAATTTATAATCCTTCCAAGAACCTCAAGGATTCTTTCCACATCTTCTGTATACCACAGTGGACTTTGCCAGGCAGCCTTTTGTGGGCATGTGTTTTAGGAACTATTTGACGTTTGTAGGAGTGTGGAAGAGAGTTTCTTCTTCTTCTTCTTCTTTCTTCTTTCTTCTTTCTTCTTCTTTCTTCTTTCTTCTTTCTTCTTCTTCTTCTTCTTCCTCTTCCTCTTCCTCTTCTTCTTCTTCTTCTTCTTCTTCTTCTTCCTCTTCTTCTTCTTCTTCTTCCTTCTGCTTCTTCTTCTTTCTTCTTTCTTCTTCTTCTTCTTTTTTTTTTTTTTTTTGGAGGCAGGGTCTCACTCTGATGCCCAGGCTGGAGTGCAGTGGCGTGATCATGGCTCACTGCAGCCTCAGCCTCCTGGGCTCGAGTGATCCTCCCACCTCAGCCTCCTGAATAGCTGGGACTAAAGGTGCTTATCACCACACCCGGCAATTTTTGTATTTTTTGGTACAGACTGTGTTTCGCCTTGTTGCCCAGGCTAATCTCAAACTTCTGAGCTCAAGCCACACGCCCACCTCATCCTTCCAAAGTGCAAAGTGCTGGGATCACAGGGGTGAGCCACTGTGCCCAGCCAGAGATAGTTTCTGTCATTTTGCTCGGTTACTGCCATTACCTTTATATAGACATAGTGGAATTTGTAAATTCAATTGATTTTTAACTTTTTCGTCTGTAAAGGATTTTTAACATTAGAAGTAGGTACAGAATACTCAAAATTATTCTTCTATCATTGAAACTCTTTGTTGCAGTCATTCTTTTCTTCCATTTTTTATTTCTTGTATGACTTGGCCAACAACTCTGGATATCAGTGATTGTGTATCCTTTTTAAGTTGAGAAATTTCATGTAGACATAAGGCTGAGTCAATAATTGTCTTGGGCAACTACTGTGTTTCAAAAGAAATAATTATTCCCATTGTTCATTATGTCCCTGATGAGCTAAACACTGAAATTACAATAGATGCTTTAGTCAATGTGAATTATTTGTGTGTGGTTAATTTTCTTCTTTTTTTCTCCCTAATGTGAGGCATATTCTGTATTTTCAACCTTTACCCCTTTTAGACACTTGTCTTAAGCTGCCTTGGTTGAATGAGAACAGCAGTGATAGTAAGGAAAGTTAAGATGAAATTAAAAAGGCCATAGAGTACATTTTTGGTAAACCAAAATATTGCTTGGTGGCATAAAGCCACAGATCCATTCCAAAAAAAAACGAAAACCGAAATGTGGTTTTGCTGTCTGTCATGCAGTCTGTTTCAACTGTCAGAAACATACGTTGCTTTATGGGATGTTTTTTTCAAGTCTGACCGCAGCTTTTAATTTCCTTCATTCCACCCACACCTCCTACCACACACCCATGTATCTAGTACTAATTTATAGGCAATTTGAATCTAATGACATAATCATCAGCAAGCAAAAGGGTCAGCACTTGTGGCAAAAGTTTCTTTCTTGGTGTGCTAATTATCAGTTCTACACTCTTGGAAACTCTAAACAGTCAGAACACAGTGATTGTCCTTGTTCATGGACTTTTCAGTCTAAGTTAGATTGAGGCCTTTAAAAGATGGGTTTGAAGTGCTTTGTATTTTTGCTAAAAACATAATATTAAAGAAAATTAAACAATATTCAGTGAATTTTAGAAAGCAAAAGAAAGAAACTCACTCATGTTCCTACAGTTGTGCCTTAACTGCTGACCAGGCAGAGGCATCCCTGTGTCTCCATCATATATGCTGTGTCTGATGGAGATCATGTCACCCAAATGAAAAAATACTTTTCTAGTCTAGGTTCAAAGGGTGATACATAAAATACATACCACAAAAAATTAATGATACAATGAAACCTCAGATCTTTAAAATTATTATTGACTTATTGGTAACTTTACAGTTTCTTCAACTCCTTATAGGCAATACGATCCTAAATATTTTTAAAAATCTAGTCCTAATTCAGCCAGTAACTTCCTGTGACATTGGTAAATTATTTAACTTTTCTGAGTCTCAGTTCCTCATCCATAAAACAAGGGTCTAGGACTGGATTTTTACTTTTTATAACATGTTGGTTCCCAGGCCCCTGATCTGGGCCTTAGGCATCAGTATTTTTCTAAAAGCTACAGAGGTGATTTTGATGTACAGCAAGGTTGAGGACCAGCGAACTAGAGCAGTGCTGCTCAAAATTCAATGTGCATACAAATCACTGAAATCAGATTCTGTTTCTGTAGGTCTGGGTTGGTGCATGATACTCTCCATTTCTAACAAAAAGATCAGGTGATACTGATACTGCTGGTCCACTGACCACATTTTGAGTAGCAAGGAGCCAAAACATCTCCAAAATGTCTTCCATTTCTACATTGTATCTCCATGGTATAGTTTATATAGTTCATGAAGTCTGTGTGCTGCTTGAATGAGATCTCACATTTAGTATGTTAAGATTGATAGTGTATTATCTTATTATCTGCACAACCTCTCTTTGCTTAAGCTCCATCCAGACTCATGCATCTTTATTTTTGTTTTTGTTTTGTATTTTTTTTTTTGGGAGATTCATGCATCTTTGAAACAATTCCTCATATTGAAGTCATTTTAATAGTACCTTGCTTTAGACAGCCTGACAGCTCTAGCTGGTGGCTGGTGGGTTGTTATATTTGCTGTAGAGAAGAGGGTTTTCATTTCTTTCTTCTTCGTTCACTCCACTCCGACAGATACTTAGGCTTTTGTATTGTCACCTTTCCTCTCTTCAACAGGTACCCTCCCCATATTGACCTCTTGTATTTTGGGGTAAATGGGCAAAAAGAATCATGAAGTGCATTTTGTTTTAATTTTGTTCTCATGCATGTACATTCTCTGCAGAAAATTTATTAAGCGTAAGTTTAAGGGAGCAAAACTCCAACTTAAAGCTCAAACATACTTAAGCTGTAACATTTTTTAACTCTGTACTTTAACCATATCACTTGGCAATTGTTTTTAGAAATAAGAAAATACTATTTATAGTTTGTGGTTCTTTATTTTTGTTTGCTGCAGCTCAATCTCACATTGGCAGGCATCATGACCCAGTAGAAAGACCCCTGAATGGTAGTGTCTGGAGAGCTGATATTCTAAGCCTTCACCCACCCTTAAGTAGTTTTTGCAACTGTAGACACTTGGGTTCTGTAAGTAAACCAGGGAAGAGATTAAGGAATGCTCCATTTCTTAGGGCTGTGTTGGAGAATTTGGTTACCTTGGAAGAACATACCTATCACCTAAAGTCTAAGGCAATAAGAAATTATAGTTTGCGATTGGGGAATGTTGCTTCGGAGCAGTGACACTCAGAGAGTGGTCCATGGACTGGTGCAGGTCTGTGAACTATTTCTTAAAGATGGGTGAATGAGATAAGGTACTTGTTACTTGTGCAAAAATTAACTCACTGTTTTCTTCATAGAGAATGTCTTTATTTTTAAAAAACAAAACAAAAAACTCCATTGAACTAAACGTAGTTAACCGTTATCTTTTTGCTGATCGGTAACAATGTGGGAACTAGCTACTTTCTGCTTTAGAATACTTAATCGGTCAAAAGTTGTATCAGGTTATTTTATAATTTAAGAATAGACCAAAGTAGAAGTTCATAAAATGTAGCCTAAAAAATAAAAAAGTAAATTTAAAGGCAAGTTAGGTTAAAGATAAGAATCAAATTCAAGGTGGTCTGGACGTATGTAGCATAGTTAAGTCCAAGGCAGTTAACACAGGTTCACAAGTAGTAGCTTCTTACAGAAGCTGTAAGAAGCACTGCAGTTTGTGCTTTGGTTAATGCAAAACTTGTTTAAATTCTTCTGAGTGCTTCTAAATTATCTGAGAGAATTTTTGTTTTTCATTTTTTGCCATCTACTTTTTTTTTTTTTTTTTGAGACGGAGTCTTGCTGTCACCCAGGCTGGAGTGCAGTGGCACGATCTCAGCTCACTGCAGGCTCTGCCTCCCGGGTTCACACCATTCTCCTGCTTCAGCCTCCCAAGTAGCTGGGACTACAGGCGCCCACCACCACGCCATGCTATTTTTTTGTATTTTTAGTAGAGACAGGGTTTCACCGTGTTAGCCAGGATGGTCTCGATCTCCTGACCTCGTGATCCGCCCGCCCTGGCCTCCCAAAGTGCTGGGATTACAGGCGTGAGGAACCGCGCCCGGCCGTTTAGTATCTACTTAATCGAAGAGAACATACCTCTGTAAGTCACAAAGAATTTTTATTCTGTAGTCTTAAATTTCAGGACCATGTTATTGTCTGAGAAGCTTTAAAATTAAGCCTGCCTCGCCTCCTCCTGCCTGATGATATTCTTTATACTTTACTACTATATATAAAATTCACTGCATCTAGGGCAAGTATCTGTTCACCAAGAAAAGAGGAAGGGAGATCCTTCACCAGTAGCAAAACATAAATACTGAGAATGTCTTTTCTGGGTAAAAGTGCAAGAAAAGTAGAAAAACAGCAAATTTTCTGGGGCTAGGCCTGTGAGCTCACTCCTTCCAATCAGTGAGGAGGCACTTGTCTTCTGCCACTGTACCAGTGAGTCTGGCATCCCCATCCCACTTTAGATCTGTTCCCTAGCCACCTCATGGTCCTTGCAGCCCTTCCCCTGTGTAGTATAAATTAGTAAGGGATGCTTTCTTAATTGAGAGACAGAAAGAGCCCTAAGCTTGAATCGATACCTAACAATACAGCCACTCAATTTGTAGCACTATCTAATCTCAGTTCTGTCTTAAAACAGAACTACTTACCTTAAGGGATTTTATTCGTAAGCCTACCCTCATAAATATTTCTGTCAGCCAGATATGGGGCAGCCATTCTTCCCATTTCATGATTATAGAAATGGAGTCCAGAATCATTTTGGAGTTTGCTTATTAAAGTCATGGTTTAGCTAGTCTAGAAATTAGAGTCACACTAGGATTTGGGACTGCACAGCTGTATAGTTCGTAATATTTGGTGTTCTTTTCAGAATGTTTTGTCACTTGATTCTGAATTCTTCCCATGCCTTTCCATAATTGTCCCCTAACCAAATCTTGACACGAGCCTGTGATTTCCCTATTTTAATGAATGGTAGGAAGCACCATATCATCCAGGTTTTACACACTGGAATCATTGATTCCGTACTCCCCTGGTTGTCTAATCTAGTGAAGCCACATAGTCTGCTAGTTCTCCATGTGCAGCCTGCCTCCTTTCCTTGCTCTCACCACGGTCACCATCACTGACCATCAGACCTTGTTGTCATACTAGAGGCTATGGTGGTCTCCAGGCTTTTTGTCTGCAGCCTTTGCCTTCTCTGTTCTCTTATCTGGGCTTGCTGGACCTCCCGGTCTACTTTTATATCTACCTTTTGGTGTTGGGTCATTTTTTAGGGTCCCTTCTCTGACCTTGGAAAATCCTACCAGTATTTCCAATATGGCTCTGTCCTCTTCTCTGCTTACTTTGCCCTTTTATTTAGGTAATTTTATTCACTCTGAGTAGATGAATCTCAGGGTTTTTTTTCTACTAGCCCAGACCCTTCCTCTGAGACCATTGTATGTCCTCATTTGCCTTGAATGTCTCATAGATACTTAAACTCAACAGGTCCCAAAATGACATAGTCCCCCCACAAGCCTGCTTAGTGATTCCTATCTGAGGAAATGCCACCACCATCCACCCAATTTCTCAAGCCAGAAACCCATAGAGGCAGCTGATTATTGTCCTTCCCTCTTATTCATTAGCCACACCCAGTCAAACATGAGGTCTTCTGGTATCAACTCCCAGTTACTCTTGCATTTGTTTACTTTTCTCCAGCTATATGATCATGGTAAATTAACCACTGTATGATTCTTTGGCTTTATCTGTAAAATGGGGACGAGAGTAATCCTCTTAAAATTGTTCTGAACATTAAGTGAAATATCTGGCACAGAGCAAGCGTTCCATGAATGTTAGGATGGTGAACACCCTTGGCCACCATATTTAAAAGGACTCACTGGCCTGGCGTGGTGGCTCACGCCTGTAATCCCAGCATTTTGGGAGGCTGAGGCAGGCGGATCACGAGGTCAGGAGATCGAGACTATCCTGGCTAACACGGTGAAACCCTGTCTCTACTGAAAAAGAAAAAAAAAAAAAAAAAAAAAAACTTACCCAGGCGTGGTGGCATGTGCCTGTAATCTCAGCTGCTCGGGAGGCTGAGGCAAGAGAATTGCTTGAACCCAGGGGGCGGAGGTTGCTGTGAGCTGAGATCGTGCCACTGCACTCCAGCCTGGGTGACAGAGCAAGACTCCGTCTCAAAAAAAAAAAAAAGAAAAAAAAAAAAGACTCACTACGAGTAATGCAATAGCCTCCTAACTGGTATGTCCTGGATAGTGATAATTCTGGTCCACTAGGTTCTTTTGGATCTACTTCTCCACCTTCACCTTGTGCTGATACTACCCTTTCACTTTTTTATTTGAACGTCAGTGTCCCATGCTGGTATGGCAGGCTTTGCTGGGAATGGTCTTACCCTTTTCTCTGCCCCTTTCTCCTTTGTGTGTCAGACTCATTTTACCCTCAGTTACTCAGGGAAATAGTCCTCTAAAAAGCATTTAAAAATACCCTGCATTCTGTATTTGTTTCAATGTCTGTCTCATTTGCTAGATTATGGACTCTGTAAGTCCTATCTTGTTCCTGTACTGTTTTTTTCAGACTATAATGCAGTATATGGCAGAGTAGCAGACAATAATCGAAAGTTATGAAATTAATATGGCTCACATTACTCTCTCCCCAAAGCCAGAAGGGTTTTCTTCCCCTCCTCACTCTTAGATTTCCAGGGCTCCTCTGTGTAGTAGCTAGGGCACTTAACACATGGCGTTTGTTATTGTGTTTATTTATATTTGATCTTCCCCCCCCAGATTATAAACACCTCGAGTTCAGATCAGTTTTGCATTCAGAACTGCTGTTTCTACCAGAGCTTCTAGTTTAGAGTAGGAGCCAGTAACTGAAAACATCTTGTTGAATTTCCTAAGTCTGAGGTGCTTTGGAAATTCATTTTGTTCCTATTCTGAAATTATCTTTCATCCTCCATCTTTCCTCTTGTGGTATGTTTTGTGGTTATAAATCTCTTCTTTCCGTCCACAACATTAAATATAATCAGTGCCAAGAGGAGGATGGAGGACAGAAATGCACTGTGGTGTCTTGACCTGTCTGGTACTTATCATAACTTTCCTAGGAATTGACCTTGATGGGCCCTTACTGCCTTCTAAATAAAGTTCAAACCCCTTAGTGTGGCATTCAAGACCTTCCATAGTCTGACCCCAGTGAACCTCTTCTGTCCTTATTTTCCACTCTATTTTTTATTGCATGCATCCTGTGCTCTAGCTTAATGGTTTTCAATCCTGCCTGCACATTAGATTCACCTGGGGAGCTTTAAAAACTGAAGCCAGGGTCCTGTCTTTGGAGATTGTGAGTTAATTCGTCTGGAGTGAGGCCTGGGTGTGGGTGTTTGTGAAAGGTCCACTAGTAATGCTGATGTAAGGCCAGGGCTAGAAACTACTGACAAGCTCAGTGTTTCCCACGGAATATCATCTCCTCTCCGAATTTTGACGAGAAAGGGTCCCAAAGTCAAAGAAGCTTGAGTAGTAATTGCTTTTAATGTGCTCCTTTCCAAAGATGTACAACGAACACTATCAAATGAAAGGCTCTAAGATACCCAACAGTAAAGAAAACTGTTTAACTTTCTTCATAGTGTGTGAGGTCGTCTGATAAGAGACACTTTTATGTATATAATACTTGTTAATAACATCTGCAACATGTGGTATAGAAAATGTTTTTAGCCACTTCTCAACTTTTGAGTCACTTCTTTTTTTGTCCTTCCCTGATCATGTCATCCAAATCAGACCCACCTCCTGCCCCAGGGCTCTCTCTTACACCCCCAATTTTGTCTTCATAGCACTTCTCAGTATCTGAAATTCCTCTTTATATACTTGTATGTTTGCTTCTGTCTCCCTCCACCTATGATGTGAGCTCCATGACCGCAGGGATTTACTTGTCTTGTTCACCCCTCTGTCTTCATTCAGCATCTACAATAGTCCTGACAAATAGTAAGTAGATATTTAATAAGTATTTGTTGAATGGGCAAAAATACACGGGCAGTAATGCATTCGTGGTTTAGGCTTTTTCTAAGGTGCATTTGTTTAAATATTTTAAATTGCCTACAGAATTTAATTTAAAAGCAACCTGAAGTACATTTTAAAAGTAACTAGGAATATAGGAACACAATAGTTTGCTTTACCTTTAATTTTCTCAACCTGCCTAGTCAAGTATTAAAAAAGAAGAAAACAAACAAAAGTGGATGTGAGCCTGATTATAGGGAAAATGCTGTTATTTTTCTGATTATAGAGAGTTTTCAGTTTGTGGTTGGGGACTTGTTTTTTCTGATTTCTCAGCCTGTCTCGGGTGGCTTCCCCCAGCCATTGAAGGAACTTGAGTGAGGAATCAGTGAATGGTAGTGGACTTTGTGTGCAGTACACCACCCCAACAACAAAAACACACAAAAACAGACAAGGAATTAATTTCAGTAAAAACTTCCTAATAATTAAAACCCTCCTACAGTGTGAGAGTATTCAGACAGGTTTGTCAGGGACAGTGGGGAGGCAGTTTGTGTATCAGAATCCGTATGTGGAATCCCAAGTTCGGTTGCCTGCTGCTCAACACGTGATGCTGCAGCAACTCTTGGACCTTGTTCAGAAGGGATTTGAATAGCCTGTTCTCTCTAGGGGTCCTCATGCTGCAGCTGTGCCCATGGCTCCCCAAGCCTGGCTCTAACTGTGTTGTTTTGAGCAGGGTTAATAAGCACGAACTCGTCTACACATTGTAGTGTGTATAATTCCTGAGCTCCACCACCACACCTTGAATTATCAGGAACTGACCTTTTACTTCCTGTGGACCTAGTGATGCCGTCGCATGAGTAGGCCCTTTCCTTGGGCTATTAAAATCATCAAGTTGGTTCACTCGAGATAACATTATAGAGATTTCTCATGAACGCTGTATACAAGGTGCTCTCCTAGGGTGCTTCTAACAAATCCATCAGTCCAGTGGGTCAGGTGATCAGCAATCTGGTATAAATAATCTCAAGAAGGAGGTTGAGCTGCATTTCCTTTATTATATTTTAAAATAATCTTTAAAACACATATTTTGCCAAGGTTTCAGATAGGAAGCTTTAATCATTTATTCACCCATCAGGAATTGTCCAGAATGAATTTGCATTTCCTTTTGTTGCACACTATGATAATTTATTATTCTTTTGAATAGCATGGTATCCTAAATGCCAGAAAAGATGTGTGATGGGAAACTAAATAAACCATATCAGAATTTAAGCAAGTTTTCTGGATAGATATTCCTTTATGGTTGATATATTAATGTGCTTTAGCTACAGGCATACCTTGTTTTACTGGGTCTTGCTTTATTGTGCTTCACAGAGACTGTTTTTCACAAATTGAAGGCTGTAGCAACCCTGAATGGAGCTGTTCTTCCAATAGCCTGTGCTCACTTCGTGTCTCTGTGTCACATTTTGGTAACTCTCACAATGTTTCAAACTTTCTTATTATTACTTTATCTGTTACATGATTTGTGGTTAGTGATCTTTGATGTTACTATTGTAATAGTTTTAGAGTGCCGTGAACTGTGCCCCCATCAGACAGCAAACTTAATTAATGTGTGTGTTCTGACTGCTTCATGCTATTCCCCCTTCTTTCCCTCTCCTCAGGCTTCCCCATTCTCTGAGACAACAGTATTGAAATTAGGCCAATTAATAACCCTACACGGGAGGGCCTCTAAGTGTACAAATGAGAGGAAGAGTCTCACATCTCTCACTTTAAATCAAAATCTAGAAATGATTAACCTTAGAGTGGAAGGCATGTCGAAAGCCAATGAGCCAAAAGCTAGGTGCGTTGTGCCCAACAGCCAAGTTATAAATGCAAGTAAAAAGAAGTTAAAGGAAATTAAAAGTGCTACTCCAGTGGTAAGAAAATGAAACAGCCTTATTGCTGAAATAGGGATAGTTTTAGTGGTCTGGATAGAAGCTCAAACCAGCCATAATATTCCCTTAAGCCAAAGCCTAATCCAGAGCAAAACCCCTCACTCTCTTCAATTCTATGAAGGCTGAGAGAGATGAGAAAGCTGCAGAAGAAAGGTTTGAAGCTAGCAGAGGTTGGTTCATTAAGTTTAATGAAAGAAACCATCTCCATAATGTGAAAGTACAAAGTGAAGCGGCAAGTACTGATGTGGAATCTGCAGCAAGTTATCTAGAAGATCTAGCTAAGATCATTGATGAAGGTGGCTACACCAAACAACAGATTTGCAGTGTGGATAAGACAGCCTTCTATTGGAAGAAGATGCCATCTAGGACTTTCATAGCTAGAGAAGAGATGTCAGTGACTGGCCTCAAATCTTCAAAGGACAGACAGACTCCCTTGTTATGTGACTAATGCAGCTGGTGACTTTAACTTGAAGCCAATGCTCATTTATCATTCCAAAAATCCTAGCGCCTCTAAGAATTATGCTAAATCTACCCTGCCTGTGTTCTATAAATGGAACTACAAAGCCTGGGTGACAGCACAGCTGTTTATAGCATGGTTTACTGAATATTTTAATCCCATTGTTGAGACCTACTGCTCAGAAAAAAAGATTTCTTTCAAAATATTACTGCCTATTAATGGTGTACCTAGTCACCCAAGAGCTCTGATGGAGATGTACAAGGAGATAATGTTTTCATGCCTGCTAATAATTCTGTAGCCCGTGGATCAAGGAGTAATTTCAACTTTTAAGATTTACTATTTAAGAAATACATTTTGTAAGGCTGTAGCTGCCATAGATAATGATTCTTCTGGTGAATCTGAGCAAGGTAAATTGAAAACCTTCTGGAAAGGATTAGCCATTCTAGATGCCGTTAAGAACATTTGTGGTTCATGGGAGGAGGTCAAAATACCAACATTAATAAGAATTTGGAAGAAGTTGATTCCAACCCTCATGGATGCCTTTGGAGGGGTTCAAGACCCTGAGGATGTTCTTTGGGGGTGGACCTTGAAGATGTGACTGAATTGCTGCAATCTCATGATAAAACTTGAATGGATGAGGAGTTGCTGCTTATGGATGAGCAAAGAAAGTAGTTTCTTGAGATGGAATATACTTCTGGTGAAGATGCTGTGAACACTGTTGAAATGACCACAAAGAATTTGAATATTACATCAACTTAGTTGATAAAGCAGTGGCAGAGTTTGAGAGGATTGACTCCTCTGAAATTTCAAAGAAATTCTGTGAGTAAAATGCTGTCAAACAGCATCACATACTACAGAGAAGTTCTTTGGGAAGGAAAAGACCCCCAGTGCTAACAAGCTTAATTATTGTCTGTTTTTGAGAAAATGTCATAGCCCTCCAACTTTCAGCAACCACCACCCTGATTAGCCATCAGTATTGAGCCAAAACCCTCTGTCAGCAAAAAGATCATGGCTCACTGAAAGCTCAGATAATGGTTAACATTTTCTAGCAATAAAGTATTTTTAAATTATGGTGTATTGTGTGTGTGTTTTTTTTAAGACATAATGCTACTTCACACTTAAACTATAGTACAAACATAACTTTTATGTTTGTACTATACTGTAGTACACACATGTACTGGGAAACCAAAAAATTTGTGTGACTCGCTTTATTGTAGCATTCACTTTATTGTTGTGGTCTGGAACTGAACCCACAGTATCTCTTGTGTATGCCTGTATTCCCAAACAATTGTAGCGTGCCTGCAAAAGAATTCATGAGATTCTAACCACCTAAACTGTAGTTTCTTCTATTTATTCAACAAAAGCGTATTGAGTGTCTTTGACATACCAGCCACTGGGGCTATAAGACAAAGCTATCTGCCATGGAGCCTACATTCTCTAGAACCTTACTACTAGGGGTCTGGTCTGTGGACCAGCATTTTCAGCATCACCTTAAAATTTGTTGGAAGTATAGACTCTGAGGCCCTTTTCCAATTTGGATTTTAACATTTCCAGGTGATTAGTATGTGCATTACAGTTTGAGAAGCACTAGTCTAGTCCATGTAAACAAAAATATATATGAGATAATTTCAGATGATTACAGATGCTGTCACGAGAAGACAAAACTATAATGGCCAGAGAGTGGGAGGAGGACGAGTAATTGAGGATGGTAAGTGAAAGCATCAGAGGGAGTGTCCTGTGGGCTGAGACTTAAATGATGGGTGGAGATGAGCCATGGGAAGATCTGGGGAAGGTGGTTCCAGGTAGAGGGAACAGCAAGTGCAAATGCTAGGAAGAGGGACTGTCTCCTTGTTCCTTGCTATGCCCTCTGCTCTAGCCAGGCCAGGGCCCATTTATTCACTTGCTGACTGTGCCTGCACCTGAAAGTGTGGTGGAAGTGTAATGGCAGAGTGGTATCTCAGTAAACAGGAAAAGGCCAAAACTTGGGTTTTGATAAGAGCAGCTACTCATAGTGAGAAAACAATCAAAGGGATTGTAAGGATGTTTTGGTAATGACAGCTTCAAAGAATTGGAATTTTATATAATTGGGAGGAGGGAGAAGAAACCACTAGAGGCCATATGCTGGAATTGGAAGAAGAGGAAAGAAAATACTGAGAAATGCAGGATAGATGGAGATTTCCTGAAAAACAGAGAAAAGAAGTAAACAGACAAGGAAGCTTTAGCCTCGCCTGAGAGGAAAGACCAAAAAATAGAGCATGGCTCTCTGTATAAAAGGTGGCTTGTTTCCCTGAAGGTAGGCATCCTTGATGAGAACTGAGTAAGGACGATTAGTCTGTTTTGTTTTGTTTTATTCCTGTATCCAAAATTCCTTTGTCTTTAGGTATTTCTCACATCATTTTGATCATACATATATGTTGGGAAAAATCAAGATGAATAATCTCCGTTTACTCTGGGAACAAGGAGTATCTTCTTCCCTCTACTGTGGCTAAGTATGGAAAAGCTTAATTGTAAATCAGCATTCAAAGACAACCAAACATTTATTTATGTCAGTAGGAAAGAGGAAGGTGTGTGAGAGAGAGAAGGAGGAGGAGGAAGAAGAGGAGGGGAGGGAGAGAGAAGAGAAATAAAATGTAAAGCAGGCAGCTGGCAAGGCTTGCTCTGACACACTGGCTGAGGAAAGAGCTATTGGTAGAACTTGGATGTCTTAGTAATCAGAGTAATCAGGTTCTCTGACCGGTTCCACCTTGTTCTGTGCAGGCTGAAAGTAAGCTCTCTAGAGAAAGTAATTTTCTTTCTCTGCTCCTTCTGACATCCCACTTTTCCCTCCCATCCTTCCTTTCTATTTTCCCTGCCTCTCCCCTCTGGTAGAACTGAGTATAACCGTGGTAACATTGGTTACAGTGTTTTCTAGACTTGAGAACTGAAATGATTTGACCTTGTACAAGTAACTGGATGTCTGGCACAATGATCGTCATTCTCAACCTTGATAATTTATCTCTCTCGATCACTGTTAACATTGGAGCAGTATTTAAACACAATAACTAGAGCCCAGAATATGCATGTAGGCGAATAGGCACCTATCTAGGATTTCTCTTAAAGATATACCTCTAGAGAGCTCACATGGTAGGAGGAAAAAGAGGGTGCTCTTTTTTTTCTTTAACCATTGTAAAAATGCTTCAGTAAAATATAGCTTGAGCTCTGGGGATAGACTGGAATAGTACCATGAAATGTGGGTATACCGTGATTCTCTTCAAGAAGGACTTTGTTCTGCTTATTCCCACATGAGCACCACAAACAGTAGCCCCATGTATCTTGTTAGGACAAATAAATGGGACACTTGAGAATATCCAGTTAACTGAGCCGCACATTGGGTACTTTAAAGCACACTTAACATGCAGTAAAATAGCATAAATATGAGTTCAAAACACAAACCAAGTTGACATTGCTTGTGGTATCATCATTAGTAGAATCATTGCTTTGGTTAAACTCCCTGGGGGAAGCAGTGGAAGGGAGGTATGGGGGTTGTGAAAAGAGATTCAATATTGACACTTTCACATTGTTTAAGATGATACAAATTAACTACTCTGTTATAGACAGTATCCTTTTCTCACTGGAGTAAGTAGGATGGGCAGAGCTTTTAAAAACAGCAAGTCTTAGTTTTAATCAGTCCTTTAGGAACCTGATAGATGGCCTACTAATTCGATTCTTATAATGTTATCAACTTTGTTTTATTGCTTTATTAAGCAGTAGTAGTTGTTTTTTTTTTTTTTTTTTTTTTTTTTTTTTTTTTTTTTAACAAGCACTTGAACTGAAATAAAGCTTAGGCATGTGGTTTACCAACTTGCTAGCTATACTGACGATACCTTTGGTCTAAATCTTTAAGCTTTATTCCAGTCAGGCTTTTTTTTTTTTTTAAGAATACCTAAGATTAGTGTGTGTGTGTTTTTTTTTTTTTTTTAAATACTTTTTAAGTTCTAGGGTGCATGTGCACAACGTGCAGGTTTGTTACATAGGTATATATGTGCCATGTGGTTTGCTGCAGCCATCAACTCGTCATTTACATTAGGTATTTCTCCTAATGCTATCCCTCCCCCAGTCCCCCACTCCCCAACAGGCCCTGATGTGTAATGTTCCCTGCCCTGTGTCCATGTGTTCTCATTGTTCAGTTCCCACCTATGAGTGAGAACATGTGGTGTCTGGTTTTCTGTCCTTGTGATAGTTTGCTTAGAATGATGATTTCCAGCTTCAACCATGTCTCTGCAAAGGACATGAACTCGTCTTTTTTTATGGCTGCATAGTATTCCATGGTGTATATGTACCACATTTTCTTAATCCAGTCTATCATTGATGGACATTTGGATTGGTCCCAAGTCTTTGCTACTGTGAATAGTGCTGCAGTAAACATATGTGTGCATGTGTCTTTATAGTAGCATGATTTATAATCCTTTGGGTATATACCCAGTAATGGGATCACTGGGTCAAGTGGTATTTCCAGCTCTAGATCCTTGAGGACTCGCCACACTGTCCTCCACAATGGTTGAACTAATTTACACTCCCACACAGTGTAAAAGCCTTCCTATTTCTCCACATCATCTCCAGCACCTGTTGTTTCCTGACTTTTTAATGATCCCCACTCTAACTGGTGTGAGATGGTATCTCATTGTGGTTTTGATTTGCATTTCTCTGATGACCAGTGATGAGCATTTTTTCATATGTCTGTTGACTGCATAAATGTCTTCTTTTGCGAAGTGTCTGTTCATATCCTTTGCCCACTTTTTGATGGGGTTGTTTGTTTTTTTCTTGTAAATTTGTTTAAGTTCTTTGTAGATTCTGGATATTAGCCTTTTGTCAGGTGGGTAGATTGCAAAAATTTTCTCCCATTCTGTAGGTTGCCTGTTCACTCTGATGGTAGTTTCTTTTGCCGTGTAGAAGCTCTTTAGTTTAATTAGATCCCATTTGTCAATTTTGGCTTCTGTTGCCATTGCTTTTGGTGTTTTAGTCATGAAGTCTTTGCCCATGCCAGTGTTCTGAATGGTATTGCCTAGGTTTTCTTCTGAGGTTTTTATGGTGTTAGGTCTTACACTTAAGTCTTTCATCCATCTTGAGTTAATTTTTATGTAAGGTGTAAGGAAGGGATCCAGTTTCAGCTTTCTACATATGGCTATCCAGTTTTCCCAGCACCATTTATTAAATGGGGAATCCTTTCCCCATTGCTTGTTTTTGTCAGGTTTGTCAAAGGTCAGATGGTTGGTTATAGGTGTGTGGTGTTATTTCTGAGGCCTCTGTGCTGTTCCATTGGTCTATATCTCTGTTTTGGTACCAGTACCATGCTGTTTTGGTACCAGTACCATGCTGTTTTGGTTACTGTAGCCTTGTAGTATAGTTTGAAATCAGGTAGCATGGTGCCTCCAGCTTTGTTCTTTTTGCTTAGGATTGTCTTGGCAATGCGGGCTTTTTTTTTGGTTCCATATGAACTTTAAAGTAGTTTTTTCCAATTCTGAGACTTTGCTGAAGTTGCTTATCAGCTTATGGAGATTTTGGGCTGAGACGATGGGGTTTTCTAAATATACAATCATGTCATCTGCAAACAGAGACAATTTGACTTTACCTAATTGAACACCCTTTATTTCTTTCTCTTGCCTGTTTGCCCTGGCCAGAACTTCCAACACTATGTTGAATAGGAGTTAATAGCTAAGATTAGTTTTATGTGTTACATGTTATTAACACTTTTGTAAAATTGATTTTTGATAAGGTAAAAATGGAGTTGTCAGTTTAGAGAAATAGTACTACTTGAAAATTTTTCCTTATATTTAGTCTGGATTTTAAGTTAGAATTTCTCATTAGTCCTCTGACTTTTTAATCTAGGGTCAGGCAAGATCAGTTTCAGAAGTTGTACAGTTTCTTTAGAAAATTTGGAACAAATCAAGATATTTTCTGATTGAAATTTTAAAGAATTGCAGTCTTTGTTCTCTAGTGGTGAAGTGAAGTGATAAGGTTGCAAGATTTATTTGTGTTTATTCCAAAAAGTATTTCAGGCAGGGTAAGTAGGACTTCTTTGTCACCTTTTTAAAAAATGTTGATATTAAAGTGGATGAATGTATGTTCTTGATAAACATTCAATAAAATAAATAGATTCATCTTTAAAAAAATTTTGGCAAGAAACTGCTGTACAGAAAACGAATGGTAAAAAGTTATTCTTCAGGAATGTTTCCTAAAACTGTAATTGCTTTAAGTTAGCTGCTGAAATGGTTTCCTAATAACGCTTTGTTATTCTGTTTTATTTCAACAATACATATGTAGTAATGTTGTTCCTATTTTGATGAGAGACAAACCCATCAAACAGTTTTTAAAATCAACAATTGCTTTTGATATATCCGTTTGATTACTAAAATAAAGCTATTGGTACTTTCACCCAAGTTTATTATGTTTTTAAAATAAAATTTATGTCTTTTTAAGGAAATCATATAGGCTGAAATGATCTAAATAAAAATCAGATTTTTATTGTATCAGGTCTATTTCAGGGAATGTAGTTAAATTCAGGTATAGGGTTAACTAAGTTTTTGTCTTTTAAATGATTAGTAAAATTTGTTATGTGATAAAGGAAATATGTATTTGGTATTGTGTGCGTTAGTATTTGTTACTTTTTAACCTAGTGATTGAGTTACAGCTTTCTTTTCAACACATGACATCACTTTCCCATGATGTAAGATAGATGATAAATTTTCCAATGATTCTTGAGTTTTGGAGTATGAAGAAATAAAGGATAAAAGATTCTTTTCTGTGTTTTCCTGTTTCGTTACTACCTGGTCATGCTCCTAGGCCACTGTCCATCAGTACTGTAGAGTTAGCCTGTTGACAGTCACATGTCATGTGTTGAGTGCGTAGCCAAGGGATTTTCGTAGAATGCCTTTTTTGTCTTTACATTTTTCTGAGATATTTTATCCAAACCAAGGTTTTCTTTAGCAGGGATGGTGATCATTTTTATTTTATTTATTTTTTTGTTGGAGAATGGTGTAAAGGTGGGTAATTTTGAGAGAGAGGAAATAGAATGGTAGTGAGTTGAGGGTAGGAAAATACATCTGCAACTTTTATTGTTTTTTAAATGAGCATCTTGATAGGGAAGATAGAATGGAATTGTCAAAAATTGTTAATGTGTTTGACAAAGTGTGGCTGTCAGTATGATCTTTTTGTTACATTTTGACATGAACAATTGTCCTTTTATTGGGGCTGTTAATGCTATTTTAGAATATCATGAGCATCTGAAGGCAATAGTTTAGCAGTGTCCATAAAGCATCAAATACCATTATAATATCTAGTAACCCTAACAGCAATATTTCAGAATCCCTGCCTGTTTAAATGGGCTATCTGTGAATGTACTTGCTCAGGGATGCATGACCCACATCACCTATAAATTTGATTGGAAGCTAACAGTACTGGCGTAGCCTGATGGATAGCAGATTAGAGCCCTGATTAACCATGTGATTCAAAGACTGGGAATATATTGTCTAAGCAAGATTCATCAGATGCAATCAGAATTTCAAGTGGTCAGATGAAATTCAAATGTGTGTTGTGGCTTTTCCTCCCCTATTGCTTTTCCTCCTAGGTTGCCTTTTTTTCCTTCTTTCCCCAAAGCTGAAAAATACTTCTTTGATGAATCTGCTCCTTACCCTAAAGCTGTCTGTCTGTTATTCATCAGAAAGCAGGTCGCAGTTCAGTGAGCAGAAGAAAAGATTTTAATAGAAGCTGTGCCAAGGGCTGTAATGCATCATTTTAGGGCCCTAATTACATTACAATGACAAATATCAATGGTGACAACAGCAATAACCTACATCCTTTAATGGCTGTGCTGGAAAAGGAGTTTGGGCCCCACGCCATTATATTAGACTCAGTTTCAAAACATAGGCCATTAGAAGTGTGTGTCCACAGTGTTATTGGCTGATCGCTAAAGCCCAGTGGAAAGGCCTGTAAATAAATGATGCCTCCCTAAAGCTGGGTCCTGTGGGACAAAAGAGGCGAAATTAGATGACCATGGGAGCAGCAGTGTTTCCGAGGCAACTTTAGATTTCAAAGTGAAGAATGACCTGCTTAATTTTATGAAATCACACACACACCCCACCCCCCCACTGCCAATTAGCCTGACCATGAAAATCCATTGGCATGACAACTTAAAGAAATTAAGAAGTCTTTTAAACAAAAGGAGATCTTTAACGGAAGTTTGGAAGGTTTCTGCCCTCCCGTTTCTGTTGTGTGTGTGTTAACCTATGTGATTGAATAAAAAGGCTCTTCTCCTTTTTACATTTATTTTTAAGAAAATGTAGAATTTTTTTAAAAAATAGTTGCTCAGACTTAATACAGCCTAGGTCCAAAATTTTATTTCACCAGATGAATAAGTTTCCTTAGAGTCGTTTTTATTGCCTAGATTATGTAGGCGAACTAAAGAACTCAGTTTTCTTATGTGCCCACACATTTTTCAGCCCTCCTAGCAAGGGACTATTTTATTTATGTAAACAACATAATGACGAAAATATGCTTGGCAGATGGTTCTAAGCATTAGAATCATCAGTTTGGTCTGCCCCAAAGTGTCTCATTATCTTTTATTCTCTCCCCCTCCACCTCTCCCTGCAAAAAGCTTAACAACCAAATGCATTTGAGATGCTGTACTTTCAGCCTGGTGAATGCTACTCTATTTTTATTGCTCACCCTGGAATTTCACCCCATAACCACTGTGGTATGTTCGTCCAGGTGGAGAGTGGTTTGGTGATTCCCATTGCAGCTCTTCATGGTGGCTTAAGCATTCTTAAAGGATGGCTAAATGCTCCATGGGGCCAGTGCAGTAAATTAAATCAGGTCAGCACAGTTGGGTCCTTATTCACTGCAGCTTATTGGTGCTGGGTTTTTGTCCATACTGTTAGGAATGCAGGCTGGAATGGAAAGCTTGGATTTGAAACTTCATGGTGAATTTGTGTTTTCTTTTGGCTGGTAAAGTTTTTAAGGTGCTGGCATTTAAAAGATTGCATAGCTACACAGTTAGAAGGGTTGCTGATGAAAGAAGGAAGCCTAGATTGCACAAGTAGAGTGTCACTGTCATTCTGGTAATGACTTGGCAAGAAAAGGCATTTTGGGCCTCACATAAAATGAGGAACTGACCCTGGATGGAATTTAAGAATGTCTTAGGGATAGTAATTGCTTTACATTTTCTGCCTTTCAATTCTTCTTAGCTCTCTTTCCTCCATTCCATCATTAAAATATAAACTATTTTGTATGTACGTGTATTAAAAAAAACTGTGTATTTATACATCACAAAATATACAAGGCACCATCTGAAAAATACAAATTAAGATAAACATTGGTAAAACTGTGAGTAACTTTTTAAAGAAAACATGTAGTGGTGGTTTTTCTTTTAACTTACTGTAGCATCTTATTGGTTTAAAATGTCTGTACTTATAAAAATTATTAGAGAATAGACTGTTCTTTGACATTGTTGGGACTTTTGCATATCCACAGTAAAAAAAAAAAAAAAAAAAAAAAGTTCCCAAGGATAGTTTCCAGATACATACAGATTGCTTCCTGCTAAGTGTAATAAGATTTTAGCATATCTCAACCTCTGCACACTGAAAACCTTGGTAGGACACATTTGGAAATTTTTATGGTTGAAGAAAACATTTTGTTCTCCAAGAATTTGTAAGAATCCGAATTAGCCAACTTTTTTGGGTTGTTTGGGTGCTGCTGTTTCAGAAGTTTAGGGTCTTGAGTTTAAAATCACAGCACCAATGTTTTTAAAGCAAAGGCCACAAATATAGAAATCCAATGATTTGCTAATTGATGGAGTTGAGATGTAGGAAAGAATGTATCTTTACTTATCTAAATTCTTAAGACTTAGAAGACTGCAGGTTTTATGGAAAACATTAGTATGAGCAAGGGTCCTGGTGAAGGCTGTTGAAAACTGATTTCCAGTCATGGAAATTAAATTCCATTTTATATTGCCCTGATGCTTGAAGGTTAACTTTTTAAGATGAATGCTGGTTAATAAATTGTGCTGTTAATGTGGCACTGTTGTCACTGCTTCCTTTTAATGGGCTTACTGATGAGATAGTTTTCCTCTTCCTTAGGAAATATGCCAGCCAAATTATAAAGTATGTTTTAATATCATCCTGTTAATATTTGGGGAATCTGTAACCAGCTGACTGTTCTCTTTATTGCTTTCCTTTCCCTTATTTTTTGCAGGCAGAGATTGTCAAGAGGCTGAATGCTATCTGTGCACAAGTCATTCCTTTCCTGTCCCAAGAGGTAAGGTAGTTGATTTTAGGCACTGGACTAGAAGTTGCCATTTTAGTGGTTTTGCAGAAAAGGGATTGTAGAACTGACTCTCTGGCCTTGCCAGTCTCTTGGTGTTTGTATTTTATTTTCATTTCTAAGAAACAGTGTTCTCACTCCAACTTGTATACCTTAGTAACTTTCTGTGGGATATAATTTATATGTGTTTACATAATGGAATATTTTCTAGTTGGGCTAAGCAAAATTCAGTCGTTAAAATATTTTGCTATCTTTGTCGTGTTGCTCAGAATTATGCTTGTTTGTCATAATGGTACCTAATAGGGTAGACTGAAAAATTGCCAGGAAAACAGGAGCTTACTCTGTACTATTGTCATTGGGCATTAAGAATTGGCAGAAGACATATCAAATGGAAAGACTTTTTGTAGTAAACAAACTAATGAAGCTTTTGGCTAGCTACTTTTAAACATTTACTTCTTGTTTCCTGATTAAGTCTTTATATTATTGTGCTTTTGGGAAAAGACCTGCAAGATGAACTCATTGAACTCGTTTCTCTGAGTGCCACTTTTCTCAAAATTAGGCTTTGGTGATGGTAGGCTTAGCACATTGCTAAGGCCTGGCATGCGGCTCACTAGTTCTCTTGCTCACCTACAGGGGAAGTGCATGCCATCAGCAAACAGGCACAGGTTGGAATAAAGCGATGCATTTCTAGTGCTTGTTGGCTTCCTTGTGGTTTTTTTTTCTCTCCCTGCTTACTTTTGGTAGTTACAAAGTTGAAGTGAGAATACTGGAAAAAGATAATTTTTTGCTTCTGGATTACTGAATGCCTTCATTTGCTCAGGTAAGATCCACTCTAAGAAGGAAGGAGCTAATGAAATATCTGCATGTCTTGTAGCCGCAATACTTTGTGCTGTGGGCTGAGAAGGCACAGAGGCACTTTTCTTCCTACCCTTTCAGTTGTTCTATAAGTGTGTTGTGTCACTGCTTTTCAGGAGAGAGGTTCATTCACCTGCTTGCCAGCGGGCATGTGCCAATGTTATGTGGCCAATATTTGAGCCTGCATGTGTATTATAGATATGCAGATTGCTGTATATGATTTTTTTCTTTGGTCTGGACTGGGTTAGACTTGAGTAACTATGGGTACCCTTCATAGGTATATACTGGGGAGGGGGCACTCATATTCACAAATCTTGTTGACACTCTGAATTCACATGCTCTTTTGGGTCTTGATAAACAAAGGGTATGTTGTCTTTTCTCCTCCTTTAGCTGTGACCACAAAACCTACCACCAGTCATGTCCCCATTTGCCTGTTTTTACTTAGGATTTGCTTATGGCTAGATTAGATGGCTTGGTGAATGAGAGTCAAGGGGTGTATCTGCATTTCTTTTGGAAACCTGACTGCCCCCTGCCTGATCCAGACTAGTGTGTATTTTTTACTTTAAGCAGCTCTGCTTTATGGAGATGGAGAATGGGAAGAATGTGTGACCTACAGAGCTGTAACCAGGCTGGGGTGTCATGTTCTAAGGTGACAGGGAAAAGTTCGAATTATCCCTGGGGTGGTATTAGACTTTGGGCCTCTGTAGGCACAGACCCCTGTATATGATCGCTGGTATGGCTTTGGTCTCATCACATTTCTGCAGGATCTGTGGGTTGTGTTCAGAAGTAGAAGGTTGTCTTGGGGATGTTGATGAAGCTGATTTGCCAATGAGTTGTTTTCCCACATGAATTATGTTGTTTGTGTGAGCAGGCCCAGTGGGAACAGAATGTATAATGGTAGTGGTGCTGAGCAAGACTGGACTGAAATTAATTGTCTAAGGAAGTTGTACCTGTAGGTGAAAGCCATGGGGAGATACTGACAACTCATTTGCTCTAGTCTGGGAAGAAAGGTGTCATACTTAACTGTTGTCATACCACTTAACTATTTATTTCCCAAATACTTTGACATTTCTTGGTTGAAATCCTTGACTCACGTATAATGATTTATGCCAAGCTTGTGCAACCCCAGGGCCTGTGGGCCACATGTGGCCCAGGATAGCTTTGAAAGTGGCCCAACACAAATTTTAAACTTTCTTAAAACAGTATGAGATTTTTCTTTGCAATTTTTTTTAAGCTCATCAGTTATCGTTAGTGTATTTTATGTGTAGCCCACATAAAATGGGATGTGTGTGTGATTTCTTCTTCCAGTGTGGCCCAGGGAAGCCAAAAGATTGGACACCCGTGATCTATGCCATGGTTTTCTAAATGCTAGTTCTGTGTATATATTTTCTTTTGCTTACTTTAGATTTAATTTACTCATCTTTTTCTAGTTTCCTAAGGTATGTGTGTATCTTTTATTGTGTGAGACACAAACATGTTTGTTTCCTTCAAATCAGGGCATCTCTGATGTTTTTTATCTGAACATCGTCCACCTTGTTTCTTCTTCTGTGCATTCTGTGAGCATTGGACTCCTTGCTTCTGCCCTGAAGCCAGATGGACCATAATCTGGAGGGAGGGGAGGAGCAGGTTAGTAGAGGAAGATGAATTCTGTTTCCTGTCTCTTCAGAGGCATGGAAAATCACTCTTGCATGGCTGTGAGCATCACTGTGCCAGGACTGAAGGCTCTTAATCTGATCTTTTAACACCGGCTCTCTGTGTGACAGTCTCGCTACCAAAACGGCAGCTGCTGCATTAGAATTTATTTTAAAATGTTTTTATTTAAAAATTAAATGATCGTATTTAGGAAAAAGCAAAACAATTCCTGAAGAGTAGTGCATAAGCTAACAGAACATTGGCTGGAGCGATTGTGAGCATCTGAAGTCAGGCTTTTTGGAGTTTGACAGGAACAAGGGGTATATTTACATACTGTTAGATGAAGTCTCTTTTTAATTTAGCCCCCATGTGTTGATTAATATACCTGCTTAATATTGCTTGCGTCTGGTTTACCGCATTTTTTTAAACTTAAAAAAACTATATAGTACTGAATGATAACTATTAAATTTAGCTTTAACTTCAAGACTTTTTCTTTTTAGAAATGAGTTGTATAATTGTGTTCAGAAGTACTTGAAGTGTGTCTGTATATGAAAATCACAGAAAAATATTTTCCTATTAGAGTTTACTAAAACATTTAAAAATATTAAAGCCAATATATACTTTAATAATGTGCTGTTGCACTCACGTACAACTGCTTCCAGCGTTACAGGCATTTGACAAAGATATTGCCAACTCTTGTCATTAAAAGTGAGTACTCATCACTTGGAGTTCATAGAATTTCACAGGATTCTCAATATCAGAATTTAGAAAAACCTTGTGAACCCTCATCTGTCCCAAGCTGTTCTTTTCTCTCACTTCACTTTTTAGCTTTTAGGAATGGATAAGACTCAAATTTATTCTTCAAAAAGCCATCTCAAGGTGGTAAACGGGAAGCTCTTTTCTTTCCCTATTTCGGTCTCATTTGCAGGGGAAGAACTATAAATATCAACTCTGAGTTGGCAGTTCCATAAACAAGAGATGCCAGGATGATGACAGTTGGATCTGGGTCCTGGCCTCCCTATTACAAATCGTGTGGTTTACTCTAACTGGGCTAAGCTGGGTGACCTTTAGCAAGTGATGTGCCTCTCTAAGCCTCAGTTTCCTCATCTGTATGATGAAGTTAATCATAGCGTGAAACACATCCAATGTCTGTGAAGATTACTTGGGATTATACCCAGGTAGCTTAGCACACAATAAGCACCTACTGCCGTTGACTAGTGGGATTAACTACAGTAGCAGCAGTGGAGCTCTGTCTCCTCTTGGGAGGAGCTAGAACCAGCCCTCCCTCCCTTTTCTAATCATTGCATTTGGGAAGAATGTGAATTGATTATCTTCCTCTCTAATGTCCTTATAGAAGAAAAAATGAAAATTAAAAGTGAACCCAGGGCCTTGAACTAGCTAAAAATCTATGTTTTTGTTTCCATTGGCAATTTTGGGATATGGCTTATAGACCCTTAGACCTCAGTGGGTCCTTAGTAAAACTGAGGATTGCCAATAAATATTGTATTGCTTCCAGTATCCCAGTAACAACTCCTCCTCCATCCCCCAATTCCAGGAACATATCTATGTAGAGAGTCTAAGGTGGACCTAAAACTCTACATCACTGTTACACCCTGGCAGTAAGGGACAGCATTTCTGCTAATTTAGAATTGGGCTAGCTCTCCCTCTTCACTAGCTTTGCATTGCAAAGTTGATCTCTCTAAGCCTTAGTATTCCTGTAGAATAAGGAGAGTAAGCCCACCTTTACAATGTGTATTATATGTATCAAAATGTAACAGACTTGGCATAGGGAGTGCCGTTTCCCCACCTGCTCTTTTCCTATTTTACTTCCAGGGAAATAGATTCTATTTCAGGTTATTTGGGGTCCTAAGACATTTGGAAAGGAATGACTTAGTAAAAACTGGGAAGAGTTCAAGGTAATATTTCAAACGAGCTGGCTGGCAGTCTTCCTGCAGAGTTAGCTAGGCCTTGCAGCTCCAGTAGCTGCTTCCAACGATGGACATTTAGCTCCACACAGGTTATCTTTCAGGAGGAAGGGAATTTTTTTTTTTTTAAGTAAACCAGTAGGTATTTTTCTTAACCTGTTAGATTAAGCAGGAAATATTGTGCACTTAGTTGAGGACCTGTTGGAGGATAGTTGTGTTTTTTGTACTCTTGTTTCCCTATAAGGATCACTTTTAAGATAGGGTATGTTTCACAGTGATCCACAAGGTGTTCCTAAGATCTTTGAGAACCTCAAACTCTTGAAAAGCAGTAGGTCAGTAGGTGAAAAGTTTATTACGTTATAGTTGAAAATTATTCTCCAGGGTACAGTTGTATTTTTCAGAAACTTGTCGCTTCAGTAACAAGGAGCACATTCATTGGAAGAGGCACATTAGGCAAGAGGCAATGTAATAAAAGCTGGAGGTCAGCCAGACCCAGGACTAAATCTTGGCTCAGCCACTTGCTTTCTTTAAAATGTGGAGCAAAATACTTAACTTTTCTGGGCTGCAGTTTGCTTATCGGTATAATGGGATACCTGTACTGTAGGATTTTTATATGAGGATTCGTGACAGTGTAAAAGGACCTCACTGAATGTTTGGCTGCTTTAACAGAGATCAAAGGAACAGTGGTTTTTTCAAGGAAAAAAAAAAAAAAGCTTGTTTCTCTCTCATGTAATAGTAACAGTTGACAGCGAAGCCATCTATAGCTAATTTGGTGACTCCATGATGTTGTGAATTCGGTTCCTTTTATATCGACGTTCATCATCCTTGCACCATTGTGTCTTGCCCCAGCGTCAGCTGGCAGGAAAGAGAAAGGAATGGGCAAGTTATTTCCTTTTAAGGTTGCCCTCTTTGCAGTGGCCAGCACTTAGTTACCTGCCCACAGATAGTTGTAAGGGAGATACAGAAATGTAGTCTTAGCTGAGTGACCATTATGCCCCCCTAAAACTTACACCAGTGTAAGAGAAGGGATACTGGGGGACAACTGCCACTTGCTTCCAGACATAATGCTATGCACAAAATAAAAATTATGGCTATTGTTACTGCTAATGGTTTATCTTTACATAACAAACTCTAGCTTTGACTATGTAATTAGCACATCTCATGTTTTTCAGTTACATAAGATATAAAATAATGCATAGTTCTTGTTATAGAAGTCTCTTCCTTACCATTCGAATGTTGGAGAAGAGTCACCCATCAGGTATTATTTATCATTCATACATTCATAGGGGATGGAAAAGAACCTACATGAACAGTATGGCCTCTGTGGGCTGTCTATATTTGTGTTTCTTATGACCAGTGGCTTCCTAATTCTCATTTATTAAACTCATGGTCATTGTTACCTTTAGAGAAATGGCATTCATTTTTAACCTTGTTATTAGCAGACTTGTTTCTAGTCACTGGGTGCCAAGGAGGATGGACATTTTCCTCCTTCTACACTCCTGTAATTCCATGACTGTTTTTTTTGGTGGTGGTGGTTGTTTTTTGAGTCGAAACAGAAGCCGAGCTGCTCAGAGGCTGATGGAGGAGCCCTGCAGGCTAGTCCTCACAGCAATGATGAGGAGCACACCTGGGGGCCTGCACTTGCACATGAACGGAGCTGTTTTTCCCTTGCATCAGTTATTTTAAGAAAATATTGGTTTAACAAATGAAATAAAGAAGACGTTATTCTTTTTACAATATTTAACAATAGTTCTCTGATCATTAGAATATTGAGAATATAAAAGGGAAATTAGGACCTAAAAATGGAAACCTTCCATTTTTATACTTATTTTACCTGGGGAAAAGGGAACTTCCATACCAACCTGAATGCTTTCTGGTGCAAATTTAATTTTAACTTAAAACTTGGTTTGTATTGCCCTGTTAGCTTTTCTAACACGTAGTACCAAGTAGTGTTTGGGCACTCTCCATTGCATTTATTTGGTAGAAAATAATAGTCAATTACATAATAGTGATAATATGAGTTTATTTGAATTATAAATCCAACAGGCTAGAAAAGCTAGTCACATCAAACGATACATAAACTCCTGTTTTGGACATGCCATAAATTTGGTCCATGTAATTTGATGGAAAACAAACCCCTTCTACTACATTGTGATATATGAGTATATCTCAGATGCTGTTTACTTGGGCATCTCGGTTAATATGGTACTGAATTACTTGGAGCCACATTTTGCATGTATAGAATAATTGTGAAATGAAAGTTGAAAAATGTGATCAGTCACTTTCATATTGTGCCTTCGGGAGGAAATGAAGAAAATACAGTGGTTATATGCACTGGTGGAAGTGTTATCGCCTTACAGTCGTGCCAGGTTAACTTGTCTTATTGCTTGTTAACTTTGCGAGGAATCAATGGCTTGTGATAACAGGTTTGATATAGGAGAGCATGGTTAAAATTGCAGAGATCCCCTGGCAAGTATGCAGTGACATCCCTAAGACCATCTTCAGAAAGTGCTTGTGTTAAGTGCCAGCAGCCTGCACAGGGCACGTCTGCTTCCCAGTTGGAGCCATTTTGTCAGTCTTGGTAATATGTTATGACAGTGCCATATATCGGAAGAATGTCCTAAAATGAATAATAGACATGGATTGGGGCTTCTGGGGATTTGGCCCAGTTTTCTGATTTTCACATTAGGTTGTGGGCATGGGTAACTTTTCATTTAAAAAATATATATTTTCTCATAATACTGAATGAGCCATCAGAGAGCGTAATTCTGTCCCATATTCCGTGGTTGACTGATTGGCTTGCTGTACCTGACCATGTATTTTGGTGACAGTTGGCTGCTTGGTGAGATTCATCTGGTGGCATCATGGCCTGTTTGACCTCAAGAAGTGAAAGATGATTCTCAGGAGGTAGAACTTTTTTCCTGTGGTTTAAATGTGGGTCTCTATCCAAAGGCAGCAATGCCAACCTTTATCTGTATGTCTCAACAAATTAATGAGTGTTTGAGAACTGACTCATTTATTTGACTTTTAGTTAGGTAGTGATTAGATTATTATTAGTGGAGCTAAGTTTGAAGGTACCTTGAGTAGAGCTGCATTGTCCAATACAGTAGTAGCTATGTAAAGTTGAATAAAATTAAAAGTTCAGTTTCTTAGTTACTCTAGCTACATTTCAAGTGCTCAGTATCCACTCATATGTGGCTAGTGGCTGTCATATTATTAGCACAGATACAGAACATTTCCAACATTGCCCAAAGTTCTGTTGGACAGCAGTGAATTTGTAGAGCTTACCTATCCGTGAAGAATGCCCTGTCCCCATGTAAGTGAGAGTGGAGAAGGCAAGGCCAGGTAGGCAGTCAGTAATGTGCTCCTAAGAGCTTTAATCCCATGTTCCACAGCTAAAATTGTTTGGGAAGCCAGGTATACTTATTTACTCTCTCTAAGCTTTGTGGTGCTGAGATAACCTGCAGTTTACCGGGTATTTGCCAAATTAAACCTGTGTTTGTGTACGTGTATGTATGTGTCTAAGTAATATCTAAAGTAATATCTAATTTCTTGGGTGACTGTGTTGGGCTGTTCTTGCATTGCTATAAAGAAATACCTGAGACTGGGTAATTTATAAAGAAAAGGCTTTATTGGCTCATGGTTCTGTAGGCTGCACAAGCATGGCACCAACATTACTTGGCTTCTGGGGAGGACTCAGGGAGCTTTTTTTACTCATGATGGAAGGCGAAGTGGTGAAAGCAGAAAAGGAGAGAGAGATTGAGGGGGAGGTGTCATACACTTTTTAAGGGCCAGATATTGTGAGAACTCACTCTCTGTTGCGAAGACAACATCAGGCCATGAAGGATTCACCCCCATGACCCAGACACCTCCCACCAGGCCCCACCTCCAGCATTGGGAATTACAATTCAATGTGAGATTGGAGTTGGGACAAATATGCAAACTGTATCAGATTAATGTTTCTTTGAATACTGTATAGGAAAGGCTGATTTGGGGAGATTGGGTTAAATTTAAGTTGATTTGTACTAGCAAATTTAATAGAGTTGCTGAAAAAGGCTTTTAGTGGGATTTTTTATCCTGACTTAGCAGACATGGAGCGACACTTTCACTTGAATTTGATCTGCTTGGCCATACCTGGAGTAATGTGCACTACAAGGAGACTAGCCAGAAGGATGGATGAGTGGGCTAGAGCCCATGACACAGAGAAATTGTTGAGTGACCTTAGGATGGTTAACCTAGAAGAGATAAAATTGAGAACATGCATTATGCATTGTCATATACTTGGAGTGTCAGTCAATGGAGGAGAATTTAAAGACAAAACTGGGTCCAGTGGGGAAGAATTAATGGCAGGGTAGATTTCAACTTAGTATTAGGGCTCATTATCCCAAAATGGAAAAAGCTTGTCCATGAGGTAGTGAATTGCCTTTCACAGGAGGTGATCAAGGAGAGACTGGTTAGGGTGTGACAGAGGAGATTGATTCATTGGATAGAGTAGTGGCCTTTGGGCTGTGGTTGGTACTGTAGTTCCGCCATCCCAATCTGCTCAGCCCCGGCAGTGTTTAGAAATTTGCGTGCTTTTGGTGATAGGGAGAGTCTTTTGTTGATTGGTTGGTTGGTTGATTGTTAATAGTGCCTGGGGTACTCTGGCATCTGGGTCTCATGGTCTCTAAAGGCCTTTTCCAGTTCTGAATTTCTATGAGTGGCTTCTTAAGTACATGTGGCTAATGGCTTCTATTAGCCAAAAGGGCATTTGGTCCAAGTTCGGGCCTAAGTATCTTTCACCCTAGAATATTGCAGCCCTCTAACTGTTTACCCTTCAATCTGGTTTACCTCTCTGCCATCCACCTTCTTTACTTTTCCCAGATCCATCTTACTCAAATGCAGAACTGATAGCACATAGCTGCTTAAAATTTTTTAATAACATCTCATTTCCTACCAGGATAAAGTCCAACTTTTTTGCATGTCATGCAAAGCCCTTTGCTGTTTGGCCTCCTCCTGTCTTGCCAGAATTCATTTCCCACTAATACTTGGTTCTTTAAAGCATTTCCATGCTACACTCATGTCTTCATCCATTTTCCTTTATTTTTCTTTGTGTGCACACCCTTTCCACTTTAAAGTGTTCTTGCTTATGTGTCTTATCATACCCAAGAAGGCCCTATGAAATTCTACTCTGCTTGTCTGCAGCTGTGTCCCCTACCTGCTCTCCCTCTTCCAGCCACACAGACATTCTTGCTCTTCCTATAAGGCCCCTACCCAGTTCTCTTCCCTTTGCCTGGAATTCTTTTATCCTCATTCTTCATCTACAGAATTCCTGGAAATCCTTCAGGTCTCAGTTGTCAGGTCAGCTTCCTAAGGGAATCTTCCCCTAGCCCCAATATTAGATTAAGATATTTCCCTGATAAATGATTGGGTAGCATCCTGTAATTTTTCTTATGGAAATTATCCTCCAGTTGTAATTATAGAGCCTTTTGAGCATTAATTCACTGACTGTTTTCCTTGATAGAGTTTAAATTCTATGAGATCAAAGACTATGGTTCTTGTTCCTTACTCTAACCTTAGTATCTCCCTACCACAGTGCCTGGTGCCATAGTAGGTGCTTAATAAATATTTGAATGAATGGATGAAAAAAACAAAGCCTTCCCAGATGCCGCGGGAAGTGCGCTGGCCATTTCCTCCTAAAACTTCTTTCTGTTTTATATCCTGTATTCCTCTAAGATGTGCTCTGTGTATGAGTTCATCACGTGAGAAGCAGGGCCATTGGTCTTACTTTCACCTCTCCACATGTTGGAGACTTTAATTAATATTGTTCATTATGAGAATCCTAGTTTATTTTGTTTCATTTTATATCTATCTCTACCCTTATACTCTTTTACTACCCCAGTCAATATGGGGAGTACTTTTTAAATGTTTTTTTAAAATTTTAATTTATAAAATTTTGAAGCATACTTTAGAGAGAGAATATACTGAACCTACAGGTACCCATACTAAACATCGGCAGTAATCAGCATTTTGTCTTTTTGTCTCATTTATTCCTTAGGGGAGTTCTTTTGTTTTTGTTTTATTATTATTTTTTTTTAATTCTGAGGTGTACTATAGCTTTTTATTACGGTTTTTTATTAGAAGTACTGCATCTGTTGCTGTGCCCTAAAACATTGGCATGACAGGTATTCTCATCATAATACCTTCTGAGAAATATATATTAAACACCTACTATACACATATTACTGGTTTGTTAAGGTCTGCTTTTTAGCAGGCTTTTTTGGACTTATGAGCTGGTATTATTTTAGTTTCTTATAGAAAAAATATATTAGTACTTTGTCTGAACAAATGCCAGAAATAATTTTATGATGATGGAAGTAAGGCAAGTGATTTAATGTACAGAATTTCATTTTACTGGCCCTTTCCCCTGCAACCATGTTTGTATTGCTTAAATCACTTTTTTAAAAAAATTATTTTTACTGAGGTATAATTTACACACCATAAAATTCCCTAGTTTTAAGTGTATGGTTCAATACTTTTCAGTAACTTTACAGAGTCGTATAACCATCACCACAATCTAAGGGTTTTTTTTTTTTTTTTTTAGAATTTTTTTAAAATTGTAAAGTACAGCATTTTAAAGAATAAATAATTGGGCATTTGTTTTGTCTCTTCAAAATCCCAGTTAGAGGTCCCCTCTCTTACCCTTGGCTTACTAATATATTCTTAGTGGCATTTCATTTGGTGGTACTGGTGGCGCATTCAAACAGGACACTTGTATCTGAGTGAGCAGCTGGAGCAGTAAGAATGACAACACTTGGTCTCTGCAGATTGGCTGGACCCACCACTCTGGTGCTAGTGCTGGCTTGGTGGCTGAGGGAACAAGCAGGAAGTAGAAGAGGAAATGAGATGTGGGTGGAGTGGGAAGAGAGGACAGATTGGGGAGGGGAGGGAAAGTGGAAGACAAGGCAGACATAATGGGAAAGCCCTCATAGTTCTAAGAAGATGTGAAAAACTTGCTGTTTTTTTCTGAGTGAGAGCTTACTTGTTAAAACCCGAAAATGGAAAAAAAAAAAAAAAAAGCCTCCTGGGTCAGTTTATGGGAGTACTTTGGGCTTCCTTGCATGTTCATTTTTCTCTTTTGTGTGTAATCTTTTGACCCTTCTTCCTGTTTGGGTTTTAATTTTCTCACCTTCCCTGGTGGGTGCTTCCTCAGGCTGTGGCGTAATGTTACATGGTGTGGCTGAGTGAGCTAATATATTAGGGTGTTTCTGGTGCTTTCAGAGCACACAGGGGAGGAGGCATTGTTTGCCTTAGGGAGCTTCTATTCAAAAGGTCCTTAAACAGTGAATGATTCATGGGTTGTAAGCAGAAATAGGGAAGTAGAATTCTGAACTGCAGGTAAAGTTCAGATATCAGCCCACAGCCATTGCCATCAAAAAGAAGAAGCTGAATCATGACTTCCATTGTCATTTTAGCTTTATAGCAGGAGTTTCTTTAGGCTGTCAGAGTTATGGCTCACTGGTGTGCGTTTCCGGTTTTCTGAAAAAATGCACTTGATTTTAATGCCAGTGCGGAAAGATATCCCCTGCTGCCTAAGGCATCTTTGCCCATTTTAGCAATTGGAATCTAGTTCATGAAGTAAGTGTTGAACAGTCTTCATGCTAGAATGGCACTAAGTAGATGTATTTTCCATATCTCCGTCTCATGGAAACTATTCTTTGAATACTTGCAGATAATATTTCAACAATAGGGAGAATTGGTAGAGTAAGAGCTTTAAAACTTTTGTTGAATGAATGAATGCGTGAGTAGAATGAATGATACCTGTGTTGGATGTGACTTAAGTGTGGTCCTTTGTTTCAGTTCCGAAGTTTTAAGTTTCTTTTAAATCTATTTCTTTTCTTTTTTTTTTTTTTTTTTTTTTTGAGACGGAGTCTCGCTCTGTCGCCCAGGCTGGAGTGCAGTGGCGGGATCTCGGCTCACTGCAAGCTCCGCCTCCCGGGTTCACGCCATTCTCCTGCCTCAGCCTCCCAAGTAGCTGGGACTACAGGCGCCCGCCACTACGCCCGGCTAATTTTTTGTATTTTTAGTAGAGACGGGGTTTCGCCGTTTTAGCCGGGATGGTCTCGATCTCCTGACCTCGTGATCCGCCCGCCTCGGCCTCCCAAAGTGCTGGGATTACAGGCGTGAGCCACCGCGCCCGGCCTTAAATCTATTTCTTTTAAGATTTAAAAGAAATACCTGAAGTTCTTAAACTTGAGTTCTATGTTTTTGATCGCTTTTAAATATGCAGCCCTTCATGATAGGAGTTAAAACACGAACAATTTGCACATTTCCAGAAGAAACATGTTTGTTGTATTCTGTATGTCCTTCCGGTGTCTACACTAACTGATATCATTGTTGAGTATAGGAAAGTAAAAGGTGGAAAATCCCATAAACATTTCTATCCTACTTTTTTTTTTGTTTTCCAAGTACTGCCATTTCTCACCATCTAGAGAATCAAATTGTCTTCAATGTGAACATGAGCTCTGTGTTTGGCACATAGTAAGTGCTCAACATACATACATGGTCAGGTTGGCTTTAGGGGAACCTGAAATGACAATTGCTGGCCATTTTATTGACTGTGCCCTTCTATTCCTTCTAATATTTTCAAAATCCCTTAAGACTTTTACTTGCTTCAGAGAAAGAAATTTTTTTCTTCCATGTTAGCAAATATTATAAGGAATAAAAGAATGGAATGGACATATCTATAAATAGACTTTTATATTTATATAAAATAAATAAATATATATTTATATATATTTTGGGATTGCTTCTTAAGCTCCTGCTTTGAAAATGGAATGCATACAATTTAAAAACATTAAAAAGTATATAGTTTAATAATCAGAGTCTATTAAAAGCTTAAGATTCTATGGTCTATTATTTGACATTTTTCTTCCCATTAGTCATAGACACAAAATACACATTTCTATTAGGAAACCAAGAGTGAAAACATCACATTGTAAATAATTAAAGTCGTTTCCTTTTCCACCTGGCCTCCCCACTCCCCTTACACAGCTCAGAGGTGGAAATAATGGTCACCCTAGTTAATCTCAGTAACTATATTTGAGGATTTTGGAATGGGGGCCAGGTGGTTCACGGAGAATTCCACATTGAACTGATAGCTCTTTGTATTATTAAGCAGTGTGGTAGTTGAGCTTCATACTCATCTCAAATAAGTGAAGAAAGTTAGCTAAATTTCTCAACTGAGATTAACCAAAATAAGACTCTTCAGATGTACAGAGGAGTACTTGTTTCACGGCGCAGTTCCTTTGGTTCTTCATTCACTAAACCAAGTTGAAAGAAACCCAGTAAGACTGATTTTAAACCAAAATTGACTGTAGATACTAGAGTGGTCAAATGTTTTAATGGGAAATAATATTTAGATAATATTTGGAGGGGGTAATTCTTGTAAGCACTTCTGTGTCTAGATATATATGAGTGCCCCTATACAGAGACTTCCATGCTACTTTTTCTGTACAAAAATTACTAACATCAGTTCTTACTTATTCTCACTGGAACTGAGTTGTGGATGGAGGGATTTTCCTGTACTGTCCGTCCTAGTTTTTCTAAGAAAAAAAATTATCGTACACTTTTGTGGGCTTTAGTTTTTCTGTTGGATTTAAAAGAAATACCTGAAGTTCTTAAACTTGAGTTCTATGTTTTTGATCTCTTTTTAATCCCTATCTCATGATAGGGGTTAAAACACCAACAATTTGCACATTTCCAGAAGAAATATGTATGTTGCATTATGTATGTCCTTCCGGTGTCTTCGCTAACCGTTATCGGGAGAAAATTTAAAAATAATTACTTCCAGGAAACAATTTTTAAAAATTTTAATGTAGATAGCAAAGAGAAAAGGTAGTGAGTACAAAGAAAGCAAGTGGGATGGGTTCTGTTTTGTTTGTTAGTACTAATAGCAGATGGGTGGTCCAAGTGTACCATAACTTTTAAGTGAAATTTAAGCTGTTGTAAAGGAGCATTCTTCATGGGGTCACAGAGATGGTACCTGCAGTTGGATGCCCAGTGACTCCTCAACTTTGTGGACCCAGATGTACCCTAGACATCTAGTCATCCATCACCTCAGGCTTGTATTGGAAACCTGGAGATCCCCCAAATGCTGTTTTGCATGTAACTGAAGTTAGAGGACATGTTAGGAAAAGCTGTTCTTGACTGAGTAGAAAACAAATAATTGTATTCTGTTTCTGATCTTCATTTATAGCACCAGCAACAAGTGGTGCAGGCTGTGGAACGGGCCAAGCAGGTGACCATGGCAGAACTGAACGCCATCATTGGGGTACGTGGCCTTTCCATTTTAGCTCTGATCTTAGTGTTTGTCATCAGCTCTCTCGCTCTCTCTTTTTACATTTTGTTCCGCCAAAGGGGCAAAAAGCAATAGATGACTACAAAATGAAATTAAGCACTTTGCCTTCAATCTCCTGTGAAATTTGATGGCTGCCTTAGAAACTTTGGATCACATTCTCACCAATTTAAGTGGATGTGTTCATGAAAACTCTCCTCTAAGGAGACTGGATAGCTCTTTTTCATATTTCTTTGCTTTGCAATCAGCTTGTGTTGCTAACCTAGGCCAAAAAAAAAAAGAGATATAGATTGCCCTGACGTTAAAATGACCTGGTTTCTTTTTTCTTTCCTTGAATAATCATGTAGAGTATCTTACTATCATTTTTAATGAGGTGTACATTTTCACATCTCCCGTTCTACTTATTCTTCCTTCCCCTGTCATGAGTGGCTCTTATGGGTTAGTGTCCATTTGAAATAGAAATAATAGATGAACTACACTTTATTTTTAAAAAAATCAGTGGCCCATTTAGAAAATCCTTCCTGGCAATAGTGGCATTAATGTTGCATAGAAATTGTGCTGGAATTCATGGATTTGGGCAGTCACTTCAACTCTGCTTATATATGTATGTTTTTTTTTTCTCAGATTAATGTAACAGGCAATAAAATAATGTGCTGAAACTTAGAAATAACAATAAAGGCAAGAAATCACAGCTGTAAAGAGCATAATATTCACCTCTCTATTTATGCAGATTGTACAAGCAGTTCCTTGGGTTATTCTAATGAAGACACTACAACTGCACTTTCCTCTTTCTGTCCCCTCCCAAATACTTTCTTTTGTGTATAGATTATACACAAAAGTCTTTTTTTTTTCTGTCAGTGTATCAAACACACTTTGAAATGCTAATTATTTCGTTTACTTTCATTAAAATTCAAATTGCTGAGTGAAGATGTGGATAAGGGTCGCCTGATAATCAATCTGAAGTGAAGATATTGCTTCAATTATTCCTCTGTCTTTTAACAAGGAAATCAGAACTCTGGGATCACTGCTGATGTTGAGGGCGCCATAGTCTGATTGTAGCTTGTTTTTTAATGGGGTATTTGGAGCTCTATTTTATGTCCCTCTGACCAAAAAAAAAACCAAAAAAACAAAAAAAACCTGGTAGGAAATTAGCAGATGTAATGAATGGAAAAGAGTGACCTTTATTTCCTCCAGAGTGCCCCTTGGAAACAAGAGGCTGAATCAGAAGAAGCCATGTAGAATCATGAATAATGTTTGTCATACATTTTGTGTGATGGGCAGGGGAAGGGACGGATAGTAGAGACGAATACATTTCGCAATTGGTTTTCGTTTCCAAAAACTCCAGGAAACAGCAGTATATTAAATTTTTAAAAGTTGAGAAAGGTTTAATTTTAAAGTTAAGTGTGTGTGTGTGTGTGTGTGTGTGTGTGTGTGTGTATATGTATAAACCAGCTGTGCTCCATTGACGTGTGTGCACAAGTGCAGGTGTTGTATTCACTGTGGATATTTTTGTTACCAAATCTTCCAGGGGTCAGAAGGGATAGAACCTACATTTCTCTACTGTCTCTACTGTTTACCATGGAGAGAATGTGCAGAGTGATCCCTGATAGGAGAGGTTGCTGGGTCATTTTTAGCTTAGCGTTTACTGTTTGTATGAATGGCTGAAATACAGATAGCCCTCCTGCCTTATGTGTGATTGGCAGCCTTTTCTAGGAAAACAGAATGGATTATTATTATTTTTTTTTCCTTTTTTTGAGTCTTTTAATGACTGTACAGTGGAGAGATTAAGCTAAATAAAAAACACTTTGTTTATGTGTTGGATGTTGCTTAATATGAGGGAAGATATAAAATCAGAACAAGTTCCCTTCACTTCACATCAAGAATATTTTTAATATTGTTTTATATTTATTCATTTTTATATACTTTATTTGGAATGGAATGGCCGATTGCCTTTTCTTGGGGAAATGAGGATTTATTAGACTGCAGCCAAGTTACTGACATATTGTGTTTATATGTATTTAATTATTAAAATAAAGCTAACTTAATTTTGTGACCTAAAAACTTAAAGAACTAACTCAGCAGTACATTCTGTCAAAGCAGCGTTACGTGCTATCAACGCGGCATATACTTGGATATAGTTGGATATAGTTGGATCTGATGAGTCTTCCAAACTCTTGGTATCTGAGCAGAAAATGGAGTCGGAAATCACATTATCTGACTATTCTGGAAAATAGATTGCAGAAATAGGAAAACAAACCCAACAGTTTTAGAGAACCACAAACCAAGTGAGAAGGAAAGAGCTCAGTTACAAACTCACTTGACAAATTTTTGCTGCTGAGGTTCTCTTTGTCTTTTTAGCCATGGTAGTGCTTGCATCCAGTAGTTTTTGCAGTTGTAACATTGTAGTATTTTAAAGGCACTTGCTGTTCTCTGTCCCTTGAGCGTAGATGGCTGGCTGAGTTGGTGGTATTTTGACACGCTACCAAAAACAACTAGGGGTCAGTTTTTAGATTTTTGTTACTTGGTTTTTAGAATGTAGTCAGCAGTGATTTTCTGCACTGAAGGAATGACAGTTTTCCTTTGAGAGGCAAAGACCCATCTAAGCCCCTGCAGACCCTCATTTATTTATCACTACATATGTGTCTATTTTATATGTATGCACACCATCCAGACAAGAGCAAATGTTCCCAGATTTAATGAAATCTGATGAAGCACCTTTTTAACTCTGCAATATTATTCTACCTTCATTGGTAAATGAGCCAAACGAGTGATCCATGCAGTTTAAATGCAAAATGCTGAAGTGATCCCGTAATCTGGAGAGGCGGCTGTTCTCTTGACAATAAGCTGGTTGTGTTTAATGGAATGAAACACAGTTATAATGATTTCTTTCACAGGTCATGTTCAGTTTAAAACTGTTGATAGATTGAAATAAGTTAAATATCATTTATCTTTTATTTATAAGGAAGAAAACCAGGAAAATTCCTGTGTTGGTTTCCCATCGTTGATATTTTGTGTTTTGTTTTGAATTGGTGATATTACACATTTCCTTCAGGCCTTCCCCAAGTTCCCTCAGTTGGGCTAGGGGAACGTTATGGATCTAGTTTGATTTTGTCATGTGTCCTGCTAGCCACTGTGTTTTTAAATTAGAATCTCTGCGAGATCACACTGTTGGAACAACACACAAATTGTAGTTTTAAATCAGTAATATGATCTAATTAGAAATGATGTTTTCATTTCCTGTATTATTAAATTGAGTCACCTGACTATCTTAAAATGCTTTTTAAATCTATTACACTATATAATCAGTACATGCTGTGTGAATGTGGTTATGCTTAATAAAGGAGGCTGACTTGGAACCTCATAAGAATTTCACCAAAGAAACTACCATTAAGAAAAAAAGTTTAGTCAGTGTGAATAGTGGAAAAGAAAATGTTTGGCTTATAAAAATAGACGATGTGGGTTCCTTTGGAAACCCCCTAACCCACTTTTTAAACCTAATTCTGAGGAAAAAAAAATGATAGAAATGTATGCGTTTGGAAAAAAGCTCACCCCCATCCCCAATAAACCCTTAGGAAACAGGTATGCCATGGTGTTGTAGGAATTGCAGTTTAGCACAAGAAATGCTGAACCTCAATTTTTAGCAGTGACATTTTAATGATAGGAAGTCTGCAAAATTATTTGCCATCAATTGTGAAGGCAATAACAAGCCTTGGTGGTTTTTCACACTCTCTGTGTTAAGTGCTTTCAGAATGACAGCGTAAACTGTGTTAGAGAACTCCAAGGAAGTAAAACTGATTAAAATGTTCATGCTTGAATGGTGCTGATGGAATAGTTCATTTGGACTTTCTCTACCTCCTGCAGCTCAAGCTGAAATATTAAAATTCAGTGGATTTAAATCTCTTTCCTCTCAGCTCAGGAAAAAAACATTACATTTTAATAGGTTTTAAACCCATAATTCATTGGATTGGAGCAGCACTATTAAATCTATTTAAATATTACTTGTATTACTAAGGAAATGATTTAAATGACTTTGCCTTTACCATCCTATGTGTTTGAGTTAGTTTAAAAAAAGAAAGACAATACCTTTGCGGTCCCCCCCTTAGTATTTTGTTTTCTTGTCCTTGTCATATGATTGAACCTTAAATGTGTGTGTGTGTGTGTGTGTGTGTGTGTGTGTGTGTGTGTGTGTGTTTTCTACATTGACAACGTGGTAAGAGGGTCTTGCAGTATGACTGTTTAAAAATGTATGTCTCTTCTTTTCCGTTATAGATTTCAAAACTGCCATTTTAACTTTCAAAGGCATTTGGATGAGCCACCGTGGTCATTTTCCTTGTATTCTTTTTAAACAGTTTAGCCATTAGGCAGAAAGGGAAAGATATAAATATGTGGGTATATATAAAAATGTGTGTGTGTGTGTTTCCCTCCCTTACATTGCAAGTGTAGGAAATATACCCCTGTGGATACATGGCCTCCAGTAACACACAACTTGAAATTAAATTTAAAAATTTACGTTTTTTTACAAAAGTATTCTTCCTGGGCCCACCGTGTACCCCTCAGTTCCTTTCTCTCTAGCCCTTGCCACTACAACATGTGTCCCACAGCCTGACAGCACCTCCAGTCAGCCATAGCGCGAAGTGCTTGCTTTCCCCCAGTGCTTTGTGGGAAACCTTTGTGGGGAATCCACCCTTCACTTACACAAGCACAGCCTGGAAAGTGCAGGAATTACAGCTGCATTGGGTAACCCTGAATCCCACAGGGAAACAGAGTTAGTGGAATGCTCCCCGCATTCTCTGGGGGAGACACCTGTAAGATGCCTTCTATGCTACTCCACAAAAGGTTCCAGTAGGATGGAGCTTCAGTTGCCCACAGTAGTGATAGGCTAGATAATACATGTTTATTTTGAGTTTTCCCCCTTCCGTGGTTCACTATTCATAGGCCCGTACTCCTGTTCTGTGATCATTTCAAAATTACCTGCAGCCAAGCCCTCTCCCTCCACTTTCCCGGCAGACACTTAGGATTTGATTTCATAGGCCTCAAGCTACTTAAGGGGGCTTTACAGTGTAGGTAGGTAATTGTAGTCATGTACTAGAGTCAGGGCTTGTTTTCTGATGTGAGTTCTGTGCGTAAAACATATTTAACAGCTCAACTGTACAACTCAGCTTTTGTGTTATTTTTTAAATAAATATTTTTCAGTAAACTTACAGGTGAGCTTCTCTATCTTGTTCTGCTTCTTGCAGCTGATTACTATTGGTATTTTCTAGATGTATGTAATACAGAATGAAATTAAAAATGAGCTATAAAATAGATTTATCAGAGATTGTTATTTCAGCTTTGTTACTGTCTTTACTGAATAGTGTGCCTGGAGCTTAAAGGCTTTATAAAACATGCTGGCCACTGTCTGTGTCGTGTACACACACAGCTTGCACAATGGGGGAAGGGGCTGGCTTGAAGATGCACTCACTTGGAGGGCTTTACTCACCTGCATTCATCAAACACATGGCAGGAACACCAAAGCAGTTTTACATCACATTCTTTCTTCTTTATCTTCTGTGGGTGTGCCTGCCCCTCACTCTTTTTCTTTTCTTAACTGGTTCATTTGCCATGGAGCAGGGGACTACATTATTGAATGATGTATTCATAATCTAATCTTTCTGCTACGGTTTGATGAGGCTCTAAGAGGCAGTAATTTCCCTTCTCTCATAACAAAGACTCTCATATATTTAAGTAATTTAAAAACTCTGCCTGCACTTCAGAGACGCCCAAAAACCACTAGGTAAGGAATAGGATTTCTGATTTGTGCTTGTGATGTGCTCTCCGTTATTTTCTATGACAAAGCTTCTCTGGAAGAAATTTCTAGAAGCCAGTCTATCAATCCTCTCACCTCCAAAACTGGGACTAGCCAGCAATGCTACAATTTTTCTTTCTGTTTGGAGCTGAGCCATCCTTTCCTTTCCCCCAGTGAATGCACTTCCATCGCTGTAGAGTTGAGTTCAAAGTGTTATAAGAGTTGCAGAATGTGTCTGGGTAGATGTATCTGAGGAAGGGATATGGGCATTGGCTTCCACTGAGAAGAAAGTAGTTCTCCCAGATCCACAGAGCTCGGCAGGCTGAGCTTATGCAGAGGTCTGAGGAATGGTTATATAGAAAAACAGGCTAAAACAGAGAATAAGGCAACCTGCAAGCTTGCAGTTCCAGAGTGTTACCCCATTTTATAGGTTGTTTTGTTTTGGTTTTGTGTCACTTTTGTAATTCTCTGATGATTTCCTGCCAGCAGTGTTTCCACAAGCAGCATCACCAACTTCCGTATAGTCAGAGACCTTTTTCCTTGTGGTGTCAGACTGCTTTGTACCCCTCGAAGCTGAGAGGGAGGGAAGAAGCATGGGCTATAAGAGACAGTCTCACACCAAACAGGCAACTAAAGGGTTATTGACAGTGGTTAACTGTCAAGCACTTAGGTGAGGTTTTTAAGGACTTTTGTTGCCTGTTCTCAAAGCTCCCTAAGAAACCAGTTTGGGAATCCTTCTACCCCAAAATGCATGTGTGGTCTTAAGTGTTGTCCTTAAGACCTTTGTGAAAAGGTTAGAACTCTTTAGTGAATAGCAAGAGTTATTTAATGATTATGTCCATTCATTCATTCAGTAAATATTTGAGTACTTTCACCAATATCCTATTAAAGGGGCATATTTTATTTTCATTTTGAGTGATATTTTAAATTGTCTTCTGAAATATATTCTGAAATGATCCTCAAGTTACATTTAAATCATTCTATTAAAATTTTGGTAGCTGTCAGCTTGCTGGTATTACATTGTACTTACAAATAATCAACTTTTAATTAACGCATTTTAATTTCAATAAAGCTAGTTTCCATGGATAACAGAGTAAAGAGAAATAGTTAATAAAAAACATAAGAATGAAGCAGCATACATTTACGGATTTGTATTTTTTTATATTTGCAGATACATTTTCAGATATTTGGATTAGGAATTTAGAAATTCATTATTGATATTCTCTATTACATCAGATTTAATGAGACGTAATCTGCAAAAAGTAAAATTTACCCTTTCCAGTGTGTAGGTCTTTGAGTTTTGACAACCGAATACAGTTGTGTAACTGCCACCACAATCAAGATACAGGATAGTTCCCTCCACCCCAATCCCTTGTTACTCTTTGTAGTCAGTCATTTTTTTCTATCCCAGCCCCCGCCAACCATTGAAAATGTGTCTTCTTCCAAAGTGAGCCTTTTTGACAATGTCATGTAAATGGAATTATATATCATGTAGCCTTCCGAGGTTTCTTCTTTTACTTAGCATAAGGCATTTGTGATTTGTCCATGTGGTTGCTCATATCAGTAGTTAGTGCCTGTGTATTGCAGACTGATATTCTATTGTATGGATATACCAGTTTATCTGTTCACTCCTTAAAGGACAGTTGGTTGAATAAAGCCACGAGAAACATTCTTATTTGGATATTTTAAGTAAGTGAATGTAAGTTATATCTTTTGGGTGATTACCTAGAAGTGGGATTGCTGAGTTACATGGTAAATGCACGTTAAACTTTCCAAGTAATTGACATACTGTTTCTCAGAGTGATTCTACTATTTTGCAGTTTCACTAATATATTACATGTAAGAAAACCTTTCCTCTACATCTTTGTCTGCACTTGGAATTACAGGTTTTGGGGAGGTTATTTTAGCCATCCTAATAGGTGCATAATAGTACTTACTGTGTTTTTTATGCATTTTCATAACAATTAATGATGTTAAGTGTCTTTTTTGCTGTCTCTGTATCTTTTCTGATATCTGTTCAAATCTTTGCCTCTTTTTTTTTCATCAGTCAGTTTTATTATTGAGTTTTAAGAGTTCTTTAATTTTCTGGATTTTTTTGTGTATTTTGTAATTCTCCCAATCTATAGTTTAACATTGTCAAAGTTAAACTTAGGCTTTTTTTTTCCTTTATGGACTTTTGGTGTTGTCTGTAAGTAATCTTTGCCTAACCGAAGACCGCAAACATGTTATTCTGGGGTTTCTTGTAGAAGTTTTACATTTAGGTCTATAATTCAGTTCAATTTTTGTTTATGGTAAGATATATGCATTAAGTTGAGGTTTTTTTTTTTTTTTCCCACAAGGACATGGATTCAGTTTTTCTAGCACTATTTGTTGAAAAGGCTATCCTTTCTCCATTGATTTGTCTTTGCACCATTGTTGAAAATCAATTAACCTTATATGTATGAGTGTATTTCTGACTGCTCCAATCAACTGTTGCCGTCTCTTTTGCTAGTGCTATACTGTGTTGATGACTATAGCTTTCATTATTGATGTTCTCCATTCCGTTTTGCACTTGTTCTTCCTGTTCTTCCTTGCCCTTTGCAGTACTCCTCAGCACTTCAGGTCTTTATCATCAGTATACTAAAGACTGACTGATGGATGAAGGGAAAGGGTCTAAGCTCAGTATAAACACTTTCTCTCATCAGAAATGGTGTCTGCTCCACCTCCTAACATTTCTCTCAAGGTTGAGCGCATTTTTCCATCTCCTCCTGGTCCAAGTAATGCCTTTAGCTAGACTCTTCCAGCCTCTTCCTGATAGGCTACCATGTTTCCGCATTTGTCTTTCTTTCATTCTACACACAGCAGCCAGAGTGACCTTCTTATAAAATAGAAATAGGATCTATTGGTCCTCTGCTTAAAGCCACAGTGAGTGTGGTGGTGTCGTCTATATATATGAGACTATATATAGTAGCTGAGACGCTACTCGGGAGGCTACTGGATCACTTGAGCGCAAGAGTTCAAGACCAGCCTGGGCAACAGCAGGATTTCATTTCTAAAAAATTTAAAAAACAAGCAAATGAAAAACCCAGGAAAACCTGATGGCTGCCCCTTTTATTTAGAAAAAGGTCTGAATTTCTAACCTTGGCCTACAAGATTCTTCATGAGCTGACCCCTCTTTCACTGGCCTTTCTGCTGTCACATACCACTTATGTTCTTCATTCAGCTGTCCTTAAGCCACTTTGGCCCCTTTCTTCTGTCCCTGGGTCACTCCAAGTGTGTTCTCGACTGAGGGTTTGTGCACCAGCTTCTCTGTCCTCTGGATAGCCCATCCTCTGGATCCTAGAGTGGTCTTCCTTATGCCTCTTTTCAGAGTGTCAGCTCAGATGTTATTTCCTGAGGAAGGACTTTCTTGGCTGGCACTCTTTTTACTCTTTGCTTCTAATTCATTCTCTGTCCCATTAACCTGTTTTATTGTCGTCATTGCACTTACCATTGATTTGTTATGCATCACTTTCCCTTGACTAGCTAGTGAAATCTCATTCACTTTTGTAGCCATGAAGCCTAGAGCGATAGGTATCTCATAATTTTCAATACGTATTTGTATGATAAATATTCAGTAACTATTTGTTCAATAAATTTGCAGTAATTTGTTCATAATAATTTTCCATAGATGTTTGTTAAATACTATGCTCTGGGATATTTTCTCATTTGGATATTCTCCGTACAATTTTGAGCCAAGATAGAAAAGGAAGCGCATGGACTGGTAGAAAATATACAGTTCTGGGTTTCACTTATAGTATGATATTAGGAATTTCATTTAGGTTTTTTCATCTGTAGAATGCAAGGCTGGAGCTGGCCTATTTATTTTGACGTTAATGGAATTTTTATTTTAAAACTTGGGGTCCTTTTGTGTCATAGTTATTTTTCTAGGTTTATCACCTCCCTAGGCTTGTATTCTTTTCCTGAAAAAGGTAACTAAATATAGTAGATGTTATTGAATATTCGCTCTGTGTTAAGCATTTACATGCATTACTTTGTTTAATCTTCACATCAACCTCATGTGGAAGGAAATACTGTTCCAGCTTTACAAATAATGAAACCAAGGGCTTTGAAGAGGTAAGTCATTTTCTGAAGGCCACACAAAAGAGGAGTGGCAGGACTGGGATCCAAACTCCAGCTGACTTCAGAACTCACACATTTAACCATTATGCTACACTTGTCTCTTATTTGTTCTCTTGACTCTGTTCTTTCTTTCACACTGTCATCAATAATCTCTTTATCTTGAGATCCACTGATAGGATTGTCCAGCCAGAGCTCAGTGTTGGAAGGAAAATGGAAACTGGGTATGCTGGGTCCACATACTAAGTGGTTAGTCTAAATTGTCTGAATTATATTAGTTCCACAGGTCAGTTGGATACTCTTGACTCATACGTTGTTGCTTCCTGTCTGTTGTATCTTACTCTTATGAACAAGAACTGAAAGTTGTTATAAACACAGCTGTTAAGGCAGGTGTTTTAACCCAGTGTCCTTGGATCTTCTGGAATTTCATGCTTGGGCATTGGGCTGTCAATTAAATGCCTGAATTGCTTGCAGAATTGCCTGTGTGTGTGTGTGTGTGTTTGGGGTTGGTAGGAGAGGAGTATGTATAGTTTTTGGAGGAGAGTGTTCACAAAGGGTCCTGTGACACAAACAAGTTTGAATCCATGCCTTAGTAGAATAGGATTGTGCAAAATCCTGATATGAAATAGCAAAATATCATGTGGGGTGCATGTAGACAAAAAATATTTGCCCGTAGCAGCGTGGGGACACATTCTAGGATGGTTGTTCAGAAACTTGGAAATCAGGAGTTTACTTTTGTAGGAGGGTTTCTTGATTAAGAACTATTGTTGGTACTCTAGTTGCAGGCAGCAGTAGGTGAGGCAGGGGACATGACTGGTGGTGAAGACCATAAAGGGGCCCCCACCAGGCCAGTGGCTAGTCAGGAGATATAAACAAGTTAGAACTTACAGGGATTGCCATTATGTTGTGGGGAGTTCTATCTTTGAAATTACTTCATTGCTTTGTGATAAGCTCTATACTTCTCTGCTTCTATTTCTCTATCTTGAGAAAACCTTGTATGCCTGACTTGTGAATAACAATTATTTCATGAGATAGAGTAATATTGCAAACTTAAAAAAATGGTTTTGACTAAATAGTTAGAGCTAACTGTGCCTTTGACCCCAACCTCTTAAGAAAAACTCAGAATGGTACATTCTTGAATCCTTTTTAAGGCAGCTCTATAGCTAGTCTGACCCTTGTGATTCTCATGCTTTTTTTTTTTTCTTGGTAGATTCATAAAAATGGTGAGAGTTTATCTTTGCTCAGATTGTTTTCTGTGACCATCAAGGGCAGTGCCACTATGGTCCCGAAGCAAAGTGGCAGTAATGTTGCTTTTTTTCTTTATTTCCCTAGAGTGTTTCTGGGTTGACTCAAAGCAATTTGTAGACACAGCTCTGCACAAATTAATATCTGGGAGAAGAAACAGTTGAGAGGAAAAAACAGTTTAAGTTGAGATCTACTTGGATTGAAAGCTCAGAGGTTGTTCTTGGGTTTCTTTCAGCTAATAGCTTCAGAATGGCCTCTGAGCAAAGATAGATGTCGAGGCAGGCTTTGTTGTTTGTTGGTTCTCCCTTGCAGGCAGAGGCTACCCTCTGCTATCAAGGCTAAAGCATTCCAGGAGCTCTTTGCAGGCTTCCTTACAGAAGAACTGTGGGCAAGTGACCCTATCCAGGTCAGCGAGATATAAAAAGATGTGGTTTTCTTCTTAACAGAAACCCATGGAGAGAGAATTATCCTCCCTTCTGCATTTTAATATGGTTATGTGAAGGCATGAGGTAATGTGTGGAGCTGTGGCAGCCATCTTGTGATGGGAGGGGATGGGATTTGAGGGATGCCACATGAATCAGGGACCCAGAGCCCTGATAATGTTAGGTCATCTATCCATCCCTGGACTTGTAGTGTGAGAAATAAAAATTCCTTTAAAAAAAATTCAGGCCATTTTTGGGTATTCTATACCTTGCAGAGGAACTATCTTAACTCAAATATATAGTTACATGCCATATAATAATGTTTCAGTCAAGGACAGACCACATATATGACAATGGTCCCATAAGATTATAATGGAGCTGAAAATATTTTATTGCCTAGTGACATTGTAGCTGTCGTAACACCACAGCAAATTACTTTTTAAATAATTTTTTTGTAGCAGTGTAGAGTAATTATAAAGTCTGTAGTGGTGTTCATTAATGTCCTAGGCCTTCACATTTACTCACCACTGACTCATTCAGAGCAAATTCCAGTCTTGCCAGTTTCATTTATGATAAGTGCTTTATATAGGTGTACCATTTTTTATCTTTTATACTGTATTTTTACTATACCTCTTCTGTGTTTAGATACACAAATACCATTTTGACACAATTGCCTACAATATTCAGTGCAGTAACATGCTGTTCAGGTTTGTAGCCTAGGATTAATAGGCCATATTGCATAGCTTATGTGTGTAGTAGGTTATACCATCTAGATAAATATACTCTATAATTGCACAGTAATAAAATTGCCTAAAGACTCATTTCTCAGAATATCCCTATAGTTAAGTGGTGTATGACTATAGATAGATACATATATATTTCTATGTTAATGTCATGACTTATGTATATCAAAATACTGGGAACAACCTGAACACCCAACACTGGGGAACTACTTAAGTGAACTCAGGTATGGCAGTACAGGTTGCAAAGAACAGAAGGAGTTGAGTGTTACTTTGAAGACAGAACTAGAAAGACCTGGTTATGGAAGACGGCAGAGTGAGACTAAGTGGAGGAATTCAGGACACCCTGGAAATTTGGAACATAAGTAACTAGGTAGATAGTTGTACCATTTACTCAGATGGGGCAGAAGAGAGAAGGAATGGCCATATGAATACAATGGCATACCATGTAGCTGTTAGAAATGATGTAGTCAAGGTGTATTAAGGATGTGGAAAAATGTTCTTAATACATGGTAAACAGGAAACGAAGAAACAGGTTAAACCACAAGATAGTTTGAGTTACTTTTGTTAAAAATGCTAACATGAATTCAAAAAATACTGGATAGGCCCACCATGATATTACTAGTTTTCTTTGGCTGGTAGGATTATGTGTGGCTTTTAATTTTTTTTTTCACTCCGCCTATCTTCATTTAACATATAAGTTTCTAATCTGAAAAAAGCTATAAGACAAAATTCTATTCATATGGCCATTCCTTCTCTCTTCTGCCCCATCTGAGTAAATGGTACAACTATCTACCTAGTTACTTATGTTCCAAATTTCCAGGGTGTCCTGAATTCCTCCACTTAGTCTCACTCTGCCGTCTTCCATAACCAGGTCTTTCTAGTTCTGTCTTCAAAGTAACACTCAGCTCCTTCTGTTCTTTGCAACCTGTACTGCCACAACCCTAACTGAAGTTATCATTCATTATTTTCTTGTTTGAACCCCCTGCATTACCTACTAGCCGGTCTCCTGCCCTTCATTCTTGCCACTCTCAGATTCAGAAAATTATTATTTTTTAATATTCTAGCTTAAAATACTTACTAGTCTTTATAAAGGCCAGTTTAAGCTGGTTTACACACTCAAGCTTAAAATACTTGGTGGTCTTCTTTATATAGGCCAGTGAAATAGAATAAAATACTAAGAAATAGATTCACTTGTATATGTCAGAATGGACAAGCAGATCAGTGGGGAGAAAGATGGAAGCTAGTAAATATTACTGTGGGGCTACCTGGTTATTCTTGTGGAAAAGAATTGGATACATACATGTCACCATATGCAGAAGTCAATCCTAGAATCATAAAAAGAACTTTAAAACTTAAAAAAAAAAAACAGGAAGAATCTTTTTTTTTTTTCTTGGAGTAGGATTTCTTAAAAGGGTCACAGAAAGCCCAACCCATGAGAAAAGATTGATAGTATTTAATACTCACTTGGAATGAAAAACATCTGTTCATCAAAAGATGCTTTAAAGAAAATGAGAAGACAAGCCAGAAACCAGGAGAAGTTATTTGCAACACATGTAACCAAAAAGTGATTATGATCCAGATTTATACCAGTTAAAGAGCAACTAAAAGTTCAGCTTAAAAAACAAAACCAAACCCCAAAACCCACCGTAGCCTAGAGCTCTAATTATTCTTAAATAAAAGTCAAAAACCCTTAGTGTGCACAGCCTGATTCCCAGAATATACTTGTATTCTACCCGACTTCCCCATTGCTCACTGGATTCTCACTAGGCTTCCTTTTACTTCACTGGTCACAGCAAGCGTCTCTCTTGTTCTGGGTCCTCTCAACTGCTTTTCTCTTGCTTCTGATTCTCCCAGCTGTCTGCAGTGTGCTGTCATTTGCATCCTGCAGGTCTCAGTTCAAAGGTTATTTCCCCAGAGGAGCTGCCTCCATTTATTTTTATGAATGAATGATTGCTTACCCCTTCCACCCTAGTTGAGAAAGGGTCCTAATTGGGCAGCAGGTACATCACTGGACTAAATGGTAGGGGCTTGTGCTCCATTTCTTGATGCTAATACCATCTCCCACTGACTCTCTCACCTAGGAGATCACACATGTGAGTGTTGGCCTGGTTTAGCGTTCTTCAAATTGCAGCTCAAGAGACTCATGAGTGTACAGTGAAGTCTATTTAGTGGGCATAGTGGACTTTTTTTTTTTTTAATTAAAAAAGGGTATAGAAGACTATAGAAAATATTAGCGTATGTTGCACATAGTAGTGTTTGGTAAACTTTGTTAATTTACACGTATATTCTATGTAGACACACACACATATGCACATAGACACACACACAGAAATTGTGGTCAAAATTTTGGAAAGCAAGTCTCCTAGATGACATCTGAGGTTCATTCCACCTCTGACGTTCTAAGATCAAATGCAGGATTACTGAACAACCTAAAGCAGATAGGCTTTTTAAATGCTGCTTTACTTAAAAAAAAAAGAAAAAAAAGAAGAAGAAATTAGAGATGGTGTCTGACTGTGTTGCCCAGATTGGAATATAGTGGCTATTCATAGGTATAATCATAGGGCACCACAGCCTCAAATGCCTGGGCTCAAGTGATCCTCCTGCCTCAGCCTCCCGAGTAGCTGGGACTACAGGCACATATATGCCACTCTGCTTGGCTCAGCTTTACTTTTTTTTAAAGTACTCTGAAGTAACTAAAGAAAGCTTTTCTGAGTACATTCCCTTAGCTTGGTGACTTTAAAGACTAAAACTTACAAAATAGAACCATTGGTATCAGTAAGATGTTAAAGACTAAAAATTTTTCTTAAGTAGCTTAAACAAGCTTCTGGGAAATTGTATTTCCATTATTAATTTGCTTAGAAGTACAATTACTAATAAACTTTTGGCCAATTCATAAAATACGCTAACGGGATCACTAATGGGAAAGTTAATAAATCAGGGTTTTTGTAGTTTTCTCCTTCTTTTCTTGCCATTATTACTTCATGAGTTAAACTACAAGTTAGGACAATGGAGCCGCTGGCAAAGATCTCATGATTTGCTTGCTTTGGTTGTTACTTGCCATCCCCTTAAGACCAGTCCAGAGATTTGGAGGACTACAGAGATCTGTGGTTTGTTTAGCTTGAGAAGCTTATCCTTTCAGTGATAATCTTACTTGGATTGCTCTAAATGCATGTCTTCTCCCTATAGTAAATCTCATGTTGTAAGTCATCAGGAATGAGTTACAGATAAGCTTAGTTTGAAAAGTTTCTTCCTTTGTTCTCTTTATTCTTGCTTCTTTCCATATATTCACTTAACCTTTAGCTTTTTCTAGAGATATTTGTTAAAGTAAGGTAAGAAGGGCACATCTTATTTTCCCAGCCTCTACAACTACAGAGAAATTGAATGAATAGTAGAGCAAACACTGTATACTCGTCACCTAGATTTACCGGTTAACGTATCGTCACTTTTGTTTTCTGTCTCTGTTTATATACTCATACAAATACATGTGCACTTTTTGGAATGTGCTGAACTAATTGAAAGTAAAAGGCAATCATGCTGTTTCACCCCCTAATATTTCAGTGTGCTTCTTCTATGAACAAGGACATCTTCCTGTATAAGCATAATACCATTAACACATTCCTATACCAGTGTGACAGCTCATAATCATATTTCTCCAATTGTCCACAAAATGTCCTTAATAGCACTTTTTTATTCAATCCAGGATTCAATTCAAAAATTGTCTTTGCTGTCATGTCTTTTTACTCTTCTTTAAATCACAGTGTCCGAAAGCATTTTGCTTTTTAAGATATTGGCATTTTGAAGATTCCAGGCCAGTTTTCTGGAATCTTCCACAGTCTACATTTGTCTGTTTGTTTCTGATTGTTTTCTCAAGTTTAGATTTCGGTTAAGTGTTTTTAGTAGGAATACTAACTAGGTGATGTGTATTTCCAGTTGTATCATATTACTGGTGAAGCTAGGTGATCCATGGGGTGATACCTGGGCACTATGAATAACCTGTTTCCCTGCAACTTTTTACCCAGTGGTTGTAATATCGATGGTTGAGTCTGTCTTGCATTAGTTAATACATTTGACATGGTAAAACAGTAAATTTTAAGTTATTTCTTTCCTTTCAAATTAATATTCTGTAAAGAAGAGCTTTTCCTGTTTTCTCCTCTCCTCGCTCCCTCACTCTCTGTGCATATGAAAATGTGGGCTTCTGGTACCTTTCCTTAATACTAGCAGTCACCATTTATTGAGTGTTTATTATTTGCCAAACACTGTGTGATATGGTTTGGCTGTGTCCCCACCCAAATCTCATCTTGAATTATAGTTCCTACAATCCCCATATGTGGTGGGAGGGATCTCGTGGGAGGTAATTTAATCAGGGGCAATTTTCCCCATGCTATTCTTGTGATACTAAGTTCTCACAAGATCTGATGGTTTTATGAGGGGCTTCCCCCTTCACTCGGCTCTCATGCTTCTGCTTCCTGCTGCCACGTGAAGAAGGGCATGTTTGCTTCCCCTTCCACCATGATTTTAAGCTTCCTGAGGCCTCCCCAGCCGTGCTTAACTGTGAGTCAATCAAACCTCTTTCCTTTATAAATTACCCAGTCTTGGGTATGTCTATATTAGCAGCATGAGAACGGACTAATACGCTGTGCTAAGGGTTTTATATGGATCATGTCATACAATTCTTCCAGCAACCTTGGGAGGTAGATTTTGTAACTAACTGTTCTCGCTTTTTACATGAAGAAACAGAGCATCAGAAATGTTAAATGACTTGTTCAAACAGGTAATAAGGATTCCAGTGACTCTGAGGCCACTTCATTGTGATGCTTCCCAAATGTCAGCCAGACTGTGCTTTCTCACACCTAGCCCGACTTACAGACAGGAGCGAGGCCAGCAGAACAACTGTCCATAGTAAATAGTGTCTTCACAAGCCAAGGAGTATGGCTACCAGCCCAGTCCTGGGCCCTTCCCTGTGCTTGCTGCTCTATTTCAGAGTCTGTTGCCTCTTCCTTTTTGGCTCCTTTCAAGGTCTGCTGAGTCTTCCCTTACTTCTCTCCTAGAATGGAACAGTGTCTCCTGGTTGGATTGAGGCACACGTGCTCAGAGCGAGCAGCTCACAGCTTGGCTAGCTCCTGGTGGATGAGTAGTATGGTTGTGGGCTTGGGAGACAGCCAGCCTTGAACTTAGGAGCTGGCACTGGCCTGAGAGTCATTATCTGTCTCTAGTCCTTGGCCCCAGAGTGCCCTACATCTTCACCTATTTTCTTGGGGTACCAAAAACTCCATTCCTGAAAATGTTTTTTGAAAATGTGTTATAACCTATAAAGTCATTATTCTTAATGATGCTGAGATTGTCTCAAGTTTTGCCAGTGGGGATCCCTTCAATTTGGCTCATTGTCCTTTTGACACAATATCCGTTAGTCTAGATAGCTTTCTTGATTTCTGGCACAAGATATAGCAGGTTCACCTTGCACTTGCACTTTTTTTAGAAACCAAAATATGAGCACAAAGTGTGCTCATTGCTACTGAGATGTTGTTGTTTCTAAGGAAGGTGCGTGTTTTTTGAGAATTATTCTGCTGTTGATAGCGTAGTAGAGTTGGAGTGGGGGTGAACAAGGAAACTGCTGCCTGGCCTTCAATTGGAAATGCCCAAAATTCCTAGGGATGTCAGTGACTGCAGCTCTGTCCTTGCTGGCTCCTGCTTGGTCAATGACTTGTCAGTCCCTTGTCATCAAGCAGTTGGGGACCTTTGATTACAAAGAACTCCTCTTTTTGCTGACAGAAAGACAACATTTCAAAAGACATTTCTTGTGAATTCTATTCTCCAGTGGTCCTTTTCTGCCCTTTGTGCCAAACTTGAAACTGCAGGGAAATCTTTGTTACAGAGAATCCAGAAAAGACCTATTAACAGCATTGAGGCTGTGTCTGCCACTTCATGGCTGTGTATTTTCAGACATCATTGCTATTTTTCAGAATTAAATTAATTATCTTAATGGAGTACTTACTTGCTTAAGTTTAAAGTTCACTCCATTTTAATGTTTATTTTCTTGAGTGGCCCATCAAGGAAATAGGAAGAAGTAGTTTATTTTGTATTGTGGTTTGAGATAAGAGAGGTTTTTATTTATTATTAATTTTAAGTAAGGCACCCAAAGATAATAAAGGCCTAGGAAGGATAGTGAGAAGAATTTTGCCATGATACATATTTTCCTCAATAGGTCTTCCTCAGTGGTGGTTATGTATGTACGTTTATTTTAATACTCTAGTCTATGCCCTCTTTAATTCTTTGGCTTGATCTTTGTTTTGTTTTTCTTCTAAAGCCTATATATATATATATTTTTTTTAACCTGCTAGTTTATAATGTATCTTAAATTACATCCGTAACAAATCTGTGTTATACTGTGTACTCTTAATGTACATTTCCCTTCCTTTTGGTCTTTAAAAAGCAAGGGGTTTTATGTTTCTTAGTGGGACTGTAAGATAAAGTAGAATATCTTTGCAGGTTAATTGCTCTGTAATTAACCCAGATGGGGCAGAGGGCAGAGGACAGTTTTGACTTAACCCTGTTGGGAAACATCAGCAAGCTTTCACTTTACTGTAGAGCAATCCATTAGATTATGGTACTCTCAGCTACTTGACTAATATCCAGAGAAACCTTACTCCTTTTCCAGGGAATCCTGAGTTCCTCTGTTGATAAGATGACTTAATAGAAATATATTTTTAATGAATTCTTGACATTTGATAAATTAAGGCCATTTATTTTAGCAGAGAAAAAGGTGAAGTTCTACTTAGCCATTGGTGACTTACTACTTTTATTTAAAGAAGATGTTTTCTAATATGTTTTATTGACTAACCCTTATCAGTTATAAAATACCTGCTACTCTAGTTCTAGGCTAGTTCCTAAGGTGAAAATTTGCAAAGAAGCTTAAAAATGACCACTAAGTACAGAAAGGGGTCTCATTTATTAATGTATACATTTTAAAGCCTACTGTAATATTTTAATATCTCTGTCATATGCCTTTTGGTGACTTAATTTCATTTTATCTTATAGTTTAATATTTTTAAAACACTTGATAAAAATTGCTCCCTTCTACAGGATGCCTGAGTATAATTTTTCTGTTTTGATATTTTGTATATGTATAAAACGGTGACTGATAAACATGAATTTATGGTAGCTGCCTCTCATTTATTCTTCTTTAAGATCAAGGCATATACTATTAAGCAGTATGCCTGTAGGTTGGTTGTTACCATTCATAAAATCTTTGAAAGGACTTTATAATTTTGGTATAATAACAAATGAAAAAGCTTCTCTAAATGCAACGTTGTATGCTGGTTTGGATTCTGGGACAGAAAAATGACATTAGTGGAACAACTACAGAAATCTGCATAAAGTCTCTAGTTTGGTGAATAGCAATGAACTGATGTTAATTTCTTAGTTTTGATAAATTTTATGGTTATATAAAATGTTAACATTAGTGAAAGGTAGGTAAAGAATATATGGGAACTCTATATGTAGTAGAAGCTTAACTCATTAAAAGCTTTGAATATATAGAGACATATGACCATAGTTTGAGTTCATTAATTAGTTCAGGGAAAGTTTAGTGGTAGTTATATTTAAGCCCATTTATAATTCATAATTAGGAATTTAAAAATTAAAAGACCGACAATAAAAATAAATGCACTTTTCATATGAGGGCACCAAGTTCTGTATGTTCGATCACTAAAAATATCAGTTTTACTCATTTTAGATTATTGCTGCTTAAGATGTCCAGAATAGGCTTATAGTACAAGCAGCTTTTTTATTTCTTCTAGTTTAATTTTAAATTCAAAAGCTTGAAACATCTGGAAGAAAATAGAGTCAGAATTCATCAGTGTATAAAATCATGCTGATATTAGTTGGTAATCTGTTTGCATACCTACTAAGTGTGAGAAATATCTAGGCACTATGGGAAATATTTTTTAAATAGCTCTAATTAAGAGGTATGGCATACACAGACTTGTGCACACACACACGTAGCACATATATATGTATTTAAAAAGTCTTTTTTTGTCTTGGATTGTTAAGTATCTTAATGGTATTGAGCTTAAGTGGTGTCAGAATTGAGAGACAGTGGTGGAGATTACTTTGAGCCGGGGTGATGAGGGATGTCTCCACCGAGAAAGTAGGCAGGAGTTTAGCTTGGAAGGATGGGTAGAATTTATACATATAGAGACAGATGAGAGAGTACTCTGTGGGTGTGTGTTGATTAGTAGTAAAGCTGAGCCCTAGGAGTTTAGATGTCTCCCTAAACAGACTAGTGTTGCGGGCAGAGAGTTCCCTGGATGGTGTTGCACAGTAGGGTGGAGTTAGGCTGATGCTAGTTTATGGAAAGTCTTGAATGCTAAGAAATTGGAACTTTTGTTTTTAAATAAAAGGGATCTGTTGCTTTTGGAACCAGAGAGTAACTATCAAAGGAGTATTTTATTTTCAGTAGTATCAGAGTTTTGTATTGAGTTCTCGCTATGTTTAGGGAACTGAGCTAGGTGCCAGGGGTACTAAGAGGCCTGAGACTGGTCTCTTCTCTCCAAAGTCTCACAGTCTCTGGCAAGTCAGGGTCTTCTTATCTGTAAAAAGATGAATAACAATGCCTTTATGAGGCAGTATATGCCAGTGAATAATACAGGGAGCCCTATAAGATGATGGACACTTAGATTGCTTGGAGAAGGCTGTAGGGAACAGGTGAAACATAAGCTGAGCTGAGATAGGTGAGTACAACTTAGATAAGTAATGTGGAGGTTGTTCTAAAAGGTGCAGAAGGATATGAATTTAGGGAAAAAAACCACAGGTGGAGAAAGCAGTAAGGGTTCATTGTAACTAAAATAAGCTGATGGAGACTTAAAATAATCAGCATGTGAGGTGATGAGTCTGGTGAGTATCGTGACAAGTAGAAACAAGGGATTATTTGAGAATCTTCAGGACTTGGCAATTATCAATATAGGATAGCACAGAAGGATAACAAATTGTTGATGACCAGTAACTTGAGCCAGTAGAGGTTGGGTTTTGTGTCACACATTTTCATTTCCAGGTAATGCTGGACTTCCAAGTACAATTGTCTGACAAAAAGTTAGAATGGGGGTGTCAAAGTTTGGAAGACAATTGTGGGTCAAAGGTGGATAAAGATGGGTGAGGCCAGAGAGGAGCAAAGGAGCTAAAGGAGAAAAAATCAAGAAGGATATACAACTGCTGCATTCAGAGAGCCAAAGAAAGGCTGGCCATCGTGATGATTTCAGTGTTCTTGAAGCAGGTGGAGGATATACTGTCTATGACTGCAGATACATCAGAAAAAGAAAACTGAGAAATGCTCAGTCACGTGTGAGTGGTCCTCGGTTTTATAAGAATGGTGGGCCTGCAGTCCAGATGATCAGGTCTAAGGAGTAAGTGTGTGTGTGTAGAGGAGGGGCTTGTTGAAGTGGAGGCAGCAGATTTACCTCAGTGTTTGAAGAAGTTTGGGTGTGCGAAGACAGGGACGGACATACATACATACACACACACACACACACACACACACACACAACAAGGCAGTAGTTGAAGAGGGCAAAAGAAGGGTATTGTAGTTAAATTTAACAAACATCAAGTGCCAGTTTTGTGCAAGACACTGTGTAGGGGGCAGTGGAGGACACAAAAAGTGATTAAAATATAGTGGGATTTCTGTTCCCCTGAAAAGTACTGCCTCAAGTTCTTTTGACTTTAGATGGGCAGTTCATCTTAAACAAAATGTTGGACAAAATCAGTGATGAAACAACTGAGGATGAAGGAGAGTTGGAGAGTTGAAGGAGCAGTGAAAAAGAATGGAAGAAAACATGATGTGCAGGTGGAGAGGCTGGCCTTTGAAAGGAAAAGGACCCTTCTCTAAGATTAGCATACAAGAGGAAGAGAAGAAGCTCATTTTAGAACTGTTCTGAGATAGAATAAAACCAAACAAGGACCTCAGGAAGCCTTACTGTGAATGTCATGTATAACTATGATTTCTGCCTTTGAAAAGTTCTGGTCCAATGGAACGATGAGTCGGTGCTTATTTTTTATCCTGTAGGAGAAAAAGAATAAAAGTGACACACCTGGATCATTAAAGGTATTGGGCTTTGGCTGAGGGCTTTTTGTTGTTGTTGTTGTTGTTTTTTTGTTTTTTGTTTTTTGTTTTTTTTTTGAGACAGGGTTTCACTCTGTCACACAGGCTGGGATGCAGTAGCACAATCATGGCTCACTGCAGCCATGACCTCCCTGGCTCAGGTGATTCTCCCACCTCAGCCTCCTGAGTAGCTGGGACTACAGATGTGCGCCACCATGCCTAGCTAATTTTTGTGTTTTTAGTAGACACAGGATTTTGCCATGTTGCCCAGGCTGGTCTCAAACTCCTGGGCTCAAGTGATCTGACCGCCTCAACTTCCCAAAGTGTTGGGATTACAGGCGTGAGCCACTGCGCCAGGCTTGGGTTTTTTTTTGGTCTAATGTAATAGATACATTTTTAAAACTATCAAGATAATGTGTGAATATTTCAGGGTCTGCAGTTAGCTAGGATTTGTGAGATGTAGACTCATAGAGCTTAGATTCTAAGAAGGGAGGTAAGAAAGATGAGCATGCAGGATCTTAATAAATGCCTGCTCATTGACCTCTGATCTGAGGTAGAAAGTGGCTGTGTGTCCAAAACATACACAAGGAGTATTAGGGGAATTTAGAGGAGAAAGAATTGGAGCTATTTCTGTTTTTGAAACAAATTTGCCATATATTTACTTCAAGTCCCTATTTTGTTTTCTTCATAGACGTTATTTTCTGCACTGTTAGGAAATATAATTTTGTGTGCATACTTTTTGATCCCCACTGAATAACAGTATGTAAAGAATTATGAACATGATTTTGGCCACTTAAATGAAGAGAATCACCTTATCTCAAAACTACCCAGTTAAGAAAACCTTCAGCAGGACTTGGAGCGTGGGTGGGGCTTGGTTGGTGGAGTATCTGGATGTGGCTCCCATTTTCCATTTTCTGCTTGTAAACTTGCTTTTCAAAGTGTTCATACTTTATTCTATTGACTATATTTTAAGTGCATGTAGCCAGAACATAGGTACAAGTCAGTAAGAGAAAAGAACTAATTAATACTGTACTTGGACTTTTGTAGTCAAACATAGGAAGACATGTGGGAGTGGAAGAAAATAAACCTAATTTGGAGAGGAGAAAAAAAGGTCCACTTTTTTTCTCTGAGGTATTAATAAAAGCATTTTGAGATTTTTCTTGGTGGAATGATCGATCTCTCTCTCTCTCTCTCTCTCTCTCTCTCTCTCTCTGTCCCTGTCCCTATCTCTAGATATTTTGTGAAATTTTGCTTGGAAAGAAAATTATAGAAGGGACTATTTGGCTATCACAGGTTAGGCCTGGAATGTGATTTCTTTAAAGGCAAAAACTAAAATTCAGTCACTACAAAATTTAACCTGAGAATTACTCAATACTTGTTGTCATACAATATTGCTAAGCAGGGTTTGAGTTGAAGGGATTCCTATTGAGTAATACATTTAATGTCCTTCCTTCACCACCAACTCCTCCTCTCCCCCACTTCCCACTCAGAAGAGGCAGCAAGGCTTGCCCACCGCGGTTCCTGTAGCAGAGTTTGACGCAGCCTCAGCTGAGGTCAAGCACACCCATTCCAGCCTCTTGAGGGCTTTCTCTATGTGTTGCCAGTGTGCTGGTAAAAATGACTTTAAACTCTTGTCAGCGCAGTTACTGGTGCATGCATCACAGTCCCACTCAAATAAACCTGTCACAACACAGAGTCGGCCGCTAGAGAAGAGTACAAGGGCAGGCCTCTAGCTTTTCATTCGAGCATCACTAAACGTGCACAGAGTGCCCAATTATTTCAGCATTATTGAGCAAGCCTACAGGAGGACCCAAGCCTTGCTACATTAGATTTTCTTTAGTAATTTGCTCAAGTACCGCTGAGGACACTTAAAGGGCTTAAAACGGTGGCTGCAACCAGTTTCCTTTTCTGGGTTGTTAATTCAGGTTTTCTCTTTCAAATTAACTCTCCCTGCATGCTGTGCAGTGGTTCTGGGAGAATTGTTTAACACTAATTTTCTCAATTTTCAGCTTTTTTTGTTCAACATAACTGCTTTAACAGTTACTCACGTATATGTTTTGATTAGAAATGTATGATAGCGAGGCCTTATTTTATTTTTTGAGATAAAAAAAGCCTTTTATGAGGTTTGTTAAAGAAATATGTTTGCATATCAACTATTGAAAGTTACTTATATACTTTCACCACTTAAAAATTAAATTATTTATATTGCATGTGCAAAACCTCCAAGTATAAGAAAGGTAGCATTTATTGACTACACAGCTCATTTGCTCCTTCCCCCTTTTAAAAATATATATATGTTAATAGTAAATCTTACGTAGGTGTTGGCTTTTTTCTTTTTCTTTTTTTTTTGAGATGGAGTCTTGCTCTGTCGCCCAGGCTGGAGTGCAGTGGCACGAACTCGGCTCACTGCAAGCTCCACCTCCCGGGTTCACGCCATTCTCCTGCCTCAGCCTCCCCAGTAGCTGGGACTACAGGCACCAGCCACCACACCCGGCTAATGTTTTTGTATTTTTAGTAGAGACGGGATTTCACCGTGTTAGCCAGGGTGGTCTCAATCTCCTGACCTCGTGATCCGCCTGCCTCGGCCTCCCAAAGTGCTGGGATTACAGGCGTGAGCCACCGTGCCCAGCCGGTGTTGGCTTTTTTACTGCCGATTTATGCCTCCTTTCTGTTTCTCTTGGGGCAGGGGTTGGATATGGGGGCAAATTCAATATCTGTGTTTAATTTTTCACAGCAGCAACAACTCCAGGCCCAGCATTTATCACATGGACATGGTCTCCCCGTACCTCTGACTCCACACCCTTCAGGGCTCCAGCCCCCTGCCATTCCACCCATCGGTAGCAGTGCCGGGCTTCTGGCCCTCTCCAGTGCTCTAGGAGGTCAGTCCCATCTTCCAATTAAAGATGAGAAGAAGCACCATGACAATGATCACCAAAGAGGTGAGTAACTCTCTTGGAATGCCAATCTGAGATGACCTACTTGCTGCTGAGGGTAGGTTCTGGATGCTATTGTTTATTCTCTCTGAATTTAGTTTTACCAGTGACTAAACAAAGGATTTCCACTGGAAGGTAAATTAATTACTGCAAGTAGTCAATTGCCAAATGATATTCTAGTGGTTGGCAAGAGCTAACATACTCCCTAGAGGCAGAGGGGCCTATTTCTGGTTATTGCCTTTGATTTCTTGCTACCTTCTATGTTCCCCAGGTCTAAATCAGTAATGAAATCCCATGATGCTCTGTTTGAAGTAGCATGTTGCATTAATAGTTAACTTTGACTGAATTTATTTTGGGGAATGTCTTGCTGATAAATGCTCACTTGATATTTGACCAAATCAATTATTATTTATAAACAAATGAGCCTATATAGAGCAGTAAAAATCTCACAGGTAAGAAAACAATTTCAGTAGTCTTAGTAATTAAGAAGGTACAGACCAAATTAATGAAATCTGTTGGTTTAACTCTCTCTCTCACCCAGTCTGTTTAGAAGCATGAAATTAACTAATTTCTTCCTAGAAGACCAACATAATTGTTTATGCAATTAATTGATTTAAAGGCCAGTTGTGCTCCTTCTAGGTTGATTTCCTTCCTCCACTAAGGTAGATGATGGTGCAGAAACATTTTGATGTGACTGTTGTTTTTCTTTGGTGCTTACTGATAATTTTTATTAGTTGATGACAGAAATGCAGATGAAAAAGTCTCTCCCAGCATTCCTTTTTGGGAATTTACTTAGCACAAGGGTGGTTCATTGGCTTGAAGGGTGTGTTTCATAATTAAAAGCTCATACCCCTGTTTCAGCATCCTTACTGTGAATTATAATATTAAGTCAGTGATTTTTATCACATATGCATAAATATCCATCTCTGATATTAAAAACACTGTAATTTGTCATCCAGTTATCTTAATGCTATGGTACAGAGTTGATGCATGATTGTAAATACTTTGAAAAAGTCTATAAGGAGCACAGATAATAAGAATGTCCAGCTTTGGTTCTTCTGAAATTGTGTCAAAGGTAGATTGGTACTTTATGAATTTGGTTGTGCAGTATTAATAATTAATTTTACAGCACAGTTGACATCTGTGTAATTTATTATTTAGCAGAGATCAAGTTTGATAAATCAGTATGATTTTATGTAAACTAACTAGTACTTTTCTTTTCTTCTTCCCACCACTTTATCTGCTTGTGTTGCTGCTGTTTTGCATATAGACAGAGACTCCATCAAGGTAGGACTCAAAATTTACAGACTAAGGAATGGCTTAAAAGGGCTGTAAATGATTTGAATGAATCTAGTAAAGAATTCTTTGAGATTTAGAGAATGATTTCATTGGTTAGTAGTGGTTAACTGCATTTTTAAAATTACTTTCAGGTGTGTGGTTGATTTTTTTTTTTTTTTTTTAAAGGTCCCATTTCTCTATCAGAATCAGATTTGTTGACCCAGGTTGAATTGCAAGATCTGGCTTGCATTGCTCATTTTATTATTTGCCATGTGAAAAAAAAATAACTGCTTTTCTTCACTTAGGCTTTGGCTGTAAGATAACAATGAAATGAATTAAATAAATTGGTTTGTAAAGAGATACATATTAGTTTCATATTTGAGGAAACAGCTCCAACCTACAAAAATATTTGTTTAAGTGAATGGTGCATTTTTTTTTTTTTTTACCACTAGAAATAATTTTCTCTTTTAAATTTAAGTGAATTTTTTTCACCAACTTTTCTTTCAAATTAACATTTTGGTATCTGGTATAACAAGTTAATTCTCTTTAGGTTTTGCATCTGTCTTATCTGCCTTTTGTATCTCTTTATAGACAAGTTGTAGGGAAAGAGGAAAAGTATTTAAGGTCTAATGATTTGGGTATGCTTCTATACCTCCAGAATGGGATGTGCTAAGGATACCTGAAGTTATTTAGTAAGCAAACAAGAAAAATAGGCTGCCATGGCAGGAAATGAGTAAGGCATGAAAATTAATGTGATCACTTATGAACCAGACACAATATAAATACACCATTGTAGGCCGGGCTTGGTGGTTCATGCCTGTAATCCCAGCATATTGGGAGGCCGAGGTGGGCGGATCGTGAGGTCAAGAGATCGAGACCATCCTGGCCAACATGGCGAAACCCCGTCTCTATTAAAAATACAAACATTAGCTGGGCATAGTGGCTTGCGCCTGTAGCCCCAGCTACTCAGGAGTCTGAGGCAGGAGAATCGCTTGAATCTGGGAGGCAGAGGTTGCAGTGAGCCGAGATCATGCCACTGCACTCCACCCTGGCGACAGAGTGAGACTCTGTCTCAAAAATACATACATACATACATACATACATACATATGTACACCATTGTATTATGCGTAATTGTATTACATATGCCATTGTGTTACTTATTGGTTAGAAGGAAAGGACAGTTCTCAACCATTGGCCGAGGTACAAATGCTGTCTATTTCTTTATATCTTACAACAGTTGAATGTTTTGGAGTATAGGTAGTTATATCTTGCAGTTTTTAATGGAGCTATGTATATGAATGCTAAAATTTTCTCCCAGAACCACTGTGCTAGCACTTTGAATGCCTTTTTACTCCTTGTCGTTTTACAATTAAAGGAATTTTTTTTTCAGAGCCCTTAAGTAATGGAAAATAAAACTTGAGCCTATCTGTTTTACCCTTCAAGAATCTTTGTAATTTGAAAGGGCATCTGCACTCCCATGTAAATGTCAACATTTACAATTAGAACTGAACACATTGAATTATTTAATTATGCATTTGCAGTTGTGTATTTTGTTGTATCATATGCATATCAGTACTTAGACTAAAAAAGCATTCTTAAAGTATATTAAGTGTTTTTCACACATGTGTACTTAGGAAGTAGTAAGTAAATGCAGTGGCTAGGATTAACTGATACCAGCCTTTGAAAGCCTGTCCAGTTATTCTGAGGTCATAATATAAACATTCCCTGCCTTCTTATTATAAATATATACCTTTAGGCAGTCCAGTGAACTAAACAAAAGCCTCCACTCCCAGAAGACTGTGAAAATATTTATACTTCAGTGTACACTTTTGTGTCAATTACATTTTCTTATTCCCTCATGCAAGAGTAAGGGTGTGTTTTGAAATCATCAATAATCATTCAGGGTGAGCCTGGAAATGAGTATCTGTATAGCTAGAAGCCAGGGAAAAACAAGAAAGGCTGATGATTTTGCCTTGATTTATTATGGGATGGCATCTATAAATAGATGTTTTGGTTGGGTACCATTCTCAAATTTGAAGTTGTATTACGTCAGGTCTGGGACTGTCCTATAGTTCTACAAGGTGAGATAGTTTGCTTATTTTTCTGAATGTGTTCTGTGATGCTCAGAGAAGCAGTTGTAGTTGCTTGTTCCATCGATCGTCCTCCCATAAGTGGTTCCTGGTTAAGAGGGGCTTTTTATGATTGTCTGCTGTGTGACTCTAGATGGTTTTTATCAGCCAGAGCGTGCCAGTTGCCTGCAGCTGGAGTCGAGCTTGTATGAAATAATTTATTTATGCAAGATAATGCTCCTTAACATTTAACAGGTAATGAACGTGACATAAATTTCCTTCTTGCTTTTAATTTTTCCCTTTCCTCTTCTAATGTGCAAACAGGCAGCTCTGGTACTCTAAATAATAAGTAATTTTTGGCCATCTGTCAAAAGGAAATTTCAATACAAATTTAAATTAATGGTGCCTGAAATTTTTTATAGCTCCTCTAAAAGCCTCTAATGTGCAGAAAATTCGGAATCTGCTGGTAGTAATTAGTGTTGCATGTAATGAGGATGTGGGCAATCTTATACAGCCCCAGTGGAACATTTTGATATGGTAGCAAAATTTTGATTTATACAAGGTTGTAGATGGGTTTGATTGTGAGAGATACTTTAAAATGTTTTCTTGACGTTACAGATTGTTAAACAGGGCAGATTTCAGAATAGCTTATAAACTATAAATTTAAACTTACTGTAAAGATTTAAGTAATTTAGGTACTTTACCTTTAGATGCCAAGTAAAATTCACTTGTTAACATGTTGGGCCTTTTTTTTCCTTTGTCTTTCTCTTCTGGGAAGTTCTGTGGCCACCAAATTGCACGCTGTTGGCTTTATTGATCTCTTTTTCTATAGCTCCTGTAGCCAAGTTCATTCCTAAGCCTGTTATTTGCAGACCTGTATCTGAAGTTTTTCAACAAAGGTGGAGAATGTAAATATGGATCTAAAGGAGAAAACACTGTAGGAGCCCAAGAATCAGTTTCCTTGATGATGAGAAACTAGACCAGTGTGTGTTGTAGGGCTGTTGAAGTCAGGAGCCATGGCACCTGCAGCCTTCCTTGCTTGTCACTTGGCTGTCCAGTGACTCCATGTGCCCAACAGTAAGTCCCACATTTGAGGCCTGAAAATGACAAGAAACACAGACTGTGATCCACTCTCACCCTTAATGGTAGGGCAGAAAGCCCAAATTTATCTCTCCAAAAAGAATCCAACGTAGGCTAAGGGGGAGTGTTCTCACCATCTTATGTAGTATCAAGAACCATTTCTCTCATCCCTAGAAAAGTCGTAAGTGACACCAAGGAAATGTTTTCTGAGGTGATGGAATCTTCCATTGCCCACCCCCTCTCATTGAGGGCTGAGGGGTAAAAGTGATGGGCTCTAAAATGGTGTCAGAGGGGACATTCCCTTGTGCTGCCAGGAGCTTCCCACTTGATGGAGGTTCCAGTTCATTAAGAGGAGTCAGCTGCCCAGACTGAACCAGTGCTATTAGGTTCCTCATAGCACTCTCCAGTTCTTTTCTGAGTGACTGAAATGAGGGTAATGATTCAGAGCTGTGAAGGCCAAAATTGCCTGAAACTTGGTAAGAATCTGAGGTTCAGAAATCGTCTTATTTCCCACTCCGTCCCAAATGTGTGCATAATTCCAATATCAGGTAGCAAAAAATAGGCACCAAAATCAAGACCAGCTTAAATATAAGTCGCAAAATTCACTATCACCAAATGCTCATTAGCTCCGTGGCCTCAACCAAGTTGCTATTATTGTGCATTCTTTATTACTTTGTAAGTCCTTTTCATGTATCTGCCTGGTTCTCCTGTGTTTTATCCTGAGTGCAATAGCCTTCTCAAGTCACATCTATGAGGGATTTGCCTTTTTTATCTGTAAAATATAGCACGAGTACTTTTTCTCCTCTGTGCCTATGCTTACCCAGTACAAACATTTTTTCCATCTGAGTGGTGGTGTTTTTATTTTTGTTATTTCATTGGAATGTCTTCAAGCCCAGAGTGCTGGATGCATCATCAAAGAGTATGATCATTTTTAGTGACTTGTGCAGTGCCAAATTGATCTCCTAAAACCCTGTACTAATTTAAAATGCCAAATGCAATGTTTGAATATGTTTCCACACAATCCGCCAATATGGAACTTTATAGTTTTTGTAATTTTTGTTGGCATAATGAGTATGGATGGTGCACTTTATTTTTTTAATTTACGTATAATTATTTTTTAGCTAAATGCTTTTCTCTGGGTATATACACTGTTTTTTTCCTGTGCAAATTCCTTGATTTTGTTTAAAGGTTTTTATAATGATTCATTCATTATTTGTGTTTAAGGCAATGCATTTTTATTCTGCCGCATCTGTATTTTGGGGCATAGATGACTAAAACATCATACATTGCTTTTTTCTATCCCCCATTTATTATGTTGACAATAAAGGTTTATCAGCGGAAAATTAGAATAAGGTTGTTTTTATGTTCAAATTGAAGGGCATGATTCAGGCCAAGAAAGCACTTTTGCCTCATTAATTGGGTGTTAACCGGTGAATGTGGGTTTTTAGTCTGAATTAACAGAATGATTACTTCATACACCCCTTTAAGTAGGAGTTTTACCGTTTGGGAGATAACTTGCTGGGATAAATTTGTATTACTCCAGACTTTAGAAGTACATATTGTAAAAAGGCAAAGGCATAAAATAATAGAAAGGTAGATTAAAAAGGGGAAATCATTGAAATCCACAGAACACTAAAGAGTGTTTAAGCAAACAAAACAGTCATGGACTTTTGGTATCTTCTGTTTTCCCCTCAGTAATCAGCAATCTGAGAAGAGAAGTTGTCTAATTAAGGGCTGTAACACTTCAGCATATCCACTGTAACCTAGGGAAAAATAAGGTGGGTCCACAGTGTCCACTCAGTCCTACTGATCTCCTCTGAGCAGCCCCCACTGCATGTATAGCTCATAGGTTAGATTTTGCTGGTGAAGGTAGGTGTTATGCTTACCCTTATTTCATACATGAGGAAAGGTTTAGAAGTGTGAAGACCTGTCAAAGGTCACACAGCCAGCGCCGCCCTCAAAGGAAAGCTCTTTGGGTAACCCAGTTTCATTCTCAGTTATTAAAAATCTGAAACATACTACAAAGTACAAAGAACGCCTCATACACCCAGCAACTAGGTACAAGAGCTATCAATATGTAGCCATATTTCTATCTATACTTTTTCTTTGCCGAAGTATTTGTATGCTCATTTTGCTCCTGTGTACTTCAATATGCAAAATGAACACATTATCTAAATAGTGGGCCCTTTTTTTTTTAGATAACCATAATGCCTTTAATCACTTAGTAAAATAATTCTTTGATATCTTCTAATACCCAGCTTATAATCAAACTTCTTTGATTATTTCAAATAATTGGTTTACTTGAAATGAGATTCGAATAGGATTCATTTTATTTTGTTGTGATCTCTGTTAGGTCTCTATAAATCTTTCTTATTAAAAAAATTTTTGTTTTTTGCCACTCCCTAACTCATAATTTCCTTCTCAAACTAATCTTCGATTTGTCCTCTTATACAATTCCACAAAGCAGATTAAGACTCTTCCCCTCAAGAAGCTAAAAATTTAGGGGAAGAGAACTTTACTTAGTTAGGGCATGGGGAATCAGGGATACCACCTAATAAGGAAATAGAAGTACTTAATATATTTTTAAAATCATATTTTAAAATATGTTTTTAAAAGCCTATCTTGAGCAATACTTATTTGGACAGTGGATTTGTATTTCAAATACATCATAGCCTGTGTTTCAAGGTTAAAGAATAGAAATAGAACTCTACCTTTTTACGGTCAGCATACATTTCTAGATATCTTACTCCCTTGATTATTGGTAAAATCCATTTCATTGTTCATCACCAATGTATACAGACAAACCTAGATTTCATTCTGTCCCATTCTCCCATCATAAGGAAAAGGCTTTTCCTGGTGTAATTCACCATGAAGTATTCTTGACACCACAAGGAAGCACACTGAAACATTTAGAATATGAGCCATTCTGTAGGAAGGCTATGCCAGGTTCTGCAACAATCCTCTCTACCACTGGGTAAGCTGAATATCAATAGACAAGTCACTTAACCTCCATGGATCTCAAGGCTGTAACTCAAGGCATTCTTCCAAGTATTTGGAATGTAGCTATTTTCTTATGTGTTATTTAGTCCTGTCCTAGAAACAAATTTTGAAATAAAAATCTTATACCATAGGTTATGTTTCAGCAATAAAGTTGGCCATACCATTAGCCAAGTAAACACAGTGGTTAGAAGTGAGGAAATCATTTGAGGGGTTCGGTGGTAGGGTGATAAAGTATGCCTTTCAAGCATTTAACGTTATAACTCTTTCAATTTCCCAAAATAACAAAATAAGATGGTAATTTGAAATTAAGTGTTTTAGCATTGCTATTGCTTTTTAATTATTTGTTTACAAGACTTTTAGGTATTTATTTCTACCATGTATTTTACTATTTACAGTTATCAAGGAACAGTTAAGAAGTTTTGTTCTATGAATCTATGATGCAGTAATTTGTTCAGTATTAATTGATACCTGCCTCTAGGCATGTAAACTGTGTGAAACGTAACAGGTGTCCTAATTCTAGAAAAATGTGTGGTAATTGTTTGTTTGTCAAACAGATGAATAAATATCTTTAGGGCATAGCTGGTCCTCAGGTGGTGAGCATAAATGGATTAATGATGTGAGTGACTCGGGGAGACACGCTTGTTTTGCAGCACCCTCCTCCGCCGATCGCTGAAGCAGAACAAATACTAATTAACAGGGGCGGCCTGGTTGGCAGGTTGGCTTTCTCCAGCTGATTTGGCAAAATGGTTTATTCCTTTCCCTCCATAAACCATCCCTCTTAGTTATTAGACATTTTCATACTGATGTTTAGTTAATTTCTAATTTTCTTAATTAGGATGCATTTCATCTCTTGCAAAAATATTATAACGTTTATAGTTAACATTTTTAAAAATTTAGAGGGGCCTAAGATTTAAGTTTTAATAGTTGACGCTTGAATTTCAAAAACATTTGTTTCTCAAAATGTAGATAATTCTTCCAATGGAATTATTCCAAAGAATCGTTCACCATCTTTTTTTTGTATTCTTACAGTAACACTAACCCCACTCTGGAAAAATTATAAAATCACTCATGGGGTAGTTTAATACTCTTGTTCTTCTTTCTTGAATTATTTCTGCAACACTTTCCTCTGTCCAACTTATGTATTTTGTTCTGTGGTGATTTGAAGTAGCTCAGCTATCTTCTGGGTTAAAAGACTTTCTACGCGTAGGACCCACCACTTTAATAAGGGCTGTAATTTTGGACTTAGAGAGTCATATCTGATTACTGCCATGGCAACTGCCTTGTGAAAGGGTTGAAGAGAATTCAGGCTTCATGAGAGAGTAATAGAAAGGAAGTTTGCTGAGGAGCTGAGTAGTACTTTCTGAAAGAGTTTTTGATGCTTTTAAATAAGGTTGCTGTTAAATGAAGATAATACAGTTATTTCAAAACTCAGTAATGCTGCTTAGACTTGGCAAATCAAAACTTGAAATGTTAGCATTGAATACTTAGTTGTTTTTCTTTGAATCTAAATATTGAATAAAATAAGTCACATTGCTTTAACTTTATCAGATTATTCATTATTTAGAACCAATCCAATTATTTTTGTATGTAATAAATTTTACTGCTTAAAAACAGTGTAAGCTGAGAGTTCTAGTATTGTAATGTAACATAAGAAATTCCCGCTCATTTGTGATAGTTGGAATTGGTGGTTAAGTACCCTCCTCCTCCCAACCCCTGGGTTCAGTTTTGCCTCTAGTTTTCCTTCACTAGAAACTGGAGAACAACACACACATACATGTAATCCGCTCACGTGCGGTCCACCTTTCTTCCTTCACACTGTTTAATATTCCATCCCCTCTGCATCCACTAAATGTTCGTGAAAAGCTTACACTTTCCCTCCCCTTTTACAGAAATGCAGGCAGTGAGGTGGAAGTTAAAATGTCTTAAGTATTCTTGTTGTAAGTGAACTTTCTAAGATATGGTGATAAGGGTGAGCATGAGGAATTCTTTTTCATGGAAATGGACTCATTATTTAATTGTATCATATCCTGAAGGATTCTTGAATCTTCTTTTTTAAATTGCTACTTTTCAAGTTGCTGACTTCAAATTTGAGAATAGAAGAGGGCTGGGAGAGGGGAGGTAAATAAGTTAGTGATGCCACCCAGTGAGAGAAGCCAGTAGGCTTATATAATAAGATCTCCTTGTTATTTATTGCTCCTTATGGTCATTTTAATTATTCTAGAGAATTTTGAGAATTCTATTCACTTATCTTTTTTTAAACTTCTGTTTTTGTGAGCGACATTTGGCCTTTTGAACAACAAAATAAAATTGGAAATGCTAATGTTTTGAGCCAACTAAAGGAGGAAAATAAAAATGTCACCATGGTAACAAAGCTGCTTTCTAGATGGTTTCCTAAGATATGCCTGAACTAGAAGCAGATGTCTGATTTGAGAATCTTGCCTCCTTCGATGTAAACAAATAACTTCTGGGCAGGTGTTGGAAATAATATGGAAATCCTATTAAGGGGCCCCGGGTTCCTGTCAGTCAGGAAACCCGTGCCACAAAAGGGCTGGTTGTCGCATAAAGGAGCAGAGTAAATTCTCATTAGGCTTGAGCTTTTCCCAGGAAATGATTGTCTCCGTGTGTTCTTTCTCCTGTGAATCTGAATGTAAGCTGTTGCTTCTATTGATCTATTCACTGGCTTTATTTTTCTCCTCTTCATTCCAGATCCTCCCTCGCCCCCACAAGCCTGTGTTCTCCCCCTCACCCACCCCTTCCCTTTAGATTAACACTTGATCTGTGCTACTGCTCTGAGAGTCGTGACATTTGTGATTTTAACCTCCCAACCTGGGTGGGGGTGGGGGTGGGGGTGGGGGTGGAGAAGGAGGGGAAAGTTAGTCTTGTTCCCTCAGCCTTTTTCACAAAGACTCTGGCTGATTGGGACTCGCACAGCTAGCGGCAACGGCAATCATGAAGACCATTCTGTGTACATTTACTTGAAGTTATATTTTTATGAATTAAGCAGAAACTAAAAGCTTGAAGAGACAGCTTTTTAGGAACTTTTAAAAACATAGATAGTTGTCTGGTAAGCCTCTGAGGCTGCCCTGTCCAATATGGTGTAGCCACTAGTCACATGAAGCTATTTAAAGTTAAAATGAAATAGAATTTTCAAACCCATTTTCCCAGTTATATTAGCCACATATCGAGTCCTTAGTAGCCACACGTGGCTGTAGAAACTGCCAAAACGGCAGAGATACAGAACCTTCCCACTGCTGCAGAGAGTTCTATTGGATGATGCTGCGTCTCTGACAGACTCTGATGAGGCTTGCTGGTTCTGACATTCCTTCTGGCTAAAACTGACTCCTGATACTCAAAAGCAAGGTTCCCCTGGTTTCATAGAAAACAAGGCATGTGTGTATTCGGGTTTGGGTGGTTGATGTGGTTAGCTGCACTAATATAGTAGTGATCTTTAAATGGTTGTAGATTTTTTTTTTTTGGTCACGGAACTGGTTGAGCAATATAAACATGGGTCTTCCCAAAATGGACCCCTAAGAGATGCAATTTAATGTTTCTAGATAGAAAGTTGTGGCAGTTTTGGGGGGAAGGGAGGAGTGCTTGAAAGCTATGCATAAGGGTGCTCTTTATAATACTCAGAAGGTTAAATGTGGATAAACACAAAACAAGGCTTCAGAAAAGCCACACTATTATTATGCAGCGTTTCTCGGACTATAGTCCCCGAGACGCACTTCATAAAGCCAATAAAGCGCGCACTGGTGGTCTCCCGTTGCCCTAGCAACGGGCCACGGGGCACAGTGTATGTGAAATGCATGAACATCTGTGAATTAATCTTTTTTAGTTTGTTCTTTTCTTGGCACTGATTGGACCACTCGGGCTTGTGCCTGTGACACTGCGTGCAGAGGGGTAATCTGGAGCAGTCCCCAGGGCCTTGCCCTAAAGTGGATAGTGGAATGGAAAGTGAAGGGAGATTTATCCCGGCAGTGCATTCAGCAGTGCAGGGATTTAGCCTGACAGCACTCTCAGCGGGATGTTATTAGCTTACTTTCTGGTGCATGGGGAAATGAATAAAAATTTTTCTAGTAAATCTGGGCATTATTGGGTTTATTGGGTTGCCCTGAAAAAATAATCTGCAGAGAAAATTGAAATAATCACTTGTGTTTGTACCACAGTTATCAGGACTTGAAAGCTGAGTTATTCCACATCCTTGGCCCAGCCCCCGCCTCAGGGATTATAACCAAACCATATTGGACTGTCACTGCTCTGAATGAGACTCCTGAATTGGATGCGTAGGCTGGAATCTGATTTGATGATAAAATCTGTTAGTAACCTAGTCTGACCTTATTTAGGGAAATTTTAAACTAAGCTGGTGACATTTTTGCCTTTGGGAGAATAGAGCAAATAATGACTAAATACGTAAGCGTCCAGGAACAGTACTTTTGTTAGTTAGTCCCCCACCCCTGACCTCTTCTGTTCTTTCCCTCCTCCTGCCTCCCGCTGCCACTTCTTCCCTCCCTCTTTTCAAATTGCCATCCTCCTTCTAGACTTCAGCATGACTGTACAGACTGTGTTCAGTTCCTCCTGTCAATACCAGATGTTCACTTGTAAACTGTTTTGCTCACCCTTGTCATTTTCAATTCCCTTCTCTTTTCTTCCTTTTTTCTCTTTGTGCCTCCCTTTTTTTTTCTCTCTCCATTCTTCCTTATGGGTCAACCCTCTTTCCTGGGGAGAAATGAAAGAAGAATATTACATATGAAATGTTTCACGATGGATGTAGTCTATTTGGTTAATTGTTAGGGTGAAAATTTCCTTTATAACAAATGTATTAAAACAGAAGTTCGATTGCATTAGTACTGAAAGGTATTTAGGTGGGAAGAACTCCTTGTCAATTCTGTATATGTTTTCCTTTGATTATTAAAAAGGCACAGCTATACCTCTGTATGTAGCTGAGAGATTTTTCTGATTTGTTTTTTGTTAGACAACTGACTAAAAATTATATTAATGGTTCCTGACTTTGAAACCTGTTGGTATTGACAGATGAACTTGCAGTCCAAATAAAATATTTAAATCAGTAGGTATTGATTCAGCAGCTGGAGGGCAAACAGGCCTGTACTGCATTGGGGGTGCACAGTAAAGATTAGATACAATCCCTTCCTTCAAATCATGTTCCTGTTAAAATATGGAATTGCGATATGCTGCCTTCTGAGTAGAATAAAATATATTAATGGATCGTTCCTCTTCATTTCTCAGAGCTTCTGGTGAGTCCTGAATTCTTTAAAATGTGCATATAAAACCAGTTTATGATGATGGGAGGACTAGCTCTGAAGGCAGTCTTCCCAGGAAGCTGCCCGGGCTGATGTGCAAATGCATGCAAACATGAACCTTTAGCAAACACTGACAGTAATGCCAGTGGCAACGTTCTGTCGACTCCCAATCGGGATATGGGCCTTTTACTCGAATTCAGAAAGTGTTTTGTAGGAATCGGCAAAACAATTGAACTACAGAGCTAAAATATTTATCATCTGATTTTTTGGCACTTGAATACCCTCACTTGCTTTTCAGGTGGTTTCTCTGTTTTCAAAATTAGTAAATAATTTTATTTGTTTTTTTGCTGCTCCCATTTAGCTCTGATGATATTTTCTTCTTTCAAGAGTATTTTTAAAAATTGCCAGCTTTCTAGTTGTTACTTGAAGCCAGCTTCAGAAGTAGAACAGTTAACACGGATTATTAGAGACCTTTAGAAGGAAGTAAAATTCTCAAATTTTATTTCTATGTCTTGGACTGTTATTTGGTTTTTGAAAGCACAATTTTTTATGCCAAGAACTAAAAATCTGTAGACACTGGTGGTAAAAAGTAGAAATTCCACAATTACAAGTGGCAGTGAGTAAACTGGCTAGAGTGAGAAGCAGGAATGAGGTGGAATGAGTATGAATCTCTGCTGTTTCCTTCATCTGTGTGTGTGTGTGTGTGTGTGTGTGTGTGTGTGGGTGGGGTTTTTTTTTTTTGTTTTTTTTTTTTTTTTTTTTTTGAGAAGGAGTCTCCCTATGTCACCCAAGCTGCTGCTGGAGTGCAGTGTCATGATCTCGGCTCACTGCAATCTCTGTCTCCTGGGTTCAAACGATTCTCCTGCCTCAGCCTCCCAAGTAACTGGGATTATAGGCACGTGCCACCACACACCTGGATAATTTTTTGTTTTTGGTATTTTTTAGTAAAGATGTGGTTTCACCATGTTGGCCAGGCTGGTTTCGAACTTCTGACCTCAGGCGATCCACCCACCTCAGCCTCCCAAAGTGTTGGGATTACAGGCGTGAGCCATCACGCCCCACCCCTTCATCTATTTTTAACAGTTTCTTAAAATCTCTGTCATGTTCCTATGTACTAGGCTGGTAAATAGCCATAATTCTTGAATTTTATTTTTAACTTTTCTACTCTTACTGTGTTTTAAAAGCAGTAATAGAAATAAAATCAGCACTTTAATTAGTGTTGTAGATATGTGTATCTATAAAAGTGAAAATGTTTAGGGGAAAAAAATGCTGCTTGTTTTCTTAGACACACAACATTACATGGAAACATTTGGTGATTGCAGTGGCTTCAGCATTTTAAGACTGGGCTACCAAAAACTGTACCTGATACTTAACCTGTTGGGCCTACCCAGGGACAGTGAAAGAGTCCAAATGGAGGCCCTCATACCATACACTGAAGTATTTAAAAGTTATAAATCCAATAAATAAATACACCTTAGTGATAACCTGAAAGACCAGGTTGGAATTTAAAATTCTCAGGCACTTTGGAGTTCATTGCTTTAACCACGTGGGTCCTCACGTATTTTCTTGTACACACCCTAGTTCTTACTTCAAAGCTTCATCGAACCCCTACAGCTGCGCCCAGATCTAGACACACTCAAACCAGCAGCTTGATCTAACCCTGGGAGGCTTCAGGAAGAGGACTGAGACTGAGTAAACCCTGGAAGTGGGCCTGGGGTGTTAGGGCAGGGAATTTCAGGGTCCTGGGTACCCAGCTCATGGTGTAGAGGCCACGGACAAAGGCTGTGTGTGGGCATGCCCCCTTGGTCTTACAGGGTGTTGCTCAGCCAACTGAGGGCCAGGGCCCACGTCAGGGGCCCTTCTCCTTCTCGCCAGGCTGCTTGGTTTGTACATGATTTCATAAGCTATACACTTAAGAGGAAAGAAAGGGAACTTAGAACTGTTTTATCTTAAAATAATTCTTTGTTAAATAAATGTCAATAGTTTTAATCAAAATTCATCCAGGGAATTCTAAAATATAACATACATATACACATATATATATGTATATAAAACATTAAAGATAATCTCTAGGAACAGCTGCTTTGACACTGTGTTTTATAGTCTGTTTACGGATGTGTATGTTTTTAAAATACTCCATTAAAAATCCGAAATGCGTATCCTGCCTATTGGAAGTGCTTGTGAAAGGAAGGTGGGGAGTTGGGGTACCATTTAAAGCTGAGCAAGGTAAAGATAGTGTGGAGCTTCGAAGTCAGGATTTTCTACACGACCCCACCCTCAATCTGGTCCACATAGTAAAGATTGGATGCTAGTGAAAATGCCAGGCAAGGGTTAGGCCTAAAAGGATTAGTCATGAAGATTCGAGATTCTTAAACTAAAGATTATCACTGGGAACTAACTCGGGTCATGATTTCTCTTTTCATCTGCCTTTGTTCCTTTTATGCACTTCCACAGTTGGACAGCTGGAAGTGCCACAGAAATATTTGAAGAGCCCTATTTAGTAGTTTACGTGAAAAGTCGTTGAATAATTCACATAACAAATGATTAGACAAGCACTTGTCCATCTGACTGAATTATTCTACATGTTTGCCCAAGCAACAAAGGAGAACAGCGTTTCCTCCTACAGAGGGTATACAGTGGTGGTATTGACCCATCTAGTTACTGGGTGGGTTTCAGTCTTTTGTTGACATTGTTGTTAATGAAAGCAGCCCAGACGAGCTGTGAGCAGCTGGGCTGGATAATTGTGAAGGATTCATGCTTGTTGCTGTTACCCCCAGTGTTTGCAGTGGGTTGTTTGCTTTGACTTTTGTTGAACTGTTGACAAAAGCATTAGATACAAATGGGAACAAATAAAGTGGTGAGATGCCAGGAGGGCTTGGCAGGAGTAGTGGTTTTCTTTCTGACTGAAGTGGAGGATGTCGGAACGTATCTAGATGGGAAGTGGAAGGTGTATTCGGTGTGTGTGTTTAGCAGTTTACCCTTCCGATACCAAACTGGAAAATTTTGTTGCTTATGTACCTTGGCTCACAGAGGTGAGAGAATCAAGGAGGTCACCGTATCTTGTAACCCTCAAAAAGCCACGCTCTTTACCATGCCAGTCAGGTGGCTTGCAGGCCAAGAATGTTACAACAGAAATAGTTTCCAGATTCCCCCTCCTCAACTTAAAACAAAATTTTAATAATAGAAGTATTTTGGACTGGGGAGATGACAGGCATGACGTTGAGGTGGGGAGGATTAAGAAGAACAGTATATGCTAAAATAGTATAGCTAGCAAATGGAAGTCATCTACTGGAACGCTTTTAATTTGCTTTAAACAAAATACTCTTTTGTATATTCAAATGGAGAGTAGCTCAGCTGTTGTGAAGCCAGAAAATTAATGGTATTTTTAGTGAAATAGCAAAAGCATGTCAACAATGTAGCTGCAGATGATAATGCTGGCATTTTATTCATGAGGAATTATCAATGCAGGTTACTGGACAACATAGTGTGACTGAAAATGATTGAGTGTCGGAGAAGCCCGCCATCCTTCTGCTCGATTATTTCATTTTGCATTTAGGCTTCCCCAGGCTTCATTTGTGCATGTATTTTCCCTATCACAAACCAAAATATAAAGTCTCCCTGGCTTAGGATTGTATGCATATTTTTTCTTCCTTTAAAATGTCTCCAAATGAAAGTTCCCCTTGAGTATTGACTCAGAAGCTGAGGAGTTCATTTTCAGTGCACACATGGTCAGTGGAGGTGGTTAGGCTTCAGAGATAGGTCCCTCTGAACAGTTTATCTAAATAGGTCTATGGCAGTTGTTTAAAAGCCAGCAAAACTCACCACCGTTTGATAGATGGAAATTGTCACAGAATATGCCTTCTCTGACAAGTAGAAGATTTGGAATAAGTAGTGAGGCCAGAAAAATGTTTAAAAAACATGGGCAAGAATAGGCAGAAACTGTATTTAGGCAATTAAAATGTCTTTTGGAAGAGTGCGTTTCAGTGATAGTTGAAGAGTTACTAAAAATATATTTGAATAGTCAGGAAAATTAAGCTATGTCTTTTTTTTTGGCCTGCAGTTTTGGTCTGAGGCGCTCTGGGCACCATCACTCACATTGTTTTGTTGGTATTATTTCACCTAGTGTCTGAGCAAGGAAGAGGCTAAGGCTTCCTTTCAACATTCTGTTCTCCAACCTCATTTATTGGATTCCCCTCTGCTACTGGTGACAAAAAGAATGGATTATACCTTTGTGTAATTGTGCTTGTTCCAGTACTTCATGTGACCAAATCTAGGAAAGAATAGGAATTTACTGAGTTTGTTAAAAGTGGGAATGGCCCAATTGTTTTAGTCTTTGCAGCATCTTAATCCTAGAGAGCAGTGACCAGTGAGAAGAGGTCAGGATTTTCTCAGAAATGGGGGCATGCGTTACATGGCTGTGCTCCACTCAAAAAAGTTACATGAATGCTCCCCACGTTTCAGCTCTCAGAAGATATTTTGCTTGTTTCAGTACTAGATGGTCAAATGGTAAAGGCCTAGATCTGAAGTTCATGAGGAAGAAACCCCTGAAATGACAGACACTGAATGGGGATAAATGCATCTATGTGATTAAGTAGTTGGTAGTTCTTCCAGGGTTTATTACTCAAGAGAGGAGGTAGGGAAATCGTGCAAGTAGAAAACTTGAAAAGACTCACCTTAGAGGGGATAGCTAAAGAGTAAAATGAGTAACAGTTAAATAAGAAAAAAAAAAGAAAGAAAAAAAAACTTGAGAAGACAATAAGGCAAGAAGTTTATCACCATTAACAAGCCAGAAGAAAGAAAGAGACTACACCGACTTGACTCAGCATGACTCCAAAATTATGAGACCCTGGGCAAAAGCACAACAAAAGGCTCACAAATGAAAAGAATGAGTTCAAGAGAAATTTACTTAGGCCACGTCAAAAAGATTGGTACACTGCACCCTCAGGCAGTGACCAGAGATGCAAGGGTAAGCATATTTTTGTAAAAGACCTGTTTTACAGACAGATATGCCTCAGTCTTTCCTCCCCCTCCTTTCCCACTGCTCAAGCAGGTATTCATGTTTGCTGTGCTTTTAAAGCTAAAATATCACCCTTGTTAACGGTGACTCAAGGTGACTCTACATACTCTGTTCAAACTGCATTTCTTAAGGTTGGGAAGCTGGTGTGTGTTGGGACCTGTCTACTTCTGTGCATGTGGCATGCTATGAACTCTAGACAGCCAGTAGGCAGGAAACAGTGTAGCAATACCAGCTAGACACTCATCCTCTGGAACCAGGTGGTCTGGGTTCAAATCATGCCTTATGCTATTTACCATCCTTGTGATTTTTGGCAGTCTTCTTCTCTATCTGTGTAACATGGGAGTGGTAAAGTTGCCCAATATAGTAGGTCCTTATTGGTTTTTTTTTTGTTTGTTTTTTTAGTGTACAGTATGAGTAATTTGAAAATGACCTGGTTGTGTTTATTCTTTGGAGGGTTAATATTTAAATTAACTTGCATTCCACAAACAAACACAAAACTAACAGCAGAAAGGAGCAAACTAGAAGTGTGCCAGGCCACAGGGAAATTATTGAGATTAAATTTTGCCTAAAAAAAAATCTACAAAATGGATCTTGTACATGCAGATGGTTGAGAATTAACTTTAGCTGATCCTAGCACATATTTAATTCCATTGGGGATTTTGTGTTTAGGGATAGTTCAACCTTGGCTGAGAATGTGACTTTTATGTATTTTACAGCAAAACTACTTGCTGCTCATAATGGATGAAATTGGAGACCAAAGAGGAAGAACCTTCTGGGTTCCTGTCAGTCTAAATCCTGATTTTAAAAGACATTCACCTGCCATGCTAGTGTTGTGTGCTTCTACTGGTAGGAAAAGCTAATAACTACCCTGACGAGCTCAACGAGTGGCCCGAGGACTGTGATCTCACAGTTTACCGTTTTTGCAGAGAGCCTCTTTTATTTTCGTGTCAGATTATCTGTAAAATGGACTTCTCCCTCCAGTGTTGTAAACCATAACAATTCTGGCATTCCTCTAATTGTGTGGGGAGAGGGAGTATACCCAACAGATGCTTGTCGAGCAGGAGAGACTCTTGCTGCTTTTCATTATTTTACTACTCATACACCTAATCCCTGTCAATAAGGTTGGCTGTTTGGGGAAAGAACACACATCCCTGCACTATAATACTGATTTATTTGCAGCTTCTTTTCTTCAGACCGAGTTAACTGAGGAGTCTCACAAGGCAGTGAGTCAGCCTTGCTATGGACTTTGACAGAAGTATATCTGAAGGGAAGGGAGTGATTGCAGTATTCAGGGTGCTGGGGAACAGCAGACCTGGTTCAGCAAGGGGAGGTTAAGGACTATACTCCCACCCCTACTCAAGACATGAATGCCTCTCATAGTGTGATCCCTGGTTGCTTTGTTTTCAGTGAAGATTAGCCTCAGTTTCTCCGTTAAAAAAAAAAAAAAGTCAGTCTGGAAGATTTTATACGGCCTATGCTTTTTAGGCCATTGAAACAAAACACTTTTTTTTTTTTTTTTTTTTTTTTTTTTTGCAGAGGTGGTGGTGGGGGAGGGGGGATGCCCTTTCAGTGATTAGTGCCCTGCTACATAGTTGTCTTCCAGAGCTACAATGTCAAGGAGCCCTCCTGTCCTGGGGAGAGAGGGTGCGCAGAATGGAAATTCAGCTTGCTCAAAGAGTCATACCAACAGGGCTCTAGCAGATTTCATATTTTCTTAATAAGAATGACAAAGGGGCCAGAGTCCTGGAAAGTAAGATACACACTGGGCATAAGATGGTGTTTGCCCTCATGGGAAGAGTGTGGTTTTCCCACAGGAGAATCCAGAATAACCAACCAACATGGCCAAGTTTCCCACTGTGGGCGGGCAGTGAGGGGCCCCTGAGCAGACAGGATTTCAACTTCCCACATGAGCCAGGGTGGGTCTGGCAAAGGTTTAGGAGATGTCTTTCAAGTGAATCTGTTTTTCTACATGTTTTCTACCTCTGGATGTATAGAGTCAGCTTCCTGCATGACCTGTTTTTGTGAGACAGAGGACCTGGGAAACATGAGGCCATATTTGAGGCGGTTCATTCTTACCAACCGCCAGACCTTTGTTTTTAGAGAAGTGGAATCTTCACCAAAGGCCCAAGAAGCCTTTGTGGGGTCAGCTGTGCTTGAGAATTCTTGAATCTTTGTTACTCTTTATCACCTACCTGAGATGCCACTTTTGCTTGCTTAGCTCAGGTTTGGAATTTGATTTAAGAGGGATTCACATTTCTCTGTTTATCAGAACTTAGCATCAATTGTGTTTCTTTGTAGAGATGTATGTTACTTAAAAGATAAGGGAAAGGAGCATGTGTTTCTGTAGCTCAGAAAACCCTAAGAGGAAGGACCAGATAAAGTGGAAACTTTCTACAGCGACAATTAGAGTTATGTTAAAGAAACAAGTGCAAGTGAGGGCAGGTGGAGCATAGAAAACTCTCAGCACAGGGACTCAATTAAAAATGCTTTTAAAATGTAATTCCAATCAATGTGGATAGTCTTAGAACATTGCAAGATGTGTGAAAACATGCTTTAAATGCCAGCAACCAGTGAAAAGGGCACGGTTTTAGAAACCCTGCTATAAATTATGTGCCTTTGGCTTTCAGGAACGTGGAGGATACATCGCTGAAATATTCAGAATAAATATCAGAGAGAATTGTACAGTCTTTTCATTCTGCAAGGAATGAAATTTTTAAAGAGCTAGTTGTGTTTGGCGTAAGATCCTGAAATTTTTTTATAGTGTCACAACATTTGTTTTGGGAGATGTACAAATCAAATCTGATTATAACAAATATTATAACAAAAATATCCCTCTAACCAAACAATTTCTAGACCCCAACCAGTGGTCCACTTATTTAAAACAATATTGAATGTAACCCAATTCCATTAAGGCAAAATAATGTGAGTTAGTCTTGGAGTTTTTCTTTCATGAGTTCCTTACCTTTTGGAATTCATATAGGCAATTGGCAGTGATTCCAAAAATGTTTATTTACCTTTGGAACTATATGATTTTAAAAGTGTAGTTTATCTTTCAAATTATTTTCTGCATAGTTCCATTTTACAGTATCTGTTTTTGTGGGAAGAGACTACTCCAAATGAAATTCTGGTTTCTGATTGGTTTCCTCCTTGCCTATTTTAGTTTCTTATACTTTTATACCTAAAAAGTTTTTCTTGCATTTAACAGAGTAATTTCCCCCTAAAAACTATTGAAGTAGTAGCATAATTTACATGTTACTTCTTGTCAACCACCAAAACCACAGGGTACAACCTGATCAAATACACTAAATATGAAACAAAACACAGGCTCAAAATAGAGTAGATGGCCATTGCTGCATGTGAGTAGTTTTTGCCCCGACCCCTGGTCAGTTGATTCCAGTCACGCCTCTCCATGCCTTCCTGGGGGGTGATTTTGTAGGGCCGTTCTGCTTAATGTTTCCTGACTCAACCTGTCCCTGGGTTCAGAACCCAGGGATCTTCTTCCTCCTAATTACCCTTGCCCTCTTTAGTCCTCCCAGGCTTCAGGCTTCCCTCCAAGTGGGGATCCCTTCCCAGATAAAAGAGTTGAGAAGTGGTTTATTGCTTTTCTCAATGTTTAAGGAAAACCACTAGAAGGCTGCTTAGTATAGAGTGAAAACCATGTGCTTTGTAGCCGTTGCCATGGGCTCTGGAGACAGCTCTGCCCCTGCTAGCTTTATGACCTTGGACATGAATAATAATTAGCACTGTGGGTGCATATACTCTGTGCTGTCATCAGAACAGCCCATTAAGGTGGAGTTTGCTATTATCTCCGTGTTGCAGATGAGGAAAGTGAGACACAGTGAGACTAAGTAAGTTGCCTCTGGTTCACCCAGAACATAAGTGATGAGCTGACTAGGATTCAGTTAGTCTTCAGAGCCCATGCTCATTATCTCTATTCTAGGGTCAGTTTTAAACCCTCATCTGGATGTACCTTACTTGATGTAGGCAAAATGCAAAGATTAGAGATAGGAGGAGCCCCAGCAAGGGGCCTGCCACGTAGGAAAATACTTAAGATTATAGGAGCTTCCTCCTTTTCCTGTCAGATCAGCAAAAATCCAAAGTATCGATTTTGTATATGTGTATTTGTAGTAGTGCTGTTGTGATGTGTTCTTTTCATGTGACTTGTCTGTCATATGTCCTTAGAGTGTAAACTTGTCACGTGGGGCGGGATGTTTTAATACTTCACAATTTTTAGGACCTTCAAAGTGGCGGTTCAAGACCATTTCACTTTGGAGCATTTTGGAATGTCATCACACAGTCCCGTGCGTGTTTTTGTGTTAAATTTCTCATATCCAACAGATGTATCCTCCTCTTCTACCAGTTCAGAATCTGCTATCTGATTAATTAAAATGTATGCAGATGAAAAATCTGACAAAGATTTTAACTTGTAGCCTCATCAGTTTGCTGGAGGTTAATAGGAATATTCTTGCAGTAACAGAATCCCCCAATTTGGATTTTCTAGCTTGATGTCATTTTTATTTCATGAAGAAAAAAGGGTAGTTTTTGTTTGGTTGGTTTTTTTTATAACCACTAACCAGATGTAGTGATAATACTTTATAACTTAAGTGTCTATAATTTTTAAATCTCTTTGTCCTTTCTGCCCTTCCCTAATTGATGAACAAGCACTTACACTTGCAATGTTTTGGCTCTTGTTTCCTATCAGCTGACTTTTGGAGATTTACAGCATGGATTAAGTAGGGACCACTTGCTTATCCTACTTTTCTTTGTTTTCCTTTCCAGTATTCCATTCCCTTTTTCCCTGCCATCTCCTCCTGACCCTCCAGAAAAGGACATCTTAGTACCTTAGTTGGGTGGCAGTCACAGAAGAAAACTTGATTCCAGTGCTATATCAAATTGTTGGGGCAGCCTAAGGAATTAAGTTGAGGGCTGCATATCATAGTGATTTATACTTTAAGAATACCAAATTGGGGCCCATGGCTTTACAAAGGCATTTTCTTATATTAATTTGTGAATCTACATGAAAACAATTAAGACATGGAAATTAAATTTCATTTATTCTTCATTTAACCAACCACTTTAAAACAAACATAAAATCCTGAAATCAGTATATCCTTAAAATCCAGAATGTGTAGGCATTAACTATTTGTGACTGGTGGCTTAATCATTTTCAAGGTTCTTCTTTGATTCACTAAGCACTGTCACTGCCACTGTGGTTGGTCATTTTGCTTCTCTTTTAAACACAGTCCTCAGCTTTACATTAGGGAGCTAAAGTGAGGTGAGAGATAATGTCTTAGAATCTTATACCAGTTAAGTATCCCTTATCCGAAATGCTTGGGACTAGAAGTGTTTTGGATTTTGGTTTTTTTCAGATTTGGGAATATTTGCATTATACTCACTGGTTGAGCATCCAAAATCTGAAAAATCTGAAATTTTAAATGCGCAATGAACATTTCCCTTGAGCGTCAGGTTGGTGCTCCAAAAGTTTTGGACTTTGGATTTCAGATTTTCAGGTGTGGGCTGCTCAACCTGTACTGGCCACTTTGAACTGATTAGATAACAGGCATCACACAAGATGCTTGAAGCTAGATTGCCCTGGTAGAGTGACAATAAGGGATAATGACTTTACACTCGTTTTATACTACTGCCATATTTGATGATCTGTTAATTGCCAGTCATGTTTGTTTAGATATTGTTTAGTCACTGTGCCTCCCCAAGGCCTTTCTGGCAAAGGGCACAACAAATAGAGTAAATAAATTATTGCTTTTGTTACTACTGAAACTATTTTGGCTCAATACTCTAAATTAATTGTTTTCATGTAGATTCACAAATTAATATAAGAAAATGCCTTTATGAAGCCATGGGCCCCAATTTGGTATTCTTAAAGTATAAATCACTATGATATGCAGCCCTCAACTTAATTCCTTAGGCTGCCCCAACAATTTGATATAACACTGGAATCAAGTTTTCTTCTGTGACTGCCACCCAACTAAGGTACTAAGATGTCCTTTTCTGGAGGGTCAGGAGGAGATGGCAGGGAAAAAGGGAATGGAATACTGGAAAGGAAAACAAAGAAAAGTAGGATATGCAAGTGGTATTGTATTTTGTTTTTTAAATAAAATATGTGGAAAGAGAGAAAAGCCAACCAGAAATATGGTAGAAAGAGCACTGGACTAGATTCAGGGGAGGCGTGGCCATCGTCTAGCCTTATCTATGACGTCTGTTCTCTCTGAGCCTCAGTTTCCTCTACTGCATAACCACTTAGGTTCTTCTGATGTATGATGGACCCTATGATTTATTTTACTTGATATTTAATAGCAGAGCTTTATTATTTTAAAAAATCCTCAAATTATTAGTTTGAGCTAAATGTTATTCTATATAGATATTCTCAGTGAAATGTTGGAGCTGCCTCAGACATGTAAATCAAAGATGTGTTCAGTATTTTAATTTCTTTCATGTGTTTGAAGATGCATTTCCCATGCATCCATGGTTTTAGCCATGAATAAAACATAGTATTATGGAAGGTATAATGGTATAAAATCCAGAAGGATAGATCTGGGCTCAAATCGCAGACTAGAGATAGATGACTTAGCAAGTTACTCAGTTTTCCCCAACTAGATTCTTTTTAATAGTAACAGTAGCAGCAATAATATCTATCTTATTGGGTTATTAAAAGATTAAATGAGACAGTGTGTGTAATTGCAGAGTGCCTGGCATTTTACTCAATTCTCAGTAAATGTATCATGTATTCAAAGTAGTAATTTTGGCTAATTCAAAAACTATTTGCATGCTAAAAGTTGTAGTGCCTAGTATTAATTTAGTTCGTGGCCTCTGTATGATTTTCTGTCCTTTTGAAGATGTATCCATGACAGAAGTAATAATAAGCAGACTGCTAGAGCATCCTGAGCATGTGTCATGGGCCAGGCATTGGGCTGTGTGCCTTATGTATGTTGTCTCATTCTAAGATTTCCTTCTCTTTTTCTTCAAAATGTTAACTCTACTTAGTTGAAAGTATTGGACTATGATAACAGCAGAGACAAGATGCCGTGGTAGAAACTTTTTTAATTTTTTTGAATTGGTAATCATGGGTCCTGATAACTTGTTATAGTTGTTTCTTCATTTTTTTTTTTTTTTTGTAAAACAATTCTGCGTTTTGAATTGTGTATAATCTGAGATGGATTCAATTTTTTTTCTTTTGTGGAAACAAACTTAATTGAGCTTATACTATTCCAGAAGTTTTAAGATGTGGCATCTTCACAACTATCCTGTTTGTGAATTTTGTAGGCTTGTCATTGTTTTCACATCTATAAAAATGTGGTCAATTTGTGGATGCTCTTTTACTTATAGAATCAGAAGTGGGTGGTGTAAGAGATTCTACACATTTATCAAACTATGGAACTTTAGAAGGAAGAGTACTGAAAGGTTAGCCTTACCAGGTACTTCTGGCGTAATTTCTCTCTTCTATTTTGAATGCTTCTTTATGTATAAAGATGAATATCAAATTCAGTAGCTTGTTAACAAAGCAACTAGTGAGTGATGTCATTGCTAAACAAATTCAGTACGCTGTTTTATACGTATGCAGTCTCTGTCTCAGTTAAAGAAATTAGTAGATATGTGAACTATAAATATATTAAATGAGGCAGAAAAAAATCATGCATAGCCTCATCAAGCATCTAGATGCATAGGTCCACAGATAATGATCTTCATCAAGTTATGTACGTGAATCTGCCTGTTCAATAATTAGTACCATTCTTTTGTCATAATCCTGACTTTATAATGAACCTAATGCAGTAAGGCCAAAAAACTTTGTAGATGTTAATCTATGTACATTGTATTTGAGTAAATGTCCTTGTTTATCAGCAGACTTTCATTGCAAGCTTGAATTGGAAACCACATACAGACCTTTCCCTAATCCTAACTTCATCTTTTTTTTTAAATCAGAGAAAAATAATGAATTTATTCTATCAATAATTCTTAAAATAGCTTGGTAATAACTATCATTTATAAAGATTACCACTGTATCTGAGAAAAAACAATACACAGTCAGTAATTCTCATCAAAATCACCTGAACGTTGCTTTAGGTTTCAGTGGCACTCTAGTTTAAGGAAGTACTTTATTATTGTTTTTCTTTTTTTTTTATTATTATTATACTTTAAGTTTTAGGGTACATGTGCACAATGTGCAGGTTTGTTACATATGTATACATGTGCCTGTTGGTGTACTGCATCCATTAACTCGTCATTTATCATTAGGTATATGTCCTAATGCTATCCCTCCCCCCTGCCCCCACCCTACAACAGTCCCCGGAGTATGATGTTCCCCTTCCTGTGTCCATGTGTTCTCGTTGTTCAATTCCCATCCATGAGTGAGAACATGCGGTGTTTGGTTTTTTCTCCTTGTGATAGTTTGCTGAGAATGATGATTTCCAGTTTCATCCATGTCCCTACAAAGGACAGGAACTCATCATTTTTTATGGCTGCATAGTATTCCATGATGTATATGTGCCACATTTTCTTAATCCAGTCTATCATTGTTGGACATTTGGGTTGGTTCCAAGTCTTTGCTATTGTGAATAGTGCCGCAGTAAACATACGTGTGCATGTGTCTTTATAGCAGCATGATGTATAGTCCTTTGGGTATATACCCAGTAATGGGATGGCTGGGTCAAATGGTATTTCTAGTTCTAGATCCCTGAGGAATCGCCACACTGACTTCCACAATGGTTGAACTAGTTTACAGTCCCACCAATAGTGTAAAAGTGTTCCTATTTCTCCACCTCCTCTCCAACACCTGTTGTTTCCTGACTTTAATGATCGCCATTCTAACTGGTGTGAGATGGTATCTCATTGTGGTTTTGATTTGCATTTCTCTGATGGCCAGTGATGATGAGCATTTTTTCATGTGTTTTTTGGCTGCATAAATGTCTTCTTTTGAGAAGAGTCTGTTCATATCCTTCGCCCACTTGTTGATGGGGTTGTTTTTTTCTTGTAAATTTCTTTGAGTTCATTGTAGATTCTGGATATTAGCCCTTTGTCAGATGAGTAGGTTGAGAAAATTTTCTCCCATTTTATAGGTTGCCTGTTCACTCTGATGGTAGTTTCTTTTGCTGTGCAGAAGCTCTTTAGTTTAATTAGATCCCATTTGTCAATTTTGGCTTCTCTTGCCATTGCTTTTGGTGTTTTAGACATGAAATCCTTGCCCATGCCTATGTCCTGAATGGTATTGCCTAGGTTTTCTTCTAGGGTTTTTATGGTTTTAGGTCTAACATGTAAGTCTTTAATCCATCTTGAATTAATTTTTGTGTAAGGTGTAAGGAAGGGATCCAGTTTCAGCTTTCTACATATGGCTAGCCAGTTTTCCCAGCACCATTTATTAAATAGGGAATCCTTTCCCCATTGCTTGTTTTTCTCAGGTTTGTCAAAGATCAGATAGATGTAGATATGCGGCATTATTTCTGAGGGCTCTGTTCTGTTCCATTGATCTATATCTCTGTTTTGGTACCAGTACCATGCTGTTTTGGTTACTGTAGCCTTGTAGTATAGTTTGAAGTCAGGTAGCGTGATGCCTCCGGCTTTGTTCTTTTGGCTTAGGATTGACTTCGTGATGCAGGCTCTTTTTTGGTTCCATATGAACTTTAAAGTAGTTTTTTCCAATTCTTTGAAGAAAGTCATTGGTAGCTTGATGGGGATGGCATTGAATCTATAAATTACCTTGGGCAGTATGGCCATTTTCATGATATTGATTCTTCCTACCCATGAGCATGGAATGTTCTTCCATTTGTTTGTATCCTCTTTTATTTCATTGAGCAGTGGTTTGTAGTTCTCCTTGAAGAGGTCCTTCACATCCCTTGTAAGTTGGATTCCTAGGTATTTTATTCCCTTTGAAGCAATTGTAATTTGAAGCAATGGGAGTTCACTCATGATTTGGCTCTCTGTTTGTCTGTTATTGGTGTATAAGAATGCTTGTGATTTTTGCACATTGATTTTGTATCCTGAGACTTTGCTGAAGTTGCTTATCAGCTTAAGGAGATTTTGGGCTGAGACAATGGAGTTTTCTAGATATACAATCATGTCATCTGCAAACAGGGAGGATTTGACTTCCTCTTTTCCTAATTGAAAACCCTTTATTTCCTTCTCCTGCCTGATTGCCATGGCCAGAACTTCCAACACTATGTTGACTAGGAGTGGTGAGAGAGGGCATCCCTGTCTTGTGCCAGTTTTCAAAGGGAATGCTTCCAGTTTTTGTCCATTCAGTATGATATTGGCTGTGGGTTTGTCATAGATAGCTTTTATTATTTTGAGATACATCCCATCAATACCTAATTTGTTGAGAGTTTTTAGCATGAAGCGTTGTTGAATTTTGTCAAAGGCCTTTTCTGCATCTATTGAGATAATCATGTGGTTTTTGTCTGTGGTTTTGTTTATATGCTGGATTACATTTATTGATTTGCGTTTGTTGAACCAGCCTTGCATCCCAGGGATGAAGCCCACTTGATCATGGTGGATAAGCTTTTTGATGTGCTGCTGGATTCGTTTTGCCAGTATTTTATTGAGGATTTTTGCATCAATGTTCATCAAGGATATTGGTCTAAAATTCTCTGTTTCGGTTGTGTCTCTTACTAGCTGCAGGACCTCAGACAAGTCCCTTCACTTGTATTTTTATTAATACTTAGTATTTAACACCAAAATATTTGGACTAGGAGTTCTCTAAGTCTGTGAATACATCCAAAAATTAAGATTTACTCTGGGGGAAATTATGTACTGATGAAGTAGAATGAGTCTTGGATATACTTAATCTGCTGTGGTTAAAGGAAGTCACTATCAGCCAACTCAGTAACGTTATTTTGTTTTTTATGTTTAGATGTACAAATAAAAATAGCTGTTATATATTTGTTAGATTTTGATGAAGAGCTTGCTTCATATGGTAAAGAGCTCTTCACATACATTGTTGTAGCAGAAGCGAAGGTTCATTGGATATAGGCTCTTTCCTTATAGAGTGACAGCATACATGCCTGGTAAAGTTGAAAGATCTCTAGCTTTCATGTTACTGGGTGTTAGGACATTTCTCTCAGGAATTGAAGATCGAATGTCCACATTAAGGACATTCTAGACATTCTAAGTCCTTATTCTAAGGATACACTGACTTTTCTGGCTACATGGATACAGATCTGTTCAGTGATTCTGTGGATAACTTTTTAAGAAAAATATGCTACATATTTTCCAAGGATTCCTTAACTACTTCCTGGAGGCAGGGAGGGAAGGAGGGAGAGAAAGAGAGGGAGGGAGGAGGGAGGAAGAGAGGGAGAGAGGGAGACAGAGAGAGAGAGAGAGAGAGTGTGTGCATGTGTGTGTGTGTGTGTGTGTGTGTGTGTGTATGTGTGTGTGTGTGTAATTTGGTATATAATATAGTTATATATAATTTGATATTTTTTTAATGACTCTTGGATAGCATAAGAAAATGTTACCAAAAGAGTGAAATCTTGATTAGTTTGAACTTACCTCACTGGTGTCTCATGTAACCTGTTATTGTTAAGATGTGGTGCCATAAAGAGGGCCACTCAGATTCAGCACATTGGCAGTTGGTTGGAGTTTGGATCTGGAAGCATCCTATTTTGTGGTTTTCTTAAGTTAAAACTTTATTTTAAAAGAGAAAATAAATATACAGGCTCTTTTTAAGATCAGGCAGGCCCACAGTCTTTTATCCACTATTCTGAAATCCAGAAAGCTCTGAAAACTGAAAGGTTTTTTTTGCATCTCATTCATAACAAAACTGAACCTGGCTTGAAGTGATGTAAAAGTGTATTAATGTTTGATTATAGACTGTTATTCCAGCCCCTGTTAGAGTATATGCATCATATTGCCTTTAGGAAATTCCCCAGATACTGAATTCTAAAGCACATCTGGCCCTCAAGGATTTCCTGACATGCCTTTTCCAAGTCCAGCCTTGGAACTTGTGTGCTTACCTTATCTCTAACTCTCATTGAAAAGAGGCAAAGCGGTCAAAAACCTTGTCCTTTTCAGCTTTGAGCCTTCCTGCATTCCTGTGAGGGGCCTGCGTTGTAGTAGTCGTTTGTCATAAATCAGTGAAGGGAGGGAGGAATGTTCAGGCAGGTGTTCCAAACCAGTCAGCCAGCAATTTCCTGTCCAGTGTCCTAGGCTTAAATTAAGCCATGAAACTCAGTTGCCTGATGAAACTGAAGTTATCAAGTAACAATTTAGGACCTTTCCCCGGCATTTAAAATCATGAGAATGAAAATGCTCAAGCATCTCAGGGTGGTAAAATGACTCTTGGTTGGGGTTGCAGATCACACTATGCCCACAGCCATTATCTCACCTCCTGGATCCTATTGAGAGCATCCTAAGAAGAGAATGCCAGAAACTTGTTATGATCGTTGTGGTGACAGTCTTCAGGTTATAAAAAAATGTAGGAATACACTACATTCTCCTGCTCTTACATAGACAAAGGGATGAGTAAACTATGGCCCACAGGCCAAATCTACTTCCCAGTTTGTTTTTCTGTGGCCTGTAAGGGAAAAATAGTTTTTACATCTTTGACAGGGCATAAACAAGTAAACAAAGAAAAAAATGTACAAGACCTTATGTGGGTTGCAGAGCCTAAAATGATTGTTGTCAAGCTGTCAAACACTTTACACAAAAAGATTTGCCGACCTTTGATGTAGACCATCAGTTTAACTCCCAGCCTTACTGCTCCTATTTTTAAGATTGATTCTTTCCTTCTCCATTCCTATTCTCCTTTGTCTTCAAGAGTTGGCTGACTCTGTGGTCATTCAGGGCTCATAGTTACTTTTTTGCATGAAATGAGAACCCTAAAAGATGGTTTATGTCCCCTTTTTGAAATGTACACAGGAAGAAACTCTTAGGTAGAATTAAATTGAGCGTAAACATGAAGTTTAAACTTATTTTGATATTCAGGTGTGGAGAGAACCAGTTAAAGAGTTTACATGGTACCTATGCCAATTTTACAAAGGCACCATTACTCTGGTCCCTTAATCAACAATGATCCATGTCTAAATTATGTAATTCTGGAATATCAGTATAATTTAGGAATCATACTGTGAGCCATTCTATTTTTTTCTAAATTATGTAAGTTACATCAACATACAACTTTTTATATCTTGCCTTTTAATCCATGAACTGATAAGGTGTGGTTAATCTCACTGATCTTGAAATATTCTCCGTATTTTGTATTAGGAGATTAGTAAAAATCAGTTGAGACCTAGAGTCAGAAATATTACATTCTAATACTAGCTTGACTCCTCTAGCTTTGTGACCTTAAGCAGTCACCTAATCTCACAGGAGTTCTGTTTGCTCATTAACATGGCAGTAATAATACTATCCAAATAAAGTTTTGTGGAGGGCATGTACAATGATGAAACGTGCAGAAATGGTATTGGTGAAGCTGTAATGAACTTATGACGACAGTTTATCATTTATACATATACTGACTCATTTCTTAAGATATCACAAACCATAATTCCATAGAAAGCCTGAGAACCAAAAGGAATGAGGTTGCTTTTTAATTTACATTATTTTCATCTATTTCTAATATGGATGTCTTAAAAATGAGAAGGAGTATTTATTCCTATAATGCATATCCTCAATTAAATGGTTATATTAGTTAACAATTACTACCTAAGAACTTCCTCTAAACCATACTGGTATGAAATCGAAAGCATTTGCTACATCTGATTGGTCTCTGTGTTGGCTGCGGTGGAAGCTTTTCTCTCTAGGCTGGGCTTGAATTTGCTTATATGTCTGCAGTCAGCTGGGTGGTCTAGAACAGGGATCCCCAAACCCCAGGCCATAGACCGGTACTGACCTGTGTCCTGTTAGAACCCAGGCTGCACAGCAGGAGGTGAGTGGCGGCTGAGTGAGCATTACCACCTGAGCTCCACCTCCTGTCACATCAGCAGTGGCATTAGATTCTCATAGGCATGCATACTCTATTGTGAACTGTGCAATGCAGGGATCTATTGTGAACTGTGCAATGCAGGGATCTAGGTTGTACACTTCTTATGAGAATCTTAACTATTGCCTGATGATCTGAAGTGGAACAGTTTCATCCCAAAACCAAACCACTACCGCCACCCCACCTCCGTCCATGGAAAAATTGTCTTCCATGAAGCCATTCCTTGGTGCCAAAAAGATTGGGGACTGCTGGTCTAGAACGTCTTCAGCTCAACTGACCAGGCTCTCCCTCATGTATCTATGGTATCCCTCTAGCAGGCTAGCCAAGGCTTGTTCTTTTGGCACTAGTCCAGAGTCTAGGAGAGCCTCTCTTTGCATCATGTGTGCTACTGTGCCATTGGCCAAAGCAAGTCATATGGCTGAGTCTAGCATCAGTGACAGAGCCCTACCAAATGTGGATACAGGGAGGTGTGAAAAATTGCAGCCAATATTGCAGTCAGTCTAACACAGTAGTTTTAGAGGTAAAGGAAAGTCTGCCCAAGTGGTGACTGGCTTGTAGCCTGGCACATGCGTCATGGTTGGGCCCGTGTGCATGCGAACGGCTTGGTAATTTCAGTGCTTCCCTTCTCATTTCTCATAGCTGCACTAGAACCGTGGCAGCCTTACCATCTGACTGCTTCATGAGAAATAGCCCACGCCCAAATACACACCTCTTGTGTTTGAAATAACACAAAGAGTATTGTTTCCAAGACGACTTTGATGAAATGTCAGCTTTCCCTGGGTTCTAAACCCATATAAGAAGCATTGTTACCCTCATTCCTGCTGGGTAATTTGTATACTGCAATAGTTTGTTTGAAAACATGCCCGTTGTTCTTTAAAATATGCTTAATGCTAGATTAGAACAGATTTTTTTTTCTGTTTATGCAAGCTCATTTCTAAAGCATTTAAAATAAAGAGCTTGGGCATGTGTGGTATTTAAAAACCCCTCACATGATGTTTTTAAAACAGATCAATTTCAGCATTAAAATGTTAGGAATTCAGCCAAGGAAAATTCAGCTTGGATTGTATAGCTGTAATGATAATGTATTATAACCATCTTCTTTGAAAGTGATTGTAGTAACAGAATTGAACCTGGTGAATTATATAATTTAACAGTGTTCACCAGAATACTACTCTAGGGGGATTATTCAAGCCTTTCCTAAAGCAAAACAAAACATGGATTTTATTATCACAAGATAGTCATCACAAAATATCTAAAGATAACTCATTTGGATTGAACAGAAGGTCATATGTCTGAACATCACTTATCCCACTTAACTACTTGGCAGGATATTAGTATGTAAGAGTGCATGATTTTTGTTTTTTAGCTACTTTGTCTTGTATTAAAAATGTCTTGAGTTTGCTTATTACTTACCCAGAAGGTATTTTCACGTCAGAAGTAACTTCATAATTGAGACATTAGTGATTCACAAATTGACTCCCAAGTACAGATGGCCCTCTATATTCCTGGGTTCCACATCCTCAGCTTCAACTAACCACAGATTGAAAGTATTTGGAAAAAAAATACAATAAAAAGTTCAAATAAAAATACAGCATGTACATTATATTATAAATAATAGAGATGATTTAGTTATAAAGAGGTATAAGTAATACTATAAATAGGCATTATAAACTAGAGATGATTTAAAATATACAGGAGGATGTGTCTAGGTTATATGCAGATACTATATCATTTTATATCAGGGACTTGTGTGCCCTCTGATTTTGGTATCTGCAGGGGAGAGGGAGGAGTGTCCTGGAACCAAACGCCCATGGATACCTAAGGATGACTGTAATTTAGAAAGTTTATATATCAGTCATATTATTTAGGCATATTAATCTTTTTAAAACTTTTTTAAAAGCTTTGAACCAACAACCAGTTTCTAAACATTATCAAAACATCTGTAATGTTGGTTTCTCTTCGGGGTTGAATTGTGTCTCAAAAAGATGTAATAAAATTCTGATCCCCGGTACCTGTGACTGTGACTTTATTTAGAAATAGGGTCTTGGCAGATGTCATCGAGTTAAGATGAGGTCATCCGGGAATCAAGTTGGCCCTGCATCCAGTGACTCATGTCCTTATAAGGAGAGAGAGGTTTGACGATACAGAGGAGGCACAGAAAGGAAGGCCATGAGAAAGCAAAGAGGAAAGACTGGAGTTGTGCTGCCACAAACCGAAGAATGCCAAGGATTGCCAGCAACCACCAGAAGCTGGAAGAGGCAAAGAAGCATTCTTCCCTGGAGCCTTTGGAGGGAGCATGGTCCTGCCAATGCCTTGTTTTCAGACTTGCAGACTCCAGAACCGCAAGAAATAAATGTCTGTTGCTTTAAGCCACCTAGTTTGTGGTGGTTTGTTGTGGCAGCCCCAGGAAACTAATAATGGCTCCCAAGAGCGAAGTTTATCTGTCAGTTGTGTTTCATCATCAGTGAAGTACTTGCTGTATGATGCTAAATCCAGTGAGCATCTACGTTTAATAAGCCCCAGAACTGTACATGTTAAAAGCTTTTAAAATTTTGTCATTTGGTATCATCTGGTCAGGTGCAGACACTGCACTTAGGCTCTGGGGATACTGTGGTGAAAACCCTGAATAAATTTCTGCCCACATGCAGCTCACATTTCACTGGGAAGACACACAGTAATTATAGATTAGCAATAATGACAGTATTGCCTCAGTTTGCGTTTATGTAGCCTACATTCTTCTTCTCCCCCGAATCGTAATTGCCCTTGGATCCAGCCGTGGGTGATGCAACGAGCTCACCATGCTCCTCACTTGCTCATGGGCTTGGGTTAGTGTTGCCATGGCCACGTACAAGTTATACAGAAGCGCAATTCACATGAATCTACGATGTTCTGGTGTTTCCTGGAGTTGTAGCATCTACATCCTGTGTGGTCATATGTGGTGGCCCCATGGGTGCCAGATTTTCTTCCTTGTCTCTCCCTTCAAAAATATCTCTCAAGTGGAGACCTCAGAGCTTTTCCTTCTCTAATCTTTTCAGAAAACAAAACAAAATAAAATTTTGTAACATTCTTTTTTCCTCGTCTTTCATTTTTATAGAACTTAAGTAGTTTTTACTTCTTACATGTTTGATAGAGTTCTCAGCCTACATCAAATATATTTGAATCCAGAATTGTCAACCCTAATGAAGCAAGTCCCTTGTCATTCCTTGGCCTCTTCCTTGCCCTTCCTTGGCCTCTTCCTTGCCCTCTTTTCTTGATGTTGCCTTACTGCTCTTTGTACAGGCTGGTTTCTTTTCACAATACACAAGTGTAATTTGCTGAGCCTCCTATAAGAGGCAGTCCTTAAAATCAGAGGCCTGTCTTCAACTATCAGCCCTTTGTGACCTTGCATGAGTTACTTCGTCCCCTAGGATTCAAGTTTCCTCCTGTTCAAAGTGAAGAGGTTGAGGTAGACAAGTGCTTCTCAAACTTTTAATGAGCGTTAAAAGCACACGATTCAGTAGGTCTGGCAGTGAGACTGGGATTCTGCATTTCTAACAAGCCCTCAGGAGATGCTGTTGGACAGTGGACCACACTTTTTTGAGTAGCAAGAGGCTAGATGATTTCTCTGGTCCCTCCCACCTAAAGATGAGAACTTCCTTCCCTTGTTCCACGTTGAGAAGGCCCACCTTGCTGGTCTTCACATTTTAATAGTCTCACCATCTCTGCACACTGTCTACCAAAGGAAAGGTCACAGTATACTTCGTGCTGTCCTATAGTGCTTATAAGGACCTGCCATCTGCAGTTCTTATTTTATAGCTTGGCCTTCTCCCCTTCAACCCCCGAAAGACTGAAAACCCACTATCTAATGCCTAATTAGAATTAGCCTTCAGGTTACATAGTTTTTGTGACTGTTTCCCTTGGTTATCTGCCATTCCTTCATTTCACAGTAATGGTAGATTTATAACAGTCCTCATAACTGATTAAATGTCTCAATTCTTTTGCTTTATGTGGCGTTCTTGGGCACTTAATTATACTACATTAAATGGTGTCTTGTTGCTGTCAGTGCAGTTGGATTGCAGTATAGATAGCATCTTTGGATATTTTTTAATATGTTCCTATCATACACTTTAAGCTTGTAAATAGAAGTGCTGAGCATGCATAAATGTGTTTTAAGAAATTATTTCTTTATTACTGTTTAGCTGAACTGATGGTGACACTAAACACTGAGGCTTTGATGTTTATACGATATTCTTCCCCACTAATTAACTGCACTAATGAAGTTAATTGTGGGGAAGAATGCCGTATAAAACATCAAAGCCTCGATGTTTAATCACAACTTAAAAAGAAGTTTTATACTCTTCAATTGCCAAATACATTCCAATTAGCTGAAGGAAGGTCAAAAATTCTGTTTTCTTCCATCTCATCTTCAGAGCTTTTCTGGTTGACCATTGGTTACTTGAGCTGCCTGAGTGTTAATCTAGACAAGCTGACAGTGGCATGTGGAGGACAACATATCTTCCCCCAAGCTATAAGCCAGCATAACTGAGAGACTCAGTTTCTGCAAAAGGCAGTGATGACCTCTTCTGTAATGTGTTGATGAAAAATGAATGAACTCACAGAGTAATGCATTTCTCTACCCTCTAATTTTATTATTAGCTTGACCCACTACTCCATTTTCCTATATGTTTCCATATGTTGCTCTTATAAGCCACTTCTCTAATTTCTGATAGGCATATTTCCTTGATGAATTCAGACTGCAAAACCAAGGAAATGTGTATGTGTGTGTGTGGGTATGTTTAAAGGCATAGGGCGTATGTAAGTGGAGGCTTTGCAAAGTTGATAAGAATTCTTAAATGACCAGTAGTAGAACAAGAACTCCTTCTCAGGTCAATTTCCCTGTGGTGTGTGTTACATCAATTTTTATTGTTGTTTTTTTTTTTTCTTAATCAGGCAGGGTTTACAATAGCAATAATGTAATTCAAATAAGCAATTATTGTAATTGACCTTGGCGATGAGTATCCTTGGCTTTTACCACAGTTTGCTTAATACCTGAGGATGGGCAATTATCTCATAATGCCCACTTTATTGAGATTATTGTTTTAATTATGGCACTCAAAATACATCACTTTGTCAGCATTGTAGAGTCAAGCATGGAAGCACTGCATTCAGTATTCAGAAGTGCGTAAAGAGCATCTTGCCTCATCTTATGACATGGTTATGATTGCGTTTTTTCTCTCTCCCAACTGTGGTTTTGAAATGTAGTTCATCCTGACGTGACTGGCTTATAGGGAGAGAAAGTCTGGGATTTGTTGCTGAGCTAATTGTGCTCTCAGAAAGGATGAAGGTGACTTGTGCTGATAGGTAAGCAGGTCTAGTTGATTAGGAGTGGTAATTGATAGCAATCACAGTGGCTTGTTGATTATCTGAATATGCCTTAGGTCAGAGGTTGTCAACTTTAGAATCACCTGGGAGCTTTTAAGATTGCCTGTATCCAGGCCACTTACTTAAGCCTACCCTCTCTGGACAGCGTCTGATTTAATTGTTCTGGGGTGGGTTCCAGATGGGGCTTTTTGAAAGCTCCACAGGTGATTCTTATCCCCTGACAGACCTTAGAACCACTGCCCGGTCCTTTGAATTATTTACTCCTTGCTGATTTGTCTCATTCCAACCATGACCCCATCCCAGATTTTAAGACTCCTTTTGGGGGTCCTTGTTGCTCTATACCTTACTCTTCCTCTCTTTCTTTCCAGACTTAGCCTAAGCCTAGCCACCTCACATGCACATGCTTGAAATAGCCTCAGTGCAGATTTGGGTCCTAGTAATGCTAATTCTTCCCAAGCAGTTCCAGGTCTACCCCTCCCATAGGAAGTGTCAGTGGGTAAATTTCACCTCTTCATAAACGTGAAGTGTCATTTCTTACTAATGCCTCATTATGCTCTTACAATTCAGTTTTCTCTTGGTCACATAAATATGGCTTAACCTTTATCTAAGTTTTTTGAGTAAGGATCAGAATTTATTCTTTAACATCTGTCTTAAGTACTGGGTACCACTTTGTGGAAATTTAATTCTGGTTGATTAGATCAGTAGTTATGAAGTTCCTAGTTGTTTCTCACCTTCTTTGATAAACCTGGAGGATACTGTTCACACGCATCTTGCAGTCCCTTGATTCCCTAAGGATAGGAATATTCTTTTAGGTTACCTAAGACTCCTGCTTCTTTTTTTTTTTCTTTTTTCAAATTTTTAGACGGGATCTCACTCTCACTCAGGCTGGAGTGCAGTGGCACCATCTCTGCTCACTGCAGCCTCCCAGGCTCGAGATCTTCCCACTTTAACCTTCCCACAAGGTAGTTGGGACTATAGGAATGTGCCACCACTCCTGGCTTTTTTTTTTTTTTTTTTTTTTTTTTTTGTATTTTCTGTAGAGACAGGGTTTCGCCATGCTGCCCAGTCTGGTCTCGAACTCTTGGACTCAAGCAGTCTGCCTGCCTCAGCCTCCCGAAGCAATGAGATTACAGGCATGAGCCACCATGCCTGGTGATTCCTGCCATTTTTACACTAAGAACCTGTATCTTATTGCAAATGCATGAAGATGGCATCATTATATTGACAAACTTGATTCCATTCTAATTTTGTATTCACATAGGAACACACATTTGTGTGAAGTGAGTCACTCATTTATATCCTAATGTCTCAGATTCATCCTCTTCCCCCTTCCCCAGTAGCCCTCCAGTCTAAACCACCAGCATTTCCCTCTGGACCACAGCAACAGCTCCTTACTGGCCCCCCATTTCTCCTCCAAGGCTCTGTTACCTGCCAGATCCACTTTAGCCCACACCAACAGCATGAGTAAAGTAGGGGCACCAAAAGTGGTAAAAACTCAGCTTTGATGATCTGATTCAGAATTTTGAAACCAGAATTCTACTATTTAATGTTAGCATACACAGAAGGTTTATATTGTACACTTAGTGTTGTTTTTAATTGCAAAGGATGGAGGTAGGCAGTGTAATCTTTTCTGTTCTTATGGGCTTTAAAAATTCTTACTGTGATTCGAGCCTCCTCTCTGAATGATTTTTAGGATATGTGTGTCATCTCAACAGTCCCCTTCAGTGGCCCTTAGAATAAAACACACACCTCACCGTGTGCTGGGCCTGCACACTGTGGACCCCCTTTCTCCCAGCATCACCCCTCTGTGCTCTCCCACCTGCTCCCTCCACGTCAGCACCCAGTCCTCCTGTGTGCTCCAGTGCCATTGCCAGCTTTCCGCTTCTTCAGAGCTATGCATGTGTTATTCCCTCTTTCTAGAACAGTCTTCTGGCTGTCAGGAGGTTTGGCTCCAGCTTTTGCTTCAGGTGTCAGCCAGAATGTCATCTTTTTGCAGAAGCGTTTCCTGACCACCTGGCTGCTAGTTATTCTCAGTCTCAGCATCTTATGTTCTTTGTAACACATTGCCATTCGCATTTATTTTATTTTTTATTAATGTTATTAGCAGCTTGTTTTACTTGATTTTTAATGTCCCTTAACTAGAACCAGTGCTCTGTGAGAACAAGGTCCCCATTCGCCCTCTTAATTGTATTTCTAGTGCCTTAGGGCCCAGCAGAATGCCTGGCAAATAGTGGGGACTCAATATAATAACCCTCCTGCTTTGTTATTGATAAGGGATTATGTGTCTGCATGCCCCCCTCCCCCATGTTAGTTTTGAGGCCCCACTCACTTTAGAGCACTTTAGAATTATTTGTCAAATTCCAGTGAAGTTGAGGATGCAAACCTAGTCTTCACTTAGCATTGTAACTCAAGGTTGCCCTAGAAGGCACATTTGACATGAATTCTGCAAGTTGGAGGAAGAGCGCGACTTCTGAAGAGAACACCAATCCAGGAGGGCAGGAAGATACCCAGACTTTGGAATGTGCTGTCTGAAATTTTGACTGTGGAGAAGTGGAGTGGCTTTTCCCCAGGGTCCTGAGGCTTGAAAAAGTGTCCATTACCCTCTTTCAAAGGCTTAGAGGAGACATTCACAGCAGCTCTCCAGGCCTCCTGCTACCCAGATTGGTTTGCTGGCAGAGACTTGGCCATTGCCTTTTAGGACAGATCCCAGAAACAATCATGAAAGGAAGGGCGGTATGCCTCCACTTCATGTAGTTATCTCGTTTAATTGTCATGACTATCTTAGTTTGTTCGGGGTGCTATGATAAACTACCATAAACTGGGTAGCTTAAGTAGAAATTTATTTCTCACAGTTCTGGGGGCTGGGAAGTCTAAAAACAAGGTGCCTCTATTAGATGCTTGATGAGTGCCTGATTCATAGATGATGCCTTCTTGCTGTCCTTACATGGTGAAAGGGGCAGAGGAGCTTCTCTAGGCCTATTTTATAAGGGTGCTAATCTTATTTCTGAGGCTCTACCCTCCTGACCCAATCACTTCTTAAAGGCACAGCCTCCAAATACCATCACCTCAGGGGTTAGGTTTCACCATATGACTTTTGATGGGACACAGACATTCAGACTATAGCAGTGACAATCCTGTAGGCGAAATATCCTTATCTCCGTTTTATAGGTATGACAAAGCCCCAAGGGGTTAACTTGCTAGGAGTCACACAGTTGATAAATGTTGGAGCTGAGGATTGAAACCTCATGAGTGCATGTGTATTCCCTTCCCTTCCCTTTAGACTCTACTCTCTAATCTCAGTGCTGGCTATAAAGCTGGTGCCTTTTTCACTGTTGTGTTTCCAGTGTCTAAAACATTACCAACACAGAATAGCTATTCAACTTATGTCACGGGATTCTTCTGGTATTACAACGTGAATCTCTGCTTGTGAAGTCGTTGTTATTCTTCAGATAGAGGAATAAAGACTCATTTTTCCATCTGCCTGCTAGCATTGAAAACCCTTAGGCAGAATCTCCCCCACCCAACCTCTGTGGTCTAGCTGGCCCTGTCAAGCCTGCTAATAACCTCTCCAGTCTACTCTCTATTCTCAGTGGAGGAAGGTCAGTGGGTATCTGTTTTAGAAATGTTGTCAGTGGCTCAAATGTCTGTGACATGCCATTTGTTTAATCCCATGCTCCTGGATACTTGCTTGTACGCATTAGGTTGTGGGATCTTCTGCGTTTCAATTACTATACCCTGGAAGTTTATAAACCATAAGACTTACCAGATAGCAGACTGTTGGCTGTGTTAGCAGAGAGCTGTCCTGCGGTGGGACATGCATGCACACATGCCACACGTGTGCATGCATGGAAAGAGAGAGACAAACTCAACCACAAAAGTTGTACCTCTGCTTTGAGTTATTTTAATCTTCCTTCATTTGTTCAGCAAACACTTATGAATTGTCCTTGCATTAAAAAGTGCATCATGTCCTTCGAACCATATTTAGTATTAAATAGCAAAAGCGCATCACTGAGCTAGCATTCTTTTTAATAAAATAGTGATTGATCAAATGGCATTCACCTCATTTCTCTGTGTGGTGAGTGAGAGTATTTTCTTGCAGTCCATTTTCAGCATGCTGCTATTACTGCACCACTTAGCTTGATGCCAAATTGCAGTTGGCTCCATTCATTTCTGTTTACTGAGTAGCGCTGTAGTGATTAAATGTCACTGGGTACACCAAGTATACAAAAGTAATTAACCTAAAAGGACATGTTAGAATAAGGGTCAACAACCTCTTTAGCCCACAGTGCCACCAGCAAGACAGAGTATTGACAGAGGTATTGCTGGCAGGGCAAGGGCGGAGGGGGGAGTGTGGAGAACGGAAAAGAGAGAAGCGAATGGAAGGAGAAAGAGGGAGAGGGAAAGGTCAGAGAAACAGGAGCGATAGACCAGGACTCACAATTGTCTGAAATGGCAAGTAGAATGGAGCTAAGATATTTTTCATCAGTCCTTTATAATTTAGTTCTCTGACCTGTGATCTTTTGCTGGGGGAGGGTGAGAGATTAGATCATAACTGGACTTACCTTTCAACATTTTAGCACTGGTTAGTGGAGTGCTCTTGTCTGGTTAGACCAGAGTAATTTTGGCACATGCTTGGTGAATCAACCTGTTCTTCCAGTGTTTTTTGTTTCCTCAAAGTCTCCTGCATCTTAGATCTTGTTGTCATGTGAAAGCTCGAAATCGTTTCTGTAGAATGAACTGAAATTGTATCTCTTAAGTATCTATGTCTCATTTATTTTCATTCCTCAGCATACTGAAGTTACTATCAGTCACAACTGATACTAATAATGCTTTATGTTGCTTTACATAATAAAAATTTACGTAAAGCACCAGGTAGTCATCTATGACTTAAATATCAACCAATGTAAACATCTTCCTTAAAAAACAAGTATTATATCTGTCTGCCTTATATTTGGCTTTTTCTTTCATCATCTGTGTGTGGTGACTTACTAACCAGAAAAAAAAAAAAGCAGGGGGGAGGACTAAGGATGTTTTTCCTTTTACCACATACCTCCTTGGGGGATAAACATTTCAAGGAGCTCCCCAGGGTCACTATTCTCTAAATGAGCAGCACAGAAAAACTGCTGATGCGTGCATTCTTCCCTGGGTCTGTCAGGCAGGATTCCTTTAAATCCTGTCTTTTCAGTGGTCAGACTTAAGTAAGATTTGTTTCCCTGTGGTCACAGACAGCTGAGGAGTGTGTGATGAGAGACAAGGAAAGGGATAACCTGTTGAAAACTTTCCCTCTTATAGGAAAGATTAATTTCTATTACAATTTTTAAAAAGGTGGCCTTCATACATTTATCCAACAATGAATATTCATTGCATGCCCACCCAGTGGCCAGGACTGGGCACTGACCTTGGGGGAGGGGCCTGCATCCTTGATTGGTGAGGAGAGCAGCAGTGAAAAGGCACCAGCTTTAACTGTCTTTTCAACATAGTTCTGAAAATTATCTTGTCACCCTATTACTTTCAAAATTACTATTTTTGAAGGCTGCCTCCCTCCTTTGGTGTGCCTACAAATGCATATCTCACACACACACACACACACACACACCACTGTTCTTGTATTACAGGCATTATATTAAGCACTGAGGATGCAAAGAAATAAGACACAATAGTGCATGACCTTTAGGAATGCATAATCTCCTATCTTAATATAATGAACATAATATGGTAACATGAAGCATACATGAGCAGAACCAAGTTTTGTGCCCATTCATTTGTTCAGCAGCTGTCAATTAAAACACCGAAGTACTGGATTTTCGTGGTGATCCAAACGGGCGTGGTCCTTGCCTTCATGGAGCTTCTAGTCAAGTAGATGAGATAAATAATCAAAAGAGTAGCCACAGCCACAGTGCTGGGAAGGAAGCACACAAGGGAGTGTGTTAGAGATCGGCTGGAGGGAGCTCCTTGGATAGCATTACAGATAAGACCTTTCTGAAGATGTGACATTTAAGCTGAAACATAAAAGATGAAAAGATGCTAGCCACTCAGGCTGGGAAAGAGAGTTCTTGGCAGAAGTCTGCACAGAGGCTCTGAAGGATGAAAACGTTTGGGTTGTCTGATGCTCTGAGAAGGAAATTTTCAGATCAGATTGGAGAAGGTGGGCAGGAGCTAGATGACACCTGCTACTTATATCAAGTGTGAGATGTTTGTCTTATTGGGTGTTGATTTCTGTTGTGACTCTGAGAACTTTTAGACCTGTGTTGTCTGACATGGTAACCACAAGCCACATGTGGCTTTTCAGCAGCAGCAATGTGGCCAGTCCAAATTGAGGTGTACTGTTGTCAGTATAAAATGCACATCAGATTTTGAACAGTTAGTACTAAAAAAAATGTAAAATGTCACATAATTTTCATATTAATATGTGTATTGACATGGTATTTTTTGAAGTATTGGATTAAATAGATGACCACAGTTAATTTTACTGTTATACATTTAAAAAAATCTGACTATCCGAAAAGTGTAAAATACATAGGTGGTTCACATTATATTTCTGTCTGTCAGCGCCATTCTAAAGAATAACTTTAATATTTTAATGAAGGCCCTTAAGACCAATCAGTTAAGCGATAATTGAAAACTGTTTAGCCCTTTTGTGGTGATATGAAGAAGACCAGAGTTCCTGATTAGCGACCTTAAAACTTATTAGGCAGCCTTCCTTTAAATTGATATATTGTCATTTCTTTCTTTGTTCCTGTTGTATTACCCTCAGACATTGTATAGAGTATATTTGCATACAGAATACATAAGAATATATATGAGAATCTGTGGAGTTAACACTCTTTGGAAAAAAAAGTTTAGCCTTTCAAATAGATTAAAGCAGTTTACTGGAAAAAAAAAATAGCAACATGAAAAGACTTTCTTTTCTAATAAATGTTAATAGTTACTAAAATGAAGATTCTGGTCCATTAAGATACAGCTTGCCAAGTCCTAAAGCTTAGTAACTTATTTCTCTGAGCTGTTACCCTACTTCAGCTTTGTCAAAGCAGCTGTTATGCTTGTGTTGATATTTTCATTCAAAAACAGAGCACAGTGCAGGGATAGGTATAAAGCCAGTGCACCTTCCGTGAACATCCAGGAAAGAGATTTTTGCCAACCCTCTCCACTTTTGTTTTTAGGGCAGTCAAACTCATGTACCACATGAGATTTGCCAGTGAGACTTAGTAACATTGGTTATAAAGCAGTAGGTGAATGAGTGGTTTATGATATGTTTTACAGGTCATATACTGAAAAAAATAATTCCAGAAGAAAGTGGCCAGTGCATGTAACTGTAATTTACAGAGTTAGCATACAAGATTTATAGAATTTGTATTAAGGAGAGCGAGAATTCTTGCTGGAGAACAAATGGACACAGAAATGTTAGACTTTGCAAACTTTGAGGAGGTCCATTGGATTGAAAAGTGCGAAATGACTTTGGGGTGATAGGTAGTTTAAACGATGAACACAATACAAAGTTGTATGCAGTTGGCAATTTTTATTACAATTTCTGTTAGACTGTTAATACCATGCCATCTCTAATGATCAGGAGAGGGATTACTTGATTAATTCAGCTTGTACTTTGGATTCTTCTCTCCATCAGTGGTGAGGGGTTGTACTTGTTCCAACTCATTCATCTACTTTCTTCCTTGTGTGGCCCAACACTTGCACCACATGCAGACTAGCTTTCAAGAGAGGGCAACTAAGCTCCCTACATAAGAATCAACCCTGTGTCTTTGGCATCAAAGCATCATGTCCCAGCAGCTCAGTTTGTCAGCTAAAGTAACTGTGTTCAATGAAATTTCTGGGGTGGAGCCAATAGCTTTATTCCAGGAAGAGGAAGCAACAGTGAAGAAACCCCCGAGAGGACATTAAGATAATGTTCTAATTTAAAATCAATTTTATTGATATCTTATAAATTATTAGAGCGTTTTATACTGACCAAGCAATACATAATGCTGAGGCCATGAAAACAGAACATGAATGAATTAATATTGAAGTGCTGTATTTTCTACTACACATGAAGAAAAAAATATGTAATACTTTTGTATCCTAAGTATTTTGACTCAAGGAGCCCTACTGAAAAACAAGGTGTATATTTCATTCTTCAAGGTGTGTATTAATATTTTATTCAAGACATTTCATGTGTTTCTGTACTTAGTGGGTTAAATACTTGTTGAATGAGTCCATAAGCAGACAAAAAATATGCGGTTGTTTCCACATTTGCCAAAAGGGAATAGCTGTCTATGGGGGCTTACTAGTACTAGATGCTAGGTTGAATTCTTCTTTATCCTTATGGCAACTTACAAGGAAGTGCTGCTAACACCCTCGTCTTACCTACTGGAGAAATGGAAGCTTAAAGAGGTTCATGAATTTTCCCAAGGTCACATAGCAAGTGTTACAGCCTGGTCTTGAACCCAAGGCTGTCTGACTTTTATACCTGTAGCATAACCATTGTAGACACTGCCTCTCTTCTGTTATTCTTCTGACTGTTGGTTCCTCTGGTTTGATAATATTTTGATTACCTGCAAAAGAAATTTACCTTGATCCAGGTTTCTCTTACCAGTAGAGAAGCAGAGACAAAAACAATAGAACATTTTAAAGAATATATTGTTCATGAAATGTTACAGAAGGTGAAACATTTGTTAAGAATAGATTCATTACTTTATATGGAGATTATATTAAATCTTCTTTTAACAAGGGCAGGGCTTTAGAAAGTCCCAGTCATTTTTGAAGGTGAGTTTTGATTTATGTTAATTTGAAAAAAGCAAGTTCTGTGAGAGTTTTATACAGATTGTGCTTTTAATGACTTCCTTAATCAAGCAGGTTATAAAAAAGAAAAACCTCTTACTGTGATGAGCAGTAAACTGACACCAGTGACTGGCTCAGTCAGAGCTCTACTATATTCAAGTTTTTTACCACCAGCATGCTATAAATTTTAAGTTCATTTACATAAATTTACATGTGTTATGTGTTAGTATGTGAGACTTGTGCATTTTGACCAAGTAATTTTCATTTTAAAGGTTTTATATTTACTTTTTTCCAATTGAGGATTATTTCTTATATATATATACATATATATATATATATGTATATCCTGGTGGTTTCCCTGTAAATGAGATAATAATATGTTAAAATGTTTTATCAGTTATAAAGAGCTCAATGAATGGGAAAATAAACATTTTGTGTAATTCTGTACAATAAAATCCAAGCAGAACTAGCTGGGTTATGGTACAACAGTAGTTTGATGTACGTAGGTTTATTCAGGATATTACTTTCCAAACTTACTCAAAGTAGTTCCAAAAAAACAGAAATACAGTGCTTTGTGGTCTGGTGAACATGATCAACTCTTTGGATGATTCATGACTATAGAGTCACCAGTGTTCATTTTTATTTTTGACATGGGTCTTTTGCTTTTCTAAGGGGTTGCAGAGGAAAATATGATTGAGGACTTTGGTTATGGCATCAGTAAAGGATCTACAGGGGCCTTCTTCAGCTTTCTGTCTTCTGTGCCTCCACCCCTGTCCCCATCACCAAAAACAAACTCAACTTGAATCGTCCCTGACTCTGATTAATGTTTGAGAATTCCTATAGTGACTGAACTATAGTTAAGAGTAACTATAATTTATCGTCTAAACTTGGCCATTTTTGAGAGTGAAGGGAAGTCTGGACAACAGGTGTAGAAAGGGCAAACCAGGACTTGCAATTACCCTTGACATATTTTAGTGGTACCTTCTGACTCCTCATTATCCCATTTATCTGTTTGAAAACTGATTTACCCTTTTGTACCGTGTGGATACGATTTTTGAAGGCCATAGCTGATGAGCAAACAAGCCATAACGAATGAGTTTTAGGCTGCTTGATCATGGTTTCCATGCGACCTTTAGCATGTTCTTTCTGGTTGTTATCGTCTATGGGCAGGGAAGTCTAAGCACTGCACCTGTGTGAATGGAAAGCAAAATTGGCATGGTGTGCATTTGAAATCAAATTAGAAAGTCCATTGTGGAGATGGTATTTGCAGTCTTGCCTCTGTGCAGTATTGAACCAAAACCTTATCGTGATTGTTGAAAGGAGAAAAGTTTTGGTGAATAGTAGCATATTAAAACCCTATAATTATGGGGCATCAGAATATCTATGCTGGGGGAAGTCCTACACAAATGTCTAGAAAAGACCTAACATAAGGTTTAAAATAGAAGATCCACACTAGGTCACCATCCCAATCTCTAAAGTAAGTAGAATCAACTGGAGTCCAGTATACAGTGATAGGACTAAGTTGCACTGTTGAGGGGCTAGGCTATGTGCCTGGGACTGCGCGTTGTACTTTATGTGGATTATTTTTCTTGGTCTTCAAAGCAGCCCGTGGGGCTGAGAATGGTGTGTTGTTACCCCAGACTAAAGAGAGGCTGAGACTAAGCAACATCCCTTACGGCTATTAAGTGAAGACTCTAGACTCACACCAGGCAGTCTGACTCCAGAGAGATGCTCTTGCCTGCTATTAAAATCTGTGCTCCCTGTTATTAAAATTAGCTAATTATAACAACAGCATCTTCTTTTGGAGGGGGAAGTTACTTTATAGAAGTCTTTCTCATACATTGTCATCTTTGATCTTGAGGTGGCAGAGGAGTAAAGGTGGAGGGGTGGGGCCTTCCCTTTCAAGTTGCTGGAGGTGTCAGTTTTCCATCTGACTTGGTCAACAGCCCTAGTAAAGTCTGGGATGGTCTTTAATCTAGGAACTAGAATCTTCTCATAGTGAAATTAGAACCTGATTATAGCTTTTTAAAGCTTACCTTTTGCTACCAAAGCAATTGGGGTTTCCATGTAATAAGTCTTTTAATCCTTTAGTATTTTTTTCTTGGTTTCTCCTTGTTTTCCTGCTCTTTTTCTTAAACAGATCTACCCTGTTCTTTTTAAATATCCCAGCATAAGTGTTTACTTTTAAAATCCAGAGCTTTACTAAACATTCACATTCAGGGTATTTTGCTTTCTCTGGATCAGCCATTGCTTGTGACCGTGACTCTCCAATCATAACAGATTTGCTGAGATACACACACACATACACACACACACGCACACTCAAACTGTAGTGAGAAAGACTTGTGTTTAATCCTTCTAAATTTGTAGATTTATAGGGTCACAATGCAGCTTCAGTAAGTTTCTTATGTAGTAAACTTGAGAAATATCTAAATTGAGCTTTTAAAATAATAATAGAGAAATAAAAAATAATAAAATAAAAAGCTTTTCTAGTAAAAGCATGACTTTATCGGTATTTATTTAATTCCTCTTATTCACATGCCTAGCAAAGATCCAAGTGGCATTCCTGTGGCAGAATGGTGGACTTACAAGATTCATGATGAGAGTCTGTGCCAAGTCCAATTTGATTCCAGAGTAATTATGTTATTAGAACATTGCTGATTGCCCCAGTGCCCACTGTGCAGCTTAACCTTTAAATGCTAGTGATAATTAACTACTTTATCATTCTACCAAGAAACTCCAACATGTAACTCTGTTCTACAGTCAACTTCAAAAATACAACGCTGCCTGCAAAACCGGAAACAGCTAGCTTAAGAAAAATATAAAGTATTTGGTTGTACATATGAGCCAATAAATGAACATAAAATCTAAATCTAAATAGGCATTACCTTTTAGTATTTTTAAGAAATTGTTTTGTTTAGAAATTTTTCCTCTTAAACAATGTGGAAATAACTTTCAATAGAATATAGCAGAATCAGAGAATTGTTAATAAAAGATATATATACTCCATTTTTCTTCTTTTTGTAAAATATGAAATTAGCCAGATTTAGTGCATCTAAAGGTAAGTAAAGGAGCAAAGGTGAGGAAGGGGCTGAATTGCCATATTACCGATTCCAAGGGCACCACAACACAAATCTTACTCTAGTGAATGGTCTCCCATGGAATTGTTCATCCTAGTGATGCTCAGAAAAGGAATGTATCATAAGAGATTTGGAGTGAGATTGAGGCGTGCAGAGGGGATGTTCAGCCATTTGTGTTGAGAAATATTTCTGGGCAGTTCCCTTCTGCTCATGATGCTAGGTGCCCCACCCTCAGGGAACCCACAGCCTAAAGTGGGAAGTGGCCTTGTAAACACAGCAATAAATTTGTTGTGAGTGCTTTACTCATTGGAGGAACAAAATGTTAAGGGAACAAAGAGGAATGAATGATTAATTCTGCCTGACAGCATCTGAGGAAGCTTTGAAAGGTGACATTAGAGCTGATTCTTAAGGATAGTGGGGGATTTCAAAAGATAGATCTTGAGAAAATAGTCATTGCCATAAGCCAGGAAAAAAGGCTACAGGTGCAACGAAAATACACAGAGCCCAGGGGAACACTGGCTTATAGTGCTGATGTAGGATACAAGGCCAGGACTCTGGATTGGGGTGTGGAGTGAGGACTTTGGAAAACAGCCATACTCAGAAATTTGGAATTTTTTTCCCCCTGTGAACAGTAGGAAACTGTCCTTTTAAAAGAGGAGTTAAAACAGGCTGAACCTCTCTTTGGGAAGTATGAATTCCAGAAGTGAGGTGGATAGACTGGAGAGGGGAAAACTAGAAACGGGATTGAGGCATGAAGTATGGTAGATAGTAACCCACAGATGATGATTGCATGCATGGTTTCAGTGGTCATGAAAACCTACTGAGTGCATTGGGTTGTGTGAAAGCAAAGCAGAAGTGTTGACCCAAGTCTCATGGCTTGGGAGTGAGGTTTGGAACTCAGCAGAGATACACAAAAGTCAAGAAGTAGTCCACTTTAAAAAATCGTTTGGCTCGTAATGTTTTGTGTCAATCTTCAGCCTTACTGAATAATGCCTGCAGTCTTTTCTGCCACTAAGTTTAAGGCTGAACGTTTGATAGGTCTAGGGCTAGAGTATTCATATAAAACCTCAAGAGGGGCTGGCACAGCAGGGACGGATTTAGAGGTCCCCAGCCCGCCCAGTGGGCACCCACTCACTGGTCCCATCTCTCTCCCCCACCAAACTCCCACCTGCACATCTTTGGAGCTTGTAATAAAGAGTTGCCATCACCACAGGTATGAAGAAAGACCATCAATCTTCTTAACAATGTGCTTTGGAAGTTCAGAAATGCCACAAAAGAGATTGTGACATTAAGGCTCAGTGGAAATAAAATGGAACATAGACCCAAAAGTTCTGGGTAACACACTTTCTCTCATAGTTAATTAAAAGGGCCTCGTAAATGTTGTATGTTTTTATAAACATCAGTTATTACCAACAGACTAAGATAAAGCAAAAAAAAAAACCCGTTCAAAGAGTTAGTCTTATATGAAATAAATTTATAAATGAGGAAGAGCTTTCCTGACCAGTTTTCTGAATTGATTTGCATGCCAGACAGAGACGTTCCAGTGGTGATTGTTCTTCCTATAACTTTTTTTCCATAGAGATTTTCAGATATTCTTTCTACTACTCTCCAAGATCAGCCCTTTGTTACCCTGGGTTAGGGTCATTCACACTTGGGAGCCCTGCCCTGGTGCCCTGCCAAGGGACTGTGTTACTCAGGTTTTTGCCATTCACCACTCAGCAGCATAGCGCAGCCCTCAGTCCAGCTCCCGCTCTCCCACCTCACCTGCATTTAGATCTTTTCTTTGGTCTGTCTGAAGCTTAGTCACTAGGCAGTTGTTAAGATTGTTCCAGTTTTCATTGGCACTTTTTTCACTTCTTCATCCATGATTTTAAGCTCTCATATTATCTAAATGTGCCCAATAACCACCTGACCTTCATGGCAGATAGAGTCATTCTCTGCTTCAGGTCTTGTCACCCACGTCTCTTGTGTGTATAGGAGACTTCTCCAGTTGAGAGCTCCTTGAAAGCAGAGGTGAAGCATACAGGCTGAGCCTAAGTGTGGTCCCAAGAGGCATGGAGCATCTTTCTCCATTCCCTGGCCCCAGTGGCATTCCTAGGTTTCCAGACATTGAAAGGTGTGGGTTCATGAAAACTATAGGAGTGAGAAAGGAATAATACGCATTTCTGCAGGTGGTGTTTTTCCTGCCACTCTGTATCTTCCAGGCCCTAACATATGGCGCTGAGCAAAACTTCATAAATATGACCTATATGTCACATGACTGCCATCTTTGGTTGCTCAAATCCCCCAAAATTACTTTCCCCCCTTTTTTTTTCATTGACTTACTAATTACCTCTTAAAAGCTCTACTTTATAGTTTTTCTATAGAAGCTTGAAATGCTGGCTTCCCATTAGCCAGCAAACTTTAAAAACAAAACAAAACAAACAAACAAAAAAACCTGGCTTTTTCTCCTTCCCTTTTTTCTCATATATGCTTCCTTTCCCAACTTTCTTTCTTTTTTTTGAGACAGAGTTTCACTCTGTCGCCCAGGCTGGAATGCAGTGGCGCCATCTTGGCTCACTGCAGCATCTGCCTCCCGGGTTCAAGCAGTTCTCCTGCCTCAGCCTCCTGAGTAGCTGGGACTGCAGGCACGCCACCATGCCCAGCTAATTTGTTTTGTCTTTTTAGTGGAGATGGGGTTTCACCATGTTGGCCAGGATGGTCTCGACCTCCTGACCTTGTGATCTGCCCGCCTTGGCTTCCCAAAGTACTGGGATTACAGGTGTGAATCACCATGCCCAGCCCCTTTCCCAAGTTTCTAAAGGCACTTCAACAGTACAATATATCCGTAAAACCAAACCCATTCTGTTTTGAGTTTACACTAATTCCTGCCACCCTTTTTATTTCCTCTCCTCCCTCTGTCCCATCTCTCTGCCTCTTCTCGTTTTTTCTTTCTTTCCCATTATCTTTCCCCCTTGTCTTTTGCTACTTGTCTTTCCCTTTATATCCCTGTTTTCTTCCTTTCGTCTCCTCCGCTTTCTCCTATCTCCTCTTAACAGCTTTGCAAGTATATGCTAAAGAATAAAAAGAAAAGAAAGTCTCAAGTGACTTAAAAATCACTCGGCTAAATAGATGATAATTTCTCAACCATGCTTCCTCTCCTTCTAATTCCAGAGCTCTTCAGTATCCCCATCAGCCAGTTTCCGAGGTGCTGAGAAGCACAGAAACTCCGCAGACTACTCCTCAGAGAGCAAAAAGCAGAAAACTGAAGAAAAGGAAATTGCAGCTCGTTATGTAAGTTCATTCACCTTTGTGTTAGGGGAGGCCAGCTTGCCTTTTTATCTGCAGCCATTTTACCCTTTGACTATTACCAGCCAACACAGGAACACAGGATAACATCCTTTAGGAGACAAAAAACATTTATTGTATTTATAGCTCTGTAGCCATTGGCTAGCTGAAGTCCTGTGTGTGTACAGATGCATGTGAGGATAGAATGCTTCATTGGGCAGCTAACAGAAGACCTGGATGATCCATATTATTGTTTCTATAGGTGTATTTGCTTCCCCATTCATTTCAGAGTGGTTGGATTTTCTGTGGTTAGCTGGAATTGTTAAGCAGAAAAATATAAAATCATAAAAAATGTGTTTAAATGCCTAGATGGATTCATGTGCTGAAGGATATACCAAATGTTGTGGAATAAAACATGGAGAGACATCCAAGATCATCCCTAGCCTGGAATGAAGCTCATTTTCCTTTAGTGGCTGGGCAGGTCACAGGAGTGAGATGGGGGAGCAAGCTGGATGGAGCAGTGTGGAGGCAGGCGGCCCCTGCTCTGCTTCCCTGCTGGTGTCCTACAGGGCCGCAGGCCTCATGAAAAGCTGGAAATCTGGATTTTTACCTCCCAATATGCAGTTTTTTAAAATACCAACAAACCAGACCACACCTATCTGTAGGCCGGATTTAGCCTGGGCCTGTCAGTTTGCAGCCTCTACTCTAGAGTAATAAGCCAACCATCAGCTTCAAGTTTGTAACTGAAAAATGTAATCAGGTCACCCTCTTGGTGCAGTGGGTAGTGCATCAGTCTCATAATCTGAAAAATATATTACCCACCTCCATAGCATCATCATGAGGATTAAAGAAAATAGGACATTGTCAAGTATTTAACACTGTTTGGTACAGCTCATCTTTATAAGATATGAGGAATTAGTCTGGACTTACTTAGGGTAAATGTGGTATGTTTTGTGAGGGGAGAAGATAATGCTTCTCACTTGTCAATGCAGGACAGCGATGGTGAGAAAAGTGATGACAACTTGGTGGTTGACGTTTCCAATGAGGTATGTTTGTGGCTACTTTAATTTTTTGCACTTGCCCAGCCATATCAAAGACTAGTTGCCCAAACAATTAGTATCCAAAATATCTTGAGGTTTGTCGTTTTGTTATTGTTGTTGTTTTTTGAGGCAGGGTCTTGTTCTCTTGCCCTGGCTAGAGTACAGTATTGTGACCACAGTTCACTGCAGCCTTGAACTCCTACGCTAAAGTGATTCTCCCTGTTCAGCCTCCCGAGTAGCTGGAACTACAGGCACGTGCCACCACGCTTGGCTCATATTTAAATTTTTTGTGGAGATGGGGTCTCATTATGTTACCTAGGCTGGGCTCAAACTCCTGGGCTAGGATTACAGGTGTGAGCCACTGCACCTGGCCCAAAACATATTCTTGATTTCTAAAGGGACCCACTTTTTATTTACATAAAAATTATGTACTACTGATTTTATATGTTATTGATCTTTTTTTTTTTCATTGTTCTTATTCTATTAAGAATAAGGTGTCATTCTCTACTGCAGTGAAGGCACACCAGATCTCTGTGGTCAGCCTGCAGGTCTCATTGACGTGCAATTTGCAGATGGGTGGGGTTTTGATTTTTCTTTGGGTTTTAAATAAGTACTATAAATACTATAATTTTGGGGCCCTCAATACTGAATATTTTCGTTAGTAGTTTCAGTGAGTATTGTTATCTGTTCTAGCACATTTGTGCTTCTAAGCATGCATTAAATGCTTTTGGCTAGAAATGTCCACACCCAACAACCCCAGCATTATAAATGTGCTGTGCTTGCATTACTGTCCACGATGTTCCTTTGTAGGATCCATCTTCCCCTCGAGGGAGCCCAGCACATTCCCCCAGAGAGAATGGCCTAGACAAGACACGCCTGCTCAAGAAAGATGCCCCGATTAGTCCAGCCTCTATTGCATCTTCCAGCAGTACTCCCTCCTCCAAATCCAAAGAACTTAGCCTTGTAAGCAGCTCCTTACCATCTCTCTGAGTGTGGCCTCTGCCAATTTGATGTTTGAATTTGATGTTTTTATCTTTATATTTCTCACATTTTTAACAGGACTTTTATTTCCAAATGTATATATGTTCGGTATTTAAGTTTAATTGGCAAAAGTATGTAGAGCAGAATAAGTTTACTAACTTGTTGGTGATGAGTGTTTATTTTATGATTCTTTTTGCAAGGATAGAAGAGGGATATGGGGAAATTGAGTGAAACACGTCTTAGCGAAGATGAACAATGCACATTGGGGTTACAGAGATGGTTTTGTCGCCTGTGGTTTATGGTAAATTTAGTTTGGGGCTTGAATGTGATTTTGTTGCTAGCTTTGTTTGAATTACCAAGCTACATATGACGGCAATAATTTTCCCTTCCTATCTAAAAAGTAATCTCTCATTTACAAAAGTCTATCTTGACTTACATCACAAATCACAAATGCAAAAATGAACTGCTCACCCATCAGGATAATCTCCCTGCACCCTATTCTTCTGTGGCTGTGTAGTTAATTGCAACTTTGTGTGGTGTGTCTTTTTTCCTCACCAGTTATTTCCTTGTAACATAACATTTAAAAAAAGAATAAAAAGACAAATTCAGTTTTCTAATAACCTCTGGAATTCACAGCTAAAGGAAAGGAAATTCCTCACTTGGTCTGCAAATTAGGGGGGATAAGTGCGACGGGCTAGATTGTTGGTGTTGTTTTTTTAAATTTTATTTTCTCTTGGCCTTCTGGCCTTCTTTTAATGGCACCTGCTCTCTGCTTAGTCTCTATGACAATTCAAGCTTGGATGTGTTTTCTAATGTGACCTGTTCACCAGGAAGCCTCTTGTGACATGAACAATCTGCCAGGAGCCCACAGTTACCCCAGTCTTTACCAAAGTCACCAGCAAGTGGCCACAGTTAGGACATCCTGGTTTGTGAGCCTCATCTGACTCAGACCAATTTCCTAGAAATGAGCTGCTCTCCTCTAAATTCAGCTTCAGTTTATGTCTTCCCAAATATTAGGTCTGCTGTCTCAAGGAACTCTTTTGTTTCTTTGTTAACTTTTCTATTAAAGAAAATCAAGGCCCAAGCTGAAGAACCTCTTCCATTTCTTTTCCTCCTTTCCTTTTCTTTACCTTTTTACTGTTTAACGTCATTGTTAAAACCATGTTCTAATTGCTGGTATATGTCATTTCATCTTGTTAGAATGAAAAATCTACTACTCCCGTCTCAAAGTCCAATACCCCTACTCCACGAACTGATGCGCCCACCCCAGGCAGTAACTCTACTCCCGGATTGAGGCCTGTACCTGGAAAACCACCAGGAGTTGACCCTTTGGGTTAGTAAGAAAAAAGTTTTTTCTATATTTTTATGCTCGTTTTTAAGAATTTAAAGCAATTTAAGGAGTACAGTACATTAAAAGTGCTAATGACCAGCATTGAATGGCTGTTAGACAAAGTTACTTAACCTGAACCGAGCACCTGGGACCAACCTTGTCTGGCACATGGTAAGTGTTCAATAGAACAAAGTGAATGAGTGAATTCTGAAGGCTTGAATGACTTTTGAGAATATTAAAATAAGCTCATTTGAACCATAGATTCTATTTTGTGACATGTTTACAAATGTCTTCACTGTTGTTTCCTGTGTTCTTCATTTTTCTTCCATCCATTTTGGTTTGCAGCCTCAAGCCTAAGGACCCCAATGGCAGTACCTTGTCCATATCCAACTCCATTTGGGATTGTGCCCCATGCTGGAATGAACGGAGAGCTGACCAGCCCCGGAGCGGCCTACGCTGGGCTCCACAACATCTCCCCTCAGATGAGCGCAGCTGCTGCCGCCGCCGCTGCTGCTGCTGCCTATGGGAGATCACCAGTGGTGCGTTTGTGAGCTTCACAAATAATATTTTAGCACACGGAGGATTGTCATGCTTGATTGATTGCGACAGGGTCTCGCTCTGTCACCCAGCCTGGAGTGCAGTGGCATGATCTTGGCTCACTGCAGCCTCTGCCTCCTGGGCTTAAGCGATCCTCCCACCTCAGCCTCTCAAGTAGCTCGAAAAAACAGCATGCGCCACCATGCCCAGCTAATTTTTAAAATTTTCTGTAGAGGCAGGGTTTCACCATGTTGCCCAGTCTGGTCTCGAACTCCTGGCCTCATATGATCTGCCTGCCACAGCCTCCCAAATTGCTAGGATTACAAGCATGAGTCACCATGCCTGGCCTATCTATTTTTTAATGTAATTTATATAATCTAAGGTATTTAGAGATCTGTGGGTATTTATAAGTTAAGCTACATGTGATTATAATCTTGAGGTCCATTTTCTTTTGTAAGGTGAAGAAGTTTCTTTTTTATTTTATATGTCTTTTTAAAAGAATACTAATTTTAAATTTTCCAAAATGATACTAATTTTGGAAACTTCAAACCTACAGAATTAGATCACATAGTATAATGAATGTAATGACTCTTTGGTTCTACCATGAGCTTCAATAATCATTAGTATAATTTTTTAATCTGTGTTCCACCCCCAAGTATGTTACCATTAAATCCTAAACATTGGTTATCATTTCACCAATAAATACTTCTGTATATATCTCTAAAACCTTATTTTTAAAGGATCTATTCTCCCAGGTTTTAGAATAGATTTTGAGAAGGATAAAACAAGTCAAATGTAACTGTGCTTATTTCTGTTGTTTGCTTGGGAAAAATTCTAGGTGGGATTTGATCCACACCATCACATGCGTGTGCCAGCAATACCTCCAAACCTGACAGGCATTCCAGGAGGAAAACCGTGAGTACCTTTTTGCCTCTGTGCTCATTGTGTGTCAAACTCAGGTCCCTTGCTGGCCCCGTAGACTTAGAATACCACTAGACAGTGTTGGGGGAGTTCCCATGACTTGTATTTTTTTACCTTGCAAGGTATTTTTCATTTTCTCTTAGCACAAGAAGAGAAGTAATGAAGTGGGGTTTTGCATTGTAAAATTTTGAGCTTTAATATGTAAATGCAAATTGCAGAGGCATCTCCAGTAGTCAGGTCTTCTCTACATCTGTTGCAGATTTCAAGGCAATTCTTTGTTCCAAAAGTCTGATTATTATGTGCAAACCTGAATGTTCAAAATTTGAATATGTTGGGAAAAGACATGCCAAACCTCAAAGGCTGAAAGGAAATAAGGGCACTCTTATGCTTAGTTCTGTTTTCAGAAAAGGTGACTTGCTTAGTTGGCTTCTTATACCGTGCTCTGGGCATCTGGAGCCTCTGTATTCACAGATTCCTTGAGTTAGGAAAGACAAAACACAACACACCAGTTGTTCTAGCCTTCTCTGAACGGATCTCATTCCAAATACTTTATTTTAATCTAATGCACCTTTTTATTACTACCTAATCACAGTTGTCTCTGCTAATTGGCTTCATCTTCCCAGAAACAAAGATTTTACTATAAAGTAGCACTGGCTGTTTCTTTAAAATCCCAGCTGGCTGCTTTCTCTCGCTTCTCCTTTGGGAAGCCTCCCCCGCAGATCCTCCTTGCCTTGTTAGTCACCTGTGTGTGTGCATTTTTCTCATCACTCTTTCTGTGGGCATCCCCTCTGTCACTACACATGCCGTGTATGTGCTGCCTCCCCAGTCTCCAGGGCTATCCAGACCTGACCCTCAGTAGCAGCTCAAGGCGCCTTCTCCCAGAGGCTTCCCTGGTAGCTTGCCTGCCTTGAGGTATTTTGTCCTTACTGTCCTTCTTCCTGCAAAACTTTCTGTGGCTTAGTGTCTCATTTAGTTATCTAAGATGTCATTATGTCAGAGCGTTCTGCCCTGACAACCCTATTATCCCTCTTTCCCTTCCTCCCTATTCTTTCCTCTTCTACTACCTTTTTAATGCTTTTTTATAGCCATTATCTGCCTCTCCCTCTTGACTATAAGTTCCATGAAAACAGAACAGAACTTTCTGCTATTCAGTTATAGAAGCAGTCTCACTGCCTAGAATGGTACCTGGTTCATAGTGGTGCTCACGGTATGGATTTATTCAGGGAATGGATATGTGCTGATTTCTTTCTTCTCGGACCTCCCATTGCTTGTTTATTCACTCCCACACACTCGGGCACTTAGTTTTCACCCTGGTGTTAATTGCGTGCCCTCTTCTCCCCACATCCCTTCAGTGTTGCCTAACCTAGACCCTTTCTTTACTTTCCATCTGAGGAATCCAAATCTCAGTTCTTCCTTTTGTAGCATATTAATACTTCTCTACAGACTCTATCCTAACCTTCCTTTGTTGTATCAAGCACAGTGCTGGCTCCACAGCCAAGTTGCTTGGTAAATATTTGGCTGATTAATAGGGGAGAAAAGACAAATTAGAGTTCCTCAAGAGTTGAAGGTATAAATATCAATTACCATAAAATTCTGTGTACCTGTGTGTGTTTTGCAAATAGTTGTTGACTAACAAGTCTTATTGACCAAGAAACTTTGATGTATTTGAAGGTGAAAGTTGGGTCTATTTCAAGCAATGCTAAATAACAAGGTTATACAATTAATCAAATAATGACTCAGATACCTACAAGTTCCATATGAACTTGTGGGGAAAGTGGAAGGGTTCCTTTAGGGAAGAAGTACTATCCCTTTTTTTTGGTTACTTCTTAGGTAACCAACAGTTGTACCCAGAGCTACAGCATAACCACTAGAGCAAATGAGATGATGCTTCTTGCCTCAGCTGCTGCTTCGAGGGGCAAGGGGTGTAAGTGTCTTTAAGGAAACACCTTGGCTAAGGGATTTGGACCAGTTAAACCACTGTGGAATCACAGCTGCTCTGACTCAGATGGTGCTTCTGAGTCTTGGGCTGACTTCCCTTCATCAGTTTTAACTTTCGATGTTATAAAATGTTTAAATGTTTAAGATCCTTTAGGGTGGGTTAATGGATTGGAGGATTGTTGAGAATTTTTGTTTATGAGAGTGACAGAGTCACATCTACTGCAGTTGGCAAATGACACTTTACCAGGAAAATGACACTACTAAAAAGCATGTGGTGCAGTCAACAGAGTATGGTTTTGGGAGTGTGACAGATCCAAGTTTGAATTTAGACTCTGCCAGTTGAACCACTGAGAAGAGTGGCTTTATGCACAATTTCTTTGTGAGCTTCAATCAGCTCATTCATGAATCAGGGATGGCCCCTCCTCAACAAGAAGGATGTGAAGATAGGAAGTAAGATAATATGTTGTGTGTTCATTCAGTGCCACATTTGTTACATGGTGGCTGTTTAGTCAACCCCAGCATTATTTCCCTTTCAGCTTTGTCCCAGCATATTATTCATTTTTCAGCTACTTATGTAGTAGGAGGTACATTGTGTTTTAGGGGCAGAAGTGACCCAAGAAGATGGGTCATTGGTGTGTCTTTATGTAACAGAGCATGAAGACGTATAAAGTTACATTCACTTATATGCATACAGAGATAATATACTTTTATTATAGATTTTTACAGCAGAAATGAATATAACAGTTATGTGGCTCTCCAGATCATAAGATACTGAATTGTGCAATGTTGTCTTGTGCATATTTTTCAAGACAAAACTTTTTTAAGTGTGCTAGAAAATAAAATAAAAAATCACCTAAAGTCTTCCTCCACCATACATACCCACAATGTAACTACCTTTCTCCAGAAAGACTTATAAAAGTTATGTGTCTCTGTTCTAATTATTTCACACAATGAATTGCTAGATATGATCAGAAATTATAATTAAATGCATGTTCCAAATTAATAAAATGGTGTTTATTGTATAATTCACATTGAATCCTCTTGTCTGCTCAGGTGAATTAGCAGAGGTTCTACTTCATATGTAGTTGGAATAACAGCATAGTTTAATTTCAACATAAGCCAAAAATGGCCCTTCTCCTTCACCTGCTACTCAAATGAGACTTCTATGGCTAGTGTATAACTATTTGATTAACATCACGGTACTAATTGTATGAGATGTGACATGTGAACACAGCAAAAATAAAAGATCTCACGTTAGTGGATTATAGGCTGCTCACAATTCAGAAATCTGACTCTTTTGCATTGATTTATTTTTATAAAGCAAGATTTTCAAATGAGAATAATGCCTGATACATAGTAAAAACCTTCAACGAGTATTTGTTGGCTAACTCACTGGTCTGTATGCTACTTAGAACAGAATTTTCTATCGTATTTCAATGTAAAATACAATAACCAGACCTCTCATTGTGACCTCAAGGTCGAAGCCCATCTTGTGACACATTGGAAATGTGGAGAAGGTACTGTGCGCGTGAGAGATGAGCACAGCATAACAGAACTGGGCCTCAGAGAGGAGAATGAGGGGAAGGTGGGAAAGCCAGTGACCTTCTTTAAATATGCTGGGTCTTTGTCAAGATGATAATCCATATATAACAAGTTTGACACACATGTTTTTAAAAAAGCAAATTGCATGTGTCTGGATTGTTTAAAGTGTAGTTATGTCAGAGAGTCCAAGCCTAGCATTTTCTTCAACTGTCTCTTATTCTCATCGCCATGTTTGTTGGAGAGCCACTCTGCTCGTAGCAGCTTAACCTGTGGTGTGTGTGTTCGTGTTGAGAGGAGGTCAGGTCACTCTATTTCTCTGACTCCCTGCACCCTCTCCCTCCAGCCCTGTATTTCTAGTTATTTGTTGGGCATCTTAGCTAGGGATCTTGGGTGTATGTTACTTGCACCACAAATTCATTATATTCAGAAAGTACTTTTGTAAATTAGGTCCTCTTCCCAGTTTGCCCTTTTTTTGTTAACTACAAGTACCATGTTTCTTTTTTCCTGAGCTCAGAAACTCAGTTACTCTAGCTCCTCCTCAGATCTCGTCAATTTAGTCCTACAGGATTTTATATCCATTGTACCTTCTAACTTGTCATCCTTGCCCTTGCCTGGTTCAGGACCCCCAGTACCTCTTACTTAAATTGTTGGAATAATTGTTGTTGTTTGTTGTTGTTGTTGTTGTTGTTGTTGTTTGAGAGAGAGTCTCGGTCTGTCACCCACGCTGGAGTGTAGTGGCTCAATCTCAGCTCACTGCAACCTCTGCCTCCTGGGTTCAAATGATTCACATGCCTCGGCCTCCCAAGTAGCTGGGATTACAGGCACATGCGCCACCACACCTGGCTAATTTTTATGTATTTTTAGTAGACATGAGGTTTCACTGACTGGTCTCCGAACTCCTGACCTCAAGTGATCCATTCCCCTCGGCCTCCCAAAGTGCTGGGATTACAGGCCTGAGCTACCGCGCCCAACAGGAATAATTGTTTTTAATTCCTCCTGTCCATCCTACTCCTTGCTACCAAGTTTATTTTATGAATAGCTTTGCCCAGTAATGGCACACTCCCTTTATCCCTCAAAAATCTCTTCAGTCAATTCTGGGAAGGTCTCAGGCTGGCATTCTGGTCCTTCCCTTTTATAGCATTACATTGATTTTAATTATATAGAGATATAGATCTGGTATGTTTTTTCAGACTATGCTTGGCCAGTTCCTCCATCCACCTACTGTGTAGTTATTATTGAATGAATTCCTGGATTAAAACCAATTCAAGGATTTCCCAGCTCATTTTACCTCATCCTTTTGGAACTTTTGCTCTCTGCTATTCTTGCTATCTGGAATATTTTTTCCATCTTTCTCTTTACTCGATGGTATCTTTTCATTCTTTAAAAACCCATCTCTATTACCATGTCTGTCTCTCATCCAACATAAACTTTCTTTCCTTTTCAAAACACTTCAGAATACTTTCCATTAGAATGTGACCTGATATTGTCATTTCTGTACTTTTCTCTCATCATGCTAACTAGATTGTTAGTCACTTGTGGGCAAGACCAGGTGCATTACCTAGTTTTGTATCCTTAGCATGACGTTTGCGTCAGAGTATATGGATGGGAGGTACTTAACACATTGTGCATTAAATTAGTTAGAAACAGAGTAGCCCTTTGCGCCTCGGTTTCTCTGATTCCTAGCAATGTTGACTTCCCTCATACCTTCCAGGAGTATTTGCTAGTTACAGTCAAAGAGTTTATCGAAATCTGATAATAAGTATGTACTAGAGCTTTATTATTTCCAGTTCTGAGTGCCTTCTATGTATACTAATAGCAAACAGAGGGCCACATTAATGTCATTAATGAAAGCAGGCTCTTGGAATTCATTTGGACTCTTTGAAAGGACTCTTGCCAGGAACATAGTAGGTGCTCACAGAGTGGTTGTTGTTGAGGTGAAGGCTGTCCTGTTGAAGGCCTTGAAGGAAATTGTGTGCCTGGTTTCTTAACTATTTGAAATCTCAGTGCTCTTTAATAACCATTTAGTGATTCTAGACTAGAGAATGAGATGGCTTTTCTAATAAATTATCATTAAGAATGTATAACACCATCTAAACTTGGAATAATCTTTCTTTCTCTTCCTTTAAGATTTAGTCTTCATGACCTCCTAATTGCTAAATCAATTAGCCTTTTTCTCGGCCATCATCCCTCAGAACCTCAGCCTTTCACAAGCGTTACTGCCACCTTCTCCTTGTCTGAACTGAAATCTGGCCGTCTCCTGAGATCATCCCTTCACTTGCAGCCCTATACAGGGTGACCTTTCCATTTCATTCACTGACCTCAGCACCAGCGGTGGGGTTAATAACAGCTGTGGTTGCCACCCCTTCTCCAGCCTCTCCATGAACAGAACTTTTCTACCTGTTGGTGAAAACCTTGCTCCTTTCAGGCTCGTGCCATTGGACTACCCCCTCTTCCACCTTGTTGGGAGTATTTCCCCAGTGTATTAAAGACTTGATACATGGCTGAGAGTCTTCCACTACCCAGAGGCTGCCATAATCCTGGTTGACTCTGGTATCTACAAAGACAACCCCCCAGTATCTTCATCATGGTCTTGGACCCCCTCATCTCTAGTGAACATCTGCCCTCCTCACCTTCAGTTACCTGTATTTACAGGTTCACAAAGAAGAGCTTATCATCACCCCTGTGTCACCTCCAGATTCTAAGCGTCCCATCCAGTACAACCTACTGTGGCTCCAGTCAGCCAGAGTGCTCCACGTTCTATTTCCAACTTACCACTATCTCCCAGGCTCTAGCCACTGCTTCTCCTCTAGATTACTGTGTAGTCCCCAGACTAGTTGTCTTTCGTTTTGCCACCTACACTCCATTCTTCACCCAGCAATCAGAAGATCATTTGAAGACGTTAACTGAATCATGTCACTTTTTTTGCACAAGTCTCCAGAATCATATCTGTACTCATCACAGCCTATATGGCCCTTTTTAGTTTGGCCTTGCCTGTCCCTTCACTCTTATATCCTATATGCTCTCCACCGAATGCACTCTGGCCTCCTTGCTTCGTTCTGGTCTCAAGGCCTTTGCATTTGTTGTTCCCTCTGCCTGGCACGTTCCCCATTACTTATTTGTAAGGCCTGTGTCATTCCTTCAGCTCTCCGCGCATATGCTGCCTCTTCAGAGAGGGCCACCTGACTGCCACTGTGTGCTCCCCTACTCTCTTTTATCTGAAAATGTGTGTGTATATTTAATGGTATTTTCCACTGTCTGAGGTGTTTATCAGGTATTTATGTTTATCTGTTACCTGTTTTCCTCTCTAGGATGTAGACTAGTGGAAGGATAGGGACTTTGTCAGTATTGTTCACCTGATTCCCCAGCACCTGATGGTAACTGGAACATACGAGGCATTTAGGAAGTATTTGCTGAATAAATGAATAATTAGCACGCTTTCTTGCTCTGGCCTTCGAATTTGCCATATTCCTAATCATCATACTGTCTTCAGACAATTCGTACCCATTCTTTATGTTGCAGCCCTATTGCCATTTTCTCTGTCCTTTTCACTCTGTTAAATTCCTAGACTACCATGCATTGTTCACTGCACTGACCATCTGACATTTTGATAGTTACTTATGTGCATATCTCACTAATGAATGTGCCCCTCAGGCTGTAATTTCAGGAGAACAAGGTGTGTGCATTTCTTTCTTATTCCATTCTTACCATAATGCTTGGCACACTGGCATACTCAAGAAATATGTGTTAAGTGAATGAATCTTAGTAAATTGTCATGTGATTGAACATCTTCTCCCCCTTTCTATTTTATTATCTCTGCTAATAATCTACTTCCATAACTACTCTGGCCGGAGATTCCTTAAATGTCCACATTCTTTGGGATTCTGTATCTGGTCTGCTTTTCACTGCATAATCTGCTCTGGGATTCTTCTTTCCGTCCCCTTAGCTTCAGCCATCACTTCTTTATGGATGATATCTAACCTGACCTCTCTCCTGAATCACAGCTGTTTGGATTTCTGCCCTGAAGTTCAAGAAAACCAATTCCTTCACCTCCCCATAGGTGTACCCTTGAGTTATGCTTTCCTGTCATCTTTACTAGGTAATGCAGTCTACCTAGTCACCCAGGTTCTTAGCCCTAGGGTCCTCTTCAGCATCTCTCTCTCAGGTCACACATCCAGTGTATCTCCAAGTCCTGTTGATTTGATGCAAGAAATGTCTTCTGTCCATTGGCTTCCTAGCTTCCCACCTCCTTCCCCTCCAGCAAGTCTCACATACTATGTTCTTCTACAACGCTCTGTAGTCTGTGGAGGAAGTAAAAGCCCGCCACTGTCTAGTGCCCTCATCTTCCACAGCCACAATGCATGCGTCATTTTTTCTGGGAGCATTCAGGTAGTTGAGGACCATTCAATAATGGACTGAATTTTGATGAACATGGCCAGCCTGTAAATTTTTGCATTAAGGAACGATAAACTGTTTTAATTTAATTCTACAACTTCCGCAGTTTGGTCCAGCTTCCTGTCCTTTACGCACCCACAATGCTTTCCCTTGGTATGTCTTTTGTAAACTATTTTCTGTAAGCAGAGCAGATTCCCAAGCTCCGTGCCCAAGTAGAGTAGCATCTTTTCCAAAATGGGCTGTTGCCTATGATAGTCCCCAAGATAGGCCCAGCTGCCTCCTGCCTGCCACTGGCGTCTTCTGCTTCCAGAAACCTAACATGCGTCACAACAGCCTCACTCGTCCCTTCCTGACTTCAGTGCCCTAAAAATAAAAATGAGTCTGTTGGGGGAGACGCTCTTACTTAAGTTGCATTTTAGGACCAAATGCTTTTACCACCTGAGGGCTTTCCCTGGAAATGAACTGGAGATGGAACTGCCAAGAGATACTCACAGGTAGGCCTTTGGGGCTGTCAGGATGCCTTTTTAGGTTCTCATTCCATTTGGATTGACTAGGATTTGTGATTGTCAAGTCTGATCAAGGTTTTAAAATAGGGCTTTATCTTTTTTTTTTTGGCACATCTGTCATTTCAACGTCTAAGCCTAGAGGCTCTTAACTCCTTAAAGCTTCCTGATTTTGGCCTACTCATCTCCCTTAGTAAGTCCCTTGCCGGGAATGAATTGATCTATAGGCGAGGTCTCATCACAGGCCTCTGATTCATCCAAAGGAGAAGGCAATGCAGGTTTATAGGGCATCCCTGAAAGGTGGCTACTGCACTTGACGGTGGTTATCTCATTTAATTCTGTGAGGTATAGGTAGTGTTCTCTTCATTTTAGAGACTAGAACTGCTGTTCTAGTTTAGAGATTCTAAGTAACTACTGATGTCCCACAGCAGCTTGTACAGAGTCAGCCTGAGATCTGGCCCTGTAGCAGCCTAGCTGTATGATTCTGGAAATTATGTTCTTTACACTGTATGGACAAATTCGATTTGTTCGTAAATCACAAGTGGCACTGAAGGTGTTTTATTTCTCATCTCATTACACTGAACAGTTAAGTGACATTTTTTTACATTCCCCTCTTTCTTTTTTCCTCTCCATTGCCTTAGAGCATACTCCTTCCATGTTAGCGCAGATGGTCAGATGCAGCCTGTCCCTTTTCCACCCGACGCCCTCATCGGACCTGGAATCCCCCGGCATGCTCGCCAGATCAACACCCTCAACCACGGGGAGGTGGTGTGCGCGGTGACCATCAGCAACCCCACGAGACACGTGTACACGGGTGGGAAGGGCTGCGTCAAGGTCTGGGACATCAGCCACCCAGGCAATAAGAGTCCTGTCTCCCAGCTCGACTGTCTGGTGAGTGAACATGGATGAACAAGACTTAGACTTTCATTCAGAAAACAGGAGGGGCTGATGAGAGAACTGTATGTATGAGCAACACCACACAGTATTGATCCCAGGTGGATAGTTGCTCTTCAGGGGACTGCGATCTTTCACTTGGAGGTGTGTCTTTTGCTTCCTAGACACACAGTGATCTAGTTCTTCATGTGTGGCATGTGCACCATACTGATTTCATTAACTCTGCCTCCCATGGGAAAAGGCAAACCGCTTGTTTTCCTCTCTGATGGTTAAGCAAACTAAGAGCCCATACAGTGACTATGAGTGTGCACCTAAATATCATCTGTCACATGTAAAGAGTAACTTACTGCCTCATGTGGCAAATACTAGATAGCCCCTCAGCTGCTTCATTGGCCTTTTCCCTTGAGTTCCTTAGGAAATGTCAGTTTAGTAGAATTTTTGCTATAGCATGAGGCTACATCAGTTGAACATAATTAAATATACATAAGATTCCCGTAACCTCATGAGCTAGGAGGAACTTTTTTTTTCTGTAACTTAACACTCCATGATCAAGTCTTGCCTCTGGTGCAGCTTTCATCAAATGCATGATGCCCTTTAGTCACGTAATGCAGGCCCAGGCAAAAGGAACAGACTGCCAGGGATCTACCCCCTGAAACTTTCTTGACATCAGTAGCAGGACCTTTCAACAGCAGAACTGAGCCTGAGTCTACCAAGGTTCCAAGTTTGGATACTCCAAGACTGTGAGAGCTCCTGCATTAGTGTACGTGTGTATCTGTGTGTGCAAATGATGCAAGCAGTTGGTTAATTTGGTGGTGGTGGGAGTGGGTCTAGAGCTTTGCATTTTGATGCTAATTAAGATTAAATATCTCAGTACTACATTTTGTAGATCAACTTTAAGTACTTCCCTAATTTCATGTAATTTTCTAGCATTAATCCACTTTATCATTGTCATAAGTATAAACGGCTCATTAAACCAGGAGGGAACACAATACTTTTATGGATTTCTGCTCTCATGTTAATGCTGTTTTCCTTTCCTCATGAGTAATCTCTTGATGGTTTTTGTCTCTACAGAACAGGGATAACTACATCCGTTCCTGCAGATTGCTCCCTGATGGTCGCACCCTAATTGTTGGAGGGGAAGCCAGTACTTTGTCCATTTGGGACCTGGCGGCTCCAACCCCACGCATCAAGGCAGAGCTGACATCCTCGGCCCCCGCCTGCTATGCCCTGGCCATCAGCCCCGATTCCAAGGTCTGCTTCTCATGCTGCAGCGACGGCAACATCGCTGTGTGGGATCTGCACAACCAGACCTTGGTGAGGTAGGTTAGCAGGATCTGTTACCAGGTTGTGAGGAGGAGCCGATTTTACCATATTTTGCCAAAGTGCTGTGTATATAGGTATGGGTGTGTGTGTGTGTGTGTGTGTGTGTGTGTGTGTGTGTGTGTGTGTGTAAAGTGATATAATTATCTTACTAAAAATTGTTCAGAACAGGTCCATTTTAAGATGTTAAAAATAAATTATCAGTGTGAAAATCTTGTTTTCTGTAGTACTTGAACTTCATAAAATGAGGTCTTTTTTCCTTCCTTGACTTATACTAAAGCATCGCCAATTTGTTTTAATAAAATGAGGTCAATTTGACATAATTAATGTACATAAAGTTTCCATGACCCCATGAGCTCCATGGACATCTGTAATTTGCCATCTGTGCTTGCTAACAAACGATTATTGTTGATAGAGCCTCACTGAGAAGATTCACAGTGTATGGTACTGTCTTGAGTGCCATACACATCTAACAGGTTCATTCCTTCAGCAGATATTTAGCAACTCCCATGGGCCTATGCACTGTATTGGGTGCAACTCACTCTGAAATGGTCTAGATTATCTGTTGTCCCACCTTTGAGGTTGGATAGATATAACTTTACAAATGAGATTATAAAAGATTGGTGTTGGTAGATGGGAAAAGCTCTGAAATGATTTTCTAGGTGTCAATACCCTAAGAGATTAGCAAGCAAGTAGAATGATCAGCTACAGGTATGAAAAGGTTGTAACCAGAGGTAGCTACAAGTCAGGTGTGTAAAAGAAGAAGGCTTTACTATCTGTTATTTCAAAGTACTGAAACCTATAGATCCCAAAACAAATCATCACTTTCATTGCTTATCAGGCAGCCTCTTATGAGAAGCTGCTTCTAACCCTGTTTTCTCCTGGTGACCTTGGTACGTTTTGCCATGAGTGATTCCTGGGCCAGTAGTTCACACTGAGTGTCTTTCCAGGTGCCTTACTTGAGAGCCTCGCCTTCCGTCTTGCACAGCCACCCACAGACACATTGCTGCTCACTGGCAGGACTGGTCCTGTCGCTCCCTGTGCCATCCCCAGTCCTTCTTTAAAGGGAAAATTAAATTCTCTCTCCCTCATACCACAGTAATAGAATAGGTCTCAGAATATATCTTTAGTTAGTGCATATATGTGTAGGCGTGTTTTCTTTTGTTAATTTCAGAGATTTTTTTCCCATTAGTAATATCAGTCATGTTTTCATGAAAAAGTAATTTGAGGAATTCCTAAGTATTCAAAACCAAGCAAAAAGTACAGGACATGTGGCATCTCTTTGTATATGCTTTGTTATTACTTTGAATAATTAGAAACCATAATAAACCAAAATGAAATCTACAAATAAGGCCTGCATTGAAATTGAATCATCAAGGAATTCTAAATTGATTTTAACTAAAAGCTAACTTTTCAAGGGCTTTCCCTCCATTTTGACATTTTCAGGCAATTCCAGGGCCACACAGATGGAGCCAGCTGTATTGACATTTCTAATGATGGCACCAAGCTCTGGACAGGTGGTTTGGACAACACGGTCAGGTCCTGGGACCTGCGCGAGGGGCGGCAGCTGCAGCAGCACGACTTCACCTCCCAGGTATGATCCGTGGCTGAGGCATTTTAAAGATACGGTTTTAGGCTGAGGTGGGCGGATCACCAGGTCAGGGAATCGAGACCATCCTGGCCAACATGGTGAAACCCCATCTCTACTAAAAGTACAAAAATTAGCTGGGCATGGTGGCATGTGCCTGTAGTCCCAGCTACTTAGGAGGCTGTGGCAGGAGAATCGCTTGAATGCGGGAGGCAGTGGTTGCACTGAGCTGAGATTTTGCCACTGCACTGCAGCCTGGCGACAGAGCAAGACTCTGTCTGAAAAACAAAAAAAAACAAAAATGATACGGTTTTATGAAACATATCACCTACTGAAAGAAGAGGCAGTTCACTTACCGTGTGATGATGTCACTTTTGACTCTGGATTAACCACTTTGAAGTCTCATTACTTTGAAATCGCCCATTTGACTTTGGTTCTCCCCTGTACAATTCAAATTATCTTGATTTTCTTCATAATTTAAGTAGTATCTACAGAAGAGATAGTACCTCCCAGATAAAAGAAGCGTGTCCACTGTGGCCACTGTCACCATCACCTGTTTTAATTCTAGATCTTTTCTCTGGGCTACTGCCCAACTGGAGAGTGGCTTGCAGTGGGGATGGAGAACAGCAATGTGGAAGTTTTGCATGTCACCAAGCCAGACAAATACCAACTACATCTTCATGAGAGCTGTGTGCTGTCGCTCAAGTTTGCCCATTGTGGTAAGCAAGCACCTTTTGTCCATTTTCTGTCAACCAGAATTGCTCCTTCCCCCTTCCTGTGTTTTTATTTCCAAGTCGAATCCTTGAGTTCATTACCATGCCCCTCTTCAGAATTCTATTACTTCCTGATACATGCCTGCTTCCCCAACACCATGTAATTTTCTGGCATTAATCCACTTTAACCTTAAGGATTAGTGACTCGATTAAATCCAGAAAGATAGGCTTTATTTTTGAAGTGAAAGTTATTTTTTACAAATGGATGAGTTTTCTGTTAATAGTTTGGTGTTCTATAAAGCAAATCTTGGTGTCTGACAGAGTAACACAAACATTGCCTTTTTCAAAACCCTTTACCTATAGGCAAATGGTTTGTAAGCACTGGAAAGGACAACCTTCTGAATGCCTGGAGAACACCTTATGGGGCCAGTATATTCCAGGTAACATGGAACTTGTTAACTACCACTTATGTTTGTTTAATCAAACTCTCTGTGCATTCTCTCAGATTAATAATGTGCAGAAGTGTCCTGGGAGGTCAGAGCTAGTATTATGCACATTGTACAGAGAAGGAAACTGTGTCCAAGGAGAGGTTAAGTGTCACAGCAAAGCCGTGGAGCTGGGGATAGTCCCCAGTGTTCTGAGCTCAGAGCCAGTGCTGTGCCTGATTCAGTGCTCACTGTTGCTTCATCATCAATCCCTTTTTGGAGTAGAGGTTTTATGTCTTCTGAGAATTTTATACATGTATGTCTTTTGTAATTTTTAATTTTAAAACTTGAGCATTTTGCTTAAATACACTCTTGTTAGTAGTAGTAGTTTTTTTATTTTATTTTTTCCAAAGAAGAGTGTTATGGAAAAGTTTGATAAAAATCAGTTTTATAAACTTTTATTTTCCCTATTGACTCAGTGGAACTTTGTATAGCTTGTGAAATTATTTGTAGAAGGACCAAATTGTAGACATAGTACACATATATGCACGCGTGCACACACACGCTCTCCTCCTCTCTCCTACTGGTATGTGAGAATTTCATAGGCAAGGTGAAAGACTTGCCTTTATTAACCTTCTATATTTAGGATGTTATTTCCTAGTGTTCTTTTTTACAAGCAATATAATAGACTTGCAGTTTTCTTGACCAAGTGGTATTATCATAAAGTAGATTAATTCCATCGAATCCAAAATAGTATGCAAGATAATCAGTAGGACAAAAAACGCCAATTGTTGCAGTCATGAAGCTTAGAATTTAATAGAGCATTTTTCATAACATGGATTATCACTTGTTAGATAGTCCCAACTGCACTTTAAAAAAAGAGTAGTACATTTTTTATAGTAAGCATAAGTACTATGTCTTTAAGTGTTTAAAGTATTCAGAGTCCTGGTTAAAATCCTGTGTTGTTTTCATTTTAAATGAGCACAGTTTAGTTAAAAGTTAACATTGAATCCTTCATACTACAGTTGAATATGGTATACAAAATTCTATGGTATGTTTTTAACTGTTGAACCTCTCCCCTCTCGCAAATTTGTGTCACATTTTTACAGTGGGAACATTAGGCTTTTTACTAGGAATATTTTTACATTCTTTTTTTTTTTTTAATGTATTCTCAGTGCCATTTCTCATATCTGATCTCACTGAACTCTGCTGCATCCCTCTGAGGTGGTAGACAGGTAAAATGTCTACCTGTTTGCTATTGTAAGGAAACTGAGGTGCAGACAGGTTAAGTGACCTGTGCCGTGTTCCACAGCTCAACCTGACTCCAAGCCATCTGTTTGAAGTTGAGGGTTTTTCATACCAGTAACACCCCGTCTTAATGGTAGAATAGGGTTTGAAATAAGGTCTTGCTTTGCCAGCAGAGGTGCTCATGCCATTGGCTTGCCTGCCTAGCTGATGTCCCCAGGACAGAAGCCTCCTGACTGACCTGGTGAGGTGTCGCCAAGGGTGGATCCGATCCACCTCTGCCATTTTAAGAAAGTGCCACGTGGTGGCTCATGCCTGTAATCTCAGGCATAATTTGGGAGGCCAAGGCAAGAGGATCTCTTGAGCCCAGGAGTTCGAGACCAGCCTGGGCAACTTAGTGAGACCCTCTCTCTACAAAAAAAGTTTGAAAATTAGGTGTGATTGGACACATCAGTGTCGTAGTCCCAGCATCTCAGGAGACTGAGGTGGAAGGATTGCTTGAGCTCAGAAGGTCGAGGCTACAGTGAGCCATGGTCACACCACTGCACTGCAGCCTGAGTGACTGAGGGAGACCCTGTCTTATTAAAAAAAAAAAAAAAAAAAAAAAAAAAAAAAAGCAGCAGTACTGTCCATGACCACCTTTCACCTTTCCTTGACTGGGCTTTCTGTTTGGTCAAGGAGCACATTACATTTGCATTTGCTCTAAGTCCTCCATACTCATGGGATTTTCTTTCAGTATTTAACATTTTTGATTATATGTTTCTTTCCTAGTCCAAAGAATCCTCATCGGTGCTTAGCTGTGACATCTCCGTGGACGACAAATACATTGTCACTGGCTCTGGGGATAAGAAGGCCACAGTTTATGAAGTTATTTATTAAAGACAAATCTTCATGCAGACTGGACTTCTCCTCCTGGTAGCACTTTGCTCTGTCATCCTTTTTGTTCACCCCCATCCCCGCATCTAAAACCAAGGATTTCAGATACTCATTGCAGTTGTGGAGTTTAATCCCCTTTCTTAACCTCACTTCCCACTTGCTATTGAATTGTGAATAGTCATTAAAAACCTGTGATACCAAATCTTCAGCTGTCTACTTGGAAGAACATGGAATAAGCATACTTAACAGTGAAAAGAATCTTTAATTATGTATTATATCTGTAATATATTTATTTTGTTTAAAGAAGGCTTTCTAACAATGACTGACTAAATAAAGCTGTCTGCTCCTGCATTGATAATGAAGGTGCGTTGTATTTGATACCCCTCCCCCCCTTTTTTTGGCAAAGGAGGGGAAAGGAAGGTTTAAAATAATTGATTTAAAATGTCACTAAGTGTAGACTGATGACTGTATAGAGATGTGAAATGTATAATTACACATGGAAGCAATATGTTGCTGTGTTGTTATTAGGTTTTTTTTGTTTTTGTTTTCTACATCTTTTAAAGACTTTTGGAAATTTGGCTGAACAATTAGAACACAACAGGCCAACTCATACTCATTTGGATCTATTTAGACAACGTTAACCAATATATCTATAGCTTTAGATTATATTCGATAAAAGTAATTGGACTTTTTTTCTTTTTTTGACTCGTTGACAAGTGTCTTTGTAATATGTTTTTAGTTCCCTTTTTTTGTTGTATTATAGGCAGATGAACAAATTAAATTTGGCCTCAAAGAGAGAACTTACTCCCTTCTGGATATTTTTGCCACATTTCTTTGCAAAAGGAGATATATATATCTTTAGTCAGTTTTGTTGTTATGAGAAATTATGGGTTATTTTGTGGCATGCTCTTTGGGAGCTGCACAGTTATGGGGAGGACTCCCACTGCTGTGCAAGTTAAGTCTTTTACAAAACAAGGACAGCAGAGGAGGGTTTGCAGAGACCTCCCTCTGAAAAACACAAAGAATGGACTCTCTCCTGGGATGAGGACTTGCTTTCTTTACCTCCGGTTCTTTCCATGTCTTAGTTGGATGTCCCTGAAATGGACACAGGCTGTGCCATTGTGCCAGAAACATTGTGTTATCTTTTATGTTGTTGTTGTTGCTGTTAAACTATAATATGTGACTTCTTTTTTTATTATTTTTTGTTTGAATGCTTTAAAAATCTTTTAAGTCTGTGGATCTGCTGATGTACAGTGCCTTTGCTGCTATGGATCAAAATCAAAAGAACCGTGTAGATATACTTTATTGTATAAGTAGAAAATTACTTAATTTCATACTAGAAATGGATGGATGCTGCAAGTTGAAATGGACTGTCCATTGACGTTCCTAATGTGGTAGCAGAAAAAAAAAAATGGTGTCTTAAGTGCTTAGTGTTTGATGTCATTAACAGTTTCGTAAAACTCTACAGTGTAGAAAGATTTTGATACTAAACTGTGCGTTGTACATAGTTCTAATGCATTGTATTGACCACCAGTACTTCTATAATGGTAGATTGTTTGTGAATTCAGACTTTTAAGCATTAAACATAAATAACTTCTAGTATGCTTATTTTTCTAATTCTTTGTCTTGATGACATTAGTTTATTTTTTATCTTTGGCTGTGCCACTCCTATATATTAAAAATGCCTAGTTTTTTCAAGGGAGATTGTTGTTAAAGTAAAGTGGTTTTTTTTGTTGTTAAAGTAATGTGGGTTTTTTTCACTGTTGCTGTTTTTGTTTTGGTTTTGTCTTTACTTGAGAGGAGCTAGAAAAGGTAGGTGATAGAAGTTAACAGTGACCAGTTGGTGCTAAATATTTATTGAGTACCTCTTTGATTTATAAAAATACTGCTTACCAAAAGGTTATCATGTCCCTCAAACCCTTGATGCTTTAGAGCTATGCTGTTCAATATGGTTACCCTAGGCATTTGTGGCTCTTTAAATTTATTAAAGTTAAATAAAACTAGAAATCTAATTTACCAGTCACACAAACTACATTTCAAGTGTCAAGTAGCCACATGTGGCTAATGGCTACCGTATTGGACTAGACACATCAACACGGGCTTTAAGTTAGCCAATGTAAACCATTGCCAGCCATGTGGATTTGGGAAGCATTTCTAGCATAACACACTGAGGTCTTTACACCAGGCTTCTTGGGCTGCTACTGGTTGGGTGTATGAAGATTCAGTATAAAGAGGAGTTTAAATTAAGAATTCTAAAGTGCTGGGACTCAAAAATCCGACATTTTAAGGTTCTACTAAGTAGGAGGATTGGAAGCCCCACAGTAGTCTGGAGGGATCATCTATAAGAGATACTTCGGTTGCTGAGTTAAGTACAGTATTCATCAGTTGGACTGGAAGCCGCACTTCCATTGTGATACCATGTGCGTTGTTACATCAAATGATGACACACAAGTCATTGAAGGCTGGCTGAAAAATTAAAAACCATAAAAAACATGGGGGTAAGTGATCATCTTCAAAGATGTGTCCCTAGACAGGATGATGGAGTTTATGTTGGACTGGGAAGGAATAATCTTCAATATCTGCTATGTACAGAGCACTGTACTGGCTTATATTACATATTTTATATATATACGTATATATAATATATACATACAATATTAGCCACCTACCCATTATCTCAGGTTTTTCACAGCTTGTGTACCTATATGGTCCAAAGATTTGGAAACCCTAAGGGAAAAGCAAGTCTGAGGAAGGTACTAATGCATCGAGTATATCTGTACACACTGGAAGACTGGGGGCGTCTGGAGTAAGAGGGAGGTGATTATCTAGGTAAGGCACAGAGCAGAGTTGTCCATGTGGACCGACACAGTGGACCACACATTGTCCTAATAACATCTGAGCTCTGGGTGGCTTTGGAGAGGAAAAGCTGGTGATCCCTCATAGAGTGGCAATCCCAGGGTCTGGACGGCAGCATCACCTGGCCTCCGAGAGCTTGGATTCCCCTCCCCACATGAGACACTGCATCCCCTTCCCGACAGCAGGGATTGTGTGAACTTTCTCCTCTAGTGCCCAGCTATATATAGTAGTAGCATATATATATAGTAGTAATCTTTGCTGAATTGGGCAGATTAGGAGGGTAGTGAGCATAGAAATGTAAGTTCTTCCCACTTTTAAAGTATTCCTCCATTAATTCTTGTGTAACGTTATTAAAAATGTTTAAAAGATGAGAGAGCTTTGGAGTAAAATAGCTTTGGCACAAAAGTATGACACATGCACAGTGCACCTCTAGAAGGTGGAACGTGCCTGTCTCAAGGGGTTGGAATTCCTTTTGGGTATCTGATGGGTGAAGTCTGTGATGCCTTTAGTTATCTTTAGAGAAATCCAAAACATTGGCTGTTGAATGGAATAAAAAACTGAGATGAATGCATAGATTTAACTTTTTTAGACAAGTGGGCATCTATTTCCTTTCACTGCTAATGTATTACCAAATTAAATTTTTAGGTCTATATATAAAGCTCAGCCCTGGCTTGATGTGCACAGTCTTGATGTTCTTGATGTTGTAATTATAATGTTAAAAGTAATTGCTTAAACTTGGTTTTTAGGTTACCATAGTTTTTGCTTCAAATGTAGTCTTGCAGAGTCTGAAGAAGAACAAAGATGGGAATCTCCCTGAACCAGGGAAAGCTTAGTTTCAATGAGAGAAGACAGCAGAACTCTCAGGACACTACAAGGAAACCCAGAGTAAGGAAAGCATCATGACCTTCCTAAGATTGGCGGGTCAAATGGAGAGTGACAGAACCTAAGTCCTTAGAGTATTTATGGATACACACCTCGCTTTGGGCCACTCTTTAGCAATATGGCTTCATAGTCTGAGGTGCAAGAGATCCAGCTTTGTCCTAAAACAGTGTATGTTGGAACCTTAGCTGCAGCCTCAGAATACCTGCAAGTGGTTGGAAATTACACAGCCTTGGGATATCCAAAAACTTGGTTTCAAACCATCACACACAACCATGTAATTCTGGGTTCCTGCAGCCAAAAGCAGGGGAAATTGATGTTCTTCAGCCAGAAGTAGTATTCTGGATAGAGGTGCTGTGCGCATGCTAGCCTTATAAATATCCTCAACTGTCACCTTATCTACTTCTAGACATGCCTCAATCTGGAAAGTTTTACAGTTGTGCTGTCCTAGAAGCAAAGTGTCCAACTTAAGGTATTTGTTGATTGATATTTTTGACAGTTTTATGGAAATTTGTTCTGAGATTCCGTGTCCAGTGTTGAGTAAGCAATTACAAAATTATGAAGATGTCAGTGCCAAAAAAATTATTTATTTGATATTCTTGGATGCTCATATCCAAAACCACCAGCTGCTGCAACTTGCAAAGAGGCATTCAACAAGCTCCAAGGTCCTGCGCCCAACAGTTTCTCACTGTGGCAGCAGCTCATAACGACCCCTGTTCTTTTGAGCTAATTGCATTTATCTGCCTTTTGGTTGAAACTTACATTCAGAACTAACAATGAAAATGGCTTATTTTTGATGACCTGAGCATATTAGAAAACCTCTCATGTATTAGAACATTTTAAGAGTAATGCTATCAAGATAGAACTCTTACCTTGCAAGCAGTTTAGTTTGCATTTTTGGCAGCCTGTGATAGAATCTTGTGGGTCCCAGAAAGGAATTCACAGGAGACTCTAGTTTACCTGTCCTCAGGGAAAGAAAATTCTCGGCTAAGACTTCAGATATTTGGCCTGCAGAGAGTTCCCACAGGGTTGCCTTTAGTCCAGAGGAAAATGATGAGCACAAGTGTTTTCATGAAAGTTGTCCCATTTGATCTCACTGCAGGCCTAGCCAGGGTGGACGCTAGAATCCTGAATTTACACACAAGAGCACCAAGGATCGGAGGAGAAAGGTGTTTACCCAAATCCGTTATCTCCCGGGGGTACAAGCTCAAGGCTCCTGACTTGTGGTCCAGAATTCTGTACTGTCTGTCCAGCATGGCAGGTTGGAACACGAAATGAAGGATTCAAGACACTTCATTGCTCTTTGTCTCTCAGTTTCACACAAATTAACTGGCTTCTGGTTTCAGCATCACAGAACCTTTTGACAACTCTTGAAATCAATCACAAATTGTCTTCTTTGTTCCTGTGCTGTGTGTTCCCACTGTGGACTGAATGTGGTACGTACAATGCAGATACCCACTCGCGTGTGAGTAGATGTCCCCTGTATGCGCGACCCTTGGCATCTGCTGCAGGGAGCCCATTAACTTCACCCTGCGGGGTGATGAGAACATTGGGAAGGTTATTTTGGAAGAAGATTTAAACTCACATAAATGTCATATTTGACTTGGGTCTAGCAAAATACACACACGAAGGTACTTACGAAGTAGTTAAGTTGTTGAAAATTTAGGCAGCAGAATTTTGGGACTCTGTTTAGGTAGGATCTAACGAAACTCATGCCCTAGTGTTTCTGGATGGCCCTGCATTTCTCCCTAGACTTACGGAGCAGTTGGCCATTACCCAGTCTCCACTAGACACCCCCCCTGCCTCTTCCAAGAGGAACTACCATACTTGGTACCCTGGCTGTATCTTATGTGGCAGAAAGTATGAGATGAGCTAGGGAACTTTTTATTCTCAGGAGGCTGGGAAGTTGCAGGAGAATGAATGAGTGGTGGGAACTGAGTCAAGGGTGAAATGCAGGCATTGTGACCATGAGGGCTCCATGAAGGAAGACTGTCAGACCAAGCTTGTGTCCTTCCTCCTCGTCCCAGCAGCACAGGGACTGGGAGAGATACTAGCAGGAGGCACCACAAGGGCAGGAGTGAGACTCCAGGACCACTGTGCTGCAAGCACTGTTCCTTAAGATGACTTCCCATTGCTTGAAGAACTTCAGTTGGACGCCTCTTTGCCCTAGAAGAGTTGAGTTTAAACAAATACCTATTCACTTAAACACCTGTTAGGGGTCAACTTTGGATAATGTACCAAATGCAGAGAAGCCTGTTACTGCCGAGAATAAAGCATCCCTCTCAGAAGTCAGCTGGTCCTTCCCAGATACGTGAAAACAAGACTTTGTTTCTGGAGTAATTGAAGAAATCAACCGTTAAACCTTGCTCTTAAATCTCCGTCAGAGATTCATAGCCCCTTTCATGTTTCCTCTGAGTAGGCAATCAGTGTTAATGAAATGTGATTTCAGGTTTTATGGCTGAGTCAGGAAATTCAAAGTTATGGTTTCCACGCTGATGGTTATCCCACCACCACCTGTGCAGCTGTAGGAATCCAGGTTTTAGTATGGGCAAGAACAGCCTCCTGGGCACAAGAAGGTTGTAAAGGTTACTTTGAGAACAAAGGCCTTGATTTGCAGACACTTGTTCCTGAGTGATGGTCTTAAAAACAAAGCATAAAGTGCCCCTAATAAGAAGGTTAGTGGTGACTCAAGCTGACAGAAAGTGAAAGGATTTAACTACAATCCCTGAGGGGTAGACTTACACATTTTTGAGTCACCTTTGCATTTACCTTGAGAGGCTCTGCGTGAGGTGGTTGGCTTGTGCTTTGCAGACATCCTGCTTTGTATGCAGCATAGACTTCGAGCAGGAGACTTAGCAACCAGACTTCCAGCTCAGCTCTTCCAACTTCAGCACACAGCATTTGCAGTGTGTGCGTGTGTGTGTGCGTGTGTGTGTGCACTTTTCTTGCCAAAGATTTGCTCATGCACAAATTACAGAATACAGCGTTATGGTGTCTTTTTCATATTTCATACCACTAGGTTTCTAGAACTCATTAAATTTATAATCTGACCTCAGACCTGCAGGAGAGAATAAGATAAGGCAATCTGGTGTTGTCCAAGCTTACAAAGTTTCATCTATTTAAATTGTTAAAAAATTTTCTTATTTTCATGGTGACAATTGTCACATCATAATTTACCTCTGTCATCCAACATTTTCAGGAAGTGAAAAATTGCATGTTAATTTTTTAGAAAACTGATATTTACTCCTTGAAAAACTGAAACAAGCTTTTTGATTGAAAAATGTTCATATGTATTGAACTCTCTTCTACCTTTAATCCCAAATAGCTGGGATTACAGGCGCCTGCCACCACACCCAGCTAATTTTTTCCATTTTTAGTAGAGACAGGGTTTCACTGTGTTGGCCAGACTGGTCTTGAACTCCTGGCCTCAACTGTTCCGCCCACCTTGGCCTCCCAAAGTGCTGGGATTACAGGCCTGAGCCACCGCGCCCGGCCAAGTAATGCAGATTGTGTGTGCACCAAACATGTCCCATTTAGTAGCACCCCATAATGAAGCACATTCATCTTTCCGGGGCAAAGCGTCTGAATGTTCATGTTCAGTGGAGTAGGTAATGACTATAAACATATACAACTCCGTTTAGGTTGGTTTTGTCCCCAAATGCATCACGAAGAAACTTCTAGCTTCCTCTGAATTTTTTATTTTGGAATTGAAAAGGAGTTTGTGGATCTATGTTTTTGTTCTCATTTTGAAGATGAGGAATCAGATTCACAGAGGTTAAGTGACTTGATCAAGGGACAATGACAGAAGCTTGCTCTGATGCCAGAGCTGGTGTCTCAGCATCTGTCCACTGTCAGTATGTGCTGTCATCCTCAGGGACTGGGATGACAACACTATCTAGAATATTCTTTTGGTTCCCTGTTTTGTATTGTCTCCCACATACTACTTCCATATGTTCTCTGCATCTTTTCTAATCGGTCATTGAAAATTACTTTTTCACTATGCCCAATAAAAAAATCCATACTTCTTTAAAAAAAAAAAAAAACAAAGTAAGGCATGGGCTTTGATACAGACCGTGTGTCCTTGGCCCTGCGAAACTTGGTTTTTAATTTGATGCTATATGTGACTCATCTAATCTTTAGATGAGAGGCATTGTTAAAAGCTGACTGGGCACGGTGGCTCACGCCTGTAATCCCATCACTTTGGGAGGCCAAGGTGGGTGGATCACCTGAGGTCAAGAGTTCAAGACCAGCCTGGCCAACATGGTGAAACCCGGTCTGTACTAAAAATACAAAAAATTAGCCAGGCATGGTGGCGGGCGTCTGTAATCCCAGCTACTTGGGATGCTGAGGCAGGAGAATCACTTGAACCCAGGAGATGGAGGTTGCAGTGAGCCAAGATTGCGCCATTGCACTCCAGCCTGGGCAACAAGAGCAAGACTCTGTCTCAAAAAAAAAAAAAAGCTGTGTGTGTGTGTGTAGAGAGAGATATATATATATAGAGATATATATATATATAGATAATTTTATTTTATTTTTATTATTTGCTTTTTGAGATGCAGTCTCTCTCTCTTGCCCCTGCTGGAGTACAGTGGTGCCATCTCAGCTCACTGCAACCTCCAACTCTTGGGTTCAAGCGACTCTCCTGCCTCAGCCTCCCAAGTAGCTGGGACTACAGACAGGCACTACCACGCCCAGCTAATTTTTGTACTATTAGTAGAGACGAGGTTTTGCCACATTGGCCAGACTGGTCTCGAACTCCTGACCTCAGGTGATATGCCTGCCTCGGCCTCCCAAAGTGCTGGGATTACAGGCATGAGCCACTGCACCCAGCAACTGTATATTTCAATGGTAATGAAAACATCAACAAAAAACATGCAGCATCAAAAATATCTTTAAAATTTTCTGATTGGAGACGTCTCAATCCATGTTTTATTTTTTTTCTCCTCCAAACTTAGATCAATGAGACAGAAAATTAACAACGATATTCAGGACTTGAACTCAGCTCTGGACCAAGCGGACCTAATAGACATCTACAGAACTCTCCACCCCAAATCAACAGAATATACATTCTTCTCAGCACCACATCACACTTATTCTAAAATTGACCACATAATTGGAAGTAAAACACTCCTTGGCAAATGCAAAAGAACGGAAATCATAAACAGTTTCTCAGACCACAGTGCAATCAAATTAGAACTCAGGATTAAGAAACTCACTCAAAAGCACACAACTACATGGAAACTGAACAACCTGCTCCTGAATGACTACTGGGTAAATAATGAAATTAAGGCAGAAATAAATAAGTTCTTCAAAACCAATGAGAACAAAGACAACATACCAGAATCTTGGGGACACAGCTAAAGCAGTGTTTGAAGGGAAATTTATAGCACTAAATGCCCACAGGAGAAAGCAGCAAAGATCTAAAATCGATACCATAACATCACACTTAAAAGAACTAGAGAAGCAAGAGCAAACAAATTCAAAAGCTAGCAGAAGACAAGAAATAACTAAGATCAGAGCAGAACTGAAGGAGATAGAAACACAAAAAACCCTTCAAAAAAGCAATGAATCCAGGAGCTGGTTTCTTGAAAAGATCAACAAAATAGATAGACCGCTAGCCAGACTAATAAAGAAGAAAAGAGAGAAGAATCAAATAGACACAATAAAAAATGATGAAGGGGATGTCACCACTGATCCCACAGAAATACAAACTACCATCAGAGAATACTATAAACACCTCTATGCAAATAAACTAGAAAATCTAGAAGAAATGGATAAACTCCTGGACACATACACCCTCCCAAGACAAACCAGGAAGAAGTTGAATCCCTGAATAGACCAATAACAAGTTCTGAAATTGAGGCCAGGACAATATGGATTCACAGCTGAATTCTACCAGAGATACAAAGAGGAGCTGGTACTATTCCTTCTGAAACTATTCCAAACAATAGAAAAAGAGGGACTCCTCCTCCCTAACTCATTTTATGAGGCCAGCATCATCCTGATACCAAAACCTGGCAGAGACACAACAAAAAAAAGAAAATTTGAGGCCAATATCCCTGATGAACATCGATGTGAAAATCCTCAATAAAATGTGGTTAGCTTTTTAAAACATAAACAATTTTGTGATAATTTTTTTTTTAGAAACATGGTGCTTTTTGTTCTGGCCTGGTTTCTTTCCTTTCCTTTTCTTTCTTTTTTTTTTTTTCTTCTTAAAAACAAGTACTTTGTAACATGTACATTCTTGTATGATAGATGGGCCACAAGGGAAGCTTCTCCTTGATTACTTTTGTGTGTTTTGATTCATGACCCCATAAAGGCCCAACCATGGTGGTTAAACAATTGTTTACAGTCATGTTAAAGTTACACTAAGATAACAGGAGGCCCCGTTCACAGAATAGATTGATGGGCTTCAAGGCAAAGGACACAGGTTGCTTGAAATCTTGATTGCCACAATTCTGGGTGCACAAAGCCATTTTAATCTGTTGCTCAAGTCTGAGGGCAGTCTGATTATGTGGCCTGAGGGCTCAGTGTCACATACATGTATTAAAGAAGGCTGACTCTCTCCCCATTGCCAAGAACTTAGGGAATTCAGAGAGATGACTGTAGAGTTTTAATTAAGATCTCATCACAGAACTTGGACCAGTTAAGTTACTGTCTGAATTGCTTTCCTGTGAAAAACAAGGGCTGCCAGAGCCACTGCAGGATTCATAGCTATTTAGATGAGTGCATAATTGGCTCCCTAGAGGAGAATTGGGCAGCTATGAGTGTTTTAAGTGAGATCATCTTTTCGGGACGTTGCAAAACTATAATCCTATTCATCTGTAGTTCCTGAGAAATCTTTCCTGAAACCTCCACTGTCCAGGGAGGTATGATTGATGTAAGAATGGAAAGTTGACCCCTTGCTCCTTCCATCCTTGCTTTGGACATAACAATAGCATGCAATGCCAGTGGCGGGCACAGAGGCAGTAATAAGCATGAGGTCTTCCCTCGATTCCTTCCTCTTAAGCTAAGACTGAATTCTTAGTGAATATTTGTTCTTGGAACCATTACTCGACTAATATGTATAAAAGTTGTCATATAAAATGTGATAACGATCAAACAGATTGGTTAGAAAAGTTGCACAACTTTTTACAATGCAGATTGGGGGCAGATAAAGTTTTTTAAAAGGCAAATTCTGTTTTTACTGTAATGCTTTCTAAGAAAGACCATATTTTAATGTCTAGGTAAATACACAAACCATCAGATGTGTATGGCCACCCGTATTAAAGTCAAGCATTAGGTCCAGGTGTCTGGCTTGGGCAGCTGAATGGCTGGCAGTGTCATACTCTGAGATAAGTGAGGTGTGGGGAATGGCATTTACCATGAGACATACACATGAAAGGTCTCGGAGGAAAGTGAAAATTAAGTCTGGAGCCATGAGAAGAACGTCTAGGCAGAGGTGATAGTTGTCAGTATCTCCATAGAAATACTGCCGTGGGGATGAAGGAGATGGCCTCACAGTATGTAGTGAGGGGAGGAAAGGCTTGGACAGAATCCCGAGAATTAAGATAGGCAGATCTAAGAGAAGAGAAAACAGAGCTAAAATAATTGGGCCACGGGCTGTAGTCACCAGCCTATAAGATGGCTGCTAGGCCGGGTGCGGTGTAATCCTAGCACTTTTTGGGAGGCCGAGGCGGCCGAGCCACCTGAGGGCAGGAGTTTGAGACCAGCCTGGCCAACATGGCGAAAACCCACCTCTACTAAAAATACAAAAATTAGCTGGGCGTGGTGGCGAGCGCCTATAATCCCAGCTACTTGGGAGGCTGAGGCAGCAGAATCACTTGAACCCAGGAGGCGGAGGTTGCAGTGAGCCGCCATCAGGCTACTGCACTCCAGCCTGGGCGACAAGAGCGAAACTCAGTCTCAAAAAAAAAAAAAAAAAAAAAAAGAAGATGGCTGCCAAAGACCCCGCCTTGCTGCCAAAGACTCACCTCTGTGTGCAGCCCTCCTCCATTGTACCAGGATTGAGCTGTGTCACCAGCGGGATGTGGCAAAAGTGATGGTATATTAGGTTATACCAGATTATAAAAGACTGCAGTTTCGGCTTTGCTGTCTCTTACCCCTCCCGTCACTCACTCTAGGGAAGCCACCTGCCATGTGGTGAGCATCCTGAGGAGAGTCTCCTGTGATGAGGATCTTGGGCTTGGCCAACTGCCCTGTGAGCGAGCTTGGAAGTGGTGCCTCCAGACCCACCTCACACACTGCACGTTCATTGGAAACCCTGAAACACAACCACCTGGCTAAACTGCTCCTGGATCTCTGACTCACATTCTGAGATAATTTTTGCTGTTTTAAACCACTAAGTTTTGAGGTAATTTGTTTTACAGCAATAGATAACTAATACACAGGTTACCCGTAATTCAGGTCTAGTTGACATTTTTTCCCCAGCACTGAAAGAGAAATCCATCATCCAGAGCTCTTCTCGTCACATGTCTGGTTCTGATCTCCCTCCAAGTTCTTATTAAACCGACAATGACTTTCAGGGTCACTTAAAATCATTTCTAGCCATATGCAGAAATTTTAGATTTTTTTTTCTGTTACTTTAGTAGTCTTGTAACTGTAACTTCTTGGGATTGATTAAATCGTTTTTTGTTTTTTGGGTTTTTTGAGACTGGGTCTCACTCTGTCATCAAAGCTGGAGTGCACTGGTGCAATCTCAGCTCACTGCAGCCTTGATTTCCTGGGCTCAATCAAGCCTCTCACCTCAGCCTCCCAAGCAGTTAGGACTACAGGTGTGCACCACTACACCCAGCTAATTTTTGTATTTTTTGTAGAGACAGGATTTTGCCATTTTCCCCAGACTGGTCTTGAACTCTTGGGCTCAATTGATCCACCTGCTTTGGCCTCCCAATGTGCTGGGAATACAGATGTGAGCCACTGTGCCCAGCCAGATTTTTTAACATCTAAGGAGTAAACTATATGAAGAAGACTTTCTTAAGTTATAGTGGAGAAAAGAAAGGACCGGGAAATTGACCTGCCAGAAAGAAGGAACAAAAGTTGACAAGATGGAGAGATGTCAAGATGTCAAGATTGAGCAGAGCTGCTAATAGTACTTGAGCTTTTCCTCCCTGCAAAAATGGTCAACTCTTTAAGGACAACTGCAACATTTTTCCCTGGAAGGGTGGAAAATGAAATAAAATCTAAGGTTTCGAATAGTTAAGAAAACTTGAAAGTGTTGATTATGTTCTGATTATATTCAAATAATTCAATGATACTTAAGAATCAGTGGGTATTATTGGTTTGGAGAATTCACTAAAAAAGCAACTGTAGTAATATTTCTGGAAAAAGGTATGGGAATTATAGTTCTTTATTTGACCTTCAACTGACTGTTATGTAGAAAAGCACAGCAACCATGCAGATAACAAAACTGCATGAAATATTTGCAGCACATATGACAAGCGAAGTTTTAATATTTTTATGTGTAAGTGCCTTTTACAAACTAATAGTAAAGTGTACCAAATGACACAACTGGACTATTCAACAAAGATGAAAAATGTTATTAGAATTTATAACTGAATGAGTACAAATTCAAGATAGCATTTTTCACCTATCAAACTAGCCACAACAATTATTTTTATTCCAGTGTTAGGAAAGAGTGGATAACAGACATTCTCAATTCTCATATATTGTAAATGAAAGTTGAAATTGATAAAACTATCCTGAAAGCTTTTTTTTTTAAACAGAATCACACTTTATTGCCCAGGCTGGAGTGCAGTGGTGCGATCTGCAACCTCTGCCTCCTGGGTTCAAGCAATTCTTGTGTGTGCCTGAGCCTCCCCAGTAGCTAGGGTTGCAGGTGTGCACCACCACACCTGACTAATTTTTGTATTTTTTTTTTTCCAGTGGAGATGGGCTTTCGCCATGTTGGCCAGGCTGGTCTCTAACTCCCAGCCTCAAGTGATCCACCCGCCTCAGCCTCCCGAAGTGCTGGGATTACAGACAAGAGCCACTGTGCCTGGCCTGAAAGACTTTTTGGAAATGTGTTTCAATCATCTTAATGCACATAAGCTTTGACTCAATGCAGTTTCTATCATTTTACTCTAAATATTTCAGGGTATGTTCAAATATTTTTTTAAAAAAAGGGATTTTAATTGAATTCTTTTTTTTTTTAAATATAATTACAAATAACAGAAACCCAACGTGAAAAGTCTTAAACAAAAACAAAGAGTTGATGGGCTGGGGGAAATGAAAGGTTTGAAGAACTGAGCTACAGAAGAGCTGGAATGCAGCTGGGCCTCAGGAACAATTGGAATTGGGGTTCCAAGGCTTCCAGGCCATACCCTTCACGGTCATCTGCTGCTCTTTGAGCAGTCTTTTATATTTACTACAGACTGCCTTTTTCTCATGGTAGGAAACATCACCATTGGTCCAACGGACTGTATCAACAAAGGAAAGGCTGACTCCTCTTAAATTCTCTGAGTTCTAGTTCAAAAACAATTCTATGAAGAGATTCTGAAGGCCGAGTCTGGAGGATCAGATGGCCACCCATGGAACAGTCTGTTGTGATGCTGATGATTGGCCTGGATTGCCTCAGGTGCCCTCTGCAGATGACTTGACTGTGGCCCAGATGTTGACGATACCAGAAAATGCATAGCCATGCATCTGGGAGGAGGGGAAGGGTCTACCAGTTGGGCAGGCAACCCCCTAGATACCCACAGGAAAAGTTTGCTTTTTCACATGATAAGCCATACGCTAGATGCGGTATGGTGTTTAAATTATGGAAACTGGGATGGGGGATGAGAAACATGGTGAACAGCAGAGAGCCATCCATGACTTCAGAATGATGGCAGAAGATAGGAACTTGGTAGCTGCGTCACTGAATCTACTGATAGGTCACTTTCTTGAGGAAGATTTAGCTAAATTCAGTTGGCATACTGGAGGCAGGTAATAAATATCATCACCCAATTCACATGTGGGTGTGAATGGAAGTGAAGAATCTGATATTTATTACATGCCTCCGGTAATGTCTGACTCTGAGGGAGGTACCTATCTAACTAGTTACCTAAATATATATATTTCATATATTTCTGACTTCAAGTCTACAAGACTTTGGAGGCCCATTGTACATACAAGGACACAGAAGCCTGAGAAAAGTTAAATAACTTTTCCAAAGTCACACAACTGGTAAGTGGCCAAGCCTTTGAGATTCTGCGTTTGATGTGCTGGCTCCTTGTATCCCCTGACCTTTTTCAAAATTTTCACTCCAAGATGTCTTCAAGATATGGCATACCTTTCACTTAACCAGCATTTCATATACCATTCATTTTGCATTTTATAAAGTTTGAGTTTATGTCGTTTAATTTTCTCCAATATGAACTTCACATCATTTCTGCATATTTGTAAAACCTGTCAAAGTAATCTGTAACTAAACCTATCCCAAACAATGTAAATCCCTTACTCAATAGAGTCTCCAGTGCCTGTAGTGAGCTGGCTCTTCATAGAGGAAAGACAAACACTCCTCCACAAAATGCTGATCTATCCATTCATTTTATTTTATTTTTATTATTTTTATTTATTTATTTATTTATTTATTTATTTGTTTGTTTGTTTTTTTGTTTTTTGGAGACAGAGCCTCCCTCTGTTGCCCAGGCTGGAATGCAGTGGTGCAATCTTGGCTCATTGCTACCTCCACCTCCGAGATTCAAGTGATTCTCCTGCCTCAGCCTCCTGAGTAGCTGGAATTATAGGCGTCCGCCACCATGCCTGGCTAATTTTTGTATTTTTAGTAGAGACAGGGTTTCACTATGTTGGCCAGGTTGGTCTCAAACTCCTGACCTTGGATGATCCACCTGCCTCGGCCTCCCAAAGTGGTGGGATTACAGGCGTGAGCCACCGCACCAGGCCTATCCATTCATTTTAGAGTCATGATAGTTCAGCAAGGAGCTGCTATCTGATCAATCATTCTTTCATTGAACGAATGTTGATTGAGGACATAGCATGTGCTAAGACTATATTTGGGGCTGATGGGCATGTTAAAGTGTCCAGGAGCCACTTATTCCTGTGCCAAGTAGTATCACACCAAATATCCTCCTGTCCAAATCCCCACCTGCCAATTTAATGCCGAAACACTGAGAGCTCTGCTTTTTAGTAAACCTTTACAGCAAATTTCTTCTGGTCTGAAGTCATCTGTTGATGAGCATATCATGGAAGAGAGAATCAAGAGCTTTGTAAAATTCAAGCTCTGTTACATCTATTTAATCCCTCTGATCTACTAGGCCTGTCACTCTGTTTTAGAAGGAAATTAGATGGTTCTGACAAGACTGTTCTTCACAAAGCAATGTTGATTATTACCTAGTATTCTGTGATCTTATGGGTGTTTGCAAATTGATTTTTTGATGATTTGTTCTAGCATTTTCCAAGTATGAAAACTAAACTGACTGCTCTATGATTTTCAGGGCTGTCCCTTTCTCTTTTTCAAATATAGATCTCTCTACTTTTTATTGGTTTTTAGTGTCCTTGCTGATCCCTGTCGAATTTTTTAAATTGCTTTTGAAAAACACTGTTAGCCTTGCTTCAAAGTTCGGTAAGAGAAAACACTTAAAGGAAACGATGACTTGAACATCTACAGTCCATTTTAGAAAAGAAAACATGATAATAAGCATTGTAATACAGAGCTTCTTACAAACTGGCAAACTCCCAGAGGATTTGCTAGGCCACTGTTCACAGAGCTAAGGCTGGCCTTAAATGCTAGCTAGAAGGTGGAAGATTGCCATTCTGTTTAGGGGCATAACAATAAGTAAATGTTTAGTGAAATGCTTAAAGGTGTTTAAAGCAAATTGATTCAAATATGTCTTCCCCTTGGCAAGCCTGCTTTGTAAAAGACATATACAGATTACAGGATAATATATACTTTTGAGATGTAAAGAGATTTCTTTAGTCCTCTGAAGAGGATAATCATCGTTGGAGATAGCTTACTTGCTTTTTCTTGCCATTCGAGTAAGTTCAATATTGTATTGTACTGGAAGCATAGGTGAAAAATCTCCTTCTAACCAACTGAATTTGAAAATGTAGTCCACAACCAATTTAGACTGTTATTGTGTGGAAATTATGTCAAGACGACAACCTTTGAGGTTGTACTAGGCTCACTGTATGAAAACCAGAGAACAGCTGTTAAATATCCTCCTCCAAAACATCTGGGAGTAAAAACTAGGTGAATATACCCAGATGTGCTCCAGACAGAGAACTGATGGGATTTTCTTCATTCTCTAGTTTCTTTCTTGGCACCATCATAGGCTCATTGGTACACTTAGCTTTGGAATCTTAAAAGCAATAGTTCAGTAAAGAGAGCTTTGTGGCTCCAAGGCAGACAGAACCATTTTTCAATTGCAGAAGCACTTAATTCTTTCTCACTTTAAGTGTGAAAGCCATTTGGGTGATAGCCCAGGCAGGGTATTGCAGACCGAGAGTGAAAAACTCTTGGCCTCTGAAAAGAAACAGTAGGGGGGAAAATTCAGTTACCATTTACTAAGAGACCAAGAAAAAAAAAAGAGTATTGCATTTCAAAAAAAAAATTGCTTTTGGCAACTGTGCTTAAGACTCTCCAATTTGGAAGTTAAACATGGGAAAATGTTATAAACGGGTTGCAGCGTATTTGTCTATCACTCTCTTTTTGAAGTGGCAATCTGGGTGACTGGAAAGTATGAACACATCTCTATTCTGGTGCAGCTTGCTGAGAACTGCAAGTTACAGAACGAAGCCTGCCTGTTGGGCTGCTGCTTATAAATAGAAGGAATCTGGTTCATACCATAGAGGGGGAGCTTCCATTGGAGTTTTTGCATGTGTGTGAAGGAAGCTAGTGTGTATTTGACAGGACGGCTCAGCTCTCATGAGCCAGCAAGTAGTGACAGAAGAAGAGGGCCCAGCAAATAGCCATTCTCTGAATGTGCTCCTTGAGGAGTTGGGATAGTTCCTGTAGCAGGAATCCTCATGCCTGGGTCAGGACTTGGGGGCTGGCAAGTGGCTCAGGGTTCTATCAGGAAGGCCTAGGGAGTTCTGTAACGCCCATAGCTATTCCGCGATGATGCATCCTCCCCAGTGACAAGCATTCTCTTCCTCTTCCTCCCTTTTTGATGGTGGTAGTCATTTTATAAGACGATAGGCCTATGGAAAATTTGAAAGGCTCATGGGATATTCATATTCAGACAGGAAAATAATATTTGAAAAGAGATAACAGTACAACCACTATGAAAAACAGTATAAAGTTTCCTTAAAATTTTTAAAATAACACGTGGTAGTGTGTGCCTCTAGTATGAGCTGCTTAGGAGGCTGAGGTGGCGGGATCACTTGAGCCTAGGAAGTTCAAGACCAGCCTGGACAACATAGCCAAATCTTGTCTCTAAAAAAAAAAAAACCTTAAAAAAATAAAAATAGAACTACCATAGGATTCAGGAATCCTACTGCTGGGTATATATCCAAAGGAAATGAAATCAGTATGTCAAAGACATATTGGCACTCCTGTATTCATTGCAACATAATTCACGATCATTAGGAAATGGTACCAATCTATGTGCCCATGAATGATGAATAAATAAAGAAAATGTGGCATATATAATAGATTATATATAATATATCATATATATAGATTATATATAATATAATATATCATATATAGATTATATATAATATATCATATATAGATTATATATAATATATCATATATAGATTATATATAATATAATATATCACATATAGATTATATATAATATAATATATCACATATAGATTATATATCTTATATATATATTTATATAATCTATTATATATATTAAATATATATATCTATTATCTATTATCTATTATATAATACTATTCAGCTATTCAGCTCTAAAAAGTGTTATTCAGCTCTAAAAAGAAGGAAATCCTGTCATTTGCACCAACATGGATGAACCTGGAGGACATTATGCTTAAATGAAATAATCCAGGCACAGAAAGGCAAATACTGCATGATCTCACTTATAGGGAATATAAAACAGTTGAACTCATAGAAGCAGAGAGTGGAATGGTGGTTACCAGGCCCTGGGGGGTGATACTGGGATTGAGAGATGTTGGCCAAAGGGTACAAAATTTCAATTAGAAATGAGAAGTTCAAGAGATCTATTATGCAACATTCTGACTATAGTTAATAACAACATTGTACACTTGAAAATTGCTAAGAGAACAGATTTTAAGTGTTCTCACCACAAAAAAAGTTAAGTGTGTGAGGCAATATGTATATTATGAGCTCAATTTAGTCATTCTACAATACATGTACACTATAAATGATAAAATTTTTGTCAATTTGAAAAATAAATTTTAAGAAAAGAAAAAAAGAAAAGTGATAACTATCTGCTGAGTAGGTTATGCATTTACAACATTTTATCAAAGGCCCACAGTAACACAATTATGTAGGTGGTGCTAGCCCTGCTTAAATGCACGGAAATCGAGGCTCCGGGAAGCAAAGTGGTGGGCGCAGAGTTCATAACTAGTAAGTGGTGTGATCAGTTTACTCAACTGGACCTTCACCGCCCATCATCAGCCGCTCCACCTTTTCCTCCTATGAGGAAAAGCCCACCTGTGAATTGCACCAAAAGCCTGATTATCCAAGAGGGAAAATGAGTCCTTGTCCTGTGGCCTGGGTGTCACTTATGTCCTTGAACTTCTACTGAGGAGGGGAGTGAGCAGCAGTGGCCAGCCACTCTCGGGCAGTTCTTTTGAGAGACTACATGGGATAGTTCAGCACCAGGCCTGCTTTACAGTGGGGATTATCAGCCATTTGTCAGCGCCCTGTAAGCCCTTCAATTTTCCGGGCAAGGAAAAAGTCCTTATTCATTCCTCCGAGGATTGTTGTCATCCAGCTGTCATTTGGGCATTTAGAGTGCAAGAGTTTGTGCCGTTCATCTGGCCATATTTCTCACAGTGACGTCTATGTTTCTCCCTCTCTTCTTTTCTAGACTCTGGTTCAAGTTAGAGGTATATACTACTGTTTTTCTTATGCTTAATGCCTAAATAAACAAAAAATATCTTGATGGCTTGATGTGTTCGGGGCCACTATCTTAGGGATGTTTTAAAGTCAATGTAATGAGTGATATTCAATCATTGCTAGACTTCTATCAATTTTGGAAACAAAGTCCCCACCAACTGCTCACCCACACACACACACAGACACACACACGCACAATGTGTTCTGCAGTATCAAAACTCTTGCCATGTCATTCAGTGGAGAACTTGTAAGAGCTTCATTGGTTCTGCTTGGGTGAACACACCTAGGCACCAGATCCCAAAAGATAAACCAAAGACAGGGTCATGTTTTTCATAAAACTTTCAACAGATTGTGGCAACAAATGCATGAACAAACAAAGAAATGAATAGTAAGTGTAATAAGTAAGTTTTCTTTTAAAAAAAACTACCCATTCAAATAGTCTTTAGTCTAAGTATATATTTTCATGATTGTCTGTATGTGCATTAGAAATGTCTTTTTCAAGAATTGATGGAGATTTCAGATGGTTGATGTTTGTTTTCAATGACCTATTTTACCTTCTCCCTTCTGCAAATGGTCAATTCCAGATGGATACCCAAGATTATCAAAAAATGTCCACTGTTCCCTGAAATTCTAAATGTGGCAACCTGTAATGTGAAATATGTTTATTGTCCCTACCATCCTACACCTACACCCCCCAAACTCATCCGTGGAGACAGTCTAAGAAGAGTAAAGCAAAAGGAATTGGAAAGAAGAAAATGATCTAATTTGCAATAGAAAAAACAGAAGGGGACATAGATACATTTAACCAATATATTTTATTAAAGAATTTCAGTAAATATATATTTCATATTTACATATTTAAGTATATTTGTAGACACTCTTTGAATGCAGGTGAGCTGAATCTCTTTCATGGGTGCACCAGTGCTGAAGGTTTTTTTTTTTTTAAATGAGATCATTAAGGTTAGAGGTTTTAATTTCTTGGAGGTGTGGGAGGTAACTTCAGGTTCTTTCTCATCCACTTTCCTTTTTTCTCTCTCCTCTTTCCCTCTTTCATTCTCACTTCTCCTTCTGAGTACTCAGCTAGACCAGGCAAGAGCGGCCCAGCCCTTGCCCCATAGTTTAGAGAGCCCTAGACATCACATAGAGACACAGATTAATTAAAGAATATGTGGGCACCTCTGTCACTTGGGATCCAGTGTTCAGTGCTGAGACAGTGTGACCGTAAATACCCACCCTCATGACTAACACCATTCAGGCCCTAGGTAAATACTTCTCTATCCTTGTCCTCTATCCAAATGCCTTAAAGACGTATGGGCTGTCCTGCTGCTACTCACATAAGAGATGAACACTACTTTAGAGTCTGTGAAAAGATTTTGAGTGGCAGAAGCACTTAGGTAAGAGAAAAGACAAATTAATTAACTTGTCAAATCATTTTTCTCCGATAGCATGAATGCAATAGAGCCTCGTGTGATCGAGTATCATTTCCCAGTTGTGCTGAGCAACTACTTTCTTACTTCTCTTTGTAGTTCCACAGGTATTTGCAAATTAGAGCAGCATTCAGAACACTAGCATATGGAGTTCGAGGAGCATATTCTGAAATGAAATCATCCAAATTACTCCTACATCTTTATAGCTGCACATCTAGACATTTTGTGAGAAGTGGTCATTTTTCGTATATGGCTCTAGATGTTGCTTTAAGAGATGGTGAAAATTGTGATATGACTATATATTAAAATGAAAATATTTGGTAATATTGTCTGTGGTAAAAATAATCTATGATGGACAATCCAAATACAATCTTTGAACATGATATATAAAGGAATTTTATTGACAACTCCAGTTGCTACTGTGTTAGCAGAGTAAATGTTCTCCAAATAGAAATTAGTAATAAAAAAACTACCTTAGGACAATAAAATTTTAAGAAAAGCATCTATTTTGGCATTACTGTCAATAGAATACAAAATAAGTGAAAGTGTTGATTACAACATAATTAGTGTTCTGTTGAAACAATGGCAAGAAAAACCAACTTTGTGAACTGTATTTGTGAATTAATGACACCTGTTTTATTACTTATCAAACACTGCTGGACTATCAAGAAAACACCTAGACACACAATGTAATTAAACCCAGTCATATTTGAGAGTTTGTTGACTTTCAGTCTTGCAAAAACCATAGCTTTAAAATTTTTTTCATTTTATCATTATGAATATGTGTTTGTCCAAAAAAAGGATAGAATAGCCATTACATGGCAGTTTGTTAGCTCATAATTATTTAGCTCTGTGGTACGCAGCATCCATTCATACCCTTGCCACATTTCACCATCTTTCTTCCCTCATTTTCCCTTCTTTTCTTTTCTCTTCCCTCAGATGTGGCTCCATTTCTCCCTTGTATTCATCTCTTCTCTCCTCTTTGTCCTTGTAAATTTTACTCCACAATCTCAAGTGCTTAATTAGTTTTTTATTTTTAAAAATCAAATTAAATTAATCTCGGAGTCTCTATCTCTCTCAAATGGCAAAAATATGCCCATTTCAGTCATTATGGAGGAGGGCATAAGAATGGGATTCTCTTCCTCTTTCTCTTTCTCTAGGGCCATATAAGAAATCCGAAAGCTTACACTGAAATCAGGAGAAGGCTCTTTCACTCAGGACATCAGACTGAACACTGAAATCCTGGGTCCCAAGCTAGGTAACTCACTGAAGGTGGTCAGTTCTCCAGCTTTTTTGTGAAGCTAGGACTCTGTCTGTCATTGAGAACCCGGTGGTGGGAGTCCAGATTCTCCCAGACCCCACATCCATAGCCTCCAGAGGTCCTGCCACCCTCTATGGTGCAGGGGGGAGGTGAGTGTGGGTCACACTGTTTGAGGAATCTGACAACCCCAACCCCTTCCCAGTCTGGGGGCAATATCTCTACTTCCATTACCACCTTGAAATCCCTCCTTCCTCCCCATCCCTAGGATAATTCCTTCAGGAGTCCTGTGATTCTGGAAAAACAAGCCAGAGTCAAATTATCTAAACACAATTTCTGCTTTTATGGATCACAAACAAGAAAGTGAACACAAAGGTCTGGCTATGTTCTTGGAAGAGGGGAAGGAAAAATACAAGAAGAGCAAAATAAATCGATGGTTTAGAAAATCATCTCATACATTTGGACTTTGGGCATGTGGGCGAAACCCTCTTGAACAGTGTCTGCTTAATTCTGGAGATCTGAGGGGGTTGGAACATAAAAGTAAGGGCCCAGATAATTATGATTGATTTTAGATTTTAAGTGAAATTTCAGGTTTTGGTTCAGGCTATTCATTCAGCTCAGTAAAAAACCAATGGAGATAGCGACTCAAGGTTCTTCTTCTGGTCAAGAATGAAGTCAGTGCATTTGGTTGGTGTATTCCCTAAGGTGTATCTCTTGGGAATTAGTGTTTCCTACAAATTCCAGCCTCTGGCCCCTGGAAGATCTGCTTGCTGCTCCAGACACACTTAACATATTGACAAAAATTAAACATGCTCACAGGTGAGTTTCTTCCTTCCTTCATATATTCACTTATTCATTCAACAAATATTTGTTGAGTGCCAGGCACTGTACTAGGTGTACTAGGTGCTGGGTGTACAGTGGTGCATAAAATAGACACAGTGTTTTCCTTTGGAACTTACAGTCTAGTGGGGAAGATATCCAATAAACAAGAAAACAATTAATATAAATTACAAATTGTGCTAAGAGAGTGAACAGAGAGAATAAGGAAACTGAAAGAACCTAAAACACAATTGTGTACAGAAAAACTAAAGGAATTAGGAAGATAGTTGTCTTTTTCATAGAAGGCTCAGAAGAAGTTCTTACCTCTATGTAAATTTTAGAGGATGTCACATGAAAAAAGTACTTTTATTTCATTAATACTAAGGAGTTGAGCCAGCATCAAAACCTGCAAGTTTTAGGGAGATCCATGTTGGGTTGACTGGATGAAGAACTTTTTTTTGTTGTGAAAGAATGGAATGAGCTGTTTGGGGGGGTCAGGTCATCAGATCCCTTGATTAAAAATAGACACAATTACTGCTCAGTAGTAAAAAGATGTAAATATACAACATGAATGAGTCTCAAAAACATAATGCTGAGTGAAAGATGCCTTACACAAAAGGCTACATATTGTATGATTCCATTTACTTGATACTCTACATTAGGCTTAATTAATCTATGGAGGATAACTGGGACAATCATTGCCAGGGGGCGGGGGGCAGTGCAGTGGGGCTGGAATTAACAAGGAAGGTGTGTGAGGGAACTTTCTAGATAATGGGCATGTTCTATACCTTGATAGAGATTTGGCTCACACAGATATGCACATTGGCAGTACTTAGCCAGTGGTTCATTTAATATATTTGCATTTCACTAGACACACATTTGATCTAAAAGTAAATAAGGAAAACATGAAGGAGGGAAGGAAGGAAGGAAGCAAAGGGGGAGAAGAAAACAAGGAAGAAAAAAAGAAAAGAAAAGAAAGGATAAACACAAGGAAGGAAGGAAAGAAGAAGGGAAGAGAAAGAACCAAAACCAAATATTAAACTTTAGTTAATGATATACATGCTGGAGTTTTAGAGGTGAAGTGTACTGATGTCTGCAGTTTACTCTGAAATACATGAAAAAGAAAGATGAACTGATGAATGGATATTTAGATACATAAATAATAAGGCAAATATAACCAAACGTTAACAATTATAGAAGCCAGAAAATTAGTGTATGGGCATTCATTGTATAATTCTTTAGCTTTAGTGGTGTTTCAGTTTTGTTCTTAAAATATTAAGTAAAAAGTAGTCACTATTTATTGAGGACTTACTAAAATTTGTTAGTTATTGTGCTATGCAGGGTTGATACATTACCTCACCTACTGAAGAGAATAATTCACGGCGGATATATATTTTTTGTGGATTAGTAAATTTGTAAATTGTAAATTAGGAAATTGGGACTAAGACAATTCAACTAACATGTCTAAGACCATACAATTCAATGGCAAGCCTATCTGTTTGCAAAGTTTGCATCTGTGCTATCTAATATGGTACCCACAGCCACATGTTGCTCTTGAGCACTTAAATGTGGCTAGTTTGACTGAATAACTGAATTTATAATTTAATTTAATTTAAATAAGAAAAACAATGTTCAATTCAGTTATTGGAAAACTCAATTTAGTTACTGCAAAATTTCAAGTATGTTTGCAACAACTTGGATAAGTGAATCTACATTTTCAATGGTAAATTTTATGAAATCTAAGTACTTATTAAATATATTTTTTTGATACAGGGCCTTGCTCTGTTGCCCAGTCTGGAGTGCAACGGCATGATCTTGGCTCACTGCAGCCTCAACCTCTTGGGTTCAAGCAATTCTCCTGCCTCAGCCTTCTGTGTAGCTGGGACCACAGGAGTGTGCCACCAAGCTTGGCTAATTTAAAAGAATTTTTTTGTAAGACAAGTTCTCACTTTGTTGCCCAGGCTGGTCTCAAACTCCTGGGCTCAAAGTATCCTCTATCCTCGGCCTCCCAAAGTGCTGGGATTACAGGTGTGAACCACTGCACCTAGCCTCATCAAGTATTTCTTAAAAAAAAAAAAAATTTTTTTGACACAGGGTCTCACTTTGTTGCACAAACTGGAGTGCAGAGGTGTGATCATAGCTCACTGCAGCCTTGACCTCCCAGGCTCAAGCAATTCTCCTGCCTCAGCCTCCCAAGTAGCTGGGACTCCAGGTACATGACACCACACCCAGGTAATTTTTTTAAAAATAGAGACAAGGTCTCACTACATTGCCCAAGATGGTCTTGAATTCCTGAGTTCAAGGGATCCTCCTACCTTGGCCAAAATGCTGAGTTCAGGCATGAGTCCACTGCATCCAGCCTCTCATCAAGTATTTCTAATGAAAACTTAACATCTAAACCATAATGTGTCTTACATGTAAAATAAACACATTTTGAGACTTATTGTGAAAAAAAGAATGTGAAATATATCACTAATAATGTCTACATTGATGATATGTTGAAATGATATATTTTGGATATATTGGGTTAAAATTTAAAATATTGAAATTAGTTTCACCTCTTTTTACTTTAAAAAAATTAACATTATATATGTGACTGAATTAGTCTGTTCTCACAGTGCTAATAAAAAACATACGCGAGGCTGGGTAATTTATAAAGGAAACAGGTTTAATTGATTCACAGTTCCACATGGTTGGGGATGCCTCACAATCATGGTGGAAGGTGAATGAGGAGCAAAGTCATGTCTTACATGGTGTCAGGCAAGAGAGTGTGTTCAAGGGAACTTCCATTTATAAAACCATCTGATCTCATGAGACTTATTTGCTACCATGAGAACAGTATTGGGAAAACCATCCCCATGATTCAATTATCTCCACCTGGCCCCACCCTTGACACATGGGGATTATTACAATTCAAGGTGAGATTTGGGTGGTGACAGAACCAAACCATATCATTCACTCCTGGCCCCTCCCAAATCTCATGTCCTCACATTTCAAAACAATCATGCCTTCCCAACAGTGCCCCAAAGTCTTAACTCATTTTAGCATTAATTCAGAAGGCTACAGTCCAAAGTCTTGTCTGAGATAAGACAAGTCCCTTCTCTCTAGGAGCCTGTAAAATCAAAAGCAAGTTCAAGTTAGTTACTTCCCAGATACAATGGGGGTACAGGAATTGGGTAAATATGCCTGCTCCAAACGGAAGAAATTGTCCCAAACAAAGGGGCTACAGGCCCCATGCAAGTCTGAAATCCAATAGGGCAGTCGTGAAACCTTAAAGTTCCAAAATGATCTTTTTTGACTCCATTCTCACATCCAGGGTGCGTTGATGCAAGATGTGGGCTCCCATGGCCTTGTGCAGCTCTGCCCCTATGGCTTTCTCCTGCCTGCTTTCATGGGCTGGCATTGAGTGTCTGCAGCTTTTCCAGGTGCACGGTGCAGACTGTCAGTGGATCTACCATTCTAGGGTCTGGAGGACAGTGGCCCTCTTCTCACAGCTCCACTAGGCAGTACCTCAGTAGAGACTCTGTGTGGGGGCGCCAACCCCACATTTCCCTTCTACACTGCCTTTGTAGAAGTTCTCCATGAGGGGCCTACTCCTGAAGCAAACTTCTGCCTGGACATCCAGGCATTTTTATACATCCTCTGAAATCTAGGCAGAAGTTCCCAAACCTCAATTCTTCACTTCTGTGCACTCATAGGCCCAATACCACATGTAAGCCACCAAGGCTTGGGGCTTGCACCCTTTGAAGCAATGACCTGAGCTGTATGTTGGCCCCTTTTAGCCACAGCTGGAGCTGAAGCAGCTGGGACACAGGGCACCATGTCCCATTGCTGTATAGAGCAGGGGGGCCCTGGGCCTGGCCCATGAAACCATTGTTCCCTCCTAGGCCTCCAGGCCTGTGATGATAGGGGCTGCTGCAAAGGTCTCTGTCATGCCCTGGAGACACATTTGCCCTTGTCTTGGTGATTAACATTTGGTTCCCCATTACTTATGCAAATTTCTGCAGCTGGCTTGAATTTCTCCCCAGAAAATGAGTTTTTCTTTTCTATCATATTGTCAGGCTGCAAATTTTATAAACTTTTTTGCCCTGCTTCCTCTTGAAGGTTTTTGCCACTTAGAAATTTCTTCTGCCAATCTCTTGAAATCAGGAGTTCAAGACCAGCCTGACCAACATGGCAAAACCCCACCTCAACCAAAAGGTACAAAAATTAGCCAGGCATGGTGGCACGTGCCTGTAGTCCCAGCTACTCAGGAGGCTGAGGCAGGAGAATTGCTTGAACCTGGGAGGCAGAGGTTGCATGAGCTGAGATAATGTTACTGCACTCCAGCCTGGGCAACAGAGTGAGACTCAGTCTTGGTTTAAAAAAAAGGCTGCATGTGGTGGCTCTCACCTGTAATCCCAGTACTTTGGGAGGCTCAGGCGGGAGGATTGCTTGAGGTCAGGAGTTCAAAAACAGCCTGTCCAACGTAGTGAAACCCCATCTCTACTAAAAATACAAAAATTAGCTGGGCACGGGGGTGCGTGCTTGTAATCCCAGCTACTGGGGAAGCTGAGGCATGAGAATCACTTGCGCCAGGGACGAGGAGGTTGCAGTGAGCTGAGATTGTAGCACTGCACTCCAGCCTGGGTGACAGAGTGAAACTTTGTCTCAAAAAAATAAATAAATAAATTTCTTCTGCCAGATACCCTAGATCATCTCTCTCAAGTTCAAAGTTCCACAGATCTCTAGGGCAGAGCAAAAACCCACCAGTCTCTTTGTATAGCAAGAGTGACTTTTATTCCAGTTTCCAACAAGTTCCTCATCTTTACCTGAGACCACATCAGCCTGGACCTTATTGTCCATATCACTATTAGCATTTCGGTCAAAGCCATTCAACAAGTCTCTAGGAAGTTCCAAACTTTCCCACATCTTCCTGTCTTTTGAGCCCTTCAAGTCTTTAGGAAGTTCCAAACTTTCTCACATTTTTCTGTCTTCTTCTGAGCCCTCCAAACTGTTCTAACCTCTGCGTGTTACCTGGTTCCAAAATTGCTTTCACATTTTCAGGTATCTTTACAGCAACACCCCATTGCTGGTACCAATTTACTGTATTAGTCTGTTCTAACATTGCTAATAAAGACATACCTGAGACTGGGTAATTTATAAAGTAAAGAGGTTTAATTGACTCAATTCCACATGGATGGGGAGGCCTCACAATCATGGCAGAAGGTGAATGAGGAGCAAAGTTGTGTCTTACATGGCAGCAGGCAAGAGACTGTGTTCAGGGGAACTCCCATTTATAAAACCATCAGATCTCATGAGACTTATTCACTACCATGAGAACAGTATTGGGAAAACCACTCCACCTGCCCCTGCCCTCAACACATGGGGATTATTACAATTCAAGGTGAGATTTGGGTGGGAACAGAGCCAAAACATATCGGTGACTCACATTGTGTTTCTATAATTTGACAGAGCTGATCTACACTCTTTCCACTGTACTCAGCATGGATTGTGTTCATACACAGGCTAGGCATGCCAATTACCAGGTGTGGGTATGGGGTGAGGTCGGGGTGCACTAAGTCATAAAACTCTTCGTAACTTAGTGCCTCAGAAGTTTTGTATCATGCTTATTATGTACCAGGAATGTTTTTCAAGACTTGACATTTATTATTTTATCTAACCTTACCACAATCCTATAAAGTAGATACAATTATCTGCATTTTACAGATGAGAGAACTGAGGCATAGAGGCATGTACACATATTTAGTAGCCGCTAAATCAAATTAAAGGAACAACTGCAATTGGGATATACACAGAATTTAAAACTTAGTCTTTCAGAACTTTCTTTAAATGGCTTTGATTTAGAGATTTGGTTTCAATTATTTGGACTTCTGAGAATGTTTTCATCCTCTTAGGACACTGGCCTCGTTTTTGTATGCAAGCTGCTTTCTGAATTGTACATCCCTTCCCAGAATTCTAAGGCATTTATTCAAACAATGTAGATGAAACTAGATAGTTGGCCAAGAGGAGTACATTGTATCTGAGCAAATGGATTATTAGAGGGGTCCCATTTGAGAATTCACCATTTTCTTTCAGTAGAAAGAGTAGTTTAATCTCTTTTAAAAGCCTGCCACACCCTGTGGTAATTGACTTAGCAATGGAATTGCTCTCGAAGAAAGCTCCTGCTTTTCTATGCCAGAGATACTGATGGAAGACTTGAAGTCTGGGGAAGAGCTGGGTTGCACTTCCTAGATGTCTGTTCACATAGGAGAGAAGGTGACCATCCTAAGGCAGTTAATTTTGTTTTCTTTTTTTTTTTCTGAGATGGAGTTTCGCTTTTGTTGCCCGGGGTGGGGTGCAATGGTGCGATCTCGACTCACCTGCAACCTCCGCCTGCTGAGTTCAAGCGATTCTCCTGCCTCAGCCTCCCGGGTAGCTGAGATTACAGGCATGCGCCACCATGCCCAGCTAATTTTGTAGTTTTAGTAGAGATAGGGTTTCTCCATGTTGGTCAGGCTGGTCTCGAACTCCCGACCTCAGGTGATCTGCCCACCTCGAGCTCTCAAAGTGCTGGGATTACAGGCGTGAGCCACCTCGCCCAGCCGAGGGAGTTTATTTAATTTTTTTTTTTTTTTTTGAGATGGAGACTTGCTCTATCGCCAGGCTGGAGTGCAGTGGTGTGATCTTGGCTCACCACAACCTCTACCTCCTGGGTTCAAGTGATTCTCCTGCCTCAGCCTCCTGAGTAGCTGGGACTACAGATGTGCCACCACGCCCAGCTAATTTTTGTATTTTTAGTAGAGGCAGGGTTTCACCATGTTGGCCAGGATGGTCTCGATTTCTTGACCTCATGATTTGCCCACCTTGGTCTCCCGAAGTGCTGGGATTACAGGCATGGGCCACCGCGCCCGGCCGAGGCAGTTAATTTTCTAAGTGCTAAGCTTTGTTCATTTTGAAGGGAACCTCGATTGGCCAGTGTTCTAGAAACCATAGGAAAGAAACTCAGAGAAGATGTCTTAAGTTACTGAAGCATTTTGGATAGGCAGGCACGATTGGTTTTCTGTGTGAGAGATCAACCCCTACCCTTCTTTTATGAGTATGTCTTAAAAGTTCAGGTCAGTGCTGACACCAGTTATAATCTATGTCTATTGCATGAAGGCAATGCCTGCTATGGTCATTAGACCCAGCATGCTCTATGCTGCTAACACATTGGCAAATCTTTCAAATAATAAAAATAAAACAGGGAGCTTTGTAAATACAGGAAATATGCCACCATAGCGTCAATTCTCTGAGGGTAGAAGGTGGTAACATGGAAGAATCTTGAAGAGCAGAACACTGAGGATAACAAATGCTAATTCCTGCATTCTCCTAAAAGCACAGAAGGTGGCAAATATAAATATCTAAAAGGTGTTATGTTCTGAAACCACAAAATTAAAATATCCAGGTTTGTTAATCATCAGTGACAAATGGTGTGGAGCACCTTGCATTTGGTTTACTCTAGACCAGTGCTGCTCAGAGCGTGGTCCCCACCAGAAGCATCACCTGGGATCCTGTTAGAAATGCAAATTCACAACCCGGTGCAGTGGCTCACGCCTGAAATCCCAGCACTTTGGGAGGCCGAGGCGGGTGGATCATCTGAGGTCAGGAGTTCAAGACCAGCCTGACCAACATGGTGAAACCCCATCTCTACTAAAAATACAAAATTGGCCAGGCATGGTGTCGCACGCCTGTAATCCCAGCTACTTGGAAGGCTGAGGCAAGAGACTTGCTGGAACCCAGGAGGCAGAGGTTGCAGTGAGCCGAGATTGTGCCATTGCACTATAGCCTGGAAACAAGAGTGAAACTGTGTCTTGAACAAACAAACAAAAAAAGAAATTCAAATTCACAAGCTTCCCTCCAAATCTAGTGAATCAGAATTATTGGGATTGGTGATTTGAAAAAAAAAAATCTGCTGTTTGAAGAGATATATGAGTTCTTATGTTCATTGCAGCATTTTTCACAATAGCCAAGATATAAAATCAAGCTAAGTGTACATCAACAGATAAATGGGTAAAGAAAAGTGTATATGGTTTATATACACAATGGAATTCTATTAAGCTCTAAAAAAGAAAGAAATTCTTCTTTGTCATTTGCAACAACACAGATTAGCCTAGAGGACATTACGTTAAGTGAAATGAGCCAGGCACAGAAAGACAAATACTGCATGATCTTACTTATCTGTAGCATCTGAAAAAAGTCGAGCTGGTAGAAGTAGACAGTAGAATGATAGTTACCAGAACTTGTGGGCTAGGGAGGGAGTGGTAGGGAGGGAAAGAAGTGATTCAGTTAGACAGGAGGAGTAAGTTTTAGAGATCTAAACTTAGAGTCATGATTTCAGAATCATCACAGCATGATGATTTTAGTTATAATAATGCATATTTCAAAATTGCTAGAAGAGTAGATTTTAAAAGTTCTAATCACAAAAAATAAGTATGTGTAGTGATAGATATGCTAATTAGCTTGATCTAATCATTCCACAATGTAAATATTTATCAAAACATCACATTGTACCCCATAAAACCCCATAAATATATACAATTATTTGTCAAGTAAAGAGTCTGCATTTTGACAAGATCTCTAGATGAGTCAGACCAGTGCTTTCTAAACTATCTGTGGAGAAGGAGCTAAATTTCTTGTTTTTGTTTTAAGTTTGTTACTGACCCATTATTTTAGAAAACTTCTTGTGCAGCAAGACAAATCCAGTGATCACTCACTGGCCTGCTGAAGGAATGTCCAATTGCTACAACATTTTTTAAAAAAAACTTACTCTAACTTGTGTACCTTTCTTACTGGACACTGGTAACATGAGTCCCTGGGCTGGTACCAGTCCATGGACCACATTTGAGTAGCATTCATCCAGACCATACCTCTCCAGTTCACTGGCCTTTCAGATCCAGAATAGCCACTGTTGCTGCCTAGAACTTACAGATCTTTGCCAGGGAAACACCAAGAGCCTTATAGAGAATAAAGACATGGACATGCAAGTTAATCAGAAGCCACTTCTTCTATCTAGATTGGTCAGACAGTTACTAAACACACTTTCAAATGACCCTTCTCAGCTTAAATAGATCAGGTGGATGGTTTGTCTCTCATTGCATTAGGATGATGAATTACAAAGATTTGCTCTTCGTGTATTACTGCTGTGGTTCATGAAACTCACAGTTCCCATGAGTATGTAGATATTATGGAGCAAAGCAAATTTATTTTCATGTCTCTCTTCCAAATAGAGCTGAGTTTATAATTTTCTGTTAAAAGGTTGTGTTGCGAAATTTGGCTGGTCAGATGACATTTGGAGGCCATCAAATTATAATTGACGAATAAACACAGGAGACTATTTTTTTCCCAGACTTAAATTATGGAGCTGTCTTTGTCATAAGAGATGGAAGTATTATACAACTTTTGCTTTAGTCTGTACTCCATTTGGCTATTCTCATCCCAAGGCCACATCCTTTTAAATCTTGTTAAAATACATTAGGGCTTAATGTATTTAAATCTTGTTAAAATATACCCCTTGTTTATATTAGGGATTCACTAAGAGAAGGTGTCAATGATGTAAACATTACATAAAAGTAAAGACTGCAGAGATGAAAACAGTGCTTAATGGAGCTGCTTTGCTAGTGGGAAATGAGTTCTGATATTAACCAGAACTGGTTCTTACTCTGAGATGTTCCCCACTTACAAAGAGTGTCAAACAGCCTTTTAGCAACCTTCAGGGAAAAAAAATCTAGGATTATTTACATGAAAGTGTTTCAAACTCTTCCTCTGCTATAAATTGTCTACAGCCAAGTGGGTGCATTAGGATTTATACTAAATCTCTTTATCTGGTAAGATAAAAGGAATGTTTATGATTTCCCTGAAATGTATTTGCTTTTCTCACTGCTTTTGATAATACCCACTAGGAGGAGCCATTTAAGAAACAGCTGTTTAACCTACGACACAAACAGTAGCATAAGCCCTTTGGTATTTTCTAATGTCCAGAAAATGAATAATTGTGCTTTTTCCAATTATTCAACCTCTCCTTTAAGAAGGGGCCTAATTTGTGAAGTTTTTCTGGTTTTTAAGGATACAGGTGGCAAAATGTTTCTCATTTTGGTTTCTTGAATTCATATATGATGAAATTATGCCTTAAAGAAAATACAAACTAAAACCACAGTGAGATACCATTTTGCAGCCACCACAGAGGCAAAAAGAGAAAAAGGCCAACAATACCAAGTGTTGGTGAGGACGTGTTGCAAAGACACTTATACAAGCTGGTGGAAGTGTGAATTGGCACAGCCACTTTGGAAAACAATTTTATCTTATCTCATAAAGTAGAGCATCTGAATACTACACAATTCAGCATTTTCCCTCCTGGGTGTACACCCTAAGGAGATTATTGCATATATGCGCTAGAATATATGCAAGAATATTCTTAGTAGTGTAGCTTTTAATAGCAAAAATCCCAAACAGTAAATCCAAATGACCATCTAATAAGAGAAAAAGTAAATTCATTTTGTTACGCTCATACAATATAGTATTCTGCTACATGCATCAGCATGGATGAATCTTAATATTAGATTGAAAAGCAAGTTTGAGAAGAATACATACAGGAAGATTCCATTTGCATAAAGTTAAACAATGTATAAAACAAAAAGATTCTATATGTGAGATAAAATGATTAAGAAATGCAAGTGAATTATTAACACAAAGTGAAATAGTGGTCATCTTTTGGGAGGAGGCAATCAATGGAGGTGAGTTGGGTCATCTTTTGGGAGGGGGCAATCAATGGAGGTTAGTCACCAGTGGAGCTTGAAGGAACTGATCATGTTCTATTTCTAAAAGTGGGTGGTAGGTTCATGTGTGCATTTTAAAAATTAGGCAGGTATGTTATATATAATTTGCAAGTGTGAAATTTTTATAACAAAATATGAGTACATGGAAAAGAAGAGTATGACTAAAAATAAATCACATGGGACCTGTATGTCTCATTAGTTTATTCTCCAAATTCTCAGTGACTTAATGAAGTAAAATTTTTTTTTTCTTTCATGCTACATGTCCAATGAGAGTCATCAGGGGCCTCTGATTTTTGTGGTAACTCAGGGACCCAGACTCAAGAGTTTATAGGGAAAAGAAATTCTGTGATTACTGCCTGTGGGTAAAGTTATCACCAGATCATGACAGGGTTGGGGCAGGGAAGGAGGACAGGAACATGATGAGTCAAGCACTGGCTCTTCAGGTTTCTATCTGGAAATGACATGTCACTTCCACTCACATTGCATTGGCCAAGTCAAGCCCTAAGGCCCTGCTAACTTCAAAGATGTCAGAAAAGTACAATCTCACTGTGTCTGTAGAAAGAGAACCTGAATATTTGTGGACAGACTTAAAGGCCATAATGACTACCGTATAACCACAGCCAAATTTTGAGTTCATTGCTGCTGCTTCTATGCCAAGCTCTAGAAGAACACACATTTGTGCTTATTTTCCATTACAACTCTAATAAAGATACAAAGTGCTGACTTAAAAAGGCTTCTTTCTCGATGATCTTGATAGTCTTAGGAGAGAGTTCCTTCTGAAGATAGGATACTCTTAGTCCAAACAAAAGTCATCCTCATGGAGTAAAAGCCTCTTATCTGGATAAAAGTTCATGGATTTTGTCTGTTATCTGCAGGGGTGAAAGGCTCACTGTTCTACTTCCCAGAATTGTAGAAAGTCATGTTGGGGTGGCACTTAAGATGGGTAGGGGATGGCGGGCAGGGATATCAACAGAAATCCAAGCTTACTGGAAAACATGGCCACTGGGGGTTGCAGATTTATGCCCAGGACCTCCCCTTCTCTTTGTGTTTCACAGAGGATGATGGCCAATCATTTTTGTTGGACACACCTGCATCCAGGCAATTGAGGGAGTGAGAAAACACATGCCAATCATCTGACCTGGGTGGTGAAGCCAACCTCTACAGTGTTGTCCCCAAAGGTGGGGCAGAAACTGGCTCTTTGCTTTCCAGCCCCATTTCCTTGTCCAGTGCACACTGCAAGGCTACTTAGGTTAGGGCTACGGGGTCTAAGTTCTGGATAATGGAACATGTTACATGGGATGTGATGTCCAAGCCTGATGATGGAACAGCAGCCTAATATTTCATACTTTCTTATGTCTCTTTCTTTTAGCCAAATGCAGAGGAACCACTCTGAGAAGCCACCGGATGTTAGGAGCCTGTGTTCCCAAATCACCACATTGAAGGCTGGCCACTGAAAACCCAATTGGATGATGATGTGAGCAAGAAATAAGCCTTTATTTTATGAAGTCAGTGAGATTTGGAGGTTGTTAGTTTCATGAGCTAGTGTTAGTAACTATCAAAAAATATAAAAGATCATAGTTCCTTTCTTCAAAGATACTTCTGACAAGGAACTGTGCTGGGTTGAATTCAGATAATGCTCTAGGACAAATCTTTCTCATTGGTATAAAAAAGAGGCTTGTCATCTTTTCTCACTACCTTTAAAGTGGCTAGGCAAGCCAGGCTCTGCCCATGTGTTGAGTGATCATTCAGAATTGGTATTATAATTTGGCAAACAAAAATGCTTTGATTGATTAAAACAATGGATCCCATTTAGAGTTTTTTGGGTGTCTGGAATTTTGAACATTGGTTTACCTTTGCAAATGGTAAAATAATTGCTGGGTATTTTTAGCAGAAGGTGTGATATGATTTAGGAGATGGCATAATAATTCTGCAAAAGTCTGGACAGGCTACTTTTTATGCTTCAGGGTAGATTACACATAATAAACCCATTGGATGAGGGGAAATACAGGCCACAAATGCTATTTTATGTATGTGGAATGTGGGGAGAGAAATGAGCCAAGGGAAAAAGGCTAGAAACCAAAGTGAATGAGCAGGCAAAAATGATGGTCAGAAGGGGAGTTTTCCAGTGATTTTGTTTGGCAGACATTAAAAATATATATAAAATTGCAGATTGTAGTCATAGTAATGGAACCTGTAAGGTGACACTTTAGTGCCCATGATGTAGGCATGGTGATCCTACATGAATTTATTCTTCTCTACAGAGTAGGTAGGAATAAGACTTTACTTGTTTGATGTAAGACACATAGTGACATTGGAAAAACTATAATATCTGAGTGGCCTCTCAGACGAGTTAGTTACACATCAGCTAAGGCATTAGATGTGTTGGGCACTTGTCACATAGAGCCATGTATTCTTGTTTTTCATGTCCATGTCCATAAGGCAGCCTGGTGCAATCGTTGACTCATGGGTCAGAAATCTAAACTTAAATTTTGACTCCATACCTTATTCTAGGTGTAACCCTAGGCACATTCTATAACCCCTTGGAGCTTTAATGTCCACTCCTATCAGATGAGGATCACACAGACATTTTATGAGATACAAATGCAAAACAAAAACAAAAACAACAACAACAACAACAACAAAAAACAACCATGTGAAAACCGTGACAGCAGTACCTGGCATATCACTAGTATTCAATCCAGTAATCCCTTCTTTCTGTCTTCCATTTGATATGAAGTTCCTTGAGGGAAGGGATCAGGGCACGCTCATTTTGCATCACCTTAAGGGCCTGGCACATTGCAGATACTAGATAAATGTTTATTAAATGCACAAATGAAAAGGGCCAGTGGTCAGATTATGGGGCTAACTGGACTCCAGTAAATTAAAATACTGATTTTTCTCCTCTCACGAAATTTCCCTTAAGATGGGTGTATTAGATAAGATTTAATTCCACAGCATTCAACAGAGACTCAAGGACAGTGGCTAAAAAGATAGAAGTTCATTTCATGCACATGCAAAAGCCTTACTATAGGCAGAGCAGGGCTGGTGTCCTGGCTCCAGTGGAGGTCCCAGGGGCCTTTGACCTCATCGTCCAAGATGGAGTAAAGGCGGGAAGAAGCTGCCCGCAGACACTGCCTTTAATGAAACAGCCAGGAAACTCCCTCATGTCCCCTTAGCCAGAAGTTCTAGTTGCAGCACCGGGAATGTGATTTTTAGTTCAGGTGGCCACGCAGCTTCCATTAGCTTGGGAAAGGAGAACAGATAAAACAGTCTAAAGTTCCTCCCATAGACTTTCTTCTGTAATACTGCTTCGAAAGTGGAATGATTGCTGGTATCACATCCTGGACCATGAGGTTGGTAATCATGTCCCAGTGACGGAGGAGAGAAAGGACAGAAGCACCCCGAGTCCCAGATAAAGGAGGAGCTACCCGACAATCTTGAATTGCCTGTTTATGTGTGAGAAATAAATTTCTTTCTGAAAACTCTGATTCTTTTTGGATCTTTGTTGCCCACGGCTAAATTTCTACGCTAAGCACTACAATCCAGCTGGTGCACATGCGCGCCTGTGTGGCTCTAGGTGAGCATGGAGCGCTTTAACTCTTCCGCGCATGCTCAGCCTTAGCCATTGCCCAGGATGCTCCGGTCCTCTCACTTTTCGTCCTGCCTGGGCAGCCCCATGGACTGGCAGGAAACCGTTCTTCTCTCCACCCAGCTATGGCTTCATTCCATTAGGCTGGAATTTAAATCAGGGGTGAGTTAATATACAGAATTGTACCCCAGTGGCCTCCAATTTATTCTCTTCTCACTTATGGGGTCAGGCCCCGTATAGTTATGTTTTATACTAGCAGTACAAATTGTACAAGACTCTTACAAAAATCAAGCCAATCAGAAGTAATAAGATGATAAAACTCAGCCCTCCCTCACTGTAAGAACTCTCAGCATGTGAAAATTTATATATGTAGAATGATAATGCCTCTACAAAAAGACGGATCCCATTACAAAATAATTACTGAAAACCTAGTAGTTTGCTAAAGACCTAAATACACGTAAATAGGAGCATTTCCTTACAAATTTACGGTACTGTGCCCAAATTTTGCTCACTGAAAATGTTCTCTTACTGCATCTGTTACACAAAGATAGACCAGCTCAAACACCCATCCTGGGTCTGGATAAAATAGATGGAATTTTATCAATCTAACTTTTTTTTTCAGTGTTGCTGCTTTGACATTAAGTAGGCAGTATGAGTAACCTGAAGGAATAGTAAATAAATATATTCTAAAGAAATAGTAAGGGAATTAAAGTAAAGTGGTGTTCCGGTGTTCACACAAGATCAAGCTTTCTACGTTTCTTCTCCATTACATTTTATCATAGTTCTGACACACCTTTTTTTCACATTTTAGAGTTCATGCCTTGTGTACTTTACAGTTTTATACCGTGTATGTTTTTAATGTCATTAAAAAAAAAAGCCTCAACTCTAGGCATTTTCACTTCTTATGCCGTGGCTGATACTACAGAAGGTTGGAACTAAAATAATCATGACCCCTTAAGGCAAGACCTCCAGCTTTTGAAGTGGGCCAGACTTCATGCCTAACAGCTTGAACCTCTAATAACACAGAGGGATAGAAAAAGAGCCTAGGATGAGAAGCCAGCCTTTCATCTGGGCTGTCTTTTCCTTCTGAGTTCTTACAAAGGACTACTTTAATTATCTATTCTGTTGCTTTTCTTAGCAGGCAGAAAATTTTCTGGGTTTAAATGTAACATCTTTCTTTACCCATGAATCTATGGAGAAGTCCACTTTTCATGAGCAGTCAATTAAATCACTCATCAGCTCTGCGGCCCCAGTTCCATTTGCAGCTCACACTGCAACTTCATGAGGAGGAGAGGTGCTGGCAGGCATCCAAGTCCACACACCAGGCTACAAAACCAAAGTTTGGGAAGTGTTGAGTACCATCTCTACAGGATTATGCCGCCACAAGTGTGCCATTGTGAACCGCCGTCAGAGCCCTGGATTAGGTTTATTATCTCCTCTTCCATTCCCCGGGAATGCCTGCTCCAGATAGGCAGGGACTGGCAAATCTTTTACCAGCATTCTAAGTACAAGTTTATGGAACAAAATTCAGTTAGCAGAGGGAAAGGCACGCACAGATACAGACCATACATGATTATCATTATTGTACAAACATCTGGCTTCCACCCAGAATATCCACTCTACAGTCCATCCTTATTCTCTGCCTCTGGAAAGCAGGATGCTCCCTTTCCAGGGCTCCTCATCCAAGCCTGCCTTGTCTAGGGGTTCCCCCTGTGACCAAGGCAGTGAGCTCTGATCTGGCTGGAGTCCCCTGGTACTTCTCCAAGATTCCAATGGAGCGTGCTCATTAGGAGTTTTGCTTTTCTTGTTTCTAGGTTCCCCACGTTGGTTGTTGAACTATAGTCACTCCACTTGGAGAAAGAAAGCAGAGAGAACCCTCGGGGGTTCATTCCTAAAGCAGTGACTCACTTTGTCTTCTTGCCACTGTTGCTGGCCTATCATCTACCTCCATCTGTCTCTATGCTGGACCAAGCAGACACCAGAGACATTTAAAAAAAAGTCTCTCTGCATCAAAAATGATCAGCAGAACCCCACCTAATCATAGGTCAGGTGCTTCCAGCTTGAATTCTTCTCCATGACAGACCCCTGCAGATGAACTCTGGTGGCGACTTTCTGTTCTGCCTTTTGTTTTGTTCCTGTGTGAACCACAGTTGCTCGGCTGAGTGGAGGGAAGACAGTGCTGAACTTGAAGCCGGCAGACAGCAGTTTTGATCCTCCTGGCTTGTGAACTTAGCATTGGTGTAACCTTCAGATATTGTTTAACCTAATTGAGACTCAGTTTCTTCACCAGTAAAATGGATACACGAAAGCCCCTGCTGAGTCAGCAGGAGCTAACAGAAACCCCTTCCTCAGGCCCTCAGACTTAATCTCCATATGATTAAGGATTTACTACACGTGTTCTGTTTAATAGCCAAAAGCCAGACTCACTTGAGAAAGTACAAATGGAAGCCAATATCGAAATCTAGAGACTACTAATTGATAGAAAAAAGCTCAGCAGAGTCTGATATATAGTGGAGATTCAGCGGGATTAGCACTCTTTGCCTTTACAGCAGTCCCCTGCAGCACCTGATGGATATGCTTTCACTCTAGATTCCAGGCAGAAATCCCTAGGAAATCAAGGAACAGGAGGTGAAAAGTATTAAATCCTCATTGCAAGACATTCGGTATTGTTAGATTTTCTCTTACAGAGCGAGCTTGTTGGTGTGTGTTCTCTTAAAGCAGAATCGTAAAGCTAAATAGCACTTATCTGATTCTGTTCAGGAGTGATCGCTGAAGGTCTGTAAGTGCCTCGAGGTGAGGCTTCTCTAACTTCCCAGTCTCCTTATTGATTGTGATCGGAGGTGGCAGAGTCTGAGCTTGCCTGAGGTACCTGACCAGCCAAGGAAGGGATTCCTGGGGTATGTGGTCATTTAAAAAACCATACTTGTGGATAAGGCAGTCACGGTGCAGGGGGTCGGTTTGGATGTGAAGGGGAGAGCTGAGGCTATTACCATAGAGGAATTCTTTCTTTAGAAAGGCTTCTCATCTCTCTTCATGTGTGGTTTTGGGGCAGAAAAGAGGTTGGAATCAAATTCTGTTCAGCTTTCATCACTCCCATGTCACTCAGATGGGGCACTCTTACTATTGAAATTAATGCCTTTGGTATTAATTCCGATAGTACGGCTTCCTTGGAAAGATTGATGGCCGGCCTTTGATTCGTTTGCCCTGTGTGCATGTTTACTGAGTACTTACGTGACACATTTTTTCAAGTGTCCTGCAGGTCTTAGCTCATTTATTCCTCACAGCATCTCCATGAAGTGGGCAGCATTTTTATCCCTAATGCACAAAGGAAGAAACAGAGGCAGAGAGAGGCAAAGCTTTCTTAGCACCCTTCTATTGCTAGGGATCCTTTATGTTGTACGGCTATTGACTTGAAGGTCTCAGTTTCCAATGAATTTTTCCTAAATGATCTAGCCCGCACCATTTGCTCACTAAGCAATTAGTATGTTTGTTTCACACAATGACAGACAATCTGGACAGTAGGGGAGAGTACCACCGGGAGGCATCGCTGATACTAGATCCTGTATGTCATAGAGCAGATGGCCTGGACGGTCATAGAGTACACCTGTAATTTTAAGATATTTTCTCAGCCTCTGACCTCATGCCTGTGGTTCTGTAAAACATCTCACATTTCCTTCCAAAGCAAAGGCACCAATGTGCATTTCTTCTCAAATGATTTTGAAAGCACTCTTGATAGTCTATCCAGTTTGAATACATTTGTGAAGCAAATTCCAAAATTGCGTATTATATCTTCTGGAATGGTGCTTGGTTTGGATATGGTTTATTGGTCCCCACCAAATCTTATGCTGAAATTTGATCCCTGGTGTGGCAATATTAGATATATAGCCTGGTGGGGTGTGTTTGGATCATGAGAATGGATCGCTAATGAATGGCTTGGTGTCCCCAGGTTTGTCCCTTCTTCGCACATACTTGCTTCTCCTTTGACCTTCTCCGACATGTTTTGACTCATCACAGAAGACCTCACCAGAAGCCAAGCAGATGTAGGAGCCATGCTTCTTTCACAGCCTACAGAACGGTGAGCTAAATAAACATCTTTTCTTTATAAATTACTCAGTCTCAGGTATTCTTTTATAGTAACACAAAATGGACTAAGACACATCATTACTGTAAAATAAAGGAAGATTTTAAAAAGTGGAATTAAACATCCAGTTACTCCATAGACAATTAGGAATAATTTGGGCAGCATGGTAACAGCCCGTGCACGGCATTTGGGATCCACTCCTGCTCTTTGAACCCAGAAGAACCTGATTCAAATTTGATTGACAACATGACCAGGGTAGGATGCCTACAGCTGGGGTCTGGTTGAAATGAGATGGGATGATCAAAGCAGGTGATCTGCTGTAGTAGAATGGTAAACCGGGATTCTTGTCAGGATGCTGGCAGACAATATTGAAAAATTGGAGTAAAGTGAGTAAGAAAGAATGTGGAAGGCAGGTAAAATTGATGAAGGCAAGTGATTCAAACCCTAGGCAAGTGTGGTCACCATGCTGTTTTTTATAGTAGCTGGCATAGGTGAAGTGCCACCTGGGAGCCAGGCTAGACAGCACTGGATTTGCTCACATATGAGCCAAAGAATGCCGAGTTATCTGTGACAACAGGTGTTTTTAAGGATGGAAAAGGAGCAGGGTCTGATTCTCTGCTCTGTTCTTACCCCATGAGTCTAGTGACAACACATTGTGTGTTTCCAATTTTCCCCCAATGCCATGACCTTTAGGAATTCCATCCATTTGGCCCCTTAGCATGGGTTAGTCCAATGCAGGTTGGCAGTATTGGGAATTCACCTATTCTCAGGCAGTCAAACAGCCTCTTCCATCCTCCTTTTCCCTCTCCCACCTCTTGAAATACTTTACACCCTTCAAGGTGCATGTCAGAGGCTACTAGTCTACAAGGCTTCTCCAATAGTGTTTACTCCTCTCTGGAGCTGGATTTAGTCTTTCTCTCTTTCGTGCTTCCTGTATTATAGCACACACCAAAGACTATCTTGTATTTATCTTCATTATTTGTGTTCACATCTTACCTTGACTGAAAGCTCCCTGATGGTAGGATTCATATTTTCCTCCTCATTGCTGCCTCCATATCACTCTTCATAGTGCCTTGTACAAAGTGAATGCCTAATGACTTCTTGTTGAATTGAAGCAGGTTAAAAATCTGCCATAGTCCAGGTTGAAGTGAAAACATCAAATATTTTTGAAAATGTGTAGATTTGGGTGGTGGATTGAGGCAGAAATAGATGAGGCCCCAGGGAGTAGACACATTTGCAAGTTTGATTTCTACACCAAGCCCGTGTAGATCTGTTTCCTCCCTAAGCAATCTATCATTTTCATTGTTTTCTTCTATATGGTCTGTTTGTTCTTCTTGCTTTTTCAGAGATTAACTGAAGAGCATTCGTTTTTCTGGCATTCTCTTTGGGTTATAGCAGAGCTTCTTTTGCCAGTGGAGGGGAGGGGCTCTCTGGGCTCCTGCAGGGCTGCTCTCCTGCCTCTCCTCTCTCTTAGTCTGGAGTGCAGCGCTGACCTCCTTTCCCTGTGAGGGAGAATCTCATCTGGCCACCAGGCTTGGACTTGTTTGGCACCAGGAGAAGATAAGACAATGTAAGCAACAAGTTTCCTTTCATACCAGCTGGTTGGGGATTAGCCTCACCAGCCCCAAGGCAAAGCTTGCCTTTGCTGTTTAAAATAATAATCTATGCTTGCTTTTGTATATCTTAAGGACTGGGCGCAACAGTTCACAAATGAAAAGCTGATACAGAAATTCTTCTCTTCCTACCCTAATGTTTTCATTTTGTTTTGGGCCATTTGTTTTAAAACAGGGGATGTTCTATATCTGCAGTGGCCCCCTAACTGAAATATTAGACAATTTCTTTCTTGAGAATAATTCCCATCTCTACGAGCCTGGATTTGGGGAAGGGGGAGAGAGGGAGAGAGGGAAACAGAGAGAGAGAGAGAGAGAGAGAGAGAGAGAGAGAGAGAGGGAAGTCTGAGGGCTTGGGGAAGGAGTTTCTCCTCAGCTCCTGGTGACTCAGCTGGGCTGTCTGGGCTATGGAAGACGCAGGAGAAGAGAGGCATTTGGAAGCAGGTGAATGGAATGATCCAACACATCTCAATCAGGCCACAGGGGCAATAAAGGAGACATGAAATGTCCCCTAGTCCTTCCAATCCATCTTGGATATTTCAGGCCCCAGTGGTCTTTGGTCTTTAAGAATTTTCATCATCTCTAGTCTCTTTCTGATCACAACCAGCATTCAGTAACTGAAAGCACAAGAATTTCACCTGTCCCTAAGTGCTGGCAAGACATCAGAAAACAGTAAGCATAAATCAGGAGTAGAAAATACAGCTTCACGCATATGTAACCAGTGGGTTTTACAAGCATCAATTGGGTTATAAGCAAAACACAGCATTATAGTCTTTCATCCAGCATATCTTGAAGCTCAATTAAGTGGGATTAATTTTCCCCTGGCTTGGGATGTCAGCTCTGTGGATCTTACTGCTTTTGCCTCCATTCTTATACAGAAGGTACTCCAAGGTCACTGCAGGTTGCAAACACACTCTCAATTCAGTAATTAGAATGTCATGGTAAAGATGCTCATCAAAACTTTGAACGTGATAGCATTGCATCATTTCCATTTCTTCAGTGCTGACCTGCATCGGGCTCCATCCTCTGGTTGACTCTTTCTCAACTGCCTCTCCCTGCTCACCTCTTCTTCCCATACATTTTTTCTTCCTTCTGGTTCCTTGCCAGGGTCAAAGGTGGGAGAAGGAGAGATAAGGGCGCATTGTGGTTTTTACAAGGCTGGGTAGCTCTGTTATCTTTGGGCCTAAGGCTGCTGTCCTGAGGTAGGTTTTGGATAAGAAGATGATTAAAACAGACCCTTTCTCCATGGATGCTTTTTTGGCCTCTTTGATGTATCCTGCTGAGCTCCTTCTCCTGTGGCTTCCTTTGCCTGTGTGGATTTCTCTCTTTCAGGTGGCCACTTGCAACTTCCCTATCAGCCTGTAGGATCCGGCTGTACCCTTTGAACTCCTGCTGAGGTCTTCCCACCCTTCTGTGTTACCCTCTTGGGCAGGACCCAAGACAAGATGAGCTTGATCTCTCTCCAGGGGCATGGCTCACCCCAGTCCCCAGGATCTTTTACCCAACAAGTCCTGGGCGTGCAGGCTGACCCCATGCAGAGCACTCTCCTGGCTTTGTCATGAAAGAGTGAGACAGTTCCTTGCTCCCAGCACAGTGCCTTGCTCCCCACTGGAGGGCAGGTCTTAGACAATGGTTCACTTTGGCTTTCTCAGTCATGAGTCAGGAACCGGTCCTCTATCAACTGCAGAGAACATATTTCAAAATGTACTGTGGGGTTTTAGACATCTCCTTCACCAGCCTGTCATCCTATACCTTGGTCCCCTCATAATTTCCCAAGAAAGGGAGAATGGGGGTTCACAGTACAGCAACACCTCTAGCAAACAAACAAAAAAGCCCTTGCCAGTTTTCTTCTTGTACCTTCTCTGATGTCCTTTTATCATTTTGATCTGGCTAGAAGGTTCAAGATTCATGGGACAAGGTTTTGAGGCCATATTCTTTTCCCATTTGTATATGGAGGTGAAGGTCTTGTTTTATTCACTTTGATATGCAGTATCTGTTGTTTTATCCCAGTCAAAGCTGAGGCTAGAAGGATTCAGTTCTCACATATGGCTGCACATGTTACCCAAAGTAGCTCTGACTAGAAAGTGATGGGCCTTTAACTCTGCCCTTGCCCAGCAATATTGGGCAAGCCATTTGGGTCTGCCAACTTCAGAAGCCACAGAAGAATAGACTATGGTGACCAGTCGTTTTTATTAAGAGCAAAAGGCGGCTGGGCATGGTGGCTCAAGCCTGTAATCTCAGCACTTTGGGAGGCAGAGGCAGGCGAATCACCTGAAGTCAGGAGTTTGATACCAGCCTGGCCAACATGGTAAAACCCCATCTCCACTAAAAATACCAAAAAAAAATTAGCCGGGTGTAGTGACAGCGCCTGTAATCCCAGCTACTCAGGAGGCTGAGACAGGAGAATCGCTTGAACCTGAGAGTCAGAGGTTGCAGTGAGCCAAGATAGTGCCATTGCACTCCAGCCTAGGTGACAGAGCGAGACCCCATCTCAAAAAAAAAAAGAAAAAAAAAAACCAAAAAACACAAGGCAATGCCAGCATTTCTACCCAATTCTTGGAGGTAGAGGTGGGGAGGGTAATAAGCGCTTAGGAAGGGTTTTAGCTCGTTGTGAGGGGAGAGACAGAAAACTTGAGGATGTTTTCTCCCTAGTGTTTCAATGTACGAGATGTGGTAGGAAGGGAGACGAGCATATTCATTGTATTTAGGGGGAAATCACTAGATTCCTTCTCTAATCAATAAGTTCACAAGTTCCACTATCACATATTTCCCTTATGGGCTATTTGGCTATCTTTTAATATAATAATGCTACAATACAAATGACCACAGGCTTGGTGGCACATAACAGGCAATATGTATTGCTCATGATTCAGGGGGTCAATTGGGGCTCAAGTAGATGGTTCTGCTGATCTGGCTGGGCTCACTCACTTGAATAAAGATTAGACAGGTGATTGAGGCTGACCTTAGCTGTAGCGACAGTGGAGATTTCGCTCTGTTCCATAGATATATTTTATTTGTTTATTTATTATTATTATTATTTTTTGAGACAGAGTCTCACCATCTTGCCCAGGCTGGAGTGCAGTGGTGCCATCTTGGCTTGCTGCAAACCTCTGCTATCTGGCTTCAAGTGATTCTCCTGCCTCAGCCTCCCAAGTAGCTGGGATTATGGGCATGCACCATCATGCCTGGTTAATTTTTGTGTTTTTAGTAGAGACGGGGTTTCACTGTGTTGGCCAGGCTGGTTTTAAATTCCTGGTCTCAATTGATTCGCCCACCTCAGCCTCCCAAAGTGCTGGGATGACAGGCTTGAGCCATAGTGCCCAACCTCATATAAAATATGCAAGGACTCTTGAGGTTTAGGCTTGGAGCACACACACCTCATTTCTACCTGGATGTCCTGTATTTTTTATTTGCTAGATCTGGCAACTCTACACTTCATTTTACTGGTTGAAACAAGTCACATGGCTGAGCTCAGAGTGAAGGGGTGAGGGAGATCACCTTGTTCACCATCAGAAGCCATGCAAAGCTACATGGCAAAGGGTGAAGATCTAGAGACATAGTAATGTGGCCAATCTACTACATGGATGTTTGGTGAGCTTCTGTTTTCTGGCTAAGGACCTACACAATACATAAGAATCTTCCTCATGTTCTTTTCACTGTGTTACTGGCAGTAATCTTTGGATTTTTTTTGAGGACCAGAGTTATTGCCTACAGGATGTGTTGAGAGCCATGCAGAGATGCTAAGTGAACACAGTCCCCTGTTAAACTGACTTCTGTCCTCACAGTGGCTTTGCAATACATAGGATTCAAATTTCTGCTTTGGCAACATGACAAATTTCTTTGCCTTTTTGCTGGCACTCCATGGTTCCAAAGAGTCAAAACTGTAAATGTTAACTTTGAGAATATCAGCATGTTATGGTACCTAAATCACATATGAGAGAAAGAGAGAGTGACAAGGTGAGCTGGAAGAACAAGGCAGGTTGCTAAATGGGTGTTAGAGAGTTGGGAAGATGGACAGAAGAAATGGCAGGAAGGAGGTTGGAAATGGAATGTAGCTCAAGCCATGGTTTCCAAGGCTGTATGATTGTCACCTGGTGACATTGTAAGTTCCTTAGTTCCCGGTGAGGATTGGGAAACTTTTGGTTCATATCAGCTATAGAGACAGCAATCCAGTTCCTCAGCTGGGTTTCTTACAGGTTAGATACATGTTAGTGTGAGTGGGATAGCTCCCCTTGGTAGATTGAAAATTGGTTGGAAAACTTTCCTGTGTGAGAACTAATTGCACATAAATATTATTTAATCTCTGTTTTTCTCAATTGCATTTTAATTTTATAATCAACATTTCTTGACATTAGAGAAAATGAGTAAAAACATTGTATTTGATTCATCATATATTCTCTTACATTTTTGAGTTGCAAATCCCCCCAGAGATAAATCAAGCCAATTCCTTATTACCATGGATATTCAGAATTTGGTTCCCCCTTTTGTTAAATGCAGTAACCTTAAAAGTTTTATGATCTATAAGTATTTGTTTTATGAAAATAAGGTTTGGGAGTTGGAAGAAGAGAGGGCAGCTATTAGCATGACTTAATTTTTATTGCTTTTGAAGTAAGACATATTCATTGACTTGAAGGTGAATTGTTTTATTTCTCTAAAAATTATAGTTTACAATGAGTGAGGGATGATGATGATGTATTTTTTGGGGCAAGTACTTTCAAGAAGACTATTTCTAAATGCAAAATGCCAAGCAAAATCCCTAGAAGAGCAATCTCCATATTGCTTTAGTACTTTCCTAGCCATGTAGTATACCCCTTCCATTTCCTCTGTGCTTCTTAGGAATCCTTTCTTTATATACTTAGAATTTTTTTCTGCTTTGAAATGAAATACTCCACGAATAAATTACTCTCTGTATCTGTTTAAACCTTTATTTAGTTAATTAAAATGCATATTTAAGAGTTATAGTCTGTGCAGCTTAGATTTATGACCCTAAACACTTAAAGTCAACAGTGTATGAAGTCTGGTATGGTTGATGGGGCAGAGAAAATATGTAGTGCAAAGTACTGAAATTTTACAGGCTTTGGCAATAAAGGGTAAAGACCTATATTTATTTAGAAACTAATGTTGGAAAACAATGCTTTGTAATTTCAAAGTTTATCATCTCAGTTGATTCTCAGAATAACCTTGTGTGATACAGGCAGGTCAAGTTCTTATATCCCCATGTTAGTAATGAGAAAATTGAGGCTCAGTTGATTCTCAGAATAACCTTGTGTGATACAGGCAGGTCAAGTTCTTTTATCCCCATGTTAGTAATGAGAAAATTGAGGCTCAGAGAGGTTCAGTGAATTTTCCAGCATCATCTTGCTGGTATACTGAATAACTAGTTTAGGAACCCAGATGTTCTCTACCTGAGTCCTGACTTCTGTGTTACAGCATTATGATTTTCAAGATAGAAATGAATAGTTAGGGCTAGCCCTGGAGATACAAAGACAAATGAGATGTTATTCTATTCTCTACCTCCATGAAATCAAGGTTGGTTAATAATAAATAACAAATTCTAGTGTCCAATAGCTATGTAGAATGGCTATAGTTAATAATAATTTGTTGTATATTTCAAAATAGCTAGAAGAGAAGATTTGAAATGCTCCCAACACAAAGAAATGATAAATAGTTATGGTGATGGATATTCTATTAATAAATATCCTTATTTGATCATTACACATTGTATGCATGTATCAAATTTATCAAATGTACCCCATAATTATGTACAATTATTATATACCAATATAAAATATAAATGAGACATCTTCCCTGTTTTCAAGGGCTGTTTGGGGGTTCATCTGGGAGACAGGAAAGCCAGGACCTTTGCAATACGATTTGATAAGAACAATCTTAAGAGCTACAGAATGAGGCATAAGGGAAGGAGGGCCTATTTCTATTAGGATGGGGGTGAAGGGAGTTCAGGCTGTTGTGTTTAGGAGAAGGAGTTTTGGTCCATGGCAATATTTCACAAGCTCTGGATATAAAAGAGTAATTCTTCTTTCTGTGGTCAGGAGACTGAATGATTGAGGAATTAAGTTGATGGTTTTGAATACAATTCCAGCTGAGCAAGAAAGTCTGTGGCAATTAAAGAATTCTTAGTCTGAGAGTAATGGGCATTCCCAGAGAAGGCAGCAGGGTTAAGTCCTGTAGTAAAAGATGGACCCCGAACTTTGACCCTACCTGGAATTTCAGAATGCCATTGTGGCAGATGGCATTTTCCAAAGACAGCTACTACAATCTCTTTTGTCTCTCATGCTTTTCTGCAATGTGAACTTCTCCTCTCCTATCAAGAGGTTGAGTCTGATTCTCCTCCTCTTGAATCTGGGTGGACTTGTAACAGCTTTAACCAATGGAGTATGCAGAAGGGATGCTGTGTGGTTTCCAAGGCTGGTCATAAAAGGTGAGGCAGCTTCTGCATTGTTGTTAGAACACTCTTGTTTTATTCAGGGTACTTTCTATGAAAATTAAACTGGTACCATCAAGGAGGAGCTAAACCATTTATATATCACATCTATCTATATAATCTATCTAGTATCTATGTGCCTATCTATTTACCAAAAAGTACCCAAGACAAGTCTCAATTTAGAGATTTATTTTGCCAAGGTTAACAACAATGGCCTGTGACACAGCCTCAGGAGATCCAGAGAACATGTGCCCAAGGTGGTTGGGTTACAGCTTGATTTTATACATTTTAGGGAGACAGACGTTACAGGCAAAGACATACATCAATACATGTAAGGTATACATTGGTTAAGCCTAGAAAGGTGGGACATCTTGAAATGGGGACTTTCAGGTCATAAGTGGATTCAAAGATTTCCTAATTGGCAATTGGTTGAAAGAGTTAAGCCCGGCCTGAAGAGTTGAAGTCAGCTTGAGTTAAGGTAAGGGGTGGAATTGGTTGTGGAAACCAAGGTTCTTGTCATGTAGATAAAGCCTCCAGATAGCAGGCTTCAGACAGAATAGATAGATGGTGAATGTCTCTTATTGGACTTTAAAAGGTGTCAGACTCTTAGTTAATTCTCTCCTGACTCAGGAAAAGACTGGGAAAGTGAAGGGAATTCTCTACACAACGTAGATGTCCCTGACAAGAGATAGCTTTGCAGGGCCGTTTCAAAAGATGTCAAAAAATAGATTTTAGGGGTAAAATACTTTGATTTCCTTTAGGACCTATTATCTGTCATGTGATGTTATACCAGCATCAGGTTGGAGTTGGTGGTCTTATTGCTACAAAGAGTCTGTTCTGTTAGTCTTAGAGTCTCTATTTTAATGTTAATATTGATCGGTTGTGTCTGAAATCCAGAAGGGAGAGGGTATAATGAGGCATGTCTGACCCGTCCTTCCTGACATGGCCTGAGCTAGTTTTTCAGGTTTCTTTAGAATCCATTTGGCTGAGAGGGAGGTCCATTCAGTTGGCTGGGGGGGGTCTTGGAATTTTAATTTGGTTTACATATTCATCTATCTATTCTCTGTCTTTATCAATGTGAGAGAAAAGTGTTTCTATCACAATTCATTCTATTTTACTATTTTTTATTTTACTGTCAGTAAAATTATAGATACGTAAAATTTTTTATTACAAAGGATCAGAATAAAAGTTGAAGTTGAAAATGGGTATATTTGTTTATTTAGAAGACAATAGAGAAAGGAAAAGGCTAGTTAAAAGGGAGGAAATATTGTGCACCACCGTAAAAGAGTCTAATGTTACTCTTCCACAACGTCTTGTATTTTGGGGGTTTTCTCCATCTCTTAGGCTTCCCTTACTCAGTTTTTTTTTGGTAGTCTCTTTTTGCTCTAACTTACTTTTTGATGGTTTCCATGGTTACTTTGAAGGCCCTGTTTTCCTTCCTTTGTCTTCCTTTTTATTCCCATATTTCCCTTCCTTTCTCTTTCCCTACACTCTCCAAGGGTGAGCTTATCCCCTCCTTTGGCTTAATTACTATTTATTGCCAGCAGCCATTAACACTGCAAACTTTTATTGAACGCCTTCTGTGTGCCAGGCATTCTTCTAAGAGCTAGGGATACAGTTATAGCTTAAATTATTTAGTGGTTTTATGCTTGTGAAATTTATTTTCAACTGGCAGTTATCACCAGAAAAATTCAAGTATCATTGTATATATTTATATTAACATAAAGTATGTGTTCTGAAGATGAGTGTTTAGGAAAGAATGAGTAACTATTAGCAGCTTGAGCCACAGACATTTCCCACGTCTCTTGACTTGGAGAGAGTAGCTCTTTGTTCTTGGAATTAAGGTAGCATGATTGATGAGAAAATAATTTTCCCTTTTGACACATATTGCACTGAGTAGGATGCAATTGGGAAGTCCTCTATGATGACAGCTATTAATGGCAGAAAATCTGCTTGAAGCAGATTCCAAGAGAAAATAACCAGGAAGTATCACCTTACTTTGTTTGGTCTGCTTGGCTGTCATACCTGCGTTGCTGGTTAAACTGGATCACTGTGAGCCAGGCTCCTGGACTTTAGATTAATTTTGATAGACTTTTTTCTTGGTCTGGGGTTGTTTGGTAATATTGATAGAGACTTTCGAGAGGAATAACTAGAAAAAATACCATGAAGCCATTTGTACACTTGAAAGCAGACATCTTTGGTGTTATTTATATTGAGTATATACTATTCCTTATTTTGGGTTATGTACGAGGACATTCTCGGCCTCCAGCAAATTCTAACCCTAGTGTAATTTGTAAAATTATTTGTCTTGGAAAAATACAGAAAATCACATTTTAAATTGTTATGTAGCTTTTATTTCCAATCCACTGAAGAACTGAAAAATCAACATAAAGCTATACCCCATCAGTGCTATGTATTTATTATTTCGACTATGTGACTTTTCCATTTGGAAAAGTCCATCTAAACCAAAATAAACAGTCAACATCTTTTCATAGACTGTTTGCTTCTAGACTTTCTGCATATTTGATATGTTTTGTTATCATGCTGTTTAGGACTCTTTTTCCTTTTGAATTGAAGACACCCAAGGACCTTGTTCTGAAACTACCCTCCATGAAAGCAGCTGGTGGTCTGTTGCACACACAAAGAGCCATTAACTTTGCAAAGCTCAGCCTCCTCTTCTTACATCCATGTTCTGCACTGTTCTCAAATGCCAGTCGTTACTAATTGTCTTCAACTGTGTCACTCTCTTGAGGGCCCTTTGGTATTAAAACCTACAGAAAAATTTCTCAATCAGACCCAACCCTGGTGATGGGTTTTGTTATGGGCCATTACTTTGAGTTTCCTTTTGTTTTCCTTGGTCAAGAAGTTGCCAGCTAACCTGAGAAGAAATACAGATGCATCTGTGATAGGAATGGGATAGAAAATAGGAGAAATTAATAATGTAGTGGAGTGCATCTTTGGGTGATGGCAATATGCAAACTTATAAAATTTCTCTGAGGCATAATAACTTCTGAGTATAGCAGAGTAGCAAGAGAGAGAAGGAACAAACTCTTACAGAAATACCTACCATGCACTTTGGGAGGCCAAGGCAGGTAGATCGCTTGAGCTTGGGAGCTTGAGACCAGCTTAGGCAACATGGTAAAACCCTGTCTCTACAAGAAATACAAAAATTGACCAGGCATGGTGGTATGCACCTGTAGTCCCAGCTACTTTGGAGGCTGAGGTTGGAGGATCACCTCAGTCCAGGGAGGTTGAGGCTGCAGTGAGCTGTGATCGCACCACTGCACTCTAGCCTGTGTGTCAAAGTAAGACCCTATCTCAACAAACAAACAAACAAACAAATAAACAAACACCTACCATGTAACAGTCTCTGTGGTAAGATTTTCCTAATTTTTCTCATTTATATCTCACAACAAAACTAAGACGTTACTATTATCCCTAACTCACAGATGAGAAAACTAAAGTTCAAAGATATGAAATGGCAGAGCCAGGATTTGACCCCAAATTCAAATCTAAAAGCTTAACTTGTTTCCAGTTTACTAATGTTAGGGCTCAGAAAAAAATACCCCAAAGTATGGTGCTTTGGCATCCTGAGTACTTTGAAAGCGGATTGGAGGGCCTGAGAAGCAGCCTGAGAAGAAAAGTTCTCTTGAACCTTCTCTTGCTTTCCTGTCTTTCGCTGTCTTTCTCCCCCAAAACAAGACATGGAAACCAAAATTCCTCTTCCCCAAGGAGGTCACAGAAGATAGAACCTCTCTCTCACAAAGCAAGCCATAAAACCTAGAAAGGTCACTCTCTCTCTTGTCCCTTGAAGACTCTTATTCCATAGGGGACCTGCCCATACCTAGGGGAAAGAATGCTACACAGAGAGGCCAAGAAGAATCTGAACAGACAGGCCTGGCCAGACTTCCTTCCTCAGTCTATTTTCATTAGATTATACCCTCTGTTCAATCACATTTCTACATGCTGTTCATTCTTCTTCGAATCTAAGCTTAAAAACAGATAGATTCTGCACCCCACCTGCCCCCCCATCAACCTCCTTTGATCTTTGGGTCTTCATTTCTTTCTTTCTTTTTTTTTTTTTTTGAGACCAAGTCTCACTCTGTCGCCTACGCTGGAGCAATCTCAGCTCACTGCAACCTCCGCCTCCCGGGTTCAAGCAATTCTCCTGCCTCAGCCTCTCCAGTAGCTGCGATTACAGGCGCCCACCACCACACCCGGCTAATTTTTGTATTTTTAGTAGAGACAGGGTTTCACCATGTTGGCCAGGCTGGTCTTAAACTCCTGACCGCAGGTGATCCACCCTCCTCGGTCTCCCAAAGTGCTGGGATTACAGGTGTGAGCCACTGCGCCCAGCCTGGGTCTTCATTTCTAAAGGCTCCCATGCTACATAAAATTTGGATTAAATACATTTGTTATGCTTTTCTTGTATTAATCTATTTTTTGTTGTAGGAGTGTCAGCTGTGACCCTTTTGATGGGAAAGGAAAGGCACCATACCTTTCTGCCCCGCTCTACAAACACCGTACTTTATATGGTATCCCCTGATTATTTCACGATGACTCAAGAAAGGGTGGGTCAAGACATCCCCACAAGTGCTTTAAATGTGACATTTGACCTCCGTAGGTGAAAATAACCAGAGGAAACACCCTCACAGAAAACCAGGAAAGCAAGTTAAGGTTTTCGAATGTCAGCCCAAGATACAGTCTTGACACTCAGATTGAGAGTCCCTATTTGCACTATAAAAAAATTGCCTCAAAACCCATGTCTTTCATTCTCCTATTATAACCATAATAATAATAATAACAATATTAACAATAATAGTAATTTTAGAAGGGAATCACTATGCTGGTTTTTCTGTGTGTGGAAAGAAAGGTGAAAATGCTGCACCTTGATGCTGTGGGTCTCCCCTCACCTTACACTAATTGGCTTCCGGAAGCTTTTTCTCTAAGTCTAAATTAGAAACACTCTACCTGGTGCTTTCAAAATGTGAAGATTCTTTTTGTTGTTGTTGTTAAGCAGTTCTTAAAAAAAAAAAAAGGAAAGAAACTTAATTCAAAGTTTAGTTTCAGTATGCTTGAATTTTAATCTCACATTTCTTAGCTGAGGCACATTTTTTCTTTTGGATCAGAAAGCACTCCTGGCTGCTATCGACAGTAAGAAATACCGTCCTGAGACAGATGTCTGTTTCCTCTGCCAGGCTGGTGTGGAAGCCGACCCATGTCTCCTCCCTCTGCTGAATATCGGAGGAAGCAGAAAGGAGGTATCAAGCTTTCCACCCAAAACATTTTTTCTCACCCTAATGCTCTTGCCATATCCAATGTCTTTTAAAATAGCAGCAAAATGGCTCTGAAAGTCTATGACGTCAGCCTGAGGTCGGTCCCTACGAGCTCTCTATTTATGAATTGTGCCTATACTGAGAGCGGGGCAAGCTTTGAATTAGGTCAGACCTGGATTTGAATCTCAGTCCTAATACCTTAATTAAGCAGCTTTGCCTTTGCATAGTTATGGAACACAGTGTAGCATAAGACCTTTCCTGAGATCTAGGAATTTCAATGAAGTCTCATAAACTAAAACAATGGGTGGTAAGTGCCCATACTTTGCAAGAAATGCTGACATTTCTAAGTAGACTTCCTTAGGAAGCAGCTAGACTCATCATTTCACAATTTGTCCCCATTGCCCAGCTTCATTCTATAAAAGAAAAAGTTAGGTGATACAGCAGAGAAGAGGAGGATTCATTGAAGGGCATAACAGGCTTAGAAAATGTCAGAGTTTTTCTCCAGTACTCCCTTCTTGGCCTCAATCTCTGGAAAACCATTGTTAGAGAAAAGGGCCATCTGATGGAAAGAAAAATGGACATTTCACAATCCTGTTGTTTGCTTTATGGACTAGAGCAGAGATCAGCGAACTTTTTTTGCAAAGAGCCCAATAGTAAATATTTCAGGTATTGTGGGCGTTAGGTCCTTGTTGCAACTATTCATTTCTGCTGTTGTAGAGTGAAAGGTGTCATAGATAATACATAAATATGGCTGTATTCGAATAAAATTTTATCCTCAAAAATAGACTGGTCAGATTTGGCCTGTGGGTCATAGTTTGCTGACCCCTGACTTACAGATTTATCCTTTAGTTCTTTTGGTTGGATCACAAATGAATTCCTGGAAGAATGTCTGATGGGTATATGGGAAAATAAAGACTAGAGTATCTTATGATGGCCTTGTTGGGAAAAATTGTAAAAGGTTTTGAAAGGAGCAAAAAAGATAACTGGGTCTTTTTAAATAGAAAGCTAGACATTTCCTAGAACATTCTCCATAGTTGTGTGATTTCCTGGGGTCTCTTTCATCCGCTTTGAGTAGCTTTACAATGCTGTAACTTATAGAAAACTGAGTAATGCAAATTATTCCTGTCCATAGACATGCGAGTGAACTTTGTCTAATGGAGAGGCGCTTGATTTCCCTCCCTTCTCCAAAGAAGCAAGTTTTATATCTAAGGAAATTATTTTTACTTCAGCATTATTAAGGGCCTAAGTGTAAATCTGCATTTTGGATTCTTTTTTGAACTGATTCTAACATCTTACTGGTTCCCTCATTAATTAATGACTTGCAGATAATCTTTATACATGCTCTTTTTTTTTTTTTTTTTTTTTTCTGAGATGGAGTCTCAGCCTGTCACCCAGGCTGGAGTGCAGTGGCACCATCTTGGTTCACTGCAACCTCGGCTTCCCGGGTTCAAGTGATTTTCCCTCCTCAGGCTCCTCAGTAGCTGGGAATACAGGTGCCCACCATCACGTCCAGCTAATTTTTGTATTTTTGTGGAGATGAGGTTTCACCATGTTGGCCAGGCTGGTCTCGAACTCTTGACCTCAGGTGACCTGCCCATCTCAGCTTCCCAAATTGCTCGGATTACAGGCATGAGTCACTGCGCCTGGCCTATGCATGTTCATTTATATTTATGTGAGAGTCATGATTTCATCCTTTTATTTATTATTTAATTTTTTTTTAGACATTTCATCCAGGCTGGAATTCAGTGGTGTGATCTTGACTCACTGCAACCTCCACATCCCGGGCTCAAGCCATCCTCCCACCTCAGCCTCCCAAGTAGCTGGAACTACAGGTGCACACCATCACACTCAGTTAACTTTTTAAATAGTTTTTGTAGAGATAGGGTCTCTCTGTGTTGCCTAGGCTGGTCTTCAACTCCTGGGCTCAAGCAATCCACCCACCTCAGCCTCTCAAAGTGCTGGGATTTCAGGTGTAAACCACTGTGCCTGATGATTTTATCCTTTTGAAAGCAATTATTCTTTAATAGCCAGGAAAGGAGAGAGGACACAGAGAAAGTGTGTTGGGCATCTCTTGTGCATCACTTCAGATGTTTCTTGGCCACCTACCTCTCACTCCAATCACTGCTGCCCTTTCCTACAGGTGCAGTGAGACAGGTCCTGGCCTCAGGCCCACACTGCATCCCCTTCCCTTCCTGGCCTTCGGTTTCTCTGATATAGTGACCCTGAACTCATTTATACTCAACTTGGAAATGTAGGGGGTTAATACCAGTGGGGCCACACGTGGTCAACCAGGAATGAGAGACAATAGATAAATGTTTTCCGCTTTCCTCTGCTTACCCGCCACCCCCAAACCCTGGCCACCATCCAACCAGCTCCGAGATGCATTTCAGAAAGGTCCATAGTTGGCCATGACAGGATGACCACCCCTGTCGTTCACTGGGGTCAACTTCATAAAGCATACCTGCCGTGGCTCTGCTTCCTTCTGTTTCTTTCTAGCTCACCTGCTCTCTTGCTTCCTAGGATTGTAATCCCAAGTTAACTACCTGCATGCAAGCCTCTGTCTCAGGCCCTACTTTTAGGGAACTCAGGCGAAGACATGCAGAGGCCTGCACTTGAATTGTTTGTTGGGACAAGGATTCACAGTGTTTCCTGGAGGCTAATTGACCCTGAGCAGGACAATCAAAAGTGAACGCTGTTGGAAAAATGCTGTCCGGGAGGAATGTTTGCTGGGACGACGGGGTCCCCACAGAAAGAGATTGCATATGGTGTACAAATAGAGCGTAAGGATTGAGGTGGAGTGAAAGAAACAAGCTTGAAATTGCATCCCTGACACTGGGGAAATGGTCTAGTGGGGAGATCTCTGAGGAGGAGATGAAAACATTTACAGTGAACCCCACAGAAGAGCCAGAGTTTGAATGACTGCTTTGCAAGAGCTATTAGGCATATAAAAAAGAACTATAAAAAAGCATCAGCCAAGAAAAAAGCTTATTCCACTTACTGCTCTTGACCGTGGAGGAGCCACAGCCAACAGGATGAGTAGGTGAGGAGCTGGATTAAGGACAGGGAGAGAAGAGACCATGCCTCCTCTACTGTCCACTCATGGTCTGAGAAATGGTGGGTTCAGATTAGGGGTACAGGACGGGAGAAGTTCTTAATTGCTAAAGAGATTGAAGTTTTGATTTGGACTGGATTGGATTTTTCTTTTTTTCTGAGACATAGTGTTGCTCTGTCGCTAGGCTGGAGTGCAATGGCGTGATCTTGGCTCACTGCAATCTCTGACTCTTGGGTTCAAGTGATTCCCCTACCTCAGCCTCCTGAGTAGCTGGGACTACAGGCACATGCCACCATGCCCGGCTAATGTTTTGTATTTTAGTAGAGATGGGGTTTCACCATGTTGGCCAGGATGATCTCAATCTCCTGACCTCATGATCCACCCACCTCTGCCTCCCAAAGTGCTGGGATTACAGGTGTGACCCACCGTGCCCAGCTGGATTGGACTTTTCAATATCTGAAAATGAAACTCTTTCAGTGCCTAAAAATGACTGAAAATCTGTAGAATCTACCTCAGGTATTGTCAATGAACAGGGAATGAAAAGCTGATGGTATTTAAGATGGTCTTTCTTGAGTTTGTCCCATTTGAGAAACCAGTTACAGCAGTGCTTTAACATCTCTGGTTTTATTTTTCCTGTCTTTAAGATGGGGATACCAAACCTATCTTATAGTTTATTTGTAAGGATTCAGATGCTTGGTGTGGTGTATGTTGACTAACTGATTCACTAAAAGAGAGAATGAAGGCACATACTTGCCCAGGCTGTGGCTGTTTTTAACTTCATGATGAGACTCCATTGGACAGATATTTTTACTCTTCGAGTGATCTCAACTCAAATGATCATCATCAAATTTTGCCACCTTCCAACTCTTACAGACTTTCTTGCTTTAAATACTGTCTAAATCATGAGTGTCCCTTTCTCAGGTAACTCAATTGGATAGATAGGATATTTTGATTGTGGCTTGGATGACATTGTTTCAGTTTCTGTATTATTCCATCAGGGTAGCCCAACACTTTTCCCATCATTTTTTCCTGATGCTCCTCTGTGTAGTTTCCCCATTGTTACCTAAGAACATTAAGGAACATTTCTGCCAAACTTAGCAACAGTATTAGTAAGGAGCAAGGGGCTGCAGTGGAAATTTTTTATTCTCAAATGCTCTACCCTGAAGAATTGACTGCTGGGAGCATATACGTAAATTTCTGCTTAAAGTCATAAGATGTTATTTGTCACTCAATCAAAATAAAGATGTCATTTTTAAGATGAATTTACAGAATTGCCAGAACTTAATTTTTCTGAGTGAAGCAGGAGATGCCTCCCTCTTTGCTCCACTGTGCTTCTGACTTACACTTTGTTCTTGTGTTTTTACCTTGCTGAGAGAAGCGTATGACAAAGGATTTTGTCTGGGGACTGTGGCCAAGTATGACTTGAGAACATTTTCCAAAACCTCCACTATCAACAGGAGATTATCTCCTCACCCCCACCTCTGCCATTGTCTCTTCCATCTGAATTTACTTTGTACATTTTTTTTTCCAGAAGAGAGAATAGTCTCATTTGGGAAATCATAAGAAAAAAATTCCTTCTGTGATGTTGGTGATTATACCAATTGCCCATAAAGCATTTACAGAAGAGCTATGCATATCCTGTCTTTAATTCCTGGAGTGTGCAGAGTCTCACCAGCAATAGCACATCTCCCACCAGGCTTGATCCAAATATGTGCCTGTCTCCTTTGAGGCAGAGAGGAAGTCTAGAAAATGACATGTCTATTTGGGTGACTGGTGACTGTGTGGAAGCATATATAGCAGCAAGTCTCCAGTAGGGTTGGCCTTTAGCAAAATATCCAAGTCACAAACATTTGGCACAGGTACATTTTGGTTATTATTTTAGCTTGCTTTTTTCTAAACCCAATCCCAACCTCACTTCCATGTGTCCCAAGCTGCTCATGGTGCCTTGCTGTCTTCTCAGTCCTGCTACCTTTAAGAGGATGGTGGCTGGCCACACAGTCGTATATACTTTGTTGGAAATTGCTGACAATATATTCTAAGGTTATTGTTTATACAGGTAATTAATTTAAACAGGTAATTATTTTTCATATACCCCCTTCTTTTTCTTTATATTATTTTAAATTATAGAAAATACATGCTTTTTGTAAAATGTTACACTGATACAGAAGAAGATACAATAGAAATTGAACATCCTCTTTTATCTTCTCTCTCACTCCTCAATCACACACTCTTACCCAGAAGTAACCACATTTAAGAATTGATGTCAGTGGTCTATACTTCCTTTTCAGCTATTGTTTTTGACCTTCTTTTACTTAATTGAATATTTATTATCATGCCTACGGGAAAATAGATGAACACATTTAGAATGATATCTCTTGAATGTGGATATTTATGTGAATATTAGCGCAGGTTTGGTGGAGGGTAAAGAGCTATACTGTACCTGAATTCTAGCTTCTTTTGAGAGCTTTCCATTAATTAGGACAGGCCAATGTTTCCCCAGTTACCATGGCTAACTCAGTGCTGACTATCATACAGATTGGTTTTACAGATTATAACATTGGATATCAGCTTTTAAGAAAGATTATTTTAAAGAGTTTCCTTGTATTCTACGGTAAGAGAAAGACCCAATTGGGAGAATAAGAATGAGGTAAGGAATCTGAACTGACACCAAAATGAAAGCCTGTGTGCGGTGAGAAGCATTCAAATAATTTTTTAATGAACTGGTTCCTTTGACTTATTTTAAGATCTATATGTAGGGGGTAATAAATGCATGACAGGAATAGAATAGATGGAAAAAAATCAAACGAGATTCTGCCCCATTAGTTATGACTGACAAGGAAAAGATAATAGCCAAAATGCAAATGGAGTTTGTTAGCAGAGGGAGATAATGATAATGGGACTTTTACAAATATATCAGGGAAGAAATAGATAAAAGTTTTAAAAAAGTTCAATAATCAGTAGAGATGGGCATAACATGAATGACTCTAAAATGGCTGAGCTTCTAGTGTTTAAATTCTGTAATTATGAAAAGAAATAAAGAAGGAGAGTTTAGACCACTGATGAATAATGAAGAAAATTACAAACATGGCTGCCAAAAATGCAGGTAAGTGACAGTCTGTACTTGGAACTTAGATATATCAGCACATCTGGTTGGTATGCCTCCTCTTGGGTAATACGAGAATTAGCTACTGTGTTTACCAAACTACTTATGATGCATAATTTTTATAAGATAATTGTGCTGATTTAACATGAACTAAATATCTAAATGCATTGAACTCTGGAGCTGCCAATTTTCAAAGAAAGAAAGGAGGGAAATTTGAGTAACAAATATTTGAAGGCACCAGCTCCATGGTTTTACTCTTTAAATTGACCCCTTTCCACTATTAGCTCAGAAGGCCAATAGTTGAAAAGGATTATGCATAATCCCTTATCTGATGTGAATTTAAGCTAAGAAAATGTAGGCGCATTCTTCATCTCATTTCATTCTCTTTCTTATTTGTAAAAAGAGAAAAAAGCTGTGTTCATTTATTAAACTCAGGGAAATAATATGGAAGATTGTCTAGTCTCCAAAGCATGTCTCCACAGAGGGATCAATTGAAATATGGGAGAAAAACAGTAGTGCTTCTCTTTGTCTCTTAATCTTCTACTTCTATTAATATATTCTCCAAAATGAGAAATGAACTAAATTTACTGAAATTTAATTTATTGGTTGGCTTGGATATATTTATTTCAGTGTTCCACAAAAGAGGAGATGTTGGTAGACGATTGATGATTTGCTTGCTTTCAGCATCTTGCAACATTTTATAGCCAATCTGTTAAGTGATTCTATTTTGTAAAAGTAAGCAGTTAATTTTTTAGAAATGGGGGTCTCACTCTGTTGCCCAGGTTAGGCTGCAGTGGTGCAGTCATAGCTCACTGCAGCCACAAACTCCTGGGCTCAAGTGATCCTCTCACCTCAGCTTCCCAAATAGGACTACAAGCATGTGCCACCATGCTTGGCTAACTTTTTCTTTTTGAATTTTGTAGAGATGGGGTCTTGCCATCTTGTCCAGGTTGGTCTCGAACTCCTAGGCTCAAGCCATCCTCCTGCCTTGGCCTCCCAAAATGCTGGGATTATAGGTATGAGCCACCTCTCCCAGCCTTATGTGGTTTTATAGACAATGTTACCTTGTGTGCATCTCAACCTTTAGATGGCGAGGTGGATTAAAAGCTTCTTGCAAAGATACCAAAAATAAAATATGTTAGTAACAATGATGTAAGCAACAGGCAAGCATCAGAAAAAAAGGAGACAGAGCTGACATTTTTGCTACCCCCTACAATATGAGTTCATGGTTAGCCACTTAAGAAGTAAAAGCAATGAGAATCTAATTATCTAATTCTTAGACATAAAGCTGCAAAATTTTCAAGAAGACCTTTTGACATGTGAATTTATACCCATAACAAAGGTATTAGCTACTAATAGTATGAAGTCGTCATGATTGGCAGAATGTTTATAAGTAGTTTTATCTAACTTTGCTATAGTTTGTTTTGTTTCAGTCCTCCAAATCTCATGTTGAAATTTGATCCCTACTGTTGTAGGTGGAGCCTAATGTGATGTGTTTGGGTCACGAGGGTGGATCTTTCACTAATGGCTTGGTACTGTCCTTGAGGTTGATGAGTGAGTTCTTGCTCTATTAGTCCCCCAGAGAGCTGGTTGTTAAAAAGAGGCCCCACCTCCCCCTTCTCTTGCTCCCTCTTTCTTGCTGTGTGATCTCTGCACATGCCTGCTCTTGTTTGCTTTCTGTCATAAAAGAAAGCAGCCTGAAACCCTCATGAGAAGCAGATGCAGGTGCCTTGCTTCTTGTACAGCCTGCAGAATGGTGAGCCAAATAAACCTCTTTTCTTTATGAATTACACAGCCTCAGGTATTTATAGCAACACACAAGTGAACTAACACACACTTTATTTCATCTTTTAAATTTTCTAAATTTGCTGCGTATAAGATGTATAAATAAGTATCTATATTTCTGGAATGCTTGCTAAACATTTATTGATGGCATGCTGAATTAAAAATGCTTGAAGATCACTGTATGTGAGAATGCATTTTAAAAAGAGTTGCTGTAGTGATTCCCCAAGGAGTGCTCTATAAAGTGTATGTGTGTTTATTACCTTATATGTCATATTTAGGTGTAAATTTCATGTACACAGTTTGCAATTGCTAAATTCCTGTGCCTTTCAATGAATTCTTCTACAGGTTGGTCATGGAATTTTCTGTTCTTCCATGGTGTGGAAATATGTGAAGACCAACCAAAAGCAGAGACTCTTTATTCAGAGATTGTTATAGCAAGGGAGTCAGCTACCATTGCCTGCATTTTAGCAAAGACTTAAAGGCAGGAAGAAGGGTAGGAAAGCTCTATAGTGGAAAAAAGGGAAGGGTTCAGGTATATTCTGACTGACGGTTGTTGGCATGGGGAAGTTGGTAGGCAGGCTAACTAGAAGTGGGGCATCCTATGTGATTGGTTAGGGGTACGTATTTGGCTTTGTCTGGTTGATCTTAAGTTAGAAATGGGGACAGAAATGAGGGAAGCTGTCAGGTTAACCAAATTCTTGCCATTTTTTGCTGTTATAGAAGTTATCATTAAGCTTCTTGGATTGTTACTAGAGATAGGAGTCTGACTTCCTACAAGTCTGATTTATATTAGGCTGGCTTCCTGGATTGCTTTTGATAGGTAAAGAGTTGGTTTCCTGGGCAGGTTGCTTCAGGTTGTGGGTCAGCATTCTACTTTTACTTATGGTCCAGCCATTGTTCATTTGTATATTTATCTCTCAGTGCCTGTTTAGTTTTATGATGCTCCCTCTATGACTCTGCTTAAAAATGCCTTCCAAGATTTTGCATTAGTACTTTCTGTTTTGACAGTTTGCTAAAAATTATACAAAATGATTTAAAATAATTTCCACCTTCTGAATGTTGCACAACGAAGACAATAGCGCTGAAATCACTGCTCTGGATACTGCTGGGTGCATGTTAATTCTTTCCAGCCTTTGGGGAAGTAGATCTACAGCATCTATAAAGCTCTGTTCCAGAGGGTCTCTGGGGTCTTCCTAATGCTGGGCCTAAGTAGAATAAGTGTGCTAAAAAAAATTAAGTATATTCCACTCACAGGTGCCCAGCTTCAACTATAAAGATGTTTATTCCAAAAGGCAAAGTTCTTCTCATTTTCTTAGGATAAATGTATCAAATTGAGATAAAAATTATATTGCTTATTAAGAAAAAAGAACATTTTAAAAATACCAATTTTAAAATCTATTGAAATCACCATGCACCTTGGTTCTTAAACAAGTATTTATTAAATTTTATTAAATATATTAAAAGTTTTAGCAATACTTTCTCATGAAAGGGAATTTGGAGCAAACAGAACAGTGAAAAGAAGATAAAAAGAGTTATGAAACCCAAAGGAATTCAGCATTATTTGAAAGTATTTCCTTCTAGTCTTTTTTTTTCTAGGTAAAGAATTTAAAAATAACATGTAAATAGAGCCATCGTTTTCCAAGTTTTGTTTTTTTTTTTTGTCTTCTTGCTCACTTCAACATATAGAGCATTCTGTTCTTACAAAAAAGTTCTACAAAGCATTCCCTGTAATTCTGCCCCATTCATCTTATACTCCTTATCTGGCTTAAGTGAGAAAATAAGAGGAGAAGGTAGCAGCTCACTTGCTAGAAAACCACATTGAATTGTGTCATTGTGTTTCTGTTCCCCAACCTGTAGACTCAGGAGGAATTAAGGGGAAATGATGTGATTAGCCTCTTTTCTATATAAGCCAAAAAAGATACATGCATATTCTATTAAGACTTCCCTGCTCTATCCTTCCCCTCTCCTACTGTTTCCACAGCAGCATGGGTCCTGAGGCTCACTTGTCTGACACCGCACAAAAGGAAAGAGGTAGTTGTACATTGATTCAAAAAGGGTGTGAAAATACCTGTATTATATGGGAAGACATAATATGCTTATAAGTAGGCCAAGTGTGGTGGCTTACACCTGTAATCCCAGCACTTTGGGAGGCCAAGGCAGGCGGATCACTTGATATCAGGAGTTTGAGACCAGCCTGGCTAACATGGTGAAATCCCATCTCTACTAAAAATATAAAAATTAGCCTGGCATGGTGGTGCGTGCCTGTTGTTCCAGCTACATGGGAGGCTGAGGCAGGAAAATTGCTTTAACCTGGGAGGTGGAGGTTGCAGTGAGCCAAGATCACGCCATTGCACTCCAGCCTGGGCAACAGAATGAAATCCTGTCTCATAAAAACAACAACAAACAAACAAACACAATAATAATATGCTTATAAGTAAACATATTTTGCTATTTAATTTGAACATGATGTCATTGAACACAGTATGAATTTTATTTTTGCTGGTATTTTCAATGCATGCGCTCCCTAACCTCTTTTGTCCCTGAGAGTTATTTTTACCTACTCTGGGATATGAAGGAGTGGTAAAAAGGAATTTAGAAATGTTGGATTTACTGTAGTTGCTGTGAGTTTGTCCTGAATTCTCAACACCTGGGGGTCCACAGCTTTTCACAGATGGATATCCTTAACCATCTCTAAGGAGGTGGTCAATATCTATCAACAGCCGTGGAGAAAGGGAACCATTCTTCTCCATGGGCCAGATAATTCTTTACCAGCACGTCTCTGAAAGAAGGGGTTTAGGTAGTGATTGTTAATGCCCTTTGGAGATAGGGTGGGGCAGGATGAGGGTGGGTTCGTGGATCAAGTATTATACTCTAATCTGGTTACCTTGTATAACACAGGAGACCTCACTACCAAAGCATTAGGTGAGGAGACAGGATTCTAAAACTTGTAGAAGTGAATTTCATGGAAATTTTGATTTTTTGTTATGTACAGATTAAAAAGGAACTTCAGAGTTATGTTTGTCACCCAGAGTTAATAAACATCTGGCCTCTATTTAGTCTTGGTCATCAGTCTTAACACCAAAAGGCAAATGTCAACTTAAGGCAACAACTGAAAAAGCATTCCACAGTTCTCTGTACTACTTTTCTTCTCTAACATCTGTCCTTTCTCGCCTTCATTTTCCACAACCCATAGCTATCACCTTTATAGGAATCCTCTCCCCCACCTCAATTCTCTTTGCTCCCTGTCTCTTGCATTTCACAGAATAGGCTACTCCTCAATATGGAAATAATGACATTCAGAGAACTCTTTGCACTTTGCCAATTTTACACTCTATCTGCTCAGTGAATGCCAAAGCTTCTCTACCTCCTGATTTCTGCTGCCTCTGTAGAGGTCTTGAGGGGCGAGAAGATAAAAGGGGAGTCAAACTTTTGACTCTGGACTGTAGTTAGAGTTTATCTAATTTTTGTTACTTTTCTTATGGTCTGCTTGATAATTTTTCTTTTCTCTTTCTCAATATTTTTATCTTATGCAATGGGAATTAATAATCTTGACTTAGATCATATAATAAGAGAGCATTATTCATTCTTCTTGCTTGCTCTAGGAATGTATAGAACAAAGCTTTCCTACAATGATGGAACATGAAGGGCACCTGCCCAAATCATTTCTCATTTTATTAATCCATAGGAGTTTCTAGAATGCTGCCCTAGTCTGGTAATTCTGAAAAGAGTTTCCATGAATATTCAGGAAGATTATCCTACTAGTATAATGGTAATTGTTAAGTATTTTCTATGTTAGAATATTATTAACATCTTTTGTTTCAGATTATATCCCATTCCATCCACATTAAATAATTTGCTAAACATTTCAAATCATAGCTAATTTTAGGTTGTGGCCAATTAAATCATTATACGTAAAACTTCTCTGAACATCTTGGCATCCCAGAACAGAAAAAGTTTTCTAATAAAAAGAGGCCCTGCAAATACATAGTTCTTTTATCTTTTCCTTTTTACTGATCTTTAAAAATCGACATAATACATTTTTCAGTATTATGTTATTAAAAATAATCCAATTAATATGTTTCATTATAATACCAAAGGTCAATGAATACTTATTCCCTCCACCTTGTCTTTCTATTTGTGTATTGTGTTAGTATTTAATAGAACATGTTAGTGAAACTTAATTTCTTATTTATTAAATTAAAAGTACATTCTTTTAATTGAAAATTAGTTAATGTGGCAGTTAAATAGTGAAATGTTAATTTGAAGAAATAGACTGAATTATGTGATTACTTTCTTGAATATATTTTCTGAATTGCTTACAAACCGAAAGATATTATATTAAATTCTTCTCCAAAGGATTACACCAATGGGTAATTTCAAAATCTGAACCAATTTATGTAAAAATAGAAATAAATTAAGATTCTGTTTTGAATCATCTATAAAATAAAAAGGAATTATTATTATTACTTCAAAATTTTTATACCCATTAACACTTCTAGTAAAAGTGCTTAATCTCTGCATATTTCCTTATAAAACTTAGTTTAATTTTTGAGAAACCTGGCCAATAAATATAGAGAGTGGGAAAGTAAATCATTTTTAGGTTTTAATTTGACACCTAATCAAATATGTAATGATCATCTGTGTTGCACAGAATAAAAAGAAATGCGAGGTAAACTCACTGCATTCAAAGAATAGTCAAAATGAAAGAGGCAAAACATAGACTTTTACAATGTTAATTAATTTATCTAAACCTCAATTTAATTGGAGAATTGGACCATCTGAGTGTCACAAGTAATACTATATAAACACAAAAATTTTAATCAAATTTGATGATGAAGTATAATTTGATAAACAGCCTAATTGTTTTGGGAGTGGGCTAGGGAGTGTGTCAGGGAGAACTCCTGAGAGACAAGGGATTTTTATTCTATCCAAACCTCCCTCATCAGTGGCTACATGGAGAACCCATGGAAGGTGTGTAAAGAACAAAGCTTTCCTACATGGACAAACTATGAAGCATGTCCTGCCCAAATCACTGTTCTTTTCATCAAGCCATAGGATGGCAATTGTGCAAGGGAGTTCCACAACTATTTAGGAAGGTTATCCTGCAAATATAACACAGACCATAAGTATTTCACGATCTGCAGCTTCTCCAAATCAGTTTGGAGCACACGAGTCCTGGTCAGTGAATAATAATAATGGAAGACTATCTTCAGAGAAATATAGAAAATCTGACAGAGGTTATTGCAATTTAAGCAAAAGTACCATGAAATTTATATGACAAAGATGAACAAGCATAAGGAGCAAACTTCATTTTCACTGAGTGTAATGGGTTGAATGGGTCAGATGCCAAGACAGATATACTAAGAAACATTGGGGAAAGTGTCCGGAATGATAAAAAAGATAGGGAACAGATACAAGTGGAGAAAGCCTTCAGATCATAATAAAGGTTTGACACCTATGAAAGGAGAAAGGGAGGAAAAGAACATCACTTTGAAAGAGCCTCAGACTGCGGAACACACGGTGTTGGAGAAAATCTCAACCAGGCATAGAGCCAAATCAAGGCAGAGGCTGACTGTGCCAACTCCAACCATAAAGAATGAAGACATTTTAAGTAAGATCAAAAGTAAATTACACACGAAAGCTGCTTGATTTTGCAGTAGCAAAAAATTACAAAGGGAAAGGAAATATATTTTAAAGACAGATGATTGGGATTTCAGTTTCTGGCAATATGTGGCAGACTAGATGGAATAAAAATAACAATAACAAGAAAATCTTGGGCTATAAAACAGCTGAAACTGTTTGGTAAAATATAACAAAGGCATTTCTAAATGAAGAACTGAGCACTGCAGAAACTCAAAGGAGTCCTAGGGACCAAAGATGAAAAGGAGCCTGAGGAACTGAGCTGAATGTGGGAGTTAACTTTTGACTGCCTTGGGTTGGAGGTGGAGTGCTGGTTCTGAAAACTATGGGCATATATTTTAATGACCACCAGGAAGACAAGAGGAGCTGAATCTCTGGTCTATGTAAGGAATGGAAATAGAAGAGAAATGGACTTTATCTTAAATCTCGACATATAGAAGCCTAACAAGAATTACCCAAATGACAATGGTGTAGGGGAAGCCAACTAAGAAAATGTAAAGAAATGAATACCAAACTACAAAGCTACCTATCAGCCCAAGGAGAGGGGGAGAACAATCTTGTTTTTTGACTTGTGTTCTTGGTGGGGGGAAAAAGTGTGATTTCATAATTATGGCTCTACACTCAAGTAGGTTTGTTACACTACTTTTACAATTTTGTAATCTGCAAGTCAAGAATTTATGGTCAACATCAGTCTGGGTCTGATGATATCTCTTGGTGGTCTGACAGAGGCAAACACAAAAGATCTGTAGGGGAATGTAGGATTGAGGAAGGCTGAATGGAAAGGAATGGGATAAGATACGCAACGGAAACATTAACCTGGAGTAAGCTGGTATAGCTACATTTAATTCTGGCCAAGAACATCTTTAGGGTTAAAAGGATTACTAGACCTGGTGCAATGGCTCATGCCTGTAATTCTAACACTTTGGGAAGCTGAAGCAAGAGGACTGCTTGAGGTCAGGAGTTGGAGATCAGCCTGGACAACACAACGAGACACCATCTCTAAATACTACTACCACTACTACTACTACTACTACTACTACTACTACTACTACTACTGCTACTACTACTAATAAATTAGCCGTGTGCTGTGGCATGTACCTGAGGTCCTAGCTGCTTAGGAGGCTGAGGCGAGAAGATCACTTGAGCCCAGGAATTCAAGGTTACAGTGAGCTGTGATCTCGTTGCTGTACTCTAACTTGGTTAACAGTTCAAGACCCCATCTCACAGAAAAAAATTTCAGGAGATAATATGTGCTATGAAAAATAATGAAATAGTGTCAGAGGAGAAAGAAAAACAATACAGGGGTATTACTTTTCATAGGGTGGTGAAAGAAAGCTTTTAAAAATACGATGACATTTGAGCTAAGGCCCAAAGGAAGGGCAGGAATAAGCAATGTAAACATATGAAGGAAGATCTTTCACAGCATAGGGATTACCAAGTGCAATGTCCTTCAGGTAAGAGTATGCCTAATGTGTTCATGGGACACCGAGGAAGCCAGTGTGATAGGAGTGGAGTTTATCGTGCAGAAAGTGGCAAGAAATAATGTCCAAAAAGTCACAGGGGTCAGATTATGGAGACCTTGATGGCCATTTTAGCAATTTTGGATTTTATTTTTCAGGGTGAAATGGAAAGTCTTTGTGTGTTTTGTTTTAAAAGACTTACTTGGGCTGTAGTACAGAGTTTGGACTGTTTGGAGGGCAAGGAAAGAAGCAGAAAGACCAGTCTGAGTGCTATTGCAGTGGTCCAGATGAGACACAACTGTGGCTTGGACCACTGGAGGTGAGGAGAAGGAATCGGGTTCTGGGTAAATTTCAAAATAGAGTCCATGGGATTTGATGTGAGAGAAAAAGGGGAATGCAGATAATAACCTCACGAATTCTAATTTGAGAACCGGAAAAATAAGAGTTGTCAGTTACTGAGAAGGAGAACAGCAGAGAAGTAGCAGGTATGGGTGAGAAAATTAAAAGTTGGACATGAATACCTAATAAAGAAAATGATGTAATTTCAAGGAGCAGAGGATAATTTAACAGTCATAGTGTGGATTGTAATATACTTTTCCCTTTAATGTACTGATCAAGTAGACAAAACTTCAAGTATAAAAGATCTGAACAGTGCCATTAAGAGGTTTTATTTAATGAAAATATATAGACTCCTGCAAGCCATGGTGTCTTTTAAAATGTGCATACAACATTTACAAAAACTGTCCACGTACTGGACCAGAAAACAAGACTCAACAAATTTCAAAGGATTGGTAATCCACAGATTACTTTAACCACAACACAATCAAGGAATAAATCAACAGCAAAAGAGAACTAAGGGATAATTAAAAGAAAGATAGCAGGCTGGAAAGAAAAGGACTTTAGAAAAATGAAGTATCACTAACAGTATTTTCAAGAAGCTGTAGCTGTGTCTGAACAAGCTCAATGTCTTTGGTTATATCTGGGGTTGGGATAGGCTTTTCATCTCACCTGTTCGTGATTAGGAGTTCCCTTGAACAAGGCTAATTTTGGTTTTCTTCAGGAACAAGTCAGGGATCCCTGTAACTTGGGCAATTCACTTCAGGGTGATTCATTTCTTGGAATTTGTAAATCTCTTAAGAATTTTTTTCTTCTTACACTTGTCCTAAAATCCACATCATTTTAGCTTTCCAAAAGTAGCTATGGTCGTTGGACCCACCAACCTTTTTCTGTACAGGCTTGAGTGTCTGGATGGTTCTTGGAATGCTAAAGTTGTCCTGAATTCAAAGATATGGCAGAAGACAGGGGCCTCCTTGGGTGATTCTGCTCTAGGTGTCAAGGACTTATCCTTCCCTGCTGTGTAACTGGCACACATGGTTGTGTTAGGAAACCAGCCATGAGCTGGTCCTGACTTGCATAGCTCCCTTAAGCTACTGTGACCATCTTAGAAACATGCACCAACAATGCATAAAGTGAAGCTCTGTAGCTTCCTGCGATGCCTGGTCCTCTTTCCGAACTTACCCCTGCTCAGCTCCAGCTCTTCACTTCTGCTTCTGGTCTTTCTGGCTGTGGACTTTCCTCTTCATACCCCATAGGGTAGATACTGTTGTGTTTCCACATATAACATTGAAACATCCATTGATTGGCTTCATGTGTTTGATTTTTATTGTTCCTTTATACCATGTTTTTCTTCAATTAAACATCCCTCTCTAGGTAGTTTCAGTCCAGTGTAGGAATCTGTCTCCAGTACTCCCGGGACCTGGGCTGAAGGTGAAGAGCTCACAGCAGACAGACTGGAATCAGGGCCTATGCAGATTGGGATAGTTATTCTATAGTTTTCTAATTAGGGTTTTTTTCCTGACTATAAAAGTAACAAGTAATTGTAGGAAATTGAAAAATAAAAAGAACATAAAGAAGAAATTAAGCACTCTTCTAAGTCAGTGGGTATCCCTTGTTCAGTGGGTATTCCACTTCTAACACTCAGGGGTATCCTTTGTTAGCATTTTGGTGCATGGTGTTAACAGTTCCTACTGAAGCTTTCTATGCATATAAATTACTAAATGAATGGATTTTTAAAAGAATTTAATTATACTCTGTGTACAGAGCTTTAGGCTACTTTTTTTCTTTAACATAAATGCATATTACCCCAAGTTTATAAAAATCTTCATAAACACAATTTTAAATGCTTGTTTAATATTTAAGCATATGTATAGCCTTTACACTTAATATTTTGTTGATAATTTTAAAATTTGTGTTATTTTTTTCCTGGGAGGCTTGTATTTTTCCTGATGAAACAATGACATTTGCTAGTATTATTTATTTTTTATCATATTTTCTAAAGTCAGTGTCTTAGATATCTAATTATTTTCCTTTCAAAAAAGGAATAATGAACACTGGTATTCTTAAAGGAAATATAATTTTACCTTTGTGAAAGAATTCAATTATTTGAGTTTCCTATCATGAGTAAATTAGCTTTGGATATTTTTAAAGATTCAGGGTCTTATTAACTTAACAGAGTAACAACTAAATCTCCAAATCCTTTAGGAATGAGACATAATATCTCAGGAAGGCCAGAAAAGCAAAATTTCAGCTTCACTTTCCATTTCTAGGGATAGTAAAAATCACACTTCTAAAAATATTCCAAATGCTTCCGGACCAACAAATATCTCCTTTTATAAATGATTATAAACTTGAACAGAATAATTTTTCATTTCATCTCTTTATCTCCACAATATTCAGCCCAAGCTCCACCATTTGCTGGTTGTGAGTTTTTGGACAAATTATTGAATCTCCCTAATCCTCAGTTTCCTCATGTATAAAAGGAGTAATAATTGTACCTTCCTCATTGGGCTGTGGTAAGGATTAAACATACTATGCACGGTGGCTAGCCTGGATCATTGAATTTTAGATATTATTAATATTGTTGTTATATTATTGGTGGACATAGCCAAACATGATAGTTAATATTGTGGACTCTGGTGTAAGGGTTGTTGGTTCAAACTTGGCCTGCCACTTACTAGTTCTGTGGCCTTGGAAAGGCATGTAACCTCTTATGCCTCAGTTTCTCATTTGCAAAAAGGATATAATAATATTATCTACCCCATGGCATTTTTATGAGGAGATATATATATGTGTGTGTGTGTGTGTATATATATATATATATATGTGTGTGTATATATATATATGTATAGATAGATTGATAGCACTGAGAACAATGTCTACTAATTGCTATCTAAGTGATTGTTTGACTGAAATAAAATGCATAATACATTTTTAAAGCAAAAAGTGAATGGTGTAATTATAAAACAAACTAAATCATGTCACTCCATCTTCTTACATGTGCCAATATTTGTTTTTCTCTGGAGTGTTCAGTAACCAGCTGAACTGCAAAATCTGAGATTGTTAGCCTGAAGGGTCCTCAACTTGACCAATATCCAAGGAAGCACTTGTAGCACTGGTAGGGTGTGAGGTTACTGCTTCAGAATCATCAACATCTGAGATGAGTCAGCGGATGCCTACTTTTAGATTCTTCAGTAGAGCCCACGAATAGTAGAGAAGTATCATGAATAGGTGGCCTTCTTTCTATATGTTTACGGGACTATTGCCATTCTTTCAAGTACAGAAAGGTAGTTGTGGATTAGAGAGATGAATTTGCTTTTAGGAGATTCAATGTCTTGGACTGTTCCTGGGCAAAAAGGAGTTCATGTAGAAATGAAAGTTAAACAATGCGATTCCATTCCTCCTATACTAATACTCTTCATAAAGTATGACCCAATAGAGTAGAAGACTTTCAAGCAAAGGAATATTATTTTTCACAAGGCAAATGAACATTTGGATTATTTCCCTATGTTGTAGACATCTTAAGAGTTCTTCAGATGAGGTCCAAAGTGCAGCAGAACATAATCATCCCACTTGGAAGACAGCCATGGAATGGGATGACTGAATAAATACTACCATCTAGCATCATTTCTCTCAGGCTTTAGTAGGATGTGGGCAAGATTGGGGAGGCATTTCTTGCCAAAATCTAAAGTTAAACCCAGAGAGAAGGCAGTCTAGTTCAGGGGCCACTGTTCCTTCATTATGAACCTTCATGGACTATTATTTATTTATTTATTTAAATGATAGATTTAGGGAGTAAAAGTGCAGTTTTGTTACATGGAAATACCGCATAGTGGTGAAGTCTGGGCTTTTAGCCAGAATAGTGTACATTGTACCCAATGCTAGTATTTCATCCCTCACCCCCACCATCCCACCATTGCACCCTGCCACGTCTCCAATGTCTATGATTCCACCCCCTGGGTCCATGTAATTTCATTGATTACTTTAAAATTGTATTTTAATTGGTAGGAGGCAGAGTTGGTTTTGAGCATCTATAATTTGAAAATGTGACTGGAAATGTGATAGTCAGTTTGCATGGATAGGAATATACTTTTGCTGCTGGCCTTTTCTTTAATATATTATTCTGCTGACAAATTAGGGCTATTAAAAATTCCTTGCAGTAGAGGCAGTTGATTATTTAAGGTAAGACTGTGGATACCTCTGTCAGCCTTTGACAGAAGACACAAACCATAATTCGCAACCTGTAATGTAAACCTTGAAACAACTGAGTAACTTAACAGACTTGAATCAAGCATAAACAATGAAGTGGTTTGAAAGGGTTGGTCTCCCTAAAATGTCACGTTCCATGGAAGAATGCTTTCTCTATTTGATCTGTCACTAGAGCTCTCAAAACATGACACTCCTTGAACACAATATACTTTCATGATAAACTAGATTAACTTTCCCAGTACAAGTGAAAGGCCACCTGTTGCCAGAATGGCCATATTCCTCGTTGGCTGTCTTGTAGCTGTCATCACTTCAATGCAATCTGCAGCCGACATGCTGGAATATAATGAATATGTCAGAAGTTGGAGGTCAGCCATCCAAGTACATGAAAACTTGGCTCGCCTACAGTGTCAGCATGGAGGCCTCCCTATCATCTTGTGCAAAGGATTTCTGCACCACTTGATTTGTTTGCACAGGGTTTGTTGCTGTTGGATGGGGCGTATTTCTGAGAGGCTTTTTGACAGCCCATTCAAATATTTTCAGTGTGGAAAAACAGGGCTTCTGGTTTCAAGCTCTTCAAATAATAGGTGTTGTGAAATGCTGTGGAAGCTGATGGTGGTGGGGATCTGTTGTTGGTTTTAGTGTAAAAACACCCATAGAGACTGTTAGAAGTGTTTTGGTTGGAGTGGAGAGGAAGATGGGTTGGAAGATCAGAGCTACTGAGGAGATCTCAGTGGTGCTCAATTCCTACCTTCTCCTGCCCACCCTTCACTTTCAATGGTATTGGGTCATGTGGACCACAAGTTCTAGGCACTGGAAGGTATAAAATAGCACATCATTTGTAGTTATATGCTATACATTTACTATAGAGAGAGTGCAATATGCATCTGTTTTCCCAGGCCACAACGCTGAGGAATAATGAGAGGCTTTTGTTCACTCATGGCATGTCTGTTCTTTCCCTGTTTCTTCTCCCAGTAAAGTCTGCTTTGGCTAACAGCACCAGAAAGAGGCCCTCTGAAGTCTTGGTCAGTGTAATTAAAGGATCATGAGTAATTCCACTGGCTGAAAGTAAGAGAGTTTAAAAGAAGTCTTAGCTGTTGTGAAATGTTTGCCCCAAACCTTTAAAGATGAACTAAAAGAATTCTGTCCTTAGCTGTAGCTAGGGCAGAATTTCTCAGCCTTGGCACTCTTGACATTTTGGATCAGATAACTCTTTGTTATTGGGGGCAGTCCTGTGCATTTTAGGATGTTTGGCACCTGCTCAGTCATGACAATGAAAATATCTTCACATGTCCCAAATTGAATATCCCAAATGTCCCCTGGGGCCCACTGTGGGGCAAAATTACCCTCAGTGCAGAACCACTAAGTTAGGGGCATACAAAGATCCTAAAAGGATATTACATTGAAATATCATAAAGAAGCAAATTATATGCATAAACCCATCCTCCCAACTTTACCTCCTCAGTTTTAACATTGAAATATCAACTGAAAAGGAGGAGGATGTTTATTGTACTCTACCCCATAATTCACATTCATACATCCTAAGCGTGCAAGTTTGGGTGGCCAAGGATGCAAGATCATCTGTTTGTTTTGGTAATAGCAACAAGATTAGTTCTCATATATTGAGAAACTGAGCCATGTGCTAAGTCACCTGTGTGTGTTATTTCACTTGCTCCTCATGACAAATGTAGGGTTAACTATATTATTACCATACTTTCTTATCAGATGAGTACACTGGAGTTTTGAACATTTAAACTGCTTTCCCAAGCTTGTACGGTTTGTAGGTGGCAGTGGTTTCACCCAGAGCCTGTATGTTGAAGTCCTTCTGCACAGTTCTCCCTCTGTGGCTGAATCACAGTGGAAGGAAGCCTGCTCCTGGGGTCTGAACTGTTATTGGTCCTCAACAGCTGATGCTCAGCAGATTTCTTTCTAGCACTCTCACATAATTTAGGCCTCAATGAGTCACATCCTATAATCGTTTTATGAGAACAAAGTGGCAAATAGCTAATTTAAAATTATCCCTGTCAAAAGAAGATAAGAAAATTACGTGTGGGTTTGATAAAAAACATTTTATATCTCTTCTAAAACACTTGTTAAATTTTATCGAGCTGTGACCTTATAAACTTAGACCTATAATGTATCAGCAAGCTACATGCTCACTAGGAATCCAAATCCCCACTCAATATTCACTTTGCATTAATTAACTCAGTGTTTAATTTTGCTGTTTGTTTCCATCATCTTTAACATTATCGACATGTGGTGACAAGGAGAAATATTTGACTACCGCATTACCTTTTTTTTCTCTCTCTTGTTCCGCTAGTGGAGGTTTAAAAACTAGTGAAATGGTCAAGAGTCAAAAACATTGAGCAAAATAAAACAATGAAAACAGAGGCACCAATTAATCCACAGCCTGGAAAATGAACTAACAAATTTGCCCTCATCTGTGTTATCTTAGTCCAATGCCAGAGTTCCTTTCCTCCTCTATTTATACATTTTTAAAATCTTCCCTTCAGTTTATCTCCATTTATCATGCTACAATTCCCCAAGTTGGATATAAAAGTAATGTAGGAAGAGACTTTCCTCTCAGTTTCTATTTTAATCTGTGCATTAGGCCATTTCTTCATTAGTAGTTATTAGACACTCAGCAAATGTTTACTGTCATAAAGAGCTCAGTTGACAAATCAGAGTAGAAAACACATCAAAACAGAAGAGATAGACAAAACTTAGCTATATGGAAAAGAACTCTACTGCCATTAAATGGTGCAGGACAGAAAGAATGGTGAATTGTTAATGCTGTATTTCACGGATTCCTTTTTAAGAACTCTTTATCATGGAGAATTTCAAACATATACAAAATTAGAAAGAATAGTAAATGAACATATACTTGTCACTCAGCCCCAAAAACCAACCATCCATGGCCTTGACTGCATTAGTTTTCTATTAAGATGAAATGAGTCATCCCATATTGTAGCAGCTTAAAAAAAGTACATCTATTATTTCACAGTTTCTGTGGACTTGGTCTTTGCATTGGGCTTATTCGGGTTCTCTAGCTGTGGTTCTCTCACAGGCTGCAGTCATGTCAAGATTCACCTGGAAAGGATCCATTTCCTAGGCCCGATTCAGTTCCTCATGAGTTGTTGGCTGTAGACCTCCCTCTGTTCCTTTTCACATGGGCAGCTCTATAGAGAGCATCTCACAATATGGAGTTTGCTTCATCAGAGTGCCAACAAGAAAGAGAGAGCAAGGGAGAGCGAGCAAGACGGGAAGATTCAGTCTCACGAAAGAGGTACCTGATCGCCCTTGCCATATCTACTCCTTGGAAAAAAGTCACTAGGTCCAGCCCACACCCAAGGGGAGGGGATTACATGCCAGGAGGCAGGAATCCTTGGAGGCCACTTCCGAAGTCTGCCTGCCATGCCTCCATTCATCTCTACCCTCCAACATTATTTTAAAGCAAATCCCAGATATCATGTCATCTCTTCTGTAAATATTTCAACATACTTGCCTAAAAGATAAGGGCTCCTTCAAAAAATACATAACCAAATATGTCAAAAATATTCTCAAATATCCAGTGTTCAAGTTTTCAGTTGTCTCATGACTACCATGATGCATTGAAATTGATTATGTTTTAAAAATATATGTGAAGTCACTTTTAATCTATTATTTCTCTCTTCTCTCTTGCAATTTACTTGTTGAAGAAGCCAGCTTGTTTGACCTGCAGTTTCCTGTAGTCTGGGTTTTGCCAGTTGGATCCCTGTGGTGTTCATTTATCATGTCCTTTATATTTCCTTATAAATTGATAATCATTTATTTTTAAGATAGCATTTTTCACAAATTGAAATTAGGACACATCTTATCATCAATGGCATTGTATTATAATTTCTCAGGTGCCAGTTATGATACTGTTGTCATTGCCCAGCCTGTGCAAACTTGTCTTGGCTATTTATATTTTTATTGCATCAATTGAGTTGTGTGGTATTACGTGTGCTGAGTTTAAATGCCATATATTTTTTTTTTCAAAAAGATTATGCTATGATTATGTATTGAAAGGAAAAATTACTGTGTGTGCAGAAACACAGAAACAGAATAGAGGGGTATAAATTTGATATATTCATGACTGGACCTCAATAACTCCTTGACATTGGTGACAGCAAGCCAAGTAAGAACATTTGAGAAAGGAATGTGTGTCCTGATATTGCCTGAAAAGATCAAGGAAGCACCAGTATCAACACTTGCCAACTGGGTGTCAGTCCTTTGGAAGAAAATTCCATAGTCAATAGTGGAGTATTCTATCGTGTATTATCTTTCAACAAAATAGTATAGAAAAACATAGAGAGACTATTTAAAAAATCATAGAGGCCAGGCGCGGTGGCTCACGCCTGTAATCCCAGCATTTTGGGAGGCCGAGGCGGGTGGATCACGAGGTCAAGAGATCCAGACCAGCCTGGCCAACATGATGAAACCCCATCTCTACTAAAAATACACAAATTAGCTGGGTGTGGTGGCGTATATCTGTAATCCCAGCTACTCAGGAGGCTGAGGCAGGAGAATCGCTTGAACCCGAGAGGCAGTGGTTGAAGTGAGCCGAGATCGTGCCACTGCACTCCAGCCTGGCCACAGAGCAAGACTCCATCTTAAAAAAAAAAAAGAAAAAGAAAAAATGAAAAAGAAAAACATAGAAAGACTAATTTTAAGGCATATCATTGGTGATTCTCTGTATAAAAGTGATTCCTGCTGAATTTTTTCCTTAGAATTTTTTTTCAGAATATTTATTGGCTTTGAGAAATATTAAGTGAAAGTGATAAGAAACAGCGTTGCAGAATCAATATTATCCTAATTGACACCCAGGGAGAAGATTGGAAAGAAATATATCAAATTGCTACTAATGATGAGATTCTGGGACACTTATTTTTTCATTTATATTTTGTTTTTGTTTTTCTGGATTCATTATAATAAACAAGGATACTGTTCAAAACCAGAAGAAAACCCCACAAACCCCAGCAAATATTATTTTTGTGAAGGCACCATGTCAGAAGACTAATATGCCGGGTTGTGGGATGGCTTTTGTGAGAGAAGCTCTGGATGTCCTCAGGCTCACAGACTGGGGGTGAATTATATTTCTTGACTGTGGAGGCCCTTGACAATCTTTGTGTCAATGGACCCTGCCTCTTCCTGCTTGTGAAGCAAGCAACCTGTCCACCCCTGACTCTGGCAGTCTTTGATGCTGACTCATGAGGGATTTTCTCCAATCCTTATTGGTTGTTTTCCAGATTGCCCAGGTATAATGTTCTGATGATGAGCTTGGGTTCTTTCCATGAAGATTTTCTGGGTTCTTTCCATGAAGATTTTTTTTTTTTTTTTTGGTAATGTCTTAACTGGTAGCATTTTAGCTAGCACTTTCATTGTTTTGGATACAGAGGAGTCTGGAAAAATAAGTTTTAAGAAATAATTTCAATAAGTATAAAATAAAAAAATGTAAATAATAAGAAGGCATTTTTATCAGTTTAATTGGTAAGTTTTTTTTCCTTGGTGGCTATTAAAATAACTGTGTGTTTTTCAGCTAAGTTATCAGGTTTGATGAAATATATTAATAATAACAAAACTAAAAAAAAAAAAAAGAAAAAAACTGAATAAATTCTCTCCTCTACAGCTAAGATTAGGAGATTTGGGGATTTATCTCTTTCTTCTCTCATCATATGTCTTTTCTTGTTGATAATCTCACATTTCCTTGACAGCAGACACCATAAGTTGCTAAATACATCATGAACTGAATAACAACAGCTTTTCAGAAAAAAATAGGTACCTATAAAGTTGCACAACTTTCTTTTTCCTGACAGATATATATTCTTCAGTTCATAAGTTTGGTTAAAGCATAAGCTTTTTTGCATTTAAAGTCCAAATATTCTCCTGGGTCTATTTGGACACCGTCCATGGGATCATGGTGACTTCTCCACTTCTCAGAACCTGAGTTTTATAGTCTGTTCCTCTTTAGCATGTTCAGGAACAAAAGACTAATTTCAAGGCATATCACAGTATTTCAGGCTTCATGAACAGTTCCCATGTGGTTAAAATCATCATTACATTTTTTTTCCTTTTAATTGAATCACATATTGATGGACATTAGACAGTTCTTAAGAGTCAGCTGGGAATTTCTGATGGATGGATGATGGTATCAGAGTGATAGTCATTTAGGATTCAAGAACAGACATCATCAAACCTTCATAGTTTTAAGAAACACATGCCCATCCTAAGAGATTTGGCAATTGCTATTGCATGTAATTGTGCTGCACAGAGCACGATAATTCTGCAAAAACAATACTCATTTGTTTCTCTGTAAAATTTCATATGTTCTTTTCGAAGACATTTTAAATGACAATTGAAATCCAAATTTTAAAAAAGGTTCAACAACATGCCATACTAACAAGGCTTATATCTCAGCTTAGGTGAGACTCAGATGAATCTCTAACCTTCTACACACATGCTAAATTTGCACATGTGCAGGCATTGACATCTATGTCACAACTCCCTCCTCTGCCAAGTTTCTTTTGGCACTGGTTATAAATTACATGCGAATTTGAGATATGTTAAAATGTGAAAAGTTCTGCATCTTAGACTTGATGAAATTCAGTAATAAATAACATTTATTGAGTATGGATAATATGCTTGATGCTTTACTTATTTCACTTAGTCTTCGTAATTACTATAATTACTTTATGAAGATTTACCGTTATTGTCCCCATTATACTGATGAAGAAAACAGAGACTTAGGGAATTTAAACTTAACATTCACTCAAGTGAAAGGCAGAACTGAGTCAAAGTTTGAATTTGAAAGCACATACTGTATTTCCTTCCCCAATTTCATCCCAGTAAAGCCTTACTTTTTAAAGCCTTACTTGTGCTGTCCAAAAGAACTTTCTCTGATGAAAATGTTCTCCATCTGAGCTGTCTACTATGGTATAGCCAGTAGCTACCTGGGACTATTGAGCCCTTGAAATGAGGTTAGTGTGACTCAGCAACTAACATTTTAATTTTATTTAATTTTAATTAATTTAATTTTAAACAGGCATATGTGGCTGGTGGCTCCCATACTGAATAGGGCAGCACTGGAATGAAGGTAACTGTATTTTCAGGAAAATACCAAAGAATTAAGGGACACAGAATTCACTTTTTGCTCTTGCAAAAAGTCATGCAAAAACCTCTTGCAAAAAGTCATGTCTACACAAGTGCAAATATTCTGAAGTAATTACTTCTCTGGGACAGTTTGACTATTTTCATGGCCTTTTGGAAGCTGGTCAGGAGATCTCTGCTTAAACAAAAGGGAGCAGCTAGAAAAATTATCCTATTATTGCAAAGGGTATTTACTTATGATGTAGAGATGTCTTTTATGGGATTCTTCTTAAGTTTACTTAGGTTTACTGTGACCATATTTTTGTTGATATTTTTATTAATATTTTATATTGGTAAAATAATTTATATTTTACTTATCAGTTTCCAATTATCTTATAAAACTTTTCTAGACATCCTATAAGGTAAGCAGAATTGGTATTAGTGTTCCCATTTTACAGATGAAGAAATTGAGACTCAGGGAGTTTGTATAACTTGCTTGGGGCCACAAAGGTAAGGAGTTGACTTACCTGGAACTGGTACCTAGATTTTGTGACTTTTAGTCTTCTGTGTTTTCCATTGCAAGGGGTTGTTTCTATACAATTGGATTCAAGCATATATCACCAAACGAACTCTGCTGATAGAAACTCAGACCTTGGGCTGGGCACCATGGCTCACACCTGTAATCCCAGCACTTTGGGAGGTCGAGGCAGGCGGATCACGAGGTCAGGAGATCGAGACCAGCCTGGCCAATATGGTGAAAGCCCATCTCTACTAAAATACAAAAAATTAGTAGGGCGTGGTGGAGCGTGCCTGTAGTCCCAGCTACACAGGAGGCTGAGGCAGAAGAATCGCTTTAACCCGGGAGGAGGAGGTTGCAGTGAGCGGAGATAGTGCCACTGCACTCCAGCCTGGGAGACACAGCGAGACTCCGTCAAGAAAGAGAGAGAGAGAGAGAGAGAGAGAGAGAGAGAAAAGAAGGAAGGAAGGAAGGAAGAAAAGAAAGAAAGAAAAGAAAAGAAAAAGGAAAAGGAAAGAAAAGAAACTCAGACCTTGAGTAGAGATGATCCCATGCAAGCTGGTGAAATGAGGTGTTATCCAGTGGAGCATTTGTTCCTCCCCAAGGGGAGGTTTTACCAATGGTTTGGGTGCCCTTCAGTGTGCTTACATTGAGTGGCATCAGGTTTTCAGGTTAACTAACTTCAGTCCCAGTGGCTGTGGTGGGAGATCAGTTGCAGCTGCGCTAATTCTGCTACCCTTCAATGTGGCCATATGAGCAAGTGTTAGGTTTGCACTTTGCAGAGAAAATGAATATGTCATAATCCCAATTCCTCCCTGGGTATTTTGGTTGGCTTCAAGTGCCATTCCTTTTGTAATTAAGTGGGAAAGAGAAAACAGATGGTCACCTTGTCAAATCTTGTTTTCAAGTTAAATACACACAGCCTTTTTTCCTAAGTAGGATAATTCCTTTTTAATGGTAACGCTTTAAGACAGGGAAACATTGGTGGCTGTGTCTAGAGTGCAATGAATCTGCATGTATTGTCTACCTGCTTGAACAGTGAGCTTGGAAAAAAAAAAGTCCTCGATTTTTAAGAACGTGCCACCTAGAATCTTCTGTGTTGTCTATAACTGTGATTATTTAGCTTCTCTCTTATTCAGCCTTCTCAGGGTTACACCTTCTCCACATATGGCTAAAGTGCATGCATGGAGCAATGATATTTACCTGGAGACTAGACAGTGCCATTCAACTGGATATTAAAGGAACAGTGAGGAGAGTTCCTCTGGTGGTCCCACTATCTCTGCATTTTATTTACTTTTGGATATTGAGAAGGATCTGGAGAGGTGAAAGAATTGAATGACTCAATAATTCCTCAAAACTGGAAGCAATCTCTTATCCATTAACTTCCTGGAACAATGAGGACCAATTGATTAGGGAGCTCTTAGGTCCTTCTTAGATCTTTCTCCATGCTATGAGGAACATAGAGAAAATACCATCATTTTTTTCAAAAAATTATAAAACAGTATAGTGAGAATCGATTGAATGCTGTCTACTGGGCACTTTATGGCCCTCTAAGAGTATATCTAGATCAATTGCTTTATTAGAATGATGAGATAACTAGTCCCTCTCCCCTGCTTTTGTGAAGGGATAGGGAAATGAGAAACGGATCTTGTCTTTGCTAATTCCAAAGTCTCTCTTTCACTCCCTTAAGTGCTTCTTTCTTACTTTCTTGTCCTTTTACCGTTACACTCTCTGGAACATCCACACTATCCAGACAGAGAGAAAACCTTGATTCAGCTTCTATTCTAGAAAAACACAAGATTTTTGTCACTGCTTTGCTAGCAATCAACAGTGATTTCTTGAGTGCCTACTGTGTGCTTAGAAGTGTGTTGGAGTCCTCCCTCTTTCCCTTAAGCGGAACACATTGATTTTTAGAACACTTTTAGTTAAGACTTTAATTTAAAATCCAATGTTATTTTAAAAATGTTTGTCATTCCTCCTGGATTTCTGAAGTCTTTTCCTGTCTATGTGTTGGCTTGGGGGAAATTTCCTTTTTCTTTGTTTATTTCATTTTGCTACAAGTAAAGGAGACAATTTAAGCTTGGTATTTTTGTGAAGTTTCTTTAAAAGCGTTTTGACATTGTGGTTGGTGGTCTGATTAGTTCAGAAAGAATTTGTATTTAGTATAAGTGCTTTTTATCTAAAAATATATAGCTTGAGAGACCAGCTAATACTGTGTACTCAACTTAAAATATGCCTATGTACATATTTAAGCTCAGTTTGGCTAAAAAGTCCTTTGAACTAGAACATCACATACCACTCCCCAATTCCCATGCTCGAATGTTGGCTAACAGAGAGGACAGTAAAAGATAAAGATCCCTTGAACATATAGAACCTATATAAGTCTAAATTTAAACAAATAACAACTGGACTTTAACCACTGCTGGACAAATATTATCAGCTCAGAAATGGAGACCTAAATACTGATTCATTGATTGTTTAATTAAATTTATTATTAATAAATTAATTGTCCAAAAAAAAAGTCTGGGTAGTATGAATTCCACTCTGAATGGGGCTACACAGCCAAAACAAATGACTTTTGCACAGGATTTTATTTTCCTCTATGATTCTTAAGGAAGGTCTTCTTTGGATTATTCACTGTTCTTGGCTTTTTTATTATTCCTGGAGGAAAGGCTGCACAAAACCACAAATATTTCAAATGTCATTGTTATCATTGAAATTACTCATTCAGACTGCAAATGAAACCAGGAATGTTTTTGCCATTTAAAACTTCCAGAAGAAGAGTGAAAAAAATACAGAGTCTTCAAGGTTAAGCAGATGTGGTAAAAGCACATTCGTTCAATGTTTGTTTTGCTAATGAAAGTGAAAGTTTAATGCATGTTACAGATTTCTCCTCTGCCTTTTGTTAAACTGTTTTTTGATTATGAAGTTGAAAAAGGAAATTGTAAGAACATAATTTTCTTTAAGATCTGAAAACTCAAGAATTTTGATTGAGTGACATATATCTTTCATTTTTTAATTAATGCATTAATCTGTGTGGCATTGTAATTTATAATTTAGAAGTTATATTTTATTGAAAAGTGTTTTTAATAGTGTTAACTGGTTTGTTCATCTGGGACAGTTTGATGAGTTCAACTTTTTGTTTTTATATATATGTACATATTTTTTGAGACAGGGTCTCACTTTGTTGCCCAGGCTGCAGTGCAGTGGCATGATTATGGCTCACTGCCACCTGGAACTCCTGGGCCCAAGCGATACTCCCACCTCATTCTTCTGAGTAGGTGGGACTACAGGCAAGTGCCAACAGGTCTAGCTAGGTGTTTTGGTTTTTTAAAAAATATCTTTTGTAGAGATAGGGTCTTCCTATGTTGCTCAGGCTGATCTCCAACTCCTAGGCTCAAGTGATCCTCTTGCCTCAGCCTCCCAAAGTGCTGGAATTACAGGCGTGAGCCACCACGCCTGGCCAAGTTCAACTTTGTAAGAAAACTTACAAATTTCTCAGAACTGGTTTCTAAGACTTTGGTCTCTTTAAGGATGCCTTTTTCACCCTTGGCCTAGGTACTTGATCTTGAAGTTCTAAAATGGGATTTTTCTCTTGGCTTGTATCCCAGCTTCCCACATTTTTTTGAGGGAGAACTTGAAGATGATTACAGGAATTCATTTTTTTTCCTCTTTGCATTTTGAAGATGAAGAAAACATTATCTGTGTGAAGTTTAAACTCCTAGATGATTACTTAGAGTAATAATAATAGTATGTGGTATTTACCTGAAAAGATGCTATGAGTTAAGAAAATTTTAATTCTTATTTTTTAAAAATGCTATTAGATTTAGGTACAGTTAAAAATATCACTGTAATCCCAGCACTTTGGGAGGCCGAGGCAGGTGGATCACGAAGTCAGGAGTTCAAGACCAGCCTGGCCAAGATGGTGAAACCACGTCTCTACTAAAAATACAAAAATTAGCCGGACATGGTGGTGGGCGCTTGTAATCCCAGCTACTCCAGAGGCTGTGGCAGAGAATGCTTAAATATGTGAGGCGGAGGGTGCAGTGAGCCGAGATCTCCCCACTGCACTCCAGCCTGGGCGACAGAGCGAGACTCTGTCTCAAAAAAAAAAAAAAAAAAAAAAAAATCACTGAGGTAGCTAATGGGTGATGGTTGCCAACTGATTTCTGGTGTTGACAACTAGATTTCCTTTTTGTTCTCCCTTCAACTTCAGTCATCCTGTAGTTACCACTTGCTGTCCCTCCCTGACATGAGCACTTGTTTTATGTTTGTTTTTTTTTTGAGACGGAGTTTTATTCTTGTTGCCCAGGCTGGAGTGCAATGGCATGATCTTAGCTCACTGCAACCTCTGACTCCCGGGTTCAAGCAATTCTTCTGCCTCAGCCCTGCCAGTAGCTGAGATTACAGGCATGTGCCACGTAGAGACGGGGTTTCACCATGTTAGTCAGGCTGGTCTTGAACTCTTGACCTCAGGTGATCTGCTCGCCTTGGCCTCCCAAAGTGCTGGGATTACAGGCGTGAGCCCCCATGCCCGCCCTGAGTACTTGTTATTTCATACTAAGTAATGAATACTACAGTTTGTTAAGTTCAATGCCTAACTAAATATGACCGATGAATGCTTACCAGCCACCTGAAAGTTAAGACCGGCTATGAAGCACCACCCCCGATCCCAGGGGTTACAACTTGAAATCAACATTTGCATATACCTTTAGAAAAATTATTATGGAAATTTCTGGAATGTTGCCATACTCCCTATTTGAATTCAAATGATAATATAGTCAATTCAGGAAAGAAAATCATCCTAAAATTTCGTATTATGATTAGAAGTGTAATTTCGCTGAAATAGAAAATTTCTAATTATTAAATTTGATGAGTCACCACTCTCTAAGCAAAGATTCTGGGCACTGAGACTTTGGAGACAATGACTACACTCGGCCCTGTGCTTGCCACATTGTTAGCACTCTATAAATATTTGCTGCATTAAAACTGAAAAGGTCACCCACTCTTAAAGTCAGGGAAAGCTTTACTAATTTTTCTTGTGTTGCTTTAAAACAGCATGCTGATTAATTTCCACTATGAAAATAAAAAGTTTTCTGTCTAAATCTAGCTAAGAATTTAATAATAATGGAGGAGTAAGAGGATGGACTGAGAAAGAAAGAGAAAAGAAAAAAGGAAGAGAGCCAGAGGAAGAAAAGAGAAGGGAGGAAGGAAGGAAATGAAGACAGTCTGCACCCGCATTTGGTTGCTGTCCTGAGATTAAGCCCGACCACACGAAAACCCAAAGGAAGCAAGCATCATTTAACATTCAACTTGCAATTCATTTTGTGACTCTATCATTATGCCAGCTCATTTGTCTGCAGTTTAAAATGTGTTATAAAGTCAAAACTTAGAAGTAAAATTCTTTCACTTCCTGATACTAGAGTGAGCGTAGTACATCTGCCTGTTTTGGATCATTTCTAAGCATTTCTCAAAGGTTAGTTCCACTTTGCCTGAAAGATCGTGTTTTGAACCATTAAAAACTGTTGGCTCAAAACTTCGTCAGATCACAATTTCTTTTTTAAAATTATCTCTTGGCAGATATTATCATTTAAAAGGTTTAACATTAGTTACCCTGCTCTATTAATTTTATTTCTAAAATGTCTCTTGAATATATCTGCTTTTATCCATCCCTCTAGGCACTTTCATTATGTCCTTAACACCTCTCACCAAGCCTGTCACTAGGTCCTAGGTTGCCTTCCGTTCCAATCTTCACTAATTTAATTATTTCTTTAGGCTGTTAGCAGGATTATTTTCCCAGGAAATACGATACATCCTGAATTGTTTTTTTCTTCCAAACCCTTCAGGGGTTTGTATTTGCTTATATAACAAAAGTTTGGAGTACCTGGTAAATATTCAAGATCTTTTATCATTGACTTCTCAAATACCATCTCAGTCTCAACTTCTCCTCCCTTCCTTGTTATATTTCTGTACCAATGAGTTACACAAATGCACTGGATAGTTTCACATTTCTTTGTCTCTGTTCATGTTAATTCCTCATCCCAAAAGTCCTTACTCTGCTTTTACAGTTTTGGAAATCCTAGCTCAACTCAAATATCACTTCCTCCATGAAACCCTGAGTGTATTACTCAGCTGAAGGTAATTGTTCTTTCCTCTATCCCCTACGTGAAGTAAATTAATATGATGTTAGAGATGGAAAAAGTTTTACACTTCAATCATTCTCCATTCAGGCATCATCTTGGTATTGGAGAGGCAATTTAGTTTTCAATGAAAGATACAAATGAGAGTAAATAAAAGAAGTATTTATTGGCTCAAGTAACTGAAAATCCAGTAGTTCGGCTGGCTGAATTCAGTGCCTGGCTAATGTTCTCAGCGATCTGTCCCTTATTATATTTCCTGGCTCTGATTTTCTCCATGTTGGGTTCAGTCTTAAGCAGACCCTACACTCATATATGATGGGAAAGCGGTTCTCAGAAGCTCCAGATTTACATAGTATTTTTAGCTCTCAATCTCCGAAGGAGAGAAATCCTCTTTCACAGCATTTATATCAACTCGTCATATGACTTGGATTGTTTGGAGGTGGGACATGTGTCTACCTTGGGGCTATCATTGTCTCTGGGAAGCCTGGGTTATCGGATTGGCCAGTCTGGGTCATAAGCTTGTCTCTATGATGAAGGAGGTAGGGTCATGTGATGAACAGGCAGAATCATGTAGAGTGAGAAACGGTTTCCAAAAAAAGTAATTTTTATTTGTTACATTCTCTATTGGGTACTTTCATTTGCCCTCTGTTACAGCTAACTGTTTATTTGTATCTGATCTTTGAATTTTAAGATTATTGAGAGCAAGAATCAAAACACATTTAATAAATGTTTGTCTCTTAGCTGAATGAAGGACCCAACAGGCAGACAACAAATGAAATAATATCTAAAGTCACCATTTTATTTGACTTATGTTCTTTCATACCTTTTTAAACCTCATTGACGAGACTTGATACTTTCCTGTAATTAAGGAAAATTGGCCGTCACATAAAATGGTGGACAGGATTAATTTTGAGATACAATCAATTTACTTAAAATATCAGACCCCAAATACTTCTAGCCATGATTTGGCTAGCAAAAGCCATTATAAATTAAAGTTTTCCCCTTTAGAAAAATTATTGCTGTTACTAGAAAAAATGTTGATATCGTTTATTACCATTACTAAAACAACAACATTTGATGCTTGCATTAAAAAATTTATCATAATTTGACAGTTTTGTTTTATAGTTTTAGGAAATACAAGGTCTCTCCAAGTAGAGTATTAAAATCTTCAAAATGGGCCAGGCGCGGTGTCTCATGCCTGTAATCCCAGCACTTTGGGAGGCCAAGGCAGGCAGATCGTGAGGTCAGGAGTTCGAGACCTGCCTGGCCAACATGGTGAAACCCATCTCTACTAAAAATACAAAAAATTAGCCAGGCGTGGTGATGCACGCCTGTAATCCCAGCTACTCCGTAGGGTAAGGCAGGAGAATCGCTTGAACCCAGGAGGCGGAAGTTGCAGTGAGCCTAGATGGTGCCATTGCACTCCAGCCTGGGCGACAGCGAGACTCCATCTCAAGGAAAAAAAAAAAATCTTCAAAATGGAAAATTAAGGAGTAGTTCCTTTTTTCTGTTCTTAGTAACTTTAGCTAATCTAAGGAAATAAAAGGAAATAGACCCGCTTTGCAGTCTTCGCTCAAAATAATTTACCTGCTTTATTTAAACTAGTTATTTCATTGGCATGATGTTCCACAAGACCATTGATCACCATGGCCATGACATGAACAGTACCATATTGTGAGCACCTAATTTATATTGTTTTCTTCAATTAGCATTTTTTTTTCTTTTCTTTTTTTTTTTTTTTAGATTGAGTTTCGCTCTTGTTGCCTAGGCTGGAGTGCAATGGCACAATCTCAGCCCACCATAACCTCCGCCTCCCGGGTTCAAGCAATTCTCCTGCCTCAGCCTCCCAAGTAGCTGGGATTACAGGCATGCGCCACCACTCCCGGCTAATTTTGTATTTTTAGTAGAGATGGGGTTTCTCCGTGTTGGTCAAGCTGGTCTAGAACTCCCGACCTCAGGTGATCCACCTGCCTCAGCCTCCCAAAGTGCTGGGATTACAGGCGTGAGCCACCATGCCTGGCCCAATGAGCTTTTAATAAAGTAATGTGTAAGCTTGTTTTCATCAAGTCTGTGTTCTAGAGATTGTGTAGTGTAAATGCAAGCATTCTGGATTTGGAACCAGACTTAACCTAATATGAAATCTAACTCTGCCACTGCTTAGCTCTTGGTGTCACAAATCACTTAGCCTCCCTGTCCCTCAGTTTACTGCTTTGCGAAATGGGGCTAATAATATCTGGTTCAGAGAACTGTGAAGAATGAAGGGGTAATGTGATATTGTTGACAGAGTATATGGCACATTGTAAGGGCTCAATCTAATATAAAGACTATTATCATTATGGCTCCTATTATACTGCTACTAGTACTAATTGCTTTCTAGAAAAAAGCAAAGCTGTAAATCACTGAGGAAGGGATATTTGATCGGTCTTACTAAAGCACTCCTGCTTAAAGGGAAAAATGTTTGTGGTGTAAATGTTGGAATTTGTAAGACAGAGCAATGTTCTTATTTCACCACTGAAGAAATGCCCTGCTTTCAACCTTTTGATGGACAGATGTCTTTGCTGCTTTTACATCCCACCCCACCATGCTCTTCCTCCCTAACTGCAACTACCAGTATTTTGTGACAAAAGACTCTTCCTCCCTAGATAGACTGTGGGGATCACTAGGCCAGTCCCAGTGTGACTTCTTACTTCCCATAAGATAGAAATGTCTTACTCCATTTGAGATTAAATTTGATCTTTCTGGGAAATGTAAAGCTACTGTACTCCAGTTTCTTAAATATAAAGGTTGTGAGGTGAAGCAAGGCATAGCATACATGGAGATCTAAATAGCCATCCCAGGGTTCTAATGAGGCCACAAATCACAGAACTCCATTATGGTCAGAGTCGTGGTAGCATTAGACTGACCATAGCTTGCTTAACCTTACTGGTGCCACAATTTTGGGGTAAGCACATTATCTCCCTGTAAAGCACATTTCTATTTAATACGTGCACATGCAGCAGGTATTTATTCTTACACCAGTTCCCCACCCATCGTTATTTGCTGTGAATAGTAATTTTAGAAAATATTTATTTTGCAATGATTTTGGACTTATGAAAGTGTCACAAGACTGGTTTAGAGAATTAAGGACTTTATTTGGATTCACCAATTTTATTTTGAAGGAACACGTGCTAGAGGTTTTAGCTCATCATTAGTGAGGGAAACAGGCAAATATTACAGCTAGTTCAAAGGTTCATTTATAGATCAGGAATATCAAAATACATTTGCATATGGATGCAAGCTAGCTTCTTCTGCAGAAATGGAAGGAAGACAACCTCTACTTGACAGAATTTATTTACTGCCTCTCGACAAGAATTACTTTGCATTGCTCTGCTAATTCACTAATGTTTAACATTTTGCCACATATCCTTTGTCATTCCCTCTTTCTCTAATTAAATTTTTCTGAACCCTTTGAGAGTAATTTGTATGCATCATGCCTCATACTCTTTAGTACCTTTAATTCACTGTGAATTGTCTAAGAAAACACATTCTCTTACATAACCACAACAAATAATTAAATTCAGGAAACTTATCATTGATACAATACTTTAATCTACAGTTCATGTTTTGTCAGTTGTCCTAATAATGTCCTTGATAGCATTTTTTCCATTCTGTAGCACTGAATTCAGTCCGGGGTCCCACATTTCATCTAGTTATCTTTAGTCTCCTTTATATTTTTTAAAAATTTGAAGTTTGTCTACATTGGAAATTTAGAGTCAAAGATTGTGGCATTTCTATATTTGTGTGTGCATGTGTGTGTTGCTTCATTTATGATAATATCCTTAGCTATTATGTCAAAAGCTGACTTTTTTTTTAAGTGCATTTCAACTCCAAAGTAATACTGAGGGGAAAATAGCAAGCATAAATCAGAACATCAAAGTAAGTCCCATCATGCCTACAGTGTACAAATAGCTGTTGATGAGTTTGCCATGCTTACTGAACTGAATAAGTATAAAAGCTTTTCATGTGCATTCCTGTTTTCAGGCCCAATACAGTACGTTAACCTCAGAATATCAAATTGAATCAGAGGTTCTGAGAAGAGCAGCCTGAAAAGCCGTTAGAATGACACTCTTCATTACACTATCTAGATTCAGGTTTCAGACAACCATAACCGGGGCTTTCCCAACCTCTCACCTAAAGTCAAATGTGCACAGCCACCCAAATCACTGCCTGCCTTCCTGCAAGGGCTCCCAGACCTCTTAAAGTGGGAAGTCCACCCAGTCCCGGAAAGCTGAGCCCGGAATTATAAAGAACCTTTTTGTGATGACATTCTTCCTGGCGAGTCTCAAATAAACAGCCCCTGCAAGGCAGCTTGCCACACAGTGTGTCAGCACATATTATGCAGTCTGGTGCTGAGTGGATGTGTCAGCTGCCCATTAGACCACACTAAAATAGTATTGCTGGGAGCCTGAAGCATGAAGCATGATATTAGATAAAGTGATGAAATTTCACTCGATTAAAGAGCCGGGTCAAGGACAGTTACCTCAGGAAATTCCTTTTTTCCTCGAATATTCTCACAACTTTGATGAATTTATCATTTTCTTGCTTATTTTTCATTATTGTCTGGGGCTTTGTGAACAATAAAATGTGCCCTCAGCAGGCACTGACATATTGGAGTGATCAGAATCATAGGTTATGTTGATTCAAAGAAGGAAAGGGAAAAAAAGACGAGATTGACATTGCTGCAGGTCAAAAGCCCTTGGAAATGTTGGATTGATTTGTTTAGACGTTGTTTGATTTCTCTCTCTCTTTTTCTTTCTCTAGCTCTTTTTTTCCCCTCAAGTAGAGGGATAGGAAAAAGAACAGAGAAGGGTAATCTTTTTTATTTTAGGCCAGTTGAAGGAGAGAAACAGAAGCATATGGCTTGGCAGAAATTTTTATTTTTATTTATTTGATTTATAAGGACAGGCGAGAAATGCTTCTTGCAAAGGGCTTCTTTTATCAAAAGGACTTGCAGGCTGAAAGTAAATGACTACATACCTGCACTGCTTTTTAAACCAGGGTTAGCAAACCACATCTAGCTGGAGTAAAGCTGACTGGCTGCTCTCCATAGTAGGAAAAAAAAAAACAAAACAAAAACAACCCACTTTGGTTTATTAGTGTTTTACTCTGACATAATTTCATTTACAACAACATTTGAGAGACAAAAGAAAGGAAATGTGAATATTCAGAGCAGTTTTTGTTCTATCCTTAGAGCTCAATTCTACAATCCTTCCATCCCCCATTTTGCCACTAAAGGTAGAGTTCTTGCCAGCCAGACATCCCAGGAAAACCAAGCAGCACCAAGCCCAGCTAACGGGACCATGTTGAATTCTAATGCAGTTGGTTCAGTTGGTCCTTCTTCAGGTCAGAAAATTGCTTTAGGCAAATGCGCTGGTCTGGCGGACTGGGAACACTTTGGAGGTTTAAGTTTTTAGCACCATGTGGGGGTGATTACAAACTCTGAACTCAATGAGTGACTGAGTAGCCTTACTTCTGTGAATTTCTCATGTAATATTTTAATTCTGGTGCTCCAATTCCATTCTAGTATGTAACATGCTTGAGTTTTTAAGACTCCTCTTTCTTTCTTATAAGTATACCAGCATAGAATACCTCTTCTAACATACAAGACTGTAATGAATATGAAATAAGGTCATCTATTTCCAGATATGTTGTTCCTAAGAAGAAAGGTGTTATCTAAATTCTAAATAGTGCCATGATTATATTTTTATAATAATAACCTTACATTTTAATATAATAATCTTACATTTTAATATTGAGGGACAAAAAATTCACATGACCCAGTGAGCTGTACTTACTTGGACTATGAACCAGAGATGCACTTAAAATTTATATCTTGGCCAGGCACGGTGGCTCACGCCTGCAATCCCAGCACTTTTTGAGGCCAAGGGGGGCAGATCACCTGAGGTCAGGAGTTCAAGACCATCCTGGCCAACATGGTGGAACCCCATCTCTACTGAAAACACAAAAATTAGCCTGACTTGGTGGCGGGCTTCTGTAGTCCCAGCTACTTGGGAGGCTGAGGCAGGAGAATTGCTTGACCCTGAGACGTCGAGGTTGAAATAAGCTGAGATTGCACCATTGCACTCCAGCCTGGGCAACACAGTGAGACTCCATCTCAAAAAAAAAAAATTATTTTTCAGCAAGTTCCTTGGGTATTACATTAATGTTTATATAAATTAAATTTCTTTTTCATAACAGCACCCGTTCATTAGGTGAGAGTTGATGTCTAAGGAAGAAATAAATAACAGCCTGGTGGGACAGGCAGGAAATGCAGGACGAGGAGTGTAATGTTGGTACTTCAGTTTTCTCATAATTGATAGGACAAAAGTGAGACATCAAAAAATTTTTTCTTTTAATTACAGGAAAAAAAGCCTGCACAGAGACGTTAGACAACTGCTTTCAGATCTGATCAACTGTAATCTAATTTTTCTTTTCTTTCTTCCTCTTGAGCCAAGGGGGTTTTGTTTTTTGTTTTTAAAATATTGAAGTAGTTTGAAAGATGGGAAGGCAGTTGTGCTAAATTTTCTATTATTAGCATGGAAGTGATAACAGCTTTCTTACCCCTTGGGAGAAGAGGTGGCAGTTGGAAGCCGAGGAATGCTCAGTGCTGTGTCGGCACACTTTTCACCAAAACAAAAAACGGAGTAAGAATATCTGCCTGTAATAAAATAATGAGTCTGTTACTTTTCCTCAGTATGAAGTGAGCGTTAAATATACACATATTATTAGGCAAAAGAGAGCACCACGAAATCAGTGGAGTTTTAAACCCTCCCTCTCCTGTCCGGTGGACACCAGGACTGCTTGGCTGCAACCCTCTGTCTTCTCAAGGCTCTAAGGGCAAGCAGCACCATCTCCCCAGTGTGTTTTTCACTAGTTGCTTGCTTTGGGATCTTGATTTCTTTGCTAGAGTCTTTTTATTTTGGCCTGGCAAAATCCTTCACTAAGCTACAGAATGCAGAGAGTGCATACCAGGGGTGAGTTGCCAACATAAGGCTTAGTCAGTAAGGTGCAGGAGGAGGCATTTGATACACATTTCCCTCCTCTTCACCAAACACCTGGGCAGCACTCTGCAAGAATTGTATTCTATTTACGGTCATCTTGCTTATGATGAAAATTATATGTTTCATCCCAAGCAACAATGAAAAAATTACTTTGAAACCTCTCACTGGCACTTCTAATGAACACAATAAATAGAAGAATATGCTCATCAAAAATTGTTCTCCTTTTCTCCATGATAAACCCAATAAATATTTCATTAGAAGAAGGGTTTAGCTTCTCATGTGAATTGTGAAATCTCTTGGGTTATATTAAGGCTGTAAATGTAGTTCAAAGCAGCTCAGAGTCTCGCTTTAGGGGATGGGTGCTTTTTATTTTTTATCCTTTCCCTAGAGGGTCTGATTAGCCCAGAGCTCATTTGGTGCAATAATGGAACAGGAAATTTTCTACGAGCGACTGCAACAGAGTTCCAGTTGAGAGTTTGCTACCTTGGGAGAATCAGGTCATTCTCATATCTGCTGGGGAAACGCATGCTCCCCAAGAGAAAGGAATTGGAAAAATAAATTCTTCTGACAAGTGGAGAACTTCTGCTGCAGAATGTTTCTGAACCTTGCCAGAGGGGGAGATTTTGTCTTCCTGATCTGATTGCCCTAGCATTTTCCCCTCTTCCTTTAAAATTTTGTGTTTTTATTTTATTTATTTTGTTTTAACATAAGATAACTGAAAGGTCTAAATGCTCTAATGTGCATTCTTCTAATGTGAAGCGCTCATCATTTCAGTTCTGAACACCGATTTCTGTCACTTTGGCCAACACGAAGGAAGAGGCACACTTCTTTTCCTCACTGACACCTCTGATGACATGATACACAAATGATGGACTATGTAATAATTTAACCATGCCTGATCTTTCTGCCTGGGGCACTTGCAGTACTTAAAGCCTCAGTGGGTCTTTATTTTTTATATCACTCAAATAGAGAAACCATGGTATGTAAAATTCACCTATTTTTAAATCTTTAACATGGAGATTTCATTTTTTTTCTTATTGCTGACCAACTATCCCCATAAGCGAAAGTGGTAGAGTTCTAGTTAGAAGGAGATTCCACAAATATTTTAATTATCATTTTTTCCTTCGTTAATGTCTGGGGTTTTCGTATGAGCTCTCTCCTTTATCTGGGCACTGTGCAGAGGAGAAATTGCGTGTCCTTCAATCTTCAGGGTGATCCGTTGGTTTTGTCACTTTGATTATTTTCTTTCCCAAGTACTACACAGCATATGTTTTCTGCTGGATTCAGCTAAATTCATTCCCCTCTGGTTCACTGTGTTGCAGATGATGTGATGTACCAGGGATCTTGCTTGAAGCCAGTGCTAGATTTCTTAAGAGCACTTGAGCACCTCTTGAATGACATAGGAATTCCTCTGACACAACTGACATGGTGATTCTTTTAGGACAAGGACATGCCATTTTTTTTCTTCTTCTTCTTTCCTGGTGTATCCAGGCAGGATTTAATATAGAGATGGATGAGTAGACAGAAAGGAAGATGAGGTAGGTCTTACAGATCTGTCTTTTAAATTAACAAAAGCCACAAAAATATTAAGAATTAAGCTACATTTGAAGAGGCCTCAGGAGAAATCTGTTAGTCTCCAAGACCCAATGGCATTTAAATACACTCAAGACAAAGCCATGAAGTGTCAAATTGGTCATGAACTTCATCACAAAGTGTGGAAACCAAGAGGATGAAAAAACAGGAAGGCCTTAACCAATTTAGATGTTGTCAAAGAGCATTCTTAGAAGCCCTGTCTGAAAGATGTTAGTTTTGCCTAATGCCGATTATCACCTAATTCCAACTGAGATTGAATTTCAGACTGTGAGTAGTAAAGGTGAGAGGAGGAGTGGAGACTGGTGGTCAGCGGAGTTGAGAGGTGGGAGCTCTGGCCACTGGGAAACAGATGTTGCAATTTTTAATGGGTTGGTCAATGTCATTGACAAGATGGCATTTGATTAAGGCCTTGAAGGAGAGGATCAAGTCAGCCTTATAGAAACTTCGGAATGGAGACAAATCAAGTCAAAGGCCCTGAGGTAAGGGTGTACCTGGTTGAGTTTGAAGAAAACTGAGGAGGTCAAATTTCATGGAATGTTGCTGTAAAGGGGAAATAGAGGATAATATGGGGGTAAGGAGGGGTTCTTTTTAAGACACTTGACACTGATGGGCATGACCCAGTACAGAGGAAGAAATTCTTGATGTAGGGAGAGTGATGGGAGAGGAGAAGTTTCAGGAGTCGGGTTTACGTAAGAGAGAGGAGATGGAATCTAGGATGCATGTGAAGTGTTGGCTTTAGGGAGAAGCTTAGACAGTTCAGCTATAGCAGCAGGAGGGAAGGACAAACATATGGACACTGTTTCCAGTAAGGAAGGAGATTTGGGGTCAGGAGCTTGGGAAGCTCTTTTCTGATGTGTGTGTGTGTGTGTGTGTGTGCGTGTGCGTGAGTGCAAGTTAAGTCATCAATGGAGAGTAAGGATGGAAAATATGTGTTGGAGGTTTGAGAAGAAAGAAAAAGTCAAGAAATAATCATCTAGGGCAGTGGTTATCAATGTGTGGTCCAGATTAGCAGGGTCAGCATCATCTGGGAACTTGTTTGAAATGCAGTTTCTTTTTTTTTTTTTTTTTTTGAGATGGAGTCTCGCTCTATCACCCAGGCTGGAGTGCAGTGGCGCGATCTCGGCTCACTGCAAACTCCGCCTCCTGGGTTCATGCCGTTCTCCTACCTCAGCCTCCCGAGTAGCTGGGACTACAGGTGCCCACCACCGCGCTCGGCTAATTTTTTTGTATTTTTAGTAGAGACAGGGTTTCACCATGTTAGCCAGGATGGTCTTGATCTCCTGACCTCGTGATCCACCTGCCTCGACCTCAAAGTGCTGGGATTACAGGCATGAGCCACCGCTCCTGGCTTCGAAATGCAGTTTCTTAAGCCCACCTTAGATTGCCTGATTCAGAAACTTTAGGGGTCAGGACCCAGCAATCTGAGTTTCCACACATCCTCCAGGTGATTCTGTGGCAGTCTCAAGTTTGAAAATCACCAGTTTAGGGTAACAGGGGAGTGAATGGATTATGGAAATATGGAATGATTGATGGGCAGAGCTCGAGACCTTTTTGAAGGTAGGGGTCATCAACTTAAAATGAGATCAGTCAGCAAGCTGTGTGGCTTTCTCCAGCCGTAGCAAGCTGTGTGGCTTTCTCCAGCCGTGGCCATCTGTGTTGGTGTGCAGAGTAAACTGAGTTGATTTAACCTGGCCTTGGGCCTTGTTAATCTTCTTAACAAGATTGTTAAGAATGTATGCAAGAGTGTGAGATGATGGACCATCAGATCTAATCTAGGTGGGGGAGGAAATTGAGGGACCAAGAAAAGCTTAAGCAGTCAATGGCTAATAGCTCCTAGTGGGGTCAAGGTTTCTTGGAGTTGGGGCATTGGTGAGAGTGAGCTGGAAAGACAGAATGGTTGAAATTGTAGTTATGGATTGCTTTACTAGTAATGATAAGGATAGAGTATGGCATTTGGAGGGAGTGGTTGAGGCAGGGTGGAAAATGTGAGAGTTGGAAAAGAGGGCCTCGAAAAACCGAGTCTAGGACATTGGAAAGATCATATATATATATGGATATTGAAATTACCAAATATGTTGGAGAAGTGGTGGTGAGTTAGGTGCTAAAATCTTCAAGGAATTAGGGGAGTGACCTGTGGATCTGTAGGTAACAGGAATAAGCTAAAATGGTGCTTGGTAAGGACTAATCACATGGTAATAAAAGATCAGAACTTTGTGTTGTTGTTTGTTCTTGTGGCGGGAAAAAGGATGTTCCAGTGGCAGTATGAAAGCAGAACACCTGCCCCTACCTCCAGATCTGGCATTACGAGAACCTTGCAAGATACCACAGCTACCACTTTCAGACTGCTGGGTAAAAGCAAGTGGTTTCCTGAGAGTCTGTCCATTTACAGCGAGAAGTGAAAAAAAGTTCTGAGAAGAAGTGAGGAGGAGCTAACAATTGAGCATGACTTCCAGAAGACAGTGTGGACTGGTTTCAGGTATTTGGGATGAGTGGCAGAGTGGATGAGAAAAGGGAGACTATAGAGATAATTGAGAATAAGGGTCCAGGAAGATCAGAGTTGATTGGGAGCTGCAGGCTCCTTGTGAAGTTTGATGTACATGAGAGAATGGCAAAACAAGATTTGCCTTGATGTTCTCAATGTAAGCACTGAGGAGAAGGCTTGGAGTGTTCCAGGACAGTGAGTGGTGGAGTCTTGCTGGGAGTGTTCTGAGCCTTTCTCTTTATTCCTGACAGTGGTGATGTGGGGCCCAGGATGGCAGTCTTATCCTGAATGCTTGGAAATCAGGGAGAGGTGTGGAGACCAGGGGAGTTTAATCTTTTTCAGTTGAATGTGTGGATGGCTCTTCAATCGAGTAGATTTGAAAGTGTGTAATGGAAAACGGTGTTGGAAATGAGTTGAGGAGTAGATGAGTCAAGGCTACTCTAATTTCAATGCCCCAAACCATGCCCAGCTCAAAAGTCACAGGGTGGTAATAACAGTTCCACTTTTCTATTCTTGTTAACATTAAGCCTCAGAAATAAATAAAAATGGGGGCCTGTCTTCAGCATATCAAAAGCAGCTAAATTTGTGTCCATTTATCCTTTCATTGTTGTGAGATCAAGCAGTTGCACTTCAAGTGCATTCACTGATATAATTTCCAGCAGGAGAGACCACTTCATTCCACATTGGTGCCCCACTCATGCTCCCAGCATGTACCATACAAAGAGACATCTGGTTTGCAGAGATGCTCTTAGGAACCAGCATGGTTTGGTGGCTTGAGCACAGGTCCTGGGTGTGAGGAGTGTGCCGAAGATGCAATAAGGCATACTTTTCTGGGGATGCACACCCGGACTGCAGAGAGGGGGCTACCAAAAAGCAGTTGGCTTGGATGCAAAATACTTTCAGAACAGGTAGCCCCAGTGGAAGCCTCTTCAACCCTGGCAAGAATTCCAAGTTTTGAGAGTGGTGCACACTCAATTTTCACACTGTATGTGAGCCATTGCTTTGTGTGGAAATGCTTGAATGCAAATAGAATTCTTGTAATGTGCCTTTAGTGGCGTAATATTGCATGCAGGGCAACAAGCCTTAATGCACTGCCTCCCTCACAGCTAGGCTTAATAAGTGGCAAGAGAATGGCCTGATGCAAAAATTAATACCTTTTAATGAGTCAAGATTGATTCTAGAATTTAAAGAAGTATTCCATGTTTTCAAATAAACAGGTAATAGAGAAAACTCTGGACAGCTATTGGCAATTTTGAATATCTGCAGAGAGCTAGAGGGATGACAGAAAGAGATTTGCTTCTTTAAGGCCTGTTTTAAAAATGAAACAATACCTTATAGTTCCAATTATATGACTTTCTGGGAAAGACGAAACTATGAAGACGGTAGAAGGATCCGTGGTTGCCAGAGGGTTTGGGGTTGGGGGTTAGGGTTGCATAGGTGATGCACAGAGAACTTTAAAGTAGTGAAAATACTCTGCAGGATACTGTAATTACACAAATGTATAATGAATATGTGTCATTATACATTTGCTCAAGCCCATGAAATGTATAAAAGCAAGAGCGAACCCTGTTGTATACTATGAACTTTGGGTGATGTGATGTGTCACTGTAGATTCATCAGTTACAACACATGTACTACTCTGGTGGAGGATGCTCATAATGGGGGAGGTTGTATTCACGTTATGGGGGCAAGGGATATATTGGATATCTCTGTAACTTCCTCTCAATTTTGCTGTGAACCTAGAATTGCTCTAAAAAAGTCGTAAAAAAACATAAAACCCTTTGAATCCTTAAGATCTCTTTCTCACTTGCTTCCTCTTCTCTTACTGTAACTATTAACCACTGTGAACAGTTTCATTAACAGGAACACCTTTGGCAACCAGTCCCTGGTGATGAACATTTAGGCAGATTTTATTTTGCAGCTACTACAGCAAAACTGTGGTGGACTTCCTTGTGCAGATGTATTTTTGTGCACTAAGGCAAATCTATCTTGCCTTATGAGTGGGGCACCAATGTGGAATGAAGTGGTCTCTCCTGCTAGAAATTATACCAGTGAATGCACTTGAGGTGCAACTGCTTGATCTCACAGCAATGAAAGGATAACCGCCTAAAAGTATAATTTCTGGTTTAAAGAATGTATGCATATATTTTTAGTTTGATAAATAAGGCATTTTATTTTAGGTTCACAGTGTTCCAGCAAAGCAATAAGTAAACGATGAATTAAAAAATGTAAAACTAGGTAAAGGAAAAGATAAGTGGCAGGGAAAAAATACAATGGGTTAATGAGCAAATGAAAAGATACACAATCTTACTCATCACTAAAGAAATGAAAATTAAAACAAGATATCATTTTACTCATAAAATTGATAAATATTTATGAGTTTGATCCCACATGGCATTGGTGAGAGGGTGGGAACCCAGCATACGCGTGCCTTCCTGATGGCGGTGTGAACCATCTCACTTGTTTTGGAAGGCACTTCAGCAAGAATTTTGCCAGTGTTTTAACTTTCTAATGCCCTGCAACTTGGCCTCGAGCTACACTCTGCTAACTTGATCAGAGGAAGATCTTCTTTGGGCACCAATGATAGTTTATTTTTCAGTTTGGAAAGCTGTCTGACTTACCTCATTATGAATCAATGTATCAGTTTAACTCTGAAGGCAAAGGCAATTTTATTTCATTCATTTAATAGATGTTTGTTAGGCAGCTGCTGTGTGCCTCTGGGAACACAGTAGCGATCAGTGGGCATGGCAGGCAAGGCCTTTGCTCTCAAAGAATTTTTATTTTGATGGAGGAAGGCAGGCAACAAGCAAACACACAGATATATGATCAATAGCAGGAGAGAGCAAGTACTGTGGTGGAATCAAAACAGGCGAAGTGATGGCAAGTGGCTGGGGGATATTGAGATCAGTGGCCAGAGGGTCACTCCAGAGATATGACATTCAAGCTAAATGCTAGATGACAAGAGAGAGCTGGCCATGCCAAGACCTGGAGAGGTCTTGCAAGCAGAGGGCACAGCATGGCCGAAGGTCCTGGGGGCAGGAAGCCAGCGTTAGGGATTGAATAGTGTTCTCCCAAAATTCATATGTTCAAGCCCTGATCTTCAATGTGACTGTATTTGGAGACAGGGCCTTTAAAATGGTAATTAAAGCTTTCTGAGGTCATAAAGGTGGGGCCCTAATCCGAAAGAATTGGTGTCCCTATAGGAAGAGACCCAGGGATGTGTGTGCACAGAGGAAAGACACTGTGAGGAGACAGTGAGGAGATTATGTGAGGAGACTAAACTTGCAGCCACCTTGACTTGGACGTCCAGGCTCCAGAACTGTGAGAAAATAAGTGCCTATTGTTTGAACCACACAGTCTGTGGTATTTTGTTAATCAGCCTGAACTGATCAAGGCAACCAGTATGGCTAAAGCCTCATGACCACTTGGTAACAGAGGACTAGAATGAGCAGGGCTTTGAGGACTGGCATAAAGATGCTGGATGTGGTTTTCAGTGTGATGGGACACTACGGGGGGCAGGGGTTAAGTTTAGAATTCTCACTCTACTTGCTGTGAGGAGAATGGAATGAAATGGGCAAATAGGAAGCAGGAAGGACAATGAGGAGGACTTATCTTATAGAAGTCCAAAAGAGGTTGGGCGTGGTGGCTCATGCCTGTAATCCCAGCACTTTGGGAAGCCGAGGCGGACGGATCATCTGAGGTCAGGAGTTCGAGACCAGCCTCGGCAACATGGTGAAATCCCTTCTCTACTAAAAATACAAAAAAATTACCGAGGCCTGGTGGTGCATGCCTGTGATCCCAGCTACTCGAGAGGCTGAGGTAGGAGAATTGCTTGAACCCAGGAGGCAGAGGTTGCAGTGAGCCAAGAAGGCGCCATTGCACTCCAGACTGGGAGACAGAGTGAGACTCCATCTCAAAAAAAAAAAAAAAAGTCCAAAAGAGAAGACAGACGATGGTGGTAGCTAGGGTGGCAAGAAAGAGACAGAGAGGGCTGGGTGAATCTGGAATATAATGTAGTGTATGAGAGGTAAGCCTTGGGGACCTCTACCCAGTGGTGCACCCAGGAAGGGCAGTGGGTGTGGTCTGTCCTCGTGCCTGCAATAGGGGGTGCATTGTCTGGAGAGAATTTAAAGACAGTGGTAGTAATGACAGTCCTCTGCTTCATATTATCATCATGCTCTGACACTTCTAGACAATGTTTGGGATAGAACATTCCTCAACATGAACATGGACATCTCCTGTCATCTCCCAGTACCCACCATCTCACTCCCTTGGCCCAGACGCTGGGGCGGGAGCGTGAGCCCAGTAACTGCACCACTAGTGCTGTGAGGCAAACTGAGGGCCTCAAATTCTCACCTATTAGGCTAGCGACTTCCTCTCCATCCCTGAAGGGTGAGTGGATAAAGATGTGAGTGGAGAAAAACCAGAATCTCTCCTGCCAACACTTCCCTGCACAGTGAGACAGCATGAGCACAGACAGGTCGAGAGATGGCCAGGTGTTCCCAAATTCTCCTCAGCTTTCTGTTCTCTCTCAAACTTTTGGACTGATGGTCAAGCATATGATCAGCCAAGGACATAGCTGTCCCCAGAGAGAAGGGGTCAGCAGCACCAGGGCCACTCTGCTCCTTCTCCTGGGCCACTGCCCAATACCCGACAAGACTCTGAGGATCGTGTCCTGGCCCTAGAGACCCATGCAGTTCAGTTTTCACTCCAGTAGAATAGAGAAGGGTTACAAAAAGATGTTAACTTATTTCAAAGGCCAAGCTGAATTTTAGGCTGAGTTCATGCCTCGGCCAATACCCAGGCACACTAACCAAAATAGCTTATCCAAGATTAGGGACTGGATCAAAATAATGCACTATTGGTTCCCCAATATCAAGACTAGATAACTTGTCTCTTTACTAAAGTCCTAGAAGAAATTAGAGCTCAAAAGTGACATAAAAATGGAACTCCCCTTTCCCTTGTCAACCAAAGAAGCATAATTCTAAAATACCTTCCTCCTCCATCTCCCATTCTGCTCAGAGTCAGTCTTGCCTGGCTGTTGCAGGCTGCTCTGATTTCTAGGGAAGTGCTGCAGCTGCTATATCCTCCTAAGAGTAGATTCAGCCAACCCCAGAGCTCTAATGTGTCCCAGGTTCCCAAAGGGTCAAAAAGTCACCCTGACTCATGAGATGATTGATCAGAGCATCAGACCCATACAAACACCATTTATACATAATCTCCACAGCAAAAGCATTTCACAAATAGAAGCGATGTTCCCCTCTTACTTTAGCCAGCAATGGATCAAAGCAGAGAGTTGGTGGTGTTATGTGGAGGAAGTAGCACAGAGGAAAAAAAAAGTACGAAGGGAAAAATCATCTTGTCTTTGGATTTGCCTGTGTGCCAGTTACTCTATGCCAGCTGTCTGGAGTATACAACATGTTCACTTAAACTCAATTGGAAAAATTTTCCATCATGAGGTTCAACATACTGCCATATGCTCCTACCCGAGCCTTACATAAGGCCAAAGCTTCCTTCGCCTGCGCCGCTGCTGAGAACTTTCTCTTTCCGAATCCTGAGAAGTGAAGACCTCTGCCTGCCATGTGCTTCTTTTCTCAAACTTGCAGTAACTGTGGATTTCTTTAGCTCATTCTGGCTGACATAACCCCCAAAACATGTGATTCAGTGGTCCCTGAGAAATAAGAACCCCAAAAGCTTTTCCTTTTTCCAATTTTTTTCTTAATTCCCCCAGGCTTTGAATAAATTTAGCTGCCCAAGTGGCAGCACAAAATCCCTTTAACCACCCATGTCCTGATACATTAAATCCATAGCAATGGACTAAGGGGAAAAACTAAGCAAGTAACCTTGCCTCTCACATGCTCAACTCTCCAAACATCTCATCCATTTGAATTCTCCAACATTTGGATGTTTCTAGGCCCTTGAGATGAGTCTTCTTTAACTCTATTAAAGGCCTTTTTCTTTCTCCTTCCTTCCTTCCGTCCTTCCCTCCCTCCCTCCTTCCCTCTTTCCTTCCTTCCTTCCTTCCTTTTCTTCAGAGTTTCATTCTTGTTCCCCAGGCTGGAGTGCAATGGCGCGATCTCAGCTCACCGCAACCTCCTCCTCCCGGGTTAAAATGATTCTCCTGCCTCAGTCTCCCGAGTAGCTGGGATTACAGGCATGCACCACCACACCCAGCTAATTTTGTATTTTTTTAATATAGATGGGGTTTCTCCATGTTTGTCAGGCTAATCTTGAACTCCTGACCTCAGCTGATCCACCTGCCTCAGCCTCCCAAAGAGCTGGGATTACACGCATTAGCCACTGCGCCTGGCCTAAGGCCTTATTCTTTCTAGGGCTGTAGTCTGTGAAAGGCTCTGTGAGATCCTGAATTCCTGGAGAAATTAGATGGTCCAAGAAAACTTAACTGATGCCAGATGAGAAGTCTTTATCACTGCTCCAGACCAGATCCCTGCTTATTCATTTTGAGATTCCAAATAAACAGTGAGTTCCTTTTAGTTATAATTCCACCTGTGGCCAACTGCATTAGGATCCCTGGCACAGGTGCAGATGATTCTCAATTGCTGGGGCCTATGATTGCTAAGTCCAGATTCCTTGGCCTTGTCATTCTAGAGCTGCCATAATGATCTACACTGTAAGCAGCAGAAGAATTGGAACAGAGAGAGGAGTGTGGCCTGCATCTCACTCACCACAACCAATGGAACTAGAAAAAAGCTCATGCTTCTCTTGAGCATGTGGGAGTGAAAAAGGAAGCTGATCATTTAGTTTCTGCTTTGGAGGCATGGAGATCCTGCCTTCTACTAAAAGTGGTCAAATGAATGTCTTGTCCTTTGTCCCAAATAGCTCCATAAACAAGGACTAAAAGCTTGCCTGTAAAAGACAGTTTGTGGGTCCCATGCAGATATGTAGATATGTGTCAGTATTAGCCTGTTTGTATTGCTATAAAGGAATACCTGAGGCTGAATAATTTATAAAGAAAAGAGGTTGATTTGGCTCTTAGTTCTGCAGATTGCACAGAAAGCATGGGACCAACATCTGTCCCTGGTGAGGGCTTCAGGAAGCTTTTACTCATGGTGGAAGGCAAAGGGGAGCTGGTGTGTGCAGAGATTATATGGCAAGAGAGGAAACAAGAGAGGGGAGAGAGGTGCCAGGCTCTTTCTAACAACCAGCTCTCACAAGTACTAATAGAGCTACCACTCACTCATTACCTGAGAACTGCACCAAGCCATCCATGAGGGATCTGCACCCACAAACCAAACACCTCCTATCAGGCCCCACCTCCAATATTGGAGATCAAATTTCAACATGAGACTTGGTGGGGCCAAACAAATCATACCCAAACCACAGGATTTTGCCCCTGGTCTTCCAAATCTCATGTTTTTCTCACATGCAAAATACAATCATCCATTCTAATAGTCCTTAAAAGTCTTAACTTGTTCTATCATCAACTCAAAAGTCCAAAGTGTAAAGTTTCATCTGAAACTCAAGGAAAGTCTCTTAAGCTGTGAGCCTGTAAAATAAAAAACAAGTAATTTACTTCCAAGATATAATGGTGATACAGACATTGGGTAAACATTTCCATTTCAAGAAGGAGAAATCAGCCAAAAGAAAAGGGCAATAGGCCCTGCCCAAGTCTGAAACTCAGCAGGGCAGACATTAAATCTTTTTCTTTTTTTGTTTTTTCTTTTATTCTGAGGCAGGGTCTTATTCTGTGACCAAGGCTAGAGTGCAGTGGTATGATCACGGCTCACTGCAGTCTCAACCTCCAAGCTCGAGCAACCCTCCCACCTCACCCTCCTGAGTATCTGGGATCACAGGCATGCATCACCACACCTGGCAAATTAAACAACAACAAGAACAACAACAAAAAGTCATTTGTACAAATGGGGTCTCACTATGTTGCCCAGGCTGGTTTTGAACTCCTGGTCTCAAGCAGTTATCCAATCACAGTTTCCCAAAGTGTTGGGATTACAGGCATGAGCCATTGTGCCCAGCCAAGAAATTAATTCTTGAAGCTCCAAAATAATCTCCTTTGACTCCATGTCCCATATCCTGGGCACACTGGTGTCAGCGGTGGGCTCCCAAGGTGTTGGGCATCCACAGCCCCATGGCTTTGCTGGGTGCAGCCCATGTGGCTGCTCTCATGGGTTGTAGTCTGGTGCCTGCAGCTTCTAGGTTGAGGGTGCATGCTGCTAGTGGTTCTATCATTCCGGGGTCTGGAGCATGGCAGCCCTCTTCACAGCTCCACTAGGCAGGGCTCTGGAGGGCATTCTCTGTGGGAGCTCCAACTCTATATTTCTCCTTGGCATTGCCTTAGTAGAGGTTCTCTGCATGGGCTCCTGCATCAGGCTTCTACCTGGGCACCCAGAGTTTTCTATATATCCTCTGAAATCTAGGTAGAAGCTGCCAAGCCTCCATCACTCTTGAATTCTGGGAGCCTGCAGATTTAACACCATATGGAAGCTTCCAAGGCTTATGGCTTATGCCTTCTGGAGCAGCAGCCTGTACAGTACCTGGGGTCCTTTTGAGCTGTGGCTGGAGCTGGAGTGGCAGGGAGATAGGGAGCAGCATCCTGAAGTGGCACAGGGCAGTGACACCCTGGACCAGTTCCCCAAAACTGTTCTGCCCTCCTAGACCTCTGGGATTATAATGGAAAGGGTAGCCTCAAAGATTTCTGAAGTGCCTTCAGAGCCTTTTCCTTATTGTCTTGACTGTTAGCACCTGGCTCCCTTTTTTTTTTTTTTTTTTTTTTTTTGAGACGTAGTCTTGCTCTGTTGCCCAGGCTCTGGAGTGCAGTGGCACGATCTTGGCTCACTGCAAGCTCTGCCACTCGGGTTCACGCCATTCTCCTGCCTCAGCCTCCCAAGTAGTTGGGACTACAGCTTTTCACTTTCCCTTGTCTTTCTTTTCTTTCACCACACCTGGCTAATTTTTTGTATTTTTAGTAGAGATGGGGTTTCACCGTGTTAGCCAGGATGGTCTCGATCTCCTGACTTCGTGATCCGCCTGCCTTGGCCTCCCAAAGTGCTGGGATTACAGGCGTCAGCCTCCATTTTATTCTTGCTAATCTCTCTAGCAAGTTGTTCCAAATGTTTACACTCTGTTTACTCTTTAATTATAAATTCCAACTTTAGGTCATTTCTTTGCTCCCATAACTGATCATAAGCTGCTAAAAGCAGCTATGACATTTCTTGAATGCTTTGCTGCTTAGACATTTCTTGTTCCAGAAAACTGAGAAAAGGAAAAGCTTTTAGGTTCATTATTTCTCAGGGACCACTGAGTCACAGGTTTGGGGAGGTTATGTCAGCCAGAAGGAGCTGAAGAAATCCACAGTCACTGCAAGTTTGGGAGCAGAAGCACATGGCAGGCAGAGGTCTTCACTTGTCAGGATTCAGAACAAGAAAGTTCTCAGCAGTGGCTCAGGCGAGGAAGCTTTGGCTTTATGTAAGGCTCAGGTAGGAGCATATGGCAGTATGTTGAACTTCATGAAGGAAAATTGTTCCAATTGAGTCTAAGTGAACATGTTGTACACTCTAGCCTTTGTGAAAGGCTGATATTAAGATTGATAAACTTGCCTTCCACAAAGCTCTTGGGCATGAACACAATGTGGCCAAGTTCTTTGCTACAATGTAACAAGAGTGGCCTTGGCTCCAGTTCCCAATAAGTTCCTCATTTCCATCTGAGACTTTGTCAGCCTGGCCTTCACTGTCCATATCTCTATCAACATTTTACTTACAAGCACTTAACCAATCTCTAAGAAATTTCACTTTCCCTTGTCTTTCTTTTCATAAGCCCTCCAAACTTTTCCAACCTCTGCCCATTATTCAGTTCTGAAGCTGCTCCACATTTTCAGGTATCTTTACAGCAACATTCCACTCCTTGCTACCAATCTTCTGTCTTAGCCCATTTGTGTTGTCACAAAGGAATACCTGAGGCTAGGGAACTTATAAAGAAAAAAGGTTTATTTAATTCACAGTTCTGCAGACTGTACAAGAAATATAGTGCCAGCATCTGCTTCTGGTGAGAGCTTTAGGCTTTAGGCTGCTTCCATTCATGGTGGAAGGTGAAGGAGACCTGGCATATGCAGATCACATGGTAAAAGAGGAAGTGAGAGAGGGGAGGGAGGGAGGTACCAAGCTCTTTTTAACCATCAGTTCTCATAAGAACTAATCAAGCAAGAACTCATTCATTTCCATGAGAATGGCACCAAGCTATTCATGAGGGATTCTACCCCCAAGACACAAACACCTCCCATTAGCCCCCATCTCCAACACTGAGGATCAAATTTCAACACGAGACTTGGCAGGGATCACACGAATCCTATCTAAACCACAGAAGCATCCCACTCAGGTGTACATGCTTGAGCAGAATGCCAGTCTTGTTTCCCGTTACAAGACAGAGTAACTCCACTCATTAGTAAAACAGCATGAGGCTTTGAATACCAGCCCTGGCTATTTAAATTGTTTACCATAGTCACTACTTCTTCCTTGGAAAAGAGTGAGCTTGGGGAACAGTTAGGGGGGAGAGAGAGAGAGAGACGGCAAGAGAGAAAGCAAGCCTAACTGTTTATTATAATGCTTCCTCCTGTGTGCAGAATGTCAGATTGAGAGGCATGAGTAGTATATCAGCCAGGGTTTCAACAGAGAAACAGAACCAGTAGAATGTATATTGCGTGTGTGTGTGTGTGTGTGTGTGTGTGTGTGTGTGTGTGTGTGTGTAGAGTGAGATTTATGTGATTGTGGGGACTGACTAGGCTAATCAAGAATCTGTAGGGTGGATCATCAGGAAGGGCAAACTGAAAATCTCAACCAGCGGCTGATGCAGTTCACAGGGGAAGTTTTTGCTTCCTCAGGGAAACTTCAGTTTTGCTCTTAAGGCCTTCAACTGCTTGGATGAAGCTCACCCAGATTATCCAGGATAATTTTCCTCCTGTAAAGCCAACTAATTATAGACATTAATCCAATCTACAAAATACTTCACAGCAACACCTAGATTAGTGTTTGAATAACTAGATTCTACAGTCTAGCCAAGTTGACACAGGAAATGGACCATCACAAATAGTAAGGAAAACAGCAAGCTTTCTCCACTAACTAGGTGACTGTGAGGGGGAGGGTGTTTCAGACAGTGGGAACAGCATGTGCATAGAAGCATTGAAGGAAACTCAGAGTGTTGTGGGTGGGATGGAAGGTGGCAAAAAAAAAAAAAAAAGAAAGAAAGAAAAAAAAAACTCAGAGTGAAGAAGGAAAAGATTTATAAAGGTGAGCTGAAAAAATCATAAGTTGTCTTGCATTTTAGAGCTAGGAAGTTTAGATTTTATCGATATACTTAAATCTTAGAATTTTAAGATAGAGAGGGATATGTATTTATAGAAAGATCAAGGAGGTAACTCTAAGAAGGGACTGGAAGAGGCAAAAATGGAAACATGAAGGCAAGATAAGAGACAGTGGACAGGATCCAGGTAAGAAATGTGTTTCTAGGGGTCAAGCTGAAGACAAGGTATAAATTCATCATCAATTTAGTCTGTTTAAGAAGTAGAGTTTACAACACATGGTAAGGATTGAAAATGGGGTTGAGAGGTCAGAGAAGAGTCCAGGTGTTGGGCAACAAACAGGGTTTTTGGTCATTCATCTGTGAAACAGGGAATTGGGAGGGAGATCTGATTTGTATGTCTTGTGTTCATCATGAGTGGTGTGTATAGGGATCCTGTACAGAAAGGAGACTGTGAGCGTTCACATGTGAATAGGTAATACTAGAGCCCTAGAGAGATGTCTGAGCTGAAAATAGAACTTTGTGGTCTTCTAATATACATAGTGAGTTATACAATTGGAAGAGATTATTTAGGAAGTCTATGAGCATGAGACTCCAAAAAGAATAGGAAAAGAGGAAATAAGAGGATACAAGAAAAGAAAAGGCCAATGAGAAAATTCTCAGGGTCACTAACATTTAAAGAATTGGAATAGAAAGAGCATGTTGTGAATGACGTAAAAATCAGATGAGGTGAAAGTGCATGTTCTTTTCAATAAACCTCCCTAAATGATGATATTCTATAGAGTACTTACTGCCTTTGGTCCTCTTAAATGATTTATCTAATTCCGTCTATTGCCAGACACCATTCTGGAGATACAATGATGAGCAAGTCATGATTTAGGCCTTCAAGTATCCTAGAGCAGGGTTTCTTAATTTCAGCACTATTTTTCGTTTTATAATTTCAACTTTTATTTTAGATTAAGGGGTACATATGCAGGTTTGTTACATGGGTATATTGTGTGATGCTGAGGTTTGGGGTATAAATTACCCTGTCACCCAGGTGGCAAGCATAGTACCCCAATAGGTAATTTTTCAGCACTTTTCCCCCTCCCTCACTTATCTCTCTAGCAGTCCTCAATGTCTATTTTTTTTTGATAGGATTCTTTTTTTCCAACTTTTATTTGAGACTCAAGGGGTACATGTGCAAGTTTTTTACACGGGTAAATTTCATGTTGCAGGCATTTAGTGTACAGATTATTTTGTCAGCTAGGCCATAAGAATAGTATCTGACAGGTAATTTTTTGATCCTCACCCTCCTCCTACTCTCCACCCTCTGATAGACCCCAGTGCCTATTTTTCCCTTCTTTGTGTCCATGTGTAATCAATGTTTAGCTCTCACTAATATAATAATATAAATGAGAACATGCAGTATTTGGTTTTCTGTTCCTGCATTAATTTGTTTAGCATGATGGCCTCCAGCTACATTTATGTTGCTGAAAAGGACATGATCTCATTAATTTTTATGGCTGTGTAGTATTCCATGGTATAAATGTATGACATTTTCTTTATCAAGTTCACTGTTGATGGACATCTAGGCTGAGTCCATGTTTTGCCATTGTGAATAGCCCTGCAGTGAACATATGTGTGCATGTGTTCTTTGGTAGAATGATTTATATTCCTTTGGGTATATACCCAGTAAAGGGATTGCTGAATTGAATGGTAGCGCCAAGTTCTTTGAGAAGCCTCCAAACAGCTTTCCACAGTGGCTGCACTAATTTACATTCCCACCAGCAATGTATAAGTGTTCCCTTTTCTCTGCAACCTCACAAACATCTGTTATTTTCTGATTTTGTTTTTTTGTTTGTTTGTTTTTTCATAATAGCCATTCTGACTGGTGTGAGATGATATCTCATTGTGGTTTTGATTTGCATTTATGCTGAGCATTTTTTCATAGGCTTGTTAGTCACATGCATGTCTTTTTAAAAGAAGTGTTCATGTCCTTTGCCCATTTTTTAAAGGAGTTGTTTGGGTTTTTGTTTTTTTTTTTTTAACCTGTCAATTTGCATAAATTCCTAATAGTTTCCAGATACTAGACCTTTCTCAGATGCATAGTTAGCAAACATTTTCTCCCATTCTGTAGCTGTCTGTTTATTCTTGGCTTCTTTTGCTGTACAGAAGCTCTTTAGTTTAATTAAGTTCCATTTGTCAATTGTTGGTTTTTGCAATTGCTTACAGCATCTCCATCATGAAATCTTTGCCAAGGCCTATGTCCAAAATGATATTCCCTAGGTTTTCTTTTAGAGTTTTTATAGTTTTAGGTCTCACATTTAAGTCTTTATTCCCTCGAGTTGATTTTTGTATATGGCAAAAGGAAGGGGTACAATATTAATCTTTTGCATATGACTAACCAGTTATCCCAGCACCATTTATTAAATAGGGAGTCATTTCTTTATTGCTTGTTTTTGATGACTTTGTCAAAGATCAGATGGTTGTCGATATGCATCTTTATTTCTGGGTTCTGTATGCTGTTCCACTGGTCTATGTGTCTGTTTTTGTACCAGTACCATGCCATTTTGGTTACTGTAGCCTTGTAGTATATTTTGAGGTTGGGTTATCTGATGCCTCTGGCTTTGTTCTTTTTGCTTAGGATGGCTTTGGGTATTAAGTCTCTTACTTAATAACATATAAAGTTTAGAATAGTTTTTCTAGTTCTGTCAAAAATGACATTGGTAGTTTGATAGAAATAGCACTGAATCTGTAAATCACTTTGGGCAATAAGGCATTTTAGCAATATTGATTCTTCCTATCCATGACCATGGCACATTTTTCCATTTGTTTGTGTCATCTCTGATTTCTTTCAGCAGTGTTTTATAATTCTCATTGCAGAGATCTTTCACCTCCCTAGTTGGCTGTATTCCTAGCCATGTTATTATTTTTGTATCTATTGTGAATGTGGTTGCATTCTTGACTTGGCAGTCAACTTGGATGTAACTACTGTATAGAATTGATTTTGTATCCTGAAACTTTCTAAAGTTCTTTATTCTTGGAGCTTTTGAGCAGAACTATGGGGTTTTCTAGGTATAGAATCATATAATCTGTGAAGAAAGATAGTTTGACTTCTTCTCTTCCTATTTGGATGCCTTATATTTCTTTTTCTTGCCTGATTGCTGTGGCTAAGACTTTCAGTACTACGTTGAATAGAAATGGTGAGAGTGGGCATTCTTCTCTTGTTCTGGTTCTCAAGGGGAACACTTCCAATTTTTGTCTGCTCTCTATGATGTTGGCTGTGGGTTTGTCAGAAATGGCTTTTATTATTTTGAGGTATATTCTTTCAATGCCTAGTTTGTTGGGGATTTTTTTTTTTAACATGAAGGGATGTTGAATTTTGTAGAAAGCCTTTTCTGCATCTATTGAGATGATCATATGTTTTTTGTTTTTAGTTAGGTTTATGTGATGAATCACATGTGTTGATTCGCATATGTTGAAAAAAACTTGTATCTTAGGAATAAATCTTGCCTGTTTGTGGTAAATTGGCTTTTTGATATGTTGTTGGATTGGGTGTACTAATACTTTGTTGAGGATTTTTGCATCTATGTTCATCAGGGATATTGGCTGGATGTTTTATTTTTTTCACTGTGACTCTGCAAGGTTTTGGTATCAGAATAATGCTATCATTGTAGAATGAGATAGGGAGAAGTCCCTTATTTTCATTTTTTCGGAATAGTTTCAGTAGGGCTGGTACCTGCTCTTTATACATGTGATAGAATTTAGTTGTGAATCTGTCTGGTGCAGGGTTTTCTGTGGTTGGCAGGCTTTTTATTACTGATTCAATTTTGGAACTTGTTATTGGTGTGTTCAGAGTTTCAATTTCTTCCTGGTTCAACCTTGGGATCTTATATGTTTCCAGGAATTTCTTCATTTCTTGTAGGTTTTCTAGTTTGCATGCATAGATGTATTCATAAGAATCTCTGATTTTTTTTATATTTTCGTGGGGTCAGTGGCAATGTCATCTTTGTCATTTCTGGTTGTGTTTATTCGGATCTTCTTTTTTTCATTAGCTAGTGGTATACCAATCTTATTTATTCTTTCAATAAATTGTTGGTTTAATTGATCTTCTGTATGGCTTTTCCCACCTCAATTTCATCCAGTTCAGCTCTGATATTGGTTATTTCTTTTCTTTTGGTAACTTTGGAATTAGTTTGCTCTTTTTTCTCTAATTCTTCAAAAGTGTGATGTTACCTTGTTAATTTGAAATCTTTCTAATTTCTTGATGTAGGCATTTAGTGCTATAAACTTTCCTCTTAACACTGTTTAGCTGTGTCTCAGAGATTCTTGTATGTGTATCTTTGCTTTGATACAACATACAAAAAAGGAAAATTTTGATTTTTGCCTTCATTTTATTCTTTACCCAAAAGTCATTCAGAAGCAAGCTGTTTAATTTCTATTTAATTGTATGGTTTGAGAGATCTTCTTAGTATTAATTTAAGTTTTTAATGTGCTGTGGTCCAGGAGTGTGGTTGGTATGATTTTGGTTTTTTTGAATTTGTTGAGAATTTTTTATGGCTGATTGTGGGGTTGATCTTGGAGTATGTGCTATGGGCAGATGAGAAGAATGTATATTCTCTTGTTATTGGGTAGAGTATTCTGTAGATGTCTGTTAGGTCCATTTGGTCAAGTGTTGAGTTTGGGTCCTAAATATTTTAATTAGTTTTCTGTCTTGATGATCAGTCTAACATTATCAGTGTGGTGTTCAAGTCTCCCACTATTATTGTACCATTATCTAAGTCTCTTCTCAGGTCTCTAAGAACTTGCTTTTTGAATCTGTGTGCTCTAGTGTGGGTGCATATATATTTAAGATAGTTGAGTCTTCTTACTGAATTAAACCCTTCATCATTATGTAATGCCTATCTTTGTCTTTTTTTATTGTTATGGGCTTAAAATCTGTTTTTTTTTTTTTTTGAAATAAGAATAGTGACTTCTGTTCTTTGTTTTCCATTTGCTTGATAGCTCTCTCTCCATTCCTTATCTTTGAGCCTATGGATGACATTGCATGTGAGATGGGTCTGTTGAAGACAGCATACAGTAGTGTCTTAATTCTTTATCCAATTTGCCACTTTGTGCCTATTAAGTGGGGCATTTAACCTGTTTATACTCAATGTTAATATTTGTATGTGAGGATTTGATATTGTTGTTGTGTTGTTAGCCGGTTGTTATGTAAACTTGATTATGTACTTGCTTTATAGTGTCAGTTGGCAGTGTATTTAAGTGTTTTTTTTGTGGTAGCAGGGAACTGTTTTTTGTTTCCATATTTAGCACTCCCTTAAGGACCTCTTCTAAGGTAGGACTGGTGATAATGAAGTCCCTTAGCATTTGCTTCTCTGAAAAAGATTTTATTTCCACTTCACTTGTGAAGGTTAGTTTTGCTGAATATGAAATGCATGGTTGATATTTCTTTTCTTTAAGGATGCTGAATACATACTCCAATCTCTTCTGGCTTGTAAGTTTTCTGCGGAATGGTCTACTGTTAGCCTGATGGTGTTCTCTTTACATGTGACCTGCCCATGCTGTCTATCTGCCTGTATTATTTTTTCTTTTGTGTAGACTTTGTAGAATCTGAGGATTACATGTCTTAGGGATGGCCATCTTGTACAGTATTTTGCAGGACTTCTCTCAATTTCCTGAATTTGCATGTCAACCTCTCTAGCAAGGTTGGCAAAATTTTCATGGACAGTATCCTCAAATGTTTTCCAAATCGCTTTCTCATCCACATCTATTCCAGGAATGCAAAAGAGTCACAGGTTTGATCTCTTTACATAATTCCATATTTCTTGGAGGTTTTGTTCATTTTTAAAAATCATTAACAATTTTTTTTGACTGCCTTTGCTGGTTCAAAGGAATTTCAAGCTCTGAGATTCTTTCCTCAGCTTGATCTATCCTGTTATTAATGCTTCAAGTTGAATTCTGTAATTTCCATAGTGAATTTTTTATTTCTAAGAGTTCAGTTTGGTGCTTTCTTAAAATGTCTATGTCATCTTTAAACTATTGGGCCATTTTATTGTTTTCCTTGGATTGAATTTCAACCTTATTTTATCTCAATGAGTTTCCTTGCCATCAAGATTCTGAATTCTATGTCTGTCATTTCAGCCTGGTTAAGAAACATTGCTGGGGAGCCAGTGCAGTCATTTGGAGGTAAGAAGATACTCTGGCTTTTGGAGTTGCCAAAGTTCTTGTGCTGGTTCATTTTGATCTGAGTGGTCTAATGTTCCCTTATTCTTTGAAGTTGTTGTCTTTTGGATGAGGCTTTTTGCTTTTGTATTCTTTGATGCCTTTAAGCATTTGACTGTGGTATGGGTTGGGTTTAGTCAAGTGGCATCATTTCTACATGCTTTCAGGGGGCCAAATTTTATCTTGGCATTCTTGGGCTGCATGCCCTAACTCTTGGGGGCTGGGATCAGGCCACCTGCAGCTTTGTTATTTGGCCTCTCAAGGTTAAGCACCTGCTGCACTAGAGGGGTTAAGGGGTTCCCAGCCTGCTGGCATCAAAATTCCAATGGAGGCTGCTGGCGAAAGCACCCCAGGGGGGCGGTAGTGACCTCCTTCACATACACATGCCAGCAAAGTGGCAGGGGTCCTTGTGTGCGTATGCACTGGTTATGGATCTGCAGGTGTATGTGCATCTGCAAGTCTGTGCATCTATGCATGCTGATGGGGCAGTGGCTGGCCCCATGCACATGTGCAGCAGTGGGTTGGTTGTGGGGAGGTTGAGGGTGAGTGGGCACAGGACAAGGAAGGCTGTGGGTTGGTCCATGCTGGTGGGGATCGGTGGGGATCTAGCTTCAAAAGTGTTATGATGGGTAGGTGATGTCTGTCAGTGAAAAAGCTGTGGTGGTGGCCGCTAGCAAGCTGAGGCTGTGCTGCTAATGGGTGCAGCCAGGCAGGGACCCTGGGAGAGGCTGACAGATATAGGGGTGTTCAGATCACATTGGCCTCACCCCACTGGCAAGACAGCCCTGCTTTGTCCACATCTAGCAGCTAATAAAAGCTAAAGCTACCTGGGGGAGTATGTTGAGCTTTGGAGGATGGGCACCAATAACCATTCTCCACTGCAGCCATTCCCATGCCAAACCTCCTGGGCTCTGTGCAGGCCGGAGTTCTGCCTCTGCAAACTCTCTGGGCAGTTCTCCCTACCAGCTCAGATGTCTGTGGGGATCATGGGGTCTGCTGCAGCTACAATCCCAGAGGACCATGGCTACAGTTGGCCAGTCCACACCTGTTTCGCTTGCTCCTTTCCTAGGAGCTGCTAATGGTGAGGTATGAGTGCCAGTTCTTAGAAACCCCATGCAGGTTTCCCAGCTATCTCTCCTTTTATCCTGCAGCCTGTATCCTCGCTCTGTCAACTCCCAATGCCCAAAAGTCATTCAGAAACTACTTTCAGATCTGCTCAGAGTGTGCCAGTCTACCTGATGGTCTGGTCTCTCCCGATGGGAGAAGCTCTTCCTGGCTGTTTGTAGTCAGCCATCTTGGCAGAGCTCAAAAAAAAAAAAAAATCACCCTTCTAAAGACTACTACTAAGTCAATTAAATTTGTAGGCAATAAAATTGTTAATATTGTTAATGGGATTTCAGTTATATTTTTGTGTTTTCATAGCTGACAACAGAGATATTTGGATTAAAATATCATCACCATGGAGGCTTTTTAGTTCCTGCTTATAAAATTATCAAATTTATATAATATTAATAGATCACTTTCTTACTGGTGGAAAGAAAGCTTTTCTAAACAGCTTTCCACCAGTAAAAAGTTGTGGCAAAGTCTCTGTAACCAGAAATGCTGGTTATCAAAATGCAAGAAATGTATAAAAAGCTTTGAATAATGTTTATGAATTGTCAAAGTATAATACATTTGTATTTCTCCAGTTTTACTGTTAAAGAGCAATGAGGAGAATTGTTGTGTTATATTTTTGTTCACTATAAAAATAAATTAAAATAGGCCAGGTGTGGTGGCCCATGCCTGTTATCCCAGCACTTTGGGAGGCCAAGGCAAGAGGATTGCTTGAGGCCTGGAGTTCGAGATCAACCTGGGCTGAATAGCAAGACCCTGTCTCTCCAAAAAATAAATTAAACTAGCTCCAAGCATCTCTATTCTCTTTCCTGGTCTACCTAAATGAGAGCTTCTTAATGGAATCTTCTTACTCTACTAACCTCTCCAATTCTTGGATAAAAAGTACTCTTGACTCTGCTGTGGTTATTTAGATCTGTGATGCTGTAATCTTAAGCTCTGTTAACTAGAGATTGGTCCTAGATGCCACCTCCCTCCCACCTAGTTGAAGTGACAGAGTCTCTGTCGCCCAGGCTGGAGTGCAATGTTGGGATCTCAGCTCACTGCAACCTCTGCTTCCTGGGTTCAATCCATCCTCCCACCTCAGCCTCCCAAGTAGCTAGGATTACAGGCATGCTCCATCACACCTGGCTAATTGTTTTATATTTTTAATAGAGACAGGTTTTCACCATGTTGGCCAGTCTGGTCTCAAACTCCTGAACTTAAGTGATCTGCCCGCCTCGGCCTCCCAAATTGTTGGGATTACAGGCATGAATCACCTTGTTCGGCCGAACTGTAATCTTTGCTAGTAGAGAGTCTTGCCTCAATGCTGATGGCTGCTGACAGATCATAGTGGTGGTTATTGAAGGCTGGGGTGGCTGTGGCAATGTCTTAAAATAAGAACATCCATACTGTTCTTGTTGATTTTTCACCTCCTTCCATAAATCACAAATGTTCGTAATGCCATCCATAATGGGGAGTCCTTTCCAGCAAGTTTTCAATGTACTTTGCCAGATCCATTAGGGGAATCACTATCTATGACAGCTATAGCCTTACAAAATGTATTTCTTAAATAATAAAATTTGAAAGTTGAAATTACTCCTTGATCCATGGGCTGCCGAATGGATGCTGTGTTAGCAGGCATGAAAACAATATTAATCTCCTTGTACGTCCCCATTCAAGAACTCTTGAATGACTAGGTGCATTGTCAATGAACAGTAATACTGTGAAAGAAATCTTTTTTTTTCCTGAGGTATAGGTCTCTTCAGTAGGCTTAAAATATTCAGTAAACCATTCTGTAAGCAGATGTGCTGTCATCCTGACTTTGTTGCTCCATCTATAGAGCAAAGACAGAGTAGATTTAGCATAATTCTTAAGGGCCCTAGGATTTTTGGATAGTAAATGAGCATTGGCTTCAACTTAAAGTCATCAATTGCATTAGCCCCTAAAAAGAGAATCACTGTGTCCTTTGAAACTTTGAAGCCAGGCAGTGACTTCTTCTAGCTATGAAAGTCCTAGATGACATCTTCCAATAGAAGACTGTTTCATCTACATTGAAAGTCTGTTGTTTAGTGTAGCCACCTTCATCAATTATCTTAGCTAGATCTTTTGAATAACCTGCTGCAGATTTACATCAGCACTTACTGCTTCACTTTGTACTTTCATCTTACGAAGATGATTTCTTTCCTTAAACCTATGAACAAGCCTGTGTTAGATTCAAACTTTTATTCTGCTGTTTCCTCACCTCTCTCAGCCTTCAAAGAATTGAAGACATTTAGGGACGTGCACTGGATTAGGCTTTGGCTTAAGAGAATGTCATGGCTGGTTTAATCTTCTATACAAACCACTAAAACTTTCTCCATATCAGCAATAAGTCTATTTCACTTTCTTATCACTGCAGTAACACTTTTTTCAAGAATTTTTCTTTTGCATTCACAACTTGGCTGTTTGGTACAACAAGCCTAGCTTTTGGCCTATTTCAACTTTTGACATGCATTCCTCACTAAGCATAATCCTTTTGATTTAAATGAGAGACTTGTAACTTTTTCTTTCACTTGAACACTTATAGCCACCGTATGGTTATTAATTGGCCTGATTTCCATATTATTGTGTTTCAAGGATAGGAAAACCCAAGGAGAGGGGAAAAGATAGCAGAACTGCTGGTCATGGAATAGTCAGAGCACATACAACATTTATTGATTAAGTTGGCTATCTTATATGGGTGAGGTTTGTGACGCTCCAAAGTAATTACTAGGTTGGTGCAAACGTAATTGTGGCTTTTGCATTTTTGGGTTCTATGCTAATAAATGCTATGCCACTTTATATAAGAGAGTTGAGCATCCCTGGAGTTTGGTATTCATGGGGGTACTGGAACCAATTTCCCACAAATATAGAGTGGCAACTGAGTTTTGTTATGGCAGACCTAGAAAAGTATTAATATAGTAGTAACATCAAAGATTACTGATACTAATCACCATAACACATAAAATAGTAAGGAAAAAGTTCAAAATATTTTGGCAATTATCAAAATGTGATATCAAAATGTGACATAAAGAAACAAAGTGAGCACATGCTATTGGAAAAATGGTACCAATAGACTTACTTGATGCAGGGTTGTCACAAATCTTCAATTAGTAAAAAATGCAGTATCTGTGAAGCACAATAATGCAAAGTTTAATAAAATAAGGTATGCATGTATATATCACATTTTATTGATCCATTATTCCATAATTGGACAGTTGGTCAGTTTCCAGCTTTTAGCTATTGTGAATAATGCTTCTATGAACATTGGTTTACAAATATATGCTCAAGTCCCTGATATCAATTATTTTGCATATATACTTGGAAGTGGAATTGCTAAATCATATGATGTATTTGATGAATTTTCATATGTTGAAACATCCTTGCATTCCAGAAACAAATCCCACTTGATCATAGGTGTATAATCACATGCTGCTGAATTCAGTTTGTTCATATTTTGTTGAAATTTTAAAATTTTTTACATTAATTTTCATAAGAGTTATTGATCTGTATTTTTTTTTTGTAGCATTTTTGTCTGGCTTCAGCATCAGGATAATGCTGGCCCTACAGGAAAAGCTAGAAAGTGATTTCCTGCTCTTTGAGTTTTAGAAAAGTTTGATAAAGGCTGGCTTTGAGTTGCTGTGTAGCATCCTTCCATTTCAGCCTGAAAGTCTCCCCTTATCATTTCTTGTAAAGCAGAGCTAGTGGGAATAAACCCCTCAGATTTTGCTTATCTGAAAATGTCTGAATTTTTCCCTCATTCTGGTGGACAGTTTTGTTGGACATAGGATTCTCAGTTTAGAGTTTTGTTTTTCTTTTAGTACTTTAAATATATTAGCCAACCAACATTGGATTCCAAAGTTTCTTCCTAATAAATTGGTTGATAATCTTACTGCTGATGATTGGCACAGGATAAATCACTTCTTTATTGCTGCTTTCATGTTCCTTTTTCCTTGTTTTTATTTTTCAACAGTTTGGTAATGATGTGTTTCAGTGTAGTTTGAGTTTAGCTCACATAGAGTCTATTGAGCTTCTTGGATTTGTAGATTCATACCTTTAATCAAATTTGGAGATTTTTAGACATTATTTCTTCAAATAATCCCTTTGCCCTTTGTTCTCTCTGCCTTCTTGAACTCTCATAATGCATATATTGGTCCTCTTAATGGGGTGCCACAGGTATCTTCAGCTTTTTTGACTTTTTTCATTCTTTTTTGTAGGCTTTCTCATCAATAGTTTTTGACAATTTATTTTGTTCCCTTAAGTAGGTCATGTTTTCTTGTTTCTTTGCATGCCTTGTAATTTGTTGTAATTGTTGAAAAGTGAGCATCTGAAAAACAGACACATCTTCCAGTTTTTGAAGACAGACTCTGTCTAGGACAGTACTTCACTGATTAGCTGGATTTTCTCTGAGCCTAGGGATCAGCTAAAGGTGGAAGTTTAAGGTATTTTCTGAGTATTCATCTTTCCAGGGTCTGAAATTGGCCTTCTCAACTCTAAAATATACATGACTTCTCTCAAACGTCCTAATTTTCCAAAGAGTCTTACCCTAGATTCTCCTCAGGGCCTTAGATGGTGTATTCTATGTCTCTACCTGTAATCTTTTGTCATAGACATCATCAGGTCTGAAGTCTCCCTGTGGCTTTCAAAAGCAGAGCCTGGTACTTATACCACCTAAGATGTGAGTTATGCGAAATAGAAACCAGGCCTTTGAGCAGTCCCTGAACAGTTTAGAACATTGCAGATAAAATCTTCTCCCCTCTCTCCAGTTTGAGGGGGAGAACTGATAGCTGGGCTGTCACCTCTTCCAGGCCAAGACCATGAAACACAGAAGAGAGATGGGAATTTGGGCAAAGGCAGGTGAAAACACCTTAAAATGTCCTACCATATGAAGGTGGCCTTTTCCTGATTGAGTGTACATTCATTTGCTGTAAATCTTTGACTTTTTTTCAGAGCTTCTATAAGGTTAGTTCAGCCAGTTTCTGGTTCTTCCTTGGTGTTTTTGGTGTTTTCAGAGCTTAGAGATTCCTAGTCTGCCATTTTGCTAATGTCACTCTTGTCAGTTAGTCTTTTCATTGAACCATTTAATGAGTTCTCCTCATTCATTGACAACAGGACAGGGGCCATTCATTCTAAAGCACCACTGATACATATTTCACCAGTCCTCAATGGTATTATTTTCCATCCACATCCTATAGCCAGTTTCTACCATTCCACCAAAAATTACTGTCAAAGGCAACTTAATGACAGAGAAAGGACTTGGGGTTTTGAGATCATCAGGACTTGGTTAAAATTCTGGTCCATAATTACTTGTTTTTGTATCTTGGACAACCATCATAAACTCTGCAAGTCTCAGTATAGTGAGTTATTTCATTATTTTACCTGTAATATAATCACTTTGCAAATTTGATTTAAAAATCAAGATTAGGCTTGTGACTACCCCACCCCCCACCAATAACTCAAAATCCATCTCTCCCTTTTTTTCGCATGGTTTATCCTATGGAAATCCAATAAGAACTTTTATGCCTCTTTCGAATCGCTGTAGCACTTGTTATCTGTATCATTTATAAATATGTCAGTTGCAACTCTGTGACTGGAAATACAGTTTTTCTCTTTGCTTATGCCTTGGATCTTTCTTAATAATGTGTTCATTTGGAAATAAAGTCATGTCTCTATCTGTCAATTTATCTGTTGCTTATTTATTGACTGTTTCATAGACATTGTGTTCAGTTCTGGTTACAGATGCTAGTGAAATATAGTTCTACCGCAGAAGCTTACAGTCTGCAGAAAATAGAAAAAAACCAACAGCCTATGCCTCAAATACTTTTGCGTTTCCCAAAGAGAACACAATTAGTAGGTACAATAAATTAATGTGTTATAGGTAAACATATAGTTATTTGGCATCAAAACCCAGTTAACCACTTTTCTATTTTGAAATAGAAAACTTTTCTTTTCTCCTTGGTTTGCTCCTTGATATCTGGGATAAACTTAAGCCAGCAAGGAGCAAACCTTATGAGGTTCAGAACTTTAGTTCAGAGAAGCATTGAGAAGTTATTATCTGAACACTTATACAACATGCTTGACATGAAAATAGAGCTGGAAATCTCTCAAAGTTAGGGATCTTTCAGGAATTTCAATACTTCCTGCTGTTGGTTGGAAGGCCTTTAAGAATAGCCTCCTTTAAAATGCAGTTAAATATTCAACGACCTATGTATTGGCTAAGTGAGCTCAAGAAGGGAAAGAAACTTGTGTTTTAGTTCCATTTACTATGGAGCCTCTGGTCAAATTATTCACTTCTGCTATATCTCTGTCAGCTTATCATCTATAAAATAGAGGAAGCTCTAAAAACGTAGTGAGAGATGCTGCACAGCTTTATGTGTAATTGTGTTCATTTATCTTAGAATACCAAGGACATCTAAACTATTACTGCAGACAATTCAAATGTTATTTGGGGTCATCTAGTAGACTCTGTGGAAACAAAAGTAAAGAGGCCCCAGAATAACTGACTTTTCCAAGGGGCCACAATTATTTTCTGGCCAACTTGGAACAAAAACCTAGATCTCCTCAATTCCACTCTATTGTTCTTTCATTGAGTCCTAAACACAGATGCATAAACAGAAAATAAAATCCTTCTGTTCTATGTAACTTGTGCAGGGTTTGGCAATATCAAAATTGCAGCACTGAGTATTAAGAGGCATTTGGAAAATTCTGAAAATGAAGTAGGATACAGAACTCTGATACTGTAGATGAGCAGAACTGGTAAATAAAAGTGTATGAGGACTGTAGTTTCTAATAGGATAGTTGAGTTATTTTCTTCTGGTACCTTGAAGGCTCCAACCCAACATACAACTCTAAAACAAAATAAATTTTTCAACTAGATCACATTGAGTTCTACATGCATTCATGCAGACATGCATACATCTACATACACTGATGTAAATCAATAAAATATCCCATGTATCATTTATCATTTGCTTTTCTTGATTTTTAATTTCTACTTCATTCTTTCCAAACATAGAACAGAGACTGAATATAGGTATATGGGAGGCCACGGAGATGAAATAAGCTCACTTCATTCACCATGAAAATTAAGAACCTGACAACCTCTTTGTAGCTGAGAGTATCCAGACCAACTATCTTTGCTTTATAGGCAAGACTTCTGGAAAAATCAAGCTGACAAACTCTTAATTACCCAGTGTCCCTTGTCTGTTTCAATAAGTACAATTATATGAGAATTCTTCTAGAGACAGAGAAGGGCAGCCTTACTATCACCATGACCATAATGTGGATATGATGGGCTCAAATTATGTTAGAAGGGATGGAGCCTATTTCCCATTACTAATATTAATATAGTATAGCATTTAATATTCTCTTGGTTTTGTGCTAAATAATTTTTTCCATTCATTTAAATGGATGGGCTATAATTGAGTCTGTAGTGTATGTACTGTTGAAAGCTGAATAAATCTTTGTGGGTTACTAGTATCACTTTTATAAGTCACAGGTTTCTAGGGAAGATCTGCTGAAAAACTCTCAGTCTAGTATTACATTTATAACAAAATTGTAATGTAGCCTTCAGCAAGTTAAGCTCATCTGTAAAAGAAAGATACTTACACAGTAGATAAATTGTGTCATTTACAGGAAAATTTGAATTCTCATATTCTGATTCTTTCTCAGCAACTTCCTAAAGCTGAGAGTAAGTCCGGGGGCCTCGAAACTGCGCTCCATTACACAATAGAGGCTCTGAAAGAAAAGGCTTTGGTTTTTGAACACGTACAAAGAGAGCTAAACCAAACACAGTGTCAAATGAAGGACACTGAAAAAAATGTACAAAGATGGCCAAGATAAAGTAGAAAAATGCATAGAAAAGCAAATAAAATTATGTCAACTACAAAGACAAAATATGTTACTTCAACAGTAACTGGATGATGCTCACAACAAATCTGACAATCAAGAAAAAACAATAATTGATATTCAAGCCAAATGTGATGTTAGAGTACAAAACCTTCAAGCTGAGTGCAGAAAGCACTGTCTTTTGCTAGGAGAAGATTATAAGAAGTTGATCAATGAATTTAATCATTTGAAAGAAAAACAATGTCAATATGAAAGAGAAAAAGAAAGAGTAGTTGTGAGACAACTTCAACAAAAACAGGATGATATTCTAAACAAACAATCAACAACAAAAGCTCTGCTGGATGCTTCATTGTGTCACTGCGTCCATCTAGAATGTGAGATGCAGGATTCAAGGAAGAAATTAGGCCAGATGAGAAGTCAATTTCAAGAAATACAGGATCTTGGGAGGGTGTATGTGTCGAGGAATTTATCCATTTCTTCTAGATTTTCTAGTTTATTTGCGTAGAGGTGTTTGTAATATTCTCTGATGGTAGTTTGTATTTCTGTGGGATCGGTGGTGATATCCCCTTTATCATTTTTTATTGCGTCTATTTGATTCTTCTCTCTTTTTTTCTTTATTATTCTTGCTAGCGGTCTATCAATTTTGTTGATCCTTTCAAAAAACCAGCTCCTGGATTCATTAATTTTTTGAAGGGTTTTTTGTGTCTCTATTTCCTTCAGTTCTGCTCCAATTTTAGTTATTTTTTGCCTTCTGCTAGCTTTTGAATGTGTTTGCTCTTGCTTTTCTAGTTCTTGTAATTGTGATGTTAGGGTGTCAATTTTGGATCTTTCCTGCTTTCTCTTGTGGGCATTTAGTGCTATAAATTTCCCTCTACACACTGCTTTGAATGCGTCACAGAGATTCTGGTATGTTGTGTCTTTGTTCTTGTTGGTTTCAAAGAACATCTTTATTTCTGCCTGAATTTCGTTATGTACCCAGTAGTCATTCGGGAGCAGGTTGTTCAGTTTCCATGTAGTTGAGCGGTTTTGAGTGAGATTCTTAATCCTGAGTTCTAGTTTGATTGCACTGTGGTCTGAGAGATAGTTTGTTATAATTTCTGTTCTTTTACATTTGCTGAGGAGAGCTTTACTTCCAAATATGTGGTCAATTTTGGAATAGGTGTGGTGTGGTGCTGAAAAAAATGTATATTCTGTTGATTTGGGGTAGAGAGTTCTGTAGATGTCTATTAGGTCTGCTTGGTGCAGAGCTGAGTTCAATTCCTGGGTATGCTTGTTGACTTTCTGTCTCGTTGATCTGTCTAATGTTGACAGTGGGGTGTTAAAGTCTCCCATGATTAATGTGTGGGAGTCTAAGTCTCTTTGTAGGTCACTCAGGACTTGCTTTATGAATCTGGGTGCTCCTGTATTGGGTGCATATATATTTAGGATAGTTAGCTCTTCTTGTTGAATTGATCCCTTTACCATTATGTAATGGCCTTCTTTGTCTCTTTTGATCTTTGTTGGTTTAAAGTCTATTTTATCAGAGACTAGGATTGCAACCCCTGCCTTTTTTTGTTTTCCATTTCCTTGGTAGATCTTCCTCCATCCTTTTATTTTGAGCCTATGTGTGTGATGGGTTTCCTGAATACAGCACACTGATGGGTCTTGACTCTTTATCCAATTTGCCAGTCTGTGTCTTTTAATTGGAGCATTTAGAAGAAGTTGAATCTCGGAATAGACCAATAAAAGGATCTGAAATTGTGGCAATAATCAATAGCTTGCCAACCAAAAAGAGTCCAGGACCAGATGGATTCACAGCCGAATTCTACCAGAGGTACAAGGAGGAACTGGTACCATTCCTTCTGAAACTATTCCAATCAATAGAAAAAGAGGGAATCCTCCCTAACTCATTTTATGAGGCCAGCATCATCCTGATATCAAAGCCGGGCAGAGACACAACCAAAAAAGAGAATTTTAGACCAATATCCTTGATGAACATTGATGCAAAAATCCTCAATAAAATACTGGCAAACCAAATCCAGCAGCATATCAAAAAGCTTATCCACCATGATCAAGTGGGCTTCATCCCTGGGATGCAAGGCTCGTTCAATATATGCAAATCAATAAATGTAATCCAGCATATAAACAGAACCACAGACAAAAACCACATGATTATCTCAATAGATGCAGAAAAGGCCTTTGACAAAATTCAACAACCTTCATGCTAAAAACTCTCAATAAATTAGGTATTGATGGGACGTATTTCAAAATGATAAGAGCTATCTATGACAAACTCACAGCCAATATCATACTGAATGGGCAAAAACTGGAAGCATTCCCTGTGAAAACTGGCACAAGACAGGGATGCCCTCTCTCACCACTCCTATTCAACATAGTGTTGGAAGTTCTGGCCAGGGCAATTAGGCAGGAGAAGGAAATAAAGGGTATTCAATTAGGAAAAAAGGAAGTCAAATTGTCCCTGTTTGCAGACGACATGATTGTATATCTAGAAAACCCCATTGTCTCAGCCCAAAATCTCCTTAAGCTAATAAGCAACTTCAGCAAAGTCTCAGGATACAAAATCAATGTACAAAAATCACAAGCATTCTTATACACCAATAACAGACAAACAGAGAGCCAAATCATGAGTGAACTCCCATTCATAATTGCTTCAAAGAGAATAAAATACCTAGGAATCCAACTTACAAGGGATGTGAAGGACCTCTTCAAGGAGAACTACAAACCACTGCTCAAGGAAATAAAAGAGGATACAAACAAATGGAAGAATATTCCATGCTCATGGGTAGGAAGAATCAATATCGTGAAAATGGCCATACTGCCCAAGGTAATTTACAGATTCAATGCCATCCCCATCAAGCTACCAATGCCTTTCTTCACAGAATTGGAAAAAACTACTTTAAAGTTCATATGGAACCAAAAAAGAGCCCGCATCGCCAAGTCAATCCTAAGCCAAAAGAACAAAGCTGGAGGCATCACACTACCTGACTTCAAACTATACTACAAGGCAACAGTAACCAAAACAGCATGGTACTGGTACCAAAACAGAGATATAGATCAATGGAACAGAACAGAGCTCTCAGAAATAATGCTGCATATCTACAACTATCTGATCTTTGACAAACCTGAGAAAAACAAGCAATGGGGAAAGGATTCCCTATTTAATAAGTGGTTCTGGGAAAACTGGCTAGCCATATGTAGAAAGCTGAAACTGGATCCCTTCCTTACACCTTATACAAAAATCAATTCAAGATGGATTAAAGACTTAAACATTAGACCTAAAGCCATAAAAACCCTAGAAGAAAACCTAGGCATTACCATTCAGGATATAGGCATGGGCAAGGACTTCATGTCTAAAACACCAAAAGCAATGGCAACAAAAGACAAAATTGACAAATGGGATCTAATTAAACTAAAGAGCTTCTGCACAGCAAAAGAAACTACCATCAGAGTGAACAGGCAACCTACAAAATGGGAGAAAATTTTCTCAACCTACTCATCTGACAAAGGGCTAATATCCAGAATCTACAATGAACTCAAACAAATTTACAAGAAAAAAACAAACAACCCCATCAAAAAGTGGGCAAAGGGCATGAACAGACACTTCTCAAAAGAAGACATTTATGCAGCCAAAAAACACATGAAAAAATGCTGATCATCACTGGCCATCAGAGAAATGCAAATCAAAACCACAATGAGATGCCATCTCACACCAGTTAGAATGGCAATCATTGAAAAGTCAGGAAACAACAGGTGCTGGAGAGGATGTGGAGAAACAGGAACACTTTTACACTGTTGGTGGGACTGTAAACTAGTTCAACCATTGTGGAAGTCAGTGTGGCGATTCCTCAGGGATCTAGAACTAGAAATACCATTTGACCCAGCTATCCCATTACTGGGTAGATCCCCAAAGGACTATAAATCATGCTGCTATAAAGACACATGTACACATATGGTTATTGCAGCATTATTCACAATAGCAAAGACTTGGAACCAACCCAAATGTCCAACAATGATAGACTGGATTAAGAAAATGTGGCACATATACACCATGGAATACTATGCAGCCATAAAAAATGATGAGTTCATGTCCTTTGTAGGGACATGGATGAAATTGGAAATCATCATTCTCAGTAAACTATCACAAGAACAAAAAACCAAACACCACATATTCTCACTCTTGGGTGGGAATTGAACAATGAGAACACATGGACACAGGAAGGGGAACATCATACTCTGGGGACTGTTGTGGGGTGGGGGGAGGGGGGAGGGATGGCATTGGGAGATATACCTAATGCTAGATGACGAGTTAGTGGGTGCAGCGCACCAGCATGGCACATGTATACATATGTAACTAACCTGCACATTGTGCACATGTACCCTAAAACTTAAAGTATAATAATAAATTAATAAATAAATAAATAAAAGAAATACAGGATCAACTTACAGTGACTATAAGACGTAGTAAGGAGAAGCAACGCCACGTACAAAAGCTTGACATAGAAAATTCCAAGTCAAAAAATACAATTAAAAACTAAGATGACCAAATTGAGTGGCTTCAGAAAATCCTGTGAAGTTCAAGTTTGATGCAACGGATGTCACGAGAAAATGAAACTACAGAAGTAGATGAAGCTGCCTCTAAATTTAAATCTGGATCCTCTATAGCAGAGGTCCCCAACCTGCAGGCCACGGACAGGTCCAAGGCCTGTTAGGAACCAGGCTACACAGCAGGAGAGTTATTGTGGATCTTGTGGATCATCTGCATGCCATGTGAATCTTAAAACCAGTTTTCAATTACTACAAAAAAAAAAAAAAAAGCCTGCTTGGCTTGGGATGGGAATTGCATTATATCTATAGATGAGTATGGAAAAGAATGAACATCATAACAATGTTGAGTCTCTCAACCTATGAACAAGATATTTACTTAGGTCTTCTTTAATTTTTCTTAGCAATGCTTTTTAGTTATCAGTGTACAGATATTCCACATAGTTTGTCAGGTTTATTCCCAAGAATTTTATATTTTAATGCTATTGAAAATAGTATTATTTTAAAAATTTCAATTCCTAATTGTTTACTTTTAACATATAGAAACACAATTGATTTTTGTATATCAGTTATACATCCTGCAGTGTTGCAAAACTCACTTGCTGGTTTCAGTAACTTGGTAATGGATTTTATTTGGTTTTCTACATAGATGATCACATATGTGAATTGACAGTTTTACTTATTTATTTTCAATCTAAAGGCCTTTTATTATTCTCCTTCCCTCCCTCTTTCTCCCCACTCCCAATTAAAAAATGATTGCAGTGGCTAGAATTTCCAGTACAATGTTGAATAGAAGTGGTAAGAACTGACATCTCTGTCTTATTCTCAGTCTTAAGGGAAAGTATTCAGTCTTTCATCATTACATAGGATGTTAGCAGTAGATATCTTAAAGATGCCCTTCAACAGGTTGAGGAAATTCTCTGTATCCCTAGTTTGCTGAGATTATTTTTTAAATAAAGAATGATTGTTCAATTTTCAAAAACAAAACAAACAAAAAAGATACTTATACTTGCTGTCTCTACCTCAGGGGGCTCTTATAATAAACTCAATAGAGGTGTATATGCATGCATGTATTTCCAATATTTACAAATATTTAAAATGAATTCTGTAGAATGCACTATGAAAAATCGTGATTGTGTCTCCCTCAAATAGTTCCAGACTCCATTAAAATTACCTAAATGAACAACACCCTATATATTTACAAACATAGAACTCCAAATACTGCTTCTTGCAGTACCCTGTCCCAACCATGCTGCCTTCTTCTTCACACTAGTCCTCAATTCAGACACTATGGGGATTCATTTACTAATCGGTGCATACATTTAGTCATTCAAGATAATTTATTAATCCCCTACCAAATGCCAGGTACTGCCCTTTGGTATGTTTCACAGGTACATTGAGGAAATATAGCCATAAACAAAAAATGATAAATATCTTCACCTTGTAGTTGGAGGGGGACACAAAAATAAATAAATGAATAATCTTATAAACATATACATAAATATATAAATAAAAATAGATGGGTAAAATAAATAGTACATCAGATAATTGCTAGGGCGAAGTAGAAAACTGGGAAAGGAGATAAAGACTGTTAGATGGTGGGGGGAGGTTGCAACTTGAAATTATGGGGGAGGTGAAATTTAAGAAGGAGCCTGAGGGTGTTCCAGGAAACAATAATGTGCATATCTGGGAAATGAGCCTTACAGGCAGAGCGAACAGCCAAATGGGAAGGCTGTGAGGCAAGAATGTCCATGAGTATTTAGGGAACAGAAAGGGCACCAGTGTGTGAGGGAGAGAGGGATCAGAGTGGAGAGGAGAAGGAAATGATGTCAGCAAGGAAACGGAGAACATGGGTTGCTAGGGGTTTGGAGGCATTTAGAGGACTTTGGCTTTTGCTTTGAGCAAGCCATTATAGAGGTTTGAGTGATACAATCTGATTTAGGTTTTAACAGGATCTCTCTGGATGAATGTTAATTAAAAATTGTAGAAAAGTAAAAAAAAAAAAAAAAATTAGGGAGACCAATTCCTTTACAGAAGTGATTTACTCAAATATTTGCTTTCTACTCAGTAAAGAAATAGATCAGTGATGGGCAAAAAAATGGCCCATAGATCTTTTTGTATGACCTGTGAGCTAAGAATGATTCTTACATTTTGAAAGGGTTCTTGAAGAAAAAGAAAAAGGAGGAGAAAGGGGAACTACAGAAACTGTTTACGGCCTACAAAACATAAAATATTTAAAGTCTGGAAAATATTTGCTAAATCTTCAAGTAAAGGATGTAACTGGAAGTAGGTTCTCAATAAAATTGGAAACAGAAATACATGAGAAAATAGTTGCTAAAAACATTGTGAAGCGATAGGTGTTAAGAAATGTCTATGGTTTCATTCCCAACCTTCACAATGTCATAATTTCCACTGAGATATTGAAAAATATGGTCGGTTTGTAAAAGAATAAACAAAAAGGCACTGTGTCACCTAGACAATGTCATACATAAAATTGTATAGTAATAACAAAAATAATAACACAAAGTATTTTTATAGAACTTAAAATTTTACAAAGCATTTTCATGTTAATTACCTCATTTCACCTTCAAATCAACTGCATGGGAGAGGTATAATTTCCTTATTAGAAATTACTGTATCCTAAATCTTTAGTGATTGATTGCTCAAAAAAAGTTGACATCATAAATGCTACATCTGTTAACAGAGGTTGGTTTTCTCCTATGAGAACATTGGATACTAAAATCAACAGGGACTTGTAGTAAAAAAGGATAGACCATGAACACATATTAGCCTTGTGTTCCTCCTGAAAACATACTTAAATAAAAGTATAAAGATACCGAAATTAGTAGACCAATAAAAGTCAAGAGATTGTGGAAGTCATCAACCACAGAAAGGTTTTGTTACATGTCTGGAAAACAAAAAGTGAACTGGAGGGGTAATTAATAAAACAATCAAGAAGAGTATCTTAAGAAGCAACTGCACAAAGTCAGTCTGTTTTTGCTGAGCCTTCGGTATAGTCAAAGGCAGAAGTGTGTGAACAAAGTGAAACTGAAAGAGCCAATCCTGGACCCTGATTGGTTAACTGGACTCCAAGCAGCCATTGGCTGACTAGAGGTCACACAGGTACTTTGAATTCCCTCAAAATCCACACCATTTCAACCTGGGAACTTTCAGACATCACCTGAACCAACCAATTAGAGCTCGCCTGCCTAAGCCAATCAGGGCTCAGCTGTATGAACGAGGCAGGGCTTCTCTGTATCAGCTAATTAGAGCTCAGTTGCATCAAACTATTGGAACTCAGCTGTGTTGACCAATCTGAATTAAGCAAGTTTCTAACCTTTCATTTGTGTAAATGGACCTGAATGGGAACCTAGACAGAAAATTTCTGCTGTAAAACTCAAGCCTTCCCTGTAGGGTGAACCGTGTAGCCTAATATAAAACCTACCAAGAGAATTGCATGGGGCTATAGAAGCAAAGCCAAAAGATTACACTCTCATGCCTGTAATCCCAGCACTTTGGGAGGCCGAGGTAGGCGGATCATGAGGTCAGGAGTTCGAGACCAGCCTGGCCAACATAGTGAAACCCCGTCTCTACTAAAAATACAAAAAATTAGTTGGACATGGTGGCAGGTGCCTGTAATCCCAGCTACTCAGGAGACTGATACAGGAGAATGGCTTGAACCTGGGAGGTGGAGGTTGCAGTGAGCCAAGATCATGCCATTGCGCTCCAGCCTGGCTGGGTGACAAAGCAAGACTCTGTCTCAAAAAAAAAAAAAAAAAAAAAAAGATTCTACTCAGCATTGTCTACAGTCACACCCCCTAGGCCCTAGGAAGGGGGTGAGGATAGAAAGGGAAAATGAAAGAAAAAACAATAATACTATTATTATAGGGAAAGAAAGAAGAAAAAGAAGAAATACTACCTGCACGGAACTAATTATAAAAGTTAGAAGTGCCAGTGTCTCCAGGTGAGAAGAAACCAGTCAAATAATGTTGGAACCATGAAAAATCTGAAAGTAGTGATACTACCAAAGGATTGCACTAGCTCTCCATCAATGGATGGAGATTTAGTTAGGTTTGATTCCTAACCAAAATGGAAACTCAGAAGTGACAGGTAAAGAATTCAAAGCATGGATTGCAAGGAAGCTCAATGAGATCCAAGACAAAGTTGGAAATCAACACAAAGAAACTGCTAAAGCAATCCAGGAAAGGAGAGGAATGTGTAGTGACTGACAGCAAGGAGACAAAAGGTATTTTAGAGGAAAAAAGTCTATTTAATGAACTCCATAGGTCAGTAAAGTCTAGAGGACTCAGTATGTCCCCATATTGACTCTATATGACTTAAAATGGATTGTTGGTGATTAAGACAAGAAAAGGGGGAGTGAGAGTGTCAACCACAGTTTGCCAGCTATGGTTTATTGTCACTACCACAATTCCATCCCAAACTGGCCAACCCCAGATTCATTTTCTATGATTGAAAATTGTTCCTTTTTTTCCTCAAAAAAAGATAGAGGTGATTTTTTGTGGAATATCCTTGTCCAAATTTCCTTGTATTGTCCTGAAGCCCAAATATGCATTATTGTGTTTAATAATTTTTTTTCCTTTTTGGAGAATAAATGAAAATAATATGGTATTAATTTATTATTTTTAAATACGTCTGACATATCATCTTTCTTCCTAGTTCCTCTAGGAAGTCTTTGTCCAAAATTTGTACCAGTTTGTTTTGTTCCAGAAAACAAAATCAAGAGATTATTCCTAATTGAACTCTCTCCAAATGATAGCAAGGAATTATGGTTACATGCCATAACTGTAAACCATTTATGCCGTGGTTAGAAAGGGCTGATAATATTTCTCCTCTTTTCAAACAAAATTTGGGTCTGAGCAAAAACTTTTTGTGTTCTACCAACCTCAGCCTTTTTGGGAATGGAACTCCAAATTTGCTCTGACATGCTATAAAAGGAATCTTATGAGGAGAGGGCTAAAACCAATTTTATAGTATGTTAATTATGTACAGTGTTATTTTAAATAGATGTTTTAAAATGTAACATATGAAAAATTTTTAGAGAGCTTTGTTCTTGGTTCTGAAACTTCCGCATGTCATATATCTGATACACCACATCAGCCCCAAGAGAGAAAAACACATTACTGAAATAAGCCTGAGAAACAAGATTCAAACTAGACAAATCTCTGTAGGATTTTCAAATCTTTCTTGTCATGCTGAAGCTTCTAGCTCCTAGGACAGTAACACACATTTCTCTTTTCCTGACACTGAAGATCATGTCTCCTCTCTTGGGCATAAGAAGGTTTAGAGTGATATGTAGGTGACAATAATGTGTGGTGAGGAGTAGGTCCAGCTGGCATGCTCACAAAGACCAAATTGTGTTGATCATATTTTAATTCAATACATTTCTCCAACATTAACTGGCAAATAAATTATATACTTGCTTTCTAGACATATTTCAGGAAGACCAGAAAACATGGATTCTTTTATTTTATTTATTTTATTATACTTTAAGTTTTAGGGTACATGTGCACAATGTACAGGTTTGTTACATATGTACACATGTGCCATGTTTGTTCGCTGCACCCATCGACTCATCATTTACATTAGGTATTTCTCCTAATTGTTGCGGGAAGTCAGGGACCCCAAACGGAGGGACCAACTGAAGTCATGGCAGAAGAATGTGGATTGTGAAGATTTCATGGACATTTATTAGTTCCCCAAATTAATACTTTTATAATTTCTTATGCCTGTCTTTACTGCCATCTCTAAACATAAATTGTGAAGATTTCAGGGACACTTATCACTTCCCCAATCAATACCCTTGTGATTTCCTATGCCTATCTTTACTTTAATCTCTTAATCCTGTCAGCTGAGGAGGATGTATGTCGACTCAGGACCCTGTGATAATTGCGTTAACTGCACAAATTGTAGAGCATGTGTGTTTAAACAATATAAAATCTGGGCACCTTGAAAAAAGAACAGGATAACAGCAATGTTTAGGAAACGAGAGATAACCTTAAACTCTGACCACCGGTGAGCCGGGCAGAACAGAGCCATATTTCTCTTCTTTCAAAAGCAAATGGGAGAAATATTGCTGAATTCTTTTTCTCAGGAACATCCCTGGGAAAGAGAATATGTGCTTGGGGGTGGGTCTGAACTGGCCCCCCTAGGTGTGGCCATCTTCTATGGTTGAAACTGTAGGGGTGAAATAGACCCCAGTCTCCCATAGTGCTCCCAGGCTTATTAGGAAGAGGAAATTCCCACCTAATAAATTTTGGTCAGACTGGTTGCTCTCAAAACCCTGTCTCCTGATAAGATGTTATCAGTGACAATGGTGCCTGAAACTTCATTAGCAATTTTAATTTTGCCCCGGTCCTGTGGTCCTGTGATCTCGCCCTGCCTCCATTTGCCTTGTGATATTCTATTACCTTGTGAAGTATGTGATCTCTGTGACCCACACCTATTTGTACACTCCCTCCCCTTTTGAAAATCCCTAATAAAAACTTGCTGGTTTTGTGGCTTGTGGGGCATCACGGAACCTACTGACATGTGATGTCTTCCCCAGTCCCAGGTCCTCCTCCCACCCCTGACTTGGGAGTGGGCCCAGCTTTAAAATTTCTCTCTTTTGTACTTATTTCTCAAACCGGCTGATGCTTAGGGAAAATAGAAAAGAACCTTTGTGACTATTGGGGCAGGTTCCCTGATACTTAATGCTATCCCTCCCCCAGCCCCGCAGCCCCCGACAGGCTCTGGCATGTGACGTTCCCCACCCTCTGACGTTCCCCACCCTGTGTCCAAGTGTTCTCATTGGAGAACATGGATTCTTATCCATAATAAATAAACTGCTGGTGAATTTCTTTCAGGATAGACCATAATGGGTCTAGAACATAATCTTTATATACTTAGATACCTCACACAGGATCAAAAAGATCATCTGAGCTGCAAGGCTCCATTAGAAGAGAAATGTGGCATGACCCTGTGGGACAATTGCTGGTCCCTGCCCTACATTTTCTTAGAGGACTGGAGCCCACTGTGGGCCATGGTCAACTTATGAGTTGAGGTAAAGGCCTCATCCTAGGAGTGCATGTGCTTATTACACATATGCCACCGTGCAAAGTACCCAGAGAAAATACATGTAAATTGCCCATCTCGAGCGAGTTGTGCTCACTTCCTTTTACAAATTTGCTAAAACACTCCTTCGTTTTGTACTGGATATTGCTAAAACAACATTTGGGCCTGAGACTCTTCTCCAGGTCATTCAGGTGGCAGTGGCCCAGCCAGGCTGTGAACCCGGGCTGTGTGATTCCACAGCTCACGCTCTGGCCTGTGTGCCTCCTTATCGTGGAGACATGGTGTTTTCTCATTCTTTCCTGTAGCCGGATGGAGGTTCATTGCCTTGCTTCTGTCCCTCGGTGGAGATGGGCAATTTACTTCACACGTTTCTTCTCTGGTCTGCCTGCAGGCTCTCGGGCCAGCGGCCGCCCCTTGCCCTAAAGGCCTCTGCGCCTGCCCAGGACAGCCAGGCCCTTTCTTATTCCTGTTCAACCCGCGGCGGCCTCCTAGGCCCTCCTCTCCAGGCAGCTTGTGTGGCACCCCTTGTCCTCTCCCACATGACAAGGGTGACCCTCTGGAGTTCCTGCAGGCTGTGGCCTCTGAGCCACCTGTTGGGAACTCCCGAAGGTTGCTGCACCCAGGGTCCCTGAGGACCCTCCTCCCGTCCGCAAGTTCGCCCTCCCGCTGCCTTCACCACCTAAGCAGGTCCCAGCCAGGCTCCCGAAGGAGACTGAGGGTAGGGCCGAAGAGGAGCCCAGAACAGTGACGCAGGAGCATCACGTAGAGACCCAGGAGCAGGATGACAAGAAAAGAGCCCCCGTAGCCACGGCAGGACTTCATCCACGTCTAGGGCCCTGGAGACCCAGGGAGACCTCACCTCCTTCGGGTGCAGGCCCGGGCCTCTGCAGGGAAATGCCCACCCCTACCTGTTGGAAAACCATTTGAGAGAGAAGGCCCAGGTGTCTCCAGTGAGTGGCTCCTTCTGGGAGGGCCATGAGGCCCCCAGCTCACACAGCCCTGCTGGAGGTGGCCTTCCCCTTGGGAAGCCTGACCCGGCTCCAGCAGTGCTCCTGGCCCCGGCCCCGGCCCCGGCCCCGGGCTGCTCCCTGCAGCCAGAGAAGGCGGCCAGGAAGGTGCTGGATGAAGACCACCCACCCAGCTCTCCAAGCTTGCTGATGTCGGGGAAGAAGATGCAGGACAAGAAGCCTTCAGCTCTTCTGTCATGGAACTCTTGTCCACTCAGAGCTGCCAGCAACAGGCCCTGCGAAAGGAAAATGTGGATTCCACCGCTGCTGCTCCTGGCCCCACCCTGTGATTGATGTGGGATAGAAGTGAGTTGTCTCCACCTGCTAAGCTTCCCTGCCTGTCTATTGAGGGATACCTGGGCAACTTGGAGAACAGCATGGGGTGTAAACAGAACAGCAAAATCTTGGAGGATAAAATGGACAATTTGGAGCACAAAACAGAGGCCAAGGCAAACTGCAGCACCATCCAGCCTGCCCCTGCTATCTCCCCACATGCGGAAACTTCAGACTCTCTGTCCCTGGCCACCTACACTTTGCAGGTCCCAGCTCCTCCTTCCACCCTTGACTTGGCTGAGCCGGCTACCAGACCCCGCTGCCTGTCTGTCACACCAAGAATATCCAAAATCCCTAACTCTCCATTGTCTCTTCCCACTGACCTTGTTCCCATATTTTGGGTTCCACCTAATGAGGAAGGAGGTTCTTCTCATTCTGGAGTAGCTTCAGCATCTCCCACTTCTGACCCCCTGACACCTAGCCCCACACCTTTCTCCTTCCGGCCTCCCTTCAGAAGGGAGTTCCCTACAGCTGTGTATGTGCATTCCCTTCCTCCTCTTTCCTCTCCCGCCCTTCTTCCAGGACCTTCCACCAGGATCTCTGTTACCACCAGCAAGCAGATAAATTTCAAAGCAGTCATTTTCACCATCACAGCAAACACATCTGCCCACCACACCTTGCAGCCTCCTTCAGATCCTCAGGTCCTCAATAGGGACACCACTTTCCCACCTAAGGCTGTGATGTTCAGAACTTCCTCAAGCTCCAGGATGAACTCTCTACTAGTTTCCCAAATTGATGGCAGTGCACAGCAGGGGCCCCCTGGTAAGACTCAACCTATATCACCCAGCTACATTTATATTCCCCAGCCCCACCCCTCAGCCCAAATTTTGGGTCCCTGATTTGGCCAAGGCAAACTGCAGCACCCCCCAGCCTGCACCTGCTGTCTCCCCACCTGCAGAGACTTCATACTCCCTGTGCCTGGCCACCTACACTTCCCAGGTCCCAGGTCCTCCTCCCACCCCTGACTTGGGCATTGCCTCAGCCCACATCTCCACCAGTTTGCCTGCACAGCCAGTCATGAGACCAATGACAACTTCTAACCACACTGTAAATCTGGGAGCCACGGCTCCACTCACATTGGGGGCCCCTAATGGGCAGCAGTGGAAAGCCTGTCTCCCCAGTACCCCTGTTATTCTGAGCCATGATGGGATCATCATGGCTCATCCAGACACCTCCAGTTTAGGGAGCAGAACCTCTGCAGCATCATCATCCATTCCTACCATTGACAGCAGTGCTGTGGATACCACCCTTATTGAAAAGCTGTCATCTTCCAGTCTGCCTCTGTCTCACGGAAGAAGTGTATCCTTGTCTCATCTGAGCCTCCTTGGTTCTGGGAATACAGATCCCAGTGGCAACATTGTCTCAGTTCATGTCTCCACCAGTTTGCCTGCACAGTCAGTGGTAGGACCAACTGTAACTTCTAACCACACTGTAAATCAGGGAGCCACTGCTCAGCTCACACTGTGGGCCCCTGATGGGCAGCAGTGGAAAGCCTCTCTCCTCAATGGTTTTCTGAGACTTCCCAGACACCTCCAGTTTAGGAAGCAGTACCTCTGCAACATCATCTTTCCTTCCTACCATTGACAGCAGGGCTGTGGATACCACCCATTTTTCAAAAGCTGCCATCTTCCACTCTGCTGCTGTCTAAAGGAAGAAGTGCATCCTGTCTTATCTGGGGCTCTCTGCTTCTACAAACAAACAACTCAATAGAAACACTGCCTCAGTTCACATCTCCACCAGTTTGCCTGCACAGTCAGTCGTAGGACCAACTGTAACTTCTAATCACGTTATACATCCGGGAGCCACTGCTCAGCTCACATTGGGGGCCTCTGATGGGCAGCATTGGAAAGCCTGTCTCCCCAGTACCCCTGTTTTTCTGAGCCTTCCCATGATGGCTCCTCTAGACACCTCCAGTTTAGGGAGTAGAACCTCTGCATCATCATCATCCATTCCTACCATTGGCAGCAGCACTGTGGATACGACTCCTTATTCAAAAGCTGTTGTCTTTCAGTCTGCTGCTGTCTCAAGGAAGAAGTGCATCCTATCTTGTCTGGTGTTTCATGGTTTTGGTAACACAGAACCCAGTGGCAACATTGTCTCAGCCCACATCTTCACCAATTTGCCTGCACAGTCAGTCATGGGACCGATCCCAACTTCCCACAACGATGTAAATCCATGATCCACCTCCCAGCCCATATTTGGGGCTTCTCATGGGCAGGATAAGTCAGACCGTTCTTTTATTCTGGGAAACCCAGCAACCCCAGCACCAGTTATAGGCCTAAGGTGTTCTTGCAGCCAGCCACCCAGTGACAGCACAATGGCAGCAGATCTCACCAGTGTGACATTACCATATTTTGCATTTGATTTGCCTATCAATGTGCAGCCAGGTATGATTAAAAAACCAAGTGCTTCCCTCATTGGCACAGCCAAGTCATCTACATTTAGAGATACCACCAGAATGCCTGGCACTGGAGACAGTAACTGCATCGGTTGACAATTCTACTCTAGGCCCAGGGGGGATAATGAGACCTGGAGCCCCTAAACATGGTGAAAACATTGGGGTTAGCATGTCTCTGCAGTTCCACATCAAGAACACCGAAAACTATACCAGGATGGAGGGGAACAACCAGCACCAGCCTGTACCCCCATTTGGTCAGGTAGCCTGGGGCTCACCTGCTCACACCACATTGGTTGTGGCTACAAACACCAGCACCATCCTTGCTTGTTCCACCTTCATGCCAAATACCTGGCATGCACCACTCCAGAACCCAGGTGTTGCACTAGGAAGAGGCAACCACATTCCCATTGTTGGAGCTCCTCGTGGTTCCTTTTTCCATCAGTCCATGGTCGGTCCACCTGGACAAAACACAGGTAGTGCATCTACAGTGAATTCCACCATAGCTATAATGAGAGGCCTTCATGTGCCGTCACAGCAGCCAAGCTCCCAAGGCCACCTGGACAATGATTAGATGGTGTCATGGGGGACAACAGCACAAATGCTGTGAGTGGTCACACTTATAATTCTCCATTCACAAAGAGCACCTGAGGTCCACCTGTGGTGTGATGGGGGACAAATAAGAAGCAAGTTCCCCTCCACATGCAATCTCCATGAACAAACTTTGCCCCTGGAGAAAGGGGCTTAGTCTCTTTAAATTAAACTTAAGCTGCTCTCTCCCTTTAGAAGCCAGAGGCCCCAAACCTCAATGGGTGTGTGTGTGTGTGTGTGTGTGTGTGTGTGTGTGTGTGTGTGTGTGTGTGTGTGTGTTTGTGTGTTGGAGGGCATGAGGAGGCTGATAAGCCCAGTCAGAACCACAGTGTATTTGAGACACTCCCCTGTGGAAGGTAGAGGAAACCAGCATGTGTCAGCTGTGCTTTCTCTGGCTTGACTGTTAACCTGGGTGTCCCAAGTGCCCAGCCAGTTCTCTAATCTTTGAACTGGCAGGATATCCTCTGTTATTTACAGGTGCTACTTTTCCACTTGCCCGTTTTTCACAATAAGCCCTTATCTTTCCCAATTGTGTCTTAAAAGCTTGCTCTTGCTGATGTGCCTCTGCTCATGTGTCTTTGCTCTTTGACTCAACTGTGGAGAAAGAATTTACATGTTTGAGGAATGATGTGTTGAGGCAGACTTTACGAAAAACTTTCTGTATGCCAGGGAATAGGATGTGGAAGCAGCCACCCTTTCTGACTTCACAGGCTGAGTCCTGAAGCCTCTGTGTGAGGTTTGAGCATCAGGGATGACAACATAGTGAAACATGAGGTTCAGACCAGGGCGAGACCAGGTGGCCCGTCCTTGCCTTTTCTGTCTGTTCTTCTCTCCTATGTCATTGGAAGCAATATATTTCCTGATGTGTGTTAGGAACCTGCACTTTCTCATTTTCATTTTAAAAAATTGTTTAAATGTCTTTTGTGTGTGTCTTTTTGTTTAATTTAGACTTAGGCACGTCATCCTTACAGATTCCCGCTTCACCAAGAGAGGTTGGGCTTAACATCCAGCTTCTTGCACATAGAGCCATCAAGAAAGGAAGCACTCATGCCTACTCTGTAATTATTGAAAATTCATGTTTACTTAGAATTTATCAGGCTGCTTAAAATGATCAGAAAAGATTCTTTTTAAAAACTGCTCTGGCTCTAGTCTAAATCACCAAGGTATCAAATCACAAGAGTTACAGTTACACCCAGATCTGGCTGACCTTCACATTCTGCTAGGTCTCCACTAGACTGAAATGCCAAAAATACAAACTTTTCTAAGGTATTTCACAACCCAGGAGAACCATCTCAAGGTGGGGAAAGAAGAAAAGTACAAGCATTTCCCTCAGCTTCTAGCATATTCACCATTTGCTAGTGATGACTTTACAATAAACTCTGTGCTAGGCCCTGAAGATACAGAGTTGAAAGACATCTCTTGCCCCAGAAAATTTACAATGTATTCTGGGGGACAGATGACCAGACCAAACAATTAACTGGATAGGTAGGTGCTGAGATAATGGGAGCAGGTAAGAAGAACATTAACTACTTCTGTGGTAAATGAAGGATGAACTGCACCTTCAAGGAGAAGGGGACAGTTGAGTGGATAAGGACTACTTCTGGGTCAAAGCAATAGCATTAAAAGGCTAGAGAAAGAATGTAGATGACCAGTCAGTGGGACACTAGACTGGTAGTCAGGTGTGTTTGAAGAGTGAAACCAAAGGTGGGAGGTGCACCTGCAGGGTTCCACAAGAGTGGATAGAAAACAAACTTAAACACCACAGTGGGGCACCTGTTCATTTTTCTGAAAGCATGAGAAGTCATGAAGGGATTGTAAGCAAAGATATGACAAGATTATATGTAGATTGTAGAAATCTCCCTGTGACTATGTGAGAAAGAAGAAGTAAATGATGCCAGGGCAGAGACAAGGAAGCTTAGTGACACTGCAGTGAGTCAAGGAAAGATGAAGAAATGAGTTCCTGGTCTAAAGAACCTGACAGCAGGGATAGTGAGGAGGTCAGAGAAGAGGGAAGTGAAATGGGTGACAGCAACGAGCCCCGGCCTATCCTCATCATCTGCCTTGAGTGAACAAACATAAGTGATTTTGGCAAAAATTTAAGTTCTACTTTTCATAGTGTGAGATGATGGTGGAAAATCCAGATTCTATTTGGAAAGCAGTTCATTTACTCAGTCAATTTAAAGTATCTGTTGAGCAACTGGGATGTGCTGTGGACTATTGTAGGTAGTAGTGTCAATTACAAGAAAGGAAAAATTCCTGACTTTGTGGACTCTGCATTCTAGTTGAAGTGGAGAAAAGAAGCAGCAAACATGGAGATTATCTGGTAGGTTAGCCAGTAAGAAATGCTATGGAGAATAAAGAAGTACGTGGGGGATTGAGATTGTGGATAGAGAGAAGCAGGGGATTCCATTTAAACTGTGGACAAGACAAGCCTCACTGGGAAAGTGAAATGTGAGCCTCAGAGGCAACTGAGCCAGATATCTGAGCAAAGAGCATCCCAGATAATAGGAATAGTCACTGCAGAGGCTCAGGGGAAGGACGCCTCTCAGGTCCTCAGGGAGCAGCTAGTGAGGCAATGTGGCTGGAATGGAGTCAGTAGGAGGGAGGGAGGGAGAGAGGGAAGGGAGGAGGACAGAGAAAATGTGGGGTGAATTCCTTGCACCACCATTTATTAGTTGTACAAACAGTAGAGTCAATCTTCAAGAGTCTCAGTGAAGTCAGTTCTTATGCTATGGACTGTTTACCTGAGAAAATTTCTAAAAGGATAACATGAAATAATATAAGGAAGTAACTTGGAAGCCATTGTTGTTATTGTTCTGTGGATAAATGGATGGATGGATGGATGGATAGACAGATGAGAGAAGTATAGACTGAAATTTTGCATTCCCTCAAAAATTCATATTTTGGAACCCTAACCCCCAATGTGCTGTTATTAGGAGGCTGGGCCTTTGGGAGGGGTCTAGTTTTAGATGCAGTCATGAGGATGGAACCCCCATGAAGGGATTCGTGCCTATATAAGAAGAGCAAGAAACACCTGAGCTTCTTCTCACTGCCACGTGAGGACATAGCAAGAAGGTGACCGCCTTTAAGCCAGGAAAAGGGTCATCACAAGAAACAGTATCTGCTTTCATCTTGGACTTCCCAGGCTCCAGAACTGTAGAAAATAAATGTCTGTTGTTGAAGCTACCAGTCTATGTCACTTTGTTATAGGAGCCTGTGATGGTTAATACTGAGTGTCAACTTGATTGGATTGAAGGATGCAAACTATTGATTCTGGGTGTGTCTGTCAAGGTGTTGCCAAAGGAGATTAACATTTGAGTCAGTGGGCTGGGAAAGACAGATCCACCCTTAATCTGGGTAGGCACCATTTAATCAGCTGCCAGCACTGACAGAATATCAAGCAGGCAGAAAAAGATGAAAAGACTAGACTGGCTTAACCTCCCAGCCTACATCTTTCTTCCGTGCTGTATGCTTCCTGCCCGCGAACACTAGATTCCAAGTTCTTCAGCTTTGGAACTCAGACTGGCTTCCTTGCTTCTCAGCTTATAGACGGCCTATTGTGGGACCTTGTGATTGTGTGAGTTAATACTCCTTAATAAACTCATATCTATATCTTTATCTATATCTATATCTATATCTATATCTATATCTATATCTATATCTATATCTATCTGTCTGTATCTCTATCCTATTAGTTCTGTCCCTCTAGAGAACTCTGACTAATACACAGCCCAAGCTGACTAACATAAACAGGTAGGTAGGTAGGAAGGTAGCTAGGTAGCTTGATAGGTAGATAGATAGACAGATACATAATGAAGATAGAGAGCAGATACTTATATATGTGTGCTCTGTGAGTAAGTTCCTTAAGCAGTGGTCTTCTGCTTGCCTTTACTAGGCAATGCAAATAGAAGAACCCTATTTTAAAGGGAGCATAAAAATGCTTACTTTTATGAAGTAAGCACCTGTAAAAATATGATAAATAGGGCTAAAAATGCACAGCATTGTGCCTAGTGCAATATGTATGAGATTAGCCCTGTAACAACAAAACCATCTAGTGGACTCCTCCTGGCGCCCTGCTGCCTGATTCCTTTACTCTCAGTTGCTTAGCACAGTTCCAGAGGGTCAAAGTTCCTGTGCAATGGGTACAGAGAATCACCTTCCCTTTGTGGTCAGAACTGCCTTACAGAAGCAGGGACAAAATCTGTTTGCTTTTAATAGTCCTGCCCCCTGTCTCTACCATGCCTGGCAATAATATCACCAGGGACAAGTTTTAAAAACTCATACTTTTTGACATTTTAGAGAAGACCTTCAATTATTATTCTGATAAGACAAACTTTAAAGAAATATGTGAGAGATATAAAGATGAATTTGATTTTTATGTTCTGATGCACTTACACAGCTGTAACTATTTCTAAACAAATAGATTCTTCTGTTTTTATTCAAACAAGCATAATATAAATTTGAATAATACTGAAATTCAACCCTTCCTACTCCAGTTCCCCTTTCCGAAGATAGGCTTTAGCCACTTTGTTGTTACCCCCGTATTTCTAAACTTTATGCTTATTCTGCTGTGTCGTGAAATATCCATTTTAGAAAATATTTCTACCACCCTAACATAAGGGAGGACGATAAACTCCCACTTCCACTCATATTCCCCATCTCTTCTCATGTGTCATATTCATTTTATTAATTTTGCTGCTTTCGTTTTATAACTTCACGTAGTTTTGTAAGCTTTTTTGGTGAGAGAAAATGGTAGTATAGTGGCTAAAAGCATTGGCTCTGGAAATAGACCACTTGGTTTGGAATCCTTGCTCTTTAGCTTACCAGTTCTGCAACCCTGAGTAATTTACAGAGCCTTCCTATGCCTCTGTCTCCTTATCTGTCAATCAGGGAAAAGGCAAATATCTACCATATGGGCTGCTCATGATGCTTAAGTGGAACAATGCATTTGTAGACTTTAGCATCCAATACACAATCTCAAGTTTTTTCTATTAAGTTCTTGTTTTATCAATGTTTACTCTAATCTTAGGACTTTATGCTCAAAACTGTATTCTCATGACTCCTCTGCCTTTCCTTTTCCCTTGCGCAACTCACCTTTGTCAATTTAAGTATTGGTCAGTCCTGGGGAAAACAGTGGGATAGGATTATAGTTTCTTCTTTGTAGGTAGAGGGCCCCAACTTATGTCTTTTCCATCAATGGTTGTTATATTCTGTTTTGCATTTTACTTCAACTATTATTTTTCCATATAGATTTCATTGCTTTTCCTACCATTTGACTTGTCTCTTTTAAATCCTTGCATTCTTTGCCATGAGAGAGTATTTCGTATTTTCAGACTCAATATTGTTTATGTGACTGGATCACTCCCTTTTCCAGAAACCTTGTGCCTCCCCAACTCCATTTGGAAGCTTTAAGGCCAAAGTAAGGACATAGTCTCAGAAGAAAGAGGGCCAAAGCAGCCACTCATATTGCTTTTAGGTTAGGCCAGAAGTGTTCACTAATCACTCATTACAAAAAATATCTGATTCTGACCTCGTCATCCTAACTTCCTAGATCTGTGGTAGAGCCAAGAATCTGGACTTCAACTAGCACTCTGGCTAACTATGATGCAGACAGTCCACATTTCATATTCCTCCAAATGCTACTTCAGGCCTTAGGCGAAGGCTCACCAAGGGCCCATTCATCTCATCAGATAAATAATTTTATATAGGAAGTGAGGACAAAACCGTAGTTACTAATAAGCAGAGTATACATCTACTTCTTAGGAACTAGAAAGTGGCATGTGGGAAATTTTAGAATTTCAGAGATGTGGATGCATGTCTTTCTGGCTCTAAATATTTTCATTTTAGAGATCTAGAAACTGCCCCTGGCTGTAAGGAGCGTTCCCAGGCCCTCCCTGAAGCAGTCACTACTGTGACCCCAGGCAATGTGATGCAGTGAGGGCCTCCTGAACAACAGCTCATTCTTTTCCTGAGACAGAGCTGGGAATGACTCTCCCAGAAGTCCCAGGACAGGAGTGTCATCTTCAAGAATGCCTTCTGGATAGGAAAACTGAGGATCCTAGGATCAAATAGCGGCTAAATCTTAGAGCCACAATCTAGATCCTGGATTTATTGAAGGCAGGGAGCGGGGCATGGGAGGGACCAGAAAAACAAAACCAAACAGAATCTCTGCTAAAAAATGGTTTGTCTTAGGTAAATAGCACCTTTTCTTTAAGCTCTTATTTTTTTGTTAATGACTAATATCAGAGGCTTTCCTGGAAGTAGGTCTCACAGGATGGAGGGAAATATGAACACTTATGAGTAAAAATATAGGGCTTTGTGGGGAGACTGCATTGAAGATAAGGGTTCAAAACACATACTAGGTCAATTTCTAACTTGCCATTGGACTAGCCTAGGCTAGAAGCACTGACTAGTGAAATGCCCAAGTTAGCCACAGGGACAATCACTAAAAGTATTTCTTCTGATTTCCCTTGAAGTTTGATGATTTCACGAAATATATATCTCATATATGCACAGAAAATGTAAGCCTTGAAAATGCTGAGATATTTGTGAGCCTAACCTTGATGGACATCAATACTTATGACAGAAAGTGGAGTAAGTGATGAGCTTCGGATTTGCATTTATTATTAACAAATAGTGCTTACTCTATGCCAAGCACTATTGTAAGTCATTAGCAAATTCTGATTCATTTAATCTTCATAATAACTCTATTGATAGGTATCATTTATAATTCTACTTGTTTATTTTTTTAAGGACGCTGAGGCCCAGAGAGGTTAAATACCTTGTTCAATGTCACACAGTTAGTAGATTGCAAAAACCCAGATTTATAACCAGACCATCTGAACTTTTGTCACTTGGCTGTACCACCTCATTATAAACCATGTGTAAGGAAAGGACTAAATTGACAAGAATCTGAACTAAAGACAGAAGAGGGAAATGAGAAAGTGAGTGATGTTGGAACCTGGGGAGAATTTAAGTTCAGAAGTTCTCAGGGATGAGTCCTGGGAGAGGGCCTGAGATATGGCTTGAATATTAACTTGCGGTGGCACCTAAGTCCTCTGAGACAAGACTCTATTCTCCTTAAAGTTCAGAAAGGCAGGTTGGATGAAATGTATTGGAAACAGGGTAGAAAGGAAAAGAATAATGTGACTTCAGTGATGAGCAGTAACATTTTCCCTTTAAGTAATAGGAGAAGAGAGGGTCTCTGGGGAAGGAAAGACCTCTTGCTGCCAGGTGTCTAGGCATTTATTCCCCGGATGAACATTGGGAAAAGTGACAGTCATTGTACTGGTTTCAGAAATCCCTTAAAACCAAAGCTTCAGCTCCCCAGAACAGGGTTAACAGTTGTGTGTTAGGCTCTCCACTGTGTCTGCAGTCACATGTTTTCCCTGGAGTAACAGTTCCTGTTAAGTATGCATTAGTCTCCTATGGCCGCTATAACAAATTAGCACAAACTTGGTGGCGTGAAACAAAATACATGTATACTCTTACAGTTCTGGAGGTCAGAAGTCTGAAAGCACTTTCACTGGGCTGAACTCCAGAGGTGGCAGGGCTGTACTCGCTCTGGAAACTCGAGAACAGGATCAGTTTAAGATGAGATAGCACCTACAACATAAGCTGGGAACTGTTAGGTGCAAGTCAGTGACACTGAAAATGAAGGCATCACTAGTTTAGAGAAAGAAATCAGAGAATAAAGGTTGACTGGTTAATATTTGGGAAGGTTTTCATTTTATACCACAAACATTTATGGAGAAAAGGTGACTGGAGAACAGGAATGTGCACAGGATTTGGTAATTGGTAGTGGGGTATCTGCTGTTATGCTCATGAATCCACATGCTTTTTCCTCAAATGGCAAGTGGAAGTCTGTCCTCCACTACTGACGTTGTCAGCTAGAACTGGATTTTGGCATTTCATTGGCTCAAGTCATACTTTCTTTTGGTGTTAGAATCTCCTTAGAGTTTACAATCTTGTGTTCTACTTAGGTTGCTTTTTAAGAGTTAAATTCCAGCATAGGCTGGGGTTTTGCCTACACAGACTCTGTTATAGGCGATGCCATGAACTTCCAAGGGCGTCCAGTTCAATCAAGTTGTCGGAAGTGTGCAGGAAGCTGTAAGACAGGTTGTTAAGATACAAAGGGCAAGTTAAACTTTAAAGTGCGCTATAAGAGAGGCTGCCTCATGACATAGTGTATTCCAGGCCCTAATGAATTCACTAGGTCCCCATAGCCGAGCAAAGTGGAACCTGTAGGGCTTCTTAGATGAGAGGCCCTCTGTGTTACTTAACCTCTGCCCTGTACCAGGGCAACTGCTACTTCTCAATCTAGAAGAAAACCAGTAGAAACAAAATTCTTATTGTAGAATCTTATATTAATACTCTCAAAAATAAGAACTAAGGTTTTCTTACATGCTATTGATGAAAATCATGATGATCTAAATTTTTTAATGAAAAATTTTAAATTTTAGTATTTAATTATGGGTGAAATTGAGCATTCGTTCAATCATGTTTCCAAGTTATTTGTGTTTTCTTCTAAAATGGACTTCTCCTTAAATGAAAGGCAACTAAAACTTTGTTCTATGTCTATAATTGTATGAAACAATCTAATCATTTATTCCTCCAAAAATAGTATTGTGTCTTTTGATAAAAGAAAATTAAACACTGACCCAAGGGGAAAGCTGACAAATCTCAATACCTTCACATTTATTAGGGCCAACTATCCTAATGTCAAAAAGAAAAAAAAGAAAAGAAGAAAAAATATTGGCAGTACATATGATTGTGTTTAGAATTAAACTATCATTTAAAGTGCTATTATAAATCATAAAGGAAAGAGTAAATATATCCATAGAGAATAGGGAAATGATATGAATAAATAGTTTGACAAAAAAGAAAATATAAATAGCTTAGACCATATGAATACATGCTCAGTAGCATTCATATTTTATATTAAAATTAAAATAACTATGAAATATCATTTTAACTTTTATATTAATCACAAAAATCATTGCTGAAGATGTGGAGAAATGAAAATTTTCAGGCAATTTTAACAGGAATGCACATTGGGATAGCCACTTGAAGCACAATTTAGAAATATCTTTCACATTTTTCAATGTATATACTATTTGACCCGACAATTCCATCTCAAGGACTCTCTCCTATGGATGTGTCTAACACATAAGCAAAGATATGTGTCCATTGTTATTAGTAATGGTCTGGAAACATTTTAAAAGACCCATTAATAGGAAACTGACTAGAATAATTATAGTGCATTCATATAATGGATCACCTTACAGCCATTTTTAAAATGAGGTACCTCCCTAAGTTCTGACATGCTGAAATATAATTTTCTCTAAGATATATTGTTAAGAGAAATAACGAAAGTTGTAGAAAAAGGTAACACAGGACACAATAATTTACATAGAAAATTCCAGAAAATATACATAAAAACTTTAAGTAGTAAGATGAGAGGGAAAATTATTTTCACTGTTTACCTGTTTTGCTATTTTGCATATACATTCCTTACTTTAATTATATAATCTAGCTAAGGAGAAGTAAAGTGTGCCATGTCAAAATAGTCTGAGCTCTATATAAGCTTTTTAACATATCTTTAAGGAGGAAAAACATTCTGCTGAAATATGTCAAAAAGAAATTACATAAATAATGAATAGATAGATGGGTATCCATGATGCATGCCACTTTTAAATCTAGACACCTTGAGTATTTCACAAATATATCCAGGCAGGCAATGTGTATACTAGTCTCACTGGCTAATTCACTTCATGTAATTCATGCCAATTCCTCATATTGGGTTCAAAGAACACAATTGTACCTAAAGACCTAATAGAAATACTCCTAAAACTTTTCTGACTATAAAAGGAAGATGCTCAGCCTAGGAAATATGATGAGACCTCGTCTCTACAGAAATGTTTATATTAAAACTAGCCATGCATGGTGGTGCATGCCTGTAGTTCCAGCTACTTGGGAATCTGAGGTAGGAGGATCTCTTAAGACTAGGAGGTCAAGGCTACAGTGAACCATGAGCATGCACTGCCCTCCAGCCTGAGTAACACAGTGATACACTGTCTTAAACAACGAAACAAAACAAATATCAAAAAAATTGCTAAATACAATTTCAAAGATTAATTTTTCATTTTAGAAAATTTATCTATACACAATTTCTCTGATTCTGAAGAATTTGATATTTTAATCTAAACCTTAGTTAACTATGGTATCTAAAAATGTCTTAAAAGAGAAAAATAAATATGCTATTAAATCTCATTACTACTCTTAGGTTGATACATTTCCCAATAATCAACTTAGCTTAAAAGTACTCATAATATGGCAATGTATTGCCCAGATTCAATGCCACTTTTGGGAGTGAATATAATAACCAAACTTAGATTCACTTATTTATGGAATAATTATTAGCCTCCTTAAGATCCTTTGTGTGATTGGACCAGTAAATAATATCATTAACTGTTAATTAAAAAGTCACACTCACTGATTTTATCAGGAGTAAATATACTCAAGAAAAAGACCTTGGACATCATCATAATTGGGATTTATACAAACTAGTGGATGAGAAAAGTCATGATGGAAGTCAGATTTCAGAGAGTGACTGGCAGAAAATCTCTGAAAGTGCAGAAGGGATTGAGTCTACTAGGGCTGACTCAGAAATAAGACCCACTTTTCAAAAGGGATAATGATTTTGGGTAGAGAGTCAGGCTGTGACTGAATTTAGTCTGCATTATTTCCTACTAGACTGCCTAAACACTGCTAAAAAGAGAGTTTTGTAGGTGGAAATTAAATAATTGTGGCACTGGAAGCCCAAGACGTTCAGTGGGAATCTGTTTTCTTTACAGAGAGTGCTGGACAGTATAGACTGGACTCTTTCAATAGGAGCCTTAATTATGGATGTGTCATAAGAATAGAAAATAAGAGAATAAAAAATAAATGAGAACTAAAGACATTTTGTGGAACTTTGGGAGTCAGAACATTAAAATAAGGTGCTCCTGGAGCTTGGAGTTGAAGCTTTTATAGGTGTGGGCCAAACAGCCTATTGGTAATGGTATCCATGGGCTGAAGAGGTAGAGGGTTTCCAGGCTTCAAAACAAGTGTGGTGAAGCAAGTACCCTCACGAGCCTTTCTGCTAGAAGTCAGCTGGATTCTGCATTAAATAGACTTTTGGATTTAGTGCTGGTCTTCCAGGACATAAGAGAAACCTCTAAACATCTATAATAAAGAAAGGCAAGAATCTGTGTGCTGAAAGTAGAGCAGTGAAGGGCAAGCAAATAAAAGTTGGATTTTCCCAAGGGCAAAACCAACATTAGTATCATACCATGCGAATTAAGCCTCAGGCTAATGGTAAATAAGTAAATCTGACCCATAGTTGCGTGTATAAAACCAGAAACCCTGAATAGGGAAGTAGTTCAAGATAGGAAGTCCCTCTGGTTCCCAGCAGACACAAAGGCAAAACCACAGAATAATGTCAACCAAGCACATATAAACTCACAACCAAAGGTCATCCACCAAAATAGGCCCCCAAGGGTAAAAATTTGGAGAAAAAGCAGATTCTTCTGATATTAAATATTTCAGTGTGGAGTATTAAAATGACTCTTATTAGATGTTAATAAATAAAAGAAGTAATCACAAATTTAAACAAGCAATAAGAACACAGTGCAGATATTAAAAGGAACTATGTACTAGGTTTTGAAACAAAAATGTATTGTCAAAGTAAAAAGAAATCCTCAAGGACTTATGTAAACAACAGATTAGCACACTGAAAAAAAAATTAGTGAACTGGAAGCTAGATCAGAAGAAATCAGACAATACAAAGGGACAAGAAAATGTATAACATGAAAAGAGGCCAATGGGTATAGAGGACGGAACTGTAAGTTTCACCATACATCTAATCAGAATTATATAAGGAGAGAAAGGAGGAGAGGCAATATTTGAGGAGCATTTTTTCCAGAAATGATTAAAGACATGAACTCACAGATATAAGTGAAAAGAAATCTAGACCCAGATTCATTGTAGAGAAACTGTAAAATATCAAAGACAAAGAGGTTAAAAGCAGCCAGTGAGAAAATATAGATAATCCAGCAAATTACAAAAGCTACATGACAATTAACATCTCAATAGCAACAATGGAGATTAGAAGACAAAACCTAACTGTCAGCAACAAACTGGGCACTCAGGAAAAATACATTTTAGAATAAATGTAAAGTTAAGATTTCATTTTAGGCGCTCAAAAACTAGAAGTTTTTATGTAAAGCAACTTCTAAAAGTTATACTTAAGAAAGAAGAAAAAAATAACATCAGAAGGAAATTCTCACATGTAGGATCAAGAAGGCATAGAAACAGATAAACATGTAGCTAAATAAAATTAAGCCATGTCATATGGAGTAATCATAGTGTTGTCTAATTAGCAGGGTTGAAAATGACGAAAATGATACAAATAATGATATGCACACCAGGAGGGAAGAGTTGAAGGCATTACATTTCTCATACTGTTTTTGAGGGAAGGTTAAGATACTAACTTTTTAAAAGCATACATGGTAACAAGTTAAGATCAGTAACTAAAATTAAAATAGCATATATAACTTTTCAGACTCTGGGTATGTAGAAATGAAATAACGAACAAAACAACAGTTAAATTAAAAAGAGAGGCAAGACCTAGTGTCTGATAGATCAGTAGGGTGACCATGATTTATAATAATCTATTACAAATTTCAAAATAGCTGGAAAAGAATAATTCTAATGTTTCTAGCCATAAAGACAAGAGAAATATTTAAGGTGATGAATATCTCAAGTACACTAATTTTATCTTCACAAATTATATGAATGTATTAAATTATCACATGTAATCTCAAATTGCATCTATTATGAATCAATAAAATAAGAAAGTTTTTTTAAAGTTAAAAAAGAAAGGCAAGAAAGCAAGAAAAAAGAAATTTCTTGAAGCAAAGGGACACATAGCAAGGATAAAAGAGTAGGCAAGTCTAAATATATTATTAACCACAATTAATTTAGATATACTAAACTAGCTGGTTAGAAAACAAATTGTCAGATTAAAAAAAAGAAAATCTTGACACATGCTATTTGTATTAGACAAGCATAACACTTAAGGGCACAGAAAGTTTTATATAAAAGGATGGACAAATTATTCTAAGCCAATTAACCAAAAGAAATAAGCAATACTGATTTTTCTTAAAAAGGGTACATTGGAATCAAAGTTACATAACCTCTACAGAAAAAATTAAAAATATGTCTTGAAAGATATTATAGAAGATCTAAATAAATTGTGAGACATTTCGTATTCATTAGACTCAGACTGTTAAAGATGATAATTTGCTCTAAGCAATCCACAGGACATTCAAGAACTTCCACTCAAAATCTTGATAGAATATTTTTGAGGAACTTGACGAGATGATTCTAAAATTTACATAGCAGAAATAAATGCCAAGAACGGTCAAAATTTTCCTTAAACAAAAATAAAATGGGAGAGGGATTGCCTTACTAGATAATAAGAGTTGTTATAAAGCTATAATACTCAATATTTTGTTGTACTGTGAGAGATGGAGACATTGACCAATGGAGCAGAATACATCGCTAATAGGAACAGACCAATGTAACCTGGACATCTGAGAAATGAGAGTGTTGGATTTGTAGGGATAATTATAGACTATTATAAGTGCAAAGCTGGGCTTTCTTAAACAAATGTAAAACATGCAAACAGTAATTGGTAAGTTCTAATTTATAGAAGTTAAGAATTTCTCTTCATGTAAATACACCAAAGAGAAAATGAAAGCAAGTCATAACTGAAGTAGATATTTCCAGTATGTCCAGCTTGCATGAAGAGCTACAAATCAGCAAGTTAAAGACACCTGCAGAAATTCTGGTTATGTGTGTGACACTCCCTGATCCTCAAGATCCCAAATTCAGGGACTATTTAAGAGACACAGAAGTAGTGGCTGAATTCTTTGAGACTGAGTAATTTCCTAGACTTTGGGGATTGCCATTGAAATGACTTTTTGGGAAAACAAGCAGGTGATCTTAGGGAATTTCAATTTACATATAGTCTATGAAATATGTCAATTTGCAGTACTTCTTAATGCTTGATTCTGATTGTGTATTCTTTTCAAGTAGTACAGTCAGATGAATACAGAATAATGTTAAGATGGTAGGGCAATTGCACTAGAGCAAGTTATTAAGAAAACAACATATTCTTCACTAGTGTTGAGGGTAAATATATATACGGTTTTTACCAACTGAAATGTAAGCAAGGCATGAAATATTGCATCAAAGACTAGTTGTCTGAAAATATGGAAGAGTATTCTTTATATCTTTGTCTGCTTTTCTGCCTTGAAAGCTTTGGTTTCCCTCATCTCTCTTTCCACAAGCCTCAAAGTCTAGAATGTCTTCTCAATCCTTTTGTTTCCCATACAAACTATAGCTACCTGTCTAGCCACTCCTCTCCTCTCTGCTCCTCTCCTCTCCTCTCTTCTCCTCTTTCCTCCCAATCCCTCCCCTCCCCATCCTTTCCCTCCCTTCTCCCCTCTTCCCTCCCCTCTCCTTCTTCCCCCCTACCTCTCCCCTCTGTCCCCTTTTCACTTCCTCTTCCCTCCCTCTCCTCCCTTTCCCCTCCTCTCCCTGTCTTCTTTTCTTCTTTTCTGTCTTCTCATCTTCTGTCCTCTCTTTTTAAATGTTGACCCTGACTTTTCTTATCATCTTAAAGAGAATAACACTGTTTCCTATCAATAACACTGTGTCCTATTAAGGACAATGCAGGAATAAATAGCCACAAATTCCTTTGATTGGAATTTATGTTTCAGATAAGAAAGCCTATTTAACAAAATCTCAATGGTCTTTTGCCATAATAATAGGTTAATAAGTTAATTAGCCAACCAAACATTCATATATGCTATACTATTTTTCTTCACTTAAATCTTTATTTGTTAAGCACTTTCCTTGAAGTCTTACATTCTTCTAAGTTGTCTTTTCTCAAACTGGGTTCTATAGATTCTTGGGGGATTCAACCACAAACATCTTCTCAAAGAACCAAGAGTTCTCTATGAGAAATCTAAAATACTATATTTTTATTTAAATGAGGATTTACAAATTTAATATATTTATCTTTTAATTCTCTGAATAATCCCCTTATAACAGGATACTCTCCTCTCAACCTCAGGGATCTAATTTGTGCTTGTATTTATGACTATGCTGTTGCTCAGTAAGCTCTCAAAGTGAACACATTTAACTCTTAAAGTGTCGTTAAATATGTCTGGTAGCCATTAGGTGAATAACAATCATAATATCAGAAGGACAATAATTGCCTGATTTCTGCCTCATACCTATTTTGAGTACTTTTACTGTCAATAAATACAAAATTTCTCTTTTACAATGATAATTCTCAATTGAAGACACTTTTCATAGAATAAGAATTTAATGTCTTATTGGAATTAAAGAACAATCTTTAACATAATATTACATAAAATTAGCAAAGCAAATCTTACAATAGTATAATAAAAGTACAATACTTTATGAACGAATTGGTTTTAGTCCAAGAATGCAAGGTTGATTTAACGTATGAAAATCAATTAATGTAATCCACCACACTAACAGGTTAAAAGAAGAGAATTATATAATCACTATATGTAGAAAAAGCATTTGACGAAACACACAACTCATTTCTCATAAAAATTGTCAGCAAACTAGGAATAGAAGGAAACTTAATCAACCTGTTAAACGGCACCCATGGAAGTCCTATGGTAAGTATCATAACGATGAAAGATTGAATGCTTTCTTCTAAGATTGAAGAAAAGGATGTTTTTTTCTCACCATTTCTATTCAACATTGTATTAGAAGGCCTACCAAGTGCAAAAACTAAAATGAAAAGGATGAAGATTTGAAAGGAAAGGAAAACTATCTGCAGATGACATAATTTTGTAGCTAGAAACTCTTGTGGAATCTAAAATTATTAGAACTAATACTGGATGTAGCAATATTATAGAACACACATTGAATGAATAAAACTGTTTTATTTCTACATATTAGCAATAAATAAGTAGAAAATAAAATTTAAAAACATTATCAAAAACATTGAATACCTAGTAATAAACATAAAATATGTGTAGGACCTCTGCATTGAAAACTAGTGCAGGCTCTAATCTGCAATGCACAAGGCAGGATTGGGGTGGAAGTGGGGCCTGAGGTTGTACCAGGGCCGGATGTGGGGTGGTAACTGGCAGGGCTTCAGCCCAGAGCTGTGGCACAGCTGTGGGGTGGGGAAGGCTCTGGGGAGAGGAAGGAGTGGGTGGGGACCACTTAGCCTGCTTTAGGACTGAGGGTACATGAGCTGTCCCACCTAAGACAGAGGGGACCCTAGTGGGGAAGAGCTACCAGAGATGGGGAGAATCAGCCCTGAGTCTCACTGTGCAGGCAGAGGACACCCTGAACAGCTGGCCCCACACCTGCCGCTCAGGGTGCCCCATGGTTGTGGGATGCAGAGGCCACTATGGCCTGCGCTGCTGCTTTCATTGTCTTCTTTGCTCCTGAAAGTTTGGACACCTGTGGTGTCCTGCTTGCCAACAACTGAATCTCAGGTGTTTCCAGTCTTCATTTGGTAGCCTGACCTCAGGAGTTTTGGAAATGATCCCCACTTTATGTGTCCTCCCAAATCCAGACATCCCCTTTCTGGATAACGTCTCCCCAGGTGCTCCTGGGCATCACAGAGGGGGAGTCTAGCAGCTTCCACATGCCTGCTTGCAGGACCTCCCAGAGAAGGCTTCTGGCAGGTGGCTAGAAATGAGCTCTTGCAAGAGAATGGAGAGGGAGAAGGGGATGGAACACATCTATGTCAGGGGAAGGGGTAAGCTGGGTGCTTTTTGCCTGAGACTTCAGGGAGGAAGGGAACACCCAGCCGGAGGTCACTGGAGAGCAGCACTCAGGACAGAGCACAGCGGGTGGATCACGAGATTGAGACCATCCTGGCCAACATGGAGAAACCCCGCCTCTATTAAAAATACAAAAAAAAATTAGCTGGATGTGGTGGAGGTGGTAGTGCACACCTGTAGTCCCAGCTACACAGGAGGCTGAGACAGGAGAATCACTTGAACCCAGGAGGCAGAGGTTGCAATGAGCTGAGATCATGCCACTGCACTCCCTCCTGGTGACAGAGTGAGACTCCTTCTCAAAAAAAAAAAAAAAAAAAAAAAGATTGCAACTGAGTCCCATGAGTCAGAGTTAAAGCAGAGTTTGCCCAAGGAGGAGCAGAGAGGGTGGTAGGTGCAAATCTCAGTCCAGTGGATCAGTGTGATTCCTGGGATGAGTTAAATTAGGTGAAAGATTGAAATTCTGACAGAGAGTGGGTCACATGGGGAGCTTGGGTCAGAGACCAAAAGAGGTTTGGATGGGTAATAGAATACAGTGTCTGAGTGTGCCTTGGAGTTAAAAAGAAAACATCACTACCTTGATGTGAGAACCAGACCATTAAGAGATTGAGGGCCAGTGGCACAAAGACACCCTGTGGTGAAGGGAAAGAAAGGACAGTGATGAGGTGGCTGGGTCATGTGGGCAGGTGGACACCAAGAGATGAAAAGGCCAAGGTTAGCAAGGACTCTAGCAGGGAAGCTGCGGCATCCCAGGGGGACACAGAGGGAGTAGCTTCCTCCACCAGCTCTCATGACAGGATGTCCTGCTCCCCCAGCTGTTCTGTGGCACCCCTGTCTGCAGAGATCTTGATGGAGTTTGCACAAGGCTACTTTCAATGGGAACTTCCCCAGATGGCTGCAGGAGACAGGCGGTACTGACTACAGCCAGGAGCACTCCCAGGACAGGACGCTGGCAAAGTTTGCATCCTCCCACATCTTGACTACACCATTGCTGCAGCTTTTCTGCCCCGAATGAGTTCTGAGTTAGGTAAAACAAAGGCAATGGCCTTGTGTCAGTCCTTCAGGTAACCCCCAGACAGGTTAGAACAAACATACACAATTCTTTGAGAATTCTTCTCTGCTCCCTTGGGAACCAAGGACCAGGTTCCCATCCTGGGAACCTGGCCACCTTCTTCAAGACCATCACCAAGCAGGGAGAGAGTGGGGCGAGGGCAAGGAAACACACAGCAAAGCTGCCTTGTTGTTTTTAAGCTGCTTTTGTGCTGCTTCAGCTTTCACTCTGTTGAAGCTCCTTGGGCTATTTCTGAGTTCTGACAAAGCTGAACCCAGCCACCCAGTTTACTTCCACAATTTCCCCCCAAATCTGCATCTACAGAGAAGCATCAGTGAGCAAAGTGGCCTTTATTAGAGCGACTGAGGAGGAGGGAGCGGTGAGCACACCCCGTGTCCCCAAATTTAAAACTGTCTCTTAGTGATAATTTCCTTTGAAAGTCCCTTTTGCACTGCTTGGCCCTTGAGGGCTGTCAGCCTCTCACTTGTACCCATGTAGTCCCAACCTGCCAGCATCCTCCTCCCCTTGCCCAGGGTCCCTCCCTCTCTCCCAACAATCTAAAATATTTTCCCATTTTTATACAGAGCAAGCCAGCTCCCAGGAGTCCCTGCTGTTCCTACCTGCACATTCTAAAGCCATCTAGATGTGAAGTACAGATAGGAGGCCTTCTATTTGGTATAACTTAAGAGAGAAATTGCAGTGATGTAAAGCACTCTCTTTTTGTTTTGTTTTGAATCACACCAGTGGTTGTTTCCCCATGAAGGGTTGTTTTATGATGTGTATGTATGTGAGTGTACATATATACACACATACACATACATATGCGCACACACATACATATGCCACACACACACACGCTCCCGTATTTTATTTATTTATTTATTTTTGAGATGGAGTCTTGCTCTGTATTGCCAAGGCTGGAGTGTAGTGGCGCGATCTCAGTTCACTGCAACCTCCGCCTCCCAGGCTCAAGTGATTCTCCCTGCCTCAGCCTCCCAAGTAGCTGGAATTACAGGTGCCCACCACTACGCCTGGCTAATTTTTGTATTTTCAGTAGAGACAGGGTTTCATCATGTTGGCCAGGCTGGTCTCGAACTCCTGACCTCAGGTCGTCTGCCCGCCTCGGCCTCCCAAAGTGCTGGGATTACAGGCATGAGCCACCGCGCCTGACTGCTCCCATATTTTATATCCTCATATTAATAGATTCAATTAGCTCAGCTTAAAAAGCATTGCCATTCATTGGTATGCCGGCTCCTGAAAGCCACTGTGCAGATCTTCTCAGTGCTCTGTAGCAGTGCTGTCATGTTGGTATATTGAAATGATAGAGTGGTGGAGTATTTACACCATGGAATACCAGCAATGGTACTTTTAAAAAGAGTGAGCATCCCACTGTTTCACAGAGTTGTGATGCTCACTACTACATTATTAAGATCCCACCCTGGTGGAAGCAAGCATCGTATCATTTCCTCATTAATCTCCTCAAGTCTCATGATAATTCTAATAAATCAACCACAGCCAAAACTTTTTCCTCCCATATGATGAAACCTCACAAGAGTTGTAACCTCCCTTTTTGTTTGTTTTCTCTGGCAAGACAGCTTGTTCATAATCCGTCCCCATCAAAGGACTTACACTTCAAAATCCCCTCTTCTGCTCTCCTTTCACTGCCAGATGATGCTCTGTTTGGCAAAGACCTGCAACTCATTGCTGACATCTCTTGCTTTGGCATTTGCAGCCTGATTCTGGCCAAGACTGACTTTAAAGACCCAGATCTCTTAGATCTAAAAATACCCTTCAAAGTTTGAACATAGGTAAGATCTAGAGAGAGAAGTTTCAGGTGAGAAAATAGGGTTTACAAATGGCCTGAAGTATATTTCTAAAAAACAGATCAGTATTCTAAAAGGCAAAAATTTGCTGGAAAATTTCAAATGTTAAAGGAGACTACAGAAACATACTGTATGAGATGCGGTCTTATGGTAGACCAGTACTCCAGGGAAGACAGTGCTATAAAGGACATTACTGGGTAAATTGACAGAATTGTCATGCAGAAAGAAGATTCAATAAAATTTCTTTAGTAATGTTAAATTTGTTCACGTTGATAAACTCTGTACGTACTGGAGTATCTACTTTGTGAATGAATATACTCTGAAGTACTTAGAGAAGTAAAGGACCATGTTGTATGCAACTTATTCTCAAAGCTTAAGGAAAAATATTGATAATTATATGTATATATAGAAAACAAATCTGATAAAATGTTAAACATTTGAGAACCTGGGTAAAAAGGTATAGAACTCTTCTTTTTTTTTTTTTTTTTTTTTTTTTTGAGACGGAGTCTCGCTCTGTCGCCCAGGTCGGACTGCGGACTGCAGTGGCGCAATCTCGGCTCACTGCAAGCTCTGCTTCCCGGGTTCACGCCATTCTCCTGCCTCAGCCTCCCGAGTAGCTGGGACTACAGGCGCCCGCCACCGCGCCCGGCTAATTTTTTGTATTTTTAGTAGAGACGGGGTTTCACCTTGTTAGCCAGGATGGTCTCGATCTCCTGACCTCATGATCCACCCGCCTCGGCCTCCCAAAGTGTAGAACTCTTCTTTTTTTCTTATAATTTAGCTGTAACTTTGCAATTATTTCCCAAAAAAATGTTTAAAACTTTTTTTCTACATAACCCCAGTAGACTCAGGACTTGGAGACACACAATAAGAAAGAAAGAAGAAAAGTAAAAGAAATTCAAGCCTGAAAATTGGTTTCAGGGCTGCAGATATCTATTGTGGTGATTGTTGTTAGACTTCCAGTCACCACACCAACAGCTTTTTTTCTTAATCAAACCAGTTCTAAGAATATGTAGCAAATTAGCCAGCAACAAAAATCTCCATGGGTAAAGCCATCTGATTCCTGCCTCAGCTCACTGCCTATAGCTCTAACCACCCTGCAACCCAGCATCCAATTGGATTCTGGGAGCTTTAGTTCTGTTGCAACTGTTCTAACTGTCATTACTGGTGTACAGAGAAGAGCTTCACTGAGGATCCCTTTCAGGATGCTGTGACTCCCTTTACAATTATATTTCTCACTGCCTTGGTAAAGGGTCTTTTGGACTCTTCTTGGATGTAGTTTAGCGGGTAGGTGAGTGGTTCTTCGATGAGAAATCTACTCTAGCATTTCAATTTCCCTGGGCCCTGTAGACCTTCTGCAACATACCAGTGGAGTTCTGGCATTTCACCTGGATTTAGTCTAGGCCACCACATTTTAGTCAATTAACCAAGCAAACTCTTAGAGCCACTCAAACGGACACATTGAGTCCAGAATCTTGGCTTAACGTTTCTATATCAAGATTTCATCCTTGTCCAATATTATATTCCTTTCCTCCTGATCAGACCCTTAGGATCCATTTCCATGCATGTTCCTCGGGTTTCTGTCTATATAAATTGATAAACTCTTGCAATATTTAGATGTAACTTGCATCCTCTCATGGTTCACACTTTGTAACTCACACTCTGGGGCCTGGTGAGACTTGAATCTGGTTACAAATGTAGAAACAAGAGGCACTGAAGGTTTTCAGGAAGGTTGGCAATCCTTTGCAAGACAATTACCTTGAAAGAAGTTATCACAATCTTTAAGGCAAAGGAATACTAACTTTAATCTTGGAGAAAGGGTTTCCATCTGCAAAAGGGGCTCTGAAGAATTTAGAGATTCATGGTCTCCAGCTTCACTGGAATTTGTCCATATGTCCCCTTTTAATTGTTAGAGAGAGTCTCACTCTTAGTCAGTGTACCAAGTTCAACATGAATTCAATTTGCCTTGTAATCTAGCCACCAGAAAGATCAGACTTTGAATTTGTTTTTCAGAAATCTTGGCCCTATGTCTACAGGAGAAAAAAAGGTACTCATTGAAGCATTCTGCTCCCTTATGCAGACCTTGAGCTGGGAATTCAAAGCCCCGACTTCACTGTTTTCTTTCCCTAAGTTCTCTATTTTACTTGGAAGCAACTAACCAATCCCATTATGTTCCTTATTTCTACCAAAATATTCTAAGGTACCACTACTTGATCCCCCAAACCTCTGCCTTCTATAGGCTGGTGATTCCAGATGCCTGCAGGTGATCAGATATCTAAGTAACCCTCTTGCCACCAAATACCACACACACTTCAGTTACTCTTTCAAAAAAAATTATCAAGCAACTGCTCTGTGCCAGAGACTCTTCTAGTCCTGAAGATACAGTGATAAATAAGATAGAGACAGTTCCTGCTGCCATTCAGCTTGGTTCTAGTGAGAAAGACAGATATATTAAAAAATAACTTGACATTACATTTTCAAGAATTTAAGTACTTTATTGGAAAATATAACTGTGTAAGAAGACAGATATTGACAAGGACACTTAGTTCTTGTAGCGAGGAAGTATAGACTTAACTCTTATTAGTAAAAGAGTGTTTAAGAATAAAAATATATCAATACCCCTAACTTTGGAGACAAACTGAAGTACTGAATGTACTTCTATTTTTGATTTTTCCCTTAGCATGGTGAGTTGTTTGGGAAATGATTCAATAGTTATTTGTAGTTTCTAAATTCTCAGCAGCAGTTGCCTCCTGATATGTGTCACTATATATTCTGAGTTGACATCTGTTATCTGAATCACCAAAATAGTGCCTTGTTTTAAAATTTATCCACTATTGGCTTATGTTTTATCTTACTCTAGGCCATGTTATCACTACATGTGACATCTCTGTATATGTGTTTGTGAAACTGGGATAAAGTTGGCAAAACTTGAGATAGAGGAAACTATCTATGAAACATGTTTTGCATTAGTAGAACAGGAGGCATAAGCACATTTGGAATAGAAAGAACAGAGAAGGCGATACTGGAGAAATAGGATCTCACAAAGGAAAGTAGAATGCACGTAGAGAACTTAAATGCAATTTAGGCAATAACCTATGCAATTTGGACAACTATAGACCTACTATGGCTTATGGTTTCTACCAACTAGACTTAAGCTTCTTTTGGAATAAAGCCTTTGCCTCATGGAGGAAGTCAGTTAATGTTTGTTGATTGTGATTTTGATGATGACATTCATGATGATATTCTATTTGGGGAATGTTTTTCAAAGTGGGGCTTTGACCTGACAAACTGTTATACCGATAGAAAAATCAACATTCTCTCACTGACACCTTAGGTATTTGACAGATATCTGAAAGAAAAATAATTTGATATGACCAAGCAATAGTGAAGTGTAGGATATTGATCTCCAGAGATTTGTGAGACTAAAAATTGTGCAAACGAATAAAAAAAAATCATAGTCTAGATTATCCCAATGTTGAACAATATACTTATGTTTACACATAATGTTGGAAAAGTCATCAGTGCAATTTCTACAATGCACTGATGATAATGATAATGAAATTTTAGTGACAATGTGATAATGAAATTTTAGAAGAAATTATAATTAGTTTTTCATCTCTCTTAAATGGATGTGTTGTTTTTTCTGTCCTCTTCCTTCTCCATTTATGCCTGTTCTGGTTCCTTGTTGACTTGGGGAAATATACATGTGGGTAATAAGGGTGAACATTTCCGCAGAAACAAAGCAGGTCTACTATGCTTCAGCAGGCTTAACTCTCATTTGTTTAATGAGGGTTTGGAAAGATGGGGGGGTTTCCTACATATAGTCAATGCATACTTAAGAACACCTACTATGTGCTGGCTTCATTTTAGTCTCTAGGAACTGGGAGACATATTGAGCCATCTGTATCTACATATATTAAAATTGTTGTACCGAAGAGTATTTCAAGGTCTTCTATCTGTTTTCTTTTGGATAGAAGCAGTCAGTGCAAACCAGCATGGTGAATGAGCTTGATTGTATTTAAGAGAAAAAATTCTCACTTTTGGGGTTTTTGCTACCAATTTTAAGAATGGGGAGCTGTTTTCAGAACTAAAAGTTTGCCAGCGCACTAATAAGATGTAAAATGAAGAAAAATTAAAAAATAGCTCTATGGTTTCAAAGAATGTGGAGCTACTTTGGCTTCATCGGCAGAGTAAGTCTGTTAATAACCCCGAAGCTCTCCCCTTGTTGAAATAACACAAATTAGCGTTTAACCTGGGAGGAAGACACGTGAAGTTATTTAACATTTACATAAAATTATGGAGTAAACTCCAAACAGGTCGCCTCCAAAATGTATAATTACACTCAGCAGTCCTGTCAGCATACATAGAAACAATTTTATTTCCAATCATCTTCTGCTTTTATTCACTCAGGAATGTATCATTAAAATTTCCACAGAACAATGAACCTTAATAGGCGCTAATGCAATTGTGAATTATGGTAATTGTTACCTAAATTAATCTCTGTACTTTCCATTCCTTATTGCCCTGTGCATAAGGAGTGTGAAAAAGATAATGTTGAAACTGACATTTGTATAAATGGTATAAAAATTTATCTTATTTAATAAAAATTTAATATAAGAACTTGCTACTTTGTAAAGTAGTTTACTCAGAAAAAAATGTTAGATTTGTTGCAAGTTGGGTTTATAAAATCTTTAATTTGTGAAATTTGGGAGGGAAACTGGCAGTTGACTCATTATGGTTATCTTTGGGGTATGTGTATGCACCGAGGTATCGGGATGGTACATGTATGTTCCTCCGTGCACATATTGCCAGGGCAGTGTATGCATTCGTACCCTTATCTGTGTGCCTGGCCTCTTTCTGTGTGTTTATGTTTACTCATTTACGTAAACTACCCTCTTGGTGTAATAAAATCCACCATTATGTGTTGAATTGTGTTCCTCTCAAATTCATATGCTGAAGTCTCCTAGTTCTTCAGAATGTGACCATATTTGAAGATAGGACCTTTAAAGAGGTGATTAAGTTAAAATTAGGCCGTATGTTTGGGCTCTAATCCAGTGTGACTGGTGTCCATCTAAGAAGAAATTAGGACAGAGACATAGAGGGAAGACCATTGGAAGACACAGGGATAAGATGGCTGTCTACAAGCCAAGGAGAGAGGCTCCTGAAGAAACCGGCCCTGCCAATACCATCTTGTCAGATATATGGCCTCCAGAACTGTGGGAAAATAAATTTCTGTTGTTTAAGCCACACAGCCTGTAGTACTTTGTTATGGCAGTTCTAACAAACTCATATACTCACCTGGATTGGAAATAAAGAAATACAGGGTTTTGTCTTGTTTCTGTCACTCCTGAATTATATTTGACTTTGGGCATATCACTCAGCCTTCCCATTTGCCGTGTGGTCCAGTTCTTGTATACTTGTTTATTCAAACCACTCAGTTTCATAGTCTTTGCTAACCGCGCCCTGACTTTACTCTGAGAAAACACTCACCCTTCACATTTATTTCTCACAGTTCAGATGGAGCTGATCTTCTGCTCCAGCTCCAGTGGGCATGTTACTCAGGTCTGGCCAATCAATATGTTCCATGCCCACAATGACTGGTTCAAGAATGCACATATGACAGAGCCCTGGACAATGAGATTCCATTTCAGGACTTAATCTGGAACTATTGTGCAGGTAGGATCTCTGTTTGCTGAAGCTGCTAAGGTGAGAGGATGAATGTCTGGGGCTTGCTTCAGCTGTCTTGGAACCACAGAGAAGGGTCAGACCAAGAATGAAGCCAATGCAGAGAAAAGTGAACCACAAGATGGAGAGAGATCAGTACTAAGAACGCTTTGTGAGTCCCCGATCCAGCCTTGCCTGAAGCCAGTGATTCTTGGGGGCCCTGTAGTTTTCATTAATAAGCTAGTGAATCCCTCCACTTTTTCCCCTCAAGGCAGTTTGACTTGCATTCCTCTCATTGCTACCAAAAGAGTCCTGAGTTGTAGAATGGCTGAATGCTGCCTCTTCCTCTGCAAAATGAGTGTATCCTTTATAATTGAAACTATTTTTTTCCCAATTAAATATTACATAGAACACAAATACTGCTGTGTATGTGAGAGGAGGCAGGAGTGAGGGTGGGAAATAAAACCTGACCCCTTTGACATTCCTCTAATCCCCTGGTTCTGTGTGGAAACCTCTGGGTTAGATGATTCAAAGTTTCCTGCCAATCCTTAGAATTATTAAGTTTTCTGTACTTATGAACATTTGTAGCACTCGGTGGGTAGGAATTTCAGGGGCAAAGGGGATAGCAGAGTGAGGAGGAGAAAGCACTAACAGGTAAAGAAAACACAGTCAGAGGCCACACACAGGCATTTTCTCCCCCTAATGCTGGTGAAGTTGCCGAATGACCAGAGGTGAGGGCTGCTTGTAAAGTGCTCTAATATTGGGATACTCTATGTGATTTTTCTATCTGTCTCGGGCAGAGCTCCAGGCTGTCAAGCACATGCTGAATAATTGACTTGAGAACACTTATGGAGAGAGGTGTTCTTGGTCCTCATGGTAGTAACAGAACTTAAAGAGCAGTATCACTGGAGCCCCTAAAAACTTCCACAGATGGGTGAAAAGCCCACCAGGTTCACCTTGAATGTACCATAATTAGTAGTACTTTTATAGAAAAAGTTTTACTGAGCCCCATCTGGGATGAGTTTTGCCATTTATAATAATCTTTAGCACAGTGATTTTTCACCAAATCTGAAGAAAACTTTGAAACATACATGAGCCTTCAATCCCTTGTCTGCTCTCAAATGTGTACATACAGTTTGCAATCAATTTCAAGGATTCTGTCCTTTCAAAGCCATTTTTGTACTGGACCTCAGGCAAAGCGCTCCTGCTCTAGACACATGTGTCACACATGCATTTGCTGATTTGTTTTTTAAGCCACTGGGATCTTTCTAAATCTAAATTCTTTAAATCATAGTTTAAGCAACTCTGCTAATTCATTTTGTCAACTGCCATTACCTTTTTCTTTTATTTTGTGAGTGCTTTGTCTCTGATTTGGTTCACCTCTGAGTATGATCTAAGGAAGAGTTCCTCATTTACTTAACAAATATTTATTGGGAACATGTATGTGCGATATCATGAAAGTGAAGATAGAGGGTCTCAGTTGCCTTGGAACTTCTGGTCCTGTGGGAAAACACAGGACTTAGGTAACGTGAAGTCAGCAGACTCTTATAATGTCAGCTCTATCTCTAGAACAAGGGCATTAGATCGGTGGGACTCAGAGCAGCAGAGGACTGGAGTTTGGAGGGGACTCTCGCACCTAAGACCTACAACTGTTGCAGCTTTGCAGAAATGCTGGAGGCTTCACAGAAAGAGAGACTAAGAAAGACTGAGGACTGTTAAGCATGCCCTATCCTATTATCAAACACTTCACTCCAGGGTAAGTTCAGTGAGGCACTTGACTCTTGAGTGAAAAATTTATGGAGACTCTAAAATCTTTTTGAAAAATAGATATCAAAATGTTGATATTTTGCCCATCATGGAAAAATTAATTTTAATCTTTTAAAAATATTTCATGAAAATGTTATCTCTCCGTCCCTGAGATTTTTGATGCTCCCTTAAATTTTGTGCCTGAAGTGAGTGTCTTGCTCATCTCACCCTAGTCCCAGCCCCACCTCACACTGCAGTGACAAGTCACAGCACATGATTTAGAAATGTTTGCAATTGATCATTTTATAATTTAGCGTATATGGGATGCATATTGTTATAATAAATATTTGGGATTTTGTGTGTGTGCGTGTGTGTGTGTGTGTGTGTTTGTATGTAACTAATTTGACTTCATGAGATCCTTAAAAAATTTACAGTAAGTGTTTGAGGGTCAGCAGATTGAGACACAGAGAGAACATACATGCATCATTTTTGACTCAACATCTCTTAGTTTAGCTTGGAAATCCTGCTGCACAGCACCACATCTGGTTCTGAGGTTTAGCTGTTGTCTACATCTGTCCTATGTGGTCATAAAGAGCTGGTGGAGGCTGGGCATGGTGGTTCATACCTGTAATCTCAGCACTTTGGGAGGCCGAGGTGGGCGGATCACTTGAACTCAGGGGTCAGAGACCAGCCTGGGCAACATGGCGAAAACCTGCCTCTACCAAGAATACAAAAATGAGCTCGGCCTGGTGACCTGTGCCTATAGTCCCAGCTACTCAGGAGGCCTAGGTGGGAGGATCACCTGAGCCTGGGAAGTTGAGGCTACAATGAACCATAATTGTGCCACTGCATTCCAGCCTGGGTGATGGAGTGAGACCCTGTCTGTCTAAAAAAAAAAGAGCCAGTGAAGACTGCTGACTGCATGCCCTGTAGCTACATGCCTTGCCCTGAGGCCACTGTTATCTTCCCACTTCATGATCCTCCATGGGATTGCTCAGCCCCTCACCTCTGGCTTTATGTTGCCCTGATCTCTCCTTACTGTCCCAAGTCCCATATCTCTGTCCTCTTCTGTTCCTAATTTTCTACCTGTTCCCCAGTCTCAATGCCAGACTTTGCTTTGTGTTTCATCCCTGACTCCTCTATTGCTGGTGTATATCCGTCTCCTACGCTATTTCTTTGCCATCTGGAACAAGTTCTAGAAGCCTAATTAACTTGTAAAGTGCGTTCGGTTTGGATGGCACAACCCATCTTTCTTCCCCGTGACTTGAACCTCCTGACCTTTTCTCATAAAACACTCATGTCCTATTTGCTACCCTGTGCTCAGTTGTCATTAGTTTGTGTTGACAGTTTTATTGTTTCCTGGTGACCCCTGTCCATCCACAATTACTATGGTATGTAGCAACCTATTTATTTCAAAGTTAAATGTGTGGTATAAAAATAAAACCAAAAATTCCACATTCTCGGGGGCAAAAATCCCAGGTTTTAAAATATGATTCACATTCATTCATGTATGTATAAATCCTATTATAACTTATTTCACTAAATTAGTGGCGAGGTCTCTTAACCACGTCCAGAGAACAGTTAGTAACTCTTGGCTTTTTAGAACTCCTAGGCTCTTAAAATTGTGCATATGAATAAACAAACATTGAAAGAAAATTTTTTCATGGAAGCCAAAATCAACCAAAAATAGATACATTTCAGCAATTACCACATTTATAGGCTTTAAAATATTGGCCTATTAATGAAGATGATTCATTCTTTCAAAACATCCTGGATTTTGACATAAAATAAGTTTATAGTTATGAGACCTGTGCGACCTCATCATAATGTTGGAATTAAAATAATAGAGAGAAAAATAGTTTGGTATATAGGAGTATGAAGCGAGGTGAGGAGACCAAGGTCTTTGTGTCAGTTGCTGACACTGATTATGGGACCAGCTTGGGTAAGACGTGTACCATGTGGATGCCTCATGCTGGTAAAAGCAAGATGGGGGCTAAAAAGAGTAGCTTCCATCCAGAAATCACTAAAGCCAATGTAAATCAGCATCACATGACTACAGACCTATATTTAAAAAAATGTTTTATCTCTGATTGCATTCCTATGATTAGTTTACATAGTAACGGATCGCTATTTGATTTTAAAAGTTGAAAGGCCAGCACAAAGATGCAGAAAGAAAAAAAAAGTCCTGTGTGTTCCATAGGAGGCCAAGAAGTTTGGTATTTTTCCAGATACACGTAATATTCTTCTATGTATATCTGTACTCGTTAGACTGAGGATCCAGGTTTTATTAATTTCCATATCCTTTTTATAACTCTGTGGGATTCACATCTTTTGGGAGAATGGACTCTGGGAATAACCACATCTATTTGTAAAAGCATGCCCTTGACAGTTTATCTTTGGATTAATTGGTAAGTTTTATGAGTCAAATTGCCCCAGGCTTTTTCCTGAGTTTCTTCAGAGAAGCAATGGGAGGCAAAACTAACATTTTGCTGGTGCTTTGGGATCCTTGGTAAGAAGCTTATGTGAGAAGCACAAAGTATCGCTCTCATTTGGCACTCGTGATTCGAAGGCATATTGATGCAGACACTTGAGTGCTCCAAATGACAAGATAATCCAGATAAACTTTACGCATCTTGCAGCACTTGAAGTTTCTAAAGCCAAATAGAGTGGAAGGATAAAAGACAAACCAAGTTCCTAAGTTAGTTCATATCCTATATGTACTTGATGTCTCTCCTTCATATGAATCCCTGCTGCCAGCAACAAATATTACAGCCAAGCACCTAGAGTTGGCCTATCTCCATGTGGACAATTCTATCACATATATGGGCTATGGATTCCAAAAATGAGACTATCTTCTTATGTAACTTGCTTCATTTTAATTAACATAGTACTGAGTAATTAAATATGCTTTTCTACAATATCAGCTGTAATAGCAAAATAGTTCTCCATTATATGGATGAAATGAAAATATACTTAATCAATCCCCTATATTTACATATTAGGAATCTCCACTGTTGGTGACTTACAATGTGGAAAAAGCTTCAATTTGACCTTTTAAGGTTTCCAAAACTTTCAGTAAAAATGAAACTGACGGGAGACCCAAGAGAGTAGGACTCAGAGCCCTGTGAGGTATTACATATTGTTACATATTGGGTCAGCAGGGCTTGCACCCTACAGAACCTGGGGGAGAACTGGATGCTTGAGTAATAATTTCTGTAAAATCATTATATAAACTGTGGCAAATGCACAAAATATGACATATTAAGGCTCAGAAATGACTATCTTTCAACATAATCTTTCCATGGTCATTTCCTGCCGAAGATATTGGCCTATGTTTAATTATCAGCCATGGTTTATACAGTTTAGTGTGGGGTGCATCTTTCTTTGAAGAGTCTTTTTTTTTTTTTTTTTTTTTTTTTTTTGAGATGGAGTCTCACTCTGTCGCCAGGCTGGAGCGCAGTGGCGTGATCTTGGCTCACTGCAACCACTGCCTCCTGGGTTCAAGCGATTCTCGTGCCTCAGCCTCCCTAGTAGATGGGATTATAGGCACATGCCACCACACTCAGCTAATTTTTGTATTTTTAGTAGACACGGGGTTTCTCCATGTTTGCCAGGGTGGTCTCGATCTCCTGACCTTGTGATCCGCCTGCCTCAGCCTCCCAAAGTGCTGGGATTACAGGCGTGAGCCACAATGCCTAGCCTCTTAGACGAGTCTTAATATGGACTTAAGTATAGTGCAGTTTAAAAAGTGGACAATGGCTTTATAAGTGAATTAATAATTTTAGATGTATTAAGTCTGGTGACTTGTATTGTGTGAGCATAGCTACTTGGAACTACATGTCCCAGGATACTCTTTCCTATTTGGTACCCGGTTAAAGTTGGCCACTAGAAAAATTCACACAAGTTTTGGAAGGCCAAAGCCAAGCCACAGCCATCTTGTTATTTTTGGAAGGTTGGCACAGGATGCCAGGCACGGAGGCAGCTCATGCACACTGTAACTCTTCTGCAAGCTCACCTCGTTGTTGTGGGGCAGCACCCACACCCATCCACCTGCACCTCCCACCAGAGCTACTCCTTCAGGTTCTGTGAACTCTGGGTCCCATATGCGTGTTGCTCCTTAATGAAGGATGCAGCTCGTCCTGCAGATCATCCGTGGCAACACGGTTGGAAGTGGTGCAAAGCAGATGCAAGTTCCAGTGTGATCTCCCATGTTCCAGTTTGTTCTTGCTCTTCTTTTCATCCAGCTTCCTGCCCTACAGCAACCTGGCTGACCTATGGAAATTGCACAGACTGCTTCTTCAGTTCCCACTATTACCTACAGTGTAACCACTACAAGAAATTCCTTATCTGAGACCACTCATACCAGTTCTACTTCTTTGATCAAAAAGTATTCATACACATACAGACAAGCACACACATTGAACCTGAAAGGTAGATGCACATAGCAGCTAGGCCTCCTCAGGCACTGAGGGATAGGATTGGGGTAGAGATTGAAAGACTCTTTAGTATAGGGAGCTTGCGTGTGAGAGATGTATGAGATGTGAAAGATGTGAGAGTGATGACGGGAGTAGCCTCAGGCTTAATGGGGAATGACCCCATGGGCCTGGGAACATGGGACACAATTCCAGACACAAGAGCTCTGGAGAGTTTAACATAGAACCTTACATATGTGCAATTAGTGAACCAAAGTTTATGTACCTGGGGCCCATAGAAAACATAGAAAGTACATATAAGAAAATGTAGAGAAGAGTATGGGACTGGGATGGAAGCATTCTGGAAAGGAGTAGTGGACCTCTGGTAGTTTTGCCTGCCTGGCAAACATCCCTAACCTCCTGACAAGAATACCAGGGTTGTTAATGCATACGGTGATTCTCTGTGAATTTATAAAGGGATGATCCCTCCAGGCAGATGCCCTAGATTGGGGCACCTGGCCTGGAGACTGGAGCAGATCCTAGCTTCATTCACCCATCTGAACATTCTGCTGCTAACTTTGTGCCATGAACATGCTTGACTGTGTGCCATACCTCCCCACACAGTTCATGTGTTTCAGGTGGAGGGGCTCAAGCCCACCTTAGGCACAGGAATGGACATTTGACCGACTCCTGGCTATATTCCCATAGCCGATAATCCCCATGGATGAAGAGAACATCATTTTCCCCAGAGAAACAGAATCTTGGTGGTGTGACTTTGAGGAATGTGTTCACTCCTGAACCTATCTCTATGGTTAGCCATATGATCTCCTATTTAGACATTTGTTTTGTGCTGAACTGTGTCCCCTAAAATTGATATGCTGAAGTCCTAATCTCCAGTATCTCAGAATGTGATGGTATTTGGAGATAGGACAATTAAAGAGATAATTAAGGTAAAATGAGGCCTTATAAGTGGGCCCTGATGCAATATGACCACTTTCTGTATAGGAGATTAGGACACAGATGTATACCGAGGGAAGGCCAAGTAAAAAGGAAGGAGAAGGGCCATCCACAAGCCAAGAAGAGGGGTTCCAATGAAATGAACCCTGCTGACACCTTGTTCTCAGACTTCCAGGCCCCAGAATTGTGAGAAAATAAATTTTTGTTCATTAAGTTACCCAGTCTCTGGTACTTTGTTAAGTCAGCCCTACCAAACTTATACAGCATTGTTAGCTCTTACTAAGTGGCTCCATTTTTATAAAAAGATATCAAACTAATCTGTATTGTCTGCCTAGATACTTGCCTATTTAAAAAGTGACATAAACTAGCCCCATAATGAGCACCCTTTTAGCTTCAGGCCCACCCACCATTTAGCAAAAATCAAGCTGAAACAACCTTTATGAAGGGAAGTTTGGTTAAAGTGTATTTGTTTCATCAATTCCATCAGCTATTTGAAAGCTTACCTCTCTACCAAGCTCAATCATGAAGCTGAATCCCTCAGCTTTCAAGTGTTATTTCGGCATTAGCTTATCTATAACAAATTGCTCTTTGTTGAGGTGTCCTCGGCATTGAGCAAAGAACATTCTAGAAGAACCTCAAGAAGCCCATTTCTGTGTCTCCTGAAAGGTAACTACTAAGACCATTGCATGGGATTTTTGCCAGGAGGGCCCTGGGGAGAAATTTCTAACTCAAGTACCAAGAATATCTGCTCTTCTCATGATCAATTAATCCAGAGATTCACATAGTTTTTATTCTTGCAAGGATAGCTAGAAAGTTGGGTAATGGTTCTTAAACTTAAAACTTAATGTGCAGAAGAATCACCTGAGGAGCTAATTCTGAAACTCTTCTGGAGAGTGGGGAAAATGTAATACAGTACCCAATTTGGTCTGATGAAAACATTGAAGCTGTTTCTTTAGGTCGTGTTGCACTCCTATTAGGTAGAATTACTTAGGTTCTGTCTCTCCTTATTTTGCTTTCCAGGATGGCACCTGGGTATATGAGGTGTCTCCATGTTAGTGGGTTGGAGGGGTCCCTGTCCTTTTCTGGCTCTCGAGTGTTCTCTACCATGCCTCCCACCCAGCCCTCGGACCAGTCTGCTCAGTTCCACCTTCCCCTGTGGTGTCATCTTGCCCAGGACAGCAGGCTCCATGTGAGGGTGGCTGACTCTCAACTCAGATACCCACAACCCACGGGCCTTCAGGGAGAAGGAGTTGTTTTAACCCAGATCACCCTCTGTTTAGCCACTGGGTTGCTTTCTTAGTTGGGCTGAGTGTCTTTATGTTGGTGTGAGGCCTTCCTCATAGTCATCTCCTCCTTCAATCCCAAATGGAGAAGAAGGGGCAAGAGCCACCTTTCTTTGAGATTTCTTTGCTTATTCAGCACAAATCACCCTCTGGGCAAAAGTCTGAGGAGAAAATCAGGAGACCCAAGACTGAACATTTGAATCTTCATTTCTTTCTTCCCTTTCTGCTCTCTGTAATTCCCCAAGCCAGAAATGGGTAATCTTTTATTTTTCTTTACCTGCATCTTGTTTTCCTACAGTTGAGCAAGAGCTTTCCTGCCATTGCCTTCTTGGGGGGAAATAAAATTTTCTTAGCTCTAAGAAGAACTCAATGGCCGTGGGTCCTTCAGGATTGGCTGTTGATGTCCTAAAAGAGTAAATAAAAGCACTTGGGAAATCCTTTCTCTCTAAAAAATGCATGGCTCTTAAGCTTATTGACTTTCTGTTATATCCTATTTCATATGTCAGATGCTGAATATTACGTCAGTCTTTATTTTTATTTTTCTTTCCCCAACACATCTCCCCAAGCGTATGGATGCTCTAGGACATGTACTTGGAAATGCAAAACAAATAAAGTGCATTAATAATTTAAAATACTGTCTCCGATATATGCTTCTATATTATAAATAATAATAAAAGATAGATATCAGAAAAGAGAAAAAATTGTTTTGAAGGAAAGGAGGAAGAATAAATAATAAACTCCAAGAGCTCTTTTTTTTTTTTCAATCCTGGTGAGAGAGAGCAGTTCTAAAGGCATAGATACTGAGAAAGAAGAGATGGGGTCTGGGCCATATTTCAGGGCCCCTAATTTGGAGCATCTATTGGTAGACAAAAATTACTTTGAAAATTAGATGTGGGGCTAGTTGTCCTTGATCTGATAAAGGATTAAAGGGTTAAGCTGAAGTATTTCTAAGAGCATTGGGACGATGGCAAGTAATCCAAATTTTCTTTGCTTCAATTTTTTTCTTTACTTTTATGAAGCTGATCAAACCATTCTCTTATCTGTCTTGCTGACCTCAAAGGAATGTGATGGAAAAAAAAATTGAAGAATAGAGCTCCCTTTAGAATAAGGTTGAGTTATTAGGTTTATTACATCTTTATTGTTACACATCAAGAATGGGCAGCTTTCTTATTCTATATCTTTAATAATGGAATTGTTGCAAACTGGTGGGCAGTTAAAGACTTTCAAAAGCAGCATGTCTTCCTCTTTCATTTCACATTGCCTTATTTCTTGTTTTGATAGAGATTGAGATGAAAGGAGGACTTAGAAATGTGCAGTCATTAGACATGGCAGTGGAATAGCCCAGGTGTGTGTCAGGTGACAGATGATTCCATAGCAAGAGACAGTAAAGTACTTTATGGTTAAAGAGTAGCAGGAAAGATTGTGAAGCAGGAAGGGTGCTATTATGAGTTTTATTATTTAGGTTTGTTTAGCAAGTATATGTAGATACAAAATCCTTGAAGATTTTGAATACTTCATAATTGGTTTAATTAGGAGCCTCCTTATTTCCCTGTTTTTCCAAAGAATCTCTGTTTAGACAAAAGGTGGTTACCAGCTTTATATGTCATCTTTACCACAATCGTAAGATGTACTTTTTGTTCCTTTTGCAACCCACACACTGATGTAGCACACTGCTTAGCTTTCCATATTTCTTCTCTAAATCTTATCCCTTTTTTCCACTGTTTTTGTAGCAATAGGGACATGCCATCACTTTTTTTTTTTTCAGTTGAAAAATACTGTAATAAAGGTAGGCCGTGAATATATTCTGGTGGCATGATTTGTAAATGAGAAATGTTTTTAAAGATGCCTTTCTTGATGAATCCATTAGTGGTGTCTTGGTTTAAAAAAAAAATTGATGCCAGGGTGGAGTCTCCTTTTCTCCTAAGCACCTCTGATCCCAGTGTACAAATAATGTTTATATTCCAGTTCACAGAAAAAAAAAGGAACGTGAAAATATTTCATTGAAAGCTGACAGCTTTAACGAACTTTAAAGGTTAACCCTGGTGCTAGTTAGCATATCTATTCATGTCTCCATCAGTCTATTGAATTACTCAGCTGAACATGCACACAAAAGCAAAACTGGAAAAAAAAAATACCCAGAAAGCCAACATTAATAATTCATAAATACTGGAGGCTTGTGACTGACAATTTTCCCCCTACTGTGTTGAAGTCTGTTAAGAACTGAATCCTGATAGCTCCTAAGTTACTTTAGAAACTCAGTGAGCAACCCTGTCCAGGAATGTTAATGTTTCTGTAAGTGGTTAGCTACCGAAACACATTGTGGGTTTTCATCCCCTCAAGCACTTGTTCATGTTCCTTTGGATTAGTATAAGGTATGGCTTTTCATGAGATGTTTAACTGACGGTTTTTATATTTGAATTTCACAAGCATCTGCAGACCATAAAGAACTCCAAATTCAGCCATAATCCTCTGTTACAAAGTAAATCGGCATTTTTGAACAGATTCCAGATACCAATTATCGCATTAATGAGGATATACAATCACGTTGTCTGCTTGGGCAGGATTAGAAGTGATGCTGCTCCTGACAGGCCTGGCCTGCCTTGGAATTCATAGTCCTTCTCCCTCCATGTACATGAAATTATATTTATTAAATCTTTCCATTAAAAATAGAAGTTATCAACATTTTTTATATATTAACTATTTTCCAGGGGATATAAGGGACAAATACTTGTTGCCTGACGATAAATTGATTTCAAGCTCTTATATAGGAAGAATGCAAATTCAGGCTTTATGTTATTAGAAACATTTAACGAAGTGCTCCCATAGAGGACTGAGGAGATGGGAACTGCATAGGTTCTCCAGTTGGTACTGATTGCTTTTCTCTACTGGGTTTGCTTCAGAAGGGGTTCCAAGGCGGTGGGCCGATATTTCTACCATTTGTCAATGATGAAGCTTCCTTTTACATTTTGCATTTTAGGATTTTTAATTGTTGTGCCATCTTTGGGAAAAAGCAATGGAAGTGTGTGGATGCAGAGTTTTCTCAGACTATTTTGATATGAGGCTATTGGTTAGCTCTCACTAGCCTGCTTCTAAAGGTGAAATGATGGTGACGTTCCAATTTTAAAAACCCTTGCTTGGCTTCCTAAATTGCAGTGCTAGAAATTGGTTTATATTAGGGATAGCTAGAGAAATAACTCAATCTCTGGCCCTGTTAGCAAAAAGTCTGTTTTTGCTTCCTTTAAGTTGCTGTTAATAACAATCAGAAAACTATTACATTAAATCAGGTCCTTCCTCATTAAAGTCTTAGCCCATGAACTGTCACTAAGGGATGTAAGTTTCAAGATTTGCAAGTTGTGGAGTAGATACTCAAAAATAAATGATTGATTCCATATGATTGCTTAATACAGAAGGCATTGACTTTTGTATTGAGCAATAAGTGAAGTCCAAAACATCTGTTGAGTACCTTTCCCGTATGGGGAGCTTCACCTGGTATGGTGACTGTATCAGTCATTTATGATAGATGTAAGTTTGAAATCCTGCACTGCTGATTAATAACTGTGTAAGTTTGAGCCTTTGTTTACTGGTCTGCAAATTGGGGATAATAATATTTACCAAAGAGGGTTGTACTGTGGATTAAATAAGATAATTTAGATGGAATACCTAGCAAAATTATTAGTAAATGCTGTTTTCCTTTCCTTCATATGAGAATCAGAACAATCTTTTGAAGAATCAAAACAATCTTTTTGTGCGTGCGTGTGTGTGTGTGTGTGTGCCTTTATTGTAATCCTGTGAGGTAGAAAAGGCAGATGTTAATGAAGAAATCGAGGCACAATCAAGTTATGTGGTTGGCTTGTTTAATTCAAAATTGGAATTTCAGCCTATTGATTTTTCCTTATACTGCTTCTATGAGTATATACTGCCTTTTTGTACCATTCTGTATCAAAGTCCAAATTAAATAATAATTACATCACTCCTAATTGTTTCAATCAATATTTGTCATTATACTAAGGTTATAGGTTATTTCTCCTTTGCTCAACACACATTCTTTAAAAAAATCTATTTGCCTATTTTTTCCCTTTGAGGATTTGAGGCAGCTTATAACATAGCAAACCAAAATGAGAGTGACAAAGAAGATATAAAATATCAGGATCAAATAAAAAGGAGATCATAATTATCCACATCATAAGGCTTAAACCTTGTTGCCACAGCTGGCTTTCAAATTTGGCTTTAAGCCATTATATAATTCCTTGAGGGCAGTGAGTGATGTAATAAAAACTGACCTCAATCACATTTTTATAACTGATAAAATACTAAATTTCATATGGCTTGACTATATGATGACATTTGATAAAAGCTAAAGGTAAACATTACACTCTTAGGGATAACCCTAATGTGTACAAAAATGTAACTTTCTGGCAGTTCAGCTCACTTCATCTCAGTATCTAGAGATGCTTGAGATCCCTGTGGATTGCATGAGTACTTTTTTGAAATGTTTTCTCTATGTTACAGTTATTTTGCAAAAGTACCATTAAATTTTCCTCCCAAATTTATGAAATGTATGTGAAAAAATACAAAACAACATATTTTATAATCTTTCTCTTTACTCTTTTCTCTTCTCTGTTAATGTAATAACCTATATTAACAGCTCATGTGTATTAGTCCATTCCAGAGTAGAGAGTGCTAAAAAGGCAGATACAATACTTCAAAAAATCCTTTTAAATGTATTTGAAAGTTGTGTGTCTGAGCTAGGGTTAAAATATAAGAAATAACTGGAGTTCAGAATCAGTCAGAAAAAAAATGGAGGTAAGAATGAGCTGAAGATTGTTTTTTGCCTTGAGGGCGTGTGCTGAACCCTGCAAACTAGACTGATTTTAAAGGTCCTTATGTAAGGGATAGGAGACAGAGTCTATAATCCAAAGAAAATGGGATGGCAGATCACTCCTCTCACACCCCCATCCCCAACACACATACATATAAAGCTGAAGTCCACTTTTATTTGGCACTTTGAGAAAAAAAAACCACAAAACATTGTCTACTTGCCTGTTTGGGATTTGGCAAGAAAAATGAAGTCTTCTCAGATTATTTGAAAAAAAGGCATAATCACCAATATGGCCAGAAGAGCACATCAGATTAGATAAATTTCAGGTTGTTAATGCTATTAGGTCCATGCCAGAAAACAAACAAACAAACAAATTGCTATCTGAAGTGATGCATGTTAAACACTAGGTTAAGGAATTCTCATAGATGAACTTTCAAGGAACATGAGTTCATAATCAAAATTCACTAATAACATGAAGAAACAAGTGACTCTGAGTTTCAGCAGAAATGACATAAGATACAATCAGACCAGCAAATACTATATAGATACTGGAATTATTTGAGAGTAAACATTCAAATGTGCTTATTTTTTAAAGGAATAAAAATGGAAGGAAAGTGTAATTAAGGAACCAGAAATCAAAAAAGCTACTCTGAGTAGGCAAATAAGAAACAGAACCAAGTAAGATTTCTAAAAATAAAAAATGGACTCATTATAATTGGAAACACAATGGATAGTTTAAACAGTACATTAGACACAGCTGACATGAAAATTAGTGAACTGAAAGAAATCTAAACAATATTACCAAGAGTGTAAACCAGAAAGAGCAAGAGATGGGAATTGTGAAATAGAGTTTTAGACATTGAGGATAGGTAAGAAATTCTGACACGTATCTAATCTGATTGACAGAGCAAGAGAATAGACTGAATGGTGACAAGTTAATATTCTGAGAGGTAATGGCTGAAAATTTCCAGAACTGATGAAAGAAAACCATCCACAAATATGGGAAGATTAATAAATCCAAAAATAAGATAAAGAAAAATCCAAAATTTTTACTTTTGGCTATGATGGAATATTTTGTATCAGAACAATGTCTCTATTGAGAACAATAATTAAATCTGAATTTTAAAAAAAATCCCTACTGTTTGAATGAATTGTAGTGAAACTAAGCAGCCAGAACTTGTGGAGCCAGGATTCCAGCGGGATGAGAAATGCGTTGAAGAGGAGCTCCGCTTTGTCTGCTACTAATACTCGTAGGTTATTGTGGACTACAGAGGATAGAAAAGCTGAGTGGCAGCTCAGTGCTATCTGCATTCTTAGCAGACTGAGAATATAATTGGAACTCAAATTTACCCAAGCATCCAGAATTTTAGGGGTCACAATCTTGAAAATGGAGAATTGCTACGAAATGAGCTCAGTGATCAGTAAGATTTCCCCCTGAGGTATTTGCTGATTCCTAAACCATGGGCCAAGAGGTCAAAAACCCAACCAGAAAAAGGCACAGAATTTTTGACATTTTCATGCCACTAGGAACACATAAATTGGATATCATAGCTATCCAAAGATGAGGGACTCTGATAAACACCCCATGCTTTAAGTTGGGTCTACTGAAAGGCTAAACCCTGAGAATAAGGATAAACTGAAAAACAGACCAGATCTTCTTAAAACAAATACCAAACCTCAGATGATCTCAATCCCTGATTGGATAAAGATGATCAGCCCTCTATCTGCCTTCCTGAAGAAAAGGAAATTAACTCTGAAGAGAGATATCATCATTCAGAACTAGCATACATATGACATTGCAATCAATAACTTTAGAATACACATTCTTTTTTGGTGCATGTGAAACATTTGCAAACACTGACCATGTCCTGGATTATAAAGAAAATCTCAGGCATCAAGGGATGGAAATTATAAGTATTTATTCTTTGGTTACAAAAAATTTAAGATAGAAATTAGCTATAAAAAGATAACTTGAAAATCCCCAAATATTTGGAAACATAGCAGTTTTCTTTTGAAGTAACTTAAAAGTCAAAAAATTTATCACAATGGAAATTAGAAAATATTTTAAACTCATTATTAATAAAAGTATCACATATCAAAACTTCAGAGATACCACTAATGCTACACTTAAGAAGGAAATTATAATGTTCATTGTGTATATTAGACAAGCGGTATTAAAATATAAAGAGAATACTAAAACCAAAGATAATAAAAGGGATGAAATAAAAAGATGAGAAATTAATAAAATAGAAAATATATTTAAAATAGAATATATCAACAAAGCCAAATTTGGCTCTTTAAAAAGACCAGGCCAGGTAAGGTGGCTCACACCTGTAATCCTAGCACTTTGGAAGGCTGAGGCAGAAGGATCACTTGAGGCCAGAAGTTCAAGACCAGCTTGCGCAACATAGACACTGTCTCTACAAAAATAAATAAATAAATACTATCCAGGTGTAGTGGCACGTGTCTGTAGTCCTAGCTACTAGGGAGGCTGAGGCAGAATGATTGTTTGAACCCAGGAGTCTGAGGTTATGGTGAGCTATGATTGTGCCACTGCACTCCAGCCCGGGTAACAGAGAGATAACCTGTCACAAACAAACAAATAAACCCCCGCAAAAACCCAATGAAAAACCAAAAATGTATAATCTTGTGGAAAGATTGATAAATAAGAGAGAAGCTCAAATTACCAACATTAGGTATAAATGAGAGACATCATTATAGACCATACAGTCATTGAAAGTCACAATAGGGTGTTGTGAACAAGTTTATGCCTATATATGAAAATTCAGATTAAGTAGATAAATTTATAGAAAATATCAGCTTACCAAAGTCAATTCAAGGAAACATAGAATATTTGAAAAGTTCTATATCTATTAAGGAAATTGAATCCACAGTTTAAAATTTTCACAAATAAGTCTCTAGTTCTAGATGGCTTAACTTCCAAATTGTTCCAAATATTTAAGGAAGATATAACATTAATTTTAGGTAAAATTTCTAAAAATCAAAAGAAAGACAAAGAAACATTCCCTACTGTTTTCATGTGGCCAACGTAATACTGACACCAAACTGGACAAAGGTAGCAAAATACATAAAAATTACAAGTCAACATCTGGAACATAGTTATAAAAATCATAAACAAAAATATGTCAATAGTAAATCCTATGATATATAGAAAGGCTAACACATCAGAATCAAGTTGGATTTTCTAAAAATAGAAGATTAATTAATGTTTGAAAAATCATTGAAATTAATAAACAAAATAAAAAAGAAAATCATATATTTATATTAATAGGAGCAGAAAATGTATTTGATAAAATTAAAAATGGTTTATCATAGAAACATTTAATAGCAACCAGCAAACGAATAACAAAGAAGAAATTCTCTTTCTGATGAAGGGTATTCTACAACATACTTACAGCCAACATCATACTTAATGGCGAGATATTGAAGCTTTTCCTCTCTTATCAGGAACAAGATAGGGTCCTAGCTCCTGCAAGCAGGCAAGGAAAAGAAAGAAAGTATATAAGAATTGAAATTGATGCAATAAAATTTTCGTTGTTCACTGCTGACATGATGTGAACATAGAACATAGAAAATCCCCCCAAAATTACAAAAATTTAAAAAGTGAGTTTAACAAACACTGGATAAAATGTCAATATACAAATATCGACTGATTTTCTATATATTAGCAAAATAATTAAGAGATTCAAAATTTTGAATTAAAAAAATTTACAGTAGCATCAAATAACATCAACTCTCTAGAATAAATGCAATGGAAGATTTGTAAATCTTCACTGAAAACTAAGTAACTATACAGAAAAAAGTTAAAGAAGACCAAAATAATGGAGGAATAAACCATATTTACTGATTGGAAGGCTCAACATTAAAAAGATATTAGTTCTCCTATATGGACTTATAGGTCCCATGCAATTCGAGGTTTGTTTATTTATTTTCTGTTTCTCTTGAAAAGTAGCATGCTGATTCTTAAATGTGTATTTAAGAATATACAGTTTTTGATGCAAAGAGGCAAGAATAACTAAGATGATCTTGAACAAGAGGAACCAAGTTGGAGGAAAACATTCTCAAATATGAAGATTAACATAAAGCTGCTATAAGTAATATAGTGTGATATTGATATAAATACGAATAAAACAGGGGAGAGTCCAAAAAGTGACTCACATATATAAAATCACCTAATTTATGACAAAGTGGGGAAGAGCACTGTGAGGAAAAAGATGGTCTTTTAAATAAATAGTGCTGAGTTAATCATATACACACATTTAGAAAAGAATCTTACTCCCATCCTACATTGCATGCATGTGTGCACACACAGACACACACTCACACACACAAAATTCTGGGTCCAATCATAGGTCTAAATATAAAAAGCAAAACAACAAAAGTTCTGGGAAATAATATGGGGATTACAGAGGCTGGAATTTCTCTGTCATATCCAGAACTCTCTGAAGAGATGCAATCCGTTTCAGAGACTGCCCAAGGGAGAGGAGGAGGGGAGTAAAGAAAGTTGGGGTGGGGTTGGAGAGATCCCCGGCTTCTCTGCAATTCCACCTTTAATCCCCTGCCAGTGACTACCTTGCGGGACCTAGGTAAAAATATGTTGTCCAGGGAGCTTGGAAATAGAGCAGAGTGGGGGAGAGAAGAGAAATGGATCCGAGAGCAAATAAAAAATTAAAACAAAACAAACAAAGGCTTTCAATCATTATGTCCAAAATTATTGGTAATGATTTCTTATATTGCCACTCCTCTTCATTATTTTTGGATAACTCTGTTCCATATTAGATGATTCCAGAAAGCTCATAGAGGGAATATGGTAATGATTGAAAATAAGTGTATTTTATTTCACTGTCCTATTATTTATTACTTACCTTTCTTCAACGTTTAAAAATTCAATTTGATTTTTTTAAAAGAAAAGGCTCCAGTTGGAAATTTTAAAGCCACTTAATATTTGTCATCTATCTATCTATCTATCTGAATATATATTCCGAAATATAACAATAAGTAGAATAACTAGTGTTGCCAATGTATTCAATATAATCCTTGACTCTTATTCAGTCTTTAAATTGTTAGGAGGAGCTGAGGGGAAGAAAAAAACCCAACAAACGCCAAATTGGTTCCAAGAATGGCTTTCCTTTTTAGCCAGTGTCACATTTTTCACAGGATGGGGGAAAAAGCTTTAGTGGTTGCATGCTGTTCTTGGGTAATACTTTTTAGTAATGCAAGAGCTTAGTTTGCTGGGTAACTTGATTACTCTAGAGGGCATGCTATTAGCAGAGTGGGAAGAAATCAAAAGAAAAAAATAATTTACATTAAGGCCACAGGCATGCCATACAATACAATTACTTCAGGTTTTATATCCAAAAAGCTATTATACTTTTTTTTTTTCCATTCTTTTAGCACTGTTGTATTCTGGTAAGGGGTTTTATGAGAGGCAAGAAATGGATGCTAGCCCAGAAAAGCCCAAGAGATTGTTTTGTGAATGAACGAGGCCTGATGGTGGTAATAAGTCCATATGGATTTTTCTTTACAGGCTCTTTCTAATGAGCTGTGATTATCTATGGATAATCAATTCACTTCTTTTACTTTAGTTTTCACATGGAAATGATCATTCTAGTTTTCATTACAGAAGTGCTATATGCACAAAGGAGACAATATATACAAAGTGCTTTTGTATACCGGAGAGAAAAGTACAGTGTCCTTCAGAATCATTACCCAGGATCTCATTAATTATTATTCACTTATACAGTAGGAATTATCATGAGGAAAGAGGATCTTGGAGTTAACATTAGTTAGGACAGGTTAGGTTATGTTGGAGTAACAAATTAATCCCCACATCTCAGTGGCTTAACAGAAAAAAGATTTAATTTATATTCATTCAGTATATCTTACAGTGGGATGCTTTGCTGCAAATGCTGAGATCTGGCCTGAATAAGCCCTACTATTGTTACTGGCGGGTCTTTGTCCTTAGAGCTCCCAAGATGGGGGCGGGCCTCTCCCAAGATGGCAGCAAGCCTTTTGTTCTCTGACCTGGGGTTCTTGGCCTCACGGATTCCAAGGAATGGAACCTTGGGCCGTGCGGTGAGTGGTATAGCTCTATTAGAAGCCGTGGATCACAGAAGAGAACTGTGGAACCCAGCGACTAGTGTTCAGCTCAGTTAGGACGAACCCAGGCACTTAGCCTTGCAGGAACAATGGCCAGCCTTTAGCCTGATAGGGAGTGGCAATGGGCGCCTCACTGGATCAGGAGCGCAGTGGACACCGTTCCTGATCCGGAGGTGGGGAAGTCAGCGGCGGGTCTTCGATGGCGGTAAACAGCAGTGGTGGACGGCAAGCGAAAACTCAGCTCCGGCCGAGCTCCAGCCGTAACAAACACGAACCAGAAGAGTGTGCAGGTGCAAGATTTAGTAGAGTGAAAACAGAGCTCCCATACAATGGGAGGGGACCCAAAGGAGGATGCCCTCTCCCAGCTCAAATGCCTGGGGTTTATATCCCAATAATTGTCCTTCCCCCTGTGCTCTCAGGCAACATATTGTTTGACTATTTCTTTACCTCCTGCTTTTAGCCTAATTTGTATTTTAGTGAGCCCTCTTTACTTCCTGATTGGTCGGGTGTGAGCTGAGTTACAAACCCCGTGTTTAAAGGTTGGTGCAGTCACCTTCTCAGCTAGGCTTAGGAATTCTTAAGCCAGCCTAGGAAATCCAGCTAGTCCTGTATCTCACTATCACATGTTGATGCCAGCTCACAAACATGATTTCCAGGGTCTACCTGAGAAAGAAAGAGGGAACACAGAGCATTTAGACCTACTCTGAAGTTCCTTGACCAGAAGTGGCACAAATCACTTTCACTTGCTTTCCATTGGTTAGAAACAGTCATGTGACTCCACCTACCTGCAAGATACCTGGGAAGTATAGTCCCATGTGCCTAGGAAGGAGCAGAGAGCCACAGATAGGTGAACACTGTACTCTTAGCCACAGTCCACTGTATTTCAGTGATTGACATGTGCAAAGGAGCTCATTAAAAAGAAGCTATTTACAGATGAAGGTGACCTTTACTACTCATCTCAGGTACGTCATCACAGTAGTGTTTTAGTTTATTTCATTCTTGTCTTGCTTCTAATTGGTAGATGGCCAACCAGAAACAATCCTGGGCTTTAAAATGAGGCATTGGCAGAGACACAATTTCTAACCTCAAATATCAGACTCTGAACTGACCACAGAGCTCCTCTCTGAGTTTATGTCAAGTTGTGAGCGTCTGCTTCCATCAGGAAATCCTTAAATAGTTCATTTTTCCTTCTAGGAGCCTGCTGCTGTGTTCTGGCTAGAGGGAACAGGACCAGGGCCAAGTAAGATCTTGAAATTTAAGATAGAGACATCTGGTCTGAGTTTTCTGAGAAGCTTATTGAATCCTACATTAATCTAGGCACTCATAATACAGAAACTTTATTTTATAGGCAAGTGAAAGAGATAATTTATGTTAAAGAGCCTAGCACAGTTTTTGGCATGACTATAGTAGGTGCTCAATAAATGCATCTGTACTTCCTTTGCAAAGGAAGTAAAAATTATACTGGTTTGTACTCTGTAAGTAAATGCTGTTTAGTGGAATTCTCATGTAACAATATTCTTCCTACTCCTGTATTTCCATCTGACCATTGGTACAATTATGAAGCTATTAGAACTTCTATTCAAAAGAAGGATTTTATTTGAAGCCATGCACTTGTGAAAGGAAAATAACTTGGGCCCCCAAACTCACGAAGCTAAAGGGAAAATTCATGTGGGGAACTGCTTAGGGCAAACCTGCCTCCCATTCTATTCAAAGTCACCCCTCTGCTCACTGAGATAAATGCATATCTGATTGCCTTCTTTAGAAAGGCTCATCAGAAACTCAAAAGAATGCAACCAATTGTCTCTCACCTATCTGTGACTTGGAAGCCCCCTTCCCGCTTTGAGTCTTTCTGCCTTTGCTTGGAGTTGTCCCACCTTTCTAGACTGAATCAATGTATTTCTTACAAATATTGATTGATGTTCTCATGACTCCCTAAAATGTATAAAACCAAGCTGTGCCTCGACCACCTTGTGCACATGTCATCAGGATCTCCTGAGGCTGTGTCACAGGCGCATCCTCAACTTTGGCAAAATAAACTTTCTAAATTAACTGACATCTGTCTCAGATTTTCTGGGTCCACACACTGGACAAAACAGAAGTGAACAAAATAGCCGAAGTTCCCAATTGTGTTCCTATGGTGGGAGTAGGGCAGCAATGGAGACGGAAAGCAAACAAGTAAATGAAGAAAGAAAATATCACTGAGATGTGCTAAGGGGAGAATTGAAAGAGGGTGATGAGGTTGAGTATAAGGAGCTACTTCAGATAGGTGGTGTAGCAACCCTGGTTCCAGGAAGAAAAACAGAGGCAAGTCAAGTATTCCAGGAATATTGGGTGGTGTGAATGTGGGAGGAGTTGGAGAGTGAAGGCCTGAAAAGCTTCAGCTCTAGAATCAGAGAAACTCTCTGCACTTTCACCTGGAAAAGCTGGAACTCAAAGCGAAGTTCAAGAAGTAGCACAATACTAGCTCTTTGAGTTGGATTGTGAAGTGTGTCCGTGAGAGTGGCCTTGTCTTACACTCACGACCTCCCAATAATAGTGACTTCTGCCTTCCATATCTTGCTTGAACTCCTGTCCTTGGCAAACCCTAATCTAGAAGCATACAGAAAAGGGGACTCTGGGAAACATAGTTCTCATCCTCAGATGGGCCTTGTGGCTTGGTGCTGAGCTGATAGCTGACAATTTAACACTGATGATCAGAATGACATTTAAGCTGAGGTCTAAATAACAAGAAGGGGTCAGCTTTCCAAAGATCACAGGGAGGAACATTCCAGACAGAGAGAGTAACCAGCACAAAGTCCCTGAAGCTAGAAAGAGCATCTTGAGTTCTCCAGAAACATCAAGAAGGCCAGTATGCGTGGAGCTGAGTGCATGAGAGGAAGACTGATGGGAGATGCTGTTGGAGAGGTAAGCAGAGGCTGAGTCATACGGGGTCCTATAAGATCTAGTAGGTCCATTAGGGATTTATGTGCCTGACTGGCTTGTGTCTGTGTCTGAGCCCCGTGGATAAGGTGTTTGTGGACAGAAAGCTCACTGAGCTGTTTAGAAAGAGGGGCTTGGTGAGATTTAGGGACCCAGACTTTTCTGCCTCAGGCAGTAGACAGTGCTATGAAGCAGAGAGGGGCACTCACCTTATACTCCCCAGAACACAACAGAGTTTTGCAGCATGGAGAGGTTAGGGGACACAGTGCTGCCCTGGAGCCTGGAGGAAAGGACATTTGGGAGCATCCAGAGACATTTACCCTGGGAAGGATGTCCACTCTTGTCCAGTGGTGAAGAGCCACAGTGTAAGAATAGAGGTGCTCTAGTAGGTTTGAGTTGTCAACTGACAGATGAATTCAGGAACAGATGTGAGACCCTCATCCTGCAGCCAGAAATAACAGGATGAACAATAGAACAGACTTGGAGAGGGGACATGAAGGTGAAATATGAGTCAGTAAATGTTAAGGTGATCCTATTTCCCTTGAAGCCTGGGTGAAAACCATGTGGAACCTCAGATTGCATTGGCTAGGCCCTTGCTTGAATGCATTCAGAAAGTTAAGGGATATTCATTTTCTTTGGGGAATCCATACAGTTAGTGATTTCATTCCCAATGTACATACATGCTTTACTGAAATGACTAGGTTGCTTGGAATTTTTTATCAGGCATACTTTCAAACCCAAAAGCTATAATTTTAGGCATTTCAGGTCTCCCAACAAAAGTACTGGCCAAGGTTGATCAAATACAGGTTGGTCTATGCCCTGTGGTGACATTTGTGGGATAACAAGATGATTCTAATGTCCCTTGAACATGTCTCCTTCGCATTGTCTGAATGCCATGATGGAGAGTTGGTTGGCCTGTTAGTGTGACTGAACCAAGTGCCCGCAGTGATAGCTGCTCTGGATGCTCCCTAAGTTAATTTCTTTACATTTTGATCTCACTTCCACAGTTCCCTGCAGGTGCTTCTTGAGATCACCTCCCAAATAAATTACTTGCACAGAAACCCTAGTCTCATTGTCGTTTTCTGGGAAAGCCCAGCTAAAAACAGTAAACACAGCTGAATGTAGAGATGTGTTTGATGCCTGGCAAGGTGTGATTCTCACCTAATTGCTAAAACAACTCTATGAGGTAAGGATTTTATTATTATTATCCCCATTTTACATGTGAGGAAAGCAAGACACAGAGTAGTAAAGGAACTTGCTTAAGGTTACCCAGTTAGTAAATGGCATGAGACCTTCACCTCACTTCATTCTCATCCCTCTTTTACCAATTTCTGATAAATTTCGTTCCTTTTGGCACCCCATAAGGAAAATATTTAATCTCCCTGTCATCCTACTTTCTAAAAATTGCTTCTCCCAAACACTTCCTTCCTCATTATAATATATAATAATATGGTGCTGTTTTTATAAAATTCCCCTAATCTGAGAACTTCTGTAGAAGCACATATTACCGTTGATGGTAATAACAGGCCACAGGCCTCACCAACATCTTAATGTTCCTCACGTTTACCAAAGAATGGCTTGACTGATGTATTTCCCCCCAAGCCCTTGAGACTTGACTGCCTCTGTGTGAGAAGCTGAGGCTTTGAGCCCAAGGCTTGTTCTTTGGAGAGCAGTGATTGTACAGAGGAGAATATGTGTGATGCATTTAGACTGCAATGCCTGTGGGTCCTTACCATGGCTCCTATTTTTGCTCTTTGGGGGAAATCTCAAAATAGTCCACTTTCCTTCACCATCCAATTTGATTTCTTCTCTCACAGTCCTTAAGGCAATAGCGATATGTCTGTCTGTGGTGGCAAAGAGATACCAGTCTTGAAAAGTTGGAGGGCTAGAGAGTTGAATCTATGTATGACTGTAGATATGTAGTCTCTCTCTCTCTCTCTCTTTCTTACTCTCCCTCCCTTTCCTTTTGAGTGTGTGACTAAAACTTTGTCTCAATGTTTGTCCTGAGGTTTGTTTGTTGCAATAGAAATGCTCTCAAAGAGACCTCAAATATAAATACATGAACTACATAAATTCAGGTCCATGGAGATGGACTTTGTGGGGCCTCTCTCTCCTCTCTCTACAAATAGTGTTCACTCTTGCTTCTCTCTTTGCTTCTGCTTTGCCCTCTTCTCTCTCTACCTGTTGCCTTTCCTGCTCACTCCTCTGTTTCTGTGACAGTGACCTCAGTGTCCATATTTTTATGATCTTTTAGCTCAGCTTCTTACAACTAAATGAATTGGCTTCTTATTCTGCCTCCTAATTCCTGGGAGAGAGAATATGAATTGCCCATGTGGAGCCAAGAGGCCATCCCTGGTACAACCAATTGGTGTGGATGGTGCTGCTTACTCAACAGGAGTCACCAGTCTCAGAAGAGTCTGTCAGTGGCAGCAAAATTGACCTTCATGTTGGCTAAAATATTTTTATTTTATCTGTGCACATAATTTTTATGTATATTGAATGCCAACCAATTCCCCAAATCATGCTATAAACATTATTTTATGTAATCTTTACAATTACCTTGAGATGTAGGTGTAATTATTCCCATTTACAGATGGAAACTCTGAGGGTCTGTGGCAATCCTGAAGGAGAGAATAGTGTTGGGTGTTATGCCATCTCTCTGCCTCCAATCCTAGTGCCCTTTATAGGCAAAGCTGAGTGGAAAAACTCATTAGGAAACCATTTTCAATGCAAGCAGCATACTTGGCAGGTGTCACTGCTTTCTCAGGGAGAAAAAGGTGAAGTGCATGGAGCACATTTTTATTTTTTAGCTAGATCAGGTCAGCACCCCCCTGCTGAAAGTAGAGCCTGCCTGCTGATACATAACGATATTTCAAGATGATGAGCAAGAAAGCTCTGTCCATTCCAGGGCAGAGTTCCCTGGGGACAAGGCTCAAAGAGCAATGAAAAGAGGGTAAGTGAATCATGAAGGCTTTGGAGTGAGGATGAGCACTAGAGCCAGGCATTTACAGTGAAGGGCAGAGTGGGCTGGAGAGGACTCAAGAAGCATTAGAAAAATGATTATCTGCCAACCCGAAATGAGACTCCAAGGAGCGCGAGCAGTCCTCCCACAAAAGGGTTTGTGGAAGTTCTCCCAATTTGCAGGGACGTGCTTGTGGAGTTTGTTCACTCATTGATAGATATTGGTTATCTTAGGGATTGTGAATACTATACCCTATGGTGTGGGATAAAATCTTTTTAAAATGGAAAGCAAAACATATTTTCAAATAGAATGAAATGTGTTTTGTAGTCATGATATTAATCCTCCTTTATTATTAGTGGAGTAATTAGAGAGTAATTCCATGACACAGAGTAAAACACAAGATAGTGAGGAGCTGGGAGGCTTTCAGCTGCAAACCTCAGAAAAGCAAGCTCAGTGAGGACATATCTTGGTGCATGTAACTGTCAGTCAAAGAAAGGAGGGGCTTGTGGGCGTCATTCTGATACAGGAGCTCAACCATGTCCTCAAGGACCCAGCTTCTCCCTTTCTGCTGTGATGTCCAAATGATCAGCTTCATCCTGAGAGTAATTTTCTGTGTGGCCTTAAGATGATTGTCAGAAGCAATTAGGCTACAATATTGCTAATTCTTTTCTTGGGATAGACAGACGTTTGCAGGAAACTCTTCTGGAAGTGGCAGGAGAAACTCTGTCACATCTCTATCTCCTTGGCTTGCAGGTGTGCTGCAAGCCCATTCCCACACAATTCCCATCGAGGAGTATGGGAATACTCTGATTGGGATAGATTGCTAGTTTTCAGCACTCACTGCTTATTAGAATCACAAGGGAGGCCTTTAAAATGTTTTTTATATTATTATGGGTACAAAATAGTTGTACATATGTGTGGGGTACATGTGATGTTTTGATACGGACATATAATGTGTAATGATCAAATTAGTGTAATTGGGGTATACATCACCTTAAATGTATATTGTTTCTGTGTGTTAGAAACATTCCAATTCTACTCTCTCAGTTATTTTAAAATATACAATAAGTTATTATTTTTTTAAATTATACTTTAAGTGCTGGGGTACATCTGCAGAATGTGCAGGTTTGTTACGTAGGTATACATGTGCTATGGTGGTTTGCTGCACCCGTCAACCCGTCACCTCCATTAGGTATTTCTCCTAATGCTCTCCCTCCCCTAGCCCCCGCCACCAACAGGCCCTGTGTGTGATGTTCCCCTCTCTGTGTCCATGTGTTCTCATTGTTCAGCTCCCACTTATGAGTGAGAACATGCTGTGTTTGGTTTCCTGTCCCTGTGTTAGTTTACTGAGAATGATGGTTTCCAGCTTCATCCATGTTCCTGCAAAGGACATGAACTCATTCTTATTTATGGCTGCATAGTATTCCCTAGTGTATATGTGCCACATTTTCTTTATCCAGTCTATCATTGATGGATATTTGGGTTGGTTCCAAGTCTTTGCTATTGTGAACCGTGTCACAATAAACATATGTGTGCATGTGTCTTTATAGTAGAATGATTTATAATCCTTTGGGTATATACCCAGTAATGGGATTTCTGGGTCAAATGGTATTTCTAGTTCTAGATCCTTGAGGAATTGCCACACTGTCTTCCACAATGGTTGAACTAATTTACACTCCTGACAACAGTGTAAAAGTGTTTCTATTTCTCCATATCCTCTCCAGCATCTGTTGTTTCCTGACTTTTTAATGATCGCCATTCTAACTGGCATGAGATGGTATCTCATTGTGGTTTTGATTTGCATTTCTCTGATGACCAGTAATGATGAACTTTTTTTCATGTTTGTTGGCTGCATAAATGTCTTCTTTTGAGAATAAGTTATTTTTAAGTACATCACTCTATTGTGCTGCTGAAAACTATATATATATTTTGAGACAGAGTCTCTCTCAGTCACCCAGGCTGGAGTCCAGTGGCATGATCTTTGCTCACTGCAACCTCTGCCTCCTGGGTTCAAGTGATTCTCCTGCCTCAGCCTCCCAAGTAGCTGGGATTACAGGCATGCACCACCACACCCAGCTGATTTTTGTATTTTTAGTAAAGATGGGATTTTGCCATGTTCCCCGGGCTGGTCTTGAACTCCTGAGCTCAGGTGATCCGCCCACCTCAGCCTCCCAAAGTGCTGGGATTATAGGCGTGAGCCACCGCGCCCAGCCTAGATCTTATTCATTCTATCTAATCGCATTTTTGTACCCCTTAACCATTGCTACTCTATGCCCCCAATCCCTGCCACCCTTCCCAGCCTCTGGTAACCATCATTGTACTCTTGATCTCCATAATTTTAATTTTTGTTTTCCTAGCTCCCACATGTGAGTGAGAACATATAACTGATTTGTCTTTCTGTGCCTGGCTTATTTGACTTAACATAATGTTCTCCAGGTCCACCCAAGTTGTTGCAAATGACAGGATTTCATTCTTTTTATGGTTGAATAATATTCCACCATGTATATATACTGCATGTCCATCATCCATTCATTAGTTGATGGACATTTAGGTTGATTTTGTATCTTGGCTATTGTGAATAGTGCTGCAAGAAACACAGGAGTGCATATATCTCTTTGATATACTGATATCCTTTCTTTTGGATATAGTGGGATTGTTGGATTATATGGTAGTTCTATTTTTAGTTTTTTGAGGAGTCTGCTATTCTCCACAGTGGCTGAACTAATTTACATTCCCACAAACAGTGTATGAGGGTTTCCCTTTCTCCACTTCCCTACCAGCATTTGTTATTGCCTGACTTTTGGATAAAAGCCATTTTAACTGGGGTGGGGTGGTATCTCTTGAAGTACTAATACTTGGGCCTTTCCCTGGCCAGGAAAGTCAGACTCTCTGGGCATGGAGCCTGAATATCAGGATGTTTCAAGGTCTCCTTAGGTGATTCTAAAATTTGAGAAGCACTAGCTTATACTTCTCAGGATTCATCCATTGATGTAGAGATGGGAGCAGCTTACCCTAGGTAAAAAAGTCCCGGATGTAGAAGGGTCATGGAATGAAAAATTAAGATTTTGTTATAAATATGGAAGTGGGGAATAGATGCTTGGTAGGCATTAAATGTTATTCACTCTAAAAGAGATTTGCTAGTGTCCTTTTTTAAGATTTATAGGTACATGTTAATTTAATACAACAACCTGATGAGCAGAGCATACAACTCACTCGTGTGTAATAGTTATTGCCCCACCACTTGTTTGCTGCACGTACCCATGCAATTTGACCAATGTTTATGCTATACTAGATCGTAAATATTTCTAATATTACTCATGCCAATAAATCAAATGACTTCGTGGTTTATTAACCAAATTGAGGCAGTTTTGAGAGTCAAAAGAAGTGTGACATTTTAAAAGCTATTATTCCAGGGCATCAAGAATAAACCGCAGGATTATAAATCATTCTACTACAAAGACACATGCACACGTATGTTTATTGCGGCACTGTTCACAATAGCAAAGACTTGGAACCAACCCAAATGGCCATCAGTGATAGACTGAATAAAGAAAATGTGGCATATATACACCAGGGAATACTATGCAGCCGTAAATAAGGATGAGTTCATGTCCTTTGCAGGGACATGGATGAAACTGGAAACCATCATTCTCAGTAAACTAACACAAGGACAGAAAACCAAATATGGCATGTTCTCACTCATAAGTGGGAGTTGAACAATGAGAACACATGGACACAGGGAGGGGAACATCACACACCAGGGCCTGTTTGGCGGCAGGGGGCTAGAGAAGGGCTAGCATTAGGAGAAATACCTAATGTATATGATGGCTTGATGGGTGCAGAAAACCACCATGGCACTTGTATACCTGTGTAACAAACCTGCATGTTCTGCAAATGTACCCCAGAACTTAAGTATAAAAATTAAAAAAAAAAAAAAAGAATAAACTGGGACTGTTCTGGGCAAATAAACACATATCGTCACTCTACCTAGGAGGTATTATGTGTAGTAGAGAGTTTAGTTTTGTTAAAGAGATGTATGGCCTTTGCCATCAGCTCTAGAAGGTAATCTCTGTCATACCTGATTAAAATGCTTTGCTTAGGCTAGGGCTGACCACACTAGATTTTTTTTTTTTTTTTTTTTTTTGAGACGGAGTCTTACTCTGTCACCCAGGCTGGAGTGCAGCGGCATGATCTCGGCTCACTGCAACCTCCACCTCCAGGGTTCAAGTAATTCTCCTGCCTCAGCCTCCTGAGTAACTGGGATTACCAGAACCCATCACCATGCCCAGCTAATTTCTGTATTTTTAGTAGAGACAGGGTTTCACCATGTTGGCCAGGCTGGTGTCGAACTCCTGACCTCAGATGATCTGCCTGCCTCTTAAGATGAGGGTGGCCACATCTGATAACCTTAGGGTGGGAGCTGGCCACACCAGAAAGACCTACAATGTGATTTAGGGTGGGGGCTTTGGAATACAGGGTGTCAGTTGACCTAGATACTGAGTTTAGCTATATGGGCAATCAGTCAACAAATCATGCCTACATAATGAAGCCTCAGTAGAAACTGTACGCTGACACATAGGCAAGCTTCCTTGATTGTCAGCACTGCATGCATATTGCCATACATTGATGCCAAAAGGCTAAGGTGTCCTGAGGACAATGGAAGCTTCACATTTGGAACCCTTTAAGACTCTGCCCTCTGTATCTCTTCTTTGGTTGATGTTGACCTATAATAAACATAAACTGAGAACGATAGTTTTCAGTGAGTTCTGTGTATTCTTGTAGTGAATTATAAAGCTGAGAGTGATTTTGCTAACCCTCTAGACTTGCAGTTGATGTTAGAAGAAGGGGAAGTCTTGACAGCTGTGCCTTCCAATCCTCACACTTTAACTAACTCTGGGTGTATCAGACCACTTAAGGAGGCCAAGTAACTTGCCCAGTGTCTCAGAATTCATGAAGAAAGGAGCCAGTTTTCAATCCTCAGAAATTACTTCTGAGGTATTTCAATGTCACCTTTTTTGCTCTTTTCTTCCTTCAATTCCTTATGTTACTTCTTTTTGTTAAAATAACTGATGCATTTTCTGTTTTCCTGATTGAAACTGAATTGGTACAATGGCATTGGTATTCTAATACTTTCTTCTCATTAAAAAATATTAAATTTATGGGATACTTTCTACTATAAATACAATAAAAATATACTTGTCTATAATCTTAGAATTTGAAAATAGCAAAAACTATAACAAAACTGTTATTCGAACTAATAGCTCAATGTTGACTTAGTCAAGTGAATGGTCTTTCCTTGAGCTTTCAGAGGCTGGAGCAGGCTTAAAGTGAATCAGTTGTTCCAAGTCCTGGCTTTTCAAGGCACCTCTCTATTCCTGGGTGTTTTGTAACCCTCGGGCAGATGCTGATGAGACTCAAGACTCAAGACTCATGCAGTGTGACAAGAAAGTAGCACAGTTGCACAAATTCTCCCTGTCCTTTCCTTTTCCGTTCTGGTTTCTAAGACTAACAATTTGATTCAGTAGAGTGGCATCCTTATCTTTTCTGGTTTTGGTCGTATGAGTTTTCTCTCTAGTTTTACTGCTCCCTGATGTTTTGGTTAATATGAGGTGTCAACTTGATTGGATTGAAGGATGCCTAGATAGCTGGTGAAGTACTGTTTCTGTGTGTGTCTGTGAGGGTGTTGCCAGAAGAGACTGACATTTGAGTCAGTGGACTGGGAGAGGAAGACCTACCCTCAATGTGGGTGGGCACCATTCAATGGGCTGCCAGCAGGGCTAGAACAAAGCAAGTGGAAGAAGGTGGGCTAAGCTGGCTTGCTGAGTCTTCTGGCTTTCATTTTTCTCTCGTGCTGGATGCTTCCATCTGTTCCTTCTGCCCTCAGACTTCAGGTTCTTTGGTGTTTGGACTCTTGGACTTACGCCAGTATTTTGCTAGGGGCTCTTGGGCCTTCAACCACAGACTGAAGGCTGCACTGTCAGCTTCCCTGCTTTTGAGGCTTTTGGCCTGGGACTGAGCACTACTGGCTTCTTTCTTCCCCAGCTTGCAGACAGCCTGTGGTGGGACTATGCCTTGTGATCATGTGAGCCAATTCTCACTAATAAACTCCCTTTCATATGTACATGTATCCTATTAGTTCTGTCCATCTGGAGAACCCTGACTAATACACCTGGGTGAGGGAAGCCAGTCACAGAACCATTCACTGATGAAAGTATTTTTCAGTCGTTTGGACAATTACTGCTGATTTAGTGCTTTTTAGCTTTAGTTCTTCTAATATATAGATTGTGCCAAGGTGAGTTAGGAAAGTGAGCCCATACACAGCATTAGCTTCATTAATATTCAATCCATAGATACAGTTGTGAATGTGAAGCTGTAAAGAAGAATACTCAACTTCTGATTAAATGTCCTAAATGTGCTAGAGTTAGCAGATGGGGGTCACATAGGATTTCTAATTTATAAAACTTTAACTATAAAAGATTCATGTAGACAAATGGTAGGTACGTCATGCTGCTAAAACCTTTGTTTTAAAATACAGCAGATTGATAGATAATTTGAAGTATAGTAAGGCCAACAGATCAGGAAATAACCACCATCGAGAAGTTAGTTTAGTACTAAAACTATTTTCCCAAAAGGAAGGGGCCTGCCACATCCTGGAGGTAGGGTAGGGGTATTAGTCAGGGTTCTTTAGGGAAACAGAATCAATAAGCATATTTGTGTGTGTGTGTGTGTGTGTGTGTGTGTGTGTGAGAGAGAGAGAGACAGAGAGAGAGGGGGAGAGAGAGAGAGAGAGAAAGAGAGAGATAAGGAACTGGCTCACACAATTATGGAGGCTAAGAAATCCCAAAACCCCTAGTTGGCAAGCTGGAGACCCAGGAAGGCAAACTGATGTGTAGTTTCAGCACAAGTCCAAAGGCCTGAGAACCAGGAAAAATGTTGGTGAAAGTTTCAGTCTGCAAGCAACATGCTCAAGACCCAAGAGGAGCAGATGTTTCAGTCTGAGTCCAAAGACAGAACACTCACATTACAGATCAAGCAGTCAGGCAGGAGGAAGTCCCCCTTACTCACAAGAAGGCTAACCTTTCCGTTCTATTCAGGTTTTCAACTGATTGTATTAAGGCCACCTGCATTAGGCAGGAAAATTGGCCTTATTCAGTTTACAAATTCAAATGTTAATCTCATCCAAGAACACTCTCACAGACACACCGAGAATAATGCTTGCCCAAATATCTGGGCATCTTATGTCTCAGTCAAGTTGACACATAAAAGTAGCCACTACAGGGGGGCCACTTGAGGGAGTACTGGGCTTGGTCAGAAGGCAGGGTGGAGGGGGGAAACTGGGCAAGTTTTCCTTGTGGTTTCTGCAGGCAGGAACAGGTAATACAGGGTAAACAAATTTAGGATTGGGTAGTTGGAATAATTTCAATAGGCTCTGGGCATAAGGGTTGTCCCTATTTGTCTAGTACGTGGCCCTAAGGTGATTAGGGCAGGTGTAGAGTGGATCAAAGTGTGACAGCCAGATAAGACTGTAGGAAGTACAGACTAAATGTGTTGGGTTTTAGTTAAAGTGTACCTAGGAAGAAGATTCCTCCTGGGCACAGGGGGAGGTAGCAAGGGAGTCAGGAGGCTAAGGCAAGTGACTTAGGCATATTATTAGGTTGTGCACAATAAGGCATGTAGAACAAATGTTGAATATGGAGTTTACAGAAGCTAGAAACAAAGTTAACACACTCCCTGGTACACAGCCTCTCTTATTTCCATTGTAGGAGTTAGCATCTAGTCACATGCATTCTCTTTTTCTAACCCAAGCTGAACCACAAGCATCCCCATTCTGAACTTACAGACTTGTGGGTCCAAAAGCAAGTAAAATAGGATAGCAGGAAATGCCTGTGCCTTGGAGACAAGAAAACTTGTAATTGAATACTGACCCTGTCACTTATTAACAGTTTCTTTGGAAGGTAATTTAGTCTCCTTAAGACATGATTTTGCTATTTATGAAAGGCAGAAAATAGAATCAATCTATCAGGGTTATGTAAATATTTGGTATAATGAATGTGTGATATTGTGATACAATAAGAAATATATATTTGGTCTCTGCCCACCTTTTCTTAGACAGAGTTCCTAAAAGCCTTGTAGATAAGGGTGCTAGGAGAATCTTTTGCTCTATAGAGAAGAAGTAATATTTTTTTCTTACCCATCACAAGGCTCATGACTGAGACCTCTACAACAAAAGACAGATTAAAAAGAGAAAAGCATACAAATGTGTTTAATATAAGTTCTACATGATACAGGAGCCTTCAGAAATCAACCCTCAAAGAAACGGGAAAATTATATTTTTATGGACAGCCATGCAGAAGTATGACTGGCGGACAAAAAGGTCTGATCTAATGGTAATAAACTTAACAAGGCCCGTTTATTCAGTTTCTTCTTGGTATCCCTGTGTGACATTTTTTTCCCTCTGGGTATAAGGCAAGCCATGTCTGTGTCTCTTGAGGGCCTTCAGGGGACAAGGGAGGAAGGTCAGAGAGTTTTATGGTCTGCTTCCAGGAAGAAAGGGTGAGGATAATTTGAGTTTTTATCGCCCACTTCAGGAGAAAGGGGAAGGGAGAAGGTCAGAAAGACCTTTTGCAGTCTTCTCAAATGCCAAAGTACCATATTTTGGGATTTTCTTCTCCTCATCTGTTCTAATATTTGATCTTTGACCCCTGACACAGAGCTCCTGAGATCTTTGTAATTTCCTGAGTGATAGGAGCATTTTTTGTTTTCATGAAGTGATTCTTGGTGGACTCCTGGATAGCCTCAGGATGGGGGCTGGTTGATGGGAGAACCAACCATGTGATTACAGGGTTGGAACTTTCCACCCCACCTCCAGACCTCCGGGGAGGAGAGAGGGCCTGAAGGCTGAGTTGATCACCAATATCCAGTGGTGTGATGTAATCAAACACTCCTATGTAATGAGGCCTCCTTAAGAATTCAAAAGGACAGGGTTTGGAGAGCTTCTGCATTGCTGAACACATGGAGGTGCAAGGACAGTGGTGTAGCCCAAGAGGGCATGGAAGCTCCGTGTTCCCTGCCTATATCTTCCCTATACATCTCTTCCATCTGGTTGTTCATCTGTATCCTTTATAGTATCCTTTATCATAAACCAGTAAACATAAAATATTTCCCTGAGTTCTGTGAGCTGCTCTAGCAAATTGATCAAACTCAAGGAAGGGGTTGTAGAAATCCCAGATTTATAGCTGGCTGGTCAGATGTATCAGATGTACTTGCGATTGGCATCTGGAATGGGGGAAGACTTGTGGGACTGAGCCCTTAGCCTGTGTGTTCCACCACTATCTCCAGGTAGATAGTTTCCTAATTAAATTGAATTACAGGACATCCAGTTGGTGTCCACTGGGGAATTGGTAATTGGTGAGGAGACATCCCCACACACATTTTGGTACCCAGAGGTGAAGTATTGTATTGAGAATGGTGGGTAGAGTATGAGAGTAGGAAGAAAACATTGCTTCTTTCCATTTCAAACAGAATGTAATATGCCTAGCCTATTTTAATTAAGATGTTTTTGTTAGTATTATTATCATTATAAGGATGCATAAATTTGGGAATCCTGAACTGAACCCACGGCTCATGAGAACTTAGTATTCATAAAAATTCAAAATAGCTGGGGCTATTAACTGGATTTAACCCTTTGAAATTGTTAATCAAATAGGCTTAATTTAATTCACCCATTGGCAGCTGGAATACATCTTTGAGTTAAATGAACAATACGCAGTTTTATATTACCTGACCTGTTGCATGTTTATGTCCTTCTGTTTCTTTTATAGACTTGTTGAAAAAAAAAAACAAAAAACTTGGCCGGGCATGATGGCTCACGCCTGTAATCCCAGTACTTTGGGAGGCTGAAGCGGGTAGATCACCTGAGGTCAGGAGTTCAAGACCAGCCTGGCCAACATGGTGAAACCCTGTCTCTGCTAATAATACAAAAATTAGCCAGGCATGGTGGCACGTGCCTGTAATCCCAGCTACTTGGGAGCCTGAGGCAGGAGAATAGCTTGAACCCGGGAGGTGGAGGTTGCAGTAAGCCAAGATCGCACCACTGAACTCCAGCCTGGGCGACAGAGTGAGACTCAAAAACAAACAAACAAACAAATACAACTTAAGATCTCTTGAGTTGCAGTCTCTTTCTAGTAACCTTTGCTTTACTGTCTTCTGTATTAAGTATTACAGAGAAACCAAATGTCTGCCTGAGTTTGGATATGTTTGTGTGTGGTGGTTGTTTATATGTGTCTGTGTGTTCATGAAGGGATATTTTATGCTTGAGGGATATTTTTAGTGGAAAAATTGAAAAAAAAATGTTGGCTTATGTCTAGGTTTTGTTTTTTCATTAAATTCTTTTTTTTGGGGGGGGCAAAATATTTCAATCTTGAAAATAGTTCTTTTCCAGGTAAAAAAGTTTCTTCTATTATTCTTACAATCATTGCTTCAGTCATGTCTTTCTATTTTATTCCTCTTAGACTCTCTTTGCAACTTTATTGAATTCCCTACATTAACCTTCCGTGTCCCTTAGCTTAACAATTTTAATCTGCTTTCCCTGAGTTTGGGGAGAATTTCTGGTTACAAATTTGAATTTTTAAGATAAGTCACTGGTTAGTAAGCCTTCATTAATTTTATTAAGCTTGTTATTTAAGTTTTTTACCTCCATGTTTGATATAGTTTTATAGAAACAGGTCCTTTTGATTCCTATTGTAAGCACATAATACAGATGTTCTAAAGCACTTTCCTGTTTTCCTTGCAGCAAATTTGTTATTTTATAGGAAGACATTTGCTCTGAATTCTCATGGTGATCCCTTGCTTTTGAACTACCATATCTTTTTTATATGCCTTGTACATTTTTTTTTGTCTTAGTTGTTCACTCTTGCAAAGGAATAGCTAGGCTTGTCAGGGATTGGGAATTGAAAGGGGATCTACCAGGCTTGAGTATGAGGCCTTGTTTCAAATTTTTACACCCAGATGAGGGGTAAAGAATGGTACTTGGTTTCATTTTGCCACTTCAAAGATCCTTCAGCCTGTGGGGAATGAGGATAGAGCAGAAGCCAGAGCCAGAGTTGGAGAAGAGCATCAGAGGCAGTTATACCTGGGAGCTTTGCCCAAAATTTCTGTTTTGCGTTTGGCATGCAGTCAGGGTTTTTCTGGGGCAGGGCCCCTGCTATTGTCTGGCGCAGTCACACCTTTTAAGATCTAATGGTATCTCTGCCATTACCCTTCACCAAATGTGGCTGCCAGGACAAATTTCAACTGAGAGGAAAGCTGCCACAGAGGCTTCAGGCTTGGCAAGACCTCCAGGATGAGAAGTGCTTTAGGTGTCACTAGTGGGATGTGGATTTCTTCTTCCTGCTCCCTGCCGTCTCTGTGATCTCGCATGCTATTATCCCACCTCCTTCTTCATGCCCAGCCCTCACAGCCTTTGTTTCTCTGAGTTACACCAGAAGTCAGCACTTAGTTATATAAAACCCAAAAGGAAAAGACCCTGCCAAGAGGGGTAGCTTGGCCCAGAGTTCTACAGCATGGGGAGTTTGCTTGGTTGTTGGCTGATTTTGCTTCAGGGTATTTTCCTGTGTCTCCTTTGTGTCACGCATTCAGTCATATAATCTCTGGAGCGGGAGTGAGGAATCTGTATTTCTTAAAAGCTTCTGACGTGATTGGAATGCAGCTGGTCCTTAGATCTCTGACATTTATTTGCAAATCATGAACCTGAGAACAAGAGCTGAAAAAAAATGTGCCAATGTGTCTTTCTAACATTTTCTGAGCACCTACTTTATGCAAATTGCTCTGCTATGACGGTGCTGCTGCGTAGGATAGCAAGGAGTACAAGGGGGAGAAATGTACAACCTAATTAGGCAGAAAAGAGGTTTTGCAAAAATAGTTAACATTTATCCAGTGCACTTCCCTTAGCACTTCACACACATTAGCTGGAATTGATCCTTGCAATAACCCCATAACCCCAGGATTGGGAAACCATTATTTTCCCTCCTCTATGAATAGGAAAACAGAGGTTTTAAAAGAGGTAGGAAGCTTGTCAGCATCACTCAGGTAGCAAGTGGCAGGGCTTAGAACCTGAGCATGCAAAGTTTGCCTCCAGGCTGCATTTTAAATAAATTCTATTGCCTCCCACAGAAGGAGATAATGGACAGGATCGTTGATCTGTGGTTAGGCCAAGTGGAAATTCAGATTCTAAGTGTTGTGTGTGTTCAGAAGGGTGATGCATCACAGAAAAGGCAACCTGGACTGGGAGTTGGGGTGTTTGGGCCAGGGGAGGCATAGTGGGTGTCACTGGGGAGTTGGGCTGTTCTCACAGTTGCATCTAGGCAGCCAGTCTAGAGTGCCCTGTCTCTCACATGCCCTGAACATCCACTTCCCTCCTTCTCCCCAGTCTGCCATTTACAGCCAGTGTTGATGGAGGCTGTACCCACCTGTGTTTGCCAGAAGCCTGAATGCTCCCTTGTCTGTTTTTAAGCTGTTTGCCTATGACAGAGTAGGAATAACAAGATGGGAAACATCTCTAATATAACTTTAGAGGCCCTGTGTGCCATTTCAGCTTCAGTTTGTTGTTTTTCCCTTTCTCTTTATGATAGTAAAGATTGGCTACTGCCTCTGATCTTGTCAAAGAAGCATAAAAGGGTCATTTACTAGCTTTTGGGATAACTTATCCAAGTGGATTTCCAAATATTTTGTACAAACCTAATGTAAATATCTTGTAAAAATTGTAGCATAAATGCCTCAGTCACATTCAGGGGAACATCAGAGGGAAGAAATGTTTTCAATGTTGTTTTATTTTCTGTGATGTTATTAGAATTTGGTAATATATTATGTCATTGTTATTACTAGGAATTTAGTAAGTGATTAACTACACAGGTTGCTTTGGTTGACTTTACACAGAAAAAAGCAGAGAAATAGTCTGCCCCTAAGAGATGTGTTATCTGAGATAAATTTAAAACAAATAACACTGGCATAAATATTAAATAAAACCAGAGAGGATGAAGCCCTATGAGAAAGGGAGCATAGCACAGCATTTAGTATATAGTATAAAGTATGCTCTAGTATAATATTTAAGAACACAGATTCTAAAGCCAGGCTGCCTGATTTCAAAGCCCCACTCTCCATATGGCTGTCTGACCTTAGGTAAGTCACTTAAAGCTTCATTTTTCTCATCTGTAACATGGGGATGCCAATCATATCTATCTCATAAGTTTGTCATGCTTATTAAATATGTATATATAGCATATATATGTTATTTAAACTATATCTATTGTTTATCTATCCCATACATTTAGTATATCTGAAGGGAAAAATTAATAGCAAAATCATAATGAGTTGTCAGAATGCCAATTATAAACTTCTTTTGCCTTGGTCAAAGATATTACCACAAGATAGTGTTGGTTGAACTTGATTTCTCTGTTAGAGGCAAAATAGGAAAATGGAAGCATTTCTTACATGTTGGTGGATTGTATTGGACAAAGATTTATGTAGTGCTTACTGTGGGTCAGACTCTGGCCAGAGAATTTTGCAAATATTATTTAGTTATTTATTTAAATGGAGTGGGGAGGTCCTTATCATTCCCTGTTTTCAGATGAGGGGCGTGAAATACAGGGGATAAAGTAATGACTCCAAATCACACAGCTCATCAATGGCAGAACTAGAACTCACACAGGACCTTGGGCTCCTTGGTCAGTGCTAGGAAACCCCACACTATGCTGCCTCTCTTAGTATTTGAATGCTTGACCCATTGAGCAGAAGGTTTTATGAAGACACATGTAGCTTTGACTATAAAAGAGTAAAAGGAGCAGCAACTTACCAATTTTTCTATTTGCCTATCCCCGTTGACTCAGCTACCATTGGATCCTCAGTCCTAAGGAGACTATCAGGTAGAGACATCAAGGAAATCCTGGAGAGAGGCAGGGTGGAGGGGGTGGGATATGTTTTAACTTTTCTATAACAATATTTGGCCTCTCATTTGCTAGCTTTTCTTACCATGTCATGGATTTCTACAATTATGAAGCTAGAACAAGGCTTACTACAGTCTTCTCAAACCTAAAATTGCATATGATTTGCCCTGGGATCTTGGTAAAGATTTTGACTCTGTAGGTCTGGGTGCAGCATTTCTAACAAGCTCCCAGGGGATGCTTCAGGCTTTGGGATCATAAAGCCTTGGAGTTGTATGTGTCAACCCCATTACTGAACAAATAAAAACAATGAGGCCAAGAAAGATCCAGAAACTTGCCCATGGCCTCATGCTTATATTGAGATATGTCAAAAAAACAGATCAAAACAAGATATATAACTTTTACATCACTCAAAAAGGCACCTCTCATTAATCCTCATGACATCTTCATGAAATTTTACTCTTCTACTTACGATAAAGTAAAATGAAACACAGGGAAGAAAAATGACTTACTTTAAGCTTATTCAATAAGTTGTATCATACCTAGAGTATAATGTAAATTTAGTAATGCCCCTCTGGCATTAAAATCACCCCTTTAAATAGTATGCAGAGCAATGACTGGAGAAATCCATGTGCTGAGGATTAACATTTGTGTTACGGAGCTGGATTAAGGCATATCAGTGTAAAGTCCACTCAAGTTGCCTTTTATTTTGAGAATATTTTTTCTCCATTTGACCAACTTAATTTACAAACCATTAAGTAGAGATTCAACTTTGGGGATCATGTGGTCTTTTCTACTGAGGCTATTTGCAATGCTATTCTCATGTCTCAAGTACCTTTGAGAAAAATCATTGATAGAAACCACATGATGTTTTTGTGTTTTTATATCTGACACTTGCCCAAGGACAAGTTCAGTTTCTGTGTTTACTTATCTATACCTACTCTGATTCCACAGAGAATTTAAGGCCACTGATATGCTTAGTTTTGCAGGGGCCTTAGTCAGTTGCTCTAGAATTCAAGTGTCTTGCTGTGCCTCTGTTATGGGCCAGGGGCTCCACATATCGCATTGAATCTGTACAATAATCTGATTCAGTTAGCCTTGTTCCTGTACATTCAGAGATGAGAAGAGTAGAGGCCAGGGAGCTTAAGTAAAATCCCTAACGTCAAACAGTGTAGAAAATGGCAGCACTATGATTCAAACTCAAATCTACTAGCTTCCAAAACATCATGCCCTGCTTCACAGCATTTGGCTAAATGTAGCTTTAGTTGTCTGGAAACCTCATAGACAGGTTTTTTTGTTTTGTTTTGTTTTGTTTTATTTGGTGGTGCTTGTTGTTTTTGTTGTGGGGCTTAAGGTCAGCCCTGAGCGAAATCATGAATTAGACCATTTTCTCCCATCTCTCTCTCACTTGCTCCTTTGTTCCTTAGTGGACCCACGGCAGCCTCCCATCTGAGCCTGCCTGGGCCTCTCCCTTAACCCTTCCCCTTATATTTTGGGTATCATATTTTTTTTCTTGGCTTGCTATCACATTAAAAGCAATATCTGCTTGCATTTATTCCTACTGGAAATGTTATTTTAAATATAGGCTTGTGAAGACAATAGAGTGCAATCCCAAATATTCTCTTTAACTATAGAATTTTTGGCCTGGTCCACCACTGGAGAAGATTGACTTAAAGATCTTCCCACTTCTCCAAATCAGACCCAACTTTTGCTGCATCAAAGGTTATCAGCCTCAGAACTATAATATTTTTGGCCACCAAACTATTAATATTTTGGGCACGGTGGCTCATGCCTATAATCCCAGCACTTTGGGAGGCAGAGGTCGGCAGATCATTTGAGGTCAGGAGTTTGAGACCAGCCTGGACAACATGAAGAAACCCAGCCTCTACTAAAATAAAAATTAGCTGGGCATGGTGGCACACACCTGTAATCCCAGCTACTTGGGAGGCTGAAGCAGGAGAATCACTTGAACTTGCGGGGTGGAGGTTGCAGTGATCACGCCACTGCACTCCAGCCTGGGCAACAGAGCGAGACTCTCTCTCTCTCTCTCTCTCTCTCTCTCATATATATATATGAGAGAAAAAAATGTATATGAGAAAATATATGTATATGAGAAATATATATATGAGAGAATATATATTTTATATATATATAAAATATATATTTGGCCATATACTTGGCAAAATATACATATTATATATCTATATATTATGTATATAATTGTATAATATATATTTTATATATAATATATTATATATATTTTAGATATATATTTTATATATAATATATATTTATATATAATATATATAATATATTATATATTTTATATATACATTATATATATTTATATATAGTTATATATTATATATATTTTATATATTTATATAATATATAATATATATTATATGTATATTTTATATATATGTATATTATATATATTATATATAATATTTATTATGTATTATGTATTATATATTTTATATTTTATATATTTTATATTTTATATTATATATATTATATATTATATAATATATTATATAATATATATTATATATTATATTATATATAATATATATTATATATTATATTATATATAATATATATTATATATTATATTATATATAATATATATTATATATTATATTATATATATTATATATTATATATTTTATATAATATATATATTTTATATATATAATATATATAGCCAAATAATTCTGTGAGGGCAGTTTGTCTCCAGGCATTGCTAAATGTCCCCTGAGGGGCAAAATCAATCCTGGTTGAGAACCACCATTCTACACAAAAGTTAAGTTCTGCTTAAAGTGGTTATATAAGCAACACTTTGCTACTTCTCAGCAATGGGAATCCATTCCTAATACTTTTTAGACTGTTTGTCTATAGTTTGTTAAGCCTACACTTTGACTGAAATGTAGATGGTGAAAATTGAATAATTTTTTCAGTTGTTAAATGGCTTGACTTCCTACTCCCACTCTCCCATAAACATTATTTCTGCTCTTAAAAGTGTAACACACTCTAGTGGAAAATGGCATAGTCCTAGTCAGAAACTCAGGCCAGAGATTAACTTTCTGTTTACTGGCTCTTCAGGCTTAGACAAAATTAGATCTCCACTTTTGTATTTGTAATATGGGAATTTTTCCTGGGACAACACATTCTCTGCTTCTGTAAAAGGGATGAGATTTCCACTCTACTTCCCAGAGAGGGAAAATTGTGAAATTACGGGATGAACACATTTTGCTTTTCCCCACCTCTCACTCATGCCTCCCCAGGGATGAAAGGGAGCTCAGCTGCTTGGTGAATTTGGAGACGGAACTGAGTGTGTCCAGCTCAAGCTCTTTCCCTCTTCAGAACTGCCTGCTTGCCAGTCTCCCTGCCCTCAACTGCCCCTGACTTGGAGATCTGTGGTTTTTTTCCTGGGGGCCAGGTATGACTTGGGTGAAGTATTAGGAAACCCGGTGAAGGCTTAACAGTAAGCCTAGCTCTCCAATCCACTCGAAGAGCCGACATTTTGATCTTAGCTAGTTCCAAGTGCACATTGTAAGGAAACTGTTCCTCAGGGCTCCAGTAGACTTAGCAGAGCCTAGAACTATTGCTCACAATAGTAGTGATGGGTAAGCAAAAGGAGCAGGGCAAATCGCCTAACCTGGTGCCCGGTTACATGGTAGATATCCAATATGACCTAATTTTCATTTAAATTGTTATGTTTTACTACTTTTCTCTAAGCATATTAAATTCTTCTTAAAGCCAAATACCCTTTTAGTTTTTTGTTATTTAGCTCACAGGCCAAATCAAAGGAGGAACAATGTCTAAGGGAGGAAAAAGCTCAAAGATCTTCACAGCAGTGTGGAAGTGAGGAGGAACCTGATTCGTTTATTTAGGAAGTATAAACCTCAATAAATTTCATAGTTTACCCTTGCACTGAGATTTGCTTGACTTTTATCTTAAAACACAACTTCCTATTTCTCAGTCCTGGCAACATCTTTCAGAGAATTCTCAGGTTGACTTTTTCTGTATTTCTTTTCCCCCTATTTTCCCCTTTTTTCTTATTAATTCTCTCTCTTGTTTTTGCACTTGCTCATCCCCACCCCCACCCCCGTCTCCTTTCTTTCTTTCCCTCCCCTCTTTTTATTTTTGCAAGTTGAATGAAAAGTAGCATGGAGTGTCTTACAAATACTTTGAGCAGGCAGCTAATCGTTTCTTAATCTTGGTGCACAGTCCTCTAAATTATGGGAAGAGGAGATGGTGCATACTTTGCAGAAGACCTCACTGAGTGCAGAGCTGGCTGCATGCTTATCATGGTCACCATCTGTCAGTGATGTACAGAAGGGCCTTGTGCTGGTGAGACTTTGGCCAGGTCACTTCTAAGAGCATTCTAGACTTCCAGGCCAAAGGATTCAGGCAGCAAACACCTAGGCGGAAATTCAAATAGTACCCATTCCTCTCTCCCCTTTCCATTTCACTATTTCTGAAGAATAAAGCCAATGTGACCTGAAGTCAAGAGAGTCATCATGAAGCCCTAAAATGTCCGTCACCAATCAGCAAACACCTTCTTTCCCTGAGTTGGAGCGTGGATAACCTCGTGACTAATTTACCACATCTTTTTGTAATAGCAAGGAATTTTTAAGGTGTTTATCCCATCCACAGCTTTTTAAAGCAGTGAGTTCATTTAAATAATTACCTAGTCATTTAGTTAATGCATTCTTTTTTAAACTTGACTAACTACTGCGTATGAGGTTTTGGTGGAAAAAGAGCCCCCTTTATGTAATAGCACTGTTTTTTCCCCCGCAAAATAAACGCAACACAATTATTTTACTGCAGAGAAATTAGCTCATTTGCAAATGCCACCTCAGAACACAAGAAGAATGGCATTTATTGAAGCACTAATAAAGGCACCATGTTAGAATAATTTTATGCTGACGGGCCCACAATCACTCAATATTTTAAGAGCTGTCATCACACCAGCATGAGCTGCATGCAAAAGTACAAATTTATGCTGTGACATCATGGCACTAAGAGTATAATTGGAATAAAATTACCCAGCGTCTCTTTGGCATTTGCTGGCATTTCTGAGCCTTTCACTGCCCACCCAGAGTGGATTCTTGGTTTTTGCACCAGTGGCCACAGATTCTGTGAATGTGGGATGCACCAGGCTCACGGTAGTGGGCCCTCCAGGTGTTTCTAGAGGACACTTTTCGGTAGGTACTCAATGACCTGTACCGTTACTAAACAGAGGGCTGCCCAGGCCTAGAAAATGGCAAGAATCACAAATCAGCCAAGGACACTCTTTAGATGTGGATAATTAAGCAAACAATCGCCATACAATGGTTGAAGACCTCATAGCATCAATTTTAGCAAGTTAATAAATTCTAGTCATGGCTCATGGTTACATGCTAAGCTTGAACAAATGAGAATGTCTGCGTAAAAATAGGGACTTTAAGATTCTGTCTTTTGACTTTTTACTGCATTTTTATTCTCATTGGGTCTTGGGGCGGGGAGTAAAAAACAACATCTGACAAGGGATGGCAGTGAGTGTGGAGAAAGGGCACAGACTTACCTGTCATGTTTAGACATGACACGCTGCTTGAAACCTCGCATTTCCTCAGCGCCTTTTGGGCATAATCAGACGTGCTCTGCACGGTGGGAGAAGGTGCTAATGTGAGTCTTCAAATCTGGGCTGAATTCTGTTGAGTTGATAAGTTTGTTTGGGCACTCAGGTGTGCCTGTCTGTCGAGGGATTTGAGGGGGAGGGGCAGTGAGAATACTGACTTCTGCAAAGCACAGGACACTGTTCCCCGTTGGGGTGCTGAATGTGTGGAGCTGGTTGAGACTCTCTGTGGCCTCCAGGACCAGAGAGTGAGGGTCTTTAGTAAGCTTGATGGGATAGTTAATTTAGATGTAAGAGAGGAAATGTTGTAATTAACAGCCTCACAGTTGGTAAACATAACACATTCCTGTGACTGGATGACAGAATATGGAGGCTGTTGGGATGAAGAATGTAGGTGTTGATTGCTCTGATGCTGTATTTGTATAATGCTTTCTGTGGTGGGCAGAGTGATGGCCCCGAAGATGTCCACATCCCCAGCCTCCAAACCTGTGAATATGTTACTTTATATGGCAATAGGGACTTTGCAGATGTGATTAAGAGTCTCGAGATGCCGAGATTATCCTGGATTATCTGTGGGCCCAATGTAGTCACAGGGGTCCTTATAAGTGAAAGAGGAAGACAGAGAATCAGTCAGAGAGGGAGACGCAAGGACAGAGCAGAGGTTGAAGTAATGTGATGACTGGCTTTGGAGATAGAAGGGCCCGTGGGCTGAGAAGTGAGGACAGTGTCTAGAGGCTGGAAAAGGAAAGGAAATGCATACTCCCAGAGCCTCCAGAAGGGCAGAAGGGACTCAGCCCTGCCCGACCCTGAGTTTAGCCCTGTGACACCTACTTTGGACTTCTAACCACTGTAACTATAAAATAATAAATCTTGGCCAGGTGCTGTGGCTCATGCCTGTACTTTGGAAGCCGAGGCAGGCAGGTCACCTGAGCTCAGAAGTTCAAGACCAGCCTGGGCCACATAGAGAGATATAGACATAGAGAGACCCCGTCTCTGCAAAAAATACAAAAATTAGCCCAGCGTCATGGCTCATGCCTGTGGTCTTAGCTACTTGGGAGGCTGAGGTAGGAAGATCGCTAGAACCCAGAAGGTTGAGGCTGCAGTGAGCCGTGATGGGGCCACTGCACTCCAGCCTGGAAGACAGAGTGAGACCCTACTTCAAAAAATAATAATTAAAAAAAAATCTGTGTGGTTTTAGACCACTAAATTTGTGGTCCTTTGTTATAGCGGCAATAGGAAACTGATACAGTCTTTTTATTTATTAGTATCTTAAATGCATTGAAATTATTTAGTTTTTGGTGTTTGATGAGTTTTTGATTACTGTGTAAACTAAAGCACAATTTCTAAAATCCTGTATTTTTCATACAAGTTAATTTTAAAAATGATTTTTTATTAGAAAAAATTTTTTGCTAAAGTGCAAGTAAACATAAGGTGATCTCAGTGAAGAATAGTAAGAAAGTACCAGGCTTTGGAATCAAATAGACCACGGTTTTGTACAGTGCCATGTGTATTTGAGTAACCCTGAGTTTTAGCTGCCTGACTTGTCAAATGGAGATAATAATAATTTCTTCATAGAGCTGTTGTAAAGAGTAAATAAGGCTGTGTTTTTAAAGTCTCTATAGTACATAGTAGTTTCTTCCCTTATTTTATTGACTATTAACAGTGTCGATTGTGGCAGTTATATAGTTGTGGCAATTTAAAAATATGGCCACAAATTCTTTGACATTTACCTCATTAAGAAGTGATGTTTATGTCCACTCCTTTTGAATCTATGTGGCTTTGTAATATTTCAACCTATGGAGTATAGCAGGAAGGAAGCTATATGTTTTCTAAGAGTAGGCCATGAATGGCTTCATTTGTTGAAATGCTCACTCCTGGAGCCCTGAGCTACCAGGTCAAAAGCAACTACCCTTCCATGCTGTGAAGAAGCCTAAGCTTCATGGAGAGGTCACCTGTCCACACTCCAGTGGATAGTCCCATCTAAGCCCAACTTTTGAGTCATTCTATTTCAGGCACCAGACATGAAAGTCAAGAAGCCCCCAAATGACTCTAATCCTAGAGGTTGCAGCCTCCCAAAGCCCCGGAGTTTTGCCAGATGTGGCCCCAGACATCATGGAGCAGAGAAGTTATTCTACTGTGCTCTGTCTAAATTCCTGAACTAGAGAATCCACGAGTCTAATAAAATGGTTGTCACTTTAAGCCACCAAGTTTGGGATGATTTGTTATGCTGCAATAGAATACTGGAGCATTAGATTATTAACCAACGTTAGTGAAAAATACAAGGCAGAAAAGTGTGGTGCTAAAACAAGAACCCATTGCAGATCACTAAGTCAGAGGTAAAACACAGAGAAACGTATTTACATGGTTTTACAAATGCGTTCTCTTTGTAAAAAGTAAAAGCACTGTATATTCTTTATTTTCCTTCCTATTGCAGTGTCATGAAAGAATCTCTTCCTTCTCATTTTTCTAAATTAGGAAAGGAACCATATCTTTAAAAACATCAGACAGGATGCCTTCTGGATCTTCTGTGTGTATCCCTGTTTCATCAGAAGATAATTGTTTGAAAATACACATTTGAATGGAAAAACTAGCTCAAATGAAAGGAGACAACGTCTTGTTTGTCCAGATGATTAATTAACAAATCTTGGACTTCCTATTCCTCTCTGTAATAGCTTCTTTATTTGTATGTTATTGTTATCTCTCTCCTCTTTCAGATTTGAAATGCCATATTAATCATTTGCTAGACATACAAACAAAGGGATTGCAGCTAGATTATATTGATAGGATCACGGTGTTTGTGTTATACAGAACCTAATCGCATCTCTCCATTTTTGGATGACTTGGCATTGTCTCACGAATCAGCTACTTGCAGGATTTCCAGCGGGCACAGAAACGGGATGCTTGCCCAGACTTCAAAGTTTGGCAAACATAATGAGATAGACCTTACAATGGCTGCTAGTGTATGTATTTTCATGGACTCCCCCTACATCCTGTTTTAATTTAAACACATATGTTCATTATTTTTGAAGTACATGCATATGCTTGAATATTTATTTGGATATAAACAAAATCATTTTCATCACAATTATTTTTTAAATTCTAAGGATAAAGTGACACAAATAAATCAATATTTCAGAATATGTACACAGAATAAATGGCTAACTGAAAGTTTTGACAGATCTACAATATTTTACAAAAGGAATGAAATGTTTGCCTTTCTTAATTTAATGCGTGTCCGAAATAATGAAGTAGAGGAGAAAAGTGAGTTAAAATTTCACCGTATTTGTTGGTTCTTCAAGAACACCATGCTACCTTTCCTTGCCTCAGGAAGGAAATTAGAAATTGTAAAATGCTGTTGACTTGCAGCCCTATCAGGAATTGGATGTGATGGAAAAGTGAATCATAAATGGAGAGATGTATTTTTTTAAGGAATATTTTGTTTAAAATTCTCATTTTCTCTTGATGGCCATTGCTGTTGCCACTGGCTTCTCACAGGTCTGATCCTCACACTGCCCTCCGGCTTCAGCTGATGTTCCCTTTTTTGCAAACAGTGCTTTTCTGAAAAGCTGAAGCCTCCTGCATCACATTTCTTTGACTGGCAAATGTGCTTTCTTTGTTGAATAATGATAAAGTCATTAAGTCATTACTTCTCAGCAATAAGACTCTCTGCATTCATACAAGTCATCTGTAAGACCCACATTTCTGGACCAGCCTAGACAATCTCCGATCTGAAGTTTCTTTAACTTAGTGGACATTTTAAGAAAAATAATGCAGAATTCCAGATGAAAGCAGGTAAGAAAATGAATATTTATTTTAGAGTGAGAAAAGAAACCACAATAAACTATTGGAGTTTGAGATTCAGGCCCCTTTGTTTTGACATCCTTTCAAGCAACTGGCCAGAAATGACCTCATAGAACACTTCCTCCCACAGCCGGGCATTTCCTATCGCCTAGAACATCCAACAGCTCCCGCGGAGTCGACATGCTCAGTTTTGAGTGTCAGAGACACCTTGAAGCTTAAGCTCATTAACTTCAGGGCAAATTTGCCTCTGGTCTAGTGAATGAATAAATTTTGCCAACAGAAAGCAATCACAACTGACACTATTGAACACTAATTTTGCATGGACCACTGTTGCAAGCACTTTACACGTTATTGACTTATCCTCTCAGCAATACGTTTTGTCCAGAACCAACAGCCACACAGGTGGAAATGGGAGTTTCCCTGTGCATAATTGTATAATTTCCTTTGTATAATTTTAAAAATATAAATATAATACATGTGCAGGGCTGTTTATAGCTCATACTCATAGAGGAGGAAATATTCCACAAATCCTTAAAGGCAAATTAGTGGCAATACTATAGATTTCATTAAAATAATCAGACAAACATTAATATCCCAAATAAAGACATTCTTATCATGTAATAAATTCTGAGTCGAGAGTAAGTATGCTACTGAAAATTATTATTAATTTTTAAAATGAAGAATTCACTATTATACCTTGTTGGATTGAAGAAAGATTCCTTGTGTAGGACTTTTCTTCTCATTTGGTTATTTAATATTGTGAGACCAATAATATCAGAAAAGAAAACACTTTCAGGGACATCTAGTCAATGCTTTTGCAGAAGTGCCAATTATAAATATTAAGTACTTTAATCAAGTTTCATAATTTGTAAATATTCCTCTTCTCACACATGACAGATTATTAAGATATCTAATATATTAGTAAAAACTGGCATAATTGTGTTAAAATTGGTAGATATTGGTCTAACATACATGTTACAACTTCCTAAAATAATTTTTTCAATGTTCTTTGAAGGGTAAATTAAATGAGAGATAAATGTTAGATTTGGCATTGCTAGAATTCAGCCCATAGTGAATGTCGACAATTAAGCTCAAATCATAGTAAAAACACAGTTGAAGCTAAGAAGAGGCCTCCAAGTGTGGAATGTCAGCTCTTAAATGGAACAAGCAATAAAAGGGTTCACAAATAACACTCTGTTGTGACAGATGTTTTCTTAGTACTTTCCATATAAGCCTAACTTATCTGTGTTATTTATTTTAACTGTCCCCCTACACTTTGTATTTGTTTAAACTTTTTAAAGCAATTTATTATAATGTATTCTTTGCATAAAGCAGAATCCATTTGGATGGTTTAAACAAGAAAACTCAAAAGAGGGGACTACTTAACAGAGGCCTAAGAAAGGTTTGGAACTTACATTGTAGGATGCATGTTAAGGCACCTAGGGAGTAGCAGCAGCTAAAAGCCTTTGGTGCTAGAGGGGCAAAGGTAAAAGGAGTACTATGAGAATCCAATAACACCTGTCACCATGAGAAGTAAGTAAAGTAAATAATCTCTACAAATTATTATGTTTGTAAACCTAAATGTTCAACTATTGGTTTGCTTAAGAATGGGTATGTCCATGGCTCAGGGATGAATCCAAGCTTGGAGGGGCCTGAAGTTTACACAAATGGGGGACCCTTTTTAAAAGCATGACAGAATTACAACTGACAATTGCTAGGTCTTCTGCAAGAGCATTGGTAGCAGGCCAAGCAAGTGAAAGAGTTACCTAGAAATTGAGTTTCCTTGGCTTTTCAGCAAATGTGTCTCCACTCTTGATGCATGCTTCCTGCCTGCCAGCTACTTGGTAGGCTCTTGTGAACTGACATCTGCCAGTTTGGTCGTGGAAAATTTGATGATTCTTTTGGATAGATGATGGTATGAAGTTAGGTAAGCCATCCAAGAAGTTTGTGGTGGAGAGGGTTTGCAGCTCCCCTACAATGCCACTACCTGGTACAATGAAAGGAAGTCTCAGACTACATTCTGTCACAGACATGGACAGTTATTAAACAGATATTCGCTAGCAAAGCAGGAACCAAAAAGGAGGGCAGGACTAGTGTGAGGTGACTGAGACCCTTGCCTAGGGCACAAAATATAACGGGGTGCCAAAAAATTCAGTCATCAAAATAATATTTTAATATATTATTTTTTAAAACCAAAATCAATGCAATAGACACATGATGAAAAAACGTACAAATTTTAAATAAAGATGGGATCAATATCACTGATTTTATCTTCTGCCTCAGACTTCAAAATGGTTTTGCGTGGCACTGCAAAGGGTTGAAATCATCTCTTTTGTTAGCCCAAGAAATCCCAGTTCTCCATTCTTTGAGATGGTTCCAGCATTCTTCTCATGATAGGTTGACCCAGGCTTCCAGAGTCAGTACTTTGCATTCTGGCTGGTGTCAGACAAACAGAAATCCTCTTAGATAGCAGGCTGAGTAGGGCTCAAGCTTGGGTGCCATTTTTGAGGGTGCAGGTGAGGACCCTCACGGATTCTTGGACCTTCCTTATGCACGAGATTAGAAAGTGTCGACATCGTGTGCCTAGTTATTACTCTGTGTATCTGGAATAGCTAGAGACCTTGTTTCTCACTCTGCTAACTTCACAATAAGAAGCCATTCCTGACGTTCACTTTGAGGAAGGGTGAGAAGTTACAGCTGTGCGCGTGGTGGCGTCCTCTGCTGTGTGACTCTTCCTCATCAGATTGCCATCTGACTAACCCATCTGTGTGTTCTGGGTAGGCCACCCTTTCCACATTCCCGATTAGCATCTAGGCTTCGGCTAACCCTAGTGACCATGTCTCACTCTATTTGCGGGAGTAACTTAAAGCAACGTAGGCATCTGGGCTCTGGGATAGTGTGAGAAGCACAACAAAGCCCTCATCCTCACAGAGTGAACATTTAGCAGGGAAGAGCGTTCATGAAAAAACAGACAAACATATGTTACAATATTCTAATATCAGGTACTGATAAGAGCCATAAAGAAAAATGAAGCAGCATGGAGGGATAGGGCTGGATGAAAGGTGTTATATTACTTAGGGTGGTCAGGACAGTCCTCTAAGACAAGTGACATCTGAGTGGGGACTTGAATGGGGTGAAGCAATTGCTTTGCAAACATCTGAAGCGAAAGACAATTTCCCGCAAAAGCAATATAGCAAGTGCACAGGTAACATGTGTTAGGCAAATTATCACATTTATGTTGTGAAAGATCCAAATAAGAAAATAGAAAGCAAAGAAAACAAAAGCTTCCTATATTCCCACTCATCCAGGGTAGACACTTGAAGCAGTTCCTTATGTTTCCTTCTAGACATTTTCCTGTACATGTAAAACCCTATACCTGTCTTTACTTTCTCCTTCCTTTTTCCCTCCTTCCTTTCTACATTTTCTCTCTCCCTTCTTTCCTTCATTTCTCTTTCTGTTTTAAAAGTAGAAGGTACCATACCCACTTCTTTGCAGTGTTTTAACAATTTTGTATTGGTTTTTCTTCAAGATCTTTCATTTTAGCATAGTCACTTGCAGAGCAACCTCATTCTGTGATAAGTGTGCTATGGTACGGATGTGTCCAGATTGATTCAACCGGTCTTTGGTAAACAAATTTTGTAGTTCCAGTTCTTTATTATTAAAAGCAATACTGTGATAAATATCCTGATACATATTTAATATATATATGTATGTGTGTAAGTATACCAGTGCATGTGTCTCTTGCTAATCCTCAAGTGGGAATGATAGGTCAAATGGAATGCACTTTTCTAATTACGATATACATTGCTGAAGTGCCTTACAAAAGGTTATGCTAATTTAGATCCCTGCCACACTTTATGAGAGTTCCTGTTTTCTCGTACTCTCACCAATATTAAGGAATGAACAGTCATTTACATCTTTGCCAGATGATAAATAAAAATTACATCTTCTCATTACTATAGTTTGCATTTCTTTTATTTTTAGTGAGGTTGAATATTTCTTCCTATGCTTATTGGCCACTGATTGTGGGAAAGTTGCTAATTATTAATTGAGGATAGGAATTCTCACCTATTTCTTGTCTCATATATAGGGCTGCCACCAGCACATAGTACATCTTGAACAGATTAGAAAAATGTGTCCCTTCCTCATGACACTTTACTGCCATCTACCAGAAAATTGCTATTATAGATAAACAAATCAGGGATGATTATAGTTGTGAGTGATTAATGGGGCTCTGTAGAGTTGTGCAGTGCTCAACCCACACATCTGTATGAGACAGCCCTGCTAATATTCAGGCTTAGTTTCTGATTCTCAGCCAAGATAGCTGTTGTCATCTTGACCTCTCTAGCTTTCGTTCCTTGTGCCTTAGCTCTCTGACTGAGTCTAGGACATAGTCCCCTGCCCCACCCCACCCCGCTTTTTTCCCTAAATCCCTTGGGCTGTCTTGGTTTTTCCTTTCTGGCTCATTTCATCTGTCTTCAAACTTGAGTCCTTCAGTGAACTGGTTGGTGCCCTTTTGTCACCTTCTAGACAGGAAGAAGTAATTCATATTTTTCTATAAAACTTGTGAGTCAGAGTCACAGCTCCACCAGCATTCCTAATGCCTAGGAGAATTTCTGTGACCATGTAGCCCATTTCTCTTTAAAAACACTTATCATTTACTTTCTTCTTAGAATGCCATTACCCTTCTAGGCTGTTGCACAATACATGTAATTATAACATTGATCTGAGTGCTTACTAAAGGCAGGGCACTTTTCTCAGCTCTTTAAACCTGTGAACTTATTTTTTTTTATTTTCAAAACTGAATGAAATTGATACTAATTACTATTCATATCACTAATTACTATTTCTACTATTAGTAGTGTTTTTAGAGGCAGGTGGACAAGGAAAAGGAGGTGGAGATAAAGGAAGCAAAATCTAGCAAATGTGCGCTTAAGGTTTGGAGCAAACATCCCATTCCTATCTTTTTAATAAGGGAGGGCACTGAGTTTACCTACTCAGAAATATAATAGAGGAGCTTAATGCCATTGGGAAAACTCTACAACAACTCAACCCGCAAGAGGCTTGAGATAATTCAAGCCCTTTAGCTTCAGAATAAACTGATGAGGCTCACAGAAGGCCGTTTTCTCGGGAAGCAGGTCCCTGTTGACCTCCCTTTAAAAGTGTACAAAGTTCATGGTTCCCCACGATCCACTGAGCAAATGTCACATGCCTCTGATAAAACTCAGTCCAACGAAAAATCAAGCAGGGGACTCTATTTGAAAATACCCAGATGAAAGCGTGTGTATATCTGTGGCAGGGCCTGGGGAAACGTTGTGAGGAGCACAGTACATCCAGTAACATGTACTGGAATTTGGAGGCTAAAAGCAGCCTTGGAAATCATCTGACTGAAGACTCTTATTTTCAAAACCTGGAAACTGAAGCCCTGGAGGTCTTAGTGACTTGATCAAGCTCACACAACTGTTGAGCGACCCACCCTGATGCCTAGAATTATCCCTTTCCCCAAATGACCTGCCCTGTTAAATGTGGAGACAAAGGTCTTCAGTTTTAATGTCAGACCTGTTGCTGATTGATTGTGCCACATTGGGAAAATTAGTTTATCCATATGCCTAGGTATTAGATTTCTAAAGTTTCTTTGCTCCTTAACATGCAGTGACCCAATTGTAAGTATTTTTAAAATTTATTATTATTATTATTATTCCTAAACCTAGCTCTTTCTACAACCATTGGTTTTCATATCCATTGACCATCCTCTAGGGGCTTAAGAATGGCCCCTGTGAAATGTCTTAACCTGTGTAGGCAGCCGTCGTGGGGCCCAGCCAAGAAGGTGGATAGTGTGGAGCTTTCTCTGAGCAGTGCTTTGACTAGGAAAATGGCCAGCAGCCAGCATCCAAAACCAAACAATTGTCAGATGGCTAGGGAAAGAAAAATAAATGTTGAGCAAAGCCAAGAACTCAATAGCTGTTTCAGTGCAGCAGAAGGCTTCCTTTATGTCTATTTCAACTGCAGCATTGGAACATGTCTGAACTAGAGGGACCTACCATTTCCTGACCCCAAATGCCTGGGCTACAGTGGCCTGGGAGTGTTCTGTCAATCATCTGCCCCTCAGCCCATGGAGCTTGGGCCCTTGGGAACACCACCAGTGAGGGTAGGATTTCTGCTGCTACGCAGGACTTTCTGCAACCCACCAAGCACGTTAAGGATGATTTTTGAGCTCTTGCTACCCATACTGTCTGCACACAGTGCTGTACTCATGCTTTTCTTGACGTACAGAAGTGTGTCCTCAAGCTCATAGGGTCTTTTTGATGACATATGTTTATTTCCTTGACCAATTACTCTCTGCATCTACACACTACACTGTGAGGTTGACATCTTTTTATTTTTCCTAGATTGAAAATATTGGATAAAAAACTTATTTTCACTCTATTCCTCAATCTGGGAGACAGGATTGCTTTCCACCCCCACCTCTCTTTATTTATGCTCATACTTGTGTCTGTTTTTACATGTTGTATAGGGATGTTGTGATACAAATATTGTATATTTAGGGACATCCAAACTCCATCTGTGTAGAGATTTGATCCTGGAAAATACAATATAGCCAATTCAGATTTTCTAGGTAGTAAATTTACTTACAAATTTCTTTCTCTCTTATTTTTCCATATCTTTTTTTCTCTTCCTCATATCTTCCTCTCACCTCTTTTTCTTCTTTGTTTCATTAAATTTCTTTTCCTTTGTATCATACTTTGTGAGAGTAGAGCACAGTAAACACATCAGCAGAAATAAATTTCACAAATGCATATTTCCTTATTGCTATCATCTTATATTTAATAAAGTTTCTCATTAAAGAGGAGAGGCAATTGTGAATTTTTTTAATCTGTGACAGATGAAAATAAGCTATTTTATCTGCAGAAAATCTTAGCAATAACCTGAGGATAAATGAAGAAATATCTGTTTTGAGTAATTCTCTCAAACACAAATGGCTTCAAAGCTTTCAAGTAAATGTGTTTATTCAGTGTGAGGCAATTGGGAATAGTGAAGTCTGTGGCTGAACTAGAATGTCATGCCTAAAATCATTCAAATTTTCTTTTTTTTCCCCATCACGTTAGCCACTCAAAATAACTCTTTTGACTTAACTGGATGCCAGGGCAGTAACACTGCCTTAGGTAATCATCACTTCTATTTTATTCCATTTCTCTGGTGAAGCTGATGCTTGTCCTAGAATAACTTACTTAAGATTATGGTGTCCCTTACCACTGTGTTGGTCATGTCACTCTCCAGGGCTCCTCATTGGTTTTTGAAAGAAGGGAACATTTCCATGGCATTTAATGTTCTTCCTGATCTGGCCCCAACCTGCTTTTATGTTCATTTACTTTTCTCTGTCCTTTTTAAATTTATGATAACCTAATTTACTCACATTTTCTTTTTTCTTGTTTTGGAATAGGATCTCAGTCTGTCACTCGGGCTGGAGTGCAGCGGTGCGATCTCAGCTTACTGCAACCTTCACTCCCAGGCTCAAGCAATCCTCCCACCTCAGCCTTCTGAGTAGTTGGGACCATAAGGTGTGCCCCACCATGCCTGGGTAATTTTTTGTACTTTTGGTAGAGATGGGGTGCTGTCATGTTGTGCAGTCTTGTCTTGAACTCCTCGGCTCAAGCCATCTGCCAGCTTCAGCCTCCCAAAGTGCTGAGATTTAGGCCTGAGCCAAGGCACCCAGCACTCATATTTTCTTAAACATACCCTACTCTTTTCTTTTTTCTCATCCATGGGCTTTTGCTGGCACCACATCTTTTCCCTGTCTTTGTGGACACTTTTCTTTTTGGTCAAGGCCTTGATTAAGACTGTTCGTACTGAGCTCTAGAAACTCCATTCAAATCCCCTTGCTCTGCGCTCTCCTGACACTTTATGTAAACCCTGTTAAGCTAGGATAACATACATCCCAGTTTGTTCTGGACAGTCACTGTTTATGTCTGTGGTCTCAGCTTCATTATCACTTTGTAATGGTCATGCTAATTATAAAACGTAATTACATTTCTGCCTTATGTTAAAGTTAGATGTGGTTTATGTCCTCATTGGACCAAGGATCATCCTTGTATCTTCCAATGGCCAGGCTATCTATTTCTGTTATATAAATGACTTCCAGTTAAGGAAATTGGTGAGTTTTATTTCATTTCCATATAAGTAGAACGGTTAGAAGATATAGTGTGTTTTATAAGCAGCTCAGAGCTGAAATGATTCTCATCTGTAGGCATTCGCTATTCTTTTTTCTTTCTTTTTTGGAGGACTCTATTTGATCTTGTTTCTTTCTTGAATGTAGATAGTGGGGATGGAGAACAGAACACGAAACCATATAGAGCAAGAACCTAGAGTGATTACCTAGTCAGGTCCCCTGCCTTCACTCATGTAAATAATCCTATAGTGGACATCTGCTTTGGGCTCCGCATCATTCATTCCTTTTCTTTGGGTAAGTTGCACCCTGATTTTCCTTTGAGGAAATTGGTCTCACCTAACTCTCATTAGCAGGGCTGTTGTGAGTAGAATGAGGCAAGTAAGGTACTTAGGGTGCGAAATTTAAGGAGGTGCTCACTTCACTTCCAGGGTTATACAAGTACGAGGTTGGCAACCAATATAGTGCCTTCTTAAAGGTTGTCCCCTGGGTGCCTTGCTTGCCTCACCCTTGTACCACCCTTGTTCAAAACAAGAAGGGCTGACCGAATCCCTGTCATCAGGGATGAGGTTTGACACAAGCCTGGCCAAAGACCTTTCCTTCCCCTGGCAACATTGATTGATCGAGCCACAGTCATGTGGCACAATCATAGCCAATGAGATTCTATTCTGGGACTTTTCTTGGGAAAGCAGTCTCTCTTTTTGATACAGTTGAAACACGGAAGATGAAAGTCTAGAAATTCTGGGGCCACCATGTGGAGCAGCCTACAGGACAATGGAGCCACAGCAGAGGCAAGCAGACCCAGGGATGGAGAAGGGCTGCTTTCAGATGAATTGTTTGAAGGCAAACAATTACATATTGCCTGGTCTCTTCAGTTGTGACTGATTTCACCTAGATTTAGGGGCACATAATACCTAACTCTTCACACTCACCCATCCACACACACCCCTTTCCTTTATTTTCATGCCAGTTTGACTTAGGTTTCTGTTTGTTTACAACCGAAAGAATTCTGGGTGTAAATATGAGAAGCCTAAAGCCCATGGAAGTTGACACTTGTTCCTGGTCACACAACTTTAATGAAGTGTACAGAGGAAAGCTAGATCTACACTTCCTAGCACAGCGTTTCTTCATTCTACTGTCTCTGATATTCATCAGCACCACATAACAGCTCAGTCATTGAATCACTCATGTAAAGTGCATTTGACAGAAATCATGAGTTAAAAGTTACTTAGGAACCAAGAGGCTGTGCTTGATTTCCTTTTTAATGTTAATTTCAGACTAATTTTCTGTTCAATTTTTAATGTTAACTGAGGGCACTGAAGTCAACAGAGATAAGGTAAAATTCGTCCAGTTCTCTGGACTTTTGTCCAGTGGCCTTTTTATTATACTTCTCAATCCCTCAAAACTAGAACCCCTCATTTTCATCTTTAGCTAGATTTTGATAAGTTGTTGAGCCCCAGGAATCAGTTAGGTGTCTAGATTATAGTTTATTACAATGCTTACTTGGCTTAAGACCAAACAGTGGTGATTGATTTTTTGTCTCCCATTGGGGCACACAACTTGGTTTGCTAATGGTGACAAATGACATTAAGAGACAAATCAGTTTAAATTAATGACCCTACGCTTGCAAAATACCTCAGGGAGGGTAAGTTCACTCTGATATTGTGGATAAAGTGGTATTCTTGCCACTTTCAATTAGTAAAGTTAATGAAAAAATTCAAAGGCCATCACAACTTCACACACTCTAGTGAAAACACAGACTGCTGGGCCCTGTCTCCAGAGTACTGGATTCAGTATGTCTTGGGTAGGGCCCAAGAATTTGTGTTTCTAACAATTTCCAAGATGATGCTGATCTTGAAGGTCTGCGGGCCACACTTTGAGAACTGCTGCTCTAGATCAAGAAGAATCCAAGAGAAATGGGGAATTGGTGAGAGATACTAACAAAGATTCATAGTCAAGATTAACTTTTTGAGTTTGTGATAGAAAGAAGAAAGGAAGTTGTTCCAAATGCCACTCTTGCTATTTCCCATAATTGTCACATTTTCCTTTATTAACCCTTCAAACCAAGGGTTATGCTAATAGAGTCCTTTTAAAATATTTGAAGGAATGCCTGTGGCAGTGGGATGTGTCATTTACAAGTAAGAAAACAGAGAGACATCTAATCATGATTAATTTCATTTTGACACTTAGTTTTCTAGGCCTAGAAATTTAACTTTTTTATTTCACTGAGTGGAGGTCAGTCTTTCAGGGATGGTGTGAATACACAGGAGACTGTTAAATAAGTCTGAATGCAAATTTATTAGTGCACAGTGAGAAATACAACAGGTAGAAATATTATTCTCATATCAGTAGATAACAGTTTCTTTTACAGTAAGCAAGCTTTTATAAAAACCAAAATACCGTCAGCTTACACCAGAAAGTTGCTTAGGGAGTGTGGCCCCAGAATAAGAGGCATTAGTTTAATTTGAGGAATATTGGCTATAGGTTGGTGTGATGCACTCACCTTCATTTGAAGATAGCTTTCCTTAAGGGACATGCGTACTGCTACCCTTTCACTAGTCCTCTTAGGGCTCTAAGAAGTCCTAGACACAATCTGCTTGATTTACCTGTTTTTCTGAAAACCAAATTGACCAAATGGCTTCCAGAATATATTAAGATATTCAGACAAGTTGCAAGCACATCTTGCTCTGGACATTCAGTCATTCTGTTGTGTGATTTTGTACAAATAGCTCTAGTGATCTATTTTGAGATATCACATTAATGTCTACCAAACTTAATAGGAAAAGGAAGTTAACTTTCCTCTGTGGATATGATGAGAAGACCTAAAGGAATATATGAGAAGTTCATAATTTGTTTGAATTTCATTCTTTACTCTTCATAATTCTAAAACCTTAGACCTTTGTCCTTAGAAGAATGCAGCCTGCTATCAATTCTTGAACCCTTGTCCACTGAGGTTTGTACGAAATTGAGTAAGTTGCCCTGGACCATACAGAAGTCTAAGTAAGGTTGCCTCAAGAATTATATGATGCTGGGAGGCTTATATTTTTCTATTTAATAGTGGTTCTAATTTATTTTTTATTTTATTTTTTTCTGAAGGAGTTCTCCGTTTCTGAGAGAATCCCTCTGCTCTACCCTGATATGCATGTGGAGCAAAGACCTTCTTGATTTTCATCACTTTGCTCACCCAAAATGTTTCTTTGTAGTGGGGTTTTACTGAAAGTTTAGGGTGATGATGGGGTAAGAGTGTTGGGAGTAGATGGGAGGGCAGGAGGCATGGTGTTTAACACACAGCATTATATAGCAAAGCCTTTGGAATGGAATGTTAGACATTTGTGTCCTAAATATGCTTCAGAATCTTATCATGTTGAACTGAATTTCTCATGGGACATTTTCCACCCCCCCCCATGGACTCAAACTGCCGTATCATGCTACTTCTTCGATTTTTCCTAATGACTAATTTTTTGAGTCAGTAGGAACATTCTGAGTCTTGGAACAGTCTAGCTCTCTCCTTTTCCCCATCTGTGTCCATATCACTTCCTGAATGCCCAACTGTTAAAATCAGTGGTTTAGTATGGTATTTCTTAAACAAGGACAGCTCTCTATAGTCCACTGTACTAATAATAATGTTTCAAAATAATGAATAAATACTTGTACTCTAGAAACAATGTACTACATTTTCCTGCACAGTCCTTGGCAAATTGCTGTGCTCTGCAGTTTCAGAAGAATGGTATTGGTGGTCAAGTTTGTAGTTTAAATCTCAGAGAGCATTTACCTTTCCATGACCATGGGCATAAAATATCCTCCCTTAGTCATGATACCTCCTTAAGGTCTGTACTATGTACTTACTATCTGCTATGTGTCACCATAGTGTGACTAGACTTAGATGAAGAGAGCCCAACTAACAGAAATAAGAATTAAAACTTTCTCAATACCCAGTCTGCTGGCTACACAAGTAGTTTTCATATTTCTCAAGAAAATTTAATATTTTCTTCACATTAAAACCCCAAGTTTCTAATTAAACCTTTTCCAAAATTATGTGTGTATGTGTTATTGATGTGTCATTGTTGATATTTTGTTTGAAAAACAATTGAGCCACGTATATTTATCTTATATCTGATCACTTTATGTGCTTTATTAATCCCAAGAATTGTAGAGTATATTTACTGGGCTTTCTGAATGAATACATACATATGATTTTATTAATGATAAAAATTTCTCTCCAATAGTCAACTCTCTTTGTCTGCTTCTTATACTATTGAATTGTCTCTACAAGTTTATAATGTTGAAAAATTTCATTTTTAATTTTCTATAGTTTATAAAAATTAAATGAGGAATAGATAGTGAATGCTGTTGAATGCCTTTGAAACAGCTGAATGATTAAATTATTTATCTTTTTTCTTATTAGGCCTATTTTTTGAATAATTATATTAAGAGATTTCCCAATCCTAGGCCTGAATTCTTGGGATAAACCCTACTTAGTCATGGTAGCTAATTCTTTTGTATTAATGAATTCAGTTTGAAATATTCATATTAATAAATGAGATTTTATGTGTGTGTGTGCTCTTTATGTCTAATTTTGGCCTTAGGGTTTGTTAGCTTATGAAAAAATTCAGTAGCTTTTGTAGCACAAGAATACTGTGGTTTTTGAAAGTCTATATAATTTGTAAGCTACTTTTAAAGGTAATTTTTAGATAAACTTTTATTTAATTTCCCTGTGAGTCTTTTCATATTTTATCCTTTTTAATGGAATCATTTTAGATAATATATTATTTTCCAATAAACCCAAACATTCTGTCAAGATGTTTTAATTTTTATAATTATACAGTATTTTTTAAATTTTCTTAATCTCTATTTTAATATTTATTATACAAATATATTTTTTATTATTTATTACATTCATTATTTATTATATTTTATTTATTTTTATTTACATTTTATTTTATTTTTCCCCCCAAAATTAATATTTGTGATGTGCTTTGGCCTTGTCTTCCCACCCAAATCTTACCTTGTGGCTCCCATGGCTCCCATGTGTTGTGGGAGGGATCCAGTTGTAGATGTTCAAATCATGGGGGTGGGTCTTTCCTGTGTTGTTCTCATGAAGGAGAGTGGGTCTCATGAGATCTTATGGTTTTAAAAGCAGGAATTTCTCTGCACAAGCTCTCTCTCTTTGCCTGCTGCCATCCATGTAAGACATGACTTGCTCCTCCTTACCTTCTGCCATGATTATAAGGCTTCCCCAGTCGTGTGGAACTGTAAGTCCAATTAAACCTCTTTCTTTTGTAAATTGCCCAGTCTCGAGTATGTCTTTATCAGCAGTGTGAAAATGGACTAATACAGTAAATTGGTAACAGTAGAATGGGGTGTTGCTGAAAAGGTACCCCAAAATATGGAAGCGTCTTTGGAACTGGGTAATGGGCAGAGGTTGGAACAGTTTGGAGAGCTCAGAAGAAGACAGGAAAATGTGGGAAAGTTTGGAACTTCCTAGAGACTTGTTGAATAGCTTTGACAAAAATGCTGATAGTGATATGAACAATAAGGTCCAGGCTGAGATGGTCTCCAATGGAGATGAGGAACTTTTTGGGAACTGGAGCAAACTTGTTATGTTTTAGCAAAAAGACTGGCTGCATCCTGGCTCTGTCCTAGAGATTTGTGGAACTTTGAACTTGAGAGAGATGATTTAGGGTATCTGGTGGAAGAAATTTCTAAGCAGCAAAGCATTCAAGACACGACTTGGGTGCTTTTAAAGGCATTCAGTTTTATAAGGGAAGCAGAGCATAAAAGTTCAGAAAATTTGCAGCCTGACAATGTAATAGAAATGAAATTCAAGCCAGCTACACATATTTGCATAAGTAATGAGGAGCCAAATGTTAGTTCCCAAGACAATGAAGAAAATGTCTCCAGGGCATGTCAGAGGTCTTCATGGAAGCCCCCTTCCATCACAGGCCCAGAGGTCAGGAGGAAAAAGTGGTTTCATGGGCTGGGCCCAGGGTCCTCTGCTGTGTACAGTCTAGGCACTTGGTGCTCTGCATCCCAGCCACTCCAACTATGGCTGAAAGGGGCCAATGTAGAGCTCAACTGTAGCTTCAGAGGGTGCAAGCCCCAAGCTTTGGCAGCTTCCATGTGGTGTTGAGCCTTTGGGTGCACAGAAGTCAAGAATTGAGGTTTGAGAACCTCTGCCTAGATTTCAGAAGATGAATGGAAAGTGGCTGGATGCCCAGGCAGAAATTTGCTGCAGGGGTGGGGCCCTCATGGAGAACCTCTGTTAGGGGAACGCAGAAGGGAAATATGGGGTCAGAGCCTCCACACAGAGTCCCTACTGGGGCACCACCTAGTGGAGATGTGAGAAGAGGGCCACTGTCCTCCAGAGCCCAGAATGGTAGATTCACCAACAGCTTACACCGTGTGCCTGGAAAAGCCACAAATGCTCAATACCAGCCTGTGAAAGCAGCTGAGAGGGAGGCTGTACATTGCAAAGCCACACGGGCAGAGCTGCCCAAGACAACCCCTTTTATTTGATAACTCAGTTATTTAAAAAAATTTATTTTTAGTACCAACTTGGCAACATAGCAAGACCTCATCTCCACTAAACGTAAGAAAAATCAGCCAAATGTGGTGGTGCACTCCTGTAGTCCCAACTATCCAGTAGGCTGAGGCAGGAGGATGGCTTGAGCCCAAGAGTTCAGTGAGCTATGATTGCACCACACTGCACTCCAGCCTGGGCAAACTCAAAAAAAGCCCAAAGTTTATTTTGAAATAAAATTAGATTTACAGAAGCATTTTAAAAGTAGTTCAGAAAGGTCCTATATCCTCTTTACTCAAATTTACCCAATGTTAACATCTTATACAACCATGATATATTTGTCAAAATTAAAAAATTATCATTAATGCAGTATTATTAACTAACTGTACTCTTTATTTGGATTTCATCAGTTTTTGCACTTTTTTTCCTCTTTCAGTATCCAATGCCTTTGATTTTCATGCTGTCTTAATATCTCCAGTTTGTGACAGTGTCTTACGATCTTGACACTTTTGATAAGTATATTCAACCATTTTTTCAATGATGGTTAGTGATGGAACACATTCTTCATCTATTATTTCTGCTTCTATTCCAGTCATTCACTTTTTTCACCTTGGGAACATACCTAATTAATAGGTTTGATCTCCATTGTCTTATTTCCTTATCTGTCATGTTCTTTCAAAGATTTTCTTCTCTTTTACACCCTGTCACTTTAGAGTGTTTCTTATGTTTTTCTTCTACCTTGATTTTTTTTTATTATCTGCAATGCCATTCTCTTTATCATCAACATTAAAAATTTTTCTGGTCTAAAGTGGGTTTACATGCAACACTTTCTTACATAACATTTTATCTTAGCTTGTAATCTATGCATTTCATCTACTATAATTACATTTCAGCCCATTGGTGCCTTTTCATTATATGCCCAAGTTTCATAGAGCAGAAAGTAACAAGGGAAAAAGAAAATAAAGTAGGTATAAAAAGAAAACTGGAAAGAAGTACATGCTGCTGCATAGAGAGAGAGGCAGAGACCAACTGCTTTGGTTTTGAGGATTTGCAATTCAAGTCTCTTCTGAAGCCTGACTACATTACATTGCCAAAAGCTTTGCAGCAGTTTCTTCTGGTTCCTATAGTGAATCATTTTCGGAAATTTGTTTCGTACGAAATTACCTTTTCCTTATTTTTCAGGACTTTTTGTTTTGAATAGGCCCAATTTTGTCTTTCCTCTCCTTACACATCCTCAAGTGTGGTGTGTTTGATCCACACAGTTAACCAGCCTTCAGTCCATTAGAAATTACTTTGATTTACTTCTGCCTTCCTTGGGCACTGATTGAGACCCCTTTCTACATCCACAGATGGAAATACCTGTAGAATTCCAGCTTAAATTCTAAAGCTGAGCATGCTCTAATCTAGTGTTGCTCTGTTGAAAAAAGTGAAATGCTCTCCTGTTCTGGATCACTGCTCAGTTTCTTGAGATTCCAGGTAATATGGTGTATACAAAATAGACTTCCTTAAGATGAACTGCATCCAGATTTCTTCCTATTTCTATCCACAACAATTTACTTTGGGTGGCTATACTTCCCACAGAGCAATATGGCATTATTCCCCTCCATATTTCTCTAGCTGTTGTTTTCTGAGACCAGTGGTTTCTGGGTAGATATTAAAAAAAAATGAGGCAAGGAGTAAAGCAAAGTGCTAAGAGCACAGAGATGACTACATTCTTTAAAAGATTAATATAGATTGCCAGTCAATTGTGGGAGGGTGAAAATTATCCCCCTATATTTTGAAGGGTGAGCAGAACTGCTTAGCCATGATGCAAAGGATGGGGAGAGCACATTTTTTTTTTTACTTTATGTATTAATTAGTTGATTCAACAAATATATGTATATATTGGATCATTGTTATGTGCAAGGCACTGTACTTCATCCTGGTAACACATATCTAAACAAGAAAGTCATGTTCCCTGCCTCCATTAATTTTTTTTCTCAGTTGCTGGAAATTCATTAGCATTTTTGAATGTCGGCATTTATGGCGTGTACCTTTCTCCATAGAGTTATTATCATAACTAAACATGATAATCCATGTCTGGTGTCTCCTGCATGGTAAGCACTGCATGTTAGCTTTTTTTTTTTTTATTATGATTATTATGAGTACTACTACTTTCTCTATTACCATTGGTCAGACATTAAGGCAAACACCTCGCATGCATCATCACATTCAGTCTTCAGAACAAGCCTTTAGGGAGGATGTCAGCCTTAGTTTTCAGTGTTCTGTTTTTATCTATTTTTTTCTTGGGCATTTTGGTGAACTGTTGGAGTAGGCTGTGTAAGGGATTGATAATAATTTTTCTTTCTCCTGTTCTCTTTGATCCTGTTTCCCATTTTTGCCCATTAATTTTATCATTCATTGATGATGGTACTGACACCAATTTTAATACCTGTTGATTATTCTTGTTCACAACTATTACTGTGGTGTTTACTAAATTGGTTATTTTTTATTTCCATCACCGTACCTACTATTGTTCATTGGTATTTTGCTGTAGCAAGAGCTTGCACTTCTCCTCTCTTTAATTATGAAACTTTATTTATGTCAGTATATACTCATGAATATTCATTTATAATCATTAAATATTTTGTGACTCAAATTGACCCAGGTTTGAACATTGAGAGCCCTTTACAGTTAGTTGTCTCCTGTTTTGGATAATATTTTAAATTGGAAATCTCTTAGCTTTTTCTGCCAAGTTTACTATTATACAAAATGTTGAAAGAATTATACAGTAGATACTCATATGGATTCTACAATTTGCATTTTTTCTGTATTTCCTTTATAATATAGCTATCTAATCATCAATCATCTTATCCTTTGTTGATATGACAAAGTATGCTGCCGACATACGTACACTACACCCCAAAACACTTCAGCTTGCATATCATTATCTAGAGTTCAATATTTGTTTATAGTTCGTTTTTGAGGTATAATTAAATAATATGAAATGAACAAATCTTAAGTGTGCCATTAAAGGAGTTTGGATAAATGCATATACCTGTATCAAACAAATCCCTCTAATGATATACAACATTATCATCATCACCCTAGGAAGTTCCCTAATACATCTTTATAGTAGAGAGATTTATATTCTTTTGGGTATATACGCAATGATGGAATTGTTGGGTCAAATGGTAATTCTGTTTCCGCTTCTTTGAGGAATCTCCACGTGGCTTTCCACAATGGCTAAAAAATACCTATTAGGTACTATGCATATTACCTGGACGATGAAATAATCTGTACACCAAACTGCCGTGACATGCAGTTTACCCATATAGCAAACTTGCACAGGTACACCTGTGCAGGTTAAGAAAAAAAAAAAAAAGAAATTCCCTAATTCTTCTTTCTTTCCAAGTAACCACTGTGCCCACCTCCCTGTAGACTAGATTTCTCTCTACTAGAAGTTGATATAAGTAGAATCATAAATTAGATACTCTTTTGTAGGGCTCCTTTCACTCAACATGTTTTCAAGATTCATCACATTGTTATTCTCAGTAGTTCATTCCCTTTAATTATTGAATAAAATTCCATTGCACAGACATAACACTGTTTATCCATTTTCCAATTGGTGAATACCAGAACATTTCTAATTGTTGCCTATTATGAGTAAAGCTGCTATGAATCTTCTCGTCCAAGTCTTTCTGTGGACCCTAGAAAGGGTTTTGCTCCCTGAATGTACATCACAGATGTGAGCCATACCTCCTTCTCTCACAGCTTGCTTGCCGCCAGCCTCACCCATGTGAGACCTTGTGGCCCTGTTTGTACCAATGATTCCACTCCCCTGACCCTGCTTATTGGGTGGTGTATACACCTAACCCATTTGGAGAAAGCAGATTATTTTTTCTAAGAACCTAAACTTCTGGAGCTATGGACAAACGTAGGCATGGAGAAATAGAGAAAGCCAATTTGCCAAAAGAAGAATGCAGACTTAGGGGGACAGAAACAAGGGGCAGGATAGCCTGTCCTAAAGAGGGAGAATGGAAAAAATAGCTGCCTATTTTTGACGGTTTCCTCATTCTGGACTCTCCAAGGCTTTGGTTGCATTTCCTTTCTCAGGTTTCGTAACATTTTTTTCTATATAATAATACATTCTCTAATAAATTCTATTATTATTTATTCAAGTTAGCTCAATATATTTTGGATATTTCCTACTGAAAATCTTGACTAAATCACTGAAAACAAAATACCACAAGTATAGATTTGTTGTTTGGTCTAAATTCCAGTCTGTACACATAACAGAGCCTAGCATAGAGTATATACTCAATAAAGGTTTGTTGACTGACGAATGACTGAAAAGTGTAAACACTGTGAACAAGGCAATAATAAAGGTGATTGGTTGGTTATAGTCTAGGATAAATGGCTCAATCAGAAAATTTCCTGTGAGCAGGTTTTTAATGACAGGAAGGAGGAGAGAATATCCAACTGGGGAACTTTCTACCTGAGTAAGGAATGATTTCTTCTATAGCCTCCTAAAAAAGGAGGGCTCTGGAACAAGAAGTATAGCAAAACCAAGTATTCCTACAACACATAAATGGTCAGGGCCCCATGTGAGGCACTGCAGAAAAGATAGAGGACTTAGTCTTAGTTCTCTACCGTTTTTGGATGCAGACTTAACCTACTTCACCCTCCTGTTTAGGATCCAGGCAGAGGAAATGGGGTGAGTGAATGTTAGAAGCTAGGAATTTTTCTCTCCCTCCCTCTGGAAAGGCTTTATCTAACTTTCTCTGCAGTGGAAACTTAGAGACACTCAGCATTCAAATAAAGTAGGTTGCCCGAATTTTCATCATCCCAATCCACATTGGAAATGTGTCTATTTTCTGAGAAACCACTGAGCTCAATCTACATTTCTTATTACCATTTAGAAAAAGAGGGATGGCAGTTGACTGTAACAGATAAAGGGCAATTGCTTATTTTTCAATCAATTCTTATTGATTTGGGAGACACAGGTCCTTAACTGTATGTGTGCTTCATCTTCCCGTTGGAAATTTCTACTTCATTTGATAAATGGATTCTAGTTTAAATTACAGTGCAACATCCTTGTGTGCATTGTAGGAGGAGGCTTTAGGTCTTTCAAATACAAGAGAGGAGTGTTTACAAAACAAGTAAACCTTTCCCTATACTGGCTGCCTTGACTGGTAGTGCAGGTTCTGAAATCAGACTGCCTGGATTTGAATCCTGGCTGGATCACTTACTATCTTTGTAATGTTGGGCCAGCTGATTCTCCTCTTGATGCCTCAGTTTCTTCATCTTTGAAATGGGTGTAGCTCTAATAGTATTTACCTTATGGTGTTGTGAGGATGAAATGAGGATAATTTTATGTATTAAATGAAAGGACTGAGAAAGCATTTAGTTCAAGCCTGTTCTTTAAACTTTTTTTGTTTTCTTTCTCTTGGGACCGAAGGGTCAGCATTACTTCATGACTGAGCCTGCAAGTCTCGTTTCATTTTCCCTGAATTCTTTCATTTTTCCTGAATTCTTTGCAATAAGTTGTTGAAATACTTTTATATGCCCACCTTTCAACATTTCTAATTGTACTACCAATAAGATTTTGGATGTGTTTTTATTTTCATACCACTTATTTTTCTTTTCATTTTGACACACTTGCAAGTACTTATAGATTGATTCTATATTTGTATTATATACATCTCTCATAAAAATATATGTGTGTATATGTAATAATGGTTTGCTTATAATTGATTCACAAAAATGGGAACACAGATCAAAGATGAATTATTTTTAGGATTATGGTACAGGGTTCAGTAGTTTAATAGACATTTATACTGATTATTTCTTTAAATCCTCTTTTGAAAATCTGATCTTATTTTGGTATCATGTGAAAACAGCATTTAAACTGTATTTTTTTTTGTCAAATATATGTTTCTAAAATTATTTATTTCATACTAAATTTCTTACTGTTAATCTCTAAAAGATAGCTTTTTAGCATAACCAAAATAACACATCTAAAATATTCACATCTAAGTTAGAAAAAACTTTTATATTGATATAATTGTAAATTCAAATGTATTATAGTTGTAATAAATAATGCAAAGAGATTCTATATATCTTTTTCCCAGTTTTTCCTAGTGGGAGCATTTTGCTTAACTGTGGTCCAATATCACAACAAGGAAATTGACACTGATGCAATCCATCACATACTAAAAATTTTAACTATAATTCTTTTCATATTATTAAAAATGAAGGTACTGCCCAAATTTCTGTATTGTCTCATAATATTTTCCCAGATGATTTGTTATAATAAGAGGGACCCTTGCTTTCTTAAGAACAAATCAAATAAATCTCTTTCTGAGTAATATTTGCTGCCTTACACAGCCTAACATGGATATGTACAGAATGGAAAAGAGCGGACAGGTGAAGAGAATCGAGAATCCCATCGAGTCACAATCATTATCCCCAATTTGCAGGTGACTGAACTGAAGTACATAAAAGATAAGTACTTGTGCAAGGTCCCATGGATGGCTAGTGCCACAGCCGGAATTCTAATCTGAGGTTTTCATGTTTTCTGTGACAGCACAAGAGATCCATGGAAGCTCTGGGGAAAAAATCTTGTAAAAATTCAAGACATTTTACAGCCTGCAGGACTGTTGGGACTCAAATATTGCTGATGCAGCTTAATATGTTCTGGTACACTGATTTCTAGAGGTAGTTAGTGAGGCTGTAGATGAAAGGACATAAGACTTGACCTTAAGGACAAGGGATCCACCCTGCTCCCATCATTTACTTGTAGTGAACTTTGGGCAGGTCATTTAATCTTTTTGAAATTCTATATTTCATCTACACAGCAGGAATATGAGTACCTATTTTATAGTTTTATTTGCCGATGACACAAGATAATATTTGCAAAGCTGCTAGCACATAACAGTGCTCAATAAATGCTAGTTCAACCTGAATGCTTGGCAAATAGCAAAAAACAAATGCTACAGAAAATGTTATTCAATGTTTGCAATGAGCCTGAAAATTTGAAGACTAATTTTGAAAGAATTCTTCAGAGCAATTTAATTTTTCTCAAGGCAACAGCAAAGGTTGATACAGGGGCTCCTCTTTTGTATAAGGTGTCATGGACAAGGGGCTGACATTCATCCCTGCTTCATTTTGGCCCCAAGTCCTTTACAGATTGGTGCTGACACACGCTCAAGAAACCCAGGCAAATCATCTGCTTGGTTCCTAACAAGCTGCTTGTGGTTTTAGCCAGAGTCAGTTTAACATCAGTGGCCCCTTTGTAAACTGTTTTGTTCTGTTTTTCTTAGGAACAAAATGCCAGCCTGGTCAAGATGTAGAAACTTGCTGTTCCATTGTAATAGGATATGCATTTAAATGGGAGTTATGCAAGCTGAAGGATACTCCTGCTAGTGTTAGATTCAGCAAGCCAGTGGGAAAATCTACTAAGTCCTCTGGAATCGCTGAGCCTGAAGGCCTCTGGGGCTGGAGGCACGACTGGCTAGGACCAGCTTGCTTTTAATGTAGATATTTTGTTTCTGCTCCACCACTGGGAGAAAAACATCCCAAATAAATTCTACTATTTTTTCTGTTCCTTTATAACATGTTATTTCTGCACTTATGATTTTAGAAAGATGTTATTTCCAAACTTTGGGTATAAAGCTAAAATTTCTTTTACAACACCTGCCACAATGCTGTATTTTTATTTTCCCATAAGAATTTCTTTATTATGAAATTCACAAGTTGAAAACATCAATTGTTTTGTTGTGTAATTCAAGTTCTAAATGCATCTTCTTTTCTTTTTAGTCTATAATATCAGAATTTACAAAATGAGTTAAAAAGCACACTATTGGCTTAGGCCTTGGGCACTACATGAACAGTTTGGTGAGGGTTTTAGGATGCTTTGAGATGTTGTTAAAATCTTTTGGTGGTATTAGGAGGAATCTCTAAAAGTTTTGCAATTTAACTATTTAAATAAGCGCTAAAGATTTTCTGTGAAAAGAGCACAAAAACTCTTTAAACAAAGACCCATTTCACATTTTAATGCAAATTACTATAATTTGGAGAGTCTGCCTATATTTCTAAATATAACACTGCATAAAATTAGTGGCATATTTTGTATTATCCACTCACTTATACTACTCTCACTCTGAAAAGCCTTATAGGGATGAATAGATTGCCTGCACAAAGTGGGTGCATAGGCTTTCAAATGTTTAAAGAAGAGATGAGACTATAAAGAATATAGAATGCTCATGAAAACATTCCTCAAGCTTGATACAAGCGTCCATATCAATAGTGGTGGACGAATGAGACCCCTAAGTACCCTAAGTAATTACTTCTCCTGTGGTTCGCCAAGATCATGCAACCGGGAGGCAGTGGTTGCTTCAGCAGTCTTGCCATATAAGCGAAGAACACTGGAGTTCATTTCTAGAGGTGCTGATAATTGCCACATTCATGATAAAATGTTCCATAGTATACCACTCCCTTTCTTCACACATATATTTTTACCTAATTTATAAATTACTGCCTTTAAATGAGTGAGTCACGTGTAACAGCTGTTTGATGTTTCTCTGTGCAGTTGGCCAGCCTTAGGAGATCAACATGGCGGCCTCCTTTCCCCTTTTTTCTTTCCCCAGTATGCGAGGTGGAGACCAAAGGGAGGAGAAGGAAAGACTAGGAGAGCGACTCTTTCTTCCATCCCACATCAGTTTAATATCTCTAGAGTAGGAATTCTGCACAGAAATGACTACGCACGAGGCCTGCTAATTCAAATCCCTTCACAGACGGAAAGACCCGCGATGCTAGTCCAGGAGTCCGAAGGCGACTGTCTCCTCAGTCCAGATGGCAAGGGTTCCCCAGCTGAATTAGTGAACAAACGCTCTACATTTTAACAACCTGACAAGCCCTCAACTGTAATATTAAACCTCTGATAGAAACAGACATTTCTAACCACCTCAAGAATGTAGCGCAGGTTATGAAAATGAAGATTGATTTAGAAGGGGAAAGGCTCTGTTGTTTTTGATGTTGAGAATCTGGGAAGGAAGAGAAATTAGATGGAGTTATAAGAAGACTTCCCAGCCACCTTATAGAAACCGGTGCAAATGAGTGACTAGACTAGAAAGCCAAATGCCCAGGCTGCTGTGATGCTGTGACTTAACCTTCCCTCTCTCAAGTGCTTGAGGCCAGCAAGCCAGCAGAATAAAAGCAGCAACAAAACTAAGGCTGATTCAGGGAGGCTGCAAAGCTTACCAATAAATCCCAAATGAAATGCATTTTTGGGTTCCAGGATGTCCCGAATGGGAGCAAGTAATATACTCAGTGCTTTACTTACTTGTGGAGGACCTAGGATGTGAGGGATTGTTCAAAAGCCTAAACTGCACTAAATGGGTCCATTTACAAACTATACATTCTGCTCCTCTGTGTGCTTTTAGACAAAAGAAAGTTTCAATATATTTAGGAGAATTTGGTGATTGTAGTATCCAAAGCTAAATGGTGGAGTGAGGGTGTAGGCTTTCTGAATCCTGGGCATCTCTCTTTTTCTCCCTCTGTTTAAAGGGCAGGAATTTTCCTCAGAGTTTCTTGTGGAAAGTTGTAGACTTCTCAGGATTTTTCTAAATATAGGAGATAGGTTATTTTGGTGTTGCCTGAAGCCTCCCTTTTTTCTAGGGAACTGGGGCCGTTAGTTCAAGAACCACTTGGCGCACAGCTATACATGTAGAAAGAGTCTGGCTTCCCCACTCTGGTTGGGCCACTCTGCTGGAACCCAGGAAGAGTGGAGAGATTTAGAAAGCCACACAGAATAGGGAATTGGCATAGAGAGAAGCCACAGGATTCCAAAAGGACAGGGGATTTGGAGCATGGAGCCACTCAATGGAAGCTCAGGGCTAGAAATGAATTCCTCCTTGAGAAGTTCTGCTAGTGCTGATGATAGTGGAATATGGTAGATTCTGTTCAGATTATAAACGACAATTTACCTTTGTGTCACTACGTACAGACTGCATCTATAGCTTGAGAGAGAAGATAACAGGAGAATAGTTCTGGAACTCTACAGCAACCACAATGCCTTTGTCAAGTTCTTTTGAAGAGTCCAGAGTACAGCCTGTTACATATCGCAGGCACTTTCAAAAAAGAGTTCAAGATGCCTCAGAAGATCAGAGCAAGGCTGAATAAATGAATGAAGAGATATATTCTTAGGAGCAGGCAGAGGGCAAGCGAAAGATTCAAGAGTTTTCAATAAGGCATCGGCAAGTCTGAGTGAGCGAATGAATGGGGCGCGATGCTTAGAAACATCACTAACAGAGAGGATGAAGTAGAGAGGATCTTTCATAGAATACCTTCAGTCAGGACCATTTTAGTCTTCATAAACCACTAGAAATGGTATTTTGGAGTTTCTATGCCACACAACATCAAATATTAATATATACCCACATCCAAAATGAAATATAAATTTTCTTGTAAAGTGACAAGATTTTTATAACTGACTTTCAAAATTATTTGACATCAAATAACTCATTTATTTTACGATTTGCTGTGACTTCTCTGACATCACTGTGCATTCAAAATTCTCCCTGTGTGAGAAAATGTATGCTGATTGTTTTCAAGTTGTAGTGAAATTTTATCAGTATCAAATTTAATGGTTGGTAAATCTGAAGAGTGTAATATAGTCATTTAATTAAAACTTTATTAATTTTGAATTTCAGTCCTTTTTTTTCTATTTTAGAAGCAATAACTTTTTCTCAAGTGTCTGTCATTTTCATAGGTTCCCAAATAGCTCCCAAGCTCTTGTCATTGTGCTTAGCATGCCAGTTGGATAAGGCAGCTGTTCCCAGCTAGTCCACCACAAGGAAGACCAGTGTAGACAGTTGGGTACAATTTGGAAGGAAGGTTTTTCAAAGATATGAACAAATGACCTCTTATCTTCAATTTTGGAATGGTGTGTTGTTTCTAAAGTTTGCTTAATTGCATTCCCAACTGAAGAGAAAGGAAAGGGTTGAATATTTTCTGATCACTGGGCAAGTAATTTTTGCTCTAAGAGACACTTGAAAGTTCTGGGCACTGACTTGTCAAGGCAAGACAGTGTTTATTTATTTGCATGTTACCTTGTTGCACAAAAATTTGAAGTCATGTATTACAAATACATGTGTAACACTATGAAGTAAACGCTATTTTCTTATACTTCATTAGAAGAAGAGAATGTCTTTGTTTGGGAAGTTCTTGGGAAAGCTATTGGAAATGAAGCAGAGATTCCACAGTCCTGAGTGCCAATTGATGCCCAGGCCTCAGAGTTGGGATGCTGCTGTACCTAATGAAAGGGAGAGATATTGAAAATTCCTATGGGAACATCCAAGTAAGAGGGAACAGGTGTCAGGAGAGCTGGACCTGGCATAGTGGAGAGTTTGGAGAGAAGATGAATTTAAATAGAACTACCAAGTGGTTGTCGTGAGTTCTTTCTGGTGAGCTTGACTCACTCACAACCAAGGGGAAATTAAACTCTAAGTAATACATATAACAGGGTTAATATAAAGCAGAACAGGTCTTCTAGCAAAGGGACACATGGTATGCAGAGAAACCTACCTAAAATCAAGCTGTGAATGGTCCTGGCATTAGTTTTATAAGATCCAGAAGTGCCTAATTATAAGCTCTTTAATAAGATGAATAATGGGAATTGCCTATTATAGTAAGGCATAGAGTGACATCCAGGACATTATAATGTTCCCTTACCTCCCCTTCTTTGAGACATCTGTCAGCCTCATTCTAAAGGACATCGAAAGGACTGATGTCCCCTTCTCAAAGGTCCTATTCTAACTCCCTTGTTTTATCTATCTTCTTCCCCTTTGAATTTTATCCTCTTTCAACACGCTCTCTTCTGCCCAATGTTTCTGCTAATGGTGAATTAATTTATCAATGATTTCACTAAGTCACTTGCAATTTTTTTTTTTTTTTTTGAGATGGAGTCTCGCTCTGTCACCCAGGCTGGAGTGCAGTGGTGCAATCTCGGCTCACTGCAAGCTCCACCTCCCAGGTTCATGCCATTCTCCTGCCTCAGCCTCCCGAGTAGCTGGGACTACAGGGGCCCGCCACTACGCCCGGCTAATTTTTTTGTATTTTTAGTAGAGATGGGGTTTCACCGTGTTAGCCAGGATGGTCTCGATCTCCTGACCTCATGATCCACCCGTCTCAGCCTCCCAAAGTGCTGGGATTATAGGCGTGAGCCACCGAGCCCAGCCGCCACTTGCAATTTTTTCTTCTTCTCCTCCCAATTTAATCAGTGGATGTGTAATATCAGTACTACCTGGGAAATGTGTGTCCCATTGTATTAGTTTCCTATTGCTGCTCTACTAATTACCACAAACTTAGTAGCTTAAAAATACCCCAGTTTATTATCTTCCATTTCTGAAAGTCACAGTCCAAAATAGGCATTGGGCTCAAATCAAGGTATCAGCAGGGCTGAGTTCCTTCTGGAGCCTCTAGGAGAGAATCAATTTCCTTGCCTCATAGCTTCCAGAGACCACTTGCCTTCCTTGGCTCATGGCCCCTTCCTCCATCTTCAAAGCGATCAGGGTAACATCTTCTCTCCTCTCTGACCTCTGCTTCCATCTTTGCATTCTCTCTTTCTCACTCTGATCCTTTGGGCTCCCTCCTATAAGGACTGTTGTGTTTAGATTATACCCACCCCGCTAATCCAGAGTAACCCTTGCTTCTCAAGGTCCTTAATCACATCTGCAAAGTCCTATTTGCCATGTAAAGTAACAGGTTCTGGAGATTAGAATGTGAACATCTCTGGAGGGCCATTGTTTAGCCTACCACATATACCACCATTCCCCTCTCCCATTACCATCAGATTTGCCTTGCCTCGTGCTTGGAATATTATAGTAGCCTCATAACAAGATCCCCTGTCTCTAATACCTCACTCCTCCAATCCAACATGCACACTGCTTCCCATTATTATCCTACAGCTGGGATGTGGCCACACATCTCCCTTCATCCACATCATTCAATGGTTCTTCACTGAACAGAGGAGAAAACCCTCAAACCTCAGACTTTAATGCTGACCTTTTATATTTCTCATTTTTCACCCATCCACAGGGTTCAACCATACATCATGTATTCCATATATCAACTCTACTTGCTATTCCTTCAACATGCCCTGAACTTTTACAAATATCTTCTTCTGCTTTTACTGTTCCTTCAGTAAAGAAGGGACAATTTCCTTCCATTTCCCTACCTTGTTAATTGAAGTTCAAATTGTGATTCCAGGCTCAATTCCAGTCTCTCCTCTTCCATAACACCTAGATCCCTGCTGTCCTCACCTATTTTTACTATCTCTTTTCCTTCTAAAGACCTCTGCATACATTCATGGAGTGACTGTCTCCACAGACTGTGAAGCTCTGATGGGCAGGGACCATAATTTTTTGATTTTTCAAGACTTCATAGCACTTAACACAATGTGTTGTTTGTTAGAAAATGTGAGCAGATATTTGTTTTATTGTATATTTGAGGTTTTTCTTTAAGGACTAGCCAAACAAGTTATAGAGATGCTCTTCAAAATCGTTTTTTAAAGGGAAGGTTATGACTCAAACACACAGATTTGCATATTTTGATTTGCTAGTTTTCTGGCTGGAGGATATTTTCTCCATTCTCTGGTTATACCATCTCTCAGGGAGGGTTAGCCTGATGGGAAAGTTCTCCCAGGTCTTTCCCAATCCATTTGCCCCCAATAGTGTTTCACATCTGCTTTGTCATTTGTGAGCCTCAGATATGGTGCCAAGGGGCCCTTGTCCTCCAACAGATACTTCTGTTCAGCTCTGTCTGCAGTGAATTATTCCTCTCAGTTTCTTATCCAGTATTTAATTCCCCATTACTGAGCTGTATTGAAGGTGAGGGAGGCCTATCTGATCTCCCAAGGGGCTCAGTGCCAGCAGAGTAATTAGCTAGGCTTCATGCCAATTCAGAGCTTTGATCTGGAAACCTATAACCTTCAGTTTCAATATGGTGGTGGAAGAAGGTATGGGGCTAAAGAAGAATGCTCTAGGCTCCTCTTTCAAAACTGTACAAACATTACCCTGGAGAGGCTGAGAACTGGACTACACAAAGTGTTGCTGAAAAAAAAGAAGAAATTTATTGGTTCATTTAACTAATCAAACTCTGACAATGTGTCAGTGGTTTCACAGAAAATTTAAACCAAGGAAGCCTGTATTCAAAGGCGATGAGGCTGATACATTTATTGAATTGTGAATGGCATTTCTCTGGGCACAAGGAGGCTCCATGTGAACAGATATGCTTCTGTGAGGAAGTTTGTGGCCATAATGAAAGTAGTATCTCAAAGAGTCCACTGCGATTTTTTTCCATCTTATAAAAGAAAAAAAATTAGGGAGAAGAAACGTGGCATGATGTATAAAAGGCACATTTGACCAGAAGACACATTCTGGTTTTGTGGCCACTAGCTTAAATACAAAAGATTTCTGTTGGAGTGAGGTTTGAAAAGCTGACAAGAAATAAAGCAGCCTCAGAAAGCTGTCTGTCTATGTGAAGTACTTTGCTGGCACCAACACGGAGTGTGGCAGCTGCATTTGGTATCCAACAGGGAGCTATAGATATTTACTAATACTCTTGGAAAAAGAGATTGGCAAATACCCTCTAAGAGTCCTATATGCTCAAAATGTTGGCTTGGCTGCCCAGGAAGCATGTGGAACCCCAAAGGATGGCACATCACTTCCCTAATGCTTTTCCTTCATCGTGGTTTGGCCATAGCTTTTAAACTTGGGAGCAAATCGTAATGGAATTGCAAAGTGGTCTCATTATGTTAGATGGATTGAAATAACTTATAATGTATGACAATGGGGATGTAGGGGGTTGTTAGTGGTGGCTGGCAGCAGGCATGGCCCATGTTCCGTTAATGAAGGTAGTGGTCTTTGTGGGTGACCAGAGAGAGGACTCTGGGACAGACACTCTTCTTAAAAACACCTCTCCTGCTGGCCTGTCACAATGCTTTTATCTCAGCCTTTAAATTCCCACTGGCTAAGGCTTAGCGGTCTTTAACAACCAATAAAATGCCAGGGCTGCTGGACTGAGTTGAGCATTCAACTGTATGAAGATTTGAGAGACTTCCCTTCAAACCTGTCTCTCTCCTACTGTTCCTGCCATGCACAGTTAACAATTTCCTTATTTGTCCATGGTTTCTCTCACTTCCTCACCACACACATCTAATTTGTAAGTGAGTCTTGCCACTCCTACCTGTGGCTTAATTTTCTTCACCTCAGTGCACTGCCTTGATGATCTCTTGCCTGTGTCCATGCAGTAGCCTTATGGTCTTCTGCCGTGGCTACTGGACATGCATTCTTTGCACCGCCTCCATTATCCTTAAATATCTCCCTAACTCCTTAGCGGCCACGGGATGGTCTCAATCGTGTAGTTCGATAGCAAAAGCCCTTCACAGGCCCATCTCCTTCTACCTGTCTCTGATTCCCTGGCTTCCCACCATATGGGCACCACCTTTTTCCTGATTGTAAAGAAGAACGTTTTACAGCTTCAACTTACTGTGTATGCTGCTACCCCTCTACTTAGCCTGAACTTTCCCTTTCTCTCTGCTTGTAAAGTTTCTTCTTACCTTCCAAAACCCAGATCGTATGTGAGTACTGTTTCTGTAACTCTTCTAGATAAGACTTAGTTGGTCTCTTCTGCTCAAAATAATTTGTACACACCTCCATCAAAGCACTTTCTATCCTGTTAGTAACCCTCTCCCTACTTTCTCAAAGATATCAATAACGTAGCATTCATCTCTAGGTCTTCAGTGCTTACACAATGTCTAGAATAATAAATCTAAATGAAAAAACTGACTGGCTGAATACATAAACCATTCTTGGGAATTAGTGGGTATGATCAGTTGCCCATTTCAGTGGCTCTGTTGGTCTAGCTCTATGACAAACTATAAAGAGAGACCAGTCTCGTTTGTACAACTTTTTCTCCTTTTTTATTTTGAGATAGAGGTTCACTCTTGTTGCCCGGTCTGAAGTGCAATGGCATGATCTCTGCTCACTGAAACCTCCACCTCCCAGTTCAAGCAATTCTCCTACCTCAGCCTCCCGAGTAGCTGGGATTACAGGCACCTACCACCATGCCCAGCTAATTTTTGTATTTTTGGTAGAGACGGAGTTTCACCACATTGGCCGGGCTGGTCTCAAATTCCTGACCTCAGGTGATCCTCCTGCCTTGGCGTCCCAAAGTGTTGGGATTACAGGTGTGAGCCACCACTCCCGGCCTTTCTCCTCTTCTTAAAACACCACCCCCATCATTTTCTTTCAGAAAAGGCTTATGCAAGGTGTTATTTCAATCTTCAATTACAAAACAAGTATTAATGGTATGTCTACTATATCCCTGACACCTTTGAGAATTGATATGTCAAGAAATAAGACAGGCAAGATCTCTGCTTTCAGGGGACTTGTGATCCAGGTTGGGCAAGACAGACATTAAGCATACAAATACACAAATAAGATCATTTTAAATAGTGAGAAGTACTATACAGAGAATAGAAACAGGGGGACATTGGAACAATTGACAGGAAGACCCCTTCTACTTGGATCACATGTTGTTAAAGAAGACTTCTCTGAGAAGGTGCCATTTAGTAAAGAGACAATGACAAGAAGGAAAGAAGCTTCTAACCCTGTGAAGGTTAAGATGTGGGAGAGGGTGGAGTGTGGGAGCATTGCAAGAAAAGGCAGCAGCTAGTGCAAAAACCCTCAAGAAGGAACCAAACGATTGTACATAGGAAGGAAGAGAAAAAAGGTATTGGGTGGTGTTTGAGAGCTGGGCAAGGACAGATGGTGCCAGGCGGGGGTTGGGTAGGGGTGTCTTCCGGATTGCCAGGGGAAGGTTTTGCAGAGTTTTCAGCAGGAGAGCAGCTGGAGACCCGGGCCCTATGGAAGCAGCATCTGGCACCATTCTCAGGGGTTTCCTGACATCATCCTTCTGAATGTGCACCTCCCACTCCTCAACTCACTCCTGTCTCTGCCTTGTTTTCCCTTTCTCTTGCCGTTTGTCTGTCTCTCAGAACTCTGAAGAACAGTAAAAGGCAATTGACCATAAGCAAGTCTCTCTTTCCCTCTGTTTTATCTAAAACTTTCATGTAAATTATATATTCTATGCTCTGTTATATTCCTCTTTATCCTCCAGCAGACTTGATGTTCCAGGAAGTTGCATTGGATTTTTCCAGTGGTTTTGCAAATTCCTGGTATACCATGCTCATACCCTAATTTGAGAAGCATTAGGATACAAGATAGATTGACTTTGTTTGAGTAAAATGGTTTAGGTCTAAACACAGAGTGAGTCTGCTTGACTGGAGGCCTCCAATGAAGACCAGGCAGCTGTGGGAAATCCAGCAGAAAGAAGTTTTGTCAGTGAGCAGAGTAAAAGAAGCAACACAGTACAAAATAGTTGTTGAAAAGGGAAAGTGAGGGACCTCAGTGTCAGATTTTACTTATTCCCTTTACTTATTTTACCATATATCCAGGGGGCACCTGTGTTCTCCTAACAGAAGCTAAATTCCATGAGCATGGACCTGTCTGTCCTGTTCTCAGTGCCCAGAGCACTGCTGGGCACAAAGTAGATGCTCAGTAGCTATTTATGAATGAACGAATAAATGACTAAATGATTGAATGAGCAGAGAAAGTAGCAAGGCCTACAGCCATCACTGATCTGAGACTCTCCCACAAGAAGATCAGGAAAAATGTATCACGAATAAAGAATGAGGCCACCCAGAAATGATTCTGGAACATTGTTATTGACATTGGGGGAGGGGACATGGGAAGAAGGAGGTAGCAAGGAGGCAAAAGGAGAAACTAAATTAAAAATGCATAGGCAAAAACATTAGAAAAAAAGAAACAATGGGTAAAGTTTAAAAATAAGTATAAAATTGAACAGAGATTGAGCATATTTAATCAGACTATAAAAGTCTTTCATAATTACTAAGATGACAAACCCCTTGAAAGGAAGTTTATGAAGCACTGCTCCAATCAGATTCAGAGCCTTTTGGGATCATTTGAGTGATAACTGTGTGGGTGTTACTCCCTGTAGATTATCATTTTCTTTCTGCATTCATTTCCTTCAGCAGAAATGAGAGCCTGCGTCACTCATGGGGCATTCTTGGGCGATGTGTGGGTTTCCCTACCCAAGAACTCATAGAATCACAGAGCTCAGAGTTAACTCAACAGGTCACAGAAGGCTCACCCTGGCCACAGTGGAGAAGCCTTGGCCATCATTCAGAGTGAGAGTCCCAGAGATGCCCACGTAAGAAGATTGTGTCAGCACACTGGGCACATTTTCAACTGGTTGTATTGTGCCATCATTTGTCCAAATGATAGGACCTTTGGGTCGTCCTCATCCTTCAAGTCTCAGCTTTTAATACTCCTTTCCTTTCCTAACTCATCCAAGACTTCCTTCTCCTTTGTTCCCACTGGGCTTTGTACATATTTACAGGATACTAATTATACTCAATTATAGCATGAACAGCTCAATTACCAAGCATGTATTATGTACCACACAGTTTATTCAAGTATTCATTTATTCCAACATTCATCATTCATTCATGAGTTATTGAACATCTTTTAAACCTAAGACACTGTGCAAAGTAAATACTTGGGACACCAAGACAGTAAAACCTGGCAGCTGCCTTTAGAAGCTTAGTACCTAGCGAGGAGCAAAAGGTACAAGGACCATTTGCTGGCTGACTACTGTGCTTTGGCCACTGTGCTGGATACTTTACCTTTGTTATCTCTAATTTCATAACAATCATGTATGAAAGAAGACAGGAACTGGGAAGCGGACACTCAGAGAGTAAACTGATTTGATTGCCTCAAAGCTACAAGGTTAGAAAGATTACATAGCTTGGTTCCCAACTAGCCTTTTGTTGTTGTTGTTGTTGTTGTTGTTGTTGTTGTTATTGCTAAATTCATTACTATTGTTTTTCTTTATCAATCTCCCCATAAATGGCAGCTGCAGCTCCTTTTCTCACTCCCTTATTGTATTACACTATAAGATCTCTGGATTAGGGTACATAGCTCTATCACTAGTTTCTACCAGAAAGTTTATGATACTGTAGCTGCCCCCTGTAAAAATTTGTTGAAAGGAGGCTTGCATGCATGAATAAAACGGCACGCTCCCTACACTAAGCTTCAGATCCCATTTTCAAAGTGGTCTGGCTTTAGTCAACTCTGCTGTCTTCCCCGGTTCCAGGCACGTATTACCTGCATCAGTCAGGTTTCAGCCAGGTATGTGAAACAGGAAGTATTTTAACATGGGTAATTAGAGGCTGGCACATCCATGAGGAGGGCTAGGAGCCAAGGTCAGGCAGAAACTGCCTGTTCAAGAAATCTGGAAGTGCAGGAAGCAGAGGGAATCTTGGGCAGCCTCATAGTAATTTTCGATAGTATACTGGGACTTGCAAGTCCTGTCCCAGCTACTGCTGGAGAAGAGTGGCTTCTCTTTCTCTTCCCCTTCCAAATCCTGGTGAGATCCCTTCCTTTGAAGCGTCTGACCTGGAATCCTAGTGGTAAGGAATGCTGGGAAGTGTAGTTCCTGGGCAGGGAGTGGCGGGGGCAGGGGGCAGGGGCGGGGGGATGCCTCGGTCGACAACAGACAATCTGGCAGTTGAACTCTCTTGTTCATCCTGTCTTTATTTCTTAGGTAATGTTTCTCACCCAGCCCTGAGAGTCCCGGCAGCCTTGCCTCGCTCAGGCAGTACTTTTGTAAATCGCCTTGTATCTTGTTGCCACGCTAACAATGGCAACACCGGAACTTTTGCCAGTAACAAAACACAAAAGATCCATTTCTAACCCAAACAGAAAAATTATTTTTGTTTGTTTGTTTGTTTCATCCAACAGAGACTAAATTATGAGTTCCAATTCTGGGTAGGGCTTTCAAAATAGAGCCCTGACCAGTGCTGAATCAACTTGAAGAATGATGAAGGGTTGGCTTCTCTCTCTCAGCAGCTGTGAGTTTGGTCAGCCCTTTGCAAAGTAAGAGGAAATTTAATGAACCTAAATAAGACATGATCCTTTGTGGCTATAAAAGTTACACTTTGAAAAAAGCTCAGCTGGTCAAGAGCCACTTGAAAATGATGTTACTGCAGGGGAACTCTGTCAAAAGTCTACTCCTCTTGGTGAGTTTCCTTTTCTTTAAGGGAAAACAAAGAGAGGTTTTACAAGCTAGAGAAGGGTCATTTTGCTATTTGAAAGAGTGCATTCAAAATTTGAGGCCCGGTGCGATTGGGAGACATCCACAGTCAGTACTTGTTTATTTGTCCAGCTTTACACCATGTAAGTGATGCGGAATCCTTTCCGCCTCTAATAATAACACCACCGTGGCCCTGAGTTAATGGAAAGCTGGAATGGCCAAATGAGAGCTGGTGCTCAGATTAACCACTGTGGGTCAGACCAGTCCACAGCTGCGGCGGGGGAGGCGGGAGAGAGGTGAAGGGGTGGCGTGGAGGAAGGGCAGAGGGAGCCTGTCTTAAAATATTTTTGCCTAGTCAACAGATTTGATGCATGGCGTTTTTACCACCAGATTCATCAACTGGAGCATTTTTAAAAGGATCGGGGAAAACAACCACCTAATTCACATTCTATGGCCTCTAATTGTGCAAGCAGTACATTTTAGAAACCCTTTGTGCCGAGGAGTCTTCATTTGTGGAGCATTTCGTTTGCTTATACAGTAGGCAACAGTGCTTAAATAGTGTAATTATTATGTGTTTCTAGTTTGCTTCGAATTTTGATTCAATCAGAATTCCTAAACCTGACAGCCTATAATCAAACAAAGGGAGTGCTCTGGAAGCAAGGGATTAACAGAGGGGAATTAAACTGTCGTTTTGAAACAGCTTAGACCAGTATGAAAGCCCATTTAGGAGTCTCTCCATAAATATCCCTTTTGTTTTGTCTAATTGCCGGTTTGAATGTATCAGACTCATCAATGGGATTAGGGTTAATAGATGTTTGGTCACGCAGAACATGCAGAGGAGGAATCTGATACACACACACAAAAATTGCACTTAATGAGCTTAGCAAATGTTTGCCATATTTTTAATGAACCCTGGGGCTGTCATTTAGAAATGCTTAGCAACGGCTTTTCCATCCTTGAAAATAGAGCAACTGAAGGACATTAACACTATGTACACCGTAAATAAGAGGAGCTATTTAAAGACACCAGCCAGGAGGAGGGAATGATGATATTTTTCTTTCTGAGCGCCAGTGATACTTAACACTCTGGGTGTGGGTTCAGTATGTGACAACAGAGTTGGGTGGTTCCGGTTTCCCGAAGGGCACTGCGCGGCGTGAGGTTTTTGCACAGGGTCAGGTAACCTTTTTTTTTTTTTTTTTTCTTAAGTTAAATCTGTTTAGGATCGAATCTCCCACCCTCCTACACCTACCCCTGCTTCTGTTTTCGCACCTTCCTCCTGCCCTTTCCAAGTATTCGTGTATAGGCTTTTTAAAGAGGAGGTTATGCATTTGCTGCTACTTCCCCAGGCCGGATACTGCACTGGCCACGAGGCCGGCTGCTCCTGTATCTCAGCCAAGCGGGCCGGAGCGGCAAGCTCTGGGGATTGATTACTCAGAAGATTGAATGATCCATCTTTGGAGCCCTTGGGATTTGGCTCCGAAACCAATGCAGTCGGCAGTAATGGGGACTTATTGAAGGAGGCCATGTGGCTTGTGCTCTCAGAGCACAGGCTGAGCCTAAAAGAATCAGGTTCTCCTTGGGGAAGGTTTGATTTGATAGACAGAGCACGAAATGCAAGTCCAATGGATTATGGTTAGAGCAAATGAAGGATATCTTAGACCTTTAGTTTTCCACAGAGCCAATTGATTTCAAGGACTTCCTGCTCCCTGCCATCTCTCCTCCAACCCTGCCTCTCAAGGAGCAAACATAGACACCACCTCATTAAAAAAATATATTATGAACTAAACACAGCCACCTTTCAGCTTTGCTGGAAAATGAACAACCCTCCTGTGATAGCAGCTGTACTTTTGTGTTGAATGATGATGTCATAATTCTTATTAGGAGAGAACTGAAAAAAGAAAAAAGGTTGTTTCTAGTATTGTACAGGAGCTCTGTAAAGCCTACAAAATTAGAAAGTTTTCTTTGGAGGAAGCAGGTTGAGGAAAATTAGCATCATGAGGGAAAAGGGCCGGTGTGTTTTGTTCTTGTGGTGGTGGTGGTGGTGATGGTGAGGGTGGGGATGTGTGTGTGTGTGCTGTATGTTTGTGTATTTTGTTACTCATTTGTCATCAAGTACTCCTTGCCCTCAAGCAACTATTAGAATGCCTGGTTTGATTAATGAAGCTAGAGATATTACCAAAGGCTTCATGGTTCTGTAGTTTAAAAACATTGTCAGTAATAAGCTATTTTTCTTTCAGAAGTGTCTAAATTCTTGGCATCCAAACCAGTGGATCAGATGAGTTCCAAAAACTCATGTATTAAATAAATCCCTTAGGTCACAGGTCCACAACCAAAATACCTACAGAGTCTAGATTGGTAATATAATGGAATAAGTCTGGCTAAATGAAGTATTAAGGAATGGTGGAGACTGTCACAGACTAGAAACCACACCTGTCCCCTCCAAAGAGGGCAGGATGCTCTGTTCTTCAACCCCTCTGCTCTGTCTCAACTCTACCATCTTCTTGGTTTCTGGATTTTGAGCTCGATTTTGACTTTCATACCAGTGGTTCACTGACTTTATCTTATCTTTAGGCTTTAAGACACCAGCTAGCATTTTCTCTCAATTCCTCTGAGCACCATCCTACATCCAGGTCCCTCGGGTGAATGAAAGAATGAGTGAGCGAATGAATGAATGCCCTACTGTTTTTTAGCACCAGTGTGTGTGAATATTCTTTTTCCTCCTTCCTTCCTTGCTTTGCGGCTTCTGTCCTCCCTTTTTTTTCTGCATATATACGGATAAGCAAGAAATAGACTCTCTGCATTGTAGACACTATATAATCTAGAGACAGTGATTCAAACATTGTATCATGGCAGGTGCTCTGGCTGCAACACGACAGAGGCCAGAGGGAAAAAGCAGGGGTCCTCTGAGTCTCCCCAGGTAGTACCAGGGAAGGAATCACCAGCGGCCTGAGTGTGTGAAGTTGTCTGTAGGCATTTGCCAGGAGGACGGTATTGAGAAAAATACTCGATATAGATAGGGCAGCTTAGGCAAAGGCATAGAGTGTGAGAATATGGCTTCCATGGAAAGTAACAAGCCTGGCTAGAGATCGAAGGAATTGCAGGTAAGAGGCTAGAGAGGTGGACACTAATTAAAGCCTTAAGTTTGGACCTTATCTTACAGGTATTGGAGAACCATTGAAGGGTTTTCCACTTTCATATCATATTCAGGAATTATTTAGCTCTTCACAAGAAATCCAGCTGCTAACGCTTATTTAGATTTCAAACTCTATATTAAAGGTTCTGCTTTTCCAGAACCTTTGTGTCTGCATGTATTTAACGTTGGGTAAAAACCACAGATTGCTGAGAATATTCAGTGAATGTCCTAGGGTCTACTCTCCAAGGGAACCATCTGAGGTTCCTTAATTTCATAGTTGGGTACCTACAGATGTTCTTCCACTTCACTTGTAGAAAATGTGCTCAAGCTGTTTTTCATACTCCTAAATTCCCTTTACAAGGAGATGCTCAAGTGTGGCTTGACATTAAAGCCAAAAATTTTCTACTACTGGCCGAGCAGCTTAGCCTAGAACAGACAAAACCCTCTGCCTATCTTTCTGCATGCTTCCCTTTTCAGGAATGGTGTTTGGCTATTGAATGGACACCACCAGTTCACTGAAGACAATGTTTTTACTTTTGTCATTTCCAAAATATTTGTGTTAAGGAGTGTTCTATTGTCCTGCCAGTTCAAATCAATGCAATTAGCACTTTGAACGCCTAATGAAGACATGGCAGTGTGCTATGTAAGGTGGACTTACAGAGGCTATGCCATGAAGATCTTTTCTTAAAAAGTTTATAATCCCTCAGGAACAATGACGGGGCTACTTAAAAAGGGGTAGGGAGAACTTTTGGGGAAAAAGCCATATTTTTTACAAAAAACAAAGCAAAACAAGTGTCTTCGTTGCTTGAGACTTTTCAGTTTTAAAAATTTATCAGCTAAGACATTAGAGATCCAATCAGTTCTTTTTAACTTTTGTAAAAAAAAGTTAAAAAGTACAACATTTAAGTCAGAAATTCTCTTTGTGAGTGGAGCGAGGAAAAACCGGGTAGAATTCTTAGGCTAGTCTGTTTAGGCTGAGGTTAGGCTTTTCAGGGTATGGAGTTGGCCCTGCTCATAAACTCTGTAAACAAAAGCCTCACCATGGAGCTTTGAGTGTCTCAGAAATTTAATAAACAATTTTAATATAAGGCCAGCATTGCAGGGGAAAAAGCTAGTTTACATTCTGCTTGTCTTCCAGAAGACTTAAATATATGATAAATATGATAAAATTAAGAAAGATGAGTATTTTAAAACCTTACTAATTTTATCTATTCTTGAGTTTCTTTAAGACTAATTTAATATCTTGGTTTAAAATTTTTAATTTCTAAAAATTGTGGTAAAATACTCATAACATAGGATTTATTACTTAAACATTTTTAAGTCTACAGTCCTAATTTGCTTCAAAATAGGGGAAAAAAGCTTGTTGTGCCAAACTATTCCCTGGAGGAGATCATTTTTAAATGTTTGTATTTAGGTTGGAAAATGAAAAAAGTCCTTTCTTTCCAATAAAGTCAAAAGAGGGAAAGATGGGAACTTTACAGTAAAAAACAACACATTAGCTTTGGACTTCTTACTAAGAGGGTCAGAACAAAGGCCTTGGCTGTAAAACGCCCACCCATTGTGAAATGAGACTGCCATGTCGGTGAAGAAGAGGTGGGAGTGGAGCAAAGGTTTACAGCTGACTGGTTTGGTTTTGCCTCCTGCTGATCTATGGCTGCTGATCTGTTTGGGTCTTTTCGGGAAGGGGGCAATGTTTGGGTTATTTATTCTGACAGGAGGCTAGATGCTATTTCCATCTGCCTTGGAGTATTTGAGGAGATAAATGTCTGCCACATCCTGATGAATGGCCTCTATGGTTCATTGCCACAGAAACTGAGTTATGGCTCCTATATTTCATTTAAGAGAAAATTTCAGCCATCCAAAGTATGCACTGCAGCCTTCCATTTGACCAGGACAGCAAAGTGTTTTTCTGTATAAAGGACAAGGTTTGCACAGTTGCACCTTAGGGGGATTGAAAGGTAGGGGATAAATAGAAAGCACTCCATAAGTCAGGCTAGTAAATCCAGTGTAGCCAATTTAAAATACGAAAAAGAATCCAGGGAACAGAACGTAACAGTTCTGTGTCCTGGCTGAGTTTAAGATCATCTTTTCCTGTGAACTCACATCTTCAGTCAGTGGAAATCATTCCAGAGAACATTATTTTTAAGAATATAAAAGGGGGAGCATATAAATTTAAATGCTATCAAAAGTATCACAAGATATTTATTTTTTAAGATATGTGAAAAAGACACAACTCGTTGGCCCATATACCAATTATATGTATCAGTGCATTGAATGAAAATTTATTCTAGACACCAACAGATTTTCAGATACCAAATGGCAAGGGGATTATAATTGTAAATAGGTTTGTCATAACCTAGTATACAGAGGCATATATATCCTGTATTCATTACTTACTGATATATGAACACCTACATATGTTGAGTGGCTTGTACGGATGGGGTGGAGTATTTGTTGCATGAAAAGGGGGAAATATTTCAGGGTAATACAGCCCAGTGGAATGTGTGAAATCAGTACCTCTCGGGAACATGTGCCAGTCACCAGGACCTTTGGGGAAACAGACAAAATAAGGAGGAAAGACCAGAGAATGTTTGCATTCTTGTTAGCGAGGAAATGAGGTAAGCCAAGAATTCACTCGGGATTTAATCAAACTGCAGAGAAAGTCCATACATGCCAAACTGTACCTTTTCTGGTTGTCTGGGCATTGGGGCCATACTTTATGAAAAAGCTGTTATTATGAGACAAAACAAAAAGCTTACTCAGATAAAATGATATCTGAATGAATGCTAATTTACAGGTGAAGCCCAACCGTGGTCTAGCCAGCTCTACTTTGTGGAGATGGTCTGGAGAGAAATGTTGGAAAGTTTTGTGCCGCAGACCAAAGATTAGGACTTGGGGAAAAAGACTTGGAGTTACGTACACAAGAGTTAATTTAACTCTGCATTCAACAGAACTTCTAGGTATGATGCTTATCTATGGTTTCTCTGACTTTGGTCAGTTGCAGACACGTGTTGCCTTGCCTAATTTAAACATACGCCACTTGATCCTTCCTGGAAGCAACATTGGGTGAAGTGGATGCTCATCCTCCCAGTAACCTATGTGAGCTGGTGTGGGACTGAAGCAATTGCAACAGCACGTTGTCCCACCTAGGGTGTGTGCGTGTGCATGTGAGTGTGAGTGTGTATGAGTAAAGTTTCCTATAAATCTAACTTATTTTCCCATAAACTGGAGACTGAAGAAAAAAAAAAAAGAATACAACCTCAGAGTACTTGTTCTTATGCTAATATGATGGGACAGTATAATTTGGAGCTGAATCATGAACACAGTTTATGCAATTATTAACCTACAGAAAGAACCCCTACTTATGAATTACATGTGGCTTCCCCCAAGAAACCTTCTTTAATGCTCTCATCCACCTTTCCCCATCTTTGAATATTGACTTATCTGCCCCTTTCTCCTATTGTCAAAATATTCTGTGCATGCCTCTGTTATTGTACTGTCCAGATAATAGCTGGCTTGCCTTTTCAACTGGACTGTAAATTACTTAAAATCATTTGCATTCCACAATACTAAACATACTGAACACATAGTAGGTGTATTAGTCCATTTTCACACTGCTGATAAAGACATACCCGAGACTGGGCAATTTATAAAAGAAAGAGGTTTAATGGACTTACAGTTCCACATGGCTGGAGAGGCTTCACAATCATGGCAGAAGGCAAGGTGGAGCAAGTCATTTCTTACATGGATGGCAGGAGGCAACGAGAGAACTTGTGCAGGGGAACTCCTCTTTACAAAACCATCAGATCTCATGAGACTTATTCACTATCGTGAGACCAGCACAGGAAAGACCCGCCCCCATGATTCAATTACCTCCCACAGCGTCCCTCCCACAACAGGTGGGAATTCAAGATGAGATTTGGGTGAGGACACAGCCAAAACTTATTGGTAGGTGTTCAAATAATGTTGAATGAATGGATGTTTACAAATAAATCATTCTGAACCTCGAAGGAAAAGCTTATTGTGTCCACTGCCTCCAAGATCATTGTTTCCTAAATGGATGTAAAAGGGCTATTTCAAAGCAGAGGTGAAAAAGAAAAGAAAATCCTATTTATCAAGTTGGAATATATTTCTAGTTGATGAATGGTAGAAAATAGGCTATCCAAGGACTGACCGACTATAGAATTCTGCTAATTTTGAGTGCTGTGGACTTAGAATCTGGGCTAATTGTTGCATTTGACTAATTAAACTCTCAAGGAAAGGCTTGGCATGACCACAATTCAGGCAAGGCAGGAAAGATAATCGCTATGGTCTTAAAGCAAAGCAGGAGCCCAGGGGGTAGCAGGTATCCCTGGGTTCAAATCCTGACATCACCACTTAACAATAGGAGTAATAAGACCAATTTCCCATGGTATTTTAAATGTCCAAAAGGATAATGCGTATACAGAGTGTTAGTTTCTCTTCCTCTGTGTCTCAGAAGGTGGTTTGAATTGTGTCAGGTGCTCTGAGTGCTGCCCAAATTCTCCTTCTCTGTTCCACCAAGTTCCTATTCTACAAAGCAGACCCTGTAAGAACTTTCAGGGAGTCTCACTAATCCTTCAACACCAGCCACATCATTACAATGAATGAATTTCCATTTCTCCTTCAACGTATAACGCATATGCTTCTTAAATGTTCCCCTGTATCCCAATCAATTGAAACTGAATCTCGAATAATACGCTGAAGGAAGCTCCCTATTTAGAAAACTGAGGTGCATTTCCTCTGACTTTAATCAACACCACTCTTTCAGGCTTGCTGGTTAGCCTCTTTAAAACCACCCCTACTCCAGGGAAGGGGAAGATAGATCTCACTGGAGAGGTACAGCTGCATCTTTGAACTGGCTTATCATTGCCTAGATTGTGGCAACAACTCCTCAGGATTGAAAGATGCACAATTTGTATACTGGAACTTGAGGCCAAAATCTATACTGGTAATGTTGCTTTACATCTTTCCTATGAATTAGTGTAGATTTTCAAAAGAAACTATAAGTACAGCAATGGTAGCAAAGCAGAATTTGCTGTAACTTTCCAATTGCTGCTAGTTTCAATAGCCAGTTCACAACAACCTTCTTTATTCTTTTGGATTGTTTTATTTGAGCCTCTTTTTATCTGCTTATCAGATAGACATGGATAGACACCTGTAAATCAGTTAGCTTCATCTATATTAGACTTTTTTTGCATGTAAATGATCACATTAAGGTGAATGCAAATGTATCTCACCACACCTTTTCAGAAGCATAAATTTAAATTTTTAAAATTTTATGTACATGTGGGTTTAGGAATACCTCTGCTCTTCTTCTTGTTTTTGCCTGTCAGAAGATCAATGATGTATCAAAAATCACAACAAGTATTTATAAAGAAAACAGATAGGATCCATTAGGTTTTATGTCACTGCTTTTTAAAAGTATAGTTTCTAAATATCAATTTAAATTGGACTTTGATTTAATAACTCATCGAGGGTTGGATACAATTTCAATTGAGTAATGCTAATATGGATAGAAGTTGGAGCCAGGCCAACATAATTTGAGTGCCAAGGGACCACACCTAATTATTGTTACCCAGCCTGAGATGTGATGCCTTGTCTTCTGAAACCAGCTGAAGTGAGGGGAAGCATGCCAGGGAGAGGGCATGCCAGTTTGCCCTTACATGCCCTAAACTTCCTGCCTAGGTTGATTAGTGGAAAGAACATGGGCTTTGTCGACAAACCTCAGATTGAATTCTGGCTGTTGCACTTGTAACCTTGAGGCCTTGAGCATATTACTTAACCTTTCTGAGTCTCAGTTTCCTTTCCCATAAAACAAGGATTATACCTCCCCTGCAGTGCTGTTTGTAAAGATGAAATGAAATACAATAACTCATGTCTGATCACTAGGCCAGCACACAGTGGCTCCTCCTATTCGTTCCTTTGCTTCTTTTTCTTTCTGAGTAGATCAGATTAATGCAGAGCATTGTTTTTGGCAAGTTGTTGAAAACAGCTACTTCTGTATAATGATGCTGAGATTCACTAGGTCTTTAATACTGTGAACAGGGATACTCACGAAAGTTATAGAGAGGCTATATGAATTAGAGCAGGATTGTTTCTTAAAATATTCTTCTCATTTTTCTTCCTCTTAGACAAGAAAAGGAAAATGACCCCATAGAATAAAAATGTATTCTGATTTCCCTACCTCTCCTTTAATTTTATTTATTTGTTCATTTCTTTCATGTCAAATTATTTATTTATTTATTTTCGGCAGACTAGAGAACTTGAATCAGAGCTTTAGAGAACAGAGCAAATTGCTGTCTTCATTCTCCATCCTGGGCCAGTCTGATAGTTTCCTCGAGGCAGATCTCCTTTGTGATGGTCTCCTGTAAATCAAGCACAGGGATGCAGTTGCATGGGTCAGCATGTAAAATAACATGCTGTCCGCATAGAACGCGATGTGCAAAGTACCAGCGTAACTTGACATCCATGCCCCTTTAACACCTGTTTCCATAGCTACACTGTAATCCAGACATTTGAGAGGCAGACTTGCCTCTGCCAGGCCTGTCATTTCGGGGAAATAAATTAAGAAAGCTGATGACAAGGCCTGGATTATACAATTTCTTTAAAGTACAAAGCAGACCTGAAATCTAACCAGGAACGAACAGAGTTCAGATAAAATGGATAAAATCCATTTCCGGTAACCTTTGTAAGAAAATTTGAATGCAGCCTCCTTTATACATTTTGTTCCCCGACTCCCAGAAGCAGCATCATATGTTACACCTGGCAGCCGTATTTGTGGCACCATATTTTTCTTATTTTTAAGCGGTGCTACCATATTTTTTAAAACGAAAGTTTGGAAAAAATAAACAGATGGGAAGATACTGGTGGAGGGGGGACATGGTGCAAAGAGAAAAAGAGAGAAAGATGGAGTTAGGCAAGTGCTAAAGGGCAGAGCGTCAGTATCAGACACTGAGATATTTGCATATTCACAATATGTTTCTGGCCCAGAGCACGTTTTTCTGGCGTTCTGTATGTATTTCTAGGTCTCTATATTTATCCATGTCTCTGGCTACATATGTAAGACTAACTTTAGAGGTGGTGTGTTTGCTGGATGCTTTGCAGTGGTACTTGAAGAATTTCATGTTAAATATGCACTGGCAGCAGGAATGAGCTGCTCTCACATAGGAAGGGAAATAGGAGGGAGGTGGGGACCCCAGCCATGGTTCTGCAGCGTGCTGGCCAGCTGGAGACAGGGCCTTTCAACACTATTTTCATCAAGTGGTTCTGAGCCAGTTCATTTATTTTTGGATTCTCCTTAATTCCAAATCAAAGCAGGTGATACTAAAATCAGACTATGCTGCATGAGAACAACTACCCTCCTCCAAAAGACCCTCACCATGCTATTTTTCACCTCGTGGAATCCAGGTAATGCTTGCTTGCTTGAGTGCATTTATCTCCTTATTTAGTATGCAGGGGAGAAGGCTGTTTTGGAAGCAAAGAAGGTAAAGAGAGACTGAGTTTGAAGAAGGGGTTATTACAAGGATATGTGCTCTCCCAGGGACATGGCACTCGCCATTACGGGAATGTTCTCATCACTAGTTGCTTTATTTTAATGTCCTTTTCTTCATGCTCATGGCCATCCCAGGTAAAACTGATGACTCAGCCTGATTATTATTTTTGGATCATCAGTAAAATTTACTTTTGACTCAATATATTAAAAACTTGTCGGATCGCGTACAATATTAAACATTGCCTTTTAGTGATGTTCTAAATTTAGTATTTTATTTAAAATTGCTTTACAAGAGAAAATTTGCCAGTGGGTTTGCTCTGATTAGGTGAATCTCTTTTCTATATTGAAAAACAGAAGATAAAATTTATGAAGTAAAATTATTAGGCTGGTGCAAAAGCAATTGTGTGTTTTTGACATTAAAAGTAATGGCAAAACCTCAATTAGTTCTGCAAACTAACACATGAAAACTGAAGAAAACCATATATTATTAACTTGAGGTGATGTGTGTGTGTATGCATATATATATACATATATACATGTATGCATATATATATATACATATATACATGTATGCATATATATATACATATATACATGTATGCATATATATATACATATATACACATGTATGCATATATGTACATATATATACACACACATACGTATATAGTATATGCACACACATTTAGTTTTTTTTGTTCATACTAAAGTTTTATTTACCTTAATATGAACAAAAACAATGAACTTTAAGTTAATATAATGGAGGTAATATTTTGAAATGTTTTATTGTGCCTTAGTCCTTTGCTTTTGCAGTTATAAGCTCTTAATTCATTCCACCCAAAGCATCCGTCTGCACAGGGACTGTGGATAGAACATGACGGATGATATTCAACGTACAACCTACGACTATGCAGTGAGAAAAAAACCTGTAAGACAGGCTATTGACCTGAAAGAAGACTTTCTATTCCAGTCTAGAGAGCTACTTCTTTAGCCCCTGATGTCGCTGACAGGCTTACCTGCCTTAGGGAGTAAATTTTGATATAGTGGCAGTGTAAATAATGTGATCCCCCTTCCAGACTCAGGCAATGGTAGGAAGGAGAAGAAAGAAAGAAGAAAGAAGTGAAGATAAGTGAGTTCTGAGTTTCATCTTTTCTGGCTTTCCTCCAGTCTTATCTTGTAGGCTCTACCATCCATTCTGAATCTGAGATGCCACCATATCAAAGTCTCATGGTGGCAGAGAATGTGCTGAGGGTCCCCAAGACCACTTCCAGTTTCAGGGATTTGCTAGGAGGACTCACAGGGCTCAGCTTGTGGTTGTACTCACGGTTATGGTTTATTACAGTGAAAGGATACAAAGTAAAATCAGCAAAGAAAAAAAGGGCCTGGAACAAAGTTTGGTGGAACCAGACCCAAGCTTCTAAGAATCTCTCTTGGTGGACTCTCATTGGATGTACTTGATTCTCATGGCAACGAGGTGTGACAACACGTGTAAAATGTTGTTTACCAGGAAGCTCATTAGAAACCCAGTGCCCAGAGTTTTTACTGGGAGCTGATCATGAAGGTATCCTCTTCCTGGCAGTTGCCAAATTCCAGGCTCCCAGAAGGAAAACAGGTCTTCAGCAAAAACCACATCGTTTGCACAATAGTTGAGAGACAGTGATCCGTTCTTATTAGTTAATATGGTGGAAATCCTCCCAAAATCCAAGTCCTAGACACTAGCCATGGGATAACCTTGTAAGCAGGCCTAAGGCTAGCAGTCTCAGGCTTGCTGTGACTCTTTTCTGCATAGAGGGTAATCAGGCAGAGAGGCTCTGGGATAGGCTTTCCTGGCAGCCTTCAGTTGTCAAGTGGTATAAGTGCTGTATTAAATGATCATGGGATTGCTGTGGAGTCTGCTGTGAAATGAGATTGATTGTGCAAGACAGGCTGGGATGGGTGGGGATCACTGGTCCAGGTGGACAACACAGCAGTTAGGATCTGTAGCCAGCAGGAGTAAGGGGGGGACCAAGTTGTCCAGGGAATACCATCTAGAACCTTTCCCAAGGAAAGGCTGAACATTACCTAGCAGACAGTTTAGGTTACAGATCATTGCTTTAAGCCAAAATGCATACTCAATATATTTTATCTCCTACTCACCAGTGTGTAGTCATTTGGGGCAACAAATCCAGGTTAGAGACTGAATAAAGAAATCACATTTCCCCCCACATCTGCATTGTAATGTGACTTAAATTCTGTGCCTTTACTGTACTAGTAATTTTTATTTAATTTGTGAGAAAGGGTACTAAAGATATTTTCCATTTCACTATCCTAAAGCCCTTTTCCCCTTTTAGATATCTGCCAAAACTAAGGGCATTTTGCCACTAGGTGATGGTACTTTCCAATGTGCTTTAAATTCAAAGTCCAAGATACATCCAAATACAAAGCTCTTTTAAAGCCACTACGTGATAGTCTTCAAAAATGGCTGCCCACAATCCTATACCTCCCTTACCCCCACTAAGGTAAGGAGTCCTGATTCATCTAGTTCTCCTTCCGTGAAAACTGGGTAGGCCCTTGTGATTTGCTTTGATCGATACAATGCAGCAGGAATCCATAGTGTAACAGTCCTGAGCTGTCTGTTAGAAGCCTGACAGCTTCCTCTTTTTCTCTTGGGAAGTCTGCTGCCATGTAAGAAATCCAACCACCCCTGAGACCACCGGGCTGTGACTATGTCCAGTTATATATTTGGCAAGGCCGTGGGGAGGAGTACTTAAAGCCCTGCCAACAGGAAGAAGCAACGCCCCAGACCTGTGACCCCAGCGGAGCTGTCCACCAGGTTCCCAGCCATCTGCGTCATCCCAGCTAAGACTCCAGCTTTCGTGGAGCAGAGACACTCTTGCTATGCAAATTCCTGCTCTACGGATTCACAAGCAAATGAAATGGCTGTTATTTTAAATCATTAAGTTTGGGGGTAGTTTGTTATGCAGCAATAGATAACTGAAACACAGAAATTTGCATTTTATTTGCCGATAAAACTAAAAAGGTAATCTTCTAAAAAAACACAAATGTTCTTTATCACCTATATGAAAAAGCTTTAACTTATGCTTTTGGAGCCAAATTATCCTTTAAGTAGCCTAAGTTTACCAAATCTTTAAGTCCTTTTCACATTAAAACGTCTTAGGGCTTTTGACAGTACAGAGCAGGGAATGCTAAAATTTAGTGTCTGTTTTTGGAAGTAGGCAGTAGAAAATTTAGCATTAATTCTGTTACTCAGAAATCATTAACTATGTTAACTGCTTTGGTTAATTGGTTACTGATTTTTGCCTAAGAAAACATTTTTTACTTTTCATTATACAATTTTTCAAAAATATACAAGATAGGAAATTAGTATAAGGAACCCCCCTGCCACGAACCCTTCAGTCGACATCAATGATCAACATTCTGTCATTCTTCTGAGAAATCAATCTTATGATCATCCTTTTCATGTAGATTTCCTCCTAGGCACTTTTGTCTGAACCACGTGGCACAAATTGGCAGAGAACAAGGAAAAGAAGAACAGAGGAAGGAGAAAAGGAGAAAAGTCATTCTGCTGAAAACGTAAGAATCTCTTTTTTCATTCTCTTTAATCAGATGACTTATTTCTCCACTTAGCACTCTAGTTAGTGAATCAAGGAATATTGACTCCAAAACTGAAATAAAGTGATTAGCCTCACTAAATCCCTAGCAATAACTGCAGTTCAGACTTTAATAAGTGCCTCTGATATAAACCCTTCCAGAAATTATTTCTCAAAGGGCATCCTCTTGCAGAAAGGTTTAAACAAAATTTAAACAAGATTTTGAACATAGATTTACAATAGTTTCATGACAAAAGCTATGGTTTAAAATGTTTTAGAGTTGCTGTGGGTTTTCGACTGAGGACATAGTGTGTTATACATTAGCTGTTTAATGTGTTCAGTTGTTGAATCCAAAATTGCTTGGAAGGTTTAAACGTTGGCAGCCTTGAAAACAAACACTAGTCCGTGTTCCCAGAGCCTAAATGAAATCAAAGCAAACCTAATCATTTTCTTTCATATGACTAATAAAGATGTGAAAAAACAAGCTTCAGTTTTACATTTGAGCAGTAATCTTCTTAATTACATCTGGGTTACAAAATGCAAGGCTATGGTTCTTCTCCATAGTTGTAAAATGAAAGCTGAACGTTTATGTATTCCTTCTTCTGCATCATGTGACCAGGGTGGGCCTCATAAGAAGAAGGCAATGGGCCAACAGGAAATTTAATAGAGACCCTGTTTCTCTTTCTTTATTTGTTGAGGGTGGGTGGGGGGAGGTGGAAATCTTTGTCAGAGTTGTATTTATCTTGGGGTCAGAGTGTTCTCTCTCAGTTTATGAATATGTGGTGGGACAAAATGAAAGTGTAGATTAGATAAATATAAGTAGGTAAAAATAGGAATTTGCTGATAGAAGGCTGCTGAGCATTTTGGCAGGCCTAATGGTTTTGGAAAGCTTTTTGTAAGGCCGAGCTGATTTTGTTTGCTTCTAAAACAATGATAGGCCCTGAGTGTTGAGCTGTAAGATACCTGCTTTTATAGGTATTTCCCCATTGAGGTAAATTAATTGTATATTTCTTTTTGAAGGTTCTTAAAAAATTAAATTCTGTTGGACACACAGAGAGCACCATGAATATCAGCACACTCAGATGTCATAAGTTTCTTAATTAGGGTTTGCAAAGAACATCACGCTAAAAGAGGAATATCTGAATGAAAGTTTTGATTAACTTTTCTCTAGTGAGTCTTGTTGCTATATTGCTACATATGCTTAGATTTTTTATACAATGGTCAATGTCTTAGTTGTTTTATATGTGAAATAGAGCTAATAAAACCTGTACTATCTACCTGATATTGTTCAAAAAAATTAAATGACATTAACCAGTGGCTTGAAAACAGGTTGAAAAAGTTCAAGTAGAGGATGAAAACCTGATTGTGAACATTAGTGTTATTTATAGAGTGCTATGTCATGCAGAATAGAGGTTAGGAAGGGGAGTTTCAAAGAAACATGGCAGATGTTACTATTAATATAAACAAGATTGTAATTCTTAAGTAAATAATTTGTTTCCAAGACTAGGAAAATAGATAAAAATGAAATAAATACATGGATTTTATCATTATTCTTTCCTTGCTATTAACATTCATTGGTAGATCAGTAGGTATTTGGTCTTTATTCAAAGAATATATGTGCATTGTGTGCAAACTTACACATACACATTGATTTTCTAGCAACTGGTAGAGTCTGATAACACTAAGTACAGCAATCTAAATGGACATCATTGATGTAAAAAGTTAGAAAAAGAGTTCTATAAAGGACTGAGCTCTACTAGGGGAAATATGTCACTACAAGAACTTGCTTAACCTTCTGTTTCTGTTTTCTATTGCTGCATAATGAACCACCCCAAAATTTAGTAGCCTAAAACAATAACTATTTTATTGCTATCATTCTGAGTGAGGAATCATGGCTGGGAGCAGTGGGGACTGGCTCATTTCTGCTTCACATGGTGTGAACCAAAGCAGCTCAGCTGGGCTTGAGGATCCAAGGTGGCCTCACTCACAGGTCTGGGATTCAGTGCTGGCTGCTGGCTGGGGCTCTTCAGTCCTTCTCTGCCTGGCTTCTCTCTCATCCTCCAGGGGACTCTCTTCACATGGCCTCTCCTCCAGCATGATAGCAGGTCTTTACATGATGGCCAGGGTCCAAAGGGCAAAATGGAAGCTGCAAGATCTCTGCAGACCTGGATCCAGAACTGAGAACAGCAAGTACCTATCTCTTGGCCTCCTGTGATGTGAGAAAAACAAACTCCTAAATATTCAAACTATTCTGGCGGGGTATTCTGTTAGGTGGAGTTATGTTATCATTCCTGTCTGCTCCAACACCAAAGCCTGGCTTGTCTGGAGACTGAGCCTTTCTTCCTCTGCCCTCTGTGTTGTTTAGTGTCAAACACCAAGGCTTTCCTCAGGTAGCCAGTACTATCACTGTGTGGATTATTGTTTTAAATAAGAATGGTGAGCATTTCACCATTTTATTTGCTTTGTTTTGGGTTAAACCCTTGTTAATAAGAACATTTAATTAAACAGAACATTTATGTTGCCCTGAGAAATACAGTTTTTCTAGGTGAATTTGGTGAGAGGCGACTGCCTTGTGAATTTCAAAAAGGATGCTGCAGAGAAGGAAATGGTACAGGAAGAAGAATTAACTGGTAACAACAAGCATTAATATTCATGACAGCCCTCCAAAGAACCTTAAAGAAAAGGGAGACAGCCAAAGCTAATGGATTATTTTCATAAACCTTTACCTCAATAAATAGTTGTAGAGAATTAATCTAGCATCAGTATGATCATAAGATTCTAATCATACACTCTTCCTCAAATGTCATAGCTGAGAACAGAAGTAAACCATACCTTATACTTGAATACTTGTTAGCTAAATCACATCTTGGCTGGACTGCATGAAATCTGATAGATTGCAAAGTAGCAGATGTGTGGACTGAAAATCAGAAGACAGAAATCAGCTACTTCACTATAGCCTGCCCTTTCCAAGGCTTCTGAACTTTGAAAGGGATGCTGATTAATTATTAGAAAATTGATTCAAGGACACGAGAACTTAAAAACGCAACAACAGATCACATGAAAATGGCTATTATCTTTGTGACAGAAAGGGTCCTTTCCATGGCTTACTGTGTCTGAAGGTAATCTGCTGAAGGGAAGCTACAGAGTAAGGCACAGGAGGGAAAAAGCCAGATGTCATTAAAAAGGTCAGTCCAGCGAGGCCTTCTAACCTTGAGCTTCATCCTTTCTCCCTTTCTTTCTCTCCCTTCTCCTCCCCTTCATGGGGATCGGCCACTCTTGGTGTTTTTCCTCAAGTGAACATAAAAATGGGTCCAAATCATCTAGTCTTGTTAGACTGGTCCATAGATTTCTAGCCATGAGGGCCTCTTTATTCCAGAGCTGTGTAATAAGCTGAAATCCTAGATCATTTACTCCACAGAGGACCTAGGGGACTGCATTCAAAAGACAAAAACTCATGTTGTGAACACCACTGAAGAGAAACACCCTCTCTGTTGACTGGTCACACTTTCCATTCGTGATCACAGATGGGCACACAGTGCTATTTTTTTCTTAGCCTTCGGTGTTGGTTTCTCCTCACCTTCCTGACTGCTCAAATGTTTTGGTGCTCTAGGACTTCGGAGGAGCCCTCTTGCCTTCGCGCTTTCCTTGGGTGAATACTTCTAGGTCTGTAACTTTAAATATCTATCTATATGATAATAACTTCCAAATTCATATCTCCCAACCAGATTTCTCCCATAAATTCTGGGCTCCTAGATCTACATGCTACTTGACATCTTCTTTTAAATGTTGATAGGCATCTTAAACTCAACGTATTTTTAAAAGTCTTGATGAATGGCCCATCTCCATCAACACACAAACACACACACACACACACACACACACATCCCTTCCTTTTCTAGGACTTCCTGTATCAGTAAAGGCGCCCTCCCACCTGCACTTACTCAATTGTTCAAGCCAAATAGCTAGAAGACATTTCTTATTTTTCTCTTTTACTTTCCCCAAAATTGATTCTATCAGCATGTCAAGGCAATTCAATCTCTAAAACATATCTGGAATCTATCTTATTCTCCCGCATTTTTACTATTAACACCTTAGTCTAAGTCTGTAAGCCACCATTGCAAATGGATTAAGCCACTCTCTTGCTAACTGTTTTCCTTCCTTCTTTTTCTGACTACAGTTGATTCCCCAAACAGGAGTGGAAGCAGTCTTCTTAAGAATGTAAATCTGATCATGCCACTCCTCTGCATAAAACCATCCAATACCTTCTCAGACACATAGAATAAAATCTCATTGCTTAAAGCCCTGCATGATCTGGTCCTGCCTGTCTCACCCACTGATCCTACAGCCCCTCTTGCCTTCTGAGTGTGTTTCCAACCCATAGCCCTTTATCTCTCCCTCAAGCACATCAAGTTCGCTCCTGCCTTTGATCTTTTGCATCTGCCATCCTTTTTTGCCTGGAATATCTTTCCCTCAGAACATTTTATGGATGGATTTTTCTTGTCATCTAGTTGTCATTTCAGATGCTGTCTCTTCAGACTGTCCCTTTCCAAGCACCAATTGCATCACTCTTTTTTATTTTCTTCATGGCACTTCCATTGTGTGATATTGTTTATGGAATATCTCTCCTGGTAAATTGTGAGCTTCTGAAACAGGGACCATACTTGTTTACTTCTCTACTGAATCTCCCATACCTAGAATAATGTTTGGCACATACTGCTTTTTCAGTAAATATCTGTTCAATGTAAGATTTCAGACTGGGCACCTAGATGTTCAAAGCCTAATCCTCAGGTGAGTGAACATATGAGTGATGCATGACATTTGATGATACCGCTCCTAGAAAGGACTCTTCTCCTCCATACCCCAAATCCACCCCACTCTATTTGGATGAGTTTGTCGTCTTGGGATTTTATATGCCAAAATATATATATATATATATTTGGGCCTAGTAAGATTCCAAAGCAAGGAAGGGGTATTTTCTTTTTTTTTTTTTTCTAAATCAAATATTTGTCCAAACATATTTCAATAGGTATTGGTATTTTTACTTTATTGGAGAGAATTATTTTCAGGACAGAAAATGTTCTTTCTACATTTATTTCAGGCATAGGATTCTATAAGTCTATTTTTCTTACATTGTATTTTCTTTACTTAAATATGGAGGAGTTACCAACAGTGTTCACATAAACTGTCTTCTATACTTAGTGGAGTCAAAGGCTAAGCGGGTGTCTTGACTTGACTTGTCTTCCAGATTTCTGCAGACATACAAGAGCAGAAGTCATTTTTATGGTCAAATTTGTTTCCATTTCTTTTGAACTATGCGACATGTTTTTCCTATTTGTTAATGGTGACCTTTAAGCATTTTGCCATTGCAAAAACAATGCGTAGTTTTATTTATTTATTTAATTCCTGGTGATAAGCCATCATAACTCCATTTAAAAAAACATTCCTATTTGGAAAATTTAATGCAAATTCAAATTTAGACTAGCAAGATACATCAAATCACATGTCATTGTTGAACTGAAAAGTTGACTAGTCTGATATTTTGTCTCCAAAGAATATTTTTAAAAATGTAAATTAATTGATTTATTCTGCACAGCACAATAAAAATGATAAATCTGTGTGAGATTAGAGTCTACCACAGATTCTGATTTGCTTATATAATGGAAACTATTTTAATTGACATATTTATTTAAAAATCAGGAATTTGTATCTATTTAAAAACTAAAAATCGGGCAGTTTATAAACACCATGTGTAAGTACATATATATACACACATATAAAATATTACTCAGACTTATTTTTATGTTTTTTCCCAATGTTATAAATAATTTGCCAGAAATCCTTAAGACTTTTTAATTGAGTAGCAATTTTTGTTTTTTCAGGTAACAGTACTGGCACTAGGAATGGGTCAAAAATTTTAAAATACTGTCTAAATATGATTGTTGTTACCAAGTAATTTTTGTTCTTGGGTGTTGTCCTTTTATCTAAAGTAGCATAAAATATGGGAAAGCAGTACAGATTGGTATCAGAATACATGATGTCTTGGAAAGAGAATGAAAGAGAGATTCTAAGTGTTCTGGTTCTGGTTCTAGGACTCACTAATCATCTGTATTTATAGATAAGCTATACTCCTTTGGGTCTCAGAATTTCCAAACATGTTTTTCAGTAAACTCGTCTGAAGGATATTCATATGCATTTCACTAAGAAATATTTCAATAATCAAAACATTGCGGATATGTTATATAATATCCTGGTGTAGTCTTGAAAATTCATTAGGAATATTATCATATTAAAGCATTAAAAATACAAGAAAAACTAGTCTGATGTTAAAAACTTGGCATTTCCCGAATATTGTTACTCACAGAACTTTCATTTCTTTTTTTTTCTTCTCAAATCTTTAAAAATTTTTCTCAGAACACCTATCAAATCTTGCAAATCAAGTGTGCTGTAGTAGCCCAGCTTAGGTGAGGTCATACTACAAGATTCTTAAGGTTCTTTCAAACCCCAACCGTCTATGTTTCTTTATATCAAAATGATAAAACTAATAGCTCAGAGGAAGCAAGAGACCAAACTTTCAGAATTACCCTGTATTTATTCTCATAATGTAATATAATCAGTCAATAAAATGTAGAACTTTCTCTTATCACCCATGTCAACCAAAAATCTAAAGGCCTAGAATTTACATCTACTTAAGGCTTGTTTAAAAAATCTCATTACATAAAACATGCAGAAAGACCTAAGTAAGTGATAAGCCTGAGAATATTTACTATGTTTCCTGCTTGTTAGATTTGATGTCCTCCTTTGGTGCCTCAAATAATGTTTTTGCTATCACGATGCTTTGGAGAGGAAAGAGAAGAAGAATGATCACTTAAAATCAAACCTTGGGGACAGTTTCATTGGAAAAAAAGGGCCATGAGAAACAAGCACCAGCTTTCTGCTTGTATCATAGTAGAATTGCCATGGATCCATTTGAATCGACAATGCACAAGCGATGCAATCATTTGTGGTGCCATAGTGTTTACCTTCTCGGCTTAGTTCCCTTGAAGAAATTAATGAGCCATCTTTATGTTTCAGGCCCTAGGCCAGGCACTGGAAATATGCATGAGTAAAACATCGTCCCAACACCCCATGATAAATGTTCTGATGGGTAAATGTGCAGGATATTAGAAAAATCCAAATGCAGTGTGAGTATGCATAATCTAGGAAGAGAAAATACAAGAGAAATACAGTACAACAAGAACACCAAAGTAAATGAAGGAAAACCTCTAAGGTGGAAGCTGAGAAAAATTATTGGTCCTAGAAGGAAATGGGGCCAGAAGACATGGGACATAGTTGCTGCTGTGGTTTGGATATTTATCCCCCCAAAACCTCATGTTGAAATTTGATCCCCAATGCTGGAGGTGGAGCCTAGTGGGAGGTGTTTGGGCCACAAGGACAGATCCTTCATGAATTGCTTGGTGCTGTCCTGCTGTCCTGGTGGTAAAGAGTTCTTGCTCTATTAGTTTCTGTGAGAGCTGATTATGAAAAAGAGCCTGGCACCTCTCCCATCTCTCGTTCTCTCTCTGGCCATGTGATCTCTGCACATGCTGGCTTTCCCTTCACCGTCTGCCATGAGTGGAAGCAGCCTGAGGCTTTCACCAGATGGCCAATCGTCCAGCAAGCAGAATTATGAGCCAAATAAATCTTTTTTCTTTGTAAAAACCAGTCTCAGGTATTTCTTTATAGCAATACACATGGACTAAGACAGTTGCCACAGAAAAAAGAGCCAGGAAGAGCAAGTCTCAGTAGTTAATGGATCTCATTTCAAAGAAATTTATCAGAGGATTCTAGACTTTAAGAGAAAGGGGGTCCTTGAAGCTTATTAACTTGCTCATAGCACAAATGAGTACACAAAATCCAAGATCACAAAGCAGGTTTGTGGCAGAAACAAGACTGGAAGCTAGAAAGTCTGACCTTAAGCTCATGTTTCACTGTTTTATTATTTAAATTATTTAGGGATCCTGTGATTTTTTTTTTTTAACCATCACACATAGTTTGAAGTAAGTCGACCATTGTTTATGTGATGTAAGATAGATTTTAATGATGTTTATTTTAATGAGATTTAAGCCATGAACCATTAAACCATTTTAGGAAAGCTATGAACCTTTAAACAATTTTAAGAAAGTCCATATTAGAGGAACAGAAGTTCAGCTTGTACACAGAGAAAATGGCAAATAGAAGATTCAAGGCACATGAGGAAGAAAGAATTGACCTGGTCTCCGATGATATATGGAGGTGGAAAGAAAGGAAGGAAGATGTCAAAACTAATTCATATTTCATTTTCAAGTGACTGGAAAAATGTTGATACCATTGCCAGCTGGAAGTAGCCTGTAGGGTAGGAAAGCAATGTTGATGTCTCCAAAGGGGAGAACACAGAGGCTGGGATGAGAAATTGTCTGTAGAGTAGAGAGGGAGAACTGGAAAAGACAAAGTCTCTGCAGGGTGAATCAATGGCACCTGACTATGGACTGTACATAATGAATGAGGCCAAACGAATTTAAAAATCATGGTGATGGAAGGGCATGCAGCCTGAGGCCTGCTATAGGGTTGGAGTCAGGAAAGACCTCTGGAACAAACATTAATATTTTCTTTACTTGAAAAACTGCTATAAATAATCATAAAATTTTAGGTCTAGGAAAACTATAGCAGGTAATCGAGTTTTTTTCTGCCTCTAAAAAATTACTCCTTAGGCTTTAACAATGGGTAATGCAGAGTGTGTGGTTTGTCCTATTTTTAATAACTTCCCTTGATAAAATATTTGAATACCTATCAATCATTTTATTACTAAATCATTCCACATGCATAACTGTGGGCCCTCATTTCTATTTGGTCCATTTCCTTGAATTTAAATCAAGAATAGATAAATCACTAAGGCATTACCTCCATTCCGCTCCCTAAAGGTATTTGAGAGACAACCCTCGTAGTCTTCTATTCTTAGAACTACATTTTCTAGTTTTGTGAAGTTTTCCTCATGGACATTGTACATCAGCTTCAGTGATATGGTTCTATTTGTCCAGCTTCAATTTGCCTATAAATTATTTTAGTTGAAGAGACAAGAAGCAGAAACAGTTGTCTTGTAAACAAAACAAAACAAAAACAAAACAAAGCAACATTCAGATAATGGATGAGCATATTGTATTTCCTGCAAGTTCTAGTTTTATTTATGTAGCCAGAAAGAACCCTTTTGAACTTCTTAAAATAGTGCTATGTATTTTATACGAGATAGGTTTGATATGTAACATATAAAGCCTCCCATTAATCCCTCCAGAATACATAAAAATAATTTTGCCCTCCTTTGCCAGACATTGGCAATTGCTTTGGGAAATATGTAAATAACTTGTTGAAATACTTTCCCAAGCTCCTTCTCCAGCATTCTTGTTTTCTTTTCAATTGAAAGACTTAACTCCAGTACCACAATTTAATACAACAAAGGAACATATTTTCCCAGGTAGTGCAGAAATAATAAATGGAAAAGATTCCCACAGCTTCCAGAGCCTGCTACTTAACATTACTTTTTTGAATCTACAGAAAATAAATTGATCCATTGATAATTTTAATAGATGTCTGAGAAAATAAAAACAGTGTATCAATTCTTGTCAGTGGCAATATTCATCTCTTTCCTTCTGTGTAGCAGCAACTCTTTGGGATCGCTCATCATAGAGACATTATAGATATTTGCAGAGGGAAATGAGAGGGCATAAGTTATTTTATTTATAGACAATTCAAATTCTTCCTGCAAAGAATTTATAGCAACACATAAAAAAGCTAAAATACTGGCATTCTTACTTCCAATCCTGCCCATCCTTTTAAGTCACTGTCCCTAAAATCCTCATTTCCTCTCCCAAATTTTCCAAAGTGTTTCCTTCACGTTTTCAAATATATCCTTGTAAGCTCAGCTCTTTTCTGTTTGTATAAAAGTAAGGTAACTATACTGGTCTCTGTAACTGTCGATAACTTGCATTTTTCACTTTGACCTTATTTAAAGTGTGCAAATATTTAGCCCTTGAATAATATCAATTATGTAAATATGTATTTGCACATTCTATTTTCTTGAAAAGATACCATGTGATAAGCATATTCACTATTTTTTTTCTAAAATGGTACCAAAATGTTATAAATATTGGTATAAAAAAGGAGACAACTAATGGATTGGTGAAAATTTGTGGGAGCTAGATTAAGTTGATAACTATTCATGGGGTTGACAAATTTTATTGCGTTGCTGGTGCCATGTAGAAGAGGGTCTTTTTAGACAAGGCCATTGATTTGATGTATTTATAGCAGAATTTTCTAAAGTGTTGTCAGAGGGCCGTCTTTACAGGATCAACTCGCCTTTTAAAAATTGCAGATATTTGTGTCCCATCTGTGTCTGACTGAAAGAAAGTTTCTAAATGGAGAGGGCCTTAGAATCCACATTTTAAGCAAGCAGTTCAGGTTATTCTCCTCACGTTAAAACACCTGGGCATCATTTGTTGATAACATGTTACTAAAACAACATTTGTGTTTTAACCCAGATCTCCTTCTTAAATTCAGAATCTGTTTCTAGAAGGAGCTATTAGTTTACTTTCTTGAGTGCTCTGTGGGTATCTCGTATTCATTGCATGCTTCATCCCACTAAACCTGCCCTTCCTTTTTTACTTGTCTTGCCAATCAAAAGCCTAAGAGTCACCCTAGACCCTGTCCACACCTTCATCCTCAGTACCCAAATCACCAATAAGAGCCTTCGTGTCTAGCTTTTACGATTCTTGTGTCTTATCACCTCCTCTCAAACCTCACCTTTTCTAACATGCCAACTTATAAAGATTTTCATCTCTAAAGTGATGAGGCCCAGCAGAGCAGCACATCACTGGCCTTTATGAGTCTCCACAATTGGCACAACAAGGAGGAACAGTGGGAGTGATCTGTCACCTGTGCAGGCTAGAAGTCCTGTTTTTGTTACTGTTGGTGAAAAATTTTTAAAAATAATAAAACTGTTGGTTTGCTTTAATCATCACCATTAAGTAATGTTAGTAATAAAATACTCCTTGCTGCCAAACTGTTCCCCCCCTTCCCTTGACACACGGTTGGCCCACACTATATACTTTCTACATATTTCTATTATCTTCATACATGCCATTTTATGTTATAATGAGCTGCTTACGTGTTTGTCCATCTCCCTACACTGTGAGTTCTTTTTTTCTGAGTTCTTTCTATATTTTATATTTCCTACTAACCAGCAAAAAACTCTCTATGCATTATACACACTTAATAAATATGAGTCTTGCATATTGGAATAAATTTATTATTATAACATTATATACAAGAAATGGATTAAACTGCAAGACTAGGTACATGTATCTGCATAACTCATTTTCAAAAACATCTCTAGAAATTGTGAAGCAGGGATATTTTAGAATTACAATAACATGTAGGTATGGGAAACAGAGAAGTGTCATCAGTGGATTAGGTAATTTAAAGAATAATGAAGTGACAAAGTCAAGTAGGTATGACTATTTGAATAAATCACTCCCCTAACACTGGCTGAAGAATACATTAAAACACAAAGATACACACACACACACACACACACACACCTATCAACAGGTGAACATGGAATATCAGGTTGAAAATTAGCAAAGACCCCCATGTGCACACACACATTCACACCACTCATATTTAAGGAAAATGAATACCATAAAATAGAAAGTAGTATAGTAAACTTAAAATAAATATAACTCATATACATAGATAAAAATAAAGCATATTTCATCAGGAGGAAAGAATAGTTTTTCATGAAAAAGGAAAAACTAGAATGTAAAAAATATAATTATGGGTATAAACAGAAGCTCAATTCTCAGTAGCAGAATGGAGGCAGCAGAAGAGTAAATTGTTGAACAGAAATATTGAGCCAGAGAATTGTCCAATATTTATCACCAAAGAGCAAAAGAATAAGTACTTTGAAAACATAGTTAAGAGGTAGGAATCATAGATATAGAATTTAAAATATTCTTTTCATAAGAATTACAAAAGGAGAGAACAGTAACTGGAAGACAGGAAATAAACACATAATATTGAAAAAACTTGATAAAGATAAAGTAAAACATGGAACTTTGGGATAAAAGTGCTTCCCAAGTGCCTACCAAAATCAATGAAAACAAAGAAAAAAAATCTGCATCTAGGTATACCTTGTGGTAAAATTTCAGACTTTCAAAGATAAGGACACTATGCTAACAGCTTCTGAAGACAAACCATGACACAAACAAGTTGCCTGTAAAACATAATGCATAAATAAAAAGATCACGGCTTATTATTTTTCTTCTGCCTTCCTTGTCAGCATCCTTCATGCATTGAGCAGACTTTGGAATTGTCAGTCTCCAAGGTTGACTTTGTTTACCAGTATTTTCTTTATTTTATTCATCTTTAAAACTGTTTAAAAACAGCTTTCCATTCTATTGATCAACTCCTATGGGTAAACCAAGGAATGTGATTGCTGAGTCATATGATAAAAGTATGTTCAGTTTTGTAGGAGACTGCCAAACTAGCTTTCAAAGCAGCTTACCACTTTGCATTCCCGCCAGCAATTAATGACAGTTCCCATTGTTCCACATCCTTGCTAGCATTTGGTGTTGTCAGTGTTTTAAGTTTTGGCCATCGTAATAAGTGTGTAGTAGTATCTTATTGTTGTTTTAATTTGAAGTTCCCTAATGACATAACATTGAGCATCTTTTCATATGCTTATTTGCTATCTCTTTATCATCTTCAATGAGTTGTGCAGGTCTTTTGCCCATTTTAAAATTGGGGTGATTATTTTTCTTATTGCTAAGTTATAAGAGTTCATTGTATATTTTGGATAACAGTACTTTATTAGATATGTCTTTTGCAAATATTTTTTCCCAGCCTTCTTGTTTTCTTGATACAGTTTTTTTTTCTAATTCCAGCATTTTGAAAACATTGTTTCACAGTATTCCGGCTTCCATTGCTTCTAATGAGAAATTAGCAGTTCTTCATTTTGTTCTATGTACAGAACGTGTCTTTTTCCTTTGGCTGCTTTCAAGATTTGTTTTCTTTGTTTTTTTTTTTTTTTTTTTTTTTTTTGAGATGGAGTCTCCCTGTCGCCCAGGCTGGAGTGCAGTGGTGCGATCTCGGCTCACTGCAAGCTCCGCCTCCTGGGTTCACGCCATTCTCCTGCCTCAGCCTCCTGAGTACTGGGACTATAGGTGCCCGCTACCTCGCCGGGCTAATTTTTTGTATTTTTAGTAGAGACAGGGTTTCACCATGTTAGCCAGGATGGTCTTGATCTCGTGACCTCGTGATCTGCCCACCTTGGCCTCCCAAAGTGCTGGGATTACAGGTGTGAGCCACCGTGCCTGACCGATTTTTTTTTTTTTTTTTTAGACAGAGTCTCACCCTGTCACCCAGGCTGGAGTGCAATGGCGTGATCTTGGCTCACTGCAACCTCCACCTCCCAGGCTCAAGCGATTCTCCTGTCTCAGCCTCCCAAGTAGCTGGGATTACAGGCGTGCACCACCATGCCTGGCTCTGGCTAATTTTTTGTATCTTTAGTAGAGATGGGGTTTCAGCATGTTTGCCAGGCTGGTCTTGAACTCCTGACCTCATGATCCACCCACCTCATCTTCCCAAAGTGGTGGGATTACAGGCGTGAGCCACTACACCAGGACTTTTCTTGGATTTTTATCGGTTTGACTTTGCTGTGCTTGGTTATGATTTTCTTTGTTTTATCCTACTTTGGGATGTCTGAGATTGTTAAATCTTTTTGTTTGTATTTTTGGAACAAAATTTGACATTTCTAAAGCAATGTTTTCTTCCAATTTTTTTTTCATGTTTTCTCTTTTCTCTCCTTTTGGGACTTCAGTTACACATGTATTATACTACTTAATACTAGCTCATAAGTCATTAAACTATGTTTATTTTATTTAATTCATCTTTCTTCTTTCCTTTGGCTAGGATAATTTTTACTGTTTTGCCTTCAAGTTCACTGACCCATTCTTCTGTTTTGAATGTGCTTTGCTTATCCAATAAGTTTTTCATTTTAAGATTACACTTTTTAGTTCCAGATTGCATTTAGTTGTTTTTAACAGTATTTAATTCTCTGCTGATATCTTCCATCTTTTCATTTGTTAAGATCACTTTTCCAGTTCTTAAACATACTTATCATAACTTTTAAATGTTCTTTGTCTATTATTCAATATTAGGAGTCACCTTCATGTTGTAAAAACAGTTGAAAGCATTACTATTTTCAGATAATCTATATTTGCCTAGAGAATTGACCCTAAAACTATTAAAACTAGTAAGAAAAAATTAGTGAGCTGTGTATATAATGCACTATACAATAATCAATATGCTTCATGTGTAAATAAACTCAAAATATGTATGACTTGTTTTAAAATATAATTTTTATTGACACAAATTAAGATGGAAAATTGTTTTGAATAAGATGCCTCAATATTGTAAGGATGAATGTTCTTCCCAAATGGATCAAATTTATGATCGTTCTAATTGAAGTATAGATATGATTTTTTTTCTGTGTTTGAAATTGCTTGGTGAACTCCTAAGTTCATCTGAAAGAAAAAAGCATCAACAGAAATCTAGAAAGAATTTAAAGTAAGAATAGAGAGCAGATATTATAATATACTAAAAAAGCTGCAGTCATTAAAGTATATAAATATTGGCTTTGGCACCTTCAGTGCAAGCACTTCATTCCAAACTACCATCATATTTTCCCTCTATTAGTCATTACTTTTTAAACTGGTATTTCTGCTTCCACTATTTCCTCTGTTATTTATTCTCAGCCCAGCTGCTAGAATAATCCTGTTAAAATATAAATCAGATGATGTCACTTCTATACACAGACTGCCAATGGCTTCCCATCTCACTCAAAATAAAAGCTGAAATTCATACTGTAACTACAAAGTCATACAAGATCTGGCTCTTATTTGTTTCTTTTGTCATCTCTTATTGTCCCTCTTTACTGCTTGTCCTTCATGTTCAGCAAGCACACTGGGTATGCCCGTGCCTTGGGAAGAAGCAACTGGATGGGGTGGAAAGGAGACTGAGTTACCTACAGCAGGTAGCAGGGCCTCTGCAGTGAAGCTACTCAGTGACTAGAAGAGCAGCCACACTCTCTGGATCCTGAATTAGAGGCTTGGCAAGTCAGCACTGTTCACAATTGTGGAGCTGGTCTCTGGAGGTCATGTCCACATGTCATGTCTGGAGTTGACTAGTCACTGTCATAGGTAGCTTCTTCTAGCAGATGTAGAATGTTCAGGTTGCAGCAATGATCAGGAAGAAGGCCATTGGGATCATGTTTCTCAACACATGCAATTTACTTAGTGGCTTCATTTTGACGTTCTCATTCCTTTCCACTGGACATTTGTTGAGCTTTGACAATCCTACCCTGTCTCCTTCACTCTACATCCTAGAGAGAAGAGAGATGTGCTGAATATAACTGTCTTCTGTCCTGGAAGCACCACTGAGTTCCTTTGACATCTTTTTCCCTTCCTCAGATGTCATCATTTCACAATGCATGCTTTTGTTTGCTAATTCAAACTAATGTTGCTCCTCTCCAGGCCAGGGGCTGTTCTGCTCACCTGTGTCAAATGGTGCTACTTACGATATGCATTAAGGCAGCATTCTATTTCTGTCTACACAAAGAGCTGCTGGAAGATGTTTTCACTGTGGGGAAAAAAGGCTGTATGATGGGGCATCTGACTCCAAAAGCGTAAATGTGCTCTTTCTGAGGTATAAATGCCTAATTTCAGATCATTTTCAAGAGCACATGGAGACAGAGAAGAGGAAAGAATACTGGCTATTTGGAGTAAAAGCTATCATGTTAGAGGAAAGGAGTAGTGTGGAGAAGAAGTTTGCTTTGCCCATTTAACACATTTTATTTGATACTTATTTTAAATATTAGCAAGTAGAATGTCAGATGTGAGGCAGAAGCCTTTTATAATATGGCAATGTTCCACCTGAAGAGAAAGGATCACACTCAGCATTTTGAAGTTTGTTTTATTTTACCTGAACAAATTTCAGCACCTTTTTCTTTCTTTAATACTCATTTTAACTAGGAAGCACTATTGATTGCAAAGTGTAAAACTTTTCTGATTAACTTTGCAGTGCTGTGGCCGAGGCTTTTTAAGGAAACATTTAACCTTAGAATCCATAGTTTAAGTCTCCTTCTGCACCAACCAATTTTCATTTTGTCTCTGGCTAGTCGACGATCTCCATAATTTCTTTAACTTGTTCTTCCAAGCTGGCGATGTATTTAGTTGCTGTCACTGACAAGCACAGACTAAATAATAACACAAATAAGCAAAGTGATTTAGGTGACAGCTTGTTGGCTTTGTCACAATAGACAGAAGACCTAGTTAGTAGATAGTTGCTAGCAGGGTGATTTTAGATAAATGGTGAGAATAAATTTTATGTTTTATTGTTAAGGTAATTTTCAAAGTTAATTGTAACTTGTAATATGTAAGGCTCTGTAAAGAGGAATAAAAGTCACTGAAATTAAAGCTGTATGACCTGGGGATGAATCTTGAGCCAATACCTTTGTGGGTTTCTGTTTTCTCATTGGCATAAAGCATCCAGACTGATTTGTTCACAGAACTGGGATAAAAATGTAAATGATAATATGTGAATATAACTAGCACAGTGCCTGACAAATTACAGTACTTTTCAATTGGGATTTGAAGATATTTTGGGGAAACATCAGCAACTTTATATTGGATTCTTACTCATAATTTTTAAGCCATCAAATTAAAAAAATATATCTATTGAAGAATAACCTATGTGTAGAAAGATGCATTACTCTTAAATGTATGGATTGATGAATATAACTTTATAAAGTGAGTATAACTTTATAAAGTGAGTATAACTTTATAAATATGACTCAGATTAAAAATATTATCAGCACCCCAGAAGCCCCCTCTTGCACCATCCCAGCCACTATACCTGCAAAGGTAACCACAGTCCTAATGTCTATCTACATCAGTGTTCCTGTTTATGAACTTTATGTAATCAAATTCTCTATTCCATTTTTTGTGTCTGGCTTCTTACTGTCTCTATTATGTTCATGAAAAATATTCATGTTATGTTCTTTAGCATGAATTCATCCATTCCCAGTGCCATAAAATATTTCATTATAACAATTTATTTATTCATTCTACTATCGGTGAATGTCAGGGACTTTTACATTTTTGACTATTAAAATATTACTACTATGAATATTGTGCATGCATTTTTTGGTTTACATGTATATGGAGTTTTAAAATTTTTCCTCAATCTTTTATTTGGGAAAGAATAAAAGTTAAAAAAAATGTTGAGAAATAGTACTATGCCCTACGTATAGTGTATAGCCCTATGCCATTCATCTACTTTTACCAATTATTAACATTTTATCACATTTTCTCTTTGTTTCTATTTCTTTCACCTCTGAGTACTTTATTGAGTTATCTCTTAAAAACAAGGGCATTTTTTTCTATGTAAGTACAATTAGCACACTCAGGAAATGTAACTTTGATAGAATACTATTATTTAATAAGATACCATCAATATTGAGACTTCTCTGTTTATACTAACAATGTGTTTTATGGCTGCCATTTTAAAAACAATGATTATTATTTTAAGATCTAGAATTAAGAATCTTGCATTCAGGTACCAGGTTATTTTAATCTCCTCTAATCAAAAGAAATTCCTTAACCTTTTCTTGTCTTTTTTGACTTTAATATTTTTGAAGAGTTCTGGGTATTTACTTAGCATAATGTTCCTCACTTTGGACTGGTCTGATTATTTTGTATGTATACATTTCTGTTCACAATACCTCTAAGTAGTGGAACTTTTGCATCAGAAGTCTGCACAGATTCAGCTCTATTAGCTATTGCCAAAGAGTTTTCCAAGGAAAAATGTTCAATTTATAATCCCTCCAGCATTATATCAGCGTTCTAGTTATCATGAAGTAATCATAGGACTTGGCCAGAATTTTGACTTGACAGTGTTTTTAACATTTTAACTATTATGATGGGTATGTAGTAATATCTTGCATTTCTCTAGTTATTTTGAGAAATTTATCATAGTTAGTATCCATTTGCCTATTCCCTCTTACGAAGTGAATTTTTAGACCTTTTTGTGAAGATGATCTTCAATCATTTAACTTATTTTTCATATATGCATATAAAGCTATTACAGCTTTAATAGAATCTCACAAGTTTTTAAAAACAGCTTTATTGAGATACAATTCACATACCATACAAATCCCCCATTTATATTATATACAACTCAGGGGCTTTTAGTGGATTGACACATCTTTGCATCCATCATCACTATAAATGTTAGAGTTATTTTTTTATTACCATGAAAAGAAGCCCCACAAAACTTTAGATGTCACTTCCAAATCTTCTCATAGTCTCCAGCCCTAGAAAACCAGAAATCTACTCTCTCTATAGATCTGTCTCTTCTAGATGTTTCATATTAAAGGAGTCATACAATAAGTGGTCCTATGTGGCTGGCTCTTTCACTTAGCATAATGTTTTTAAGATTCACCCATGTCGTAGCAGGTATCAGTACTTCACTTCTTATGGCCCTCCTAGTGCTGTGAAGTGGTATCTCTTTGTGACTTTGATTTGCATTCCCTAAAGACTAATAATGTTCAGAGTATTTCTATCTCCATTTTGCCCATTCGTATATCTTCTTTGGTGAGGTGTCTGTGCAGGTCTTTTGCCCATTTTTAAATTAGGTTATTTTCTTATTGTTGAGTTGTGAGAGTTCTTTAAATATTCTGACTACTAGTCTTATTGGACATATAATTTGCAATTTCTTTTTCTATTCTGTTCATTGTCTTATCACACTTTTGATAGTGCCCTTTGATGCAAACATTTGGTAGAATTCACCAGTGAAGCCATCTGAACCTCAGATTTTTTTTGTGGGAAGTTTTTTGATTACTAACTAAATATCTTTATTTGTTATAGGCCTATGCATTAGTAAGGGTTTTCTGCAGTAGCAGAAACACGATGGATATATATATATATCCATCGCGTGTGTGTGTGTGTGTGTGTGTGTGTGTGTGTGATTTATTATAAGAAATTGGCTCACATGATTATGGAGCCTGGCAGGTCCAAAATCTGCCAGAGCAGATGTCCCAGTTCATGTCCAAAGGCTGGAAGCTGCTGTAGAACCAGGAAAAGCTGATATACTACCTTAAAGGCCATCAGGCAGGAGAATTCTTTCTTACTCACTAGAGGGTTAGTATTTTGTTCTCTTCAGGCCTTCAACTTATTGGATGAGGGCCATTTACGTTAGGAAGGGTAGTCTGCTTTACTCAGTCTACAATTTAATTATTAATCTCATCCAAGGCTATCCTCACAGAAACACTCAGAATAATGTTTGACCAAATATCTAGGTACCCCGTGGCCCAGTCGAGTTGACACATAAAACTAAATATCACTGTCTATTCAGATTTTCTGTCCTTTTGAATCAGCTTCAATAATTTGTTTTCTATGAGTTTGTCTGTTTCCTGGTTATCTAATTTGTTGGCATATCATTGTTCACAGTATTTCTCTATAATCCTTTGAAATATGTTCTGTAAGCTTGATAGTATTGCCTCCTCTTTCATTTCTGATTTTAGTAATTTTAATTTCCTCTCTTCCCCATACCCTTTTTGGTTGGTCTAGCTAAAATTTTGTCAATTTTTTCTATGTTTTCAATAACCAACTTTGGTTATATTTGTTTTTTTCTGTTGTCTTTGTATTCTCTACTTCATTTATTTCCCTCAAATCTTTATTTTCATCCTTCTGCTTGTTTTGAGTTTAATTTACTCTTCTTTTTCTAGTTTATTAAGATGGATGTATACATACATATTGATTTAAAATTATTCTCCTTTTTAATGTAGGTGTTCATAGACATACATTTCTCTCTTTGCACTCTTTACACTGCATCCTATAAATTTGGCATGTTGTACTTTCATTTCCATTCATCTCAAAGTTTTCTCTAATTTTCTTTATAATAGCTTCTTTCACTCATTGACTGTTTAGGAGTGTGTCATTGAAAATACATGTATTTATGTATTTCCTAAATTTCCTTCTGTTATTACTTTCTAATTTCACTCCATTGTGGTTATGAAATATATTTTAGGAAATATATTTTGTATCATTTCAATTAAAATTATTGATATTGTTTTAATATATATTGGGACCATATAACATATGATCTATTCTAGAGAATGTTCCATGTGCACTTAAAAGGAATGCATATTCTGCTCTTATTGGGTAGAGTGTTCTATAGACGTTTGTTAGTCCAAATTAGTTTATGATGTTGTTCAAGTCCTATGTTTCCTTACTGATCATCTGTGTGGTTGTTCTATCCATTATTGAAAATGGAGTATTGAAATCTTCATCTATCTCTCTCTTCAGTTCTGTCATGTTTTGCTACATGTATTTTGGAACTATGTTGTTAATCCCAAATGGCAGGTAAGTCCCATATATACTTATACTTGTTATAGCTTCTTGATGGAATGACTCTTTTATCATTGTAATATGTCCATCCTCGTCCCTAGTAACATCTTTTTCCTTATAGTCTATTTTGTTTTATATTACTGTAGCCATTTCAACTCTGTTTTTGCTACTGTTTGCATGGCATACCCTTTTCCATCCTTTAATTTCAGTCTATTTGTGCTTTTGAAATTAAGGTGTATCTCCTGTAGACAGCATATAAAAGTATCATGTCATTCTTTTATCTTTTTTTCTAGTGTCTTCCTTGTTCTTGAAGTATTCAGTTCATTTATATTTAAAGTAAATATTGATAAGTAGAATTTACATCTGCCATTTTGCTATTTGTTTTCCACATTCTTTATACTTACTTTGGTTCTCAATCTCTCCATTATTGCCATCTATTTTGTCAATAGATACTTTCTAGTGTATAATTTTGATTTTCTTGGGTTTTCTACTGCATTTTTGAAATATATTTTTAATAGTTACACTGTGGTTTCCAATTATCAACTTACACAAATCTAGTGTGAAATATTATCAACTTAATTCCAATATTATTTAGTTTTTGTTCCTCTATAGGTAGCTTCTTTGTTTCTCATTTTCTTTATGGTGTTACAATACTAACTAAATTTTTGTATATGCCCATTCACACAGATTTATTACTATTTTTCCTTATGTAGTTGTCTTTTAAATCAAAGGGGACCAAAATATTGACAAATAAAAAAAGATGTATTCTGTCTTTTACATTTGACCAATGCAGTTACCTTTACGAGTCCTCTTAATTCTTCATGTGTATTTGAGTTTTTCTCCAGTATTTTCTCATTTCAGCCTCAAATTCTCTCTAGGATTTCTTGTAGGATGGGTGTCCCAATGAAGAATACCTCAGTTTTTGTTTATGCAAGACTCTCTTAATGTGTCTGTCATTTTTAAGAAGTATTTTTCTGGATGTAGAGTTCTTGATTAAGAGCTGACTTATTTCAGCACTTTGAATTTGTCTTGCTGTTGACTGCTGATCTTCATGGTTTCTCATGAAAAATCAGCTGTAAATCATTATGAAGTTACCTGTACATGATGTGTCACTTCTCTTTTGCTGCTTAAGATTCTCTATTTGTCTTTTTCTTTTGACAGTTCGAATGATGTGTCCAGGGGTGAATGTCTTTGAATTTATCCTACTTGAAATTTGTTGAATTTCTTAGATATGAAGATTTGTGTCTTATAAGAAATTTGAGAAGTTTTTGGATACTATTTCTTCGAACACTTTTCTGCCCCCTTTCTCTCTACCCACTTATTGGGACTCCCATTTTGTGTATGTTGATATCCTTAGTGATATCCCACAGGTCCCTGAGGCTCTGTTCATTTTCCTTTTTTCCTTTTCTTTTTGTTCTTCAAACTGGATAATTTCAATTGGTTTGTTTTTGTGTATGCTCATTCTTTCTTCTGCCGGCTCAAATTTGCTCTTGAGCCCATCTAGTAAAATTTTTATTTTGGTTATTATTCTTTTTAACTCCAGAATTTCTATTCTGTTCTATTTTTGTAATTTCTCCTCATTTACTAATATTCTCTTTGGTGAGAAATTATTTTAATACTCTTCTTTAGTCCATAAAATGGTCTTATTTAATTCTTTTAACATGTTTAAAGTAGCTGAATTAAAGTATTTGCCTAGTAAGTCTAATGTTTGCTCTTCCTCAGGGACAGTTTCTATTGATTAAATTTTCCTTCTCTGTATAAGCCATACTTTCTTACTTTCTTGCTTTTGTATCTCTCTTAATTTTGTCAAAAATTGCTCATTCTAATTACTATAATTCTATTAATATATTAATATTAACATAACTCTGAAGATAAAATTTTTCCTCCATCTCTGGAGTTCATTACTATTGTTTATTTTTGTTTCTGCTGCTTTTTTCTTTAGTAATTTTCCTAAACTAATTCTGTTAAGTCTGTATAGTCAGTCATGTGTGGCCACTGATATCTCTGTTGAGTTAGCTTAATAATCAGCTAATGACTGGACAGAGATATCCTTAAATGCCTGAAACCAAAATGTCTCCCAGTCTTCGCTGATGGGCTCTATATCTACGTTGGGGCATAACTTCACACTCAACTAGGCAATTTACAATTCTTCCTTAGCCTTCATTTCCTGTTTGTGCAGAACCTCAAGATTAGCTACATGTGAGAACTTAGGGTCTTCACTGGCATTTCCTGTACACATGCATAGCTCTGTGTATACACACAGCCCTAAGTGTGCACATAGCCTTCTCAATTACCAGGAATATGTCAGATCTTTTTAAAGTTCTCTATGGACATATTTACCCCAGATTTTTCTTTTCTTTTTTTTAAGGTTTTTTTTTTTTGCTTGTTGTTTGCCCAATTGTTACAGCTGCAGGCAGCTGCCACTGATTGTTTTTAACAGGTGTTTAGGTTGTGGGTACAGAGGGTGTGGGGGTGTGTTTACACTAAGTAAGCTCTTAATTAGGTTAAAGACAAGCCTTGCAAGTAAAGTTTTCCATAGGATTGCCATACATGCCAAATAATGACAATTCCCTGAGAACAGGGCAGTGAAAGAGCTTCTACCCCATTCCAACCCCTCCATTGGCTGCTAGAATGTTGGTTTTCACAGTAATTGCCAGCTGTTGATTTTCAAGGCTATCACAGAAGTGGACAGTTGAGAATAGGTCAAATTAAATACCAAAAAGTAGTTATTCTTACTAACATTCAGCTTTGTTTTTTGAGTAAACATTCCTCAATTTTTGTAAGTCTGAAGTTAATTTCTAGAGTTCTGAAAAAGTTGATTTTGACTTTTTTTTTTTTTTTCTTGCCAGTGTTCTTGTTGGTTTTATGGAGGAAAGGATTTTTGGAGGTCCTTTACTTACTTCACATGCCAAATGTCCTTCTGGCCTGTACTTTTGAATGACATTTCACTAGATGGATGTGAAATTTGGGGTTGGTAGTTATTTTCATTTAGCACATTAAAGATATCATTCCTTTTTCTTCTGAGTCCTACTGTTTGAATAGAAAATTTAGTTGCTTTTTTGCTGTTGTTGTTGTTGTTGTTGTACTTTTGCTCCTTTGATGGTGATATATTTTTTTTCTTCTGGGTGCCTTTGAGATTTTTGTATATGTCCAGTTTTCAGGAGCTTCAGTATGCCCAGGTGTGATTTTCTTGGTGATTAATATTTATAGAACTTTTAGAATCTGGGGTTTGATGTTTTCTACCTGTTTGGAAATTTTCAGCCACCACCACTTGAGCTACTTCTTCTAACTTGTTGTCTTTCTCTTTCCCTTCTGGATCTCCAGGTTCCTTCATATTCACCCTTTGCATAAGGTTCTGTACATCTCTAATGCTATTTTCTGTACTTTCCATATATTTTGTTTGCATGCTTCAGTCTAGATATTTTCTACTGACTTTCTTCAGCTCACTAAATCTCTCTTTAACTCTGATCAATTTCCTTTTATAACCATGTACAGTCATCCCTAAGTATCCACAGGAAATTGCTTACAGGACCTCCTGTGGATACCAAAATCCACAGATGTTTAAGTCCCTTATGTAAAATGGCACAGTATTTGCACATAAACTATGCACATCCTCTTGCATACTTTATCTCTCGATTACTTATAATACCTAATAAAATGTAAATGCCATGTAAATAGTTGATATGCTGCATATTTTATTTGGATTATGTTTGTTGTTGTATTGTTATTTTTTTTTGTTTTCAAATATTTTTGATCTGTGGTTGGTTGAATTCATGATGCAGAATCCATGGATAGGGTGGGCCAACTGTATTGAGTTCCTATTTGCTGTTACCATATTTTTCATTTCTTTAACATCCATTAAACTCTTTTTCTTATATTAAAGTTCTTTTCTGAGGTATTTCACATTCTCTATTTTCTGAAATGTGTAACTTACTTATTTAAAAATACATTTCTGATTATATCAATATCTAGGTCTCTTTGGATTTGTTTGTGTTGTTTCTGTTTTCTCTTCTTCTTATTTCTTGGTATGCTGGTAATTCTGACTAAATATTGAACATTATGATGAAAAATTGTGGAGGCTTTGCATAATGTCATCTTCCTCCAGAGTGGATTCATTCTTTATTCTGGCAGACAGCAGAAAGTCAGATCAACTCAATCTAAGTTTCAGACTGTCCTGACTCAAAGCTGGTTTGCAGTCTTTGTAAGGATCATTCTACTTCTCGTTTTCTTCCACTCATCCACCTTCAGTGGATTCAACGCACAGCCTGGAGCTTCCTAAGCCCTTTCCAACTTTGCATGTCATGAACTTTAATTTTTCCTCCCCAGCAAAAAGGGATAATGTTTTCTTATGCCTTTCAGCCATCTTAATCTTAACATTTTAGCCTTTTGTCTTTCTTAGATTAAGCAAGTGACTCAAGAAGAAAATGAGTTCCAAATATTAGTCTTAGGTCTCTGTACCTCAATTCTATCCTTTTTTTTTTTGAGACAGAGTCTTGCTCTGTTACCCAGGCTGGAGTGCAGTGGTGCTATCTTGGCTTACTGCAACCTCTGTCTCACAGGTTCAAGCAATTTTCGTGCCTCAGCCTCCCATGCAGCTGGGATTATAGGCTTGTGCCACCACACCTGGCTAATTTTTGTATTTTTAGCAGAGACAGGGATTTGCCATGTTGCCCAGGCTGGGCTCAAACTCCTGGTCTTGAGTGATCTGCCCACATCGGACTACCAAAGTGCTGGGATTACAGGCATGAGCCTCCATGCTCAGCCTCTCTGTCCTACATTTCAGATCCTTAATATCTGGCTGCTTTGGCAGCCTTGAACTTCAAGTTTTGTCTTCCCATGCTCATGAGACTGCCTAAAGCACTCCCATGTCTTAGCAACTAAATTTTGCCTTCCTTCCTAGGCCATCATCCCATGCCAGGGCTCAACAAGTGCTGTAGGATATATCAACAGGCAGAATTTGAGCTCATTTCAATGAGCTTTCCTTTGGTGTATAATCTGGGTCCTTCAGTCCTTTTTGTCACAGTGGCATGCTGCTGTCTACAAACAGATGTTTTGTATTTTGAGGGCTTTAAAAGTTTTTCTCAGTGGGAAAAGTGGTATGCTATGAGCTACAGCGTCAAGAAGCAGCAGAATTTTCCTTGTCAACCTTTTAACATACAATTCTTATCAAAGGTTGCTTTCTTTCAAATATGATTATGACTAAAGTGTACCCATTTAAGTTGTTTCAAAAAAGAAAACTTGTACTTTCAAACATGTCATAACTTCATAATTTTAGAATTTGTTTTTCCTGGAGGAAATTCTCCATTTTAAATTTTGGGCCAAGGGAGATATTTTAGAACACAAAATTTATGTCAATTTAGCCTGCTGTTTTTTATATATTCCATGGTTTGTAAATATGATGAATGTGTATGTATGCACACATATATAGAGAAAGCTGAGATATCAATACAGAATAAAACTTTTCAAATAAAAATAATGCAGAAGCAGCTGCTGTTCTCTAAATAAAAGAAACAATAAGCTTGATTTTAATTTTTAATTTATTTTCATGTAATTTTATGGCTTTCAACACTTCCTTATTCTGTCGTTAAATTCTCAGTTTTTATAGTTTAATGGTATATTCTCTGTAGTGCAGGCATTATATAGCTCTTTTTCTGTAGCTATTCATCTATATTCATAATACTTATAATTAGGAAATTGTTAGAAGACGTTTTCAGTATGAAGGGAATCAAGTTGAAAATTATGTAGGAATAAGAAGGGAGAGACCAAAAATTGGATGAAATGAGTCACTTATCAAGAAGAGTAAAACAGTGTTTCCAAACTATAATGTGATCAGAAAGAACCATAATCTTTGGAAACTATGAAATTAATATTGTTAAAGAAATTTTTGATCCTCCAAATTTTAAAATGTCCAGGAAAACAGATACTGTGATGAAAAACATAATAAGGTCATTAAGTTTGGGTTAATTGGTGTCTTAGCTACTGACATGATTAATGCAAGGGATTCTGAAAGTCATACAAAATTATACAATATAGAAGAAAACAATTTATTTTACAGAGAATCTTTTTATTCAATAGTTTTTAATTCTCCACTGAAATTCTCTTTACTTTGCTATTCTTGAACATATTAAGCACAGCTATTTTAAAGTTTGTGTCTGTTATCTCTATCTGATTAGAATCCTTGTAGGTCTGCTCCTCTGGGATCTTTTTCTCTGGATTTTCAATCACACTGTCTTGTCCTCTCATATACTGAGTTTTGATTGAATGCTGGACATTGTATATAAAAAATTGAAGAGATAAATTGACTTTCGTTAAAGGCATCTTCCTTTTGAAAAGAATTACATTTGCATCTGGACATAAAAAAATATATATATTGTTTGACAGAGGAACTAGCCATCCCAGGTCACATTAGTCCAATCAAAAACTGAGATGATGCCAAGATAAGTTTTAGACTTTGCTAGGATTGTTTTATTTCTGGCTTACCTTGCCTCTAGGGAGTATGTGGCCCTTCGGAATCCTAACTGAAAACTTGGAGAGTTTTCCAGGGACCCATTACCTACATTGCCAAGGCCCGAATTCTAATTTTTATCTCTGTAGACCTGTGAGAGTTTGGTTATGCAGGTCAACAAGTTGGCTTCTTAACTATCTTATTAGAAACTGGAAGAAACCCAGAAGAAAAGCAACCTGAAATGCTGGGTTCAACTTTCTAGATTTTCTTCTTTTCTTGGATCGTGGCATTGTAATTCTTCATGGAAAGGTTACTTCTCCATTGCCTTCAAAGAGATTTTTAATCTTGTTCATATTTTCAATGGGAGATTTGGTATAAAATGCCTAGGGTATCATTACTGCAATAGAACACCCTAGAATTATTTAAGTGGGAATATCAGTTATTTTTTTCCTGCCACCTGAGAATGTGAAATTAGTCTACCCATGTCAATCATTGTAGAGAACAACCTGGATTCTATTCTACTCATTTTATTACATTGGATTTTTAAAATTAGATAAGAAAAATATATATCTACTCTACTATACTAAGTAATATAAAATATATTAATAAAAGCAATAATTTCTCTCCTCATTTCCTCACATCCTTGACTAACCTCTACTCCTTAAAATAGCAAATCTTCAGTATGTATAACTCTATATTTACCTTTACATATACATACACAAGCTTATATACATATATGTATTTTTTATAAAAGGATTATAGCATAACCATTGTGCTAATTTATTTTAATAACTTTCTATATAAATTATTCAGTCTGCATTTAAAAATTGGATCCAGAGTTTCATCAATTTTTGGTAGACACAGTAATTCCATAAAATAAGAACAAAATTAGATTTGTTTTCATTTTAGGGGAAAAATGCATTTTGTGTTCATTCATCTTTCATTGTTTTCTTTTATTGGTTCTAAGGGGATAAAGTTTTTATAAGACCCTGATTTGAGTGGCTCCTAGGCTCTTTGTACATCCCATTTCAGGGACAGATGCATCTGTGAATGAGTAGGTATGCAGTCCTCTTTAAAGACTGCATCATCTTAGGCAAAATATGTTTGGTGGTTTAAGGCCAGCAGAAGAAACTACACGTACAAACACTCACCATATATATATGTATATGTATTATGTATAGACACATATATGTATATACATTTAAATCTAATATAAAATATTCATTATATAAGAAATAATATGATATACATTTATAATCAATTTTAATTCTACATTATTCTTATATATACACATAGATACACATAAACACACACTATATGAAGACAAATGTTATCTTTATACATAAAATAAGTACATTGTATTGTGTGAGTCTGCTATATTTTTAGAATACAGAAATCACTCTTCATCTACTTGGGAAAAGTTTTCATAACTGAAAAGAGGATTTTACCAGCACATATAAGTAGCTACTAGTACTATGTTAAATGGTTTTTTAAATTGTTAATGATAGCATTTCTTCAATATCATATATATGCTATGTATTTTGTTATGCACCTTGAGTGTAGTATTTTATTTAATACTTAAAATATCTTTATAGATTAGGTAATTTTTTTCATTTGCTATTTAACAGAAGAGGAAAGCAAGACAGAGAAGGTCATTTATTTGTCCAAAATCACAGCCAGGATATTTGATACTCAAACTGTCCTTCGATTCTGAGCTCACTCCTGTCTACTCAATTATACTGTACTTCAGTTTGTTCAGTTGCATTGTGTTCACATTTTCTTTTTGATCTTGCAACTTCTCAGAATTTTGTTACTTGTTTCATTTTGTACTTTTGTACAAAGTTCCATTCTGCATTGTGTTGTAAAAAGGCAGGGTGAAGCAACGTCTGTTTTTTCCTTTAAGTGGAACAAATTCACTTGAGTGACATAAATTGTCTTATATCTCAAGGGTTTCTTGAATTTCTATCAGTTTAGGCTGATAGTTTAAAAGGGTACATGATTATTCTGTAGAAGTCCTCTTATTGAAAATGATTTCCCTAAGTATTTGGCCAGTTAAGCAGAAATTCCAATTAAAGCAGGGAATCATAATATATGATTCATACAGTAATACATACACACATATACACAATATCATGCAATGTATTCCTATATCTTACACATTTTATTTTAATGTGAACTATATACTTGTAGAGTTTTTGCCAATCAATCAATACACTTTGAGTTCTTATGTGGCATCAATCAAACCTCTTTTATTGCACTGATTGGAATTTGGCATCATCAGTTAGGATATTATATTTGTTGTGTAGATCAAGCCCATAAGCCATTACATACATTTTCCAGATTTGGCTTATTTAAAGATTAATGACAATTTAAACACACTTGCAGAACAATTTAAAACAGGACACCTTATAATTTTCTTCCTCAAACTTAATGTTACAGCATTTTTAGTACTCATTTTTACTGAGATTTTACTAAGCATTCAACTTAGTTTTCAGAGAAATGACAATTTTTCTGAAATTCTTTTATTTTCCTCATATTTCGTCCCCTTAAAGGTAGCTGTAATAGGTTTAGGAAGAAACACTATACCTCTTGTTAAGCATGTAGCCGCATAGGTGGTAGGATACATGAGGAGTAGATGTGTCAGAGCTAGCCTCTGGTCTCTAGCAACCAGCATATCCTACACTGCATGTTACTCAAGGAGTAGAGTTTCCTTGTAAATGAATGGAGAGTCAGTTAAATGGAGTTTCATTTTACTGCAGTGCCTACCTTCTTTCCATCCATTACATTTCCAAAAGTAGGACTGGGAGAGATATCCAGGGTTATAAAAATGCATTCTCCTGTTGGCCCTATGTGATGGAATGCTATTTTAATCAAGGAGTGCTACAAAATATTTTCTGGATCTTACCTAAATAATTTTTATAAATATTTTCATTTAGTTTACTTCTCTAGCAATTGCTGAAATTGCTGATGCTGTTCCTGGAGATTGCTATCTATTTTACATTTTCTGTTTCAAAACTGTGTCTGCATTGTAGGCAATTCTCTGGCTACCCAAGAAATTTAATATTTTATTATATCACAATTTTTTTATTAGATATTTCGTAATTCAAAGGTCAGATCTAACAAAATGATCTTTCTGACCAAACTGGCTAGCTAAATTTAGCAACGAATTGATGGCTTTTCTTTTTTACGATGTCTTGTCTGATAATTGAAGTTTCTGAGTCAACCAGTTGTTTTGCCCTCACCTAGACATTGCCTAAGCAGGTTTATTTCACAGTCTGGTTACCAGGGTGCCTCGCTCACATAAACACATCTGGAGTTCACTTCAAATTCTTAAACTAAATACTAAAGTGTGCATTTGATCAGTGAAGTATTATCAACCCATAAATCTCCCCCTTTGCTGTAATCAGCGCTAGAGTTCTTTAAAACCATTGTCATACAAGCGTGAACCTGAATCCTTTCTCCTGGCCCATTTTGTATCTACAGGAAAAAATATAAATACATTAAAACACATTTCCCCAAACTTTTCTTGCTTCTTTAGGTTCCAGAAGTATCAAAAGAGTGGGGTGTAATTGAAATGAGCCCTGAGTGATTTGTTGCTAATGTCTTTTTAAGAAACCCATGGAAATCACAGTGACTTAAAATGAAACTCATGAATCTATTTTAAAGTTCACATAAATCTGAGATTTGAAGTTGAAGGTCACACAAAACATAAGAACTGGAAACCCTGGTGTTTCTTAGTGTGGTAGCTATTCTGATTCTGTCATTTCTGTGTGATCAGGCTGACTTCTTTTGGAGCATTGCATTATGAAAGGACACCTAGTCTGTCAGTCAACTTCTGCATACTTTAGTAACATCTTAAAAATTCTTTAAGAAGTGATGGGTGAACATTTTGTGGCTTTTCATCCCTGATATACAACTTTTTCTTTTTTGATTTCTAAATACTGACTATTATGCATTCAGGGTTTGAAAGAATATTTTCATTAAGCAGAGACTTCTTCACTCTGGCACAGGATATTGGCTTGTTCTACCATGAACATTACCTTTCCTAGCACTCCAGTCTTCCACCAGGTCCTTCTGCTGGGCACCCTCTTGGTATCATGCTCTCTTGTGGAGCATCCTGGCTCCTGGGAACCTGCCAGGGAACTATGGGCTGCACTGAATGTGCTCACACATACTCTTCCACTAGGAGCCTCCAAACTGATTCCTTGGAGTCCTGGTGATGATAAACCTACATGGCCACCCATGGCAAAGTGAAATAAAACATTTCTCCCCTGTTGGTTACAGTGTTTGGAAAATATCACATAGTATGGCTGCACCCAGATACATGCTAGGGTTTCAAAAGAAATTATTGTTTCAGTTTTCATCCCTCTCACTACTCCTCTTGTTGGGTCGGGAGACACTGTGAATGGCAGACATCATTCAGAAGTCTAAGTGTTGTGAATGGGCCAACTCATAACCCTTTGTTCTGTTGCTGCTTAAGGTCACGTTCCCCCTAGGAGCCTCTTATTAATGATTGCTGCTACAAATAGATTTTTGTGGCTCACATCTCATTCATTTATTCCATAAATGGAGGTTTTGTTCTATTATATTTATTTATTTTTGTTGCTCTTGTTGTACTGTTTTCATTGGTTCCAATTTCACTTAACATGAGTCTTTTATTCCCAACAAATAATCTTGGCCTTTTATTTATTTATTTATTTTTTGAGATAGTCTCACTCTGTTGCCTAGGCAGGAGTACAGTGGCATGATCACTGCAGCCTCAACCCCCTCCCCGGTTCAAGCAATCCTCCCACCTCAGCCTCCTGAGTAGCACACCACCACGCTCAGCTAATTTTTGTGTGTGTGTGTATTTTTTTGTAAAGACAGAGTTTTGCCCTGTTGCCCAGGCTGGTCTCAAACTTCTGGGCTCAAGTGATCTGCTCGCTTCAGCCTCCCAAAGTGCTGAGATTACAGGTGTGTGTCACTGTGCCCAGCCTATTCTTGGCTTTGATTGCGCAAAACTCAATAGCTTACAAGACATGTCCATGTATATCAGTTCAGTGGTGAACTGAGCTTGGGTTCTCTCATGGACAACTCCTCAGCCTCTACTTCAATGTGTTTATGGAAGTCTGGGCCAACTATCTGCTGAACATGATGAGTTATATACAAATCCCACTAAGACACAAATCTGGACACTTCCCCACTTTGCCACATTAATACTAGGTGTAAAGGTTATGAATTATTACCTGATTTTTACAGTTGAGTACACTTGGCCTTAAAGAGTTTACAGAAGTTGTTCAGGGCCTCACATCCAGTGAGAGGTAGTACAGATTCCAAAGCCAGACCATATCTACTGCATCTTGTTATTCTATTAAATCTGTGATATGGCATAAAAATCTAGCATTTCCTGGAGAAAACTCTTCTAGAAAGAGGTAGGAGAAATGATCTCCATCCTCTTTGTTTACTCTCTCATTCATCAGGAAGTGATTATGTGATATTTTATAGGTTTTTGTTCATGGTTCCTGGCTTATAACTCCTACAGCCCTAGTTATAATATTGTGGTCCTTTAGCCTTCAGAAGCAGGTCTCAGGAAACAGCATCTCTTTCTCTGACCTTCTTCTGCCCTCCTTTCACCTGCCCAAGGCAGGACTCTATCTGACTGTCATCATTACATCTGAATCTATCATTCCAAAGAGAATCCTGCCCCATACCCCAGAGAAAGGCATGCTGCACAGAGAGGCCAAGAAGAATCTGAACACACAGGCCTCACTGGGTTTAGATCACACCCTTTTTGTCCAATCACATTTCTACATGGTTGTCAATTATGGAAAACAAATAAAATCTTCATGAAAGGCCTAAAAGACAGGGTTCAGAGAGCTTCTGGAGAGCTGAATACATGGAGGTTCCTAGACGGTGGCACACCCAGATATGGTTTGCCTGTGTCCCCGCCCAAATCTCATGTTGAACTGTAGCTCCCATAATCCCCACATGTCATGGGAGGGACCAGCTGGAAGGTAATTGAATGATGGGGGTGGGTTTTTCACATGTTGTTCTCGTGATAGTAAGTAAGTCTCACGAGATCTGATGGCTTTATAAAGGGCAGTTCCCCTACATACACTTTCTTGCCTGCCACCATGTAAGACACGACTTTGCTCCTCCTTTGCCTTCCATTATGATTGTGAGGCCTCCCCAGCCACATGAAACTGTGAGTCCATTAAAACTCTTTTTCTTTAAACAAATTACATAGTCTCAGGTATGTCTTTATTAGCAGTGTGAGAACAGACCCAGGTAGGACATAAAAGCTCTGTACCCCTTCCCCATTACCTTACCTTATGCATTTCTTCATCTGGATCCTTTGTGATAGCCTTTATAATAAAGCAATAAACATAAAGCAAGTGTTACCTTGAGTTTTGTGAGTTGCTCTAACAAATTAGTTGAACCCAAAGAAGGGTCACAGGAACCCCAACTTATAGCCAGTCAGAAGTTCTGGAGGCCCAAACTTGTGACTGAAGTGTCTGAAGGCAGGAGGCAGTTTTGGGGACTGAGCCCTCAACCTGTGGGATCTGACACTCTTCTCTAGGCGGGTAGGGTCAGAACTGAATTGGAAGAAACCCAGCTGGTATCTACTGCAGAACTGATTGCTTTCTTGCTGGTAGGGAGAAATCACGACATGTTTTGTGGTCACAGATGTCTGTGTTGATGGTTGTTGTTCTTTTGGTAAGAGAGTAGAGGAAAATTGGTTTGGGAGTTTTTTCCAACAGAGTCACTTTCAAATTCTCCGGATTGAAGAATCACTGGGGAACTAGACTTCTTTGCTTTTCTTCCAGATTCTCACAGAGAAGTTTGTTTCTTTGTTTTACTGTTAAGAAAATAGTTGTTTTCACATTACTTTTTAGTTTGTTTGAAACCTGTTGGCACCTCATTTTAAAGTGCCATTTAACATTGTTCAGTCATAATGAGAGAGAAACTTTTCTTAGACTTATAGAATGTGGGGTCTAAGAAACACATACTCTACTTCCACATTTGATGCTTCAATCTCACCAACCAGGAGACTGGCATGCTTTCCTATAGACACAACAGACCACTCTCCATAGCCTAAACACAAGCTACTCTATCTTCACAGCATTTCCTATTGTGCCAAACTTGTTCCCTTGTTGAGCACAAAGCTTCTGATCCTACCCATGCCTTCCAAGAGGATATGAAAATGTCTCCTGTTTCTTCCACATAGAGAGCTTTCAGAAATCCTCACGACCCTTCCAATACAATAAAAATAACCCTTATTTCTTTCTTATTTTTAATTTTATGGACCACTTAAAAATCTTGTTTGAAATGCCCTCTGACGTAAGGGAAATTAATTGTTTACAGGCAAGGAAAATGAGGTTCAGCTAAAATAAAGGAGTCAAAACCAAGATTCTTCTGGCCCATTTGTTGGGACTCTCTTCTCCAAGCCTCCCTCCATTTCTAAGTGAACTGTTCCCATTTTTTGCCAGTTGTTCCCCCTATAAGCCTGTGCCAATGTCCACTCAGTATCTCAGGCCCTGTCCCAGCTTATGATAATGTTCACAGTGCTCAGGACTGAAATTAGGGACCACAGCTATTTTTGATCAGTACAGATGGATTATGCTCTCCAAGAAAGATTGTGCTGATAAACTTATGTTTGCTCAAGTAAGATCAGTGCAGAAACCATGTAAGGTGGAAAAAAAAAAACCTCAGCAGAACACTGTAGGGGGCTACATTAAAGGAATTTTCTAAGGATGAAATTGTTACATAATAAAAAATATTATTTCAACTGTTTTCTTTTGCATGCATTATTTTCCATCTTACCTTACAAAGGTATTCACCCCCATTATATTTCCATTTCCCAAAGTTCCAAAACCGTTCAGAAGATAGAATTGTAGGAGTCTCTCCTGTGCATCCCCATCTCCATTGCCATCACCCTAGCTGGGTCCTTGATGCTTATCCTGGCTGTTTGAAATATCCTCCTTATTGTTCATAATCACTCTCATTACTCCCTCTTGCAGATTCATAATCCACATTGCTTCCAGGGTTATCCTTTCCAAACCTAAAGGGACTAAGTTAGTCAGGGTTCTCCAGAGGGACAGAACGAATAGGAAAAATGTATATATAAAGGGGAGTTTATTAAGGAGTTTTAACTCACATGATCACAAGGTCCTGCAATAGGCTGTCTGCAAGCTAAGGAGCAAGGAAGGCAGTCAGAGTCCAAAGCTGAAAACTTGGAATCCAGTGTTTGAGGGTAGGAAGCATCCAGCATGGGAGAAAGATGTAGGCTGGGAGGCTAAGTCAATCTGGTTATTTCACATTCTTCGGCCTGCTTTATTCTGGCCACACTGGCAGCTGATTAGATTGTTCCCACCCAGCTTGAAGGTGAGTCTGCCTTTTCCAGTCCAGTGACTTAAATGTTAATCTCCTTTGGCAACCTCTTCACAGACATACCCAAGAACAATACTTTGCATCATTCAATCCAATCAAGTTGACACTCAGTATTAACCATCACAGGAACTAAGTTTATTTCCTACTCAAAACTTTCCAATAGTCTCCCCTTATGTGAAAAATAACATACAGCTTCTCAGGCTTCTAACCCAACTTTTACAATTTTCCCCAAACTCTCCAAAGACCTTCACTAAAACATTCTTAATTCTAAGAGACTAGAAATTGTATTTGCAGTTCTCCAACGACAGCTTGTATATTTCCTGCTTCTGTGTCCGAAAGCACACTGGTCTTCCCTTCTTTCTAGGATTCTAATTGCTTCTTAGCTACCTTCCAGAATCTTCCAATTTTTCAAAGGCTCATTAAAATCTAATCTCCTCTGAAAAGCCTTCCTGTGGTCTTCATTTTTCTCAGCTTCTTTTCAACTCTATTATGTATTTATCAGAGTCTGCTACTATTAATTATTTATGTATTTGGCTTGCCTGAAACACTGCAATTCCTGGAGAAGAACATTCACTGCACATCATAGGCACTTAAAAGGTTTTATGGATTGAATTGAATTCCAACTGATGTTAGCATATTCACATATTTATTTATTCATCATGCATTTCCTTAGCATATGTTTATTGAATGACTACTACATGCCAACTGAGAGAATGCCAAGCCTGGTAGGCAAGATCGGCACAAACACTTCTAAGTAGAATTCAATGTAGAAGAATGACACAATCGACATACAGCAAAGAGCTGGTGATCTGCCATACCTTAGTTTTATGTTGTGCTTCCTCAGTGCCCTTTTTATTCTTTCTGCTTCTATTTCTCTTGATCGTGAGGCTTTTGTCTCTTGTAGGCTCTATCTGAACTGTTATTGGAAAGCCATGTAAAACATGATGTCATCCAGTACTGTTTCATTCTTGTCATAGTATTCTAGTCCTAGTTTTCTTTTCCTTTTTGTCTATAATAACAATTATGAATTCCTTCAGCATTTTCTGCCTTTTTTTGCTTGCTTCAGAGTTAAAGAAAGTCTGGTAGTTTTCTTCCTCCTAAAGATCGACAAACAAAGCATTCGAATTTTAAGTTTTTTTTCTGTTATTAATAATAAGTGAGGTCAGAGAGAAAAAGTGTTAATACAAGAAGAAAACACAAAGATCCAGTGACTCTTACAAATGTCATTAAATCTTAGCCTTTTACTCATAGTTCAAGGATTTCTTCTGGAAGAATATTTAATTGCATAATTATGCTTTTGCTCTAATGGATATTTATTTTTATTACGGTAAAATACACAGAACTTTTCGGTGCATGGCTTTGTGGCATTAAGTACATTTACATTGTTGTGAACCCTCACCACCATCCCTTTCTAGAATTTTATCTTTCCCAAATGAAGTTTTGTACCCACTAAACACTAACTCCGCATTCCTCCCTTCCCATCCACACTTTCCAACACCTAGAAACCACCATTCTACTTTCTGTCTCTGAATTTGACTAGTCTAGTTATTTTGTACAAGTAGAATCATGCAGTATTTGTCTTTTTGTGTGACTGGCTTATTTCCCATAAAATAATGTCCTCAAGATTCGCCCAGGTTGTAGTGTACGTCAAGTTTTTTTCTTTTTCAGGCTGAATAATATTCCCTATATTTATATACCACATTTTGCTTACCTGTTCATCTATTAATGGACATTTAGCTTGCTTCTACTTTTTAGCTATTGTGAATTATGCTACTGTAAACACCAGTGCATAAATATCTGAGTCCTTGCTTTCAGTTCTTTTGGGCATATATCCGGAAATAGAATTCCTGGATTGTATGGTAATTATAGGTTTAATGTTTTTAAGGAATCACCATCCCTTTTTTCAAGTGCGTACATCATTTATATTTTCATCAGCAATGCACATGAATTCAAATTCTTCCACACCTTCACCAACACTTATTGTTTTCTTTCTCTTTCTTTTTGAGATAACCAACCTAACCAATGTAGAGCGTTCTCTCATTGTGTCACCATGGATATTTCTGATGGTGACACTCACCAAATCTTACTCCTTCTTCAGACTTTTATTTTTTATGGAAGAGTATGTTAACACTTTCCTCTATGAAGTCTTATTTTCCCAGAATGTCATTGTAAATGGTCATGTAAGGAAAAATAGTAGATACTTTTTAGGGAAAGAAATTTATTTAGATTTGTGAAAGCTCCATAGTGATGATACCATCACGGTAGGCCCCTTCCCCCTCAGCAAGGTCTCCATAGGAAATTTCCTCATACCTCTATCATCACATTTGACATCAGCTCAGACATGGACCTACCCAGCAGCAATAATCCATCTATTTTCATCCAATCATTCATCAATTCATCCCTCTAAGCATTCATTCAACAATTAATTATTGTACACCTATGCTCTGTTTAAAACTAGCAATTCCTTTTAGTCTTTTTATTATTTATGATAACTAAGGAAATATATTAATGAAATACTTTGGCTATTTTCTTCTGATTGAGTATCCAGGCTGGTTCTCCGGACGTATTTTCTGGGCAAGATAAAGAGACAAAGCACAATGCTTTTTAGAAATGAAATGTTCACCTCATCTATGGCTCACATAGGCATTTCAAAGTGGGACCTAATGCTTTTAGAAACTATATTTACACAGCATAAAATAGGAACATGTATTCCACTTAGAGTGAAAACTATTCATGCCTTTCTTATATGGTAAATAACATATTGTGAGTTAAGGATGTTTAATAGACACTAAATAATGTAATACATGAGAAAGGAAACTATGATTGGCTAGCCCAGTTACCTCGGTCTTACAATATATTTTTTTAAATTGAACTTTCTATCATTACAGTAGTGATTTTTGTTTTTTTTCTGTCTTTTTTTCTTTTTGAACAAGAAAAAACAAGATTGACAATGAGAATTGTCACATGCAGCATGTTGTTAGATTTCAGAGTTATAACAAAATAAAAATTGAAGTAATTTCACATCAAATATTGCCCAGATAAATCCAGGGATTTCCACCCACTTTGTTCTTAGGAAATCATCACCGTTTCTCATTGTAGAAGTATTTCCATGTGTAATTAATTTAAATATAACATAAAAGAAACAGACTCTAGCAGAAACAGACAATAATCTTTTACTCAAACATATTCAACCACAAACCAAAGTCATATTTTGGATCGTGTCCTCATTTTGATGATCACAGGATTTATCTTATTTGTGGTTTACTTGGGCTATTTTCAATGCCTGGAGAGACATGATGTACATTGTAGAATAATGCAATAAAGTAATTGAGCATATTTTCCTCATCTCTGGGCATATTTATGCTTGTACACACAGTTCCATTAAAAGGGCCAGAATGCAGCAAGCTCAGCTGTAAGTTATTACCATGATGGTGCTGGCGTGCTAGGGCTGCTCTCACACTGAGATGCAGACTGGGTGTTCCAGTGGGATGGATTATCCTAGAGTCTGCTAAGAAGTCAGTGCATCCCATGGAGAGAAAAATCTGTTGGGCTTAAAAGAAAAATGCCTGTGGAACAACACAAACTAACATCTAATCCTTTGCCAGCAGAAGCTTTTAAGGGAAGTGAAAAATTATTGACAGACAGAAATGTTCTTCTGAGTCTAGAATCAGAACAAATCCAGCTGTGGTCATTCTACTGGATCTCAGCAAAACAAACTTGGTTGCTTACATTTGTTCTGACCTCTTACATGAGAAAAGATTCAGAACTGGGTAATTTCAACTGAGAAAACTTGGTTAAATGAAATGAAATAGGTTTAGATACAGGATGTTGAGGCAAGTACAATATGATTTGAGAGTCAGAGTTTGGAATTAGGAGCCTCAAATCAGACCAGATGATTTTTAAGACAACACTAGAAACTTGAAAATGCAAATAATGAATAGGACCCCATAGACTTTTAGGGGGAGGCAAGAAATTTTCAATGCACTGGATTCTATTCAAGTTATAAATTGATCCTGACAGTAAATAGGAGTGTTTTGTGCTATATTTGCCTTATGGCAAACAGACTTGAGCTGATTTTGCTCTCTCTGAGAAGTGGCTATGAGTTTTGATCAAGAGTGCAAAGGAAAAAGTTAGTTTGAGGGAAAGAATCAAAAGGCCAAGGTCTGAATTCTAGAACATTGGTCTGATCTGGAGTCAGAAGACCAAGGTCTGATTTCTAGTTTCTTTACTTACCAGGGTTATTTTGGAAATGTCATTTCATCTCCTCTTAGTTTTCTTTTTCCTGAGAAAATGAGAATGTTTTCTGTCATCTTTATCTGAGGACAATGTGCAAATGTTTTGTAAACTCTTGTCAAGGATTATCATTATTTTAAAACTGAATTCCTTTCTCAGTGATAATTAAGTAAACTATGAGAAAAATAATTCTTAATATGAGAACTATGTAAAACTTTTTTTGTGTGCAGTTGAGTTGGAAGTGTGTTTTGGAGAACTCAATGTCTGGAAGCTGTAACTGGTTTGTTTCCAACATACAATACATTCCTATTGCAGGTTTATGTATTAGGGTATTGCTAGCAACCATACCAAATAAAGCTAAAATTGCAATTCTTTAATACAATAGGAGTATATTTCTTGCACATATAAAATAGGTATTCTTGATTGGTGGGCTGTTCTTCAAGTGGCGATTCAAGAACTTGGTGGTTTGTTTCGTTTTGCTTTTGCTTTATTATCTTTAACACACAGCTTCCTACATAGCTATGTATGCAAGCCACTGGATAGAGAAACAACACAGTGGATATGGTGTGGAAGGCTGTTTATGAGCCAGCTCTGGATGTGGCACACATTCCTTCTGTTTAATTCCATTGGCTAGAACTCAGGCTCACAGTCATGTCTCTTTGAAAGGAAGGCTAGAGAATACAGTTGATTTTTGTGCCTGAGAAGATGAAATGGGATTGGTAAGCAGCTAGCTAGTATCTGCTAAAATTTTGGATCAGAACAACAACTCATGCAGTATCTGGACTGCAATACAGGTAAGTTGATCATTTTAATTGAAGTGTCAGTTGATGAGAATAAAAAGACCAGGCTTTTCATGAATCCCCAGAGGACATTCAGAAATGCCGTGTTCAGCAGTAGTGGATACGTGTATGCTTGTGTGAAGCATCGGCAGAGGGTAATCCCAATTCAGGTGTAATATTTTCCCTTTTGTCTTCTCATAGGAGCTGACTGAGTTGGCTTGGCTGTACATAGGAGGAAGACCCTGATCCCTGGTGCTCAACACAGAAATGCTTCAATGATACCCTGAGATTGTTTTACCTTGCAACACTCTCTGGAAAATTGCTGCTCCAGGAATGCGATGAAAAGATCTGTAAGAGAGCACAGCCCCTGTTGATTGACTTGTCTTGGTAAGCTTTCCTAGTTCTCTCGCGAAAAAAAATGTGAGCCATAAAACCACTTATATGTGGACAGCAATCTCCTGGTCTAACTTTCAAGCAGAAGCGATTTCATGGTCAAGGGCTAGCCTCAGAAAATAAGCCTTGTTAATGAATATATAATTCTATGGTTCCTGAAGGTATGTGCATACAAGAACTCATGATGTGAAAGGACCATGAACTGAGGGAAACTGACCCATTGGGTTAGTGGTGAGCACAAGAATGAAAGGCATTCAGCCATTGAATTACAAGCACCTCCAAGTACCACATAATTACATTTCTACCAGGATTTTTATAAACAAATATAACAATGTTGACTTTGGATTTGTTAGCTTCAGGCTCCCACACATTTTTATTCCTCATGACTATTTTATTTTATTTTTCAAAAGAAAAGAAACCCCCGTATATGTGGTCAGAGAATAATTCTGTGCACTGGGAACTTTTCAAATAAATGTACTACTCATGCTCAGTGAATGACCTTCACTTAGCAGCAGTATGTAAACCTTGGAAAAAAATTAAAGCCAACATAAAATTATCCGAAAATTCCAGAGTTCTAGCTCCATGGCCCCTATAAGAAATTCTGAATCAATAAGTATGAGATCTGGGAATGTGAATTTTCATACAAACCTCATACAAAATAATTCCAATGTAGCTAGTCCTTCTACTTTGGGAAATACAGATTTGGTGATTTAATATGATTTGCTCAGGTTTGTGTACAAGTATACACAAAGAGTTTTGTGTATCCCTTAACATGACAAACTATCACATGATTATCATTGTCAAGTGAATATTTGCTCCTTTTTTATCTTAGGAAGTCAGCAAGGGCACAATAGATTTGGATCAAATGGGTAATATAATTTGTGGGCATTGTAAGTGATATGTTGACATCACTCCAACTATTTAGCACCTACTATTTTCCACTAAAATATACTGCACCAGACACTTTATATTCATGTCTAAATCTCAAAATAACAAAGAGAGGTGGCTATCATTGACTCAATCTTATAGTTGAGAAAACTGCAATGCAAAGGGGTTAAATTGTATTTGTCCATTTGCATTGCAATAAAGGAATACCTGAGACTGGGTAACTAATAAAGAAAAAAGGTTTAATTGGCTCAGGGTCCTGCAGGGTGTACAGGAAGTGTGATGCCAGCATCTGCCTCTGATGAGGACTCAGGAAGCTTATAATCATTGCAGAGGGCAAAGGGGAGCAGGCACATCACATGTTGAGAGTAGGAGACAGAGAATGAGAGGGGTGAGGTCCCAAACCTTTAAGCAACTAGATCTCACTTGAACTTAATGAGCAATAACTCACTCATCAAAAAAGGAATGGGGCTAGGCCATTCATGAGTGACCCACTCCCACGATCCAACCACCTCCCGCCAGGCCCCACCTGTAACACTGGGAATCACATTTCATTCCCTCCCTGGCCCCCCAAATTTCATGTCCTTCTCACATTTCAAAATACAATCATGCCTTCACAAAAGTCCAATTCAAAAGTCCCAATTCCCTAGTTCCAATTCCAGTGTTCACCTGGAGATAAGTTCCTTCCACATATGAGCCTATGAGATAAAAAACGAGTTATTTATTCCCAAGAGACAATGGTGGTACTGGCATTGGGTGTACATTTCCATTCTAAAAGGGAGAAATTGGCCAGAAGAAAGGGGCTACAGGCCATGCAAGTCTGAACCCATCAGGGCAGTCATTAAATCTTAAAGCTCCAAAATAATCCCCTTAGACTACATCTCCCATATCTTGGGCACACTGGTGCAAGGGCTGGGCTTCCAAGGCATTGGGAGCTTCACCCCTGTGGCCTTGCAGGGTACACCCTCTGCACCTGGTCTCATGGGCTAGAGTTGGGTGCCTGCAGATTTTCTAGGCTCAGGATGCAAGCTGCCAGTGAATCTACCATTTTGGGGTCTGGAGGGCAGTAGTTCCCTTCCCAGAGCTCCACTAGGCAGTGCCCTTGTGGGAACTCTGTGTTGGGGCACTAACTCATTTCCCCTTGACATTGCCTTAGTGTTTCTCTGTGCGGGCCTGCCCCTGTTGCAGACTTCTGCCTGGGCACCCAGGCTTTTCCATACATCCTACGAAATCTAGGGAGAATCTGCCAAGCCTCCTTCACACTTACATTCTGTGTGCCCACAGACTTAACATCATGTGGAAACCACCAAGGCTTGTGGTGGTTTGCACTCTCCAAAGCAGAAGCTTGAGCTGTACGTGGGGGCACTTTGAGCCAGGCTGGAGCCAGAGCAGCCCGGATGCTGGGAGCAGTGTCCTGTCTTCACGGGCAACAGAGCCCTGTGTTTGAGCCCTGAAATCATTCTTTCCTTCTAGACCTCTGGCCCTGGGATGGGAGGGGCTGTCTCCAAGATCTCTGCAGTGCTTCTAAGCATTGCCTTGTCTATTAGCATTTTGTTCCCTTTTAGTCATGCTAATCTCTGTAGCAAGTGGTTGCGCTACACCTTACTTGAATTTCTCTTCTAAAATGCTTTTTTTGTTCTCTGCCACATGGCCAGGTTGTGAATTTTCCAAACTTTTATGCTCTGCTTCCCTTTTAAATATAAACTCCAACTTTAAGTCATTTTTTTTTTTTGCTTCATTGTCTAATCATAGACTGTTAGAAGCAGCCATGCCACATCTTCAAAGATCTGTTGCTTAGAAATTTCTTCTGCCAGATACCCCAGGTCATTACTCCTAAGTTCAAACTTCCACAGATCCCTAGGTTACACACACAATGCAGCCAAGTTCTTTGCTAAGGTATAGCATAGGTAAACTTTACAGTGAAGGTCATCAGCTTGGCCTTCACTGTCCAAATTTCCATCAGCATTTTGGTCAGAACCACTTAACAAGTCTCTAGGAAGTGACAAACTTTCTCTCATCTTCCTGTCTTCTTCTGAGCCCTTCAAACTCTTCCAACGTTTTCTCATTACCCAGTTCAAAATCTGCTTCCACATTTTCTGGTATCTTTATAGCAATATCCCACTTCTTGGAACCAATTTTCTGTATTAGTCTGTGTGTGCTACTGCAAAGGAGTACTTGAAACTGGGTAATTTATAAAGAAGTTTAATTGGCTCAGGGTTCTGCAGAGCACACAGGAAACATGGTGCCAGCATGCTTCTGGTGAGAGGCTCAGGAAGCTTACAATCATGGCAGAAAGCGAACGGGGAGCAGATGCATCACATGGTGAGAGCAGGAGCAAGAAAGTGAGGAATGGGGAGGTCCCAGGCTTTTAAACAAGCAGCTCTCATGTGAACTAACTGAGCAAAAACTCACTTATTACCAAGGGGATGGTGCCAAATGATTTATGAGTGATCTGCCCTCATAACCCAATCACCTCCCATTGGGACCTCCTTCCAGCATTGGGAATCACCTTTCAACATGAGATTTGGAAGGGGCAAACCTCCAAACTATATCACTTGCTAAATTTTGATGGTAAGTGGCAGAGTCTAGATTTGTATCCTATTGTTTCATTCCGGTTCTCTGCCTTTTCATTTGCTCTAGATCAAACCAGAGCTTCTGGCTGGGATACTGGTATCTTGAGTGAGTCACAGCAGGAGATACGTGCTGGAGCTGAAGAGGTTGGAGAGGCAGCAGAAAAGGTAGGAGACAGCAAGAGAAGGAGAGCAGCCTACAGATGAGAAGACAAGTAATTTACCCTAAAGTTCTAGGACTGCTGTTGGTCAAAGGAAAAATCCTTCTGAGAGATTTTGATTTTAGGTTTTGATTCTACTTCTGTTTCTATGAATGCTAGAGAGAAGAAGAAGCCTATGAAGTATACATTTTCATAGTATTTTATAGATAAGAATCAGTGTATTTAAGCTATTAACTGAGTCACCTAATTAGTTAATGAAAGAGTTGGGATTACAACCCAAGTGTGTTTGATCTCAGGGACCACACTTTCTAATTCACAAATAATCTTTCCCTAGTAGAATCCATACCAGTGTTTTCCAAACTTGTTTTTTCTGTGAGATTAACAAAAGTAAATTTAGAGTATAATCTGCAATAAAAGTCGTTGTTGGTGGTGAATTAGAGGCAAGAGTCAGAAAGACCATGTAATTGAATATGTGAAGCAACAGGGGTTTTCGCTAATGGGCTGTGTTCCTGAAAAGGTAAGGAAAGAGAAAATAATGAGGACAAAGAAATGAATAAGGCAAGGAAAAGACAATAATAGAAGCTGAAACGAAGTGAAAGGAAAAACAGACCATTTGCTATATTTCGCTTTATTACCACCACCATTCTTAGACATCAGAAGATTTAAAAAAAATCACGGCAGTAACTTCTTGAAGTAATATTGATAAAACTTGCTTCCAAATATTTATATTTTTTGTAACTAAAAGCATAATCAGAATTCAGTGATCCCTTTTTAATGCCACAAGTAGTGCAATGTTAACAAGCTAGACTGCATGATATCCTGTTTAAGTGTGTGTCTGTGCGTGAGTGGGGCAGGGAGGGGGTCTTTGTGATGTTATATCTACCTATCAGTATGAATGTAGGAAGTAAATTCTGAATTGAGAAAATCATCATATTGCAACTATATGTAATTTATGTGAATTAATAATAAGGGCATAAATCTTGCTGCTTATTCTAGTTCATAAGGAGCTGGTGAAGAAGTCCTTTATAATGAAATAATTACTTTTTCAAGGCAAGAAGATAGTAGTAATTTGATAGGTGAATGACTTCCCAATATATAAAAATCAAATCCAAGGGAATTTCTAAAGCCAAATATATATTATTTTTAGCTTTTGTACCACTTCAGATAATTTATATCCATAGCCTTTAATTAGAATTTAAAAAATCAAAAGTTGATTTTAAGAAGATCTCCACAGATAGGATTTAATGCGATTTTTGTCTGCACATTGTTATTTTCTGATTATTCTACAATTAACGCAGGTTAGTAAACAAATTAAAGGAGATAATTGTTGATAAACAGATAAAGCCAATTCTCAAATTCTGAATAAGCCTAATTCATTGGCAAATATGTTGATTGTAGATAAGACCACATTTTTAGATAAAGATGACAATTTAAATTCTATTTTGATTTCAGGTCAGCTCACAAAGACCTCTGAAACTTTCATTTAGTTTAGCTTCAGCACTGATAAGAGAAACTGAAATTTACTGTCTTCTCTTTTATTATGTGATGCCTAAGACAGGAAAAAGGAAGAGCTCCTTTAACTCTTCTTGGACTTTTTAAAAAAAAATAGCTTCACTGAACTTTAATTGACATACAGTAAACTGCACAAGCTTAAAATGTGCAATTTAACAAGTTTGACTTATCTTGTAATAAGTTCTCACGAAAAATTTGAATTAAGCCAAAGCTATCCTCTTATTCTACTTCCTTATACTGTCCCCTCTACCATCCATTGCAAAATATGTTTGTTAGAATGTGGGTAAAATACTGTGGAGACTAGTCTCAAAAATGACAATTACTGGTGATCTAGTGTCTATGAGAAAAATATATTCTAAATTCTTAGACATTGTTTTACAAAATTATTATTATTTTTATTTTTATTTTTTTATTATTATACTTTAAGTTTTAGGGTACATGTGCACATTGTGCAGGTTAGTTACATATGTATACATGTGCCATGCTGGTGCGCTGCACCCACTAACTCGTCATCTAGCATTAGGTATATCTCCCAATGCTATCCCTCCCGCCTCCCCCCAACCCACAACAGTCCCCAGAGTGTGATGTTCCCCTTCCTGTGTCCATGTGTTCTCATTGTTCAATTCCCACCTATGAGTGAGAATATGCGGCATTTGGTTTTTTGTTCTTGCGATAGTTTACTGAGAATGATGATTTCCAATTTCATCCATGTCCCTACAAAGGACGTGAACTCATCATTTTTTATGGCTGTATAGTATTCCATGGTGTATATGTGCCACATTTTCTTAATCCAATCTATCATTGTTGGACATTATTTTTAACACATCTTACTTGTGAAATGAAGACTAGCCAGCATTTACCAGTGTTGATAATCATCCTAACTGGTACATCTGGTCTTCTCACTTATTCTGAATATCACATATATTCTGTTATATCTTTCTATATCAAATGTCCAATAAAGCCCAATTATCTGATGTCATATGAAAGCAGCTTGTGGAAGGTGGGACTATTGGAGATGCTGTACCCCTGCTAGGAAGTGGCTCTGGAAAATGTTTCATTTAATATCCAATGAGATTGAGTTGGAGCTAATGTCTGAGTGGTAGATATAAACTAAAGCTGAGCTTTCTATGTTCTGCTCAGCCCTTTGATCTTTTGAGCTTTGCTACCTCTCTTCTTTACCTCCCTACTACCGCCTGCTGCCTGGAGGCCTCCTCTTTTTTTCTAACCCAGAATATAAAATTCTACTTAATAGTGCATTTTTCAAGGCAGTTAACAGTACAGCTTTCCTCCTTGAAGTCTACTCTGCATTATTGCTATTAGAAGAAGGAGGAACCTGCAGGGATGTGCAAAAGTTAGACCAAGAAATAAAACATATTGGTGGTCTTCCACCAGATCATGAGTACACCCATATCCATCTTACAGCCCTGGTTTTGCTTTTATGCAGTGGAACTATCACCCACTGCTTCTATATGAAACTTCTAAGATTTTCAACCTACAAGTCTTTTCATGCTAAGAAATGGCATTTCTTAAAAGAAAAAAGAAATAAAAGAATGTCTGGAAATTAGTTCTACAATGAAGTTACAAATGAGAGCATTGATAATTCAGTCTTATGCTGCTTCTTGAAATATGATGGTTTCTTTTTTGATAGAAGATGTCTTTCATATGTAAGCAGCACAAAAAAACTTATAATTTTATATTTTATTCTTAAAATTCTTATAATTTTAATCCCATTAGAATATACTACATAAGTGACTACAGTCATTATTATGTTGATAAAATTTTATTCTCAATCATTATTAAATGTAATTGTGAGATTAGAATTGATGCATTTGATAGTTTGGTCTCTTTATTGTGAATTTCTGTATCCCTTTTGCCCCTGCAAGATTTTGGTGAAAGATGAGACTTGAACGCCAAACCTCGTGTTACAGATACTTTATACATATTTCCACCTTTGATCTTTGCAGCAACTTTGTGAACTAAGTATCATGATTTTAAGTTTACAGGTTAGAAAACTGACACCCAAGGAGTTAGAGAATTTGTTTAACTCCACATGGGGGAGTCTGAGATTTGCTTACACCTAGGTCTGCTGGGCATCCTTCACTATCTTAGGACAAATTGCCACAATTTAGGTAAGGGCCAGGACTTTATTCTAGGTGCATTACTCACATTGCTATCTCAGCTAAGGCTCCTTGCTCTTCGTTCACATCATCTCTGGGGTATAAACCATCAAATGAAAGATGACCCTTTCTGTCTCTCTCAATTAAAAAAGCATAATCCTGAGTTTTAAATAAATGTTTCTTTCCCATTTCATGGTCACTGTTATCTTTTTGCCCTCCTGTTCTCAGTTTTACTTTTAGGCCTGAAGCATTTGGTAGGTTCATTGCTGAATGTGGGAAGTTTCACTATTTTTCTATTCCATAAGGAAAACCAAGAAGAAGTCTGTGTTCTTTTATTTTATTATTTTATGTTTTTGAGACAGGATCTCGCCTTGTTGCCCAGGCTGGAGTGCAGTGGGGTGATCGCAGTTCACTACAGCCTTGATCTCCTGGGCTCAGGCAATCGTCCCACCTCAGAATCCTGAGTAGCTGGGACTGCAGGTGTGTACCACCATGCCAGGCTAATTTTTTTTTTGTTTTTTTTTGTTTTTTTCTTTTTTGAGATGGAGTCTCGCCCTGTCGCCCAGGCTGGAGCACAGTGGTGCGATCTCGGCTCACTGCAAGCTCTGCTTCACGGGTTCATGCCATTCTCCTGCCTCAGCCTCCCGAGTAGCTGGGAATACAGGCGCCTGCCACCATGCCCAGCTAATTTTTTGTATTTTTACTAGAGACGGGATTTCACCGTGTTAGCCAGGATGGTCTCCATCTCCTTACCTCGTGATCTGCCCACCTCGGCCTCCCAAAGTGCCGGGATTACAGGCGTGAGCCACCGAGCCCGGCCCCCTAATATTTTTTTAATTAATTTTTTGTAGAGATGGAGTCTCAAACTATGTTGCCCAGGCTTGCGTTCTTTTAGTATCAGGCTTTATTCCATTTGCTTCCACAGCTCAGCAAGTTAGAGATGAATGAAAGAGCATATGAGGAAAGGGCTGAAATCAGCGTCCAAATCCTCATCTGGCAGAGGGGCATGATACATCTATTTAACTTACTTGACTTCAACCGTACACGTCAGCAAAGAAATAGTAAGAAAGTTAGGGGAATGGCATAATTCCAATGATGCTGGCGGGTGATGGTATGCCCCAGAGGGAGGGCGCTCTATGGAATGTAAATCCCCTGACCTTTCAAAATGGCCTCACTTCCTGTTACCTCTCATGATGTGAGCATCCCCACATTTGGACAGGGATTCTGGGGTTTGCAGATATGTTTCCTATTCAACATGGTACCTAAATGCCAACCAACAACATTATGGAATTCTCTGCCAAGGAGGCAGAAGTTGATTCCAGCGGTAAGAGAAACAAATTGCAGAGGCAGCAACATCCAAGACAACACCAGCCAAATAACTGGTGCACAGTGCATCGGTGCATTCTATTTTATGGATGATATAAAAGAGATTTTTCAATGGTAATTTTAATTATTTATAATTTTTGCCGTACATGCTAACTTCAGGACATAAACTCTTTTAAGTTGAAATGTAGTTTTTTTTTTAGAAAGCAAGTTTATTAAGAAAGGAAAGGAATTAAGAATGGCTACTCAATAGGCAAAGCAGCCAAAATGTAGTCTTTATTATTATTGTATATTTTTTGAGACAGAGTCTCACTCTGTCACCCAGGGTGGAGGGCAATGGCGCAATTTTAGCTCACTGCAACCTCAGCCTCCCAGGTTCAAGCAATTCTCCCGCCTCAGCCTCCTGAGTAGCTGGGATTACAGGCATGCGCCACCACGCCCAGCTAATTTTTATATTTTTAGTAGAGATGGGGTTTCACCACTTTGGCCAGGCTGGTCTCAAACTCCTGACCTTCAATGATCTGCCTGCCTCACCATCCCAAAGTGCTGGGATTACAGACGTGAGCCACTGCACCCAGCCAGAATGTAGTTGTATTTCTCCATTTATTAGAGGACTTTGGTCACATCACTTTAGATCTTTGAGCTACACTTTATTTGAAATCTTCACAGTTAGCAGTAATGTCCAAATGTCTGTGTCTTTCAGAGTTTTTGAATATTTAATAAGAAAAAATATATGTGCATATTTTTAAGTACTTAAACATTCAAGTTATATAATAATAATTTCTAAAAGAGTGTAAAGCATTGGTATCCTTTTGAAATTCCCTGATCCCATGATGAGCTAAAAAACTTTGTAAGGTTGTAAATAAATTTTAAAAAACATTTTCAGTCTTTGTAAGGTGTGTATGTGTATACCTATATCTATATCCCCATATATTTGAATTTTGGAAAAGGTTAAAATGACTTCAAACATATGAATTAAGGTTTGGGTTAATTTTATTTTGCCTGATTAAGTTTACTTATCCCCATGGCAAATCGGCATCTGAATTGTCATCCGGCAGGTGTATTCCACACTTTTCGCTTGTCTGTGTGTGTATGAGCGCACAGACCTTCAAGAGCACTCACAAGTCTAACTGCAAGTTTGCCTCTGAGTGCATAGACCTGAAATCTTAATATGCTACTTTTTTTCCTCCATAAACAATACAAAGAAGTTGACAGGTCTGAAAGGGGCTTATGTGAAAAGATAATTAAGAGCTTTAGAGAGTGTCAAGAGTCAATAGCTCAGCACTGTCAGCACTCCGGAGAGTTACAGGCTATAATTAGATGGCATGGAGGTGTAAGGCATGCTTGGCAGTTGATTCCTGCATGATCTCCAAGGGAAAAACAAAGAGCAGCCTCCATGAGATCTCAGGCAAAGTGGAAAACAGACATGCTGGAGTCAAACCTCTCACGCGTCTGCTGTTTTCCCAGGTTGCAGCGTTTGGTGAAGACCTTTTTTGCCTTTTGATTGGCATCTGCATGGGCCTACTGGCCTGTGTTCATCATTCCCACAATCCCCTTGGTTTTGGGGAGCAGACCTTCCTTCAGCTTTGTGAATTAGAGGTCATTTTTGTGGAGTCTGTGAGTACAGCCTGCCCCATGTTCCTATATTCACTTTGGACTCTGAAAAGTTCAAGTTTATGTGAAACAGAGCTAGTTGATCCCTGATAAAAGACCATTTTGCAAAGAGATCCGGAAAAGTCCAGAAGAATCTCTCCCTAAGTAAAGCTGAAGAGACAAAAAGCATGTGCAGAAGTAGATTAAGATGCCCAAAATACTGAAAAGATTATGGAAAACAACCAATCATATGATGTTAACTTTTAAAAAATCAAAATAGTAAAATATGTATAAATAAGTCAAACAGTGTTCTAATTTTTTCCAAATATGTATGTGTATGTGTATGTGTGTATATATGTGGGCCTTCAAAATGTATGTGGAAAGTGCATATTATGAAAAAATCTTTGCATAAATTCCAATTTTTTGCACCCAAATAACTCATACTAACTTGTTACAACATGTCTGACCAGAATCTAGTTTGAGACACTAAGAAGGATAAAACATCAGTTTAAAAAGAGCCCCTGTCAGAGCAACATGAATTCTGCCAAAATTAAAGCAAGAACAAACATCAAATGTATGGTAAAGCTTGGGTGGAAGAACTTTAATCTGAAATCACTGATGTTTTATGAAGTTTATGGAGACAAGGCCTTAATGAAATCAATAGCTCGCAAATGGTTAACTTGTTTTAAGAAGGGACAAGATGATGTTGAAGATGACATCCACATCAGTTTGCCAGAAAAAAATTAATCTTGTGTTCCTAATTTTTTTTTTTTTTTTTTGAGACCAGGTCTTACTTAGTCACCCAGGCTGAAGGGCAGTGGCATGATCATGGCTCACTTCAGCCTCAACCTCCTTGCCTCAAGAGATCCTCCCACCTAAGTCTCCCAACGGGGACTACAGTTGGATATCACTACAACCAGCTAATTTTTCAAAAAAAAATTTCATAGAGACAAGGTGTTGCTATGTTGCCCAGGCTGGTTTTGAACTCCCGGGCTTAAGCAATCCTTCTGCCATGGCCTCCCAAAGTGCTGAGATTACAGGCATGAGCCACTGTGCCCCACCCTTGTTTGTGAACTAGTTGAACAAGATGGGCGACTAACAGCAGAAACAACAGTCAACACCAAAAACATCTCAGTTAGTTCGGCTTACACATTTCTGACAGAAAAATTAAAGTTGAGGAAACTTTTGACTCAATTGTGCCCAGATCAGCTGCAGATAAAAGCAGAATTTTCAGTGGAAATTTTAAACAAGTAGAATCAAGATCTTGAAGCATTTGTTTGAACAATTGTAATGAGATGAAATGTGGCTTTACCAGTATAATCCTGAAGACAAAACAGAATCAAAACAATGACTACCAAGAGGTGGAAAGTGGTCCAGTCAAAGCAAAAGCAGACCAGTCAAGGACAAAGGTCATGGCAAAAGTTTTGTGGGATGCTTAAGCCATTTTGCTTGTTGACCTTATGGAAAGCCAAAGAATGATAAGATCTGCTTATTATGAGAGTGCTTTGGGAAAGTTAACCAAAGCTTTAGCAGAAAAATGACCAGGAAAGCTTCACTAGAGAGTCTTCCACCATGAAAATGCTCCTTCTCACTCTTCTTATAAACAGGGGCAATTTTGTGAGAGTTTCAACAGGAAAGCTTTAGGCTTTAGTCTCCTATAAGACTATGAGATTTGGCTCCTTCTGGTTTTATTGTTGTTGTTGTTGTTTCTTATTCTTAAAAAACTTTTTTAAAGGGCACCTATTTTTCTTCCATTAATAATGTAAAAAAGGTTGCACTGACATGATTAAATTCCCAAGACCCTCAGATCTTTAGGGATGGACTAAACAGCTGATATCATTGCATACCAAAATGTCTTGAACTTGACAGAGTTTATGTTGAGAAATAAGGTTTATATTTTTTATTTTTACCTTTTAATTCATTTTTCCCACAAACTTTTGATGTCCCCTCATATGTATCATATTCCCCATTCCCCTACACGCACACACACACACACACAGCATACATGTAAACATATATATGTATATGTGTGTATACATATATAAAGTTTTATATATATATACATATAAAACTTTTTCACAGATGTTAGTGCTTTAGTGATTTTATTTGGCCTGTGCTTTAGATATACTCAGCCTTTTCATTTGCTCTCCTAGCTCTGGCATGTGTTTTTCAGTTAGATGCAAAATATACCTTGATTTTACTGGTGAACCATCACCTCCATAGATTCCAAAGCACTGTCCATATTATTGAGTCAAAATGCAAGTTTCTAGGTAAATACTGCTGGTCAAAATTTGACCTTAAAAGTTTCTCATTATATAGAAGCTTTAATTGAAAAACAGCATTTAATTGAAAAAATTGCTATTTAATCAGTAATATTTAAGTAAAATGTGCGAACATAATGTCACAAACTGTATAAATACAAAGAAAATATATATGTGACAAAAATTAGCTTGAAATAAACCTGTATGCCCTTAAAACATAACTATTTTTAAAATGATTGAAAATGTATTTCTTGCCTCCAAGAAATCTGACTGTGATCAAAGAATAATCCCACACAGATCTGCTAATTTTTAACATTTCCTTCAAATCTTTTTAGAATAAAAAGTTATAAAATATTACAGATGAAGTTGAAGTCCTCAATAGTTTCATTACCATCTCTCATTCCAAAGGCAATTACTTTAATAAATTTTAAATAATTTACATATATTTTAATCTGTATGTCTGGACAATAATATTGTTATTGTGTCTTCAAAGTTATTTATAAATGGTGTCAAATAAAATATGCCATTCTGTAATTTGTCTTATTTTAGTTAATACTATGCTTTTTGAGATTTAGCCATATTTATATATATCTGTTTCATTTCTTTTAGCTACTATATATTATTCCATTTTGTTTCTTTGTTATCCTGTTGATTAAAAAGTAGGTAGTTCCTAATTTTTCTCTTTAACAAATAGAGTTTGTATGAACATTCAAACATATCTGTATATGGGGGTGAGTTTCCTCATGTAGTTGTAGAATTTAAATTACACCCATTTTGGCAAATTATTCATGTTCACCTAACACTTTGGGTTTTTGGCTCCCAAAGAAAAGTAGATAAGTAAAAATGATCTGATAATGTGAATAGATGTGATTAATACACAATACCTGAATTCAAATCTGTTGAAGTTAAATATTGTATTGCTTAAATAGTTTTCCATATTTTATCATTCCACTGGGTTAGTTTTTGGAGTGATGCATTTAATTAATGAATCTCAGCCATCTTTATCATATTTCTAGAACTCAGATACCACTTAAACCTGTAGATATTTAAGATCACAGCGTCTGCAAGTCCAGGTGCCAGGGTCCTTTAAACTAATCCTAGAATCCAATGACCCTGGATCATGTGGCTTTCACCTCGACAGGCAAGAACATCCAGAATACTTTTTTTTAAGCTTGGTGTTTTTTTTAGAAAAGGAAAGGCAGTGAAGATGAACTCGGGCCCATTTAGAAAGGAAGCAAACATATTAAAAATGGATAGCATTTACTAGCTTTTGTGAACCTCTTCTCCTGCTCTCACTCAGACTTGAAAAAAAAAGTACATTAAGCTTTGCACCTGTCTCTAAGAGCTGTTTGTCATCACTTACTCGTTCCTCATTTTCTTTCATTGAAAACTAACAATAAGTGTGATAAGACTGCTGAACTCAAGTGTAAGCATTAGGTAGGCTGTGATTAGAGCAAGATGAGTTGCTTTAGGCCAAGATCTTCTAACCCCCTTCTAGAAGAAGCCTGTAGAAGCCATCTCTTTCTCCATAACCCTGGACAGCAAGTGACCTCAGGCCCTCATTGTATTTTATAAGGCTATTATATTACACTCTGAATTGTAGTTTTAACCTGTAGTCCCACAAAACTCCCCTCCGAATCTACTTTCCATACTCTCCCCACACTCATTCTTCTGATACTCGGATCAAATCACGCCCTTTAATGCTTAGAAACATTCTGTGATGCTCCACTTTCTTCACACCAGTCACTCTAGGTGAAGTTTAAAGTCTTTAATAAGGAGATTGAGAGCATCCACAATTCAGTCCGAATTAACTTTCCAGGCTCATTGTCATTGATTCTTATTAACTAGTGTTCTCCCAGGACACTCACTGGGTCTCAAATATGCCCTCATCTTTTGTAGCTCTTTGCCTTTGATATAACTATGACTGAAAATCTTCAAGTGACAACATTTTCATGAAATCTTACTTATGCAATAGCAGTTTATATCTTCCTTTCTTGAAGATATTCATTTTTATGAATAAAGATGTAATAAAACACAGCCACATAATCTTTTTTTCTTCTTTTATTTATTTATTTTTTTTACTGGTTCTCACTCTGTCACCCAGGCTAGAGTGCAGTGGTGCAATTATGGCTCAATGCAGCCTTGACCTCCCAAGGCTCGGGTGACCCTCTTACCTCAGCACCCCCGAGTAGCTGGGGCAACAGGCACACACCACCACACCCAGATAATTTTTGTATTTTTAGTAGAGATGAGGTTTTGCCATGTTGCCCAGGCTGGTCTCAAACTCCTGGGCTCAAGTGATCCACCCACCCCAGCCTCCCAAAGTGCTGGAATTACAAGCATGAGCCACCGCACCAGAACAACAGCCACATAGTCCTTTACATATTGCTTATGGATGCTTTCTCTATATGGCAGAGTTGAGTAGTTGTGATAGAGAGTGTATGACACACAAAGCCTAAATATTTACTACACGGCACTTTCCACAGAAAATTTTCTGACCAAATGAATGAAAATGGGCTGTGTGGCAGGGAGAGGCAAGATCAGAGAGCAGCATAAAATGTTTCTAAAAATATTTAGTTATTACTCACATTTGTCATTTCAGGAAATTTTCCCTGTCCTCCATTTCCATTCACATGAAGATAGGAATATATGCAGTTGTTGTCAGCTTTCTTGTCTTTATTGATGGCAAATGATAATAGTGATCAGTCCAAGATAGCTTGAACTGATATTTGGGGTATCTAGCCATCCATCCATCCATCCATCCATCCGTGTACATATATATATATATATATATATATATATATATATATATATATATATATATATATATACACACACACACACACACAGATAAATACATATATATATGCACATATATATGACATATATCATTTTTAATTTTAGACTCTTTTTGGAAAATGCTCAGAAATAAAGAAAACATGATTACCCCCTAATCACACAATTCAAAATTTTAAAAATCACATGAATAGTTTAACCTGACTGCTTTTCAGAATTCAGTCAAGAAATTTGAGGTTTGTGTACCTATACTCATTACTGGCTGAATATCCAAGAGTGGCCTGCATATAATTGCAAGATAACAATATTATAATTCCATTAGAAACAGTCGTACTTATTACATCCTAACTTGTGTTTGTCCTGAAACTCCACCACCTGATGAATATGCAATTAACCTACTTATTACCACAGAAAACATCTCCTTAGAAATACAACACATTCACATAATTTTTAATCTGATCTTCAAAGGCTTTCTGTGGGAAAAAATAATTTTTCCCAATAAGATATATTATTGGAAACACAAGTCTATGTAGCCGATTTGCTACATCATCTGATTTATTTTAATTAGAGGTTAGCTGCTGAATGTGATTACAGTTATAATTATTACAATACCAGTCATCCACACTTTCATTAGCATTCCACTTGATAGTTAGCAATAAGCAGAAATAAAATATTAGGACTTTTAAGAGAAGAGATTACCAATTAGTACAATTCTCCACTGGCACAAGATAATTATTAATTATGATCATCACGGTAATTATTCACCAAGCTAAATTTCACAGGGCTACCTGTGTGCAGATTCTCTCTGTACTGCATTCTGACATCAGCAGTCTTCTTATCTGCTATGGAAATCCTGAAGCAATATTTGTATGAAATACACAGTTGACTGCACACCAAATGGAAGGGCAGCTGCAAAGGTACAGGATGAATCTCCATTTCATTAAAGGATCTCTTCTCTTTGTAGGGCATTGCAAGGGGACTATGTAAAAACATATACCTTCAGAAAAGCATCACTAGTCACATATGTGTTTTCTAATCACATATGATACAACTGTATCAAAACTAGCCCTCTCACTGTCAGCTCTTGCATTCTCCTGATATTGCCATTCACATCAACACCATTTATAAATAAAACAACAACAAATAAAATTTAAGGATTATTGATCGCTCAAGGACTAATATTATGTAAATAAGTTAGAAAAATATCTACAGGCATCATGGTTTTCAAATTACATCGACATCACCACTGATGTACTAAAATATAAAGTCATTATTCAGAAGTATGTTAATTCTTATACATAAATACACTTTATATGATACCACTAGGCTGGGCGTGGTGGCTCTCACCTGTAAACCCAGTACTTTGGGAAGCTGATGTGAGAGGATTGCTTGAGCCCAGGAGTCTGAGAACAGCTTGGGAAACACAAGGAGACCTCGTCTCCACAAAAAATGAAAAAATTACCTAGGCTTGGTGGCATTGGCCTGTGGTTCCAGCTACTTGGGAGGCTGAGGCAGGAGGATCACTTGAGCCCAGCAGGTCGAGGCTGCAGTGAGCTGTGATTGGGCCACTTCACTCCAACCTGGGTGACGGAATAAAACTCAGTCTCAGAAACAAAAAACAAGAAACAAAAAAATCCACCATATTCTGCTCCAGTTTTTCTGTCTGAAGTGAAAGAAGTTTCCGAAGGTTCAAGGGAAATAAACACCAAATGCAACCGGGAAAGAAAGACAATTTGCTGGAGTGGACAGCACTAGATTGGGAATCAGATGAGTCAATACTAGTCTTGACTCCGAATTTACATGGTTACTTTCTTGAGGTAAGTTATTAAACTTCTCAGAGCCTCAGGTTCTTTATTTGCACTTGGGGACAATACCTCTTCTGCCTTTCTTGGGAGGCTGTTAGTCGAGTCAGATGAGACTCTATGCAAAATAATTTTTACAAGCTATGAAGTGTTGTTCAAATATAAGGCAACTTTTAATAATTCAAAAAAATCACATTTAACTTAGACTGTTGAATGTTTCTTGAAAAAATAATTTTAGAGTGTCACATAGCCCAAGTTTATGTTTTTACTCAGTAGACAGGACGGAAAAGTCTAGAACTGTCAAAAATGGAATTAAGGTAAGATATTAGAGTTTCTTCAATCTCTGGATTAGGAATTGGTGACACAAAGTATGAAGCAAGGTTTCGTTGTCTTGGTTTTTGCATATTTAACAGGAAAAGGCAGATAGCTGATGTTTTGAAAAGGAAGAGCATGTGGGCCACCCTACTTCTAGGGGTGGGAGATAGAGGAGAACAACCTCTGGGGAGCCTTTTCAGGGTCAAGATCATCTGCATTAGTCACCCGGATGCACTTCTTTGCTGTGGTGACTGCATCAATCAATGTGCTGCTGATTCTAAAGAGAGGAAAAATAAATTTCAAATGACTTTTTTTCACTGCTGTTCATGTTTGCTGCCAATGTTTGCCTCCATGCTTGAAAACATGAGCAAAGATTTGTTATTTGGAAGAGCTCTATTTCTCATGTTCAAATAGCTTCTGCTCTAATGGGGACTGAGAAGAGATGGGGGACATCCACTATCCAGTGGACATATTTGCTCAACAAAACAAAAAATACCTAAGAGTAAAAGCAAAGCAATTTGTAATGTGGTGTTTGTTATTGCCTACCTATACTTCTTGAGTTGGATCAGAAACAAAGGCAGACAGACATGGCTCAAATTGTCTTTGGGCATTTATCATTTTAAGTGTTTGAAAAGTCCAGCTTCTGTAAATACCAGTGCTATTAAAGATTTATAGATGCAACAGTCATTTTCTTGGTAATTTAATTCTGTTACAAGTTAAAAAAAACTAACATCTATTATAGGCCACATTTCTGAAATATCTGTCAGGAAGAAAATATATATATGAATTTTTTTGCCTTATGAACTGATTATTTTTAGCAGCTTTTATAAGCATAATAATAGTAATTTAAGCAGTTAATTTACCAAAAATCATTTTATTCCAAAACCTGAAAGCCCTCAAATCAAAGGGTTCTCTTTGTCTAAAAAGTTAAATCAAAATAAATGTTTCTAGTTAGTTTTAAGAGGAGAAATTAGGGTTTCTTAATGCTCAAATATTTAGCAAGCTCTCAAGGAGGTGTAGGGGGAAGCAATCTGCCTGTCATAGGAGAGAAAAAAAAAATTAAAGAGCAGAATTTTAAAATTGTACCTCTTGACACCAATAAATAACAAGAGAGAGCTAGTACCATTCTTTAACAGGCGTGCATGCAATACAATAAGCAAATCTGACTCATCTGCCAGCTTGATTGCTTTGTTTAGAATTCCACTGTCAGAGGTAAGGTGGGGGTGAGGGGATTTATGTAAATTAGGCCCTTCCAAGCTGGAAGAAAGTTGGATTATTTAAAAAAAAAAAAAAAACTTTTCCAAGTTTAGAAAGTTAGAAGTGTTTTTGTTCCCACACTCTTCTGAATAGCAGTGACTTGAAGTTCTCAGAATCAGGTTAAAAATATTATCTGGAAACCATGGCTATGAATTTCCACAGATTTCTCAAAGCTTTGAAGGCAACTGTGATCCATATCTTCCTGCCTTTCTGGTATTACCATGTGTGAGTGCTGGGAAGGGAGGGTGGATTTTTGGATGTGATATTTAGTTTCCTGTTTCTAAAATGGGATGAGTGTAATCAATCAGATTAATCTAAGAAATAAACAGTCATTTGTCTGAAGGTTTCGTAAGGTGATGAAACTGCAATTTGTTTATATTCAGTTGGAATTCATAGGAAGGTGCTCCTGGAAATCACTGTCTAGTACTCTAACATTGTGGGCACTTTTGTTTCATTTTGTTTTACAGAATATCAGGGGGCTGGAGTCTAATTCTTAGACTCTGATTCCTTACCCTGATGATCCCCAGGGATCTGCAATAGAGAGATGAATTTAATTCACTTAAAGCATTCTATAGATACAAGCTACATAATACATGTACAGGGTGGGAATGTTGCAGAAATGACACAAATATAGGACAGCATAAGTTCAAACCCACACCAATTGTTGGGGTATTTGAGAGCACACTCTTCTTGAGGGGAGTTTGGTTTCAGGGCAATGGCTGGAGGGTGACTGTGGGGCTCCAGTAGGTTGTCCATTTATGCATCACTGCGATGATCCTCCCTTCTAAGCTTCAGTCTGATCAATAGCCATTCATGAGCTGATTGTGAGAATCCTCCAGCTCCCATAGTGAGTGTCTTAGAGGAAAAGAAGAAGAAAGAGAGCAGACCTCCAAGACTCCATTCCCCTCTGGAAAAGCAGTAAGCCTAAAGGCTAGCAGCAGAGATCTGGGCCTGTGGTTCTCAGGTGTTATGGAGAGGAAGGGCAGCTTTGACCCGTTTTGGTTTGGAGAATATCCGCTGATATCCCTCATCCCAGAGAAGTTAAGGGACAGGGGACTCACTTTCCCTCTCTGTCTGAGGTGGAGCACATGAACATTTGCCACTAAGGAGACCAATCTTTGCTGCTTCCTGTGGTCTTCATGACTTACCAGCTGGAACTTTGTAAGCCTGCAAGGATATAAATGTCTCCCAGAACCCACACATGTTCCAGTATTTAAAGTACTAGCAGCCTGAATTTATATAATAATAAAATACCAAATTGTTATATATTTTCTTCATTATATTTTAACTCAATTTATTATCATTTTATTATTTTTAAAATGCAGGAGTGAAGGGTAGCATGGCTATGCATAGAATCCCCTGTTAGATGGTTACTCTAACATTAATTAATATTGTTCATTGGGAGCTTTGCATGATATAGCTTTAAGCAGAGAATTGGAGAGAAGAATTCATCAACTGTTAATATTTTGCCATATTTGCTTATGTATGTGTTTATCTGTATATATACATGTCTATCTAGGTACATTTTTTTCCTGCACCACATGAAAGTAAGTGATAAACATAACATTACACTACATACTTCAATATATGCTAAGGATAAAAACATTTATTTACCAAAACACAATTTTTCCACATATTAAAAATTATTAATTCACTAATATCGTTTAATACACAGTCTTGCATAATTTTCATTTGCCTGAAGAAAAAATGTTAAGTGTAGCCACTTATTTTAAGCTCAGAATCTAATCAATATTTACTCTTTGGGTTGGTTATATTTGCCTTTAGTCTGTTTTAATCTAGAAATATTATTCACTGAACTTTTAATTTGTTTTTAATAACATTAACTTTTTAAAAATAGTCCAAGTAGATTGCATTGTAGAGCATCCCACATGCTGTATTTGTGTTTCCTCATGCTTAGATTTATGCAAAAGATTTTGGTAAGAACAATCTTCAGTTCTTATAAGTGCTTTGTACTGCTTTACAACCAGGGACTTTTAATGTCAGGTTGCTCCACTATTGATGTTGCCACATATTATCACTTGACTAAGGTGGTGACTCTCATATCTCCTTATTATAATGGTACGTGATTAACTTTGTAATAGTAACTAATCAAATGGATGAAAAGATCATTCTTTGAGAAAGCTTTTTTGGAAAAACCTTCTCTATATTTTGATAAAATAAGCTGTAGAATCCTGCAAATTATAAGAAGTGTAATGGTTATGTGAGATGAGGAATAGGGACAAGTCCTGATGTCATGTACTCCATTTGTGTTCTGGGTTGTTTGACCATTTTATTATCTTAATAATCTTTAGGGGAGACTAATGTCAGAAAGATGGCTTAATAAAAGTTTCCAGCACTTGCCTTCTCACAGAAACATTAATTTGAACGATCATCCTTGCAAAAAACTACCTTCAGAATAATTAAAGGATCAATGTGAGAGATCACTGGACCTGGAGGTGCACAAATAATAAAAGGCACATTGAAGAGAGTAGAAAGAAGAGTTTCACATTACTCATGAGATTCCTCCCTCAAGCTCACACAGTGCAGTATTGAGAGACATATCATCTGCATAAGGAAAGGAGAATGAAGTGAGAACCTGACTTTACCATGGACCCCAGTGCCAGGCCTGCCTCAGTGAACCCCAGAGTCAGACTGGTCCTTGCAGACCCAGTTTCCAGGCCAGCCTCTGTGGGTCTAGGTGCCAGGCCCATCAGCCCATTGACTGAGGAACCAGGCCATCCTACTCTCAGACTCCAGCAACAAGCCCATCATAGATCCTCCCAGCCAGTCTTCTCATAATCTGTGGGAGACGACTAGTGAAGGGCTTTCCCTATAAAGACTGAAAAAGGTGTCTACTTCTTTACATGCACAGACACCAATGCAAGACCACAAGGATCATCAATAATCAAGAAAACATGACACAATCAAAAGAATGAAATAAAGCACAATTAACTGACCTTAAAAACAAACTGCCTAAGAATTAAAAATAATGATTTTTAAGAAGCTCATGAACTACAAGAAAATACAAATAGACAATTAAATGTAATTTGAAAAATAATATGTAAATAAAATTAGAAGTTCAAAAAAGAGAAACCATAAAAAAGAACCAAACAGAAATTCTGGAGCTGAATAACCAATGGTTGAACTAAACTTTCCAGAAGTTCAACCTCAGACTCAAGAAGAAGAGAATCAGTGAGCTCGAAGGCAGTCCATTTAAAATTACCTAGTCAGAGGGGAAAAAAGAATAAGAAAGAGTGAAGAAAGTCTATGGGACTTATAGGACACCATCAAGCAAATCAACATAGACACTACGGAATTTTCAAAAGAGCAGAAAAAAAAAGAGGACAGAAAGCTTATTTTAAAACATAATGACAGAAATCTACCCAGGATTACAGAAGGAAATGAACACTCAAGTTTATGAAGCAAAAAGAACCTCAAGTAAATGTATCATAAACAGATTTTCAATGAGAAACATTATAATCAAACTCTCAAAAATCAAAGACAAAGTGAGAATTTCAAAAGCATCAAGAGAACAGCAGCTCATCACACACAAAGGAACCTCTATAATACTATAAGTGAATTTCTCAGCAGAAACTGCAGGACAGGAGAGAATAGGATGGGATATTCAAAGTGCTGAAGGAAAAAGAAATCGTCAACTGAGAATACTCTACCCAGCAAAATTTTCCTTCAGATATAAAGGAGAAATAAGGGCTTTCCAAGATAAAAAAAAAAGCTGAGGGAGTTCATTACCATTTGAACAATCTTATAAAAAAGACTAAATGGAGTTCTTTATATTGAAAGAAAAGAATGCTAACTAACAACATAAAAACATTAAAAGTACAAAACTCACTGTAAAGGTAAGGATGTAGTAAAATTTAGAATGATCTGATATTGTAATGATGGTATATAAATCACTTTAACTGTAGCATAAAAGTTGAAAAACCAAAAGAATAAAAAATAACTATAGCCACAATAGTTTCTGAATGGATACACAATATAAAAAGATATAACTTGTGACATCAATCACATAAAATGAGAAGGGAGGAAAAGTTAACATGTAGAGTTTTTTTTTTTTTAATGTGGTTGAAGTTCAGTTGTTGTCAGCTTAAAATAGACTGCTGTAACTATAAGGTGTTTTTGTAAGCCTCATGGTAACCACAAGGAAAAAGCCTGTATTAGACACATCAAAGATGGAAAAAGGATTCAAAGCATCCACTACAAAAATACATCAAATCACAAAAGAAGACAGCAAGAGGGGAAGAAAGAAACAAAGGAATGACAAAACAGTAAGAAAATTTTAACAAAGTAGTGATAGTACTTACATCTCTATAATTACTTTAAACAGGAAATGAATTAAATTCTCCAATCAAAAGACAGTGGCTGAATCAATAAAAAGCAAGATCTAACTATATTTTGCCTATAAAACCTACCTTACCTTTGAGGACATATTATCGAAAAAAGATACTCCATGCAAATGACAACAAAAAAAGAGTGGTGGTAGCTTTACTAATATCAGAAAACAATAACTTTAAGTCAAAATTGTCAAAAGAGACAAATAAGGTGATATATAATGATAAAAGGATAGGTCCATCAAGAGGATATAACAATTGTAAATATATGATGCACCCAACATCAGAGCACCCAAAGATATAAGAACTGAAGGGAGAATTGAACAGCAATATAGTAATAGTAGAAGACTTCAGTACCTTATTTTTAACAATACATAGATCATCTGACAGAAAATCAATAAGGTACAGTAGACTAGAATAATATTATGGGCCACATGTACGTAATGCACATATGTGGGACATTCCACCCAACAGCAGCAGAATGCACATTCTTTTCAAGTGCACATGGAATATTCTCCCAGATAGATTATATCTTAGGTGGCAAGCAAGTCTTAATGTATTTAAGAAGATTGAAATTATATCAAATATCTTTTGCAAACACAATGATATGAAACTAAAAACCAATAACAAAAGGAAAATTAGAAAATTTACAAATATGCAAAAATTTAACCTCACACACCTGAACAACCAATGGGTCAAAGAGGAAATTAAAGGAAAAAATTTAAAAATAAGTTCGACAAACAAAGAAATAAAAACAAAAATAGAAACACACTCTGCCAAATCTTATGGGATGCAGCAAAGTCAGTTTTGAGAGGGAAGTTTATATTGATGATAAACAGTTACATTAAGAAAAAAAAAGATCTCAGATAAACAATCTAACTTTATGCCTCAAAAAACTAAAAACAAAAGGAAAAAATTAAGCCCCAAATTACCAGAAGGAAGAAAATAATAGTTAGGGAAAAACACATGAAATAGAGACCAGAAAAACAATTAAAAAGATTAATAAAACTGAGTTTTCTTTTGAAAAAAGAGAATATTCAAATAAAATATAATGGAAAAGGAGACATTGCAACTAATGCCACAGTAATATAAAAATACAAAGTATTATAAGAGATTACTATGAACAACTATATGCCAACAAATTGTAAAGCCTAGAAGAAATGGATTAATTCCTAGGAGCATACAACCTATACAAATTGAATAATGAAGAAATAGAAAATCTGAACAGACCAATAATGAGTAAAGAGATTGAATCAATAATAAAAATATCTCACAAGAATGAAAAGCCCAGGACCTGATGGCTTCACTGGTGAATCTAGAAAACATTTAAAGAAGAATAAATACCAATTTTTCCCAAACTCTTCCAAAAAATTCAAGAGAAAGGAATACTTCCAAACTCATTTGATGAGGCAGCATTACCCTGAAACCAAAGGCAGACAAGAACACCACAAGAGAAAAAACTTACAGGCCAGTATCCCTGATGAGCATAGATGCAAAACTCCTCAACAAAATATAAGCAAACAAAATTTAAAGGATTATATAACATGATCAAGTGAAATTTAACCTTAGGATGCAAGGATGATTACACATATGCAAATCAATAAATGTAACACACCACATTAGCAGAATAAAGTATAAAAATCATACGATTATCTCAGTAAATACAGAAAGGGAACTTGACAAAACCCAACATTATTTCATAATTAAAAAAAATCTCAACAAACTTGCTGTACAAGACATAACCTCAACATAATAAAGACTTTGCGTGACAAACCCACAGTTAACATACTCATTGGTGAAAGTTGAAAGCTTTGCTTCTGAGATTAGGAACAAGACAAGGAAGCCCACTTTTGTCATTTCTAGTCAATATAGTACTGGAAGTCTTAGAATAGTTAGGTAAGAAAAAGACAAGAGTCATTCAAATAGGAAAGAAAGAAGTAAAATAGTCTCTTTTGCAAACAACATAATTTTATATATAGAAACCCTAAGGACACCACCAAAAATCTGTTAGAACGAATAAGTGAATTCAGTAGAATTATAGGATACAAAACCAACATATGAAAATTAGTTAGCTGTGTTTTCATACATGAAAAACAAACTATCCAAAAAATAAAGAAAACAATTCCATTTACAGTAGCATAAAAATACTTAGGAACAAGTTTAACCAAGGAAGTGAAAAATCTGTACAATAAAAATCAGAAAACATTGATGAAAAAGTTGAAGAAGACATAAATAAATGTAAAGATATCCTGTATTCAAGAATTGGAAGAATTAATATGGTTAAAATGTCCATACAATCCAAAGCAATCTACAGATTCAATGGAATCCATATCAAAATTTCAATGACATTTTCCAAAGAAATAGAAAAAAATCCTAAAATCTGTATGAAACCACAAATCCCTCAAATATACAAAGAAATCTTGAGTAAAAAGAACAAAGCTAGAGGCCACACACTACCTGATTTCAAAATATACTACAAAATTAAAATAATCAAAATAACATGGTACTAGCATTAAAGCAGTCATATACACCAATGAAACAGAATAGAGAGCCCGGAAATAAACCCATGCATTTACAGTCAATTGATATTTGACAAAAGTGCCAAGAACACGCTTTGGGGCAAGGTTACAGTGCTCAATTAATGGTGCTGGGAAAACTAGATATCTGCCTAAAAATAATAAACTGGAACACTTTTGTCAAACCCATATATAAAAAGTCAACTCAAAATGGATCAAATACTTGAATGTAGGACCTGAAACTAAAACTACTAGAAGAAAACCTGGAGAAAAGCTCCATGACATTGGTTTGGACAAAGATTTGTTGGGTATAACCTTAAAAGCACCTTCAAAAAAAGTAAAAATAGACAAATTGAATTACATCGATACAAACAGGAGATAGGGAAATACTGGGGAGAAGACAGTGGTTCCCCAGCAAATGCCCCACCCTCAAGCCTGATGGGCAAAGGGCCTGAATAGACATTTCTCAAAAAAAGACATCCAAATGGCCAACAGATATGTGAAAAAATGCCTAACATTACTAATCATTGGGAAAATGCAAATCAAAACCACAGTGAGATACTGCCTCACACCCGTTAGGATGGCTATCATAAGAAAGACAAAAGATTACAAGTAGTGGTGAGGGTGTGAAGAAAAGGGAAACCCTAGAATATAAATTGAGGTGGCCATTATGGAAAACAGTATGGAGGATCCTTAAAAAATTAAAAATACACCTACCTTATAATTCAGCAATCTCACTTCTGGGTATATATTTAAAGTAAATGAAATCAGTGTGCAAAAGAATTATCTGCACTCCCATGTTCATTGCAGCATTATTCATAATAGTCAACATATGGAATCAACCTATGTGCCAGTCAATAGATGAATGGAAAATGAAAATGTAGTATGTATACAATAGAATATTATTCAGCCTCAAAAAAAAAAAAAGAAGAAAGAAATCCTGTCATTTGTGACAACATGGAAGAACCTAGAGGACATTCTGCTAAGCAAAATAAGCCAGGCACAGAAAGACAGATACCGCATGGCCCCACTTATATGTAGAATTGAAAAGAGTAGAGCACATAGAAGAAAAGAGTAGAATGGTGGTTGCCAAGGACTGAGGGGGTGGGGAAATAAGGAGATGTTGGTCAAAGGGTTTCAGTTATGCAGGATAAATAATGTGTAGAGCTAATGTGTAGCATGGTGACTATAATTGATAATAATATATTGCATAATGGAAATTTGCTAAGAGAGTTCATCTTAAATGCTGTTACCACACCAAAAAATGGTAGCCTTGTTAGGTGATGGATATGTTAATTACCTTAATAGTGGTAATAATTTCACAATGTATACATATATCAAAACATCACATTAAATATATACGTAATGTCCCTTGACTTTTGAAGACAGCTATGATAGATCTCTTGAGTTTATTAAAAAAAAAAAACATGACATATCCATTCCCCAGTCATCCTGGGCCAATGAGTAGCCTGTGGTGGGGTAGCATGAAAAGTTGCACTATAACCAATCCCAACATAGCCAAATACCTTAGTGTATAAAAGGAAATCAGTTGACTCGTTTTATTCCATATATATTAGAAAGCTGGATTTTAGAAATTATTCTTTTTAGAAAATAATGTATCAACATCAGGGGAAGTAAAACAAATAATCCACATTTATATTATCTAGTCTCAAAAGCACAAATGTTCTTATGTGCTCAGTGTCCTCACTAGGAAGAAGGAATATGTGGAGTTAGAAGAGCTGAGTGTGTGTGACAGTGAACAAGTTCTGGGTTACTTTTACTACTATTTGCTTAAAAAACAGAAATAATGTTGGTTATATCACAGGGTTGTTATAAAAATTAAATGAGATAGTGTGCTTGATGGGCATAACATAGTGCTTGATTATGTCCTGGAAAGTGTTCACTGAATTATTTTTATTTTTGGTTTCAAGATGGGGTCTCACTCTGTTGACTAGGCTGGAGTGCAGTAGCACAATCACAGCCCACTGCAACCTCAAAGTGCTAGGCTCAAGCCATGCTCCTTCCTCAGCCTCTGGAGTATCTAGGATTACAGGTGTGTGCCACCATGCCTGGGTAATTTTGTGCATGTGTAGAAATGGGGCTCTGACTATGTCCCCCAGGTTGGTCTTGAATGCCTGGCCTCAAGTAATCTTCCTGCCTCTCCCTCCCAAAGGGTTAGGATTACAGGTGTGAGCCACCACACACAGATTTTTTTTTTCTAATATCACTGTTTTTATGGTAAAAATACACCAATCTTTACAAAACTGGAAAAAGAATGAGCATGAAATTTTAAGAAGATATTAATATTTTTCCTGTTTCAAATATAGGCTTACATTTTATTATAAGCAGTAAATTTGGCACTTCCTGTGTCTTAATTTGGCTTATTGAATAGCTAATAAGTATTGTAAGACCAAATTTCAAAACAATCTGCATTGTAGTTTATCTAACTTACACATGGCCGCATGCATCGTTCTATGTTCCCATCTTCACAACAAGATTAATAATGCCTTGTTTTTTAAACAACTGTGGAAATATCAGGAATGGTAATTCCATTTTAGAAAAAAATAAGCTATTAAGAGTGGCTACTTTTCTAAACAAATAGAAAATTGCTATTTACTTCTTAGAAAATACAACAAGGAGTCAAAACAAAGCTGAACTGTGCAATTTAATATCCATGTTCAAAAGAGATTGGTATTTTGGATTCTTTGAATAGTGACTAGCCTTCCAAACAAAATAGTGTTTAGGGATTCTTGACAGTTTTGGAAATTTATATTCTAAGTGGCTTACAGTAAAAAATATGAATCCAGGGTGTATTTCATCTGAATTAATCTTTTGGAAGTGATGGCACGATATGCAGATGAGCGAGAAGATATAGGCAGAGGAGCCTGGGTTGCAGTGGTAGTGCTGCCACCATGGTTGCTGATTGAGAGATAAGGGAAACAAACGGGTCTTTCTTCCACTGAACTCATGGGGCTGGGCGGAACAAAGAAAGGAAATTTTTTTTTTTCACCTTTCCCTCCTGTTTCACATTCTTTCTGACCTGTGCCCAAGGATATCAGTGCTTAAACATATTAAGATACAGACATCAAGACTGACATCTCAACGTCGTTATCTTCACCAGCAAGCAAAGCCAGATGACATCAGTGGTGTGGCTACACCCAAAGCATGTGGGACCGTATCTCCTGGTGTCATCAGAAAGTGTCAGAACTTTGCGGTAGTTATTTGTTGAAGCATTAGGGAAGAGGCATATGAGTTATTCCTACTATTATCTTGCAAATTGATTGCTTATGAAAACGTTGATGGCATGATCTGCATGTGTACCTGAATAATGCTAAAGAGGCTGCTGCTTTGAAAGTTCCAGAGGCATCCTCTGACTGCTACTGAGATATCCAAAGGAATACATGTGGGGTATTAACATTATTGATAATGATGGTGACATTTTTAATCAAAATTTTTTACCTAACCCACGTACTTGTCAATTAATGGAGGAAATTCCATGTGTGGGAAATGTTAGGATTTCAGATTTTGTAGTAATATGGATAATTATTGTGAATATGATACATAGAAATGTATATAGTAATCACATTTGGAAGTAGTTGAGAAATTGTTCAAGGCACTGATCTAGTGATTCTCTAAGTCAAGGGTAAGTTGGAAAATTGAGTTTAGCTTTGAAAATCTTTTTGATTTTGTTGGTGCTGTGGAGTATGGGGCCTTGGTTTATATAGAAAACCACCAGCAGGTTAAGTAGTAAAATCTGGGGCATTATATCAACTAGCTTTTGCTAGATAAGAGTACCCCAAAACTTAAATGCTTAAGACAATAACAACTAATTATTTGGCTCATAATCTGTGGGTCAGAAGTTTGGACTGGGCTTCACCGGGTGGTTCTTCTGCTTTTGGGGTCAGCTCTGTCACACGTTTATATTCAGCTGCTTGGTTAGCTGAGTTGGCTCCTGAGGATGGCCTTTAGCTGTGACAGTTAACTCCTGTACACAGTGTCTCATCCTCCAGCAGGGTAGCTCAGGTTTCTCACAAGGCAGATGGGCAAGTTTCCAAAACGGCAAGCAAACATGTATGTGACGTGTTATGGTCTCGGCTTGGAAGAAGCACAACATCCCTTTTACCCCATGTTATTCACCAGAGAAAATCACAAGTCTATTTCAGATTCAAGGAGTGTGAAACTAGACTCCACCTCAAAATGGAAAACACCACAAAGTTACATTGTAAAGACTGTGGCTTAGGAAGGGAAATATTGTGGCCATTTTTATAGCCTATCAAAGGCCTCCTTCAGGTGACTGAAGTTTAGTTTGGTCTGTGTTACCCAGGCTCTTTTCATTTCTATTAAAAAGACAACCAACCTTTTGGGCTGACTTTATTAGTAGTAGTAGTAGTAGTAGTATTTTTGAGTCAGTCTTGCTCTGTCACCCAGGCTGGAGTGCAGTGGTGTGATCTGGGCTTACTGCAGCCTCAACCTCCTGTGCTTGGGTCATCCTCCCACCTCAGCTTCCCCAGTAGCTGGAACTACAAGTATGTACCACAATGCCCAGCTAAATTTTTTGTACTTTTTGTAGAGACAGGTTTTCGCCATGTTGCCCAGGCTGGTCTCAAATTCCTGGACTCAAGCAATCTGCCTACCTCAGCTTTGCAAAGTGTGAGGATTACAGGTGTGAGCCACTGCACCCAGCCTAGCTAACTTTATTCTAATGATCTCCCAGGAATGGGGAAATACTAGTGATCTAATATTGATCTCTAACAAAATCAATTAATGGATGTAGAGGTCATGTCCTTTGAGGTAGTATAAATCAGTTCCATGAGTTAGATATTTTGGAACAATCAAGAGTTTCAAGATGGCTCCAGAAATTGGAAGGATCAAAAACAAATAGTTAAACTGTAGCTGAAGCCAGCTGGTGCTCTTGGGCAGTGGGGATGAGCTGAGCAAGTGGTAATATATTCAGAAATATGAGTTGGGCTGGATATTGCCATGCATGATTCTCTTTTGAATCTGTACAAAATGATTCATGCTCATTTTTTATTTTTAATTTTGCCTGCAAGCTAGGTAAAATAAAAAGCAGTGAAATGTAATGTTTTGAAATAATCCCATAGTTTTCAAGTGCTCTTGAGCAATAGAAAGCAACAGGGCTCCATGTGCTTTTCTCCACAGACTTAATACTTATTGTTTATGCTGCCTAGAACAGTTTTCTTTAATTGATACTTGGCTTGATATCCTTTTAAATTATTAAAAATTGGAGGCACTCATTAAATAAGAGATTAAAAGACATGGTAGACACAGCTAATTATTAAAGGCCCAAGAAGGGACATGAAACGCATTTTATCTGAGGCTTTAGTGGATTGTTAAAGTAAATGAATGGTTTAGTGATAAACCAGTCAGAGTTAATCAATTGAGAAAAACGATAGGGAAGCTATTTGAGTCCAGATTTGAAGGGTTTATAAGTAATCATAGAGACTTACAGCTGCTCCCTACTTCTTTAATTTTAGACTCTTGAGCTGCTAATTGGTCAGGAAATTGGGTCTAAGCTCCAGAGTGGTAACTAGAGGAAGGCGGCTTAGGGGTCTTTGTGGGGAAGGTCTGCATGGCTAACCATTAGCAGATCAGAAGCTAGAGAGAATTCTTTTGTGGCACATTGTGATTTAAAGGCTGTCATCATTCTAGAGACAAAGCTCTGAGGAGGCCTATTTTCAACTTCTTCACTTCCTGAGCTTCTCAACCTCTCAACTGCTCCCTTAATTTCCAAATAATGAGCAGTGTATTATTTTTGCCTGCTTACTAAGATGGAATGTTGGTTGTTGACATAGCCACTGCTGGCCAGTGAGATTAGTAACATGATACAGAGATTTTCACCACTTAGAAGTCACTGGCTCAACATGGCTCAGATAGGTAATGACTTAAAGTTATTCTGACCTGACAGCTGTTTAGAGGCCCATTTGAAGTGAACTATTTCTCAGTTCGCTTCCAGACAGGGGACACGTTGCTGCTGTGGATTGCAAATGTCATCTCTGTTGGAATCTTACATAGCAGTAAGGCTCAGTGTTGAGTCATCATCACCAAGGCTAAAATAACATGTTCCCTAGAATTAGGAACATTTGGCTGGCTTTTGTGTAAAGGTTTTGAGCCCTGTGGAAAAATAATATTGAGTTAGTTTCTCCCCAGAGTCAGAGTCACTCTACTTACAAGCTTAATACCAGTAACTAGTTCAACACACCAGGGCACCATTTAATGCATTACCAACAATCCACCGAATCTTCAAAGAAGATACATTTAATGTCCTGTCCTTGGGCCTTCAACAATTAGCCACATCTACCATGCTTTTTAATCACTTATTTAATGAACATCTCTGATTAGAAATAAGTGTCTGCCAGCCACCTAAGGAGTGATTTAGGCACTAGAAAAGATAGGGTTCAGAGGTTTTAAATCACCAAGGACTCAGTAATTTCCAGCTTCATAAAATTCATGTTGAAAATGCACATAGTTCAAAGAAAACAGCCTAAGCAGATTGCAACAGAAAGCGTGAGAGTAGAATGGGATGGTAATTAGGGAAATGGAATATGACACATTAGTTAATAATAAAACTTTGTTTAAAAACTGCTTGCATTTAAAGTGGCTATGACAGAAGGACATACTCCAGCTACAGAGTTTCTAGTCTTTGAGTGTAGCTCTTCTAATCGTGTGCCTGCCTTTACATCAAGGAGTCTAAAACACTTTTTGCGACATAACGTCTCTTTTCACTGTTTGGTGATTGTGATTATATCCAATGCATGTCTATTGTAAGAAACATAATAACTTGTTTCTGATTTTATATTAAACTTAGTGCTGATGTTACTGCAAAGTATGCAAAGACATTCACCTGTGAGGTTAATTTCTTATGTTTAATCTTTCTAAATTATAATTAATCTTTCTAAATTATACTCTTTCAAATCTTATTATGTATTCTCTTTTATGTATTCCTGTCATACCTTCACAGCTAATCTGTACTTCCTTGGAAAGCAGTGCACATATTTTTTTTCTTGCCTTTATACACCCTCACGCTGCTTATCCACCTTCACACCCGGCACACATGTGCTGAGAATATGGTCAGTGGCTGATGAATGAATTTTTAAAGTCACTTTTGAGCTCCTTTGGACATAGGATTAAATTACTGTCATGACTATTATTGCTATTTGCCACACAGCCCTAAGTTTAAGGCAGGAGCAAGAGACTATGATTCTTCTCAACCTCCACCCATCCTATTTATGGACACAAGGCGTTGGTATAGAAAGCGTGTGCCCTGAGAGTTCTCAACCTGTCATGTTTTGGGAATCTTCTGGCTTCTTAAGGTTCGGAGAACTCATAAACTGGTATAAAAATTTTGTGAGGTTTGGGAGGCCGAGGCAGGTGGATCATCTGAGGTGAGGAGTTCGAGATCAGCCTGGCCAACATGGTGAAACCCCGTCTCTACTAATAATACAAAAATTAGCTGGGCATGGTGGTACACGCCTGTAATCCCAGCTACTCAGGAGGCTGAGGCAGGAGAATTGCTTGAACCCGAGAGGCAGAGGTTGCAGTGAGCCGAGATCGTGCCACTGCACTCCAGCCTGGGCGACAGAGCGAGACTCTGTCTCAAAAAAAAAAAAAAAAATTGTTAGCTAAACATCGTACAAAATGAGTGCTTTAAACAGAGACTCATAGAGAAGCCAAAGGAATGAGGATATAGAGACCTCATTTTAGTCATACTGCTTTCCCTAGGGAAGCAGATAATTTCCTCATTTATTTTGTTCCTTCTTTATTCAATACCTGTGCTGCAGCTGGGATTCTATGCTGTGCTGAATGTAGAGTCCTGTGTCTTTTGATGTCACCCTCATCTTGTGATGCAATGATGTTTAAGATATTTCTGTCTTTTATTATCTGTGTAAACAGGATGTTTTCAATTTTCTTTTCTCTGGACTTCTATTCATCTTTTTCTCTTCCCTCCCACCCACCAGAAACCAAATTAGAACATAAAGACTTCTATTCATCCTTCAAAACTTTTCTCATACTTTATTTTCTTTGCAATACCTTTCCCCAGCGCTAATCAACAATTGTTCATTGACTTGCCTGTGTTCTAATAAAACTTTGGTTTTGGCTTTGCTATTGTAAAGTATCATTGACTCACAAATGTGTGCTTCTTTTACTACTACATGAACTTTTGGGTGGCAAAAATGATGTCTGTAATTGTCATTGTATCAGTGCTGCACTCTCTATTCTCTTCCTTCCCAGTGCCAGGGATATATACAGAGCCACGCAGTACTCAATAAGCATTGTGAAATGTACTGAATTTGGGAAAAAAATAAGATTTTCTTTAAAAATTTCAGAGGAAACATGACTCAGCATTGATACCAAAATTATAGTTTGTTTTCCATTGAAAATAATCTCACAGTTAATGGGAAATTTTAATGTGATTATTGCAGATAAACTAACACAATATATAAAATGCCTCTAAATGTAATACTATTCTAATAAATTTCACTGCAAAATTATATAATTAATATTGCCAGTTTTCAGAATGTTTAAGGAATAACAAAAATTGTAATGAACTTGTAATAATTTCATTAAGATGATGGCTTAGAAGCTACTCATATGATAAACTTATCATAAGATAGTTTTAGAGGATGAAAAACTAAACCCATTACAAATAAACCTAGTAGAATGGGTAAGGAATTGCTATGTAGGAAAAAGGCCAAGAAATAGGGTGTTTTGATTATCATTAAATTCACTCCTAAGTTGATAACTGTAATACTTTGTTAGAAAAGCAATGCATGGAGTTGGCTTGCTTAATTTCCTCAAGTCTACACTCTATAACATATCATTCATGAAGTGACTTTGGTGTCTTAATGACATGCTGATGCTGAGTGTGTTCTCCTGGACCAGCAGTGTTTGTATTCCCTGGGAGTTTGTTGGAAACGCAGACTCTAGAGCACCTCTCCAGACGTTTGCCTCAGTAGCTTCATTTTAACAAAAGTCCCAGGTGATTCCCACGTACAATAAAACTGAGTCACACTTGTCTTAATGTATGTCATTGAAATATGCATGATAATTACGGAAGATTAAGCCCATTTGAACAAATAATCAATTGTCATTGTCTTCCAACAAAGGAGAAGGACATACATATTTAACACAACAGCTTTCTGGATATCTTTTACTAGGATAGCAGTATTTATCTGAAAATCATTTTATATCTTCTGAAATTTATTGTGCAACTGCCAGAAGGGGGGAAAAAAGGAATACCAAGTAGTCCACTTAAAATAACCATTGTTTTCATTTCATTCTGTCAAGAAGTGACATTTTCAATCAAAAGTTTAAAAAATAGGAACATTTTTGGATGCTTGCTAGCATCTTTAATTTAGGTAGTATATTTCAGTCTACCCAAGCAGTATTTCCAGAGCAGGTACTTTAGACTTGTGATATGCATAGAAAATCCTGCTCACAGGGTATACAAATGTACTGGATTATTAGGGAAACTTCAGGAGTTAAATTTCACTTTGACATCTGGGTGTTTTTGATTGACTGGTAAGGCTAAAACCTGAGTGAATAGTCCACAGTTAGATCATGGTTTTCTTCTATTGTTGTAAATGTTAGTTCCATTCAGATTTTATTCAAATCCTAGGTTGTAAGTATTCCTGCAGTTTTCTAGACAAAAACCATGTAAGACATAATAAAAACCAAAGTGTAGACTCAATAAAGAAACCTGGTGTAACCTACTCTTTTGCTTTCTTTCTTTCATTTTGCATTTTTTTAAAAAAATGAGATTCTTTGTTGGAGAAATTCCCATGTGTTTTATTTGTCTCTATTGTGAAGCGAGGAGCAATATTAGGCAGTGTGATTCTAGGATCTGTTAATGAGGGTAAATACCAATCACTCAGCCCAAATGTAAAGATATTTGGCTTTAGAATTTTCAGAGTCAAACCAGTGGTGTTAAACCTGTTTTATTCTGATTGTTACAAAACTACTTCCATTCCCTGCTGTCATCTCAAACAACTTTCTCTGGAAAATCCTCCTGTCAAATACTTGTTTCCCCCCTCCCCCACCCCACCCTAAGTCAATCAAACACATGAAACTTCTTAGGTTCATCCCCTACTAATGTCCAAGTCCAACCCCATCTAATTGCAGTAATGGAGATTTACTTTTGAGCTATTCTGAGGGATGGTTTTATCTACTGGGTGGCAGAGACCCTTTCATGCAGCAGCAAAATATAAGTATCCCAATATGCCCTTTTCATTCTCCTTTCCAGGGCCCAGAGCATGAGATCAGATCAACTCAAATCTCTGAGAAATAGTGCTTTCTACTGGTAGTTATTATTCTGCTCATTTTTAAAGTTACCTTAATTTTTTTTCTCTCCTTGTTGCGCTGACAGCCTGAGGCATCGAGAAATACAAACCCATCCCAAAACACATCCAGACATTTGCTTGTCATGCCTTATGTTTGTATTTTTGACCGTTTGAAAATTAATTAAGAGATGTTGATTTCAAAGTGTTTTTTCTAAGTTTCCCAAATATTTAAACAATTTTTACACACTTTTTAAAATTTCCCCTTTCTCTGTTTGTAATAAGATTAATTATGTGAGGTGCACCGCTGCTTATCCCCATGAAAGAAAATCTAAAACGAGGGATTTCAGCTTCAAGAAGGCTATTTTGTCCTGTTTCCGATGTTCTAAGGGGATTAATTTACCATATCGTATAGCCCTGGAAGACTGTGATAATTGAAAACATCCATATTCATTGCATGTTCAAAGGGATCTGTCTGACTTTGTAATGTAAAAAGTGCATTTTTAACCTGAACGGGGACCTGCATCTGCTATTGCTTAATCCTATTAGTCCGACAGTTCCAAAGCTTTAGTGTATAATCATTAGCTCGTGTTAATCCTGAGACATGCCTCCAGCTTCAGCCTGCCAGAAGGAATCCCTGCAGGGAAAATGTGGAGGTGCTGATAGCACAACACCAACTAATCTTATCTTAAATGCTAGCAGCAGCCTCTATCTGTGATAGCCGGGGAATTAAAAACAAATTTTTTATGGGTATTGGATAGCAGGGTGTTCCTAACCACATCCCCCTACCCACCAGCCTCTCTCTCTCAGCTTTTTCCTTGCCCTAGTTTCCCTAGATTATTTGTTAGGGTGATGCTAGTGATGACAGAACAGGATGAATGGAAACGGGGTGGGCGAAGAAACATTTAAGATACTGTTTCAGCAGTGGAAGCTCCTTGCTAAATCACTTAGGATACTTGCCAGGTCTTCTATCATTTTTATTCCTTGATGTCAGAAAGTTGAGCCAATCCTGTCCTTTGCACTGCTGTGGATTATAAAGTAAGATGACAAAATTTATCTTACAGTCATCACCCCTCCCATGGCATGGCCTCCTGAGAGTCTAAGATCTAGGACCCCAGATACTGATACAAGCTTGCCTAAGTAGAAAGGTAAGCTGCCATAGAGTGGTGAGGCTAGCAGGTGAGGATTTCATGGGTGGGGAAGAAAATGGCCATGGGGGATTTTGAGAGTAGGAGAAAGTGTGGGTTTGCGGATGCTGTAAGAGGTATATAGAAATGTTGTTACTGAGTAGAGTTTAAAGCTGTGTATTTTAGATATAGCTGAAATACAGTTGGGGTAGAACACCCATCAAGGGTACTGTCACTTTGGAAGGGGAGGTTTCTACAGAATGAAAGAGAATATTTAGTCATTTATGTAACCGTTGTTAATTTGACAATCAATATATGCTAATCAGTGGGATTCCAACAGTGAATGTGGCCCCCACCAGTGATTGTGGTCCTCACTCCCATAGAACTTAGAGTGGTGGTCTAGACACAGTTAGTAAACCAATAAACAAAGAAAAAATGGGCACAAAATAAACAATTATACACTATAATAAATTCTAAAGCGTTGTGGTCCATATCCTAAGAGCTCTTTGCCTGGATGTTGTAAATTCAGCTTGGTCATTGGTAAAATGCCTCCAAGGAGGCTTCTTGACAGTGGCATGGTCCTCCTTTTCATATAATTTATCAAAGTTTATTCACCTCCTAAAGAGCCTGGAAATAGCCGGAGGTTACACTCTTTCTTTACCCATCTAAGTTTACTCTTTATTAATTAAAGTTTAGAGGTATTTCTAAATTCATGCATTTTTCCAATGGCATGAATTCTGGCAACATCATGTAGACCTAGTGCAACTGGCAATCAAATAATATGATTTTACTTATGGTGTTTTCTGTTGTGTGGTGGTTCTCATACTATTGGTGGGATGTGAGAGAAACACCTTTTGCTTTAATATTTATATATGTCCTATTATAGATACCTTCTATTTATGACAATGATTTGAAGTTTCTCTTTCAAATTCATTGAGGTAAAGACAGTGAGTGATTTGTCTTAAAAATATTAAGTGAGTTATGAATAGTATAGAAGTTGTAAATGTATGGCAAAAATCTTGAGTCTGGTACTTGGATTTCTTAGTATATGAACAACTACACTGCAAAAATACAATTTTTCTTTTTTATAAAGTAGCGATGATGCAGGACTTGTTGTTCCTTAGCTCTGGTAGGTTTGGGTTCTTGTTTCATGACCAGGAAGAAGTGGACACAAGGATGCTCAAAGAGTGAGCAAGATGGGAAGTTTTATTGAGTGATAAAACAGATGTTAGCAGGGAGGGGTATGGGGTTGTCCCTCTCCTGAAGGCAAGGCAGGAGAGTTCTCAATATGGCTGAGCCTGGGGCTTTTTATGGGCTCAGAATAGGGAGTGTGTGCTAATTGGTTTGTGAGTATGCAAAAAAGGTCAAAGTGAAGATGCCACTCAAAGGTAAGCGTGACAGTGTAGAAAACCAATTAGGAAAGGGTAAGCGTATGTAAAATAGGTAAAGGATGGAGATCAATCAGAGCAAAGTACACCAAACGAGAAGGTGCGTTCTCAAACTGGTTGGAGGATTTAACATGTAGCTTGGCTTTCAGGCTTTAAACTGTCTTGGCTTGGAGGTGGGGTTTTGCCAGGGACCCGCTCCTATCTGCCTATGCATTTGGCTGCCTCCCATTGCTGTCAGTAAGGATTGGTAATTCTCCAGTCATAACTGGGAAAGAAAGAGTTATTGCACTTTCTGCAGACACATACAGCTGTCTTGGTTGAGTAGTTGATCCATCAGGTAATATGCTATTTGTTTGATTAGAGTTACCAGTTGCAATGAACTGAATGTTTGTGTCCCATCAAAATTCATATGTTGAAATCCTAATGCACAATTGATGGTATTAGGAAGGGGGGACTTTGGGAGCTAATTAGGTCATAAGGTTGGAGCTCTCATAAATGAGACCAGTGCCCTTATAAAAGACATCCCACAGAGCTCCCTGGTCCTCTCTTCTTCCTGTGAGGACACAGCAAGAAGTTGGCCATCTGCAAACCGGAAAAGGGCCCTCAACAGAACCTAACCATGCTGGCACCCTGACCTTGGACTTCCCAGTTTCCAGAACTTGAAAAATAACTTTTGTGTTGTTTTTAAACCACCCCAGTCTGAAGTGTTTTGTTATAGCAGCCAGAACTGACTAACACATCAGTGTTGAGCTGTGTTGCAAGTAAGCTGCCTTGACAATATCAAAGTTGGTAACAAGAAAGAAGAGATTCTTGGATGTATAAATGGAAGGACAACTGAAAAAATAAGCAGCTTCTTTTTATTTTGGTTCATTTTAATTAATTAATTCATTATTTTTAGTTTCCTTAGCAAATACAATTATATATTAATCACCTTTTTATTATAGTTCCCGAAGGACAAAAAAGTAGGTTTTTCTCTACCTCCTAAATACTGCCTTTCTACTCCTGATACTATTGCTTTGAAGACAACTGCAAACTTATAGCAGAACTCAACACACAGAATGTCTTAGAAGAAATCCACCATATCATTTATTTCTTTGCCTCCAAGAACATGCCAGGAAAATCCCCTGTAATTAGATTTTAGGTGTCATCCAAACAAGAATTGCCAAATTATTAATCTTGATGTTTCACTTTTCACTTCCTCATACATCCTTCCTTTGCTGCTCTGTTGAAAGGGGCTTCTTAGAGTTTCTAAAATTAAAACCCTCTAATTAGATTTACTCAGATGATCAGTGTGCCACTCAATGAGTTAATACTTATTCAACATGATCCCTGCCATGTGCCTTGCTAGAAACTGAGCATATAAAAATGTGAGACAGAGGCTCTGCCCTCCACGAACTTACTCTTTAATAGAGGAGAGGTAGTATCTACACATCTACTTTTTATAAAGGGTAGACAGTGTAAAAATGGGGATTTTGCAGAACTGAATATTGTTGCTAGCTGGAGAGACAAGGAAGTGTTCCATTTCAGTGGTTGCCAGCCCTGATTGCAGATTAGAATCATGCGGGAGCACTGAAAAACTATCAGTGTTTGGGTCTCACTCTCAGAGATTCTGACTCAAGTAGTTTAGCTGGGGCTCCATTATCACCATGTTTTAAAAGCTCCCTGTGATTTTAATGTACATCGAGGGATGAAAACCAGTCTTCTAAATATTTATCAATAAGAACTGGATGGTTTTGAGAATTTTTAAGTGTAATATTCATGTTTTCAATTAAAAAGAAAATGTCTTGATGGAATATCCTACATAGATTTTGTGTATTGTCAGTGTTGATATGGATCAATTTATTTAAAATATTTCATCAAACAAATGTTTTCCTTTGTGAGATTGTTTCACTGTATATTTTAACAAATTATAGTAATACAAGACTTGGTTCCTATAAGGCACTGCATGCAACAATAACATTCATTAGCACATTGAAACAGAAGGTAAAAAAATATTGCTTATTTATAATGGATACAGATTTTGTCTACTTTTGAATGTGAATTGGTAAAGAGGCAAAGTTTTAATATTGCTTCAATACTCTAAAAATTGATCAATATCATTTGCATTCTTTTCAACTCTAATTTTTCTTTTGTATGGAATCCTCTGCTCTTAACACATATCTTAGGCCTAATTTTCATAATGGAAAAGCAACCATAAAGAGTTTTTGAAGAGGAACTGTCCTAAAACTTTTGCATTATAATGGTAGAATATTTCAAAAACCATCCTTAAGCTATGAAATTGGCTTGCTTGCTTTCTGTTGGCCTGATGACTTCTATGAAGAGAAATTTGGATGCTGGGAACAAGTATTGCCAAATGGAGATGCGATGAAAAGGAGCTCTTATTTTCTCCTAAGGGCACCTCATTAAGCAGATAGCTTCCTGAGAATTCAGCCTTTAGCATTCTGGAGAAACTAATGTAATGCTCTTTTTAAAATTGTCTAGTTTATTCTTTGTTATGGATTTTCTTCAACTGTGCAAAACCTGGCTCAATTAAAGACTCTTCTAATTCCAATCCTTTAGTGGAATTAGAAGGGCACTCAAGAAGCTACCAAATTTAGGCATGACTGTGCATAAGGCATACAATGCAAGTCTATTCTATTTTTTGAATCATAGGAAATAATCTATGATTAATAAAGGAATAAATGAATGAACAAATAGATGTGAAAAGCACCAGGACCACTATATAGTCACCTTTCCCACAAGTATTTCATTACTTATCCTATTCTCTGTGAAAATAAACAATATCTTCTCAATAGCTCCTCTATGGCTCCCATCTACGGCATAAACAAAGGGAAGAACTTGCTCCTCTTAATGAGAAAAGGCAGAAAAGCTCTGCTATGTGGTATCCTAGGGAGTCAATCTAAGTCAAATATTGGGAAGAGTCATATATATGGCATTTGCGGCAAAGAGAGTATTGCTCACCAAGTTCTATATTAATTGCCCCATATTTCCCAGTGTGTTCGCAATAAGAAAAGGGTCATGGAACTAGTCTTGGTCAGGAAAATGTGAATACATGTGCATCAGTTGCACAGTGAAGTAGTGAAAAGCCCATGAACAATTTTGTCTCTTTCTCTTCCCCTAACATGGCGACTGAGAAAGCTACTTGTTACGGATAGCCAGCCACAAGAAGGTAGGGCCTCTGTGTGTCAGGGAGACTGGAGCTGAGCCTTTCCCTCTGCTCTTCACCAGCTAACATGGGTCATATAGTGTGCCTGAGAAGTAGTAAACCATTGAGGATTTTGTCTTGTTGCTTCTGCAGCAGAGGTTAGTTATCTTGACAAATACAATTAACTAACACTGTGATCAACTATTAATACAGTATAATCTTCACGGATCTTGGCTCTTCTCTGCATTCAATGATTCTAATTCTGCATATCGTTTTTACTTTTTGGAAGTCGCATAAAATAACAACAACAACAAACTATTGGTAGCTATTCAATCAGTCCCTCTTGAGCCAAGCCTCAGTTTGTTGGGGGAACAACTACAAGAAGCATGGGGAGGAGGCCCATCTGCTCTGTACCCAAGGGAGGCATGTTGCCAATGCCCTCCCTGGGCTTGAAGGAAATAATTGGACTCATTAAATTGCTTTTCACTCTTCTTTTCTTTAGTATAAATAACCCTTAGGTTAATTAGACATGGTTTCTAGCCTCGGGAAATTTTTCTGTGTGTGGTTAGTAATGGAGAGAATAGTCATAAACTCAATAATTAAATTTTCAGTTTTGCAAATGCAAGAGAATGGCAAGGTACCTGTAAGATGTTTTTAAAAATCAATAGTCCTTGTGAAACTAATATCTTATATCAATAATTCTGCAACTATTAGGTCATAATTGAGATGGTTCTGTTAGGATAACAAAACAGTTAATCTCAGTGCGTGCCTGGCCAAGTGTGCCATTCATTAACAGACAGAATCACGTAGCGCACTTGCTGCCCAGCCCTGGCTACACATATATCTGGCTTTGTTTTTAAAATGGTGTTGCCTGGGCCTAATCCCAGAGCAATGGAATAAGTATCTCTGAGTCATTCTAATATCCAACTGGGGTTGAGGACCACTGGTGAAGTGAACAAGAACGGTAATCTGGAGTCAGAATTTGAGTTTTGATACTGTATCTTTTAATTAATCATGTAACCTCAGACAAAGCATGTAGTCTCTCTGGACTTCAGTTTTTTTTACCCATGCAATAAGTATAGTAACATTCTTCCTGTCTAGTTTCTAGTACAATTTTGATACAGGAAAAATGTATGTATGGAAGTGCTTTCTAAATTTTGAAGAGTGAAAGTATACTATTTTCCTTATTACCATGGACTCATAGTCATGATTCAATTCCATTTCTAATCATCTCATTAAAGTAGTATGAAATAAGTGAATTAGTAAATTACCCACCTGAGTATCTGTGCCCGAGAGAACAAAAAATCCAAATTGAGTGATTTTGCTGGCAGACTTCTCCCTTCCACTCTGATGGCCTGTGTTTGTACAAAGAAGAAGCATTACAACTTTTTGATAAATTACCATTCTTTGGCTCCATTCAGGGCATAGTGAAGATAGTGATATTGTCAGAATTGCTGCTACCTTTGTGAGCTGACTCTTTCCCACTTTTCTCTGGGTATTTACTACTTTAAGGATAGTACACCTAAACCCAGACCCTGTAAAGGGCAGAGGCAGGATAAGAGTGTAACACAGGGGACTGCTTTACACTTTGCATTCATATGGGCCTACATTGGATTCTTTTTTTTTTTTTTTTATGTAAGAGATGGAGTCTTACTCTGTTGTGCAGGCTGGAGTGTAGTGGCACAATCATAGTTGACTGTAGACTTCAACTCCTGAGCTCAAGCAATCTTCCCACCTCAGCCTCCTGAGTAGCTGGAACTACAGGTGTGTTCCACTATGCCCAGCTAATTTATTTATTTATTTATTTTTAGAGACAGAATCTGGCTATGTTGCCAGGGCTGGTCTCCAACTTCTCACTTCAAGCAATCCTCCTGCCTTAGCCTCCCATAGTGCTGAGATTATAAGCATGAGCCACCATTTCTGGTCTAGATTTGATTCTTAACTTTATTATTGGCTAGTTGTGTAAACCTGGGTAAGTTATGTAACCTTCTGGAGCTTATTAAATTTTTATTAAGCCATTATTATTGCCAGACAATTTGCTTAGAGCAGAGAAGATCTTTTTTTTTTAAGCCCCTCCTCAAAGAGCTCACAGTCCAGAAGGGAAGACCAACAACAAAGGTACCATCACGTTTACCTTCAGTGATGTTTTGTAATTAAACCAGCCCAGTGCCTGGCAGAGAAGCAGTTCAGTACATGGTAATGAATATTGTTGTTATCCATTGTCTTGGGCATGCTGGAGGCACAAGCCATGGGACATGAACTGAAGCCCTCAGCTTAAGCAGATCTGGCAGTGACAGATCTCAGCTTATCTAAACTTTCCTGCCCCTGGCCAAGCTCTGGGCTGAAGGAAAGCAGGAACTTCCTCTGAGTATAAAAAGGCCTTGCAGGGCCTGCCCTTGACCTCAGCCATCCCTGCTGTTGGACTCGTTCTAAAGCCAATCTATGGCTTTGGGTTTTCTCCAGGACTGACAGGGCATGATTCCAGATCACGATTTCAGAATGCATCCTGGCCAGCAGGGAGCTGCCCGAGTTATCCTCAGGAACACCTTGGCCTCCTGAGAATCTGCCCAACCAAAATTCCTGGGAGCAGGGCCAGACTCACTCAGGCGATTTCTGGTCTTGCCGGGGAATCAGTTTTGAGCCAGAACCTATTCCAAGTTGGGAGGTGAGTAGAACTTTGCCCAAATATCAACCAGCTCTCCCAGCCATGGCTGTCTTTTGTAGGTTCATTATATCAAAATTAATGGAACGTATTTTTGAATCACAGAGATTTATCTATGTGGTAAGAAAATTTTAATATCTGACCATTCACTTTAAAGAACATAACCGTTGTTACCTTTTGACATTAATTAATGGTATTCTACCATGTTATCAGGAGACTCTGCCAAGCTAGAGCTTGAATCTGCTCATCTCCTGAAACCTACAAGTGTTTGTAGTTTAAACAAAAGCAAAATCAAAATAAAAAAATTCTCTCCAGTAAAAGAAATACTGAAAAATTGAGTCACAACTTAAAAGCATTTTTATGTTTTCTTTTTCTGTTTTCAAGCCTGACCTCAAACATGCCCATTTACTCATCTAAAGATAATCAGCTACGTCACTATCAGCTCAAAATTGATGCTTTGAAAGATCATTTTTCATTATAGCTAATTAAAAATGCATCAAGGGTCAGCATGCTATTGTAGGTTCTGAGCAGTTTAAAAGGGAAGGGCTGGCTAATGGAATCACCTGCCATGACATAGCACCTATTTACTTGTTTCTCATAGAGATATTTTCTGAAAAATACACCAACCTGGGCTATTTAAGGTTGTGACATATAACGGAGGTTCTGTGCCAGACCAAACTTCATTCAGCCTCCTAAACTTTCTCCTAGGCCCATTAGTTCACTTCCTCATAACATGAAATCTTAGCAAAGAACCCTGCTAGGTTAGTTTAGCAAATACACTCCCTGCCAATAGCTGATCATCCTTGATCTCTGATTATCCTTGATATCTGATCAGGTTTCTCATCATCCACCATCCCCCAAGTGATGTCTGAGCACCCTGGCCTGTCTTCAGCAAGAATGTCATTAAGTAGCTTCAGCCAGGATTCCCCCTTATCCTTGAGGATTCTCTTAGCAATTTTCCATCCACTGATGCCATGCTGCTCCTTGGATGTCAATTCCCATTTGCGTATGCTGTATTTGAAGTAGAGCCCAGTCTCTCTCTCCCACTGCAAAATGTCACTGTAGAGGTCTCTACACCTATGCTAATCATCTAAATAAAGTCTGCCTTACCATACTTTAACAAGCATCATTGAATAGTTTTTTCTTTAAGACATACATGGGGTGAAATCATCTCAATAGCCTGCTTCTACATCGGAAAAGCTGTTAAAGTGTTCGAATCAAAATAGTGGCATTTGGTTGAAGATGTTTTCCTTCTTTCTCTGCTCATTTTTCATCTTCCCAGAGGGTCCTCCTTCTCTCCATCCCCCACCTCCCCTCCTCTGCTATTCTTTACCCCTCTCACTTGTCTCCACTCACGACAAGAAGGAATGCCTCCACAGGGCCAATACATCAAGCCTGACACCAGCAGAGTCTCATTCCCTCTGACAGACGTCAATTTAAAAGGCAAGAGAAGATTTCAAGGCAGGGGTGAGGGAAGTGAATGAAATTAGTCATCATTACCCTGAAGCAACATGGGCTCATCAGGCTTCTCATGACTATGCCCCGAGGATCACCCCCATCACTCTAAGTAGTCATGACACTGCCAATGTATGGGTTAAAATGATGAGCAGGAGAGACAGGCCGATCCCAAAGTAAATAGACTGAATTAGAGGCATTACAACAGTTAATATGTCAGGTCCCTGTAGGGAGGCCATAGATCCTGTGTGGTCTATTTCCCCTGCATATTAAAATTGATTGTGCCTTGGGCAATGGCAGGACTGATGGGGCAGGGGAGCTGACGATTCATCCTTCCCCTCACATGGATCAAAGAAAGCAGACAGTGTTATGTGAAATTATTTGCTCTGAAATTGCTGGGAATAGAATTTAATAGTGAAAGAAACCATGAGTGTTAGCCAGTGTCTCCCCAGGCCACACCATCCAAGGAGTATAAATAAGGTCATGCTCTCACCAAAATCATATTTCTCTGGCAAAACTGCAGGAACTATACCCTCCTTTTTCCCCCACCTGGCCAACTGTTTCTCGAAACCTCAAGGGATGCCTCCTGTATTTTTGAACATAGTCCTCTTGGCCCCCACATCTGAGGTTCTCCTCCTCCCCTTCTGCTCACTGTGGTGGTATCTGTCAGGCGAGGCTACCAACTCCTGAGCTAGTCCCTGATGCCAAACACTAAGGACATTGGTGCCACAGTGATGTTGGCACTGACCCTGGCACCTATAATGCCACAGCGTCTCAAGTTAGTGCTCACAGGCCCAGCACCAACACTGTTAATCCAGTTGGTTCCTTCTTAAAGCAAATTCAATGCCACGATAACTTCAATGAAACTGATCTTTGTGTTTCTATTTCCTCATCACTGCCACCCACCTCTTCCAAGCTGTGGTCAAGAATGCTCAGTGACTGTTTCAGATGCTGGTCTGGGTAATTGTTAATGCCCTGGTTCAGGGTCTCCTGAGACAGACTCAGAAGGAGATTTGTATGCAGGATATGTACTGAGAGTACATTCAAGACCAACAATTGAAAACAACAACGAAAAAGAGAAAGAAAGAAAGAGAAAGAAAGAAAGAAAAAAGGAAGAGAGAGACAAAGGAAGGAAGGGTATGATGGCTCATGCCTATAAGGTAGGAGGATCACTTGAGCCCAGGAATTCAAGACCGGTCTGGGCAACATAGTGAAATTCCTGTCTCTATAAAAAAAAAAAAAGTTATTTTTTTTAAAAGACTGATGATTGTGTGAGGGGACATAAAGAAGCTGATAAGGTAGAGGGAGAGGAAGAATAATCTGTGGGGGAGTGAGGCAGCAGGGGTTGGAGGAGGAAGCAGATTAATTGTGATGAAGTTGTAACAGAGGCCTTTTTCGATTGCATTGGGGAGATCTGGAGCTGGCCTGGCTCCTCAGAGTTGTTTGCCATTGAAGCAAGGAGCTAGAATTTGTACTCCCTCATCATGCAGTTATGAGATGTGGATTGTCTCAGGTAGGAGACATAAACTTAAGAGAGGTGGTTTTCAACTGAAGGCAAGTCCCAAAGGATTCAGATGGGAGTGGTCTGTAGCAAACTCTGTGAAACTGGGGGAATGAGTATCTTGGTCTTCAAGGGGGATCTGGCTGGTACACCCTTGATCTCCCTCCCTCTTCTTTTCCCTATAGACTTTGTTTGTTGACCTTGGCCCAACACTTTTCCTTCTTAGGCTGAATTATTTTTAAAGAAGATCCTTAAACCAAGGCAAGCCCCTTCACCTCAGTCCTCTTTGAGCCCTTGGATAAATGATTGCCAATGCTCATAGCTGGACCACTGCCATAAGCACAATCAAAATATGTCTCATTTAAATCCTAGAAATAAAGGCAAGGAGCCTGTATAACACAAAGCATGTGAGACCTGAGTTCCCCTCTGCCTGTCTTAGCTCTTAGGTGACATTGAACAATTACTCCACCCCACCACAGGCCCTGCCTCTTAAATGCAAATTCAGACTAACTAGTTTCTAAGGTCATTTTTCAGTTTTAGATTTCTCCAACCATGTGCTCATGGAGACATAAAATAAGCAAATGGCATGATTTATGTCTTAGAGAATATTTAAGCTGCAAATGAGGCAAAATAAAGCAACTAAGAAAAAACTAAAAACTAGAATAATGAACCATAGTTAATACACTAAAATTCCAAAATATTTGCCAGAGGCAATTGATACAGAGGCAATTGATACTAAAGCAAACCATTTTTTTCTGTAAAGGGATAAATAGCCAATATTTTCAACTTTAAAATCATACATGGTCTGTACTGCAATTAATTTTTATTGTTGTAATGTAAAAACAACATAACATACATAAAATGTTAACGAATGAGCATGGCTGTGTTACAATAAAACTTTGTTTACAAAAACAGATGACAAGCTGTGGTTTGCCAGTCTCTTCTGTAGAGTTAAAAAGAGAAAAGAAACCTTAAAGATTAATCCCTTGCAACTCAAAGAGCAGTTCACCGATGCTCAACATTGGCATCATTTAGGAAGGTGTTAGAAATGGAGAGGCTCAGGCAGCACACACCAGACCAACTGAATTATAACATGCATTTCAAAAATACCACCAGGTAATTTATATATGCACAGTACAAAGTAAATAGCACAAATCTCAACTTATTTTCTCATTTTTACAGATGAATATACTGAGGCCCAGAGTGATCAGATGACTCATCTGAGGTCACACAGCTAGTTTCAGATCAAATTGAGATTAGAGATCTGATTTGTTTCTTCATTCTACAAATATTTATTATCTCCTACATGTCAGGCAAAACTACCCACTTTCGTGTGTAAATTATTTCAACCATTGTGGAAAGCAATGTGGTGATTCCTCAAAGAGCTAAAAATAGAACTACCACTTGACCCAGCAATCCCATTACTGGATATATGCCCAAAGGAATATAAATCATTCTATCATGAAGACATATGCAAACATATATTCACTGTGGCACTATTCACAATAGCAAAGACATGGAATCAACCTACATGCCCATCAATGGCAGATTGGATAAAGAAAATGTGGTACATTTACACCATGAAATACTATTCAGCCATAAAAAAGAATGAGTTCTTGTCATTTGCCAGAACATTGATGGAGCTGGAGGCCCTTATTCTTAGCAAACTGATGCTGGAACAAAAACACAAATACTGCATGCTCTCACTTATAAGTGGGGCCTGAATGATGAGAACCCACGGACACAAAGAGGGGAAAAACAGACACTGGGGCCTATTTATGGTAGAGGGTGAGAGGAGGAACCAGATAAAAAAAAAATAACTATTGGGTACGAAGCTTAGTACCTGGCCAATGAAATAATCTGCACAACAAACTCCCGTGTTGTGAGTTTACCTATATAACAAACCTGTACATGTGTCCCTGAACCTAAGATAAAAGTTAAAGAAAAAAAAAAAAACTACCCACCTTCATGAAACTTGTGTTCCTTTAAGAGGGAAACAGAATTAAAAAATTGGCAAATTAAAAATTAATAAATGTTTTTGGGGAATAATAAATCAAGGATAGAGAATAGGGAATATAGGGAGGTGCACACTACAATTTTATACAAATTGGCCAAGGGAGACCTCATTGAGAAGGCGAGGTTAGCAGACAAAGGAGTACATAAGCATGTTGAACTTCCTGTCTTATGAAAGTGATATGAATATTGATGTAATAAATCAATTAGAAAAGTAAATATGAGTTTGAGTCTTAGTCTACAGGGAGCAAACATGAGAACAAAAACAGAACGCATAATTTTTACACAAGCCAAAGGAAACTCAGTCTATCCAATGGGCATTAAGAATTGGGGTGGGAAAGAGAATAAAACTGAAGGAACGAATAATAAATAGATGTGGAAAATGTAAAAAATCTCAGATTGCATAAATTATACAATTCAACAATACGTGTCTCAGGAAACATGCTTAAAACCAAGACAAAAGGAATATTTGTGGCTAAAAGAGAGAATAAAAATATATTGGTGTGGGAATCATAATATCTGATAATATATAACTAAGGTAAACAATGTATTAAGAGCGAAAAAAACCCTTTGTATATTGATAAAAGAAATCACGTTGATAGTAAATTCTGTGCCCTCAAAAATAAAGCCTAGAAGTATAATTAAAATAACCGACAGTACTCTAGAGAAAAATAGCTATATCAAACACATCCTTCTTAAAAACAGATTACAGAAACAGACAAAAATAGATATCAAATACTTGAACAATTTGAGGTTTAAACTGTATCAAAGGTTTAAGCTATCTTAAACCTATATTATTGCACATATATTTTGTGCATATGTGTCATCTAACTCCATAATTCGTAAACAGAAAATGTACAATCTTGGGAAATTTTATAAAATTTGACTGTTAAGCCGTAAGTGAATGTACAACCAATCTAAAATCATTGATATTATTCAGATTATTTTACATAATGTAGTAAAGTTGGAAAACAAAATGGAAACCAATCTTTATTTGTAAGCTAAGTAAAAAGTAGTAAATAACCATTGTGTTGAAGAAATAAACATATAATACTTAGAAAAGAATGATAATGGGTGGGGTAGGCAGAGATCTATAATGGCCCCTAAGATTCCTACCCCTGGTGTACACTGACCTTCTTCCAGTTAGTCCATCAAAGACAAATCTAGTTGGGGCTGTGAAGGGAATTGCAGATGTAATTAAGAGTTTAAATTATCTGACTTGGAGGTAGACAGATGATTCTTGGTAGGGCTAATCCAGTGTGACCTTAATGGAAACTGGGCTCTTCTTGGTGAAAGAGATTTAAACAACAAGAAGGAATATATGCAAGGGCTTTTTGTTGTTGTTGCTGACTGTGAAGATGGAGAGGGCCAAGAGGAAAACAACGTGAGTGGTCTCTGGACGCTGAAATTAACCACTGGTTAAGAGCCAGCCAGGAAATGGGCACCTCAGGCCTACAACCACAAGGAACTGAATTTGCCACAACCATGAGAATTTGGAGATGATCCAGAGCTCCCAATGAGAACGCACCCTGGCTAATACCTTATTTTAGACTAGCCAGATCCTGAGCAGAGAATCTAGCCCACTGTACCTCAAATTCTGCCCTAGAGAACTGTGAGATATTAAAGGAGCCTAGAGTCTTTTATATTGAGAGATTTGGGAGAATTTTACCCATAAATTTATTTCTCTCTCTCTTTTTTTTTTTTTTTTTTTTTTTGAGGAGACTGAGTTTCGCTCTTGTTGCCCAGGCTGGAGTGCAATGGCGCAATCTCGGCTCACCCCAACCTCCGCCTCCTGGGTTCAAGTGATTCTCCTACCTCAGCTTCCCAAGTAACTGGAAGTACAGGATGCACTAAGACACCTGGATAATTTTTTGTATTTTTAGTAGAGACAGGGTTTCTCCATGTTGGTCAGGCTGGTTTCGAACTCCCGACCTCAGGTGATCTGCCCTTCTAGGCCTCCCAAAGTGTTGGGATTACAGGCGTTAGCCACCGTGCCTGGCCATTTCTTAAATATATATGAAATGATTCAGGTTATCTATTTTTTTAAATGAAATTTTCTAATTTGTATTTTTGTCCTCTATTTTTTTTGACAGATTAATGATAGCTATTTTCAAGTGCGTGTTTTATAACTCCATTGTCTGACTACCCTATGTGTCTGTTTTATTTCCTGATTTTTTTTCCTTTGATTTTAGTTACTTCTTTTTGTATGTCTGGTTGTTGTTCTTTAAATTTGCTTATTTATTATTGATTGGTTGATTGATTTATGTCTCCAGAATACCCTATTTTTGTTTAATCAGGATGCTGAAGCTTGCATATGAAAAACCTCAGAAATCATTTGGGGCTCAGGATGATGTTTTCTTCCTCTAATGAGGTTTCACTTTATTTCTGACTGGCAGTTATTCTAGGGACGCTAAGAATCTCAGGTCATCTAAATCCCAAAGGGTTTAAAATTATTTGAACCTAGACTTTGTTTCCTGTTTGGCCTGGTCTGTTTCTGGTTCAATGTTACCCTCAGAACCTCCCAAAGGCATGAGTTTTTACAAGGACCCTCTGCCTAGGCAGGACCTGAGCTTCATTTTGGGCTCAGACGTATGAGTCTATTGGAAGCTGTGCTTGCCTTCTCCACCTTACAGCCACTGCTTTTAGAAGTGGCAATCATCTTGAGAGAAGCTGCCCCAAATGCTTATTGCTGTGCTGTTATCAAGCCATAGAGTAATATTCCATAATATTGATTCACCATCACTTAATATTAACATCTTGAAGAAAATTGAGGTTACTTGTAACTTTTCAAATATGCAGAAATCATATATCTTTCAGAGGGAGTTTTTTCTTAGACATTTGACAGTTTTGTTTTACTATCTCACAGTATGCAGTGTTGTCAAGGAGAAGCCTGATGTGAAAATGCTTCTTTCTGTTTTGTAGGGAAGCTACGAAAGTGATTTCCTTCTAGAATATTTTAGGAGTGGTATTCTTTTTAGTCTTTGCTTGTAGAAGAATCACACCTTGGTATATTTAGCTATGACATTTTACTCATTCTCCAGGTTGGTAAGTTTGGGTCTTTTCAATATATTTCTTCTGCTCTGTAAACATTTTCTATTTCATTGATTATGTGTTTTTCTCTATTCTCTAGGTTTCCTTTTCCTGATGCTCCTATTAAATGGATTTTGGGTATACTGGATCTATTCTCTGCAACTATTTATTTCATTGTACTTTCCATTTTTTTTTTTCCTTTCACACTGTTCTGTGAAATTATTTGCATGATCATCTAGCTCATTAATTTACTCTTCGGCCTAGTTCATTTTGTCATTCAACTCACCTTTTGAATGTATAGTATTTTTATTTCCAAAATCTTCATATTTTGTCATAAAATGCTTTTATACATATGATAAACATATTCACATAATTTCATTAGAATTTAGTCTACTTGCTCCATTAAATATTTTTTCACATTAGTTTTGTACTTTTTGAATGAGGGTTCTTTCTTTTGTGGTTTTGGTTTTCCTCAGCTATTTGTTGATTCTTAGATATAATTCAAGCTTTAAACCATATTTATTTTAAAGTTCCAGACAGTTGAAATGCTGTTGATGCATGCACATGTTTATCACAGCACTATTACCTGTTTGTGGTTGCATGTTGTGATTGCAGAACCTGGTCTTTGGAGAGATAGAAATACTGTGGAATATAGTATGCTGCAGCCTGCTTTGCAATTTTGAAGGTACCCTCTCCATCTCTCACTGGATCTTTATATATCCGGAATTCTCTGGCTTTATTGCTCCATTCACTGACACATCTGGGAGGAAACTTAGTTACTTTGTCCTCTCAAAACATTTGTACAAAGAAAGTAATAGCTCCAGTTGATAACTACCTAAGGACTCATAATCATTACCTGTATCCTTTGGCTTTGAATATTCCCCTAAAACAGCGGTCCCCCAGTTTCGTGGAAGGCAATTTTTCCACAGACCAGGGTGCTGGTGGCGGAGGGGGCGGGTTGGGGATTAGATAGTTTTGGGATGAAACTGTTCCACCTCAGATCATCAGGCATTAGGTTCTCATAAGGAGTGCCACCTAGATCCCTTGCATGCACAGTTCACAATAATGTTCCCGCTCCTGTGAGAATCTAATAACACTGATGATCTGACGGGAGGCAGAGCTCAGGCAGTAATGCCAGCGACGGGGAGCAGCTGTAAATACAGATGCAGCGTTGCTGTGCGGCCCAGTGCCTAACAGGCCGGGGACCTGTACCAGTCCGCAGTCCATGGGTTGGGGACCCCTGCCCCAAACCACTCTGATTTCAGTACCATTTCTTTACTTTGTATATTTTCATTACAATTTGATGTAGCCTTCGGTTCCTATTTCATTCCTATCAGCTTTCTATTCTTCAGAAATTCATCAAACTTTTGCATTTATCAGAGACAATGTTTTTTATTTTCCAGTAACATTATAAAATCTTTTAAAACAGTTTGTTTCATTTCTAAGGATTTTAGACTGGGGTGAAAGTGGTTGCTTATGCTCAGTCCACACCATAGTTTTTCAATGAAAATCGTAATGTTGCAGCAGCACAAATTGTAGAGAAGAAAGGCTCAGGAGAAGTTTACGCAGAACACATAATGATGGTGCATGTCTACTGTGGGGTAAAAGGATGAGGATACGAGGGTAAGCATGAAATTTCCAGAGACTGACTTTTATTCCAAGTTGAGTATGATTAAATATTTTGTCCTTGGTTAGCCAAAACAGAGAGAGAGCAGTATAGTAAAGACTGAGCTAGAACTCAAATCAGATAAATGCTTCAGAATGAGTCAGGGCACATCTCACACAAATCCTCTTTCAAAAACACAGGACACAGGTGAGTATTTGATGACAGAAAGAAGTCTGAAGGTAAAAACCATGTTGAAGTGCAGGATTGGGTTGATTTCAGTATAGTGTTTATTGACAGTGATTGACATTTCATTGCAGCCATCACTGAAAGAGACTGTAATTACCTCTGAACTAAAGTACAGACCAGTGATTTTTCTATGGCATGTAAATAATAATGATCATTATATTTCTTGAACTCTCCCAACATATAATAATAAAATAAAATTTTAACACATTTAAAATCAGGCATTTTTTAAATTATATGCTATTTATAAAAGCCTATTACTAAAGATGCACACAGAGGCATTGCACAATGTGGAGGCAACACATTGAGGTCAACTCAACCACCTCTATGCATTTAAATTTGAAACTGAATATTAAGAGTAGTAGACTGTAGGTGGAGGGATCTGGAAACTTGTTAGGCTGACATCACTAGCATTTTATTTTATTTTTATTTATCTTTAGAATCAGGGGGTATATGTGCAGGTTTGTTGCTTGGTGCTGAGGTTTAGGTTTCTATTGGACCCATCACCCAGGTAGTGAACATAATACCCAATAGGTAGTTTTTCAACTCTTGTTTCCCTCCCTTTCTCCCAGCTTTTGGAGTCCCCAGTGTCTATTGTTCCAATCTGTATGTCCATCTATACCTAATATTTAGCTCCCATTTATAAGTGAGAACATGCAGCATTTGGTTTTCTGTTTCTGTGTTAAATTTAACCAAGATTAAGATAATGGCCACCAACTGTAGCCACATTACTGCAAAGGACATAATTTCACTCTTTCTTACGGCTGCAAGTATTCCATGGTGTATACATACCACCACTGATGGGCACCTAGGTTGATGCCATGTCTTTGCTATTATGAATAGTGCTATGATAAACATGTGCGTGCATCACCAGGATTTTAAATGTCTGGAACTTTAAAATAAATACAGTTTAAGGCTTGAATTATATCTTTCTTGATCACCAAACATGACTGCATGTTAGAATAATTTAAAAAAATCTCTGGGTGATATGGTTTGGCTGTGTCCTCACCCAAATCTCATCTTGAAGTTCAGCTCCCACAATTCCCACATGTTGTGGGAGGCACCTGGTGGGAAGTAACTGAATCATGGGGGCAGGTCTTTCTCATGCTTTTCTCATGATAGTGAGTAAGTCTCATGAAATCTGATGGTTTTACAAGGGGGAGTTCCCCTACACAAGTTCTTGCCTGCCACTATCCATCTTAAGATGTGACTTTGCTCCTCCTTGCCTTCCACCATGATTTTGAGGCCTCCCCAGGCATATGTAACTGTGAGTCCATTAAACCTCTTCTTTATTAATTACCCAGTCTCGGGTATGTCTTTAACAGCAGCTTGAAAATGGACTAATACACTGGGTTTTACTCAGATTTTGTTTCAGTTGGTTTTTAGGGTGCCTTGGGAATTAACAGTGTTAAAAATATCCTAGATTATATACGACATGCAGCAAAGTAGTAGAATCACTGATTTAGAAAACCGAATTCTTCATAGCTCTTTCACTGTACAAATATGCACCTTATATATTTACATGTTCTCTCTCTCTCTTTTTTTTTTTTTTTTTTTACTAAAAGGTCTAGAATTTCTCTCAAAATGCTCCCAGATCTCAATTTTAGGTAAACATGGGCATAAAAATGAACTCTAGCAGGAAATCAACCTATCTCCATAGAACCTAAGTGGCTTTTTTCCTTCCAACAAATGTTAGAAACACCACCCAACACAGAAAAAAAGGAAAAAAAGAATAACTTTCATTGTCAAAAACAGGAAACATCTGAACTTTAACAAATCCTTTGATGAAAATTTGCAAAACTAACTCATTCTAAAAGACAACGTAAAAGAAACCCCCAATTTTCCACACATGATCATCGACAGAATTCATTGCTATTCTCTAACTAGGCACTATGAATCACCTACGAACTTTCATAGCATGATTTATATTTATTACTGGAGTATCCAAATTTGTCTTCAGTCTTGATATTCATTTTCCATTCATTTTTAAACTTGAAACAGACCAGAAGCATCTCACATTTTTTTTTAAACCAAGTGAATGAATGCCAATATGGAAAAATACGTGTCTTTAAATGCTGTGGTCTCATAAAATCTGTAACAAAAAAGCCCTAGCTGCTCAATTTCACCACTTAACTCCTGTGATTAAAATCTTTCAAAGGCTTCTTATTTTTCTTAGGATAAAATACAAAATAGAATATACTAGTTATTTTCTGCTCACCAATCTTCCTCCCCTTCCTTTCTCTGCTCTGCTCTATGTTCAAAGAAAGGCACTGGCCGGGAGACACTGGCAGGGTGGAAGGAGAGAGTTGAGAGGTGTTTCTGTCTTGCTGCCTCTCTGTTTCTGTGTTGCTTCTCTGCCAGCAAGGTGGGCAGCCTTCCCTCTACAGGTCCTGCTATCACTGTACTCTAATAGCCCTATTCCCCTCTCCTTCCTCCTAGGGGCGAGGGTAGGAGGTGATGACAGCTCCCTGATGTTGTGATTCTCTAGGTGCCTGGGTTCCAACCCTTGTTTGCCCCCTAAATACTGCCTACTCATGTGTAAGTATCACTTTTATTAAAGTATCTTTATGAAACCATTTGAGTGATTTCTGTTTCTTCCTAGGACCTTGACCAAGAGGCTGAGGTTGTGAAGCCCTTTATGAGCTAACTTCCCACCTGCCCTGCCCACATTTCACCTACATTCCAGCCATGATTTATCCCACTCAAGGTCTTGTGCTGCTGCCTTTGCTTAGACTGCTCTTCCTTACACTACTACCTGGCTAAGTAAGAGTCTCCATGTATTTGAAATGATTTGTAGATCAGTACCAAGAAGTTACCAGCAAATGTTTGACAACTAGTAAATACTTTGTGGTTGAGGATAGTACTCATGCAAATGCTTCATCATCAATTTAGTCCAGAGAAAGAGCTATTGACAATTCAGATGAATTTGCTTCTTTATAAAATTTTTTTCACTCTTTGGTTTATTGGACATACTTATAGCTTATCAGACATACTCACAAAAATTATTTTAACCTGGTGGAAGATCAGTTAAGTCTGACCACAAGACTTTTCTAGAATGTACTAGATAAATTTCATTCTTTTGAAATTTTATAGGAAGGTCAGGGATGGTGGCTTCGATCTCAGCATTTCGGGACGCTGAGGCAGGGAGATCACTTGAGGCTTGGTGTTTGAGACAAAGCCAGGCAATATAGCAACACTCCGTCTCTACAAAAAGATTTTTTAAAAATTAGCCAGGCGTGGTAGCACAGGCATGTAGTCCCAGCTACTCAGGAAGCTGAGGCAGGAAGCTCACTTGAGCCCAGGAGTTCGAGGCTCCATTGAGCTATGATCGTGCCACTGCACTCCAGCCTCAGTGACAGAGTGATACTGTGTCAAAAAAAAAAAAAAAAAAGAATGAAATCTTATAAGAAATACAGAAGAGGCTTAAGGAGAAGAATGTAAGTTTGTTCCTGTATGATATTGTTCAGTATATACAAGTAAAGTGAGAAAATGAGAAGTAAAAGAAATTGAATGATCTAGTGTATTAATTGTTGTTATGAGTTGGCTTTAACCTGCTTGGGTCTGAAGAAAACCTTATGGATCAGGAACAGAAATTATTTAAACTATTGATGATAATCATATACTAGGATATCACCAGCTGTAACTTTTTAACTTGGCGACACTTCAATTTGATCTCAGTGAGCATTATGAGTGTTTGTGAAGGTCACTTCTACTGACCTCATGTTTGGAGTAAAAGCCCTGTCTGTTTTTTTTTTTTTTTTTTTTTCTTGAGATGGAGTCTCACTCTGTAGCCCAAGCTGGAGTGCAGTGGTGTGATCTCGGCTCACTGCAAACTCTGCCTCCGGGGTTCAAGTGATTCTCGTGCCTCAGCCTCCTGTGTAGCTGGGACTACAGTTGCACTCTACCAGCCTGGCTAATTTTTTGTATTTTAGTAGAGATGGGCTTTCACCATGTTGCCCAAGATGGTCTCGAACTCCTGAGCTCAGGCTATCTGCCCGCCTCGGCCTCCCAAAGTGCTGGGATTACAGGTGTGAGCCACCGCACCTGACCAAGTCCTGTCTTTTTTTTATGTTTGCATAGAATGTCATATCTTTCTAAGCTCCTTCACACGTCTTGTTTCTTCTTGACCCAGTGAGGTAAATAGAAGCTCAGAATGTTAAATACTTTGGTGCAGGCCACAGAGATGGAAGCGGGTAGAGTTTTCAAATCACCTCCTGGTCTTCTGTCATAAAGTCTGGTCTTTCTTCCACTGCTTCATGTTGCTGCTGCATATATCCCTGATTATAAAAAAATGGACAGTCATCTTTCCCTGTGCTTCTGAAAGGAGACGGATTTAAAAAGGTTAAGGACAATGAACATTATAGTTCAGCCAATGCTAAGAAAGATGTCTTTTTTTAAAAGTGGCAATCATTAATATCTGGCAAATAGAAGATATTCTATAAATATTAGTTGCTCTCCGTCATGAAAAGAACTCTGAAAAAAATGTTCCTCTGGAAATAAATTAATAACTGGGATCATTGTGTCTTGGCAAAAGTTTGTCACTGGTGTATGAACAAGGAGCAAAAGTTGCCCCTGTCCCAGAATAGACTTCAGCTACGCCTGCCCATGGATATGATGTATTTCCTGAATTAGAACTTAAAGAAATTTGATCATTAATTTTAAGGTCATTGATTTAAAGAGAATCTGGCCACAGATTATCTGCTTAATGAAGGCCATTAGGCCAGGCGAGGTGGCTCATGCCTGTAATCCTAGCACTTTGGGAGGCTGAGGAGGGTGGATCAGTTGAGGTCAGGAGTTCGAGACCAGCCTGGCCAACATGGTGAAACCCTGTCTCTACTAAAAATACAAAAATTAGCCGGGTGTGGTGGTGCTCACCTGTAATCCCAGCTACTTGGAGGCTGAGGCAGGAGAATCGCTTGAATCTGGGAGGCGGAGTTTGCAGTGAGCTGAGATCGTGCCACTGCATTCCAACTTGGGTGACAACAGCAAGAATCCATCTCAAAAAATAAATAAATAAATAAAATAAAATGAAGGCCATCAAGTGCATTACGAACACAATTTAACACAGCAAATATATCTGTATGTCATTGCAGCAATCAGCTCCCCATGTGGTCTGCAGAAAACCGGGTCAGAGCAGGACACAGGTGGTTGGGTCCTTTGCCTATGGCTGATTTGGTGGCCAATTCAATAAATTGATTGAATCTCCTTTGTATAGAAATATCACCTCCCATTTCAAGAGCAATCATTAGCAATAACAGAATAAGATTAGCAGGTCTTGGCTAGGCCCTTTTTGTACCTGGGTAAACTGATGTACTCATGAGGCAAATGGATGAGTGAGGGGTACCTTTTTTACTGGATCATGGCTCAAAGGTGGTCCTCCAATTTAGCCCCTTACTTTTATGGTGGGATCAGGTGCTGTGTTTAAAACTCAGCAACTAGTGGTTCAATGAGAAAAGAATATTTTAAGTGTAGGATGGTGAATTTCCCCAGTTCTCCACCTTCAGCCAATTGAGACATTTAGTTCATTCAGTTTCTTGAAGAATTGGAGGAAAAGAATAAGAGGATGGGGAAGAGGGAAAATCCTCTTGGATAAAAAAGCCAATCATCAGGTGACATCTCTGGCACTAACGTTTAGTAACTGATAATTGCTGTAACTAGGGCCATTGAGCTTTGCAAATATTATCTAGTAAATTTTAATTATCACCCGGGGGATTGAAGAGTTTCGGAATAAGCTCTTGGGAGAAGATTCCCCCGCTAGTGGTGATGTGTGCTGAGTTATTTTAGATCAGCTGGCCTGTCAGAGCGGATCAGTGTCACTGCACCACTTATCTGGAGGAAAATGCACCTGCTTCTACATGGAAATAAGGTGCATTATCTGCCAATTTGTGCTGCTTATTTCTACTGCTCCCCAGGTTTGACGAGTGGGGAATGCAAGGGCTAAATCGGGAGGCTGTGGAGAAGAAAGGAAGGAGAGTTTTGCTGTCCTTCAAGGACACACACTGTTCCAGGCTCCGGGTGGCTCCCTCTTCTGATTTTGGTTGGGTTTGAGACCTCTCTTGGAGCTGTATCAAAATGAGAGGCATTTTGCTGTGAAAACTGATGATGCTCTTTTGCAATAAGATTATCAGTTTCTTATTTTTTTTTGTATGGAGAATTTTTGACTAATCCAAAGAATAGGGTGACCAATTAGTTATGGTGGGACACTGATCTCTGACAATAAATCTATTAAAGCCTAAATGAAAACATTGACTGGAAATGTTTAGAAACAAATAATATGTACAATTATAAAATGTACAATTCATTGATGTTTTTAATTGCACAGTACAGGAAACACCTCCTCATTGTTAAAGAGTCAATGAATGTAGAAGTACTTAGCTAATAGTTATAAACAAACAACTTAGCAAGCACTATGAGAAGCAAGTTATGTATGCTACTTCTATTGTTCCCACTTACAGATAGGGAAAATGAACTTACAGGAATTAAGCATCCTGCTTCAGGTCATTCAGGTATTATATGGCAGTGCCTGGATCTGACCTAAAGCAATTTAACCCAAGATCCCATGCTTTCAATAGTTCTGAGATATACACAATTACATGCACATGTATACATACTTGTAAGACACACATGCAGTATAAACATGTCCCAATACGCATGTATACACACATGCATGCACATTTATATCAGCTTAGTGTATACATGTACTCTCTTATTTCTATCTTACTGATTTAAGTATTTTAACATTGAATTGAAAAACTGTAATAAATATGTTAAGGTGCACTTCAAGAAAAGCCTAGCATTAACCATCAGAGAAATGCAAATAGAAACCAAAACGAGATACCATTTCAGACCCATTAAAATGGTGTATTAGTCAAGGTTCTGCATAATAAAAAAGACAGATAATAACAAACATTGGTGATGATGTGGAGAAACTGGAGCCCTCATACACTGCTGGTAGAAATACAAAATGGTGCCTCCACTTTGGAAAACAGTTTTTAAAAAAGGTTAAACGTGAAGTTACCACATGACTCAGCAATTTTACATCTAGGTATATATCAAAGTGAAATAAAAACGTATGTCTACACAAAAATTTATGTAAGAATATTCATAGCAGCATTTTTTCTGGTATCCAAAAGGTAGAAATAATAAAAATTACCATCAATTCGTGAATGGATAAACAAAATGGGCATAATAAAATATTATTCAGCCACAAAAATAAATGAAGTGCTGACATGTGCTATGACATGGATGAATGTTGAAAACATGCTTAATGAGAGAAATAGTCAAAAAGACCAGATGTTATAGGATTATTTTATATAAAATGTCCAGATTAGGCATACCTATGGTGCCAGAGAGCAGATTGCCTAAGGCTGAAGAGATGGGGGAATTGGAATCTGATGGGTAAATGGTGCAGGGTTTGTATTGAGGGTGGTGAAAATATTCCAAAACTGATTGTGGTGATGGTTGCACAGTTCTGTGAATATACTACAAGCTGTTGAGTTGCCTTGTATAATTTAAGTTGGTGAATTGTATAATATGTGAATTACATCTTTAAAAGCTGTTTAAAAAAAAGAGAAACCTACATGCATGTTGTGACTGAATGTTTTAGTTGGATGACATCAGTATGATGAGTTACATTTCCAACTCCCCGTTTCCCTGTTTACAAAATACGACAAATCATATCTCCAATCCAGAGTGGTGAGAATTAAAGATAATACTTGCAACAATTTTTATGAATATTGGATTCCATTTTGTTGCCAAAGAAGAACCAGATGCAGTGAAAGCAGAAAGTGAAGGAGAGTTAGCACTGAGAAGCTAATAGACAGAGAGACTCAGAAAGGGCGAGTGGGCAAAGGAGAGAAAAGTCACATGGACATTTAGAGAGTTCAGAGATGAGGTGTGATGTGAAATAACCTGAACACAGAAAGCCAGTGGAAGAGCATTCTCTGAAGGAGGGCTGAGGAAACCTCCCTGTCACATGCTGCTATGTATTTTGTCTATGGACAGCCATGTTTTACTGCTGAATAGAATGTAGGAATTAGCTGATCGGCCACCATTTCGCTCTTCTTTATTCTTGAGGCTCTAACACTCTAGGTTTTCATCCTTCCCTCCTTCCACTCCCATTTCCACCATGCCCAAGGTACACTTGTTACAACGTGATTCTCTTCTGGGGGCCATGAGCCAGACACTTGAGCCCTGAAGAGGGAATAACCACACAGTCTATACAAGATAAAAGTAAGTGGCCTACAAAACAGGTGTGAGAACAGATAAAATGAAACCAAGGGCTAGACTAGGGCCAGTCGGGAATTCGTCACTTCTCAGCTTCACTCATAATCCCATCATTTTCTTTCCTCTCACACAGAAGTGGAATATTAGTGGCCAACACTCAGCAGGCTTGGTTAAGTTGGTTTCGGGATGCCAAACAGAACAGTGATCAGAAAATAGACTCAGCAATCCAATTTGTGTGATCTTTGGAAAACTATTTAGCCTTCTCTGAACCTATTTCCTCAAGGCCTATCATGGCTATTTTACAGGCTTGTTGTAATTTTAAAGGGTAAAGATGTATATTGGCAGCCTAGTCCCTGATCATAGTCATTTCTTAAATGCTTATTTTGGTTTAACTTTTATTTTTTACTGGTTTATCATCCCTGCACATTTAGAATTTACATTTTATCAAACATGAATCATATAACTTATGCATCAAAAAAGGCAAGAATGAAGTAATTCATTCAAATCAAGACTAAACTTGAATAGGCCAGGCACGGTGGCTCACGCCTGTAATCTCAGCACTTTGAGAAGCCAAGGCAGGCAGACCACCTGAGGTCAGGAGTTCAAGACCAGCCTGGCCAACATAATGAAACCTAGTCTCTACTAAAAAATACAAAACTTAGCCGGGCGTGGTGATGCACACCTGTAGTCCCAGCTACTTGGGAGGCTGAAGTAGGAGAATCGCTTGAACCTGGGAAGCGGAGGTTGCCGTGAGCTGAGATCGCACTCCAGCCTGGGTGACAAAGCAAGACTCTATCTCAAAAAAAAAAAAAAAAAGTTACTTGAAAGTAAAGAAAGTTTTTTTTGGTTTTGAAAAAACAATTCTACATAAATAGTCACATGGTGATGTGCATTTGGCAGATATTTGTGTGCATGTAAATAATATGCTTTGTTTCCTCTTAAGTGTTGATACAAAAATAGAAATACAAAAATATCACATGGTATTTCCAGTCTTACTGTAAGTATCAAGAATCTTAAAGGTTCCCATGTCAACACAGTGTGCTGTGATCCTTTATTTCAGGTTTTATCCAATCTGTATATATTTTTAAAACGTTAGCATTTCATAGAACTCATCAAATCTGCTACAGAAATTAACTTACTTTGAGGTTTCTCAATCTGTGGCACACTTTGATTTGAATAAAGGCAAACAAATATACATTTACCAAATATCGCCTGTGGACTTAACCTCCTGTCATGCCTTGGAAAAGCCACAGAATATGAAGACCAGCCTTCAACTTAATTTTTTAATTGGAGAGACAAAAAAAAATTCATGAAGTAGCTGGGATACTGAAAATAAAATATATGACAGTTTTAGCATTTTGGAAAGAACAATTTTAGAGATGCTAGGGCAAGAGGAAGCTGGATGGAAAGATTAGAGGAGATGTTTGAGAAATGAAAGCTGGTGGTGATAGCATACACCAAGAGAAGTGGTTTTTGTACAGTCATAATGAGCATGATGGTATGAGTTTTTCTTTTTAAAAATAAAATTCTTTTCTTAGCCCTTTTTTCCCTTCTCCCTTCCTTCTTTTTCTTCTATGTGACATATAAATTTTACAACACTTTAGGCTTTATCTAAGAACTTAGATTGAAGGCTGGGATGTTGTCTGTATGCATCAGACTATGTTCAGGTATGTATCTTTATGTAGACTTCCTACTGGTAGACATTTTGAAAGCCTGCCTCACTTTAATAACTGGCTTTAATTTACACTTTACTTGAGTTATATTAAACATACTAACTAATCTTTCAATAGCACTTAAAAGTTTACCTAGAATTCCCACAGATTGTCTCATTTGATCTCATAATTACCGTGTCAATTAATTTCATATTAGCTCATTTTACACATAATATACTGAGATTTAGAGTGACTAAGTATTTTTCTGAGATCGTTTAATGTTGAAATGAACAATTCTAAAGCCCGAGTATCCTTTAATTATAAAGAAAAAACATGCAAGAGAAAAGATTGTGAAATTTAACATACTGGGAATGACACCTTTCTGTTATCTTGGAATTTCAGCAAAAGTTCTAAAGCTGTGAAGGGTTTAAAGGGTTAAAAAAAAATTCCAACTTAATTCTATAGAATTTGTGGGAAGTGGAAACCCTGGTCAACCGTGATCACTCCAACAGTCCAGGGATGAGAAGATCAAACATTCAAAAGTAAATTTGGTGAGGAAAAATTTTCTTTGAAGAAAGCTGACAGTTCTTGACTGCCTCTCTTAGGAAGAGAAGGGACTGCTTCCTGCCTCTATGCCAAAGTGGAGCCCAGTCACTAAATATGATGCTGTCTGCAAGAGGGAGGCTAGCATCTCACTCTGGCTTGAAGAGTGCTGAGACTTTTAGGCTACCCAGAGCTACTCCTGGAGTGCAGGAGGCAATAATTCTTGGGAGAATTTGAAATGTGTCCTCCGGATCTGAGGAGAGGCATAAAGCCTCTCACATGGAGAAGTCTGCAAGCCCTCGGGGCTGGCTGGAAGAAGCTGTAAAGAAAAAAAAAAAAAAAAAGAGGATAGAAGATCAGTAGATTTAGGAGAGCCAGGATAGGTGTTTTGCTGTAAGACACTATGAGAGGTAGCCAGGCTTGGAAAGTCTTGAAAGGATCTTGACAAAGAGGGGCATCGCCAAAAGCCAATTCATATGCTGTACAGCAGGGCTATCTTTTAGAAGTCTACCGTAGTAGACAGAAGACATTTGCTGTCTAAAAAAGAACTACTAAAAGCTCTGGCCAGAAGCAGTGGAGGAGTTAGAAGAGAAAGCAGAGTGAAAAAGCTAGGAGTGATATTCAAACCATTTTACATTTGGTGGGACATGCAGGTTGACCACCAGAAAAGATGCCTTCCAGGGCTACTATGAAATGGGTTTTGTTTCCCCTTCTGGGCTAGTGCTTGCCAAACCTCAGATCAGCCTTGAACTTGGGGAGCAGAGAAGCAACTCTACATTGGGTACGTTACGATGTGAAAGTTTAGGTGCAGACTAAAGTAGACCTTTTAACACAGAAAATGAGACTTTCCAAATGTATGGGACCTGCTGAAGATATTGTCCGGAGGAGACTGTTGCCTCCTACAGAGTCCTTTGAAACATTAAAACATTTGAAACATTGGAAAACATTTTGAAACATTAAAACATTGGAAAACAATTAAACTAATGCGGTTTGTACCCTACTGAATTCAGCAAGTTGGCTAAATGATTTACATGTAGCAAAAAAAAATTTATTTTTATTTTTATTTTTTGAGACAGAGTCTTGTTCTGTTGCCCAGGCTGGAGTGCAGTGGCGTGATCTCGGCTCACTGCAAACTCCGCCTCCTGGGTTCACGCCATTCTCCTGCCTCAGCCAATACTGGGACTACAGGCGCCCGCCACCACGCGCGGCTAATTTTTTGTATTTTTTTTTTTTAGTTGAGACGGGTTTTCACCGTGTTGGCCAGGATGGTCTCGATCTCCCGACCTCGTGATCCGCCCGCCTCGGCCTCCCAAAGTGCTGGGATTACAGGCGTGAGCCACCGCGCCTGGCCGCAAAATTATTTTTATAAAACAATCATGAACATAGAGGAAAAAAGTTTGAGGTGGACTTGGCTAGCGTTTTATAAGTGAATTTCAGAACTGAGTTTCATACAGGGGAGGTTGCTTGGCCCAGGTCATACACACAGTTTAACAGAACACTGAACCATGTGCAGGATGTTTGGAGCAAGGTCAAACCTACCTTTTACTAATGGAATAACACGTTGCACTGGTTAAGGTTACACAATACACATACGTGATTTCTCCAATAAACAATGGGAAAGGATAATTTGTTGTAGGCCAAGGAGTACAGAGATATTTGGTAAGACTCCAAAGAAAGTAAAGACAAAAGGAGGACAAGCTTTGTCTTATTACATTTTGGAGGAAATATTGAAGGCTAGAAAACAGCAGGCAAAATCCAATTATTAAAGAAAGGAATTAAAGCCATACCAGAGAATTAGTTAGTGACCAGTTTGAATAACAATAATTTCTAAGCAACAGCCAGAGAAAATATTTTGAAGGATTCAGTATTGGAGAAAAAATTTTTTTAAATCAAAATAGGCCAACATATGTGAAAGAATGTCTCGTGTATGGAAAATACAACAATTGAAAACACATTTTTTTTCTTTTTAAAATAATTGATTCAAAATACATCACTTTCTTCTAGTTTGTGTTCTTCCTATTGTGCTACACTTTGATACATGGCATAATCTCTTCTTATTTAAAAAAAAAATTCATGCCTTAGGGATAGATATCTCATTTTGGAGAAATTTAGGAAGAAAATGTGATAATGTAAGAGATAACTAGGACCTTACAGCTACTCTCATGAAGTTCATATTGTGATGCAAATATAGAGTAAATCAATAAAACATAATTAGTAAACTGTGGGAAAAGATAGAGAACAAGTAAAGGGAAATTGAGAGTTCCAAGTGAGTTGCAGGTAAGGAGATAGGTAGCAATTGTTAAGAGTAGCTGTTATTGCTATGAAAAACATTATGGCAGGTTAGGCTTGATTTGGACCTGCCACAACAGATACCTGTGGCATGCTCAGTTGTATATCTTTTCTGCTACATTAAAACAATAGCAGGTTTTCTGCTTTTTAAATACAAGTTCCTTTCCTCCTACTTCTCTTCCTACTCTTCTCTTAACATGTCACGTCTACCTGCTACATAGCTAGAGGCTGATAAAGTGGCATCTGCTCAGGTTGGTGTAGGCGTTTCTTGTTTCTTGAGTCAAATATGCAGACATGCCACTGCAAATGGATGACTACTCAGTTTGTTTGCTTGTGGATTTTTACAACTTCATCGGTGTTTTATCAGTCAAATTGTCAGTGTTTTTAACAGTTGATGGATATGATAGAAATTGGTACGGTGTAAGTCTGTGGTTCTCAACTCTAGCTGCATATGAGAATCACTCAGGGAGTTTGGAAAAATGCAGATGCCAGGGCCCAGGGCCAGGGATGTTGATTTGATTGGTCTCTATGAGGCCTGGGCATTAGTGCTAGGTGCTGGCCAGTGATTCTGAGAAGTAGCCAGGCAGGGGTATCTCAAGGTGTGCCAGGCAGCCTGCAGGTACTTTCAGAGGAATATGCCATGTGATTTAATCCTCACATCAGTATAACAAAGGCATTGGGGTCCTCATTTTGCAGAAAAAGGTCTGTATTTTTGAGTGATGGCATGATTTTCCCAGAGCCACATCACTAGGGTGTAGAAGGGTGTATTTCATTTCTGACATCGTATTTGGAAATTGTGGGTTGGAAAAGCTAATTCAGTTCCACTCAAATAAAATGGTTTACTTGTGAAATGTTTTTCCACCATCTGCGCCTCTGAAAATAGAGTGGCAGTTTCCATTATGGAATTGTAGAAAGTTTGACCCCCAAATGTACAACTGATAAAAAGTGAAATTAAATAACACACCCCACTTTAGAGAAGGAATCCCAAAATAGGTATCTTAAAATTATTTCCATTTTTTGCTTTTATGTTTATACATTTCAAAGAAGAGATTCAGCCAACCTTTATTTTTTAATGTTTGAAACAGCATTTTCCCCTGTTATTTCTGAGCAAGATAAACCCAGGAAGCACTAGAAATTTCAAGCAATATGGTTTTTTTTCTTGACGATAACACTTGAGTAGTGTAAAATATTGATAAAATAAAAAGTCACTTTTGTTATTATAAATGGTTTGGAATTATTACTTTAGTTACAAATAAATTCCAAATATAGAAGGTATTGTTACAATGACTTTGACAAGCATGATTGCTTCCATATTAGGCTCATACTACACCTCTGTACATATGTGAATCTTTGTACAAAATGTCTTTTTTTCCCAATTGAAAGGCAATTTTTAGCATGTGATAAAAGATACAGAAGGTTAAAAAAAGAGATGATTGTGAAAAGGCAGTAAACCTGCTAGCCGAGTGTCACTATCCTACTGGTTCCCAGAATCAACTATTTTTACCAGATTTTTGTTTTATTTTATTTTTATTTTATCCTTCTAGAAATACTACATGATTCTACAAACATAAAATACATATATTTATCTTTTCACTTAAATAGCAGCATACTATAAATTCACAGTTTTATATCTTGCTATTTTTACTGGCTAATACTTCTTTGAGGTCATTATATCAACACATATAGACCTACTTCATTATTTTTAGTGACTACATAGTGTTACATTGAATGGATGTGCCATAGTTTGTTTAAATGAGTACCCACAGGTGGGCATGAGTTGTAATATTTTTTGTTTTACAGACAATACTATCAAATGCTCTATGAAGTGTTTGAACCAACTTACACTTTGGCCAGCAATGTATGAATGTCTGTTTCCCTATGCTTTAGTCAACTCTATATTATCACATTTTAAAATGTTTGCCTGAATCTAACGGGGGAAAATGCTTGCTTATTGTTTTAATTTATGTTTTGCATTCATATCTTAGAAAGCAATTCATAGTTTATTCTGAGAAGTGCCTGGAACTGCTCATATATATTGAAGGATATAAATACAAATAGCAATGCAAATATTCATGTATGTACCACCTAGCTTCATGTGTAGAACATCAGTGATTTTCTTTAAAAAAGCTCTGTGGATGGTTCCCATTTCTTCTTCAGCATTCAAAGATCACGATTACCCTGAATGGCATCTTCTCTTCTCTTGCTTTTTTCAATAGTTTAATGATATTTGATGAGTCCCTAAATGTTAGATCATTTAGCTCTGTGTGCTTTTTAAGTTTCTACATGTGAAACCAAACTACATGTATATATTTGTAACATAATTTTTTTTTGCTCACTCAAAAATATTTTTTATATATTTTTTAATATTCACGAATATCTATACCTAAGAGTGTGTTTCTAGTGTTCTGAAAAATTCTCAGGTACTATCTCTTCAAAAGTTACATTCCTCATTCCAGAATTCCTCATCCTGATCTCCATGTCTCTTAACTTCTTTATTATTTCTATTTTATTTGTATTTTTTAAAATTTTATTTAGAGGTAGGGTCTTGCTCTCTTGCCCAGGCTGGAGTGCAATGGCATGATCATAGCTTACTGCAGCCTTGAACTCCTAGGCTCAAGCAATACTCACATCTCAGCCCTAGAACAGCTAGGACTACAGGGACATAGCACCATGATGCCCAGCCAAGTTTTTTCTTTAATTTTAGAGACCGGGTCTCACTATGCTGCCCAGCCTAGTCTTGAACTCCTGGCCTCAAGCCATCCTCCCATCTTGGCCTCCCAAAGTGCTGGAATTACAGGCGTGAGCCAACACACTTGGCTTCTTAACTTCTTTTCAATATTTTTCATCGATTTTGTTTTATGTTACATTTTAGAGAAAAAGTATTTATATCTCTGCATAAACTAAATATCTCAGTCTGTATAATCTATGATTTAATTTATCTGTTAACATTTTTATATCAATTTTTTAACTTCCAAAATAAGTATTATTAATTTTTATATCTCTTTTGTCTTTTTATAGTCTTTTTTCTTGCTTATATTTTAAGTCATTTTTATTTGAATGTAGAAATACAGTTATTTCACAGTTTCATTTGATAATGTTGATATCTGAAGTCCTACTAAATATAATTCTGCTATCTGTTATTTATTTTGGCTATCACTCAAAGTGCCTTGAAATCTTTGCTATTATAAATGGTATCTTTTATACAATCCATCTTCTAGTTTTGGGTTACTGGTATACAGAGACAAAACTGATGCTCACTTTACATACTGATTTTATCCACTGTCCTTGATAAATTCATAAATTAATGCTAATTTGGGTCCTTCTACATACACAATCACTTGTAAATAATGACAGCTTCCCAGTCTTCATTTATTTAAACCTTTATTTATACCTTTTATTTCTTTTCTTGCCTAACATCACCCGCTAAAATCTCTAGGTCAATGTTAACTAGAAATTACAATACTAGGCATTCTCATCTCCTTCATAATCTCAGGTGACTAGCTTTCAGTATTTCATCATTGAGCTCTACGTTTGCTATAAGGTTTTTATAGATACTTTTTAATGGATTAAGGAAGCTTCTTCCATTACTAGTTTGCTAAGAGGGCTTTCTTCATTTATCATGAAAGGACATTGAATTTTATTAATTTTTTGCATCCTCCAAAACATGGAATGATTTTCAGTTATTACTAGACATGAACCCATCTAGATTGTGATATATTATTATTTTTATCTAACGTTAGAGTCAATTTATTAATTTTTGTTTAGAAATTTTGTATCCATGTTCATGGAATTGGCCCGTAATTTTCCCATCTTGTTATGCTCTTTTCAGGCCTACAAATAACTATTTAAAAAGCATTTCCTATGTTTATATTCTCTGTAAGAGTTTTTGTAATATTGGTGGTGTTTCTTTCTCAAATGTTTGGTAGAATTCACAGGAAAGCCATCTGGACCTGCAGTTTTCTTTGTGGAAACATTTTTTTAAAGCAGCTTTATTGAGACATGATTTACATATCATAAAATTCATCCATTTAAAATGTAAACCTTAATGATTTTTAGTAAATTTACAGAATTGTGCAGCCATCACCAAAATCCAATTTTAGAACATTTTCACCACCTCAAAAATATACCTCATACTAATTTGTAGTTATTTTTATTCCAACCCCCAGTTCCAGGCAACCACTAATCTACTTTCTATCTCTATAGATCTACTTTTTCTGACCATTTGGTATAAATATAATTGTACAATATGTAGCTTTTGTCCCTAGCTTCTTTTACTTAACATAATAATTTTGAGATTCATCTATATCATAGCTATGTGATCAGCAGTTCATTCCTTTTTATTGCTGAATAGCATTTGACAATATGAATATACTTTATCTTGTTTATATATCCACCCGTTGATGAATATTGGGTATTTTTATGTTTTAGCTATTACTAATAATGTTGCTATGGACATTTATGTGTAAGCCTTTGTAAATACACGTTTTCATTTCTTAGAGTGGAATTGTCATATTGTTTGTTGTATCTATGTTTAACACCTTAAGAAACTGCCAAACTGTTTTCCAAAGTGGTTGTACCATTTTACATTTCTATATCCAATGTTGCAGTGTCTTCATATCTCAATAATACTTATTATCTTTTTTACTATAGCCATCTAGTGGGTATGAAGTGATATCTCAATGTGGTTTTGATTTGTGTTTCCTAATGACAGATGGCATTGAATATCTTTTCACATGCTTGCTTGCCATTTGTGTATCTTCTTTGAAACAATAATTATTCAAGTTATTTGCCCATTTTTTAAATTGGGCCACTAACTTTATTATCATTGAATTGTCAGTGTTCTTTATATATTCTGGATACATGTCTTTTATGAGACACAGGATTTGCAAATATTTCATCCAAGTGTCTGGCTTATCTTCTCATATTCTTAATAATTTTGAAGCACAGAAGTTTATTAGTTTGATAAAGTCAATTAAAATTTTTTTTGTTTATAAGCCATGCTTTTCTAGGTATTATAAGATACTATTATGTATTGTATCTAAGAAATCTTTTCCTAACCCTCAGGGTCAAAAAGATTTTCTCCTGTGTTTTCTTCTAAAAGTTGTATAGTCTTAGAAGTAACATTCAGGTCTATGATCCACTTTGAGTTAATTTTTGTGTCTTATGTGAAGGGTCTAAATTAATCTTTTTATGTATGCAGGTAACTAATTTTAAATGAAAAAGAATAGCAACACTGGATGTTAGTGAGGATATGAAACAAATGAAACTTTCATAAATTGTTGAGAGAATATAAAATGGTAGGATCTATTTAAGAAAATAGATGGCTGTTTATTATAAATTATAACATTTATCGACCTTATGACCAAGCAATTCCATTTTTACCCAAAACAAATGAGAATATATGTCCATAAAATAAGTTATACATGAGTAGTCATAGCAGTATTATTCATAAAAGCCCCAAATGGGAAATGGCTGCAGTGTCAATAAACTGTGATGTATTCATAAAATAGAATACACTACTCAACACTAAAAAAGGAAAAATAATGTTGTTACATGCAACAACATGGTGAATTTCAAAAACATTATCCTGAAGGTAACAAATCATACAGACAAGAGTGCCTATGTTATGATTCCGTTAATATAAATTTCTAGAAAAAGCTACCATATGATTTTCTTTACAAAGCACTAGAACAAAGGGAGAAAATATCAGAACAATAGGCATCTCAGGGTTAGAGGGGGGATGAGTATTTCTATAGAGGGAGGGTGAGAAACTTTCTGGAATGATGGACTGTTATATATTGATAGGGGTTTAAAATACCAAGATGTAAATCAAAACTCAGTGGATACACACTTAAGAATTTTGCATTTCGCTATGTGTACATTTAATTTCAAAAGAAGAAAACTACTGAAAAATTAATTAAACTGTTGTTAGAAATATATGTGTTGAACTTGCAGTTTCACTAAAATATGAGATGATTGATGGTTGGATGGATAGATATGTATCTGTGAATGGATAGATCTGTAGTAAAGTAAATATAGCAAAAAGTTAATGGTAGAATTTAGGTGGTAGGTATATGGGTGTTCACTGTTAAATTCTTTCCACTTTACTGTACATTTGAAACTTTATATAAAAATACTTTTGGAAATTTAAAAAATGTGTTTCATCATTTCCTCAAACCCCAAATTATTTATTTTACTGTCACAGAAAGAAGGAAGAAAACTTGGATTCACTTCAAGACATATTCTAGAGAAGGCCCTGTCTTCTCTTTATATTTTTATCTATATTTCAAGTTAAGAAGATGTGAAACTTTAGTCTACATCTTATCTAAATTTATTCATCTCTTTAGGGTAGCCAAACTTGCTCCTTTTTAATCATGACAATATCCAGGGGACTTTAAAGAGTATCTTAGTTAATTTATTCATTTCATGCACAGAAGCCAGTCAAAAACGTTTTTTGAGGAGCTTAATTTGATGTCTTTATTTTAAAAAAAGTTATTGGTTATTGAATTATGTAGAATGCACAAAAGTAGCCCATGATCCAAAGGAAATAAAGTTATTGTCTCTATTTACTTTGTTCCTGATGGTTCAAATGATCTTACTCTTACCAAAGTGGGATAACCTTCATTTCATATTTACAAAATGTTTATTGAGAGCCTGCTATAAACCAAGTTCAAGGGCCACAAAATCAAATAGATCATACCTCATATGATTTTGCTCTGTGTCCCCACTCAAATCTCATCTTGAATTGTAATCCCCATGTGTTGGGGGAGGGGCCTGGTGGGAGGTGATTGAATCATGGGGTAGACGTCCCCCTTGCTGTTTTGGTGATAGTGAGTTCTCAAGATATCGGTTTGTTTGAAAATCTGTGGCACTTCCCCCTTTGTCCTCTCTCTCTCTCATGCCACCATGGTAAGACGTACCTTGCTTCCCCTTCCTTTTTTCCCATGATTGTAAGTTTCCTGAGGCTTCCTTAGCCATGAGGAGCTGTAAGTCAATTAAACCTCTTCTCCTTATAAATAACCCAGTCTCAGGTAGTTCTTTAAGCAGTGTGAAGCTGGACTAATACAATATCCATAATGAGTTTAAAGTCTACAGAAGAAACTTTCCCTTTCTTATGCTTTTCCCTTTAATTTATTGTTAAAATATTGAGTTTTTAAATAATAGACTCTCCACAAAACTGCCATGCCAATGTTACTATTTTCATTTTTCCACAGTACAATTTCTTTATGCCACTATTTATTTTACATTTTTACATAATTTCTATTTTTTACATTTGACTTTATAGTAATCACATTTTCTCATGTAAATTACTCTGGAATGACCTCTTGTCATAGAGTGTAAGAGAGACTAGGAAAGAGTATAATAAAGATAGGCACAAACAAGTTTCTTCCCAAGAAAAACAAAGCAATGAAGTTAGTCTAGACTTTATTTTCCAGGAACTAGTAGCTTCCTCTCCCTTCTCTGTAGAAGAACTAGGAGTACTTGTCTTTCTTACACTCATTTTTCTACATTTTCTTAAAAGACTGCAGATAGGCCAGGTGCGGTGGCTCACACCTGTAATCCCAGTACTTTGGGAGGCCAAGGCGTGCGGATCACAGGGTCAGGAGTTTGAGACCAGCCTGGCCAATATGGTGAAACCCCGTCTCTATTGAAAATATAAAAATTAGCTGAGCGTGGTGGTGGGTGCCTGTAGTCCCAGCTACTTGGGAGGCTGAGGCAGGGGAATTGCTTGAATCTGGGTGGCAGAGGTTGCAGTGAAGTGAGATTGCACCATTGCACTCCAGCCTGGGCAACAGAGCAAGACCCTGTCTCAAAAAAAAAAAAAAAAAAAAAAGAAAAGAAGAAGAAAAGCCTACAGATATAAAAAGATTTTGTCTTTATCAATAAAATTGTAAGCTCTGAGGCCAGACGGGATTGCTCATGCCTGTAATCCCAGCACTTTGGGAGGCCGAGGCAGGCAGATCACGAGGTCAGGAATTCGAGACCAGCCTGACCAACATGGTGAAACCTTGTCTCTACTAAAAATACAAAAATGAGGCCTGGCGCAATGGCTCACGCCTGTAATCCCAGCACTTCGGGAGGCCAAGGCGGGCGGATCACGAGGTCAGGAGCTCAAGACCATCTTGGCTAACACGGTGAAACCCCGTCTCAACTAAAAAAAAAATACAAAAAATTAGCCGGGCGTGGTGGCGGGCGCCTGTAGTCCCAGCTACTAGGGAGGCTGAGGCAGGAGAATGGCATGAACCCAGGAGGTGGAGCTCGCAGTGAGCTGAGATCGTGCCACTGCACTCCAGCCTGGGCCAAAGAGTGAGACTCTGTCTCAAAAAAAAAAAAAAAAAAAAAAATTGTAAGCTCTGTGACTTTTCAGAAAAAGTAAGGCTTGTTTTAAACATCTTGATATATTTAAATAACGGTGTTTTTTTTTTAGCTAAAAAAACTAAAGAATTAAAAACTATAGCCTTCCATGTGAACATAGAAAAACTACTTGTCCTATTTAGTAAAATGTTGTTAGGACTTGTCTTTCGTTGATTCTCAAGAAAAGGACAGTAGAAGGAGAAGATCAGAATTTGTGAGTCAAGAAAGCACGCATACACATGAAAGCTTGGGAATTGAGAATTTGGGAGAAATCTAAACACTTATAATAAATTCTTAATTACTTAGCTTCTTGTCTGTATTTGCTTTTTCTCTAAAACAAATGTTATTTATTCCAGAGATGAGCAGCTGGATTTGTGAAATATACATGAAATGTTGCTTGAGTTGGAACTATTTTAGGTGAAAAAATATTATCACAGTATCTAGTGAACCAGCAGTCTTCTGAAATGGGGCAGAAGCGATGAATGGTTTTACCTTCGTAATTTTTGAAAAAATCAGAGTCATACCTGAAAGTGAGTCTTCCTATTAATTTATAGATATGGTATTAAATGTTATTAGTTTATAAGACAAAACTTTACCTGAATGCATTTGGTTGACCATAATTGGTATCAGGCTAGGTAGTGTAGCAAAACTCAACAAAGAATTTGACCTATTGGCAGGAAGGATTCTAAGAAGAGAAAGAGTAGAGGTAACGGTGTGTTACAGAATTAGGCATAGCAGGAATTAGAAATAGGTATTAGGCTATGTGGGTTAATTTTGAGTATGTCTTGGAAGACCTCGGTTAATTTGGAGCCCGTGAATTATACCAGGTAAGGACTCTTGAGTTTGGGTCCAGTGAAACATTGAGGTGGATAAGGGCAGAAGGTCAGAGGAAGGAGAATAAACAGTTGCCATTTCGCTTATTCATATGACATATTTATACTGGGAGCTTATTGCAATTAACACTGCACATTCAATGATGAGAAATATATGTATAGTCTTTGTATCAGTCAGAGTCTCAGCAAGAAAGAGAAGGTACACTCCAAATGAACAATTTGAGTAGATCTTCTTTGAGAAGAATTATTTACATAGGTATGGGCAGGATTTCAGGAAACCAGCAAGGCACGGTGTTGGGTTCTAAGGCAGTTACAGTGGAAAATGGTTACCAGGAAAAGTAGCTGCTTTGAGAAACTGACAGAAACAGAGGCATTGGATACAAGTGTGCCATCTAACCATGATAACCCACTATAACTAGGACACTTATCTCCATCTCACTTTGTCCTTGTCCTCCAGTCTCCTGAGAATGCCTCACATTGATCACACCCAACTGGAAGCAAGAGGACAATGAAGCCTGTTGATAGAGTGCATGTGAATCAGCAGCTTCTGGGGCAGAGAGAAGGGTGGAGAAGGTTGGACAGTGGATAAGGGTGGACTGTGGATAAGGGTGGGTGGCAAACGGAAGATAACCAGCAGAGCTTCTCTTCTCACGAAGCTTTCATTTTAGGGCAGTGATTTCATTTAGGGCAGTGAGGAAGATTTTGCTCCCTCAGAGGACATTTGGCAATGTTTGGTGATATTTTTTAAATTGTCACAACTTGAGGGAGTGGTGCTACTGGCATCTTGTGTGTAGAGGCCAGTAGAGGGCAAGGATGCTGCGAAACATCATACAATGCACAGTATTGCACACGCCTCCCTCAAAACAAAGACTTGTTTAGCCTGAAATTCCAACAGTGAGGAGGTCTGTTTTAGTGCAGGAAAAAATATTTGTCAAATTATCATATAAATGAATGTAAAATTGTAAACTATGCAGTATTCTGTGAAAGATGGTCACTTACTGCTATCAAGATGCAGGATCAGAGAGGCTTTTGTGAAGATAGGATGATTAAGATTTGAAGGGTGAATCAGAGGTAAGTAGAGCAAGGAAGAGGAGGGGAAAAATAATCCGAGCAGAGAAAACACCATATCAAATGCCTAAGGCAAGAAGCAGAATGGAAATCTTCAAGAAAAGGAAGGAACTCTGGTGGGATGGAATGCAGAGAAAAAGAGAGAACTTGGTACAACACTGGATTGCTGGACCCAGGCCAGATGCAGCAGGGAATTTTGGACCATTTAAGAAGTGCAATGTCTTTGAGCACATACATAGGTGCAAATAGTAGACATGCAGATGCTTATCCTCAAAGGTAAATCAAGATACAGAAAAACATAGCCACTTTTAGGATGTCCTTTTAGGACAAGATGGGGGTGAACAGACAGTTAGAATAGCCTCCCCTCCACTGCCCCTCTAGAGGCAACACGGCCTGTGATTAAGGGTATTCAATCTCTGGAGCCAAATTGCCTGAGCATAAATCCTGCCAGACACTGATGAACTGTTTGACTATGAGCAAGATAAACTTTCTGAGCCTATTTCCTCCTCTGTAAAAAAGGGCTAATAATGGTATATTCCTCATAGTGTTATGAAAAAAATTAAAAATGGAAACAATGTCTGGATAGTGCCTGGCACATAGTAAGCATCTCACATAGTATTAGTAGTAGCAGTAGCAGTAGTAATATTTGTTGTTGTTGTTGTTGTTGTTCAAAAAAAAAAAGGGTTGGGATATTGTTGCCTGTTAGCCGAATTTAGTGACTGCCTGCTTTTGTACATAAAGTTTTACTGGAACACAGCCATGCTTATTTGCTTGCATATCTCTATGTCTGCTTTCACATAATGATGACAGAATTAAGTTGTTGGAATAGAGACTATATGGCCTACAAAGCTGAAAATATTTACTGTCTGGCTCTTTACAAAATACGTTTTCAGACCCTTACTCTAGAGGGATTAAGCACTGCTTGTCCCATGGAACTGAGCCATCATGGGTTCCTTCAACAGTTTTCTGAAGACACTGTAAAAACTCTCTTTCCATATTTTGAGTCCTTATTCCACTTTCTAAAAGTGCACTTACCCTATATTCTAAACTAGCTCCCAGAATCTCGACTCTTTTTTAGTCTATCTTAATAAGAGATTCTTAATGGGAGCCTCTTACTCTACTAACCTCTCCAGTTCTTGGTTAACAAAATACTCATGACTCTGCTGTAGCTATTTAGAGCTGTGATACTGTAATCTTACCCTGTATTCTAAACTAGCTCCCAGAATCTTGACTCTCTTTTTTAGTCTATCTTAATAAGAGATTCTTAATGGGAGCCTCTTACTCTACTAACCTCTCCAGTTCTTGGTTAACAAAATACTCATGACTCTGCTGTAGCTATCTAGAGCTGTGATACTGTAATCTTACCCTATATTCTAAACTAGCTCCCAGAGTCTTGACTCTCTTTTTTAGTCTATCTTAATAAGAGATTCTTAATGGGAGCCTCTTACTCTACTAACCTCTCCAGTTCTTGGTTAACAAAATACTCATGTCTCTGCTGTAGCTATTTAGAGCTGTGATACTGTAATCTTAGGCTTTGTCATTGTAGGATTGGTCCTAGATACCACCTTCTTCCCACCTAGTTGAAATTATATCCTACCTGGTGGGATTCACCAGAGGCTCACCAATTTTGCCCTGAAACAAGTCCTCACGCTGAAAGACTGAAGTAAAATACAATATCCAGATTTACAGAGGACTTACTGAGTTCCAGGCATTATTATAAAAATATTAAACAGATTATCTCATTTAGTCCTCAATCTGATAATCCACATTTTATAAATTAGGATTCTGAGGATTAACAGAAGCAGCACCTTCCCCAAGGTCTCCCTGCTGGTCAGATGCCTGAGGCCAGCCAGTGTGACTGTGGGGCCATTTCCTTAACCTCCTCCTCACTGTGAGAGCTGACACCTGGCATTGTAGGTACGAGTCCTCGAACCACAATCTCCACTTCATCTAAAGAACAGATGGAACGGGAGAAGCAATAAGAGCTCAGTAACACAAGGAGTCTGTCCCTGGAGGGTTAAATTCTCATGCCTGCAAGTATAGAAATCCAGAAAATCCATCTGGATGGCAGATTAAGGGAGGAACACCAAGAAGGCCCTGAAAACTGAGGCAAATTTTTGTCTCAGAGAGATTTTTACATGCTTTTGGGAAAACAAACAAAACAAAACAACACAACAGTATAGCTAGCTTGGAGCCCAAAGGTTGAAGAATACAGGCATACCTTGGAGATATTTGATTCTAGACGACCACAGTAAAGCATATTACATAAATATTTGATTTCTCAGTGCATAATAAAAATCATGTTTACACTATAGTTTATTAAATGTGCAATAGCATGTCTAAAAATGCAATATACATATATCATAATTAAAAAATACTTTATTGCTAAAAAATGCTAAGAATCCTCTAAGCCTTCAGTTACTTGTAATCTTTTTGCTGGTGGAGAATTTTGCCTTGATGTTGATGGGTGCTGATTGATCAGGGTTGTGGTTATTGAAGGCTGGGGTGGCTGTGGAAATGTCTTAAGAGAATAATAAAGTTTACCATATAGATTCATTCTTTCTTTCATGAATGGTTTCTCTGTAGCATGCAATGCTGTTTGACGGCATTTTGCCCATGGTAGAACTTCTTTCAAAATTGGAGTCAATCCTCTCAAACTCTGACACTGCTTTATGAACTAAGCTTATGTAATATTCTAATTCTTTTGTTATCACTTAAGCAATGTTCACAACATCTTCACCAGGGGAAGATTCCATCTCAAGAAATCACTTTCTTTGCTCATTCATAAGAAGCAACCCTTATCCACTCAAGTTTTATCATGAGATTGCAGTAATTCAGTCACACCTTCAGGCTCAACTTCCAATTCTATTTCTCTTGATATTTGTAACTCATCTGCAGTTACTTCCTCCGTTGAAGTCTTGAAACCCTCAAAGTCATCTATGAGAGTTGGAATCTTCTTCCAAACTCTGTTCATGTTGATATTTTGACCTCTTACCATAATTCACAAATGTTCTTAATGACATCTAGAAAGGCGAATCTTTTCTAGGAGGTTTTCAACTTATTTTGCCTACATACATCAGAGAAATCATTATCTATGGCAGCTATAGCTTTACGAAATGTATTTCTTAAATAATAAGACTTCAAAGTTGAAATTACTCCTTGTTCCATGGACTGTAGAATGGACATTGTGTTAGTAGGCATGAGACAACATTAATCTCCCTGTTTATCTCCATTAGAGTTCCTGAAGGACTAGGTTCACTGTCAATAGCAGTAACATTTTAAAAGAAATCTTTTTTTCTGAGGAGTAGGTGTCATCAGTGGGCTTAAAATATTCAGGAGACTATACTGTAAACAGATGTGCTGTCATCTTGGCCTTGTTCCATTGATAAGGGCACAGAGTAGATTTAGCACCATTCTTAAGGGCCCTAGGATTTTTGGAATGGTAAATGCACATTGGCTTCAGCTTAAAGTCATCAGTTGCATTAGCCCCTGACAAGAGAATCATTGTATTTTTTAAAGTTTTGAAACCAGGGACTGACTTCCTCTCTTTAGCTATGAAAGTCCTAGATGGCATCTTCTTCTAATAGAAGGCTGTTTTATCACATTGAAAATCTGTTGTTTAGTGTAGTCACCTTCAATTATCTTAGCTAGATCTTCTGAATAACTTGCTGCAGTTTCTACATCAGCACTTGCTGCTTCCCCTTGCACTTCTATGTTATGAAAATGCATTATTTCCTTAAACCTATGAACCAATCAGTGCTAGACTCAAACTCTTCTCCTGCAGCTTCCTCACTTCTCTCAGCCTTCACAGCATCGAAGACAGTTAGGGCCTTGTTTTAGATTAAGCTTCAGCTTAAGGGAATGATGTAGCTGGTTTGATCTATCCAGACCACTAAAACTTGCTCCATATCAGCAATAAGGCTATTTCACTTTCTTTTCATTGGTATGTTCACTAAAGTAGCACTTTTAATTTTTTTTCAAGAACTTTTCATTTGCATTTGCAACTTTGCTAACTGCTTGGTACAAGAGGCTTAGCTTTTGGCTTATCTCAGTTTTTGACATGCCTTCCTCCCTAAACTTAATCCTTTCTAGCTATTGATTTAAAGTGAGAGACTTGTATCCTTTTTTCTCACTTGAACACTTGTTCGCCACCACAGGCATATTAATTGGCCTAATTTCAATACTGTTGTGTCTCAGGGAATAGGGAAGCCCAAGAAAAGGGTGAAAGACAGAGGAATGGTTGGTCAGTGGAGCAGTCAGAACACATACAATATTTACAGGTTAAGTTCTCCATCTTATCTGGGTGAGGTTCATGGCACACCAAAATAATTACAATAGGAACATCAAAGATCACTGACCACAGATCACCACAACAGGTATAATATCGATGAACAATCTTAAAGTATGTGAGAATTACCAAAATGTGACATAGGGACACAAGTAAGCACATGCTATTAGAAAAATGGTATCAATAGACTTGCTCGAGGCAGGGCTGCCACAAATTTTCAATTGGTAAAAAATGAAATATCTGTGAAGTACAATACAGCAAAGCACAATAAAACAAGGCATCCTGTATCTACCACATTTTATTTATCCATACTTCCACATATGGACATGTGGGTGGTTTCTAGCTTTTAGATATTGTGAATAATGCTGCTGTGAACACTGATATACACATATCCATTGAAATCCCTGATATCAATACTTTTGGGCATATATTTGAAATTGCTAAATCATGGTGCATTTGATGGATTTTCATATATTGAACCAGCTTTGCCTTTCATAAATAAATCTGGTGTATAATATTAATATGCTGTTGAAGTCAGTTTGTTCATATTTTATTGAAGCTTTTAAATTTTTTATATCAATTTTCAAAAGGGATATTAATCTGTAGTTTTCTTTGTCTTGTAGCATTTTTTTTTTTTTTTTTTTTTTTTTGTGAGACAGGGTCTCCCTTTGTCATCCAGGCTGGAGTGCAGTGGCACAATCTTGGCTTATTGCAGCCCTGACCTTCTGGGCTCAAGCAATCCTCCTGCCTCAGCCCCTCAAGTAGTTGAGACTATAGGTATGCACCACCATGCCCAATTTTTTTTTTTTTTTTTTTTTTTTTGTAGGAACAAAGTTTCACTATGTTGGCCAGGCTGGTCTCAAACTCCTGAGTTCAAGTGATCTGCCCAACTTGGCTTCCCATAGTGCTAGAATTACAGGCATGAGTCAACACAATTGGCCAGCATTTTTGTCTGGCTTCACCATCAGAGTAAAGCTGGCCTCATAGTATTAGTTAAAAAGCTATTTTCTCCTCTTTAAGTTTTTAGAAGAAATTGATTGAGAAGAGCTGACATTAAGTTACTATGTAGCATCCTTCCATTTCAATATGAAAGACTTCTTTTTTGTCATTTCTTGTAAAGCAGATCTGGTGGTTATGAACATGTCAACTTTTGCTTATCTGAAAATGTACTTAATTTTTCCCTCATTATGGTGGACAGTTTTGCTGGACATAGAATTATCAGTTCACAGTTTTTTTTTTTTTCTTGTAACACTTTAAATATACCAGCCCACCAATTCTGGATTCCAAAGTTTCTACCTGATAAATCAGTTGATAATTGTATTAGTCCATTCTCACGCTGCTATAAAAAACTGCCCGAGACTGGTTAATTTATAAAGAAAAGAGTTAAATTGACTCACAATTCCACATGGCTAGGGAAGCCTCAAGAAACTTATAATCATGGTGGAAGGGGAAGGAAACACATCCTTCTTCACATGATGTCAAGGAGAATTGATGAGTAAAAGGGGAAAAAGTCCCTTATAAAACCATCAGATCTCGTGAGGACTCACTTACCATCATGAAAACAGTATGAGGGTAACTGCCCTCGTGATAAAATTGCCTCCCAAAGGGTCCCTCCCATGACTGGTGGGGATTATGGGAACTACAATTCAAGATGAGATTTGGGCAGGGATGCAGCCCAGTCTTATCAATAATCTTACTTATGACAACTTGCACATAATGAGTCACTTGTTGTTGCTGCTTGAAAGGTCCTCTCTTTGTGTCTTTCAACAGTTTGGTAACAATATGCTTCAGTGTACTATCTTTGGGTTTACCTTACAAAGCATTTAATGAGCTTCTTGGATGTATAGATTCATATCTATCATCAAATTTGGAGATTTTAAGACATTATTTCTTCAAATAATCTCTTTGCCCTTTGTTCTCTCTCTTTGCCTTCTTGAACTCTCATAGTGCATGTGTTGGTCCTCTTGTGGTGTGCTACAGGCACTTTAATCTCTGATCTCTTTCTTCATTCTTTTTTCCAGGCTTTCTCAAGAAGGATTTCTGTGAATTTATTTTGTTCCCTTAAATAGATCACGTTTTCTTATTTCTCTGCATGTCTTATGATTTATTGTCATTGTTGAAAATTGGGCATCTGGAAACAGCCACATCTTCCAGTTTTTGAAGACAGACTCTGTCTGGGACAGTACTTCACTGATTAGCTGGATTGGCTCTGAGTCTAGGGATCAGCTGAAGGTGGAAGGTTAAAGTGTTTTTGGAGTATGTGTCTTTCCTGGGTCTGAAAGTGGCCTTCTCAACTCTACCATATACATGACTTCTCTCACTGTCTTAATTTCCCAAAGAGTCTCACCCTAGATTTTCCTTGGGGCCTTAGATGGTCTATTCTATGTCTCCACTCTAATCTTTTATGAGAGATATCCTCAGGTATAAAGTCTCTCTGCAGCTTGTACAAGCATAGACTGACACTTTTACTACCCGAGATGTGAGTTACGAGTAACAGAAACCAGACCTTTAAGCAGCCCTCAGACAGTTTAGAACATTGCAAATAAGATCTCCACTCACCCCAGTTTGAGAGGGGGAATTGGTAACCAGGCTGCCACCTCTTCCAGGCCAAGACCATGATACACAAGAAGAGGGATTGGAATTTGGGCAAAGGCAGGTGAAAACACCACAGAAGTTCCCACCATTTGAAGGTAGCTTTCTCCTGATTGAGCACACATTCATTTGGTGTAAATCTTTTTTTCAGAGCTTTTAGAAGATTAGTTAACCCAGTTTCTAGTTATTCTTTGGTGTTTTTGGTATTTCCAAAGCTTGGAGATTCCTAGTCTGCCATTTTGCTAATGTCACTGTTGTCAATTAGTCTTTCCATTGAACCTTTCAATGGGTCCTCCACATTCATTGATAATATGACAGAGACCATTCATTCTAACATGCCACCTATATACATTTCAAAAGTCCTCAATGCTATTATTTTCCATCCACATTCTACAGGCAGTTTCTACCATTCCACCAAAAATTACTCTCAAAGGCCACTTGATGACACAGAAAGAGCTTGGAGTTCTGAGTTCATCAGGATTTGGTTGTAATTTTTGTCCACAATTACTTGTTTTTATATCTTGGACCATCATCATAAGCTCTGCAAGTCTCAGTATAGTGAGTTATGTCGTTACTTCATCTGTAGTATAATCACTTTGCAAATTTGATTTAAAAACAAGAATAGGCCAAAAGCTAATTTCCTTCTAACTCATCCCTATAGATTAACTCAAAAGCCATCTTTCCCTTTTTCAAATGGTTTCTCCTATGGAAACCCGATAAGAACTTTTGTGCCTCCTTCAAATTGCTGTAGCACTTGTTGTCTGTATCATTTACATGTCAGATGCCACTCTGTGCCTGGAAACAAAATTTTTCTCTTTGCTCATGTCTTGGCACCTTTTAAAGAATGTGTTCATCTGGAAAGAAAGTCATGCCTTTATCTGTTAATTTATCTGTTGCCTATTTATTGACTATTTTATAGACATCATATTAGGTTCTGATTACAGATGCAAGTGAAATATAGTTCTACCTCAGAAGCTTAGAGTCTTTGTGGAAAAAAAAACAGCTTATTCCTCAAATAGCTTTACATTTTCCAAAGAGAACACAGTTATTAGGTAGAATACATTCACGTATTACAGGTAAATATATAAATACTTATTTGGTATGAAAACCTTGTTAATCACTTCTCTATTTTGAAAAAGGAAATTTATCTTTTCTCCTTGGTTTGCTCCTTGCTATCTGGGATAAACTTCAGATATCAAGGAGCAAACCTAAAAAGGTTCAGAATGTTAGTTCAGAGAAGCATTGAGAAGTTATTATCTGGCACTTACACAACATGGTTGACATGAAAATAGAGCTGGAAATCTCACAAAGTTAGGTGATCTTTCAAGAATTTCAATACTTCCTGCTGTCAGTTGGAAGAGCTATAAGAATAGCCTCCTTTATAACGCAGTTAAGGTGGGAGGCAGAACAAGATAGTGGAATAGAAAGCTCCACCGATTGTCTACCTCACAAGAACATGAAGTTAACAAGTGTCTACATGGAAAAAACACCTTCATAAGAGCCAAAAATCAAGTGAGCAATTTCATATCGCTGAAAGAGGCACTGAAGACATGGAAAAAACAGTTCTGAATTGCTGATGCCACCCCTCCCCAACCCCAGCCAGCAGTGGCTTGGTGTTGGGAGCCTCTCTGGATGCTGGAGGAGGGAGAACACAGCAATTGTGAGGCATTGAACTTAGTGTTGCCTTGTTAGAGTAGAAAGGAAACCCCAACCAAACTCTGCTGACGTCTGCCCACAGAGGGAGCATTTAAAGCAGCCCTAGCCAGAGAGAAAAGCAGATCTCATGGGTGGAACTTGAGTGCCTGCAAACCTCACTACTGAGGGCTAAAGCACTTTGTGTCTGCAAGTAAACTTGAAAGGCAGTCAACGTTATGAGGACTGCAACTTTTAGGTGAGTCCTAGTGCTGAACTAGGCCCAGAGCCATTGCACTGGGCAGGGCATGTGACCTACTGAGACACCAGCTGGGATGGCTAAGGAAGTACAGGAATCACCCCTCCTCTAACCCCAGGCTGCACAGCTCCTGGTTCCAAAAGACACACTATTCAAAATAGCTTTTCTGCTCTGGTTTCTCCCCATCTTTGTGGTTTTATCTACCTTTGGTCTTTGATGTTGGTGACCTACGGATGGAGTTTTGGTGTAGATGTCCCTTTTGTTGATGTGGGTGCTATTCCTTTCTGTTTGTTAGTTTTCCTTCTAACAGTCAGGTCCCTCAGCTGCAGGTCTGTTTGAATTTGCTGGAGGCCACTTCAGACCCTGTTTGCTTGGGTATCACCAGCAGAGGCTGCAGAACAGCAAATATTGCAGAATAGCAAATATTGCTGCCTGATCCTTCCTCTGGAAGCTTTGTCCCAGAATGGCACCCACCTATATGAGGTGTCTGTTGGCCACTACTGGGAGGTGTCTCCCCATTAGGCTACCCAGGGGTCAGGGACCCACTGAGGAGGCAGTCTGTCCGTTCTCAGAGCTCAATCGCCGTGCTGGGAGAACAACTGCTGTCTTCAGGGCTGTCAGACAGGGATGTTTAAGTTTGCAGAAGCTGTCTTCTGCCTTTTGTTCAGCTATGCCCTGCCCACAGGGGTGGAGTCTATAGAGGCAGTAGGCTGTGCTGAGCTGTGGTGGCCTACACCCAGTTCGAGCTTCCTGGCCTCTTTGTTTATCTACTCAAGCCTCAGCAATGGTAGACACCCCTCCCCCAGCCAGGCTGCCATCTTGCAGTTTGATCTTAGACTGCTGCACTAGCAATGAGCAAGGCTCCCTGGGCGTGGGACCCGCTGAGCCAGGCACAGGAGAGAATCTCCTTTCAGGCTTCAGAAGGTCAGTAATAACAAACTTTTCTGAGCTAAGGGAGCATGTTCAAACCCATCACAAGGAAGCTAAAAACCTTGAAAAAAGGTTAGACAAATGGCTAACTAGAATAAACAGTGTAGAGAAGACCTTAAATGACCTGATGGAGCTGAAAACCATAGCGCGAGAGCTTCATGATGCATTGCACAAGCTTCAGTACATGATTCGGTCAAGTGGAAGAAAGGGTATCAGTGATTGAAGATCAAATTAACGAAATGAAGTGAGAAAACAAGGTTAGAGAAAAAAGAGTAAAAAGAAATGAACAAAGCCTCCAAGAAATATGGGACTATGTGAAAAGACCAAATCCACGTATGATAGGTATACCTGAAAGTGATGGGGAGAATGGAACCAAGTTGCAAAACACTCTTCAGGATATTATCCAGGAGAACTTCCCCAACCTAGCAAGGCAGGCCAACATTCAAATTCAGGAAATACACAGAACACTACAAATATACTCCTTGAGAAGAGCAACCCCAAGACACACAATTGTCAGATTCACCAAGGTTGAAATGAAGGAAAAAATATCAAGGGCAGCCAGACAGAAAGGTCGGGTTACCCACAAAGGGAAGCCCATCAGACTAACAGCAGATCTCTCAGCAGAAACCCTACAAGCCAGAAGAGAGTGGGGGCCAATATTCAACATTCTTAAAGAAAAGAATTTTCAACCCAGAATTTCATATCCAGCCAAACTAAGCTTCATAAGTGAAGGAGAAATAAAATACTTTACAGACAAGCAAATGCTGAGAGATTTTGTCACCACCAGGCCTGCCCTAAAAGAGCTCCTGAAGGAAGCACTAAACATAGAAAGGAACAACCGGTACCAGCCACTGCAAAAACATGCCAAAATGTAAAGACCATCAAGGCTAGGAAGAAGTTGCATCAACTAATGAGCAAAATAACCAGCTAACATCATAATGACAGGATCAAATTCACACATAACAATATTAACTTTAAATGTAAATGGGCTAAATGCTCCAATTAAAAGACACAGACTGGCAAACTGGATAAAGAGTCAAGACCCGTCAGTGTGCTGTATTCAGGAAACCCATCTCACGTGCAGAGACACACATAGGCTCAAAATAAAGGGATGGAGGGAGATCTACCAAGCAAATGGAAAACAAAAAAAGCAGGGGTTGCAATCCTAGTCTCTGATAAAACAGACTATAAACCAACAAAGATCAAAAGAGACAAAGAAGGCCATTACATAATGGTAAAGGGATCAATTCAACAAAAGAGCTAACTATCCTAAATATATATGCACCCAATACAGGAGCACCCAGATTCATAAAGCAACTCCTCAGTGACCTACAAAGAGACTTAGACTCCCACTCAATAATAATGGGAGACTTTAACACCCCACTGTCAACATTAGACAGATCAACGAGACAGAAAATTAACAAGGATACCCAGGAATTGAACTCAGCTCTGCACCAAGCGGACCTGATAGACATCTACAGAACTCTCCACCCCAAATCGACAGAATATACATTTTTTTCAGCACCACACCACACCTATTCCAAAATTGACCACATACTGGGAAGTAAAGCTCTCCTCAGCAAATGTAAAAGAACAGAAAATATAACAAACTATCTCTCAGACCACAGTGCAATCAAACTAGAACTCAGGATTCAGAAACTCACTCACAACTGCTCAACTACATGGAAACTGAACAACCTGCTCCTGAATGACTACTGGGTACATAACGAAATGAAGGCAGAAATAAAGATGTTCTTTGAAACCAACAAGAACAAAGACACAACGTACCAGAATCTCTGGGACACATTCAAAGCAGTGTGTAGAGGGAAATTTATAGCACTAAATTCCCACAAGAGAAAGCAGGAAAGATCCAAAATTGACACCCTAACATCACAATTAAAAGAACTAGAAAAGCAAGAGCAAATACATTCAAAAGCTAGCAGAAGGCAAGAAATAACTAAAATCAGAGCAGAACTGAAGGAAATAGAGACACAAAAAATCCTTCAAAAAATTAATGAATCCAGGAGCTGGTTTTTTGAAAAGATCAACAAAATTGATAGACCGCTAGCAAGACTAATAAAGAAGAAAAGAGAGAAGAATCAAATAGATGCAATAAAAAATGATATCACCACCAATCCCACAGAAATACAAACTACCATCAGAGAATACTACAAACACCTCTATGCAAATAAACTAGAAAATCTAGAAGAAATGGGTAAATTCCTGGACTCATACACCCTCCCAAGACTAAACCAGGAAGAAGTTGAATCTCTGAAGAGACCAATAACAGGCTCTGAAATTGTGGCAATAATTAATAGCTTACCAACCAAAAAAAGTCCAGGACCAGATGGATTCACAGCCGGATTCTACCAGAGGTACAAGGAGGAACTGGTACCATTCCTTCTGAAACTATTCCAATCAATAGAAAAAGAGGGAATCCTCCCTAACTCATTTTATGAGGCCAGCATCATCCTGATACCAAAGCCTGGCAGAGACACAACAAAAAAAGAGAATTTTAGACCAATATCCTTGATGAACATTGATGCAAAAATCCTCAATAAAATACTGACAAACCAAATCCAGCAGCACATCAAAAAGCTTATCCACCATGATCAAGTGGACTTCATTCCTGGGATGCAAGGCTGGTTCAACATTCACAAATCAATAAATGTAATCCAGCATATAAACAGAACCAAAGACAAAAACCACATGATTATCTCAATAGATGCAGAAAAGGCCTTTGACAAAATTCAACAACGCTTCATGCTAAAAACTCTCAATAAATTAGGTATTAATGGGACATATCTCAAAATAATAAGAGCTATCTATGACAAACCCACAGCCAATATCATACTGAATGGGCAAAAACTAGAAGCATTCCCTTTGAAAACTGGCACAAGACAGGGATGCCCTCTCTCTCCGCTCCTATTCAACATAGTGTTGGAAGTTCTGGCCAGGGCAATTAGGCAGGAGAAGGAAATAAAGGGTATTCAGTTAGGAAAAGAGGAAGTCAAATTGTCCCTGTTTGCGATGACATGATTGTATATCTAGAAAACCCCATTGTCTCAGCCCAAAATCTCCTTCAGCTGATAAGCAACTTCAGCAAAGTCTCAGGATACAAAATCAATGTGCAAAAATCACAAGCATCCTTATACACCAATAACAGACAAACAGAGAGCCAAATCACGAGTGAACTCCCATTCACAATTGCTTCAAAGAGAATAAAATACCTGGGAATCCAACTTACAAGGGATGTGAAGGACCTCTTCAAGGAGAACTAGAAACCACTGCTCAATGAAATAAAAGAGGATACAAACAAATGGAAGGACATTCCATGCTCATGGGTAGGAAGAATCAATATCGTGAAAATGGCCATAGTGCCCAAGGTAATTTGTAGATTCAATGCCATCCCCATCAAACTACCAATGACTTTCTTCACAGAATTGGAAGAAACTACTTTAAAGTTCCTATGGAACCAAAAATGAGCCTGCATCGCCAAGTCAATCCTAAGACAAAAGAATAAAGCCGGAGGCATCATACTACCTGACTTCAAACTATGCTACAAGGCTACAGTAACCAAAACAGCATGGTACTGGTACCAAAACAGAGATATAGATCAATGGAACAGAACAGAGCCCTCAGAAATAATGCCACATATCTACAACCATCTAATCTTTGACAAACCTGAGAAAAACAAGCAATGGGGAAAGGATTCCCTATTTAATAAATGGTGCTGGGAAAACTGGCTAGCCATATGTAGAAAGCTGAAACTGGATCCCTTCCTTACACCTTATACAAAAATTAATTCGAGATGGATTAAAGACTTACATATTAGACCTAAAGCCATAATAACCCTAGAAGAAAACCCAGGCAATACCATTCAGGACATAGGCATGGGCAAGGACTTCATGTCTAAAACACCAAAAGCAATGGCAACAGAAGCCAAAATTGACAAATGGGATCTCATTAAACTAAAGAGCTTCTGCACAGCAAAAGAAACTACCATCAGGGTAAGCAGGCAACCTACAAAATGGGAGAAAATTTTCACAACCTACTCATCTGACAAAGGGCTAATATCCAGAATCTACAATGAACTGAAACAAATTTACAAGAAAAAAACAAACAACCCCATCAACAAGTGGGTGAAGGATATGAACAGACACTTCTCAAAAGAAGACATTTATGCAGCCAAAAAACACATGAAAAAATGCTCATCATCACTGGCCATCAGAGAAATGCAAATCAAAACCACAATGAGATACCATCTCACACCAGTTAGAATGGCAATCATTAAAAAGTCAGGAAACAACAGGTGCTGGAGGGGATGTGGAGAAATAGGAACACTTTTACACTGTTGGTGGGACTGTAAACTAGTTCAACCATTGTGGAAGTCAGTGTGGCGATTCCTCAGGGATCTAGAACTAGAAATACCATATGACCCAGCCATCCCATTACTGAGTATATACCCAAAGGATTATAAATCATGCTGCTATAAAGACACATGCACACCTATGTTTATTGCGGCACTATTCACAATAGCAAAGACTTGGAACCAACCCAAATGTCCAACAACGATAGACTGGATTAAGAAAATGTGGCACATATACACCATGGAATACTATGCAGCCATAAAAAAGGATGAGTTCATGTCCTTTGTAGGGACATGGATGAAACTGGAAACCATCATTCTCAGCAAACTATCACAAGGACAAAAAACCAAACACCGCATTTTCTCACTGTTGGGTGGGAATTGAACAATGAGAACACATGGACACAGGAAGGGGAACATCACAATCCGGGGCCTGTTTTGCGGTGGGGGGAGGGGGGAGGGATAGCATTAGGACATATACCTAATGTTAAATGACGAGTTAATGGGTACAGCACACCAACATGGCACATGTATACATATGTAACAAACCTGCACATTGTGTACATGTACCCTAAAACTTAAAGTGTAATAATAATAAAAAAATTTAAAAAAAAAAAGAAGAGCAAGAAACATTAGTGCTTCTTCTCACTGCCATGTGAGGACACTGCAAGAAGGTGGCCGTCTTTAGGCCATGAAAAGGGTTATCACAAGAAACGGAATCTGCTTTCATCTTGACTTCCCAGCCTCCAGAACGGTAGACAATAAATTTTGTTGAAGCCACGAGTCTATGTCATTTTGTTATAGCAGCCCAAGCTGACTAATATAGATAGGTAGGTAGGCAGATAGATAGATAGATAGATAGGTAGGTAGGCAGATAGATAGATAGATAGATTGACAGATCGATCAATCTATGAAAAGATAGATAGCCAGACAGATGATAGAGTATATATATATATGTATGCTCTCTATCTATATATGCCTAAGGAACTCAATCACGGAGTATATATTTGCTCTCTATGTATAGTTATAGATATATATATATACATATATACATTTACATGTAGGTATGTATATATATGTATATATACGTATATAGATATATACGTATATATGTATATAGATATATACGTATACATACACATCTATACGTATACGTATATATCTACATCTATACGTATACGTATATATCTATATATGTATACGTATATATCTATATATTTATATGTATATATGTATATATATCTATATATGTATATACATACCTACATGTATATGTATATATACATATATACATACCTACATGTATATGTATATATGTATATATGTATGCTCTCTCTATATATATCTATATATATCTGTAGATATATACACTCATGGAGTATGTGTATATATATATGTATGCTCTCTATATAGCTATATATCTATATATGTGTATATATATGTATGCTCTCTATCTATATATATATTTATATACAGATATATAGATATATATAGATATACAGCTATATATATAGCTATATAGAGTATATATATACATATATAGATATATATAGAGAGAGCATATATACACACACACACACACACACACACACACACACACACACACACACACTCCATGAGTAAGTTCCTTAGGCAGTTGTCCTCTGATTGCCTTTACCAGGCAATGCAAATAGAAGAACCCTATTTTAAAGGAAGCATAAAAATGCTTGCTTTTATGAAATGAACACATATAAAAATATGATAACTGAAAAAATGCACAGCTTTGCCTAGTGCCATGTTTATGAGATTAGCGCTGTAATAACAAAACCATCACAAAGAGACTAGTGGGCTCCTCCTGGCGCCCTGCTGCCTGATTCCTTTACTCTCAGTTGTTTAGTATGGTTCCAGAGGGTCACAGTTCCTGCTCACTGGCTGCAGAAAATCACCTGCCTTCTGTAGTCAAAACTGCCTCTCAGAAGCAGGGTCAAAATCTGCTTTCCTCTAATAGTCCTGCACCCTGTCTCTACCATGCCTGGAATATTACCAGTGACAAATTTTAAAAAATCATATTTCTTGACATTTTTAAAAGGCCTTCAGTTATAATTCTGATGAGGCACATTTTTAAAGAATATGTGAGAGATATGAAGATGATTTTGATATTTATGTTTTGATTCACTTACACAGCTAAAACTATTTCTAAACAAATAGAAATATTTTTCTATGTTTATTAAAATAATATATGAAGATGATATCATTTGAATAATGCTAAAATTCAACCTTTCCTACTTTAGTTCCAAAGACAGTCTTCAACCACTTTGCTTTTACTCCCATAGTTCTAAACTTTATGCTTATTCTGCTCTATCGTGACATACCCATTTTAGAAAAGATTTCTACCACCCTAACATAAGGGAGGATGATATTACTCCCCCTCCCACTCATATTCCTCATCTCTTCCTTTCCAATATGTCATGTTCATTTCATTGATTTTGCTGCTTTTGTTTATAACTTCATGTAATTTTACTAGTTTTATTGATGAGGGAAAGTGTTTGAAAGCATTGGTTCTTTTTTTTTTTTTTTTTTTTTTTGAGACAGAGTCTCGCTATGTTGCCCAGGCTGGAGTGCAGTGGTGCTATCTCGGCGCACTGCAAGCTCTCCTCCTGGATTCATGCCATTCTCCTGCCTCAGCCTCCTGAGTAGCTGGGACTACAGGCGCCTGCCACCACGCCCGGCTAATTTTTTGTATTTTTAGTAGAGACGGGGTTTCACCGTGTTAGCCAGGATGTTCTCGATCTCCTGACCTCATGATCCGCCCGCCTCGGCCTCCCAAAGTGCTGGGATTATAGGCATGAGCCACCGCGCCTGGCCAAAGCATTGGTTCTTGAAGTAGACCTCTTGGTTTGAAATCCTTGTTCTTCAGCTTACCAGCTTTGCAACCCCAAGTAACTGATGGAGCCTTTCTATGGCTCTGTTTCCTCACCTGTGTATCAGGGAAAAGGCTAATATCCCCTACATGTGATTGCTTGTAATGCTTAAGTGGAGCAATGCATTTGCAGACTTTAGCATCCAACATGTAGATGCTCTTAAATATTTTCTATTATTATCAATTTCTTGTTTTATCAACATTCACTCTAATCTTATAACTTTATGCACAAAACTGTTTTCCCATGGCTCCTCTGTCTTTCCTTTCTCCTTGCACAACTCAACTCTGTCTATAATGTTTACTTTTGTTTGTCTGCCCTGTAAACATTTACATTTTGTCATGCACTGGCAGCAAAGTATCCCATGTTTTATCCATAAGTTGAATGTAAGGGTTTGATATAGTTTGGCTGTGTCTCCACCCAAATGTCTTCTTGAACTGTAGTTCCCACAATTCCCACCTGCTGTGGGTGAGACCCCGTGGGAGGTAATAGAATCATGGGGGCGGGTCTTTCCTGTCCTGTCTCATGATAGTGAATAAGTCTCATGGAGTCTGATGGCTTTATAAAGAGGAGTTCCCCTGCACAAGTTCTGTCTTCCCTGCCACCATATAAGATGTGACTTGCTCCTGCTCGCCTTCCACCATGATTGTGAGACCTCCCCAGCCATGTGGAATTGTGAGTCAATTAAACCACTTTTCTTTATAAATGACCCAATCTTGGGTATGTCTTTATCGGCAGTGTGAAAATGGAGTAATACAGGGTTGAAAACTAATAAATTGTATTGACTATTTAAGTATTGCTCAGTCCTGGAGAAAATAGTGGGATAGGATTATATTGCCTTCTCTGCAGGTGGAAGGCCCCAACTTGTGTCTTTTCTATCAATTATTTAAAATTGTACTATATTTTAGTTTGCTTTTTACTTCAACTATTATTTTCTCATACAGATGTTACTGCTTTTCATAGCATTTGAATTATCTTCTTCTTTTTTCTCCTTGCATTCTTTGCCCATAAAAATGTATTTTGTATTTTTAAATTCAATATTGCTTATGTGACTACATCCTTTACTTTTCCTGAAACCTTGTGCCTTCCCAACTCCATTGGAAGCTCTAGAGCCAAAGTAAGGACATGGTCTCAGAAAAAAGAGGGCCAAAGCGGCTATTGAAATTGTTTTTAGGTGAGGCCAGAACTGCTCACTAATTACTCATTACAAAAAAAAATGTCTAATTCTGGCCTCGTCATCCTAACTTCTTAGATCTGTGGTAGAGCCAAGAATCTGCACTTCAGCCAGCACTCCCAGTAAGTATGATGCAGACAGTCCACATTTCATATTCCTCCAAACACTGCTTCAGGCCTTAGGTGAAAGCTTGCCAAAGGCCCATTCATTTTGTCAGATAAATAATTATATATAGGAAGTGGGGCTAAACCACTAGTTATTAATAAGCAGAGTATCTCTTCTGTGTCTACTTCTCAGGAACTAGAAAGTGGCTTGTGGGAAATGTGAGAATTTCAGAGATGTGGATGCATGTCTTTCTGGCTCTAAATATTTTCATTTTAGAGATCTAGAAACTGCCCCTGGCTGTAAGGAGCATTCCCAGGCCCTCCCTGAAGCAGTCACTGGTGTGACCCCAGGGCGATGTGATGCAGTGAGGTCCTCCTGAACAACAGCTCATTCTTTTCCTGAGATAGAGCTGGGAATGACTCTGCCAGAAGTCCCAGGACAGGAGTGTCATCTTCAGGAGTGCCTTCTGGATAGGGAAACTGAGGATCCTGGCATTAAACAGCTGCTAAGTGTTAGAGCCGTGATCTAGATTCCAGGGTTGGGGACATGGGAGGGACCAGAAAAACAAAACTAAACAGCATGTCTGCTAAAAAAGGGTTTATCTTAGGTAAATAGCACCTTTTCTTTAAATCCATACTATGTTTTAAATGACTGGTATCAGAGCGTTTCTTGGAAGTAGGTTTCATAAGATGGAAGGCAAATGAAAGTTTATGGGCAGAGAGATTAGAGTTTGTGGGGAGTACATTGAAGTTAAGGATTCACAACACAAACTTGGACTGGATGCAGTGGATCTCGGCTGTAATCCCAGCACTTTGAGAAGCCAAGGAAGGAGGATTGCTGAGCTCAGGAGTTCGAGACCAGCCTGGGCCACATGGCAAAAACATCTCTATAAAAAAATAAAAAACTATCTGAGAGTGGTGTTGCACACCTGTAGTCTCAGCTACTGAGGATGATGAGGCAGGGGGATTACCCAAAGAGGGAGGTGGAGGCTGCTGCAGTGAGCCGTGATTACACAATGGCACTCCAGCATGGATGACAGACTGAGACTCTCTCAAAACACTAAAAAAAACACAAACTAGGTCAATTTCTAATTTGCCATTGGACTAGCCTAGGCTGTTGTATAGAAATTTAGAAGCACTGACTGGTGAAAATACTGAGTTAGCCACATTGACAATCGCTATGAAAGTATTTTTCTGTTTTCCTTGAAGTTTTATTGATCTCATCAAATACATATCTCACATATGCAGGGAAATGTGAGCCTTAAAAATGCTGAAATATTTGTGAGCCTAACCTTGATGGACCTCAAAACTTATGACAGAAAGCTGACTAACTGATGAACTTGGAATTTTCATTTATTATTAACAAAAACATTTGTAGTGCTTACTCTACAACAATGACTATTCTAAGTGATTAGCAAATACAAGCTCATTGAATCTTTGTAATAAAAATAAAATTGGTAGGTATCATTCGTAATTCCACTTTTTTTTTCAGTAAACTGAGGCCCAGAGAGGTTAAATACCTCATTCAACGTCACACAATAGATGGCGAAAGACCAGAAATTACAACCAGACCATCTGAACTTTTGTCACTTGGCTGTATCACCTCATTATAAGCCATGTGTAGGGAAACGACTAAATTAACAAGAATCTGAAGTAAAGGCAGAAGAGGAAAATGAGAACGTGAGTGATGCTGGAACCTGGGGAGAATTTAAGTTCAGAAGTTTTCAGTGATGAGACCTGGGAGGGAGCATAAGACGTGGCTGGAATATTAACTTGGGATGGCATTGGCATCTAAGTCCCCTGAGACAGGACTCTGTTCTCCTTAAAGTTCAGAAAGACAGGTTGGATGAAGCACAATGGAAAACAAGGTAGAAAGGAAAAGAATAATGTGACTTCAGTGATGAGCAGTAACATTTTTCTTTTAAGTAATAGGAGAAGAGATGGTCTCTGGGGAAGGAAAGACCTCTTGCTGCCAGGTGTCTAATTTATTCCCTCGATGAATATGGGGAAAAGTGGCAGTCATTGTATTGGTTTCAGAAATCCTTTAAAACCAAAGCTTCGGTTCCCCAGACCAGTGTTAATAGCTGTGTCAGGTTCTTCACTGTGTCTGCAAGTCATATGTTTTCACTGGAGTAACAGTTCCTAATAGGTATGCGTAAGTCTCCTACGGCCGCCACAACAAATTACCACAAACTTAATGGCGTGAAACAAAATACATTTATTCTCTTTCAGTTCTTGAGGTCAGAAGTCTGAAAGCACTTTCACTGGGCTGAAGTCCAGAGATGGCAGGGTTGTGCTCATTCTGGAGACTCGAGAACAGAATCAGTTTTAGATGAGATAGCACCTACAACATAAGCTGAGAATGCAATGTAAGTTGGTGGAAGTCAGTGATACTGAATATGAAGGCAGTACGAGTTTAGAGAAAGAAATCAGAGGATAAAGGTTTACTTGTTAATATTTGGGGAGGCTTTAATTTTATACAATAAACATTTATGGAGAAAAGGTGACTGGAGAACAGGAATGTGCACGGGATTTGGTAATTGGCAGTGGGGTATCTGCTGTTTCACTCATGAATCCACATGCTTTTTCCTCAAATGACAAGTGGAAGTCTGTCCTCCACTACTGACGTTGTCAGCTAGAACTGGATTTTGGCATTTCATTGGCTCAAGTCACACTTTTGGTGTTAGAATCTTCCTATGTTACAGTTTTACAATCTTGTGTGCTACATAGGTTATTTTTTAAATGTTAAATTCCAGCACAGGCTGGGGTTTTGCCTACAGAGTCTCTGTCATAGGTGACACCATGAGCATCCTAGGGCGTCCAATTCAATCAAGTTGTCAGAAGTGAGCAGGAAGCAGGAAGACAGCTTGTTAAGTTGCAGAGGGAAAGCTAAACCTTAAAATGGGCTATGAGAGAGGCTGCCCTGTGACACGGTATATTCGAGGCCCTATTGAATCCACTAGGTTCCCATAGCTGAGCAAACTGGAAACTGTAGGACTTCTTAGATGAGAGACCTTCTTTGTTACTTAACCTCTACCATGTACCAGACCTCAGAGATTCTTGAGGCAACTGCTACTTTTCAATCTAGAAGGAAATCGATAGAAACAAATTTTTCAACGCAGAATTTTATACTCTCAAAAATAAGAACTAAGGTTTCCTTACCTATTATTTATGAAAATCATGATCTATTTGTAACAAAATTTTTTTAAATTTAATATTATGTGTGAAATTCAGCATCTGTTCATATGTTTCCAAGCTATTTGTATTTTTCTCTAAAATGTATTTCTTCTTAAAGAAAAGCAACTAAAACTATGTCCTATAATTACATAAAATAATAAAGTCATTTGTTTCCTTAAAAATATTACTCTAGCTTTTGATAAAAAGCAATGAAACACTGATCCAAGGATAAAATTGACAAACCTTTATACCTACAATTTTTAAGGCCAAATACCTTAATGTGAAAATTTTAAAAAAGGAAAAAAAAACATATTTGCAGTGCATACCATTGTGTTTAGAATTATACTCTTTATAATTTGAAGATATATTATAAATGATTGAGGAAAGAGTAAATAAATCCATAGGAGAAAAGGGAAAGAACAGGAATAAATAGTTTGACCAAAAAAAAAAAAATTACATCTGAACAAATGCTTAGAAGCATCCATAATTTTATATTAAAATTAAAACAACTGTGAAATACCATTTTAACTTTCATATTCACCAGAAAAATTATTGTTGAAGATGTGGAGAAATGAACATTTTCAAGCAATTTTAACAGGAATATACATTGGGATATTTGCTTGGGAGCATAATTTAGAAATATCTTTCCAGTTTTTCAACATATATACTATTTGACCTGACAATCCCATATCAAGGACTCTCTCCTATGGATATGTCTACTGTGTAAGCAAAGATGCATGTCCATTGTTATTAGTAGTAACATTCTAGAAATATTTTAAAAGGCTCATTAATAGAAAACTGATTAAAATAATTATAGTGCATTCATATAATGGATCACTTTGCAGCCTTTTTAAAAATGAGATACCTCTGTATGTACTGACAGGTTGACACAGACTTTCTCTAAGATATATTGTTAAGAGGAGAAAAAGAAAGTTGTTGAAGAAGGTAACACAGGGCACAATAATATTCATAGAAAATTCAAGAGAATATACAAAAGAACTTTTAAGCAGTAGTTCCCTGTGGACTGTTGTAGGATGACAGAAATAATTATTTTCACTGTCTACTTGTTTTGCTACCTTGCATGTACGTTTCCTATTTTAATTATAAAATTTAGCTAAGGATAAGTAAAGTATACCATGTCAGAATAGTCTGAGTTCTATAGGCTTTTAAATATCTCTTTAAGAAAAAGAGGAATTGGGAGGCTGAGGCAGGTGGATCACTTGAGGCCAGGAGTTTGGGACCAGCCTGGCCAACATGGTGAAACTCTGTTTCTACTAAAAACACAAAAATATTAGCTGGGTGAGGTGGCTCATGCCTGTAATCCTAGCTACTTGGGAGGCTGAGGTGGGAGAATCGTTTGAGCTTGGGAGATGAAGGTTGTAGTGAGCCGAGATCATGCCACTGCACTCCAGCCTGGACAACAGAGTGAGAACCCATCGCAAAAAAAATAAAAATAATAAAGGTTAAATATGTCAAGCTTATTTATGTCAGCTTAAATATGTCAAGATGCCGGGCACCGTAGCTCATACCTGTAATCCCACCATTCCGCCAAGGCAGGAGGATCACTTCGGCTCAGGAGTTTGAGACCAGTCTGGGCAACAACTAGAGGCAGCACCACCACCACTGGCTAATTTTCGTGTATTTTAGCCAGGTGTGGTGGGATGTGCCTGTAGTCCCAGCTACCAGGGAGGCTGAGGCAGGAGAATTGCTTGAGCCTGGGATGTCGAGGCTGCAGTAAGCTGTGATCATGCCACTGCACTCCAGCCTGGGTGACAGAGCAAGATCCTGTCTCACTACATATATATATATTAGATAATTTACATAGAAATTCCAGAAAATATACATAAGAACTTTTAAGCAGTAGTATATATGTAAATAAAATTACATATATATTTTGTACATATGTAATTTTGCATAAAATTACATATACATAAATTACATGTATACAAAATATATATGTAATTTTATTTACATATACATCTCAAAAGAAAATTACATGAAGAATGAGTAGATATGTGAGCATCCAGGATGCATGTCACTTTCAAATCTAGGCAGATAATTTGTATACTAGTCTCCCTGGCTAGTTCACGTTTTATGTAATTTATGCAATTCCTCACATTAGGCTCAAAGAACACAATTGTACCTAAAAGATTAATAGAGATACTACTAAAATTTTTGTAATTATAAAAGAAAGATGCCTACCCTGGGCAACATAGCCAGATCCTGTCTCTACAAGATATATATACATATATATACACACACACATACATATATATACACACATACACATATATATAAACACACACACATATATATACACACACACATATTTATTTAGCTTGGCATGGTAGCACACAACTGTAGTCCTAGCTACTAGGGAGGCTGAGGCAGGAGGATCACTGAAGCCCAGAAGTTTGAGGCTGCAGTGAGGTATGATCATGCTACTGCCTCCAACCTGTCTCAGAAGAAAGGGGGTGGGGGAGATGCATAAAATTCTCTCCCATATTGCCGAATTATTTTTTAGTTCTGGTTTATATGATTGGGTAGTAATTTTCCCAGCTGCCATCAATTGCAATGTGTTTTCTTTTATTCACTGTAATAATACCTAGCTATTTGTTAACATTTTCATAACACAGGCTTAGCATATGGTAGGTACTTGATTTACTTGACATTTTGCTTAAGCTGTTTAAAGGTTGGTAGTTGTTTTTCTGAAGTAGCACTAATTTGTGGGAGTTGAAACATCCCTGCGGCTTCATGGTTTCTGCTTTCCTCCCCACTGAGGTTTCCACTGAATTCATAAGAACCAGCCACTTATTGAAAGCTCATGTATATATACGCAAAATATACACTGCTAGTGGACTTCTAAAGAGATCTTGTTGAAATGAAATGCATTTTAAATGCATCCAGATTAATATATGTAGGTTGCATACTTCTCACTTGTTTTGCTGTCTGTCAATTTGTAAATTAACGTCAGTTGGTTTCCAGTCCATAGCCTGTAGATATAGAGTCCAAATTCTTCTTTCTTTTCAATTTTCAATGACGACAATAAAACCAGTTCATTTGGATTTTATGTTCTAAGGCTCTCTTATTGAACAAAATCTGAGTTGAATATTCCCAGCCTCTAGAACTTTCCCTCTCACTCTCTTTCTCATTCTAACAGAAAGTTATATGCCCAAGATGAACTTCATGAACAATCATGTACATAATATTTTGAAATCTTTTTCTTGCCACAACACTGACTTTTGATATTACAGTTGTGTTTAGTCTCTCTCTGTTTCTCTCCATTTTGGAATTCAATATCACAGTTGATAAAGGATCATATCTAATTAATATTCTTTGTGCAGAACCTAACATATATAACTTAGTATCCATTTTCAACCACTATCCTTGTAATCATCAGCTAAAGACTAATATATTGATTTTAACTATAGTTCTAGTTGCAACCAAAATGTGGAAGGTAAAGTAATACATTGAGAGCAGAAAACACTTTATTTTAGAACACACCTAGGAAGATAAGAGATTATTTTTTCTTTTTTCTTTTCAAAGTGGTTATTACGAGTGGGTAAGATTCATGCACACTGTGTGACTGCAGCAGAATAAATGAGAAACAAGGTGCTGGGGTATGCATTGGGCATAGCTCAAATAAATAGCATTTCTTTTTACAGATCCTTTGCTGAAATTTTCAACAACAAAGCCAAATATTAAATGTTCTTTGAATAAATATGCCCCTAATCACAAGGAGTAGCCAAGTAAACCACTATGAGGCATTGTCCTAATAGCATCAGAAAGGCTGTGTGGCCACTGTCCACTGTGGATTTGTTGTGTTATAGATTCTAGTGCTCTCCTTCTGCTGATTTTTTTATAAGTATGCAAACTGAAGACTGAAGTAAAAATAAAAATAGCATAAAATAAAAACCCAAACAAAATCTTCCAGGGGGAAAGAGTGTGAATGAATGAGCAACGACAATAAGAACTGCTTACTTAAGCAGAGGCAATTTTTGAAAATCACTTTCTGCAGTCTTAGAAAATATCCACATTTTACTTTTTTGGGGTTCATCCTTATTTAAAACTGATTCGGCTGGCTATGTTTTGAAATTCATTTTCTTTTCATATTTTCCAAGGTAATACAGTCTGTGCTCATGTGCGTGCACATACACACACACACATGCACACACACAAACATTTTATATTATGTAACAGCCTTCAGTAGTGTCTAGGGCAACTCCCCTTTATAAAATACATTAAGATTTCTATAATAAAAATAATCAATATTTACACTAAGGGAGATAAATCGATTGCAAATAGTCTCATATCAGTTCGTTAGATTTTCCCACTAAATAAATATGGTGCTAATTGTAAAAAATAAAACATTTTTAATTTTTAGACTTTCTGTTTTTTGCATTTGTGGTTAAGGGATAATGGATTTGCACTAAACCGGCAGTATCCAGCATGCAAGAGTATGTAAAAGGCTTTTTCAATGGCATCAAAATTAATTGCCTAGTCTTTTCCTGTAACTTGGATAAAACACCATTGGTAATGAGTTAGAGTTCAAGAACACAATGAATCACAGGCATTGCCACCAAATATTTAAGCTTACTATTCAAGCAGAATTCTCTGTTCTGGAAGCTTGAAAAACACATGAGGTTAAAATTAAAAAGCCACTTTAAGGCTGGGCGTGGTGGCTCCCGCCTGTAATCCCAACACTTTGGGAGGCCAAGGCGGGCGGATCACCTGAGGTCGGTCGGGAGTTGGAAACCACCCTGACCGACATGGAGAAACCCCGTTTCTACTAAAAATACAAAATTAGACAGGCGTGGTGGCACATGCCTGTAATCCCAGCTACTCGGGAGGCTGAGGTGGGACAATCGCTTGAACCCGGGAGGCGGAGGTTGTGGTGAGCCGAGAACATGCCATTGAACTCCAGCCTGGGTAAGAAGAGTGAAATTCGGTCTCAGAAAAAAAAAAAAAAAAAGTCACATTAGATGATTTGAACCAGGTATCATTTCTGTGAAAAAGTGAAGCCCCATGCTTCTCACTGAATTAGTAAGCTTTAACTGATATAATTTAACTTTGATCTCAAGGGTTAAGGTGTGGTGAAGACACTGGGGATTATGTTGCCATTAGGGATCTTTATCCTACTTTCTGCCCGTCTGACATTTCTGAAACTATTGCTGATTTAGAATGGTTACTATTTTAATGAGAAATGTTGAAGTCAGTGTTTCTGCTGACCCAACTGATTAAAAGGCATCAACTACGTGATAAAAACTTATTATTAATTGGCATAAAATTGTTTTAAAAGGACATTGGTTTAATAAACTTAGAACATAATGAAAGTTATATACAGAAATAGGCTGATTGAGGATAAGAAAAAGGAGAAGACTTCACATGCCTAGAAAGTTTTGTAAATTAAATTTATATTTTTTCTTGATAGTTTGAATGTGTTGAATGTTGCCTTCTGGTAGTGAATAAAAAATTTTAGACTGCAGTGGAAAGCCCTGTTCAGAACACAGAGTACTTTTAAGACCTAGGGGAAGTGGAGAACTTCTCAGGTAAGAATGCTTGGGAAGTCCCCACCTGCCCTTGTGACAGGGATCAATGAACCCTGTCAATGAAACCCGCCCTTTCCCCCCTAACTTTCAGCTCTTACAGAGATGTGCCTGACATGCAAAGCTATCGTCCTTAGATCTTCTTTTAGACTTTCCTGACAAACAACCATAACTTCCTGATATTCAACCCTGTGCTTTGTTTCTGTATGAGTATCTAACTCCTGTCTTCCCCACCCTCCCCACCCACATTAGCTTGATCTGGTTATAGAGTATTTGATATCTCCAAACTTATTTCTGCTCAAACCAAAGTTTCAGTCCTTGTCAACAAAGTCTATTGTTCCCAAATGTCTGTATTAATTCCCATATCAAAGCCAAACAAACTAGGCTCCAGGTGAATTTCATTAGCATTCGCATCCTCCTCAAAGAGAGTCAGTTGGGAGAAGAGCGAAAAGAACTTTCAGTAGAAGCAGAAACCCTTTCACTTACCAGTTGTCTAATTTTGAGCAAGCCACATTACTTCTCCAGAGATGAGATTCCTCTCTGCAGAAATGGAAGATAATTAAATTAAATGACTGCCAAACCTTGCTTTGACTTTCAACGCTTATTAAACTTTGATTCTTCTGTGTTTGGCAGACTCTGCTATCCCTGCCTCTGGCCAGTCTTACTATGAAGTAACAGAACTGACTTTACTGAATTTGTTCTTTTCCTTCCCTGTTAAGCTATTATCAACCTGCTCTTTCATGCTAGCTATTGGTCCTTCCTTCATTGGCCTCTCCCTCAGATTAAGTGAAGATTGTTTGCACACGCACTCAATACGGGTTTATAGTAGATGAAATTGTGCATATGTTTTTCCCAAGCCAGAAGCTTGAGCAATAATGCTTATTTGTTTCAGGCTTACACTTGAGAATTGGTCAAAAGAGTCATTTATCTGGTAAAACCATAACTCAATAGGCAACCACATTCATTTAATGTTTTCCAAAAACATTTCTTGCCTCTTGGCTCTTAATAGCATAATTTTGTTTCCCTGATTCTGACGAAAAGAGTAATTACTGGCACTTGGTGGGCATAATTTAATAAAAGAAAGGGTATGGGAAAAAGAAACACATAAATATATATTTTGTTCCCTGGAATTATCATAAAACTGTGTAGTAACTGACAGTTTAGTATTTAATGTTTGCAATTTGTTTTCTTTCTTTTTCTGCTTTTCCTGTGCCTACATCATACTTGGAAGGAAAGTAGATGGCAACTAAAAACAAAACATTGGTATTTTAGCAATATTTACTAATATTAATTGCAAGTGAAATATGAAATTTAAGCAACATAGATAGATGTTACTTATGTAAATGAACCCCCAATAGCACTAGAATCTGTGATTTTGTTATAGAATTTTATTTCTCATGTTATCCCTGAAGTATTTATTGACAAAAAAGAATGCTCCCACTCAAGGAATCTAGGAAAAGAGAGATCCCATCTGATGTATCTTCTAAAGAAAGAGCCAGGTGAACATGGGGTGCAGAGAAGCCTTAAGGCAGAAGAAAGGAAAATAATTGCAGTCAACTGCATCTTAACAGAAGTAAAGGCAGATGCGATTTTTAATATTTGAATAATTAGTCTCAAATCACCTGGTTCAGCCCTTCGCAACTAGAATCTGGGACAAAGCAGAATTAGGACTTGACAACTGCTCGAACATGTTAGGATCAGGAATTTGTACTTAGGGAAAAATAACACACAGGTTTAGAATTTTGACCTTTAAAAGGTTTATTAATCTCTGCAGTACTCCATTTTTCAGTCAATGAAATGAGATAGTTGCCAACTACACCACATGAAGTTTGTAATATGACTGTGAGTAAATCTTTTAGAAACATAGAGAAAAAAAATGAGTGCAGCAACCACAGTCATTTCCTTTTATTTTGTATTGATTTAAAAAATTAAAAGTGGTTCATGCTTATTAAAGACAATTTAGAAAAGAGAGGTGATAGATATATCCCAAGATTTACATTTATCAGAACATTTCAAGTCTAAATGGACGTCAGAATCTTTTACTCTTTTGATGAGAGGAAATCCAGTTGTCCCTAGGACTCTATTTCTAAATAATTTCCTCCAGGAACCTCTGCTGTGGATGGGGGGTAAGTAGAAACAGGGTTTTATTCTACAGTTCCCTGTTCTCTCTGCTTTGGAATCTGGTGATCTATTGTTTTGTCTTCCTACTCCTGAAACCACCACTACTCAGCTCCTTGCAGGCTCCTGTCTCCCTCTTCTTCCCTTCATCCACCAGCGCCTTTGGGGTCGTTTCCTCTGGAGATTCTTCCTCCTAGTATATGCGCCTAGAGAATCCAGGGTGTTGCAGGATTGCAGCTTGGTGGTGATGGTTGTTCTGAGTCTCCCCAGCCTCCCCATGGGACATCACTCACAATAATTTTATCTCAGGAACTCCATCATTTTTTATTCCATCCCAGCCTCCGTTAAATTAAATGACTGGTGCAGCCTGGCCCATCCAACAGGAACTTGGGTTGTGTGATGGCCGTTGTGGGGAGGCTGTTGCCCTGGGGTGCAACTGAGACGCCTAAGTGACCCTGGATTGTAGTTTTCCCACATCCTGCTGAAATTGGAGCCAGTTTGACTGCTTCTCTTCCTTTTATTCTATGAAAAACACATGACCTGGCTGTCAGGCCTCTGAGCCCAAGCCAAGCCATCGCATCCCCTGTGACTTGCACGTATATGTCCAGATGGCCTGAAGTAACTAAAGAATCACAAAAGAAGTGAATATGCCCTGCCCCACCTTAACTGATGACATTCCACCACAAAAGAAGTGTAAGTGGCCGGTCCTTGCCTTAACTGATGACATTACCTTGTGAAAGTCCTTTTCCTGGCTCATCCTGGCTCAAAAAGCACCCCCACTGAGCACCTTGCAACCCCCACTCCTGCCCGCCAGAGAACAACCCCCCTTTGACTGTAATTTTCCTTTACCTACCCAAATCCTATAAAACGGCCCCACCCCTATCTCCCTTCAGACTCTCTTTTCAGACTCAGCCCACCTGCACCCAGGTGATTAAAAGCTTTATTGCTCACACAAAGCCTGTTTGGTGGTCTCTTCACATGGACGCGCATGAAATTTGGTGCCGTGACTCAGATCGGGGGACCTCCCTTGGGAGATCAATCCCCTGTCCTCCTGTTCTTTGCTCCATGAGAAAGATCCACCTATGACCTCAGGTCCTCAGACCGACCAGCCCAAGGAACATCTCACCAATTTTAAATCAGGTAAGTGGCCTCTTCTCACTCTCTTCTCCAGCCTCTCTCACTTTCCCTCAACCACTTTCTCCTTTCCACTCTTCAATCTCTCCCTTCTCTTAATTTCAATTCCTTTCATTTTCTGGGAGAGATAAAGGAGACATGTTTTATCCGTGGACCCAAAACTGCGGCACCGGTCACGAACTGGGAAGGCAGCTTCCCTTGGTGTTTAATCATTGCAGGGACACCTCTCTGATTATTCACCCACGTTTCAAAGGTGTCAGACCATGCAGGGACGCCTGCCTTGGTCCTTCACCCTTAGCGGCAAGTCCCGCTTTTCTGGGAAAGGGGCAAGTACCCCCACCTCTTCTCTCCTTGTCTCTACCCCTTCTCTGCTTTTCTGGGGGAGGGGCAAGTACCACTCAACCTCTTCTCCTTCACTCTTAGCGGCAAGTCCCGCTTTTCTAGAGGAGGGGCAAGTACCCCAACCTCATATCTCTGCACCCCAATCCCTTATTTCTGTGCCCCAACCTCTTGTATCTCTGCACTCCAATCCCTTATTTCCGCACCCTGACCTCTTATCTCTGCGCCCCAATCTCTTATTTCCATGCCCCGACCCCTTATTTCCATGCTCCTACCCCTTCTTTCTGTGCCCCAACCCCTTATTTCTGTGCCCCATCCCTTATTTCCATGCCCTGACCTCTTATCTCTGTGCCCCAACCCCTTTTCCCACTTTTCTGGAAGGTAAGAACCCCTGAACCCCTTCCCTCCATTTCTCTACTCTCTTTTCTCTAGGCTTGCTTCCTTCACTATGGGCAACCTTCCACCCTCCATTCCTCCTTCTACTCCCTTGGCCTGTGTTCTCAAAAACTTAAAACCTCTTCAACTCACACCTGACCTAAAACCTAAATGTCTTATTTTCTTCTGCAATGCCGCTTGACCCCAATACAAACTCGACAGTAGTTCCAAATAGCCAGAAAATGGCACTTTGAATTTTTCCATCCTGTAAGATCTAAATAATTCTTGTCGTAAAATAGGCAAATGGTCTGAGGTGCCTGACGTCGAGGCATTATTTTACACATCAGTCCCTTTGCCCAGTGCAACTCGTCCCAAATCTTCCTTCTTTCCCTCCCGCCTGTCCCCTCAGTACCAACCCCAAGCATCGCTGAGTCTTTCTAATCTTCATTTTCTACAGACCCATCTGACCTCTCTCTTCCTCCCCAGGCTGCTCCTCGCCAGGCCGAGCTAGGTCCCAATTCTTCCTCAGCCTCTGCTCCTCCACCCTATAATCTTTTTATCACCTCCCCTCCTCACACCTGGTCTGGCTTACAGATTCCTTCTGTGACTAGCCCTCCCCCTCCTGCCCAGCAATTTACTCTTAAAAAGGTGGCTGGAGCTAAAGGCATAGTCAAGGTTGATGCTCCTTTTTCTTTATCCCAAATCAGATAGCGTTTAGGCTCTTTTTCATCAAATATAAAAATCCAGCCCAGTTCATGACTTGTTTGGCAGCAACCCTGAGACACTTTACAGCCCTAGAACCTAAAAGGTCAAAAGGCAGTCTTATTCTCAAAATACATTTTATTACCCAATCTGCTCCCGACATTAAATAAAACTCCAAAAATTAAATTCCGGCCCTCAAACCCCACAACAGGATTTAATTAACCTCGCCTTCAAGGTGTACAATAATAGAAAAAAGTTGCAATTCCTTGCCTCCACTGTGAGACAAACCCCAGCCACATCTCCAGCACACAAGAACTTCCAAACGCCTAAACTGCACAGCGGCCAGGCATTCCTCCAGAACCTCCTCCCCCAGGAGCTTGCTACATGTGCTGGAAATCTGGCCACTGGGCCAAGGAATGCCCGCAGCCCGGGATTCCTCCTAAGCCACGTCCCATCTGTGTGGGACCCCACTGAAAATTGGACTGTTCAACTCACCTGGCAGCCACTCCCAGAGCCCCTGGAACTCTGGCCCAAGGCTCTCTGACTGACTCCTTCCCAGATCTTCTCGGCTTAGCGGCTAAAGACTGACTGCCCGATCGCCTCGGAAGCCCCCTAGACCATCACGGACGCCGAGCTTTAGGTAACTCTCACAGTGGAGGGTAAGTCCGTCCCCTTCTTAATCAATACGGAGGCTACCCACTCCACATTACCTTCTTTTCAAGGGCCTGTTTCCCTTGCCTCCATAACTGTTGTGGATATTGACGGCCAGGCTTCTAAACCTCTTAAAACTCCCCAACTCTGCTGCCAACTTAGACAATACTCTTTTAAGCACTCCTTTTTAGTTTTCCCCACCTGCCCAGTTCCCTTATTAGGCTGAGACACTTTACCTAAATTATCTGCTTCCCTGACTATCCCTGGACTACAGCTATATCTCATTGCCGCCCTTCTTCCCAACCCAAAGCCTCCTTTGCATCCTCCTCTTGTATCCCCCCCACCTTAACCCACAAGTATAAGATACCTCTACTCCCTCCTTGGTGACCGATCATGCACCCCTTACCATCTCATTAAAACCTAATCACCCTTACCCCACTCAACGCCAATATCCCATCCCACAGCATGCTTTAAAAAGATTAAATCCTGTTATCACTCGCCTGCTACAGCATGGCCTTTTAAAGCCTATAAACTCTCCTTACAATTCCCCCATTTTACCTCTCCTAAAACCAGACAAGCCTTACAAGTTAGTTCAGGATCTGCACCTTATCAACCAAATCGTTTTGCCTATCCACCCCGTGGTGCCAAACCCATATACTCTCCTATCCTCAGTACCTGCCTCTACAACCCATTATTCTGTTCTAGATCTCAAACATGCTTTCTTTACTATTCCTTTGCACCCTTAATCCCAGCCTCTCTTCGCTTTCACTTGGACTGACCCTGACACCCATCAAGCTCAGCAAATTACCTAGGCTGTACTGCCGCAAAGCTTCACAGACAGCCCCCATTACTTCAATCAAGCCCAAATTTCTTCCTCATCTGTTACATGTCTCGGCATAATTCTCATAAAAACACACGTGCTCTCCCTGCCAATCATGTCCGACTGATCTCTCAAACCCAAGCACCTTCTACAAAACAACAACTCCTTTCCTTCCTAGGCATGGTTAGCACGGTCAGAATTCTTACACAAGAGCCAGGACCACACCCTGTAGCCTTTCTGTCCAAACAACTTGACCTTACTGTTTTAGCCTAGCCCTCATGTCTGCGTGCAGTGGCTGCCGCTGCTTTAATACTTTTAGAGGCCCTCAAAATCACAAACTATGCTCAACTCACTTTCTACAGTTCTCATAACTTCCAAAATCTATTTTCTTCCTCATACCTGATACATATACTTTCTGCTCCCCGGCTCCTTCAGCTGTACTCACTCTTTGTTGAGTCTCCCACAATTACCATTGTTCCTGGCCCAGACTTCAATCCGGCCTCCCACATTATTCCTGATACCACACCTGACCCCCATGACTGTATCTCTCTGATCCACCTGACATTCACCCCATTTCCCCAAATTTCCTTTTTTCCTGTTCCTCACCCTGATCACGCTTGATTTATTGATGGCGGTTCCACCAGGCCTAATTGCCACACACCAGCAAAGGCAGGTTATACTATAGTACAAGCCACTAGCCCGCCTCTTAGAACCTCTCATTTCCTTTCCATCGTGGAAATCTATCCTCAAGGAAATAACTTCTCAGTATTCCATCTGCTATTCTACTGCTCATCAGGGATTATTCAGGCCCCCTCCCTTCCCTACACATGAAGCTCAAGGATTTGCCCCACCCAGGACTGGCAAATTAGCTTTACTCAACATGCCCTGAGTGAGATAACTAAAATACCTCTTAGTCTAGGTAGGTACTTTCACTGGATAGGTAGAGGCCTTTCCTACAGGGTCTGAGAAGGCCACCGCAGTCATTTCTTCCCTTCTGTCAGACATAATTCCTCAGTTTAGCCTTCCCACCTCAATACAGTCTGATAACAGACGAGCCTTTATTAGTCAAATCAGCCAAGCAGTTTTTCAGGCTCTTAGTATTCAGTGAAACCTTTATATCCCTTACGGTCCTCCGCCTTCAAGAAAAGTAGAATGGACTAAAGGTCTTTTAAAAACACACCTCACCAAGCTCAGCCACCAACTTAAAAAGGACTGGACAATACTTTTACCACTTTCCCTTCTCAGAATTCAGGCCTGTCCTCGGAATGCTACAGGGTACAGCCCATTTAAGCTCCTGTATAGACGCTCCTTTTTATTAGGCCCCAGTCTCATTCCAGACACCAGACCAACTTAGACTATGCCCCAAAAAACTTGTCATCCCTACTGTCTTCTGTCTAGTCATACTCCTAGTCACCGTTCTCAACTACTCATACATGCCCTGCTCTTGTTTACATTGCTGGTTTACACTGTTTTTCCAAGCCATCACAGCTGATATCTCCTGGTGCTATTCCCAAACTGCCACTCTTAACTCTTGAAGTAAATAAATAATCTTTGCTGGCAGGACTATGCTGAATCTCCTTAGGCACTCTCTAATCAGATATCCTGAGTCGTCCCAATTCTTAGACCTTTTATACCTGTTTTTCTCCTTCTGTTATTCCATTTAGTTTCTCAATTCATCCAAAACCGTATCTAGGCCATCACCAATCATTCTATACAACAAATGTTTCTTCTAACACCCCCACAATATCACCCCTTACCACAAGACCTCCCTTCAGCTTAATCTGTCCCACTCTAAGTTCCCACGCTGCCCCAATCCCGCTTGAAGCAGCCCTGAGAAACATCGCCCATTCTCTCTCCATACCACCCCCCAAAAATTTTTGCTGCCCCAACACTTCAACACTATTTTATTTTATTTTTCTTATTAATATAAGAAGGCAGGAATGTCAGGCCTCTGAGCCCAAGCCAAGCCATCGCATCCCCTGTGACTTGCACGTATACGCCCAGATGGCCTGAAGTAACTGAAGTATCACAAAAGAAGTGAATATGCCTTGCCCCACCTTAACTGATGACATTCCACCACAAAAGAAGTGTAAATGGCCGGTCCTTGCCTTAAGTGTTGACATTACCTTGTGAAAGTCCTTTTCCTGGCTCATCCTGGCTCAAAAAGCTCCCCCCACTGAGCACCTTGCGACCCCCACTGCTGCCCACCAGAGAACCCCCCTTTGAGTGTAATTTTTCTTTACCTACCCAAATCCTATAAAACGGTCCCACCCCTATCTCCCTTCGCTGACTCTCTTTTCAGACTCAGCCCACCTGCACCAAAGCTTTATTGCTCACACAAAGCCTGTTTGGTGGTCTCTTCACACGGACACGCATGAAACTGGCCCTACTGCATCTAGGGTGAAAGACGGAGCTGAATAACTTTCTGTGAGGCTAAATTTCTCCCTTGCAGTGGTCCTAGACTCAAGTGACTGTTTGTGTGACAGTTAGGACATTTCCAGGACAGCCTTTAGGGGGATTATGTGGCTGTTTCCCCTAGAGCATATGCAGCTTTGCGTCCAGTGCTGATCTAACATAGTCTCACCTCTAACAAAGCAAGGGCCTCTAACTCTTTTAAATTTCCACCTTCCATATCAGAGATCTAATGTGAAAGTTCCTCACAGCTTTTTCTTGAGTTTTATTCTTTTCTCTCTCCTCACTTCCTCTTTAACAGATCTCCTCTATTCCCAAGGCAATCAAATGTATCAATTTGCTGGTGACTCCATAATTTGCGGGTAACTCAAGGCAGATCTCCCTTCTGATCTCCAAGGTGGGGTGTTTTGAAGAGTGGGGGCGATAGAAGTATAAAGTGTGTCTGGGTTCTTGATCTATTTTGAGTATACGGACAATGAAATGTCTTGGTTGCTGTAGAAAAAAGAGAAGTTGGTCGGATAAGGTGGCTCATGCCTGTAATCCCAGCACTTTGGGAGGCTGAGGCACGCAGATCGTTTGATCTCAGGAGCTGGTGACCAGCCTGGGGAACATGACAACACTCTGTCTCTGCAAAAAATACAAAAAAAAAAAAAAAAAAAAAAAAATTAGCCAGATGCGGTGGTGCACACCTATGGTCCCAGCTACTCTGGAGTCTGAGGTGGGAGGATCATGTGAGCCTGGGAGGTCGAGGTTGCAGTGAGCCGTGATCATGCCACTGCCCTTAAGCCTGGGTGGCAGAGTGAGACCTTACCTTAAAAAAAAAGAAAAGAGGAATCAGCAAGAATCTTAAGCTTTTTGCCTTGAGTAAATGATTGAAAAGAGTTTCCGTTTGAGGTGAGGAAGATTGTGAGATGACCAAGTTTGGCAGAGAGGGTCAAGAGTTTACTTTGAGATGCCTAGTAAGTCATCTAAGAGGGCTTGAGAAGGCAGGTCTCTATTGGAACAGAGAGAAAGGAGAGAGTTCTGACAGTGGTCAACACAGAATTCATGGGACAGGACAAGGTCACCAGTAGAATAATATAAATGCATTAGGTATATTTGTATAATGTTTGTATGTTTCAAACATTATATACCATTTATTTATAATATTCACGTAGATACGTATATGTCTAATGTAAATGCATGTAATCTATGTTAGTAATATTTCCGCGTCTTAGGATCATATTGCATCATTACTTTTAAAAATGGTTGTATGATTTACACTCCCTTTGTTGGTCTATAAATATATCCATTTCTCTCTAGAACAGTGGTTTTTACTTTGTTATCACAACCCAAGTGGGTTTAAGATACCCAGAAACTGGTGAAGTGTTGTATTTATCTGCAGGCCAAAAGATGGCAGTTCTCCAAGATTATGAACAGTTCAGAGATGTTTAACCTCATATATATGAGATGAGCTCAAGGGATTTTTGCCTTGAGTTTAAAAGATTAACTCCAAGGGAACTATCCTTGTTCAAATAGCCACTGTGAAAATCTTATGGAGATTGGGGTGACACACTTCTCCAGGGCTAAAGAAGAGACTCAGTCTCCCTGATACTGCCGCACGCTAAATTGTGAGCAGCAATAAGAAAACCAGAAAATACACTATTTTAAGACGATGGATTTCCACTTATAAATAGGTAATGGAGTTTCTTAAGTCCATTTTTTTGTTATCATTACACCAGGTCATTATAAGCCCGTATTTATGACTGACACAGATTTGGTAAATAGATTAGTGTCCCTTTGGCTAGTATTTTCTCTGCCCTGTGCCCCAGTTACCCCATTCCTTTACATTTACCATGCCTGGGAGTTAGGCTGGTTTCCTACGAGCTTGGGAAATGAGTCAATGATTGTTAAGTGATCATTCTCTCCAGGACAGCATTTTCAAGCTTGGGGAAGTAGTTGAAATTTATAGTAATACTATACCTTTAGAGAGCATCTTTCTCTTAGGAACTTGCTGTATTTTACAGGCATTCAGCTGGACTCTCCCCAGGACTCAGGAAAAACTGGTAACAGTAATGACATATACAAATACCTATAAACTTTAATGATAGGGGCAGCTACTGTCCTAGGAAGGAAAATGTCTACTTTGAGTGTAGTATTTCTGTTTGATGCAAAACGGCTGAGAGACTCCACTGTTGCAGCCTGAGCATCTCCCCCAAACCCTAGAGGCTGAGCTGCATTGTGGCACTGAGTGGATTTCCCTTTGCAAAATATTAGAGGGAAAATAGTTCTCATCGGTGCTGTAATGTGGGGATATCACCCTACAGATTGCAGGTTCAACAATTATTTATTGAGTGACTCCTAAGCCGGGTCCTCTTGTGACAGACCTAGTCCCCGGCCAAATGCCTAGATTCTAAGACATGATTCCCAACCATGCACCCACAAAGTCTTGCTAGGTGGGCTACATGACAATTGACTGAGGAGGTAATGTAGTAGAGATTCCAGAGTCCTGCCTCTAGTAGGTCTAGGTGGGTTCCAGGGTTTTGCCTTCTTAACACAATCCATTTAATAAAAAAGTGATTTCATTGAGCTATTGTATCCAGGAGTTCTTATTGATTTGTTACATATGATAGCATTATACTGTCAACAATTTGGAAAAAGTAAGCTGTAGAAGTACCATATTGCTGAACTGGCAGGAGGTAGTATTGTGCAGTGGTAAAAGTTAGATTTTGGAATTAGACTGTTTGAATCCCTTCTTTTCCTCTTACTAATTAGGTGACATTTGGCAAGCCACTCAAGAGCCTTAGCATCAGCTTTAGCATACAGTTATCATTTCTATTTTATAAGTTGTTTTGCTGATTAAATAAGATATTGGATGAAAAGTGTGACAATGAGTAGCCTATTAATGGTGGTTATCATTGTTGCTATCATTCTTGGTAACTCAAAAGAAAATCAAACCATCCATATGCATCTCCCAATTAAAATATGGGCTTCTCCCTTATCACCCCATAGTGGCAGATATCAATCAGACATACACACACTCATACTTCCATAAGTGGAAATTATGACCCATAGCTCATCTCAAATAGCATTCTCTTTTTAGTCTTAGTCTAATTTTTTTGTTTTAAGGTACAAGTTAAAAGAAGACAATCTTGTTCACATATGAATTCCTAGGTTATATTTCCTCTAAGAAAATGTTGGTATCATTAGCTTTGAGTTTTTCTGAGCAAGGGCATAGGGCCTCTTATATAAAGACCCTATTCATGATTGTATCCAATGTTAGCATGGAAACACTGATCAGACAATATATTCTATTCTAGGATCCTAGATTTTTCTCCTGAGAAAGACAGGAAAAGTGATGAGACACTTCCTGAAAAATCAATGGACACCACGTAAAAACTGCAGGAGAAAGATCCCTTAAGATTTTTTATGATATGTGGCTTGCTGCCTATTAGTTTTAGCCAGTACCAGTTACAACAACACATGCCCCCTAGGGGAGAAAAAGAATGTAAGTTCCAAGACAAAATGCAGAACAGAGCCTCCTCCACTGAGCCAGGAAGGAGATGGTTAACAGATCTAGGATTCTTTCCCTGTTAACATCATCTGTGAGGATGTTTTATAGACCCAGCAAGTAAAACAGGCCAGGTTCCCTTTAACACAGCTGAGGCTACCAGCCTCTGGAGGGATTCTGCAAATCATCCCTCTTAGTTCTATGTTCTTCAGAAGGCAGAAGGAAGGGGGCAAAAGTTGGAGAAAGCAACCAGGGAGGAAAGAGGTGGGGAACAGATGTAAACAGTAAGAAAAATGCACCTAGCATTTATCAACATATTTTAAAGACTGGTTTCACAGATGTCTGATCTAAAAAGTGTGCAGTAGGCATTTTCTGCTGTTTGTCACCATGTCACCATGATTTTAGCATTTTTAAATTTCTACCATACTGTATTTAAAAATGTTCAATATTTCATTTATTCATTTACTCACTCATTCATTCACCAAAAATTTCTTGAGGCATTTTCTATAAGACAAACAATGAGACATTAGAGCACATACATGCCCCTTATAGATCACAGTACAATTGGGAGGTGGAGACATAGCCAGATAATTATCCTGTGGTTAGATATGTATGAGAGCAGAAGCTGCCAGGCCTGGAAACAGAACTTAAATGATTTGGGAAAAGTGAAGAACATTTCCATGTTGATGGGCCATTGGGCCATTGGGTGGGCAGGAAGGGAGGGGGCCTCTCACTGGGATCATGCTGGAGAGAGTAGACTTTATCTCATGCAAATAGGGAAAATACTGAATTTTCTATTTGTTAGGCAGAGAAATGGTATGTTCATTAAGTAGTTTACACATTTTTAACAAAATAAAGGATAGAGATCACGGGGACAACGGTGAAGAAGAAATCAATTAAAAGGACATGAACACTAACTAGAAACCTGCCAACCTGCAGGCAGAGTGCTGGGTGCTTCCATAAAGAAAATTATTTATGAAATTCACACACCCCCGACCCCAAACTGCTATGTAGCAATAATTCCTTCCATATCCAGATAAGAGAGTTGAGGCTGGTCAAGTTTATGCAACTGGCCCAAGCTGCCAAGTTAATAAACAGCTGCTGTAGAATCCAAACCTAAGGTTCTCTGATGTGAAAAGCCATACTCCTTACTCTCTCAACCATGCTGCCCAGGAGTAAATTGCACCAGGTCAGGATTTCACAGGGTTTGAGGGATGATGAGAATCTGTCAGTAACTTAAAAGAAGGCTTGAAACAACAAAGTGAAATACAGTCTAACTGCAACAGTTGAATAAGACCCCAATTCTTAATCTTCCTGTCACAGAAGACAAGGAAGGATGGTCGGGATTAACACAGTTGGCAATCTCAGCAGCCCGCCATCAGCTGCACACTCCAAGAACACACAGAACAGCACTTAGTCCTACCCAAGCCATTGTGACTGACAAGAGAAGTGCTCTGTCTTCTGAGCATGCACAACACGGATGATTTTTCCACATGAATTATTCATTCAAAGCTTCCAACAAAAAAATTTCATTGCTTTTCATTCAGCAAGGGGGCTGTGAGGAGGGGGATTAGAAGTGTGGAGGTGATGGGAAGGAAGTTGACGTTACTTAACAGACAGAGGTGCTATAATAAAAAGCTTTAAGGCAACAGTTACTAAATAAAGGAAAGCCTACTCAAATATGCAATTTAAAAAGAATAGAAATTGATTGGTGAAAAAAAAGTCAGGGATCACAAATACAAGTTGGTTTAGTACCTAAGGTATGAGAAGAATGTAAAGAAGAAACAACTTTCTGAAGATAGTCATGGTTTCTTAAAAAGTCAAATAATTACTAAAGATTCAAATGAACTCTTTGATGAACACTGAATTGCATGCCGTAGTATCACTGGGAAATTTACTAGCCATAAGAAATCTCAGGCAGATGGTGTTTTAAAATTGTTTTCCTCCCAAAGGAAAGAGGCAATTCAGGAATTGTCTTTCAAGGATATCTTTAGGACACATAAATAAAACAGACAGTAAAACATAAATCAGAAAAATTAAGGGCTTATATGACATAGGGCTTAATATATCAAAATCTTACAAATCAGTCATAACACTTTAAACTTCTTAATTAAAATGGGGTAAGGATATTAACAAATAACTCACAAAAAGAGGATATCAATTGGTCAATAAAATTTTACATGAAAGAATTCCCAAAAGCAATAATCACAGAAATTCAAATGAAAAGAATAATTTCAGATACTACTTATTTAGGCAATTCAATTGGCTGTTTTTATTGTATTATTATTTATTTTAATTTTAGATTCAAAGGGTACATAGCAGGCTTGTTACATGGATATATTGCGTGATGCTGAGGTTTGGGCTTCTACTGATTCTATCTCCCAAGTAGTGAAAATAGTACCCAATAGGTAGTTTTTCAATCCTTGCTCTCCTTCCTTTCTGCCTTTTGGAACCCCCAATGTTTTATTGTTCCCATGTTTGTGACCATGTGTCCCCAATGTTTAGTTCCCACTTTAAGTGAGAACATGCAGTATTTTGTTTTCTGTTTCTGTGTTAATTTGCTCAGAATAATGGCCTCCAGCTGCATCCATGTTGCTGCAAAGGACATTATTTCATTCCTTTTTATGGTTGTGTAGTATTCCATGGTGTATATGTACCACATTTTCTTTATCAAATCTACCTTTGATGTACATCTAGGTTGATTCTATGTCTTTGCTTTTATGAATAGTGCTGTGATACATGTACAAGTGGTGGTGTCTTTTTGGTGGAATGATTTATTTTCCTTTGGGTATATATACAGTAAAGGGATTGCTGGGTTGAATGGTAGTTCTGATTTTAGTTTGTTGAGATAGTTCTATTTTTAGTTATTTGAGAAATCTCCAAACTGCTGTCCACAGGAGCTGAACTAATCTGCATTCACGCTGATACGGTTTGGCTCTGCATTCCCACCCAAATCTCATGTTAAATTTTAATTTCAATGTTCGGGGATGGACCTGGTGGGAGGTGATTGGATCATGGAGGCAGATTTCCCCCTTGCTGTTCTTGTGATAGTGAGTGAGTTCTCATGAGATCTGGTTGTTTAAAAGTATATAGCACCTCCCCTTTCACTCTGTCTCCTGCTGGCCATGTGAAGATATGCTTGCTTCCCCTTTGCCTTCCACCATGACTGTAAGTTTCCTGAGGCCTCCTAGCCATGCTTTGTGTACAGCCTGAAGAACTGTGAGCCAATTAAAGCTCATTTCTTTATAAATTACCCAGTCTCAGGTAGTTCTTCATAGAAATGTGAATGGACTAATATACCCATCAACAGTCTGTAAGTGTTCCCTTTCTTCCACAACCTCATGAACACCTGTTATTTTTCTTTTGACTTTTTAACAATAGCTTATATTAGCTGGTGTGAGATGGTATCTCATTATAGTTTTGATCTACATCTCTCTGATGATTAGTGACGTTGAGCATTTTTTCATGTTTGTAGGCCAGTTGCATGTCTTCTTTTGAGAAGTGTCTGTTTATGTTCTTTGCCTACTTTTTAATTAGGTTATTTGTTTGTTTCTTGTTGATTTAAGTTCCTTATAGGTTCTGGACAGTGTCGTTTGTCAGATGTATAGTTTGCAAGTATTTTCTTCTGTTTTGTAGGTTGTCTGTTTACTCTGTTAATAGCTTATTTTGCTATGCAAAAGCTCTTTAGTTTAATTAGGCCCCAATTGTAGTTTTATTTTTGTTGCATTTGCTTCTGAAGATGTAGTCATAAATTTTTTGCCTAGGCCAATGTCTAGAATAGTATTTCCTAGGTTTTCTTCTAGCATTTCTATTGTTTGAGGTCTTACACTTAAGTTTTTAATCTATCCTGAGTTAATTTTTATATATCATAAGAGGTGGGGGTCCAGTTTCATTTTTCTACATATGGTTAGCCAGTTTTCTTAGTACCACTTATTGAACAGGGTATCCATTCCCCATTGTTTATTTTTGTTAACTTTGTTGAATAGTGGTTGATGTAGGTGTGTGGCTTTATTTCAGGTGTTTCTATTTTGTTCCATTGGTCTATGTGTCTATTTTTGCGTCAATACAATGCTGTTTCAGTTAGTATAGCCTTGCAGTACAGTTTGAAGTCAGGTAATGTGATGCCTCCAGCTATCCTTTTTGCTTAGGATTGCCTTGGCTATTTGGTCTCTTTTTCAGTTCCATAAGAATGTTAGAATAGTGTTTTCCTGATTCTGTGAAGAATTAGGTTAGTAATTTGATAGGAATAGCATTGAATCTGTAGATTGATTTGGGCAGTATGGACATTTTAATGATACTGATTCTTCCAGTCCATGAGAATGGAAGGCTTTTCCATTTGTTTGTGTCATCTATGATTTCTTTCAACAGTGTTTTGTAGCTTTACTTGTAGAGATTTTTCATCTCATTGGTAAGAGGTATTCCTAGGTATTTTACCTTTTTTGTGGCAATTGTATATGTGATTGTACTGTTGACTTACTTCTCAGCTTGAACCTTATTGGTATATAGATATGCTGCCAATTTTTATACATTGATATTGTATCCTGAGACTTGCCAAAATTGTTTATCAGACCAGGACATCTTTTCGAAAATCTTTAGGTTTTTCTAGGTATAGAATCATATTTTCAGTGAGGCGAGATAATTTGACTTCCTCTTTTCCTATGTGGATGCCTTATATTTCTTTGTCTTGCCTGATTGCTCTGGTTAGGACTTCCAGTACTGTGTTGAATAAGAATATCGAGAATGGATATCCTTTGTTTCTTCCAGTTCTTAAGGAGAAAGCTTCCACTTTTTGCATATTTAGTATGATGTTGTCTGTGGGTTTGTCAGAGATTGTTTTGATTATATTGAGGTATGTTCCTTTGATGCCTAGTTTGTTGAGGGTTTTTATTGTAAAGGTATGTTGGATTTTATCCAAAGCTTTTCCATGTCTATTGAGATGATCATACATTTTTTTAAAAATTAGGTTTATGTGTTGAATCATATTTATGGATTCATGTACATTGAACCCTCCTTGCATCCCAAGATTCAAGCACACTTGATGGTGGTGAATTAACTTTTTGATGAGCTGCTGGATTTGGTTTGCTAATACTTTACTGAGGATTTTTGAGTTTATATTCATCAGGGATATTGACCTGTAGTTTTCTTTATTGGTTGTGTCTTTGCTAGAATTTGGTGTCAGGATGAAACTGGTTTTGTAGAAAGAGTTAGGGAAGAGTCCTTCCTCCTCAATTTTTTGGAATAGTTTCAGTAGGATTGGTACCAGTTCTTTGCACATCTGGTATATAGAATTTGGCTGTGAATCCATTTGGTCTGGGGATTTTTTTGGAGGGTAAGTTTTTTATTACTGATTCAATTTCTCATTATTAGTATTTTCAGGATTTCTGGTTCTTCCTGGTTCAATCTTTGGAGCTTGTATGTACCCAGGAATTTATCTATTTCTTCGAGATGTTTTAGTTTGTGCACATAGAGAAGTTCATAGTAATCTCCGAGGATCGTCTGTATTTTCCATGGGATCAACTGTAATGTCCCCTTTGTCAGTTCTGATTGTGCTTATTTAGTTCTTGTCTCATTTTTTCATTGTTAATCTAGCTAGAGTCTATCAATCTTGCTTATGTTTTCCAATAACCAAGTTTTTGTTTCGTAGTTCCTTTGTATGGATTTTTGAGTCTCAATATCATTAAGTTCTGCTCTGATTTTAGTTATTTCTTTTCTTCTGCTGGCTTTGGGATTAGTTTGTTTTTATTTTTCTAATTCCTTTAGGTGTGAGGTTAGGTTGATAATTTGAGATCTTTCTGTCCTCTTGATGTAGGCATTTAGCACTATAAACTTTCCTCTTAACACTGCTTTTGTCAAACGGCAATTTTTAAATGATACAAAATATTATCACTTTTTTTAAGGAAATGGACACTGTCACACATTATAGGCAAAAGTGAAATGAGCATATATTTCTGGAGATAATTTTGATAATAGCTGTATTAAAATTAAGAGAATTATATACACTTGCATTCAGCAATTTATGTGTAGGAATTTACTCGAGGAACTAATGAAAATAGTATGCAAATACTTGTGATTTATTGACTAGCATGCAATGAACATCTTTACTTGCAAGAACAAGGTTAGTACTGAACTTACCACTACACTGTGAAGTAGATATTATTTTAATCCTCATTTGACAAGAGGAGGGAACAGAACATCTTAGACACTAATTAATTTGCTCAAAGTAACCTACCTTGTAAGATATGAGTGAGAATGAATTAGAACTGATGTCTGCCTGCAGAGCCTGTGTTCTATTGTTTGAAGCAGAGCAGAAGCTTTCTTCAAAAATCTTCCACTTAACTGGTTTACCAGATTAATGGACAATCTTCATTCCCTCTGCAAAGCACACAGATGAATGCTCCCTGTATGCTGTGTGTCTGTCACTGGTTGGCATTCCTCTGATGAGCCCAAACTCTCTTGCTTCTCCAGCTGAGTCTGAGTTCTATGCTTACCAATAGCCGGTTGTGCTTCTCCCCATGCATTTATCGCAGGTATAATTATCACTATCGTTATTTAGTTTAATTAAATATTGTATAAATTCTTCGCCCCAGGTGAGTGTGAAAAGACAAGAGTTTTTGTTCCTATGAAAACTAAGTTAAATACTTTAAACAGATTCATACATTTAAACTGCTAAGAAAGAAAAAAAATAACTGTTGCTTTGAATTAAGTGGAAACAAGGCAGCTGTAAAATATTAAGATTTTATTAACTCAATATTAATCATTTTATAAGTAGTGACTTCATATTGTTTTAAAATTCCTACTCCTACTAATAAATAGCAAATACTTATGGAGCACTGTGGTAGGCAGAACAATGCCTCCTGAGAAGTGCCGACCTCCTAATTCCCAGGACCTGTGAATATGTTAAGGTGCATGGTAAAAGGAGAATTAAGGAGCTAATAGCTAACTATAAAAAAGGGAGATTATCCTGGCTTATCTGGGTGGGCCCAATGTAATTAGAAGGGTCCTTAAAAGTGGAAGAGGGAGACAGAAAAAGAGAGAGTTAAAAAATGTGATGACAGGTGCAAGTTCAGAAGTGTACTACCTAAGGACTGAAGCTGCACTGATGGCTTCGAAGGGGCAAGAAGGGGCCACAAGCCAAGGAGTGCAGACAACCCCTAGTGGCTGGGAAAATCAAGGAGATGTGATAACAGATTTCCAAAACATACAAAGAACTCTTAAGACTCAACAATTAAAAAAATGAACAACTCAGTTAAAAAATGGGCAAAAGTCCTGAACAGACATCTCTCCACAGAAGATATACAGATGACAACTAAATGGAAAGATGCTCACCATCATATGTAATTGGGGAATTGGAAATTAAAACAATAGTTAGATACTTCAACGTATCTACTCAGAATGGCTAAAACACATAATATTGACGAAATCAAATGATGACGAGGATATGGAGCAATAGGAACAGGAATTCATTGCTAATGGGAATGCAAAATGTTGCAGCAGTTTTTGGTGACTATTTCCTACAAAACCAAACATACTCTTACCATAGGATCCAGCAATTGCACTTGTTGGTGCTTATCCAAAGGAGCTGAAAACTTATGTCCACACGAAACTTATACATGTATGTTTGTAGCAACCTTATTCATAATTGCCACAACTTGGAAGGAACCAAGATGTCCTTCAACTGATAAATGGATAAATAAACTGTGGTACATTCATAGAATGAAATATTATTCAGTACTAAAAAGAAATGAGTTATCAAGCCATGAAACAACACGAAAGAAACTTAAATGCACATCACTAAGTGAAATAAGCTAGTCTGAATAAGATTCATACTATATTATTTCAACAATATGACACCCTGGAGAAGGCAAAACTATGGTTAGAGTAAAAACATCAGTGGTTGTTCAGGGTTAGGAGGAAGGGATAGATAAACAGGCAGAGCAGAGAGGATTTTTAGGGTAGTGAAACAACTTGGTGTGATAGCTATATGTCATCATACAACTGCCAAAATCCATAGAATATACATCACCAAGAGTGACCCTTAAAGTAAACTATGGACTTTGGGTGATATGGATGTGTCTAGGTAGGTTCATCAGTTGTAACAAATGTTCCAGTCTGGTGCTAGATATGGATGGTCAGGGAGGCTGTTTGAGGTAGAGTAAGGGGGTGCAGGCTGGGGCTATATGAGAACTTTGTACTTTCTACTCAATTTTTCTGTGAACCTAAAACTGCTTTAAAAATACTATATATATATAATTATATATAATATATTATATATAATTATATATATATATACACACACACACACACACACACACATATGTAATATTATTAGGAGACCTATTCTCTTAATATCTTACACAAGGTTCCCTGGAGTACTTGCCCCTTTAATGCATAAGTAAAAAGATCACAATTTATCATTTTTCTTCTGCCCTTCCTCATCAGCATCCTCCATGCATTGAAAAAATTTTAAACTTCAGTCTTTATGATCAGTTTTGCCCATCAATGACTGAGAATTAAATAAACGACCTTTGGGTTTTCATATCCCATTGCTGAAGTGTTTCTTGTTTTGTTCTTAGAATACATTTTCAGGTTTTTAACATGGCCTGTAAAAGCCTCTGTGATCTAGCACCCGTCTGCCTCTCTTGCCTCTTGCCCCTCCTCACTTTCATTCTTTGTGCTCTAACTTAAAAAATAAATGATTCTGTTATTTGAGAATGCTACTTTTATTTTATGTTTACCCCACCCGGGCTTATGCACTTGCTGTTCCCTCTTTCGGAACTATTCCCTCCCTCAGCAATTTGTTTTGCTTTGTTTTCTCAACTTCAAATGGAGCTGGTATCTGTCCAGTGTATTTCCCAGGCTATTGAGAGGTTTAAAAGTCAAATACATGATTACAGATTCTCTGGGGGGGAAAAAAGGTGCTAATTTAAAAAACTAATTGTAGACTTTAGCCCTGGAAACCCAACTTACTCCATGGGAACAGGAAAGTCACCCTGAAGCAGTTGCACCATCCAAATAGGAAACACCACTAGGAAGAATTAAGTGAAAGAGGAAACTAAGGGTAGTCAGCATGGGAGTGGTGATAAACAACATAGACTCTGGGCAGGTGCACTTAGGTCCAAATCATAACTCTTTGTGAACATTTGACATTTGACAATTAACCTCTTTAAGTCCTAGTTTCCTCCCTTGTAAAATGGGGAATATGACAGTCTCCTACATGTTAGGGTTTTGGTAAAGATTATGAGAATAAGCATTAAATGCTAATTCAATATTATGTGCATTATTACTATTATTATTATGAATTCTATTTTGCATATATTGAATTTAAGTGCCAGTAGGATATCCAGTGTGCAAGATGAAGCTGAGTATTTGCCTCTGAATTTCAGGAGCAAGATACGGGTGGGTAATTTGTACTTGTGAGTCATCAACGTATACATAGAACTTGAAATCCTGGGCATCAAAAAGATGACCTGAAGAGAGTGTGAAGACTGAAAAAGAGGTGTGGACCTTAACATCTAGGTGATGGAATTGAAAACAAGGCCGAGAAAATGTGACCTTTGGAAAAAAATCAGGAGTCTGAGATGTCACAGAAGTCAATGCATTTTATATTTGAAGAAGACAGATAGTTAATTTGGAGAAATCAGTAATTTAGTGACTCACCTCCACATTCTGGATCTGCCATGCATGTGAATAAAATTATGCCTGGGGAAAATGACAAATGGTTACATATTACGGACCTCGAAGAGTTTCTGGCAAAGTCAAATCTGTGAATAACCCATCTGTGAAAATCAAGAGTCTCATGAACTTTTGGGACCCCTGATATGATCTGTATGTCTCCTGAAACACAGCACTTAGTCATTTTTGTAGGACAACACTGTTCATGACATCACTGATAATAAAACTATCCAGGCATTAAAAATAAATTAAAAATATGGAATTTTTCTTGACTATTGGTTCCCTCAGCAGTAAAATATACACTTTGAGTTACATAGAGTTGTGGATGGTTTAATTAAAAGCTACCACTCCATGAATATTAGAGAGATAAGAAAACTGCAGCCAGGGGTAAGGTGCCTTATCTGAAAATGCGAACATAACAAAGTGGTAATGTTATCTTTTGAATTGGATTTTTAAATAGAGTAGCTGTAATGCCCCATAAAGCAACACTCCTAATTTGTAATGTAAAATTGTACCCCTCCTTTGCATCCCTTTGCTGGGTTCTAGTTCTGGCTGATAAAAGAGGACATGAAACTTGAAATAAGATCTTTGCATAACAAACACCTATGATTCATACCTGATGTGCAGAAAATGGCCATCTGCTAACAAGCACATGTGAGCAGCCTGGCTATTTGCTGAAATCTCATGGGTGGACCTAGGTTTAATCATACATGGAAGAGCAAAGTGTTTCTGTTCCCAAAGGAATCACCAGTCTCCATGGGCTAATGCGGAAGATGCTGGCAATAATGTAGTTACTGATAATTGCCATTTTACAGAGCTTGGATGGGTGGGGTCATTCAATTAGAAACGCCATGCTGTTTCCAATTCACCTGGTTGGGATCAAAAGGTGCTTTAGCTTGAAGTGAAATGAGAAAGAGAAAACCAGTCTCTCACCCCTCCTGGGCCACTAACCCTGCTTTCCTAGGCTTGCAGTGTTTTGAAAGCTGCTCTGTCTGGCCCTTGAAATTGCATTCAAATCCTTCTCTGAAAGTCCTCAGACAGTAACCAATCTCATATGGTGAGGGCAGCTTGAGACTGAAAAAGGAACATATAACTCTGATGGGTCTATTGAATATACTAGAAGGCATCTTAAAGTGAAATAATACAACTGGTTTCAAAAGCTACACTTCCCCCCCAAAAGTCAGCAAGGGTAAATTGGATGGGAATGCGTAAAAATTGAGTTCCTTGGGCTTTTTTCTGTGACTTGGTATCAGTAAATTTTCCTCAATCTCTTTTTATTTCCTGGCTTGCTAGCCTCCCATTCATGTGCTACAGTAGAATGTAAACAGCTGGTTCATTTGCAATCCATTATGACATTTATAATACTGCCATCCTCATAAAGACAAGGATTATTGTTAGGGATATGCTATTTCTAGAGTCTAACGACTTGTTATCTGACAGAGCGTGTATCCGGATTTTAAACTTATAATTAATCACAGTTTGGTCCACTTGAAACTGACCCAAAAAACACAAACATGAGAAGCTTTTTCATTGCTTATAAGAATAACAATTGAAACATGACTAATTTCTTGAAACAAACCCGCTCCTTTTGTCTCTTTGGGGTGAAAATATTATTTTTAGCCAGTTCCTAGATTTACACGAGCTGTACATTTTGACTCTGACACTTCCCTCCTGGTATTTATACTTTTTATTCATAAACTTGGACATTGACAAGGTATTGTAAATAGTCTTTCAAGGATTCCTATTTTAGGACTGGTGCACTAAAGAGGGAAAGATCAGTTGCCTCCACTGCTTTAAACCTTAATAGGTTTAAACCTCAGTCAGGGGAGAGAGAAAAAAAAGTATGTCTTTTTAACTAATATCCATGTCATCTTCTTAATCATGCTGATTCTGAATAATTCAGCCTCTATGGAAGTTGCAGAGCCAGAATCTATAGCTCTGTCTCTCTCAGGGGTGGTGGAGGGAGGAGTTTATTATTAACAAGTTTGACAGGAGAGAGCTCTGGCAGGTTAATTGCTACAGCAGGACTAGCTGGGAGTTTGCTGGTGATATATAGCGACGAAAGCGAGTGAAGGAGATTGACTATGCCTGTTACAGAACAAATATCTTCATGCACCTCAGGTTTCTCAGAAAGATATGAGAAATAAATGTTCGCTGTTCATTTTCTGTCTGCACAATAAAAATAGCCTCCAGCTAAACATGGCGACTACAGCACAGAGACTTAAAAAAAAAAAAGGAAATTTGCAAATTAACATTATTACAAACATTCCTGCCTGAAAGTGCTGAAAATCAATTTCAATATATTTTGCATTTTAATGAATTGCCAAAGAGATAAATCAGACAGTGTTTGAGGAATGCTTGCTTGGCAATGATGTTTTCTTATCGCATCTTGTCTTAACTGATAGCATTTAAAATGAAACCAGTGTTAATTGAAGGCGTGGGAAATGTAACTGCTAGTTAATGAAGTAAATGCATGCTAGTTATGCAGAATTAGAAATCTGCTTTAATGTACTAACTCTAACATTGTCTCCCTGTTCTGTAGCCTCCTCATTCCAAGGCAGTAATACTCAGTATTATAAATGGTTGAAAGGCAGAGCCCACGCTAGAGCTAAGGGCCATTGTGTTTTAATCCCCCAGTGGAAACAGGATGCAAATACTGTTGTTTTTACTTTACACAGTAAACAACAAATTTCAACTCCTGAGCCTTTGGGGAGCTTTAGGGGGAAGGCCGAGTCTCCCACTTCTTTTCTTCAAAGAAAATAAACAACATAACTTTTCAATCTAACATCTGTTTGCACTGTTTAAAATTAGGCAGCTGAAAGAGGATGTCAGTTTGCTAATGTTACCGAGGTTGTAGCTTTCTCCATGTCTTATCCATCCATGCTCAGCACATAGTATGTGCTCATTCAAATTTTACTAAATGAATGGAAGGATGGATAATTGTCCTCTTTTGATCTCCATGTCTCTAAACAACAGAGAAATCATTATATTTCCTAATCTGTATGTCTATGTGTTTAACACAACAAATAATAAACTAACACTTTCTAATAGCATGTAGAGAATATACGTGCATTTTTTTTCTTTATCTTCTGCAAGGATATAATCCTTCTGCAACTTCACATTGTTCCTTCTAATTGCTTTTCGCTATCCATTAGTTTTCTTCCTTTCTTTCTTTCTTTTAATTGTGTAAAAATAAATAAGGCAAACTATTTTTGGGGAAATAATTTCTTGAAAAGTAACAAATGACTCATCATTTGGCAAACTAAAATTAGGCAGCAACAAGGATGGGAATTTATATTTTCTTCTGCACCATAGAGTGTTTTAAGTCTGGAGGTGACTGAGGGGTTCTTTACGTTCTATCAATGAGACAGAAAGGCTTACCTTGTAAAACCATTTGGCCAATGCAAGATTTGTTCTCCGTAATGCAATTCTTAGGAGGGCTTTTTTTCCTTAAATTTTAAATTTTATCACCAGTGTGTCAAAAAACTAAACATCATTTTGCAATTGTGAGGAATTCGTCATTAAATAACTGTGTAATAGTTAAGGGAAAAAAAGTTCCCAATGCATAGAAAATATGACCATTAGATATTAATCATGGAAAATTTGGAAGATGTGATTAATATTCGAACAAAATAATATATGGCATAGAAGCAAGTCTCTCCTACTGTTAAAATTAAAGCCCTATTTACTAATATGTTTAATATGTTAACATCCTGTCACCCTGATTGTCTCATTCAGCCTTGGATACAGCTAAATATAAACCCCTCACACAACCAGATTTTATATACATCATATATAAAACATGGAATTGCTTAATAAACATGGTGTGTTAAGGTGATGAATTCTTACAGTAAACCCAAGGGTAAAGAGCCTTTAAAAATTAATCTAATTTCTCCTGAAACACTTTTCTACAGAGATTATGAAATGGCTTGTAACCAAGCTGGCTTTGAAAAACTATCAGTAACAGCTATTTTTTCCTGATCATTTAAAATGCCAATTGTAGGTATCAGAGGGGTAATTGACCTGGCCTGTACTGGAAACCTTATTGCATAAAAGGCTTGGGACATTTTTCCTTTTATTGATTTCATTTAACTTAATATAAACAACATTTTAAAGTAGCTAGCAAAAATGAATGATTAACCAAATTTCAAATTGACCCAGAAACTCACATCTGTCTGAAGAAATGCAATACACATAGTATTTTAGTCATAAAATGAAAACATGAAGCAATGCAATGTCTATTTTTAAAATGAAACAAAGTTGCAGTTTTAGTTTTGTTAAATAATATTTTCAAACTAGCTGCTTCCCTTTCCACCCTCCACTAAATCTTCTTCAAAAACCGTATCTGGGAACTTTCTATTGTAGAATGTTTTTTAAAACTTCTTTAGGTAAGGGCTGTATAATGCATATGATGCATTTGAAGAATACTAAAAAAAGAAAATAAATGGCCTTTTTCAAAGATGGTAGATATTAATATAATTAGTATTTCCTTGGGGTCAAATATTTCCTGTCCCTACCCCCATTTTATAATTTATAATCCTGTTATGTTATTTATAATATAAGTAATACTGTTAGTGGTGTCTGTTGGTGTTGTTTTTTAACTTTAACTTAAAAAATTAAACTTACCAGGATTTCCAAAGGAAAGACTTGAAATTTACATGCAATTCAGCCAAGCATTTTTTTTTTTTTTCTTGAGATGGGGTCTCACTCTGTCATCCAGACTGGAGTGCAGTGGTACTATCTTGGCTCATTGGCAACCTCCGCCTCCCACGCTCAAGTGATTCTCTTGTCTCAGCCTCCTGAGTAGCTGAGATTACAGGTGCACACCACTACCACCCGGCTAATTTTTGTATTTTTAGTAGAGACGGGGTTTCACCATGCTGGCTGGGCTGGTCTTGAACTCCTGATCTCAAATGATCCACCCTCCTCGGCCTCCCAAAGTGCTGGGATTATAGGCATGAGCCACTGTGCCTGGCCCTAGCCATGTTTTTAAGATTGTTTTCCAGAATGGATGATGACAGGTCTTACTAAAATATCATGGCTATAATACTAAATGGCAAAGGGACATCTGTTCTGGGTCCTCTGGGTGGTACTCATATTGCAGGAAAGAGAACAGTGAATCAAGTACAATCAAAAACCCATCTCTCCTATAAAATGATGGAATCTTTAGATTCCCTGAAAACAGAAATATTTACACACAGCAATTAATTAAACAAGCAGCAGAGATTATTTAAAAAGCTCACGTGAACTAAGCAAATATATTTTAGCACAATATAGTTAATATCTCTAAGCATGGCTCCAAAATTCTTTCTTCTTCTTGGCATTTGGCCAGTGGTAGTTTGAAAGAGTGTCTCCAATTTTTCCATCCTTTCTGCATCTACACCTTGACCATGGTTTCATTATGGATGGGCTGACTTTCCCTATCTTTGAATTTGGGTCATTTGACCTGGACTGGCTAATGGCACATAGGCAGATGTGACGGTATGCCAGTTCTAAGTCTAAGTCTTAAGAGGTCCCATGTATCTACTTGCATTTCTTTGTTTTTTCTCTTAAGTAGAGACAGGGTCTCACTATGTTGCCCAGGCTGGTCTCAAACTCCTGGGCTCAGGCAATTCTCCTGCTTTGTCCTCCCAAAGTGCTTGGATTATAGGCATGAGCCCCCATGCCCAGCCTCTACTTGCTTTCTTGACATCAGACATCACCCTGAGAAGAACTAACTGTGGCTTACTTGCTGGTCCAAGGACATAAAACACACCTGTTGCAGACCTGAACCCGAAGGCCTGCAGTACAAAGCACAACAGCACCATCTGTTCTGTTAATCCATGCAAGTCTGGTGTGTAAACCAATCATTTTTTCAATGTTTGTTACACAGCATTATTATATTACTTTTAATGGCAAAAACTGCAATTACTTTTACACCAATCTAATAGCAATTTTTGACTGATACAAGGACTTTGACCAAAGCTTGTTTTGAAATAGTTGTTTACAAAATGTTAGAAGTTAACTATGTTGTCATTGTTTTCAGTTTAATATTAAATATGTATTCTGGGCTGTGTAATATTTTCAGTTTCTAAGTTACATAGGTGGGATGGTTACAGGTTTTATAGTTTGTGCCAATTTTCTTTTCTTTTCTTTTCTTTTTAAGATGGAGTCTCGCTGTGTTGCCCAGGTTGGAATGCAGTGGCGCAATCTTGGCTCACTGCAAACTCCACCTCCCAGGTTCAAGCGACTCTCCTGCCTCAGCCTCCCGAGTAGCTGGGACTACAGGTGCAGCACCATGCTTGCCTAATTTTTGTATTTTTGGTAGAGACGGGGTTTCTCCATGTTGGCCAGGCTGGTCTTGAACTCCTGAGCTCAGGTGATCTGCCCACCTTGGCCTCCCAATGTGTTGGGATTACAGGTGTGAGCCACCACACCTGGCCCTAATTTTCATTGTTAATGGAAGAAAGAAGCATAAAACTCTAGGAGTAAGAAGACTTTGATTAGCAATGACTTCCACAGGAATACATTGTACATATTTTCAGATACCTGTCAGAGTATTAATACTGGGTCTGATTGATCTCTTGGACCATCACATCCAGAGCTGCATTTCATCAGTGGTGTGAGCTAGCCTCATAACCCAGAGGTCAAATGATGAAGATATCACTGGCTAATTCTGCTTTGAAAAAGTATACATAAGTACAGGGCATTAGACTGGGAGGTGGGAGGTCTGGGACCTAACCTTCTTTATGCCACCAATGTCCTGTTACCCATAGGACAAGCCTCTTAGTAACTACTTGAGTCATAGATCTCATAAGACTATAAAGTTTTGCAATTTTCTAATTCTAGTTGTCTCACTTAGCTCTGTCAATTCACAGTAATATCAGAAAATGAAATTCTGACAATATCATTGTTAATAACATAAGTATGGGAGAAACCAAAGAGAGGTCTACAGACACTTTTGTGGCTACTCAAGTATCTCTCCAATAAAATTGATTTAAGAAAGGACATGTGCAAAAAGTGAAAAGACATCCAGGTAACAAAAGGGAAATGGTACTAATACAGCAAAAATTCAAAATAAGATAAAACATGTAAAATGCTAAATTAAAATATGAGTTATGATGAGAATGAGAAAAACATTGATGGCATTGGCTGACTGATTGGCATTACCTAAACCCAGACAAATGGAGTCCCTTCTATGAGCCCTGTGCTTTAGAGGATCCCACTCCGGTCTGGCCTTGGTTACTCCCCTCCTGTTTGAATGAGGAGATCAGGGATCTAGATCACATGCCCACATGGACCAGATCCTATGTATCTAAACCATGATCTAGGTAGCTTGGGACCCTGAAACTTCCTGCCAAAGCTTCAAGTCTGCTTTGAGTACCTGCACAGGCCTCTCCCCTAACTCTGTCCTCCCAAGGACAGGTGGTCAACACATAGCTGTTTGTAGGGAATGAAACATAGCCTGTATGTGTGAGCTGAAATATGCTTGATAGTGTTCAATATGGAGTCAGGGGTGGGAAGAGGAGTAGGGTGGGCCTACTGCTGGCTTTACTGGTATGTAACCTGTGTAATCATACAGGCATCCACACAGAGAAGGACTTCAGACTTAGTTTAGTACTCTGTTATTGCTATCTTGCTATTCTTAATAATTTCATCCTTGAACTTGTTCTTCACACATCAAATCTAGTGAGAAAACTAAGCGTGCACATGAATAGAGGAAGTACATGACATGTGGACATCCACTGCCATTCTTTACCACTGCATTTGCATACGCCGTCACAGTGCCTCATTGGCATGGAATCTAGTAGACCCACAGTGAACAGGACTTCAGTGAGACTCGAAGCAATACAAGTATACATGTTAGGTCTATGTCTAAGTGGGATTGCTAACAGCCCTGATAGGCTAAGCTTTTCATCTGAAGCAGAACTTGCTTTAAATGTGGAGAGAGTGCAATTGCATTCTAAGAAACACAAATTATCAAAGAACTCTAGCATATTCTTTATTGTGCATGTTAATTCTCTTTATTAGCCAATCATTTACAATGAAAATGATGACATAGAAGGAATGAGAAAGATAGGACAATTCATAGTTCCTTTTCCTTTTAGTACTTCCTGACTTATCAATAAGCCAAAGGCAGAAATTTTTGTAGGCATGTACACACAAAAAAGGGAATGAAAAAGGAGTTGAATTAATTTTGTGCAGTTTTCCACTATTGTGTTAACAGTGAAATATATATTCATGTATGAGCTATGCAATACAAATCTTATCACTTAGGTCACTCTACAAATGAGTTAAATGTGCCTATATTTGCATATAAAGCTGCCATTGTACAATATAAAAAGGTTCACTATAAACATTTTACAATATAAAAATATTTGCATTTAAATTGGCATTGTGTAACATGAGGATATAAGATTCATGCTAAACACTTAAAATTTTAATTGTTCTTTATTCAAATAGCAAATACAAAAACCCAGAACAAGTTGAAAAAGAAAAGGAAAAACTTCCTATTTTAGTACATTTAATCATATTTTGCTTCTCCTTCTTAATAGTGGCCTTGCATTTATATTTTGCACTGGGCCCTATAAATTATGTAGCTTATTCTGGTTGGGAGGCTGTTGATGATGACTGGCTCTTGCATTTGACTTTATATTATATAAAAAATTGGATATGTTTCAAAATTTTAACCAGTCCTTTAAAGTTCTTTTTAAGGATATTTTCAAGAGAAGAGGAGAAAACCAACCTAACAGATTCTGGTAGAATTATAACTTATCAACATTTGCATATATGATATGTGGGGATTTGTATTTTCTCTTGTTTCAGGGCCTGCAATTATTAGCTGTGGGCTTGCTCTTTGGAGCCAGTGGTATTATGAAAATAAAGGACAGTAAGAATTTTTGGTTTTTTGGGAAGAGAGAGTACTGACACAGGCTGTTTGTTGCCTCTACAAAATCCAACTGTATCAATGTCAGAGAAAGTAAAGGAATGTATCTCTATTTAAAAAATGAATGTTAAATCCTACAGAAACTCCTGGGGAGAGGAAGGCAGTTGTGACCTGGCATGGAATGGCAGAAGTAGTCTAGGCTAAAAGAAGGCTTAAGCTAGGAGTTGCCATTAGGAGATTGGTTAGGAGAAAACTCTGGAGTGGTGCTGCTTCAAAAAAGAAAAAAACACCTGCCCAGCATAGTTTTGTCTCCAGGTTGTAGCAGGGCATCATTAAAGTCTGGCAAATGTGTAAATAGACTGCCTGAGCCTTTAGAGTTGCCTTCTACTTTCTCCTACATTCTGAAAGTTATATGATTGAGAGGTAAAGCCTTTGAAGAAGAGCAATGTCCAGGGAAGACAGACAGGGGGAATTGCAAATGTTTCACGTTGGGCAAGAAATAGGTAAATTCAAGCCAAGATCATTGGACTAGGGATCATCCATTCCAAGGCAAATCCTCTCTCCTTAAATTCAGTAAGAGAATCAGAGAATAGAGCCTCGGCTTTGACCACCCCTCCTTGAGTACAAATTAACAACAGAAGTCATACCCTAGGCTACATACTGGGAACCTACAAGTGGGATGGCCATATAATTTATTATTAAAACCAGGACACTTTTGAGTGTAAAAAGGGGAAAAATAATTACCTGGGCTCAGTTGGTATAAACTGAGAATGTTCCAGGCTAACCAGGATACATGGTCACTCTACTCAAAATTTCATTTGAAAAAGCACCTTTCTGGATGAACAGATTAGAAAAAGTATTTGCCGCAAGATGGACAAGTTGTAAGAGTAAATTAAAAGGCACAACTTCTGGGCAGAAAAACTAGAAACAGGTACTAATTTTGGACCCCCAAATTAGGAAAAGATATTACCATATGTCCTGGCTTGACAAGTGAATGACTCCTTTGAGTGAAGAAAAGTTCATTTTGACTTCTGGGAGAATGTAGCCCTGTGCCAGGGCACCAACTTGGTGATGGAGCACAGGTGCATTTCAGGTCTCCTGGCCCTTTCAACTGTGCATGCGTATGCAAGTTTCAATTGGCAGAGTCATGTATGGTGGTCCTGCTTATGACCCGAGAAGAATGTGAGCACCAGGGACTGTAGCAAGGCATTTGAGGAGCACGCAGATCATACAAAAGAGAATATATCAAAATGATAATTTCAGACTTAATTAAAAATAAACGGTGCTAGATTTTAAAGTCAGCATACTAAGTAGTTGGAAAACAAAATGCAAGAATAGTCATAATCTGAAGCAGGAACAAGCGAGATTAAATAAAAGCCATTAGTGAATACCATGAAAGGTCACTGGATTAAAACCGTAAAGTGTTGCAAACAGGATAGGAAAGAGGAAAACCCCACATTTAAAAAATGTGTAAGAAACATTAAGAACACTGCAAAGAGAACATTCAAAAAGTCACAGAAAGAAAGAATGAGTAGATGAATGCTACATCGATAGATCTCATGTGAACATCAGGTTTCTGAATCGAAATGCAGTTCTTAAGATAATGAAGTAATAATTTTAAAGTTTAGGAGGAGAATTGATGGAAACCTTGAATTTTAAAGCCTGCTAAGTTAACATTTGCATGTAGTCACAATGAAGATATTTTGGGGTACATAAAACATCAGAAGGTTTACCATATAAAAACGTCATTTGAAAACACTTGTTAAGATAGCATGTCATAAATAAATAAATAAATAAATAAGCTCTGAAATATACAGGAAGTATGGTAATGGTATTTTATTGTCTTAAAAAATAACGGTCAGATCAAATGGCATATTCGTAATAATTCACAATTAAAAATCTTAATGAGGAAGGTAAGGGAAGCCCAGAGAAAGGTAAAAATCATGCTATATTGCTTTTCTTATTTGAGGGACATTATAGAGGGATGTTTGAAATACTCATGTGGAGAAATGAATATAAGTAGCAGTCTTTGTGATGTTCTTAATGTTTCTTATAATTTAATTTGTATTTAACCACAAAAAGAAAAAAGTGAGAATGTATACCTTTCAAATAAAAAAAAAGGAAAAAACAATCTTTGCAATGAAAGCCATATAGGCAGGGGAAGCAAAATGAAATGAAAGTGAGAGAAATGGAAAATATTAAGTTAAATGGCCAAAGGAAGTCCTACTATAATATTAACTAGAGTAAATATCAATAAGTTGAATTCAATTACCAGACTACTGGATTAAAAATACAAGATCTAACAACATGCTGTCTGCATGAATCATACTTTAAATAATAGGACAAAGAAAAGCTAATTATAAAAAATAAAAAAATTATATTAAGTCAATATGAACTAAAAGAAAGCCATTAAGCCATGCCTCAGAGACATTGTGGGTTAGGTTCTAGTCCACAAGAAAGTGAATATTACAATAAAATGAGTCACTCAAAGTTTTTTGTTTTCCCAGTGCATAAAACAATAATGTTGACCTATGCTGTAGTCTATTAAATGTCTAAACATGTACATACCTTATTTAAAAATAATTTATTGCTAAAAAATACTAATGATCATGTGGGCCTTCAGTGAGTCATAAACTTTTTCCTGATGAAGGGTCTTGCCTCAGTGTTGATAGACACTAACTGATTGGGGTTGTGGTTGCTGAAGGCTGGGGTGGCTGTGGCAATGACTTAAAGCAAGACAACAATGAAGTTGTTCATATCAATGAACTCTTCCTTTTATGAAAGATTTCTCTGTAGCATGCATTACTGTCTGAGAGCATTTTACCCACAGTAGGATGTTTTTCAAAATGGGAGTCAAGCCTCTCAAACCCTGCTACTGATTTATCAATTAAGTCTACATAATGTTCTGAATCCTTTGTGGTCATTTCAACTATGTTCACAGCATCTTCACCAGGAGCTGATTTCATTTCAAGAAATCACTTTCTTTGTTCATCCATAAGAAGCAATTCCTCATCTTTTCAAGTGTCATCATGAGATTTGAGCAAGTTGGTCAAATAGAATTAGAAGCTCCACTTCGAATTTCTCTTTCTTTTGCTATTTTAACTAAGTCTTCAGTTCCTTCCTCCACTGAAGTCTTGAGTCCCTCAAAGTCATCCGTGAGGATTGAATCCAACTTCTTCCAAACTCCTGTTAACATTGATATTTTGACCTCCTCCCCTGAATCACAAATGTTCTTAATGACATCTAGAATAGTGAATCCTTTCTACAAGGTTTTCAATTTACTTTGCTGAGATCTATCAGAGAAATCACTATATATAGAAGCTATAGGCTTACAAAATGTATTTCTTAAATAATAAAACTTGAAAGTCAAAATTACTCCTTGATCCATAGTCTGCAGAACGGATGTTGTGTTAGCAGGTGCATTGTCAATAAGCATTAGTATTTTAAAAGGAATCTTTTTTGGGGGGCAGTAGGTCTCAATGATGTGCTTAAAATATTTGGTAAATCATGCTTTAAAGAGCTGTACTGTCATCCAGACGTTGTTGTACCATTTACAGAGCACAGGCAGAGTAGATTTAGCATAGTGTTTAAAAGCCCTAGGGTTTCTGGGATGGTAAATGAACATTGCCTTCAAGTTAAATTCAACAGATGCAGTATTCTTGCCCTAGTCTATTTGTATTGCTATAAGGAATACCTGAGGCTGGGTAATTTATAAAGCAAGGAAGTTTATTTGGCTCCTGGTTCTGCAGGCTTTACAAGAAGCATGGCACAACACTGTGTCTGGTGAGAGCTTAAGCCTGCTTCCACTCTTGCAGAAGGTAAAAGGGAAATTGCAGTGCAGAAATCACACAGCAAGAGAGGAAGCAAATAAGAAAGTAGAAGGTGTTAGACAACCAGCTCTTATGGGAACGAATAGACTAAGAACCCATTTATTACCATGAAGATGGCATCGAGCCATTCAGAAGGGATCTGCTCCTGTGATTGAAACAACTCCCATTTTGGAGGGGTCAGTAAATCCAAATTATAGTAGCCCTTAGCAAGAGAGCCGGCCTGTCCTTTGAAGCTTTGAAGCCCAGCATTGACTTCCCGTTTTTAGCTATGAAAGTCCTAGATGGCATCTTCTTCCAATAGAAGGCTATTTTATCTACATTGAATATCTGTTATTTAATATAACCACCTGAATCAATGATCTTAGCTAGATCTTCTAGACAACCTGCTGCAGTTTCTACATCAGCACTTGCTGTTTGACCTTGAACTTGTATGTTATGAAGATGGATTCTTTCCTTAAATTTATGAACCATTCAATGCTAGATTCAATCTCTTATGCAGCTTTCTCACCTCTCTCAGCCTTCATAGAATTGAGGAGAGTTAGGGCCTTGTTCTTGATTAGGCCTTGGCTTAGGAAAATGCTGTTGGTTTGATATTCTATCTAGACCACTAAAACATTCTACATATCAGCAATAAGGCTGTTTTGCTTTCTTATCATTTATTTGTTCATTGAAGTAGAACTTTTATTTTTTGTCAAGAACTTTTCTTTTGCATTCGACAACTTGGCTAACTGGTGCAAGAAGCCTGGCTTTCAGCCTATCTCAGTTTTTGACATGCCTTCCTCACTTCATATAATTATCTTTAGCTTTTAACTTAAAGTGAGAGATGCATGACTTTACCTTTCACTTGAACACTTAGAAACCATTGTAGGGTTATTAATTAGCTTAATTTCAATATCAATGTGTTTCATGGAATAGGGAGACTTGAGGAGAAGGAGATGGGGAAAAGGCTGTTTGGTGGAGCAATCAGGACACACACAACATTTATTGGTTAAGTTCCCTGTCTTATATAGGTGCACTTTGTGGTGCCTAAAACAGTTGCAATAGTAACATCAAAAATCATTAATCACAGATCACTTAACAGATATAAAAACACAATAAGTTTGAAATATTGCAAGAATTAGCAAAATGTGACACAGACAAACAAAGTGAGCTCATGCTGTTAGGAAAAAGTGGGACTGATAGACTTGCTCAATGCAGGTTTTCCACAAACCTTCATTTTATAAAGTGAAGTCAATCAAGTAAATTACACCTGTATAGTGACTAGAAGTTAGATAGAATTTATGGTAAAATGCATTGAGAGATGATATATACTAGAAAAACAATAGATCAAGAATACAATATAATTATGAACATATATGTGTGTAAAATAGAGTGCAATATATGTGACAAAGCAACTGATAGAAGCATATGAAAAAATTTAAAATATCAAAAAACTTTATTTGTTTGTTTGTTCATTTGTTTTTGGAGACAGAGTCTTTGCTCTGTCACCCAGGCTGGAGTGCAGTGGCACAACCATTGCTCACTGCAGCCTCAAACTTTTGAGCCCAAATGATCCTCCCACTTCAGCCTCCCAGTAAGCCAGGACTACAGGCATGTGTCACCATGGCCAGCTGCTTTATTTTTTTTTTTTCTGTGTTGCCTAGGCTGTTCTTAAACTCCTGGCCTCAAGCAATCCTCCTGTCTCAGCTTCCCAAAGCACTGGGATTACAGGTGTGAGTTACAATGCCTCGCCAAAATTTGGTATTTAAATTCCAGTTTCCTAGAAACAGATAGATCCGTCAGACAAAAGGAAGCAAAAATAAAAGTTTGAATAATGCCATTAACAAGATCAAGTTGATTCAGGAAGAACTTTCTATTCTACGAACAAAATCATTATTTTCAAGTTGTATGAGAGTTTTACAAAAAGTTGTCAGAAAGAAAACTTTGATGCATTTGTAAGAAACAACAGCACGTTACAGAATACGTAGTCTTCTAAAATAGTGTCATATGTATAAAATAAAAGAATAGATAAATTAATTTCATATGTCTTCTTATTAAAAACACATTTAAAATCTATACAATGACCTTTGAGTTAAAGAAAAGGTCAAGATGAATTCTTAAATTCTTAATGCTAAATGGCAAAAACCACTTTACATTAAAATTTCAGTTAAAGTAGTACTCAGAAATGTCTAGGTTTAAATACATGCTTGTTAAAACATAATATATTTGAAACAAACAACGTAGTCTTCTACAAATTAGGGGAAGAGATATAACTATTTTTTAAAAAAGATTTTATAAGTTAACTTTATAGTAAGTTACAAATGTCAAGTCAGATTTCTCTGAGAGATCCCCCTTCTATAAACAAGCAAACAAAATCCCTCCGCCTCCCAGAAAAGCCTTGTATCTTTAAAAGATTTGTAAGATAGAAAAACCTCTGGCAAGAATATTGGAGAAATGCAATAGGGAGAAAATGCAAACAATCAAAATACCAAATGAAAACTATAGAAAATACTACAAATATATTCAGTAGATACAAAAAGGATTTTAAAACATGTAAATAAACTATATGCTACTAAATTTGTTTGGAAACAAATGTAATGAATGAATTTCTGAAATGAATTACTTTCTAAGAAAGGAAGGGTAAAGTGGCACATATTTGACATAAATAGAAATCGTAGAAATAGAATAATAGAATATGTGAATAGATAACCACTTAAGAAATTGAAATAGAAATAAAAGAGTAGCCAGGGGAAGAACACACACACACACACACACGCACGCACGCACACACACAAACTCAAAGTCCAAGTAGTGTTGCTGATAGGTTCTATAATATTTCTAAGAAATGGATCATTCTTATTAGCTTTTACAATTTTTACAAGAAGATTAGGAAATATACTGTAAAACATGTAGAGTGAAAAAAAAAACTAGAAAACTAGAATTAAAATGGAGGAAGATTGCTTTATTTTTATTTTATTTATTTTCTTTTTGAGACAGAGTCTTGCTCTGTCGCTAGGCTGGAGTGCAGTGGCGTGATCTTGACTCACTGCAACCTCCGCCTTCCAGGTTCAAGTGATTCTCCTATCTCAGCCTCCTGAGTAGCTGGGAGTACAGGCATGCGACACCACGCCCAGCTAATTTTTGTATTTTTAGTAGAGACAGGGTTTCACCATGTTGGCCAGGATGTTCCCAATCTCCTGACCTCATGATCTGTTTGCCACGACCTCCCAGAGTCCTGGGATTACAGGTGTGAGCCACCACGCCTGGCCAGATTGATTTATTTTTTTCAGCTTATTTTCAAAATCAGTCAACCAATTAGCCATATATTTAAAAATCATGCATTATTTATTGCAGGAATTCAGGGATGGTTTAAGATCAGAAAGTTGATCTTTACAATAAAGAAGAAAAAAGTTATTAATAAATTCTTAATAAATGTTAGCTAAAAAGCTTTGGAAAACATTTAAGATAAAAATTTTCAGAACATAAGACATAGAATAGAACTTTCCCAACTTAATAAACATACATTAAAAGGCAAATAAACAAAAACTAAAGCTAAAAATGCTGTATTAAAATTTATGGAGAATGTTTAGTTGAATTTTCATTAAAACTGTGAGCACAGTAGAATATCCATTATTACAATATGATTTAATATAGAATTGGAAGTCCACAGAAATAATGAATGACAAAATATGCATATAAACATTGGAAAAGGAAAGATAAAATTATCTTTATTAGCAGAACGTATACTCAGAAAATACAACAGAATGAAGAAATAAATTCTTTAATTATAATTCAGCTAGGTTACAGGCTACAACATCAACTAAAATATGTCAATTCACCCTCATTGCTAACAAAAAACAAGAGCTGAGAAAAAATATTTCATCCACAATCTCAAAAACGTTTTGTGTAAAATCTAGGATATAACCTAAAAACAAATACCTGAGTGAAGAAAATTTAAAAACTATAAAAGAATAGAAAAATTTCTTGAAGGGTGAGATAGACCTTGTTCCTGAATAGTATAATCTAATATCTAATGATATCATTTATACTGAACTATCCTGTGTGTTCAGTCCATACACAATAAAAATGCCAGCTCAGTTTTTCTGAGAAATTGGAATACAAAAATAGCTTTCAAAAGGGAGGTTCATAAGTAAATTTAAAAAAAATTTAAAAGTGAAATTGCTCATACATGATAATAAAACAAATTCCAAAATATCATTTGGCACTGTTCAAAAGAAATATAATGCAAGCTACACATACGTGGTTGTACTTTTTTCTTAGGTACTTTATGGAAATGAAGCAGATTATATAAATGTTAATAATATTTTGTATTTTACCTAGTGTAACCAAAATGTTATTATTTCAGCATGTAAGCAGTATAAAAATTTAATGAAATATTTCACAATTTTCTCAATGAAAAAAATTTGAAATCCAATATGTATTTTGGATGTAAAACACATCTCAAATACTTACAGCCATAAGAGGCTAGTCACTATTCTACTGGATGGTGTGAACTCAAAGTTGACCCACTGATTCATGAACATCACAGAAAAAAATTGGAAAAGTATCAATTGTTTTATAGATGATGTTGGGAAATGTAATGCATTTTAGGAAGAAGAAAAAATTTGGGTGCTTAACTCACCTTTCATACAGAAGTAAACGCATATGGAATAGAGATGTTCATGGGAAAGGCAAAACTGTAAAATTCAAAGAAGAAAACACAGGAGAGGGCTTTGTGTCCTATGAGTGGAGAAATAATCCTTCATGATACCTTAAACAAAAGTTGTAAACAATGTACCAGCTTAATTATATAAAAATCAACATTTTCTACTCAACAAAGAATTTCACAAATAAAATTAATAGACAGCTGACAAATTCACTGAGAGTAGAAATGTTGAATGGGAAAAACAGATTAAAATTCCAGTGAATCTAAAAGAAGACAGAAAACCCAAAGGAAAGGGGATATGAATAGGCAATTGGAGAATAGAAAACGAGATAAATATAGATTCTATTTCATATGTCTTTCCCTGACTTTGAAGACCGAATGGCCATATGTCTTTACATCTTCTGTTCCAATTGCTCTGTATATAGCTACAGTACTAATGATGCACGTAGAGCTATGGGTGAAGATACAAGGAGGTGCATGAATGCAGCTATGTTCCTTTCTCTCTTCTGCAGTCTCTGTAATGTGACACTGGTTTTTTCTTCCTTAATGTAGGGTTTTCATCAACACAAGAAGGAATTACTTTCTTTTCCCATTGAATACTGTAAATGAATTTTTAAATTGTTCAAACCCTTCAAATTTGCCTCTTTCAATAGTTGACTTTGTAGTCAATTCTCAGACAAAAAAAATATGGGAAAAGCAAAAGAGCGATTACTACCAAAAGAAGAAAGTCCATTTCATGATTAAATATTATATTCTGTAAAGAGGGATGAGTGAGTGTTTGTGTGCATGTATATGTATGTGTATTTGCCTGGGAATTCTCCTGATTATGTAGCCATTAAAATGATATTTGCCTAATACATACTTATCAATCATCTTCCAGTGGTAACATTAAACCAGTGTGACCCAGCTGAGATGTTAGGGAACTTGCTTTTTTTCTTCTCCAATACATGAGAGACCAGGCTTGGCATAGATCCTTACAATACTCTGGTGGGTATGTACCTTGCAGATATGTGTACTGAGAATAAACACAAATTATATTGTTTGCTTTAATTTATTTTAGTACTCATTTTATAGTATTGCTTTGAATTAGTATTTTTGAATCATTCCCTTCCAGCAGGTTTTTAAGCCCCCAAAGTTACTGTGGGGATAACTCAAGGTGTTCGTGGGGTATGTGAACTGTTTCACTACTCTATTGATGGAGAAAGGAGAAAAATTGCATTTCAATGGTGGTAAATTAGACCCAGGTATTTCATGGAAGTATCTGCACACCTAGGGCAATGCAAGGGTGATCTGAAAAGAAGGAAGCTAAAGTTTGAGAGTGAAAAATGATTTAGAAATAGTTCAGAATAAGTTATATTTGATAAATTCAAAGGAAGATAATATTTGTAAACTATTTTCTTTATGTATACAAAGAAGGTTAAAGGTTAGTTATAAAATGTTAGCAGCTAGTTTCAGCATCTTTTACACTTTATTTCTTTTCGCTTATCCTAAAACTGGCCATATATCAGAATCATCACTGGAAGAAAAAAAAAACAAAGTCCAGATGCTCAAGCCCCATCACTAACAATTATTATTCAATAGGATCTGAATTTTTTCTATGGTTAAAAACCTCCATATGTGATTCTGATGTGATTCACAGCCATAATTTAAAGCCTCTGCTTTATAGTAAATAATACCTCATAATATAATTACTTTATGGTTATATTAATAGATATGAACTTTCCATGGTTAAGTCATGTCAAATGTACTCCCCACTTGGAAAAAAAAAGAGAAACTAGTACTCTTTACTGCCACGTGGTGGCAGCATACATATATTGCAAGGGCAATTATTGTAGGAGGCCAATTTAATAAAACATTTTAGAATTAGAAAACCATATAGAGATCATCTAGTCAGATTTACACCTGAAAACTAAGGCCCATACACCTGAAATTATTTATCTCAAGTCAAAGACAGATAGTGAAAGAACATGAAATTTTAAAAAATCTCTGGATTTTAAATTTAGTGCTATTTCTATTAATGTCAAATTATAGCTCAAATTTTAGTCTAACAAATTTGAGATTGAATTCTTGCTTGTATGTACTACTGTGTGCCTTTCAGCAAGTTAATAAAATACATTGAACCTTGCTTTTCACATTTGTAGAATGTAAAATAGTGAGACTTGAATGATATACAGTAAGAGAGATCCTAGAATTGTTCTTAGTATGTACAAATACTTAAAAAAAATTGGCTCTCATCCCCTTTAAACAACCCTATTCATCTAATGGTTAAAAGAGCTATTCAGCTAGCAAGTCACCAGAGAGCTGACAAGATTTTGGCAAGAGATATGGGATTTTTTTCACTGGAGTTCCTTAGACTTGATATTTGAACTGCACTTAAACATCAACTTCTGTTGTTTACATCATATTAATAAATATGATAAAAGAAAGTTTAAAAGAAATATGCAGAAATTAAGCAGCAGTCTGACTTTTAAGAAATATAATTCAGTATTGGTGGCAAGAACCATAAACATTATTTTGATGGAAGATCTGAACCAAAACAGTGTTTTGAAAATAGATCATGTTACTCTCTTTCACCTATTAAGAGTAATTAGAATTCCTTTAAACTGTATTTTAATGAGCAGCAATTTCCTTCTCACCATTCAAGCTATCTAACAAGAAAAAGAGCCTCCCAGAATTGATTAAAATATTTTTAAAATAAAGCAAATAACTTTTTGCAACATTTTCCAAACCTTCATCAAATTGGGTGAGGATTTTCTAAGATCATCATTTTATAGCTCTATCTCCATTTTCAAGTTGCTCAAATGAATGGGCCTAATAAATGAGCAATTAAACCAGAACTTCAGTCCTTTTTTTTTTTTTTTTTTTTTTTTTTTTTTTTAAGGGACAGGGTCTCACTCTATTGCCAAGGCTGGAGTGCAGTGATGTGATCATAGCTCACTGTGACCTCAAACCCTTGGACTCAAGTGACCCTCTCTTCTCAGCCTCTCAAGTAGCTAGGACTGCAGATGCGCACCATCATACTCAGTGTGTTAGGCCATTTTTGCATTGCTACAAAATATACCTGAGGCTGGGTATTTATAAAGAAAAGAGGTTTAATTGGCTTGTGGTTCTGCAGGGTGTACAGGAAGCATGGCACTGGCATCTGCTTGGCTTCTAGGAAGGCCTCAGAGAGCCTTTATTCATGGAGGAAGGTGAAATGGAAGCAGGCATATCACATGGAGAGAGTGGGAGCAAGAAAGAGCAAGTGGGTGGCAAAGGTGCCACATGCTTTTAAACAACCAGATCTTGTGAGAACTCACTCACTTGAGAAGGCCACTTGAGCCCAGGGGTTTGAGGTCACAGTAAGCTATGATCACATCACTGCACTCCAGCCTTGGCAACAGAATGAGACCCTGTCTCTTAAAAAAAAACCAAAAAACAAAAAACAAGGAGTGAAGCTCTGGCTTAATTGCTCGCTTATTATGCCCATTCATTTGAGCAACATGAAAGCGGAGATCACAAGGACAGCACCAGGTCATGAGGCATCTGCCTCCATGACCCAAAACCTCCCACCAGGCCCCAGCTCCAACATTGGAGATTACATCTTAACATGAGATTTGGAGGGGATAGGATATCCAAAATATTACTCTGCCTCTGGCCCCCCAAATCTCATTCCTTCTCACACTGCAAAATATACTCATCGCTTCCTAATGGTCCTCTAAATTCTTAACTCATTCCTGCATTAACTCAAAAGTCCCAAGTCCAAAGTCTCATCTGGAGATGCGTTCCTTCCACCTATGAACTTGTAAAATCAAAACCAGTTATTTCCAACATACAATGGGAATACAGGTATTGGGTAAATATTTTTATCCCTAAAGGAAGAAATTGTCCAAAAGAAAGGGGCCATAAGCTCTATGCAAATCTGAAACCCAACAGGGCAGTCATTCAGTCTTAAAGCTCCGAAAATAATCTCTGTTGACTCCCTGTCTTGCATCCAGGGCACAACAGTTCAGGGGTGGGCTCCCAATGCCTTGGGCAAGCTGCATCCCTGTAACTTTGCAGGGTGCAGCCCCTGTGGCTGCTCTCATAAGTCAGAGTTGAGTGCCTGCAGTTTTTCCAGGCACAGGATTCAAGCTGCTGGTGGACTACCATTCTGGAATCTAGAGGACAGTGGCTCCCTTCCCATAGCTCCACTAGGCAGTACCACAGTTGGGACTCTGTGGGGCCTCCAACCCCACATTTTCTCTCTGCACTGCCCTAGTAGAGGTTGCCTGTGAGGGCTCAGCCCCTGCAGCAGACTTCTGCCTGGGCACCTAGACTTTCCTGTACATCCTCTGAAATCTAGGCCAAGGCTGCCTAGCCTCCTTCACTCTTGCACTCTGCATGCCTGCAGGCTTAACACCTCATGGAAGCCTCCAAGGCTTACAGCTTGTGCCCTTGAAAGCAGCAGCCAGAGCTGTACCTGGGGCCCTTTGAGCCATGGCAAGAACTAGAGCAGTAGGGATGTGGGCAGCAGCCTCCCTTAGGTGGCCCAGGGCGTTGGTGCTCTGGGCATGACCCACAAAACCACTTTTTTCTCTTAGGTTTCTGGGCCTGTTATGGGCAGAGGCACCTCAGAGATTTCTGGAATGCCTTCAAGGCCTTTTGCTCATTGTTGTGGCTACCAGCACTTGGCTCCCTTTTAGTCATGGTAATAACTCTAGCAAGTGGTTGTTCTGCAGTCTTCTTGAATTCCTCTTCTGATAATGCTTTTTCTTTCTCTGCCACATGACCAGGCTGCAAATTTTCGTAACTTTCACATTCTGCTTCCCTTTTAAATATAAATTCCAACATTAAGTCATTTCTTTGCTCCCTCATCTGAGGATAGACTTTTAGAAGCAGCCAAGCCCTTCTTGAAAGCTTTGTTGCTCTGAAATTTCTTCCACCAGATATCCCAAGAAATTATTCTTAAGTTCAAACTTCCCAGATCTCTACTGTATGGATAGAAAATAGCCAAGTTCTTTGGTAAGGCATAACAAGGGTGACCTTTGCTCCAGTTCCCAACAAGTTTCTTATTTCCATCTGAGACCTCATCAGCCTGGATGTCACTGCTGATATCACTATTAGCATTTTGGTCACAACCATTTAACCAGTCTCTAAGAAATACCAAGCTTTCCATCACCTTCTTTTCTTCTTTTGAGCCCTCTAAAATCTTCAAACCTCGGCTTGTTACCCAATTACAAAGCTGCTTCCATATTTTCAGGTATCTTTATAGCAATGCTCCACTCTTCAGTACCAATTTTCTGTGTTAGGCCACTTTTTTATTCTTATTAAGAAATACCTGAGGCTGGGTAACTTATAAAGAAAAGAAGGTTTAATTGGCTTAAGGTTCTGCAGGGTGTACAGGAAGGGTGGTGCCATTATCTGCTTGGCTTCTGGGAGAACTCAGGGAGCTTTTACTCATGGTAGAAGGTAAAACAGGAGCAAGCACATCACATCGCAAGAGTGGGAGCAAGACAGAATGTGAGGGACGGGTGCCACATACTTTTAAACAAACTGATCTCTTGAGAACTCACTCACTATCATGAGGACAGCACTAAACCAGGAAGGATCCACCCCCATGACCCAAACACCTCACACAAAGCCCCACCTCTAATATTGGGGATTATATCTCAATATGATATTTGGAGGGGACATTCAAAATATATCACCAGGCTAATGTTTTTATTTTTATTTTGTAGAGACAGGGTCTCACTATATTGGCCCAATTGGTCTCAAACAATCTTTCCACATCAGCCTTCCAAGGCACTGGAATTATAGATATGAGCCATCACACCTAGCCTTTTATTCTTAGTATATTTTTAAATTTTGTGTGCAAACAGTATGAGATAAACAGGCCAATAAAGGATCAGAGAATTCAGTTATGAAAAGCAATTCAGTATTGATACATGTCACCAAATGGATAAAATTGGAAACACTATATTAAGTGAAGGAAGCCAGACACAAAAGGTGACACTTTGTATTAATATATTTCCATTTATATGAGCTATCAGGAGGAGGCAAGTCCATGGAGACAGGAAGTCTGTATGACATAAAAACAGAAAGTTGTTGACAGGGAGGGGTGTGGGGATTGGTGGAGGGGGAAATAGGGAGTGATTGCTAAATGGTGTGAGGTTTCCTTGTGGGGTGATATAAGTGTTCTGGAACTAGATAATGGCAATGGTTGCTCAACATGTATTAAGTTCCACTGAATTGTACATTATAAATGATGAAAATGGTGAATTTTACATTAAGTATATTTTACTACAATAAAAGAAGAAAAGGATTACAGAAAATAAGGTAATCTGGTCAAGAATAAAGACAGCTCTACTATTCAGTTTTCTCTCAGGTCTCCAAGTGACCTCAGCAAAGAGTACTTGGAACGTGTAGACTTTTTTTTTTTTTAATTTAACACAGTCCTGAAAAAATTAAAGGGAAATCAAATAATAAAATCCAATGATTTCTCCTTAACACATCTATGAAACCTGTTTTGTTAACTTCCTACTCAGCCATATGGACAGACATCCACATTTCAATTTTCTATTTCCTCTACTTCAGCACACAGTTCATTTACAAATGTATATACCAGAATTCCTTCATTCAGTGGAATCTCCAGTGCTACCTGTAACCCGTCTCATGGAAAGAAAAGAAAAGGAGGGAAAAGCCTCCAATTGGCCTGGTAGACAAGGGACAGAAATGATTGCAGGAGAAGAAGAGCACTGCCTGAGTGTCAAACTAGAAAAGTTTATTTTCCTTTTCCTTTTCTTTTTACCTTTGTTATCCGTCTTCCTTCTACCTACTTTTCCCTTCATTCTTTTGAATTTATAAAACACTAATTGGCTGCATTATTTTTATTTATTTGCAAAACAGCTATAATCAGTTTCCTTGCTGTTCTGCAAGTGTTATTGTTTTGAACCATGCCAGAGGGGCTTTGGAGGTTGATGGAGGGATCTCTTGGGAACTTAACTTTTCCAATTTTGGGGGTAAAAGATTTTGTTTGAATTGGCTTTTGCTAGGAGCTTCAAGCTTGGTTCTTGCCTCTTTAACAAAGGACAGAAAAGCACCACATTTTCTTTGTGGTTCTAACAAATAAAGGATTGTATTTCCTCTTTGAGACTTTTAGGTGTTTTTGCTATGTCCTTTAATAGCTAGATAGGTATTACAGGAAGATGACATAAATAATTCGATAGAAATAATCTGATATTTTAGAATTTGCTTTAGCCATCCTGGTCCCACTCTACTTCTTGTAGCAAATGACTTTAGAAGGGCATTACTGTGTCTCTACAGAAAATCTAAAACAAATTAGCTGGGCATGGTGGCTTGAGCCTGTAGTCCCAGCTACTATAGGGGCTAGGGTGGAGGATTGCCTGAGCTCAGGAGTTTGAGGCTGCTGTGAGCTATGATTGTGCTACCGCATTCCAGTCTGGGCAACGGAACAATACCTTGTCTCAAATAAAAAATGTTTTAAAAAGGAGGGCATTATCTTTATATATGTATTTAAATGTAAATATTTAAGTATGTATTGTATATAAAGTATGAATATATATTTAAAATTTTATTTGCATAGGAATTTGCTAATTATAAAGAATTATGATATAAAATGAGCAATATTTTAAATGAAATGGCCACAATTCTGAAACCACCTTGGCAAATATTATGACAATGAGAGAAATCTAACATGGCGGACTCCATTTTGTCTCCAGCCTTAGACTGGCTGTCTTCATTCATTCCTGGGAGTAGGCCAAGCTAACCATGGGGGGAATTTAATTTATAGTTTAACTTTGAAGCAAGAATGAAAGTAGTTCCTAAACTGATCCCCTCCTTGTTTGGCGACTGAAACTGCCTTTGTAAGATTAACAAAAGGCCACAGGATTAGGATCATGGGAGGGGCCTAAATTCTGCAAGGATGTAAGCATAGTTTCTATAATTCTTTACTGCTCAGGAGTCAGTCATGTGGCCAGAAGTCACATGATTTGTGACTTCCCCAATTGCTCCTATAGATAACATCACTATTATAGAACCTATGATTGGCCTTCTGATATGTTTTTCAGACATTTACAACCAAGTGACCCCACCTGGACTCACGACTTGTGACTCAACCGGTCCTGCGGTCTCCCACCCAGAGGCAGAGTCAGTGCACGAGGACTGTTTTCCACACCCCTATGATTGCATTCCCAACCAATCAGAAGCACTTATTCCCTATTCCCCTGCCCACCAAATGATCCTTGTAAAACCCAAACCTTCAAGTATTCAGGGAGAATGATTTGGGTAATAACTCCAGCCCTTGTGCTCAGTGGCCTTGCATTAATTTAATTCTTTCCCTATTGCTATACCACTGCAATAGGGAAAGTCTTGGTGAATAGGTTTTGTGTGTGCAGTGGCAGGAAGAACCTGTCAGTTGATTACAATCCCTCCAACCTAGAGATAACTACTTTTAAAATTCTTGGATTATGTCTAAATCATATCTATATAACTCTCTACCTACACATCCTTGTGTAAACATGCACATATACACACACCCATATGCTATATATATATATGCATCAAGTTTTAATGTATATATGTGGTATAAATACATAAGTATATTTTTGTATATGCATATATAAAAATAATCATATTTTTACGTATGTATATAATAATATATGTATGATTTCATGTTTGTATATAAATTTCATAAAAATTATGTATGCATGTATATAAATATATTATTATCTACATACATACACAGAGATATGCTAATTTTTAAAAGGGACCAAAATGAACACATTTCTATAACAATAAAAATAGTTGTGCTTCATTGTTTTAATAATGGTTTATAGTTTTCCATTGTATGTGATTCTATAATTTTTTATGAACAATTCTCCTTTATTGATGTCAACTTATTTTTAATTTTTTTGCCATTATTAACAAGACTATGAACAGCATGGTGGGCAAGATTATTGGAGAAACTCTTAAAAAATAAAATCTTTACATATTATAGGTTAAATGTAATCTACTTACTTTTATGGGTATGGTTGATTTGGAAGAATGTAATTAAAATTACCCAAACAGAAAGGGTTACACTAATGTGAAAGTTGTGGCTAGCATAGATTGCAGGTCTTGACATCCCAGAATGGGAGTTGGCAAACTTTTTCTAATGGGGTCAATTAGTAAGTGCTTTAGGCTTTGTAGGAAAAGAGGCAAAATTGAAAATACTATGTAGTACTTACATAACCATTTAAAATGTCACTACTCAAAAAACAGGAAAATCACTCATAGTTCATAGGCTGTAAAAAACAGCTGTATGGATTTGGCCTATGGGCCATAGTTTGCTGACATCTGATCTAAAGACTTGCACTAATGGCAGAGACAATGTGGAAGGCAGGAGATAAGACTTTATCCATACTAAATGGGAACTTAGAACTGAGAATCTATACCTAGCCTTATCTTTAATTCAAAGGTGGACCAGGAAAATATCTACTGTCTAAAGGAAGACTAAGACAAATTCTGTTGGTTTCTTCTATGAGTAGAAAACAAGATAAGAACTCTTGAGAACTTAAAACCCCATATCTGCTTTCAGAGTGTTTGGGCTGCAAATTTGTAATTCTAGAAACAGAAGCAAATAAATTAACCTAAAGTGCTCCCAGCGAGGTAGTCCTTTAAACACAAAAGTCAATCCCCTCTGGACAGGTACACTCTCAACCCTGACTTCATGGGCTTCCCACAAAGTTTAGCTAAACGTGAGCTGAAGACCTAAATTCACACAATAATGAAAACATCAGCTGCAATGAAATTGAATCAGCAAAAATACACAATAACAGAATTTGATTCCTGGAACCACCAGAAGTTGGAATGATCAGGTACAGGATAGCAAATAAATATATATAATATATTATAATATACTACTATATAGTATATGTAAATATATGTATTACATATTATATATAAATATACTATATACTATATACTATACAATACTTATTTATATATAAATATTTATATATTTTATATATAGTACAATTATTTTATGTATACTTTTATATATAAATTTTTATATACAAATTTTATATACAAATAATATATAATATTTATATATTATAATAAAATTTGAATTTGTAATATACATTTGAATTTGTAAAATATAAAATTGTATATAATTGAACTTATAATATAATTTGAATTATATATAACACATCATATATCATATATATGATATATATTCAAATTGTGTGTATATATAACTATATATATATGCACACACACACACAATTTGAATTTGAACAACTAACTAGGCACAATTTAAAGATGCTAGGTAGAATTTAAACAAATATAAAAATACATATAATCAAGTAAGCTAAAAACCCAATGGTGTAAAACAGCAGATAAAACATGGAAGTAAAGAGAGAAATCATGCTGCTTCCAGAAAAATAGCATATCATATTTTGTGCTTGATTAATTAGTAGATAGATCTTGAAAAGAAGTTACTTTTAATCACTTTCTGTCCCTTCAGCATGTAAAAAATATTTTTGTAGCACTTCCCTTCAAATGTAAGTAAGAAGTAGTAAAAGACAAAACAGTCAACAGGGCAAAGAAATGCCAACATGCTCATTGTATAGAGTGAATTAAGTTTTGGGCCAGCAATAAGGTGGAGGAGCTGACCCTTACAGGCCTACAGGAACTTGGGACTTTCAAAGAGGCTTGACTATCACAAGTAAAAAGATTTGTTAAAGTTGATGAGCAAGTGTTCAAATTAATAGGTTAGAAAGCCAGGAGCGGTGACTCACCCCTATAATCCCAGCACTTTGGGAGGCAGAGGCAGGCGGATCACAGGGTCAGGATGTGTCCGGAATTGGTGGGTTCTTGGTCTCACTGACTTCAAGAATGAAGCCAAGAACCCTGGCAGTGAGTATTACAGTTCTGAAAGGCAGCGTGTCTGGAGTTTGTTCCTTCTCATGTTCAGACACGTTCAGAGTTTCTTCCTTCTGGTGGGTTCATGGTCTCGCTGGCTTCAGGAGAATAGCTGCAGACCTTTGTGGTGAGTGTTACAGCTCATAAAGGCAGTGTGGACCCGAAGAGTGAGCAGCAGCAAGATTTATTGCAAAGAGCGAAAGAACAAAGCTTCCACAGTGTGGAAGGGGACCCGAGCAGGTTGCCACTGCTGGCTGGGGCAGCCTGCTTTTATTCCCTTATCTAGCCCCACCCACATCCTGCTGATTGGTCCATTTTACGGAGAGCTGTTTGGTCTGTTTTACAGAGAGCTGATTGGTCCCTTTTGACAGGGTGCTGATTGGTGCGTTTACAATCCCTGAGCTAGACACAAAAGTTCCCGAAGTCCCCACTAGATCAGCTAGACACAGAGCATGGATTGGTGCATTTACAAACCTTGAGCTAGACACAGGGTGCTGATTGGTGCATTTACAAACCTTGAGCTAGATACAGAGTGCTGACTGGTGCATTTACAAACCTTGAGCTAGATACAGAGTGCTGATTGGTGTATTTACAATCCCTTAGCTAGACATAAAGATTCTCCAAGTCCCCCCTAGACTCAGGAGCCCATTTGGCTTCACCCAGTGGATCCAGCACCAGGGCCGCAGGTGGAGTTGCCTGACAGTCCTGGGCCACTCCTCAGCCCTTGGGTGGTTGATGGGACCCGGCGCCGTGGAGCAGGAGGGCGCGCTCACAGGGGAGGCTCTGGCAGCACAGGAGCCCACCACAGGGCAAGGGGCGGGGGCGGGGGGAGGCTCACGCAGGGCGGGCTGCAGGTCCCCAGTCCTGTCCCATGGGGAGGCAGCTAAGGCCCTGCGAGAAATGGAGGGCAGCGCAGGTGGGCCGGCACTGCTGGGAGACCCGACGCACCCTCAGCAGCTGCTGGCCTGGGTGCTAAGCCCCTCACCACCCGGGCCCGGCAGGGCCTGCCGGCCTCTCCAAGTGCAGGGCCCGCCAAGCCCACGCCCACCCGGAACTCTAGCTGGCCCGCAAGCGCCTGCACAGCCCCTGTTCCCGCCTGAGCCTCTCCCTCCACACCTCCCCGCAAGCTGAGGGAATGGGCTCCCGCCTCGGCCATCCCAGGAAGGGGCTCCCACAGTGCAGCGGCGGGCTGAAGGGCTCCTCAAGCATGGCCAGAGTGGGCCCCGAGGCCGAGGAGGCACCAAGAGCCAGGGAGGGCTGTGAGGGCTGCCAGCACACTGTCACCTCTCAAGGAGATCGAGACCATCCTGGCTAACAAGGTGAAACCCCGTCTCTACTAAAACTAAAAAAAAATTAGCTGGGCGTGACAGCGGGCGCCTGTAGTTCCAGCTACTCGGGAGGCTGAGGCAGGAGAATGATGTGAACCTGGGAGGTGGAGCTTGCAGTGAGCCGAGCTTGCACCTGGGTGACAGAGCGAGACTCCGTCTCAAAAAAAAAAAGAGGTTAGAAAAGCTAAAACAGGGAAGGTGTAGTGGCTTATGCCTGTAATCCCAGAATTTAGGGAGGCTGAGGATGGCAGATTGCTTTAGCCCAGGAATTCTAGACCAGCGGTAGGCAACACGGCAAGATCTTGTCTCTCCAAAAAAAAAAAAAAAAGCAAAAAAAAAAATAGCCAGGTGTGGTTGTACAGCACTCCAACCTGGGCAACAAACCTAGACTCTGTCTCAAAGGAAAAAAAAAAAGAAAGAAAGGAAAGGAAGGAAAAGAAAAGCAAAATAATAAACCCAGAGTACATAGAAAGAGTTAGATAATAAAGGTAAGAGCAGAACTTAACAAAACAGAAAAATAGTATAAAATTGAGGTGATTTCTAGATTCAAATGATAATGCTTTAAAAAGATTTAAAAACAAACAAGCATTTTAGGAAAAATTAAAACACAAATAAATAATATGCCGAAAGAATGGGGGCAATTTGTCAGCAAAGATTACAGTTAAGAGAATATATGAAGTGTCAATAAATTTGAACATTTACTTAAAATGGACAATTTCCTAGAGCCTAAAGTTTACCAAAACTGACACAAGAGGAAATGCATAGCTGAAAGAGTCCTTTAACTGGTAAAGAAATTAAATCAATTGTTTAAAATCCTTCACTGAGAAAATACCAGACCCAGATCATTTGGGAGGTGAATTCTATCAAACTTCTAGTACAAAGAGAATATCAGTTTTAACAAAAAGTTCTAAAGAGTAAGAAAAGAATCTTCCTTTAATTATTTCATGAAGCTTATATAATGTTGATACTGAACATAGATAAGAACTGTAAAGAAATTTATAAGCCAAATTCACTCATGGATATAAAAGCAAAATGTTTAAACCACTGTATTACCTGCCTAAGTCCACTAGAGTGAGAAAAAAGCATGACTGACAGGTCATCCAAGAAATGTGAGGGTGGTTTAATATCAGGAATACATTTATTTAATTGACTGTATTTTATTTATCTTTTAGTTTTTTTAATTTGATAAATATCAATATTGTGTTGCCTTTGTGGTAAGCACTGTCCCAAATGGTTTCCAAATATTTACTCCTTTTAACCTCCTATTGTCTCCAGGAGAAGGCACTATCATATCTTGCTTCCCTGTTTCAGGTGAGGACTCCACTGCAAAGCATATGGAGATGAAGTAACATGTAGAGATTGTACGGGTGATCAGTGGTTGAATCAGGACGAGAACTCCTGAGTTCATGTCCTGAACCAGTGCCCTTTATTGACGTTTACATTATAGATTAAAGAAAACAACCGGCCAGGCGCGGTAGCTCACGCCTGTAATCCCAGCACTTTGGGAGGCCAAGGCGGGTGGATCACAAGGTCAAGAGATTGAGACCAACCTGACCAACATGGTGAAACCCCATCTCTGCTAAAACTACAAAAATTAGCTGGGCATGGTGGCACGCACCTGTAATCTCAGCTACTCAGGAGGCTGAGGCAGGAGAATCCCTTGAACCCAGGAGGCAGATGTTGCAGTGAGCCAAGATTGCGCCACTACATTCCAGCCTGGGTGACAGAGCGAGACTCCATCTCAAGAAAACAAAACAAACAAACAAAAACAACCATGTGCTTCTCTCAAGAGATGCAGAGAAAGCATGTATATTTCTAAATATATTTCCCAGGGTTTTTTACTTGTTTTTTGACCTTCTTTTTAGTATGTTTTTCCATGGAGAAATTTGAAATTCTTATATAATTAAGATCATTTTTTCTTTGTAGCTTAAAAAGATATTCCTCACTAAGAATAAAAAATTTCAAGTCTCCAGGTTTCTATAGTTCCATTATATCTATTTTATTTCTTTTTTTTTTTATTTTTAGGGGTGAAGCCTTGCTCTGTCACCCCAGGCTGGAAGGCAGTGGCTTAACCATAGCTCACTGCAGCCTCCACCATCTGAACTCAAGTGATCTTCCTGCCTCAACTTCTCAAGTAGTTGGGACTGCAGACACATTCACCATGCTCAGCTACGGGAGAGATGGGGATCTAGCTATGTTGCTAAGGCTGGTCTCAAACTCTTAGCCTCAAGTGATCCTTCTGCCTCAGCTTTCCAAGTGCTGGAATTACAAGTATGAGCCACTGCGCCCAGCCTCTACATTTTTAAATAGTTAATATATCTAGAGTTTATTAACGATTAGCTATATTTTCACCTTTGTTGAATAATTTTTGTTACTGATCCAAAATGTCAATTTTATTATAATTTCAATTCTCTTATATTCTTGAATCTAATTTTAGGCATTTTCCCATTGATTAGTCTAATTCTGAACCAAAATGCTGTTTTTAATTATAATATAGAAAATATAATGAATTACATAATATAACAAAAAATAAATTACCATAAAACATGCTCAAAATAGAATAAAGTTATATCATCATCTGAAAGATCCACAAATGGTATTTTATAAAATGCAACATTCATTTCTAATTTTAAAATATTAATAAATCAGAATAGATGAATGTTTCTGCAACATGAAGAAATTATATATCTAAAAAAGAAAACAAGGGGTAGACATATTAGTCTGTTCTCACATGGCTATAAATAAATACCTGAGACTGGGTAATTTATAAAGAAAAGAAGTCTAATTGACTCACAGCTCTGCAGGCTGTGCAGGAAGCATAGTGGCTTCCTCTTCTGGGGAGGCCTCCTGTAACTTACAATCATGGCAGAGGTCAAAGGGGAGCGAGTGTCTCACATGACTGGAGCAAGAGGAAGACAGAGCAAGGGGAGGTGTTACACACTTTAAAACAACAAGATCTCGTGAGAACTCTATCACCAGAATAGAACTAGAGGGATGGTGCTGAACCGTTCATGAGAAACCGTCCCACCAGGCCCCACCTCTAGCATCAGGTATTACATTTCCACAGGAAATTTGGGTGGGGACACAGATCCAGACCGTTATCAGCAAGATATTGATAAAACTTTACTAACATTGGCAATAAGTGCAGGACAAAATGAGGATGCCTAATATAATATCAAATAAAAAACTATTGGGTGTAGTGGCTCACATCTGTAATCTCAATACTTTGGGATGCCAAAGTGGGCAGATCACTTGAGCTCAGGAGTTCAAGACCAGCCTGGGTAACATGGTGAAAACCTGTCTCTACAAAAAATACAATAATTATTCAGGCGTGGTGGCAGGCACCTGTAGTCCCAGCTACTAGAAGACCTAGGTAGGAGTATTAATTGATCCCATGAAGTCAGGCTGCAGTGAGCTGTAATCATGCCACTGCAATCCAGCTGGGGTGACAGGGTGACACCCCCGTCTCAAAAAAACAGAACAAAACAAAAAAACTATTATTAACCATGGTTTTTGAAGCACTGATAATTCAGTTAGAAAAGAGTATCTCATTCTTTAATATCAACTTTTTCATTGCATGAATATAACATAGTTTGTTTAACCAATTCATTATTAGTACATATCTGGGTTTCTAGGGTTTTTTTTTTTGAAATTTTTTTCTGAAAAATGGAGATTCAAATTCCAAGACTTTCTCCTATGTCCATATCTTTTATTTATTTATTTATTTTTGGAGACAGGGTTTCACTCTATTGTCGAGGCTGGAGTGTGGTGGTGCAATCACCACTTACTGCAGCCTTGCCCTCTCTAGCTAGGCTCAGGTGCACCCCAGCCTCCCAAGTAGCTCCAAATACAGGTGTGCACCACCACACCTGGCTACTTTGTGTGTGTGTATGTGTGTGTGTGTGTGTGTGTGCATATATATATATATGTATATACATATACATATTTTCCAAGTTCTAAGCTCATTCCACAACTTGCCACAAAGAAACAATAATCACTTTCTAAGGGACCTATGTATATATACATGTATATATATACACATATATACATATACATATACGTATATATATATATATATATATATATATACACACACGTATATATATATATACACACACACATATATATATATATTTTTTTTTTAGAGAGATGGGTTTTGCTGTGTCGCCCAGGGTAATCTCAAACTCCTGGGCTCAAGTGATCTGCCCACCTCAGCCTACCAAAGTGCTGGGATTACAGGAATAAGCCACAATGCACAGCCCATATCTTTTAAAAGAGATAATATCTTCACAGATTATTTAACTGTGCTTGCTGCTTCAGCCACTAGCAGAGTGCTGCTACTTCCAATGCTTCTTTTTATATTCCTAGTTGAGATTACAAAATGAAAATTAAAAGTGTGTCTTCTACTTGGAGATTGTGGAGATAAGTCTTGATGATAAAGACTTGATAAATTCTAGAAACATAAACTTAGAACAAATATTTTCCCAGCTATAACTATGTGTGAATCCCTTGGCTTGATCTTGTAGAAGAGACAAAGTAAGACTCTGCAGGTCTTGCCCTTAAAGTGCTTACAATATGATTAACTTAGTAAAGTACGGTTGGCTGTCTAATCCAAGATAGATGTAATAGCTACTTTTCTGTTATAGCAACATTTGGTTGAGAAAATGTGGGAGTCATTGTAGATTTTTGGTTTAAAAAATTAAGAAATAAAAATTGTGTTGGCAGATGATTTTCCTGGTTCAACTGTGGGGATGCGTTGGAAAGTGGCTAAAAGGGAAATTAGCTTAGCCAAAGTTAAACTCCTATGTTGGTGAGCATTCATTAAATATTTATGATCTATGTTTTTTTCTGATCATCATTTATCCCAACGTATGCCCCTTTTTGATGTCTGATTAATCATTATCAAAGATATAATTAACAATAATTATTACTATATGTATTAAGTTTTGCCTGGGTCCTGAAGAGAAACTGCCCCAAATTAGCAGCTGTGATCTTCACTTGATTTCCTTACAAAGAACAGTGGGAATTTCTGGTTTTAAAGTGAATTAAAATGTGAAACTAATTAGATTATCATAGATGACCCTGCAGAGCCCATTGGTGAAAATTTGGAAAACACAAGGACTTCGTAAAGTGGATTCTTGTAGAGTTTTTGGAGAGAAAAATGAACCAAAAGGATGGCAAAATACTTCTTGTTCTGTTATTTGTCTTCTATATGGAAACATCACTGAAGTTTCTGGACTCCATTTTCCCATGTGGGAAGTTTACTAACAATATCCAATTCCATTCTATCACCATGTAACTTCTGAAACTAAGCAAAAATGCTGATTTATTCATCTCAGTAAAAACTGAAATGAATATGTAACAGAATAGTTGGAGGGCCCCTTGGAAAGTGACTATTGTTTCTTTGTGGCAAGTTGTGGAATGAGCTTGTAACTGGGAAAATATGTGTTTTGAGTTCTGGATTTGGCCAAATATTAACCACATGACTCTGGATAAATTGTTTAATCTAACTTATCCTCATTTAATGCCTACATCACAGGATGTTGTGATCATTAGTGTAATTATTTGTGTAATATACAGTGTTATGGAAATTCTTGTTGTTATTGTTCTTCTTGCATAAATTCATATCCTTAAGCAACTCACTTAAATAAGTAGTAACTTATCTCCTTAAATTATACCCTATCTTCTGTAATGGGCTAAATTGTCCCCCGACCCTCAAATTTACATGTTGAAGTCCTAATCCCCAAGACATCAGAATGTGGCTGTATTTGGAGATAGAGCCTTTATTTTTTACTTTCATTTTTTATGTTACAGAAGTTGAAATAGGGCTTTTAAAAAGGTGACTACAGTAAAATGAGGTTACATGGTGGAACCTAACCCATGTGATTGGTGTCCTTATACAAGGAAAAGATTAGGATGCAGACATACACAAAAGAAAACCCATGTGAAACCAGAGGGAGAAGATGGCGATCTATAAGCCAACAAGAGAGGCCTCAGAAGAAATCAACCCTGTTGACCCCTTACCTCAGACTTCCAGCCTCCAGAACTGTGAGAAAATAAATATCTGTTGTTTGTCACCCATCCTGTGGTAGTTAGTTATGGCAGCCCTAGCAAACTAATATATCTTCTTATGGCATTCTTGTATTAAGTTGAAAATTCAATATTTGGCATCACAGCCAGAAAAAAAAATTAACGTCTCAATTTTGTGTGTAGTCTTTCTTCCTTATTGTCATTGCTAAAGATTTCCATATTTGGGTATATTTTCTGTATCTTGTAAACAGTGCTATGCTTATTCCTATTATTGCTTCTAATATACAATAAATATGCAGATACTGCATAAAGTTTGAAGAAATGCCACATATAGGATGTACATTTTAGGTATGTATATATATTTATATATTTATGTTTTATAACATTTCTCTATTTTCTCCCTTTGCTGGGATCTAGGAGCCTCCACTTTTGTGACTAGTACATTGAATTCTAGTCACTGAGTTTAATTCATTAAAACTTGTCAAATAATAATAATAATATGGGGAAAGACAAAAGAAAAGAAAATGATGCGCAGAAGAAGAAGCCATCAGGGAAGGGCAATACTATAAAGTGTTAGAATCTTATTAATAGGATTAATTTAGTCTAGAGGGAAAGACATTTGGTGGCACCAATGAGCCTAGTCTTTACTGATTGTTAGAGGCATCTCTAGTTCTGTTTGTTCTTGGTCTCCATCCATATGATTACCAGGGTCTGGGAATAGTATTTGAACAACTACAGTCACTGAATGGAAAAGAAATATATCTTTAGAGAATCAACAGTAATTTTTTGAGCTGATTAAAAAGTATTGTTGACTGGCTCTTGGGAAGCCTGTCATATTCATAAGCAGGAAATTGTTGGGTATGAAAAGTGGATGAAGAGAGGAGAGCAAAAGCTTTGGAAATAGATATATCTGGATTTAATTCCCACCTCTGCCACTTATTAACTGGATAAACCTGGGCAAGTTTCATACCTTCTTGAAATTCACTTACTTTAGTCTGTAAAATGGACATAATAACATATCACAGCATCCTTTCAGGAATTTAAAATCAGTTTTTGAAAGAAAAAGTACTCCATGAAATATATAGAAAATTATGAGCTCCTCATGGGTGTTTGACCTTTTATATTCTACCATCCCTTCTCCCCATCAAAAAGAGAATAATAATCATTTTCCTTCCCTTTTTGTTCACAGAAAATATCTCATGTTATGAAGTGGAAGCATTAAATAGAAAGTAATGGAATGGCCTATTATCCCAAGATGAGAAGGGAAAAAACAGGAATTCCAAATTAGAACATAAATTTTCATTAGGTACTTATTTGTATATGCTACTCTGCTGTTTACAATAGCAATTAAATTTAAAAGACAGTTCCTCACTTCTAAGACTTTATTGTACTCATTTACAAATTATATACCTGACTTATACTAAATTTTCAGAATTGAGGATTTTGCCTTTTTGGTATATTCATTCAAATCCTTATTGGCAAAAGGAGCAATGACTTCAGCAGAGAAAACATAAAACACTGCACTTAAACAAACTATATATATATATATAATGTTATATATTTTACATGCATTTATATCCTTGTTTCATACAACATTGTGATAGCTTACAGGAATATGCCTGATCCAATATATTGCAGAAATATTTAATATAAACAGGGCCAGGGGGAATGCAGATAAACCAGGAAGAAAAAACTAGGGCGGTGAAATTGGAAGAAAGAATAGTCACTCAGGTTGTACCACTGTTTTGACTTTAAGATTCTCCCTGGATAAAGCAGCATAGTAAACATGATTGGCTCCCAAAGCCACATTATTTGCAGGTGCCAGACTGCACATTAACAGTCTGACACCAAGGGACAGCACAGAAAAACTATCCAAAGATAAAGATCTTAAAATCTTTTCAGTTTGGAACTAGATCAGGTATAATAAGCCCCACACACTTCAACACAAAACATATTGTTCATCCTATATCAAATTATGTCTCAGACTATGTTATTGGAAATAGTTGGGGGTATCTGACCCTGCCATCTAAAACTGACCTGTAACATGTAAAGCGCAGGAAGTATTATTGTCCACTTTTCAACATCCGAACAGGAAAACAAAGTTGTTTCACAATGATAATGGAGAATAAAGTAAATACAAAAGGCTATAAAAGCCAAATAAAGTGCTGAAAGAAAGTGTGGACAAAACCAAACCTAACAAAAATCTGGTGAAGAATGGGGGTCCGTGACTGCATAAATCCAATGGAAAAACCTTAGCCAAAGTATAGGCACAAAAAGAAGGGCCCTGCCAAACCTATCACAGTGTAATTATTTTAAATGTCTCCATCTTTTATGAGTAGAGGTGAATCCCTCACTGTGCAGTGCTCCTAGTTTATCACCCACAGGGTCATGAGCACAATTAATAGTTGATGTTTTATACTACTAAGTTTTGGGGGTAGTTAATAATACTAAAATATGTTTGTCTTCTATCTTTATCTATATAGTTAAAGTGAATGGGTTGTGTTTATACCATGTGACCCTTATCCCTAGGCCTGTTTGTTTAAATCAGGGATGTCCACTGAGCCAAATTTGATAATAGACTTCCTTTCCAAAGAATTTGGAACTGGAACATTGTCACAGACACAAAAAACTGCAGAGTTATCTGTAGATCATTTTACACCTTCTGGACTGCAAAACCATTGTAGTTTTGCAAAAATCATTCTTCAAAAGAAGAATAAAGAGGTATGCAGGGAGAAGCAAAGATAAGAAAGTGAGAGAAGAAAGAGATAAGTAGGGTGGGGAGGGTGGGTAGAAAGAGAGACAGAGAGAGAGAGAGAAAAAAAATAGTAGTGCAGGCAAGTGAAAGAGCAGAAAGAGGCAGCAATTGCAATTGTAAGAGACATTGAGAAAGATTAAACCCTTCCTAGTTTCCTCCTGCCTCCCTGGGAACCATCTGTGCCTCAGGCTCCGCTGTCTCAATACCATCCTTGGTTAAAGGAGATTCCCATATCCTTTCAATAAATTCCTTTCTCTTTTAAGCTAGTAAAAGTATATTTTTCTTAGCTTTAACCAAAGAATTGTGATTTGTGCAGGTGATATTCTGATTCTCCCAAAATGCATCTAAAGGTTAGAAAAAATAGATATAGACTCTTAGTCTGGGTAAAGTGATAATATTTCCTAAAGCATTATTTTTGCATATATCTCAGAATAAGAAAGAAAAAGGTAATAAAAATTATGCAGAGTAATGGGTATTAGTAAACTGAAATGAGAAAGGGGGAAAAATTAGGCTAATAGAAAAGCAAGACATAAAAAAAGATAAAATTGCAGGCCATGTCAAGGGAAAATAATAAATACAGAGTAATATGGAGGACAAAAAAAAAGAAGTAAAAGCATTTGGGTAGATTTAAAACAGGGAATATCTAGTTTCCAACTCTTACATCGGAGTATTTGCATGACACTGAAAGTTTCAAACCTGTTTCTAAAGTCTGCAAATTTTTAGGGAACCAACGGTAATTTACATCATTTTTAGTTAAAGGACCTGGGACAGTGACAGAAGCTGAATTTCCTTCTCTGAATGGGTAGGTGTCTGATATGGTTTGGCTGTGTCTCCACCCAAATCTCATCTTGAATTGTAGCTCCCATAATTCCCACATGTTGTGGGAGGGACCTGGTGGGAGAGAACTGAATCATGGGGGCAGTTTCCCCCATACTGTTCTCATGGTGGTGAATAAGTCTCACAAAATCTGATGGTTTTATAAGGGGAAATCCCTTTTGCTTGGCTCTCATTCTCTCTGTTGCCTGCTACCATGTAAGATGTGCATTTTGCCTCCTGCCGTGACTGTGAGGCCACCCTAGAAATGTGGAACTGTAAGCCCATTAAACCTCTTTTTCTTTATAAATTATCCAGTCTCTAGTGTGTCTTTATTAGCAGTGTGAAAACGGACTAATACAGTATCCTTCCTTGTTCTGCCTTCCAACTGAGTCAGCATTGGAGCAAAGAAACACCAATTTTCATTTAATTCAGAATATAATCTTTGGCAACATAGAAACAAATTTGGCTAAGTAATTTGACTCTGCCAAATCATAGTAAATGCACATAGTGAAAAAATGTCTTTTAACTTAACAAATTACTCTTTAAAATATATTAATGTAGACATGTCAGTGGAAAGTTGAAAACAAGCAAAAAAACATTCAGGTAAAGGGTTGAAATAAAAAGTTCACTCCATTACATTCAATTCCTCCTATAAAACTCTCTTTTTAATTTGAGTGGACAGTCAACTGAGAATACCTGATTCTGGGCTAAGAAAATCAAAGCCTTCTCTGTCACACTGTATTCTCTTGGGTCACTTAATAAAGACACAAGTTGGGTTACTGGAAAAATAGTGGGAAAAATCAATCCCTCAGATATAAAGGGCTGCTCTTGGAAGCATGTGAATTGCTGTAGTTACTTTGCTCTTCTGGCCTCTAGAGTCTTTATCTTAACCTTGGCCTCACATGGAGACTGACTTTTTAAACCACTTTCCCATGACCCATTATATGCCTGTCAAAAGAGAAAAACCCAGCTCTTTTCCTGTGCTTTCAACCAGCCAGCTTATTCAAAAATCTATTCGGGTTGTTATAGCTTAACCTTGCCTGGTGAGGGACTTATGGGAAGTTTCTTATGATTTGAAAGACTGGTGCCATATATGTGCCTGCAAAGAAAGAAAAAAGTAAAGAAGAAACAGGTGTGGTTATCAAACACCCCAGTAGTCAAGTGATCTGTCCCAAGGTATGTGACAGCAACTTCTGCAAAGGTAACCTGTCAGAGCTTGCCATCTGGTTGTGTTTTATTCTGGAAGTAACAATAAATATTGACGAATGCTCCTGGTCTTCCCAGTTTCCCAAAGTTCCCTGGATTCATGCTTTAATATCTACCAGGAAAAATAGCACAGTATTTCAAGTCACTACTCTCTGCTTATATTATTGATAGTCACTTCTCATGGCCTCTCCCCTTCAAAGGAGAGTAGATCCTGAGAAGTGTTCTTTGTTTGTCTTTGTGGAGTAACTGGTGGTGATGCAAACTGGAGAGGCTGAGAGATGTTTTCACTGTGGTGTAATAAAACTAAAATGAAGAGATCCAGAAAGATCTTGAAAGGTGGCTGGAGGAGTGTGTAGCAGGAGTTCGGAGTAGAGACATGTGCAGCAAGATGGAGAGGATCTTTGTGGAGGGGAGAAAGAGAAACAAATAATTTACTAAGTTATGTCTTGTGATGTAGGACATGAGTCTCACCCTTCCCCTTTCCCTGGCAATCTCTTCACTAAAGACTGCATTATTCATTAGTGCTACTGAGGTAGATTTGCCATCTTATTTGGATACAGAGATGGATCCATGAATGCAAAATTACATTTGGTTTATCTTTGAATAATGTCACTAATAAGGAACACACATATTGGCCATACTAGCTGTGCACATGCTATAACCATGGTCCTCTATTTAAAGATCAAATTAAGTCTTCTTTTTTTAAGGTCAATCTCAAATTGCAACTCAAATATACATTCGTTGATATACTCAGCCCATAATGAACTGTCCCTTCCTTGTCCTCAAGCTGTGTCTACAAAATCTCATTTTTGAACTTAGAGATTGTCCCATATAACAAATTGTGATTCCATAAGCATATCTTATATCTTCAACACAATTACATGCTTCTGTGTAGCTAGAATCTTCCATTTTCATGATTTTTCTCAGTACTTGCTATGACAATAAGGACATTTATTCATCTAAATATCATTTGAGTATAACTGAAGTATCTCAATTCTGATATTGTTTGGATGGATTAATGCATAAATGAGGGAGTATGTAATAGCATCATGTACCACCCAGATTGTTTTTAAATGCAAACACGAAGAGCAGGCTAAAAAGAGGAGCAGAGCTTTTTGTAAAATATCCATCTCATAGTTGAGTCATTCTGTGAAACTCAGGATGCTCTGGAAAGATTTTGATGGCTGAGTAAGAATATTAAACAAATGAAATTCTTTCAAGCCTATTCAACCTGTCACCAGACAACTTTTTTGTACCTCCCAGGGATTTTATTTAAAACATAGACTTATAAAGTCTTTATAGATAACAGACTTACAAATCTTTATTCAAATCTTCATCTATACATGGATTTTTCTCTATTATTGTGTTCTAAAAGATTTAAAGAAAATACATGATAATTAACAATTGATATTATCTTTCTTATGTCCAAGTTTTTAATAGCAAAAAACCTTCTCTCTACACAATGCCTTCCAATTCTCATAGGTTCAATTCTCAAGTGAATTTTGCTCTGAATGGTGGGACATATAAGATGTAAATGAATTGTTTGTATATGTTTTAAGAATTCTTTGCAATGGCATGGCTATGAAAATGCATAGAATATTTAAATAACTAAAGTCACTTCCTGAGAATTATTATTTCTTCCTGGTTGAGATTCTGTCTACTCTGATTTATAAACATTTCCCTTTAAAGTGGTTTCAATTTTGTTTCGGATGGGTTCCTAGGATTTATTCCAATATCCACCCTGCAAAAGTTTTTTTTTTTTTTTTAATTAATCCCCTTACAGTTTCTCTATCATACAGAACGTACAATGGCAACCTGGTTATCACAACTCTGAAAAAGACAGCACTATTATTTTAGAGCTATTGAAGTTTTCTCTATCTGAAGACCTCAGACAGATGTCAATCTTCTTTGCTACTTCTCTGGGCCCTTTTATGGACTGAACAGCCCCTTATGGACTTCACACAGGACGTCTGTATCAGCTCATCGATATTCTTCCAACTTGAGTCTAGACTTCTGGCCTCCAAATGACGTTAGAGTTATAGCTCCAGCTCGTACCTGCATATTGCCTGGATTTAGGACCAGACCCTGTGAGCATCCGCCTGCTCTTACGTCTCTGGATTTTATTTTTCTCATAATTTTCAAAAAGTGGAGACATGCCTTTCTTCTTTTCAGTTTCAGCTATGTGTTTGTTTTTTTTTTTTTTTTTTTTTTTTTGAGACGGAGTCTCGCTCTGTCGCCCAGGCTGCAGTGCAGTGGCGCGATCTCGGCTCATTGCAAGCTCCGCCTCCCGGGTTCACGCCATTCTCCTGCCTCAGCCTCCCGAGTAGCTGGGACTACAGGCGCCCACTACCACGCCCGGCTAATTTTTTGTATTTTTAGTAGAGACGGGGTTTCACCGTGTTAGCCAGGATGGTCTCGATCTCGATCTCCTGACCTCGTGATCCGCCCGCCTCGGCCTCCCAAAGTGCTGGGATTACAGGCGTGAGCCACCGCGCCCGGCCTCAGCTATGTGTTTTTAAATTTTTCAAAATTCACTTCACATTTCCATATATTAAGAGTAGGAGAGTGACATTAAATTGAGCTTACTCTGCCATTGTATAGGCATATTGGAGATCCAATTTACTAGCTATTTATTGGATTCCATTACCTGGGTGTTTCAGACACCTGAACCTCACCATGTTCCAAATTTCCCTCCTTATTGTTAGTACTTTTGCTCATAATCTGAATGACATGAAATGGAATTAAAGCCAGCGAGTGGTTTTATTAATCAGAGGTAGAGCTTAGGATGCCTGACAGCTATAGGTCAGTAAGTCCTTCTTCCTCTTGGGGCCCTTGATTTAAAGTTAAACTTTGCTTCCTTCTGAGAGGTGTATATGCGGCAGTGAACTAAGAAGCTAGTTTAGGAAACACCACAGTAGTAGCTTCTGCCTAGAATACACTTTACCAAGGTATTCATTGGCAGTCTCTTCTGCCTCATTCAGGTCTCAGTTCAAATGCCACATCCACATAGAATTCTTTCTGGAACACCCAATGAAAATTGTTTTCTGCCTCATCCCATTTTTCCCTTTATTCATTTATTTTTAAATTGCATTTCTCATTTATAAGATGCCAGTGCTTAGAACAGTGCCTGAAACATAGTGTGATTTCAACAAATATTTATGAATTGCATGGATCTAATATTTTCTTCCCAAGAATAAACCTGACCTTTATGAAAACTACTAAGTGTATGTGGCACTTTCCACTTGCTTCCAAAGTCACTGTGCAACCAGTAATTTAATTAAATTAATTACTTTGCAAAGTGCTTGGAGAAATCCAGGATATGAGAGTCAGGATGTAAAATAAAATACTTTCCATTCTGCATATACCAAAGCATTTTACAGATAAATTACTAAAATATTGTGGGTCAGTGACCACAGAGAGCAAAGCTACTGCCTGGTCTAATGTAGCTCAAAAAAGCAAAGGTTTTATAAAGAAGTGAACTATTGCACAAGGCACTGAAGTCTCCTTGCTCCCCTATTCAAAAATTGCCGTAAAATCTGATGTTTACACACCCATCTCTGACCAATGTCTTGGCTTGGAATATTAATGAGATAATAGCTTCCCAGCTGGGAAGCCTCTCCAATAGTAATTCTCAATAATGTATTTCTGGCTGTTCAAAGCTGGGTATAGAAAATAATCAGTACACACATGAAGGATACAAAGTAAAAATTTCATGATGTACCTGCACGTCACAAGTAGTGACAATTCTGATCTTTTGTAAATAAGTGCTGATGGGTTTGGAGGTTCTAGTCATATTCAGTAGTTAGGCAGTTTTGTTTGTTTTTTGAGATGGAGCCTCGCTCTGTCACCCAGGCTGGAGTACAGTGGTGCAATCTTGGCTCACTGCAACCACTGCCGCCCAGGGTCCAGTGATTCTGCTGCCCCAGCCTTGTGAGTAGCTGGGACTGCAGGTGCACACCACCACACCTGGCTAATTGTTGTATTTTAAGTAGAGACGGGATTTCGCCATGTTGGCCAGGCTGGTCTCGAACTCCAGCCCTCAAGTGATCTGCCTACCTTGGGCTCTCAAAGTGCTGGGATTACAGACAAGAGCCACCGTGCCTGGCCTAGTAGTTAGACGGTTTTGTGATGTTTTATATCTATGTATGTCTCATTAGACTTACCTCAAGGTAAGTAACTATCTTTTTCACCCTATACCCCATAGATGAACCAGTGTGTGGTACAGAGTAAGTACTTAGTAATGACAGCTGCTGTTCCTACTCATTCATGCTGTCTTTCACTTCTCCCAGCTTGAGGCAGAGCTTGCACAGAACTTACAAATCTAGGACAACACAGATTAGGAAAAAGTGAAGTGACAAGTGATGCAGGAAGGAAAGAAAGGTGACACAGGCTGGTGCGCTATCAAGCTTCTCAAGGAAACAGCCAGTTTTACTGTCACAAGGGATGTCTCTAGGGAGGCCCTCATGGATGGAACTAAAGCAAATTTGAGCAGCATATCAACAATTGTTGGTATAGTTGTACTTAGGTATGCCCTTTTCCTATTTGTTTTGACTTGTCTCACCTGTTTTTGTCACTCTGTTCCTCCTTTACTGACTTTTTTTGTATTAATAGAATAAATGTTCCATATTTATTGTTTTTGGCATTATAATCATATCTCTTACAATGTATAGAAAATTTTCATCACCTAAAAGCTTGTTTTTTTCCTTCTATTTGGGATATTTTCTATTTCTATATCTTTAGTTATTATTTCATTTTTGTTGTTATTGTTTTTCAGTTTGTTTTGCAAGCCAGGACTTTAAAAAATTTTAGATTGGACAATGAAAATGTTATGTTGTTGGTTGTTGGCTTTGATTATATTCCTTTAAAAGATATACTATCCAACATCTTTTAAAGGAATGCAATTAAAGTTCAATCATTCAAGGCTTGCTTTTAAACTTTTTAGAGTGAATGATAGAACACTCTTTAGTATATGGCCACATCATTTCTTTTGTGGGTTCTATTTGATACTCTGTATGTTACAAGGTCTTTCTAGTCTGGTTGGGTATACACCAACTGTCCCTACCTCTGTGTGATGTGTAGGGATTGTTCTGCTTACTCAAAATGATTCTTTTTCTACCTTCGGTAGTTTCATCTCACACATGTGCAGGTAAATCTTCAATTACACACTCAAGACATCCTTACTACACATCTTCAGAGCTCTTTGTCAGTTCAGAACCCTCCTTTCCAGTAGTTGAGCCCACAAATTCCAGCTCCTTTGCCTTCCCTGAGATAAGATCTCTATCTCTTCAAGTCCACAATTCTCTCAGGCTTTGTTTGTATTTCCTCTTCCTACACAGCAGTTTGGAAACCGACCCCAAGAAGTAAACTAGTGCAGTCATAGAGCTCTCTTGGTTTATTCTCTCGCCTCTGAGATGAGAGTATCGTGCAGCCTGTTGGTCAGCATCTGAAAATCATTGTTTCATAGATTTTCATAGATTAAAAACCTGGGCCGGGCGCGGTGGCTCACGCCTGTAATCCCAGCACTTTGGGAGGCCGAGGCGGGCGGATCACGAGGTCAGGAGATTGAGACCATCCTGGCTAACATGGTGAAACCCCGTCTCTACTAAAAAATACAAAAAATTAACCAGGCGTGGTGACGGGCGCCTATAGAACCAGCTACGCGGGAGGCTGAGAAGGAGAATGGTGTGAACCCAGGAGGCGGAGCTTGCAGGGAGCCGAGTTCGCGCCACTGCACTCCAGCCTGGGTGACAGGGCGAGACTCCGTCTCAGACAAAAAAAAAAAAAGACAGATTTTCTAATAGGCTTTTTATGGCTTTCTTTGGGTTTGATTTAATGTTCTTTTTCTGCCTGCTTTAGCTAGAAAATTAGAACACAGATTTGAAGTTTATCATCTTTTTCCAAGTGCATTTAAGACTCTACGTCCTATTTTAATGTAGGTCTTACTTCAATTTACAAATTGTGATAGGTTCTGTCGTTACTATCATTTGGTTTAAAACTTTTTGTTATTTCTGTTGTTATTTTATCTTTGACTCAGGTGGTTTTTCTGTTATTTGTTTTTATAGATGTTTATCACTTAATTTCCAAGAATGTGAGGATTTCCTAGTATATTTGAATTGTTAATTTTTGTCCTAAATTTACTCTGGTCAGATTATATACTGTGAATGATTTCAATCAAAATAGGTTTACACAAGTTCTGAAATGACATAATTTAAAGTTGGTAATGGTTTATGTGCACTTGCAAAAAATGTGTGTTGTATCTGGATTGTCTGCACAGTTTTACATATGTAATTAGATCCATTTTAAATTTAAAGTCTTTCATATATTAACTGATATTTTTTCTGTTCTATCAGTTATTGAGAGAAATGTAATAAATTCTATTAAGATTGTTGATTTGTTTGTTTTTTTGTTTCAGTTTTGTAAATATTTGCTTTATATATGTTGAATCTAATTTACTGAGTGCCTAAAGATTTAGAATTTTAATACTCCTGGTATGCTATGGTTTGAATGTTTGTCTTCTCCAAAACTCATGTTGAAATTTAATTGCTATTGTGAAGGCATTGGGAAGTGGGACCTTTAAGAAATGGTGTTTAGATCATTAGGGCTCCATCCTCATAAATGGATTAATATTATCGTGGATGTGGGTTCACCCCTTTTTGCTCTCCCTCTCTTTCTTTCACCCCTTCTTGGTTTTCTGCCTTCTGCCATGGGATAGGGCAACAAAAAGGCTGTCACCAAATGCTGGCCCCTTCATCTTGGACTTCTTACCCTCCAGAATCATGAGTCAATAAATTTCTGTTTATTATAAATTACCCAGTTTCAGGTATTCTGTTACAGCAGCACAAAATGGACAAGGGCATGATATATTTTCACTTTTATCACTATGACATATGTCTGTAATTATATTTTTGAAAGTTAACTTTAATATTAGCATTGAATGTTTTTTTATATTCCCTTTTTTTCCTGCAATTTTTTTGGCATAGTGTATTATTTTTAATCCTTTTATTTATAATCATTGTGGATCCTTATAATAAAAGTGAGTCACTTCTAAGCAACAAATGCAACTTCTTGTTTATTTGTAATTCAAGTATTACTGTCTTAGTGTTGTATATAGTGTATCTATTTCTTTTATTGCTTTGTTATTATTGAAATGTTTGGATCAATAGCTAACATTTATTGTCCATCCTCCAATGTTTTGAGGTTCTTTTACTTTTTTGTCTTGTTCACATTTGAATTAATAAAATGTTTTTTAATTTTATGTTCTTTCTTTCACATTTTTAATTTTAATCTTTTATTTTTTATACATTCCTTTACATGACTATTATAGCGATTATAACAAGAAAACTTGAACTATTATAGTTTATTTTTCTTCTACCATTTCTATATAAATCTATAACTTTCTAACATTTTAACTTTCTTTGTCCCTCTGCTGAGGTTTTATTTTGTTCGAGGCATTTTAGCCTAAACATATTTTAAAATCTATGAGGCATTTTTCTTTTGGTTTATATAGTCAAAATCCATTGACACTTACTCACATATTTGCCCATTCTTCCTGTACATCATGACTCTATCTGGGATTTTTTTTTTCTTTCGCAATAACTCCTTGCATATATCTTTCAATAAAGAATTGCTCATAATAAATTCTCTTAATAGTTTGGTCTGAAGTTATCTTCATTCCATTTTAAAAACTTTTTGTTTGTACAAAATTCCAGTTTGACACTTTAAAAATTATATTAATATGAAATGTGTTTTCCTATGGCCTCCATGGTCTCTACAGAACTCAAATGTTATTTTTTTTTCTGTTAATTTGAAGGCACTGTGTCTTCCTCTCTCATCATGCCTCCCTCTTAGATGTTTTCAAAATTTTCCCTTTGGTTTTTGGGATTATTTCAATTGCCTAGATATAATTCTCTTTCTACTTATTCTACTCAGGGTTTTCATAACTTATTGAATCTGTGTATTAGAGGCTTTAATCAATTTTGGAAAACTTTTGGTAATTTTATCCTCAAATATATCTTCTGCTTCATTCTCTTTTCCATTTTCAAACTTGAAAAATGCTTTTGTTCAACTATTTCCCCATATTCCACAAGACTATTTATACTTCTACTTGCATTTTTCCTCTTTGTCCTCTGAGAGACCTTCTGGTTCTCTAACCACATTTTCTGCTAATAAATCAATCTATTAATTCTTAAGTTTAGTTGTACTTTTAGTTTTAGATGCCCATTTGGTTATTTTTTATACATTTCAATTCTTTGGTAAAATTCTTTATTTTTTCATTAATTTTCTATCTTGATTTCCTTGACCATATTAATCCAAATTATTTAAAAGTCTTTGATTGATAACACAAATGTCATGTTCAAATCTCTTTCTATTGTCTATTCTTTTCTTTTAATTTTAGTCATATAATTCTCACTCTTGGTATGTTTAGAACTTTTTGATTGAGTGTTAGTCATTTTAGTTGTTTTTTGCTTTCTCAGTGGTCAAAATATTTCATCCTAACTGAAACTGAAGCTCATCAAATTACAAATTCTAAAATGCTGCCAAGTATCACAGATATCACAAAATCGGGAGAAAAATTAAAAATTTAACTACAACTTGGCATATCTCTGAAAAATTTTTTCCACTTTTTTAGTAGAAATTTTTATGTAACAATTGCTTTATAATATTCCTATAGGTATGCTAAGGAATAAATGTATATTTATTTTATACATTTGTATATTTTATACATTTGTGTATATATGTATATTTTATATACATAGATTTCTTTTATCATGGCTGGTTAGAATTTGCTTTAAATTATTAATTTAGAAAAGGTTCAGCTTCATAATTTATCAATAATGTCTAATTATTATTAGTTGATTTTATATTTGAGTCATCTATAGATTACTTTTTCATAAATACTGTACAGTTGCAAATGCATTAGTAATTTCAGCACCACTACATGTTAATGCAGTATAGGAACTCTGATACAAGTCTCATTACACACACACACACACACACACATTCCATTATTGATCAAGTATATTATTGACAGGAGAAAATGTCTGTTTTGACTAAGCATTGATGAGAATCAACCTTTTACTTACACTTTATGTCTGATGATCGAAATAATTTTCTCCAGAACAGTTTCTGGCTTCCTACATTTCAATTCTTTTTTTCATCTTCAACCACACATGCTTTCAGAAGTATGAAGTGTAGGACATAGCTATGTTGCAAAATTGCCTTTGTCCTTGTGCCTCCACACCTTAGTGCCAGTTACATTAGTAGTGTGGGCAATAGGAGTGTTTCTGGAAGCTATTCCAATAATAGAACAATAAATACTTCATTATACGTGGTAGTGTTCAACCACATAATAGACTCAACTCAGACTTTCCTTTAGCCAGATGCCCAAAAAGCCTATGGCCATTCTAGTGTGACCCAATACCAAACGAACATGATGGAGAGGAATTTGGAAAAGACAAGACAGTGATCTTATCTAATTACAGTTAAAATAGATCACTTTAAATTTTTTTTTCCAAAGCATATGATTATATGAACTAATTTCTGGAGCTCCTCCTAGAATCTAATAAGGTACCTATAAAGTTTGGATCTTTGAAGATTAAGCCTCATTAGCTTCAAGGCAAACCTGTCTATTATATAAAATGGTTGGGAGGAGGTAAGAGAGAAAAGTTATAAAAAGAATGAGGAATCATTAGAAATAGAAGGTTTTTTTTTTAAATAAGAAGATAAGAGTAACTCACTGAATGAAGAGACTTTGGTGACACTGAAGGAGACAAATATTAAAAGAAACAAAATAATTATGAAGATAACACCATTGGAAAAAATACAATGATTGTGCCAGGTAATATTTTTGATCACTTATTAAGTGACTGGTCCTATATTAAGCAATTTAAATCCATACTTTCATTTAACCCTTATAAAATATATGTGAGGTTGGTGATTATTTTGTGCCTAATTTTGTAAAGTAGAAAACTAAGGCCCTGGTAGGCTAAGTAGCTTTCCCAAGATCACATAGTTAGTAAGTGGTAGCCATAAAGTTGAACCTGGATCTGTTGGATTCATTGTTTGTTCTTTTAGCTACCTCATTAGAGTAGAAACACATGAGAAACTAAAGGCTAGGAAAAAAATGAGGATATTAATTACAATGTAGAATGACCAGCAATATATGAAACATCTTTTATTTATTTTTGATTTTTAATTATCACTATGTTTAAGCATATAAAAATAATCTACTCCCATTGTTGTTTTGCTAAATCCAAAATAATACTTTTTTTCATTAACAGTATGACTTTGATGCAGCAGTGACAGTTAAAAAGATTTATTTATTGACAAATATTAAGGACCTTTAGTAATTACAAATTATGATGCATGAGAAAAATGATGAGGATAAATTAACTAATGTTTGCAGAGCTTTTTAAATATTAAAAGGGTCCCTAAGATTTTAGTATTATACACAATATTGGTTAATTAATAATGGCTTGGGAGGACCAGTTTTAAATTTTCTGATCTTAGTGCACCTAAATTCACGATGATGTTTTACACATTGACTATGCGAATGATAAGGAAAAATCCAGTCATGGGTTTCATTTCCAACTGAGCAGAAAAAAAGTCTATTTGGACTATTAACTTTTGATTTTTTTTCTAAGACAAATGTATAGGTAAATTTTATTCCCTGATTAGGGACATAGTGGTGAAAGAGAGCAGTATTAAGAATTAAGACGCAAGACTGTTAGCCCCCACATCAGACAAATTATCCTTATACTGCCTGTCAATGTTGTTAACAGAGACTGTTATTTTACTAATCCTCATGATCCAAATAATTTCTTTTTTTATGTTTCAGGGCACAGCAGGTGAGAGAGTGGATTTGTTAAGCTGGGTGGGTTTATCCTTCTTTTATGTGTTTGTTCAATTTTATGTTCATTTACTTATTGTACACATATGGCAATAGAAGCTGCTAAAGCAATCACTGTTATCCTGCAAAACAACAAAGCACAGAAGCAGATGTTATATTTCCAAGATTTTTTTTTACTCAGGATTATTATGATTAAAGATTCTCTCCTTCCCTCCGCCTTTGAAGGAGAGCAGGGGTTGCTTTCTGGAGGCTTTCTAATGACTCAGGGAAAGGCTCCAATATCCTCGCATTACAGCAATCCACCCCAGGGGCAAACCACACATGAATATTATGAATTTATTTTATTTTTCAAAATTATATGGATGAAGAAAATCAGCAAAGTGGCATCATAACAGGTTTGTTATAGTTGTATTAAGTATATTGAAAAAGCAAAACACAGCACCTTATTTCAAACTGAGAAAATAATTATGTACATCCAAGGCTGGTCTTAGAAAAAGAAGATTTAATTCACACTGGGGCAAGAGGTTAGCTTCTGTTTTCAGCCAGGTAGCTATTTCAAGAATTAAACATTGTGAGTAATATAGGAAATAGAAGGGATAGTCTAAGACAGGGCAAGCATACTTTGCATCAGGAAAGACAATTCAAGGTTTAAGGTTTTTTTATTTTCTTCTTTTTAAAAAGCTGCCTGATTTCAATTAGATAGAAAAAGCTGGATTTGATTTATTTTCTTTCTTTTCTTTTCTTTTCTTTTCTTTGCTTTCTTTTTTCTTTTTTTTTTTTTTTGCTTTTTTTACTTTGGATATTTGACCTCTAAGCTGAGATGACTGAAACTTCCTTCTTTGAGCATCAACCTTTTTGAAATACTGTTTTCCTCTCCCTAAGGGCTTTTTATCTTTTGATGGTATTGTCTACATTCCTCACCAAAAGGTAAACATTTGTCCTTGCACTGAACTCTGAGGTCTCCTGATAAAAAGGAAGCTGAATAGAAGAAGAATTAAAGGCCAATATGTTTATTTCGCTCTCAAGTGCATTGATGTGTATGTATGTGTTGAGAGATAGGAGTGGGCTTGAGAGCGAGGGGTAAATACTTTGTGAGGCTGTCTACCTATAGGCTTAGAAGTTTACAGGGGTATTAGGACAAGCATTACTATTAGCATGAAGAGGAGAGTTGAACTCAATTGCAACAGCATCTAGCTAAACACATAGTGCAATAAGTCAATGATACACATTAGTATTGTGTTCAACCCTTCTCCCTCCCTGTTCCTGCTAATTGGAAATTTCAATCCATTTCAGACAATCAGCACAAGTGTCAGTCATTTTCCATAGCACAGCTCTTCCAGGAGGAAGAAATGGAATACACATAGCAACAGACCTCAAGTCACAGCCCATGTGTCTTACATTTTTATGTGATCACTAGTTGACTTGCAGCCCATAAGCAGTTTGCAAATTTGCTGCACATTAGGATCACTTGGGAAATTTTGAAAAAATCCCCATGCCCAGGCTCCTCTCCAGATCTACTAAATCAGAATCTGGAGGTAGGGCCCAGAAGCCAATGTCTTTTAATGCTCTTTAGGTAATTCAAATGAGCAGCAAAATTTGAGTATCACTTCAATAGGGAAACAAAACAAACTTATTCCACATGCATAAAGTATGGACAATCCATATAGCAATATATATTTCTTTCTTTCTCTTCTCTTCATTCTGTTTATGTTTCAAATAAGGTTTGATATAGAATAATGAGGAGCAAGATAGCTGACTAGTGTTGCCAGGTGCTGGTCCCCCACAACAAAAAGGGACCAAAACAATGAATAAACAACTATACCTCAAGTGGAGTGATTGAGAAAGTATGCTGGAGAGCACCAGGGAGCAGTGAAATCCCTGTGGAGTACAGAAGCCTAGGATAGCACCATAGAGAAGGAAGCAACACACCCTGCCTCTGCTGCACTGTTTCCCCTGCTGCAATCAGCTTTGAGTCAGGGGAAGTTATTCTACTAGGAAGAGGCAAGCTGGAGACTCCCAGTGGTCTCAATAGCTGCCAGAGATGCCAGAAATCCTTGCTACAGGAGAGTCCCTCAGTCATTACAGACCCTAAATACAGTTTGTAAAGTTGCTGAAAGTTCATGCAGCAGCATTGCCCCAGAGTAAGAGCCTAGGTTGTATACCCACCACTCCTATGACCTAAGCTGCAACAACCAGGTGCCATCTTGAAACTGGACCCACCGCTAGAGTGTGTCCTGCCCTGGAGGCCAGGAGCCACTGCCTCTATTCTTGAAGCTCCACTGTTATTCTACCATGTTCATATGAGTGCCTGTAGCACCACGAGCCTGGCTTCACTAAGCCTGCACCCCCATCCCCAAAGAACAGGTGGATCTGCACAGCAAGGCAGCTGCAGAACAGCCAGTCAGCCCACTGTGCCAATGCATACCCATAACAAGCCTAACAGAGCGGCGACTGCCCTGTCTCCTAGAGCTACCACCACATAAGCAATCTGCTCACTGCACTGTGTGCACCTGCACCTAGACCAACAACCACTTTTTCATCAGCTCTGTCTGCTGTAGAGACTACCACACAGCTGACGGGCCCAATAGTGAGTCTGGTGGCAGACTCATCTCCCTGGAGACATTGCCACACAGTAGTCTGGTGATGTGTGCATGCCTGGCCCAAAAGCCAGCTCAGTAGTGGCCCTGCTGCCCCAGAGAACCCATCACACACCCTGCCATCCTATCACTCCTGAATGTGCCCAGCCTGAAAACCAGCTAGGCACCCCCACCTTCAGAAAAATTATACCACTGAAGTCACAAGCTTTCAGAGGTTAGTTCACTGAGGTAATCACAGACATCACCAACAAAAATTACAGCTGAAGAAACTGCATGGGGCCCATGCTGTTGAGTCCACCTAGTTCCAAAGCCAATGTACCATATCCAACCAATACCCTTAGGACCCTGTAGATGTACAGAATAACTGTATCTCTATGAAAGTTATCCATAAAATTGGAAAAAGCTACTGTTCTATTAGATGTGCATCTATCAATGTAGGAAGACAAGAAACATGAAAAAGGAAAGAAATGTAACATCCCCAAAGAAACATAGTAAGTCTCTAGTAACAGACCTCGAAGAAAATTATATTTACAAATTGCCTTAAAATCTTCATAATAATTATCTTAAGGAAACTCAATGAGATACAAAAGAATACAAACAATAAAATCATAAAGTACTATTTATTATATGAATGAATAATTTAGCAGAGAGGTAAATATCATAAAAAGGCACCAAACAGGAATCTTGGAGGTGAAAGTTTCAATGAATGAAATAAAAAATACAACTGAGAGCTTCCACAACCAACTAAATCAAACTTAAGAAAAAATTTTCAAACTTTAAGATAGGTCTTCTGAAATAACCCAGTTAGAGGGAATAAAAAAGAAATAAGAATTTTAAAAAGTAAAAAACCTACCAGGCCTATGAAATACCATTGAGTAAACAAATATTTGCATTATAGTATTACCAGCGGGAAAAGAGATAGAGACAGGCACAGAAAACCTGTTTAACAAAATAATAGCTAAAAAATTCTTGTCTTGAGAGAGACATAGGCATCCAGATCCAGAGAGATCAAAAGTCTCAAACCAGATCCAAAAAGATTCCCTTTGGGACACATTATAATCAAACTGTCAAAAGTCAAAGGGAGGTCAAGGCTGCAGTGAGCCATGATTATGCCACTGCACTTCAGCCTTGGTGACAGAGCAAGATCCTGTCTCAAAACCAAAAATAGTCAAAGATAGAATTCTAAAAGTTGCAAGAGAAAAGCACCAAGTTGCATGTAAGGGTATCTCCATTAGACTATCAGCATATTTCTCACCAGAAAACTTGCAGGCCAGGAGAAAATGGGATGGTATACTTAAAGTGCTGAAAGAAAAAAAAATGACTATGTTTAATACTATCTACAGCAAAGCTATTAATTACAAATGAAGAAAAGCAGACAAGCAAAAGCTGAAAGAATTCATCACCACTTGACTGACCTTACAAGAAATGCTTAAGGGGGTTCTGCAACTGGAAATAAAAGGATGATGATTACTATCATGAAAACATGTGAACATATAAAACATATCTGTAGAGGTAAATTTGCAATCAAACTCAGAACACTCCAGGGCTGTAATAATGCTATGTAAATCTCTCTGTTCTCTAGTATAAAGCTTTAAAGTCAAAATGGTCAAAACACACACACACAAACCAGAGTTACAATTAGTGACAAAGGGGCACACATAAAGATGTAAATAAAGGTAACAAAACTATAAATTGTGGGAGGAAAAGAAAGAGTCAGGAGTATTTTTATGTAACCAAAGCTAAGTTGTTATCAGTTTAAGATAGTTTATAACTACAAGACTCTTTATGTTAACGCTGTGGTAACCACGCACCAAAAAAAATTACAGCAGATACACAAATGAGAGAGAGAAAGAAAACAAAGCTTAGCACCACAAACACACACACAAAACACCAAAACACAGAGATAAACAACAAGAGGGAAAGACAGAAACAAAGGAACTATAAAACAACAAGGCAACAATTTTTAAAATGTCAAGAATAAGTTATATCTTATTAATAATAACCTTGAATGTAAATGGATTAAATTATCCATTTAAAAAATATAGAGTGGCTGCATGATTTGAAAAATAGACCTAACTATACACTGCTTATAAGAGACTCACCTCACTGTTCAAGGCAACATAAAGTCTTAAAGTGAAAAGATGGAAAAAGTTATCCATGCAAATGGAAACAAAAAGCAAGCAGGAGTAGACATATCAGATAAAGTCAGCTTAAAGTAAAAAAAACAAAACACAACAACAAAAAAAAAACTTTAAGAATAGACAAAAAAGAGGTCATTATGATGGCAGCAACTGCCCATCTGGAGTGGCTGCTGCAAATATGCCAGCTGCAGCAGGGGAGGTGTTGCCTGGGCTGTGGGCTCTGTGGAACTGGTGGGACCAGGAAGAGGCAGCACTGCACCCCCTACTGAGTTGGTGGGACAGGAGCTCTGCACTCCCAGGCACAGCTTCAGCTGTGCAGCCACAGCTCGGGACCTGAGCATCCCCAAGCTCTTGGGGACCCAAGATGCCTCCCTGCCTCTGTGAGCTTAGAAGTGCGTGCTTCCACTCCCTGGTCTCTCCCTGCTCCAGGCCCACTCTGGTGCAGAGCAAAGTTGAAGTCAATCCCAGGCACTGTTGCAACCTGGCTGGATGTGTATGCACTTGGGCCAGTGTTGACATGGCAGCACCCTGCTGCTTGGCCTCCTCTGGACTTTGGGTGCCAATGAGCATGGGAGGGAGGATGGGGCAATCCTGAGGGTGACACAGAATAAGCCTGCAGGCACCCCTCATCATGAATAGCCCAAGAACCATGGATGGGATGTTGACGGTGGTGGGAGGCAGACAGATTCCTGGGTAGAAAGGGGCAGGTCCCTAGTGAAGCCCCACCTTCAAGCCAAGGATGGCTTGAAGCCTGGATGCCAGGCTGCCAGTTCCGGGTGGTGTCTTTGGCCCAGAGTGAGAACTTATGGTGCTTTTACCAGGCTGCCCATGTCTACCCATGGCCACCCATGGACCAATCAACATGAATTTCCTCCCTTCTGAGTCCATAAAAACCCCAGACTCAGCTAGACTCACACAGATGTCTGAACTACCAGCTGTGGGAAGGAGCTACCCACTTCAGGTCTCCTTGACTCATCAGGATGACCTGCTTGTAGAAAGGAGCTATCCACTATGGGTCTACTCTGTGCTGAGAGCTGACACTCATTTGGAAGACTTGCCTGCATAAAGGAGCTACCCACTTTGGGTCTCCTGAGAGCTGTTCTGTCAATCAATGAAGCTCCTTTCTGCCTTGCTCACCCTCTAGTTGTCCACATAACTCATTCTTTCTGGATGCAGGACAAGAACTTGAGACCTGCTGAATGGTGGGCCTGAAAGAGCCATAACACAAGGAGGGCTGAAACATGGCCACAGCTCACCACATTGCAGGCAATGAGAAAGAGAGAAGACCTGTGGCCTTTTGGGAAGCCCAGACTTAGGGGCTCCCGAACAAGGGCTGTGACACCCTCTTTGGGGCTTTACGGTTCCTGGCGTCTCAAAGCCTCTGGGCACCACCACATTCCCTGGTGCCTGCAGTGGAAGCCGCTTGGGGTACACCTGGTTCAGCTGAAGCCTCACATGGAGCTGGTGCCTGTGCCAGTGCCTGGAGCTGCCCACCCTGCCATAGCTGGCACACCTGGCTGTTTGCAGTGGCCAGACCCAGGATTCACTCACACACCCCTCGCCGCTCCACACCTGGCTTGCCCTTGGCAGGCATGGGATCCAGGACAGTAGCATGAGCCAAGCGCAGCCTGCCAGGCAGAGTGGGTGGAACTAGCCCAAGTAGAGGTGCTGCAGGCCACAGAGGTTTCTGGCTGGTGAAGTGACACGCTAAGGATCCCAATTACATAATGATAAAGGAATCAATTCAACAACAGGATGAAACAATTGTAAATATACATGCACCCAACATTGGAGCACTTAAATATATAAATCAAGTATTATTAGATCTAAAAACAGTGGTAGACTACAATACAATAATAGTAAGAGACCTCAACACCTCACTGAAAAATGGACAAATCATCTAGGCAGAACACCAACAAAGAAACAGACTTAAACTGCATCATAGACCAAATAGACCTAAGAGACATTTACAGAACATACCGTTCAACAGCTGCAAGATATACATTTTTCTCAACTGCATATAAAATATTCTCCAGGATAGATGATTTGTTAGGCCACCAAAAAAGTCTTAACAAAATTAAGAAGGTAAAGATTATATGAAGTACCTTTTCTGGCCACAGTGGTGTAAAATTAGAAATTAACAAAAAGGAAAACTTTAGAAATTTTACAAATATATGGAGATTATACAACATGATCCCAAATAATCAATGTGTCAATGAAGGAATTAAAAGAAAAATTTAAAAATTTCTTGAGATAAATGAGAACCTATGGGACACAGCAAAAGCAGTTCTAAGATGCAAGCTTATAGCCATAAACACCTACATCATAAAGGAAGAAAGAATTCTATTAAACAACCTAATTTTGTACCTCAAGGAACTAGAAAGGTAAGAACAAACTAAATTCAAATTGGTAGCAGAAAGGAAATAATAAAGGTCAGTGCAGAAATAAACAAAATAGAAACCAAAATAACAATTCAAATGATCAATAAAATAAAAAATTGATTATTCGAAAATATAAACAAAACTGATAAACCTCCAGCTACTTTAAGAAAAATGAGAGAATACTCAAATAAAATAAGATATGAAAAAGAGACATTACAACTGATACCACAGGAATACAAAAGGTCATAAGAGACTATTATGAACTATATGCCAACAAATTTGACAATATAGAAAAAAATGCAAATTCATAGACACAACTACCAAGATTAAATCATGCAGAAACAGAACATCTGAAAAGACCAATATTGAGTGAAAGGATTGAATCAGTAATATGATGTATTCCATCAAACAAATCAAAGTCCAGAACCTAATGGCTTTGTCTCTGAATTCTACTAATCATTTAAAGAAGAACTAATATCTAATATCAATCTAATAGTCTCAAACTATTCCAGAAAGTTGAAGAGGAAGCCACACTTCCAAACTCATTTTACAAGGCTGCAATACCCTGATTCCGAAACCAGACAAAGTCACAATAAAAATGAAAACGGGAGGCCAATATCGCAGATGGAAATAGATGCAAAGACGCTCAAAAAGATACTAGTAAACTGTAGCACATGAAAAAGGTCATTCACTATGATCAAGTGGGATTCATCCTAGGGATGCAAAGATAGTTCAACATATGCAAATAAATAAATGTGATACAGGAAATCACCAGAAAAAAAATCATTTCAATAGACACAGAAAAAGCATTTGATAAAATGCAATATCCTTTAACGATAAAATCTCTCAATAAGTTACCTCAACACAGCAAAGGCCATATACAACAAACCCACAACTAACATATACTGAATGGAGAAAAGCTGAAGCTCTTTCTCCAAGATTAGGAACAAGATGAAGGTCTCCACTTTTACCACTGTATTCACCATAGTATGGGAAGTCCTAGCCAGAGCAATTAGGCGAGAATGAAAATAAAAGGCATACAAATTGGAAAAGAGGAGGTAAAATTATCCCTGTTTGTAGATGATGTGATATTATACATAGAAACCCTAAAAACTTCGCCAAAAAAACTGTTAGAGCTAATAAATGAATTCAGTGAATTCACAGAATACTAAATCAACATCAGTAGCATTTCTATATGCTAACAGTAAGCTATCTGAAAAAGAAATCAAGAAAACAATAATTGTATATCCACATGCAGAAGAATGAAACTAGATCCCTACATCTTACCATATACAAAAATCCACTCAAAATGGATTAACAACTTAAATGTAGAAACTGAAACTATAAGCTACTAGAAGAAAATATAGGAGAAATCTTTTATAATATTGGGCTTGGCAGGGACTTTTAAAATAAGACCTCAAAAACATAGGCAACAAAACAAAAATAGACTAATGAAATTAAATCAAACTAAAAAGCTTTGCACAGCAAAGGAACAGTTAACAGAGTAAAGAGACAATGTACAGAATAAAATATTTGCAAACTATACATCAGACGAGGGGTTAATAATCAGAATATATAAGGAGCTTAACAGCAAAAGCACAAACAACTTGATTTAAAAATGGGCAAAATACCTTGATAGACATCTATAGAAAGAATACATAAAATGGCCAACAGGTATATTAAAAATGATCATCATCAGTAATCATCAGAGAAGTACAAAGCAAAATCGCAATGCAATATCTCACACCTGTTAAAATGGCTATTTATTCAGTTGACGTAAAAGTAATTGCGTTTTTGCCGTTACTCTGCACCAACCTAATTTAAAAACAACATAATCAACAACAATAACAAAAGATATTAAGTGTTGGTGAGGATGCAGAGAAAAAGAAACATACACACGGTTGATGAGATTATAAAGCAGGGCAGCTATTATGGAATACAGTATGGAGGTTCCTGAAAAAATTGAAAATCAAGCTACTATATGATCCAGCAATGTTGCTACTGGGTATATATCCAAAGGCAATGAAATCAGCATGTTGAAGAGATGTCTGCACTCCTATATTTATTGCAGCATTATTCATAATAGCCAAGATATGAAATCAACTGATTCAACAGGTAAGTGGGTAAAAATAGGGGTATGCATACACATTGAAATACTTTCAGTCAGAAAAAACAATGAAATCCTGCTGTTCATGACAATTTGGATGAATCCAAAGGACATTATATTGAGTGAAATAAGCCAGACACAGAAAGATAAATAACCCATGATCTTACTCATAGTTGGAAGCAAAAAAAATATATATATATATAGATATATATATTGTAGAAGTAGAGTAGAACAGTGATTACCAAAGATTGGGGAGAAAAGGTGGGATGGGAAGATGGGGACAAGTTGATCAATTTGTACAGGGTCATAATAAGATAGGAAGAATTCTAGTATTCTATTATACAGTAGGGTAACTATGGTTAACAACAAGGTATTGTACATTACAAAATAGCCAGAAGAGAGGCTTTTAAATGTTCTCATTGCAAAGAAATAATAAATGAGGATGAGGTGACAGGCTGATTGCCCTTATTTGATCATTATACACCATGTACATGAATGGAAATATCAAATTCTACTCCATAAATATGTAGTTACAATGTGTGAATTAAAAAATTTAAAAAAATAGTTTCCAATATAAACAAACAGGTGCAACCAAGAACAAAACATGCTTTTTTTCCCTACAAAAAGTAGTTAGTGATAGTATAATCTGGATCTGGTAAGGGCTTCCTCCATTAGTATCTTAATATTTCAAAGCCCCTGGAATGGTGGTTCTCAAAATGTGATCACCTGACCAGCTTTGTCAGCATCACCTTATAACCTGTTCCATATTCGAATTATCAAGCCCTGCCACAGGCCTATGGAATCAGCAACTCTGGTGGAACCCAGCAATCTGTGCTTTAAAAGGCACTCCAGGTGATTTTCATGCACTCTAAAATGTCATGCCCTGGTGGAGGACAAGTTGTTCTTAGTATAGGTCCCTACTTGGTAAAGAGGCTTATCACAGCCAGAGCAAAGATTTGGACTAACTAAAGCTATTATGACAGAACTCGTTGCTGTAGTGATACAGAATGCCTTTTCTCCATTTCTTGGCAGAGACTGGTATCTGAAAGTAGGAGTAGGGATATAAAAATGCTTTCCATTTCAACACAGTGACCAGCTAACATGACATTTAGAGAAAACATGATCGAGGTTGGACAAATCACAGTGCTAATTAAAATTAAGCAAGTACGGACAAAATCTAGACTTCCTTACCCATTTTGGGGGAGGTAAATCTCATTGGGTAAAAGATCTTATTATTAAAAGATCTTTACAGCACATCCCTTCTGCTTATTTATTCTCAGTTTTAGCTGGACATTGGAATCATCTGGGGAACTTTAAAATTACTGATATTTCAACCCACTATCAGAGAACCAGAAATTCTGATTTAATTGGTCTGGGATGCAGCAGGATTTTTAAGAAGCTCTTCAGGTGATTCTAATGTAAGGCCAAATTTAGAAACCACTGCTTAAGCTTTGGTGCTTAAGAATTGCTGCTACTTCTTTTATTCTAGCCCTCCTGTGATGAGATCCAGCTGTAGTTGAGGCTTATGTTTCTTTTACTCTCATTATAAGATAACACTGAACCCAAAGCAAACCCTGTATGCCACCTGGTATAGCTGGATATCCAGAAATATCTGGTTATTTAAGATATATGCCATTTAAATCAGGGGTCCCCAGCTCCTGGCCCACAGACTGGTACCTGTTAGGAACCAGGCTACACAGCAGGAGGTGAGTGGTGGGCTAGCAAGGGAGATGAGCTTCATCTGTATTTACAGACACGCCCCATTGCTCACGTTAACACCTGAGCTCTGCCTCCTGTCAGCTCAGCAGCAGTCTTGGATTCTTGTAGGAGCTCGAATCCTATGGGGAACTGCAGATGTGAGGGATATAGGTTGCGCTCTCCTTATGAGAGTCTAACGTCTGATGATCTGTCACTGTCTACCGTCACCCCCAAATGAGACCATCTAGTTGCAGGGAAACAAGCTCAGGGTCCTCACTGATTCTACATTATGGTGAGTTGTATAATTATTTCTTTATATATTACAGTGTAATAATAATAGAAATAAAGTGCACAGTAAATGAAATGTGCTTGAATCATCCGGAAACCATCCTCTCCGACGGTGGTTCATAGAAAAATTGTCTTCTATGAAACCGGTTCCCAGTGCCAAAAAGGTTGGGGACTGCTGATTTAAATAATATCACTGATCTATTAAAAGCTCACATATACATTGAATTAGTATGTTTGCTTTTGAAATCTTCATTTTAGGAAGCCATATCTCGAATCTAGTGGTCTTGTCATTACACAAATACCTGGGAATTTTGTTTTAGAGATTTCTTTTTTTAAACTCCAGGGATTAAAACCAAAATTGCTCGGTGTTATTTGTGCTGGTGCCATGAAAATCTCCTGCTATCAGACCTTAACTATTATTTAGCAGCTTATTTAGTCTTTCTGACATAAACCTCACTAATCTTTTCTATGCCTACACTGCTAATATTTCAGGCCGGACCCACTTAAATATTTTTAAAATGTTGTAATATAGATTCACAAGAGGTTACAGAGAATTATATGGGTAACTCGGTGTACGCATCATCCAGCCTCCCCCAAAGCTGACATGTTTCATGAATATAGTATATTATCAATACCAGGAAATTGACATTCATACAGTTCATAGAGCTTATTCAGATTTTACTAGTTCTATGTGCTGTCTTAGTACATTTGAGCCACTAGTGTCTACCGATGCTGATCTGTGAGGTAAATCAGATCCTCATCTACCCCAGGTGTGAGGTAGAGAGAGCCTCACTGCTGCAGTCACTGCTTTGCATTAGGCCACTTTTGCTCCAGGTGTGGGGTGAGGCACCACTGAAGCTACTAGAGCTGTGGATCACAAGGCTGGACCTCGCTTTAGATAATGCTTAGATCTGAATACATAGCGTGAGCCTTGCAGGCCCTCTGTCTTTGTTAATATTTTCTATTGCCGTCATATAACTTACTGTACATTTAGTGACTTAATAAATATATTTATTATCTTAAACTTTATGTCAGAAGCCTGACAGATCTCAATGGGCTAAAATAAAGGTATTGGCAAGGCTGAATTCATTTCTGAAGGCTCGAGGGCTGAACCCCTTTGCTGGACTTTACCAGCTTCTAGAAGTCAATTGCAGTTCTTGGTTCAGGTGCCACTTTCTTCATTGTCTAAGCCAGCAATATTGCATCTCTGACCATTCTTCTACTGTCATCTGTCTCTCTCCTTCCCTCTCCCTCCCCAGATGGGGATAGTTCCCTGCTTTTAAAGACTCATGTGATTTGATTTGATTTGTTCCCTAAGAAAATCCATGATAATCTATTTCAATGTAACTTTTACAATATCTGTAAAGCCCCTTTTTTCCATATAAGGTAAAATATTCACAGGTTTGGGGGACTAGGGTGAGGATGTCTTTGGGGGCAGTTATTCTGCCTATCATACCCTCAATGAGTGGCCATGAGAAAATTATTGAGCTTTTCTGGTTTTATTTTCCTCATCTATACAAACTGCAGAAGAATATCTAGTTTGCGTTAGGGAAATAAAATAGCATACAGGTATAGAAAGCAACTAGCACAGAAAGTAAAATTTCATCTTTTTCTTTTACATTATTCTCCGAGTACATTCACTTGAACAGTTACTTTTTTTTTTTTTAAACAGAGTTGGCCGGGCGCGGTGGCTCACGCCTGTAATCCCAGCACTTTGGGAGGGTGAGGCGGGCGGATCATGAGGTCAGGAGATGGAGACTATCCTGGCTAACATGGTGAAACCCCGTCTCTACTAAAAATACAAAAAAATTAGCCGGGCGTGGCGGCGGACGCCTGTAGTCCCAGCTACTCGGGAGGCTGAGGCAGGAGAATGGCGTGAACCCGGGAGGTGGAGCTTGCAGTGGGCCGAGATCGTGCCACTGCACTCCAGTCTGGGCGACAGAGCGAGACTTCGTCTCAAAGAACAAAAACAAAAACACATGTATCCTAGATCTTAAAGTATTAAAAAAAAAAAAAAACAGAGTTAACACGTTTTAGGGTTCAGGTGCTATGGGTTGTTTGAATTATCTGAGTTGCAATTAGCTAAACACAGATGTAAAACATTTGATTTTTTGTCTTGTATTCTTTATCCTCTCCTCCTGTTAAATCTATAAGCCCTTGTCTAGCTACAGTCAGCTTATTTTACTATTTAACCCTAGTTCAATTTAAATTCTCTCTACATCTCTATTATGTGTCTAGAATTGGATATGGTTGTGGTTCTTAACCCTAGTTGTACATCATAATCATTTGGGGACTTTTCAAAAAATACTGATGCCGAATTATTATTATGGATATTTGGAGAGGGACCTGAGAATAAGAAGCTCTGGCTTGTGGTTTCTGGAGCCAAATTATCGTCGACACTGAGTCAAATCATTCAAGAGATCATTTCTTAAAAGGATTTTGTCTATCATGACCAATATTCTTCCTTCGCCAATATACTTGATTTGTGCTGATTTGAAAAGCAGCAGCAGTTTGGCCCCCTGAATTATATTCTCATGCTGTAGAATTATATCTTCAAATGCTCATTTCTTTTTCCTGTTCTCAGCCTCATGGACTCATATCCTTGGGCAACTTTTAACGTACCACATTGTTCTACTTACAAACTCAGCAAGTCAAGATTCCCAGTGATGAAAATAGATCTTCTATGGGCACCCCCCTGGGAGTATAGGTCAGTTCCAGACCTATCATATGTTAGTTGAAGCAGATACAAGTGGTATTGTATTTTTGGCATTCTTCCTAGTTAGTTGTAGAGAGAATAAGACAAAGTTTTATCTCTTTAGGTGTCATCTGAGTGAATAGGCTGCTCCTCTCCAATGCCTGGTGTGTGCAAAATTAAAGATAGAATGTTATCTCCAGGAGGGATCGACCAGTTCAAATAAACTGCCCACTAAAAGATGAGGAACCTGTGGCTGAAATGGTTAATTTTACATGACAACTTGGCTAGGCCATGATGCCCAGATATTTGCTCAGACATTATTCTGAGTCATTCTGTGAAGGTGTTTTTTTTTTGGGTGAGATTAACATCTATATGGTGGATTTTGAGTAAAGCTGATTGCCTGCCATGTTTGTGGGACTCATCTAATCAGTTGAAGACCTTAATGGAAAAAAACCTGACCTCCCATGAGCAAGTAGTAATTCTGCTATCAGACTGCATTCTGCCAGAACTGCAGCTTTTCCTTGGGTCTGCAGCCTGGTGGCCTACCCTGCAGATTTTGAATTTACCATACCTCCAAAATTGTATGAGCTAACTCCTTTCTCTCTCTCTTTGTTTATAAAACCTCCTGTTTTATTTCTCTGAAAAAATCTGACTAATACAGCAGGCCATATAGATAAAGGGATGAGTCCAACTTCACCCAGGTAGAAAGTAGCACAGCGAGAACTAGAATTTAGTCTCATGAATCATTGACTCACAGTCTCTGATGAACACTAAGCCAGCACTGGAGTTGGGAAACTATGGCCAACTGATCAAATTCTGCTTGGCTCCTGGTTTTGTAAATAAAGTCTTATGGAACACATACAATACATTAATGTATTGTATATGGGTGTTTTCATGCTAAAACAGCAGAGTTGAGCAATTGCAATGGAGAAGTATGACCCGCAAAATCTAAAATGTTTACCTTCTTACCTTTTACAGAAAAAGTTTGCTGACCCCTGCCCTAGAATGGCATCTGATTCCTGACCACTCTAAGGGGAATAATTCATGCACATTGGGTCAGATGATCAATTTCTTGTTCTGCTTAGGTCAATGATCTCTTAAATTTTATTCCTCCCAGGTGGCCAAATTGGAAAGGAATAGCTGAAGACATGCAGATATGTTTTGCTATGTCTGTTCACCTCACGCTGCTCCCTGTGGTTCTCAGAACTGGTCTATTCTAACCACCTACCACTCATTTCTTCATGGCTCTGGCTTCACATACTTGGCAACAGATCTGTTTCTTCTTCTATCCTGGATGACCCATTCCATGGACTGATAATGGAAGCAATATCTTACTCTATATAATTTGTCTTTGATACTGTCTATCTTGGGGTCTTCATATATGTCCTAGTTGGCCAGTCAAACCCTGTCTTTTGCTACTACTACTAATAACCCATTTTGTAGAATGAATTTGGCTGAATTCACCGAATTATCCATTTAGAAACCATTTGTGGCCTGTCACTAGGTTTTAGCACAGGTGTAGAAACTTGGGTTAGTATCTATATTTAAATCAACCTAACTGGTCAAAAACTTGTTGTTTACTACTTTACTACACAAGCAACTTCTCCTATCTTTCCATCGATGTCAAAAGTATAATATTTTATTGTTTAAATTATTTAGAGAATTAGATTCTCCATTTCAAGGAGCATTGGAATATGGAGACTTAGTGTGATGTAACTATTTTATGATATTATTTCTAAAATGTTGAGTTAGGCTTTGAAATTTGGCCAAGAGAGGGCAAAAAAGAAATTGAAAAATTAAGAGTGGAAACAACTTCTGATGGCATTAATACTTAATAAAGATTTCATTTTGATCAATAGTTTAGGCCATTGGAAAATAACTGATAACTTTTTATTCCCTCCCCTTAGTAATATTCTGTTCTTTGTCATTTTTTATAATATAAAACTTAATCACTAAAATGTTCAGGGCCCTTTTTCATTTTTTAAACAAATCTATATCTAGATGAAGGTAGAATTTACTTATTACTAGAGCCTTGGACTTGTGACTCCAGCTCTGTCTTCTTTCTATCATGCCTGCTAAATTTCTAACTTCCTGGACATTAGGTAATCATTCTGCTTCTGTCCCCTTCCTCAATATATAGCTTGGTGACGAGAGTAAGGGGGTATAATGCCTGACTGCCTGGGTCCAAATCCTGACTCTAAGACTTCTTTGATGGGTACCCCTGTGCAAGTTTTCTCTTTCTGTCTCAGTATTCTCATTTATGAAATAGAAATAATAATATTACATCTCTTAAGAGTTTCTGTGATGGTTAAAAGAGAAGATCTATACAGCATAAGAACTTATCAGTTATTGAAACAGTTAAAGAAATGTTAAAAAAAGGTTAGTTGTTATAAAATCTCTGATTTTATGGGTAATACAGACTAGCTTATGTAGGTATAGAATTTACATAAACATGTACATTTCATATCTGTGTGTATACATTCTTATATTAAATGGAGCAGCAACACTAATGTCTAAACATGTCCTCTGTGAAGTGTAGATCTCCTATATGCAGAAATGGTGCTCCAGTTAACTATTGCTGCATAACCAAGCACTACAAACTTAGCATGGAAACAAAAATATTAATATGTGCATAGATTCTGTGGGTCAGCAGTTCAGACAGTGCATAGCAGGGATAGCTTATCCCTATTCCGCAACTAATGTCTAGAGCTTCAGCTCATGGGACTTCAAATGGCTGGTACTGGAATCATTTACATGTTTTTAGTTTACATATCTGGCACCTGAGATGGAATGACTTGAGGACTGAGACCAACAGGGGCTGTTAATTGGTGTGCCTACATGTATCTTCCTCTGTGGCTTAAACTTCTCATAGCTTAATGGGTAGGTTTCAAAATAATGTTCCAAGGAGTGTCCAAAGATCAAGCATTCCAAGAGAACAAAGCAGAAGCTGCATGATCTTCTATGGCCTAGTCTTAGATATTATATAGCATCCTTTCTATTATACTCTATTTCAGGAGTTGGAGAACTTTTTTCTATAAAAGGTCAGATAGTAAGTATTTAGAATTTGAGAGCCATACAGTGTCCATTGCAACTTCTCAATTCTGCCGTTGTACAAAAAGCCATAGAAAATATATAAATGAACATGGTTGTGCTTCAGTATTCACAAAAGCAGGAAGGTGACCTAGATTTGGTCAATAGGACACAGTTTACTGACATTGCTCTACAGGTTGAGGACATAAAAAACCTGTCCAAATTCAAGGCAAAAACACATAGGTTCCATTTCTGGATGAAAAGGATGCCAAAGAATTTAAAGCCCTGTATTAAAACCATCATATGTAGAATATGGTTATATGGGTTCTGTCTGTGTATTCTACTTCTCACACTCATGGGGACTGTTAAGTACTGGGACATATTGCTAGATTCTTCATTAGCCTGTGTCAAGGTCAAAGTTGAAATATAAACTTAATGACCTTGATTTTCAAAACAATTAATGACTTTATTTAACTATAATTTTATGTAATTCTGCATCCTAATAAACATAAAAATAACTTTTATTTTTAAAATTTATTTTATTTTTACTTTACCTTTATTATTTTTATTTTTACTAATTTTTTAAATTTCACATTATATTTTAGATTCAGGGGATACATTTGCAGGTTTGTTACACGTGTTTATTGCATGATGCTGAGGTTTGGTATACAAATGATCACATCACCCAGATAATGAGCATAGTGCCCAATACATACATATATATATATATATGTATATATTATACATATATACATATATATATGTGTGTATATATATACACACACATATATATATATATACACACACATATATATTTTTTTTTAGATGGAGTCTTGCTCTGTCACCGGGCTGGAGTGCAGTGGTGTGATCTGCAACGTCCCCTTCCTGGGTTCAAGTGATTCTCTTGCCTCAGCCTCCCAAGTAGCTGGGACTACAGGCGTGCACCACCACGAGCAGTCAATTTTTGTATTTTTTGTAGAGGCAGTGTTTCACCATGTTGGCCAGGATGGTCTCGATCTCTCTTGTGATCTGCCTGCCTCAGCCTCCCAAAGTGCTGGGATTACAGGCGTGAGCCACTGCACCAGCCCCCAATAAGTAGTTTTTCAACCTTTTCCACTGTAGTAGCGCCCTCCCCCCTCTAATAGTCCACAGTGTCTGTCTTTTCTTACAGTCTTTATGTCCATGAGTAACCGATGTTTATATTCCACTTATAAGCAGGAACGTGAGGTATTAGGTTTTCTATTCCCATGTAAATTCACTTAGGATAATGGCTTCCACCTGCATTCATGTTGCTGCAAAGGACATGATATCATTCCTTTTTATTGCTGCATAGTATTCCATGGTATACATGTACTATATTTTCTTTATCCAATCCACCATTGATGTGCACCTAGGCTGATTTCATTCCTTTGCTATTGTGAATAGCGTTGTGATGAACATCTGAGTGCATGTGTCTTTTTGGTAGAATGATTTTCTTTTGGATATGTACCCAGTAATGAGATTGTTGGGTTGAATGGTAGTTCTGTTTTAAGTTCTTTGAGAAATATCCAAACTGCTTTCCTTAGGGGCTGAACTCATTTGTATTCCCAACTACAGTGCATAAGCATTCCCTTTTCTCCACAGCCTCACCAGAATCTGTTGTTTGTTGACTTTTTAATAATAGCCATTCTGGTTGTTATGACATGGTATCTCATTACAGTTTTGATTTTAATTTCTCTGATGATAAGCGATGTTGAGCATTTTGTCATGTATTTGTTGGACTCATATGTCGCCTTTGAAAAGTGTCTGTTCATGTCTTTTGCTTGCTTTTTGATGGGGTTAGCTTTTGCTTGTTGAATTAAGTTCCTTATAGATTTTGGCAGTTAGACTTTTGTCAGGTGTATAGTTTGTGAATATTTTCTCCCATACTATAGGTTCTTTACCTATAGATAGTTTATTTTGTTGTGCAGCAGTTTTTTAGTTTAATTAGATACCAATTGTTAATTTTTGGTTTTGTTTCCATTGATTTTGGGGACTTAGTCATAAATTCTTTCCCAAGGTCAACGTCCAGAATGGCGTTTCCTAGGGTTTCTTCTTGTATTCTTATAATTTGAGGTCTTACACTTAAATCTTTAATTTATCCTGAGTTAAGTTTTATATACGATGAAAGGTAGGAGTCCAGTTTCTTTCTTCATGTAGCTAGCTAGCTATCCCAGCACCATTTATTGAATAGAGAGTCCTTTCCCCATTGCTTATTTTTGTCAACTTTGTTGAAGATCAGATGGCTATAGGTGTGTGGCTGTATTTGAGGGGTCTCTATTTTGTTTCACTGGTCTTTGTGTCTGTATTTATGCCAGTACCATGCTGCTTTTGTTATTGTAGCCTTATAGTATAGTTTGCAGTTAGTGAATGGGATGCCTCTGGTCTGTGCTTTTTGCTTAGGATTGTTTTGGCTATTTGAATAATTCTTTTTTGGTTCCATATGAATTTTAGAATAGATTTTTTCAATTATGTGAGAAACGATGTTGGTGTTTTGGTTGAAATAGCATTGAATCAGTAGATTGCTTTGGGCAGTATGGCCATTTTAATGATATTGATTCTTCTGATCCATCAGCATGAAATGTTTTCTCATTTGTTTGTGTCATCTATGACTTCTTTCAGTAGTGTTTTGTTGTTCTTCTTGTGAAGATCTTTCACCTCCTTGGTTAGATGTGTTGCTAAGTATTTTATTTTATTTTATTGTGGCTATAAGTGGGATTGCATTCTTGATTTGACTCTTAGCTTGAAAATTATTGGTGAATAGAAATATTACTGATTTTTATACATTGATTTTATATCTGAAAACTTTATTGAAGTCACTTATTAGTTCCAGAAGACTTTTGGCAGCGTCTTTAGAGTTTTCTAGGTAAAGGATCATCAGCAGAGAGACATAATTTGACCTCCCCTTTTCCTGTTTGGATGCCTTTTATTTCTTTCTCTTGCCTGCTTGCTCTGGCAAGGAACTCTAGTACTATATTAAATAGGATTAGTGAGAGTGGGCATCCTTGTCTTATTCCAGTTCTCAAGGGAATGCTTCCAGCCTTTGTCCATTCAGTATGAAGTTTGCCGTGGGTTTGTCACAGATGGATCTTATTATTTGAAGGTACATTTCTTCAATGCCTAGCCTGTTGAGAGTTTTTATCATGAAGAGATGTGGGTTTTATTATAGACTTTTTCTGTGTCTGTTGTGATGATCAAATGGTTTTGTTTTTCTTTCTATGTGCTGAATCACATTTATTGATTTTCGTATATTGAAACAATCTTGCATCCCAGGAATGAAGCCTATTTGATCACAGTAAATTAACTTTTTGATGTGCTGCTGAATTTAGTCTTATATTATTTTGTCGATGATTTTTGTGTCTATGTTCATCAAGGATCTTGGACTAAAGTTTTCTCTTTTCATTATGTCTTTGCCAGGTTTTGGCATTAAGGTGATATTAAATTCACAGAAGGAGTTAGGGAGAAGTTCCTTCTCCTCAATTTTTTGGAGTAGTGTCTATAGGACTGGTACCAGCTTTTCTTTGTGCTTCTGGTAGAATTTAGCTGTGAATCCATCTGGTCCAGGGCTTTTTTTGTTGGTAGCTTTTTAATTAATAATTCAACTTTAGAACTTGATATGTGTCTGTTCAGTATTTCAATGTCTTCCTGATTCAATCTTGGGAGCTTGTGTGTTTCCAAAAATTTATTCATTTCCTCTAGATTTTCTAGTTTGTGTGCCTAGAGGTGTTTATAATAGTCTCTGAGATTCTTTTTTATTTCTATGGGATTGGTTGTAATGTCACCTTTGTCATTTTTTATTATACTTATTTGGACCTTCTTTTTATTTAATTAGTCTAGATTGTGGTCTATTGATCCTATTTATCTTTTCAAGGGACCAAATTTTGGTTTTGTTGTTTTTTCAAAATTAATTTTTGGGTCTTTATTTTATTCAGTTCTGCTCTAATTTTAGTTACTTATTTTCTTCTATACTAGCTTTGGGGTTAGTTTGTTTTTGTTCATCTAGGTGCGATGTTAGATTGCTAATATGAGATCTAACTTTTTGAAATAGGTGTTTAGCACTATAAACTTTACTGTTAGCACTGCTTACACTGCATCCCAGAGATTTTGGTATGTAGTATCTTTGTTTTCATTTATTTCTAAGAATCCTTTAAATTTCAGCCTTAATTTTGTTGTTTACTTAGAAATCATTCAGGAGCAAGTTGTTTAATTTCCATGTAATTATGTGGTTTCTACTTTTTGGTATTGATTACTATTTTTATTCCACTGTGGTGTGAGAGTATGGTTGATATAATTTCATTTTTTAAAAATTTATTGATACTTGCTTTATTATTGAGCATGTTGTTGATCTTGGAGTATGTTTCATGTGCAGATAAGAAGAATGTATCTTCTGTGGTTGATGGGTGGAGTGTTCTATAGATGTCTATTAGGTCCAGTTGGTGCAGGGTGAAATTTATAATTTTTTGATAGTTTTCTACCTCAATAATCTGTCTAATGCTGTTGGTGGGGTGTTGAAGTCTCCCACTATTATTGTGTAGCTATCTAAGTCCTTTTATAGGTCTAGAAGTAGTTGTTTTATGAATCTGGGTACTCCAATGTTGGGTGCCTCTATATTCAGGCTAGTTAACTCTTGTTGTTGAATTAACCACTTTGTCATTATGTAATGCTGTTCTTTATCACTTTTTTGCTGTTGTTGGTTTAAAGTCCGTTTTATCTCATATAAACATAGAAACTCCTGCTTTATTTTTCACTTGTGTGATAGATCTTTCTCCAACCCTTTACTTTGAGCCTATGACTGTTATGTGTGAGTTGGGTCTCTTGAATATAGCAGGTAGTTGGATCTTGTTTTTTTTGTTTTTTTTTTTAAATCATACTTGCAACTCTGTGCCTTTGAAGTAGGGGCATTTAGATCATTTACACTCGAGGTTAATATTGACGTGCGTTTTTGGTCCTATTGTGAGATTGTTAGCTGGTTGTTTTGTAGTTCCTACTGCATGGTTGCTTTATAGGGTATGTGGGTGTTTTTGTGGTAGCAGGTATTGTTCTTTCATTTATATGTTTAGAATTCTTTTAAGGATCTCTTTTAAGGCTGGTCTAGTGACAACAACTTTATTTAGTGCTTGCTTGTCTAGAAAAGATTTTTTTTCCTCCTCACTTATGAAAATTAGTTTGGTTGAATATGAAATTATTAGTTGGAATTTCTTATCTTTAAGAATGCTGAAAATCGGCCCCTAATCTCTTTTGCCTTTTAAGGTTTCTACTGAAAAAGTCTGGTGTTTGGCTGATGGGGATCCCTTTGTGATCTTATGTAGTCTGCACCCCCCAGCCCATCGCCTTTTTTTTGTTTTTTTTTTTTTTGCTGCCTTCAAGATTTGTTCTTTAGCATTGACCTTGGACAGTCTGGTAACTATATATCTTGGTGCTATTCATTTTGGATAGAATCTTGCAGGTGTTCTCTGGATTTCTTCTATCTGGGTGTCTGCCTCTCTGGCAAGATAAGGAAATTTTCTTGACTCATGTCCTCAAATATATTTTCCAGGTTGTTTATTTTTTCTCTTCTTTCATAAGAATGTCAATAATTCAAAGGTTTTATCACTTTACATAATCCCATATCTCTCAAAGACTTTGTTCATTTTTTAAGTGCTTTTTTTTCTTTATTTTTGTCTGATTGAGTTCAAAAGACTGATCTTCAAGCTTTGAAATTCTTTCTTCCACTTGGTCCAGTCTTTTCATAAAGTTTTCAGGTTTTTTTTTTCTTTTTCTTTTTTTTTTTTTTTTTTTTTGAGACGGAGTCTCGCTCTGTCGCCCAGGCCGGACTGCGGACTGCAGTGGCGCAATCTCGGCTCACTGCAAGCTCCGCTTCCCGGGTTCACGCCATTCTCCTGCCTCAGCCTCCCGAGTAGCTGGGACTACAGGCGCCCGCCACCGCGCCCGGCTAATTTTTTGTATTTTTAGTAGAGACGGGGTTTCACCTTGTTAGCCAGGATGGTCTCAATCTCCTGACCTCATGATCCACCCGCCTCGGCCTCCCAAAGTGCTGGGATTACAGGCGTGAGCCACCGCGCCCGGCCGTTTTCTTTTTCTTGAGACAGAGTCTCACTCTGTTGCCCAGGCTGGAGTGCAATGGCATGATCTCAGTTCACTACAACCTCTGTCTCCTGGGTTCAAGCTATTCTTCTTCCTCAGCCTCCTGAGTAACTGGGATTACAGAAATGCGCCACCATGAGATGGGGTTTTGCCATGTTGGCCAGGCTGGTCTTAAACTCCTGATCTCAGCTAATCCACCCATCTTGGCCTTCCAAAGTGCTGGGATTACAGGTGTGAGCCACTGTGCTTGCCCAATAAAGCTCTCAGTTATATTTTAAAATTACTAAAGCGAGTTCTTCAATTCCAGGAGCTCTGAATGATCCCTTTTAAAGATATTTTATCTCTTCTTTCACTTCCTGGATTGTTTTAGAAGTTTCTTTGTGTTGATTTTCAACCTCGTCTTGGATCTCCTTAAGCTTCCTTGCAATCCATGCTTTGAATTCTTTATCCGTCATTCTTGAGTTTCCATTTTGGTTAGAGACCATTGATAGAGAGCAGTACAATCCTTAAGTGGTGTCACTATGTTAATATTTTTCATGGTGCCAGAATTCTTAGACTGTTTTCTTATCTGGAGATGCTGGCACTTCAAATTTTTATAATTATTTTTGTGTAGGTAAAATTTTTTGTTTTTTTCCTTATAATATTATTGGGCTTTTATTTCTCTTTTCCTTTTCCCCTCTCCCTCAGGGATGTGACTTAGCGAATATTGTGTCTGGTCTTTCAGCTCTGCTCCTATGGCCCTATGCACTTTATTTGGCAGGTTTAATATTGGACCGTGTAGTTCTACTTACAAGCCACTAGATCGTGCATATGGGTAAGAGCTGGGGGCAAGCAATGTGGCTGGGTATACTTGATCCTTGTTTACGTGGAGAAGCTCTCTGTTGCCTCAGGCAGTGTTCTAAACCAAGGAGTGCATAGTGTTCTGAGCTCCCTGATCAGCCCCAGGGTGGTTGGGGTGGGTGGGACCAAGATGGGTAGGACCAGTCCAGGCAAGCCCATCTATAGGTTGCCTGATGGCAGAGACAAGTGGCTATGGAGAATCAAGTAGGTGACCACCAAGTGCCCAAAAGTTTGCCTAGGTGTGGAGCTGGGAAACCTCCTTGGTCCTAAAACCTCCAAGGTCCCACCTTGGTCTCTAATCCAGGAGACCGGTTACTCTAGGTGCCTGGAGATCTGCCAGGATGTGGAGTGAAGAGGGCCCTGCTGTACAACAGTCTCTACACAGGAAGGGTGGGGTGGCTCAGGCTTGTAATCCAGACAATTGGGTGCTCCAAATGCCTGGAGATATGCCTGGGCTTGGGGCAGGGAAACCCCAGCATCACCATTTTGTCTGCACAGCAAGGGTGGGGCAGCTCAGGCTGCTGATTTGGGTGAGTGGGTGCTCTGCATGCCTGGAGATCTGCCTGAGTGAAGAACAGAGAAGGCCCTGCTTCATCACGTGTTTTGCACAGGAAGGGTGGGACAGCTTAGGCTTTTGATTTGGGTGAGTGGCTGCTCTGACTGCGTGGAGATCTGCCTGGGCATCAAGCAGAGAAGGCCTCAATCCACCACTATCTCTGCACAGGAAGGGTTAGGAAACTCAGGCTGCTGGTCCGGGCAAGCAGTTGCTCCAAATGCATGGAGTTCTGCCTGGATGTGGAGTGAAGAGGCCCCCCTGCATCAGGATCTCTACACAGGAAGGATGGCCGTAGCTCAGGCTGCTGAACCAGGTAAGCAGTTGCTCTGGACTTCTGGCCATCTGCCTGGTTATAAAGCAGAGAGGGCCCCACTGCATTGTAATCTGTGCACAAGAAGGGTAGGATGGCTCAGACTGCTGAACCAGGCAAACAAGTGCTCCAGATGCCTTGAGATCTGTCTGGGCATGGAGCAGAGAGGGCCCCACTGCCCCACAATCTATGTCCAGGCAGCAGGGCAGCTGAGGCTGCTGGTCTAGGCAAGCCTGTTCTCTGAATGCCTGCTGTTTTGCCTTGGAGTGGAGTGGAGAGGGCCTCACTTCACTATGATCTTAGGGGAGCAGGCTGTGGCACCCAGTGATGACACATACACACACACACACACACACACACACACACACACACACACACATACCAGTTCCAAGTCACCAAGCAAGCCCTGACACAAGTCTAGTCACCCAGAATAAACTATGACTGTAGCAGCTCTCCTCCCACCCCAGGCCTGTGACAAGGGAGAGCAAAATTCCAGTGCTTACTGGGGAGGCACTTTCCACAATCTGGCTGTGAAAACTCCTATGCTGCTCCACAGCAGGTGTTCCAATCTCTAGCCTGAGGCAAAAATGCCTGCCGTTTGCCAAAGTATGGCTGATTTGTATGAACCTGGATTAAAACTGGCATCCTGCTTTCAGTCCCAGGTCTGGGAAAATGCCTGCAGCTGTTCCTGGTGTCTTTCCCTCTCAGTGTCTCCAAGCCTCTCCCCAAGATAGTTCTGGGGCTTGGGAGAAACAAGGTGCTCTCTCTTGGCCTAAGTTACTTGGATCCCTAGTGGAAAGGTGAGTCACAGAGGGAGGCTCTCTGCCCCTCTCACATAACAGGGCATCACTCACTTTTATCAGCCAGACGCCATCATGGTGGCTGTTTGCCTGAACTCTCCTTCCCAGAATGTGGGGTGTCTGTCAGGTTTCCAGTGGATTTCCATTTTCCTTCTTGATTAAAGCTCAGAGAGTTTATCTTTATGCATCATCTTGCTATTTCCAAGTGACTGAGTCTTGCTAAAAGCCTCTAATCTGCCATCTTGGGGGGGGATAAAAAGTCTAGTAATTATCAGAAATAGCTTTCAAAAAAGCAATTGCTTCATGTAATTTGGTACAAGGAAAACTTCTGTTAGGATTCTACTGGCTGTTTGAATTATTCAATTTTGGTTAGAAAGCATGATTTTTGTTTTGTTTCCTTCCTAAAGAGATCTGCAACTTTTCAGATCTTATATTTTATTCTACTGAGAGGATGATATAGGATTTTATAATTGAAAAAGTAGGGCAGATTGAGTTCACTCAGATCACACTAATGATTACTGAAATAACTGTAATTAGAGCACAAGTTTCCAGATTTTCCTGTGCTGTGCTTTTTTTTGTAGGTCTGCTGTATCTTGGGCCTGGCAATGATCATTTTTGACCTTTACCTCTCCAGGCTATTGTTAAGTGGTTTTGAGCTTTGTTAGCTTTCTTATGGGTTTGTGCTAAATTGTGCCCATAAAGTAGGCTGAATTCTCCAGGAAGTGTGATAGCTATAATATTGCATTATTACTTTAAAATGTGTTGGTTGCCTTTTTTTTCTTTTCTTTTTGTCCAACTATCTTGAACTTAAAGAATATATTATCCAATATGAAAGATGTGTATCTGGTTAAAAACACTAATTTAAGGGAAGAAAATTTCAGATGATTGTATCTGTCAATCCTTAAAACACACTGAGCTTCATTAGCAAATCGACTATCCTCAGATCTTTCTCTTGGAACAGATCACATAATCGGCCTTTGTGTTGATTTCTCATCCCCTTCTTTACAGGCAGAACAATTAGAATAATTGGCTGGTACAGGGAAAGCACAAAGAACTTTCTTATACATTTGTGATGTATCTCTTAATTGGGGTTAGAAATGAGAGTGGAGGAATGAACATGAAACTTGGAAGGGCAATGGGGAAAAATATTGCCTTTAAAATATTCTTTCAATGTTGATCCAGATGAAAGAAATGATAAATATAAAGTTGAAGAGAGTATAAATGAAGTAATGTGGTTTTTGTGTTAACACGAGTGTGAAATTATTACAAATCAGGAAAAAATATTTTTCACACAGACTCAGGAGCAAATGAAGCTGTAAATACTCTCTGCTTTTAGAAAACCTTTTTTGTAGCAGTAATCATGGGAGGGTAGAGGCAATGCGTCAGGGCATAGGTGTTCAGGGCAAGGGGAAAGAAAGAGAACAAAAGGAGAGAGGATATTTTTAGAGCTGTCATTTTGAAATTTACCTGCTTCTGCTTCAGTGCTGCTTTGCCACCGTATCGGTCCAGTAGAAATCTCTCAAAGCTGGAGCAGCCGTATTTTAAAATAATGGGATTACAGCAAGTGACTTTAATCAAGGTCTTAGTTCAAGTGCATGAAGGAGAGTGTGGTGAAAGAGTGAGGCCACAGGAAATTGTTCACTAGGCAAGTTTTCTGCAAGCCTCATCAACTGGGAGAAACTGACCACTAAAGGAAAGCAAAAATATTGAAAGCAAGACAGAGTATGAGACCTGTTTAAAAAGCAACCTGTATAGTATTGGTCACCTGCTGATGATAGCTTATGAAAATAGCATTGACTAGAATTTATCAGTCTTGGTCATTTACAACAGAGACAGTTTCCTGGGTAATATGGTCTGGGAGGACTAGAACTGAACATTCGTGGTTCAGGATCATACCCTTAGAGCTCAGCACACTTCATACATAGTAGACTTAAAAGTGAATGTTTGTTGATTGGCCAAATGAATAGATGTGTGTTTCACATCTTATTTGCTTGTGCTGTGACCTACAATGGATTTTCAATGTCGGACTGGGAAAGTATTTCTGAAGTCAATTAGCATCATTCCCCATCTTGTGGATGAAGATTCTACATGCTAGGACTTCATATTGCCATCTCAGAGGCCTCACAGGAATTTCTCAGTCCCCTTCCCCCTCCCACAAATGATTCTGTATAATTTATAATATATATGCTGGCCAGAATGCTGCTAATCTGTGATTCCAACCATGTACCAGTGATTACCCAGGCATAATCAACATGGATTATGGATTTGAGGGCCAAAACATTCCTCAGTATTTATTGCTTTGACTTAAAATGAACTACTGAAAATAAAATAGCTTCAGACACAATAAGGCATTTCCTAATTCAGCAGGAAAACTGAGAAATATGGGGGTTATTTGAAACCTATAGCGATAAAGTTCCCACTGCTATTGAAGTTATTGTCTTTAAACCAAAGATTCTGTATCAGTAACATTATTTTTTGCATGATATTCAAGTTAATTTCCTGTTATCTGTAAAGAAGCAATGAGGTAGTTAGTATGACTCCCAAAGGTAAAGAATCCTGTTTTGTTATGATTTCCTGCTACCTAAAGGTGGGAAAGACTCAGGACATTACAATCAGTGTGTTATGTGTGGCAGGTTACAGTGTGGTTTATTTATGAATTTTATGGATATATTTTCTGAATATGTAGCTCTTTTTGAATTTGGGTAGATAAATGTTTTGTGCCTTTGGAAGACTTGTAGTTGTACACTGTGGTTTTATAGTCCATTGTCTTAGGATAGAGATAAGCTAGAGTAGTTCTTGTCACTATAAAGTACTTTCATGTTGATAGTCTGTGCTTATTTAGTAGTATATGACGCAATACCTTCTGAGAACAAGGAGAGGAATACTTGAAAAAATTACAATGGATAATGGAAATTGTAATATACTCCTACCATAATATATAATTTTAAAGCTAACAAATAATCATAGTTGAAAATTTGAAAATTTTCTAGATGTCAATAAAATTTTGAGCAAATTTGATAATGTAAAGTTGTCCAGGAATATTAGTGCTTTAAAATTTTCTAGGACTTCAGATAACTCTGCTTCCTAAAAGTGTATTCACGATATTTTATCTTAATGAAGTGTTCATCATGTGGACACACTCACATGCACATATATTATTCTGTTAAAAAAATAGAAAGACATGCATATTTCTGATGTCTCAGCCAAATGGAATACGAAACAGGGAAAAGTCAACAAGCAGAAAAAAACACTAAGTAGCATCTCCTTAATTGCTTACATCAGTTCTGCTGATACCTCTTTGTGGATAAAGTAATTAATGGGGAATCTAATTCAAGAAAAATGCATGAACTTCAAGCCTTTTGAAGCCAAAAATGTCTTTCCACAAAAGGCAACCATCCATTACCACACTTCCTTAATATCTTCCAGAGAGAGAGTACTGCATACAGCATTAGATATGCCAGAAGGAAGGTGCTTTCCACACTGATGGTCATAAATGACTTTGAATCTCTACTTCCATATTATGGTAATTTTAAACCAGTATATGTTTCGAAGACACTGTATCTTAATTTTTAGGGCCACAATGGCTTTGATATGACAATTGTTTTGTCATTCCTCAGGACAATAAAAATACAATGACCTGGAAGTATCATTACAGAGCAGGAAGGTGTTGATTGTTTGTTTCCAGAGTGAAGGGGAGTTGAAGAGACCCACAACTTAGTGAGTGAGAAGGGAATATGTTATTAGTGAAAAGCCAGGTTTAAGTTAAGGCAAAGAGGCATGAGGAAAGAATAAACTGGTATAGTGTTTAAAAGATCATCAAGAATCATATCTGTCGGTGGCTCAGGCCTGTAATCCCAGCACTTTGGGAGGCTGAGGTGGGCAAATCATGAGGTTAGGAGTTTGAGACCAGCCTGGCCAACATGGTGAAACCCCATCTCTACTAAAAATACAAAAATAGCTGGGCATGGTGGTGGGCACCTGTAATTCCAGCTACTCAGGAGGCTGAGGCAGGAGAATAGTTTGAACCCAGAAGGCAGAGGTTGCAGTGAGCTTAGATTGCACCACTGCACTGCAGCATGGGCAACAAAGTGAGGCTCTGTCTCAAAAATAAAAAAATAAAAAATAAAAAATCATATCCATGATGTAATGTGTACTGCAATCTTCTGAAACTAATGGTTTTTATATTGGAAAGAACCATAAAGTTTGGGATAACAATCCATTTGAAGTTGGATTATTTCAAGGAAAGGATGTATCGTGATAACCCTTTACTACAAATATCTTGATAACTCCCTCCCATACTCTGTTGTAGAAACTGCTGGTTTAATGACAGCTTGAGATGCACACTGTCAGCCAGAATTTATCATTCATTTAGTCATTCAACAAACAAGTAGTGGTCATTTTCTATTGCCAGTCACTCTTCTAGGCTTTGGGGATTCATCAATAAAAACTAAAATGAATAAAACCAAAAGTCAAAGATCCTGGTCTTCATGAAGATTATATTGCAGGTCCCATGATAGATGGTTAGTTAAGAGAGATGTACATAAGTTTTAACCATATTGTGTCATCTCTGTAATATAAATGCAGCAAGGTAATTTTTTAAAAATGTATTTGGAGAGTGGGGCCAAGATGGCCAACTTAGATGCAGTGTGATTGGAGGCTCTCACCGAAAAGAACCAAAACAGTGTGTGAATCCTGCACCAGCAACCAAGATAACCAGGTTCTGTCATCAGAACTGATTAGGTGGCTGGTGTGACTTACGGAGAGGAGCAGGATGGTGGGTCAGCCCACCTGTAAGCCACACAGGGCAGGGGAGCCCATACCTCCAGACAAGGGAGGCGGTAAGTGAGCATGCTACCCAGCCTGGAAAACCGTGCTTCTTCCATGGAACTGTGCAACCCATGGATCAGAAGATCCCACAGATGAACCCATGCCACTGGGGCCTTGGGTCCCAACTACGGACCTACGCAGATTCTCAACAGCCTCTCTGCTGGAATCTGCCTAAGCCTACTGAGTTCTCAGGGGGAGGGGCAGCCATCACCACTGCTGCTGCCTGCTGTCTAAACCATCTGAGCTCCTTGAGGGAGGAGTGGCAGCCACTGCCTCCATTGCCTAAGACAAAAGAGCTCCCCGAGGGAGTGGTGGCCACCACCACTGGTGCTGCCAGCTGTATAAGCTGTCTGAGCTCTCTGGGGGAGGGGGAGCAGCCAAAACTGAGGCTGCAACCTACTTAAGACACTAAGCTACATAAGACATAGCTGTAGGCCACACTTTTCTCCTGCTGGAGCCAGGGAGGCTGGACTGCTTGGTCCCAGAAGGTATTCCCTATAGCACAACACTCTGGCTGTGGCTGACTGCAGCCAGATTGCCTCTTCAGGCTGCACCCTGACCCATCCCTCCTCACTGGGCTGGACCCCTTGCAGGAATTCCAGCAACTCCAGCCAGGGGGCTCAGGGAGAGAACTCTGATCTCTCTGAGCCTGAATGCCTAGGGGGAGTGGTGGCCATAGTCTCCATAGACCATCAGACTCAGTCTTTCTTCCTGCTAACTCTGAGGAATCCAGGCAGCCCAGATGAGTGGGTTTCCCCCAGCATGGCACACTCCCTCCATCAAGGGAAAACCAAAGCGCTTTATTAAATGGGTCCTGGTTCCTATGCCCACCAACAGAGTAAGACCCCCCCTCCCCACACCAACAGGGGATGCCAGACACCCTATACAGGAGCTTTCCTATTGGCATTAGGTTGCTGTCCCCTCGAAGTCAGAGATCCCAGAGGAAGGGGCAAGCACCCATCTGGGCTGTTCTCCAGCCTCCTCCGGAGACATCTCCAGGGGCAGGAGTGAACCGGATGAAAAGGGCAAATGAAAGAAATAAAGGGTATTCAAAAAGGAAGAGAGGAAGTCAAAGTGTCCCTGTTTGCAGATGACATGATTGTATATTTAGAAAACCCCATTGTCTCAGCCCCAAAACCCCTTAAGCTAATAAGCAACTTCAGCAAAGTCTCAGGATACAAAATCGAGGTGCAAAAATCACAAGCATTCCTATACACGAATAACAGACAAACAGAGAGCCAAATCATGAGTGAACTACCATTCACAATTGCTACAAAGAGAATAAAATACCTAGGAATACAGCATACAAGGGATGTGAAGGACCTCTTCAAGGAGAACTACAAACCACTGTTCAAGGAAATAAGAGGGGACACAAACAAATGGAAAAACATTCCATGCTCATGGATAGGAAGAATCAATATTGTGAAAATGGCCATACTGCCCAAAGTAATTTATAGATTCAATGCTATTCCCATCAATCTATCATTGACTTTCTTCACAGAATTAGAAAAAACTACTTTAAATTTCATATGGAACCAAAAGAGAGCCCGTACAGCCAAGACAATCTGAAGCAAAAAGAACAAAACTGGAGGCATCTCACTACCTGACTTCAAAATATACTACAAGTCTACAGTGATCAAAACAGCATGGTACTGGTACCAAAACAGATATATAGACCAATGGAACAGAACACAGGCCTCAGAAATAATACCGCATATCTACAACTATCTGATCTTTGACAAACCTGACAAAAACAAGTGATGGGGAAAGGATTTCCTATTTAATAAATGGTGTTGGGAAAACTGGCTAGCCATATGTAGAAAACTGAAACTGGACCCCTTCCTTATATCTTATGCAAAAATTCACTCAAGATGGATTCAAGACTTAAAATCTAAAATTATAAAAACCCTAGAAGAAAGCCTGGGCAATACCATCCAGGGCATAGGCATGGGTGAAGACTTCAAGAGTAAAACACCAAAAACAATGGCAACAAAAGCCAAAATTGATAAATGGGATCTAATTAAACTAAAGAGCTTCTGTACAGAAAAAGAAACTATCATCAGAGTGAACAGACAACCTACAGAATGGGAGAAAATTTTTGGAGTTTATCCATCTGACAAAGGTCTAATATCCAGAATCTAGAAGGAACTTAAATTTACAAGAAAAAAACAACCCCATTAAAAAGTGGGTGAAGGATATGAACAGACACTTCTCAAAAGAAGACATTTATGCAGCCAACAAACTTGAAAAAAAGGCTCATCATCACTGGTCATTAGAGAAATGCAAATCAAAACCACAGTGAGATACCATCTCATGCCAGTTAGAATGGCAATAATTAAAAAGTCAGGAAACAGATGTTGGAGAGGATGTGAATAAAGAGGAATGATTTTACATTGTTGGTGGGAGTGTAAATTAGTTCAACCATTATGGAAGACAGTGTGGCAATTCTCAAGGATCTAGAACCAAAAATCCCATTTGACCCAGCAATCCCATTACTGGCTATATACCCAAAGGATTATAAATCATTCTACTATAAAGACACATGCACACATATATTTCTTGCAGCACTATTCACAATAGCAAAGAACTGGAAGCAACCCAAATGCCCATCAATGATAGACTGGATAAAGAAAATGTGGCACATATACATCGTGGAATACTATGCAGCCACAAAAAGGAATGAGTCCATATTCTTTGCAGGGACATGGATGAAGCTGGAAGCCATCATTATCAGCAAACTAACACAGGAACAGAAAACCAAACACTGCATGGTCTTATTCATAATTGGGAGCTGAACAATGAGAACACATGGACACAGGGAGGGGAACAACACACACTGGGGCCTGTTGGTGGGGGCGAGGGGAGGGGGAGCATCAGGGAAAATGGCTGGTGCATGCAGGGTTTAATGCCTAGGTGACAGGTTGATAGGTGCAGCAAACCACCAAGGTACCCATTAACCTATGTAACAATCCTGCACGTTCTGCACATGTATCCTGGAACTTCAAGTAAAAATTTTAAAAACTTATGTGTTTCACATTCCTACTCACTTTCACACCTGTCATTGCTCCCTTTGTGGAAGGGAGAATCACAGAGAACAAAAATGTCAAATCCCAACTATTCAAGTTAATTTTTCCAACTTCCAACAGAGACAATAGTTTATTTGTTAAGATATGTGAGTGTCAAAGAGGTAGCTTTTGCAAACTGCAATCCAAATATATCTATATAGCTTTGGAAAGAATATATTATGTAATGATAGAAGAGCTGATTTTCCTTCCCTAAACTTCACTAGGTTGGAAGAAGGTACAGGAAATAAATCAAGATACTGAAACATAGGTGAGTTCCCCGAAAGGGAAGCCTGACACTTTAAAATGATGTAGATAATTCTAGATATATTTTAAAGTAGGAAAGACCAATGAATCCCTTCCAATCTTATGCCCTGGGAGAAAGCAGCACATTTTCTTTGAGGGTTGAGAGCCTTTTATTTGTTGTGCTTTGTCTTTAATAAACTTTATTGAGGAATCATTTACATGCAATAAAATACATATATATTTAGTGAACAGTTCAGTGAATTTTAGTCAGTGTATACATTTGTGTAGTCAGTACCACCATAAAGATAGAGAATCATTCCAAACCTCTAGAAAGTTCCCCTTCCGGCTCTTGGCAAAAATTCCCTTATTTTCTGCACCAGGCGACCAGTGATCTGTTTTCTAACATTATACATTAATTTTGTCTATTCTAGAATTTATATAAATTGAATAATTTACTAGGTATGCTTTTGCATCTGGCTTCACTTGCTTAGTATGTGGTTTTTGAGATTCATTCTTATTGAAATTTTTAAAACAGGAATTTAGCCTGGATGACTGACTTTGTCTTCAACCTAAGCCTCTGGCATTACCTGTGTCTGTTTTTGGCTTACTATGACCATTTCTAACTTTTCAAAGCAGCACACGGTTTACAAAAGAAAGGTTGTTGTCAGTATAAGAGAGGGAAAGTGTTTTTTGTTGTATAAGTTTCTCAGCATACATTGACCTGGTTGGCATCATTGTGTTGATAATCCAGGAGGATGTTTTCTTATAAAAATTTTGATATTATAAAACTTTTATAGGCAGTTGTCCTAATACTATTTTAGGTTTTTGGTTTTTGAAAACACTTCTGGAAAGTCTAAAGGGTCATAACCAGAAAGAAGCAGTAACTCACCTGAGGGCTAATTCTTTTGCTGAAGTTGAGTCATCTGACCTTTAAATGCCCTCTGATAGAGCCAGATACTCTTACAAAACAATGCTCTCCTAGTTTTCTTGTACTGCTACAGCATAATACCCGGGACTGCATAATTTATAAGGAACTGAAATGTATTTCTCATAGTTCTGGAGGCTAAAAGTTCAAGATCAAGGTGAGGGTAGGTTCAGTTGTCTGGTGAGGCTACATCCGCTGTAGGAGTGGAATGCAGTGTGCTCCCTTGGCTGGAGAAGAAGAATAAGCTAGAAAACTAGCAAAACTAGCTGAAAGACAGGTGATAAAGATAAAGCTGAAAGGCAGTTAATAAAGGCCTAATCCCATTAATGAGAGAGGAGCCCTCATGACCTAAATCATCTCTCAAAGGCCCTGCCTCTTAATACTATCACATTAGCAAAATCTGAATTTTGGAGGGGACACATTCAAAATAGTACTCTTTTATTGGATAAAAATGTATAGATGAATTTAACATGGATAGGTATATGCCGTAAAGTTTAAAAAATAAAGAATCTTAGTTTGGCTTACTGTTTTCATTTAGGTTTCTGTGGCATGTGCTAATAGTTTAGGATAACCTCAGGTTAGTTTTGGTTCTACTTTTTATACAAATGTTGAAATACTCCGTATCTAATTTTTCTTTTTCTTCCCTTCCTCCCTCCCTACCTCCTTCCTTCTCTCCATGTCTCCGTTTCTTTCAGCTTCTTTTAGCCCATTACACTTTACTCTGCATTGTCAAGGTGGCAATGAATAGGAAGATTGGAATCAGTGTGAAAAGGGTCTATGGATATTCTGCTGTTCAGAATGCACATTGCCAAGCTTTTACGTTGAGGAGGGGTCTGAATTTGCCCACAGTAACCCTTCCCAGGGTCTTTGGATAAAAGCCATAGAAGCTGAGCTGTGATATCCTGACAGGAAAGTAGAATTCACAGCAATTGTCCTCAAAGAGCTTACCTGCCTAAGATGCATATGAATGCATTTAATTATTCCTTTATTGGCACCCACTCCAACATCCAGAGCCTATTTTGTTTTTTATCATCATCATTGCCTGCTGTTTACCACTGTATACCTTGCTAATGGTGTGGTTTCCATGGCTTGTTAATTTCATGGCCAAATAATATTGTAATTTATTGCACTCTTTAATGTGGAAGCCTGAGACTCCATAAATTCTTGTGCATTTTTCCCTCTTTGGAATATTAAACAGATCAGGCAAAGTAATAAATTTATTTCAAATGCACTTGATAGCAAAACATCGATTAGGACTGATTGGCAATATTTCTTCTTTCAGCAACTGTGACTATTTTTAAAGATTATTTTAAACATTGAATATGAAGTTACTTAAGACAGGACTCAGTTCACTAGGATCACTTAGAACAATAAAGGGAAATTTGTGATGGCTATCTGTAGCTTATTCAAATATTGACTAATCAGCTCCAGCTTGGCTAATTTAATTTGTAAGAATTCATTTAGTATTTTATTAACTCTTGCCCTTCCCCTATCACTCTCATAAGAATGGATCATTAGAATCTTAAAACATACTAAGTCACTTTCTATTTCTGCAACTCTAACTAAAAAGCACTTCTTACTTATCTAATGTAACCTGCTTTTAGAATAACTGAGGCTTTAATTAGCTCTAAAATTAAAGCAAATAAACAAAAAGAAATACATCAAGGAGCCACTGAATTTTAGAGCTTGAGGATGAAGACTTTAGAATTAAGGACAAATCTATCATTTTAGAGCTAAAACAACTGAGGCCTAAATTTAGAAGGTAGTTGCCCAGACCACGGAAAGGGATAGAAGACCAGGTTCCAAGCTGAGAGAGAGATGGGCAACACTCAATTGGAGCATTTCAGAAACTGAAATGTAAGCCCCTAGGGCTTTGGGAAAGCTGGCATCTGGATACAGTCTTGAGATTTCAGACAGACAGTGGGCCCGGTGGGCCCTGAGCTTCTGTAGTGGGCAGGGAACATCACCATGTCTTCTGAAAATGTTACAAAATGCAGGGACATGAACAGTGACTTCCATTGCTAAATTAATTCTGAGTTTAGATTTACCTCAGATACTTGAGAAAGATCTTAAACAAGGGCAAAGTCCAAGTCTGTTTCTTTAAATTCATGCTCCGCGTTTAGTGGTAGAGGCACTTAAACTCTTCAACTGATTCCAACACTTTTATTTTACTCTATGTTTAATTCTAATAGTCCTACAATTGATTATTTAATAAATGAATAGCTAGCATCACAAACAGTGTGAAGGTCTGTATAAAGAGAGTAAGGATGGGGGAGTAGAACAGTGTAGAATAGGGTATCAATATGAAGTGATCTTGGTAAATAAGAACAGCTATTAGAAATGAAAATACATTCAGTAGGAAATGAGTGCCTGACATCCTCCCCTACACGCTGCATGTTTAGAAGTTGGTTTCTAAGTCCATGTTTTTTCCTCCCCATTTCCCTCTTCCTTTTAGCCTCTAGCAACCGTTAACTCCACTTCCTGTCTCTTATGATTTTGACTATTTAGGTACCCCATCCCCATATAAGTGTAATCAGTATTTGTATTTTTGACTGGCTTATTTTACTTATAATATCCTCAAATTTCATTCCAGTTGTAGTATGGGTTGGAATTCCCTTTCTTCTTAAGGCTTAATACTAGTCCATTGTATGTGTATATTACATTTTGACTATCCATTCATCTGTTGAGGGAAACTCGTGTTGCTTTCACTTTTTAGGTATTGCAACTAATGTTGCTATAAACACGGGTGTATACACGGCTGGGCGCCGTGGCTCACCCCTGTAATCCCAGCACTTTGGCAGGCTGAGGTGAGCAGATCACTGGAGGTCAGGAGTTCGACACCGGCCTGACCAACATGGTGAAAACCTGTCTCCGCTAAAAATACACAAATTAGCCGGGCGTGTTGGCACATGCCTGAGGCAGGAGAATCACTTGAACCTGGAAGGCGGACATTGCAGTGAGCTGAGATTGCACCATTGCACTCCAACCTGGGCAGCAAAAGCAAAACTCCGTCTCAAAAAACAAAAAAAACATGGGTGTATACATATCTCTTTCAGACCCTAAGACCCTGCTTTCAAATCTTTTGGGTATATACTCAGAAGTGGAATTGCTGAATCATGTGGTAATTCTATTTTTAATTTTTTAGGCTCCACCATACTGTTTTCTATAGCAGCTATAACATTTTAATTTTCTCACCAACAGGGTACAAGGATACCATTTTCTCCATATCCTCATCAAACTTGTTACTTTCTGTTTTTTGTTCCTTGAGAGCAACCATTCTGATGGGTATGAGGTTGTATCTCATAGTGGTTTTGATTTGTGTTTCCCTACTAATTGGTGATATTAAGAATATCTGTATGCTTCTTGGCCATCTGTATACCTTCTTAGGTTAAATGTCTGTTCATGTCATTTACCCATTATTGAACTGGGCTGTTTAATGTTGTCATTGTTATTGTTGACTAGGAATTCTCTATATATTCTGAATATCAATACTTTGTTAGATACATAGTTTGCAAATTTCTCCCATTGTGTAGCATGCCTTTTCACTCTGTAGGTAGTATCTTTTGATTCACAAAAGGTCTTAATTTTCATGAAGTCTAATTTGTATATTTTTTAATTGCCTGTGCCTTTGGCATCATATCCAAGGGATCACAGTAGAATCTAATGTTGTGAAGCTTCTGCCCTATGTTCTTTTCTAAGAGTTTCATAATTTTAACTCTTTTTTTTTTTTTTTTTTTTTTTTTTTTTGGAGATGGAGTTTTGCTCTTGTTGCCCAGGCTGGAGTGCAATGGCGCGATCTCTGCTCATGGCAACTTCCACCCCCCGGCTTCAAGCAATTCTCTCCTGCCTCAGCTGCCCAAGTAGCTGGGATTACAGGTATGTGCCACCACGCCCAGGTTATTTTGTATTTTTAGTAGACACAGGGTTTCTCCATGTTGGTCAGGCTGGTCTCGAACCCTTGACTTTATATGATCCGCCTGCCTTGGCCTCCCAAAGTGCTGGGATTACAGACGTGAGCCCCCACACCCAGCCAATTTTAACTCTTACATTTATGTCTCTTATCTAGTTTTAGTTAATTTTGTATATGGTATTAGTTAAGGCTTCAACTTGATTCTTTTTCATATGGAAATTCTAGCACTGTTTATTGAAAAGATAGTTCTTTCCCCTTTGACTGGTTTTGGCAATCTTATAGAAATTTATTTCACCATGTTTTCAAGTGTTTATTTCTGGACTATTTTATTCTATTGGTCTATATGCATATCTCTTTTTATGCTAGTACCACACTATTTTGATTACTGTCAGCTTTGTATCAAGTTTTGAAATCAGGAAGGGTGGGCCCTTCAATTTTGTTATTATTTTTTTTATTCCAAGACTGTTTTGGCTAGTCAGGGTTCCCTTGAGATTCCAAATTAATTTTAGAATAGGTTTTCCTATTTTTCCAAAAAACATCATTGGGATTTCAATAGGAATTGCATTAAATCTGTACAGCATTTTGGGTAATACTGATATCTCATTTAAAGTCTATTTTGTGTGGTATTGATATAGTTACTCCTGCTCCCTTGTGGTTACTGTTTGCATGAAATATCTTTCCATCCTTTTACTGTCAAGCTGTTTGTCTTTGAACATAAAGTGAATCACTTTTAAACAGCACATAGTTGGATCATGTTTTTAAAGATATATCCCGTCAATCTTTTTTTGATTGGAGGGTTTAATCCATTTTTATTTAAAGAAATTACTGATAAGAAGAAACTTCTGTAGTTTTGCTATATTTTTCTACATACATTATAGATTTTTGTCCTTTTGTGGTTCCTACATTACTGTCTTCTTTTTTTTTTTAGTTGATTTTCTTGTAATGAAATGTTTTAATTAGCTTCTCTTTTCCTTTTGCATGTATTCTATAAGTATTTTGTTTGTGGTTACCATAAAGATTACACTTAATATTCTAAAATTATAGCACTCTAAACTTAATTTATATTCCATTTAAATATTTAAATTTAAATATTTATATTTAAATATTAAGTATGTGTTCTTTGAGCACATTTAACACAACTGTTTAAAGTCTTTGTATAGTAGGTCTGCCATCTGGTCTTTTTCAGGGATAGTCTCTGTTGTTTCTTTCTTTTCCTTTATTATGTATTTTGTGCTTGTGATTTTTTGAATTATTGAAAACTGGACATTTGAATCTAATAATGTGTTAACTCAACTCTGGTAATCAGATTCTCCTCCTTCCTCAGAATTTACTAATTTTGTTGTTTGTTTTGGTTTGGTTTTGATAATTTTTAGATTATCTCTGTGCCAAGGATCAGACTGAGATGTAAACTTAAAATTTTCTCCCATCTTGGCTGGGTGCAGTGGCTCACGCCTGTAATCCCAGCACTTTGGGAGGCCGAGGTGGGTGCATCATGAGATCAGGAGATCAAGACCATCCTGGCTAACATGGTGAAACCCCGTCTCTACTAAAAATACAAAAAAATTAGCCGGGTGTGGTGGCGGGTGCCTGTAGTCCCAGCTACTCAGGAGGCTGAGGCAGGAGAATGGCATGAACCCGGGAGGTGGAGCTTGCAGTGAGCAGAGATTGTGCCACTGCACTCCAGCCAAGGTGACAGTGCGAGACTCCGTCTAAAAAAAAAAAAAAGACATTTCTCCCATCTTTTCTGAGTGTGTATTGTTTCCTAGGCAAGCTTGATGACTTTCTAATTTCTCCTGTATATGCAGTTATGTTGAGTGTCCTAGTATTGAATGTCTAGCTCCTAAAAGGGAAAAAAGAAGATAAAAATAAGTCAGGTGTGGGGGGCATGGAGACACTAATTCTTTAAATCCCTTGGAAGCTGCCTCTGCTCCATTGGAGGAGCAGCTTGCGACAATGGCAATGAGGTGCAACAATGGGTCTTCACCTCTATTTCTATATTTCCCTCATCAGAAGCAGCAATCAGCAACCAAAAAAAGACCACTGGCATTGGGAGAACAGGATCCTTATGGTCTACCCTGGTTCCTACAAGCTGTGTGCAAGATGCCTCAGGAATACTTGCACAACCTCCAGGCACAGGAATAAATGGTGTAGGATAGGTAGCCACTGCTGAATAAATCTCAATTTACCATCCAAGCCTTACCCTGGGAGGTTCAAGCCTTCACCAAACTTCAGAGTTATAAAACACAGTATTCCTTTTATAATCTGAGAAGGGTATGTCCTAAGACCCTCAGTGGATGCCTGAAACTGCAGATACTACTGGAGTCTATATAAACTGCTTTTTTGATATGATAAACAAGATGGCTACTAAATGACTAATGGGCAGATAGTGTATACAGCCTGGGTATTCTGGACAGAGGAATAATTCATGTCCTGGAAAGGACACAGTGGATGGCATGAGATTTCATCACACTACTCAGAATATTATGCAATTTAAAACTTACAAATTGTTCATTTATGAAATTTCCTTTTAATATTTTTGAAACCATGCAAAGTGAAACAACAGATAAGGTGGGACTACTGTAGTTATATCAGACAGAGTCGGCCAGTGCAATTGTACAGGTGGGGAGACAGATTCCTAGTGCTTTCTATTCTACTGCCCTCCCAGGATCCTTTCTTCAGTTCTGTTTTTACAATTGATCTCAGTATGATGAATCATATTTTACCTCAACACTACGTACCTCATAGATATATTGTGAAGCTTGTGTGAGAGTAAGCAAGCAATAGAGTTTGCCTTGCAAGCAGCTTTAAACTGTTTCTGGAACAATCTAAGGTAGAAGAAAAAGGACAGGAAGAAGAAAACACGGGAAAAGGCAGTCAATTTCATAGGAGTCTCTTGCCTGTATTTGTGGTATCCCTTTTTGAAACTAAATATATAGAGATTCAGAACATTACACTTGTGATTATTTTTAATCATAATTTGATTTTTTTCTGTTCCATTAGTTATCCATGCCAGCATTATGTCATCTTCAATTTTAATAAGCATGTCTGTCTTGTTTCTACCTGTGTTATTAATACAAATGATGATTGAACTGATGACCCCAATTTATCAAGGAAATGTTAAATATGCTAATGAATAAATTTATTAATTTTAGAAAAATTTACTAAAAGTGATGCTTAAGTATGCTTTTTTGAATTTGTAGTTAAATGTTGGTTAATTTTTTTTATAAATTTGTAGGTTTTTAAAAAATGTTTTCCTAATATGCACTACCTTATCCCCTAACAATGTCAGCAAATGAAGAACTTACGTATATTGGTGAATGCATGCTAGTCTATATATTTTTCTGGAGGTATGATTGTAATGAGGGTAACAATACAGTTTACTGGCCATGTGCTATCTCCAGTGAAGCTGTAGTTTCTATTGTGACTCAGTTGGTCCATTAGATTAGATTAGAGATGAATTTTTAAAACTCCATTTCTCTTTACAATTACTTTGCATAAATAATCCAGGCTGGCCAGACCAAATGACTATTTTTGCTCTTGATATAATCTTTCAGACACAACTTTGAAGTCTTTGATAGGGAGATATTTTAAAATAAGTTTAACACATGCATCTTCTAAATACGACAATGTTATTAGAGACAAGGTTTTGCACTAGGTAATTCTTTTTTTAATATTCTGGCTTACAGAAAGACTTGCTTTTGATTTCTGTTTTATTTGGTAGATATTTATGACCATAATAATAAATTTAAAATTTTATCTCATATCTTTTGATCTGAATTAGCACTGGAGATGGTGATATGTATGGAGGCTGTAATATAAATATAGCTGCTAACTTCAAAGAACATACAACCTTTTGGAGAGCACAGACACATATGTAGTAATCATGGAAACTACATTTGTTTACTAAAGAAATTATTAGTGAAATGGATAAAGTACTATAAAATCCTTGAATAGCCAAAGGCAATTTAAAGACGTGCAGTTTTTAAAGATAATTTTTAAGAGCTAACTCTCAACATTTTTCCAACTACCTGTAGAAAACCACACACTATCCAAAAAGGCATGGTTTTTTCTTTCAGATATTTAGCACTTTGACATTCTGAGCATTCTCATAATGAAATTAAATCCAAAAAAGGGTCTCTCTTCATGATCTCTTGAAGTCGTCCTCATTTGTCCCTAATATTTTTCATAATCACTATGGTGGCACTGAGGGTAGGAAATGCCAATATTATTACAGTTTCATAAAACAAACAATATTTAAGGAATACAGTGTTTCCAAACAGACAAATTTCTTTCAAAATAATTTCAAATGAAGCATAAATTATTTTTTGCTTGTTAAAAGGCAGGAATATTTAGATAGAGTTAATGAACGGTAGAGTTTTAGAGTGGAGAGTGTCCTTAAAATATCTAGACCTGTACTTCTAGTAGACAATAGCCAGATGGGCTATTTATAGTTAAATAAACTTAAAATTAAAAATTCAGTCCTTCAGTCACAGTAGCCTCATTTCAAGTGTTTGTTAGTTACATGTGAATAATGATACTGTATTGAACAGTACAGGAGAATTTCATTTATCACAAATTTCTACTGAGCAGTACTGGAGTTAAACTTAGGTATTTATAGAGAAGAAAACTGAGGCCCAAGGACATAATGTAACTTTCCCAAGGTAGCACAGCTATGCTTTTCTAAACACAGAATGACACAAAGGAAACAGTAACAAAGGGATAAAAGAAACCCAGTAGCTTCTGGAACTGCCAAGGTAGAGTTTAACAACGCACACTTAGCTATTAACAGAGCTGAATCCCGTAGTGGTTTTGATTTGCATTTCTCTGATGGCCAGTGATGATGAGCATTTCTTCATGTGTTTTTTGGCTGCATAAATGTCTTCTTTTGAGAAGTGTCTGTTCATGTCCTTCGCCCACTTTTTGATGGGGTTGTTTGTTTTTTTCTTGTAAATTTGTTTGAGTTCATTGTAGAATCTGGATATTAGCCCTTTGTCAGATGAGTAGGTTGCGAAAATTTTCTCCCATTTTGTAGGTTGCCTGTTCACTCTGATGGTAGTTTCTTTTGCTGTGCAGAAGCTCTTTAGTTTAATTAGATCCCATTTGTCAATTTTGGCTTTCTCACACCAGTTAGAATGGCAATCATTAAAAAGTCAGGAAACAACAGGTGCTGGAGAGGATGTGGAGAAATAGGAACACTTTTACACTGTTGGTGGGACTGTAAACTAGTTCAACCATTGTGGAAGTCAGTGTGGCGATTCCTCAGGGATCTAGAACTAGAAATACCATTTGACCCAGCAATCCCATTACTGGGTATATACCCAAAGGACTATAAATCATGCTGCTATAAAGACACATGCACACGTATGTTTATTGCGGCACTATTCACAATAGCAAAGACTTGGAACCAACCCAAATGTCCAACAATGATAGACTGGATTAAGAAAATGTGGCACATATACACCATGGAATACTATGCAGCCATAAAAAATGATGAGTTCATGTCTTTTGTAGGGACATGGATGAAATTGGAAACCATCATTCTCAGTAAACTATCGCAAGAACAAAAAACCAAACACCGCATATTCTCACTCATAGGTGGGAATTGAACAATGAGATCACATGGACACAGGAAGGGGAATATCACACTCTGGGGACTGTGGTGGGGTCGGGGGAGGGGGGAGGGATAGCATTGGGAGATATACCTAATGCTAGATGACACGTTAGTGGGTGCAGCGCACCAGCATGGCACATGTATACATATGTAACTAACCTGCACAATGTGCACATGTACCCTAAAACTTAGAGTATAAAAAAAAAAAAAAAAAAAAAAACAACAGAGCTGAATCCCCTGATCGTTAGCAAGACCTGCCTGCCTGAATTTGGACGTTTAACAGGTTACGCAATCAGTTTTAGAAGCAGAACACATTTCAACAAACTGTTGCCAGCTCCAAACTTGCAGCCATTGCTGTACTTAAAAATATGTTTATTAGTTGAATGTACACGGCACCACTCTGAAATGTAATGGTGCATCCTGCCCCAGAGAGATCAAGAAATCTTATGGGTGTTGTGCATATTTTAAAAGGTTGATTTTTTAAATGCTTCATGCAGACATCCAGGTATTAAGAGATTCCTGCCATTGCTTAATCAAACTGTGAAATCTTTTCTCACCTTGCAAGACAGTCCCTGCATTTTCATTATTTTGTTGAAATCCGAATATTATTTTTCCATTCTCTGACTTGTTTTTTATCACAGTGTGATCAGCTATTGCCAGGGAAGGAAAGGTTAGATTTATCAATCAAAGTTCGCTGCAGGCCCTCGAAATAATTGAACCCTCAGGAGAAACAATCCTCATGTCTTCTTTTTCTGTTGTTTCAATATCTTCATAAAAAGTCATTTCAATATTATTTGGTCCTGTAGCAGAGATTCTATGAAGTGCTTATCTTTCTTATAGGTCCAGAAAGCCTGTGAGTCCATGAATAGAGATGACTAAGGAGAGAGAGTGAGGAGAATGGAGAGAGGCTTACTGCTGAGGAAAGGACAATCTTATAACACCTCCTTGAGTCTGAGAGGCCACAGATACCCATAATTGAGCTAAGAAACCTTTTGCACAAGTGAGGAGATGAATACCATGAAGTCAAGTCATCAATTTTTCCTCTAGAAACAGAAATGTCCTTATTTAATTCACCTCCTCCTCCAACCCCAGAAAAGGGCCAGGAGCATCTACTGGGATGGATTATTGGCAGAAATGGAAGGAAAGGTGGTTGATGAGTCTAGTCTGCAGCAGGGAGACTGAGAAACTGAAGCTGGCAGGTGTAAGGCAGGCTTTTCACCTATGTCGGCAAATAATAAGATGTTCTGGGAACACTAAGTACAGGTCAAAGAATGCTCATATAACTCCTTCAGGCCCCAAAAGGAGTAAGGAAGGTGAGGCAGAGAGGGGAAGGGGCCGTTGATGGTATAATAATCATGATGGGATTTCACTCCAGAAAGGACACCCAATAGCTTCTATTGGTTCAATTTTTTTTTTCTGTCCTGCCTGTTCCTAGTGAGCCTCAGCTCATAGCTTCAAGGCCCCCTCTGCCATATGGCAGACTGTTGGTAAATATGCTGGCTTCATTCTGCTCTGTAGTAACCCAGATGGGAATCTTGACTCTATTTTGAGGTTTTAAAAAGAAATTCTATGCACCTAAAAGACTTAAAAAATACAGCAGCTTTGATTTAAGATTTGGAAATGGGAGGCTATCTTAGCCTGTTTTGTGTTGCTATAAAGGATCTGAGTCTGGGTAATTAATAAAGAAAAGAGGTTTATTTGGCTCACAGTTATGTAGGTGGTACAAGAAGCATAGTGCCAGCATCTGCTTCTGGTGAGGGCTTCAGAAAGTTTCCACTCATGGTGGAAGGGGAGAAGGAGCCAGCATCACATGCCCAGAGAAGGAGCAAGAGAGATAGAGGAGGAGGTGCCATGTTCTTTTAAATAATCGGATCTCATGGTAATGAATAGAGTGAGAACTCCTCCATTACTGTGAGGACAGCACCAATATGTTCATGAGTGATCCACTCCCATGACCCAGACACCTCCTACTAGGCTCCACCTCTAACTTTGGGGATCGAATTTCTATATGAGATTTAGAGGGGACAAATATTCAAATTATATCAGTGACATTCTTGTGCTTTTCATCAGCACAAAGCTGCACAAATATTTCCCTTAATTTTCTCTGTCTCTTGCCTCCCATCTCTGTGTCTTAGCCTCTCCTTGGTGGACTATCTATGACAACTTCAAGTTCATTTTCATTTTGTAATCCTGGAAACAACACCTGTCTGTGACTTAAGAAGATGCTCTCCTTTTAGATCAAGTGCTTGTTATTTTTCCACAGTGATATACATCACCCTAAAAGGGTTTATGGGGCCAGCTCTTAAATATATCATGGTTTCCCAATCCCTACATACGTACATTGAAAACTCTTCCTTGGTAACTGCTCCTGGCCTTGGTGTTCCTTGTGCTCCGTTGGTCTCATTTAGAAGCCATTCTTTTGTCCTTGCCTGTTGCTGGCCTCCTGCAGTGCTTAGGTCTGCCCTACTTCGGCTCTAGCAGGAACAGTAGTCACTGATGGGTGGTGCTCTAATTAGATGCTGCCTCACCTGACAACTTAGTCTTTCATCGGAATAACTATGCCTGATAACCATCTTGATAGTCTAGGCATAAGAATGCATATCTGCTCTACTAGAGCCCATTTAGCACAACCACCAGAACCCTTGGCTCCCAATGACCAAGTGGATGATAATTAGTGGTTATGTGGCAGTGTTCCATCCTTCATTATATAACCTTTAAAGTGGCCCAAAACACCTTTGCTAGGACCTCAGTATTTCACTAAGCATAGTGATACAGTTCTTTGAAATTTTAAAATTTATTTCCTTCTAATCAATAGAACATAGAGCATAAGCATATCACCAGGGATCTGGACCAGGGATGATCTGAAAATAGCTTTATTTAGAATCATTACTCTCAGAGTATATGACTTCTTACTGAGTAAGTCTCAGAATACCTAGATTTTTTTCCCTTCAGTTATATCCTGGGAGGTCCCTAAAAAGAGATCTTAATTACTAATTGTGGTTGGGTGACAAATAACCTCCCCCCTCACCTCCACCCCCAAAAAGAGATATCCACATCCCAATCTCTGGAAGCTAAGATTGTCACTTTAATTGGAATAAGAATCTTTGCAGTTGTGAATCTTGCAGTGGTGAATCTTGGGATAAGGGGTTATTCTGGGTTATGTGGGGGATCCCTAAATTCAATCACTAATGTTCCTGTAAGAACGAGGCAAAGAGGGGGTTGAAATGCATAGAAGAGGAGGAGGCAATGTGACTACAGAAGGGGAACTTGGAGTGATGTTTCCTGAAGCCAAGGAATGCTAGCAGCCTCTGGAAGCAGAAAAGGCAAGGAATGAATTCCTCCTTAGGGCCTCCAGATGGAGCATGGCCCTGCCAACACCTTGATTTGAGTCTCATAATATTAACTTCTGACTTCTGGTCTCCAGAACTGTGAGAAAATAAATAGTATTGTAAGCCCCCGAGTTTGTGTTAATTTGTTATGTAAATCACAGGAAATATAAACATGGTTTTAGTTATCTCTTGTTGCATCATAAACTGCCCTAAAATTTAGCGGTGTAAAACAATAATTTATTATTATCTCTCACAGTTCTGTTAGCTGACTGGGCTCAGATAGGCAGTTTCTGACTGTGGCCTTTCATGAAGTTGCAATCAGATGTCCGTTAGGGATGGAGTCATCTAAAGACTCAATGTTTTGGAGTATTCATCATCACAGTATTTTTTTCTCATCTATTCTTTTGATGATTTTGTACATACACACACACATTAATAACACTAACTGTTATAAAATTAAAAGATCTCCTTTCAGAAGGCCACCATCAACACATATATTTCTCTTTAGTTTTTGGCACCTTATGTGTTTGCTTTCCCAGAAACAAGTTCACAATGTTATTTTTAATAACTTTATTCTATTGTGTGAATATATCCATATTTATTTAATAAATGTTGAATTTTTATACCAAGTAAAATCTCTTTCAGGCCCCCATGCATAAGTTCTACTCTTTTTTGTCATTTTTCAGTACCCAAATTGTTCAGTTGAACCCTAATGACTATTTTGCCCCAGAATTCTATGGGTGAGCTCTACTGTGAATAGGACATCACAAAATTCTCAAGTCTGTTTCCCTGCCAGACTCTCTCATCTACCATTTTTTCTCTGAAATAAAATGTTAATGAATTGTAGTATACTTATAGAAAAGTGCACAAGTCACAAGTATACAGTTCAATATAGTTTTACAGGGTGATCAAACCAGCTAAGCACATCCAGATCACAAAACAAAACATTCCCAGAGTTTTACAGATCCTCTCGTATCCTTTCAGTCACTTTGTACACCAGCATTCACCAGTGTAATCACTATTCCAAGTTCCATTATCTAATAGTCTTGCCTATTTTTGAAATGTATATACAGTAAAAGGAAGCAATTATGTTTGTAAGATATACCCATGTCAATGCATATATCTGTAGTTTATTTATTCTCATTGCTGTAAAATTTTCCATTACATTGATAAACCATGATTTGTATACTCTGTGTAGGGATATTTGGTTTATGTTTAGCTTTTTCTATTATGAATAGTGCTTTTATGAAAAACTGCATACATAAGTTTTGATGAACATATCTAGGCCTCTTTATAAAATTTATACTGAGGTGTGGGTTTGCTGAGTCACCAGTAGTGCCTAGTAACTTCATCTTAATTATGTATTGCCAAACAGCTTTGAAAAATATTGTTCCCAATTGCCCTCCCATGAGTACTATATGAGAGTTCCAGGTGTTCCACATCTTCATTAATGCTTGGTATATTATCAGTTTAATCTTAGGCATTCTGGAGGTTAAGTAGTGAGATCTCATTGTTATTTTATTCTCATTTCTTTCATGACTGCTGAGGCTGAGCCCTTTTTATAACCTGTTGGCCATTTGGATATCTCCTTTTGTGAAGTGCATCTTCAGAGCTTTGCCCACTTTTTAATTGATTTTTTTCTGATTAATTTTTATATATATAATAGATATATAATAATTAAACATATATAGAGAGAGAGCAAGAGAGAGACAGAGAGAGAGAGTGCAAATAATTTATTCCTCATTGCACGTTGGCCCGTTGCTTCTTTAATCATTCTTAAATTTAAAGTAGCACAATTTGTCTATCTTTTTTTATCCTGAATGATTTTTTGTGTACTTTGTGAAAAATTGTTGCCTACCTCAAGGTTATGAAAATATTCTCCTATATTCTAGAATATTTCTTACATTGCCTTTCACATTTAAATCTACAATTAATCTAAACTGATTTTTGTGTGTTGACTTAGAGGTTTCATTGTTTTCTCATGTGGAGATACAATTACCCTGGCACCTTTTATTACAAGGATAACCTTTTCTCCATTGAACTGAGTGCCACTTGTTATAAATCAAATAGCCATGGGTATTTGAGTATGTTAATACACCCTCTATTTCATTCCATTGATCTATTTGTCTATTGTTGTACCAAACTACACTATCTTAATTACAGTAGCTCTGTAGTAAGTCTTGTTACACAATAATGTTAAGTCCTACAATGTTAGAAATCTTCTTCAGGATTTCATTGTCTATTTGTGGGGCTTTGTTTCTAGGTACCTTTTAGAATGCCTATCACTATTAACCAACACTAGCACCACCACCACCAGTACCAACAATAAAAACCTGGTTGGAATTATAAATTTGATTCCAGTGAATCTATAAATTTGTGGAGAATTGACATCTTTAAAATATTTAGTCTTTCAATTCATGAACAAGACGTATACTTATGTTTATTTAGAACTTCTGTAATTTCTCTCAATAACAGTTTATACTTCTCTGCATTGAGATAGTGTCCATTTTTTATAGGTTGATTTATAGGTATTAGATGATTTGAGATTCCATTATAACTGATATTTAAAAATTTTTAATTTCTAGTATTTTTGTTTTTGGTATAGAATTCTGCAATTGAATTTTTTTCTATATTGGCTTTTTATCCTGTAAACTTGCAAAATTATCTTATACATGGTTTATCTGTAGATTTTTTTCTGATTTTCCGTATAAAAATTTTGTCATTGGTAAATAATAACAAATTTCCCCTCATCATGTCTTTCCCTTATTGCCTCTTCTAGGGCACCAACCTAATAGAAGGTATGATAGTGGTTATCATTTTATTGCTTCCTATTTGAATCAAAGCTTGTCTTATTTTAATCATGAAATTTTTCTATTTTTATGTCAAAATTCTTAATAGATTAAGAAAGCTCTCTTTTTCTAGTTTCCTATAAATTTTTAAAATAATATTTTGATGTTGAATTATGTCAAATGCCTTTTATGCATCTATGGAGATGATAATTGCTCCAGTGACTATATGAGGTCTGCAGATTCTTCCAGGAAGTAGTTTGTGTGTGCATTGTGTATCCCAGCCTCTACAGGTCCCACCTCACAGACTGGCTCTTTAGTTATCGAGCTCTGGGAGTTGACTGGGCTCTGCATTCATGAGTTTCCCCAGACCACAGAGACTAAAGAGATGGTTTTAAAATATACACACTTTTAGAGGCTATTCCAAGAGGCTCATAATGTGTAGTCTGAATAAGATTGAAGGCATTTACCCCAGACCCACTACCTGGATTAGTGCAAAATAAGTGAGAGACAAACTCCGACTCTCTACTTCTTCCCGAGGGTAGAAGGGACTGGAACACATGTTGAACACCCTAACTTTTCCACCTGTATCTTGAGGAACTGAATTCTTTCTTGCCTGTCTTGGGGCACTGACAAGGCATGGTATACCCTAATTTTCTGGGGCCACTGAGAACAATGACAGCAGTTTGAACAAGCACAAAATTTTGAGAGGCATATATAACTCTGGCCAGGTTGATTGGGGAGATCTATCTCCTATCCATGGCACATCTTACAAGACTGGGTGGGGGGTGGTCTTATCCTATGCACAGAAATTAACATAGAGAATGAAGTAAAACAAGGAAATATACTCCAAATAAAAGAATATAAATCCAGAAATCAAACCTAATGAAATGGAGATTTGCAATTTACCCAACAGAGAACTTAAAAGAACAATCATAAAGATACTCACTGAGGTTAGGAGAGAAATTATAAACAAATTTATAATTTCAACAGAGATAGAAAATATTAAAAACCTACCAGACAGAAATTATAGAGCTTAAGAATACTATAACTGAAAAATCTAATACACGGGTTCATCAGCAGACTAGATCAAGCAGAAGAAATTATCAGTAAACCTGAAGCCAAGTTATTGGAAATAATTCCATCTGAGGAGCAAAAGGGAAAAAGAATAAAAAAGAGTGGAGGCAGTTTAAGTGACTTATGGAACACCATCAAGTGGAACAATGTGTTCACTATCAGAAATCCAGAAAGAGAAGAGATAAAGAAAAGGACAGAAAACATATTCAAAGAAACAATGGCTAAAAATATCCCAAACCTAGGAAAAAGAAATCCAGATCCTAGAAGACCAAAGAATACAAAATAAGATGATTCCAAAGAAACCCATATCAAGACACATTATAATCAAATAGTCATAAGTTAAAGACAAAGAAGATTATGAAAACCGAGAGAGAAAGTGACTTGTTACATACAAGAGAACCTTCATAAGGCTATTGGTAGATTTTTCAAAAGAAAATTTGCGGGCCAGAAGAGAGTGGGATGATATATTTAAAATGCTGAAGAAACATGTCTCCCAGAACTTAAAATATTTTTTTAAATGCTGAAACAAATAATTAATAACCATTAATATTATACCCAATAAACCTATTATTCAAATGAAGATAAAGACTTTATCAAAGAAACAAAAGCTGAGAAAGTTTATCACCACAAGATCTGCCTTACAAGAAATATTAAAGGGAACTCTTTAAGTTGAAACAGAAGAGCACTAAAAAGCAACATAAGGGATAAGAAATTACAAAACACATTGACAAAAGTAAATATATAGACACAAAGGGAATATCTTATTACTATAATAGTATTAAGTAAAGCAATTTTAACCCTATTGTAAAAGTTAAAAGACAAAAGTATTAAAACTACTATAATTAGATTATGTCAAATGGTACATAATATAAGCATTGTAAAATGTGACATAAATAGCATATAATATGGGGGGAGGTAGAAGTGAATAATTCTTAAATTCTTGCAAGAGAAATTAAGTTATTTGCTTAAAATACACTGTTATAACTATATTTTACGTAAGCCCCTTGGTAGCCACAAATAAAATACCTACAGAAATTACACAAAATAAAAACAAAAAGGAATCAAAACCTAGCAATACCAAGAAAACTCACAAGAACAAACAAAAAAACAGAAAAGAATAAAATACAAATGATGACAGAAAGAGAGAAAATTGGGGGCAAATGAGTTAGAAGACAAGTAGAAAATAACAAAATGACAATATTAAATTCTTTCCCATCAATAACTACTTTAAGTGTAAGTAGACTAAATGCCCCAATAAAAAGGTACAGAGTGAACAAATGAATGAAAAGCCAAGATCCAACTATAAACTGTCCACAAGAAACTCACTTTATATTTAAAGACACATATAGGCTGAAATTGAAGGGATGAAAGAAAGATATTCCAGGCAAGTGGCCACCAAAGAAATTAATGGTGGCTATAATTATACCAAAGTAGGCTTTTTAAGAAAAGCCACTCTGAAGTTCACTATGTAATGATAAAAAGGTGAATTCAGAAGAAATATGTAACGATTGTAAACATTTAGGCATACAACATCAGTGCTCTTAAGTACATAAAGCAAATATTGGCAGATATGAAAGGAGAAATTGAGAGCAATACACTAATATTATGATCACCAATACCCTACTTTTAATAATAGATAGAATATCCAGACAGAAATCAATAAACAATGAACTAGAACAACACTACACATTAAATGGAATTGACAGACATATACAGAACTTTTTACCCAACAGCAGAATACACACTCTTATTGAGTGCACATGGAACATTCTCCATGACAGGTTACATGTTAGGTTACAAGACAAATTTTAACAAATTTAAGGAGGTTGATATATCAGATATCTTTTTTGACTGCAAGGGAATGAAACTAGAAATCAGAAATTGCAAGAAAATTTGAGAATTCACAAATAAGTGGACATTAAAAAAATTCTTGAAAAATCATTGAGTCAAAGAGGAAATCAAAAGTCCACTTAAAATTAAGATGCTTATAGTAATTAAGTTAGAAATTAAATTTCATAGTAATAAACACCTACATGTAAAAAGAAGAAAGATCTTAATTAAACAACCTAACTTTACACTCTGAGGAACTAGAAAAGAACAAACTAAGCCCAAAGTTAGCAGAAGAAAAAAAGAACAAAACAGAAATTAATCAAACAGGGAATGGACAAACTATAGAAAAAATAAACTCAGGGTTTTTTGAAAATAGCAAACCATTAGCTAGGATGAATTACAAATAAAGTTATAGGACTCAAATAAAATCAGAAATGAAAGAGCAAACATTACAACAGATGCCCAGAAATGAAGAGGATCATAAGAATTTATTATCAGCAATAAAAAGTCAACAAGTTGGATAACTGAGGAGAAATGGGTAAATTTCTAGAAACACACAACCTATTAATAGTGAAGCAAAACAAAATAGAAAGCCTAAACATACCAATAACAAAGAGACTGAAGTAATAATCAATTCCTGTCCCACCCCTCAACAAAAAAGCTCAGGACCAGATGGCTTTACATTTAAATTCTACCAAACATTAAAAGAAGAATTAATACCAATCCTCATTACTCTCTTCTTAAAAACAGAAGAAGAGGAAATATGTTCAAACTTAATTTATGAGCCTGGCATCACTCTGATACCAAAGCTAGTCAAAGGCACTTCAAGAAAAAAAACTATAGGCCAGTACCTCTAATGAGCATAGATACAAAAATCCTCGATAAAATAATAGCAAACTGAATTTGACAACACATCGTATGATTATGTTTCATGACCAAGTGGGATTTATCCCTGGGATGCAAGTGTGATTTAAAATATTCAAATCAATCAATGTGATATACCGCATTAAGATAAAATCACATTATTTTATGAAAGATAAAAATCACATGATAATCTCAACAGATGTAGAAAAATCATTTGATAAAGTTCAACATCCTTTCATTGTAAAAACTCTGAAAAAATGAGGTATAGAAGGAAATCTCAACATATTACAGGCTATTTATGAAAAGCCCACAGCTAATGTCACAATCAATGAGAGAAAACCAATGGCTTTTCCTCTAAGATTTGGTGCAAGGCAAGGATGCCCACTCTTATCATTTTTATCAAGCATAGTATCATCACTTCTATCAAACATAGTACTGGAAGTACAAGCAGGAGAAATCAAACAAGAAAAAGATATAAAGGTACCCAAACTTGAAAGGAAGAATACAAATTATCCTTGTTTGCATATGACATGATGGTACACGTAGAACACTCTAAAGACTCCACAAAAACCTGTTAGAACTAATAAATGAATTCCATAATGTAGCAGAATACAAAATTAACATACAAAAGTAGTTGCTTTTGTAACACCAAAAATGAGCTATTCAAAAGAGAAATCAAGGAATTAATCCCATTTATAACAGCATCAAAAATAATAAAATACTTAGAAATAAATTTAACCAAGTCAGTAAAAGACCTGTATAGTAAAAGCTGTAAAATACTGATGAAAGAAATTAAAGAAGAAAAAAATGGAAACATATTTCATGTTCATGGATTGAAAGAATTAATATTTTTAAAATGTCCAGACTATCCAAAGCAATATACAAATGTAATATCATCCCTATTAAAATTCCAATGGCATTTTTCACAGAAATAAAAAAAAAAACTCTAAAATTTATACAGAACCACAAAGACCTGAAATAGCCAAAGCAATCTTGAGAAAGAAAAACAAACTTGAAGGCATCATACTCCTTGATTTCAATCATATTACAAAGCTATAATAATCAAAATAATATAGTCCTGGCATAAAAACAGACATATAGACCAATGGAACAGAATAGAGAGTCCAGAAATCAACTCAGGAATATACACTTAACTAATTTTCAACAAGGCCACCAAGAAGACAGAATGGGAAAAGGATAGTCTCTTAGATACGTGGTGTGGGAAAAACTGGATATCCACATGCAGAAGAATAAAACTGGACTCTTACCGTACACCACAAACAGAAATCAACTCAAAATAAGACTTAAAATGGGAAAACTCCAAGAAGAAACCACAGGGAATAAGCTCCTTGATTTTGGCCCTGCCAATGTTTTGGATATCACACCCAAAGCTCAGGCAACAAAAGCAAAAATAAATGAGAATATATCAAATTACAAATCTTCTGCACAGTAAAGGAAGCAATCAACAAAAATAAAAAGGAAAACTGTGGATTGAAAGAAAATATTTGGAAAGTATACATGCAGTAAGGGATTAATATGCAAAGTATATTAGGAACTGATACAAATTGATAGTGGAAAACAAAAATAGAATATCAACCTGATTAAAAAATGGGTAAAGACCTAAATAGAGATTTTCCCAAAGATAACATAAAATAACCAATAGGAATAGGTGCTCAACATTGCAAATCAACAGGAAAATGCAAATCAGAACTACAGTGAGATACCATCTCACACCCAATAGGATGGCTACTGTCAAGAAGACAAGAGATAACAAGTGTTGGCTAGGAAGAAGAGAAAAAGGAACCCTTGTATACTGTTGGAGGGAATGTATAGTAGTACAGCCATTATTGAAAACAGTATGGAAGTTCTTCAAAAAATTACAAATAGCACTATCTTATTAAAAATAGCAATCTCTCTACTTGGTATGGAAACAAAGGAGTTGAAATCAGCACTTCATAGAGATATTTGTACTCCAATGTGTACTGCAATGTGTTCATTGCAGTATTATTCACAATAGGCAAGATATGGAAACAACCTAAGTGCCCTTGATGGATGAATGGATACAGAAATTGTGCATATGTAACGAAAATGTAATGAAATAATATTCAGCTTTAAAATATGAGATACTCCTATTTGCAACAACATGGATGAACTTGGAGGACATTATACTAAGTGACTTAAGTCAGACACAAAAGAAAAATATTGTATGATCTTATTTATATGTGGAATCTAAAAAAATTTGAACACATAGAAATAGAGTGAGATGGTGGTTACCAGAGTTGTGGAAGAAACGGAAATGGGGTTATGTAGGTCAAAGGGTACCAACTTACAGTTATGTAGAATAAGTAAGTCTGGAGATCCAACATGAGCATGAGGACTATAGTTCATAAGATTTTATTGTATACTAGCAATTACTAAAAAGGTATATTCTAGGTGCTTCTACCACAAAAAGAAGAAAGGTAACTATGTAAGGTGATGAGTATGTTATTGATTATGGTAATAATTTCACTATGTATATGTACATAAACATCATGTTGTATACCTTAAACATATACAGTTTAAAAAAAAAAAGCAAAGCACATGCACAACATTGGTATCAATTCAGTGAGATTATTTCTCTTCACGTTTTACGTTTTGCAAGTTTAACGACCATGATTAAATATGGCATACAATTTACCTGGCTTTTCTAGTATATTTTTCTAGGGTGAGCTGGTATCATCGGAAACAGAACCTTTTTAAAAATTGTGTTTTGTTTTTCTCTGAATTTTATGATTACTTTTTTCCAATCTTCCCTAGATTTTCCTGCCAAATAATACTAATTCTAACAGAATTATTAAAAATAATAAAGCTAATGTGCAAATTTTGAAAAAAATTAACTTTGCCTTGATCAAGAACACAGATTGGTTGCAAAATGTGGAAACTTCCAGAAAAATCTTTTCAATTCCAAAGAGTAGTATCCAACCATCTTTGCTGTTTTGAACTAGTCAACCATGGAGGAAACTCTCTATAAAATCAGCGTTATTGAATAACAATTAAATATACAAAATTGCCTCTCCTTCCTACCTATGGCACCAATTCTCAAATGTTCAATAAGAACACAGAGTTATGGAATGGGGCATGGAGAAGTGGCCTACCCTAGTAACTGCAAATATTGAAATAATAAATCTCCCTTTTTTTTTTTTTTTGAGATGGAGTTTCACTCCTGTTGCCCAGGCTGGAGTGCAATGGCATGATCTCAGGTCACCACAACATCCGCCTCCCAGGTTCAAGCGATTCTCCTGCCTCAGCCTCCTGAGTAGCTGGGATTACAGGCATGCAACACCACGCCTGGCTAATTTTGTATTTTTAGTAGAGACGGGGTTTCTCCATGTTGATCAGGCTGGTCTGAAACTCCTGACCTCAGGTGATCTGCCCGCCTCGGCCTCCCAAAGTGCTGAGATTACAGGCATGAGCCACCGTGCCCGGCCTGAAATAATAAATCTTTAAAGAGAGTTTTCTATAAATATATTTGAAATATTTATGCTTCAAGAACTTCTGGAATAATACTCAAAAGTTTAATACAAAACCTCCTGGTAAGTAAGAAACTCAGTGAAATTAGGCTTATATATTTTTTCCTGACTCTATTATGTAATTCTCAGATTCACCCAAAATTATTTTTATGTGTGCTCTTGAAAGATATTTTTATTATGGAATCAGTGTTTCTACTTTTCTGGAACTAAAGCCAAGGCATGTGACAAAATAGATGAAATTGGAGCAATTTTCCCAAACTCGGGGCATATGACAAATGTCTATAGAAGGCACTATTATATTTCTCTCTAGCTTGGGGATAAACTTTTCATATCTGCCAATCTAATTTGACTAATGTATTGTTTTTACAGTGCGTTAGTGGAAATTAAATGGTAAATCCAGTCAAATAGTCATTCTATACATCAAAAAGAAAAATCAGTCAACGCAACTGTCTGACTGAAATGAATGAAGAAAACAATTCAAGACAAACAATTGTCCCAGTAGACTTGTATAAATACAGTAGTGGTGTCATGTGCAGAGTTAATCTTTCCCCACTCTTAACTTGAGAACATTCTGCCAGGCAATTCAGTCACTCAAATAATCCTGAATTTTAATATTCCAGTTTCATTTACTCTAAGTTAATGGTGACTGCCCTTCCTTCTCCTTCATCTGTCAATCAATCAAGAGAATGTCAGAGCAGGAGAATAGTAATATTGGCATATTGTAATGTACTACCCTGAATTCTACAGCTTCAAAACTCTGAGACTAACTCAATGATGGTCTTAAAGAGTATGGTGCAGAAAGAATATGGGAATTGAATCACAGACCATAGCCAGTTCCTTCTAGCACTAACATTCGATATCTCTGGTTCTAATATATTATAAAATACTTCAAAAGGAAAATTTTTAAGTAGTCAGCAGAAATATGGCTCGAAAGCAGGCCCATTGAGAAGAAACATTGTCATCTATGATTGACTTTAAAGTCTCCTTGTCTTTTGCTCCTTAAACTGGAATTCAGTGTGTAGATTCTCTTCTGTTAAACATTAGACTGTTGGGAAAGTGTGTTTGATTTCATTTTTTTTATACTCTAATTTTTCAAACAATATTGTCTTTAAAACAGTTTAAAAGTTATTTGAATATTATAAGGCTGTTTTTTGTTTTTTAGTTGCCAACCTTCTAGAACAAATCTGTGTGCTTAGCTGTAATAGATGGATAGTGTCTGGAAAGCAAGCAAAATAGATGAGTTTTCTGTTTTTAAAGAGCTCTACCTGTGTATGTAAGCAACATAACACATTTCTCATGAAATAATATGTTCAAGAAGGGAAGAAAGGTGATTCCCTTGGTATAATTCATGATAACAAAGAAGACTCTAATAATACCTTTATAAAGAGGACGTAAACAAGAGAAAAGTAACTTTAGAAAGGATAAAACCAAGTCTTGGCTAATATTGTATATTTTCTGATAGACTCTTATACAGAGAGAGAATATGGTAGAGGAGTGGCAATAATATCAATATGTTACATCTAGCTATTTTGTAGAATGCAAGGATTACATGTGGGATAATAAAAGCACTTTGCAAAAGCAGCCAGCTCTCAATTATTCAGTACAGTTCATTCAGTCTGTTCTTTTGCCTCCTTCAATTGAATAGTGTGAATTAGAAGTGTATAAACTTCTAATTCATTTATCAATTGTCCACTAAGATAATAGATATGGGCTAAAAATAAATTCTTTTTTTCTTCTGCCCTTACATCCTAACCTTAATGGGCATTGCAGAAATCAATCAATCTCTCTCTCTCTTTCTCTCTAAATACAAATATAGACATAGATATTTTGGAGTTTATGGATATGTTGGTCCTGCATCTCCTTTTTCCTCAGATCTATTGCTTTTCTGTTTTGGAGGCGGGGTCGTACAGTGGTGTGATCAGAGCTCACTGTAGCCTTGACTTCCTGGGCTCAGGTGATTCTCCTGCCTCAGCCTCCCGAGGAGCAGTAATTACAGATGCGCACCACCACGCCACGCTAATGTTTTTTTTTTTGTTTGTTTTGTTTTGTTTTGTAGAGATACAGGGTTTTGCCATGTTGCCCAGGCTGGTCTCAAACTCCTGGCTTTCAAGCAATCCACCTACCTAGGCCTCTCAAAGTGCTGGGATTATAGGCGTGAGCCACTGCACCCGGACTCCTTTTTGTTTTCTTGCTTCACTGACCCCTGGAAGCTGCATATCTAAGGGCCCACTGTTCACTGGCTTATAGGTTTAGCCTGTGGGAATCTCTGGTGTCAGACTGGTGGGCAAGAGGACAGGTGAAGTCAACATATTTTCTGTTTTTCTCTCTGTCTTGGTGGCATATGTGTCACTAATATCATCAATTCTAGGGCTGCAGCTCCTGTGTGAAAAGCCTGGCAGCCAGGTGGTCCTGGCCTCTGGGCTTTTGTGTCATCACTCATGCCCTTTGTCTCTTCAGACTAGGAGATTAGTGGCTTTCTGTTGTTAATAATCGCTGGGTTGTCTCATCGTCTTTTGTTTGGTCTGATAGCTCTTCCTGTGTAACTAATCTTGTACATTATATTTCTTTTATTTTAGTGTATAAAATGGTTTTATTTTTCTGATTAGACCCTGAAGGAAACAATGGATAATAGTTTTTTTCATGACTCAGTCACTAATCAGTGGGTGCAAACAAATTCCCAGTATCCTCATTTTTCCAGCTTATTAGCTGCATTGACTAACTGGGATATCTCAGCCATCCTTAGAGTTTTTCTGAGGTAGGAGGGTATTAGGACTCTTGGGAGGGTGTTGATGCCCCCATCCATCCTCTTCATAAATTCTCCTCCTAATGTCACATGGAAAAATAATCTTTAAACCTCACAATAACGAAGAGATGTTGGCAGCGGGTTGCGGGTGATGGGGGGGAAGGGGATTGTAACTGTGATACATAGTGGGTTCTGGAATCAGCTACATACATTTCTTTGTTTTAAAATATAATTTCAACTTTTATTTTAGATTCAATGGGTACATGTGCAGGTTGGTTACATGAGTACCTTGCATGACGCTGAGTACATTTGGATACGAATGATCTCATCACCCAGGTAGTGAGCATAGTACTCAAGAGTTAGTCTTTCAATCTTTGCTCTCCTCTCTCCCTCCCCCATCTAGTAGACTCCAATGTCTATTGTTGCCATCTTTATGTCCATGAGTACCCAATGTTTAGCTCTCACTTATAAGTGAGAACAGGTAGTATTTGGTTTTCTGTTTCTGTGTTAATGCACTTAGAATAATGGTCTCCAGCTGCATCCATGTTGCTGTAAAGGACACGATTTTGTTCTTTTTTCATGGCTGTGTAGTATTCTATACAATCTCATTAATGGATATATATCCAAAAAGAAAATAAATTGTTGTACAAAAAGGCACTGGCATTTGTGTGTTCATTACAGCACTTTTCACGACAGCAAAGACATAGAATCAATCAAGGTGCCCATCAATGGTGGATTGGACAAGGCATGTAAAATGGTTTCATTTGTCTAATTAGACTCTGAAGGATACAATGGATGCATTTAAAACATTAGTCACACTTCTATGATAGTAAATATATTTCAATTATTTGGTCTATAGAATACCTAGAAAAAATGTAATTTATGATAAATACACTTTCATCACATCTTTTTTTCCTGCAAGGTATTTTTCTCCATAATATGACAAGTATGAATCATTTCACAACACATTACAAGGTCCAGGTAATGTCACAGATTTCAAGATTTTTTTTTTCTGTAAATTTTAATTTAGGTACAGATACAAACCACCAAGTTTGGCAAATGCATAGTATCAGCCAATTGTGGGAAACCATTTCTTTTAGTTTGCAGAAGAAATCAGAAACTTCTCTCATAGAAAAGGTGAGGAAAAGCTTGGTTCTCAATTGCAAAGATCACCCCTGACAATACTGTTTGATCAGACTGGAATGGTCCCTTCAAAAGTGCAAGGGTTTCTAAAATAATCATGATTTAGAATCCACTTTCCATGGGCACTACTTATTTTGGAATCCTGCTATATCATGGGTGCTGAATTCAAGTTGTAACCTGTTTTCTTTTCTTACTCCTCAGTGACTTCACACTAACTTAGGATCAGATCATTCTCACTGGACTTTAACATGCACATCTTCAACCCATTGGTGTTCCGGTAAATGTTTAGCAGCCATCTCACTGAAAAATAAAGCCAGAATTGTGTTTATCCATTTCCGTGATGTGAGTGCTCCCAATATGGCCAACATTGTGGTTCTGTTACTAACGTGATGTCACTAAAGACAGAGTTGGAAAGGGATGCTCAGTAGCACTTCTCATATAGTATTTCTGCCACACCAATTCAACACAGGTAAATAATGTCAAGAGCATAGACAACAGTAAACTGTAGTAAAATAATTAGGAACTGATGAGTTTGTATGTAACATAATTTATTTCAGAGTGTGTTTATGTAATTTAAATTTTAATAATGTCTGCATTTAACAACATGGAATTCCTGAAAAATGAATAACTGACTCTTGCAAGCCAGTCCGAGCTGGCTGCAGTGCACTATCATTTGTCCTCCTCTGAGATTTTCTGAATAGCCTTGACCACCCAACACAAATAGCCATTTAGGAATAGTCTTCAGTATGCTCCACAATCCATTGTCTTTCAGAGAACTGCAAAAAACAACAAAAAAAAGGCATTTACTATACCCCTTGCTTTATGGAGAGCTAAGAATGAGAAAGCATAGGGCTGACTGTAGCCCTGGAGGGAAAAGATTAAGAGAGCACTATAGGGAGACATTTCATATATTTTTATGAGGCTAGAGGAATAAAACAATATGAAAATTAATTTATTAGTAGACTATTTTGCTACAAAAAAGTTGTAATAGATCACCTGTTACAAAGAAATGCTCCTGTCCCCTCCAACTGATTCGGGATGTTACAGGGGCTCTCTAATAGTGCTCCTAGTTATCTCAGAGGGGCAGCTCCAACTGACACAGCTGCCCTTTGCTTCCTTTTTCTAAGACACAACAATCTGGCTTCCCATTATTTATGCCACTCTCTAATTCTACTGTCCAATGATTTCTCAGTTTTACAGGGCTTGGGAATCATCTTTAGAGCTAGTTCTTTTCTCCCTATTCTGCTCTGTTAAAGATGTCATAGAGTCAAGTTGCTTAGGTCTAGTAAAGCACAGGCTTGAATGGGACAACAGTTTTGTTTTTATGCATAGTCCTCTTATTCTGTGGACATACTAGATGCATCGACCCAGGTGGCTGGGTCAAGGCCATTTTGTAAAATATTCACTAAACTGTGTCTAGTAAGACAGTTCTCTCCAATGGTAAGGATTTTGTTTCTTGCCTTAGTTTCCATTTATGATATGTCTTTCTTAGCAGCATTATCGATCCTTTTAAAGTAATTTCTGTCATTTATCCCAGAACATTCAGTTTCCATATATGTCTCTGCATATGTTTTAATGCCAGTTGTAGAATTGTTTCATCTTCTTTTTTTAAGTTCTTGTGCTTTTATATTTTCTTTAAAAAATGGATGCAACAAGGTATTTGGGAAGACCGAGGCATTGTACATAATGAAACCTGCCTGCCTGTGATGGTTAATTTTATGTGTCGACTTGCCTGGACCATGGGGTGCCTTGATATTTGGTCAAATGTCATTCTGGGTGTTTCTGTGAGGTTGTTTTTTGACAATATTAACATTTAAATTGGTAGACTGAGTAAAATACATTGCTCTCCATGATGTGGGTGGGCCTCATCTAATTTCTTGCAGAATTGAATAAAATAAAAAGACTGGCCCTCCCTGAATAAGAGGCAATTCTCCTGCCTAATGGCATTCAAAATAAAAAAATCGTATTTTTCCTGTTTTTGTACTCAAACGGAAACGTTGACTCTTGCTGGGTCTTCAGCCTTTCAGACTTTAGGCGGAAGCAGTATCATTGGCCTTCCTGATTTTCAGGTGTTCCAAATTCACCTGTAGTGAAATCATTGGCTTTCCTGGGTCTTCAGCTAGCTGAATAATCCTGAAGATCTTGTGATGTGTCTGCCTTCATAATCATGTGAGCCAATTCCTTATAATAAGTGTCTTTTTAAATATATTCATCCTATTGATTCCATTTCTCTGGAGAACGCTAATTGCCTGATTACTGAATCTTAGCTCTCTTGACCTCAGAATTCTCCTATTCCACATGGTGTATGTACTTAAACATAAGTACAATTTCTTTATTGAGTAAATCTTTGAAAAAAAGTTTTTTTTTATATTTGCAGCAACATATGATTTTTTCACCATAGTCATGAATCCCAATGATTACTTCAAGGAGTTGGTTTAGTAAAATGTTTCCAAATTTGGAAGTGATGAAGAATATTTTTAAACTAGCTTCTAATTTTATAACCATAAGTTTTCATATTTAATCACAGTGTATGAGTCCATTTTCATACTGCTATGATGAAATACCCCAGTCTGGGTAATTTATAAAGAAAAAGTGGTTTAATAGACTCACAGTTCTGCATGGCTGGGGAGGCCTCACAATCATGGCAGAAAGTGAAGGAGGAGCAAAGGCATGTCTTACATGGCAGCAGGCAAGAGACTGTGTGCAGGCGAACTGCCCTTTATAAAACCATCAGATCTCGTGAGACTTATTTAGTATTATGAGAACAGCATGGGAAAAAGCCGACCCATGATTCAATGACCTTCCACTGGGTCCCTACTATGTGACACGTGGAGATTATGGGAGCTACTATTCAGGATGAGATTTGGGTAGGGACACAGCGAAACCAACACAGCCAAACCATATAATATAATTAAATCCCTCTAAGGAAGCCTAAGTAGTTGTTTGTGTTTACAGGACAAAATTACAGAGACAGGAAATTTGTTGAGATTTTTAAAGATATTTTAAATTTTCAAAATGTTGTGTAGGATTTGGTTTACTTCGAAGTAGAATTAGCTTTTGTAAATAAGGGATCGAATTTCTGAAGAGTACCAAACCAAAAATCAGATTTTCCAAAAGCTAATGTTAGCTTTACCAATGACTAGCTATTTTACTAGTTCACATCTGTGGATATCATTTTCATTGTGTAAAAGTCCTGGTGTTAAACAGCTTATATCTATGTTTTTAGTATTATGTCACCCATAAGCAACAGTATGGGATAAGCAGAAGTTTTCTTGGTGTTTCTCACTTATTAAACTCATCCTACTGACATATTTTTCTCAACCTACTTCAGATGTCCAGAGATGATAGAATGACTCCTTCTTTCCAACCAAAAATCCACTGGGGGAAAAGAAAATATGATACTAATTTATCATATGTGTAAATGATTTAAAATAGCTTTACATGTCACTGGATCTCTAGTTTTATATATTTTTTATTTTGCATTTTAAGAAGAATGATATTTTTAGCTAAATGAATGAGATTTAGAAGTGGGATTTCAGAGAAAAAAGTATAGTTTGGGACATTAGGAGTTTTTTGAGTCATTTAAAGAACTTTCAAGGTAATTGCCTATTTGGCTTAACTGTAAAATTGATGGAAGGGTCTACAGGGTTACAAGTCAGGACTGGACAAGAGATAGAAGAATTACTACTTCCCATACTTCATTAATTTCTACTCATCTATTATATGCTAGGCATTGTGCTAGTTGATAGGTGTATATTAATTAATGCAGATGACACAGGCAAGGTGCTCATGGAGCTTACTATGTAATTATTGTACTTACTTAGGACTATAGAGTCTACAAACTTATTAGAGAAATACTGAAGATCCTAAGCCCAAAATGTCCTGTATTACATAATACACATCTATTCTGACTTGAAATGACTTTTTGAAACACTATTTAAATCTAGATGAAAAACAATAACAATTCTTTACATCTTATTTTTATTCAGAAATATGTTCTCTTTTTATGTGCCCACTTTGTTTTCTGCATTAAGGAAGACATAGAATTTTTAAAAAGTATTAAACTGATAAGAACAGCTATGACACTGGGTATTAGCCAAAAGACCAAGATATATGGAACCACAAAAGACATCAGAGAAAAGACCTGAGCAAAAACAACAAAAATGGAGGCATCACACTACCTGGCTTCAAAATATACTACAAAGCTACAGTAACTAAATCCGCATGGTACTGGCATAAAAACTGAGACATAGAACACTGGAATAGAACAGGAAATCCAGATATAAATCCACATATTTATAGCCAATTAATTTGCAACAAAGGTGCCAAGAACATACAATAGGGAAAAGGGCACTCTCTTAAATAAGTGGTGCTGGGAAAACTAGATAACCATATGCAGAAGAATGAAACTAGACCCCTATATTTCACCATATACAAAAACAAAATCAAAATGGATTAAAGGCTTAACTCTAAGACCTGAAAGTTTGCAACTACTAGAAGAAAACTTTGGGAAAGCCTTTCCAGACATGATCTGAGCAACAATTTTTTATGTAGGACCTCAAAAATAGAGGCAACAAAAGCAAAAATATACAAGTGGGATTATACCAAGCTAAAAACTTTTGCACAGCAAAGGAAACAATCAACAAAGTGAATAGACAGCCCATAGAATGGGAGGAAACATTTGCAAGGGGTTAATAATCAGAATCCGTAAGGAGCTCAAACAACTCAATAGCAAAAAGAAACAAAAAACCCCAAATAATCCAATTTAAAAATGGGCAAATGATCTAAATGACATTTCTCAAAAGAAGAAATACAAATGGCCAACAGGTATATGAAACAATGTTCAACATCACTAGTCATCAGAGAAATGCAAACCAAAATTATATCTCACCATAACATCATACCAAAATCATAATATAATATTATCTCATCCCAATTAGACTGGCTTTTATAAAGAAGACATAGAATAATGGGTGCTTAATAGGATGCAGAGAAAGGGAAACCTTTCTGTATTGTTGGTAGGAATGTAAATTAATATAGCAACTATGGAAAACAGTATAGAGGTTCCTCAAAAAGCTAAAAAATAGAACTATCGTGTGACCTACCACTACTGGGTATATATCCAAAAGAAAGAATCAGTGTAATGAAGAGATATTTGCACTTCCATTTTGTTTCAGTACTATTCACAATAGCCAAAATATGGAATCAACCTAACTGTCCATCAATGAATAAATAGATAAAGAAAATGTGGTATATATACACAATAGAATATTATTCGGCCGTAAAAAAAGTGAGATCTCATCATTTGCAGCAACATGGATGGAACTGGAGGTCATTATGTTAAGTAAAAGAAGCCAATCACAGAAAGAAAAATATGGCATAGTCTCATTTATACATAGGAGCTAAAAAGGTGGATCTCAGGAAGATAAGAGGGTAGATCAGTGGTTACAAGAGGCTGGAAAGTTTGAGGCAAGAGAGGGATGAAGAGAGTTTGACTAGTGGATACAAATATACAGTTAAAAGTCTTGCAGATTTAAGTTTGCAAAACACAAGGCATCAGATATCACTTTGGACAATTTTCATCATCTAGACTTTTGTTCCCAGTAAGTGTTTTTTAATAGTCCTGTTTCCATATATATGCATATATAAGACCCAGTGTTCAGTAGATGAGTAGATTGAGTACAGTTAACATTAACCAACTGTACATTTAAAAATAACTAGAAAAGAATAATTCAAATGTTCTTAGCATAAAGAAAAGATAAGTTTAAGGTGATGGATATCCTAGTTACCCTGATTTGATTATTAGAATGTTTAAAATTATCACATGTACCCCTGAATTTTGTACATCTATTATGTATCAGTAAAAAAATAAAATGTGAAAGTGTTATTGAGACACTGAGATAAATGAAAAAGTAATATCCATGTATTTTAATAATTGATATCTGAAACTATATAAGCTATGAAACAAAATCTAATTGAAAACAGTGCAACAAAAATTGATCATTTAAATATTAGCCACTAATATTTATTTGATCCAAATACCCAGAGCCAAGTATTGGACATTGTTAATAATGTTCAAGTGTAAAGTCAAATGTAAATACATAATCTAGAGAGAATTCTTATATAGAACTTCTTTAGCTTCCTAAATTAATTCACCAAAACTCAAATACTGTCCTTTATAACACTGGAAATGAAAGCTTTACTTTTTAATAGAAAAATCTGCATTTCACTGTAAAAATAGAACACTTCATTCCCGACCTATACACACTTTGAGAAGCAATAGTTTTTGGAATGCTGAATACTTAGCATAAAGACATTAAGTCTTGAAAATTCATTTCAGGCTTGAGAGACCTACATATATACATTTATATATATATACATATATGGAAACAGGACTATTAAAATAACCACTTCCTGGGAGCAAAAGGCTATGTGACAGAAACTCTCCAAAGTTATACCTTTTGCTTTATGTCTTGCAAACTTAAGTCTGCAAGTACTTGAAAATGAGGAATATATGCAATTTATGCTTAATACTGATGTAATTAAAGTTTCTGGCACTACTTGGGTTAACCATCAAGAGGCAGAGTAACCAATTTAAGCAGTAAAATAGCACACTGGATTTATCAATTCTTGTCTTAAATTTGACCATTAAGGTACCCTATACACAAACATCATTACAGTTTTGTTTTATGATGTTGTTCCTCTTTAATGAGAAGTAAAGTACATATCACAGTGGTAATAGCCCCAAGTTTTGGTTCCAATTTTGTGATTTGTGATAAGTCACATATCCAATGTAAACCTTCCATTATAAAAGTAAAGCTTTCATTTATAAAGTTGTTAAGGATAGTGTTTAATATTAAGTGCTAGCAAATTAAATTTATGAAGGTTTAAAAAGTCTTACATAAGGATTTTCTCTAAAGTATTGACATTTCATTTGTTTATACATTTAGAAGATAGATCATGACATCAGTTGTCAGTGCTGGCTGCTTTCTACTCTACCAAGATGTGCCTCACCTTAAAGATCACAAGCAGTGGAGACTGTTCAATTCAGATCGACATGAACTGACACCTGGGCATTGGGATTTTGGCCTAACTCATGTTTGTTCTTGAATGTAAGGTATCTCATAGAACTAGTGAACAGATCCCTGGTATTCAGATTGAGTTTAAAGTAAACTGTGCAGAAGATATATTCCAGAGAATTTCATAGGTTTATAGATCAAATGATCTGTGTTTCTATGAATTTTAGTGTGAAATGCTCAACTGACAGAGCCTCAAAAATTGATATGTGGTTTGTGGAAGAGAACAAAAGGGCAATGTGGCAGACACGCCTAATGGACTGATAAAGATTCATGCTTTCCTTAGGTTGATTGCCACTAGGTGAGGTGGTGTGGCTACTTCTCCCTCTAATGAATGCAAGTGGGAATGATGTGAACCTCTTTAGGACTAAGTGGTTATGAAATAGGAATATTTTCTCTGTGTCTTCTTTTCTCAAGTACAGTGCAAAGGGAAAGGAGCCCAAAGACGTAGATAAGGACAGAATCACTGAACGCAGTTAAACCAGGAAACTCCAGTTGGACTTGACATAGAGTCAGAAGTAATATTTATTATGTGAAGGAACTGAACTATGGAGGGTTGGTGATTATATGGAAATATTAATTAAAATTTTGACTTTTTTTCTGAGATGGCACTTGCTCAAGATGTGTAAGGACGGTGAAAAATAATGGCATAAATTTGTTGTGGTCTCTCAGTTTAGTGTTCTCATTTGTGTTTTATGAAACCCTGTGAATTAGTTCAGGGGACAAATCCGTAAGAATTTTCCTGGGGAAACCGAGGCTTAAGAAACTTCCCCTAAAACACACTTCACAGTGCAGTGGATACCAAAGGGCACAAAAATAAGATCTAAGAAAAAGTGTCTAACGTTCTTTATCTCCATCTATATCCCAATTCTTTTGTTTGTTTGTTTGTTTGTTTGAGACGGAGTCTCGCTGTCACCCAGGCTGGAGTGCAGTGGCGCGATCTCAGCTCACTGCAAGCTCCGCCTCCCAGTTCAAGCCATTCTCCTGCCTCAGCCTCCCGAGTAGCTGGGACTACAGCCGCCCACCACCATGCCCAGCTAATTTTTTGTATTTTTAGTAGAGACAGGGTTTCACAGTGTTGGCCAGGATGGTCTCGATTTCCTGACTTCGTGATCCGCCCACCTCGGCCTCCCAAAGTGCTGGGATTACAGGCGTGAGCCACCGCGCCTGGCCTATATCCCAATTCTTTACATTTAAGTGGACCTGTTATTATAGGATAAAAGGCTATCAGAGGACATTTGGCATCAATTTTCTGTCTACTTTTACATAGAGAGTATTCTACTTTAGTATTTTATTCAGGTACTTATATAAATCTATCTTTTAAAATATGTGAAATATGGGAAGCCTAATTTTAAATTTCTTTTCTTATAAAAAGTATAGAAAATTTTTTACAAAAATTATAGAAAATGTACAGAAACTAACATTTCAATGATTGAAAGTGTCAACTTAGTATAGGCAAAAGAGCATTGGGCTTTGAATTTTGAAAAAGTAGATTTTAATTGCCACCTCAGGAACTTTGTTTAAATAATTTCTTCAAAGCTCAGCTTTGGGATCTGTATGATGGAGTTATATTCATGTCTCAAAAATGTTTTATCATGCCAATATTGTGTGTGTATTTTATATATATGTGTGTGTGTGTGTGTATATGTGTGTGTGTGTGTGTGTAATACTGGTATAAACCCTTTGGAATGTTAAAAGCATTATACAAATGTTGGTCATTATTAGAGATGAATTTACAAAGTAAATGAATATTAAGGCCGAATATTCATGACAGATAAAACAAACCTAAGGTCAAATCTGTTAGGATTGTTCCTGCTTAATTTTCTCCTTTCCTCCTTCCCTCCCTCCTTCCCTCCTTCCCTTCTACCTTCCTTTATTCCCTCCTTCCCTCTTACCCTTTTTCTTTCCTTTCTTCCTCCTCTGCTTAGTTGGACAACAAGAGAGTGAAAGAGCAAGCTATCCAGGAAACACTAAGCTTGAAATTCTTACCAGGAGCTAGACAGCCTTCCCACAGATGGAGGCATTATGGTTATCGACATTCATTTCTCCCTTCTCTCGGGACTCATGAACTGGCTAGATGTCCTCTAATTTCTACCCTGGACACTAAACGGCCTGGGTATACTTCCAGCATGTGATTATGCCTTCCCCCAGGGATCTGCAGTATCAGACACCCACTCCGATTCTCCCTGCTACGGCAGGAGTGCACTGCAATCACCGGCAAATTTGTAGGTCAATGAGTTGAAAATTGGTTGTCTTTAAGTTTCTGATTTTTAAATACGTTTTGTACAAATTGGTTCAAATGGAAAATAGGTTGGGATGGGAAAAAAATGAGAGCCGCCACCTTGCATTAATATACACAATATTGCTATTTATTTTTAGTTTCTGGATTAATGTAGCACTGACATGGCTCCTATCTCTGTCAATAAGAAAAGGATAATAAAATGAATAAATGCAAACCAAATAATTTGCAAGCTGCATGATAAGTGTGATTTTTCAAGTTAAAAAAAAATGATCTTCATCTGGGAACAAACTTACTTAAAGATTTTAAAAGCGAATTTCAGCTCAGCTGCTGGGGTTTGTTTGAAATCTACCACTGACTGAGGTGTGAAACTTACATTTGATGTAGTAAATCTTGTCGACTGTTATTTTAAAGGACTGAAATGTGCTTTTATAGCAAAATTGTCTCAAATAAAAAATACATTTTTACAGTCTCACTCTGTCATAAACTTTCATGTCAGGTTTTAGCTTCACAATATATGCGGAGGATGCATTATACAGGAATAGGAAGGAGGCATGCATAATAAGTTGTTGTAGTTTCCATTGAGATAGAGAGAGGAATGTCCTATAGCTTTCCTGTGATCAAAATATTAAATATTACATAGTTGATCAGAAATGACCAATATGCTTATCTTGAGTTGTCAGACTGTTATTGCTGCAGAATAGCTATTTTATATTCTATAATTACATATCTAAGGATTTCTATGAAACGGGTTATAATTTCTTTTACCATATTTCTTGACAGAAATTTTTAAAACTCCAGGACAAAATTTCATAAGAAAAGGATACCTAATTTATATCATCCTCATGCTAACATTTAAAAAATTAGGTTTTCTGGAAAATGTTTTAAAGAAATAGTGTTGTAATTAACTGTAGCTCTCTCACTGTTACAGGTACTACTATCTCAGGTCTGAAACCACTTTAACAGATTGTATTTGTATGAATAAAATGTATTCTAGAGTGGGTGTGTGAGAGTGTAAAGATGCAGTTTTGAAATGACTTCAGATCACTAACATTTATTAATCATTGGCATATCAGATACTAATAGATTATTGGCAAAATGCAGGTCAATAGATATTAATGACAGAGAACAAATTGACAGGCAATTTTTATCCTGTTGGGCATTTTTTTTTTTTAGTGCACAGAAGTTTGTTTTATTAGTGACTTTAGACATTGTGGCACTCAAGAAAGGCGTTTAAAAAATCTGTGAAAAACAATTACAAGACATTGCTTATTGTTGCAAAAAACCCACCAAAATAATAATAAAATTAAAAATATATCGTTAGTCCTCAGCCTTTTAGAGCTTCAGAATAAAGATATAATGCTCATAATATCTCTTCTCTTACATTGTCACTACAAAGTGCTCTTAGGGACATTCAAGCAGGATAAGGAATGTGAAGGTGCTTTAGAAGTTAAAAATACAAAACACTGACTCTCGTGCCTATCGTTGTGTTTGGTACTCTTTACAATTATGGATTCATTGACTCTTGGAACAACTTCATGTGGTTATCTGAGCTAGGCATGAGGGCCTAAATGTGGGTTGTGATGATTGTCGCTTGATGTGTAGGTCTACTCTCCTGAAGCATGATAGAGCTTGGCTTTTAATCTAGGCTGTTATGATAAACTCAGGGCACTTTTCCATTATAAAAATTCTAAGAAGATTCTAGCATTTCTAATATATTGTGTAATGGGCTGGGCATGGTGGCTCATGCCTATAATTCCACACTTTGGGAAGCTGGAGTGGGTAGATCACCTGAGGTTGGGAGTTTGAGACCAGCCTGGCCAACATGGTGAGACTCTGCCTCTAGTAAAAATACAAAAATTAACTGGGCATGGTGGCACACACCTGTAATCTCAGCTACTCGGGAGGCTGAGGCAGAAGAATTGCTTAAACTCAGGAGGCAGAAGTTGCAGTGAGCCAAGATCACGCCACCACGCTCCAGCCTGGGTGACAGAGTGAGACTCTGTCTCCAAAAAAAAAAAAAAAATTTTGCAATGAATCATTTGATTGAGAAGTATTAGTTTAATACCGAATGCTGTTGGATTATCAATAAGGTGGTCCTTTCCAGTAAGGAATTTGTACTAATGAGAGAAATAAGATAGAAAAAAAAAAGAATAAATAGTTCTTGTGATTTAGGGAGGAAAAACTCTTTGTGAAGAGACACAAAAGCTCTTGTGAATAGAAAATAATTCTTGTGATTTACCTACGTTATTATTTAGGAAAGTAGTAAAGTTAGTTATTTCTAATATAAGCAAACTCACAAGAGTTCGGTTTAAATGCTGCTAAATTCAACTTGACAAAAATATTGAGACATTTCTTATGTGTGTGAACAGCAAGAATCTGAAAGCATGATTCCAGCAGTTACACTCCGAAACCATCAGCCCATATGTAACGAAGACTCTTAATCAATTTAGCCAAAATGGTAACTAGAAATAAAAGGCCAGCAAGATTTCATTTAAATTCAGTCTGACTCAACAAATATTTATTGAGCTCTTATTTAGAATAAGCCTTTGTTTCAGGGACTATAAATATATAGTTAATAAAAAATGATTCTAGCTCACACTGACCTTGCAATCAAGTTATATCCTAATTTCTTAGGAATCTGGCACTGGCTCATATATATCTATTGCTTTAATTTCTACAAACTTGCTTCCCTAAGTGTGGTCCTTGGACTAGCGGTATTGGCTTTACCTGGGAGCTTATTAAAAATGTAGCATCGAAAATGGAAAATTATCAAAAAAAATTATAAGTAAATTTCCAGAGTTGAAGAGCACACATCTTCAGATTGGAAGCGCCTATTGTGTGCCAAACAAATAAATAAAACCAAAACAACAGCCAAAACTTTACATCTATCAAGAAATCTAAAAAGAGAGATATTCTCAGAGGCTTTTGGTAGAAGAAAAACAATTATCATTAATAATAACAAATTGACCAAATATAATGAAATAGAATCCAACTACCATCAGGTTTTCTAATAAAAATATTGGATGTTATAAAATATGAGAAGCAATTGTTTTATTGTCTTAGGGAAGTATTTTCAACCCAGAATTCTATACACAGGCAAATTATCAATGGAGTGTGAGGCGAAAATAAATTCATTTTTAGGTATACAAGTTCACAAGAATTTGCCTCTCTTCACCTTCCTTTTTGAAAGCTACCATAGGATACATCTCAGCAAAACAAGGGAGGAAACAAAAAACAAGAACATGAGAGCCAACAAAATGAGGATCCAAAAAATAAGCAATGGAGCTCCAGTCTGACTACTGTACAGGATGCCAGATACCTAGGAAGGAGTCAGTGAGCAAGAGGATGGAGAGCCACAGTGCGAAGGTCTTCCTACAACAATCATGCACACAAGGAATTCTGTCTGGTCAAGTGGATAATTTGCTAATAGGCAAATTGATAAATTTACCAAATTTATTGAAAGATCTGTTGGAACATTCTTAAAAAATTAATGACTCCAAAGAAAACTGGGAAAATAATGGAAAAAAGGCAATTCTTAATTGCTTTTCTTATATGTGGAGAAAATGTAAGCAAGAAGGAATTCAGTCATTCCAAGTTATATTAAATAGTATAAACCCTGACTTTCATTTAAAAAATAACATTATAACTACATTGAGAGGATGCGGTGAAGGAAACTGTGTGTGTGTGTGTGTGTGTATGTGTGTGTGTGTGTACATGTACACGTGCATGTGTGTGTCTGAGGCACGGTGGATTTAATTACTGTAATAAAAATAAACTAATATCTAAAATTGATGATGGAAGAAATAGTAATTATTAGCCAATAATAATAGCCAATTAGCCAATTATTTTAAAATATTGAGATAGATATAAAAATAAACAGCAAAAAGAATTAAAACATTTTTGGGGAGGAGGAGTTTGATGAACAGAAAAAAAGTAGGGGGGTACTATTTATGTTATAAACTTTTAGAAAATACATGGAAATTATGCGCATGATTGCTGTAATATAAAATAAAAAATAAATTTAAAAATAAACATAAACTACTCCCAGGAGTAATATTTTTATCTACTAATATAAATGTAGATCATGTTTATGCTACGCCTGATTTTGAGAAAAAATACGTTTCATGTGCTTAAGAAAATGATGCTGCTTCATATTTTTATTTTTTGTAAATGAAATTTTAAAAGTAGAAGAATTTTGTTGTATCACAATAAAGTGGGTAAAGAATTTGGTACAGGGTTTGAATGTATGCCACCCATCCAGATTATCCATCTGTAATCTGGTTATACATTGTCCAGATTTTAAAGAATTTGCTGAACATATTAGTTGAATTTGTAAATGATCTTAACTAAACATTATGTATTTTAATTTATAACAAACCAGCCCTGAAAGTATCTGTGTGTCTGTGTGTGTGTGTGTGTGTGTGTGTGTGTAAGTGAGCACATATGCACACACCATATATAACGGGGGAGTGAGGAGAGGCTGACTGTGACAAGCCACATAACTTTCCTGTATTCCAAGGACTGCTACTGATGCTTTTGATCACTAGGGCTTATGGATGGACTGTGTTCCACTCCATAGCATTGTTTACTTTGGGGCAATGCATTATCAGAGGAAACTGTTTCTTTGTATTATTACATTTGTGCAGTGGCTCTTCTCTTTCAAGGTTTTACCAATTACACTGACAGCATTTCTGCATCATTTCTATTTTCTTTCTCTTTGTTCTCACTCCAAGTGGTTCATGGCTGGCTTCGGTCAATCCAGCCTATTTCTGACCTGTCATTCAGAGTAGCAGCCACGCGGGAGAGGACCTGCACATCAGTACACAAAGAGCCTAATTTAAATCCTGTCTATCCTGATTCAGGGGTCCACTTTGAATTCACCTCTTAATCATGACACAGAGCACTTCATCTACCTCACAAGATTTCTTCTTAATTCTTTTGTTAAGTGCCTTTAGTTACTTTGTGTTCCTAGTCTTGTTTGTTTGAATACGATTTGACCTTGCAATTATTTTTTTTTTCTTTTAGTGCATCACATGCTACAGCACCAAGAAAATGGCTGCTGAGTGTCTAGTGCTCCGGAAACATTTAGAGGTCAATGCCTCTCTAAAATACAGCACCCATTACATTGACTTGCAAGATAGATGAGCTATGAAAACAAAGTATATTCACAAATGGTCTCTGTGGGGATAGCTTATTTTATGCTATGGGAAAGGAGGGTACTGGAATGTTGAAGATGACTATATAATGGGTACGCAGTTCCCTTTGGAGTTGAGGAGAAATGTGGAATCAGTTAACAGTTCATTAATATGCTTAGAAAATGCCAATATCAGCTTTAATTAAAAACTAGACAACCAGCTTATTTAAAAAAAAAAAAAACAACCTAGTCACAGTAATAGCAAGTTTCTTTGTTTTGCCTACTACAAGCTCCAAGTCCTTGCTGACTGATTGGATAGTAACACTTACCAATATTAACGTAGTTCAATCCAATTTACTAAATAATGGTGTGTCAGTTAATTCTGCCAACTAATACACTTGCTATAAAAATTGGACTACAATTCAGATACTATCTTGGAGGAGTCATAGCCTGGCAAAAGTAATAAAAATATTACTGACATATGTGACATGCAGGACAAGAAACTCTGAGTCCCAGAGGAACATCTTTCTCTACTTGGAGTTAATATGCTTTCAGATGTGTATGAAAAAGTTTTTATTTTGAAATCTTTTAAAATATCTTTTCCATTGCATCTCTTTTCTCCATTTTTTAGTGACTTGGGATTGCAGAATTATTTAGCTTGCTGAGTCAGTGGAAATGGGCATACTAATTCGTTTTTGTAAATGAATTTTCTGCATTCAAGCCTGCTGGGTCAAGGTGCTGGGTCTCCCCTCAGGAGTTTCCTACAATCCATATGCACTGAGCTTCACTCTCTAATCATGAATGTTCCCCTATCCTGTTCTTCCAGAGTTGGCATTGCTCAGAAAAGCACCATTGCTTTATATTTTCTTCTTGAGCATCAGAATTGGCAAGAGTAGCCTCTAATGCAATTGTTAGTCCCTGAGTGCCAATGGGTAAACCTCTCCAAAGCCTTTTAAATTAATCGAGAAGACAAAATGCTAGTAAGTCAATATTCTGAACAAGCAAGGGAAATTTGTATACTAAGCATCCTTCAATCTGCAAAACTGGGTCTAACAAGTAGAACATTAGCAGGAAATGTGGCTTGGTTTGAAGGTAATATTGGATGACATGGTTGGTATGACCAAGTCACAATGAAATATAATCAAAAGAAAGTTGTTGAAAATTGTTTCTCTACTTCACTTTGGTGGAACACCATTGTACAGAGCACATTCAAAATTAAGAACCTTGTGTGTATTTAGCTTAATTAAATATTTAATCAAATGTCATCTACCTATTATTTCCACTCTACAATTTTCCATAACACCTGGAAGAGTTAGCTAATTTTTAACATTTCTGTTGACTTTCTCAAAATTGAACATTATTGTTTTATGCTTCTATCTCTGGTTGTCACAGAATGTCTCCCTCTCTCATCACCTTCAGCTTTGTAGGAAAATCCAACTGGAATTAGTAATCACTCACAGCATTTAAAAACTCGGCTGACCTGAATGAGATGCTCAGGAAATATCCAAGTTGAAAAATAAAATTGCTATGCATTGTTGTGATTTTCACATATTTCCACTTCACTCCTGGCAACTATTTCTCATTCTTAATCAGAAGGAAAATGTGAGCAGATATGTAAGACAGTGGAACAGGGACCAGGCACTAGGTAGAGGCCATTTAATTAAAAAGCGTAAAATAAATAGACTGTAAAATTCAGCTAGTCTTGTACAAAAACAGTCTGCTTGGCAGAACTCAGTGATGATTTAGATTAACATGTAAATTTCTGGAAAAGAGAAATCAGCTATGGGTCTTATTAGCTTTGTTTTTACTTTTAATATTTTTAGGTTCTACATTACAGGTTAAGTAAAATTTTTTAAAAGGAGGAAAGGAAGAAAGAGAGAACAGTAAGAAATAAGTCAGTCATATGAGTGAATTATGGCAGATTGCAATCAAAGAATCTTATTCTGGTTGGCTTGTCTAGTATTAAATAGATAACAGCATATTTTTCCATAATATGTCAAATTGCTTCAATAGTGATTAGGACTACGAAATGTCTGGGCTGTGGCTTCAAAATAGTTTGAGTCAGATTTATAATAACAAAGAAGCAATGTCCTGGAGAGGAATTTTGTTGTTTGCTAGGGGGCACTGTGAGGCTGTCTTTGCCTTGTTTGCTCTTTTGAGTTGTTAGTGGTTGGTCCATTTTAATTATCTGTGTTTCTGTGAAAGATGAAGTATTACATTGTTAATTACGGAGTTTTCAGCTTCATAATGGATTTTGTCTAACTACTTTTGACTCTGCATGTTGCCTGTGCCCTTCACATTCTAGGTTTTCTGGAGGGATTTGGGTAAATTGGAAACAATAGATTATCATGGAAGTGTAATGTAGAAAATAACTAAATCCTGCCTCCACAATGAAGAATATACTTAGTTTTCCCCTAAAATAGCTAGGCCTAAGAACAGCACAACATTTGGAGTTGAGTCTTTGAATCTTGGCATTTCTATATTGTGAAGTATCCCTTCTGTTTGAAGTAAATGAGGGAATTTCTAAAGCAAGGTGCTGTCCTCCCCTATTACCAGCAGGGCCTGGTTCACCTGTGATCACAGTATGATTAAATAATAATTTTAAAAAGCTCTGGGGACAGGACAGTCCCATCAGTCTTGGTTCAGAGGTTTTAATTTTCTAGGGGGAAAAGAAGGTAGTTCTAAAGCCACTGCTGCTTGCACATCAGAACAGCAAAATCAAGTCAATTTCAGCTTCCTCTGATGCCATTTGTACATAGTAGAGTTCTCTTGACTAAATTGCATTTGATATTTTCATGGTCCAGGTAAAGCCACTCAACAGTTAAATTATTTCATCCAAATTCTCAGAAATTAAGAGAACAACTTTCACTGTAAATGTTCCAACAACAAATAGAGAACATTCACAAAGTCAACAGAAAGATGGAGAGCTCCCAGCTTGACTATCTGTAATGATTTCAGACATATATCACCTCATTTCAAGCTATGGAGGGATAAATTAGTAGTCTGCTTGCAGGTTAAAGCAGCAGTTAATAGATTTTGCAAGGGGAAGGGTCATCCAGATGGCGTATATTGCTAAGAATTAGAGCAATCCTTCTCAAACCTTTAACCTTAAACCCACTTCATTTCCAGGTAGCCTAATTCTTAGGGTAGCCACTCAGTGATGACCAATAGACATGTCTACAAGGCGTGGTAGAGGCTGATTCAGATTAAGATTTGAGTGGGTAATTGTTACCAACTCAGTATACCCATTTCTTACTTCTTACTAACATAATCCTAATTTAATTGAATGTGTCAATTGCCCAGCTAAAAGTCTATTTCTTTTTCTTTCTTTCTTTCTTTTTAAACGGAGTTCTGCTCTTGTTACCCAGGCTGGAGTGCAATGGCATCTCGGCTCACTGCAACCTCCGCCTCCTGAGTTCGAGCGATTCTCCTGCCTCAGCCTCCTGAGTAGCTGGGATTACAGGAACCCGCCACTACACCCAGCTAACTGTTGTATTTTTAGTAGAGACAGGGTTTCACCATGCTGGACAGGTTGGTCTCAAACTCCTGACCTCAGGTGATTCACCTGCCTCAGCCTCCCAAAGTGCTGGGATTACAGGCGTGAGCCACTGTGCCCGGCCCTAAAAGTCTGTTTCTACAACTTTCCTTGGATCTAAGTTTTCCCGTGTGAAACAATTCTGACCAATAGATTTAAGAGAAAGTTTTTCATTAATGCTTCCAAGAAATCATCTAAAATGGGCCAAATTTGGATAGATTGTTTCTTAGCTTTTTGTCTTTTCCAGTCTCCCCTATTTCTGGAACATAGAATGACTGATGAAGAATTTTGTGACAGTGAGGTTACAAGCATATGGGTGGGATGGCTAAGCACTGTGATAGAAAGAGTCATGTTCTTGGTGATATCGTAGTCTCATGCCAGCACTACGCTACCTAACCCACTCTAGACTTCTCATCACGTGATAGTAAAACCCTTGCCCCTGCCTTACATGAACCACTGATATTTTATTTTTCCTTTACTGCAGTTGAATTAAATTCTTATCTGATATACACGTTATAGTAAAGATATAAGCAATTGACACAACAAAGAGTAAACAAATTTGTTAAAAGTGTTTAAAATTTTTTTGTTATTTTCTTTTGAAAATTTAAATATTTTATATTTTATACAACTTTTTTATAAAACATATTTTAGGCAAAATTCATGATGATCCAGGAAGTGCTTTGGCCACTGGCTTCTCATAACACATCATGCCACTGTTATCTTCTGTATGGGAAATACAACATTGGAACAAAGTCCAGGAAACATGCCACAACACACATCCTCTGACAATGCTAGGAGTAGGTTGAAACTTTAGTTTTCTCATCTGTAAAGTGTGAACAAAATACTAAGAACTTCTCATTGTAGTGAGAAATAAATAAGATAAAGCTAACTTACCTAACACCATGCCTTACATATAGTAGACACCCAACTCTTTATAAAAAAAAACATATATTTCATATATAAATTTGCATGCCATTATATTGCATATAAAACATTACAAATATAGACTTTATTACAGAAGATAGCATCATATTCCACATTCATATATATGATGTATACTAAAATATTCTTTTTGATATTTATGAACAATAGACTACTTTTTGTCAGGCACTGTCCTGTAAGTAAGTAAATGCAGTGATGAACAAGATGAATCTGGCCTCTGTCTTAAGAAAGTTACAGTCCTTCCTGCTACAGAGAAGATATCCTTGAATGTGTAATATTGTAAGAGTGCTTATCAAAGGATTTGAGTTAAAATGAGAATTGATTCTCATAAATGGAGAAAAATTGGAAAAGGCAATTTGTATAATTATTTTACAAAGGGTCAGTTGCCAATAATTCCAAGATCTATCCCCATTCTTCACCACGTCTATCATAACACAGATAATAGCAGAGATGATAATCTGCCTGTGAATTGTGTCTAAGGTAGGTCTCCAGCATGCCTTGGGGACATCACCACAAGACAGCTGTCCTAAGAAGTGGGCCTCCTGGACATGAAATTATTTATAGTCCAGAAACTCTATGTCGAAAGCACTCATGTCATCTGAACAGTGTGGCCACAGCTTTCAAAAATTTCCCAAGTTTTTCTTAAAAATAAAAATAGGGTCTTACAAAGAGGAGACATGGAATTAATGATTAATATAGTCATCAAATATTTTCCAGCTCTCTGCCTTCCAAGCATATGTAGGGTTGCATTCTCTGGCACTCTTGTGTCTGAAGGTTCTATGTAGTTAGTTTGGGCCAATGAGTTATGCCTGGAAATGATATAGGTCACCTCCAGGCTATGGTATTTAGTAGCTAATATGAGACACTGAAAAGCTCTTTTTTCTCTAGCACTATGGCCTTTGATGTTCAGGAGGAAGGCTTTCTCCATCAGCCGGAATTTCTGAGTGACAGTGATGAACAGAGTGCCCCTGCCTATCCATGAATGGACAAGTAACATAAGCAAGAAAAAAACTTTGTAGATTGAGGCTATGTGGTTTCCATAGTTATTTGTGAATGTAGCATTACTTACATTTATCTTATCTAATAATGGTCATTCGATCCAGAACAACCTTGAATTTCCATTGTTCCCACCCTCCATATTCAAATCTTCCTCAAATTATGATAATACATTTTTAATCTGCCCTCTGCCTAGTCCAGGTGGTCAGCATCTCTTCCCTGGCTCTTTGCTAATCTTCAGATAAAGTCGTCTTTCTTCCCTCTTTTGACTCTCTAAGTTACTTGCCATTTAGCAACAAAAGTGATTTTTTTAAAAAAATAAAACTAATCAGTCGCTCCCACTGTAGTTGGCGTAAAATCAGAATTATTTTAAAAAGTCTAGAAGGTCATTAAGACTCACTCTGTACAACTGTCCCCCTAACTTTACTGTGGTTTTTGATCATTTCATTCATTAAAAACATATTTTTCTTTTTTCTTGACTTAGCGCCATTGCTTAAAATCTTTTACCTTCTTGAATTTTCTTCTCTGCTGTTTAATTGTTAGCCTCTTCTCCTTAAGGTCTGAGCTCTATGAAACCTTCTCAAAATGCTCCCCTGATCTCCTGTCTACAACACCCCTCCTTCTTCAACATTCACACACACTCATACAAGCATTACTCTATTCTATTGTATTGCCGTTTGTGAAGTTTTTAAGGAATAAAACAAATGTATTTGTTACATATTTTTTTGTGCCCTGCCCCCACTAGAACATAAGCCCTATCGTGGCAGGGACTATGCGTCTTTCATGCAAGATGACAACCCAAGTGAGTACCAGTGCCCGCCAAAATGTAGATATTTAAGGAATTTCTGTTGAGTGAAAGAGTGAAGACTAAAATAAAGGAAAAAAATTTGACCCTCCTGAATAATTAAAAAGTAACTTTTATACTAATGAGAAAATTTAAGGCAGAAATGAGCTTCTTTTAATTTTAATTCAAAGTGCCACAAACCAAGTGTATGTACTTAAAGAAGTAAATCATACCAACTGAACCTGTGTTAAGTGCTAGGAGCAATCTAAATTTAAAAAACTAAGAAGGGCCAGGCATGGTGGCTCACATCTGTAATCACAGCACTTTCAGAGGCCGAGGTGGGTGGATCACCTGAGGTCAGGACTTTGAGACCAGCCTGACCAACATGATGAAACCCCATCTCTACCAAAAAATACAAAAATCAGCCAGGTGTGGTAGCCCACACCTGTAATCCCAGCTACTTGGGAGGCTGAGGCAGAAGAATTGCTTGAGCCCAGGAGGCAGAGATTGCAGTGAGCTGAGATTGCACCACTACACTCCAGCCTGGGTGATAAAGCAAGACTCCATCTCAAAAAAAATAAATAAATAAACAAGAAGAAGAGCAAAAGCATGCTTAGATACATTCTCTAAGCTCATGAACTTTAAAATTGATTACATAAATCTATAATTATCAATAGAAATTAAATTTCCTTTTTGACACACAAAGCTTGAAATCCTTAGCCATCAAACAGAAGGCAAGTCTCATTTGTAGGACTTTATAAGTCACCTGCTGCCAAAACACAGAGATTGGCTGTGTTTCAGACCTAGAAAAGGCAAAGCATATAACCGATTTACAAAGACAAATAATTTAGGATGTTCCATAAATGAAGAAAGTACTTTGTTTTGACTTTGATCTAAATTTGATATGGTAGACAACAAAAACAAATAAAAAGGGCCAATGTAACAAAATATAAATAAATATTTAGAAGATGTTAAAAAGCCATTTGACAATTACTTTATACAGTATCTGGGAGTTTACAAAATTGTCATATGGAAATATTAATTTTGTGTTTATTGAAGCTGCTGAAATAGAAAGGGACTTTTGATTGAACACCCCTTTCTGATTAATAGGGAGGTAGTTTAGAGGCCATGAAGTTTAATTAAAAATGGCACTAGATGGAAAGTCAAGAGAGCTAGCTGTAATCACAGTTCAATCTTAAGCATATGACCTTAAGAAATGCATTTTCTCAGGTCTTGGTTTACTCAAAAGAAAATAAAGATAATAACATTTACACCACAGGTATTCAATGAAGACTGAATCAGAAAATATTTGTAAAAGTTGCTAGCAGAGGACTTAGCTTGCAGAAAATATTTCAAAAATATTGATTTCCTTGGTATGTGTAGTACTATGAGGAATAGGGCACAATCTAATTCTTTTTTTTTAGGTAACATATATTGGACAAGCAGAATTACAGGGCATGCTAGGACCTCCCAATAGCACTGGACAAAGAAAAAAGAGAGGTAGGGCAAGGTTGAAAGTCTGGCAACTGAAGAGCAATAACTTACTGCAACTGCTGGTTGTAAAAAGGTCATGATGAATTCATACTTCATTCAGGCAAGTGCTCATACGTAAGGGACTCTCCTCAAGTGAACTGGGCAGGCTGGCCAGGGATCCCAGGCGATAATCAAGGTCAAAGACTATTTTTTTTCTTTTTTTATTATACTTTAAGTTTTAGGGCACATGTGCACAATGTGCAGGTTAGTTACATATGTATACATGTGCCATGTTGGTGTGCTGCACCCCATAACTCATCATTTAACATTAGGTATATCTCTAAATACTATCCCTCCCCACTCCCCCCACCCCACAACAGGCCCCGCTGTGTGATGTTCCCCTTCCTGTGTCCATGTGTTCTCATTGTTCAATTCCCACCTATAAGTGAGAACATGTGGTGTTTGGTTTTTTGTCCTTGTGATAGTTTGCTGAGAATGATGGTTTCCAGTTTCATCCATGTCCCTACAAAGGACATGAACTCATCATTTTTATGGCTGCGTAGTATTCCATGGTGTATATGTGCCACATTTTCTTAATCCAGTCTATCATTGTTGGACATTTGGGTTGGTTCCTAGTCTTTTTATTGTGAATAGTGCCACAATAAACATAGGTGTGCATGTGTCTTTATATCAGCATGATTTATAATGCTTTGGGTATATACCCAGTAATGGGATTGCTGGGTCAAATGGTATTTCTAGTTCTGGATCCCTGAGGAATTGCCACACTGACTTTCACAATGGTTGAACTAGTTTACAATCCCACCAACAGTGTAAAAGTGTTCCTATTTCTCCACATCCTCTCCAGCACCTGTTGTTTCCTGACTTTTTAATGATCGCCATTCTAACTGGTGTGAGATGGTATCTCATTGTGGTTTTGATTTGCATTTCTCTGATGGCCAGTGATGGTGAGCATTTTTTCATGTGTTTTTTGGCTGCATAAATGTCTTCTTTTGAGAAGTGTCTGTTCATGTCCTTTGCCCACTTTTTGATGGGGTTGTTTTTTTTTCCTTGTAAATTTGTTTGAGTTCATTGTAGATTCTGGATATTAGCCCTTTGTCAGATGGGTAGATTGCAAAAATTTTCTCCCATTCTGTAGGTTGCCTGTTCACTCTGATGGTAGTTTCTTTTAAAAGACTATTAGGAGTACGGTTCTAGGTGAGCAACACATTCAGAAGAGGTCCAGTCCAGTGACTAAGCAGCTGGTGAAAATACAGAGAAGGCTTGTAACAGCTGGGGGCAGAGGATTACAAATGGGCCCCTTTCCCAGAAGAAAAGGGGCACTTCGAAGTCAAATTTAAAATTGTTGAATTAAAGTGTTTATATATTTGTAATTCTAATAGATGTTGCCAACTTTATCTCCTTAGGGATTTTAAGAATTCACACTTCTATCAACAATGTATAAAACTGCCTTTTTGCTCTAAATTGTCAAAGCAACATGGTATGTTCTCAAACTTTTAGATGTTTGCTAATGTGATAGTGACAACTCCTGTGTTTTGATAATCTATTCATTTGCTGAATGGTATGATAGCCCAGGTTTTAGTTTTTCTCACTTTTAATATTTCATTTGGACATACTTAGGAATTGTTGAGAAATATGAACTTCAAGGTCACTGTAGGAGCACAAGTGGCAGAGAAAAGAAATTGTAGACTCTGCATTAAAAAATGACTTCAAAATGTATTTACACAATCGTTTGTTTAGCTACCTTCTTCTGTAAAAGGAATTGCAGAATTTATTAAAAATTGTATAAAGTGCAGGCGATTTAATATAAGATCTATTTTAAAAATTGTAAACTGTTTTAAAGTGATTGGGCAGATACATGTGTGTGTATTTCATGTTAAAATGCTTTTTCCCATTTGTGTGTTCTTTTGGAGTTAAGATGTGTAAATTCATTAATACAGAACAAGTTATATCCTGGACATTCTAGGTAAGCAATGCAAAATGCATTTACTGTTTGAGTGTAGTTAAATTGATAAATTAGATTGCTATACCAATAACTTTGGTTCCTTTTAGGTTTTCATAGTAGGCTCTAATTCCAGTTTCTTTCAGGATATCTTTGTCTAAAGCTTTTGGAAATGCTGAATGCAAATAGAATTTCTAGAGGTGACAGTTTTACCTGGTTTTAATCCTTTCTTTCCAACTTATTCTGTCATTGAAAACAAGATTAAGGAAACACATTTCTTTCCTGTTATCTATTATTTCCCATTATCTAAAATAACTAAAAATTCACTTTTACTTTCATTCTCCTCCTTTACTCTTGGAAAAATTGCACACCCCCAACTTGCCTGAAAATTTAGCTTTGTCTTTCAAGTCAAGGTAGGAAAAATAAAAAAGCAAAAAAACCATATCCCAACTTAATTTTATGCCTGATCTTCTACAAAGCTGGTTGGTCTCCTGGTGCCTGAGTCTGTTTTGAATTTCTTTCACTACACTCTCTTTTACTTCAAGGTACTTACCACAAATTGTAATTTTATACTTTCGTATACATTTCTTTTTCTTAAAGATTGTCTTCTTACCACTAGACTACAAATCCTATCCAGTTAGAGAACATATTTGTTTTATTCACCACCATATACCAATTCCAAAAATTGTACTTAGCCTGCAGTAGTTATTAAAAATATTTATTGAATGAATACTTTCTTGTACGGTTGAATATATTTAAGCCCCTTCTAAGAACAGATTATTTGCTGTATCATGAATGTTTTAGTACAAAGTCCTTCTACACAGTCTCTCTGTTTTTTAAAATATGTTTAAAATATATCTTTAATACACAATAATTTTTGTCTTCTCTGGACCGAAATGGTCTCCTGAGTTTTACTTTTTCATATTAGATAATTTTCACATTAATTGGAAAGCAGTAAAACCAAATATTAATTTTTGAGTCCCTTAAGGATAAGAAAATACTTTTATTCTTCCAATAGAGCTATTGATAATAACATAAAGCAATGTTTTAGTTCAATAAGTTTCTCTGACTGCCCAGTAAATGCAATCATTATTTTGGGGTACTTTTAGATATGCAATGAAAACACAGTATAAGCACCTATATTAGAAACTCATTGTCTAATAGGTTATAACAATCTGAGGGTTGTGACAATTATCAATTCCCCCAAAGGCCAGAAAATCCAGTTAATTTGGCAGAGTTAAGTTTATTAGACCTACTGCAGCAAGGGGAAATAAAATCTTGATAGAGTAGCACCTCAGAAGAGGATACTCAACAGCAGGGAGATATTTATATGATTTTAGGGTCTGAAAAGAGTAATTTTAAGGTGAGATTTGCAAGGAGGGGAGTAGGTAGGGACTTGTCAGAGTTTATGACGTAATGACTTTGGACTGGAGTGAGGGTCTTGCAGTGAGGCATGACAAGCAATCTGTCAGTCTTGGTATATAAGCTATCCTAGTTTGTTCACATCCTTATTTCCTAGAGCAAATACTCAAGTTTACTTTGTTTATTCTCAGTATTGTTGAGTAGAGTCACAGATGTATGCTCAGTCCCAGCATTGTTTAACACAGAACAGAAAATTATTTTGTTATCTTGTTTCAGTCCCTTATTTCCTTACTCATCTCCCTTTTCTGCATTGCTGTTTGATATCTCACAGTCATGTATAAAGTTTCTGATGATAATCATTTCAACTTCTTTAAGTTTCACATTTTCTCCCATTTTTGTTGGAAGACAATTTATTGTATTTTTTGTTTGATGGAACTGCAGATATCAAACAACATTTGAGACTCTGGAGATTACACATCTAAGGCCTGCATCATAAATAAATAGTAATATGAATCATTATTATCAGGAGTTTAGTTCACTACTTACCAAGCAATAAAGACTCCTCAAATTAAACCTTGAGAATAGATGAAATTTCCCATCCAAATGGTCTGTAAAACTATATATTGGGCCATTAACCAGACTACCTAAACTCAAAAATCTTTCATCTCTCAAATCCTTTTAGTAATATTGAAAATGCTGACCCCACAGAAATAAAACCATCAGAGAAAACTATAAACACCTCTATGCAAAGAAATTAGAAAATCTAGAAGTGGATAAATCCCTGGACACATACACCTCCCAAGACTAAACCAGGAAGAAGATAAATGCCTCAATAGACCAATAACAAGTTCCGAAATCAAGGCAGTAATAAATAACCTATCAACCAAACAAACAAACAAACAAAAAAACCCAGGACCAGATGAATTCATAGCAGAATTCTACCAGAGGTACAAAGAGGAGCTGGTACCATTCCTTCTGAAACTATTCCAAACAATTGAAGAGGAGAAACTTCTCCCTAACTCATTTTATGAGGCCAGCAACAACCTGATACCAAAACCTGGCACAGATCCAACAAAAAAGAAAACATTAGGCCAATATCTGTGATGAACATTGATACAAAAATCCTCAATAAAATACTGGCAAACCTAATTCAGCAGAACATCAAAAAACTTATCCACCATGACCAAGTTGGCTTCACCCCTGGGATGCAAGGCTGGTTCAACATACACGAATCAATAAACGTAGTTCGTCACATAAACAAAACTAAGGACAAAAACCACATAATTATCTCAATAGAAACAAAAAAGGCCTTCAGTAAAATTCAATATCCTTTCATGTTAAACACTCTCAATAACCTAGCTATTGATGGAACATATCTCAAAATAATAAGAGCCACCTATGACAACCCACAGCCAATATCCTACTGAATGGGCAAAAGCTGGAAGCATCATTCCCCCCTGAAACTGGCACAAGACAAGGATGCCCACTCTCACCACTCCTATTCAGCATAGTAGTGGAAATTCTGGCCAGGACAATCAGGAGAGGGAAAGAAATAAAGTGTATTTAAACAGGAAGAGAGGAAATCAAACTGTCTGTTAGTAGAAGACATGATCCTATACTTAGAAAACTCCATCATCTCAGCTCACAAGCTCCTTAAGCTGACTAGCAACTGCAGCAAAGTCTCAGGATACAAAATCAATGTGCAAAAATCACAAGCATTCCTATATACCAACAATAAACAAGCAGAGAGCCAAACTGTGAATGAACTCCCATTCACAATTGCTACAAAAAGAACAAAATACCTAGGAATACAGTTAACAAGGGAAGTGAAGGATCTCTTTAAGGAGAACTACAAAACACTTCTCAAGGAAATAAGAGAGAACACAAACAAATGGAAAAACATTGCATCCTCATGGATAGGAAGAAAAAATAGTGAAAATGGACATACAGTCTGAAGTAATTTATAGATTCAATGCTATTCCCATTAAACTACCATTGACATTTTTCACAGAAAAAAACTAAAATTCATATGGAACCAAAAAAAAAAGCCTCTATAGCCAAGAGAACCCGAAGCAAAAAGAACAAAGCTGGAGGCATTATGCTACCTGACTTCAAACTATACTACAAGGCTACAGTAACCAAAACAGCATGGTACTGGTATAAAAACAGACACATAGACCAATGAAACAGATTAGAGATCTCAGAAACAAGACCAGACATCTACAACCATCTTATCTTCAACAAACCTGACAAAAACAAGCAATGGAAAAAGGATTTTCTATTTAATAAATGGTGCTGGGAAAACTGGCTAGCCAGATGCAGAAAATTGAAACTGGACCCCTTCCTTATACCTTATACAAAAATTAACTCAAGATGGATTAAATACTTAAATGTGAAACCCAAAACTATAAAAACCCTAGAAGAAAAGCTAGATAATACCATTCATGACATAGGCACGGGCAAAGATTTCATGACAAAAACACCAAAAGCAAGTGCAACAAAAGTCAAAATTGACAAATGGGATCAAACTAAACTAAAGAGCTTCTGCACAGCAAAAGAAATTATCAGAGTGAACTGACAACCTATAGAATGGGAGAAAATTTTTGCAATCTAGCCATTTGACAAAGATCTAATATCAAGAATCTACAAGGAACTTAGACAAATTTACAAGATAAAAACAACCCCATCAAAAAGTGGGCAAAGGACATGAATAGACACTTCTCAAAAGAAGACATTTATGTGTCCAACAAACCTACGAAAAAAAGCTCAACGTCACTGATCCTGAGAAATGCAAATCAAAACTACAATAAGATACCATCTCACACAGAATGGCAATTATTAAAAAGTCATGAAACAACAGATGCTGGTGAGGCTGTGGAGAAATAGGAATGCTTTTACACAGTTTGTGGGAGGGTAAATTAGTCCACCCATTGTGGAAGACAATGTGGCAATTCCTCAGAGATCTAGAACCAGAAATATCATTTGACCCATCAGTCCCATTAATGGTTATATACCCAAAGGAATATAAATTGTTCTATTTTAAAGATACATGCATGTATATCTTCATTGCAGCACTACACAATAGCAAAGACGTGGAACCAACTTAAATGCCCATCAATGATAGACTGGATACAGAAAATGTTATACACATACACAATGGAATAGTATGCAGCCATAAAAAGGAATGAGATCATGTTCTTTGAGGGGACATATTTAGAGCTGGGAGCCATTATCCTCAGCAGACTAACACAGGAACAGAAAATCAAACACCACATGTTCCACTTATATTGGGAGCTGAACAATGAGAAAGCATGGACAAAGGGAGGGGAACAACACACACTGGGGCCTGTTGGGGGTGTAGCAGGGGAAGAGCATTAAGGAAAATAGTTAATGCATACAGGGCTTAATACCTAGGTGATGGGTTGATAGGTGCGGCAAACCACCATGGCACACATTTACGTATGTAACCTGCACGTCCTGCACATGTATCCCAGAACTTTAAAAAAATAAAAAAAAAGATCTCTGTGATTTAAGCACAACGTTCTTCCCCTATATATTCTCCTGAGACCAGTATGACATGTAAAGTGTCCTTATTTTAAACCACCACATGTTCAATTTCAAGAACCTCTCAAGAAGTTTGCCTAGTTTTCCTGATATTTTCTGGACCGTAGCATGTAGTATTCTCTCTACTCTTGTGCCTTATATAAAATTTAAAATAAAAAGCCTTAGGAATAGAAGTAAAATGGAGTTTTTAAATTCAAATCAGGGCTCATTTTTTCTCTTCTCTTTTTCTTTTCTCTTTTTCTCTTAATTTCTTAAATTCACCTGAAGATCTCTTTTCCCAAAAAGGGAAAACAATGAGTCAAAATGGGATGGGTGATATCAGGCATGATCCTGAAGGCACATTCTTGTCCACTTCGTGGTTAACAATCAATAGGATCTTGCAAAACAAAACAGGATCTTCGCAAGATCCTATTGATACCTATATGATACTCAATAGGATACCTCAATAGGTATCAATAGAAGCTTGCAAAACAAATCAGACAAAGCTGTTTGTAGCCATGCAGTGATCTGTTTTCAGACAACATAATCCAATGAGTTTATTAAATGCTGTAGTATAGTTTTGGCCCCACTAATGAAGAATGTTCTGAAACCACATCATGAAATTTGTAGCATTAATATAATAATATAATCAAATGGATTGACAGCTAAAGGGCTTGTGGTTGAGTCTAAGTAATGTGCCCAATAGTGACATAGCCTCTTCATATACACCACTGTTTCCTTGCTGTTTTCCAAAATACATTTCTATGATTTTTTTTGTTTAAAATGTTATTTCCTATGTGAGGTTTTTGAGTGTTGTGTCTGTGGATACAAGAATCTAATTTTCTAGCTATGATATAATAGTGAATGTTAATTTCTGACTAGGTGTGTTTGTCATCTAAATAGTTTCTGAGCAGTTGAGACCAATTACCCAGTTAATTGACTTATTTTAAGGTATTGGTATCACAGAAAGCTAAACCATCAACTAAAAGAAAGTAAATAAAATTAAGTAGTCAGTTTGAGTTCATATTTTAGCCACACCTCGGCACGTTTTAGCCAACTATTGCACTTATATTAAGGAGTAACTAAAGATGCGATAGTAATGTCAAGAGTAGAGAATACATAGGGGTATCATAGTTAAGAAATAAAGAATAAAAATTAAATAGCCATCTAGAACCTTAAACTAAAAACAAGAAAAGTAAATAATAACTGGGGTAATATAATATGGTAGAATAATGGCCTCTCAAAGATGTACACACCTTAATCTTCAGAGCCTGTTAATATGTTACTTACATGATTCAGGATGTTGCTAAAATAGCAATCAAATTGTTCAGTTTTGCCCACTCTGGGGTGAGGACAAATCCCATTTGGTCACCGTGTATATTTTTCAATATCTTGCTTGATTTGATGTACTACTGTTTCACTGAGTGTTTTTATGGCTCTATTTGAAAGAGATCTTGGTCCACAGTTTCATTTCCTTGTGCTGTCCTTGCTCAAATTGGTATCTGGGCAACACTGGCCTAATACAATGTGTTGGAAAGTTTTCTCTCCTCTTCCACTTATTTACAAAGAGTTTATAAAGGACTGGTATTAGTTTTTCATTAAATGTTTGGCAGAATTTATCAATAAAGCCATTTTTTCCTGGGCTTTTCTTTGTGGGAAGCTTTTGACTATGAATTGACTCTCTTTAGTGGCTGTATCTATTCAGATGTTCTGTATTTTCTTGCGTTGGTTTTGGTAGTTTGCATCATTTTTTAGAAATTTGTTTATTCTAAATAATCTAACGTGTTGGCATACTATTATTTATATTATTACATTTTAATTGTTTTATTTCCATAAGATTGAGAGTGATGTCCCCTCTTCTATTCCTAATTCTTAGTAATTTGAGTCTTCACTCTTTTTTCCTTGGACAATCTAGATAAAACTTTGTCAATTTTGTTGATCTTTTCAAGTAACCAGTTGTTTGTTTCATTGAGTTTTTTCTCTTATCAATTGTATCTTCATTTTAATCTTTATTATTTTTCTCTTTCTACTTGCTTTAATATTAATTTGCTCTTCCTTTCACAGTGCCTTAGGGTAAAAGGTTAGTTTATTGATTTTACATCTTTCTTTTCTTTTAGGATAAAAGAAACGAAACTAACTAAACTGGTTATTCTAGTTAGCAGTTTCTGTAACCTTTTATCAAGGTCCTTAGCTTCCTTACGCTGGGTTAGAACATGGTCCTTTAACTCAGAGTGGTTCGTTATTACCCACCTTCTGAAGCCTACTTCTGTCAATTTGTCAAGCTCACTCTTCATCCAGTTTTGTGCCCTTGCTGGAGAGGAGTTGCGATCATCAGGAGGAGAAGAGGCATTCTGGTTTTTGGAATGTTCAGCATTTTTGTGCTGTTTTCTCCTCATCTTCGTGGATTTATCAACCTTTGATCTTTGATGCTGATGGCTTTTGGATGGGGTTTTTATGTGGGCGTCCTTTTTGTTGATGTTGATCTTATTGCTTTCTGTTTGTTACTTTTCCTTCTAACAATCAGGCCCCTCTTCTGCAGGTCTGCTGCAGTTTGCTGGAGGTCCACATCAGACCGTTTGCCTGGGTATCACCAGCGGAGGGTGCAGAACAGCAAAGATTGCTGCCTGCTCCTTCCTCTGGAAGCTTCATCCCAGAGGGGCGACTGCCTGATGCCAGCCAGAGCTCTCTTGTATGAGGGGTCCGTCAACCCCTGCTGGGAGGTGTCTCCCAGTCAGGAGGCATGGGGGTCAAGGAACCACTTAGGGAAGCAGTCTGTCCCTTAGCTGAGCTCAAGCACTATGTTGGTAGATCCGCTGCTCTCTTCAGAGCCGGCAGGCAGAAACATTTAAGTCTGCTGAAGCTGCGCCCACAGCCGCCGCTTCCCTGAGATGCTCCGTCCCATGGAGATGGGAGTTTTATCTATAAGCCCCTGACTGGAGCTGCTGCCTTTCTTTCAGAGATGCCCTGCCCAGGAAGGGGGAATCTAGAGAGGCAGTCTGGCCACAGTCGCTTTAGCACACTGCGGTGAGTTCCGCCCAGTCCCCACTTGCTGTGGCTTACTTAACACCGTGAGGGGAAAACTGCCTACTCAAGCCTCAGTAATGGTGGACGCCCATCCCCCCACTAAGCTCGATCATCCTCAGGTCAACTTCAGACTACTGTGCTGGCAGCCAGAATTTCAAGCCAGTGAAATTCTTAGCTTGCTTGGTTCTGTGGGAGTGGGAACTGCTGAGTGAGACCACTTGGCTTCCTGGCTTCAGTCTCCTTTCCATGGGAGCGAACAGTTCTGTCTCGCTGGGGTTCCAGGCACCACTGGGGTACGAAAAAAAAACTTTTGCAGCTAGCTTGGTGTCTGCCCAAAAAGCTGCCCAGTTTTGTGCTTGAAACCCAGGGTCCTGGTGGTGTAGGCACCTGAGGGAATCTCCTGATCTGCAGGTTGCAAAAACCATGGGAAAAGTGTAGTATCTGGGCTGGATAGCACAGTCCCTCATGGCTTCCCTTGGGTAGGGGAAGGAGGTTCCCAGCCCCTTGCACTTCCTGGGTGAGGCAACGCCCCATCCTGCTTCTGCTCGCCCTCCTTGGGCTGCACCCACTGTCTAACTAGTCCCAATGAGATGAACCTGGTACCTCAGTTGGAATGCAGAAATCACCTGCCTTCTGCATTGGTCTCGCTGGGAGCTGCAGACTGGAGCTGTTCCTACTTAGCCATCTTGCCAGATCCCTCTTTTCATCTTCTATTCCCCCGTTACTCTTTTGTTACAGTAACTGAATAATTTTTAGCATAACATTTTAATTATTAAATTTTATTTTTTTTGTTATTTTCTTAATGTTTTTTCTAGGCTTACAATATGCATTTTAATTTATTCAGATCTACTTCAAATTTATACTAGCTTAATTCCATCAGGAAGTATGATGTAGAAATTATACTCCTCTATAGCTTATTCTTTTCTTCCTTGCTTCATAATATTATTGGTATACATACTATATCAATATATGTCACAGTAATATATTGCTATGATTATCATCTCATATAATTTTATGTCTTGAAGCTGAAAGAATAAAAACAAGTACATATTTATGGAATTGCTAATATTAGCTTTCTTATTTAACATTTTTGCCTCTTTGTTTCTTCTTGTGAATTTAAGTTACTATATGATGTCATTTTGATATTCCAATACAAGTGTCCTACCATCCACCTCCTTTGTAAAAATATATTACATTTCTATCTGTTATAGATACAACAATACAAATACACAAATATAATTTTACACAATTATTTTTTAAATCCAGTTAGCAGAAGAAATATACAGGTATATAATAGCTGCCTTGAAGTCTTTGTCTGCTAAGTCCAACATTGAAGCTCTCTCAAAGAGAGAGCTATTTTGAAACTCTGTTTTGTCTGCTTTTTTAAAGCCTAAATAAGGTTACATCTTTTTATTTGCTTGTCTCATAATTCATAATTTTTTAGTCAAAAACTGGATATTATGATAACATTTTCACAACTCTGATACTGTTACTCCACCATTGGGGTGGTCATTATTGTTTGCTAATTTGTTTCTTTCTTTAGTGACTTCACTGAACTAGGTTAGCAAAGACTATTTACCCCAAGTGTGCACTCTCTGATGCTGTTTTATCAGAGAATGGAGCCTTGGGCGTACACACATTCATTCTGACTTCCCCTTCCCCACTGGGATGAAAGATTTTTTTCCAGGCTCTCTTTGACTGAACTCCGTGTCAAGCTACTGGCTGATCTGACTGTATTGATATCAGACTGACAATTTAGCATCCACTAATTTATAGCTGATTGCTTTAGTATTCTTTACAACGCTCTGGTAAATAAATTAGTCTGCAATTTGATGCAATTCAAGTTGAACTTGTTTGAAGGGATAGTCTTTGAGGCCAGAATGAGGCTTCTTTCAACCCCAGGATGTCTCTTCTTAGTTGTTTTTTCCTTGTTTATTTCTGCTAAACTTCTAGCTATTTTGTTTTTGCTCTTATTGATTATACAGAGTTGCAAGCCTTAATTGCTCACCACCAAATAGCCATTGTTTTTGACAATGCTATCAGATTTGAACTTCCCCATACTCTGTCCCATGTAAAGTAGTTCTCTTGGGGAAAACTGTGGAGCTCTTTATTCTTATGACCTTTCTCCCCTCCCTGGGCATAACATAGATGCCACTGCTCCAATGTGTGGATATAAAAACAGCAGACTGCTTCTCTTATGGTATGCCTGTTTGATGAGTAGGGCACTAGACAAAGGTAGTAGCCTCTGGTATCTCATTTTTCTTCTGTAGTAGAACCTTTGGCATACACAAGATATGGGGAAAGTGTGATTAGAAACCACTATTCTTGGCTGGGCATGGTGGCTCATGCCTGTAATCCCATCACTTTGGGAGGCCGAGGCGGGCAGATCACAAGGTCAAGAGTTCAGGACTAGCCTGGCCAACATAGTGAAACCCCATCTCTACTAAAAATACAAAAAAAATTAGTTGGGCATGGTGGCGGGTGCCTGTAATCCCAGCTACTCAGGAGGCTGAGGCAGGAGAATCGCTTGAATCTGGGAGGCAGAGGTTGCAGTGAACCGAAATCACACCACTGCACTCCAGCCTGGGCGACAAGAGCGAGACTCCATTTAAAAAAAAAGAAAAGAAAAGAAAAAGAAAAAAAAGAAACCACTATTCTTGGCCTATCATATCTGGCATAGAGCTTCTTCCCTACAACTGGGAGCGGGCTTAAAAAAAAAAAATGGAACCCTCAATGTCTCCACTGGTTTTTCCTTGCATAGAGCTTTTGCAAAATTGAGGTAAGTGAGGATGAGAAATATTAGTGGCCTGCTTTTCCTAGAGGAATATCATAACCTACATTGGTACCTGGAGTGAAAGAGAACCCTATCTTCTTGGCTACACATGCCTGGAGTAGAGCTTCCATCACTGTGAGCTGAGAAAGAAGGAGAGAACAAATTATGGCTCAAATATTATTGACTTTTGCTGTGCTTACCATGACTTAGCAGATTTCCTTGATAAACACTTCTCCATTTTCTGTATGACCTTAGAAGAACTTCTAGATATTTTAAATTAGAAGTTCTTCTGGCCTAGTATTCTTTTGTGTAAATGTACTACAATTTATAGCATCCTTAAATATTTTTTCCATCTTTAACTGCTTTTCAGTTTTTTAAAAAGTTATCATAGAGAATACATCACCATTTGTAATCTATTGTGATCACCTCGTGTTAGGAGGCTGTCTCTTCCAAAAGTTCCAGATGGGAATTTAGACATAGCATTTTCTACTTTCTTTGTCCCATCCTTAATTGAGGTTTGAACCACAGTGTTGGCAGGTGGCAGACATGGAGGTAAACAGAGAACAGAGATCCAAGCCAATCTCTTAATTTCTGGCCCTGTTTCACAATCTTCTCCAAACTCATTTCTACAGTCCAGCAAATGTTTCTCCTGCCTGGCTCTATGGTGGGAAAACAACCCTCATATTATCACCCTGTAACCCCCATAATCTCCTTGGTCATTGTTGTTTTTAATACTATACGTTAGGACTATAAGCTCTGGATATTAGAATCCATAATGAATTTATCAAAATCACACATTTACAAATAGCAAAAGTTTTTGCCTTTAGTAAATTATCTTTTTAGTAAGTTTTCAACAATTAGATTGAAAAATGTGGCTATTTATTCCCAGCTAGGATGAGACCTAGAAATCTATTACTACTGCCCAGCTGTTGGGAGTAGGGAGGCAATGAACATAAGGAAACTTGGACAAAGGAAAGTCAGTTAACATCTCAAAATATTATCCTGTCATTACCTTAAAATTATTCAGTAAATCACATGGTCTTTTTATCTGGAAGACAGAGATCATAGGACGGTAAGGTGGGCTGAGGGTAGCTGCTAGCAAAAGTCCAGCTGGCTCCTTTTACTCTGTAAAATCACAATATAATTTATTAAAAAAAAAAGAATAGGGCATGGTGGCGGGTGCCTGTGGTCTCAGCTACTAGGGAGGCTGAGGCAGGAGCATGGCATGAACCCGGGAGGCGGAGCTTGCAGTGAGCCGACAGTGCACCACTGTACTCCAGTCTGGGTGACAGAGCAAGACTCTGTCTCAAAAAAAAAAAAAAAAAAAAAAAGAAGAAGAAGAAGAAGAAAGAAATGAGCTACTTTACTTTCATCGGTTTTCTTTTAAAACAGTGACTTGTGGGACCTGTATTTCCTTAGCTCTTTTCAGGGTTTCCATTCCTGTATGAAAGAGTCCAAAGCTCCCTAAATGTCTTTGACATGCCATGTTTATCTTTGTGCATTTACAGAATGTTGTGGTTTGACAGTCTGCACAGGCTTTGGGTGAGCATTGCCATTCTTTGCTTTCTATGTGAGCTCCAGTTGATTGCTTCATGCCACATTTTGGATTATGTCTGAAAACTAGCACCACCAGAGCAAAAAGGGCAACTTTTCACTGTAAAAGAAGCTAAGAACTCATTATAAATTGTTTTTGTTAGAAAGCAAAAGAGTGTTTTCTAAAAACATGTAATAAATTAAATGAGAAAGCTTCTAAAACTTTTAATCATACCTTCCCCAGATCAGGGCATTTATTAGCTTTAAGCCAGGAGGAAAGTGAAGTTCATCAGATCTACTGTGCCAGGATAATATTTTTATGTCTATATTGATTAGTTTATCCTGAAATTTCCAACTTTGTTTTAAATGCAATCAACCTTTTCCTGGTCAGTCAATATCAAGGAAGGGATTTAAAAACAGAAACTGGTGCTGGGGTTTGTCTCTTGCTGACTTTTGATTTTCCAAAAACCTGAATCCTTATTGAAATAGGAAGGACTTAAGGTATAAACAAAATGTTTTGGTGAATACTTTAGCACAGGAGTCCTCCAACCCTCGGGCTGTGTACCAGTACTGGTCTGTGGCCTGTTAGAAACCAGGCCACAGAGCGGGAGGTAAGTGGTGAGGGAGTATTACCACCTGAGCTTCACCTCCTATCGGATCAGTGGCAGCATTAGATTCTCATAGGAGTGCTAACCCTATTGTGAACTACACATGTGAGGGATTTAGGTTGCATGCTCCTTAAGAGAATATAACTAATGCCTGATGATCTGAGATGAAATGGTTTCATCCCGAAACCATCCCTGCCACCCCCTGTTTGTGAGAAGACTGTCCTCCATGAAACCAGTCCCTGGTGCCAAAAAGGTTGGAGATCACTGCTTTAGCAAGAAAAAAACTTTGTTGTTTCTCACTTTAAGTAAAATAGAAGTACAGAAAACATCAGCAGTAGTTTGTCATCCTCATGGACTGATTCTTGCAGCATATTTTCAAATAGGTTTGTGGGATCTTACAGAAAAATTTGTGCTCCAGTGGCTGGGTAGATGCAAGAGATATAGCAAATCCCAAGAATAAAAGTGCTCTGGGTTTCATGTACGCCTTCCACTGCCCCACAGAATTTCCCATATCCCAACAGTATATTATAGGAGGAACCAAGTAATCTCCATGTGCCCAAAGAAGCAAGTCAAAGGTGTGTGCAAAGGAAGATTGCTGCTAGACCTGAATGGGGCACGTATATGAGATTGGTAACCTGTGTGGACCAATGACTGAGACCCAAACAGGACTATGAATGTCTCAACCAATTATTGGTGTGGTGAGAAGACACAAAGGTCCGATGCCTATGGCTTTGCACATATGCCTCATTGTCCAATACAGCTCAAAGGTGAGCAATCACACTGCGTTCCTACCAGTAGGAAAAAGGCATACCTTTTCTGTTCACTTCCACATAGAGCATATTCATAAGTCTCATTGGCCAAAACAGCCCCAAAGTCACAGCTGGCTGAGAAAGAGGCTACAGAATGCAGTGGTTAGCTGGGTGACAATGTATCAGCTCATTATAAATTAGAGTTCTTATTAAGAAGTTCTCTTTCTACATAGCTGTCTCCTCTCCAATATTTTTTCCTTGAAACTCTGCTGGAGCAAATGAAGGGCTCACTTTGATCCTTTCCCATCCTGAAGAATCAGGTTCCTTCATTGTTTCATATCCACTGTTTGAAAAACCTTTTATCTCTCTCTCCTTCCTCTCCCTCGCTTCCCTCCCTGTCTCCCTTCCTTCCTTCCCCTCCTTCCCCTCCCTCTCCTCTGCCTCTGCCCTCCCCCTCCTCCCTCCCTCCTCTCCTTTCCCCTCCCTCCCTCCCTTACTTCCTTCCCTTCTCCTCCCTTCCCTGCTTCGCTCCCCTCCCCTCCCCTTCCCTTCCCTTCCTTCTTTCCTTCCTTCCTTTGTGTTTCAGGTAGGAAGGATTAATCAGGTCTCTGTTGTTTTCGCTGAGAGTAGATCACAGTTTTCCCTTTATTTATTATTGTACTAATATCTCTCATTGGCCCATGCTTTACAAACTATTTTGGTACTTTTCACAATTTGCCAGATTGTAGCAAAGTATTTTAGTGTTCTTCACAATTTGCCAGAATGTAAGTGCAGTTGACACATATGTGTTACTTCCTGCAAAATATAAAAGTGGTTGTGAATAGTCCCATCTCTGAGTGTGCCTCCCTGCCCGGGGAATTTCAGCCTAGGGAAGATGGGGATTCATTGAAGACGAGAATGTGCATGGTATGCAAGGGCGTGAACCCAGGAAAACCTTAAGCAGTATCCCAAGCAAGACTGTATTGGAGAAATGACCAAAGGCCAAGGTGCATAATGAGTAGATTATATTGAAAAACACTTCTGTGGAGTTTTGTCTGATCTAAATTCTAAAAAAGTTGGTATAATCTTTCGCAATTTATCTGTTATAATAAAAAAGGTACTAGATTTAGGGCATTGGCAGTCAGATTGCCTAGGTGTGGTCTGAGTTGTGGCAGAAAATATTTTCAAGGTAAGTAATCAAGCTCTGTAAGCCTCAGTTTCCTCTTCTCCCGTGTGTGAGGGAATAAACTACTTGGTCTTCCTAGACGCATTTTTTATGTTTTGTGAAATGTTTTCTGAAGGTAGGTCAACAAAATTAAAGTTTCTACAGATGTTAGAGGGCCACTTTGTCTCTGAGCTTTCCTTCCCCCAATCCTTGCAATCCTGTTTTCATTGAATTTGCCACATATAACTTCTTTTGTAACCTCCAGAGTATGTGCACTCATGAAAATTAAAAGAATTACATTTTAATGAGTATTTAGTTTTTTTACACTTTCTGCCCTCCTACAACTCACATTTCTTCTTAATACCAAAAACAAAACAAAAACAAACAAAAAGAAGTGACACATGATAGAATTAGTGCCTGAAATTGAAATATAAAAGATTTTAGGATACAAATTGAGTTGACTATAATGACTGGATAGTTTTGTTGACACATTATTCTTTATACGATTTTTTTTAGAGGGAGATGTTTTTAAATTTTCAATCTAAAGGGTGCACAACAGTTCTGTAGATATGAATTCTATTACTGCCATATTGTTTCTAATACATTTTACAGAAGCAAAATGTCTTTGTACCACTAAACAACATCTACTTGCAAGTGAAGAGGGAACATAAACCTCATAAAACTTCAATAAAATATTTATTTGTTTTCGGCGATAGGATTAATTTTATCATTGTAGATTTATGATCCCAGAAATTTGTTGCTAGATATTTAATATATCAAAATAGCAGAACAAGGAGCTTATTTGAAGAAATGTGTTGTGAAACTTATGATTTACCAAAGAGAACAGATTTCTTTTCTTTTTCCATAGGACTTAATAAAACAGCAGCAAAATTGAATTAGCTTGGCATAAAGTTTAATTGCCTGAAAAAAAATTGAAACTGCTCTGGCATTGCTGTTTATGTACAACATATATTGAACTTGTGGATCATCCTCCCCTAGAACCCCAGACTATCTAGGGAAGCTAATGATGGCAACAGAGTTGTCATGTTAGTGTCTGGGAATCTTCTTTTTGATTGCTGCTTCCTACCATAAAGGAGGAAAGTTCACTGTAATGACCTTTCCAAAAGGGAAAACAGGCTTTATAGCTTTCTGCTTCCCCTAACGCAATTCCTTTGTTGAAAGCCTGTCTCTCCAGGAATTCCACAGCTCTTCAGTGCTATAGCACCTGAGATAGTGCACCTTAGTGACATTCAGTTCATGCATCTGGGAGCTTTTTTTTTTTTTATGATGGAAATAGCCGGATGGAAGAAAGTCATAAAGGAACATAGTAAATCTACAACCTTCAAGTATTCTGTTTTGAATTGTGGCTATAGCTATGAATTACTCTTTCTGCTCATTTTCTTTTTCTTTTCTTTTGAGCTCTAATAAGAAGAAGGTACACACTTAGGGAAACAACATAGTCTCTTGAGATTGTAATGTGGGAGCTAGACATCTTCATGTTCAGAAAGGTTAGGGGAATATGGACTGGCAGAGACAGAACAACTTCAGTCCCCATAATTCAGCTAGAACAAAATTTGAAAATAGAGTCACTAAACCGATGATGTGTCCACAGAGTTTACAACCAGCAACCACCTTCATTCTTATCATAAAGCTTGTAACAGCTAACATTCTTAGGGATTGCTGTGTGCATTTTCAATCAGAAGAACGGTCCCCAGAGGGTGGCTGAGTCTGGATCATTGTCATAGACAGTAATTGAGTAAGTGAAAAGATGTACTACAAAGGGGAAGAGGCTAACAGTTTTTTGGTTTGACTTGAAAGAGAAAAAAACTAAATTTATTTTTTCTCATCCATGCTTGTGCCTCCTAGGGTCTTGATAATTTATGTTTTTGAAGTATATCATCAAGAAAATCACTTGCTTTTCTTTACCATCTGATTTGCTCTTGTCCTATTGCATGCTCTTAGTAGTAGGACATATGTAAATTACTGGATTCTATGGAGAGCAGCATTTTCAAGCTTCTAGACCAAGTCATATTCATTGCTCTTGTTTATTAATTATCTATCCAGAGAAGATGCTAAGGATAATTCAAAGGATAAGACTAAAAACTGGCATTAGGCTTCTGCCTGTAAGTCTTGCTGAGACTGATTAATCAAAATCCAATGATAAGAATTTTATGTAAAAAATTCCACTCAGGAGTTTAGAATAAGCACATAAACCATTATGAGTTTATTACAGACTAATAGACTATTGATTAACTTCAACACAATATGGTTACATGAGTGCTAGTGTTTAACTCACTCTTAGATCCTTATGAAAATGGACAAATAATCACTTACTAAAAGAAAAAATTATAAAACACCATATAAAAACAAAATCACATTATACACCATTGAAAAAATATTCACAAAGGTTAAGACCAAAGGCTAGGCAACATTCATTTAAATAAAAAGGAAGTATGGGTGGCAACATTAATGACAGGTAAAATAGATGCAATGTTAAGCAAATTAAATTCATCAACAATACTGTATTTATTGTCGATGAAGGGCTGGATATTCAAAGAAAATATAAAAACCCGAATTCCTTACATGAAATGCTAACATCAAAATACGTGAAACAATTAACGTATATAGTTGATAGAATCCAGAAGTTGAAAAAACCACACCAATGGAAGATGAATACATTTTTTATAGTCCTGGAAAGATTAGGAACACAACGAATACATTCATAAATAAACCAGTATCCTGCAGAGATTTAGCATTTATTTCCCAACACTCATAGAACTCTTGGAACAATGGGAGCTCCAATACCTTGAAAAATGCAACCATTGTAGAGAATATATTCTCTCAACATAATGCAATATAAGAGGAAAATAATAATGAAATGCATAACTCTCTGTAACTTAACCATAGCCAAACTTTTGCAGAATCATGCTATGACTTTCCTTTCTATTTTTATACCAATATTTTATTTCATAGTCTTTCAACTTCTTATTCTAAAGCTGTTCTCTGTGGTTATCACACTGCACACTAACATCATTCTTTACTTTTCTAATTGTGGTTATTAATCCCTATACTGTGATTCTTTCTGGCCATGATGCATTCAAATAGTAACAGCCGTGGCAGCACAGGACAATGGATCATACTCCTGAGCCTGTCACTCCTGCACTGAATGGCATGTCATTGCCAGTACCAAAATGCCACTTAATTGTGTTCTTTTAATTATTTTTATTTATGTCTCTAATTTCAAAGCCTTTCTTTATTTTCCAACATTTAAAAGTGCACCTAACAACTTCCCTAAATACTTTTTAGACCAAGAAGAACATAAATGTAAATGATATAATATGTAGAAAAATGTCAGTAGTAAGAACACTGAATGTCAAAATTTATGAGACTTCCAAAGTTGGACTCAGAGGAAAGCAAATGTCTCTATATACTATAAATGTTAAAAAAAAAAAAAAGTGAAAATTAAAATTTCAAATTGTATTCAATAATTTGTTTAAAAAGTACCTAGAATAAAGCAGGAGCTGATAAACTGTACTCTAGGGGCCAAATTCAGCCCACTATCTATTTTGGTAAATAGGATTTTATTGAAACATAGCCATACCTATTCTTTTATAAATCATCTATGGCTCAGGGCAGTGCTACGGTTTAAATTTGTTCCCTCCAAAATTCAGGCGTTAACAGTGATAACAGTGATAGTATTAAGAGGTGGGGCCTGCTGGGCTTGGTGGCTCATGCCTGTAATCCCACCACTTTAGGAGGCTGAGGTGGGCAGATCACAAGTTCAGCAGTTCAAGACCAGCTGGCCAACATGGTGAAACCCCATCTCTACTAAAAATACAAAAATTAGCCCTGCATGGTGGCACACGCCTGTAATCCCAGCTACTCAGGAGGCTGAGGTAGGAGAATAGCTTGAACCTGGGAGGCGGAGGTTGCAGTGAGCCAAGATCCCACCACGGCACTCCAGCTTGGGTGACAGAGCAAGACTCCGTCTCAAAAAAAAAAAAGAAAGAAGTGGGGCTTTTAAGAGGTGATGAGGCCATGGGTACTCATCTCTCATGAATCAGATTAAAGGCTTTATGAAGAAGGCTTTATGCAGCATTTACTAATTTTGCTAGCTTGCCCCTCTGCCTTCCGCCATGTGCAAACACAGCAAGAAGGCCCTCACCAGACCAAATGCTGGTGCCTTGATCTTGGACTTCTCAGCCTTCAAAACTATGATAAATATATTTTTATAAATTATGCAGTCTCAGTTATTTTGTTATAGCAGCACAGAGTGAGAAGGACAGAGTAGTTGTGACAAAGGCCACTTGTCTCGTGAAGCCATACAGCCTTTCACTATATACAGCCCTTTACAGAAAAGGTTTGCTGGCACTTAATCTAAGGTATGCAGAGAAAAGGGTGGTTAGAAACAAAGCTATAAACTAATCATTTGGAAAACAGAAAAGAAAATTGATGACAGATATGTTAATTTTTCTTGTAGCACACAGAAAACTGTGCAGTGTTGTAACTTTTATTTTGATGGTGTTATACTAAAATATTAAGCACATAATGAAAACATACAGATAAATTTCTCACATACAAATGAAAAATTGTAAATACATATTAGCAAATCTAATTTAGCAGTATATTTAACTATTAATAACCTGCAGCCAAGTTAAGATTTCATCCAGGGATACATGAATTATTTACTATAAGCAAATATGTTAATATACCTAGCTGCATCTAGTAGGTCAAAGCAAAAAAAAAAAACTATATATTAATCTTAATAAATACAGAAAATTAGTTGGACCTTTTTATGAGAGGAAAAAGCATTATCCCTGATATGAGAAGGTATGTTTTTGGGATAACATCAACACTGGAGTTAGTGTCAAAGTTGAAAACATCAGAGACATTCCCATGAAAGACATAAAATAATATAAGAATATATGGTATTTTTATGAATATTGAAGGGGGAAAAATCTTCTAACAGTTCTAGCCAGTGGAATAGGTCATGAGATTTCTTTCAAAAAAAAGGTATACAATTATTGTCAGAATATTTCTGAAAGCAAACAAAATCAGAAAATTGGTGATGAATTACTATCACTTCATCTTTTTTTTTTTCTTCTTTTTTTTTTGACGGAGTCTTGCTCTGTTGCCAGGCTGGAGTGCAATGGCACGATCGTCTCACTGCAACCTCCACCTCCCGGGCTCCAGCAATTCTCCTGCCTCAGCCTCCCAAGCAGCTAGGATTACAGGCGCCCACTACTACACCCCGCTAAATTTTTTTTTTGTATTTTTAGTAGAGATGGGGTTTCACCATGTTGGGCAGGCTGGTCTCGAACTCCTGACCTCGTGATCCACCCACCTTGGACTCCCAAAGTGCTGGGACTACAGGCATGAGCCACTGGGCCCAGCCCACTTCATCTTTTTTAACCTTTTAGTTCAGGGGTACATGGGCAGGTTTGTTGTAGAAGTAAACTTGTGTCATGTGGGTTTGTTGGACAGATTATTTTGGCACCCAGGTATTAAGCCTAGTGCCTATTAGTTATTTTTTGTGTTCCTCTCCCTCCTTCCACCCTTCACACTCAAGTAGACCCCAGTGTGTTGTTCCTCTCTATGTGTCCATGTGTTCTCATCTTTTAGCTCCCACTTATAAGTGAAAACATGCAATATTTGGTTTTCTGTTCCTGCATTAGTTTGCTAAAGATAATAGTTTCCAGCTCCATCCATATTCCTAGATCAAAAGACATGATCTAGTTCTTTTTAATGGCTCCATAGTATTCCATGGTGTATATGTACCACATTTTATTTATCCAATCTGTCATTGATGGGCATTTAGGTTGAATTTGTTTCTATATTTTAAGGCCCACATTGTCCCACATTTGGACAGTAGAAGCCCCTTCAATCTGGATTCTGTGTTCTTTGATGTGTTCTTATCATTCTTTGTGTACCTCTTTACTTTCCAACACAATATGGGTTTATCTTGTACTTTACTTGCCTAGGCCATGGAATCAGCTTTTTCTCTAAGGTATTCTGGCTCCTTTTAGTAGAATCAAGGCCTGGCTGCTAGGTCTACTCATTACTGTTGCATTATTGTTGTTCTCAGTGTCTTTCTCTCAGCGGAAAGAGCTATAGAGATTTTTATGTGAACATTCACACACATCATCTACATCTCTGTCTGTCTGTCTATCTATCTATCTATCTATCTATCTATCTATCTATCTATCTGAAAACTATGAGTTCATACGGATGCCTCAAGCCAACCCATTACTGCAGAATTCATACTAGCTCCTCCCTTTTTGTATTTGTAACTCTCTTTTCCAATAATGCCATAACTGACCCCCATTATTCTTAATTTACTAATGTGATTTATCCCCCTTTACGTAGCCAGTCTCCCACTGCTGCTATCATCTCTTTCTCTGCATATCCCTCTTCACCCACCAGGGTTCTAACACTCTGGCCTTGGCTTCCACCCTCTCACCTCACCTGTGCGCTGACACCGGCATGAGGATATTCCACCGTGAGAAAGTCTTTACTTGACCTGGGCTCCAACACTTCATGACAGGCACCTTACCTACACAGCCACTTGCCTTACCCCACTAGCTTTCTGCCAGCCCATACCAGGCTGTCTTTCGGCAGAGATGGGCTCCTTGTCCTGCTAAGGTTTTGCCACTCTACACTGGAAAGCCCATCTACACATGTATCCTCCTTGAGCCCCTGGGGCTTCTGTCTCATACCCTGACTCCATACACAACAGATGCCTTCCTTTCTTGACCCTATTAATGTCTTTAGAACTGAATTGTTCAGGAAGGCAAGAGGTAGAGAAAGAGGAAAATGACACCACGTTTATTGAAAAAGGAGAGAAATAAATGAAAATGGAACAATCAAATTTTCACATATGTACAGAAACACATTCCAATGATTTTAAGGGCTCAAGTTTAAAGAAAAGTCACAGTATAATTTTTTTTTTTTTTTTGAGATGGAGCCTCACCCTGTTGCCTGGTCTGGAGTGCAGTGGCGTGATCTCGGCTCACTGCAACCTCTGCCCCCAAAGTTCAAGCAATTCTCCTGCCTCAGCCTCCTGACTAGCTGGTATTACAGGCACTCGCCACTATGCCCAGCTAATTTTTGTGTTTTTAGTGGAAACAGGGTTGCACCATGTTGGCCGGGCTGGTCTCCATCTCCTGACCTCAAGTGATCCATCCACCTTGGTCTCCCAAAATGCTGGAATTACAGGCGTGAGCCACCGCACCTGGCCACAGAAATTTTTTTAAAAATGAATATTTTTCTTACATTTGGGTATCAAAGGTATAAAACCAGAGTGCATACATTCAAAACCATGAAAAGCAAAATAAAAGGGAAAGAGTATACAGTAAATAACATGTTCCAACATATATTACATAAAATTTTTATTATTACATGAGGCACTCTTACAAATAAATAAAAAATACCCCAATGGTAAAATACCTATGGCTATGAATAAACCTTTACATAAATTAAGAAATACAAGCTAGCAATTCTGATTAATATCCAGAGCAATGCTATATGTAGCCACAAATAACTAGAAATAATCTCATTGCACAACATTGGAATAATTAGCAAAATTTATGACATTGTCATATACAGTAGACTGTTGTATAACCCTACAATCATAAAGTATGTTATTATGTCAGAAAATTCTTATTGTAATATTGAAAAAAGCGAACTAGCTAGGTACAAAAAAAACCCCTCATGTTTAGAAAAAGCTAAAGGGAGTAAAAATTATATGAAAATAGGTATAGCAGATGCTGCAGTTAGTGGTGTTGGGAGTGACTATTGTTTTTTCAAATTTTTCATTGGAATAGTATGTTTTCCTATTTAGAAGAAGGAAAACCAACTACAACGACAGAATCAGCTTCCCATCAATACTGATTTCAGTTATTGGGCTAAGAGAGGTTTTTCTACCCAGGAAGCTTTAATTTTCTCATTCTGGGTGACTCTACAGGGGAGAGAATTGTGCCAGCCTTATATTTTAATGGGCACTAGGCAGAAGGGTGTGTGTGCTATTAAATCTACTAAGTGGACAGAATGATCATTATCTGCTAGGTGAGCTGGAAAGCAGGAAGATAGAGCAACTCTGGATATATTCTGTTATCCAAACTTTAAAACAAATCCATCCTCATATCCCCATTGAAAAATATGACCCTGAAAAGAGGGTTATAACTAAACAGGGAGAAATAAATATGCAGTATATGTAAACAAATAACAACAAAGAAGTAAAAAGCCTATATGTCGAAGGTTCATTACTCTAAAGAAATACAATACACTATGTTCCCCTCAACTCTGCTATGAAATTGATAGGGTCATTATTGCCTGCCATAAAGAAACGGTACAAACAAAACAGTCTTACTATTTCTCTTTCAGCTTTAATGTAATATGGTTCTTCATGAAGTTTTCATTAAAATTGATAGAATAATTCATTATGCATTTATCTGATTTTATTCCTCTTTGTATTTGATCAAAACAATATTTAGCACTTGAAAATTCACAATGAAAATTGTGAAACCTCAAGATAAGTTACTCATTTACAATTAAATAAATTAGCTTTTTAATCCTTTAATCTACTCTAGAAGCTAAATAATTGAGCTAGAACAAGGATTGTTCTATCTGATTCAAAACATTTGAGGGTCAGAGTCTCAGAAGAGAGATTTTTCACAATATGTTTATTTGCTCTAATTCACATAATTGGTATATTAAAATGAACAAATTAGAAACAAGCAACCAGAGGTTGCTGGATTAGTAAGAGTCTTAAAAGCTTTGCAGCTTCTTCATATAATTATTGAGACATGTTTAATTAGGATAACACATATTTGTAACAATTAAACATATTCAAGGTCAGAAAATGAACCCTTTTACAAGTTAAAGTTAGCATTTTAGTTTTATAATACTCTCAGTCCAACAGGAGTGTTTTATTTCAATGTGATATTCTGATACCGTTATCACATTAAAAATCACTCTTTTTGATATCACTATAATACACTAATTTACAGGTAGAAAATCGAGATTTTAGATTGTCTAAGATACCTATATAAGACTCTCATAAACGTGAAAGTTCAGTACTCAAAAGAATGAAGATGCACATACAATTTCAAGTGACTGCTTTGCTAGCTGGACTCTTTCTGAACGGAGTGAAAAAATAGAATGAAGAGACTTAGATAGTTGCTCCATTTCTTAATCCCACATCTTGTACCTCAATTGAAAGGGGTTAAGAGCCCATTAAATTCTCTTCTTGGTCCATAAGCTTCTTTTCAGTACCTTTCCCAGGTTGCAGAGAAAATTTCCTGAAGGTTAGCCATTAAATATTACTGTACTCCTGAAAATCCTTGACTTACGTCTTGAAACATGGGGTCATTTTAATTATCTATGGATGCAAGACAGTGGTTTGACTTCAGCTGACCTTAGGTGTCTCTTATGATGTATAACATCTTAAGGTTCTAAAATACCGACTCTCTCATTACAATGTTAGAAACTGCTGCATTTTCTCAGCTTTTAGTTTTTCTTTGTATCTTGTGAAGCTGATTACTATTAATGCATCAACCCCAATTTCTTTGGAAGATGGAATGAGAATTAAAAATACCCCAAAACTGCAAATCTGTAAAACAGGAGGTATAGATATTATCTTTATAGTTTCCATAATGAAAGTACCTTTCCTTTGGTGAAATCTGTCAAAATTACGATCAATAATTTTTACAAGGACCAGGTGATAAAGGAGGTGATGGTAATATTAAAGTGCTCTGTAATCACTTACATGTATGAAATTTTTCAGATTGAATAGTGATGTCATTTATTTTTTCAAAATGTTCTTAAGATAGTTTTCAGAAGGAAGCCAGACAGCAGCCCTACTGATTATACTTTTCTACTAATTATATATGTATCATTTAATTTATATGAAATATGTTTATTACAGATTTGCCCTATGTTAATTGTGACATATCATATTATATATATGAGCTATGTTGATTGTAGAGTTGCCCCATGTTCACTGTGATTCATATTAGGTCTTTCCTACAGAAGTTCAAAATCAGGAATCAAAGCAGGATGAATCACGCAGGGGCACATGGACAAAAGGAGACTGATGGCTCTTCTCACATCTGAGGCTGCTGTCTGTCACTGTATGAATTTACCAAAGCCCAGAGTCTTTCCCTCAGTTCTGGGACTTGGAAACATAAAGTTTTTAGGAAGCTGAATACAATTTCTCTTCTCAGGAGGAAACTTACATTAAACTAGCAAACATATAATCTCTAAAAAGCAGAATGTTGTTATGGATGTAATGGCAAATAAACAAGGCAGAAATTACTATACTCTGTATCTTTTAAAACTGTATTTCCTCTTTCTGTAGGCTAGGCTAACTTGGGTATCAAAAGTATTTGTGAACTTTTCTGTATACATGTTGAATCTTAATAAAATTTATAAAAACAAAGGGAAAAGATGAGTATGGAATCAGAAAAGAGCAAGCCCGATGTCTAATGAGAACAGACTAATTACACTGTAGCCTCATTCATTCATTCATTCATTCAACAAACACTTTGGGTATATGGCTATTAGCTGGGTGCCAGGTTCTATGCTAGTCTCTGGAGTAACCTATAGTGAGCCAGAGAGACATCTTTCAGGAAAACAAAATAAAAGTAAAATCAACAACAAAAGTACAAAAGAAACTGCACACTTTGGAAACAAAAAATCAGAAATATGGAGGTGAAAAAAAAACTGGATAAGATGAAAATAATGTGTCCAAATAATGCAGATTTGGGCACCTGTTTATGAGTTCAGGGAAATGTTCAATAAGCATCCAGCTGAGGCAGGAAGAATCCAAAGAAGCCAGCCATGTGAATCCAAAGGTAGAATCATCGCAGACCTGGAAGAAGTGTTAACATGGGTGGAGTTTGCACTGGATGAGCAGGAACGTGGGCTGTGATTCAGAGTGAATTCCACTTTTTTTTTTTTTTAATCTTATGAACCTGTTTGCTACTCACAATCACAGAAAGGAGACTGTCTCAAAGGGTCCACTTATTTCCAAGACCATCTCAAAGTCCCTCGTAATGTTGGCTCAGGAAAATCCTGTTGACTTTTTTTCAACCAGTCTCCTTGCACTGCCACCATCACCCTTGGTGCTGTGAGATCACCCTATTGGGGTAGGCTATCTCTCACCAGCCATAGCCACTATAACCTCAGATCCTGGCCACGAGGGAAGGGATGCTCTTATCCCCTGCCTTGCTTGGCTCTAAGCAAGGAGGCTTTTTTTGTTCCTCTCAATGCAGCTGACACCCAACTAGAAAATGTTAATGTGGCTTTACTGAAGACCAGGGACAATGGAAGAGATTTCAAACTATCACATGATATCATACCACCCTGGGGTCTCTTACCGGGTCAGTTAATGGCCTGGCTCTCTGCTTGTCATCATTTGTCCTGGGACAGGTACCCCTCACTACCAGATCTGCTGTAGAACTTCCAAAGTTTTGAAGTTCAAGCCAGATTTCCTCCTAGTTCTAGCGAGAACAAACAAATAGTGTCCCCATCTTAGCCTAAGGCCTAATTCCTCAAGTCTAAATTCCCTATCCTAGGGTTAATTTCTCATCAGGATGGTTAATAGTAGAAATATCCATTTCACAGATATGTAGTCTACTCTGATAGCATTTATTAAAACACATAATCACAGAATAGTCTTACACTTAAAAAAATTAATATTGATACATAATAGCTATACGTATTATCATGGTACATGTGATAATGTGATACATTTATATAATTAAATCGGGGTAATTGAGATATCCATTATCTAATTATTTATCTCTTCTTTACACTAGGAATATTCAAATTATTCTCTTCTAGCCATTTTTGAACTTACACTTTTGATTCAGTTCTCAAAATCTATGTTTTTCAGTATTGTCAATAGCCACATTTTATACTATGATAGCCAAAATAGTTTAGCCAAAGGAAGAAAACAATTCGAATCCACAGTCTAATTTAACTCTCACCTGGCCAGTGCTTAAATGTGTACTGCCAAATTCTGCCTCTGGTACTCTACTTTAGCTACATTTTTATTGATGGCTAACTCTATTTTTGAGACACACTGTATTTCTTTATATATGGTAATAAAATAATTTAATTAAATAATCAGATTATAGTCAAAATGTATAACCCTGAGAGTTCTTCTGTCTCATTCAGGTGACTTTGTCTTTCCATGCTGAATTTAAAAAAAAAATGTGTTGATCTCATCATTTAACTCTTAAAAGTGGGTTTAATTTCTTTCCTTTTCAAGTTCTTACAAGATAGCCATTTGTCTCTGCCATGTGCTAACACCATCTTTCCTTTACAGACCAAGGTCAATCTCCTACAGAAAGTTTCCTGATTGAACAGTAGTGTAAATCCACTGGCATATAAGAGAAAGAGGCTCAGGAATCAAGAGAATTGGGCAACTAACTAGCTCCAATTCCTTTTCATCTCAGTTTTGTTTTTTAATTTTTAAAATAGGGACATTGGTCCAAAAGGTTTTAATTAACCATACACCCTGCTCTACAAATCTAAAAAACTGTAGGACAGTATTTTGAGTCTCCAAGTATCCAGTGATAATAATTTGGGAAAAATTTAAATGGCAGAACAATTACGGTGTTCATCAAGTTTCAATTTAGTAGCCTTAGGTTTTGTGGTTCAGTGTTACCAAAAAGATCAAATGATGCTTATTTTCCTCATTACACATGATGTCATCTATAGAAAATCCATGAAATTGCTAAAACCCAGGGGCCGGGAATTCACATAGTACACAATTAAAACAACGTCTTTTTCTTGGAATTTTTGGTGATAATTCCTAAGGGCAAAGGACAGTAACCACAGCAGTTGCTCTTTTCAGTCATGATTTGTAACTTTAATTCCAGAATCATAGCTGTATGTGTTTGGAAGAGACTTCAGGAATTTGGATGGATCGTTGGCCAGAGATTATCTTTTGTTTCTCTGTAGTTAGGAAGACTCTCTAGTGATTTACGCTTTTTTCTGGTAGTTGCCTGAGATAACTTTTCTTGTTTCAGTTGGAACAACATTTGCTAATTTTTCTTCTAAACCAGAAGTCAAGGTCTAATTCCTATAAAACTTCTCAAATTATTTCAATTTATTCTAAAACGTGGCCTTATCAACCTCTATTACTTGGAAAAGTTCAAGATAATTACAGTTTAAACTTGGAGTTGCAGCTCTCTGAAAATGATTCATGTGTTATTTTACTGATTCATGTGTTATTTACTTTAAGCTCCTGGAAACCCCAAAGTGTTGGTAATTTTGGATATCATGTGGTTCTAGATAGTAAGAGCTGCTCTTCCATGTATCAGCTGTGAGATCTTGAGCAAATTGTGAGACTCTAAGCTTTAGCTTCATCATCTGTTAAGTCATGAAGTTAGCACTGATGTGAATCGTATTATTATAAGAATTAGATATGTGTATGTGCTGTAACTGTGGTAAGCATTTACTAACGCAAACAATAGCTTGATCTCTGTCCTTTGGTATAGTCTTAATAAGTGCATAATTGATGGGACTGACAACCTCTGTGGGATGAAGAAGTCCTCAGATAACAAATAATCAAGTATCAGCTGGTCAACTGTTATTCCTTGTATAATTCTGGTATGGCACAAGAGGAAAGAAATTCAGAATGAAGCAGCAGGACTAAGCTACAATAAAATTGTCCTCCAGAATCTTTCCACATTTGATCAGGTTTTTTCCCATGTCCAAGGAAATGTGGATGAAGAGTCTCGCAACTTTGGTCTAACTATAATGTTAGTATATTATTTCCAGCTAGCAGTCATTGGAGGAACTATTTTAATTTATGTTCCTGCTGTCCTTTTTACATTTCTCTTCTATTAAATATCTCCTTTTGATGAATAGTCAACCTCTTTCTTTTCTATCTTGTTTTTTTTCTCTGGAGCGTAGTGAATAAAGTATGATTTAAGCATCAGAATAGCCTGATTCCAATATCAGCCCTGCCACTGACCAGCAGTTATTTCACCTTTCTGCAGATCAATTTATTAATTTGAAACATGGGATATCAATAATATCCAACTCGCTAGGTTTTTCTCTCTTTTTTTATTTTTATTTTTGAGACAGGGTCTGGCTCTGTCGCCCAGGCTGAAGTGCAGTGGCATGATCTTGGCTCACTGTGACCTCTGCCTCCCAGGCTCAAGCCATCATCCCACCTCAGCCTCCCAAGTTGCTGGGACTACCGGTGCAAGCCACCACACCTGGCTAATTTTTGTATTTTTAGTAGAGACAGATTTCACTGTGTTCCCTAGGCTGGTCTCGAACTCCTGGCCTCAGGTGATCCATCTGCCTTTGCCTCCCAAAGTGCTGGGAATACATGCATGAGCCACCACGCCCAGCCCTCACTGGGCTGTTCTGAGAATTAAAAATAAGATAATAGATGTGAAGTACTGGTATATTAAAAATAGTTATTGTCTTCACAAATTTTGCAATGCTCAAAATATGAACACTTTGTCATTCAGTGAATCTAGGCCAACCTTGTAATATTTTCTTTGTGCATCCCATTTTTCTTCTTCAAACTTTTTCCTTTTTTACTTTCTTAAATTCTCTCTCTCCCTACCTTTTATTGTATCATTTATCTTTTTACTTTGTTCCTTAAGAGTCATCTGCTTTGTAAAACATCTTCTCTATGAAGAATTTCCTAATCCCAAGGTTTCTTCCTCCTTTTCCTCTCCAACATTGTCACATTTTTCTACTTCTCCAATTTTTGACTTCCCTTTTAACCACTCCTTACCACCCCATCTCTTATCCACTGCAATAGAAGAGGATGAATAAGAAATGCATTGTCTCAATATCAGTGGGGATAATGTTCTGGTATTCTACAAAAGCTCAGAATGTTTCATCTAAAAAATAGATCTGCCAATATCTTATTTATTTACCTTTTGTCAATATAAACTATTCAATCTATAGAGGTCTCAATTTTCTTATATGAGATATGAGGTAAGTAAATTACCTAATATCTAGGGGCCATTCCAATATTAATATTCCCTAGGTATAAGGGCTTAGCCAAACACAATGGCTTTTTGAATAACTAACCTGGTTCATGAAAGTGTTACCAGCAAGATCTACAGGCTGGAGATCAGACATGTGCATCCATATATATTGCAGTGCACTGACTTTTACGGTATTCACAGTAACAAAATATATTCATACTTACAGAATTAAGGTCACTGTGGTATGGTTTTAAAATTTTTTTTTAGGCAAGGAATGTAGAGAAATGATAATAAAATGTAATAGTATAATGCTTTTAGTAATGTAATCCTTTCCTTATCCTCTCCTTGTTGAAAGATGGGCCAGGTTTTGGCAGATGATGGCACAGAGAAGCATTACAAGTGTCAGGGACAATGTGAGAAAAGGCAGAAGAAGGAAGACTCAAATCTGAGAATGGTGAGTGATTTTTCAGGGTGAGAGCAGCATTTCACAATCTCTGTCCAGCAGAACACTGGTTTTAGGATATAGTAATGTAGTTATGAGGCAAAAGCATTTGGGAACAGCCATATGCCATATCTCCTTATTAGAGATTCAACTGACATATTGCTGTACTATAGACTGAGAGATTTTGGAGGAAAAAAATTGATTTGACTTTGTTTAATTCAGTCTTACTCAAATTTACTTGACATCCAAGCCCTTTTCTCAGAACAAATCTTAAATCAGTTGATGGAACTACATTTTGTGGAAGGCCAGTTTTAGAGCTGCTGAGATGGATCTTAGGATATCTCTGTGCTAGGATATGCATGCAATTATTTTTCTTATAACTCTATTATTTCATGCTCTAACATTTGTCGTTTTGAAGGACTCAGTTCTTAGTCTTCTGTTTTTATTTGCTTCATTGATGGCCTTAAAGAGCTTAACAGCTATGGTGGCTTTACCTCTCATGTGGTTTCCAGAGCTCCAAAACATGCTTTGTGGCTCCTGGCATTTACTGTGTGCTCCCTCTTTATTCCCTTCCTCTTGCTTCAAATATCTTAGACATATGAGCTAATTCCTTTCCCAACCTTTAGCATCAAAACCAGCTACCTTCCTCATCCTCACTGTCTCAGTTACAAGATGCAATACTACTTTTATATATGCGCAAAAATCTCAGTGATTGACACAAAACGTACGCTCAATAAAACTGCATTTTCTTTCTCTCACTGTTCAATGATATCCAAACACTCCCGAAGTTCTTAAATTGAATGTACAGTCATCTAGTTTGACCAGCTCAGCCAACCATCAAAATTGGTCTTTTTTATTGCCCACATTGCCACTTATTTCCAATAGGTACATCCAGTCCATAATGAGCACATTAGAACTTACTACTGGATTAATACCCTGGCGATTTCTTGACTAAAACTTTGTTCATGCAACTGTCAGCATAATTATCCTAATGGATTTTTTAAAGCTATAGATACAAAAAATAACCATTGCACTGGCCATAAATAAATTTTTACATTTGTGTGTATCCATGTATTCAATCCCAGGTCAAGATATCATGAAACATTTCCAGGACCCTAAAGTGTTTTCTGGTACTTCTTTCCATGCTATACTCCTTAGTGGTAACTCTTATAATGACCTCTGTCATTATATATCTTATACGTAGTAACACATGGTATGTATTCTCTTGTGTCTGGCGTATTGACATATATCTAGTTTATTAAGAGTTTCTTCTTTTATTGTGTCTCCCTTTTTCCTTAAACTAGACATTTATATAGTGTCCAAGTACCACTGAGCTCCTAACGTTATTATGCTGATCTATATCTTCAGGGGCTTTCCACAGTTTTCTGCCAGTCTTTCCACCCACACTATCTAATCAATCTAATTCTAATTCTATTTTAATTAACCAACCTCAGCCAGCCTTACTCTCACTGTTCCTCAACACACACCACTCCTCTTTGCAGACAGGTTCGCTCTCTATTCCATAAGCCCCCTGTGCTCATTCCTGACGCTGTGCCTTCTCTCTGTGTTAAAGTTCCTTTTTTCTCCTTCCTACATATCTGTTCAAGGCCCAACCCAAATCCTACCTCTTCTAAGAAGTTTTCTTAGAAGAAGCCAGTGGTTTTTGGAATCCCTCCTTAATGAACTCCTATAGCAAGTATAATCTGTGCTCCCTGACCTGGTAATTAGTTTAGTGTTTAGTGTTTGTTTTATTTCTTTTTATGTTTTGTTTTTGTTTTATTATTGTTTATCCATGCATAGGATAATGACTTGAAGCAGGAACTATGCCATTTTCTTTCTCATTTCAGTGCAGGAATCTGTGATACTAGAGTAGACTGAACTGTTTCAACCCTCGTTCCCCATTCACCCTCAGCATTTTTAAAACACAAAGCACAGTGAAATTTGTTGGTTACGAGCTTTTCTAGTAATTGGTTTTTGTTCTTAGGTCTAAGCTGAATTTCTATAATGCTAATTTGACTACTTTCTTATTGTCACATAACTCAGGAATTAGCTAAGTCATTATAAGTTTAGAAACATAGAAGATATCATAAGAAAACCGAATGAATATCACACATTTAGGCTTAGGAGCAAGGTATTGTGTGAGTCATAGATTAATGGGGTTCACAATTATTTGACCTTTCAATTTCCCACTGTAAGAAATTTCAAAATATTAATATTTAACAATGTTGCTTAAAAAAGAAAGGAAGAGGGAGAAGGTACCTTTACTTTGAGGGCTTTCTAGAATTTATGAACAAATAGAATTAGATGGGGAAGGAGGAAAAACAAGGGCCATCAGCCCACAAATGAGATCAGGATAGAGAAGAACTCATCTGGGATACCAAATAGAGAGGTATAATAGATAGAATCCCAGAAAACTTCAGCAATAGGAGCAGTGTTAGTAGGAGACAAAAGGCTTTGCAAAATGCTGTAAAACTCTCACACAAAATAACTTGGCAGGGTATTCATCATCTAGCTATTCCTGACATGCAGACTTTACTTAGAGTCCAGCCTTTGCCATCATGGATTTTTTGGGGATTTATTTTTTTTTTTGGACAATTGGACTAAATGAGGTGGCCAGTGCCCTGGCTAGCTTACGCTGCTAGAGTAAGAGGAGGAAAAATAAAAAGAGCAAGAGACATCACTCATCAGTGATTCCTCCCATCACCAATATACTTAGGATCCCTCATAACATTTTACCCACTTCCCATTGGTAACACAGAACTAGATTGAACTATTGGGTAAAATGGTCCCTACAGAACTCAGGTTCATATAGTAAAATTTTAAAATTCTGAATTTTTTCCTAGGGAAAATTGTGATGATAGTTCAATAATAAGATTAAGCGAGGGCTGAGAAATATTAGAAATGCTGGATAAAGTAAGAAACATCTGCTTAAAGTCATCAGAATGTTAAAAAAATAAAAAGCCATGCCATGTGGGCCAAGCTTCTGGAGAGAAGGGAAACAGAAAGCTTGACATTTGGCATTGCTTTTCTCCTTGCGGCATTTGCTGATTCAAAACATACAGCCTAGGAGCTGAAAAGCCAAGGAGTTGAAAAGCCAGGGAGCAGAGAAGCCAATTGGCAAGTGCTCAAGCCAAAAGCACCAACTAAGAGGCTGACAAGCCCTTAGGTAGTCTCATAGGTCTAGGAGAACAAGTAAGCTTAGAGTCCAACGAGGGATCTGAGGGCACAGGTGAACCCAGCCTTTCACATGGCAATTTTAAATGGCAACGTCCTAAATGGAAGGGCAAACCAAAAATAGACCAGCACTTACAAAGACTGAAGACCAATTTTAAATTAGCTCAAACTGAGAATGGGTTAAGGTTACCAATCCCTGTAATAACTATCTGCCATAAGAGAAAGCAAATCTTCTTCAGAGAAAGATAAGGACATCCATGAGGTACAATTATCTCTCTCTCTTTTAAATACACCCAGTATTCAAAACATCACTTGATATACCAAGAAATAAGAGTAAATGATCAAAAACTAAGAAAAAAAAGACAATATAAACGGACAGGATATTATAATTAGCAGTCACTGTTTTTTTAAAAAAAAACTATGATTCAACAACAATGAAAATCAACTGATAGGAAATAAGAGGATATGAGAGATGCTCAAACTCACATAATCAGGGAATTGCAAATTAAAATGACAGCGAGATAGCACTACTTACCTATTAGAATGGCTAAAATCCAAAAACTGAAATACCAAAACTGATGAATGCAGAGCAATAGGAATTTTCATTCAATGCTCATAGCAATCCAAAATGGTACAACCACTTTGGAAGATACTTTGGGAGATGTTTTTTTTTTTTTTATAAAACTAAACATACTTTTATCATATGATCCAGAAATTTTAATTCTTGGTATTTACCCAAATGAGTTGAAAACTTACATTCACGTGCAAATCTGCATACAAATATTTATAGTGGCTTTCTTAATAGCCAAAACTTGAAAGCAACCTAGATGTTTTTCCAGAGATGAATTAAAAAAACAAACTATGGCATATCCATACAATGGAATATTATTCAGTGATAAAAGGCAATGAATTATCCATCTATGAAAAGATGTGAAGGAAACTTAAATGCGTATTTCTAATTGAAACCAGTCTGAAAAGGCTGTATGATTCCAACTATATGATATTCAGGAGAAGTTCCAATTATGGGGGACAGTTAAATGATCAGTGGTTGCCAGAGGTTTAGGGAGGGGGAAGAAGGGATAAATAGGTGGAGCACAGAGGATTTTTAGGGCAATGAAACTATTCAGTATAATATTGTAATGGTGGACATGTCATGGCACATTTGCAAAACTCAAAACAACATTTGCAAAAAAAAGAAGAGTGAACCCTAATGTATATATTAACTTGACTTAATAATAATGTATCAATAATTCATTAATTGTGAAAAAGGTACCACACTAATGCAAGATATTAATAATGGGGAAACTAGGTAGAGAGGTGAATGGGTATATAGGAACTCTCTATACTTTCTGCTTAATTATTTTGTGATCTTAAAACTGCAGAAAAAAATTGCCTATTAATTTAAAATAAATAGCTAGGCTTACCCTTGCAGAAACTTGCACACAAACAGAAGCATAGCAGCGATATTTATAATAGCAAAAGGTGAAAACAACTCAAATGCTTACCAACTGATGAATGGATATACAAAACATGGTATATCTATACCATGAAATATTATTCCGCCATAAAAAGAAATGAAGTACTGACACATGCTATAACATGGATGAAAGTTGAAAACATGCTAAGTAAAAGAAGCCAGTCACAAATTCCCACATATTGTATGATTCTATTTGTATGAAATGTTCAGCATAGGCAAATCTGTGGAGAGAAAGCAGATGAAGACAAAGTAGATTAAGACATTAATCTAAAAAAAGTAGATTAAGACCGGGTGCGGTGGCTCATGCCTGTAATCCCAGCACTTTGGGAGGCCGAGGCAGGCAGATCCCAAGGTCAGGAGATCGAGACCATCCTGGCTAACACGGTGAAACCCTGTCTCTACTGAAAATACAAAAAAGTAGCCGGGCTTGTGGCAGGCACCTGTAGTCCCAGCTACTCGGGAGGCCGAGGCAGGAGAATGGCGTGAACCCGGGAGGCGGAGGTTGCAGTGAGCTGAGATTGTGCCACTGCACTGCAGCCTGGGGGACATAGCTAGACTCCATCACAAAAAAAAAAAAAAAAAAAAAAAAAAGAAAGGAGATTAAGTAGATTAAGAAAAAGTTGCCTAGAATTGGGGAAAATGGAAAGTGAGTGATTGCTAATAGGTTTCTTTTTCTTTTGAGTGGGGACATGAGAGTGTTTTAAAATCGATTGTGGTGATAGATGCATCATTTTGTAAAAATGCTAAAAACCATTAATTGTACACTAAATATATGAAATGTGAAAGAATTATATTTCAATGATGTTATTATTTTAAAACCATGATTAATGTATTCAAGAAAATAAAGGACAGAACATACTAGTTAAGCAAAAGTTAGCATTCATAAAAAGCAATCAAAGGAAAATTCTAAAACTGAAAAAGCAGCCATTTAAATTAAGTGTTCAGCAGCTTGGTTTAATATTATATTAGACAAAAATGTAAGAAAGGATTATTAAAGTCAACAAAAAATAACCAGGCTAAAATTTGGAGGAAAAATAATATAAAATTTAAAAAAGCACATAAGACATATGGAGAATATATAAAACATTGTGATTAACCAGGCCCATGTCATGGTTAGAGAGAGAACACCCACTCTAGCTGTACTACAAGGACTTCTGTAAAAGAAAAATGAGGTTCTAGTGCCAGAAGTAAAACGAATGCATAACAAAGAGGCAAAAACAATGATAAACTATAATTTAGACATACCAGTTATTACATAAGCTCCTTCAGGTTGTAATCTAATAGAAGTGATAAGAAATGACATAACTCATATTGAAGGCTACTAGATATTGCTGAGGAAAAGTGTCCTCAGGAGTAGTTTATGATACAGATGGACCATGTGTAGAAAATACTGTAGGAATGGAAAACTCCAGACACCTGGGACAAAAGGGGAACCATGGAGTATTTGAAAGCATCATTGTTCAAGGTTATACATTGTTTAAAATCCAGATACTTCGGTTAGCCTGTCTAAATGATGACTTGCTCATTTTTCTGGATCTGAATACAGAAGTTTTGCTGTTTTTGACCAACACCAAAGAAAAAGGTGGAAAAGTTGTTTCTTTACTATGAAACTGGAGAAAAGGCAGGTCTTACAAGTAGAATGAAGGCTTACTAGTGTTTTCCCTGATGACAGAGCTAATTCAGGAGACTCTATGGCCATAGGACAATTTTGGAAGCAGAATAAGACTGGGGAGTCTTCATTCAGTGTTTGTAATTAAATTTTAATGACATATGATGACGTTGGCATGATAGAGCTGGAAGAATTAGTTGAGTTGTTGAAAATGGTCCTCAAAGCTATAGAAATTGAACAGTGGACACAGAAAAAGAACAATGCAGGCTGGGCACAGTGGCTCATGCCTGTAATACCAGCACTTTGGGAGGCTGAGGCAGGTGCATCACTTGAGGTCAGGAGTTCAAGACCAGCCTGGCCAACATGGTGAAACCCTGTCTCTACAAAAAATACAAAAATTACCCAGGTGTGGGGGTGCCCACCTATAGTCCCAGCTACTTGGGAGGCTGAGGCAGGAGAATCGCTTGAACCCTGGAGGTGGAGGTTGTAGTGAGCCGAGATTGCGCAACTGTACTCTGGCATGGGTGACAGAGTGAGGCTCCATCTTAATAAAAAATAAAAAAAATAGAACAATGTAAATCCAAAAGGGTAGAAGGCCAATATTAACAAGAAAAGCCATAATAGAGAGGAAAAGTAGTAAACTTAACAGCTAAAAGCAAATGCTTGTTCTTTAAAAGGATGACTAAGCAAAATTTGGCAAACATGATAGAGATTTGATTAGCAATAAGACAGAGGCAAGTTTTTTTTTAATTGCAAAAGAATACTATACCAACATTACACCAATGCATTAAAAATTTAGCGACATATTTCTTTTGAGATCTTAGATTATAATTCATGTCAGTAAGTGGATTTTGGCAACATATTTAAAAAAATCATTATGTTCAAGTATAGTTTATTACCATAAAGCAGATTTATAAAAATAAAATAATCATTGGGATAAGGAGAGAAATGTCCATATCCAATATCAAAGGATACTCCAAAGTTATAGTATTTTTTCAAAAATCTGATAAGCTGTGGTAGTAGTACACTGATATGTCATTGACCTGGAAGAGGAATTCATGAATATATAGGAAATAAAATAAAGGATAAAGTACAGACTTATCCTCACTTGTGGAACTGCAAAAATGGCCATGTAAGCTGAAACTGTACAAAGTGATTGTAATAATTAGCAGCAAAATTATGATTGTTTCATGTCCTTAAAATTTTTCTGACAACTATTAGAAACCCCCTTTCTGTTGGTTATAAAAGTATACATCAATGAAAAAAAAGTAAAGCTTATATTTAGTTAATGCACTATAAAACATTAGAAATTACCATGTTTTATTCTGCAGTAAAACCTTGTTGAGACTTATAGTTACCGGTCCAGCATCTCAGAAGTTTGGAAGTTGCCACTTTATCCTAATAACAAGTAAAAAACTAAACAAACTGAAAATTCAGTAACACTTCTTAAATTCATCAGAAAAGGGAGTTATAGGTCAAACCACTGCCCACAAAAATTGGACAGACAGACAAACAGTTCCAGAGAATCACAACTTATCAGAGTACAAACCCAGGGGTAGAAACCTCTTGTGAAAAGCAGTGCTGAAATATAAAAATTTGAACTGTAATTGAATTGCTGGAGGGTTGATGTGAACAAGTCTGTGAGTTAAAAACTCCAGGGAGGTCCCCAGACTCTTGTAAGTTTTACCTCCTGGAGATCTATCAGGCTGTCACAGTGAAGGTTGTAGAGAAATTCCCTGTGCTTCTGGTGGAGGAAGGGGAAAAGTGGCCATTTGTAAATTCACCAGAGCTTTGTGTTCTTAACAAGGTCTGTCCTCAAGAGAAACTATTTTAACAGAGTTTAACTTACAGGGGTTGTGTCAAAGCCTAACCAAGCTGGGTGGTAGAGAATTCCAATCTTCTCCAGTCATCCTGTCACACCTAAGGTGAGGGAAGTCCTGAAGTGCACTTGTGAAGCTCACAGCAGAAGGGCACAGGCTCATTAAAAGACTAAAAGCTAATCACAGGAATATAGAACTCTTCCCTTCCCCCACACTTTACCATGCACCACATTACTAAAGGGCTATTTACTGCCAGTACATTATGTCCATATTTTAAAAAAATGAAAAGTCATACTAAAAGGCAAAAAAAAAAGAGGAGTTTGAAGAGAGAGCAAGCATCAGAATCAGATTCAGACATAGCAGAATTGTTGGAATTATCCGTTAGAATTTTAAAACAATGATTAATATTCCAAGGCCTCTAAAGGAAAAGATAAAGAACAGGCAAAAACAGATGGATAACATAAATAGAGAGGGAGAATTTCTAAGCAGTAATAGGCAAGAAATGCTAGAGATCAAAAACTCTGCAACAGAAATAAATATTGCCTTTGGTAGGCTTGTTAGTAGATTGGATATGGCTGAGGAAAAGGAAAAATCTCTGAGCTTGAGGATATGTCAATAGCAATGTTGAGGATATGTCAATAACAATGTCCCAAACTGAAAAGTAAAGAGAAAAATTACAGAAGAAACTCAACAAAATATCCAAGAACTGTGAGACAACTGCAAAATGTATAACATATATAGAATGAGAATAATATAAGGAGAAAAAAAGAGAGGAGGAAATATTCAAATATTTCAAATAGAAATATTTGAAGCAATAATGACTGAGAATTTTTCCAAGTGAATGTCAGATGCTGAACCATGGATTCAGGGAACTCAGAGAACATCAGGCAAGATAAATGCCAAAACAAACAAAAATTAAAATGACAAAAAGCTACATCTAGGCATATCATATTCAAACTGCAGATTAAAAAGAACACACACACATTTGAAATAAGCCAGAAGAAATAAACATCTTGCCTATAAAGGAAAAATGATAAGAATTACATCTTTCTTCTTAGAAATACTGTAAGCAAAAAGTGAGTGAAGTGAAATATTTAAAGTGTTAAGACAAAAATAGTCAACCCCAAATTGTGTATTCTATAAAATTATGCTGTAAAAGTCAAAGATAAAGACTTTCTGAAACAGAGAGAATTTTTGCCAGTAGACCTGCCTTGCAAGAAATATTTAATAAAGATCTTCAGAGAGAAAGAAATTCATATATGTCTGAAATTTGGATCTACATAAAGAAAGGTAGAGGATTAGAGAAGGAATAAGTAAAGGTAAATGAAAACATTTATTTTTAAATTCTTAAAGAATCTAATATATAATAGTTTGTTCAAAATAATAGCAGCTATATACATATGTGTGTGGTGTTTATATATACACACTCATGTATACTTATGTATAAATTACATGAATGTCAGAAATGAAACAAAAGACAAAATGAGAAATTAGAAATATTGTAATATTGTAAGGTACTTGCGCTATCTATGAAACAGTAGAGTGTTATTTAAGTATGGACTTAGATGATTTGTAAATATATATTACAATAATAACTAAATAGCAAGTTACTTTAATTATTTATAAAAATTAAAAATTGTTATTTTAAATAATTTCTTAATTAAATTAATTAAATAATTAAAACAATTATTTAATTTTAGTTATTGAAATAACTAAAATAGTTATTTTTTAAAAACCCAAAACAAAAAACAAAAAGAAAATTAATATGTTAAGAAATAAAAGAATATAGAATCATTTAAAATGCTCATTTGAAACCACAAAAGCCAGAAAAAAAATGACAAAAATGTGAACAAAGGTCAAAAACAATAAATAGAAAGCAGTAACAAATATCATAGATATCAATTTAAGTATACCAATAATAACTCTAAATTCTATGGTATAAATACACAAATTAAAAGAGAATATTAGAGCAGACCAAAAAACAAAGTTGATTTATTTCTGAGCTGTAAGAAACCGAACTTAAATATAAAGGCATATGTAAATTAAATGTAGAGATGCAGAAAGATATACACAATCTGTCAAAACTCACACAAGAAAAATAGACAATCTAAATAGGCCTGTATCTACTAAGAAAATTGAATAATTACCTTCCCAAGCAGAAAACATCAGGCCAAGATGTGTTCACTAGTAAGTTCTACCAAATATTTAAGAAAGAAATTATAAAATATTTTTCAAAATATAGAAGTAGAAGGAATATTTCCTAGTTTATTCTATGAGGCCAGCACTACCTTAGTAATAAAACCAGAGAAAGAGGCTGGGTGCAGTGGCTCATGCCTATAATTCCAGCACTTTGGGAGGCCGAGGCGGGTGGATCACCTGAGGTCTGGAGTTTGAGACCAGCTGGGCCAATATTATGAAACTCCATCTCTAATAAAAATACAAACAATTAGCCAGGCATGGTGGTGCGTGCCTGGAATCCCAGCTACTCAGGAGGCTGAGGCCGGAGAATTGCTTGAACCCGAGAGGTAGAGGTTGCAGTGACCTGAGATCATGCCACTGCACTGCAGCCTGGGCAACAAGGGCAAAACTCTGTCTAAAACAAACAAAACGAAACAAAACAAAACAAAACAAAAAACACTATACAAAGATATTGCAAGAATAGAAAACTACAGACAAATATCTTTTGAGAACATCGATGCAACAATTCTCCACAAACTATTAGCAAATAGAAAACGAACAATGTATAAAAAGAATTATATATCATGGCCAAGTGCAATTTATCCCAGGTATGCAAGGCTGGTTCAACATTGGAAAATCAATTAATATAATTTATTACCTCCACAGGCTAAAGAAATAATTATTTAATTGTATTAATAGAGGCACAACAAGCATTTGACAAAATCCAACATTTATGCATTATGAAAGACTCCCAGCAAACCAGGGTAGAGGAGAACATTCTCAACTGGATAGAAAACATTCAACTAAAAGCTAAAGCTAGCACCATAATTAATGATGAGAAACTAGAAGCTTTCACCATAAGATCAGGGACAAAGCAAAAATGTCCCCTCTCAACATTTCATTTTAACATGTACTGAAAATTCTAGGAAATAGATAACATGAGAAAGAAAATAAAAGGTGCACAGATTGTAAAGGATAAAATAAAATTGTCTTTGTTTACAGATGACTTGATTGTCCATGCAGAAAACCTAAAAGAATGAAGAAAAATATTTTCAAAACTATAAACAATTGTATTAAGTTTGCAGAATACAAGAGAAATATACAAAAGTCAATTGCTTTCCTGTATACCAGCAAAGAATAAGTGGAATTTGAAATTTAAAATACAATACCACTTAAATTAGCATCCCCCCAAAAATGAAATACATAGGTATAATTCTAGCAACATATATGCAAGGTCTATATGATGAAAACCGGAGAACTTAGATGAAAGAAATTAGATGAAAGAAATTCTAAAAAAATTAAATAAATGGAGAACTATTCCACGTTCATGGGTAAGAAGACAGTATTTTCAAGATGTCAGTGCTTTTCAGCTTGATCTACAGATTCAATGCGACCTCAACCAAAATCCCAGCAAGTTATTTTGTAGATATTGACAAACTAACTATAAAGCTTATACAAAGAGGCAAAAGACCAAGAACAGAAAACACAATATTAAAAGAGAAGAAAAAAATAGGAGGACGGATACTACTCAACTTGAAGAATTACTATAAAGCTACAGTAATCAAGATAGCGTAATATTGGCAAAGAATAGACAAATAGAGCAATGGAGCAGAATACAGAGCCCAAAAATAGACACACAATAATATAGTCAACTATCTTTCTCAAAGGAGAGAGGCAATACAACAAGAAAAAGATAATCTTTCAACAAATATTGCTAGAACTGAATATCTATATGCAAAAGGATAAATCTAGACACAGACCTTGTACCTTGTACAAATATTAACTCAAAATGGATAATAGACCTAAATGTAGTACACAAACATATAAAACTCAAAATAGATAATATAGTAGAATATCTAGATGACCTCAGAAATGGTGATGACTTTTAAGATACACCATTAAAGGCACAACCCATGAAGTGAAAACTAATAACCTGAACTTTATTAAAGTTTAAAAATCCCCACTTCTGTTCTATGAAAGACATTGTCAAAAAATAAGAATACAAACTACAAACTGGGAGAAAATATTGGCAAAAGACCTATCTGATAAATGACTATTATCCAAAACATATAAGCAACTCAAAAACTCAACAATGACGAAAAGCAGCACAATTAAAAAGTGAGCAAAAGACCTGAACAGAAACCTCACTCAAGAAGATATACAGATGACAAATAAGCACATCAGAAGATATTTCACACCATATGTTATTCAAAAATAAGCATATCAGAAGATATTTCACACCATTTCTTGAATAACCATATGTTATTCAAGAAATGCAAATTAAAGCAACAATGAGGTATCATTACCATGACGGTTAGAATGGCCAATCTTCAGAATACTGACAACGCTAACTGTTGACAAAGACATGAAGCAACAGGTGGTGAGAATACCAAATGGTATAACCACTTTGGAAGACAGTTTGGCAGTTTATAATAAAACTAATCATACTCTTACCATACATTCCAGTGATCACACTCCTTGGTGTTTACACAAATGTGTTGAAAAGTTATTTTACACAAAAGCCTTCACAAGGATGTTTATAGCAGCTTTATTCATAGTTGCCAGAACTTGGAAGCAACCAAGATATCCTTCAGTAGGTAAATAGATAAATAAACAGTGGTAATTTAGACAATAGATTATTAAACAGTGATAAAAATAAATGACCTATCAAGACATGGAGAAACCTTAAATGTGTATTTCTAAGTAAAAGAAACCAGTCTGAAAAGGCTGTGTAATGTGATTCCAGCTCTATGACTTTTGGGAAAAGACCAAACTATGGGGATAGTAAAAATGATCAGTAGTTGGCAGAGGATAAGGATAAGGGATAAATGAATAGGCAAATTACATAAAACTTTTAGGGTAGTGGAACTATTCTCTGTGATAATGGTGGATGCATGTCATTGTACAGTTGTCAAAATCTATAGACTATACAACTCAGGTGAACCCTAATGTAAACTATTGACTTTAGGTGACAATAATGTGTTAATGTATGTTCATCAATTGTAAAAAATGTGCAACTCTAGTGGAAGATATTGGTAAGCGGGGAAGCAGTGCGTATGTGGGGACAGGTGGAATATACCAAATCTCTATATCTTCCACTTAATTTTTCTAAGTGAATCTAAAACTTCTCCAAAAAATAGAATATTTTAAAAGGAGAAATTTTAAAAAAACCTTATCAATAGTAGTTTACAGTGCTTGTCCTACTCTTCTCATACACCTTACAAGGAGTCAAAATCTTTTCTATGCCTTGGCAAATTGTCTTGCTCTATTCTAACATTTACCCTTGAATTTTCAACATTTCATCCTTTGTGTTTTCCATGTTATAAAATATATCTGAGAATTCTTTAATGTGAAGTTTTTTGTTGATGTCACTTACTGTGGGACATCTTCATCCTTTTGTGACAACTACTTTCCTCATTTATGTTGATTTTGCCTTTACTGGGTTCCCTGGGCTGCAAACTTACTCTCAACGTCTATCGAGTGAACATTCACATGGTCAGCTATTTCTTCCACAACCCATTTACATTCTATTAGAATTATACTTCCAGAGTAATCACTATTTGTTTCTTTGCTGCATTTTTGCCTTAGTTGCCTTGCTTTCTCTCTTTCAGTTATCCAGTTTTATAAAATGTCATGTAGATTTATGACTGGGAAACAAGAAGGCCGCATGATGACACACTTTGATGTGTGTTAGTTGAATAACATGCACTGTGACCAATCACCAACAGACCTAAAGAAGTGACTTAATTGGTCACTGATTGAGATGCATGTCTTATTTATATAGTGATTTGTGGAATGTACAGTTAGCTGTGAAATTTGTATGTTATGCTATTTCTCACAGTATATGGTAGTAACTAAAATTTGAATGTTGATGGAGAATGATTATTTAACTGAAACATAATAACTAAAATTCCTGTACATGTGAACTTTATATAGCAAGGACTGCCTATATAGCATACATTCACTAATGCTCTAATGTAAGAAAAAATACTTAGAATAATGTAGACTAGGATAAGAAACTATACTCTTTGTATGAAGAAGTCTTTTCCTAAGAAGAACATGAAACTGAGATACCATTAAAAAAAACAGATAGTGGATATGTTGTCCTAATAATTAACGAATTCTACGTGACAAAAGACAATCTAAACATAAAGACAAAGAACTAGGAAACGTATCAACATAAGACCAAGGGTTTGACCAACACTTTCCTTTCTCCACAAGTGTATCAGGATGGGAAAATACCAGAAAGTCAAACTTTATAAATCAACAGATGAGACATTAAATCAAATTTCTCATCTACTATGGACTTCATTTTATGAACTGCAAGGCGCCTTCAACAGGTGGAGAATTGCCTGTCTAACCCAGATACTCTGTAATGTATTTAGAGAAACCTTGAGTACCTGTTTGACAGACTAACCTCCTTTCAGTTCTTTAAGAAAGGAAAAACAATTAACAGAATGTCAGTGTCTTCAGGGCAGAATTCCAATATTATGTCTGTACCACTGATCTTTGCAAAACATCAAAACACACAGTATCTAGCAAATCACTCTTAGACAATCAAGTGGGAAAAAAATAAAAAAGCTGACAGACTTGCTAGTTCATTTGTAGCCCTAATTCAAGTAAAGCAGAGTGGGAACATATGCACCTGATAACCCACCTCTGTGGAATTATTCATAGATTGAACTAATAAATGTTGTAAGAAATGAGAGAAGGAGACAGGCAGAGCAAGATGGCTGAATAGAAGCCTCCAGGAATTGTCCCCTTTGCAGGAACACTGAATTGAAAAAGTATCCACACAAAAAAGCACCTTCATAAGAATAAAAAATCAGGTAAGTAATCACAGTACCTAGTTTTAACACCATATTAAGGAAATAGACACTGAAGAGGGCAGGAAAGACAGTCTTGAAGGGCAGAAAAAGACAGTCTTGAATTGCATACCCCATCCCTCCCCAGTTCCCTGGCAGCAGCCACATGGCATGGAGAGAGAATCTGTGTGCTTGGGAGAGGGAGAGCACAATGACATGGGACTTTGCATTGGAACTCATGGATGCCCTGTCACAGTGGAAAGCTTCACAGAGCAGAACTCAATTGGCACCCACAGAGGGAGCATTTAGACAAGCCTTAGCCAAAGGTGAATCATCCATTGCAGTGGTTGGAATCTGAGTTCCAGTAAGCCTTGCTACTGAGTGATAAAGTGCTCTGGGGGTCTAATTCTAAAGGTAGTCTAGGCCACAAGGATTGCAATTCCTAGGCAAGTCCTGGTGCTGTGCTAGGCTTGAAGTCAGTGGACTGAGGGTACACGTGACTTAGTAAGACACCAGCTGGGGCAGCCAAGGGAGTGCTTACATTACCCCTCCCCCAACACTAGGCAGCACAGCTCACAGCTCTGGAAGAGACTTCTTCCCTCTGTTTGAGAAGAGAAGAAAGGAAAAGGGACTGTGTCTTATAAATTGGACACCAGCTCAGCCACAGTAAAAGAATACCCGGCAGAGTCCTAAGGCACCAATTTCAGGCACTAGCTTAAAGACATTTCTAGACATACCCTGGGCCAGAATGGAACCTGCTGCCTGAAGCGAAGGAGCCAGTCCTGGCAGAATTCACCCATGGTGAGTAAAGAGCATTAGGTCCTGAATAATCAGAAGTGGTAGTCAGGCAGTACTTACTATAAGCCTTAGGTGAGACTTAAAGCCGTGCTTGCTTCAAATGTCTTCAAACACATTCTCAGTAGTGGTGGCTATGGTGGGGAGGGGGTGGGGAGAGACTCACTCTTCTTGAAGAAAGAGGAGGGAAGTATAAGGGGGTCTTTGTCTTGCAGTTTTGGTATCAGCTTGACTACAGTGGGGTAGAGCACCAAGTGGGTTCCTGGGGTTCCTGATTCTAGGCATTGCTTCCTGGATGACACTTCTGGACGTTTCCTAGACCAGAGGGAAGTTCACTGCCCTGAAGGGTGACATTCAGGCCTGGTAGCATTCATTACAAGCTGACTGAAGAGACCTTGGGCCTTGAGTTAACACTGGTAGTAGCCAGGCAGTACTCGCTGTGGGCCACGGCTAGTGGGTGGCCATGGGTAGAGACTCCTCTGCTTGAGGAACGGGGAAGAAAGAGTAGGAAGAACTTTGTCTTGCAGCTTGGATGCCAGTTCCGTTGCAGTAGAAATTAAGTTTCCTGACTCTAGGCCCTGGCCCCCAGATGGTATCTCTGGACTCACCCAGGCCCACAGGAACCTCGCCATCCTGAAGGAAAGTACACAATCCTGGCTGAATTTACCACCTGCTGATTGTAGAGCTCTTGGACCTTGAGTGAATATAAGTGGTAGGCAGGCAGTGGATACCTTGGATGAGACCCAGTGCTGTGCTTGCTTTGGGTCTGACTCAGTGTAATCCCAGTTATAGTAACTACAGGGCTACCTGTGTCACCCCTCCCCCAGTTCCAGGCAGCTCAGCAAAGAAAAAGCCTCATTCGTTGAGGGAAAGTAAGAAAAGTGAACAAGTCTCCACCTGGTAATCCAGGGAGCTTACCTAAGGTGACCAAAGCGGTACATTTATGAGTCTGCAAGAGTCATAGCGTTACTGAGCTTGGGGAGCTTCCTAATGAAGATATGGCTACAGTGACCAAAGACTTAGATCACAGCACCCAAGTCCCTTTGAATACTTGGAAAGCCTTCCCAAGAAGGATGGGTACAAACATGCCCAGACTGCAAAGGCTACAATAAATACTCAATTCTTTTTCAATGTCCAGACATAAATGCACATTGACAAGCATTAAGACCATCCAGGAAAACATGACATCGCCAAATGAACTAAATTAGGTACCAATGACCAATCCCAGAGAGACAGAAATATGTGACTTTTCAGACAGATAATTCAAAGTAGCTATTTTGAGAAAGCTCAAGAAAATTCAAGATAACGCAGAGAAAATATTCAGAGTCTTGTTAGATAAATTTAACAGAGGCTGAAATACTAAAAAATAATCAAGCAGAGATTCTGGACTTGAAAAATGCAATTGACATATTGAGAATACATTAGAGTCTCTTAACAGCAGAATTGACCAAACAGAAGAAAGAATTAGTTAGCTTGAAGACAGGCTAATTGGAAATACACAGTCAGAGGAAACAAAGGAGAAAAGCAGAAAAAAGTATTAAGTGCACCTACAAGATCTAGAAAATACCCTCAAAAGGGCAAATCTAAAAGTTATTGGCCTTAAAGAGAAGATATAGAGAGAGATTGGGATAGAACGTTTATTCAAAGGGATAATAACAGAGAACTTCGAAACCTAGAGGAAGATATCAATATTCAAGTAAAAGAAGGTTATAGAACATCAAGCAGATTTAACCCAAATAAGACTACCTCAAAATGTTTAATAATTAAACTCCCAAAAGCCAAATATAAAGAAAGGACCCTAAAAGCAGTAAGAGGCTGGGAGAAATGGCTATGCCTGTAATCCCAACACTTTGGGAGGCCAAGGCGGGTGGGTCACCTGAATTCAGGAGTTTGAGACCACCCTGGACAACATGGTGAAACCCTGTCCCTACCAAAAATACAAAAAATTAGTTGGGCATAGTGGCAAATGTGCGTGGTCCCAGCTACTTGGGAGGCTGAGGTGGGAAGATTGCTTGAGCCTGGGAGGCAGTGGTTGTAGTGAGCTGAAATGGTACCACTGCACTCCAACCTGGTGAAAGAGTGAGACCCCATCTCAAAATGAATAAATGAATAAATTAAATAAAATAAAAGCAGCAAGAAAAAAGATAAAAATAACATACCAAAGAGCTCCAATTCATCTGAAATAAGGCTTTTCAGTGACAAGATTACAGGCCAGGAGAGAATGGCATGACATATTTAAAATGTTAAAGGAAAAAAAGCTTTTATCCTTGAATAGTATATCCAGTGAAAATATTCTTCAAACATTAAAGAAAGTGAACATTTTTCCAGACAAACAAAAGCTGGAGGATTTCATCAACATCAAACTTGTCCTACAAAAAATAATAAAGAGAGTCTTCAATCTGAAAAATAATGTTAATGAGCAATAAGAAGTCATCTGAAGGGATAAAGCTCACTGGTAATAGTAAGCACACAGAAAAACACAGACTATTATAGCACTTTAACTGTGGTATATAAACTACTCTTATATTGAGCAGAAAGACTAAAGGATAAGCCTATCAAAAATAATAACTACAACAACAACTTTTCCAAACATAGACAGTATGATAAGATATAAATAGAAACAACAAAAATTCTAAAAGCAGGGGAATGAAGTTGAAGGGTTGAGTTTCTTTTCATTTTCTCTTTGCTTGTTTGTTTATGCATTCAGTGTTATTGGTTTAAAATAATTGGTTATAAGAAATTATTTGAAAGACTCATAGTAACCTCAAATAAAGAAATACAACAGATATAAAAAAATAAAAAGCAAGAAATTGAAATATGTCACCATAGAAAATCACCTTCACTAAAAGGAAGACAAGAAGGAAGGAAAGAAGGAGTAGAAGATCACAAAACAACCAGAAAACAAATAACAAAATGGCAAGAGTAAATCTTTAGTTATCAATAATAACATTAAATGTAAATGGATTAAACTCTCCAATTAAAAGACATAGAGTGGCTGTATGGATTTTGTTTTAAGAAAGACTTAATAATCTGTTGCTTACAAGAAACATCCTTCACCTATAAGGACATGCATAGACTAAAAACAAAAAAGCATCAAAAAAGATATTCCATGCAAATTGAAACCAGAAAAGAGCAGGAGTAGCTATACTTATATCAGACAAAATAGATTTTAAGACAAAAACTATATAAACAGACAAAGAAGGTTATTATGTGGTGATAAACAGGCCAATTCAGCAAGAGGATATAACAATTGTAAATATATATATGCACCTAACACTGGAGCAATGAGATATATAAAGCAAATATCATTACAGTTAGAGAGATAGACAACAATAAAGTAACAGCTAGAGACCTACTCTCAGCATTGGACAGATTTTCCAGACATAAAATCAACAAAGAAACAGCATACTTAGTCTGCGCTTTAAAACAAATGGATCTAATGAATATTTACAAAATATTTTATTCAACAGCTGCAGAATACCCATTCTTCTCCTCAGCACATGGTTCATTCTCAAGGACAGTTCATATGTAAGGTCACAAAATAAGAGTTTAAAAATTTTTTTAAATGAATTCATAGTAAGTATCTTCTCTAACCACAACAAAATAAAACTAGAGATGAATAACAGGAGGAATTTTGAAAACTATATGAAGATGTAGAAATTAAACAGTGTGCTCCTCAATGACCAGTGGGTCAATGGAGAAATTAAGAAGGAAATTACATAATTTCTTATAGCAAATGAAAATAAAATGAATAAAAAGCTATAGGATACAGTGAAAACAGTACTAAGAGGAAAGTTTATAGCAACAAATGTCTATACCAAAAAAATAGAAAAACTTCTATTGGATCTTAAATAATTAGGAAAGCAAGAGTAAACCAAACCAAAAATTAGTAGGAGCAAATAAATAAAAAAGATCAGGGAAAAATGAAACAAAAATATAAAAAAGATCAAGAAAACAAAAAGCTTTTTTGTAAAGATAAACAAAATCAACAAACCTTTAGTCAGACTAAAGGAAGAGAGAAGACCCAAATAAATAAAATCAGATATGAAAAAGGATACAATAAAACTGATACTACAGAAATTCAAAGAATCATTAGAGGCTACTCTAAGCAACTATATGCCAATAAATGGGAAAATCCAGAAGAAATGGATAAATTTCTAGACACATACACCCTACCAAGATTTAACCATGATGAAATCCAAAACCTGAACATTCAGACCAATAACAAGTAATGAGATAGAAACTGTAATAAAGAATTCCATCAATGAAAAGCCCAGTACCCGAGGGTTTAACGCTGAATTTTACCAATCATTTAAAGAGGAACTAATGTCAGTCCTACTAAAACTATTCCAAAAAATAGAGGAGCAGGCAATACATCTAAATTCATTCAAGGTCAATATTACCCTGATACCAAAGCCAGACACAGACATCAGAAAAAGTATACCACAGGCCAGTATCCCTAATGAACACTGATGCAAAAATCATCAACAAAATACCAGCAAACGGAATTCAACAACACATTAAAAAATAATTGTCAAGACCAAGTAGAATTTATCCCAAGGATGCAAAGAGGGTTCAACATATGCAAATCAATCAATGCGATACATCATATAACAGGATGGAGGACAAAAACTATATAATTATTTCAATTGATGCTGAAAAAGCATGTGATAAAATTCAACATCCCTTCGTAATAACAACTCTCAAAAACCTGGGTATAGAAGGAATACCTCAACACAGTAAAACTATATGACAGAATCACAGCTAATATCATACTGAATGGGGAATAACTTAAAGCCTTTCCTCTAAGACCTGAAACACAACAAAGATGCCCACTTTCACCACTATCATTCAGCATAGTACTGGAGTTCTAGATAGAGCAATTAGAGAAGAGAAAGAAATAAAGGGCATCCAAACTGGAAAGGAAGAAGTAAAATTATCCTTGTTTGGAGATAGTACGGTTTTATATTTGGAAAAATAATGACTCCCCCATAACACTATAGGACTGATAAACTCAGTAAATTTTCAGGATACAAAATTGCCATGCAAAAATCAGTAGCATTTCTATATGCCAACAGCAAACAATCTGAAAAAGAAATAAATAGTCCTATTTACAATGCTATAAATAAAGTAGAATACCCAGGAATTTACCAAAGAAGTGAAAAATTGCTACAAGGAAAACTGTAAAACATTGATGTAAGAAAATTGATATAAGAAATTGAAGAGGATGCAAAAATTGGAAAGATATTCCATGTTCATGGATTGGAAGAATCAATATTGTTAAAATGTCCACATTACCCAAAGCAAACTACAAATTCAGTGCAATCCCTATCAAAATATCAATGATATTCTTCACATAAATTTAAAAAAAAACTATCCTAAAATTTATATTAGGATAGAAAAGACACAGAATAGCCAAAGCTATCTTGAGCAAAATGAACAAAACTGGAGAGATCACATTACCTAACTTCAAATAATACTAAACAGCTATAGTAATCAAAACGGGATAGTACTGGCATAAAAACAGACACATAAACCAGTGGAACAGAATAGAGAACCCAGAAACAGATCCACACATCTTCAGCAAACTCATTTTTGACAAAGAGGCTGAAGACATACATTGGGAAAAACACAGTCTCTTCAATAAATAGTGCCGGGAAAACTGGATATCCATAGGCAAAAGAATGAAACTAGACCCCTATCTCTCACCATATAAACATATCAAATCAAAATGGATTAAAAATTTGAATCAAAGACCTCAATCTTGGGGGGGTGGGGGGCAGCCAACATGGCCAAATAGGAACAGCTCCGGTCTATAGCTCCCAGTGTGAGTGACGCAGAAGATGGGTGATTTCTGCATGTCCATCTGAGGTACTGGGTTCATCTCACTAGGGAGTGCCAGACAGTGGGCGCAGGACAGTGGGTGCAGTGCACCATGCATGAGCCGAAGCAGGGCGAGGCATTGCCTCACTCAGGAAGCGCAAGGGGTCAGGGAGTTCCCTTTCCTAGTCAAAGAAAGGGGTGACAGATGGCACCTGGAAAATTGGGTCACTCCCACCCTAATACTGCGCTTTTCCGACGGGCTTAAAAAACGGCGCACCCGGAGATTATATCCCGCACCTGGCTCGGAGGGTCCTACGCCCATGGAGTCTCGCTGATTGCTAGCACGGCAGGCTGAGATCAAACTGCAAGGCGGCAGTGAGGCTGGGGGAGGGGCGCCCACCATTGTCCAAGCTTGCTTAGGTAAACAAAGCAGCCGGGAAGCTCAAACTGGGTGGAGCCCACCACAGCTCAAGGAAGCCTGCCGGCCTCTGTAGGCTCCACCTCTGGGGGCAGGGCACAGACAAAAAGACAGCAGTAACCTCTGCAGACTTAAATGTCCCTGTCTGACAGCTTTGAAGAGAGCAGTGATTCTCCCAGCACGCAGCTGGAGATCTGAGAACAGGCAGACTGCCTCCTCAAGTGGGTCCCTGACCCCTAATCCCCGAGCAGCCTAACTGGGAGGCACCCCCCAGTAGGGGCAGACTGACACCTCACATGGCCAGTTACTCCTCTGAGACAAAACTTCCAGAGGAACGATCAGACAGCAGCATTCGTGGTTCACGAGAATCCGCTGTTCTGCAGCCACCGCTGCTGATACCCAGGCAAACAGGGTCTGGAGTGGACCTCTAGCAAAGGATTATAAATCATGCTGCTATAAAGACACATGCACATGTATGTTTATTGCGGCACTATTCACAATAGCAAAGACTTGGAACCAACCCAAATGTCCAACAATGATAGACTAGATTAAGAAAATGTGGCACATATACACCATGGAATACTATGCAGCCATAAAAAATGATGAGTTCATGTCCTTTGTTGGGACATGGATGAAATTGGAAATCATCATTCTCAGTAAACTATCGCAAGGACAAAAAACCAAACACCGCATGTTCTCACTCATAGGTGGGAACTGAACAAAGAGAACACATGGACACAGGAAGGGGAACATCACACTCTGGGGACTGTTGTGGGGTGGAGGGAGGAGGGAGGGATAGCATTAGGAGATATACCTAATGTTAAATGACGAGTTAATGGGTGCAGCACACCAGCATGGCACATGTATACATATGTAACTAACCTGCATAATGTGCACATGTAGACTAAAACTTAAAGTATAATAATAAAAAAAAAAAAATCAATCTCTAAAACTACTCCAATAAAACTTTGGGGAAACACTCCAGGATATTGGAGTTGGCAAAGATTTCTTGAGTAATACACCATAAGCACAGGCAACCAAAGCAAAAATGGAAAAATGAGATTGTATCCATTTTAAAAACTTCTGTACATCAAAGGAAACAATCAACAAAGTGAAAAGACAGCTCATAGAAATTGAGAAAATACTTGCAAACTACGCATCTGACAAGGGATTAATAACCAGAATATATAAGGAGTTCAAACAACTCTATAGGAAAAAATCGAATAATCAAATTAAATGAGCAAAAGATTTGAATAGACATTTCTCAAAAGAAAAAATATAAATGGCAAACAGGCATATGAAAATATACTGAACATCATTGGTTATCAGAGCAATGCAAAGCAAACCTACAATGAGCTAACATCCCACCTCAGTTAAAATGGGTTTTATCTAAAAGGCAATAATAAACACTGGTGAGGATGTGAAGAAAAGGAAATCCTCGTACATTATTACTGCAAATGTAAATTAATACAATCACTATGAAGAACAGTTTGGAGTTCCTCAAAAAAATAAAAATTGAACTACAATATGATCCAGCAATTCCACTGCTAGGTATGTACCCAAAAGAAAAAAATCAGTATATCAAAGAGATTTCTGCACTCCCATGTTTATTGCAGCAATATTCACAATAGCCAAGATTTGGAAGAAATCTAAGTATCTGTCAACAGACTAATGGATAAAATATGGTGCGTATACACAATGGAGCACTATTTAGCCATAAAAAAGACAGTATGTTGAGTGAAATAACTCAGGCACAGAAAGACAAACTTGGCATGTTGTCATTTATTTTTGGGAGCTAAAAATTAAAACAATTGAATTTATGGAGAAAAAGAGTGGAACGATGTTTACCAGAGGTTAGGAAGGGTAGTGGTGGTGGGCGGGGAGCGGGGTGGGGGAATAGGTACCAAAATATAGTTAGATAGAATGAACAAGCTCTAGGATTTGACAGCACAACACTGTTACTATGGTCAACAATAATTTATTGTACATTTAAAAATAACTAAGAGTATAATTGGACTGTTTGTAACACACACAAAAAATGATAAATGCTTAAGGTGCTGGATACCCCATTTACCCTGATGTAATTATTATGCATTGTATGCCTGTATCAAAATATCTCATGTACCCCATAAATATATCTACACCTACTATGTACCAACAGTTTTTTTAGAAAAAGAAAATGAGAGGATGCAGGGAGGAACAGCTTTTGAAATAGTACCTAAATACTTCGTATATTCCTAAGGAATCCCAAAGACCACCGTGTCTGAAAGGAACTGACAAATGTTGTATAATAAGTGCAGAGATCGTGCCCTTGTCAGCCAGCATATGGAGAGCATTACTGATCCTCAGCAAATCATTACTGATCCTCAGCAAAATGTACTGTGACTGGGCCTAAAACCTGACCAGAATTTTCCATAGATGTGTGATGTTGGAGACAAGTTTGCAGCTCCACTTGGCAAATCACCTTTGAAAAGTGCAGTAGGTCACAGGTAGTGGGGCATAGGCTGCTCTGCTCTTTCTGAAGCAGAAAATAATTTTAAAAGTGCCAAGTTGTCACTCACAAAGGATGGGAATAGCAGATTATGGATTAGTGATTAATACAAATATATGTGACCCCTCAGCTAGTTTCCATCTTCAATCCAAGGTGTAAGGTCTGAGGTGTTGGCTGATCAGCCACAGTCCCTCTAAATGGGTGCTTAATCAGGCCTGGATAGGATGAATCCAGACCTGGGCATCTGGCATCTGGGACCAGCTTTTTCTCTGCCCTCTAGGATGCTTTAGACAAGCACTTGACACCTTTACGTCTATAGTTTTTTATTTTGTGTTTAAATATATGAAGTGGTGGTAACACTACTTGCCAGCATATTCTATTAGAAAACTCTCTATTACTAAGAGCAAACCAAACAGTAAATGCTTCCACTTAGCAATCCTGCATAACAGTTTTCTGAACTCTTGTACTCTGACAAGGTTGATAAACACACCAAAGTGAAAGAGGAGTCAGTACACAGCATTTTATCCAATGAAGTCTTGGTCCTTTTTTTTTTTAACAGAGTCTCATTCTGTTGCCCAGGCTAGAGTGCACTGGCATGTTCTCAGCTCGCTGCAACCTCCACCTCCTGGGTTCAAGCGATTCTCCTGCCTCAGCCTCCAGAATAGCTGGCATTACAGGCATGTACCACCACGCCTGGCTAATTTTTGTATTTTTAGTAGAGACGGGGTTTCAGCATGTTGGCCAGGCTGGTCTCGAACTCCTGACATCAAGTGATCCACCCACCTCGGCATCCCAAAGTGCTGGGATTACAGGCATGAGCCATCACGCCCCGCCAAAGTCTTTGTACTTCAGTGAAACTGTTAACTAAGAATGTGCAGTGGTTAAGAATACAAGTTAACAGTGGTTCAGAGTGTGTCCTAAAGTCAGAATGCCAGAATTTAAATCTCTACTCTGAAACATTGAAACAAATTACTTCCACAAGCTTTATTTTCTGCACCTGAGAAAAATAATAACTAATAATAGCCTACCTGTGGTAGGCTGAATAATGCCACTGCTCCAAGATGTCCACATCCTGATTCCCAGAACTTGTGAATGTTATCTTACATGTCAAAATGGATCTTGCAGATGGGATTAATTTATGGATCTTCAGATGGAGAGATTATCCTGGATTATCTGGGTGGGTCAGAAATGTGCTCACAAGTGCCCTTATAAAAGGGAGGCAGAAGGAGATTTTGCTATAGACAGAAAGAATGTAGTAAAGCAGGAATTGGGTTGATGAAGCCAAAAGCCAAGGAATGCTGGAAAGGTAAGGAGGTGGATTCTGTTCTCGAGTCTCCAGACGGAGCACCGTCCTGCCAACTGTGGAGTTCAGCCCAGTGAAAGTGGCTTCAGACTTCTGACCTCCAAAACTGTAAGAGAATACATGTATTATTTTCATGCCACCAAGTTTGGGGTAATTAGTTATAGTGGCCATAGGAGACTGATGCATACCTATCAGGAACTGTTACTCCAGTGAAAACTTGTGACGGCAGACACAGTGGAGAGCCTGACACACAGCCATTAACTCTGTTCTGGGGAACTGAAGCTTTGGTTTTAAGGGATTTCTGAAACCAATACAATGACCGCCACTTTTCCCCATGTTCATCCGGGGAATAAATGCCTAGACACCTGGCAGCAAGAGGTCTTTCCTTCCCCAGAGACCCTCTCTTCTATTATTAAAAGGAAAAATGTTACTGCTCATCACTGAAGTCACATTATTCTTTTTCTTTCTACCTTGTTTTTCATTACATTTCATCTAACCTGTCTTTCTGAACTTTAAGGAGAACAGAGTCCTATCGCAGGGGATTTAGGTGCTACCTGAAGTTAATATTCTAGCCGCGTCTCATGCTCCATCCCAAGTCTCATCCCTGAGAACTTCTGAACTTAAATTCTTCCCACATTCCAGGATCACTCACTTTCTCATTTCCCTCTTCTGCTTTTCGTTCAGAATCTTGTCAATTTAGGCCTTTCCCTACACATGGTTTATAATGAGGTGGTACAGCCAAGTGACAAAAGTTCAGATAGTCTGGTTTTAAATCTGGGTTTTACCACCTATTAATTGCGTGAAATCGAACAAGGTATTTAACTGGTTTGACTCTCAGTTTCCTAAAAGAAAGTGGAATTATGAATGATACCTACCAATAGTGTGGTTATTTGAAAGAATAAATGAGCTTGTATTTGTAAATTGTTTAGAATAGTGCTTGTCATAGGGTAAACAAACGTGTTTGTTAATAAACGCAAATTCCAAGCTTATAACTTACTCAACTTTCTGTCATAAGTTTTGATGTCCATCAAGGTTAGGCTCACAAATATTTTAGCATTTTCAGGGCTTAACATTTTCAGTGCATATATGAGACATATATTTGGTGAAATCAAAAAAACCTTAAGGGAAACAGAAAAATACTTGGTAGTGATTGCTAATATGGCTAACTTTGATATTTCACCAATCAGTACTTCTCAATTTCTATACAACAGCTTCAGCTAGTTAGATGGCAAATTATAAACTGACCTAGGTTGTGTTTTGAACCCTTAACTTCAATGTACTCTCCCCAGAAACCCCAATCTATTTGCCCATAAATTTTCATTTGCATTCCATTCTATGAAACCTACTTCCAAGAAAGTCTCTGATACCAGTCATTAACAAAATAGTATGGATTTAAAGAAAAGGTGCTATTTACCTAAGACAGAACATTACTTATCAGAGCTTTTGTTTGGTTTTGTTTTTCTGGTCCCTTTCACATCCTGCTGTCTGCCTTAGATAAATCCAGGATCTAGATTGCGGCTCTAACACTTAGCAGCTGTTTGATTCTGGGAGCCTCAGTTTCCCTATCCAGAAGGCACACCTGAAGATGACACTTCTGTCCTGGGACTTCTGGGAGAGTCATTCCTCACTGTATCTCAGGAAAAGAATGAGCTGTTGTTCAGGAGGCCCTCACTGCATCACACTGCCCTGGGGTCACAGCAGTGACTGCTTCAGGGAAGGCCTGGGAACGCTCTTTACAGCCAGGAGCAGTTTCTAGATCTCTAAAATGAAAATATCTAGAGCCAGAAAGACATGTATCCACATCTCTGAAATTCTAAAATTTCCCACAAGCCACTTTCTAGTTCCTGAGAAATAGATTTAGGGTGAATACTCTGCTTATTAGTAACTAGGGTTTTAGCTCCACTTCCTATGTACAATTATTTATCTGATGAGATGAATAGGCCTTTGGTAAGCCTTCATCTAAGGCCTAAAGCAGCATTTGGAGGAATACGAAATGTGGACTGTCTGCATTATACTTACCTGGAGTGGTGGTTGAATTCCAGATTCCTGTCTCTACCACAGATCTGGGAACTTAGGATGATGAATTCAGAATTAGACTTTTTTAAAAAAATAATTTGTGGATAGTGAGCATGTTTGGCCTCACCTAAAAGCAATTTTAGCAGTCCCTTTGGCCCTCTTTCTTCTGAGATTATGTTCTTACTTTGGTTGTAAAGTTTCCAATGGAGTTGGGGAGGCACAAGATTTCAGAAAAAGAAAGGGTTCCAGTCACATTAACAATATTGAGTTTGAAAATTCAAGATACATTTTTATGTGCAAAGAATGCAAGGAGAAAAAAGGAGAGGGCAATTCAAGTGGTAAGAAAAGCAATGAAATCTGTATGACAAAATAGTGGTTGAAGTAAAAAGCAAACTAAAATATAGCCCAATTTTAAACAATTGATGGAAAAGACACAAGATGGGGTCTTCTACCTCCAGAGAAGAAAATATATTCCTATTCCACTCTTTTCCCCAGGACTGAGCAATACTTAGTTAATACAATTTATTAGTTTTCAACCCTTGGGGGCAACCTTTGGATAAAACATGGGATACTTTGTTTGCTGCCAGTGCATGAAAAATGGAAATGTTCACAGCACAAACAAAAGCAAAGGTCACTGACAGAGGTGAGTTGTGCAAGGGGAAAGGAAAGACAGAGGAGCTGTAGGAAAACAGTTCTGTGCATACAGAAAGTCATGAGATTAGAGTGAACATTGATAAAACAAGAAACTGATAATAGTCGAAAATACTTCCTGAGAACATCTGTGTGTTGGACACTAAAGACTGAAAATACATTGTTCCACTTAAATAACATGAGCAACCCCATATGGTAGGTATTAACCTTTTCCCTGAGTTACAGATAAAGAAACAGAGGCAAAGGAAGGCTCTATAAATTACTCAGGGTTGCAGAGCTGAAGAGCAAAGTTTCCAAACCCAGTGGTCTATTTCTAGAACCAATGCTTTTAACCACTTTCCCTCATCGATAAACTAGTAAAATTTTATGAAGTTATAAAAAAAAAGCAGCAAAAATAATGAAATGAACATGACATATTGGAAAGGAAGAGATGAGGAATATGAGTGGGAGAGGGAGTTTATCGTCCTGCCTTATGTTAGGGTGGTAGAAATATTTTCTAAAATGAATATGTCACGATACAGCAGAATAAGCATAAAGTTTATGGGAGTAACAGCAAAGTAGCTAAAAACTGTCTTTGGAGAGGGGAACTGGAGTAAGAAGGGTTGAATTTCAGTATTATTCAAATTGATATGCTCATATATTATTTTAATAAACAGAATTATATTTGTTTAGAAATAGTTTCAGCTGTGTAAGTGCATTAAAACAGAAAAATCAAATTCATCTTTATATCTCTCACATATTTTTTAAAAGTTTGTCTTATCAGAATCATAATTGAAGGCCTTTTTAAAAAAATGTCACAAGGCCAGGCACAGTGGCTCACGCCTGTAATCCCAGCACTTTGGGTGGCAGAGGCGGGCAGATCACGAGATCAGGAGATCAAGATCATCCTGTCCAATATGGTGAAACCACATCTCTACTAAAAAGAAATTTTGTGTCACCTCAAAAATTCATATTTTGAAACCCTAACCCTCAATGTGATGTTATTAGGAGGCTGGGCCTCTGGGAGGGGTCTAGGTTTTGATGAAGTCATGAGGATGGAACCCTCCTCATGACTGGGTGTGGTGGCACACACCCGTAGTCCCAGCTACTCGGGAGGCTGAGGCAGGAGAATTGCTTGAACCCGGGAGGCGGAGGCTGCAGTGAGCCAAGATCGTGCCACTGCACTCCAGCTTGGCGACAGAGCGATACTCTGTCTCAAAAAAAAAAAGAAAAAGTCATAAATATGAATTTTTAAAATTGTTTCTGGTAATATTGCCAGTCATGGTAGAGATGGTGCAGGACTATTAAAAGCAAATGGATTTTAACCCTGCTTCTGAGAGGTAGTTCTGACTACAAAGGGCAGGTGATTCTCTGCAGCCAGTGAGCAGGAACTTTGACCCTCTGGAATTGTGCTAAGCAACTGAGAGTAAATGAATCAGGCAGCAGGGCACCAGGAGGAGTCCACTAGTGTCTTTGTGATGGTTTTGTTTTTACAGGACTCATTTAATAAATATTTCACTAGGCACAATGCTGTGCATTTTTTGTCCCAGTTATCATATTTTTATAGGTATTTACTTCATAAAAGTAACATTTTTATGCTCCCTTTAAAATAGGATTCTTCTATTAGAATTGCCTAGTAAAGGCAATCAGAGGACCACTGCCTAAGGAATTCACTCACGGAGCATACATATATAAGTATATGCTCTATCTCTATCTATCATTATCTATCTACCTGCCTACCTATCTATTGATTATCTATCTATCTATCTATCTATCTATCTACCTATCTATCTTTAAGATGGCTTAAGGATGGCCACCTTCTTGGTATGTCCTTGTGTGGCTGTGAGAAGCAGCTCTGGTGTTTCTTGCTCTTCTTATATAGGCACAAATCCCATCATAGGGGTTCCATCCTCATGACTTCATCAAAACCTAGGCCCCTCCCAGAGGCCCAACCTCCTAATAACATCACATTGAGGTTTAGGGTTTCAAAATACGAATTTTTGAGGGGACACAAAATTTCAGTCTATAACTCTTATCTATATATCTATTATCTATTTATCTCTCTAATCTATCTATCATCTATCTATCCATCTATTCATTTATCGATTCGTATGTATAGAACAATAACAACAATAGCTTATAAGTCACTTCTTTATTTTATTGCATTTTATCCTTTTAGAAACTTTGTCAGGTAAACAGTCCACAGTAGAAGAACTGACTTCATTGAGATTCTTGAAGGTTGAGTCCACTGTTATTATACAACCAATAAATGGTGGTGCAAGGAATTCACCCCACATCTTCTCTGTCCTCTTCCCTTCCCTCTCTCCCTGCCTTTCTCCCTCCCACATGCTGACTCCATTCCATCCACATTACCTCAATAGCTGCTCCTTTAAGACCCCAGCCATCCTTCCCCTGAGCCTCTGCAGTGACTATTCCTATTATCTGGGATGTTCTTTGCTCAGATATCTGGCCCATTTGCCTCTGATGTTCACATTTCACTTTCCCAGTGAGGTTTGTCTTGTCCACAGTTTAAATAAAAACCCCGCTTCTTTCTATCCACAATCACAATCCTCCACGTACTTCTTTATTCTCCATAGCATTTGTTATTGACTAACCTACCAGATAATTTGCATGCTCATTGATATTCTTTCTCCCCTTCAACAAGAATGTAGGGTCCACAAAATGAGGAATTTTTCTTTTCTTGCAATTGACGCTACTACCTACAATAGTCCACAGCACATCCCAGATGCTCAACAGATACCTTAAACTGATAGAGTGAATGAACCACTTTCCAAATAGAATCTGGATTTTCCATCAGCATCTCACACTATGAAAAGTAGAACTTATATTTTTGCTAAAAACTCATGTTCGTTTACTCAAACCAGATGATGAGGATAGGCCTGGGCTTGTTGCTGTCACCCATTTCACTTCCCGCTTTTCTGACCTTCGCACCATCCCTGCCGTCAGGTCCTTTAGACCAGGAGCTCATTGCTTCATCTTTGCTTGGCTCACTACAGTGTCACTAAACTTCCTTGCCTCTGCCCTGGCGTTATTTACTTCTTTTCTCACACAGTCACAGGGAGGTTTCTATAATCTACATATAATCTTGTCATTGTTTTGCTTGCAATCCTTTCATGATTTTCAGAATAAATGACAGGTGCCCCATTGTGGTGTTTAAGTTTGTGTTCATACAACCCTTGTTGAACCCTGCAGGTGCACCTCCCGGCTTTGGTTTCACTCTTTACCCACAGCTGACCACCTCACTGGTGTTCTACTGACCGGTCTTCTCCATCCCTTCCCTAACTTCTGTCCTATTGCTTTGACCCGGAAGTAGTTCTTTTCCACTTGACTGTCCCCTTCTCCTCCTTGAATGTGCAGTTCATGTTTCATTTCCCCCAGAAGTAGTTAATGTTCTTCTTACTTGCTCCCCATTATCTCAGCACCTACCTATCCAGTTAAATGTTTGGTCTGGTCGTCTCTGTCCCCGACTACATTGTAAATTTTCTGTGGCAAGAGACGTCTTCAACTCTATATCTCCATGGCCTAGCACAGGGTTTAGAGTAGAGCTGAGGAGGAATACTTGTACTTTTCTCTTTTCCCCATATTGAGATGGTTCTTCTGGGTTGTGAAATACCTTAGAAAAGGTTATATTTTCAGCAATTCAGTCTAGTGGAGACCTAGCAGAATGCTAGGGTCAGCCAGATCTTGGCGATTTAGACTAGAGCCAAAGCAGTTATTAAAGATAATCTTTTCTGATTATTTTAAGCAGTATGATAAATTCTAAGTAAACATAAATTTTCAATAATTACAGAGTGGGCATTAGCTCTTCCTTTCTTTGTTCCTCTACATCCAAGAAACTGGATGCCAATCCCAACCTCACTGAATAAATGTTTAATATGCTAGAAGCTGAGGGAAATGCTTGTACTTTTCTCTTTTCCCCATCTTGAGATGGTTCTTCTGGGTTGTGAAATACCTTAGAAAAGATTGTATTTTCAGCAATTTAGTCTAGTGGAGACGTAGCAGAATGCTAGGGTCAGCCAGATCTGGGTATAATTGTAACTCTCGTGATTTGATATCTTGGTAATTTAGACTAGAGCCAGAGCAGTTTTTAAAGAGAATCTTTTCTGATCATTTTAAGCAGCATGATAAATTCTAAGTAAACATAAATTTTGAATAATTACAGAGTGGGCATGAGCTCTTCCTTTCTTTGTTCCTCTACATGCAAGAAACTGGATGCCAAGCCCAACCTCTGGATGAAGTGGGAATCTGTAAGGATGACGTACCTAAGTCTAAATCAGACAAAAAGACACACACAAAATACATTTATACATTTTTAAAAATGAAAAAAGTACAATTTCCTAACACACATCAGGGAATATATTGCCTCCAATGAGGTAAGAGTGGTTGGAGAGAAGAACAGACGGAAGAGGCAAGGATGGGCCACCTGGTCTCTCCCTTGTCTGAACCTCATGTCTCACTAGGTTGTCATCCTTGATGCTCAGACTTCACACGGAGGCTTCAGGACTCAGCCTGTGAAGTCAGAAAAAGTGGCTTCTTCCACATCCTCTTCCCTGGAACACAAAGTTTTGCATAAAGTCTGCCTCAACACATCACCCCTCATGTCAATTCTTCCTCCACAGTTGAATCAAAGAGCAAAAACACATGAGCAGAGGCATATTAGTAAGAGCAAGGTTTTAATACACACAATTGGGAAAGATAAGGACTCATTGAGGAATATAGGCAAGGGGAAAAGTAACACCTGTAAATAGTAGCGGGCATCCTGTCAGTTCAAGTATTAGAGAACTGGTTGGGGGCTTGGGGCAGCCAGGTTAACAGTCAAGCCAGGGAGAGCACAGCCGACACATGCTGGTTTCCTCTACCTTCCATAGGGGAATATCTCAAATACACTGTGGTTCCAACTGGGCTTATCAGCCTCCTCATGTCCTCCAACACACATACAAACACACAGGTTTGGGGCCTCCAGCTTCTAAAGGGAGAGAGCAGCTTAAATTTAACTTAAAGAGACTGACCCCCTTCCTCAAGGGGCAAAGTTCAAATAAGAGCAGGTCTTATTTGTCTCTTATTTGTCCTGCATTGCACCATCTGTGTGTACCAGGTGGACCTCATGTGCTCTTGGTGAATGGGGACCATAAGTGTGGCCACTCACAGCATTTGTGGTGCTGAACCCCATCACACCATTTGTTCATTGTGCAGGTGGCCTTGGGTGTTTGGCTGCCATGCCGGCACATGAAGGCCTCTCATTATAGCTATGGTGGCATTCATTGTAGATGCACCACCTGTGTCCAGATGGGCCAACCATGGACTGATGGAAAAAGGAAGCACAAGGGCCTCCGACAATGGAAATGAGTGTGCCTCCTCTTGGTGCAACACCTGGGTTCTGGAGCGGTGCATGCCAGATACTTGGCATGAAGGTAGAACAAGCAGAGATGTTGCTGGTGTTTGTAGCCACAACCAATGTGGTATGAGCAGGTGAACCCCAGGCTACCTGACTAAATGGGGGAACAGACTGGTGTTGGTTGTTCTCCTCCATCCTGGTACAGCTTTCAATGTTCCTGATGTTGAACTGGGGCCTGAGGCAGACATGCTAACCCCTATGTTCTCACAATCTGTAGGGGTTCCAGGTCTCATAATCCCCAGTGGGACTAGAGTAGAATTGCCAACCAATGCAGTACTGTCGCCACTGCCAGGCATGCTAGTGGCAACTTTAAATACAGAAGACTTGGCTGTAGTAATGAGGAAAGCACTTGAGTTGTTAAGCATACGTGGCTGCACATTGACAGGCAGGCCAAATGTGGAATATGGTGATGTCACACCAGTGAGATCTGCTGCCATGATGCTGCCACTCACTGGGTGGCTGGGCTGCAGGAGACCTTAGGCTTATGACTGGTGCTGGGGTTGCTGGGTTTCCCAGAATGAGAGAATCGTCTGACTTATCCTGCCCATGAGAAGCCCCAGATATGAGCTGGGAGGTGGCTCCTGGACTTACAGCATGTGGAGAAGTTGCCATCGATCCCGTGACTGACTGCAGGCAAACTGGTGGAGACATGGGCTGAAGTAATGTTGCCACTGGGTTGGTTGTGAATACCCAGAACCAAGGAGCCCCAGGTAAGGCACAGTGCACTTCTTCCATGAGATAGTGGCAGACTGGGAGATGACAGCTTTTGAATAAGGGTAGTATCCACAGCACTGCTATCAATGGTAGGAAAAGATGATGATGTTGCAGAGGTGCTGCTCCCTAAAGTGGAGGTGTCTGGAGGCATCATAATGGGATGGCTCAGAATAACAGGGGTATTAGGGACACAGGCTTTTCCTGCTTCCTGCTGGGGACCCCGAATGTGAGTGGAGCAGTGGCTCCCAGATTTATAGTGTGGTTAGAAGTTGCCATTGGTCTCGTGACTGGCTGTGCAGGCAAACTGGTGGAGATGTGGGCTGAGGCAATGCCCAAGTCAGGGGTGGGAGGAGGAGCTGGGACCTGGGAAGTGCAGGTGGCCAGGCACAGGGAGTATGAAGTCTCTGCAGGTGGGGAGGTAGCAGGGGCAGGCTGGGGGGTGCTGCAGTTTGGGTTGGCCAAATCAGGGGCTCCAAATTTGGGCTGAGGGGTGGGGCTGGGGAATATAAATGTAGCTGGGTGGATGTAGACTGAATCTTACCAGGGAGCCCCTGCTGTGCATGGCTATCTACTTGAGAAATTGGGAGAGCTCTCATCCTGGAGGTTGAGGAAGTTCTGAAAGTAACAGCCTTAGGAGGGGAAGTGGCGTCCTTGTTGATGGCCTGATGGTCTTAAGGAGGCTCCAAGATCTGGTGGGCAGATGTGTTTGCTGTGATGGTGGAAATGACTGCTGTGGAATTCATCTGCTTGCTGGTGGTAACAGAGATCTGTGGAAGGTCCTGGAAGAAGGGTGGGAGAGGAAAGAGGAGGAGGGGAAAGCACACAGGGCTGGCTCTCTTCTGAAAGGAGGCTGGAAGGAGACAGGTGTGGGGCTAGAAAGTGTTGGGGGTCAGAAGTGAGAAGTGCTGAAGCTACTCCAGAATGAGAAGAACCTCCTTTCTCATTAGGTAGAACCTCCAATATAGGGACAAAGTCAGTGGAAAAAAAAGACAGTGGGGAGTTAGGGATTTTGGATATTTTTGGTGAGGGGTCAGGTGGACAGACAGGCAGGGGGGTCTGGCAGCCAACTCGGCCAAGTCAAGGACGAACAGAGGAGCTGGGACCTGCGAAGTGTAGGTGGCCAGGGACAGGGAGTCTGAAGTCTCTGCAGGTGCGGAGACAGCAAGGGCAGGATGAGTGGTGCTGCAGTTTACCTTGGCCTCCGTTTTATCCTCCAAAGCCTCCATTTTCTCCTTGAAGAAGTTTTCTCTTCTGTTTACACCCCATGCTCTTCTCCAAGTTCCCCAGGTATCCCTCAATAGGCAGGTAGAGAAGCTTAGCAAGTGGAGAGAGCTCACCTCTATCCCACATCAATCGCAGCGTGGGGCCAGCGGCAGCAGCGGTGGAATCCACATTTTCCTTTCACAGCGCCTGTTGCTGGCAGCTCTTGGGGGAGAAGAGCTCCATGTTGGAAGAGCTGAAGGCTTCTTCTTTCCTGACATCTGCATCTCCTTCCTGGACATCAGCAAGCTTGGAGAGCTGGGCGGGTGGTCTTCATCCAGCACCTTCCGGGCCGCCTTCTCTGGCAGCAGGGAGCAGCCGGGGCTGGGGCCGGGGCCGGGGCCGGGACCACTGCAGAAGCCGGGTCAGCCTTCCCAAGGGGAAGGCCACTCCAGCAGGGCTGTATGAGCTGGGGGCCTCATGGCCCTCCCAGAAGGAGCTACTCACTGACTGGGCCTTCTCTCTGTAAAGAGTTTTTCCGACAAGTAGGGGTGGACATTTCCCTGCAGAGGCCTGGGCCTGCACCCAAAGGAGGTGAGGCCTCCCTGGGTCTCCAGGGCCCTGGATGTGGATGACACTTCCTTCTGGCTACAGGGGCCCTTTTCTTGTCATCCTGCTCCTGGGTCTCTCCGTGATGCATCTGCGTCACTGTTCTGGGCTCTTCTTTGGCCCTCCCCTCTGTCTCCTTCAGAAGCCTGGCTGCGACCTGCTCAAGTGGTGAAGGCAGTGGGTGGGCGACCTTGCAGCCAGGAGGAGGGTCCTCAGGGACCCTGGGTGCGGCAGCCTCCGGGAGTTCCCAACAGGCGGCTCGGAGGCCATAGCCTGCAGGAACCCAAGAGGGTCGCCCTTGTAGTGTGGGAGAGGACAAGGGGTGCCACACAAGCTGCCTGGAGATGAGGGCCTAGGAGGCCGCCGTGGGTTGAACAGGAATCAGAAAAGGCCTGGGTGTCCCGGGCAGGCGCGGAGGCCTTGAGGGTGAGGGGTGGGCCCTGGCCTGGGAGCCTGCAGCGAGACCAGGGAAGAAACATGTGAAGTAAATTGCCAGTCTCCAGTGAGTTGTGCGCCTGTGATACTGAGAAGAGGGACAGAAGCGGAAGTGACGCTCCTCTGTCATCCGCTCTTTGGTGGCCGGGCATCCCCTGGTAGCTGAGACTCATGACATCCCCATGCGGATCCTGACAGAGGAGGACGCCAGGGAGCGCGGGCCCAGCGAAGGCTCCTAAACAAGATCAGCGAGAAAGGGCAAGGCCCCCTGCGGGGCCCAGCGAGACTCTCTAGCCCCGGGGACCCGGGGTTGTCCTGCTGCTGCAGAGGGTGAGTGGGCCCCTCTGTGGGGACTCTGGGGGAAGCGGGGCCTGATCTGCCAGAGCCCTTCTCGCCTGGCACCTGGCCTGGGCGCTGGCTTGATACTCAGTGGCCCTGTCTTGGCCGGCCCTGTCCTCTGGGTCACAGGGGCAGAGCTTGCTGGAAGCCAAACACAGGGCCATCCAGATCCTGCCAGGCTCCCCACGGGGCCTCTCCAGTCTCTCTGTGCTGCCTGGAGCCAGGCCTGCCTTCTCCATGGCCGCCCTGGCCGCTAGGGCCACCAGCTCCCCTGCGCAGGTTTCCAAGGAGAGGCCGTGGTGCCCTGACCTGACTGGATGCTGTCCCTACCACCTCCCTTCCTGGCAGGGTGTTGTAATTTCTTTTTACAAATTCCCTAAAACAACATTTAAGTCTGTGACCGTTCCTCAGGTGATTCAGGTGGCAGTGCCCCAGCCAGGCTTTAAACTCAGGCTGATTCCACAGCTCACGCTCTGGCCTGTGTGCCTCCTTATCGTGGAGACATCGTGTTTTCTCATTCTTTCCTGTAGCCCGTAGGGTACTTAGCACGGTGGCATATGTGTAATAAACACATGCGCACCTAGGAGGAGGTCTTTACCTTAACTCGCAAGTTGTCTGTGGCCCACACAGGGCTCCAGTCCTCTAAGAAGATGTAGGGCAGGGACCATCAATTGTCACACAGTGTCATGTCACATTTCTCTTCTAATGGAGACTTGCAGCCCAGATGTTCTTTTTGGTCTTGTGTGAAGGATCTAATATGTAAAGATTATATTCTAGATCCATTTTGGTCTACCCTGAAAGAAATTCACCAGTGGATATTCCACATGGATAAGAAATCCAGTTTCTCTGGCCTTCCTGGAATATCTCTAGAAAGCAAATACATCATTTATTTGCCAGTTAATACTGGAACAATGTATTGGATTAAAATGTGATCAATACAATTTGATCATTGTGAACATGCCTGCTGGGCCCACTCTTCACCACACATTATTGTCACGTAAATATCACTCTAGACCTTCTTATGACCAAGAGAAGATACATGCTTTTTATTGACAGGACACACGAAATGTGTGTTACTGTCCTAGAATCTGGAAGGTTCAGCATGACAAGAAAGATTTGGAAAATCCTACACGACCTTCTCTAGTTTGAACCTTGTTTCTCAGGCTTATTTCGTTGGCATGTTTTTCTTTCTTGGGGCTGACGTATATCAGACATATGACATGCAGAAGTTTCAGAACCAAGAACAATGATCTGTAAAACTATTTTTATATATTTTTTCATTTTAAAATATTTACTTAAAATAACATCGGACATAACTAACATACTACAAAATTGGTTTTAGCCCTCTGCTCATAAGATTCCTTTTATAGCATGTCAGAGCAAATTTGGAATTACATCCCCAAAAAAGGCTAAGGTCAGTGGAGCACAAAAAGCTTTGCTAAGATCCGAATTCTGTTTGAAAAAAAAAAAGGAGAAATACTATAAGCCCTTTCTAACATTTCCAGGGCAGAAATCATTTACAGATATGGCATTTAACCATAATTTCTTGTAATCATTTGGGGAGAGTTCAAATCAATTGATTTCCTTTGTTCGAACAAAAATTACAAGCTCGTACAAATTTTGGACAAAGATTTCACAGGAACTCTGAAAAAATGATGATTATAAGTCAGACTCATTTGAAAACTATAAATGACAGTCATGTTATTTCCATTTTTTCCCAAAGAGGAAAAATTCATCAAACATATAATGCATATTGGGGCTTCAGGACAATACAAATAAATTTGGGCAAAGATATTCTACAAAAAAATTACCTCTTTATTTTTCTTGTCCAGTGAGTAGAGGCACAACATATATTTTTTGAGATATAGAATATTCTCTTACTTGTCCTTGTGAGGTTAAATAGCATTAGATAGATGGCAAGTTGTTATTCTGAGATCATTGAGTTTGCAGAAGCAAACATGTTGAGATAAAATTTGTCAGTGATATATTTTCTAAAAAAATTAATAATTAATAGAAATATTTTAATAATAACAGCAATTTATAGTTGCCAAGTGAGATTACCTTTAATTTGACAATTTTTAAAGCACCCATCTCCAGTCACATCAAATGAACCTGTGGCCAGCTTTGGATGACACTATGATAATGACAATAAACCATAGCTGGCAACCTGAGTTTGAACACTCTCACTCTCTCTTTTCTTGTCTTGATCACGGAAAATGTATTCTAAGTTATAGAAAGTTAATATGGGAACATAGAGTCCTCTGGACTCTACTGATCCACAGAGTGCATTAAATGAACTTTTTTTCCCTAAAATCCCTTTTGTCTCCTTGCCTTCAGTCACTACGCATTACTCTCCTGAGAACAAAAGTAATCTGAAAAAGGAATTTGAAGGAAAGAGACTTTATTCCAGTGAATAGTTTGAGAACTGCAGCCTCTGGTGTAAAATGAAGGAGTATAAAACAAAGGAAGAACTTCAGTTTTTTTTCTTCCAATTTTAATTTTAGATTCAGGAGGTACAAATGCAGGTTTGTCATCTGGGTGTATTGTGAGATGTTGAAGCTTAGGGCACAAATGACCCCATCACCAAAGTACTGATCATGGTACCCAAGAGTTAGATTTTCAACCCTCCCCCCTCCCTCTCCCTTCTAGGAGTCTCCAGTGTCTATCTGCTGCCATCTTTATATCCATGAGTACCCGATGTTTGGCTCCCACTTAAAAGTGAGAATATGCAGTATTTGGTTTACTGTTCCTGTGTTAATTTGCTTAAGATTATGACATCCAGCTGCACCCATGTTGCTGCAAAGGACAAGATTTTGTTCTTTTTTATGGCTTTGTAGTATTCCATGGTGTATATGTAATGTATTTTCATTATCCAGTTCACCATTCATCAACACCTAGGTTGATTTCATTACTTTGCTATTGTGAATAGTGCTGCAATGAACATACACGTACATGTGTCTTTATAACAGAACAATTTATATTCCTTTGGGTATATACCTAGTGATGGGATTGCTGGGTCGAATGATATTTCTGTCTTTAGGTCTTTGAGGAATCACCACACTGTCTTCAACAACGGTTGAACTAATTTACACTCCCACTAACAGTGTATAAGCATTCCTTTCTCTCCACAACCTCATCACCATCTGTTTGGTTTTTGTCATTGTTGTTGTTGTTTGACTGTTTAATACTATGCATTCTGACTGGTGTGAGCTGGTATCTCATTGTGGTTTTGATTTGCACTTCTCTAATGATCAGTGATGTTGAGCTTTCTTTCATATGCTTGTTGGCTGCACATATGTCTTCTTTTGAAAAGTATCTGTTCATATCCTTTGCCCACTTTTTAGTTTTTTTTTTTCTTGTAACTTTCACTTCATTATAGATGCTGGATATTAGACCTTTGTTGGATGCATAGTTTGCAAAAGTTTCCTCCCATTCTGTAGGTTGTCTGCTTATTCTGCTGATCGTTTCTTATGCTGGGCAGAAGCTCTTTAGTTTAATTAGATCCCATTTGTCAATTTTTGCTTTTGTTGCCATTGTTTTTGGAATCTTTGTCATGAAATCTTTGCTCGTCCCTATATCCTGAATGGTATTGTCTAGGTTGTTTTATAGGGTTTTTATAGTTTTGGGCTTTACATTTACATCTTTAATCCATCTTGAGTTAATTTTTGTATATGGTGTAAGGAAGGGGTCAAGTTTCAATCTTCTTCATATGGCTAGCCAGTTATCCTAGCACCATTTATTGTATGGGCAGTCCTTTTTCCATTGTTTGTTTTTGTTCAAAAAAGTTGTAGCAGAGGGACTCCTTCCTCTCTTATTCTATGAGGTCTTCATCATGCTGATATCAAAAACTGGCAGAGGTATAACACAAAAAATAAAACTTCAGGCCAATATCCTTGAAGAACATTGATGCAAAAATCCTTAATAAAATATTGGCAAACTGAATCCAGCAGCACATCAAAAAGCTTTATCCACCATGATCAAGTAGGCTTTATCTCTGGGATGCAAGGTTGGTTCTACATACACAAATCGATAAACATGATTCATCACATACACCCATAACTAAAGACAAAAACCACATGATTATCTCAATAGAAGCAGAAAAAGCTTTCAATAAAATTCAACATTCACGTTAAAAACTCTCAATAAACTAGGTATTGAAGTTACATACCTTAAAGTAATAAGAGCCATCTATGACAAACCCACAGCCAACATCATACTGAAGGGGCAAAAGCTGGAAGCATTCCCCTTGAAAACTGGCACAAGATAAGGATGCCCTCTCTCACCACTTCTCTTCAAAATAGTATTAGAAGTCCTAGTCAGAGCAATCAGGCAAGAGATAGAAATAAAGGCATCCAAATAGGAAGAGAGGAAGTCAGACTATCCCTGTTTGCAGAAAACATGATCCCATATCTACAAAACTCCATAGTCTCAACCCAAAAGCTCCTTCAGCTAATAAACAACTTCGCAAAGTCTCAGGATACAAAATCATGTGCAAAAATGACTAGCATTCCTATACACCAATAACAGTCAAGCCGAGAGCCCAATCGGGAATGAATTTCCATTAACAGTTGCCCCAACAAGAATAAAATACCTAGGAATACAGCTAACTAGGGAGGTGAAAGATCTCTACAAGGAAAACTACAAACCACTGTTCAAAGAAATCAGAGATGACACAAGCAAGTGGAAAAACGTTCCATGCTCATAGATAGGAAGAATCAATATCCTTACAATGGCCATACGCCCAAAGCAATTCATAGATTCAATGCTATTACTATTAAACTATCATTGAGATTCTTCACAGAACTAGGAAAAACTATTTTAAAATTCATGTAGAACCAAAAAAGAGCTTGAATAACCAAGGTAATCCTAAGCAAAAAGAACAAAGCTGGAGGCGTCACACAACCCTGACTTCAAACTATACTACAAGGCTACAATAACCAAAATAGCATGGTGCTCTTACATAATTTTCAAGAATCAACTGTCCATGTGAAAAGTGTTTAGATACTGCCATGGAAATTTGTTTTGTGCCTTGGTCTTTAAAGTGTGATGGAGTGTTTTGACCTTGATGGTTTGAAAATAGATTAGGCCAGGCAGGTTTGTGCAATAAACTGATGAAGCCTGGGGAAAGGTTTAATACTTGCTGTATTCGTTTCCTGTGCAGGTTGTAGCAAATTACCACAAACTTCATGACATAAAACAACCGAAATTTGTTATCTTACTGTTCTGAAGGCCCAAAGACGGAAATCAAAGTGTCAGCGGGGCCATATTCTCTACAGATGCTGTAGGAGAGAATCCATTCCTTGCCTCTTTTAGCTTCTGGTAGTTGTGGTGTCCTTGGCTTGTTGCCACATTACTTCCACCTCTGTCTTCATATCACCTTTCCCTTTGTATGTTCATAACTTCTTCTCTCAGTCTATCTCAAATTTTCTTCTCTGCGTCTCTTATAAGGACATTTGTCATGTAGGGCCCTTCCAGATAATACAGGATGGAAAACTCATCTCAAGATCCTCAATTGTATCTATGAAAACATTTTTTTTTTTTCCAAATGAAGTCACATTCACAGGTTCTAGGAATTAGGACATGGACATATTCTTGGTGGACCACCATTCAACTCATTTCACCAGCCATAAGATAACTTTGATTTTGGCTGATGACTGCAGTCTACAGCATAGGAGAGTGGCTGTTTCTGAAGAAGTGCAGGTAGCTGAGAGAATGAGTGAAGCAGAATGAAGAAGAGACCAGGAGGATCCTTATTACACAGAGACTTGGCACTGGGCTTTAGGGGTTTAAGAGTCTGTTGGGCAAGAAAATCTTGGGCAGCTGCCTGCCTTAGCTTACTTTTCAGGCAAAGCTTTTCCTAAGAAGGCTTGACTGAGAGACAGACTCAGTTGTAGGGAAATCAGGACTTGTTGGCATTGACACGTGTGGCTTGCTGTAGGCTTGAGTGACTCCCTTTACCAAGTAGACTCAAGCTAATCTTGAACCTGTTCATTACATGAGAGAAAAATGTTCTCTAAAAAGCAGCTTTATTTGTTCCATATGAGTCAATAGCAGGAGGCAGTGAAAACATCTATTTTGGCATAGGACTATAAACTTGACACACCAGAGGCTGCAGATGCAATATTATTAGGTAGAACCCATAATCAGTTCAGTACTAAAGTGTAAGCAAGAGAGTGATCAAAAAGGAAGTATAATTGAAGACTGAAAGACAAATTCATGGTGTTAAATTAACCTCATGCTCAAAGAATCTTCCAACTTCTAAGTTCACAGGTCAAAAATTTCAAGTAAGTGACATAAACTGATGGACCTCCTAGTGAGGCCAAAACCAAACGGACTTTATCTTTCTCTCAAATGCCATTGAGTTCCTGCTACGTTCTTTGACCACATTCTATACTGGATTCTTGGAACAAAATCTTGCCTAGTTTAATTGCTCCAAGGGCTGGGAGTTGGCTCACTTTCTAAATTTCTTGGTACTGGGGCTAATGCTGTTAAATATTATTAACTATTTGGACTCTTTAAAAACATGATTTATGAGAGACTTGCATTAAACTGATAAGACATCTGAGGCCCTGGAAGACCTACACTCACATCAGTGAGAGACAGCCAAGTAGCAAGTATTAAAGGAGACCTCAGTCCCACTGAGGTACAGACAACCCTGCCACTGAGAATGAACCAAATAAGACACTTGGGAGGCTTATTTATGGACCTTTCAAATTTTTGACTTTTAACCCACAATGACAAGGAAATTTGATTTCAGACTTGGACTTTAACACTTTAGGACCTTAATTTGTAAGATGGTTTAATATATGCCCTTTAATTTCTCCCTGAAGAGTTTGATAATGGGAAGGGCTTACTTTTAAATATGGACATCGATATCACCCTTAAATAACATTATTTAAATAACTTTATATATATTTCATCTTAATTTGTCATTTAACCTCTTTGTCATATTTCTGTAGCTAGATGTATGTTAGGATGGGTGATAGAATAGAAAGTTGATTTTAATCATTGGATATTAATAGCCTTGGAGTTGATTTAATTAATGCATTTTTTTCACCCATTTCAGAGACTTCTGGGACAAAAATCTAGGTTGCCTACCAGAAGTCCCAGGGAGTTACTCACATGAGTAGCCTCATGAAAATGGGAGCAGGGATATTCTGATGAACCTCTGATCCTTTCTTCTGAAGGGGTTAGCCATGCTCTATTGACTATGAGCTTAAAGGCATAGTTCAATGGATTAAAAGAATTAAGAGCAGTAGAGAATTAGTGACAACTTTTTATTTTTATTCCTAATGTTGTTTCCATGAGAAGGGAATTTGATTAGTATACTTCTGACCACTGGTGGTTGGTGAAATGCCCTGTCTAACTGGATACTTGGAAAGAATAACTGGCCATGCTTTGTTTAGCCCTTTCTTTTCTTAATCTTGGGAGGCAGCCTGCCCATAGACACAAATGCCATAAGCATTTATCTGTCATGCCACATAGACATAAGTCTTATATAGGCATGCTTCTCTCACATGGGCTTGCCTAGAACCAACTAGCTGCAAGAATGGGAAAGTCGGTACAATTCTGGAGTTCAGTTAGCCGATTCATTTGGCTGGCTCATTAAACCATGTTTCCAACATGAGCTTTATCGATAAGGTGACAGCAGGGCTAGTTATAATGTTTGGGGCCTAGTGAAAAATGAAAATGCAGGTACCTTGTACAAAAGGCAAGGAAAAAGTACTGTAAAAGGTATTTTTCCTGGGTGGAATAGTGTCCCCCCAAATTCATATTCACCTGGAACTGGAGTGTAACTTTATTTGGAAATAGAGAGGGTATTTTTTTCAGATGTAATCAGCTTACGATGAGGTCATACTGGATTAGGGTACTTCAAAGCCAATGACCAGTATTCTTATAAGAAAAAATATTTAGAAACACACAAACAAACAGAGAGAGAAGATGGTCATGTGGTGATGAAGGCAGAGACTGAAGTAACACAGATAGGCTACCAAGGAAGGGCAGGGATTGTTGACAACCACCAGAAAGTAAAACAGGCAAGGGACGATTATTCCTTAGAGACTTTGAAGAGAACATGACCCTGCCAATACCTTGGTTTTTAGACTTCTCACCTCCAGAGCTTTAAAATAATAATTTTCTGTTGTTTTAAGTCACACAGTATGTGGTACGATCACCCCTCTGTATCCGCAGATTCTGCATCTGGGGATTCAACCAACATCAAATCTAAAATAACAATACAACAATAAAAAATAATTCAAATCAGAAAACAATACAGTATAACAGCTATTTACATTACATTTACATTGTATTAGGTATTACAATTAATTGAGATGAGTTAAAGTATAAGGGAAAATGTGTGTTGGTTACATAGATACTATGCCACTTATACAAGAGACTTGAGTATCCCTGCATTTTGGTATTTGTAGGGGTGCTGGAACCAATTTCCCACAGATATAGAAAGGCAACTGAGTTTTGCTATGGCAGACCTAGAAAGGTAATATAGCATTAAAAGATAAAGGGCCAGGCATAGTGGCTTGCACCTGTAATCTCAGGTACTTGGAAAGCTAAGGCAGGAGGATTGCTTGAACCCAGGAGTTCTAGACCAGCCTGGGTGACATAGTGAGACTCCATATCTAAAAAGCCTTTAAAAAAATTAGCCAGATGTCATGGCATGTGCCTGCAGTCCTAGCTACTCAGGAGTCTGATGAGAGGGAATTGCTTGAGCCCAGGAATTTGAGACTGCAGTGAGCCATGATCATGCCACTGCACTCCAGCCTGGTTGACAGAGCGATAAGCTGTCTCTAAAATAAATAAATAAATAAATAAATAAATAAATAAATAAATAAATTAAATATAATAAATAAATAAAGCTTTTTCCTTTCTTCTGTGGTCTTCTAACTTCCATGGGCTTTTTTATTTGGTATTTAATATGTTTCTAAGTAAATACAAATTAAAATTTAAAATTATTAGTGCGGATTTTACCATTCCTCTTTATATCAAGCAATGCTAGTTTTACATGTAAATATAAGAATAGTTATCTGATGTGCAAAATTACCAAGAAATCACAGGATCCCTATTTTGTTGCTTGTATATGTATACAAGTTTCTTTTATTTTTAACCAAGCAGTGAAAATGCTCTACAAACTAACTCAACTGTTTTCATCTTGTTTCTTGATATCTACACATTCTACCAAAACTGTCTACCTCAGCTTACTGATGAGTAAAGAAGGACTAAAAGGAAAAGCAACGATGGGTTGCTGTCTCTTCCCCTTTCTGTCGTCAATTTCAGAATAAGTGGTTGGCTAATACTGGAAAACAACATGAGTAAGAAAGAATATGATGGAGAATGTGGCTTCTTGGAGCTGTCAACACCTTCACTTAGTCATAGATGACTGGTTGACCCTTAGCTCCTCTGAAAAATTTTCTACAGGGGATTTTGAGCCTTAGATTTACTACAGTTAAGGGTTTTAGATGCTGCAATTAAGGATTTTAATAGAGGAGTAATCTAGTCTGTTCTAAAACAAAGTTTAGACTAATGCAGGTGGCTGCATCAGTCTCATCCTCCTTGAGCCATTGAATGCCCTGCCCCAACTAAATTATAAACTTCTTGTAGTCAGGTTTTATAGTTGTTTTTCTCTTAATACCTAACTATACCCAGAATAGAAGATGCCTTCTATGAACATTTGTCGATTTTTTTTTTTTTTTGACACGGAGTTTCGCTCTGTCACCCAGGCTGGAGTGCAGTGGCGCAATCTCGGCTCACAGCGACCTCCGCCTCCCTGGTTCAAGTGATTTTTCTGTCTCCGCCTCCCGAGTAGTGGGACTACAGGCAAGTGCTACCACACCCAGCTAATTTTTGTATTTTTAGTAGAGATGGGGTTTCACCATATTGGCCAGGCTGGTCTCAAACTCCTGACCTCATGATCCACCTGCCTCGGCCTCCCAAAATGCTTGGATTACAGGCGTGAGCCACCGTGCCTGTCCTGTCAATATAATTTTAAATAACATAAGTACATGCATGTTCTCATTTCTCTCTGGGAAAGGAGGATAAATTCCACAACATTCAAACATAAAGCCCTTATATTCCCTGAACCTAAAGATCTATAAATAGTTAGCATACCTTTCCTCTCAATGCAATATACTCTAAGATAGTTCCATCAATGGTCATTAATTGTTTTAAAGTGCAGAGAAATAATGACCAAAAGAAATTGCTGATCAAAAGAACTTTCACCAAATAAAGACTAAAAGTCAAAAAGTCAAATTAATGCTGGATTTATGACTATTATATATTATAAAGAATATTGATGAGAAACATCGCAGTGCTGATTGCTATTATCATCTTTTCACTTTCCATTAGAGTTGTTTATATTATTTTTATTGGATTTTATTCAAGTTATTAAGGTTTTTATTATATTCAAATTTTAAAAATCTCTTGAAATGCTAACACAAAGAAAAATGAGTCAGAACATGAAAAATGTTTTAGACAAGTTGACAACATATATTCTTTGTTCATTTCTCTTTTTTAGAAAAATTTCATCCTATTCACACCTACATGTACAAGACAGTGAATAAAATATAACAAATCACCCTATAGAGATGAAAAATAAGACACGTTGGTTCTGGAAACTTCTGTATTATACCTAGTATCTCAGTGTATTTGGCAAATAAGAGCATCTGGAAATATTCTTTAAATTTTTCTATTTTATGATTTGGTTGATAATCTCATAATACAAAGTCATTTTGAGACACTTGGAGAAATATTTTATTTTAACATTTGGTATTTGAGTATTCCTATCTGTTTTCTCTATTTTTTTCATTGCCCTATAGTGATCTTTTAGGATAACCTCCCACTCCTCCCACCTACATACTTGCTACACTCTACATGCCCACACATATGCCAAACAGTTTTTTGGTGACAGATTAACATGAATTTGGTTGAGCTTGAAAGGCTATAAAATATATAGCTTTTACACTTCAATATTTTTAACATGCTTTTTGGAAGTTATCCTAGTTTGAGCCCAAGTGCCATTAGCTATAAAATGAATTTCAAATATGCCTTTTGGTATGCGCGATAAAATAGGGAGGTCATATTACTGGGAGTCTATTTACATGGACAACTGGAAATCAATCAGGGAAATAATTTATTATAACACAGTTGGACACAATCGATCAATGTAACAGAATAGAGATCCTATAAATAGACCCACATATGGGGGACCTGCCCCAATAATCACGTAGGTTCTTTTCTATTTTCCTAAGCGTCGGCTGGCTTCAGAAATAAAAGGCCAGAGTACAAAAGAGAGAAATTTTAAAGCTGGGCATCCGGGGGAGACATCACACGTTGGTAGGATCTGTGATGCCCCACAAACCACAAAAACCAGCAAGTTTTTTTAGGGAGTTTCAAAAGGGGAGGGAGTATACGAATAGGTGTGGGTGACAGACATCAAGTACTTAACAGGGTGATAGAATATCACAAGGCAAGTGGAGGCAGGGCGAGATCACAGGACCACAGGACCGAAGCGAAATTAAAATTGCTAATGAAGTTTTGGGCACCATTGTCATTGATAACATCTTATCAGGAGACAGGGTTTTGAGATCAACCGGTCTGACCAAAATTTATTAGGCGGGAATTTCCTCTTCCTAATAAGCCTGGGAGCGCTATGGGAGACTGGAGTTTATTTCACCTCTGCAATCTCGACCATAAGAGACAGGTACGCCCCGGGGGGGCCAGTTCAGAGACCTACCCCTAGGTGCGCATTCTCTTTCTCAGGGACGTTCCATGCTGAGAAAAACAATTCAGCGATATTTCTCCCATTTACTTTTGAAAGAAGAGAAATATGGCTCTGTTCTGCCCAGCTCACCAGCGGTCAGAGTTTAAGGTTATCTCTCTTATTCCCTGAACAATTGCTGTTATCCTGTTCTTTTTTCAGGGTGCCCACATTTCATATTGCTCAAACACACATGCTGTACAATTTGTGTACTTAACACAATTATTACAGGGTCCGAAGATGACCCTGTCATCCTTCTCGGCTGACAGGATTAAGAGATTAAAGTAAAGACAGGCATAGGAAATCACAAGGGTATTGATTGGGGAAGTGATAAGTGTCCATGAAATCTTTACAATTTATGTTTAGAGATTGCAGTAAAGACAGGCATAAGAAATTACAAAAGTATTAATTTGGGGAACGAATAAATGTCCATAAAATCTTCATAATCCACGTTCTTCTGTCATGGCTTCAGCCGGTTCTTCCGTTTGGGGTCCCTGACTTCCCACAACACCCACACGTATAGGAACAACTGACTTTCACCAAAGGTACAAAAACAATTCAGTAGAGTAAAAGTAGTCTTTTGACAAATCTTGCTGGACACATGTAGTGTATGGATAAAGTGCATAAATAGCCATTGCAAAAAAAAGAATGAATTTTGATCACTACCTGTTACTATATAAAGCTTAACTCAAAATAGATCAAAGACCAAAATGTAAAACATAAATCTATAAAATCTGTTTTTTGTTGTTGTTGTTGTTTTTCAGACAGAGTCTTGCTCTATCATCTAGGCTGGAGTCCAGTGACATGATCTTAGCTCACTGAAACCTTTGCCTCCTAGGTTCAAGCAATTCTTCTGCCTCAGCTTCCCAAGTAGCTGCGACTACAGGTGTGTGCTACCACATCTGGCTAATTTTTGTGTGTGTGTATTTTTAGTAGAGATGGGGTTTCATCATGTTGGCCAGGCTGGCCTTGAACTCCTGGCCTCAAGTGATCTGCCTGCCTCGGCCTCCACAAGTGCTGGGATTACAGTCATGAGCCACCATGCCTGGCCAAATCTATAAAATTTCTAGATGAACACGTATAGAAACTCTTTGTGATCTTGAGTTAGCCAAATATTTCCAAGAGGCAACACCAAAAACAAGATCTATAAAGGAAAAAAAAATGTTAGATTTCATAAAAAATTTTTAAATGACTGCTCTTTGAAAGACATTAGTGAAAGAATGAAAAAACAAGGCACAGATTGGGAGAAAATATTTGCAAATCATATATCTGAAAAAAATTTTATCTATACCATATAAAGACCTCTCAAAACTCAATAATGTAAAAATTAAAAAAAAAAGTAGGAAAAAAATTTGAAGAGACTTTCCCAGGAAAGACATGTAAATGGCAGATAAGCACATGAAAATTTGCTCATCATAATCATTAATTAAATGAAGATGAAAACCATAAGGAGATACCACCATATACGCATTGAAGAGCTACACTTAAAAAGTCTGGCTGTACCAAGTATTGGTAAGGAAGAACAGTAACTGGAACTCTTCTACACTGCTAGTGGTACAATCACTTCAGAAAACAGTTTGGCAGTTTATTTAAAAGTTGAATATATATCTATCATATGATCTCGCCTTTCTATTATTCCTTTTATGTTTATACAAAGCCTTGTACATGAATGTGCATAGCAGCTTTGTTTTTAATCGCTGAAAACTATAACCCAAACATTCATCAACAGGAAAATCAAGCAAATTGTGGTGGACCCATACAATGGAATACTACTGAACAACAAAAAGGAATAGACTATTGATGCACAAAAAAAATATACATTATTCTCAAAATAATTATGCTTTGTGAAAATAGCCAGACAGAGTCTGTACTGTATGAATGTATTTATATACATTTCTGGGAAAGGACAACACGTCCATAGTGATGGAAAGATCAGCCCTGACCTTGGTATGTGGAGGGACAGAATGGGGAAAAGTACAAGAGAAGACCTATGAAGGGCATAAGAAAACTTTTGTGGGTGACAGATTGTACATTTTCTTGATTGTGTTAATGGTTTCATGGGTATATACATATGTCAAAAGTTATCAAATTGTAGACTTTAAATGTGTGTGATTTATTGTATGTCAATTATATTTTAATAAAATGTATATTTTTAAGTTGGGCATAGAAGTGTGTTTCAACAAAAACATACCAGTTGAGAGTAGAAAAGTCAAGTCCAGTATGGTGTCCGTTAGTTGAATTTTCCTGTACTTTATTTCGCTACAAATATATACCCAGATTCTTCTGAGAGATGGGGCTGTTAATAAAGTGGAATAAAGCAATATTCATTAATGGTATCTCAGCAACAGTTTTTTATGACCCTCTAACAACATGTCACCCAAAAATGGGAAAATTAAATGCATTCTACATCTACTCAGTACATCTTACAGCTTCATTTCATTGAGCACTTGAAGATCATAGCTCTACTGTGGCCCATTAAAGGCTCTAGTGCAAGCTTGTCCACCTCACAGCCCATGGGCCACATGTGGCCCAGGATGATTTTGAATGTGGCTTAATACAAATTTGTAAACTTTCTTAAAACATTTTGGATTTTTTTCACAATTTTTTTTTTTAAGCTCATCAGCTATCATTGGTGTTAGTGTATTTTATGTGCAGCCCAAGACAATTCTTCTTATAGTGTGGCCCAGGGAAGCCAAAAGATTGAACACCCGTGCTCTAGTGCATGTCTCTAGGAGCAGTGATACCCAGTGGCAGTGGTGGCATATGATGGTAAATGATTTGACTGTACCTGCTGATGACTGGTGAGATGTCTTATAGCTTTGTGCATATGGAGACTGTGCAACCATACCTGGAGAAGAGGAGCAAGAAAACCAGAAGTTCCCATGGAAATGGAGAGAATTTTGTTGGTATTACTTTAGTAAACATGGTTTATACACATAAATCATCATTTTCACAGATAAATGCATTTCTAGTGATTGTAGGATATAAAGTGCTTAAATGAGCCCTAAATGATTGCCCCCAAATTTCTTGGACATGTGGCACTTCACTGGATTGAGTGAAGATGAATTATTAACCACTAGCAGAAGGGCAACAGGTATAATGTGCTCTCATATTTTTATTTCTCAAGAGACATTTTCTTAATTTGTTATGTTTAATTGATATTTCCAGTTATTCCAAAAAGAGAAATGTAAAAGTGCCTTCATTCTCAAATAATTAGGAGATTAGGAAACCATACTGGTAATCCTAAACCTCATATTTGAAGTGCTTCCAGATTTAAGCCTTTTGAAGTGGAATGTTTTCTCAATTGCTTTTAAAATAAATTATTGTTATTTAATCTTCTTTGAATCACAGTGCTCCTACAGGGGACGAATATGCCAAAACAGATAAGAACATCTGTTTTGAAAGGGCTTTCTATTTCAAGTTTAATAGTCTCCCAAAGTTTATATAACAGAGTCCCAAGCTGTTGCAAAGGTTTGACAGGCATGTTTCTCTGCAATTCTGGGATATATGTTAGTTAGCTTTGCAGATAAAGCAAATAAAACAGACTGAATTCCTAAATAACCAGTGATGCCAGTTTTTATTAATATTCTTAGTGGTGGCAAATACTCTTTCTTGCTGTTCTGGTTTAGCATTCCTCATTTCACTTTTTTTTTTTTTCCTTCTTTGGGGAATACCTGACCAACTGTAAGACAAATCAAGCTTATTTTTAGTCATTAGAACTTGGAGATTACCCCTTTCCTCTTTTTTGATTCCACAATAACACTGGATTCACTTTCCATATTTAAGATATGTTCATTTGGTAATATCAGACTGCATCTTAAGGAAGTGCATATAATTAAACTAAGGGCAATTATGTGTACAATAAGCTTCGGCTAGTTAGACACTTGCATCCAATCATTTTACATATTTTTATTGGTGACTCTTCAAAGATTTGCTAACATGATTAACTTTCACTGAGTAGGATGGCTGGCTGCCTAAATCATTCACCTGATAATCCTGATTCTAGTCAATGTAGTGAAGGTACTTAGAGGCCCAACACCAGGTTGACCCCACCTGCCTGAGAGCCTCCAAACTCTACTGCATGAAGCCAGTGTTGAGCAGGCACCTGAGAAAGAGATGCATAGATTCCCAGTGAGCGATGGGGTGGCAGGGAGTGTTGTGGCTGCAAAGTACTATGCTCCTCACTGAAGCATGTCTTAATGTTCAGTGTCAGATATCAGTTATTCCGACCATTCACACCACACGATTCCTCATTCATGTGTTAAGTGATTTGCCTGTGGATAGGCCCCAAATCTTCCAGGACTCTTGTAAAGTAAGCATATATAGTAGTGGTGTCATCTCCTAGAAAATAATATTAAATGGGGACAGGCAAATAAATAGTTGACATGAAACCTGCAGCTAAGGCTTTAAAATATGGGTAAGGAACTGCTGGACACTTCTTTACAGAATATGTTTTCAAACTGGCTCAAGGAATATGAGGCTTTTACTTAAATTTGAATTATTTTTAGGCAAATGCCAAATTGCATGATATCTTACAGATTCAATTTTTGAAATTACTTACACTCAGTCCCCTGCCCCTGCCATTGACACGTTTTACTAGGCCTTAAAATTACTGTTTCGTCTGTAATAATCCTCATGCAACAATAGCTTACCTGCAAATAGCTTACCATGAGAGTCCTGGGAATCTGTTGTTCTTGGCTTCTTTATTAGTGTTGTTTATAATCGTTTTCACCAGTGCATAGGGAGGAGCTTAGAGTAGCAGTTAGAGAACCTGATTCTCTGTCTTCTTAGCTGTGTGAATCACTACATGTTTCTGGAATTTAGTTTTCTCATTTATAAAATGAGATAAGGATATCAGGCCTGCCTACTACATAGGATTGTTTTGAAAGTCAAATGAAACAATGCATTTACTGTAGGGTAAATGCACCTGATAGCGATAAATTAAGCATAGCCTTAGAATGACCCTGCTTGGCAGATGCACCTGAATGTGTATTCTGAGCTAGGGAATTTGAGATTGGCCAATCCGGAGAGGCCAATCCAGAGATATGTTCCTTTCCTATGAGGAATGTCTAAGCTCCTGTCCTGTCCTATCCTGTCCAGTCCCATGAACACACGCTGTACATGAGAGTGTGTTTTGGGTTAAATGAAGGTTGCCAGGTGGAGGTCATTAAGGGGAGGATGTTAACTGAAAATGCTATAAAAACTGCATGCTGTTTGCTAGCAGTTGCGGTTTTTCTGCCCAGCTTGCTGTCACTGGGCTGTGCAGTTATCTTGTCCAGCTCACACCTCTGGACTCTCTCCCTGTATGTAAACCCCTGATAAAATTCTGTGTCTTGGTTGCTGGCTCTGGGTCTCCTCCTCCGCCTCTTGAACCTGGTGCCTTCCTTTCAGTATAAAACTTAAACATCTTGAAAATTGTCATGTGCTATATGAATACACAGCATCAGTACTACTATTTATTACTATTGTTTTTATTCCTATTTCTACCACATTGTGAATAATAACACTGGATGAGCTACTATCCAGTAAATTCTCATCATTGTCAGTGAGTCTGATCCATGTTGCACAATAGTTTATATATCTATTTTCTGTTTTGAGGGCAGCTTCCAGTTGAATATTTATTAATACCCAGAAATAACTATGGAATAAAGCCTCATTAGAGAATGAAAGAGGAAAATATTTCAAATGGACAAAGAAACAAAATTTTTAAAATGCATAAATTGTGTATTCCTGCTGGAGAAATTATACATTTAGATTCTCTATTTATATCAGACTACAGTATTGTAAGAGATTAAGTCATTTGATATATTTATTGTGGTTTCAAAACTCAAAGGGATTGACTGTTCGTTAGAGGAAGATGAAGTACATGCTGGTTAGAACCCTTTGTGAGGCTTTATCTGTGAGAATCATAACATGGCTCAAACCCCGTGGACACTCAAAATCTCTGCTAACATTTTTTGTTAGAAGTAAATAACTTAACACCAGCTTTCTGGAATTCTGTACCTGAAATTTCTGAGCAGCTTGATATTCTAGTTTATCCCTGAAGGGCATTATTAGTGACTCCATTATAAAAAGAAGTGCAGAGATAATATATGTGTCTCTATAGTTTGCATGCTGAGTAATGACCAAGGCGAGAGAATATTTCCACAGGCTGGTAATGGGGAAGCTTTGCTTCCTTGTAGTTCCACATCAGCCACACCTATAGCTGTCCTGACACTGTAGCATCATATATGTGGCCTAGAGGGAAAACTGATTCTGCACATAGCATTTGTTTCCCCAGCCACAGAGGGTAAAAGAGAGAGTCAAGCCTCAGCAGGTGGGTCTCAATCCAGACAGAAACAAGGCTGATGATCAAATAAGCCTATAACAACTGAATTCAAGCAAGACCAGTTAGCTGAGGAGCAGGCAGGGGAAGAGGTATCTAGCTCAGGGTTAAACTGCTGTCAGGGGCTCAAGTCCCCTGAGACCACAGCTAGGCCTGTTGAAGGCCACTGCTCAGCCATGACAAGGAGTGAAGACCTTCCTTTAAGAATCAATTAGTGGTTTGTCCCTGTGAGAACATGTAGGTGATTCAAAGCTCTGGGCACAACTGTTCACCTGGTATCTGTGACTAATGTAGCCTAAAGGAACATTTTCTTTTATATTGTTGTGCAATAACATAATCTGAGGATCCGTTGTTTTTCTTGCAAAACTCAAAAAAAAAATTTCACAGAAAGCATTTGGCTTTACAGAAAGTGAAGGAAGTGTTGCTTACTCTGTATCATGACTTGCTTGAGAATCAAGAAATAAGAATTTTGCTGTGTGAGAAGCTAACATCAGCAACAGCCTCTCCCTCTTCCACCCACATCCCAACATATACCACCTCCAGCCAGTCCAGAGCTCCACTGGCACTCTCATACAGGAGCTTTTTCATTACCGAATCCCAGACACCCCATTCAATTATTAAAGAACGCCCTGTTATATTTATTACAGAGGTGGCTGATATTGCTGCCAATTGTCGAATTTCGGTTTCCTGTGGTTGATTTTCATGCATGAGGAACACACGGCTGCTGGGCAGGCGCCAGCACTCCATCAATCTCTCCAGGCTGCCTCGACCTCAGGATATGTAAGAGTAGCGGATAAATTGGAAGATCAATGACTTGTCCCTCCTGCCGCACCACCTGCTATTGAGAAATTAATATGAAGATCACTATAAATAAAAGATAAAAGATGATATGGCTTATAGTGTAAAATATTAAGGCTGGACACAATGTGCTGGAGGAATCCAAACCAAAATCTAAGCAAATTAACCCTGTAAGGGCCTACTACCACCTTTCTGGAAATCGAGTTTGAGAGAGATCATGCTGTAATGTGATATGGGTTTCTTTATATACTTGATAGAGAAAAAGGAACATTAATGAAATAGTGTCCCTTCTCTTTTCTATGTAGAGTTTTTGGACTTGAAGGGATTACAGAAATTATTTATTCCAGTCAACTCATTTAACATGAGAAAACTGCAGACCAGAGAATTAAGTGGTTTGCTCAAGTTTTTGCAGCTAGCTGGTGACAGACCTGCTAATTGGCCTCCGTTCTAATGTTCAATCTTTATTTTTTTTTATCAAGCCACCTCCTATCACAAAGGCTCTTAATAAACTCTCATTTTAATGCTCTCTAGGGCTATCCTAAGAAAAGCGCTAATTTGTAATCATGCCAGAAGCAGTAAAAGATGGCGGTATTTCTTAATATGTACTCAAGACCAAATATCTATCTGTGGCATATAATAAATGTTTGACAGATATCATTTACAAAGCACATTTGTTTCTGAGCATCGCAGGGGACGTTATCCATGTTTCTCCTGGGGCTTAAGAAATGAAACAGATGATCAGACTCAAGAACATATGCAGAGCCCAAGAGGGAATTGGAGGAAGAAAAAGAAAAAATACCAGAGGTAATAGGAGAACACTAGTTGTGGAAAAGATAAGGCCTTGAGGGGCAGCAATTTGACATCAGAATGGAAGCTGAAAGCTGAAGTTGAAGAGTCACAGGTTAATTTTGTTCGAATCTTGAAAAGTCTAAATTCAGTTTTTGGCTCTGGTGCACCATGTGCCTGGGTTAATTTGGGTGGCTCAATCCCAAAGCAGCTCTGAACCCCAAAGCGGCTCCTCTGAATTCCCAGTTTCAAGTTCCACTCTGTCCCTGCTGGGCATCTCGAGATATGGGAAACAGGGCTGTTATAATTGCCAGACAGCTGAGTTCTGTACATACCTTGATTTGCAATTTTTTTTGGCTGCTTCTCAGGACAACTGGTGGAGATTTAGATTCCTTAAAATGCAGTTATGAATCTATTGGCCTCAACTCTATTTCTACCCATGAATTCATTTGTACTTGGCAAAGACGACTTAATTTCTCATTTGTTATGTCATTTAAACCTCTCTTTAGAGCCTCTCCTCACTCTTACCTGTTAATAATCGGAAGTCAGCTACATGAAACGTTCAATTTGGGTTCCATCTCCTCTGAAGAAAAATGCAGTTAAAAAAAAAATAAGAGGATTGGCCAGCCGCAGTGGCTCACACCTGTAATCCCAGCACTTTGGGAGGCCGAGGCAGGCAGATCACCTGAGGTCGGGAGTTCGAGACCAGCCTGACCAACACAGAGAAACCCCGTCTCTACTAAAAATATAAAAAAGTTAGCCGGGCATGGTGGCACATGCCTGTAATTCCAGCTACTAGGGAGGCTGAGGCAGAATTGTTTGAACCTGGGAGGTGGAGGTTGCGGTGAGCCGAGAGTGTGCCATTGCACTCCACCTGGGCAACAAGAGCAAAACTCCGTCTCAAAAAAAAAAAAAAAAAAGAGGATGACAATTTTATTTAAAACCAAATCATCTACTGAGTGACAGAGGCTGATTCTGCCTTTAGTAGGTTAGAAAGATCCCCAATCTCAAACTCTTACTTTTTCTAAAAAAAAAAAAAAAAACAAAAAAAACCAAAAAACTGTCAGTGCTGTTTCTTAAGGATCAAAAAGTATGCATTACAAAAAAAAAGAAAAAAGAAAAAAATTAGAGATCAATGCCTGCTATCCCTGAAATACCTGCCTCAGTTGAGAAATGAATATAAAGATCATTATAAATAAAAGATAGAGGTGATACAGCTTTTGGAGTAAAATATTAAGCCAGTCACAGTGTGATGTATCAAGTTTAACCAAATTAACCTGTGGGATAAACAGGGGCTTAGTTTTTGTTGCACTTGAAAAATGAACTATTATGAAAAAAAAAAAAAAGCTTGTATATGAAAAAGAGGTATCCGGGGCTCAAAATTGAGAATGCAGTTCCTCTCCTTTGAGGTCATCTGTCTCAGACACCTGCATGAGATTTGGAAAATGCTTTCCCCTGAGCAACAAAGGCAGAGTAATCACTCAATCTTCTGCAAAGGTGCACTAACTTATCTTATTGGTTGATACGGTAGCTGCAAGCCATGTTTAGGGGATGGTTATTTTTTGCATTTCCATCCAAAAGCTTCCTTCATAAAACATGCTTTCCATTGGAATGTACACAAATCATGTTTCTAATATACCATTCATTAGATTAATGTTACTATTAGAGCTGCATAGAGCACATATGTGACTTGAGCATTTTTCCAGAAATGCATTATATAACACAGGGATTTCTCATTCATAATTGCAAAGGTTTCAAAACAGCTCCAGAGGAGACTTTAGAAACAGGCTAGCACCAATGAATTTTTCACCCTTTTGCCTAGTCTCCCCAAATTGTGTCTCTTTTCCAGAAAATGAGATATAAATAAAATCTTGGTCCAGTTGAAGCAATTATTTTGACCTGTTGAGATAGACAGCCAGAGTTTTTCTCTAAGTCTGTTGGGTATAGACTCCTTTTCCTGCATTTTTTGACCTTCTCTCTAACCCTGAAAGAATATAGATGGGTTGGGTGACTCACATCCACTTTTGGAGTAGTGCACTGAATTATTTAGCATAAGCAATGGTGGAAAGTGGAGGAGTAAGCGAGGAGAAATAATTTTAAAATATCTTTAGCTGGAGGAAAGTTGGCCTACCTACACAAGAGTAAATATGGCATGTGTAGTGATTCAAATATTCAAAGATGTCTGTTTTAGCAATAGAGACCAGATCTGGACACAGTCCCTGGCACAGTCAGACATACACCTGCACGTTCACTATATCAAAAGAACCACAGAAGTGTGTTGAAAACTGCTTAAGTGAGAGACATAAACACAAGTACAGATGAACGGACAGGAATTCAAGGCTTTAAATGCTGGACTGCTGGCAAAATCCTCAGCAGGGTAAGCTCCAGCCCATTTTCAGTTGTGAGACACTAAGTTCACATTGCAGACATGCGAGAATGTTTGTTCTTTCCTGCCTGATATTTTAGGGAGGATATTAAACACCCCTGTTAAATGTCTGCCAGTGATTGCCAGAATTAAGCTTTTGAAAATGATGGCTGTGATCTTTAATAGGGTTGTGCCCTTGTCAAGACTCTCAGGCAGAATTTCCAATGTAATTTCAAACCAGATATTTCTTTTGGATGATGTGCATGTCTGACTCACTGCAAGAAAACATCCGTGTATAGTTGAAGTTAGGAACCAGCTGGTGTAAATTTGTATGTTATCTCATGACCTGACTTTTTAGCTACTTTTTGTTCTTGTATTGTGGCTAAGCTTGATATTGTCTCAGGGCCTTTGCACTTACTGTGTAAAAATAATATTGTTATTCTTTTTCTAGAATAACATTTTAGAATAATTGTTTTCTAGAATAATATTTCCAGAAAAATCTCTATAAATTATTCCTTTCTATTCCTTGGCATGTGACTTAAATGTCACCTCCTAAAAAGTCATTTTCTTGATGATCCAGTATCTCAGCTTAGTCACAATTGTATTACCTTAATTCATTTTCTTTGAACCACTTACCAATGTTTCAGGAACAGTAACAGAATAATCATAAAAATAATGACTATCTTCATTTATTTGTATTTAGATAGACTTCTTCTCAAAGAACGCAAACTCCATGATGGCAGAAATTGAATTTCCTTTTTATTCCCTGTCTATGCCAGCCTTGGAACAGTGTCTGGCTTAGTGTAGTCACTCAAGGTTTGCTGATTGAGTGTATAAAAATATATGAGTAGACAAATGGATTTGGAATGATTTGAGGTCACTCTTAATGATGGCTCGGGGTTAATGATTAGATTTCAAGTGTAGGTATAAGAGCTGGAAGCGATCTTGTCACATCCTCATAGCTAGGGCAAGATTCCCTTCTGTTGCATCCCTATTGCATAATCAATTAGTCTGTGCTTGAATAACTGTATATGAAAGACTCTAGCCATTGGCACTCTCTTAGCTGTTTCAAACTGATCACAGCCTTCCATGGGAATTTGTTTCCTGTTACACAGCTATAACTGAGAAAACTGATTATCCAGGATCTTTTCACTCAGTCCTTTCAGCTGTTGTTCTTTCTCTAGCTCCTGGAGAACAGACAGGACGGAGTTTCTCCTCTAAATTATATCTTTTAGGTTTACATGCCTGCTTGTAACAAATTTAGTGCACTGTTACAGAAAGATTCAGCGGGATTGTCTGCTATGTATTACTGTATTTCTTGATAGTATTTAGAAATAATTTGTCTTCAGGTTCTATGTTATATTTGAGAAAGTATAGAAGTAGAAGAGATTTAGGGGTTATGTCAGAAGGATCAGATTGGTATTTGAATTTATCCCCTTTAATGTATCTAATGCTGATGCTATGAGGAATTGAACAGTATAGTCACAACATTATTGCCATTGCTTAAAAAATGTATATATGGTAAAAGATATGGTAACTCTGGAACCCCTCTATGATGGGAAAAGCTTCAACTATGTCTTAGACCTCAGAGTATTTCTCAAAACATTGTGATACAAAGCATCTCTCCTTTTCTTGTTTCTTTGTATGCACAATTAATTAACAAAAAGCATACCTCATATTCCAGAAATAATGATGATTTAGTTGACATTTGCCGGGGGGTGCATGTTTAAAGGTCCATCATTTGTACATAGCAGTTTAGAGTCACACAAAGCATGGATATTTGGGCCCCAGTGAAAGCCCCATGGAGTCATTTTCATATATCTGTTCACCACTGTGTATAAATGGGAGAAAAATCAAAACCCCTTGTAGATTATGGTAAGCCAGAACTTCTTTCACGTTTGCTGTGACAAATAGGTACAAAGGTATCAAACATCTGCAAAATAGCCTTGCAGGATTTGATAGAACTCTCAAGTGGGATGTAGAAAATATATAACAAAAAAGAAAGGCAAGTCAGAGCAGCTGGGAAACTTTTTCAAGGACAACTGGGTAACAATAGTAACAACAACAATAATAAGACCCATTATAAAAGGCTTAGAATGGCACAAAGTTCTAAGGACGTTACATATATTAACTCTTTACACACCACAACCCTATAAGATGGGTAGAGTTATAACCCTTATTTTTCAAATGAGGAAATGAAACAGAAAGACATGAAGTAAGCTTCCTGAGGTCCCACCAGTAGTAAGTGACAGAGCTAGGAAAAAGCCCTAGGCTCTCTAACTTAGAGTCAGTGCTCTTAACCAGTGGGTTGTAAACTATAGGTAATATTAGTACAATTTGAAATAGCTTTGCAAATATTATTTTTTACTCCCAAAGTACATAGGGAATACCCAGAGAAACTGGCATTATAATTATTTTGATTTTCTTTACCAGCAATCTGTTAACTTTCTGCAGTTCAGTATTCTTCCCCAACTTAAAAATTCAAGCTACAATCCAAAACAGAAGGGTTAAAGCAAGCAAATTTCTTGGAGATCTCATTCTAGAAAGTAATTAAAAGAATGCGGTCCATGAGTATGTAAAAAGAAACCAAAACAAAGGAGAAGACAAGAATCCCAAATGTTTTGATTAAGCTCAACATTCTTAGGTAAAGGGATACTTAATGCTCTATTAATACCCTGCCCACAGAGGCATCACTCTACAGAAGCCAAGGATCTCTTCTCAACTGCAAACTCACTGATGCTGAGACGGTCACTTCTCTTGTTAAGCCTCCAACTTTCCCTCATCATTATGGGAGGGAGTTGGAATTAGATTAGTTCTCTCAACCCAGTTCTAACATTCTGTGCATCTGTGAGCCTAAGTAAGTGTTGAATATCTTTAATGTGACAGATTATTTTTTTCATAACTGCTATTCTCCTGACTTTTGTGTAACTTTTATACATTGTAGACAAGAAAAAGATACCAAACAGAAAGTAAATAACAAACTAATTCCAACTTTCCATTCTCATTTCACTGCCAATTCTGCAGAAAGCCTTCTGTAGAATTCTGATGCAGACCGTGAAAACTCACTGCAAGTGTTCCAGGGTCTTACCCGTATTTGGCCATCCTGTGTTTTCCACTGGCAGTCATCAAAAAGAAATAAAATAATGGGAACTCATATCAACACTGATGGGAAAGAAATCCTTGAACATTTTTTCCCTTACTATATGAAACTTCAACCATATACAAAAGCACCATTAAAGGTTAAACGCTAAAGGCAACATATTCCTGTGCACAAGAGAACATAACACAAATAATATACAATGCCATCATTATGGACATACACATATACACATATGGTCTCAAAATGTATTCAGAGATAGTGACTGGATTAAATATGAGGTCAGTAGAGAATATAGTTTTTGTATAGTTTTTGTTGTTGTGTTTTTTTTTTTTTTTTTTTTTTTGAAATGGAGTCTCGCTCTGTCACCCAGACTGGAGAGTGCAATGGCGTGATCTCGGCTCACTGCAACCTCCGCCTCCCAGGTTCAAGCGATTCTCCTGCTTCAGCCTCCCGAGTAGCCGGGACTACAGTCGCATGCTACCACAACTGGCTAATTTTTTGTCTTTTTAGTAGAGACGGGGTTTCACCGTGTTAGCAAGGCTGGTCTCCATCTCCTGACCTCATGATCTACCCATCTCGGTCTCCCAAAGTGATGGGATTACAGGTGTGGGCCACCATGCCCGGCCAATAGAACATGTTTTTAAAAGACATACTCAACATATATATCTGTCCTCCTCCCCGCCCCCTACATATTTAATTCATCCCAGTCATTTCCCCAATTAGTTTTCCCCTATGTTTATTTTAGAATTAGTGATTTTTGGACAGAAGTTAATCTCTATACAGACACCTATGTCATGGCCCGAAAGTACTAAGCCTTGTTTTTGGCAGCTTGTGGCATTGAATAGGGAAAGTGCTCAGTCATACAAGAGGAGAATAAAGAGTGAAACTTGGAATAGGACCTTATGTACAGTTCTTAATTCCAAAAGAAGGGAAGAATGAAGGACCTCACAGATGAATCAATGGTAGGACAATTCACCGGTTACTGGCTGCCCTCACTTTACCAGTATTTTAGGCTATAAAGTATGCTTGAATAGCTGCATCACACTCTGATTGGACATACATACATAAGCACAGATTTACCTTCTTGGAATTGTTTTATATGGTGATAATAGGCATAAAGAAAGGGAACTATGAACCCATGTCTCCTCCAAGTTGAAGACATTTATTAGAGTACAGATTTAACCAAAACCAAAAATGATGCATTCGTTCATACCAACTGAAACTATATCTTACCATTCCTGTTTGCTAAAGAAAAAAAACAAGGCTGTCTCTGAATAGAGTGATAGCATATTTACATAGTCCTTTCAGGTTAGGTCTTGTCAACAGACTTTAGTGTTCACTCACTAAAAGCAAATCAACTCATTTAGTGTTTCAGGAAACATCTCTTCCTTTCATTACCATTAAAGAAATTGTAGCACTTGTTGGATACACTACTCTTTAGAATGACATTCTTATACTTATTTATAATAGGACCTGTTATTTTAAATGCAAACTTATAATATGTCAAGCTTCAGAACAAATACCCAGTGTGTTTTTGGAAATCACGTGGTTTAGAGTTTTCAGATTTGGACTCAGACTTGCATCTCAAACATTGCAATTTGGGCTTATTAAATGATTTCCTTGCAACCAAGAAAAAATTGCTCATCTGAATTTAGAATCCAATTAAATTAATATGATAGTGGTTGATGAAGCAAAGTAGCATAGAGGTTAAGTTCATGTGCTCTGGAGCTGGGCAGTCAGAGTCTGAATTTCATTTCTACCATTTATAGCTGTGTGATCATGGGCAAGTTACTTAACCTCTCTGTGCCTCAATTTCTTCATCTGCACAATGGTGATGAATAATAGTACCAATATCATAGAGTGACTGTAAGGAATGAATAAGTTAGTAATATTTTTAAGCTTAAAGCAATCAATGCTTGGCTTATAAAATAATTTTTAAATGATAGCAATTATTAGTATTAGTAAAATAATATTCCTATAGTATTTATCAAATTATCTGAAAATAATAATATGGGCCTGTTATTTCAGTAGTTCTATTTGTTGGCTACATAGATTAGGTAAACTCATCTTGTTTAATCATAAAACAAAAAGAATAAACAGTTTTTTTAGCCTTGTTAAGGAACCCAAGTCACATAATTCAGAAATGTTTCTGACTGGCGGCATCTGCTTTGGCTCTGTCATGGCAAGAGAATGTTTATTGTTCCAGAAAGCGAAATCCTCATATTTGTGTAGCATAAAAGAAAAGCCCTTAATAAGATATATTTCCATAGGTACAGTAGTGCCACATATAGTGGAAAATTACCTCTTCTAGGTTCAAATGTTCTGATTCAGAGCTGTCATTGCCTATTATTAGGCAGCAGGAAGGCATAAGTAAGAACTACGCATGTTTGTCATTAGATCCATCTACAACATTGATACTGTCAATCAGCCTCTGACAGCACCTTCCCCCAGCATCTTCCCCCCTGTGCCCCTTTGAGCATGCTCTGATGGAGTCTACCATCAGTGTGGTGAGAGTTTACTGTGTTTATAAGTGTGCAAACAAATTGAAGAGCAAAGTTAATAAATATTGACCAAGTTTGTGACAGTAAATGCTAGGGAAATAGTTAAATATATGGATACAAGGGGACAGGCAAATACTCACTTGGCATGAAACCAGTAAAAATGCTTCTTGGTAAACAAAAAGTCCACCTTGTAAACAAAAAGAAATGAAAAGTTTGCCAAAAATGAAGCCCAGTGTAGTGCTACTGTAACCTGACCACAGTATTAAATAAACACACACGCATGCACAACACACAAAAGGAAGCCCTCTTCACGCTAATGCCCCAAGCACTTTAATGGGTCTCTAGATTTGGTAGACAAAGTAGAGTGATAGATGCCCTCTATGAGCTGGGTCCATCAAACAAGCGTGGCACTAACAGAAGAAGAAAGGAGTAGCTCCGACAACATGGGCAATTGCATGCTCAAAGCAGTCCTCAGACAATGAGTAAGTTAGTAGATACAAACATAAACTAAATCTGTTAAGTTTTTGGTTTTGTTGACTGTAGCAAAAAAACAGATAGAGAAATGCAGAGGCATAGACTTCTCAAACCCTGGGAAGAGCACTCTTATTCTCTCATTTAGAACTTCAGTTGCCAAAGTCATTGAGCCATCGTTATTGATTGTTCTACAGGACAAAGTCCTTTCTGTTATTCAGGGAGAATATTTCTGCAAATATCTCTGGACTGAAGTTTTAAGACATATTTTGAAAACATGACAGTTGTTTATAAAATAAAGTGATTTTCTTTTCTCATTAAAATCCAGTTATTCGCAGGAACAGAAAGCCAAATACCGCATGTTCTCACTTACAAGTGGGAGCTAAACACTGAGTAGACGTAGACACAAAGAAGGGAACAATAGACACTGGGGCCTACTTGAGGATGGAGGAGTGGGAGCAGGGTAAGGACTGAAAAATTCCCTGTCAGGTACTATGTTCATTACCTGGGTGACAAAATAATCTGTACACCAAATCCCCATGAAACACTACCCATGAAAGAAACCTGCACGTGTACACCTGAACCTCAAATAAAAGTTGAAAAGGAAAATGAATAATTAAATTAAATCTAGTTATTTGTAATCCTTGCCAAAGAAAGCCACAGAAACAAAATGGAGTAACATCTGTTAAAAGATATTTTCTTCCAATGAAAAATATGTCTTTAAAAATGTCATTGTCATGTGAATCATATATCCTAAGAAATTGAAATAGCTTCATGGTCCTTGAAAAGGTTAACCAAGACACTAGACTTGTACACAAATACACATATACATGGAGAGAATGGGAGTACAACTAAAAGACCACCCCAAATCCCCTTTTATAAATAGGCAGACAAAGCTCTCATTCACAATACTGGCTTGTTGGGAGAAAAACATCCTCACACAGGCAGAGAAAAACCTATAGTACATACCAGTTCCATTAAACCTAATTCAATGAATAAATAAATGACTTAATAGGTAGATAAGAAGAATCAATAAAACTGAGAAAAAAAACAGAAAAATTATATCAAAACAACCAAGTATACAAACAGAAAAGCAAATTCCAAAAAAAAACAGGAATAATTCAGAAGACCAAATATAATTAGGTCAAAACCAGAATAAAGCAAAGGCCTTAATTAGAATTAATAGGAAATTATAGGGGAACATCTTATTGGTTTTTCTCGTATACTTATGGCAGAGAAATGCTAACTTAAAATATATAGGTGTGTGTGTATATATATGTGTGTGTGTGTGTAAGCATACAAAATGTATGTATTTCAAATATACACACTAATATTTAAATATAAATATATACACATATATATATAAATATACATATATATATATGGAGGATGGATAATACAGGAAATATAATATTGTTATAAAGGCATTCCAGAAATAGAGGAGAGAGTAAGTGTATTGTATTAGCTTCCTGTTGCTGTATTATCAAGTTAACTCAAACTTAGTGACTTAAAATGACACCAATTTATTATCTGTCTTACAATTCTGTAAATTAGAAGTCCAACGTGTGTCTCACTGGACTGAAATCCAGGTGTCAACAGGGCTGCATTCCCTTTTGGAGGTTCTAGAGGAAAATCTATTTCCTTGACTTGAAAAAGTCTTCTACAGACTGCACTTGTTATTCTACTCAATCTCTTTATCTTCAAGTCTATCAATGGCAGGTTGAGTCCTTCACTACATCATTGACCTTGCTTCCATTGTCACCTTTTATTCACTGACTCTTCTGCCTCTGTCTTTTAAGGATTTTTGCAATTACATTAGGCCCACTTGGGTGATCCATGATAATCTTCTAATCTTAAGGTCAGCTGATTAGCAACCATAATTCCATTTGGATCTTAATTTCCCTTTGCCATGTAACAACATTCTCACATCTTCTAGGGATTAGGCTATCTCTCTCTTTTTTTGTGGGGAGTGGGGCAGCGGGGGCTGCTATTATTCAGACTACCACAGGTAGATCCAGAATCTACAAAGAACTTAAACAAATTTACAAGAAAAAACTAACCCCATCAAAAAGTGGTAGAAGGATATGAACAGACACTTCTCAAAAGAAGACATTTATGTGGCCAACAAACTTATGAAAAAAAGCTCATCATCACTGGTCATTAGAGAAATGCAAATCAAAACCACAATGAGATACCATGTCATGCCAGTTAGAATGGCGATGATGAAAACATCAGGAAACAACAGATGCTGGAGAGGATGTGGAGAAATAAGAATGCTTTTACACTGTTGGTGGGAGTGTAAATTTGTTCAACCATTGTGGAAGACAGTGTGGAGATTACTCAAGGATCTAGAACCAGAAATACCATTTGACCGAGCAATCCCATTACTGGGTATATACCCAAAGGATCATAAGTCATTCTACTATAAAGACACATGCACATATATGTTTATTGCAGCATTGTTCACAATAGCAAACACTCGGAACCCACCCAAATGCCTATCAATGATAGACTGGATAAAGAAAATGTGGCACATATACACCATGGAATACTATTAGCCATAAAAAAGAATGAGTTCATGTCCATTGCAGGGAAATGGATGAAGCTGGAAACCATCATTCTCAGCAAACTAACACGGGAACAGAAAACCAAACACTGCATGTTCTCACTCATAAGTGGGAGTTGAACAATGAGAACACATGGATACACGGAGGGGAACATCACATACCAGGGCCTGTCAGGGGGTGGGGGCCTAGGAGAGGGATAGCATTAGGAGAAATACCTAATGGGGATGACGGGTTAATGGGTGCAGCAAACCACCAAGGCACGTGTATAACTGTGTAACAAACCTGCACGTTCTGCACATGTATCCCAGAACTTAAAGTATAATAATAAAAAAGATATAATCAAAGGAAGATTTTAAAAATTATTCAGAGCAGAAGGTAAATATGTTTTTTAGTTTACAAGGTTGTATTAACTGTAGAGAAGGTTAAGTGGTGGGAATTACTTATCAAGACTTCATTTGGCTTTGACCTTCAGAAGATGAAATGGAAATACAAAAATTTAAAACTTTCTAGATAAAACAAACAAAGATTGCATACAAAGCAACAACACAAAATATTAAAATTAAATTTCTCAGTAGTATTCGATACTATAAGGAAATAAAAAAAATCCTTCCAAATTTAAGGAAAAGTGATTTTGAATATAAACTGTACAAGAAGCAAAATCATAACTTACATGTGAAAAGTTAAATTTTTTTCACATCCAAGGATTAAAAAATATACAACCCCATCAACTCAGAAAGAAAATTGAAAAAAAAATTCTGAAATAGTCACATGTTGCTTAACAATGAGGATACTTTCTGAGAAATCTGTCATTAGGCAATTTTATCATTGTGTGAACATCATAGAGTGCACTTACACAAACAGATGTTATAGCCTACCGCACACCTAGGCTCTATGATATAGCCTATTTCTCTCAGGCTACAAACCTGTACAACAGGTTTCTGCATTGAGTAGTGTAGGCATTTGTAACACAATAAATATTTGTGTGTACATACAAATACATCTATAAATAGAAAAGGTACAGAAAAATATGTTATAAAAGATAAAAATAGTACAACTGTATGGGGCACTTACCATGAATGTATCTTGCAGGAATTGAAGTTGCTCTGGGTGAGTTAGTGAAGGAGTGGTGAGTGAATGTGAAGGTATAGGACATTACTGTACACTACTGTAGACTTTATAAACATTGCACAGTTATCTACTTGTATTAGTCCATTCTCAGGCTGCTAATAAAGACATCCCCAAGACTGAGTAATGTATAAAGGAAAGAGGTTTAATTGACTCACAGTTCAGCATGGCTGGGGAGGCCTTAGGAAACTTACAATCATGGTGGAAGAGGAAGCAAACACGTCCTTCTTCACATGGCAGCAGGAAGGAGAATGAGCGAAAAGAAGTGGAAAGTCCTTACAAAATCATCAGATCTTGTGAGAACTTACTCACTATCATGAGAATAGCATGGGGAAAACCATCTCATAATTTAAGTAGCTCACACCAGGTTTCTCCCACCACATTTGGGGATTATGGGAACTACAATTCAAGATGAGATTTGGGTGGGGAGACAGCCAAACCATATCACTACACTAAATTCATTAAAATTTTTTTCAATAATAAATTAACTTTAGCTTACTGTTTTCTTTATTAAAATTTTAAATTTTTTAACTTTCTTAATGTTGTAATAACACAGCTTAAAACAAATATATGTGTAGCTATACAATATTTTTCTTTAAATTCTTATTCTATAAGCCTTTTTATTCACAAAACTTTAAAAAAAAAACTTTTCTGTTAAAAGCAACTACATACATTAGCCTAGATCTACAGAGGGTCAGAATCATCAATATCTTTATCTTCCACCTCCACATCTTGTCCCACTGATAGGTCTTTAGGGTAAATAATATGCAGGGAGCTGCCATCTCCTGTGATAACAATGCCTTCTTCTGGAAACCACTTGAAGGACCTGCCTGAGGCTGTTTTACAGTTAACATTTTTTTATGAGTATACTCTAAAATAAGATAACAAGCATAGCATAGTCAATAAATAAACCAGTAACATAGTTCTTATTATCATTTTCAATTGTTATGTATTATACATAATTGTATGTGCTAGACTTTCATAGGACTGCAACTTAGTTGGTTTGTTGACACCAGCATCACCACAAACAGTTGAGTAACACATTAAGTTATGAAATTATGATGGTTATACTGTCACTTTGTGATAGGAATTTTTCAACTCCATTATAATCTGATGGGGCCACTGTCGATGATGGAAATGTGCTTACATACTGTACTTGGAAAAAACAAAATTTTCAAATGTACAAACCATTCAACTTAGAAAAAAATTACAAAAATTTGCTTAACTTTTCAAACAAAAAAGAGATGCAAGAAGGAGACTGTCATGACAAGTTAGATGCATCGAGTGCAGAAAACTAACAACAAAGCTTGATATAAAATTAAGATTTGTTACTCTGTCGATAGAATGTTTCCCTTCAGGAGCACTACTTCAGTGATGTGAGCTTATACTTTTTTTTTTTTCCGTTGGGTCTAAGCTTGCTACTTCTTAATGTACAATACAATATACAATATTTTAATTGTTAATATATCATAAAAATATAGTGCGTAACACATGATATATATCATATGTAATGTTTAATATATGATATATATGTTATATATGTATATAAAACTTAAAATATCTAGTATACAATATGAAATATGGACACCTTGAGATCACAGGGTACAATACCAGAGAGGATAGAGTTACACAGAGGGAGAGACCTCTAAAGCTTACAGAGGTCCCATTTGTATTCTCAGCTGAGTACTGATAAGCACATGCCTATGAGGAAAACAATCGAAGGCAGAGAAAGAACCACTTAAAGCATTAGAAGAAAGAATAGACACTAATAAGAGTGAAAAACCTTAAGGTTTAACATTCTCATTGAAAGGCGGAGGTTTTCAAATTAGATAAAAGAGGAAGATCTCACTACATATTATGTAAAATAAACCACTGTAAGTATAAAGCACAAGTAGTTTGAAAGTAAAAAGATGGAAAAAATGTGTACTATGCCTTCAGAAGAAGTTCAGAAGAAGGCATAGTTCATCAAGACTCAGAACTGTACACTAAAAGACAGAATTTTACTGCATAAAATTCATACAATAATTTCATCAATGAAAAAATACATCTTATCCTTAAAAATAGTATTTGAGATTTTAAATAATGCAAGCAGAAGGATAAATACAAATCCTTATAATAATATCTGTGATTTTTTTAAAAAGGTAAAACTAAGAGCAAGTAGAAAGACCAATACTTAACAATTTTTTACTTTACAGTGGTGCAAAACTCTATTTTTTAATATAATGTACAGTATCCAATAAATTACAAATGCTATTCAACACAATTATAAAATAGCATTTGAATTAGATGATTTTATCCAATTTTAAGCTAACATAAGTGTTCTGAGCACATTTAAGGTAGGTTAGGTGATGCTATGAAGTTTAGTAGGTAAGGTATATTAAATGCATTTTTCAATTTACAATATTTTCAACTTAATGATGGATTTATTTGGATGTAATGCTATCATAAGTCAAGGAACATCTGTACAAAATATTGATGCCTTGAAACACTTGAAAGTTTGTTATAAATGCTTTTCCAACTTGTCACTGTCCCACATTGTTTGTCAGTCTTAAGTTTTAGTACCACTAATTTTCATCTTTATCTACTTTAAGAGTATTTGTGCACAAAGTTGGGAAAAGGCATGCAAGCCAGATGTCATGTTCAGCTGTAAAAGTTTCAGTGAAGTTTTTGGCGGAAAATAAGGACAAAGTAACAATGAACTTAGCAATGCAATTCAGATCAAATGCTGTGGCAGTCATTTGAGTTATGACTTAATTCACTTTTTGAAAAGTTCAAAGGGAAAGAAATGATTTCACAATTTCTGGACTGTAAGAAGCGTATGGATAATCAGTCACCCTTGGTTATGTCCATACCCTCTGGTTTTCTTCCCCTATTCCCCACATGGGGCATATTTTCCACAGTGGGTGTTGAATAAAAGTTAGTGGCATGAATAAATGAATATCGCAAAGTAATATAAAACAAACAGATGACTTTGCTCAAATGAATGTCCAAACCGTGATAATCTGATTGGCCAAATGACTGGGTTAAAAGCCAGTACTCATTTTTATGAATTGTTCATTCATGAAATTGTGTTATACCATCTCTTATATTTCCTATATCCAGTTTCATCAGTTGGCAAAAATTTAAGAATCTTTTTCCTACCTGATAGTGGGAGTAAACGTATATTTTCTTTTCTTTGTCTACCTTGTAGCTGGATGGGGCTCTTTTCCCACCTATGGGCTTAGTGGCTTTAGCCATCTTCAGGCTCCAGTCATTAAAAGTCAACTTATTTCCCTTTGTTCTGGTACCAGTGTGTGAGCTAGGGACTGATATTTTCCCAATTTACAATAATTAAATACTATCCTCAAGTCTATGCACAAAATTAAAAAAATGATATTTTAAAGGAAACAATTAAAAGGCATTGTCTAGATCACTTAGTATGAGCAGAGTTCCCCAATGTATCTTTTAGCCATGAAACCTAGCATTTAGGAGTGTATTATATTCTTTTCCTAATTAATAAATCCAAACTTTATTTCTCAATCGGCTATTTGTGTCATTTTTTTGTTCATGAGTCAAAACCTAAGAATGGATGAGGCATCAGTAGCATGGTGTATTGAACCCTAATATAAGAGTTCTCCAATCTGAGATTCTGTATAGGCAACATAGGCAACAGCGCCTTTATTGGCCAGGATCATGCAGAGGTGGCTCTTACACTTTATTTAAAACTCATCTCAAAACAGAAAGATATGAATGCTATAGACAATTTATTTCATTTCATTTTATAATTTTATTAAGGTATTATTGAGATATATTAAATTGCAAATATTTAAAATTAACAATATGATGTGTTATAACATTTGTAGCTCCTCATAAAATCATTATCATGTTCATAATAAAGATTATGCACTTTGGGAAGCCAAGGCAGGAGGATCACCTGAGGTCAGGAGTTTGAGATCAGCCTGGCCAACATGATGAAACCCCATTTCTACTAAAAATACAGAAATTAGCTGGGCATAGTGGCGCACACCTATATTTCCAGCTACATGGGAAGCTGAGGCGGAAGAATCGCTTGAACCCAGGAGGTTGAGGTTGCAGTGAGCCAAGATCATGCCACTGCACTCCAGCCTGGGTGACAGAGCAAGATCTGTCTCAAAATAAAAAATAAAAAAATAAAGATGATGAACATATCCATCAACCCCCAAAATTTCCTCATGTCCTTTTATAATTTCTCCCTCTACTTCTTCCTTGCACCTGTCCTGCCCAAAGGGAGCTGCTAATCTGCCTTTGGTCACTTTAAATGAGTTTGCATGTTTTCATATTTTATATAACTTTGTAGAATGATATAGTATACTCTTTATTTTCTGGCCTCTTTTACTTAGTATAATTATTATATTTATCAATGTTGTTCAGGTATAGATAGTTCATTCCTTTTTATTTCTGTATAGTATTCCATTGTATGGATATGTTGCAATTTGTTTATCTAGTCACCTCTTGAGAGAATACTTTTTGGAGATGGGGATGACATCGAGTCTATAGATAAATTTAGAGTCATTTGAGCAATTTATAGCTTGTTACATTGGTACAAAAGTAATTACTAATACTTTTAATGGCAAATTAAAAGTTTTTGGTTTTGCCATTACTTTTAATGGCAAAACCTGCAATTACTTTTACATCAATCTAATTACAATATTGAATTTCCAAACTATAAAATGTTATATTTCTCAATTTATTTAAATATTTTCACTTTTCTAAGCAATGTTTTATCATTTTATTTTAACAGGGCTTGCAATTATTTTGTCAAATTAACCCCTTAGCATTTTATAATTTTGATCTATTTTAAGTGGTATTGATCTTTTCAGTTTGTTTTTCAATTCATTCATTTTCTAATTTAAAATTTTATATGCTTGTATATAAAACTAAAATTAATTTGTGTCCTTTAAACTTATATGCTGTGATATGGCTAAATTTACTCATATTCAGTATTTTGGGAGGTAGATTTCTTAGGATTTTTTATGCACATAGTCATAATCCACCTCTTATTTATTTTCTTGCCTTATCACATTGGTGAGGACCTGGAGTACCATGGTAATTAGGAGTAGTAGAAACAGTCTAACTTGCTCAGTTCCTGATTTTAGGAGGGAAATGTTCACTCTTTTACCATTAAGGTATAGGGTTTTCTTAGACATTTTTCCAGAAAGGGTTTTCTTAGACATTTTCCCTTGTTTCCAGAAAGGGGTTCCGATCCAGACCTCAAGAGAGGATTATTGGATCTCATGCAAGAAAGAATTCAGGGTGAGTCCAGAGTGCAAAGCAAAAGCAAGTTTATTAGGAAAGTAAAGGAATAAAGAATGGCTACTCCATAGACAGAGCAGCCCTGAGGGCTGCTGACTGCCCATTTTAATGGTTATTTATTGATTATATGCTAAACAAGGGATGGATTATTCATGCCTCCCCTTTTAGACTATATAGGGTAACTTCCTGATGTTGCCATGGCATTTGTAAACTGTCATGGGGCTGGTGGGAGTGTAGTAGTGAGGACCATCAGAGGTTACTCTCGACACCATCTCAGTTTTGGTGGGTTTGGCCAGCTTCTTTACTGCAGCCTGTTTTATCAGCAAGGTCTTTATGACCTGTATCTTCTGCTGACCTCCTATCTCATCCTGTGACTTAGAATGCCTAACCATCTGGAAATGCAGCCCAGTGGGTCTCAGCCTCATTTTACCCAGCCCCTAATCAAGATGGAGTTGCTCTAGTTCAAATGCCTCTGAAACTCTGGATGTGAAAGTTTTGAGTGTTAAAGGAACTTTTCATTTTAGGAGCTAACTTTACTCCCATGTGGTCATAAACACTGTACATTTTGTCCTAAGATATTTTGACTCAATATTCATGAGGGTTATTGCTTTGTAGTTTTATTTTTTTATTTTCTTGCAAGATCTTTCTCAGGATTTGGTTTTGAAGTATTGCTAACCTCATAAAATGAGTTTAAAATGTTTTTTTGCTTCATCTTTTTTTCCAAAAGAGTAAAGTCATCTTGGCCTGTGGTCTTCTTTATGGGAAGATTTTAAGTAAGAATGCAATTTCTATAACGAGAATAAAGCTATTAACATTCTATTACTTCTGATGTCAGTTTTGATAATTTTTATCTTTTAAAATTTAGCCTAAGTTATTGAACTTGTTGACAAAGTTATTCACAAACTTTTTTTCTTACCTTTTTGAAAGTCAGTAAGCACTGTAGTGGTGTTTCCTCTTTCATTCCTGATATTAGAAATTTGTGTCTCATTGATCACTGAATCTCTATTATTAGGACAATGCAGATAATATCATAAAAAGATGTTAATATTGTTTAAAAATACCACTTACGTTCTTACCTCAACTAGAATATACAGCCCCTTCATTCGTTGCTAATCTTCATGTTAAAATGACATTTCTTGCTTTAATTTGCCTTTCACTGACTGCTAGTGTTATTCTGCATCTTTTCACAGGTTTATGGATTATTTGCCTTTTTCTATGACTTCTATGTTCGTATTTTGAGCCTATTTTTACACTGTGATGTTTATATTTTTCTTATTAATTTGTAAACATGTTTTATATTTAGGAGTATTCATCCTTTGTCTGTTATATATAGTACAAATATTATCTCCAAGTCCATCATGTTATTTTCACTTTGTATATATCACCTTTTATCACATAGAATCTTTTACACTTTATAATTTAAATATGTGAATCTTTACAGCTTTCGGGTCTACTGAAAATATTTTTCTGTTTTTATAATTACAACTTTAATCCATCTGTAATTTATTTTTTAATATAGCCTGTGGTTAAAAAAAAACTAACATTATTATTTTCTAAGTTGGCATATGGTTTTCTCAGCATCAATTTTGAATGATTAACTTGAATCTTTAGATTATAATTTTAGTTTATCATGATCAAACTTTCTAGATTTAGATCTGTTTGTATTTTCTGCCTAATTTGTATATGTATTTATTCATGAAGTACTGCCATAATGTTTTAATTGTAGTAACTTTTAACTAAATGATACAGCTATCTCTGAGTAAATGGATACTCACTTTCTAATACGTTTTATTACTTGTATCTGAATGCTTCCAAATTATATTCATTACTCAAGTTCTTAACTATTTACCCTTAATATTAATCCAGAGCTGCTGTATATTAAAAACTGGACTAAAATAGCTAAGTAATGTTTTTCAGTTTTCATTAATATTCCTAGATTTTTAAAATGAGAGAGTAATAGAATGTAATATTTTTAAAAGCTCATAGTTTCTATCTCTAATTAAAACAAAATACCCTGTGGAATACCCTTGTGTCATTTTACCTGGTTTCATTAATACTGGCTACTGAAGGTAATTTAAATTCACTCTTGTAAAGTGGGATTTCAGTATCAGCATTTTTTCTCTGTTAGCATACTCAGTGAGACTTATAAATAGTTATCTGCCGGGCAGTAAACACTAGGCAGGCTTGCCTATTGCAAATAATCTCAGCCAATAAATGTTATTTATGTTCTATTTAGGAATAAAGATATTAATCTGAGATCACAAAAGGACATTTGTGTTAAAGCAATTCTGCTTTGATTAGTTGCATATGCAAATATTACTCAATCTCTTTCATCTCCTTCTTTGTCAGTTGTATAGAAAGAAAACTAAATGCACAAATGCAGTCAAATCTACGATTAATACAAATGAAACTGTGAGAATTGAATAACCAATGCATGTAGAATTACCTCTCATTCTGATTGGATAGTTTTTAAATGTTGACTAAAATTTAAATAAATAAATACAAAAAGAAGCTGTCTGAAATGACCTATTATTATTTTATACCCAGATAAAACCTGGGTTTCCACTGATATGAGAAGGAGCTTCTCTCATTAAGGAGGTTTGGGTTTTTTTGTACTGTTTTCTGTACATTCTCTCAATCTGCTTTTGGAGTTTTTACTCAAATCCTTTATCCTTTGATTTTGGGGAAAAAAATATAGAAGCTACACTAGATTCTGCTAAATCAGATAGAATTTTGGAGTCTTCTTTCTCTCTCCTGGACAGCTACTGTCAATTGGTATGACGTAGGCCTTTGTTTTGTTTGGCTGTGGTTAGTGTGTTTCTTTGCTGGTTTTTTTAAAATGTATTTTTAGTATTCATTTGTTTAGGTTGAGAGGGTTGGGAGTTATTCTTTCAAAGGTTATCCCTTCATTTTGGAAGGCCTTTTAAATTGTGATCTTGCATGCAAAATAGTTTAATCCCAAACTGGATATTTCCTTTTTTTAAGCTTTTTCCCTCAGATGCTGGACTCACATTATTGACTAAGAATGAAAAGAATTCAGACCCGGATGTCTTTCCCTTGTAAAGCAGAGAATATAGAAAACAATGAAATTTGGGGTCCCTACTACTCTTGCTTCTCCTTTTCATCTTCTCCTCCGCCTTCTTCTTGTTTGCCAATCACCTCAGTTACTATGTTTTATGTTTCTAGCATGGCCTCGAAAAGATCCTCACTTAGCTGACTCCACAGTGATGGAGTAGTGGATTGCTGGCGGGACCAATATGTAGACACCCTTAGAGGCTACTTGTAAATATAGTCAAGAGGGGTGATCAGCCTATCTTCTCACTTCAACTATGAGATGAGTTTCTTATTTCTAAGAAAACTGACTGTAAACCAAAAATAAAATTCTGAGTCCTCCAACTGACTGAATGGACCCTCCTCTTAACAAAAGGTGACCAAACAAACCTGAAAAACTAGTTCAGGCCATGACAGAAGGGGTGGGTTGGGGGGATCAGAATATGCCTCATTATACTCCTTTCTCTTCAGAGTTCAGGCTCAACTGACCAGTATTAACATTAAAATAGATCTCCTAAGACTGAAAGAACAGACAATTTGTAGCCATAATATACCAATGCCAGCCTGACTCTTGAATAACATCACAAGACAGATAACAGGTTCTTCAAAGGAAATCAAAGTATTTCACCCCAAAATACATTTCTCTGACACATTTTGAAATGGCCCTGCAAAACTGTCTCTTGTGGGGGGAAATTTGCAATCTGTAGAGAATTTCTTTTCTTTACTAGGTCTCTTAGAGTCTGACACATTTGATAAGAGGCATTCCCATCTATTCTCTCTGAAGCCAGCTATATGGAGGCTTCATCTATAAGACAAGAACCTTACCTTTCACAACCGCCTCCACCACACATCCCGCCCCTTACATTAACCCAAGCTTATTTCAACTCCTCAGGCAGCGCTTAACCCCTTCAACCAACTGCCATTCAGGAAATCTTTAAATCTACCTATGACCTGGAAGCCCACCTTTCGAGATGTCCTGTCTCTCTGGACCAAACCAATGTATACCTTACTTGTATTAATTTGTCTTTACCTGTAACTTCTGTCTCTCTGAAATGTATAAAATAAAGCTGAAATTCAATAACCTGGGACATATTCTCTCAGGACCTCCTGGGGCTGTGTCACAGGTCATGATCCTTAACCTTAGCAAAACAAACTTCTAAATTGATTGAGTTCTGTCTCAGATACTTTTTGGTATATAAGACCTATATTCAGTTGAAATAGAAGATGGCCATTTATCTCAGAGCATCTATCTAGAATATCTTGGATGTCCTGCCACTATTATGCTTCTTCTTTAATTTTACTTATGAAATTGTGACCATTTTAATGAATAGAGGAGAGATTTAAAAATTAATGATAAAGACATTCTCAGTAGTCTAGGGTTCAGGGTTAGTTGGAAGTGAAAACTGCTGAATGTTAAAAGAGTAATGCTGGTATGCTAGACTATTGTAACACTTTCTCTTTGAGTTTGTCTTACTTGAAATTACAAGATTCTGTATGGCTCAGGAAAAAGACTGATAATTAGTAACATTTTGCTTCTACTTATATTGTCCACTGAAGATCATTTTGCTTCATTAGTTGGTCAGTAGAAAGGAAGCTCCATGATCTGTTGAACAAGTGTATTACAGTATGAATCTATGACAAAAGGAAGTTTGAAATGACTTCTTTCTTCTGGCATCCCAATATAAGTGTCTTTTGGTAAAAAGAGTTACTTTTATGTCAAATGGCTGGTTGGCAATATAATTTTTTAAAGACAGGAAGCTGAAAGACGCTATTACCAAACAAAGCATCTGTAGTGTTAACATCTATATTTGAGCATCTTTTATTTTCCGAAGGGGTGCAAGTGATAAGAAAGGCAGAGAAATCCACTTGAATAAAGCTTTTCAAAATGGATGGAGCAGAAAGCATTCCCAGACGCAGGTCAAGTTCAACCCAAGAACAACTCTCTCAGTGCTTTCACAGCTAGTTAAAATACAAGACCAATAATACCTCAGCTCTCAAATCAGTGCTGAAATCCAGCAGAAGGTCGTTAATATTGATATGGTTAATATACATCAAACAGGATTCCTTTAATTTTCTGAATCGAAAAATTCTCCACAGTGTTGACATTTCCTTACTGAACTCTCAGGATTGTTTGGCTTCAAAGGCTGTTGGGCCCAAGACGCATTTTGTTTTAAATAATCCTTCATAAAAAAATCAGCTTTCAGTCTAATATGATTGAAACTCAGCTTGAGTGTGTTTTATAATGCATTGAACTGGAAAGACTATGGGCACTGAATTATTCAAAACATGGTAGGCAAACGAGTGATATGTGTTCTCATGTGGGGAGGGGGCGATCAAAGAAGTCAGTGAGACTTGATATGTCTTGTTATCTCATTTTATTTACCTTTTAGAACTCCTCTAAATATTAGAGGAAAGAAATCAATATCAATTTTCACCTCTGTCACGTTCCACACTTCAATTATTAATGAATGTCAAATTTGACCACAGTTCTCTGTACCACCTGCACTGCAATAATATTTCTGAGCCTTTATTAAAAATGTAAAATTGTCACTGAATTTCCAAATATGATTCTCCAGTGGCTAATTTGGCTTGTTTTATTAATAAGCGGGTTCTGATGAGTAATACTAATTTAATACGCCTGCATGTAAGATTAAACTATAAATTATTCCTGCTGAAGGTGATGAGATATGACTGCTGTGTGGTTCTTGGGCAATAACCTTCCTGAATTAACCCTGCAAGCACACAATTCCTGGAAGAAACCATTACTTCATATAGCAAAAAAACCTGATATCTCTTTGTATGTTTTCTTTAGCAGAAGAATGTGCACAAACACACGTAAAACACATGATGGGTGACAAAATACACATGCATACCATACGTGGCTTACTTGAATTTCCAAATAAAATGTCTCCAAAGGAAATGACTTTACTAGTGATTTTTATAGTTTATTAATTTTGGCCACATTACAATACCTCATGAAATCACTTACCATTCTGCTGTCAATCTGATGTTTTCAATTCTGAGACGCTTAATATAAATTAAAGCAATTATTAGAGTCCTGGACCATGCAAAACTCTTTAGTTACAGGAAACCTGATGATTGGAGGTCAAAATTGCCACCAAATATTTCTGTACTCCAAGAGACAATTGGAATATCAATGTGTATCTGCTTAAGGATAGAATGTTTCTAGGAAGAAACTAGGTATATTTTATTTAATACTAGAAGGAGTCAACAGCCAGGGCTGTGGATAGGTGAGTAGATGAGACTTTCATTGCTTTGTACAATAAGCCACAGACAATACAAGAAGTAGCCTCCAGCTTTTTATTTGTCTTTTGTACTAAGCTTTCTTTAGTATATTGCTCCTGATCAATTACACTTAAATCAACAGGAGTTGCTTGAACATTGGACAGTTGTGTTCCCATGCCCTAAAGCATTTTTGAGGGTTACTGAGATAGAACTAATTAAAAAATACTCCCTCCAAATTTTCTTTAGTGTGGCATCAATGAACATAGCTTAGAGGAAAAGAATTCCACCGTGATTTCCTGGTCTGCCACTCTAAGGCCGGGCAAACATAAACCTTCAGAGCAAAACACTTCTACATTTGCTCCAAGTTGGGAATTTGGTTTCCATATTCTTATATAAAAGGTAAATGAGGCCTAATTTCCCTATAATCATTTTCCAAAGAGTAAATATAGTCAGTCATTCATAAGTGACAATGAAAATTAGGATTTTCAAATAGCTAACATTTCACCAATTGCTTAGTATATTTTTGTTGAATAGTGTTTTATTTTTATCTTGAAAAGCCACTATTCACAGTCATAAACTTTTGCTTTCACTTTAACTACCAAGACTGAACAGTTGCTTGACCTATAAATGCAATAAAGCATCAGGTCACAGCAGAATCACAACAAATATTTTATTTCATATCAGAGTGAATTGATTGTTCAGGTGCAAAACGAGAGTGCCTTCATTTTTAATCTTTTTTCTGGCTCTAGATTATTGCATTCTGAACAGAATGGTTTTACTTGAGAAATGTAAAGGAGAAATGTTCACTTTTGTTAACATGGAAATTGATAACCTCAGTAGACAGAGCCAAGAAATGTTTTTATTCAGCTGAATTCATGTTTTCAGTGATGATTCAAGGTTTAATAAGAATTTCTTCCACCAGTCCAAAATCTGAGCATGATCAGCTTCTCACCAAAGTTCATGACAGGCCATTACCTGTTCTGTAGAAAGGAAAATCGAAATACTACAGTTCTCTAATGTTTTATTTGACTTATTAACCACTGGACAACCATTGAGTGAAGACATCATTGCTTTAAAAAAACTGTTAAGGTGAAACTTAATGTATCCTGGTGTTGTGGCCTGATTTGGAAGCTTCGTTTCTGAGCATTTTATAATGTACCAAGGAGAATAGACCCAGGGATATCTTCCATAGGCCCACAGTAAATATTTGTTCAATGGGGAAAAAATGAATATATAGTTCAGGAGAGACATTTGACAGGTAATTGACATTTCTGAGTGATAATGCTCAAACTCAGCTATGATCAAACACTGTGAAGTATTCTTCTGAAACGAACTTTCTATAAATAAGAAATAAAAATTCAATTATGGGAGGACTTCCAGTTTCATTTCTGATATATAAAATGCTTGGCAGTTGTCACTCCATCTTTATGAGATAAAGCTAAACAAACTGAAAATCAATGACTTTTCTTAGATCCATAAGAAAACTGAGGTTGCACAGTAAACTGCCACAGCCCAGAATGTGGAGAGATAGGTGATTCCAGAGAGTCACAGTAGAAATCAGATCTGCTTACCTGAAGCAGAAGTGGCTAGAGTAATAACTGGTAGGTACAATTGTAATTGCCCGATGGGTTCTTCCTGCCCATTACACAGACCAAATCAATTCACTGAGACCAGGGCATTGCAGTAAAGAAAGAGTTTAACTGATGCAAGGCTGGCCACATTATGTGGGAGAGAGTTATTACTCACATCAATCTCCCCATAAATTTGGAGGCCAGAGTTTTCAAAAATAGTTTGGAGGGCAGGGGGCTATGGTATGGGTGCTGCTGATTGGTTGGGAATGCAGTCATAGGAATTTGGAAAATGGTCCTTGTGCACTGAGTTTACTTCTGGGTGGGGGCCACAGGACTGGTTGAGTCATGGATCTGGGTGGGGCCATCAAATTGTCAGAAATGTAAAAACCTGAAAAGACATCTCAAAAGGCCGATCTTAGGTTCTACAATAGTGATGTTAATTACAGGAGTAATTGGGGAAGTTACACATGTTGTGACCTCCAGAACAATGGCTCGTAATCATTTAACTATGCCTATATTTTAGCAGAATTTGGGCTCCTCTTATTCTTCTAATCTGGTGGTCTTTTCGTTAGTTTTACAAAGGTGCTTTAATTTTGGGGAAGGGCTATTATCATTTAAAGTATAAACTAAATTTCTCCCAAAGTTAGCTTGGGCCAAGCCATGGAATGACCAAGAGCAGTTTAGAGGTTAAAGGCAAGAAGGGGGTTGGTTAGATAGATCAGATCTCTTTCACTCTCACAATTTTCTCACTGTTGTAATTTTTGCAAAGGTGATTTCACACTTAAATGGTAATTTTGCTAAAACTGGAGGCTGAGTGTGGACTAGCATGAGAGTGAAAAACTCTGGTGTCTGCAGCCTTTGGGGACTTCGTACTTCTGTGAAATTTACCTCCAGGAATCATACCAGGTTCTCACACTGAATAAAGATGAGAAGATGCACTCATGAAGATCAGAGGAAGATTCACTCATGGCTTTGTCAGTAGAGGGGAAGTTTAATCATTGTGAAATATATGCAGAGAATTTTCCATAAAAAAGGCCCACTCTTCAGGAGGAAGATTTTGCCAGAACTTTAACACAGCTGGAATAAGGACCTTCTTCCCTCTCCAGCCCCCTTTATTTTTATCTTACCTAAGAGGAGTGGGACATAGTCAACATGCGCCAAAGCTTTAAGGAAATAGATTAGAAACACTGCAGCCCAGAGAGACACAGGCCCACCAGAAAACTGAGATTTAATTGTAAGGTCATAAAACACTCTTTCTTCCCCATATCTTAACACCACAACCACTGGGCTCCAGTATAATAACATTAGATTATAGCTGAAAGAACTCCAAAATGAACTCTCTCTGAGGAAGTCCAAAGTTTCTAACAGGAAAGATAAAAACAAGAACACTAGAGTTGAAGCCTCTGGTACCTGTAGCTACAGAAAACACTAAACACAGCTCAACTTCCAGCAAAGTAACATAAATCCTCACTCTAAATGCCTATTTAGCTCAGCTTCTATTACCTGATATAGTACGTCCAGCTTCCAATTAAAGAATTACAAGTCATGACAAAAGGCAAGAAGAATACAATATGGGAAGACAAAGCAAAGATAAGAAACAAACTTGAGAATGATGACAATATTAGAATTCTCTGAAAGGGAACTTAAAATAAATATGATTAATGTGGTAAGGAGTTTAATGGAAAAAGTAGATAACACATAAGAACTGATGGATAAGCAGATAGATGGAAACCCTGAGAAGGAATCAAAGGAAATTCTAGAAACAAAAAACACAGCAACTGAAAGGAAGAATGAATGTCTTTGATGGGCTCACGATTAGACTCAACATGGCTAAGGAAAGAATCAGTAAGTTTGAACGTACATCAACAGGTATCTCCCGCCAGGTCTGTCCTGCAGACACTGGCGGAGTGACAGATGAAAGGAGTACTCAGACACAGGTATGCAGTGTAAGAGCAGCTAGGGAACTGCCCGGCACTAGTGGCTGAAGAGTGAGCAGTCCCAAACAGCTGGAGCTGCTTGCTGTTATTCAGTACAGACATAATGCTGAAAGCCTGGAGCAAACACAATCTGTGGGTAATTAATATTATTGTTCATCCTTTCAGGGAGCAGTTACATGGGTGGATGATCAAAGGTGGGTTTCCAGACAACATAAGTAAACAAGTCTATTTAAGGTAAATTATCCTACACTCTCTTGTACCTATTCTTCACCCTCTGCCTCAAGGTAAGAGAACAGTTGCCCTCAGCTTATTCTCCCCTGAAGCTATGCAGAGCCTTCTGACCTTTCAGAAGGCCTGCTCGTTTCCCTATAGCTTCTCCAACCACTCTGACCAGTCTCCTACAATTTCCCAAAGTGAAATATAATATTACTCTACCACACTGCTGGACACCAAATATATACCACCCCAAAATATACTTCTTTGGCATATTTCAAGATGGCTTTTAAGAGAAACTGCAGACACATAAATAGCTTTTTGCAAAAGACAACTTTATTAAAAAGCTGTCCTTTTACATCTATCTACATCAGTGAAGTAAATAGCAGATGCAAGCAGAGGCTTTCTCTTAGGCCCCATATCAGCCTAAATACAGATCTTGGAAAGGTCATATTGAAACCTTGCCCAGAGATCACAACAGGCTACAATCTATTCTAAGGGCTGCTACCTGAGATACTTTATCTACATATTAAGACAACTTTGTTTGCAGTGCAGTTCCTCCCTTCACCCTCCTGTAGCTTGTCCACATCATCCTCCAGGAACCCCCTGATCCCTACTCCATTCTATGTTGTATAAAACTCCAGTCATCTTATCTTTTGAGTCTTAATTTTGTGAGGCTCTCGTGTATATGCACATAATTTGTATGCCTTTTCTCCTTTTAATCTGTCGACTGTCAGTTTACTCTAGAAATTCAAATTTTTCTGTCTTCAAAGGGTGGAAGGAAAGTTTCTTTCACCCCTACACTACTCGTAATAGAATACCAGAATGAGAAGAAAGAGAGAAAGAAGCAGAAGAAATATTTAAAGTAATAATGGCTGAAAAAAATTTAAAATGATCAAGACACCAAACCTGAGGATTAGTGAAAGATACCAATCCACAGCTCAGAGAACACCAAGGAGGATAAATGCAAACAACAAAAACAAAAACACTTCACATACCTAGGAATATCATGTTCAAACTGCTGAAATTTAAAGACAAGAAGACAATCTTTAAAGAAGGCTGGGGGGAAAACGAACCAAATTATCTATATTTTAAAAAGGAGAAAAATTACAGGGGATTTGTTGTCAAAAACTTTTCAATGAAGAGAATGGAGTGAAATATTTAAAGTTCTGGAAGAAAAAAACCACCAATCTTGAATTCTGTATCCAGAGAAATTATCCTTCAAAAATGTAGGAGAAATGAAGATTTTCTCAAACAAAAACTGAGGACATTCATGGCTAGCAGACCTGCTATGCAAGAAATGTTAAAAGAAGTTCTTCAGGGAGAAGGAAAATAATGTAAGTCAGAAATGAAGATCCACATAAAAAGAAAAGCATTATAAAATAAATTAATGAAGGTAAAATATCTTACTTGTATTGATTTAAAAATAACTCTTCAGGTACTAGTGACAATGTATTGTGTGATAAAAAAGAGTCAGGCATACTCTGTTATAAGGTACATAGAAGACTAAAATGTGCTACCTCAAAACATGCCTTTTTGGCAAAAGGAATATTTTGAATTGATTACTTTAAGAAACTGCAGACACAGGAGAAGCTCTGAAAACAGAGAGATTATCCTTCAGTAAGGAAAACTTATATCAATAAAGAGAATGTCCATTCTTAAGTGTATCTCCCTCTTTGTATCAGGCAGAGAAGGATGACTAAGTTAGCCTTTGCTGATGCAGAAGACACTGATTTAAGTCTACATAACAAACCGTATTCTTGTTTATTGTGCTTTTCCTGGTTACCTTGCCATTACTGGCCTCTCCAATACTCTTCTTTGTTTAAGTTAAAGATGCTATTTAAACTTGAACTCAAAGCCACCTATTTTGATACTATGTAAAAAATTATGTTGCAAACTCACACCCTAAAACTTTTTCTTTAAAGAGGTATAACTGACATACTCAGAGAGAGATAAAATGGAATCGTATAGAATGCTCAGAGAAGGTAGAAAAAGCAGGAGAAACTTCAATTGTGCAAAAGAGATTGGAAAAAGAAATTGTCTTAAGAAAAAAGCAAGTCTAATACAGCAGATGAATTAGAGTTAAAAAATGCATTCCCTTTTTTATGTTTTTCTTTGAGACTCTTTTAGGTTTTATGATATAAGCATATTCCTCTTTTATTCTTTCCTTGCCTCACAGGATGGGGTATAAGACTCAATCATCCACAGAGTGTTTTGTGATCTTTTGATCAAAGACCTTATGAAAGCAAAGTAGCATTATTATTTTGAAACAGTTACTGGCCCTGGGTGGGGGTGGGGAGGATGTATAACAGAGAGAGAAAAATGGAAAACATTGAAAGAATGCAGGTCATAAAAATCTAATGCTAGAAAGAATAAAAGCTATGGCCACTTAAAACACATGCATACTTAGTTAGAAAGTGAAAATCCACTCAATCAAGCTAGTCATTCCATCTTTGCCAGGGCTGGCTTCAAATGTGACTATTTTCCATTCATTTGCCTGCCTAGTAGACTGAATAGAATCCTAGGCCATCTCATTCAGTTGAAACAGCTGAACTGGTTGTTCGTGTGGACACAAGCACAATTTAAGTTGCTTGAGCGCTTATGCAAGTCCCACAGGGTGGGGGTTGAAGAAAGAGGAAAGCGAAGGGCAATGTGGAGGAGAGGGAATCCCACAGTGTTGCTGGAGCTGGGGCCCAGAATAAACAATGCGCAGTGACCTATTTAGCAAATGGAAATGCAAACCAGAGAAAGCAGCCAAGGTCAGGGACACACATCCTCTCCTGCTGAGATGATTTGGGATGCTCAGAACAAGAAAATGAATAGCTCACATGAGGGAGTTTCCTTGAATTCCCCTGGGTGATAAATCACTGACTGTAGTGAAGTTTCTGCTTTTGTAAAACTCCGTTAAATAAATGGCAGCAGCAAGCTGAGGTCTGGTGTACATGCATTTTCCTTCTTTAGCTTAAAGGCAACATCCAATTAAGAATCTTTTTGGTCCAGCCTGTTTTTATTAAAGCCTGGATTGCCTTCCTCTCCACCTGTCCCCCAAAGTTACCAGAGAAGCCTCTGAAACCAGACTCACTTTAGACCTCTCAGGATGAAATGCTTGGACTCAAATGCTTATTTCACAGTATACATTTTTTAGGTGATTTAGTGTCCCAAAGTCACTTCATTTTATTCAAAGCTTTATGTTCATCAGGAAGAAGAAAGAGGTCAAACTGTGTAGCCCAATACCATAGAAAGCCTCAGAATGAAGTAAAGAAAGATAGTGTTGGTGGATTTCTGTCTATATCTGTATTATCTGACTATCTATGTATCTATCCATCCATATTGTGATCCTAATTCTGATAAGATATGCATAGAAAAATAACTACCAGAAAATGCACTGAAAGGTTCAAAACAAGTGTTGTTAGGTGATAGTATTATAAGTGATAGTTTTCTTCTTTATATTTTGTTGGTATTTTCTAACTTTCTAACAATTTATATCAATGCTGTCCAATAGAAATAAAAAGATAATGAGCAGCAAATGTACCCACTTATGTTATTGTAAATTTTTTTAAGAAAAAAGGGTAAGTTAATTTTAATTACATATATTACATAATTTACTACATCTAAAATATTATTTCAACATAAAATTATTGAGATATTTTCAATTTTTGGCTATCAGCTCTTCAAAATCTGATATACAGTTTATACTAACAGTACATTTCAATTTGGAATAGCCATATTTCTAGAGATCAGTGGCCATTGTATTGGACAGTGCAGTTCTACAGGAAAAATAACCGTGTGTGTGTGTGTGTGTGTGTGTGTGTTTGTGTGACAGAGAGAGAGAGAGAGAGAATAATAAGAGAGAATGATAGAAATAATGTAGAGAATTGTTTCCTAAACTATTCTGTGGAACCCTAATACTTTCATGTCTCATGAAATTCTACCAGATAGCAAAATAGAAAAATATTTGTTGCAAAGACATAGAAAAATATATGTTGCAAAGTCAAATAACTTTGGAAATTCCAGGATAAGCAAAATTAAATCACTTTCTCTGCTGTAGGACTCCGTAAAGCCTTTAATATGCTAATATGCTTCATAAAGCTTTAAGAGAAATATATGGTTTACTACTATTTTCATTAACTTTTCAGCAAAAGCCTTGATATAGTTTGGATTTGTGTCCCCACCAAATCTCATGCTGAATTGTAATCCCCAGTGTTGTTGGTGGAGCCTGGTGAAAGGTAATTGGATCATGGAAGTAGATTCTCATGAATGGTTTAACACTATCCCTTTGGTGCCGTTCTTGTGATAGTGAGTGAGTTCTCACAAGATCTGGTTGTTTAAAAGTGTGTGGCACCTCCCCTCTCTCTCTCTCTCTTGCTCTTGCTCAGGCCATGTGCTGTGCCTTGTCCCCCTTTGCCTTCCACTATGATTGTAAATTTTTTGAGGCCTCCTCAGAAGCTGAGCAACATCATCTCACAGGATACATGGAACAATTTTAGAAACTTTGATGTAGAAAAATTAGCAAATGAAATAAACAAAAATATGCACAGGGAGTTAGTATTGAAATGTTATGCTTTATTGCAAGTATCATGATCCTCTGTGTGTGTGTGTGTGTGTGTGTGTGTGTGTGTGTATGTGTGTGTGAGAGAGAGAGAAAGAGACAGAGAGAGAGAATGAGAGAGATACAGAGAGAGAAATGGATTCACAGAGTATGCAGTACATTAACTTAATAATACCTCCTCTTCCATTTATTTTCACATGTACTATTTTAACATTACAGTAGTTCTGGGGAGCAATGCAAAATAAATGTAACAGGGATTATGTTTCTGTTTTACATAAGATAGAAAAAGGGCCTCTGCATATTAAATGTTTATTGCCATACTATTAATTTGTTGCAGATTCATGAATTTTTGAATTTAGAACTGCTGCATCCCAGCTGTAAAGATTTTCTTTTAAACTGTACTATTTTTTTCATATTCTCATTTTAATGTTTATATTGATGCAAATTCAATTTATTCCCTTAGTGGTAAAATGGAATATTGCTGTCATTCTCTTACCTAGATGATGCCTTAATTAGATAATAAAATGCATTTAGCTTCTGAGAAAACCACAAGCTGCTTGTCGTTAATTTCATCTAGAATTTCTTGTGTCATTAGTAATTTCTCCTCTCTTCCTCTTTTTTTTTTCTACAAATATTCTTGATCTCTGAAACTTTTGTTCTCAGAGAGATTAAGCAGAAATAAAGTCAGATGCTTAAAGAAGGTCAAAATTTGAGCTGAGTATATACTAGCACTAGGAAAGTCAGCATAAATAAAAAGGAATACTTATATTTTCAAATAATAATTTTACAGAATGATGTTGTGTTGGAGGGTTTGATTATCCTAAGTCCAATAAGGACAACCAAGACAGTATGCATGTTCTTGTTTGCCAACAGTTATTTGAGCCAAATTGAAAAGTTGTCCTACCATAAATATGTAGAAATAATATCTGAAATGATAATTTTAAATGCAGGTGAACATTAATTTTCATTTAGCAAAAGCTGCACCTGAAATACTTCAGGAATGAGAGGATTGGAGCTAAAAAAAGTTTTTAAACTTTTATTTTAAGTTTATGGGGACATTTGTAGGTTTTTTATAGAGGTAAACTCATGTCACAGGAGTTTGTTAGACAGATTATTTCAGCACCCAGATGTTAAGCCTAATATGCATTAGTTATTTTTCCTCATCCTCACCCTCCTTCCACTCTTCACACTCAGGTAGGTCCCAGTGTCTGTTGTTCCCCTCTATGTGTCCATGTGTTCTCATAATTTAGTTCCCACTTATAAGTGAGAATATGTGGTATTTGGTTTTTTGTTCCTGCATTTGCTAAGGATAATGGCCTCCAGCTCCATCTATGCTCCTGCAAAGGATGTGATCTCGATCTTTTTATGGCTTCATGGTATTCCATGGTGCATATATACCACATTTTCTTTATTCAGTCTACCATTGATGGGCATTTGGGTTGATTCCATGTCTTTGCTGTTGTGAATAGTGCTGCAATGAACATACACATGCATGTGTCTTTATAGTAGAAAGATTTATATTTCTTTGGGTATATACCCAGTAATGGGATTGCTGGGTTGATGGTAGTATTGTTTTTAGCTCTCTGAGGAAGCACCACACTGTTTTCAACAATGGTTAAACTAATTTACACTCATACCAACAGTATATAAGTGTTCTCATTTTCTCCACAACCTCACCAAATGCTATTTTTTGAGTTTTTTATAACACCACAATATTGTGGTGAGTTATTTTTTGACTTTTTAATAGTAGCCATTCTGACTGGTATGTTATCTCATTGCAGTTTTGATTTGCATTTCACTAATTATCAGTGATGTTGAGCTTTTTTTCATATACTTGTTGGCTGCATGTGTGTCTTCCTTTGCAAAGTGTTTGTTCATGTCCTTTGCCCATTTTTTAATGTTTTTTTCTCTTGTAAATTTGCTTAAGTTTCTTATAAATGCTAGATATTAGAGTTTTGTTGAAGGCATAGTTTGCAAATATTTTCTCTCACTCTGTAGGTTGTCTATTTACTCTGTTGAGAAGTTTCTTTTGCTGTGCAAAAGCTCTTTAGTTAAATTGCATCTGTCAACTTTTGCTTTTGTTGCAATTGCTTTTGGCATCATCGTCATGACATATTTGCCCATTCCTATGTCTGGAATGGTGTTGCCTAGATTGTCTTCCAGAGTTTTTATAGTTTTGAGTTTTACATTTAAGTCTTTAAGCCATCTTGAATTTTGTTTTGTATATGGTGTAAGAAAGGGATCCAGTTTTAATCTTCTGCACATGACTAGCCAGTTATCTCAGCACCATTTATTGAATAAGGAGTACTTTCCCCTTTGCTTGTTTTTTTCAGCTGTGTCAAAAATCATATGCTTGTCGGTGTGAGGCCTTATTTCAGGGCTCTGTATTCTGTTCCATTGGTCTATGTGTCTGTTTTTGTACCAGTACCATGCTGTTTTGGTTACTGCAGCCCTGTAGTACAGTTTGAAGTCAGGTAGCATGATGCCTCTAGCTTTGTTCTTTTTTATTAGAATTGTCTCAGCTATTCAGACTGTTTTTTGGTTCCATATGAATTTTAAAATAGTTTTTTTCTAGTTCTGTGAGGAATGTCATTGGTAGTTTGATGGGAATAGCAATGAATGTATAAATTGCTTTGGGCAGTATGGCCATTTTAATGATATTAATTCTTCCTACCCATGAGCATGGAATATTTTTCCATTTGTTTGTGTCATCTCTGATTTCTTTGTAGTTTTCATTGTAGATGTCTTTCACCTCTAGTTAGCTGTATTCCTAGGTATTTTATTTTTCTGTGGTAATTCTGAATGGGATTGTATTTCCGACTTGGTTGTCAGCTTGACTGTTGTATATATATAGGAATGCTAGTTATTTTTGTATATTGATTTTCTTTCCTGAAACTTTGCTGAAGTTGTTTGTCAGCTGAAGGAGCTATTGGGCTGAGACTATGGGGTTTTCTAGGTATAGTTTCATGTTGTTTGCAAACAGTTTAACTATTTGGATGCCCTTTATTTATTTCTATTGTCTGATTTTTTTTTTTTTTTTTTTGAGATAGAGTCTCGCTCTGTTGCCCAGGCTGGAGTGCAGTGGCATGATCTCGGCTCACTGCAACCTCCATCTCCCAGATTGAAGTGATTCTCCTGCCTCAGTCTCCTGAGTAGCTGGGATTAGAGGCACATACCACCACGCCTGGCTAATTTTTGTACTTTTAGTAGAGACAGGGTTTCACCATGTTGGTCAGGCTGGTCCTGGCCTCATGATCCACCCACCTCACCCTCCCAAAGTGCTGGCATTGCAGGTGTGAGCCACCACGCCTGGCCCAGGACTTCTAATATTATGTTGAATGGGAGTGGTGAGAAAGAGTATCCTTGCCTTGTGTCAGTTTTCAAGAGGAAGGCATCTAGTTTTTGCCCATTCAGTAGATGTTGGCTGTGGGTTTGTCATAGATGTCTCTTATTATTTTGAGGTATGTTCCTTCAATAACTAGTTTATTGAGAGTTTTTAATGTGAATGGATGTTGAATGTTATTGAAAGCTTTGTCTGCCTCTATTGAAATAATCATGTGGCCTTCATCATTAGTTGTGGGTTTATATGATGAATCATGTTTATTGATTGTGTATATTGAACTAATCTTACATACCAGGAATAAAGCATACTTGATTGTGGTGGATAAGCTTTTTGGTGTACTGCTGGATTTGGTTCACCAGTATTGTACTGGGGGATTTTACCTTGATATTCATCAAACATATTGGCCTGAAGTTTTCTTTTTTGTCTGTATCTCTGCCAGGTTTTGATATCAGGATGATGCTGGCCTCATAGAATGAGTTAGGGAGGAGTCCCTCCTCCTCATTTTTTTCAGGACTAGCTTCAACAGGAAAGGTACCAGCTCTTCTATGTACATCTGTTAGAATTTGGTTGTGAATTGCTCTGATCCTGGGCTTTTTTTCAGTTGGTAGGTTATATATTGCAGATTCAGTTTTGGAGCTCACTATTGGTCTGTTCAGGGATTTAATTTTTTCCTGGTTCAGTCTCGGGATGATGTTTGCATACAGGAATTTATGCATTTCTTCTAGATTTTCTAGTTTGTGTGCATAGAGGTGTTCATAATGTTTGCTGATAGTTATTTGTATTTTTGTGGGGTCAATAGTAATATCTCCTTTATCATTTCTAACTGTTTTTCTTTGAATCTGCTGTCTTTTATTCTCTGCTCTTCTTCTATATTAGTCTAGCTAGCAGTCTGTCTATGATATTAAGTTTTTCAAAAGACCATCTTCTGCATTTGTTGATCTTTTGAATGTTTTTTGGTGTCTCAATTTCCTTCAGTTCATCTCTGATTGTGGTTATTTCTTGTCTTCTGCTAGGTTTGGGGTTGGTTTGCTCTTGGTTCTCTAGTTCTTTTAGTTGTGATGTTAGGTTGGTAAATTGAAATCTTTCTAGTTATATTTTGTGGGTGTTTAGTGCTATAAGTTTCCTTTTTAACACTGCCTTAGTCGTGTCACAGAGATTCTGGTAGGTTTTTATCTTTTTTCTCATTAGTTTCAAAAAACTTCTTGATTTATGCCTTAATTTTATTATTTACCCAAAAGTCATTCAGGGGCAGGTTATTTAATTTACATGAAATTATATGGTTTTGAGCAATTTTCTTTGTCTTGATTTCTAATTTTATTGTGCTGTGGTTCAAGAAAGTGATTGGTGTGATTTCAGTTCCTTTGTTGCTAAGGATTGTTTTATGTTCAATTGTGTGGCCTATTTTAGAGTATGTGCCATGTGGCATTGAAAAGAATGTACATTCTTTTGTTTAGGGGTGGAGAGTTCTGTAGATGTCTGTCAGATCCATTCGATCCAGTACTGAGTCCAGGTCCTGTGTATCTTTGTTAATTCTCTGCCTAGATGATCTAATACTGTCAATGAAGTGTTGACGTTTCCCACTATTATTGTGTGGGAGTCTAAGTGCCTTTGAAGGTCTCTAAGAATTTAGTTTATGAATTTGGGTGCTCCTGTGTTGTGTGCGTATATATTTAGGATAATTAGGTCTTCTTGTTGAACACTTTACCATTATGCAATGCTCTTCTTTGTCTTTTTTTTATCTTTGTTGGTTTAAAGTCTGTTTTGTTTGATATTAGGAATACAACCTCTACTTTTTGCTGTTTTATCTTTGTTTGGTAGAGTTTTCTCCATCACTTTATTTTGAGCCTATGAGTGTCATTGCATGTGTGATGGGTCTCTTGAAGACAGCATAGCATTGGGTTTTGGTTCTTTATCCAGCTTGCCACTCTGTGTCTTTCAATTGGGGTATTTAGCCCATTTACATTCAATGTTAGTAGTGATATCTGTGGATTTGATCTGTCACCATGGTGTTAGCTGGTTATTAGGCACTGCATACTTGTTTGTGTGGTTGCTTTATAGTGTCACTGTCTGTGTACTTCAGCATGTTTTTGTACTGACTGGTAACACTCTTTCCTTTTCATATTTAGTGCTTGTAAAGAGCTCTTGTAAGGCAGGACTCATGGTTACAAATTTTCTCAGCATTTACTTGTCTGAAAAATATCTTAATTCTCATTTGCTTATGAAGTTTAGTTGGGCTGGATATAAAAATGTTGGTTGCAATTTCTTTTCTTAAAAATGTTGAATATTGGCCCCCGATTTTTTTCTGGTTTGTAGGGTTTCTACTGAGAAGTCAGCTTTTAGTTTGATGGTCTTTTCTATGTAGGTGACCTGACCTTTCTCTCTGACTGCCTTTAACATTTTTTCTTTCATTTCAGCCTTAGAGAATCTGTTGATTATATGTCTTGGAGATAATCTTGTATAGAATCTTGCAAGTGTTCTCTGTATTTCCTGAATTTGATTGTTGGCCTCTCTAGTGAGGCTGGAGAAGTTTTCATGGATGACAACCTGAAATATATTTTCCAAGTTGTTTGCTTTCTCTGTCTTTCTCAGGGATACAAGTGATTTGTAGATTTGGCCTCTTTACATAATCCCATATTTCTTAGAGGTTTCATTTGATCCTTTTCATTCTTTTTTCTTTATTTTTGTCTAACTGTCTTATTTCAGAGAGTCAGTCTTCAAGTTCCAAGAATCTGTTTTCAGCTTGATCTATTCCACTGTTAATACTTCCAACTGCATTGTCACATTTTTTAGTGTATTTTTTCAATCTATCAGATCTAAAACCATATATACACTGGCTGGCTATTTTGTCTCTCAGCTCCTGTATCATTTTATTATGAGTCTTAGTTTCCTTGCATTGGGTTTTGCTATTCTCCTGAATCTCTGTGATCTTTGTTCCTATCTATATTCTGAATTCTATTTCTGCCATTTCAGCCAATTCAACCTGGTTAAGAACACTTGTTGGAGAGCTAGGGAAGCTGGGGCTTCCCTGCATTGTGAAGAGTTAGGTGGGAAGATGGGACTTGTGGGAGACAGACTAGCATTCTCTCCTTCTGTCAATTCCAGCTTGTTTGAAGTATGGATAAGGCACTTAGAGTCTTTGAATCTTCATTAGTCTGAGGGTATCAGGGGTAGCAAAGCTGCAAAGATGGTGGCAGAAGGGCTTTCATTTGCTCCTGGGGGCTCCATTTCCAGCAAACACAGAGTTGCGGTTACTTGGAGTGTTCAGCCAGTGTGGTTGGACAGTTGCATTGCTGGTATGAGCTTGGGGCTCTGCTTGCTGGAGAGCAGGGGATTGAGGGTTCATGACGGGGAGAGACTGGTCTCCTTTCCATGTGGCAACTGTGGCATGCGGCAAGCTTGGGTGTAGCCCTCAGGCTCTTTGTTTCTTCCCCTGACTGAGGGCAGCAGGGATAGAACCACTCCTGTGGCAATGGCAGAGGGGCTGTTGGATGTCTTTGGGAGCCTCTCCCTAGGGAGACTCTGGGCCACTACCAGTGGCTATAATCAGCCATGAGTGGGGATGACTGTTCTGTGGTCAGGAGCCTGGGACCCTGCTTAATGAGGAGTGGGAGCTGGGGTTCCGGGGGAAGAGGGGTTGGACTCCTTTCCGTGTGGTGGCTGCAGTGTGCTGAAGGACCAGTGTAGTGACTAGGTCCTTTGTTCCTTTCCCAACCCTAGGGTTGTTAGGGTGGTACTACTGCAACTGCAGTGGCAGAAGGGATGTAGGTTGACTCTGGGATTCCCTCCTTGGAGAAATGGTGCGCTGCCTCTGATTGAAGTGGTCACCTGTGGGCACAGTGGTTGTGCTGGAGTTCCAGATTAGGCAGCGCTCCCCAGTAAGAAATATGGACTGAAACCTGTGTAAAGAACAGCCTGACCACTTTTCCATGAGGTGGGTGCTCTATGTTGGGGGTCCGGACCAGTTCTTGGTCCCCATGAACCCTCTGCAGCCTGGAGCCTGGAGACAGCAAAGGTTAGGGCTGCAAGACAGGAAAGATGGCAACCCGCCCTTCCCTCTGGGAGCTCCATCTCAGGAAGGAATAATGCTGCTACTGATTGCTGGCTGGGATCCCAAGCCAGTTGGTTTTATCCTGTGTGGTGCTATGGGAGCAGGGCCTGTAGACCATTGCTGGTTTCAACCCCTTTCTGGGGGGTATGTACGAGGATCTAACCTCCTGCTTTGACAGAGTTGCAGCTGCTTTTGCCAGGGAGCCTGGGTATCTAAGGCTCCCAAGGCCCTACATGTTCCTTAGTGGATGCTCTGCTGAAACTCCACGTAGCTCTGTGTGTCAGACTGAAGGCCCTGGTGGAGTAAATTCACAAGGGGATCTCCTGACCCAAGAGTTGCAAAGATCCATAGAAGTGTGGATCCCTGGGGTCACTCACTCACCACTCCCCCTGGCTCTGCTGTTGCTCCCAGGTGGACAGTCATCCTACCTTGCTTTTTTCTGTTCTCCATGGGTCGAGTTTTTCCTGATGAATCCCAGTGTATGTACCTGGATGTTTCAGTTCAAGGTGCTGCATTTATTTGCCCTTTCTATTTCTCTCCATAAGAGGAGCACACACTAGCTTCTTCTAGTCAGCCATCTTGGCCAGCCTCATAAGGAATCTTAAAGATCAGCTGGACAACAACTCCTTGGGGAAAAAAAATTAAATTACATTTGCTGATCCCCTTTTAACTTTTACTTTTTAAAAATATTTACCTAAACTTAAATGATGCATTAGATTTATTTCATGTTCAAGACTCAGCAGCTAGTTTCATTTTTAAGAATTAAAATTCTTTTTCTTCTTTAGAGACAGAGTCTTGCTCTGTTAATGAGGCTGGAGTACAGTTATGTGAACATGGCTGAATGCATCCTTGACCTCTTGGGCTCAAGTCATCTTTCCCCCTCAGCTTCCCTCATAGCTGGGGCTATAGGCACATACTACTATACCAGCTAGTTTTTGTTTTTTTTTTTTTTTTTAATAAAGGTGTATTCTTGCTATGTTGCCCAAGTTGGTCTTGAATTCCTGGTCTCAAGTGATCCTTCTGCCTCAGCCCCTCAAAGTGCTGAGATTACAGGTGTAAACCACCACACCCAGAAAAAATCGGTGGCTCATGCCTGTAATCCCAGCACTTAGGGAGGCTGAGGTGAGAGGATCACATGAATCCACGAGTTTGAGGTTACAGTGAGCTGTAATTGCACCACTGCACTCCAGCCTGGGTGACAGAGCAAGACCCTGTCCAATAAATAAATAAATGTTAATTGCCCCAAAATTGAAAATGACGAGGAAAAAATGAAAAATTACCACTCCCCTAATGTCCTTAGATTGTGAATATTGTTTGACATAAAACCCTATAGTCTCTATAAATACAGAAACATGCACAGTGACACACTGAAATATTACTAATTTATATCTTGCTTATTTCAGTAATTATTGGTGATTTTTAGTGATACTACTTTTAAAACATAGCTATTCATAGCTATATAGCTTTTTGACACAATGGGTAATTGTATTACATTGAACCATTCTGTGATTGTTGCATACTTTCAAATTTTTTACTTTTTATAAATAATATTGCACAGGACATTATTTTATTGTCACTGTTGAGTCACATATGTATTTTGAAAAGAGATGCCATAGACAGGAACTCCTGCATTTACCAAAATAAAACATGTCTCCCAACTCACCATTCTAGTTAGCAGAGGAGTTGCTGCTTCACCTGTTGAAGGCTCTGGCTTATGCCACAGATTCTACGTCCTGCCTTTCCTTACTTATCCTTGCTCTCAGTTGAGTGATCAAATTCTCTTGAATTACTCTTCCCAGTGATTTTAAAAATATGCTTAAATATCTCCATTAAAAATAAATACAGGCCAGGCGCGGTGGCTCACGCCTGTAATCCCAGCACTTTGGGAGGCCGAGGCGGGTGGATCAGGAGGTCAGGAGACGGAGACCATCCTGGCTAACATGGTGAAACCCCGTCTCTACTAAAAATACAACAAATTAGCTGCGCGTGGTGGCGGGGGCCTGTAGTCCCAGCTACTCAGGAGGCTGAGGCAGAAGAATGATGTGAACCCAGGAGGCAGAGCTTGCAATGAGCAGAGATCGCGCCACTGCACTCCAGCCTGGGTGACAGAGCGAGACTCCGCCTCAAAAAAAATAAATAATAAAAAATAAATAAATAAATACAAAACAAAAACTGAAAATTCTCACTTGAATCCCTAGTGCATCTCCAGCTACTGATTGGCACTATCTCTCTCTCTTCTGCCCTCTATCTTCTGAATTCCACTGGAATATCTAATGGGGAGCTGACCACTGATGTGTATTTTACTATGTCTGGGTTTTTTTTGTTGTTGTCTTTAAATCTTTTTATTTGCTTCATGCCTTTGTCAAACCCCTTTTTTCCTTTGTCACCCAGAAAATGCACTTCTGCTTTTTCTCCCATCTCTGTAACTATAATCTCTCTGTCCCACGAGCAGAGTTATCTTCTTCTGACCAAACATTAAATGTAGGAGCTCAGGTTTAGGCTTTTTCCTCCTCTCATTTTCAGTCTTTTCTCATAAAATCTTACTCAAACTTATGCCTTCAATTACCAGCTATATACTGATAACTCACATTCCTCTTTCTAGGTCAGGGCTCTTTTATGAATAAGTAACTGCCCATTTGATATCAGCTTTTCAATGACTCAGAGGTAAATCAATCCCCACCAGTCAAAATGACTTATAAGTGGCCCCCTACACACACACTCACGCACAGACACTCTAGCCTTTACAAGCATTTTGTATCTCAGCAACTGGTACTACCATGCATCCAGTTAGATGATAAAAAAAATTAGAATAATAGTATCCTTATAATGGCCCACCATTCATAACATAGAGACTATGTTACTGACACTATATCCTAAATATCTCTAAAATCTATGCCTTTTCTATCCCTGCACACATTCTGTTTTAGGTCCTTGTCCCCTCACATTTTAGTCTCACATGTTACTCTGATTTGTTCTCCTTACTAAACTCAGAGTGATCTGTAAGAAACACAGAAATGACCATCTCACCACCTTGCTTAGAAACCTCCAAAGACTTCTCAGCTCTCTTAGACTAAAATCAAGCTCTTTAACAATACCTCCTTTTGACCCTTTGGACCTGTTTCTCTTGCTCTATCTTATACCCATTCCCTACATACTCTCTAATCCAGTCCTTCTGGCCTTCTGTCAGGGTCTTGTACTCAGCATGCCTCTCCCCATTCTGGGCCTTTGAACTTGCTGGCCTTTTCATCAGACATTTCACTTACTTTACCACTGTCCTTCAGACAGTTATTCAAGTACCACTTTTTCAGGGATGTCTCCTCTGACATCTTGAACTAAGTCAAATCCTTACTTTGTTTTCTCATAGCAGCAGTGCATCTACTTTCATAGAACCAATAATAGGTGGAATTAACTTAGTTGTTAGTATGATTATTTGATTTTTTTTTTTTACCTCAAAACAAACTACATGTGGGTGAAAATCCTGTCTAACATGTTTTCTTCATTTGGTTAAACCTAGCAAAGAGCACAGTGACTTGTACATGTTTGATGCATGGTAAGTATTTGAAGTGTGCATGAATAAAAATTTCCAGAAGTGGGGTTACTGAACCAAATGATAGGAATGTGTTGACTAATGATTTACTATCAACTGATTTTCCATAATATTTGTAGCGATTTACTGATTCGATTTTTTAGAGATTTTAGTAAGCTTGTTCTATGAAATAAATCATGTAAAGTGTTAAGAGAGCAAACAGCCATCCTTGCAGGGTAGGTACACAGGTGTGATAGTCATGCTTGTAATGGTAAGAGGTGAAACATTTTTATTTGTTTTATTTTTACAATAAAAGCTGTCTGGGGAGTCAGATCGTTATAGAAATGAAAGATCTGGTGAATTTCAGGCAAGTCAGAAATTTGTGTATTACTGTTTCCAATATAGATCAAACAGTTTATAGACACATAAAAGAAAAACAATTAGAAAAATGTTTAATTTTCTATATCCAGCTAGAAACATCTTACAGTTTGATCAAAAGTGGTAGCATGTGCAAGTGATAACTTCCTGGTGATAAATACAAGGTTTTCTAAACACATTTACTGGTTAACACTAAGATTAGATTATTTTAAGTGACCACCCAGATGGTTACTGTAATCAAAGCTATACTTTCTAGTTAAGAGAACTATTAATTGGGAAAACAAAGTTTAAGTTTAAGAATAGTACTTCCATCTTAATGCATTTTATCAAGATTAATGCATCATCTGTGGCATTGACATTTTAAATAAAGACAGTTAAATATGATAAGATGGGAGGTTTAGGGGTTATTGCTACTCATTGCGGTTCATTGTTGCATTATACTAGTATTGTTCAGAAACCAATAATATAGCCTAGACACCCAGGAATGTAGTTTGGGGCCTTAAATCTCTATACAATTCAAGAACCTACATATCTTTTCTAGAGAAAAGTGTCTTTGATAAACCAAGCATGACCAGCACACTGAACTTGAAAGTTGATATGGGTATTCTCTCAGCATCAACTGTGAGCACATCCACTCTTGGGGTTTCTCTTTTCCTCTGATGTAATTTCTTTCCCTCTCCTACTCATATTTCTCAGCATCTACTTTCCATGGATTTAACTAGGCAATGACAAACAAACCTACAGGGAAATGAAAGTTCCCTTTCCTTATGAGAGAATTGTTGACCATGCTTGCATATCCACTCAACTTATTTTTTCCAATAGTTGTTTTTTCTTCTGATTGTTAAGGCACCTAAGAGTAGTGCCTGTGCTATTAATTTGGTGCAAAAGTAAATACTCTTTTTGCATCATGATATATAAAGTTTGGTCCATGTTTTATCTTGCTTTTCTAGTGCTATCACTTTTTGAACTAATCATCCTCTGTTAGTCTGTTTCATTATAGCTGTATTATCGGTTCCTACAGACACATGTAATGTATCTCTCAAGAGGTGTCACATGATGCAGTTATAAATAAATATATAATTATTGCTTGGTCCTTTGGTTTTTGTAAATCACATGACCCTACTAGGAATTACTGTTTAATAATAAATTGACAAAAAACAGTCACAACATCCCAAAATAGATGATTATTCATAGTACATTTTCCCAAAGCAACCTTATTTTCATAGATCTGAAAAGCACTGTAAGATTGAAACATGTTCATTGAAACTGTGATGCCTGGTTGAACTCCAGCAGGCTGATGTGCTCATTGCTCCTCTCTTTCCAGTAATAAGAATAATAATAATAATTGAATCAGTCCTGAAGTCCTCTGCCTTGGGCATCAGGGAATCTGAGATTATCAGAGGGTATTCCAATAACTTCTGTGTGTTCAGGTGTGTGGGTGGGTGGATGTGTATTGGAGAGATGTTAATGGCCAAGTAAGCAGAGTCTGTTGGTGAAAGATTGCATTAGCTTTCATATAACTGGGCAAATCTGACTGTAGGAACTATAACAACAAAAAAATTTATTTGAGGGTTTAGTAAAATAGAGGGTTTTGGAAGTCAAGAATATGTCTATCTGCCCATCTAGGTTCTCTTCACTCATGTGGCCTGTAGATGTGAGTTCCATGTTTCTCCATGAATTCTTTTTCCTTGTCAACATGACAGTAATATTGGTTTGTTGTCAGATACACACAACAATGTTAGGAAGGGCATTTTGAAAAAACATCAACTCTCTAGACCTACACAATTTTTACTGCCTTGCCTGTGACTGAATTGTATTATCTTTCACCATAAATTATCATTGATAATCAAAGAGAAGACCAATTTTTATCTCAAAATAAACCACTTGTTGTGTACAAAAGCTTACATTTTGCTCCATATCTCTTAGATATGTTAAGCAGCGTAATTTCAGCAATGTATGGATATCCATTATTATCTTTCTTTCCCTCATCACCATTTACTCATCCTCATTTCATTTAAAAAGGGCACATTTGGGCTAATATGAAGAGGAGAAAAAGATTTGAGCAACTCTTTCTCAATTTTTGGTTAATTCTCAAACTGTGAAACTCAATCGTGCTTGAAATGCTGCTGGGGGTGGGGGTGTGGTTGAGAGTCAGGGGTGTCCTTTCTCCATAATAAACATAAATGTAGTTACTCTGGGGAATCAGATTTTCACAGGACTTCAAGGACTTTAAACTGTTGGGCTGAGACCTCACTTAGTGTATTGTTAGCAGAAAAGTTTCATGCCAGCGTCTCCTACATAAATACCAATCAAGCCCTGTTGAAATTGTCCACAAGTATATTTCATTCCATTATACATATAATAGGAACAATGAAAAAATCTTTCTCCCTGTTAGGCTTTTCTATGGCTGATCTAAAATACCTGAGAAAAAACCCATCTAAATCTAACCATCTAATCTAAGAAAAGATTGGTCCATTTTGCTAGTTTAATAAGGGCAGTTTCAGTGTTCACTGGTGCTGAGCCACTATAATTATGCTAAAGGAGGGGGGCAATATCAACAGGAAAGCTGCACATAATGCATACACTGGCACACACATGTACGAATGCATATGCATCTCAGCAAATCAGCTAGATAGAAAAATAGATATCATGGCTGATATATCTTTTTATAATTACTGTGTGTCAGGCCATACAATGTGTGTGTGTAGGCCTATATGCATCTATATTTATTATTTTTGCATGAAATAGACTTTCCCACCCTTAGGTATGTATAGTATATTATGAGGCAGCAATGAGATTCATAGTGAGAGAGTGGCCTTAAGTCAGAGAAAAAGAGAAGGCCACTTTAGCAACATTGCCCTTGCACACCTGTGAATCAGTGTGTATACCTTGTCAGTAGATATCTTCTTGATGAAAAATATGTGCAAAGAGCTTCACTGTTTGGCACTTGCTCATACTCGTAACTTGAACAATATCATTCCTCCGTTATCAAGATCATGATTTGCATGTCTTCTGGAATTGTCTTAGGCAATATTTGTTTTAAAAGTCCCACCACCATCACCACAGTCTGCTAAACAGACTTCCACCAGCTGGAACAGCGTTCTGGGCCCTTCAGTCCAAGCTTCTCTCCATTTCCTTTCAGAGCTCAAGTAAAAGCTAATTTTTTATTCTTTCTACACTTTTTAAACCTAAATATGTAAATATTTTTCAGTCTATTATTTCTTAATTCTCTATTGATCCAAATGAATAATTCCAGGTCAAGAATCTCTTGAAGGTGATTATGGGAAGCTGTAGACAAATCACATGTCTGTTACTATCATGAATGGGATCTATATAGTTTTATTCTTTAAGAAAATCATTCAGCATTTTCTTATTGCTATTTTTTTTACTCACTTGACAACACAGTTCTTATCTCATGAAAAAAAAAGAAGAGAATATGATTTATGTATTCCCTTCAGAGAAGCTGCCTCAAAACGCAGAAGCGACTTTGTGATATCACCTTTGTGTCAATGCCAATGCAGCACAAAAATGACGATTCCTTATCAAGAGCAGAGGGAATGATTTCTTCTGATACCTCAGAGATTATTTGATGAGGAATTATTAAAACCAAACAGTTAGTTAAATTCTTCAGAGTGAACTTCAGATCCCTTTGACTTGTGAACCTCTCCTCCAGATCAGAAAATTCCTCTAATGTGGATAATTACAATGATGGCTGGCCTGAGAAAATAGGCCACTGAAATGGGCTTTGTGTGATTCTGTTAATTGCTGCTGTAGACAAGCAGCCTGGCCCTTTATTCATGCCTCGCAAACCTTTTGTCAAATGAGTAGATTATTTCTAATGCATATTAGATAGGATGAACTCATCTTCCAAGAAGGGCATTAATATATCTGGTGTCTTTTATTTTTATTTTTTTTTCTAACTGAGAGAACTTGCTTTAAATGCAACTTCAGCTTCAGGTTGGTTTTACTAGATATGTGCCTTAGCATCCTTAGCATTCTGCTGACAGCCAAGTAGCAAAACCACTTATTGGCTTATGGGTTCTGATTTGATGCTGGTTGTGGTTATACTATGTCAAATAAAAATAATTGCTAATATGGCAGCATATGTATTTTACCACGGTCATTCTCTGTAAGTGTTAGACGTGTAGCTAGCTTCTGGTTTAAGATCTAGAGAAGCACTAATGGTTAAAACAGTGGACTCTGAAGTCAGAGGTCAAGGTTGAAATCATAAAAGGAAAAAAAGTAAAATAATATATTAAAGCTTGGGCACACATATTATACCATTTCCTGCTCTAGGAAGGACTGAACAAGCATGATAATGAAATGATCTTTCTAACTCAGAGGAAATATGACTCTCTTTGGAAGACAGCATCTGACTAACAAAACGGAACTGATGGCAATAGGGATAGTAGAGGTTACAAGGTCTGCTGATCCTAATGCTTTCACTGTTTTCTAAATTGAAGCTACTGCTTATTTTTCTGAGTGGGACTTCTCGTGATCAGACAGAGTTATACATTTCTTTGTTTGTTAATCCATATGCCTTTGACCCAGTGATACACTAAGCAGCTGTGAGGAGCCGCTAGTGTTAGACTCCTGTCTTCATTCTACATAGTAGTTGGCAGTTGCTTCATGAAGGTACGCCAGGAAAGGAGGAATCAAGAATGCCCGAGCTCCAGAATTCACTGGAAATATTAAGTCTCAGAAACACCTACCATCTTGTTTACATCTTTACATTTTTGCACCATAATTTTGACAAACATATAGAGGCTTTCACATTTTTTCTCCAGCACTGGAATTTCGAAAAGCAGGTGAAAGAGAACCTTGTGTAGAGAGAGTCAAGGAGATGAGGAAGGGGGGTAAAAAGAGGAAAAGTAGCAGAGAATAATCTTGTTAGCAAATTTTGGAGTTCTGATGCCAATATGTATAGGTTTCAAGGTCATTTAAGAGCTTAGTTCTTATTCAATAAGAGATTTTAAAAAGACAAGACAAATTACGTTATGTGTGCATTTATGTTAACATTGTGCGTGTGTATAAACATATCACTGTACAGCAATATAGAAAATGTACAGACTTCATATGCCATAGGTAGCTGAATACATCTCTCATTTGTAAGTGATATTTGTTTCTTGTCACTAGCAGCAGAGCTCATATACATTTCAAAAAATATTTGAATACAGAAATATGTCATGTGTTCAATTTGCAGCACAATTACTGTAAAATGATATTATCAGAATGATTATAAATAAGCCGTTGTGTATTTGCTGAAAAGATAGGGAAATATAGTTTTTGCATGTTTGTTTTATTTGAGTAATTTACCAGAAAAAAAGAAGAACTAGCTGATGTCGTAAAAGAAGTCTGATTTTACACTTCACAGCTAATACACAATGAAGATTTTAGGCAGAAGCTGAACAGGTCTTGCAGTTGCAGATGCTTTGGTGGCAAGGAGCATAAAAATCAAAGTTGTCGACTACAGAGAGAGGTTTAATTAGATAGTTCAGTTCCATGGAACACCTTAAAATTCTCAGGGACCTTACGGGTTGGGTGGAATTATTTCCTATGAATAAGTGGCAATGAGATTTGTGAGTTGCTGTCATGCTCAGACTGACGCTTCAGGACAGATGCCAATAACCATTGTTCTGCCTTCCTTCTCAGTCAGCTGTAATCTAGAACATTTTGTCTTTAGTCTCTTAAGAGCTTGAGAATTAATTTGAAAAATATGAAGCAACATGTAGTGCTTTCCTATATTATGGGATCTAAGAAAGCAAGACATCTGGGCACAGTGGCTGACATCTATAATCCCAGCACTTTGGGAGGCCAAGATGGAAGGATCTCTTGAGCCCAGGAGTTTGAGACCAGCCTGGGAAACATAGGAAGACTGTGTATCTAACAAAAAATAAAAAGAAAATAAATTAGTGGGGTGTGATGACGTGCACCTGTGGTGCAGCTACTCTGGAGGCTGAGGTGAGAGGATTGCTTGGACCTGGGAGATCGAGGCTGCAGTGAGTGGTGATTGTGTCACTGCCCTCCAGCCTGGATGACAGAGTGAAATCCTATCTCAAAAAGAAAAATAAAAAAAAGTGATACAAATTATTTTAACACTAATTGAAAAACCAATGGAACAGAACAGAGAGCTCAGGAATAGACCCAAATACAAATGAGGGCTTAGTCAAATCAATAAAAAGGTAGTCTTTGAAATCAGTAATGAAGTATGAATTATTCACAAAACATTGTTGGAACTCACTGAACACTTCTTAGGAGAGGAGGATCCATGCCTTATCCCTTATAGCACAAAACATTCTAGCTAGTTAAAAACTGCAAAGGTAAAAAGTAAAAGCTGAATATGCTAGAAAAAAAGTGGGAGATTATTAAAAAGTCTTCTGTTGTGGGCCTTTCTCATACTATACATTACATAAAATTTAAAAATCATTAAGGAAAGGCTTGCAAATTACATGAGAGAAATGCACATAATATGTGCATTTATTAGGAACTGTATTATTGTAGTTAAGTATGCCTAGATTTGAGATTGAATCAGCCGGAAAAGTGAAGAGAGACCACAGGCTTAAAATATATTACATTTAAATACCACTCACTAATGAAAGTTGAATTTCTGCATTCCATAATGTCTCTGTGTGTGTTTGTACATATATGTGTAGATAATGTATAGAGTTTGTGCATATGTAAATGTACAAATGTGTGAATACAATATTTCTCTTTTCGCAGTCTTCATCTATCTTCTACTCCTAAGGCAATCATACTTACTCACTAATTCAATGTATATTTATTGGAAAATTTTTACATGCCAGACACTGTTTTGGATGCCTGAATATGTAGAACATCAACAACAACAACAACAACAACAAAAAAAAACAAAAAAACAAGCCCTGCTCTCATTGTCCTTTTATTCTGACAATAATGAATTATTTCCACTGAGAGGTACTCTGACTGCATAACATAGGTAGGCCTTGTCTTCTTTTAATTTTCCTTCCTAGTTTCCTGAAACTAACTAAAAAGGGGTTCATAGGTGCTCTTGAGTTGAAAAGTTCCCCAACAGTACATCTCCCATAGATACTCACAGCCCACCATTGTCATTGCCACCATGCCCTGTCCATGTGCCAGGAGCTGCCTTCTGAGGCTTTAAAGAGTTATCCTAAGGTAACAAACTCTTTTATATTGGATTCCTTTGAAAGATCCATGAAAACAAAAATGAATGCAAAGAATTTATTTTGGAACCAATCTCAGAAAGTACAATGGGAAAGTGAAGAAGTGAGACAGGCAAGGGAGGCAAAATGCACCACTAAGGGGGCATTAGTGTAGGAAGTGTGCATGAGTATGTCACACAGCTGGATGCTGTGATGAGTGGGCAAATGGCGTGCACTCCCCCTGAGGGCCCTCTGAAATCTGAAACACCACAGAATTGCCCAAATAAGGGCAAGGAAGCATCCTCCAGGAGAAAGATCTTGACGTCAGGGAGGGAGATCCGGTCTTCTTGCAGGGAGCCATCATGTTGACAGAAGACATTTGGGGTGAGCCAAGGCAGTGGCAGAGCCTTATCTGCAAGCCTCATTGCCCTGTGACCATATTGAAGCAGGGGATACCCTCTTTCCAATCCTGTGGGTCCTCCATTGTCTCTTGCATGCCACAGCAATGTAGCTTGGTACTTGTGGCCCAGACAGCCTCAGGTGAAAACAAGGTTCTCTCTCCTTATGATCTCTCCTTAGGGTCCAGAGAGGACACCCCTGGGTTGCACATAGGGACTGGTATCATGCATTTTTCCCCCTCACAATTTCTTTGCATCCCAAAAATAAAGAAACTAAATATTTTTCAGCTAAACAAACAAACAAACAAAAATCTTCAGTTAATTATACTTCCTGTGGTTCCACTGTTGTGTTGGATGAATATATCCACACAACGAACCTACATGCAAGTTTAGGATTGAAATGTGACCCTAATGTGTGTGAATGTGAATGTATGTGTGTGTGTATGCGAGTGTACATCCTGTGCGAGATGCAAAATGTATATATATGAGGTGAGTAAAATCCTATTTAATCTTATCACTAAAGACTGAAAACACAAGACTGTAATCCAGAACAGATGTCATCTCGCCAAAGTTACTGCACTGTAAACAATTTCTTTCTTGGGAGAATTTTTGACACTGAGAAGAGTTTTAAAGTGAGACCCTTAATAGTTGGCTGCTGCATAATAATTTGAGTTGAGAACCTTATATAATTTATAATCTTTGGTGAAATTTTTGAGTTTCTACTCTTACTGAAGGATGCAATATGAATAGCTTTATGGAAATTTGAGTATAATTTTTCCTCAACACCTACTGTATTTGACACTAGCTCTCAATGCAGTATGAAAACTAATTCCTCAGTAGAAGAGAACCTTTGGCCAGAAAACTAGGCTTGCCAATTGCTCAACAAGCCCTCAGAGAGATCTACAGTGCTCTAGACTTTCTTCCAGGCAGGTTCCAGGAGTGCAAAGGGGGAAAAGAAAGACATTGTGCTAATTACTAGCATGATGTCCCCACAAGAGGAGGACCGAAGAGTTTGCAGGTCAGTGGGATGTCAGTCTGTGCATTTGGCCTCTGTGCCTGGCTGTCATTCTTGTGGTCTCAAAGAGAGAATGCGTTTCTTGTTCTTTGAGAGAAGCAACTCCAACAGGAAAAGCTGAACACAAAAATGAATATACAGCCACTCGGTATTATTGGAGCATCTCATTTGTCTGTCTCTCTTTTGAAAGCAATTAACCCAACAGACATTCAGAATTTCCAGCTGAGGTACAGTGTGTTGTTAAAAATGACATCTCTGTGACCCTGAATTCTGAATTTGTTTCAGAAGCAAAGATGCCAACTGGATGTCATTCTCAGAGAGTGAAATTTGGAATACAAAAAGTGACTGAGTAAGGCTACCAAATTAGACCAATTTGAAAGTTTTGTAGGTGAATGAGGGGTGCGTAAGTTTTGTTTTGGAGAGCGTAAGCCATTATCCAAATAAAAAATACAATATTTGCATAGACTATTATATAGTTAGAGCTTATACATTATGTCACGGATTCCATTGAATGCTTTGTCTGAACTCCTACAACTCTGTCAAGTTAAGTTCCCAAAAGGTTAGCCTCACATCGATTTGGTATATTATTGTAAATTATATTTTGGCTTTTATTGCACAGTCTAATTGTTTCTGTGATTGTCAGTCTCATTGCTACAGATACCTGGGTGTTCTTATCTATCCAACTTTATCTTAACCACTACACCTCTGGCTCACCATTCTGCAGATGAGTTGCTTTGAATAGACGACTTAAATAAACCAGTTCTCCTACCTTTGTACATAATTTCCTCTAACTAGAACACTTTTTCCTCTGTGTCAAATAATTAGCCTTTCATATTTTATCTCAACTCAAATATCACCTTCTCAAAGCAGTCTTCTCTAATTAATCAATAGCATACCTCACCCAACTATATGACGTTTCAGCACCCCAATTTTTTTCTTCTACTGCACTCATCAGCATTTATAGACATATATTTTTATGTGTGCCTGTTTATGGTGAGTACCCCCAATACACTGCATGTTCCATGAGAACGGGGTCCATGCTTAACTTGTTTTGCACTGTCTATAGAGTCCAGCTCAGTGCTTGGTATATATAGATGCTCATCTATTTTCAAAAATAATTCAGTGGATCAATTGATTTAAATTTTTATATAATGTGTGTTGTTTAAGTTATTCTATACTCAGCTCTGGGCTATAGTCACAGTGTCTTCCGTCCCTTTTGTCCTTTATGTGTAGCTATCACTTCACAGATTCACATTACAGCCCAGCCCAGCATATACCCTGACATCAGCTCAGTTCCTACCAATAAAATAAATATGAAAACAGATGCCAGAAGGAAAACCTTGCTTTCTGAAACTCTGGATTGTGATGCTGTCAAGATACAAGAGCACAAGGTAGAAAGAAGAATCATAGAGAAAGGTTTTAATCTAGATGGTAGTGGTCCAGAGAACTGGATCCTTGACTGACTTTAATATCTCGACATGCTTCTTCCTCATTTCTAGTTCTTGGATATGTCCCAAGCCATGGTTCCTATCTGGTCGTTGGATCCCTCCAGTGACATATTTCTGGCTATCCTTCTCTGCTCACCTTTAGGCTCATTGAACTCCAGACTTGTTATTCATCTTTACGTTTAAGAGGTGAATTATTGTAGATTTTCTGTCCTCAATTTCCATATCTCCTTAATGAGCCTTTTATGTTTCTGCATCCTTTAATTCTACATCTCTTGATGTTCTTTACGAATATTTTTTCTCCTGCTCTTGATGCAATTTGGTCATCTTTCATTCAATTATTTATTCATCAAATAAGGAATTTATTATATGCAATTGCCACTGTGTCAAAATAAAGACAAATGGAAGTACTTCTAACATTAAGAAATGTATAATATTCAAGAATCAATATTTTAATAAAAAAGAGACTGATAAAATGATAGATAGATAGATAGATAAAGATAGACAGACTGACCTAGACAGAAATACCCCAAGAGATAGATATGCAAATGTGTAATTATATCAACACAGAATTCAAAAAAAGAAAAGAAGAAAGCTAATAATATGTAAGACTTTATTGCGAAGGAAAGTACTTCTGACTCACAAAATCAAGTAAGACTACAATGGAAAATTAGCATCTCTTCTGGTCCTCTTAGGATAATTCATTAATACAGTCTGTGGGAATAACACATTCCAGAGAGAGGAAGATATGAGTTCAGCCCTAAATGCAAAAGGTATAGAATATCAAATATATGAGTTACTTGTTGACATCATGTTGCCTTGAATAAAGAGAAATAACTTTGAATTTGTCTGAAGAAGTTAGCAGGCTGGACTCCATATAGTAGGTGAAATGAGAGGTGGAGAGGAGAACACTGAACACTTTTAAGTAAGAGTGTACCACTAAGTTGTGTTCCAGGCATAGTAATCTGAAAGATATGTTCCTGAAATATGGTGTAAGAAAAGACAGTGATTGTTACAGAAGAATTGGTGGGTCTTGGCAACCAGAAGGGTAAAAAGGTAAAAAGTCTTCAATTACAGGTGAATGGGATGATGATAAACCCATTGTCAGAAATGGGCAAGTCAGTGGAAAGCTGGTCTGTACAGTAGAGGTCAAGTTTGCTTCTAGACCACTGAGTTTAAGGCTGGCTACTTAGTTCAAAAGTAACATTCCACCACCATCAGTAGAAAGTTTATAATTTTGAGTGTGAAAATACAAGAGCATGAGTTAGAGGGCAGAATCATATGGAAGAAAGACAGAGGATTTGTCAAAGAGAATATTAACGAAGAGAAAGAATCAACAAAAATGTTAAAAGATATGGGAAGGTCAAGAGAGACAAGGACCAAGACAACATGTTTGATTGTGTTAATTTGAAGGTCACTGATGATTCCTGAATTTCAACAGAATTATGATGGTAGAAATGTCAATAGGGAGAGAGTTGGAAAGAGAGTGGATAATATAAAAATGGAGGCGGATGATGCTGAATACTCACTTGATGTGTGTAGTAAGAGGTAAGAGGCAAGTAGGATGAACAGGGTTTAGTAAGGGTATTAAGAGAAACTTTTTCACTCTCCTGGCCTTATGTGTGGATATGGATATGAAAATGACCTGTTTCCTTTAGAAGCATGTACTACTGTCCCAAGTATCAAATAAAGATATTAACATGCTAATTGACATTAATATTAGTCTAATTAAAATTGAGTATGTATGAATTTATTGATCAAATTAGGTTAAAGTGTATTGGGGTAACCTAGGGAGATTTTCCTTAAGTTTCTAAGCAAAAAGATGGTTCACGTAATCATCCTGCTATTTGTAGCACAGTTTTTTTAGGAAAAGCATGCTGAATCTCAGATTCCTAGGAAAAATAGTACCCAAGTTGTGGTGTCAAAGCAAGGATTAAATGTATTCATACATCTTCAAAGTGCTTTGCAAGCGGCAGAATACTGTAACAATTACTACTAATAAAATACTAGTAAGAAAATATGCCTAGACATGGCATTTTCTTTTCAGAAGTAATTTTTGAGCTCCAAATATTTTCCAGATGCATTTACTTAGTATTTATAGGTTACCCCAAATCATGCTAGGTCCAATGTAGGACACAGAGGTCAGCCTATCCTCTACCCAGAGGATTTACAATCTGCCATGGTGTCAGCCAAGTTTTGTAATTTTATGCTCAATTAACATCTGGTTAGAACTTGTTCAGTTAACAAAATGCTTCCCTCTGAAGATAAATCATGGGACTCTCTCACTGCAGCTTGGAATCTTTCTGATTTGGGATGCTTTGTGAACATAAAGACATTCTTTTTTATTCTAGTTTGCATCATCCAACTGAGTTCCTGCTGCGAAGTGTCATTATGATGGCAGCTCCCACTGAGAGGAACACCAGTCCCACTCAGTGAATGGGGTGATTGAAGCAGACAGACGTTTCAGAACAGTGCTTTTAAAAATGTTCCTTTTACAAAATCCATGAGTGTATTTTCATGTAATTAATATTTGTTTAACCACAATGATTTTCTTACGAAAGTCATCTTTAATGATTATTTGCTTGCGAGTACCAAAAATAACTTAAACATTGTCATTGTTTTCTCAAGGTATACCTACTCAACACCATTGCACAGCTCATTTTAGTGAAAATAGAAAAGCAAGACAAGCAAACATTATTTGGCATTTTATAATCAAAAACAACTGATGGTTTTAGATACCTTTTAACTGGGCTTATTATGGCATCGAAGAAATTATGTTTCTACTGTTTTTAAATATTAAACAGATGAAATTGATGTAAGACCTGATGCTTTGTTTCAAAGACTGCACACTTGTTATCCTCTCCTGGGTCATGACAAATTTAGGTAAAGTTTACAATAAGCTGTAAAGGAAGAACTTTTGTGGCCCAATAAATATTCGTTGATCATAATAATAACCAAAATTATTATTTTCAAAACTTGGAGTAAGGGAAGAAAGAGGTTAACAAAATGTGAAGTATATTAATATAGATCTTATTAATAATTTTTGTTGCCCTTGAGTGCTAAAAAAGGTGATACTGCTAATTTAAAGAGACGTTTGAACTAATTTTTTTCTTTATTAGCATTGGCAAAATTTGTTCTTTCTGGTCCTTTTTGTTCGTGGAAATATCATGGGATTCATTACTGAGGCATGTTCTGCCTTTGGTATTAGCTGTTACAGCTGATCTTTTCTGTGAGAATATGTAACCTGTGGTAATAGTCTTTTTTAAAATATACATATTACTTTAGGAATTTCCCCCCATGATATGATCTTCTTATCATAATGGTTTGTTCTTTTTGATGCCCCATAACTTCTGCATTTTTGTTTATCATGTTTTTGATTATGCTCAGAAACTTGAACAATGTCAAGAAATGGGGAATTGTGTCATAGGTTTTTGGACATACTCTTTATTCTCTTCCTCTTTTATTACCTCACAAGTCAATGAAATTTTCAGAGCTAATAGATGCAACCTTTAAAAAGCATTTATATTAATAGCCTTGAAATACTTCTAAAAGTGAGGTTATGGTTTTCATATTTTCCTGTTTTCTGCTTTCTGATAAGTTGCCTCAGGTTAGTTCTAGAAGAGGCAAGTATTGCCAACCAAATTGTGTTATTTGCTCCCAAATATATGTATTTTTCCCTCTATCTGTTGCTTGGCTCCATATGGAGTACAATAAAATGGAGCAGAGAGAGGATAGTAAAAATAAGATTGGGTGTTATCATGACCAGATGGGAAGGGGCAGGGACCTGGTCTAGTTTGCAAGTACACTTGTCTTCGCTTTGTCACTGTGTTCAGCACTTGCATGTGGCATAAGCGAAGACAGGGTCATCTCAATTCATTGTTAATTAAATGTTTTGGCTGGAAATCATATCTCCATATGGTGGAATACACCAGTTTGAAGTAAGTGCTTCAAATTTGGCCACAAAAAAACAGCTGCCCACAAACATATGTCCTAACTCACAAACAGTCTCAAAGAATTTCAACTTAATGCAGAATCTCTGCTTTTTTCTGAAGCTCAAAGATAAGCTTAAATACACATCTGCTCAAACCATTGCTGATGTGGAACTCAGAGGAAAAATCAACAAATGATAAAAGGCTTCCAGTATAGGTCATGGAGTATATTTGGTTCAAATTCAGAAATATGAAAGTGATACCACAGCAATACATTTGGTAGCCCTGGATTATAAATATGTATCTCATAAGCCACAACTTTCTAATTTTAAGTTTCTGGTGCTACAGTCAAAACCGTAAGTCAAAACAGTGCCTTTTAAGAGATACTACTGGAGATGTAAGAAATTTATTAAAAATTCCAGTAAAGCAGAGGATTATGCATGAGTTACAGACCACATTCATTTTTCCCAGTTGTTTTGTGAGGAAGGATTAAAGGCTAATCCCCTATAACAAATCATTAAAACATCACTAATTGGTTAAAGACAACTACTTTGCATTCTGTTGTCGTTTCTTTCCATATGGTATATCCTGGGCATATGGCCTCTGCTTCTGCCCTTTTCCCCCACCACATCACCCAGCTCTGCAAGGTCACCTGGTACAAGCTTTACCAACAGCCACCATGGCCCCTACTACAACACTGGTATTCACACAGAGGCATAATCCACCTTTGAACATTGACTTCAGCTGGGCTGTACTTTAATCTTCCCATATAGGAAAGGCCATCTTAAACTACTCCTCAGTCCTACTAGAGCAATAATCTTTTGGGATTATCAGGTATGGGCATCTAGCTACTTCTCTTTACTTATTTGTATTTTCCACAATTGCTTTTGAACTCTTAACTTTTATATTCACAATTTCAGAATCTATTAAATGTCTCATTACATGCCTATGCTCATTTCTATCTTGTTATAAAGGGTAGGGTTTTCCTGCCAATGGTGCAACTCTTTGCTTAGATGATAAAGTTGATATTCAACTTTCATTATATGAAACAATGATCTTTCTCTTGTAAATTTCCTAGTAGCAATTTCCTAAAAATATATCCAATTTGGTACATTTTCAGAAATGCAGAGTTATCTTTCTGCTACAATCTCCATTCATTATCTTTCTTTCTCAAAAGCAAACAGAAAAGGAAATCCTTGAAAACTTCATTATAAAAGCCACTAAAATATAAGTACAACAAACAATACTGTAAACTCTTTGAAGGAAATTTGTGCTAAAATTACCAAGGGATGATATGTTTTAAGAATACCCATGGTGTATATATATGTGTGTGTATATATATATATATAATGACCAACTTTGGAGTGATTTGAACTGTTAGGCTACAGTTATTTAAGCAGACTCAAGGTCATTATATTTTTGACATTTAGTTATCCCCATTTGCAAGTGAGAAATCACAGTTACTAGCATATAGTTAGCTTTACATAATAAACACTCCTCAAAATATTTCAAAGAATTTCAATAAAACACAGAACATAGGCTATATCCATAGCTTATTTAAGACTTTTCTTATAAACTTTTATTATGTTGCAAATGCCATGTAACTAAAGCTTTATCAATTACATGGTCCTATCATCTCATTATTTGAAATATTTAATTAAGGAATATTTCTATGTCAAGGATTGATTATGGGAGTTTTAATCAGAGGTTAAGCTATTAAAGTGGTTAAACCGATTCATCTACCAGCATGGTTATCAATAAAACATTTTAGCAATTAATTTTATCAGAGAATTGACAAATATGGGAGGCATGTAAATCAAATATATACTTTGTAAGTAATTTGCAGTTTAACTTAAGTATGATTTAATAATAACATTGCTAGAATTAACAGGCTTGGGCAGAAGTAAGTTTTTAAAGCTACCCTAAAACATAAGAATCTAATTTCTGATATGTTTCTAATTTATTATTTAAATTGAATTTTCCACCCTTGAGTTAATTCATTTATAGCTTATTTTGGAACATTTTACTCAGTGCAACCTTCTAAAAAGAATGTTTACCATGATTTTCTCTTCTTTTTTTGCCAGAAATGAATATTAAAATATGTCAGAATATGAAATGTTATATAATTTGATGGAAAATTTGAGCCATATTCAAAAATGGAATATAACAGATATACAGATTTCTTATCTATATAGTTTTAACAAATGCATTTTTTACTTACAGTATAAGACAATTTATTTTTATCATTTATATGAGGATAACCACAAATAATTCACAGTTGATTATGGTCAAGCCTATTTATCTACTCTTAAATTTTAACCAATATATTTTACTCAATTTCTTTTTAGGACATTTTTCTTCTTACCATGAATGTAGTATTTTTGAAAGCTGCCAGACTGATAGCTCTGTTGAATGAAAGCCTCTATTTAACCACAGATGAGCTACGATATGGGACGCAGCAATGCATAATCATCAAATTTCTGTACTGGAGGAGGCATATTTGCTTCTCTACACATGTGATGTGGGCATATCCAATTATAACCACTGAAAATTACACAGCTGTAAGGAGAAAACTGACTTATTAAAATATTGCACACACCGGTCACTATTGGTTACCCAGGTTAGGATCCAAGGGCAGGACAATGGAAACAGGAACCCTAAGTAGTTGTTTTGTACTTTCTTTTTCTTTTTTTGTTTTTTGAGACAGAGTCTCGCTCTGTTACCCAGGCTGGAGTGCAGTGGCGCAATCTCGGGTCACTGCAAGCTCCGCCTCCTGGGTTCACACCATTCTCCTGCCTCAGCCTCCCGAGTAGCTGGGACTACAGGCGCCCGCAGCCATGCCCGGCTAAATTTTTGTATTTTTAGTAGAGACGGGGTTTCACTGTGTTAGCCAGGATGGTCTCGATCTCCTGACCTCGTGATCCGCCCTCCTCGGACTCCCAAAGTGCTGGGATTACAGGCGTGAGCCACCGCGCCCGGCCAGTTGTTTTGTACTTTCTACGTGGCAGCTAAATTACTCATATCACTGTTTTGGGTTTCTTGACAATATTCATCTAGGGCTGAAATTCAAGCACTACAACAAGCAACATTTTAAACATGGCCAATCTATCGTATTATTGACAGAGTAAGTTTTCCAGAAAAATTACTGAAATTAAGAATTAATCTCCTTTCCTAAATGCAATTTCCATGTATTTTTTAAAGTTGGATGAGCAAGAAATCACTTATTTGTTGTAAACGTGGATTCCAGTTGAGTTATTCATGAGGCAAGTGCAGTAATATCTGTTAGATTCAGTATCTACTAAAGGTATTGAAAGACCATCTGAACAAACAAAGCAGGTCCCCATTCCTAACTTTAACATGCAAACCAGTCAGCTCTCACGTATTAAGGGCCTCATGTAGACCGTGGACTGTACTTCGTGACATAATCTTCCTGCATTCAGAGAGCAATGGATTAACACAACTAACCAAAAATCCAAATTAGATTGCATAGTGTGATATACAATGCACCTACGTATCCATCTATAGCATGATCTCTGCATATGTTTGTTTGCGGTTGCGCAGAATGGAAAGTTCCTGATAGAAAAGCTCAGGAAAAGTTGTAAGAAGGAAGTTGTATTCACGAACTGCTTAAAAAGACAGTTGAATTTTAACAGCCATTTCTAGGTGATAATAAACACACATTTTGGGGAGTCATTTTCTACCACTCATTAAGATATGGGTGATTTTGTTTTTGTGCCTGAAATAGAGCTGTATGAACAGACTATTTCAACAGAAAATTGAGTTATAAACTACTGGCATCTCTGGAATTATGACCCTTCTATTACCCGTGTCAAAACTCATTGAGTCGTACATCTAAGATTTGCATATTGCATTGAATATTAATTTTAACTGAAAAGATAAGTAAAGAAGTATTGAACCTGCTGAAGTATTTGGGAGCAGGAGGAGGTATACCAATGTCTGAAACTTTGAAATGCATAGAAAATAAGGTGGATGGTTAGATAGATGTGTATATAAAGCAAGTATGCTAAAATGTTAATTGTAGGATCTAGATGATGGGCATATTACCCATAAAATTGTTATTTCAACTTTTCTCTTTTTGATAATTTTCATAAAATGTTGCAACTGAGTTACCTTTAAATATTTGCACATGGTATCCCAGTAGCTTGGTCTAGCTAGGGTCTAGAAAACAGTATTTTTTTTTAAGCCCCCATCGAATCACACATAAACTCAGGTTTTAGAACCATGATCATAAGATGTATTTCAACTTTTAAAAGTTCTTAACCATTTTTAATCTTCATACCGAATTTTAATAGTGCCAAATTTAATATATCTTTCACTTAGTATTGTCCCATAACCCCAAAAGTCAGTGCTAAAACAGAATAAACCCTTCTTAGTTCTCTATTTTTATACTAAATGAAATCTAATACATATATTTATATCTTTGTATGTTTGTAGGCTTCCCTGAGTAACTACTTTTCTACATGATGTAGCCTCAAAATATTTCCTCAAAGGTCAGGAGTTTGAGATCAGCTTGGTCAACATGGTGAAACCCCGTCTCTACTAAAAATACAAAAAGTTAACTGGGCATGGTAGCATGCATCTGTAGGGGCTGAGGCAGGAGGATCACTTACTTGAACCTGGGAGGAGGAGTTTGCAGTAAGCTGAGATCTTGCCACTGCACTCCATCCTGGGTGACAGAGTAAGTCTCTGTTTCACAAAAAATATTTCCTCGAAGACTTTTTTTTTAATATAAGAGAATGTAAAGATTTTTTTCTTTTTGATTTTCATTAGAAACTAAATGAAAACCTTACTGAAAAGTTTATTTTCAAAGTAGATCTCCTAAACAAAACTTGTGTTTCTCAGCAATTCATTTTGGCAAGACTTTTAAAAAATTTAATAAATTCTTTTGGGCAATATTTGACCTCCTCTAAGCCACGACACTCAACCTTAGGTCCACATTTAAGTAAAAATGATAAAAAATCAATGTAGGAAAATAACAAAGCATTTCAGAAAAACAAACAAAAGACAAGCTTTTAATCCTAATGGCCAAATGTGAAACAGAGTTGGAACAGGGAGACGTCTGGTGGGATCGGGCTAATGTAAAGAGGGTTGGGACCTAGGTGAGCCCCTCTTGCTCCAGTCCTGGTAGCAGCATTGACTAGAGTGGCCGTTCAGTGCTCCCCAACTCTGCAGTGGGACCCACTGAAGAAGCAACAGTCGTAGAGGTAGGGCTGCATAGTCTCTGTGAATACTGAATACTTTGCTGTCAGGAACTCTCAGAGGTCTCTGCAGTGAAACTAGGGATTTGTCAACATATGTGAACGTTTAGTTTACTGTCAAGGGGTGAAATGTTTATTAATAATTTTTTATTATTATTGTAATTCTGGTGCATAGATTGACATTACCCCTCAATTATATGAAGCCACCACCATCGATCTACATAAACCTATCTTCATAAAAAATTTTATTATTCCAATTCATTTCTCAAACTTTTCGTGTTCTTTTTGTTTTGCATCTACTCTGCCCTTCCTATATATAACTCAAATGTATTTACTAGAGCAGCTGCATATACATATAGCTTTGAAAAAATACATAGTGTTTTTTGTGTGTATCAATTGATCACATTTTATGTTAGGTATAATTGTATTATTTTTCATACTCAACCACTTTTTGCTCTATATCATACCATAACCTTTAATCCTCACGCAGTATTCTTTCCTAGACATCTTCCCTAGAGATGAACAATCTGGTCATTTCCAAGTTATTGAAACCAGATTCCTTTATGGACCTATATGAGAGCCTCCCCATTATTCTAGTAATTTATTGGAATTTCATTGAATTTATAGATTAGTTTGGAGATAATTGACAGTTTTCCAATGTTAAGTTTCTTGTCTGTGAACTAGAGCTGGTAATCAATTTGATTTTCTTTCTATGCCCTTTAGTGGGGTTTCTGGGTAATATGCAGTTTATAGAATTTTCATAAATGTATTCAATGTTATAAGCTTCCTTTCAAGAAATGCTTTGACTACCCCCATACGAAAGATGATTTCTCTTTTAAGGCAAGAGCTATTTAATATACATTTTAGTTTCTATATACATAGATTTTTTTATAGTTGTATTTTTGTTGTCAATTTACAATTACATAGTAGTGTAGAAAAAAACAGAGTCTCTACAATGCTGAATCTTTGGAGTGTTTTCTTTCATACTTTCTCTGAGAATTATTCTGTTAATGACTTTGTGAAGGTAGGTGCTAGAAAATAATGTGTATTTTCTCTGAGGTGTAAGGAAATTATCTCTCACTGAGATTGTATATTTGGGTAACTATTAAATATAAATTTCATTATAAAACTTTTCTGTTGATGTCTTATAAATTTTTTGTTAATTTTTCTGCTTTCATCTCTATTTTGCCAATGTAAAATTCCACTCTTGTTTTACATGAGCTTGTTATTTCCAGTACATATTTTTCATCCTCTATTTTCAATCTTTCTGCATTTCCTTGATTTAAATTTTTCTCCTGTAGGCAAATTATTCCTCAATATTTTTATCTAATGTATGGGCCTTCTTTATTGATGAGTTAAATTAATATAGATTTATTGTCACTACTTTTATATTAGAGCTTATTTCTCCTATCTTATGTATCTTTTTTAATATCAATTTTTATTTCTACTCATTTTCTATTTGCTTGCACTGAATGCTATTTTGCTGGTCTAACAACTGTGTTACATTTATATTCTGTCATTAATTATGCCTCTAATAATAGGACTCATGTTATGTTTACTTCCTTCTCTCAGTTTTTAAAACTTATTAAAATATATGCCTTTCTTTAAAATTAGAGACTGCCTTGGTCTGTTTTGGTCTCACTCTAGTCTTTCCCTCTCATGTGGAGTTTTAGTTTTGAACTTTTGTGGATGTGCTATTTTACATAACTTTTAGTCATTGCTTATTTATATAATCATATATTTACTATTTTTTTCCCAATGAAACATTCTATAAAGAAGTAACCTCAAAGATTTATGCCACCTTTTGTGGGTGCAGTTCTTCCGAAAGTGCTTTAAAGAGGAAAGTTGTTATTTCAAAATAATTTTATTATTCATAATCATACAAATATATATTTGATGATATATTTATTTCACTTTTCCTTTAACTAATAGTGTAATTGGGAATGTAATTGTGGGCTTAAAGTTCTTTTTTTTTTAAATTGCCAGATGTTTGCAAATATTATTTCATGCCTTTTTCCATCTACGATGTGCTTTTTGTATGTAAAATGTTTATCCTTCCTGGATATAGAGTTTTCTACTTGTATTTGATATTTTTAAAATTTTACTGAACTATGTTTACCTGTGTGTTTGTGTATGTGTTTTAACTTGTCCTATTGGCACTTATAAACTCTTTTTAATCGAGATCTTACAACTTTCTTTAATTCTGAAAAATTCTCTGCCATTATTTTACATTTTAAGATGTTTTTATAAGGAAGTTTTGAAATCTTATTCCCTTCTTCCACTTCTTCTGGGAGGTCATTTAAATCGGTATAACAATAGCTATTTCATCTCTATTTATCTTTTTCTTTCTCATTCATTTCTTCTATCTCTTTCCCATGTGTTTGGAATAATTTTTTTTTCCTACGATTTGTTACTAAATAGTGCATTTTCTAATTGGAAACATTCTTCTATTCTGTACCTCAACTGACTTTGTTATTTCAACAATTACATATATTTTTCATATTCAGCAGTTCCAGTTGATTCTTTTCTTTAAAACATATAACTTCTTTTTTTTTTGGTTTATATTTTCAATAACTTCTCTCATCTCTGTAAAAGTTATTGGTGATTGTCACCTCTCATCTGGCTTGTTTCCATCTGGACTCCTGGTTTCTATCTATTTCTCCTACAGCCTATGTATTAGTCAGGGTTCTCCAGAGGGACAGAACTAATAGGATATGTGTATATATGAAAGAGAGTTTATTAGGCAGAATTGGCTCACACAATCTCAAGGCAAAGTCCCATGATAGGCCTTCTGCAAGCTGGGGAAGAAAGAAGCCAATAGTGGGTCAGTCCAAGCCCAAAAGCCTCGAAAGCAGGGAAGCCAACAGTGTAGCCTTCAGTCTGTGGCTGAAGGCCCAACAGCCCTGTCAAAACACTGATGTAAGTCCAAGAGTCCAAAGGCCAAAGAACCTGGAGTCTGATATCCAAGGGCATGAAGAATGGAAGGAAGCATCCAGCATCAGAGAATGATTAAAGCCAGAAGATTCAGCAAGCCAGCTTAGCCCACACTCTTCCACCTGCTTTGTTCTAGCAGCCCACCCAGATTGAGTGTAGGTCTTCCTCTCTCAGTCCACTGACTCAAATGTCAGTCTCCTCTGGCAACACCCTCACAGACACACCCAAGCCTCATACTTTACCAGCTATCTAGACATCCTTCCATCTAATCAAGCTGACACCTAATATTAACCATCACAGTAATTACGTTTAAATTACATTATGAGTCTACCTCATTCACTAGTTCTGTTTTTTTTTTTTTCTGGTGTAGACTCTTCAGCTTATTTTTCTTTCATAATGATTGAATTTCTTTGATGTTTCATTATACAAATATATCACACACACAGAGGCTCATATGCCATTGGGAATTTTAGTTATCAGGTATTTTTATTTTGTTTTCATTATCAGTTATCATCAGTTATAATTACCGTGGCCTCTGCTATTTATTTGGGGCCAGGCAAAAACCCAATACTTTACCAGCTATCTAGACGTCCTTCCATTCAATCAAGTTGACACCTAATATTAACCATCGCAGTAATTATTATGTTTAAGTTACATTATTAGTCTACCTCATTCATTAGTTCTGTTTTTTTTCTGGTATAGATGCTTTAGCTTATTTTTCTTTCATAATGATTGAATTTCATTGATGGTTCGTTATACAAATATATCACACACACAGAGGCTCATATACCATTGGGAATTTCACTTATCATATATTTTTATTTTTTATTCATTATCAATTATCAGTTATAATTATCCTGGCCTCTGCTGTTTATTTGGGGCCAGGCAAAAACCCAGGATTCTCACATACTCTTGCAGGTAACTTTAGGGAGCAGATTGGAGGCGCAGTACAGTAGGTGTAGTTTATGGTATTGCAATCCTGGCTGGTCACTTTATCCTGCTCCATTTACCCACTATTCCTACTCTGTAACCTAACCTGGAGATATTTTCCTCCAGGAAATGGAGTTTATGAAATGGGATTTGCATATCCAGGGCACCAAAAGCCTGCTTTTTATATATGTATTATTATTATTTTTAATCTGAGCTACTCTTTAGACATCTCCTAATCTTACTATTTTGTTATCAGCTGATTCTGGATGGCTTTGTTGTTTCTTGACCTTCTACATCAACAGGATAGACGATTATTATCCCAAGGTCAATAAAGGAAAAGAAAAGGGCACAGCTAGAATAACTTCTCCCACAAAGTCCCTGCTTATGATGTCTTGCTATTTTTGTTTCTGGGCTGATAATACCATCTACCTAGAGACCCAATCATCTTGTGTCTTTGTGAATGTTTCTACTAGACTTTGTATTTAGTTCTGAAAAAAAATTAAGACTCCCTTTTACCTTTTGTTTCATAACCAAATTTGACTCAGAAATCTTATTTGATATTCAGAGATTTTTAAGATTTTGGGGGCTTTAATGTTTGCATGCTTTCCATCATTATTTTTTCTGGTTTGTCATTTATTTCTTTGTTTATACAAATAGATACTGAAACCCAAGATTATATTAAATCAGGTTATAACAAGATTTTTAAAATAGTTGATATTTTAAAGGTCATTCACGATTAAACTTCTTCCTGTCATGGCAGTAAGAATACTTACAAAGTACAACATGTAACTCGGATGGCTAAAATGAAAATTGTTGATTGGAGGTATTGAAAAGTTGCAGCTGGGATTTGAACAAATAAAGTATTGGTAGGATCCCCAGAAGTAGAAACAGTAGAAAGCCATTGCCAATTCAATGGTCAAAGAGACAAGGGAGGAAAGACATTACTGGAGCTCAGTGAGAATTGGAAACGTGGAGGAGCCAATTCTAGGGGGAAGGAATCCATAGCTCCTTTGCCCTAGATGGAGGGGCCATCTAGGGGGACGCTACAGTCATGGAGGGACAGAGCTTCTACCAGAACATCTCCATGGAATTAGGAAGGGAGTGAGGAAGTAATGCACCTTTATTCTCTCCTCCCACCCTCGTGTCCTGCCAGTGCCAACCCTTGGTTGAACCCAAATAGAAGCCAAAATAGTAAGGAGGTAAGAAGAAGCAGGCCAAAGAGGTAGCTTTCTGGGGAACAGGACAGGTCAGATAAGGTTGACTAATAGACATGAGAAGAGAATAAATTGAGTATTACCAGAATTCTAGCCTTTCTGTGCTTACCTTCTATCTTGGTGTTTTATAATACTCAATTAGACGATTCTGGTAACTTTGTCACAAATGTTCTATTCCCCCTTTTTCCCTGAAAATTTTCATTTATCCTACAGTGCTCCTCACTAACATCCGCGCCTCTGTGAAAATCTTCTTTATCTCATTCCTCTGAGTTTGGTAATTTGCCTACTGTTTGCACATAGCACTTACTATTTACTTTCATTACAACAATTTTCACATTTCATCTTAATTGATTAGTGGCTTTTCATTCTTTTTCTCATCTCTTCCAGAACAGAAATTGTCTTGTCATTCTGTGTCCCTTGGGACTCCTATTATTACTGGCAGATGGTAAGTGCCCAGAAAAAAATTCACAAGTGAATAAAAGGGAGAATGAATGAGTATGAGAGTATCTTCCCCAAGAGAAAAGGAAAGAGTGGGCAAATCGATCACAAGCAAACAAGGAAAGTAGGAGATTGAGGAATTAAGAAATAAATGATGTTATCAGTGAGAACAATATAGAAGGCTTAAAGTCAAAAATAAAATGGAATTAGGCTAAAACTTAAGTGGAAAGATAAAGTCAACAAAACGAAATGAAAAACCAAAAAGCTGAACACATTTTAAAAGGTATGCAATCCAAATAAAATGGAGTTCACAAATATTTTCTGTAATTGGTAACAAAAAAATCTAATTTAGAGATGACTTTTCTTAAGGTGCTGAGAAAATAATTTTAATGTTAATTCACCCTTTTATTCTTTGATTTCAGCAAATTTTGATGATTACATTTTCTAAATCCATGATTAAACTTCTCTGCCATGGCGTAAGTGTACTTACAAAAACCAAAATGTAAAGGGTAAAGTGAGGTTGGCACCATTTTAAAACTCTGTACCCATATTTTGTTTTAGTAGTCAAAGTTTACATTTAAACTTGGTATTTGTTTATAGTTAATAAAAAGAAAAGAACATATGCTGTTATTTAAGTGCTCTGGTGAATAATTTCCCCTTATTTCTAAAGCTATAACTGATATTTGAAGACTGACCCACTCATCTAAAGTTTAGATAACTCAAGGCAGATTTTAGAAGTATTTCTTCACACTCAGGATTATTAAGTATGAAAGGACGTATGTCCATCCAAAATTCGTAGTACTCATTTTGCTAAAATTTATTTTATATAGCCTAGCCAAGACAGTACAACATTTTGCTAATTAGTAATGGCTCATTTAAATAGCCACTGGTTTCTACATATTTCCACACACGAAAAGAAGGAAGGAAGGAAGGAAGGAAGGAAGGAAGGAAGGAAGGAAGGAAGAAAGGAAGGAAGGAAGGAAGGAAGGAAGGAAGGAAAAAGAGAGAGAGAGTTTTAATAGGTTTTATTATTGAGTTATGTTAAGGCCAACAGATCAGGAGATGATTGCCATTGAAAAGATAGTTTGTGGGCTAGGCATGGTGGCTCACACCTATAATCCTTTGGAGGCCAAGGTGGGAAGATTACTTGAGGCCAGGAGTTCAAAACCAGCCAGGGAATCGTAGCAAGATCCCTTTCTCTACAAATAAATAAATGAATTAACTGGGTATGATGCCATATGCCTATAGTTCAAGCTCCTTGGGAGGCTGAGGCAGGAGGATTATTTAAGTTCAGGAGTTTGAGGTTGACATGAGCTATAATCACCCTACTGCACCCCACCCTGGGTGACAGAGTGAGAATCTATCTCTAAAAAACAACAAAAAGATAATGTGTTATACTTACAGATGGAGACACAGGGGCTCACATAGGCCAGCATGCGGTGGGGGAGGTGCAGTCAGGAGGCAAAGGGAGAGGGAAAATCTTGAGCCAAGAGCCTTTATTGTGGTTTCCTCGGGAGAAATTACAGCAGGATCAGGGTCATAGGTGCTGTCTCTAGTTGTCTAGGACCTAGCCCTGGAATGCTAAGGGAAGATGGATAGTGGCTTAGAGTACAGAGTGTAAGCTGTGCATTGGTTGATTTGCATATGAAAGTTGTGCTCGCAGGTGAGTTGTTTACTCTCTCTAGTAACTGGCTAATCCTGGAGTGAGCTGACTTCCTCTAGGGTCAGCAGGGCCTCAGATGTCAAAACATCAAAATATAGATAGACACGGTTAATATAAGAAGGAAAGGAAGGATATTTTATGAATGAATACATGAAGAGCAAATAAATATTTCATATTAGAATTCTGGTGCAAGACTAACAAAAGTGTATATGTTTTTAGTCTAGAAACGTTTAATGAAAATATGGTCAGATAAAAATAATAATAAACAGTATTATATAGAATGTTTTGTCATGGATGACCTCAAATACTATTATATTTGTAATTTAAAATATATGATCCTGTGAGTCATGAATTTATAGAAATTGACTTGCAGAACTTCAATTAATGACCTTGATTATTTTTCTGTAAGAAGAGAGGGAGAGGTTATGTGAGTGCAAGTAAATTAACCTTTCATTCCATACCCTACCAACTTCTTCTCCACTGACAAGTAATCAAGATTGTTTGACAGAAACAGCAAGTTGTTTAGCTTCTCAGCTCTCCTGCCGCTAAAATATGATGTCAGATAATTTGTTCCTGTTTAGGTCTAGCTTGATTACTTCTGGTTCCCTGAGATTTGAATTGATGAAGTTTTACTTTAGTTACATAGCAGTGTTAATAAATGCTGTCCTGTTTATTAATGAGATGCCAAAACTGTATTGTTATATTTAGAGGACAGAGCCAAGTTCATGTAACTTAAAGTAGTTGAATGTAATAAAAGGTTAATTAGACTTCATGACCTGTTTGGAATATGTCTTGGGTCTCAATACCATTTAACTTTCAATGCAAAATACCAAAATCCAGAATTAATTTATAAGATAACAATTTAATAGTCTGTCATTTAAATAGTAAATGATTCTAACACCTCCTGAAGATATGTAAAACTGAAAGAAATACTGAAAACAAAAACTTAAAAGAGGAAAGCAAAATAAGATTCAGTCAAGGCCAGCCAAAGTGTTATTTCCTTTGATTCAGTGTGAGTATATTACATGAACATTTTATTCACACTGTATACACAGGATGTCAAACAGTCCCCACTGAAGGAAGAATCATTGTGAGAGCTTTCTATAAATTATTCAGATGTATAATATGAAGAATTTAAAATACAATGCAATCATTGGGTAGAGAATATATGCTACAGAAAATTTCTAACTCAACTTTACCTTCTCATTTTCGACTGAGGGTAAGTGAAAAATATTAACTTGAAAGACCACGCAAGAACACTATTCAATGGCTAATAAAAATTTTTATAGGTGAAAATAAAACTGCACAAAGTTCTAGCCATATTGAAATCACAAAATAAAATTATCTGAATTGTCTAAAAATTCATCTAATGAAAATTTCACTGAGAAATTTAATAATTTTTTTTCATGTTTCAGGCAAACAGAATGCAAAAGAAGTCCATATCTAGAGAAATCCTGGTGGAATTTTTCAAACTTCTATGACAAAAAAAAGTCCGATGAGTTTCTAGATTTTAAAAAGTACTAAATTACTTTTTAAAAAATCAACTTTACAAACAACATGAAAACAGAATGTTTAAGAGGAAAAATTATGTGTAGCTTATAATAATAATTATATCCCAGTTTTCCTTACTTTACTGGAGTACAGAGAAATGACTTTTTAAAAAGGTATACAAGTTTTATTAAATAAAAGTCAATGTGAGCTTCTTAATATTACCATTCTGACTTAACAACAATTGTATTTATAAGAAATATGTATTTAGCTACTAAAGTATAATAGCAAAAACTAAAATATGCTTTGAATAAGAGATTTCTCTCTCCTGTGTTATATAATACTCTCCTTTTACTGAAATTTCCTCTATATAGCATAGATCGTTGAGTATCATATGAATATTACCTTGAGTAAGTTTCGGTAGTTTTGTCTTTAAAAATATGTCCATTTCATATAGGTTGTTTAATTTATGGGCTTAGAGTTGTTCACAGCATCCCTTTGTTCTTTAAATGTCAGTACAGTCTGTAGTGATGTTTCTTTATTAGTTCTTATTGTTTGTAATTTGCATTTTCTCTTTTTTTTGGTCATTCTAACTAGAAATTTATTAATTTTATTGAAATTTCTAAACAATCAGCCTTTGGGTAAATTAGTTTTCTTTTTCTTCTGTTCTAAATTTCATTGATTTCTGCTCTCATTTTCATTATCCTTTCTTCTATTTGCTTTTGGTTTAATTTGTTCTTCTATTTTTCTCTCAGAAGGAGGTTAGATAATTCATGTGAATTCTGTTTTCTTTTCTAATATAAGCATTTAAAGCTATCAGTCTCCCTCTACGCACCACTTTAGCTACATTGTCAAATTTTGAAAATAATAAGAGCTATTTATGACAAACCCACAGTCAATATCATGTTGAATGGGCAAAAGTTGTAAGCATTCCCTTTGAAAATTGGTACAAGACAAGGATGCCCTCTCTCACCTCTCCTATTCAACACAGTATTGGAAATTCTGGCCAAGGCAATCAGCAAGAGAAAAAAATAAAGGATATTAAATAGGAAGAGAGGAAGTCAAATTGTCTCGGTTTGTAGATGACATTATCCTATATTTAGAAAACCACATCATCTCAGCCCAAAAATTCCTGAAACTGATAAGCAATTTCAGCAAAGTCTCAGGATACAAAATCAATGTGCAAAAATCACAAGCATTCCTTAACACCAACAATAGATAAGCAGAGAGCCAAATCATGAATGAACTCCCATTCACAATCACTACAAAGAGAATAAAATAACCAGGAATAGAGCTAACAAGGGATGCAAAGGACCTCTTCAAGGAGAACTACAAACCACTGCTCAAGGAAATAAGAGAGGACACAAACAAATGGAAAAACATTCCATTCTCATGGATAGGAAGAATCAGTATTGTAAAAATGGCCATACTGCCCAAAGTAATTTGTAGATTCAATGCTATTCCCATCAAACTGCCACTGACAGTTTTCACAGAATTAGAAAAATCTATTTTAAATTTTATGTGGAATCAAGGAACACCCTGTATAGCCAAGACAATCCTAAGCAAAAAGAACAAAGCTAGAGGCATCACGCTACCTGACTTCAAACTATACTACAAGGCTATAGTAACCAAAACAGCATGGTGCTGGTACCAAAACAGACATATAGGCCAATGGAACAGAACAGAGAAATAACACCGCACATCTACAACCATCTGATCTTTGACAAACCTGTCAAAAAGAAGCAATGGGGAAAGGATCTCCTATCGGATAAATGGTGCTGGGAAAGCTGGCTAGCCATATGCAGAAAACTGAAACTGGACCCCTTCCTTACACCTTCCTTACACCTTACACAAAAATTAACTCAAGATGGATTAAAGACTTAAGTGTAAAACCAAAAACCATAAAAACCCTAGAAGAAAACCATCAAAACCCTAGGCACTACCATTCAGGACACAGGCATGGGTAGACTTCATCACAAAAATGCAGAAAGCAATTGCAACAAAAGCCCAAATTGACAAACGGAGTCTAAACTAAAGAGCTTCTGCACAGCAAAGGAAACTATCATCGGAGTGACCAGGCAGCCTAAAGAATGAGGAAAATTTTTGCAATCTAACCATCTTACAAAGGTCTAATATCCAGAGTCTGTCAGCAACTCAAACAAATTTACAAGAGAAAAACAAACAAATCCATCAAAAAGTGGGCAAAGGATATGAACAGACACTTCTAAAAATAAGACATTTTCACAGGCAACAAACATATGAAAAGAAGCTCGACATGACTGATCATCAGAGAAATGCAAATCAAAACCACAATAAGATACCATCTCACGCCAGTCAGAATGGCAATTATTAAAAAGTGAGGAAACAATAGATGCTGGCGAGGCTGTGGAGAAATAGGAACTCTTTTACACTGTTGGTGGGAATGTAAATCAGTTCAACCATTGTGGAAGACAGTATGCCTATTCCTCAAGGACCTAGAACCAGAAATACCATTTGACCCAGCAATTCCATTACTGGGTTTATACCCAAAGGAATATAAATTATTTTATTATAAAGATGCATGCACACATATGTTTACTGAAGTACCATTTACAATAGCAAAGACATGGAACCAACCCAAATGCCCATCAATGATAGAATGGATAAAGAAAATATAGTACATACACACCATGGAATACTATGCTGCCATAAAAAGGAATGCAATCGTGTCCTTTGGAGGGACATGGATGAAACTGAAAGCCATCATCCTCAGCAAACTAACACAAGAACAGATGACCAAACAAGTTTTCACTCATATATGGGAGTTGAGCAATGAGAAAACATGGACACAGAGAGGGGAACAACATATACCAGGGCCTGTTGGGGGTGAGTGGTGAGGGGAGGGAACTTAAAGAGGATGAGTCAGTAGGTGCAGCAAACCACCATGGCACACATATACCCATGTGTCAAACATGCACGTTCTGCACATGTATCCTGCTTTTTTTAGAATAAGAAAAATTTTTTTGATATGTTGTCTTTTCATTTTCATTCAATTCAAAACATTTTATAACTTCCCTATGACTTTTGAAACATGGCTTACTGAGACATATGGTGTTTATTTTTCAAGTATTTAAATATCTTTCTTGATATTCTCTGTAATTGATTTCTAGTTTAATTTCGTGAGTTCTCCTGAGATCTGGTTGCTTAAAAGTTTGTAGCACTTCTTCCTTCACTCTCTTCCTCCTGATTCAGCCGTGTAAGACATGCTTGCTTTCTCTTCGCTTTCCATCATGATTGTAAGTTTCCTGAGGCCTCCTCAGCCAGGCTTCCTGTACAGCCATCTGCAGAACTGTGAGCCAATTAAACCTCTTTACTTTATAAATTACCCAGTCTCAGGTAGTTCTTTATAGCAATGTGATGATGAACCAATACAGGGACTCTGGATATTTTCTGTCTTAGCATGGTTAGGCTACTATCACAAAAATACCACAGGTTGGCATGATGGATTATAAACAACAGAAATTTATTTCTCACAGTTCTGGAGGCAGAGTAGTTCAGGATCAAGGTGCTGGAAGATTTGGTGTCTGGTGAGGACCTGCCTCCTAAATCATAGACTGCTGCGTTTTGGCAGTGTCCTCACATAGCACAAGGGGAAAAAGAACTCTCTGGGGCCTCTTTTATAGGGTCACTAATCCAATTTATAAGGGAGGTGCCCTTATGATTTATTCATCTCCCAAAGGCCCTACCTCCCAATACCATCACATTGAGAATCAGATTTGAATATGAATTTAGAGAAAGGATACAATCAGTCTATACCATTTCCTGACCAGTATTAATGATGTGTTTGCTTACTGGGTTATGCGTGCCTAGAGTGGTGTCAGTGACCTTCAAGCCTGTAAGTAGGGCAAGCACAATATATAGCATAGTAGCCCTTTTGTGGTGAATAAGGCTGAAAAACATGAAGCAGCAGGCCCAGAAAATATGTGACCTCCAAACCCCCAGAGTACATACAGTGCATATGATAGTAGAAGAACGTTTTGATAGTGTAAGAATGGAGGGACAGACAAGTGTTATTAAAATAACATCAGAGCCCTTCAGCAACAAGAATATTGGCTGACATAAGGAGAAAATTCTGTTCATGAAGTGTCAGTAGGCTTGTTGGTATGAGCAAAGCAGGGGTGTTTCTTAGAAATTGTAAAGCATATCAGATCAGAGGAAGAGGCCAAGTGAGCAATTTGAATAAATATTTTGGTACCCCGTTAGGTTTTTGGAGTGGTACACAGGAAAAGGAGGGCTGGCCAAGGTAAATCCTTCTATGAGGTTAACTGGATATGGGTAATGAGAGCTGGTGACTCATCTAAGGACTGGTGGCAAGCCCAGAAATTAGTGCAACAAAGGACCTGGACTGTATGCTCCATGAGTTGTAAATACATATAGGAGAGACTCTTCAAGACTAGGGGTGGCTTGCTGTGATGGAATGAACTGAGCCTCAGAGAAGGAAAAACAAAAAAACATAAGCAGAGATGGGGATAGGGCAGTGAACCCTGTACTGAAAACTCAGTGAGGCTGGCTAGGGGAAATTAGCTAGAAGTATGAATGGTGCCTATGAAGGGTGTGAAAGTGGGGCCTGGTAGGGAAGGTATGGAATTGTTCATGAGTGATGGGATGGTGGTGACCTTCTAGGCAATGATTAATTAAGTCTCGGTGCCAGATGATAAAATCTAGGGAGAAAATTTAGGACAGTGCAGAAGTTGAATGTGTCAGGTTGTAGCCTGGGGTAGTAGAACAAAATAGACAGAGGGTACTCCTAGACCCAAAACAGAACTTTAGATACTCCATTGGCAGCTGCTGAAAACATATAGCTAAATAATGAATCACCATTGAGTCTGAGCTTGGCGTTTTCCATAGCATAAATAATGTTTTGTAAGTATTGACAATCTCCTTTTCAATATTATTGAGTGTAGCTCTGGTGTCATTGCATTTGTGTGGTGTGGTGAATATGTTGCAGCAGAGCCTTACATATTAGGGGTGGATAAGGGAATACTGTCAAGAGAAAGCCAAGGTGATGGTTTCTCCAATGGCTTCAGGAAAAAATTAGAGATAAGCTTCAATTTGGTGTGAGTACCATAGCCTGAAGGGGTGGAATAGTGGGGCAGGACTATAGAAGGACAGCTGGCAGAGGACAGTGAGGTTAACAGGATCTGAAGCAAAGCAAGAACAAAGGAGGAGCAGCATTGGCCGTTGGCAGTAATGAGGTCAGCAACAGAGCCAAAGTCTGGTTTTTATTAGTCAGATGGGCTGAGGTCATCTGGTGGTCCACTAGGCTGTCATAGAGTTGGCTCACAAGGTTGGCTCATGATGAGGTTGTGGACTTCACTAGGTTTGCAATGATCTTGCACCAAATTTGGTACCCTAAGGCATAAAGGCTTATTGATCAGGAAGTCATAGAAATGTACTGATGTGGTTGAATAGCAAGGAGAAAAGAGTTAGCTATCTTGCTATCCTATTGGAGACATAATACCTCAAAGGATCCTGATGCATTCAACCCCAAATGAGGCTCTAAGTTATCTCTTATGTAATGGTCTGACATGTACTTTAAAAGGCAAAATCTGAAGTTAGGAACATTACTTCAAATGTCTGAAGAGCAGGGCATACAGCTAGCATATGTGCCACCTTCTATATCTTGCAAATCTTCTGTGAATTTAGAATAGCCAATGGGAGCTTCTTTAGTTTTTATAAGAAACTTTGCTGTCATGGTGGAAATGGAACTATGGTACCACCTAGGCTGGTTATGCCTGTAGTATTGAAAAGCCTGAGTAAGTGTAGGTGGCATCATGGTCTGAATATAGTCCAGCAGCTCTTGCATTGACAGGTGGAATCTGCACAATGGACTGTTGTATCCCAGACCCAGGTCATTTGACCTATGGTATTCACAGCCAGGCTATGAAAAGTCAGGAGACCAGTCGTTTGTGCAGTGTGGATGTTATCTCTTGAGGAAGCAAAGTGTTGCTGACAAGTGTGGGCATAAGGTAGAATATGGATGTACCCATTTAATCCTGTCCCATGGTTCTCAGATACACCATTCTGTTTTTTATTTTATTTTATTTTTGCTTTCATCATTTTATTTTTTGTGTTTCATTGTGGATAATTTCTATTGACATATCTTCAAGTTCAACTATTTCCTTGGCTTTATCAAATCTACTGATGGCATCTAATGATAACATTTGTTAGCTTTGTTACTATGTGATTCAGCACAATTATTTCCATTACTTTCTATCTTATAGTTTTTACTTCTAATATGAAATTCCCCATCTATTCATGCTTGCTGTCCTCCCCTTTTTAGCTAGATCCTTTAACATGTTAATCATAGGTTTTTAAAATTCCTTGTTTGATAGTTCAAACGTAGGGGTCAGAGTTGAGTCTAGTTGTATGTATTGCTTTGTCTCTTGACATTGTGATTTTTAAAATTCTTTATATGTCTTGGAATATTTAGTGGGTACCTAGACATGTACTGTAAGAGAGTAAACACTGAGGTAATTAATATTTATGCCTGATAAATGACACAGGAATTTTTTTTTTTTTTTTACACAGCTGATTTTTATTGCAAGGAGTTAGACCAATCTAGTTAGGAGTTGAGTTACTTTTGGATTTTCTTATTGCTGTACCTTAGTGCACCCCATTCCTCAAATTCCCCTAGTATAGTTCTGTATGTGTGATGTGAATTGGTTTACTAGACTGTTTGTTTGTTTGTTTGTTTGTTTTTTCCTACTTCCTCCCTCAGCTTTAGGTGTTTTCTTTGTACCTGTACCTTGGGTTTTTCTCCCTGCTCTTGAACTTCTCTCAGCAGTATCATGCTGTTATATATTAGGGGTGCTTGTCAGCCTGATGATGGGGTTGGGGCTAGAAGAGCATGTTCTTTGTAGTTCTTGTTCAGGCTTAGACAGGCACTGTGCCCTTGGGTCTCATTAATGGGGTCTTTTCAGTAATCCTGCAACTCTCACAACTGGACAGGGTTTTACTGTCCAGGCCTGGTACATTTTGTGCCCCTTTATCAACATAGAAGGTTTTTCATCTTGATCCCTTTCCTCAGCTACCGTGGCTTTTCACCTGTTTCTTGAGGATGGTAGGGTTTGCTTTCTATGATTTTTGTTCTGTAGGGGACATAAAGGAAGAGGATTCAGGGTGAGATTTGTGCCTTTACCACGATGGCTGCTGTTTATTTCTCTAGGTCTGCAACAAGAGGAGCATTTCCTCAGGAATATCTCTCACCTTCTGCCAAACTTTCTTGTGAGCCACTTAGTAAGGTCCATGAACATGAGCCTGTGTGTTGGTATAAGTTCTCCTGCGTTTTGTACTTTTACACTAGCCCACATTCATCCTTTAGCAAATCCTTAGTTTTTATTTTTTTTTAGCTGAATTCTGCTCACTAGCTTGGTGTCAAGTGTCTGACAACTACCCCATCTAAACAAGGCTTGCTTCCTATTTTTTCCTGAAGATTCTTATCTTCTTTTGAATTGGAAGTGAGTTGTTTGCCTTAAAACTCCACTTTCTAATGGTTTCAATAAGGGTTATAATTTTGCAGATTATCAAACAGTTTATATTCTAAGGGTGGGAATGATTCTTTTTCCACATTTTAACAGGAATCCAGAAGCCAAACATGTTTTCAAAAATTGAATGTGTTTCCTAAATTCCTAATGAAACCTTGCTCTATTTTTAGCACACAATTAGAATAAGTAGCAAAAACCCTTAGATAGTATGCCCTGAGTCATGAATTTATACTAGGACTGCAAATACTGCTTACCTTCACAAGAAAGCTTCCTTAATGACTCTCTTGTCAACATTTCTTTGGTACCATACTGAGAGAAGACAATCAGTATTCTCCCAGAAATTTCATTTCAATTTACCTTATGGCAAGATTGTACTTTGTGAGTGAATCTATGCTGGTTGGCAGTTTGGGTAAATAGTTTATATTTGATTATTTTCTAAGGATGATAAAAACTCAAATTGTAACTATGGTATTATTTCCCTCTCTTTGTACATAAAATCAGAGGAGAATAAGTGGTTTACTAGAGGATTCATGTTATCATTTAAATTATATGATGGGATGGACTTTAGTGAGATGACTGATATTTTTGAGTAGATACACTTTGGGACCTCCTTAGCCTTCAGCAACTTCTTGGAGACCCAAAACCTTGTCTTTCCATACCAACTTCTTCAATATCCAATCCATATACATATAACCCCAACGACATGTACACAAAGGAGGATCCTTGAACCTATCTTCCTACTGGACAATAGCATTTCTCTAGTCCAAGCTAGAGCTGGCACCTGCCATAACAACCAATCATTACCTCAGTCCCTGAAATTTGGAATTGGAATGCTGGGATTTTCCTCAGTTGATAATAGTCTCTGAATCTAGGAGCATATATATTATCTTTCCATAGAAGATATGGGCAGTATGGCTCATTAACAGACAGTACTGTTTTTCTTAAGTTCATTTGAAAGAAAATCTTCATATACTTTTAAAAACCAGAAATGATATTTTATCTATGCACTAATGTCCTTAGTTATAGCAGACTAGGATTATAAATCAATGCTTCAACAATGAACTATGAGCCTTTGTGTGTGAAAAAAAGAAATAGATTTTAACTATTTCTATTGAAATCCTAAGAGGTTATTAAAAATAAGACAGAGAAAAGTGGAAAGGGAAAAAAAATCCCTTAAAAGAAAATGTAATAGATAAGACACAGAGCTATTATTGTCCCACTTTTTTGTCTAGGCCTCCTAACCCTCTTGATGGGCACTTCTATTCTTAAAGCTCTCTGGGAAAAGCATTGAGATTATTTAAGTCTCTTCTTACTCCAGTCACCTCTTCACATTGTAGAAGCTCTAACAATTGGCCATGATTGAAATCTTTCCGGGCTACGTGAACAATAACCAAATACAAAGACAATATACATAATGGGCATAAAAGAAGCATCATTGTTAACTTTTCATGTGATTTGAATTGAGATGTTAATACTAATCATCTTCTTTAATAAGGGATTTATTTGGATCTCTTTATTTGCTTTTTCTTCTCCCCAGTGAATGTTGCTTTCTTTTTATTACCGTGCATGTTTTATGAGTTGCGATTTATTTGTATGTGTTGGATTTGATTTATTTCTGTGATACTCTACAGTTTTTAAAATCTGATTAAAAATGGGGTTGAGGATATGAAATGTGTGCTCTGTAATGTTGGCTCCCCCCACAAATCTTTGATGAACTTGACCAAAGGGAAGTCTAATGGTATTCACTTAAATCTTGCTTTCACATGTAATTTGGTAACACAATATTTCATTCTCAGAAGCAGAACAATTATCATTCTTTATACCTTGTATTGTGCAGTTTCTATTACTTGGCATTAATATTCTACTAAGATGACTAGTTTGAGGCAATTTAAGGACAAAAATACTTCAGTTTTCTGAATTTACTTATGTAGAGATAAGTTGAAGGGATAAAAGACAAATATGGCACCCAAAGCACATTATTTGTCTCTAATGATCCAATGTCATCTTTTCACATATTTAACCCTTATAATAAATATTCTTCCAACAAGAGGTAAAGGAATTACTTATAGGTAATGGAAGATTCATGAAATATACAGCATCAAGTCCTTTTGGTGAAATAATCAAAGATTAGGAGAGGGCAATCCAAAGATAATTTTTTTGTGAGCAGAAGCAATTTTATTGGGAAGACAGCCATACATGTGTCTGTGCAAGGTGTGGTGTCTGTGTGTGTGTGTATGTGTGTGTGTGTGTGTGTGTGTGTGATAATGAATATCCATGGACAGAATTGAAGTAAGAAAGCTATCTCTGTTTATTTTCATATCCATTTTAGAAAAACAAATCTTCCAAAGTCCCATCTTTTTAACTCAGAAAGAGAAGATGAAAAATTAGCAAGTGGGACCCAACTGCAGACATCTCATACCAAGAGGAAAGAGTATACAGAAAATCAGTGAGAAGTCACATGCAATCATACATACACTACTTTTTTTCCATATGTTTCTAGCTGCACTCTACATTTCTAGATTAAAAAGTGAGGGCACCAAGATCAGAAAAAGACATTACAAGAGAGGAAAACCAATAGTTCTCATGAACATAAATACAAAAATTATCAATAAAATATTAACAATATGAATCCAAAAATCTATAAAACTAATTATATGACATAGCCAAATGGGATTTATTCCAGATATGCCAGGCTGGATTATCATTTGAAAATTGAGCAATTTAATCTATCGTGTCAAAATTGATACCTGTACCTTGGATTTTTGTGATTTAAACCTTGGGTTTATATGATAGATTAAATTACTCAATTTTCAAAATATGATCCAGCCTGACATATCTGGAATAAATCCCATTATACAGTCATATCAATAGATCCAAAAAAGGCATTTGACAAACTTTGAAATTCATTTATGTTAAAAAGACAAGACAAATTTGGAATAGAGGAGAACTTCAACAACTTAACAAATAAGAGCCACAAAAAGCCTAAAGTTAAAGCATATATTTTATGGTGAAAACTATGTGCTTTCTTTCTAAAATCTGAAATGAGGCAAGGAAGTCCTGTCTCAACATTCCTATTCAAATTTTATTAGAAATAGTTGCTAATGCAATAAGTCAAGAAGAGAAAATAAAGGTATATAAATTTAGAAGAAATAAGTTAGAAGTCTTTGGCTGGGCATAGTGGCTCACGCCTGTAATCCCAGCACTTTGTGAGGCCAAGGCGGATGGATCACAAGGTCAGGAGATTGAGACCATCCTGGCTAACATGGTGAAACCCCATCTCTACTAAAAATACAAAAAATTAGCCAGGCGTGGTGGCGGGCGCCTGTAGTCCCAGCTACTCAGGAGGCTGAGGCAGGAGAATGGTGTGAACCTAGGAGGTGGAGGCCGCAGTGAACCGAGATCACGCCACTGTGCTCCAGCCTGGGTGAGAGAGCAAGACTCCATCTCAAAAAATAAAAATAAAAAAAAAATAAATGAATTAGAAGTCTTTGCTCAAAAATGGTTAGATTTTCTATGTAGTGATCCCAAAGAATCAACAACAATAAGAAAAACCTCTTGGAACTAATAAACATTTATAGCAAGGTTGCAGAATACATGGTTAGTGTACAATAGTCAATTGCTCATACCAACAATGAACAATTAGAATTTGAAACTACAAAGCACAATCTCATTTACATTAGCACCAGAAATAATAAAATAATTTGATAAAAAGCTAATAAAATGTGCCTGTGATCTATACAAGGGAAATTACAAATCTCTGATGCAAGAAATCAAATAAAATTTAAATAATTGGAGAGAGAGTCCATGATTATGAATAGAAAGACCCAATATAGTTAGGGTATTAGTTCTTTCTCACTTGATCTATAGTTTCAACATAATCACAATCAAAAGCTCAGAAAGTTACAATGTGGATGTCAACAAACTGATTTTAAAGCTTATGTGGAAAGATAAAAGATTCAAAATCACCAACACAGTACTAATGAGGAAGAACAAAGTTAGATGACTGACTCTCCCCAACTTCAGGGCTTCCTATGCAGCTACAATAAGTAATATAGTGTGGCAAAGAATGGGCAGCTCAATGGAACAGAATAGTGGTCAGAGGGGTTTTTAGGGCAGTGAAACTATTCTATATTAAATCATAATTGTGTATAGATTACATTCTGTGTTTTTCAATCTCCATAGAATACAAGAAGAGTGAATATTAATGTAAATTATACACTTTAATTAATGATAATGAATCAATATTGTTTCATGAACTACAAATGCACCATGCTAATATGTTAATAATTGAGGAAACCAGGAGGCGGGGGGACTATAGGAACTCTCTGGGCCATCTGTTTGATTTTTCTATAAATCTAAAACTGTCCTAAATACTCCAATCTATTAATTTAAAAATGTTAGATCATAAGTCAAAAATGTGGGAGTTGTCTGTGAAACCTCATTTTCTCTTTATAATAAACCACTCTCCTCTTAATCAAGTCCAGCCCAAGGATTTGGTGTCCTTAATTACTTTCCTATTTATTGGCTTTTCTTTTTCATTCTGTTGCCATTTTCTAGCAGAGATCATCATTACCTCTACCTGGATTTTGCATTAACTTCCTAACTGTTGCCTTCTACCTTTCTATCTTCCAATCCACTATTCAAAATATCGGCAAAATGATCTCTCTTTAATACAAAATGTATCACGTCACTCTGCTGCTTAAAACCTTTCACTGGTTTTCTATTTCTAAGTTCTTTATCTTACCAAGAGCCTTTATAATTTAGCTGTTGTTTATCTTTTGGGTTATTTCATTTTACCACAGTTTTTCTTGCCCTTTGGGCTCATGTTATACTAAACTTTGCATAGTTTCACTAGAGCCATGCTTTGCATTGTCTTCAATCTTAATATCTGATATTCCTATTGCTTCAATACTTCCCTTGCCATTCTTTCTTCACTTGGTTTATGCTTTTTCCTTGGAAATTCAGCTTAGATATTACACCATCCAGGAAGATTTCTACTCACTACAAACTGAAGCTAAATATCCCTTCTAAGTCACCTTGAATTTTCCTTAACATGGTATACAGGCTTCTAATTTCCTTCTCAATATCCGCATTTGATTATAACCTTTGAAAAGGCAAAGTTGTGTCTACCTTATGCATCGAGGTCATCACAGAATCTGCAGAGTAATAAGCTCTCCATTACATACTTCTCAAAAAAAAAACCAAAACACTTAGAATCAGCCCTAATAATGTCTCACACCTAATTTCATGTCATTAATGAAAAGATACCCCCCCTTTAAACAAATTTGCAATGGGCTAAATGGAAGAATCGAAATATGGAATTAAAAAACTGAATTAAGAATTAGAATATTGAATTCTGATTTGCCAGGACCCTCCTAGTAACTCAAGAAACATTTTTGGTAACAGTTTTATTGAATTATAATTCATATATGTTAAAATTTACCCATTTAATATGTACAATTCATTTTTCAGTATAGTCAGAGTTACATGATTATCACTGCAATCAGTTATAGAACATATTCATTACCACAAAAGGAAATTCTGCCCCCTTTCACAATCACCCCCCAATCCTTTCATGTCCCCAACCCCTAGGTGACTACTAATCAACTTTCAATTCCTATTGATTTTCTTATTCTGGATATTCCATGTAAATAGAACCATATAATATGTGGTCTTTAATGCCAGGCTTTTAAAAGCTTTTTTTCTGGTTTGTAAGTTTCATCTATGTTGTTCAAGTAACTTTGATAGATTTAGCTACATGTTTTGGAAGTTTTCAACAGCAGAGTTTGTCAAAACATAGCCAAATTTAACCTAATTTATTAGTCAAAACAATTAAAAATACCATAATTGACATTCATTCTATTGACCAATGTACATTATACCAAATATATTTTATATAACAAAGCTGAAGGTTCATCACTGGTTATGAAAACTTTTATTCTTTAGATTAGGCTGGTATTTGGGGCCTTTCACACAAACACACACACATGCCTTTCACAGACATGAGTATGTTTTTTCACACACAAACACACCTTACACAAATGTATGGCTGTCTTCCCAATAAAATTCTTCTGCTCACAAACAAATTATCTTGGGATTGCCCTCTCCTAATCTTTGATTATTTTACCAAAAGGACTTGATGATGCATATTTCATGAATCTTCCATTACCTGTAAGTGATTCCTTTACCTCTTGTTGGAAGAATATTTATTATAAGGATTAAATGTATGAAAAGATTACATTGGATCATTAGAGACAAATAATGTGCTTTGGGTGCCATATTTGTCTTTTATCTTTCAACTTGTCTCTACATAAGTACATTTAGAAAGCTGAAGTATTTTTGTCCTTAAATTGCCTCAAACTAGTCATCTTAGTAGAATATTAATGCCAAGGAGTAGGAACTGCAAAATACAAGGTATACCATAAAGAATGGGAGTTTGTTATACTCCATAAATAGGAGTATAACACTTTTCCTCAGAAGAGTTTACTTCAGTACATCATGGAATAGAATAGCACCAATAGGTTGTATTCAGTCTGCAAATATATCTACAGTTATTGAAACTGACTATTTAAATGTATGTCTCGGAAATATTATTTGACTAAAGCTTGCTCCCTTATAGAGACAGTTCAGCATGCTCTTGAAAGCATAAAGGCTGCCTTTGTTTGACACAGTTCAGTATTATCTTTTTCAAAAAGCTGATGATGAAAACATAGGGAATGATTCTTAAATTCTGATAAAATATACATTTATTCTTCAGAACATTTGGGAGCAGCTGATTTACTGCTGAGAAAAAATATTAACAGCAAAGTTTGTTTCATTATGTGTGTAATAAAACTGCTAATGTTCTTTTTCTCCCTTTTGTAGAAATGGTAAATGAAGATTTGCATTCTGGGTAGAACTTCCTCTTGGGGAAGCAATAGAAGCCTAGACTGACATTCCCTAGGCCCCAAACCTTGTTAAAAGTGGTTTCAGTCCTGGGGACCTAATGCACTGATTGCTTCCCTAGAAGGAGTCTCATTGCTTGCTCCGTTCGGTCCTATTACTGAAGGTCTAATTACATCTATTATGCTGTTCAGTTTCACAGAAGGTTGGGGAAGAAAATTAGAGGTATTAGGGTATGAGATTGGGGGCGTGTAACACACATACAAAAAAATACACACACACATTCATATTGTAGGTTTTAAGAAATGCAATGGTGACCAAACTAGAGTATTTGTGAGATTATTTCTAAACTATCACGTTATGTTACTGTAACAAGACAAAATGGAGACGGTTCCAATTCCGTGTGATTGCCCAGGCCACAGGGATCCAATTACACTGTCAAAATCTGAGGTGCTGGAACTTAAAAGCCCCACAGGACCTCTTTGCAACCAAACACATTTTTCTCCATCAGTAAAAGGGCAAGTAAAGGATTTTTGATCCCATTGTAAAGGGTGTCTTACATTCAGAGCTCCCCAAAACATCTCCTAGCCCACTCTTTCCCTGTATAGTGTAAATATTATAAGCTTATGCTATGCTTTTGTGGAGCCTTCATGAAGACTGTTTTCATGGCCTAATAGAGCTCAAAATGGAAAGGAAGAGGGGGCAGAAGGGAGACTCATTATTTTTTAAATGGCTTCACTTTTCCCGTAGGAATCCTATATATCCCACTTAGCAGAAGCTCATTCCAGCGCTGATTAAGTGGGAAATACACAGAATCTCAAAAGGTCGGATCTATAATCAGCTGTCCTCAGGGGTTGACATGGAAAACTTTTTAATCCAACTTGAATTTATTGCCATCTGATAACAAAGCGAAAAAAACTATGAGACATTAAGTACATATATTTCAATATAGTTACATATATATTACAAATGTGCGTGTGTGTGTGTGTGTGTGTGTGTGTGTGTTTTAATGGAAGATGCACTGCCTGCCTAAACTCAGAATAACCTGGTTTACCTAAAGCATTTGTTAGGCAATCTTTCCTATAGCATATTTACTTTATGTTGTTGATTTGTTTTATATTTTGGAGACTTTCAAACTAATAAATTAAGTTTTCGTGGCAATGGTTCTGTATCTATTTGTGAGAAACAATTCACAAATTGGAGTCTAAAGGTGTATGACTAAAAAAAGTGTTTATAAAAGAAATAGGATAATAGGAAAAAAAGGAAAAACAAACAGAATTCTTAATAAGCTGCCAAAGTGTGTAACTGCAAAACTGTGATAAACATTTCTTTGTGGGAAGAATATACTTGTGGAGCCGGATGGCTTAAGCTGGACAAAGCCTAGTTTCTTGTCTATTCAGTGCATTTTTACTTATTTTAGTAAGGAAATATTAGTCAATATTTCATTAAAAATGACTTTGGTCAAAAGCTGAAGGTTTTTTACTCATCACACCTTAAAATGCCATCTCTATTTATGTCCTCCCATAAATTTGTAGTCATTTCTATATCACCTTTATGCTGAGAGCAGCACCCAAATACAAAATGTTAAATCAGTCATGAACGTGCACACTTGCTTCTCTGAGTGGAAGAAAATAGATTGTTCCTTTCTTCCCTCCTTATTCCAAGTAGTTATTAAGTTAAGCCCGGAAGAAAATTGGCCTTGGAGTTGTCTTGAGCTGTGAGATTGAGAAAAGGTGTGAAGGCTTCTCATTTAAACATTATTCCACTTCTCTACTCCCTGGGAGAAAACAGTCTTACAAAAGTGATGGAAAGAAAATGGTGTAAGTGGCAAGGTGGCATTTTGTTTTTCACTATATGAGTGGTTTTTCCTTATCAGTATTTATAAAAGTCGCTGTTGTCCCTATGTTTTCGCACTTCCTGAAGAAGAATAAGAGAGGAAGGAAATCAGAGTAGTTTCTAGACTTGTGTTCATGGGAAAGCTGGGAGAAAGTACACAGCAAGCAGAGACATTGGGGGGATGAATGTCTGTCTCTTTGTAATTCTCAGTATGTCCCAATGAGTAACAGCACGGCTCTTCTGTCTGTGAGAGACAATTAGAGCACAGAAACTAGGAAGTAGGGAGGCCAGCGATGAGAAGGATCTGCTCTGGGGAAACAGAAACCACCCACACTGGTTCCACACAGTGGAAATACAGGAATGGACTAGCTAGGAGCACATGGCATGAATCACTTAGCTGGGCTTGAATCCCAGAGATATGACCGAGGGAAAACTAGCTAAGTTCTCTGGCCCTCATTTTTCTCATCTGCAACATGGGAATAGTAATTGTATCTATTTCAATGGTTTTGAGGGATAATGAAATGAAATAATAAAGAATGACAGGCACAAAGAGTAGTAAGTGCTCATGAGAAGTCAGCTGCTGATAGTGTTAACGTTGAGAAGGAACAAAATTCTAAAGCTGAGAAAAATGTTTTCTGTCCTAATCAACTCTGATGGTGATAAGGAAGTATAACTTAAAGTATTTGCCAAGAAACACAAGTGTTTGGGCTAATTGGCTTGAATGGGTCAAGTGTTTCAATACATTTAGGAATATACCTACTGGGAAATAATTGACTGATGAAGAAGGGTTTTCAATGTGGATTGCATAGAGTCCTAACCAAGTGAGGACTGGCTTCTAATGGAAAGCTTATCTTGAGCTGAAAAGAATGTTTTTTGTTTGTTTTATTTTGTTTGCAGGCAGAGAGTGTTCCAGTACCTCCATTTTTTAAAAACTAAATCTTATTGTGTACATTTGAAATTTACAACATAATGTTATAAGATACACATAGATAGTAAAATGGTTACTATAATGAAGCAAATTAACATATCTATCATCTCATACAGTTGCTTTTTTTGTGAAAAGAGCAGCTCATGTCTACTTATTTAACAAAAATATCCAATACAATATAATTTTATTTACTATAGTCATTGCTCATTAGATCTCTAGACTTGTTCATCCTACATACCTGCTACTTTGCATTCTTTGACCTAAATCTCCTCATTTCCTCCTCCTGGTAACCCCACTCCTGGTAACTGTTGCTTCATTTTCTATCTCTGTGTATTTTATTCTTTTTTTTTTCAAGATTCCACATATAAGTAAGATCATGCAATGTATTTCTTTCTGTTCTGGCTTATTTTACTTAGCATAATGCCCCCTAGGCCCATCTATGTTGTGGCAAATGGCAAAATTGGCTTCTTTTTCAAGGCTGAATAGGATTTTATTATGTCTATCTATTTATCCATCCATCCATCTATTTATCTATATATAGAGAGAGGTTTTTTTTATCAAATTGCTTGTTGATAATCGCTTATGTTGGCTCCATATCTTGGCTATTATGAATAACATTACAATAAACATGGGAGTACTTATAGCTTTATGAGATGGTAATTTCAGCTCCATTGAGTGTATATACAAGCATTATTGTGTTGCATAATTAAAATGTTTTTACTGCCCAAAGCAATACAGTTGACCCTTGAATGACATTGGTGTAAACTGCATAGGTCTACTTATATATGATTTTTTTTTTTTTTAGTAAAAGTTGCACAAAGTGTGCCTGCCTCTCCTGCCTCCTGTTCCACCTCCTCCACCTATTCTGCCTCTGCCCCCTCTAGATAGCAAGACTAACACCCCCTTTTACTCCTCCTCTTCAGCCTACTCAATGTGAAGACAAAGGTGATGAAGACTTTTATGATGATCCACTTCCAGTAAATAAATAGTAAATATGTTTTCTCTTTATTATTTTCTTATTGGCATTTTTTCTCTTACTCTAAAACTATAATGCATAAATACATATAACGTACAAAATATGAGCAAATCAACTGTATATGTTATTTGCAAGGCTTCTTATCAACAGTAGGCTCTTAGTTAAATTTTGGGAAGTCAAAAGTTATATGTGGATTTTCTACTGCTTGGGGGGTCAGCACTCCTAAAACCTGCATTGTTCAAGTATCTACTGCATACAGATTAAACACAATTCCTATGAAAATTTCAATAACATTCTTCATAGAAATAAAAGAAACATTCCTAAAATTGGTTTGGAACCACAAAATACCCTGGATATCCAAAGCAATAATACTAAGAAAGCAAAACAAAGTTGGAAACATCATACTTCCCAATTTAAACTTATATTACCAAGATATAACAATCAAAACAGTATGTAACCAGCATAAAAGTGGAAATATAGACCAATGAAATAGCATAGAAAGCCCAGAAATAAATTCAAATATGTATGTTCAAATAATTTTGACACAGGCACCAAGAGGACACAATCAGAAAAGGATAGTCTCTTCAATAAATGATGATAGGAAAGCTGGGTTTTCACATGCGAAAGAATATATAAAATTTATATTGGAGCCTTATCTTAAATCATACAAAAAAAATCAGCTCAAAGTGGATAAAAGATTCAAATATAAGACTTGATCCCATAAAACACCTAGAAGAGAACGTAAGAGAAAATCCCCTTGATATTGGCCTTGGCAATGATTTTTGGCTACCTTACCAAAAGCTCATGTGACAGAAGCAAAAATGAATAAAGGGGATTGCATGAAACTAAAAAGTTTCTGCACAGCAAAGGATACAATCAACAAAATGAAAAAAGCAACTTCTGGGTTAGAAAAAAATATTTGCAAACCATGTATCTGATAAAAGGTTAATATCTAAAAATTTCAAAGAGCTCTTTTAACTCAATTTCAGGAAAATAAATCACCTGACTTAAAAAGGGGAAAAGGACCTGAACAGAGTTCTTCCTAAAGAAGATATAAAAAAGACCAACAGGTATATGAAAAGGTGCTCTACAACACTAGTCATCAGGGAAATGCAAAATTAAACCACAGTGAGATATACCCTCATACTTGGTGTAACTGCTATTATCAAAAAGATAAGCTACAAATGTTGGTGAGGGTGTGGAGAAAATGGAATCCTAGTATACTGTTAGTGGGCATATAGATTTGTACAGCATTATGGAAAACAGTATGTAAATTCCTAAATAAATTAAAAATAATGCTTTTGAAGAGTTACAAATATCCAGACAACAAACTAGTTTTTCTTAAATATGTACAGAATTTTTAGGAGTTTCATGGTTCTAAAATGAGCTTAAGAAATTTAGATCTTGGCTATCTGTTAACCTAGCACTGCTGTAAAGTATCCTGAAAAACTCCTCAACAAATATTCCTGTAACAAAAAATAGGAGACAAAAATTTGAATAGACTCTTGTTGGACAATCTTCTTTATTTAACTGTTATGGAGATTGCTCACTAAGAAAAACTATAAAGAACATTGTCAGCTTAAATGGAGTGCTTTTATCTGTTACTATTTGCCCTGAAATAGTAACTATCTGTGAATATTAGTGTGGGCAGACTGGAAATCTTAAACCAGCACTAGCTTTTTTTAAATAGGGAAAATATAATGTACATTTTCTCTAATCAGCATTCATTAGCACAATCATTTCAGGAATAAACATTTTTTAATGATCCAACTAAGTGGTAAATTGCATTTTCATATATTCTGAAAATAACTTTCAGTTGTGAAAAGTACAGAGCACAATAGGATTTCATTATCTTGTTAATATAAAAAAATGCCTAAATACCACTTTCCTTCATTTTAACATAACACACATCATATTAAAGCAAGCCTTAATTTTCATATATCTGTTGAGGGCCTACTATGTAACAAGCACTATTCTAAGTACTGCAATTCAATGGAGAACATGTCTCTTAAGGTATTATAGTCTGATAGAAGGAGACAAAAAATAAGCAATAAAGGAACAAACAATTATGATGAATGTGACAAAGAAAATATCCAACATTGGCATTGAAGTGCTGCTTTAGGAAAGGCTTCTTTGAGGTGCCTTTGAGCAGAGACATGAAGAATGAAAAGGTGCTCATTATGTAAAGGATACCATGAGCTGGACAGAAGCTCAACATGTTTGGAGGATGAGAAGGTGCTGATGCATAATGAGGAGAGGGAGAGTACCTGACACCTAATAACAGAAGGAGGCAGGGCCAGATGAGCTAGGCACTGGAAGCCATGGCCAGGTTTAAGATTCAAAAGCTGCTTGTTATTGTGTGTGTGTGTGTGTGTGTGTGTGTGTGTGTGTGAGAGAGAGAGAGAGAGAGAGAAAGAAAGAGAGTTAGTTTAGCTGGACAACTGAATTATTGCTTTTCATTTTGTACCACCTTTGTTTTTGCATTCATGCAGAACTATTAATATTAGGTTACTGCAAAAGTAATTGCAGTTTTTGTCAATACTTTTAATATTACAATTAAAGATTGTAACTGCTGGGAAAGCTGCACATTTCAGGTAGAGTTTCTGCACATTTCAGGCAGAAAACGTGCTAGTTGAGAGAGAGAGAAGCTGTTTTCATGCAAACACACACACACACACACACACACACATACACATATACCACCTTTCTTTACATTTTTTGAAGCAGAGACATGACTGTGCCTAGTTTCCATCTGAAATTAACAACTCAACTATAGGGTGAACAATGGACTATAGGACGGCAACACTAGAGGCAGAGAAACCAGTGAGGAAGCCTTTGTCTTATGGTAGGCAAGATATGGTAGTGGCTTGAAATAGGATGGGGGCTGGGGAGATGGTGTCGTGTCTATATATATATATCTATATATCTATATATGTGATATATTTTGGAGATAGGACTTATGGTGGATTGAATGCATGGATTAAGTCACAGGGAAATTAATGTGGGCTGTGGTACAAAATAGGCAAGGAGCAGTGGGTGTTTAACATGACAGACCTTCATTGAGGTAAAACATTTTGGCCTTCCATAAATCACTGTAGCATGCAACATTAGGAACTCAAAAAGACCAAAAAACTCTATTAGCACTGAACCATAGCATCTCTATAATAGGCATATTTAACAAAATGACATTAGTGCTATTCATTTTCCTTATTATGCATATTTGAGGAATCAGGCCAGAGAAGTGCAAAATAATACATATGGTGTTATCACATTGTTACTGAGAATACAAGAGAAAAAACTGTACCAAGAGCAGCCTGCTCTACTAAGGCGGGAGGCAAATGCACTCTGTGTTCCCTCAAATCCTCAACTCTCCTGTACTGTGTTCTATGCACAGCTGCAACACAATTTCTTATAGGGTGCATTCAATACTGTGGCCCATGACAAAGGATGCTGTGAGGCTTCCTCTACAGCAGTGATTTTAAAATGATGGATGTGACCCTATGGTGGATAATAATGTAAAATCAGTGAGAGTTGATCAGCATTGGGAATGAAGTAGAATAAAATAGAAAGCATTGCAGTGTGTCTCAGGTACATTCTTACTGGGAAATCCCTAGTTTCTGGCTTTGGTGTAACTATCCAAATGACTTGGAATAGGCTTATTTCCTTAATGGCATAAACATTATATATTTATGACAGCTAGATATGAATGAGTTGACCAGACGTTGAAGATCAATTATTTGCTAGGTGGTGATTACTGAAAAAGAGCTGAGGAACATAAAACCGGCTAAGAAACTGGAGAAATGAGAGGGGGTGGGCAGAGAAGTTTTCCAGAAAACCACATGAAAACAGCAGAGTGCCAGGCCAGTAGTCAGAGAGATTTAGCCTTCAGGGAAGAGTTGGCAAAAAGAAGACTGGCGGGGTCTCATAGGCAAACTTTGCGTTGCACAGTTTTGCCTATGTCCACTTTTAGAAATGCGATATTGTCAACTGGAGACTCATAATTTATATCTAAGGAATTTCTAGACAGGCGCCATAAATGCTGCCTTTTCCTAGTGAATTGAAGAATTTAGGAATGTCACTGCATACTCTGTCGTTCTGTATCCCCGTTCCCCAGGTCAAAACCCATGTATTAGATGTGAGCTATAGGCAATGTCTGTACCCAATTTCTTCATCTCACTCATAGTTGAATGCTGAGATTGTTGAATGGTCAGAACAAAGCCATATCTTTTTTTTTTTTTTTTTTTTTTTGAGACGGAGTCTCGCTCTGTCGCCCAGGCTGGAGTGCAGTGGCGCGATCTCGGCTCACTGCAAGCTCCGCCTCCCGGGTTCACGCCATTCTCCTGCCTCAGCCTCCCGAGTAGCTGGGACTACAGGCGCCCGCTACCACGCCCGGCTAATTTTTTGTATTTTTAGTAGAGACGGGGTTTCACCGTGTTAGCCAGGATGGTCTCGATCTCCTGACCTCGTGATCCGCCCGCCTCGGCCTCCCAAAGTGCTGGGATTACAGGCGTGAGCCACCGCGCCCGGCCCAAAGCCATATCTTAAGGCAAGAATGAAAAGATAGAAGCCCCTCTAACTGTAGGTTAAGCAAGAGTCCAAGATCTCTCCTAGCAGTGGCATGGGGAAGGGTTGAGTATTTTAATTAGTGAATATTAAACAGAACATGTCAAGTCATGTGAATAGTTTTGGGTGCTGCAATTTGAGAGGGATATCAGCAAACCAGGATGTGCTCAGAAAAGGAAAAAGATGGTTTACATGTTATAGATCTGGAAACAAATAATATGAGAAGATATTAAAGGAAGTAAGAACTTACTTATTCAGGAGGGTAGTAAGAGCCCCTATTACATTGCTAGCACTGGACTAAAGTCTGAAGACACAGCAAAAGCAATTCTAACAAAGTTTAGTCAACGAAAAAGAGAAGCATTTAGGGAGATGTGAAAGTGGCCATCATTTATTTTAAGGACATTTATGCAGACAGAGGATAGACTTGACCTCTTTTTGTTTCATTTCATTATTTGTTAAGAAAAAAAAAATGAGGAGGGTGAGAAGGAAAAAGAGAGAAAGAAGAGGGAGGAGGAGAGACACAGTTTGACCAAACTGATGCTTTTCACCAGGGGCGGCCCAGATTTTGTGAGACCTAAAGCTTATGTAATTTGGGGACCCTTTTTAAGAAAAGAACATTATATATGTAAATTAATATTCATTTAGAATTTCAGAGTTTTAAAGTGTTGACAAATACTAGAAACATCCCGAAGTCCAGAAAAAAAGAACCATGTTTTTGTTAGTTAATTGCCTAACTCACAACTTTATGGTACATTTTAGCCTACATTTTGGACTGCGAACTCCTCGAACAACTTTTCCTATAGCAACAATGTTGTAATATTAATTTCTATGTTTGTATATAGAAGAGAATAAGAGATAGAGCAAATGGAGAGACACTTCAGTCTTTCTTGTAGCATAGTTGATAGAAAGGTGTTTTTAACTATTGATAGTTTAGAAATTTTTCCACAGAATAGCTTTTGGTGCTGAACATTTCAAGCCTCCTTCTCCTATCATGATCACATATGCACTGTGGAGCTTCTGGGTAGATTTCTCTTTGATTTGTAAGTTTCTTCTGTGGAGCCCTAGTATTTCTCCAGAAATGCCTCAGGTAGATCTTGATTACTCCACCTTCTACCTCCATGCATGGAACAACTGATGTAGAGTTCTCTGTCCAAATTTTAACTAGAGAAGCTCTGCTTTTTCCAGCCATATAGAGTGGACTTCCAAAATCCAAGGAGATGACAAAGGTGAGCAGCCAAGGAAACCTGCCCTAGGTGCAGGCAATAGGGGGTGCATTGTCTGAAGATGATTTAGAAATAATAATTAATACAGTTAAAAACTGATCTGCTTTTTATTATCACCATGTACCAGCAATTCTAAACAATGTCAGTGAAAAAATACTCCTTCACCAGAAAACTTTTGTTAGACTCCATTGAAAATAACTGTTGTAGCTCCTCTGGTGTTTTATTTTTTTTATTTTTTGTTATTATTTTTCCATTTTCGTTTTCTCTTTTTTTAATTATACTTTAAGTTTTAGGGTACATGTGCACAACGTGCAGGTTTGTTACATATGTATACATGTGCCATGTTGGTGTGCTGCACCCATTAACTCGTCATTTAACATTAGGTATATTTCCTAATGCTATCCCTCCCCCCTCCCCCCACCCCAAAACAGGCCCTGGTGTGTGATGTTCCCCTTCCTGTGTCCATGTGTTCTCATTGTTCAATTCCCACCTATGAGTGAGAACATGCGGTGTTTGGTTTTTTGTCCTTGCGATAGTTTGCTGAGAATGATGGTTTCCAGCTTCATCCATGTCCCTACAAAGGACATGAACTCATCATTTTTTATGGCTGCATAGTATTCCATGGTGTATATGTGCCACATTTTCTTAATCCAATCTATCATTGTTGGACATTTGGGTTGGTTCCAAGTGTTTGCTATTGTGAATGGTGCCGCAATAAACATACGTGTGCATATTTCTTTATAGCAGCATGATTTATAATCCTTTGGGTATATACCCAGTAATGGGATGGCTGGGTCAAATGGTATTTCTAGTTCTAGATCCCTGAGGAATCGCCACACTGACTTCCACAAGGGTTGAACTAGTTTACCGTCCCACCAACAGTACATAAGTGTTCCTATTTCTCCACATCCTCTCCAGCACATGTTGTTTCCTGACTTTTTAATGACTGCCATTCTAACTGGTGTGAGATGGTGTCTCATTGTGGTTTTGATTTGCATTTCTCTGATGGCCAGTGGTGATGAGCACTTTTTCTTGTGTCTTTTGGATGCATAAGTGTCTTCTTTTGAGAAGTGTCTGTTCATATCCTTTGCCCACTTTTTGATGGGGTTTTTTTGTTTTTTTCTTGTAAATTTGTTGGAGTTCATTATAGATTCTGGATATTAGCCCTTTGTCAGATGAGTAGATTGCAAAAATTTTCTCCCATTCTGTAGGTTGCCTGTTCACTCTGATGTTAGTTTCTTTTGCTGTGCAGAAGCTCTTTAGTTTAATTAGATCCCATTTGTCAATTTTGGCTTTTGTTGCCATTGCTTTTGGTGTTTTAGACATGAAGTCCTTGCCCATGCCTATGTCCTGAATGGTATTGCCTAGGTTTTCTTCTAGGGTTTTTATGGTTTTAGGTCTGACATTTAAGTCTTTAATCCATCTTGAATTAATTTTTATATAAGGTGTAAGGAAGGGATCCAGTTTCATCTTTCTGCATATGGCTAGCCAGTTTTCCCAGCACCATTTATTGAATAGGGAATCCTTTCCCCATTGCTTGTTTTTGTCAGGTTTTCAAAGATCAGATAGTTGTAGACATGCGGCATTATTTCTGCAGGCTCTGTTCTGTTCCATTAGTCTATATCTCTGTTTTGGTACCAGTACCATGCTGTTTTGGTTACTGTAGCCTTGTAGTATAGTTTGAAGTCAGGTAGCGTGATTCCTCCAGCTTTGTTCTTTTTGCTTAGGATTTTCTTGGCAATGTGGGCTCTTTTTTGGTTCCATATGAACTTTAAAGTAGTTTTTTCCAATTCTGTGAAGAAAGTCATTGGTAGCTTGATGGGGATGGCATTGAATCTATAAATTACCTTGGGCAGTATGGCCATTTTCACGATATTGATTCTTCCTACCCATGAGCATGGAATGTTCTTCCATTTGTTTGTATCCTCTTTTATTTCATTGAGCAGTGGTTTGTAGTTCTCCTTGAAGAGGTCCTTCATGTCCCTTGTAAGTTGGATTCCTAGGTATTTTATTCTCTTTGAAGCAATTGTGAATGGGAGTTCATTCATGATTTGACTCTCTGTTTGTCTGTTATTGGTGTATAAGAATGCTTGTGATTGTTGCACATTGATTTTGTATCTTGAGACTTTGCTGAAGTTGCCTATCAGCTTGAGGAGATTTTGGGCTGAGACGATGGGGTTTTCTAGATATACAATCATGTCATCTGCAAACAGGGACAATTTGACTTCCTCTTTTCCTAATTGAATACCCTTTATTTCCTTCTCCTGCCTGATTGCCCTGGCCAGAACTTCCAACACTATGTTGAATAGGAGTGGTGAGAGAGGGCATCCCTGTCTTGTGCCAGTTTTCAAAGGGAATGCTTCCAGTTTTTGCCCATTCAGTATGATATTGGCTGTGGGTTTGTCATAGATAGCTCTTGTTATTTTGAGATACCTCCCATCAATACCTAATTTATTGAGAGTTTTTAGCATGAAGCGTTGTTGAATTTTGTCAAAGGCCTTTTCTGCATCTATTGAGATAATCATGTGGTTTTTGTCATTGGTTCTGTTTATATACTGGATTATGCTTATTTATTTGCGTATGTTGAACCAGCCTTGCATGCCAGGGATGAAGCCCACTTGATCATGGTGGATAAGCTTTTTGATGTGCTGCTGGATTCGGTTTGCCAATATTTTATTGAGGATTTTTGCATCAATGTTCATCAGGGATATTGGTCTAAAATTCTCTTTTTTTGTTGTGTCTCTGCCAGGCTTTGGTATCAGGATGATGCTGGCCTCATAAAATGAGTTAGGGAGGATTCCCTCTTTTTCTATTGATTGGAATGGTTTCAGAAGGAATGGTACCAGCTCCTCCTTGTACCTCTGGTAGAATTCGGTTGTGACTCCATCTGGTCCTGGACTTTTTTTGGTTGGTAAGCTATTGATTATTGCCACAATTTCAGATCCTGTTATTGGTCTATTCAGAGATTCAACTTCCTCCTGGTTTAGTCTTGGGAGGGTGTATGTGTCGAGGAATTTATCCATTTCTTCTAGATTTTCTAGTTTATTTGCATAGAGGTGTTTATATTATTCTCTGATGGTAGTTTGTATTTCTGTGGGATTGGTACTGATATCCCCTTTATCATTTTTTTATTGCATCTATTTGATTCTTCTCTTTTCTTCTTTATTAGTCTTGCTAGCGGTCCATCAATGTTGTTGATCTTTTCAAAAAACCAGCTCCTGGATTCATTAATTTTTGAAGGGTTTTTTGTGTCTCTATTTCCTTCAGTTCTGCTCTGATCTTAGTTATTTCTTGCCTTCTGCTAGCTTTTGAATGTGTTTGCTCTTGCTTCTCTAGTTCTTTTAATTGTGATGTTGGGGTGTCAATTTTAGATCTTACCTGCTTTCTCTTGTGGGCATTTAGTGCTATAAATTTCCCTCTACACACTGCTTTGAATGTGTCCCAGAGATTCTGGTATGTTGTGTCTTTGTTCTCATTGGTTTCAAAGAACATCTCTATTTCTGCCTTCATTTCATTATGTACCCAGTAGTCATTCAGGAGCAGGTTGTTCAGTTTCCATGTAGTTGAGCGGTTTTGAGTGAGTTTCTGAATCTTGAGTTCTAGTTTGATTGCACTGTGGTCTGAGAGACAGTTTGTTATAATTTCTGTTCTTTTACGTATGCTGAGGAGTGCTTCACTTCCAACTATGTGGTCAATTTTGGAGTAGGTGTGGTGTGGTGCTGAAAAGAATGTATATTCTGTTGATTTGGGGTGGAGAGTTCTGTAGATGTCTATTAGATCCGCTTGGTGCAGAGCTAAGTTCAATTCCTGGATATCCTTGTTAACTTTGTGTCTCGTTGATCTGTCTAATGTTGGCAGTGGGGTGTTAAAATCTCCCATTATTATTGTGTGGGAGTCTAAGTCTCTTTGTAGGTCTCTAACGACTTGCTTTATGAATCTGGGTGCTCCTGTATTGGGTTCATATAGATTTAGGATAGTTAGCTCTTCTTGTTGAATTGATCCCTTTACCATTATGTAATGGCCTTCTTTGTCTCTTTTGATCTTTGTTGGTTTAAAGTCTGTTTTATCAGAGACTAGGATTGCAACCCCTGCCTTTTTTTGTTTTCCATTTGCTTGGTAGATCTTCCTCCATCCCTTTATTTTGAGCCTATGTGTGTCTCTGCACATGAGATGGGTTTCCTGAGTATTCACTGGTTTCTCTTCAGATCAAATAACTCTTTCGCCTTTTCCTCTGGTGTTTTAATAATATATATGTAAGATTCATAATAGCCCATTATAACTTATACTATATTCTTCATGGAAGTTAATTTGGAAAACTCCCAGCTTCCAATACACTAGACTTAGTTATAGGAACGAGTTTCTGGAGTAAGTTTCTAATGGTTCTGAAGCATTCAATCTTACTTTGGCTACAGTCCTTGTCCCCAGTCTCTGTGGTATTACATATTTTTGTGGTTAGACAAATTTTAAATAAAAAAAATTAATAGAATGATTGCAAAAATGAAGAAACACAACTTGAGTTAGAGAAGTTTTGTTATTCTATGTGACCACTTAGAGATTTGTTTGTGCTTAAAATATAAACTAGTGATTGATACAAATTACAAACCATGAAGTATACTATTTCTGTTTGGTGAGTGCAAATTTTAGTTCATAGGACAAATTATTAATTTCAATAATATATCTAAAATGAAAATTTATTCTTTTAAGATTATTTGTTTAAAAACAAACAATAATTAGAAAGTAATGGTGAGTGATTATCACATTATTATTACTGAAAATAATGTGATTGTATAGAGGAGGGGATTGTTTATTAAAAAAACAGTCTTCACAAGATGTCAAATATGATAGGTATACTAGTCCACAAATCAAGTTTTGAAGTCACTGGATTAGTGGGCCAAGCCTCAGAACTGCAGGGAGGGCAGTGATACACAGTTTTAAGAGGGAGAGCTTTGCTTCTCTACTTCAACTGAAAGAAATGCTTTTCTAAGCAATTGGAATTATCCAAAAATGAAATGGGCTGCCAGACAGCTAAAAATTTTCCAGAGGAAATGGTGAAGCAGTCTCACTAATTACTTATTACAAATTTTGTGGAAGAGGCTCCAGTATGAAACACAAAACAAAAAAGAGGGATGATTAAAAACTCAGGATTATTTCCAAGACTCTGATTTTTTAAAATTTTAAAATATTTAATCAAGAAACAACAATTGTATACGTTCAAGATGTACAACATGATTATTGTTCTACACACACACATGCACACACACATAATGTAATAATTACCACAGTCAAATTAATATATCACTACTCAGAGTTACGTGTGTGTGTGTGCGTGTGTGTACATGTGTGTGGTGAGGACACTTAAAATCTGCTCTCATACCATATTTCAAGTAAACAATATAGTATTTTTAACTATAGTCACCACACTGTACATTAGAGCTTATTCATCTTGTAACTGAAAGCTTGTAACTTTTGAACAACATATCTTCTTTTCCTCTACCCCAGCCCCTGAAAACCACCATTCTATTATCTGCTTCCATCAGTTTAACTTTTTTAGATTCTACATGCAAGTGAGATCAAATGATATTTGTCCTTTGGAGTCTAGCTTACTTCACTTAGTATAATGTCCGGTAAGTGTATCCATGTTGTTGCAAATGGCAGGATTTCCATCTTTTTTCATGCTGAGTAATGTTCCATTATACATCGCATTTTCCTTATCTATCCATCCTTAGATGAACATTTAGATTGTTTCTGTATCTTGGATATTGTGAGTAATGCCACAGTGAGCATGGTAGTGCAGATATCTCTGAAATGTTGATCTTATTTCCTTTGGAAATGAATATAGATATCCATATTCCCTACACGATTTGGGGTTTTCAGCCAGCACTTCTTTAAATAAACTTTCTGCCCTTTCTCTCTTGTTTTTCCTTCTGAAACTCCTATAATTATAAAATTCTTACGCTTGATGTCCCATAAGTTCTTTATGCTTTAATTATTTTTTTCTTTTTGTTCATCTAATTGGTTAATTTCAAACGGCCTGTCTTTAGGTTCATTAATTCTTTCTCGTGCATAATTGATTCTGCTCTTAATGATCTCAGTTGAGTCTTCCAGTTCTATTATGGTATTCTTCAGCTCTAGGATTTCTGGTTCATTGTTATTTCTTATTCTATATTACATTTCTCATTTTGTTAATCCATGGTTTTTCTAATTTTCTTTCATTGACTATCTGGGTTCACTTGTATCTCATTGAGCTTCTTTAAGATAATTATTTTGAATTCTCTTTTAGACAATCCATAGATCTCTATTTCCTTGGGGTTGGTTACTACAGCTTATTAGTAACTTTATTAGCTATATCAGTTTCTTTGAGTGATGTCATATTTGCTTGATTCTTTTTTATCTATGTAGCTTTGCATTGGTATCTATGCATTCGAAGGAGCAAATACTACTTCCAGTCTTTACAGACTGTTTTTGGCAGATAAAAGTCTTCTCAAGTTGAGCTCCCAGGCTGACAGGATTGCCTCCAAGATTGTAGTCAAGAGTGGTTGGAGCCAGGTCATGTGAGTTTTGCTGAGTTTACAATAAGGTCTGTGGTTAGTAGGTCTGTTACCAGGGGCTCAGGCAGATGTGAATCCTGCCTGGTCCCTAGCTGGACTGTATTGCCTCCAGGACCTTGGTCAGTAGGGCTGGTGCTGGAATGAGTAGCCACTTCAGAGTCCACAGATAGTAGGCTTGTTACCAGGTACACAAATGGTGTGGTTTCCTCCAGGTTTCTTGGAGTACTCTTACTGGGTCACTGGGTGCATCCCTGGGCAGTCAGTACTGGCCCTGGACTGCAGCTGAGAGAGTTGGGACCAAGTCACAGGGTTGCTTCAGGTCTAGTCTTGCCTCTGTAGATACAGACAGGTGTATCTCTCTCTAGGACCTTGGGTGGGCAAGACTGCTCTGAGACTGCAGCTGAGGGAGGCTAGAGCCAAGTTACAAAGCTATTTCAAGATCCTTAGTGAAACTGATATAAGGAGGCCTGCATGGACATTTTTGTTTCCCTCTGTGTCTCCAGGCAAGCAGAACTGTCTCAGAGTACAGCTGTGAGGGACTGCAGCTGAGGAATAGGGCCACTTCAGGATCTGCTGTGGAACTGACATAGGCAGACCTGCTCCAGGGACTAAGATAGACATGTCTTCCTCTGGGTATCTGTGTAGGCAAGATTGTTTGTTGAAGGCCAAAAGAATGAGGGTCATGATCAACTCAGTATACCACTGGAGGCTATATGAGTAAACAGCAAACTGTTCTCATGAAAGCAGGATGTTGGCAAACTGACAAACTGTGTCTGCCACCCAGAAGGAATGCTGAGGGCTGTCACGACCCAGACACAAGTAATTCTTATGATTAGGCAAATCTGAAGCCTGTTAGCAATAACATGAACCTGTGATCAATCAAGTGGCTGACCATTTGTTACCTCCTTCCTGTTCTTTCTACCCAATAAATTTAAAGGGCTGTAGAAGCTCAGCGTGGCTGCCTTTGCTCACTAGAAGCAGGGAGCTCTCTTCTTCTTCCCCTGACCCCTTCCTTTAAAACAGTTTCTTTTGTATTAAGTTTTCATTTCTACGTTTGTCCCCCTTCATTCAGTCTCATAATGACGGTCTCAAGTAGTGACAGTAGTAACTGTTGTAATGATGGTCTCAAGTGGAAACCATGGCAGTCAGCCACAATTGTTCTCATACCAGTGCTGAGAGGGGCTAGATCTTAGTGATAGGGCCATTTTAGGGTCCACTGTTATGACCAACGTTGGTAAGCCTGTCCTCTAAGGCACAAGTGGGCATGACTCCTCCAAGGTCCCTTGATGGATGGTTCTGGTAGCAAGACCAAGGTGAAATGGGGCTGTACACAAGTTCACAGAGGTACGGGGCCATTTCCAGGTCCAGAGTCTGGACCACATTGGCAAGCCTGCCACCTGAACATGGGTCTATCCTCTCAAAACGGCCCCACTAGCTCTTGGACTCCACCAGAATTTTACAGCCTTCTACCTGAATCCCAAAGCTTTCACTAAGTCACTTTTGTCCATGGATGGCTGCAAAATTATTGTTAATGTGGGGGCTTATGAGTTGGAGACCTCCTATTGCACCGTATTGCTGATGTCATTTTCTTTACCCTCTGTAATAATTCTACTCAACTCATGTAGATTAGTCATCTATTGCTGCATAACAAATGCCTCAAAACATATTGTCTACAAATAACAAATATTTATTATCTCATAGTTTCTATGGGTTGGGAATCTGGGTATGGCTTTGCTGGGTTCTGGCTCAAGGCCTCTTACAAGAATGCAAGAAAGCTGGGGCCAGAACTGTGTTCTCATCTGATGGTTCAATTGGAGAAGACCTACCTCCAAACTTACTCAAGTCAAGTGGCTATTGGCAGGCATTAAACACAAGTCAGCATGCTATATTTTATTTTAACACAGCCATGCTCATTGGTATACATATTGTCTATAGCTGTTTTCATGCTACAACAGCAGAATTCAGTACCTGTGTGTGTTACCTACATTTTCTTAACTTCTGTATTCTTGGTACTCTGATATCTTGTACCTTGCTGACCTGAAAGGGCAGCCCCTTCCAGGGTTAGCTTAATTCCTAGAAATAGTAAACAACTTGCCTGCAAGCACACTTTTGATATGCAAACCAACAAATCTGGAGCCTAAGACTTTAACTGCTCTTTTTATTGAGTCTTCACACTATCCTCCTGCCCAATCACATCGGGACCAGGTACTAGACAACTAGGAACAGCTCCTATAGTCCATATTCCACCAAAATTATTCCAACAATGCAAACTTAAGTCTGCTTAGCCTGTTTACCTCGCCTCATCCATTCCTTCCCTCAAAAACCACAATAAATGTTCTTGCTCACAGCACCTACCTCTGCCCACTCATCTCACCTTGGTGCTTCCTTCAGTAGCCCTATATGGCATGCCATGCCTCCTGCTTCTAGGGGACTGTGCCTATAATAAAACCTTCTTCCCTTATGATAAATTGTTTTCATATCTGTGTGTCTTACCATACTTAATTAAAACAAATCCAGGTACCATTAAATCATTGCAACAAAGGCCACATGACCTGCAAGGGCTAAGCTATTTACTATCTGACCTACAGAAAAGGGTTGCTGACCCTTTCTGTAGAACATATTCTTCCAAGTTGACTCACATGGCTATTGGCAACCTCAAAGTTTTCCAAGCTCACTTACATGAGCCTCTTGCTAAAGTGATCAACTGTTTCATATACCTGACTTTAAGGGCTAAATGCAGGAAAGTTTCAGGAAAACTAAGACAGTTGGTCACCCTGTCAAGACATGACAGCTGGCTTTCCCAAACTGAACAGCCTGAGAAGGAGTGTCCAGGAAGAAAGCCATAGTTATTTTATAACTTTTGCCAGAATTAATATTCCGTCACTCCTGCCATATTGTATTGTAAGTGAATTGGTAAGTCCAACACACACCAGAGGGAGATTCTATGAGACTATAAATATCAAGGAGCAGGGCTTATTGGGGTCCAACTTAGAAGCTGTCTACCACACTATCCTTCCCTTACCTATCTTTTTATCACTACAGCAATAAATGAAAAAATACTTTTTTAGTTTGTGTAGAGGATAAGCTAACATTTCTTGGTACCCTACAGTATTGGGTGTATATGCCCACTAACACATGAAGGAATCAAATGAATCTGAAACATTTAAATCATGCTGTATATAGCAAGGCAATAAGAAAATAATTCAAATATGTGAGATTTAATCTCTACTCTGATAATTAGTATTAAACTACTCATATCACTAATACATGAACATGGTTTATGGCATACCTTTCTCAGTGTGCATCAAATATGAAGCATCCTCAGATTTACTTAAGAAATATATAGACTCTTGTATTTAACATAATTAGTCCATAAAAGATCCTCTCATTGATATATTTCCCTTTCTTTTCCATTTTTCAATTTCTTTTATTCTAGAAAAGAGATCACTAGCTGAATGATTACTTAATAAACATCTACATTCCAATTATGATTTTCCCTTAATGTGGGTAATCTTTCCATTCATTTCTTTTCTGTTAGTAACATCTGCTTGAAAACATAATCTTTATTTATAAGAGATTATCTGTCCTTATAGTTCCTTTCCCTCTTGAAGCTTCAGTCTTAGAGTTCTAATATCACCATTAGTTGCTATAGAAATGGTTATGATGACACAAACAGGGGATTATGACTTCATGTCAGGAAAAAGCAGTGGGAAGCCCACTATTTTAAACAATGTGTTAACTCTGTAGCTAATTTCAAAATAAATGGGAGGGAACTACATTCAAGGAAGAAAATACTAGTTTGTTTTTTCAAGTATGCTATGTTTTAAAAATTGTATTTACCTGACTTAGAAGACTTTGTAGCATTCAATCTGTGATTTTTCTGATGAGTCATCATGTTTGTCACACTTTGGGTAACATTTTATTCAACTTATTTAAACTCCTCTCATGTTTATATACAATGGGTGATGAAACAGTGAATGAGCTGATATTGCCATTTCAGTCTTAATGATAAATACCAATCTCTATAGTCATAGCAATTACAGGACAGTCTCCAGAGATCCTTAAGAGGACCAAATAAATGAATTGAGAGTGGTGCATTTCATGTGTTTCATAAGTGTACACAACCTCTATCTAAAATAAATATCAAAACACTGAGAAACTCATATTAACTTGAATTCTGCCACATAAAACATGATCTAAGAGCCAGCTTTCAGAATGGCAATGTTATTTATTGCGGAGAGGAAATGCCATATGGAGAGGGAGCCCTGGGACCTGGAGTATGGGTTTAGCTACTCCTTGGCTTCAGTCTATAACCTTGGGCAATTCATGGAACCTCCCGGGGTCTCCATTTCATGGGAACAGTGATGGTAATAGGAAAATCTCTCCTACAATTGCTGCCCCGGGATCCTCTAAGAATTAATGAGATAATGTCTACAGAGCATTCTCAAGCCCTTAGACAAAATGAGAAAGATAACTAAGAAATAGTTTAAGATATTTTAAATCAGGATTAGACTCCAATTTGATTTTTTTTAAAGATAGACTGCTTAAGGCTGAATTTTTCTTAAGAAATCCAAAGGTCACAGAAAGTAATCAAGCTGGGTTGCACTACAGATTTTAAAATAATCCCATTATCTTTATCAATTATGAGGCTGATTCTGGCAAACCAAATGGATTTCTGTTTATAATGAGGAAATGTGAAGGGGGTTGTGTTAGGCAATAATGGCCAAATTGTAATTTATTTCCCAGCCAAATATTATCTTTCAATTTACATTTAGTTCAAAGGTATCTTACAATGAGTGTTTACATTTCAAAAATTCAGCCAGGAAATGTTTAGCTTTCATTTTATTGTTTTGTTGTGAAGGACAGCTTTTCTATTTATTTATTTGTTTACAGAATTTAACCCTATATATCTGGGTGATATTTGGAAAATATTATTTAACACACATCAACTGTATTTAATGGTAATAATTAAGGAGTACCCATTTCACCACACTGTGACTGGTTTTCTAGCAACCTCAGTCTTACTAAAAAGTGTATTTAAATTCTGATTCTAAAATAGGATAAAATAAATAGGCATTTTAAAATCATGATGTAGATATCTAATTAACTGACATAAAATATGCTAATGGCATATGAAAAAACAGCTTAAGATTCATCATCATGTATAATATGTGTATGTTGTGAATATTACTAAGAAAAATTCTTTGTGTGTATACATGGAAATACAGATAACAGTGGTTATCTGTGCAGTGGAATGTAAACAATTTTTTATTTTCATATAATAAGCAGATATTAGTTTTCTAATCAGTAACAAATAAAGCTAATTTTTTAAGAAAGTTAGAATAATTTTTACCTTTCTCTGTGTTTCTATGGGTTTTGTGAGGATCAGTTGAGATAATGAATATAAAAGTAACTTGGAAACTGTGAATTGTTCTGCAAGTGTGTATTGTTGGCGATGTTATATTCCAAATTTGAAGTCCTTCAAGAGTTAAGACTACTTCTCTGTCCATTACATTGCATTGCAGCTGTGTAAAAATATTTTCTTCATTTGGAAAGCACCCCTAAATCCCTTTTACAAGTTAGAAAAAAAGCACAACACATTTCCTTCACACCTCAAATATCACAGATGGAAAACTGTCATTTTGCCTCACTATTTCCTGTGCTAAAATGATAAAAAAAAATAATGTGGCAAATGGCTAATCTATGCCTTAAGAAAATTTAAAATTTTAACTATTTCTGCTTGTAAGTGACTATTTGTGAATGAATTAATTTTTGCCCAGTAACAATTTCTTAATGAATTGAATGTGCAAATGTCAATGAAAGTTTATCTACAATTAACAGCAAGACTTGGTGTGACTGATTTATGTAGTGCCTGTTCCTAAAGAAGTCAATGTGTAGTGTTCTGAATGGAGAACCCACAGTCGACCCACAATAGTTTAGACTGATAATACAAACAGCTTGAAATTACATAATAATTTCTCATGTCATTTTCTGATATGTAAATCTAAAAGTAAACAAAGAAGTAAAAATATCCTTTTAAAGTTTTATGATGATTTTAGTATGACTACATGATCCATACGATCAATAATGCATAATCAATAATGCAGGCATGTAACTACAAACAAGACACCAAGGTAAATTTTAAAACTCTCTATTTCAGATATTAGAATTTATGAAATGCACATAAGTAATATTGGTTTCCAACTCTTCAGTAGATATCGATGTTTTTATTATTATAAGTAAATAATGAAACAAGTTCAGTGCGCACTGGTTAGTAGCTTGTCTAAGTCCTGTGAGACAGAACACCCATGCACACAACAGGTTACATGAACTGGGCTTACTACTTACAGATAGACAGCAAGGGAGAATAAAAGCCTAGGATTCATTGCAAGCTGATACTCAAGGATCAAGAAAGCTGCCCAAAGGGGATGGAGTCTCAAGTACGGGTGCCCTACTTGTACTACAGCTGAGGGACCATGGAAAGCAGTCTACTCTGGATTTTATGCACCAGAGGTGACATTACTTGCTGGGATAAAGCATTGAAGAACATCCTGTTTCTTGGGAGGATAAAACAGAGCCCAGGCTGTTCCAGCAAGTTCCCTCTTATCTCAAGGTGTTGCTTTCTTAGAACATTCTACAGTTATTCTTGAGAACTACAAGCAGAAAAGAGGGAGAAGTGATTTGGTCCCAGGCCACCTGGAGAACAATAATGCATAAATATTATCATATCTTAGCTGGTTAATTCAAATTCAAAAACACTTCTGAAAAAATCATGAGCTATTTGAAGTTATTTTGTCTGCTAATTTTAATTGTGCTTTATTGTTCCTACTATCATCATTCAGTTCTGTTACTGGATGTGTCCACCAATCTTCTATTGCATCCCATGTTTTTTCAATAGTAGCTTTTGCTACCCTTAAAAAAGTGAAGTTGCAAAGTTATCCTGCCTGGGAATCTGCATCCATAGACTTGGTACTTCCAGCATGTGCAAAATAGCATGCAGGTTTTGGGAGGTCCATAGGTATCAGTTAGTAATGGAGTCCTACATCCAAGTACCAAAATTGGTATCACTGTAAAAAGATTTTCTTGTTAAATAAAATAGCAGTATAGATTAATTTCTGCAAAATATAACTAAGATAAAATTATTTAAAATAACAATATAAAAGAAAATGAAGACAATATAAAATATGTAATTTTTCCAAATAAACAGTCATTCATCATTTCTTAAAATCAATCCTGACTCATTAAAGACTGTCCAGACGTCATGACATTCTGGAATTTTGTGCTTTAGAGTACCTGATGACTTGCAGTGTAGCTTCTACTTGCTTGTCTAATAATGGGATAATTGCAGGAACTTAAAAGATAACATGGGGATTTTTCTCTAAGTGGTGGCCTTACCAAGGCAGAAACTGAACCCTTAACCCTGATTCCTAATAAGCCCAGGAACCTAGATTCTTAAAAGCTGAGTTCTTCTTGGTAAAATGGACCTTCCAGATATGACTGTCTTTATTTCCTTCTTTCTTTTTGCTCAAACTCTCTGTAGAGAGACAAACACAAGGTTTGGTAGACACTGGTGATATCCATATCTGTACCTTAGATTCTTTCCTTTTGGCGCACCAAACCTGTATCCAAATGGCCAGCTATAATTTATCAACTGTATAACACACAGGAACTGAAAATGTTTAAAAACAAACTCATGATAGTCCTCTACCAAACCTCCATCTATTCTGATATTATGTTAGAAGTTTTAGGGTCACGGTAAATATCTCAATTTTTCAAACTTCAATATCCTCATTTGTAAAATGCTGACAATTAATATTTTTCTCTTTATAGAGAATTATGAGGCTTAAATGGAATATGGATGTAAAGAGCTTAGCATAGTGCCTGGTACAGTGTTAGCTCTTAGTACGCATTACATAGTGGAAATAGTGGTGGAGGTTGGTGATCTCCATATCTTCTAGTTTTTTTTCAAATCGTTGTCTGCTTCTTTATTTGCTTCTGAATCTAGAATGTGAACCCACATATACAAGAAACCTATTGTAGTCATCTTTATTCCTGGCATAGTGATTATCTGCTGTTTGTTGAATGGCTGGATTCATAAAAATTGCCTACTTTTATTGTACTCTATAACCATACACATTTGATATCAAACTTCTTCTTTTATGCTCTTTATTTTGAGCTTGACGACTATCCTGTGAGTCAAGTAAAGCAGATATTACCATCTTCAATATCCAAGGAGAGAAGATGAGAGGTTAAGTGACTTGCCTAAGCTTACATAACAAGTAAATGGTGGGTGTTGAAAATAATTTCTGAATCTGAGTATATTATGTGTTCCTCATAGCATTAAAAACACAATCATCTTTCTGCCAATTATACCTTTATTTAATTCAAATTGGATCTATATATAAGGACATGAGAGAAACAGCTGGAACAGAAATAAGAGTGAGTATACTTTTAGAAAGATACAGTTAATGATTTCCTCAATAATGATTTTATCTTAAGTCCAAATGGGCTGTGTTCGTCCATAAAAATTGGCTTGCCATGAAAACTGAGCTCCATACAAAGTGAAAAGACTGCCAAAGCCTTCTAGGTTGATGACTGATCTCCTTCAGAGCCAGTATAAATTATTTTAAGCTCCAAGAGCATGATTATATAATAATGTTCCCACTTGTCAAAGCTACATACATGTATGTCTCTCATAAAGGAAATTAAAAATGAGAGTTTTGAGTAGATCAGAGAATTTAGTAATCTGCCTCTGATTTTTTAATGTAACGATGCCCTCTGGGTTAGATGAGACTGACCTGGTTCTGGCCTGGTTCTGTGATGGGAAATGATTGGGCCTGAGAGAAGCTGAAAAGGGTTCAGTGGAACCCCCATGTACCCCTACCAAACACACCAAGTACAGAGAGGCAAGGAACTTGAATCTTTCCACAACAGGGAGTTCCAGGTAGCTCCATGTTCTGGCACGTATTCATGTTTTACTTTGGGTATATAGGAAGGATCAGAAGAGAGCAGATAGTTCATCTTTTCCAAAGAGCCTGTAACACATTCCTGGCATGGCTTCCACTGATAACTGTACCCAAGGGATGTATGCTGTCATCTTATGTTTGGAAATATATCAGAAAATAAATGTGCCAAGAGCTCACAGGGAAACCACAGATTATAGATTATAAAGTGGAAGATTGGAGCCTCTAGCAGGGTAGGCAAAAGACCACCGCTGCAAACACAGTGGGGTGAATAACTTATAAACTGTAGATAATGGCAATGAGACAACAACAGAAATGAATATTGTTGAGAGATCTGATACGAAAGAAAAATAGCTTTCTCCTTTGATGTGGAAGGTTTAAAAGAATATTAGCACAAACCATTCTAATGAAATGGTGGGAGCTGTGAGAGCATATGTGTCTTCCTACCTTCTTTTTCAAATGATTTTCTTGTTGGAAGCACAAAGGAAAAAAAAAATGAATGTTGAAGCTTTGGGGAATTTCCATTAATATGACAGAGTGGATGCGCCCAGTGTCCCATGATCTTATTTTTTGACAAGTTTCTCTGAGACATGCAGTCATGTTGTCAGGTTACGCTTTTTAACAATGGAAAGCATTCCCATTTCCTTGCAAATGTCAAGCATATTGAAGAAGTAGATAGAGACCACTATCTGGTTCTAATGTGAATCCTTCCCATCCCACTTCCCTCCCATCACAGAAAAATCCTGCTGTTCCTTTTGGAGATGACAAGCTAGGATTGATTAGAGGGTGTGCACACTGATACATGAATGTGCAACAATTTAGACTACCCCGGTTCCATTTTCACTTTCGTGTTTGAAGTTCAGACTTTGTATGGATTGAATGTAAATTAGAATAGGACACTCAGCTGATTGGAGTCCACACCTCTCATGCTGCATAACATTCTATGGCTGGTCTCTGCATAGCCTTTTAATGTTTTTCTCTTACCCCACTCAGTTTATATTTAATTATCTTTACAATTAAAAGCTTTATTAAGTAAAAATACTTTGCACTTTCAGGGCAACCTGAAATCTTCACCTTTCTACTGCTCATTGTGAAATGGTAACATTTTTAAAACGTTGCCGTCATGTCATTTAGAATGAACTTATGACTCCCTTGTGTTTCAAGGGTGTGGAAATACTTCTTCACAAACCTAGAAATTCTTTAGGAGGCTCTCCTTCATTTTTTGGCTGTCAAAAGACAGCCTAAAATACGTGGTCTTTTTTGTAACTGTCCACCATAGGACGGTAATGTAAAAAGGGGGCACAAATTGACTCAGAAAGAAGGAACCATATAAAGTACACTGTACTGTGTCATACATTTATCGAATATGTTGTTTTCATAACTGTCATTCGATTGGGAAAAATATAAGGTTGTGTATTAGTCAGATTTTACTGGGTGAAGCTATGGTAACAAAAAAATCCCCAAACTGTGGTGGCTTATAAAAACAAAGGCTATTCCTCACACATTACAAGCTCTTTATGGTACAACTGTGGTTGTGGTTCTGCTGGGTTCCTCAAGACATGTTTTCTTCAATCTGAGATCCACACAGAAGGATCAGCCTCTACCTGGTTGTACTATTCTCATGAAAGAGAGAAAAGAGCAAGAGTTTGAACAGAAACTCCTGATCCTCTTTAAGCTTCCGCTCTCCATTGGCCAACTACTTTGGCTCAGATTTCACTGGCCAGGAGCCCGGGCATTCCAGGCCTGATATCAGTGAGGTGCGAAAGTATAGCTCTCCACTGAAAGACTCTGTAAGTCACATGGCAACAAGCAGGTCATACAATCCTCTTATTGGATCAGGGTGCAGGTAATTGAAATAAATATAAAATCTACTATAGCCTCATACAAGAAAAAGATTATTCTTCATCCCAACTCTCTCTATATATACATAAAAGTATATAATACATATTCACTCTATATGTGTACATATATATGTGTGTATATGTATGTGTGTATGTATGTATGTACACATTGGATATGTATATGTCATATATATACACACACATATATGTATAATTTTCTCTTCTAATTAGTCTTCTTCTACAAACAGAAGTAATACAGTTTTATTGCCACTATACCTTCAAGCTATATTATAATTGTTTATTAAATATTTATTTGAGTGCTTATAAGATGCTAAACAAAAAGTGTGCACAGGAAAACAGCATGATTCCTACTTGGGGTGAAGAAGGAAGAAAACTATTCTAATACTTTATAGAAGCTACACGGTATATTGAAAATGTTAGAGTCATGGGAAGAGAAAGTTTAGGTCATGTATTTTGCTAGGAACAATGAGAAAATGCAGACAAAACTAAGGTGAACCCCTTCACCATTCCCAGGACTACTGTGCAGTCAACATTTACCTAACGGATGAATCAGTTAGCTTTTGTTGCATGATAAACTATCCCCAAACAGTGATGTAAAACAGCAGCAGTTGATTTAGATAATGACCCAGCGGGTTGACTGAGCCGTTCTTCTGGTCCGAGCTGACTTACCTGCTCTTGGCTGTACTTGCTCCTGCATATGTGGTCAGCTGGTTGTTCAGTAGCCAGCTAGGTGATCTAGGATGGTCTTACCCACATAACTGTGGTTGGACAGGGTGTCAGGAGCAACTGAGCACATGAAGCTTAGCATTCAGCTGGCAAGCCTGAGTGCCTTAGTTTGTTTTCTGTTGCTAAAACAGAATACCACAGACTGGGTAATTATAAAGAAAATAAATGCATTTCTCATAGTTCTGGAGGCTGGGATGTCCAAAAGCATGGTGTCAGCATCTGGCAAGAGTCTGCATGCTGTGTCATCCCAGGGCAGAAGGTGGAAGGGCAAGAGAGGGCAAGATTGAGACAGTGAGAGGATGGAGACTGAATTCATCCTTTTATCTGGAACCCACTCCCTTTATAACTAACTCACTCCTGAAATAATGGCATTTTTATCTATCCATCATGGCAGGGCCTTCATAACCTAATCACGTCTTAAGGGTTTCACCTCTTAATACTGTTACAATGGCAATGACATTTTAACATGAGTTTTGCATAGCATTCCACCCCTGGCCCTCCAAAATTCATGTCCTTCTCGCATAGAAAATACATACATTTTATTTCAATAGCCCCAAAAATATTAACTCATTTCAACATCAGCTCAAAATTCCAGAGTCCAGAGCCTAATCTAAATCAGATATGGGTGAAAATCAAGGTACAATTCATCCTGAGGGAAATTCCTCTCCAGCCGTGAGCCTGTAAAACCAAGATAAATGATGTTCTTCCAAAATAGAATGCTGGATAAGGCATAAGATAGATATTTCTACCCCAAAACGGAAAAATAGGCAAGAAGGGTCTCAAGTAAGTCCAAAATCCAAGAGGGGAAACAATGTTAAATCTTACAGCTGGAGGATAATCTCCTTTGACTCCATATCCTTAACCCTGGGCATCCCGGGGTGAGGATTGGGCCCTCAAGACTTCAGGTAGTGCTACCTCTATGGCTTTGCTGGCTGAGTCCATCCATCAATTCTCACAGGTTAAAGTTTCATGCCTACAGCTTTTTTACTCCCATGGTTCAACTAAGCATTGCTCTTGCAGGGACTCTCTATAGGGGCCCAAATCCTGCATTTCTGTTTGGTACTGCCTTAGTAGGGGTTCTTTGCAGTGGCCCTGCTGCTAGAACAAGTCTCTGTCTTGGCCCACAGGCTGTTTGCAAAATTCTTTCAAATGTAGGTGGAGAGAGCCATGTCTCCACAGCTCTTGCATTCCATGTTCCTGCAGAATTACCACCATGTTGATGCTGCCAAGATTTGTGGCTTGTACCTTTTAGACCAATGGGTTAAGCTGCATCTGGGTCTGCTTCAGCCATGACTAAAGTGGCCAAGTGTTGTTTTGTTTTTTGTTTTTTGGGGTTTTTTTTGTTTGTTTGTTTTATGATTTTTTTTTTTGACTGTAGAATGCAGAGACCTGAAGCAGTTCTGGGCAGAGACTCCATGGAAGATGTGCTAGGTTCCCCAAAACCATTTTGCCCTCCCAGAGCTCTGGGTTTGTGATGGGAAAGGCAGCCTTAAAGATGTTAGAAATGCCTTTAGCATCATTCTGTAACAGTCTTGATGATCTCTTCTAATCCTAATCATCTCCTAGTAAACCACAACTTGGCCACATCCTTGGTTTGCTCTCCTAAACAGGTGTTTTTCATACTTTAAATGGCCAGGCTGCAATTTTTCAAAATATTTTTATTCTGCTTCTCTTTTAATTAGAAATTTTGCCTTTAAGTCACTTTTCCTTTTGCATCTTACTGTATGCAGTTAAAAGTAGCCACACATAAACCTGATGCTTTCCTGCTTAGATATTTCTTATGCCAGATATCCTAGTACATCACTTTTTAACTTGTGCATTTTATAAAGTCCCAGAACACAAACACAATTCCATCAGTTCTTGCCAATTGTATAAGAAGGATGGTCTTTACTCCAGTTTCCAATACCTGGTTCCTCAGTTCTGTCTTAGACCTCATCAAAATGGTCTCTACTTCCCATATTTCTACCAACATTCTGGTTATAACTATTTGAGTAATCTCTAAGAATATTCAGGTTTTTCCCTATAGCTCTGCTCTTCTTCTAAGCTTTCACCAGGTTTGCTTATAATGCTCCTTTTATGGCAATATAGGCATTTTCTAGCCTTCTCCTCCGAATTCTTCTAGCTTCTATTAATTATCTAGTTCCAAACCAAAGCCATTTCCATATTTTTAGGTATCTGTTATAGCAATAGTTCCATTTGTTGGTACCAATTTTCTTTCTTAGTCAGTTTTCTGCTGTTAGAACAGAACATCCCAAACTGGGTAATTTATAAAGAAAAGAAATTTATTTCTCACAGTTCTGGAGGCTGGGAAGTCCAAAAGCATGGTGTCAACATCTGGCAAGGAACTTTGTGTTTCATCACCTCATGATGGAAGATGTAAAGGCAAATGTGAAACAGAGGAGGGAGGGGCAAACTTTATTCTTTTATCAGGAACCCATAATTGCAATAACTAAGCCACTCCCTCAATAACACCATTAATCACCTCACATCTTAAATACTACATCTCTTAATATTGTCACAACGGCAATTAAATTTCAACATGAGTTTTGAAGGGGACATTTAAACCACAGCATTGAGTTTGTTCACATTGTGTTATCCAGGAACATCAAGAGAATAAGCTTTAAATCTTCTTGAAACTTAAGCGGAGAACTCACATGACACCTTCCACATCACATTGGTCAAAGCAAGGTGTCAGGTCAGCTTTGGGAAGTCCCAATGGAGGGAATCCCCAGATTCAAGGGAAGCAAAACGGTGTGGTATTTTTCTTAATTTACCACTACTGAGAACATTAGCCTCACTTTATCCTGTCCCTAGATTAAAATACAATTAAAATTCCAATTGTCTTTTAGTGATCAAGGAAATTAAACTTTCTCTTCCTATACTCATCCTCATCTGTGTTTCCATTATATTCTTGTCAGACAGAAGCCTTACCACCATTTCTAAAATGAAAATTCTCAGCCAAAACAAAGCATGATTTTGGTTTTAAAGTAACCATTCCCACAAAGCTAAGATTTGAATTTTTAAGTTCTAACTGGCCTGTTCCATAAAAAGGAAAAATCTATTTTGTCTTGGTTCTTCCTCTTAGTATCCCTGCTTTTCAAGAACATAATTATACTTCATTCTTTTGTTGACAAGCTTTGGACATTAACTTGCAAACTCAAGAATGTAATTATCCTTCATTCTTCAGCTTGCAAGTTAACAATCCAATGTTTTAAGTTATGAATGCATGGGTTTTCTTTAGAGACTTATGAAAAGAGAGTTAAGTTTGCAACATAGTAGTTCCCATTCATACTCACTGTGCATCTGAGTATAAATAATCCTGTTAAGAAATGTTGAAGGTGAGTGTGTGTATTTGTTTCTGTGTGTTTGTGTGTGTGTGCATAGAAGGACAGGGCAGGCTAAGTTATGCTGTCCTGTGTTCAGAGAGGAGTAATAAATAAATCCAGAGAAAGCTAACTTGTGAGAAGCAAAAGCAGAGAGATTTTTCTTTCTTTCTTTTTTCTTTTTTTTTTTTTTTAAGAGACTGAGTCTCTCTTGCCCAGGCCGGAGTGCAGTGGGATGATCTCAGCTCACTGCAACCTCCACCTCCCAGGTTCTAGCAATTCTCCTGTCTCAGCCTCCCGAGTAGCTATGATTACAGGCGCATGGCACTATGCCAGGCTAATTTTTTGTATTTTAGTAGAGACATGGTTTCACTGTATTGCCCAGGCTGGTCTCGAACGCCTGAGCTGAGGCAATTCACCTGCCTCGGCCTCCCAAAGTGCTAGGATTACAGGCGTAAGCCACCGTGCCCAACCGCAGAGAAATTTTTCAAAGGATACATCTGCACTACTTCCTGCCCCATTCCTGCAGCTGCTCCATTGCTGGAAGAGCAAATGAAAATTCCCAAAGGCCCCTATATAAATCCCTTTCATTCTGGGGTCATCCATCAGTCTCTGCAACCCAGGAGAAGCCACCACTGGCTGCTCGCTGTGTGCTTCTGTTTATATGAGTTTTTATCCTGTTGCTGAGAACCCTGTCAGATGACGAGCAAGCCACATTTACCTGTAACAGCCTTACACTAGCTTGTGATGCCTAATCTCTTTTATTGATCCTACTTGCTGGTTTCTGGAGACCATCAATTTTCCTGGCTGTCAGTCTGTGGCCTTGCCTCCTTAATGTTTATTTAGACCAGCCTCCATAAATTGCTTCTGGTACGAAGGGTGAGGAAGGCAGCAGGAGGTCAGGGGTGCGTGTATACCTGTCCATAAATATAAATCACAGCTTTTGTTCTTTGCTGTTGTTTGTGAACACTGTTTGCGAGGTGAATAAAAAACGGAAGTATTCCACTAAAACGTGGGAAGCCATTACAATTTCCCCTGTGACTGTCTTTTTTTTTTTTTTATTGCAGTCTAGGTTTTCAATTTTCTGTATCTTAATGGTACCTCTTGTTGTCTACTCAAACATGTAATGTTTCTTTTTGTTAAAGTGGAGGAAGAAAAGAGCGAAGGCATTGCTTGTTTGCCAGCACAGAGCTGTACTTTGAATGCAGGTGGGTTGGTTTCTCCTTCCCCCCGACCCAAATTGCTTTTTGTCAACACAAGCATGTATATTCATCAATTTCAGTCTTCCAGAAAAGAGAAAGACTTTTCTCAGTGCTGGAGTTGACAGCACCTTGCTGAACAATTGAACCAGCACTTCTCTTCATTATGAAGCTTATAGAACTATCTATTTAGACAAAGTCCATGGCTGTAGTGGAATAGAACTTTTAAGGTGTGTGGCAGCTCACTGTCAGCACTGTTCTAATAGGGGGTTGAAGGGTGCAATGCAGAGTGCTACTGTACTCGCGATGCCACTGACAAGACCGATTGAACACAAGACAAAATGGAAAATAGTCGCAAGCAGGTGGCTGCTCTGTTATAAATAATTCAAGGGCACGTCCTGCAAAATCCAAGGGAAAAGCCCCACAGCTCATTATAACAGTGAGTTGGTAGACTGCTAGATCCTTAAATCACTGGAAAATGTTTTGCAACAGCTAAGAATTTTTTCTCCTCTGCAGTAGTAGATATCATAGTCACTATGAGGTGACAAGTGGTTCCCCTGAGGCCAGGAGGACAGCAATCAATAGAGGAGGGTAGCCTGGGCCACGACTCTCTCAGTTGATACAGAAGCATTGTGTACAGATACAATGCTCAGAATAAATCATCAGGAAAAAGAGAAGCCTCTTCAAGACAGGAAAAGAGGTACCTCCCAGAAAACATCTTATGGAACAGTTAGTTTGATTTAGTTGTCTCTGTTTTAACTTAGCTTTTTCATATTAGTTAATAGTCCGGGTCCGCTCTACTTATATAGCCTTGCTTCCAGATCCTTCCCTAAGAATGCTTCTGTTTTCTCACTTTATCACCTGTAGCCCTCACATGGGCTCCACAATTTTATGTGCTCTTCTCATTTTCTACCTTTCAAATCTTTTATTAATTTTTATTATTAATGCAGATGTCTTTCCATTCTTCGGAAATCTTACAGCACATTTAGTGCATACCAGAGTATGGTTACTTATATTTGGTGCCTGCATCAGCAAAGACAAGCTCATTCTCCCTGCAGTAACAGATAAACCCCATATCACAGTTCTTAAACAAATAAAGACATATTTCTTGCTCACAGAACAGTGTGAATCTGGACCTCTCCCTAGCAGCTTCCTTTCTAGCAGTGGCTCAAGGACCCAGGCTCCTTCTGGCTTACAGTGATATACACAGCCTACCCAACAGGTACAGAGAAGAGAGAGTATGGACTATCACACAGTGGTTTTATAACTAGATCTGAAGACAGCACATTTCTACTTTAGAAAATAATTCTTTTTAAATATTTGGCTATTTCTTTAATCTGAAATAATTGTGCCCCTAACCCATCAACTCTCAGATAAATTCCAAGTTTATCAATGATCCACACATAAAAACTTCAGAATTATAAAATATTAGAGGAATATTGCTTTTTGAATAGGAAAGTCTTTTTGAGGCAATGCAAACAAAGCCAGAAGTTATAAGAGAAAAGACTGATAGATTGACTACCCCAAAATTTTGGAAATCAATTAGGTAAAGTCACCACAATTAAGGTTAAAAAAAATGGCACATGAGAAGAGAATACGGGTAATATATAACACATATGAAACATTAATATTGCTTAAATAAAAAGAGCTCTTACAAATCGGTAAAGTACCAAACAAACTAATGGAAAAAAATGCACAAAAGTCACAACTTAGCCAGTCAAATAAGAAGAATCAACAAAAATAGAAAAATATGCCTAATATTTCTATTGTTTAGGATGGTGCAAATTAAAATAGTAATGAGATATACATTTTTTACTTTATACCATATACCATCAAAAGTTTAAAAATAATATGGCTGCTAAGATTATGTGAAAAAGGCTCTGGGACATGCAATTGATAAGGTTGTAAATCCAAACAAGCTTTTTTTTTTTTTTTTTTTTTTTTTTTTGAGACGGAGTCTCGCTCTGTCGCCCAGGCCGGACTGCGGACTGCAGTGGCGCAATCTCTCCTGCCTCAGCCTCCCGAGTAGCTGGGACTACAGGCGCCCGCCACCGCGCCCGGCTAATTTTTTGTATTTTTAGTAGAGACGGGGTTTCACCTTGTTAGCCAGGATGGTCTCGATCTCCTGACCTCATGATCCACCCGCCTCGGCCTCCCAAAGTGCTGGGATTACAGGCGTGAACCACCGCGCCCGGCCCAAACAAGCTTTTAAAAGTGTAATTTGGTAGTGACAATCCAAATTAAAGTGTACATATCTGTCAAGCCATCAATCCAGCCTCTAGGAATCTATTTTACTGTAACTCATGCACAAATGGTACATGATGACACGCAATGATCACAGCTTCATGTCATAGCCAGAAAAAAAAAAAGGGAGAAAACCTACAGGAAATGTCAAATAATTATAGTATTTCTATACTATAGGGTACTATGCAATACTAAACAATTTATATAGACCCATTTGCACTGATGTAATAGAATGTCCGTGAATATTACTGGATAAGAAAGTAAAAGATTCTGAGGAAAAAAAGCACGTATAAAAAAAAAGTCAGTAAAATAATTTGTGTAGGGTAGTTTGTGTATATAGGGAAAAATCTGGTAGGATAAATACTAAATTGGTCTTGGGCCTTACAATCCAGCAGAGGATTGAGGTGGCCGTACTGCTGCTGCTGCTGCTGCTGTTACTGCCACAGCCACTACCCCTGCTGGCTCACATGTGCCAGTGAGGCTCTACATCGTCTACATGTTAACTCATCTAATTCCCATACCATTTCTATTTCACAGATGAAGACACTGAGGGCTGAAGGGTATTAATACTCTGGCACAACAAAGGCAGAAAATTCAGTTTACACTGCATACATTTCTCCTCGTGACCTCTCACTCAAACCTCCACAAAGCTGCTTAGCATGATCATGTTAAAACTGAAAATCAGATCAGGTTACTCCTCTGCACAAACCCCTTCTTTGTCTTTTCCTCTCTAAGAATGAAGTCTGACATCCTTGCTAGGGCCTGCAGGACCCTGGGTTCTGCTCCCACTTGGACTTCATCACCTAACAAGTAACCCCATTTCTTTCCTCATTCTTCCCGGCTTGTTATGCTAGTAGATCACATTATTTAAGCCCTTCTCAAATATCTGGCCTCCCGCAGGTTGATCTTCTATCTCATCCCTTTTGAACTCCTTATGCTTATTACATATTTATTAATATTAAGGCGCTTATTATCTGTTTTTCCGTGCTAGAATGTAAACTCCATGAAGGTATGGACTTTGTTTTATTCCAATATCCTAAATGCCTAGAAAGGATATGTGATACCTAGTAGGTGTTCATTAAATATTTATTGAATAAATAAATGGCTGCTTAAAATAATACTAATGTGAGTTACAGCAAGAATATGTTACAATTAAGAAGATTAAATAGTATGAGACTATGTGTGGGAGTATATGCATATGTAAAAATAAAAAAAAGAGAGTGACAGATAAAGGGAAGCAGTCTATATGGAGCTAGTTCTACTTATAAAGAGGTCCACTGTAACCTGGAATAATCTTTATTTTTCACCAACAGTCCCATGATCCTGCACCCACCTGCCTCAACTACCGCATGTTCACGCAAATAAAAATATGTTACTGAGTAAATGAACTGTATCTGGGCGAATAAATGAACTGTATCTGGGCAAATAAATGAATTAAATACTTATAAAAGAACATGATTCCTGATCTCATTTAATAATGAAGTCAATTTCAACAACTACATTATTTTTAGCTCTACAACGCTGTAATTCTAACTAATCTAAGAAAATCACTTACATATTCCTCATGTTTCAAAGGCTGCATTGATCACTCATGGTTTGGTTAAGAAAATGGAATCAGGTCTATGTATTCCAGTTACAAAGGGTTTTAGTATAAGAGACAAGAGGTTTAGGAAAAGCTTAGAAAGCAAAAGTGTGTGAAGCCACTACTGATTTACTCAGCCTGAAGCTCTGAATCATGTGGTTCTCATGGATGTCCCAGGAAGCTGTTGCAATTCTCAAAAATTGCTGGGAAATTCCCACCAACGATTTCAGTCTGTGGCAGCAAAAGGGTGGTTGTCAAGAGCTTACCAAAAAGTCCCCATGAATCAAATCCCACATGTCTGGATAGACCTTCCGGAGAATAATGACCTCTCTTTCCCTTCTGCTCTAAGCCTCATGCAAGTGCCTCTCATCGGCAAACACTATGTTTCATGGAGGGTGTTTGGAAATTATTGCTCCTGCCTCTCCTCCAAAATAGAGAAGAAATCTTCGAGGGAGATGGTGGTGATGCTGATTTGACAATGAGTAGTCTGTCTGATGGGCTGCTTTTAATGGCACATATTTTTATGAGTGAGAGATGAAAACATCAACTAGTTACCTCTTCTGAATAAGATCCTTCCAGCTACTTGAAAATTTATAAATACCTTCATCATTTTTCTCTAAGTGTATACACATGTGTTTGTGCAGGTACTAGGTCAGAAGTTATAAACTAGCTAGGTACTATGATTTTTCTTTTTATGACTTACACACAATCTTTTTTTTTTGGTCATTTGAGCTGATATTTACAAATTGGAAAATCTTGCTTATAAATCTGGATTTATGGCTTTTCCTAAAAAAATTGGAAATCAGCCATGATGTTTGGATTTAAATATCCATTGTTCTTTAGACACAGCTTGCGCTCACACGTTTTTCCCAGCTCGTCACCTCTCAGAATGTTTTTTGCACCTAGTTCCGTTTGCTCATTGACATCACGACCTCCCTAGGCCCTAGAGACTTTAGAGTTTGTAACCTCTGCTCTAGAATGTGAAGGAGAAAATAATCAAGACTTTCATGTAGTTTCAATATGCTTAATGCTTTGTCAGGAAATATTTTTATGAGCTATTAGCTATGTCTGAAGCACATTTTCCCCCAAAGTCATGTTTCCTATGCATATTGTCACCCCATAAGTTAGGAACATTTTCAGTAACATTTTACAGTGTTGAATTTCATATATTTTTTAAAAATTAAATTTTTTTGACAAAAGTAGCTGTACACCCCATAAACTAAAAAACCGTAACAGTCCTATTGATAGTGAGGTTGTTCATTACACTTGTGACCCATGCCACTTAAATTCATGGTTTAGCAAAATACCAGTTACTGTAGATCATGGACATTTTGTGTCACTGAAAAGTAGACAAAATCATGACAGTTACATGTACAAAAGTCAAAAGGTACACATGTACTTTTTTATGTGTCTCTTCATGTTTATAAACATGTCGTTACATCACAGACACAAACGCACACACACACACACACACACACACACGCACATATTTCTCATATCCTTTTCCCACTCCCTCACATATAACAAAAATTAGTTCTAGGTGATAATAAACTGAAAGTCACCCTGACATTTTGAACTTCCAAGAAAAATCAGAAATCAATGCAATCATAAGGCAACTTGCTATGAAAATAATACAAAAATAAGCTTTAGAGATATGTGCTAAATAGGAAATAAGCAAACAAATAAAGGAAGCTAATTGCCTCAGCAGGAGAGGTATAAATTAAACTTTGAGCTTCATGTTCTGAGAGTCAGGCCTGGGTTGAAGTCAGGTGAAAAAATACCTTGTCACCAAAAGTGATTATAGACTATTCAGGTAATTTGGAAGCCTGAAGTCAGAGGGCTGGAAATGTACATATTCAAAAATACTTAAACTTTGGAAAGTTTTATAAATAACATGCAGCTGTCCAGCAATATGTATAATGTCTGCCAACTATATAAAGTCTCCACGAATTCTGTTTTGGTTTGGCATTCAGTATAGAAAAATAATATATCTGTTCCTTGTTTTCCACTTGTAGGCGACTACATTTGAGTGTTCTATATACAAGTCCTTGTTCTTCCCCATGACTGACATTCAAATACCAGAAATGACAAGTTATTGGCGATTGTGGAGAATAAAAATTCATTTATGTCTATAAATATCCAAGAGTTGTTTAGTTAGGAGGAAACAGATGACCTAACAGAAGACTAAATCTTGGCAAGTTGACTTTCATTGGCTGAACTCTGCCAATTTCATTCTAGCCAGCTGGTTTCCTCTAATCCTCTCCTGTTCCTTCTGTTTGAGTGATTTCGTAGGGTTTTTTTATGCCACATGCATCCATCACCACCTCCAAACAAAGAGCATGCTGGGTGAGAACAAAGCACAAATGAGAAGTATGAGGGGTTCACTCTACTGGAGATGAGGCCAAGGAAACTCAGCAAGAAATTCACACATTCATAACTACAAGTTAGTGACAATACAGAAAATTAAATTTAAGAGGGAGCCCCAGATCCTTTATTCTTGCAGTTTAGTTAACTGGACAGCTGGAAGCTCTCCAAATGACCTTTAGTTCAACCTAAATTATGTCATTCTTTCTGTGCTCAGAGAATCAGAGCTGAGGGGCAAGGAGTCCACAGAGGAAGACTTGTAGAGTGACAGGAAGCTTGCCCAGTTTGCATAAGGCAGTGAATTAGTTTGAGTCAATTAAGTTCATAATTTATTTCTTTTTAAGGATTCCATTTTTTTTTTCAAAATAGCCCTTTCCTTTAAATTTCATTCTAATGAAACATTCAAGTAAAGGTTTGATTACAATTAAAGTTTTCCTTCTAAGGGCTATTATTTGAGAGTGCCTTCTCAAATAAAGTTGGTGGGGTGAGACTGGAGGAAGAAAGAGAGAGGGAGGCACATGGGAAAACCCAACCCAGGTGCAGGATGAAGCCGAGGACCTAAAGAAAACCTGGAAGCACTATGAAGCAGGTATAAATCCAGCCTGTCTGTTCTAATTCCTGAGAAGGAAGGGCCAAAAGAACGGAGAGAAAACAGAAACAGTTATTTGATGGATGTTATACATTTAGGTTCTGTAATTACATGGGAAGTTGATTTATCACGGTGTCCTTGCATCAGTGAAACGTCAGAGGCGAGACACATGTGTGGCCTCATCAGAGGAGAAATTGTTTTTAGGAAGCTCTGGCTTTGCAATCTGGAAACGACAAGAATAACATGAGGTTAACGTTATAACTTTCTGAGAACTTTCAAAGCAATTAATGCATGAAATTAGACATGTAAAGAAGTGGAGAAAGGGAGAAATTCAAGTACGATAAGCAAAACTGGCAACTTGGAGAATCAAAATAATCTGTAAGTGTTTCTGAGACTGTTTTTGCTTAACTCAGAGGCCAAACATTCTTGCTAACTCAGAGGCCAAACATTCTTGCTTTCACTCTACTAATACACAGTAGGCTTTCTCATCTGGCATATGTTCACTCCATGTACCACAGATAAAGATTCTTAAAATGTTTCATGATTTTTCTTGTCCTTCACAAGATGTTAATGCCTGGACTCTCTTGCTTTTAATTATTGTTCATATTAGAAAATTAAAATATTTATCAAGACCTATACAATCAAGTTAAGCCAAGTTGTCTGTGTAAACAAAGCTTTAACAAACAAATCGTCTTTAGACAAAAATATCTTGAAAAATATACAAACAACTTTGAAAGTAAACAAGTAGCCTCAACTAATATTAAAAACCTCCATTTCTTTGCTTGAAAAATACAAATAGAAAACACATACATACACTTATATACACATGCTTATGCACCCATGTGGATACACACAGAGATGTGATAAGTGTTTAGATAGAGCTGAATATCAAAGGCTACAGATTGACCTCTGTCTCCCTCTGCTCCCCTTGCATTATTCTCAGGCTGAATACTGCATTATTTTGATGGCTTATGGACATTTTAATCAGTGTCAGATCATTCAGCCAATGATATAGGCATGGAGGACGTAGTCATAGTGTCTTATTTTCATTAGGAATCTAATGATTTTGAGCGCATGATGTTTCAAATCTCAATGAGAATGATGATAAGCTAAGGGCTACTTCTATGTTTTTTTGCATCAGAATGAAAATGCCCTGGGAAATAACGTAATATCCACCTTTGATGACTTCATTACAGTTGATTCTAAAGCCATAGTTAAGTAATAATGATTGGGTCATATATTATTAGTAGTAGTAGCAGTATTATGATTGTCCCCCTAAAAGCATTTTTCAAAGGCCAGAGAACAATGACTGTCAAGTTAGCCAAAATTCATTCAAGTTGATTTCATTTGAGGATTACCAGCAAAGTAAATTTTGAAACCTTTGCTATTAATTGATAAAACTTAATTCTAATGAGCAAGGAGTAGCACCTAGCCTCAGCTAATTACACAAGGCTTTTTACAGTGGTGTGCTAATGCCAGTTCACAGCAGCTCCCTTGAAAAAGCAATTGCTAAAGTTTTCATAAATTTTGAGAAACAGTTCTTTTAAAATTTAAATTATATAAACTTACAAGCAAATAAGTTATATTAAAACAATAAATTCTCAAAATGTATTGCTTACTAATTCACTACATTTTACTATTGTCTGTGCTTTTGGGGTCATCTCTATCTGCACACATAATTTATGTTTACATCTGAATGGAGGAAATATTATGTAATATGCTGCATAACATCTCCTCCCAGCTCTGTATTCAGTGAAGTCCCATTAGTATGTTGAAGGTGGCCATGGTGGTATTTACATTAAGGAAAGGACAATGGCACCAATCACGGTTTTTTACTTTTTATATTCTTTTGGAGGTCAAGCTATTAAACATTTATCACATCACTTATTTGAGTGTCTCTAATATACATATAGACCCTTCTTCTTTTTAATATTCTTGTCTATTTGGGGCTTTTAACTTGTGGAAGTTAAATTGTTCACTTTGTATTTATTTATCCTTGTTTTCTAACTCTGTCTTTTCTCTAATACCTGACTGCAGTGTTATAGGAGAAATAATGAAGTGTGGGATAATAGAATAGCATGTCTACCCTAGATGAGGCAGTGAGAAGTTTTGCCCGTTCAAGTCATTTTCCACCTCTCTTCTGTTTGCAGTGCCCAGAGGTTGTTGCAAATGAAAGTTATGTTTTCACTGTTGGAAAACTGGTTGACAAAATCACTTCAGGCCCCCGCTGTTTGCAATACACACTCTGACAAATATGCTGGTTAAGAAAAGAATTATTTCCAACTTACTCCCTTTGGCAGGTAAAAACAAAGACGAAAGTTGGCGTCTAACTACATATGTGTTTCTATGTTTTGTTTGTTTGCTTGTTGTGGTAATGTGAAACTAGAAGTTGATTCATTTGCATTTCCTTTAGATCTCAATAGAAGGCATCTGAATAAATTATTTGATAAAATAAATCAAATAATACATAAAATATGGCACTCTGGGCCATGGATACATCCTCTTCCCCTTGTCAAACTTGCAAAACACCTACAACTGTTGTTAGTAGCCAATAAAAAAAAAACTGGCTGATTTTGACAGGAAAAAACAGTTAAAAATGACTGAATTGCTCTCAGAATCACCAGGAGGGTTGGAGGACTCGCCACAGGGATACAAAGCCAGGAAAAGAAATATACCTGAACATACTCCATGTGCACAACCAAATGCTATTTGCTATTGGTTTTTTTGTTGACACCTTGAGCATTAAACACTGGATGTTATGCTTAGTACCACTATCATCATCCTTATTAACCACCACCATGACTAGAACAATCCATTGTGTTCCTTGTTTCTTTTCCCTGTTGGATCCTGGTTACAAATTTGGAAATGTGCATTTAATTGATACAACTTAACAAATGCCCAATTTCAGTCATGAAGGAGGCTAGAAAATGTGGTATTTGGCCTTCTCAGCATCTATAGAGGGATATCTTCATAATATGCGAAGTTACTCCAGCATAGATAAACAGCAGAGATACTGAGTTGTCAAAAAATTTGCAATCGTCCACAGCATTCTCTTAATTCTTCTGCTACATGGAGAAGCTCAGATCATTTCAATCCCATCTTTTTTATACCTGCTGTTTTGTTCCCTGCTATATGGCATATGGTGGAAACCAATTCCAAGAGCCCTGGAGACATTGCACCTGCACGTCCTGCACCTAAGTGATGTTTTTACTCTTGAGAAGAAAGAGCAATGTTCTAGCATGCACAGAACATATGCTAATCAGCTGCACTCTTCAGGCACAAATGAGGATAATGTGTTCATTGTTTAGACACTGGAATTGTTCATTACAAAATGACACAGTGTTTGCCAATTTTGTCTTCATTATAAATGTAAATATTAACTGGCGATATGCAAAAGAATACAAAAAGTCAACAGCAATTAATTGGCTTCTGTAGTAATTAGCAACTGTAAGGCAAACACTTAGGAGCCGTTGTAATTGTCTGCATTAGGAATACACCTCCTGTACAGATCTAATTAGCAATTTAAATAGTTCAGAAATTATATGCCTCTTGCCTTTACACTCCCTGAAGTACTGTTTGTTCATTAATGGGGGAAAAAATTGCTAGTAAATGTCATTTGCATTGTCTTGCGTTAAGGGCTCTACATCAAAGCCTCTGTTACTGCCTCATACTGAATAATTCTAAGCCGTGGCTCATGGACCAATACAGCTGTAATTAGGCAATGACGCCTTTGTAAACATGAGGCACGAAACTGATGGGAGCTTATTTTGCTGTGAGATATTTCCTCCATGATTTATGCTCTAAATAATAGGAACTATAATAGGGCCATAGCTAAAACAAGAGATTGAAACTGAGAAATATTGACTCTTTGTGGGCCATTGAAGTGGTTGTAAAAAGTAATATCTAAAAGACTCTTCAGAAAGCTTTAGTTGGTTATGTGATTTTAGCAATGAAGTTGATCCAGATACTGCTAACTGGAGAGACTGTCTTGGTCAAAATTGTGGTCTAAAGATTATGCTATTGGCTGATGGCAAAGTGGGTTTTTATGAAATTTGTGTTATGTAGTGAGAATTACATATAACACAGGTCCACAATGAAAGTCTAGTATCTAACTCAGGGGTATTAAATTGCAGAGATGCCTCAGTCAAACCTGAGATCTCTGGTTACCAAAATTTTGATTTGTGCCATTCACATGGTTCCAAGTGAATTCACATAGTTCTGTTGTGGAAGTTGTAAAACAGTAAAAAATAAAATGTCTGGTTGAGACCTTGGAATTGCAGAGATTGATTTTAGATTCAATTAAAAACTCTTAAAATTGTTTAATCAATTACTTGGAATAATTAAAACATGAATGATTATTAAAATTTAACTGGGGATAATGAACAGATCTGAAGTTGGTTTCAAAACAGAAGATAGGAATAAGACTGATGATCTTATAAAAAATAAATGCCTTATAAAAGCCACAGTGTGACATGCTTGACAAAAGAAGATAATAAAGTTTTGAGGTATATTAATAGGAATATAGTATACATAAAAAGTTGGATAATAGTCTCATGAATTTGTCATTGGCTAGATTGTACATTGTAATCAAGTCTGGGTGCCATATATTAACAAGGACAGAAACTAATTGAAACATGTCAAAGAAGGTCAAGCAGAACATAGCATCTGAAGACATGTCTCATGTAAAATGGTTGACATTTGTGATGCCATGTGTGAAAAATAACACTTTGATATCTACAGGGCTTCTATATAGAATGGTCATAGAATTTTTCTGCATGGCCTCACAAGATAGACCTGAGATTAATACAGAAATATCATTTGATGATTTTAGCTTAATATATAAAGAAAAATTTAAACAATTAGAGTTGTTAGACAGTAAGAATGAGTTGCCTTTTAGATTGTATTCCCCTCGTCCCCTGCTGTAACTATTTGTTAGTAAAATTTTGCACTGTTACAACCATTACTTACAATGGTCTCCAACTATGATAAAGAAAATGTAGGAGGAATACTCATTGCCACCTATTGGTAAAAACAGAGAACTAAAAAGAATTGATTTTTTTTTTTAATTCTGAAGTCAGAATTTATAAGCAAACAGGTAATATTTAGTGCTTATTTTGATAGCTATAAATTAAAATCTGTGAATGGGAGATGTGTTTATATTGCACAAGTGACATTTGGATAGAAAGGTCCCTACTTTAAAAATGAAATAAATGTAAATATAAAGACAGGATAACTGTTATATTTAAAAGAATATGATCAACTGCAACAAAGACCAAAAATGTTAGTAACATATACATCGATCTTTAAGATATAAAACAGTATAAATGGTTATATCATGTCTGTGTACTGTGTAAGATTTTTCATTGTTTATTTGTAACATCATAAAAGCACAATATTTTTAAGCTAAAATATTTAGGAACCATCAAAAGATTTTATGAGATGAGTAATGATAGCACTAAAATTTAATTTCATATTATATAGTCGTTTTGTGATATATTAAAACAAATTAGTTTTGTGCTTATAATTAAATACAAAATATAAGATTTGCTTGTTGTGATTATTAGATGCGAGTAGAGATGATCTCTGGGAATTTAGCTATGGGACATATTAAATTATGGTATTAATGGACTATTCTATATCAAAAACACAATGGAAATATACAAACCTCTTCATAAATATATCTTTCATTTTTTTCTCTTATCAACAATTTAGCAAGCACTTGCTATGTGACAGGAACTTGCTAGGAATGGATAATATAGCAGGCAGTAGATTAAGGTCTAGATCCTGTCTCTTGAGGCTTGCAGTCTAATAAGGAGGTGAGATAGGTGTGAATATTAAACCTGGACAATAAACATAGAAACTGAATCATTTCAAATAAATGCAAATGTTATTTAAGTAGGGTCATTTAGATAGAGAGTAATAGAGCTGAAAATTTTTGGATTGGGTGGTCTAGGAAAGCCTTTTGTTCAAAGATAGTATTTGACAAAAGTTGTGTTGAGGAGAAGCCAGCTGTTCAAAAAATCTGGGAGAAGACCATCCCATTCAGAGTAACGAACTGATATGTAGGCTTTATGTTGACAATAAGCTCCTGTTCAAACAATTGGGAAGAAAAAGAGAAATATGTATGTGCCCAGAATATGAAGTGGATGGAAGAAGAATTTGGGGAGATAGGCAGTGTAAAGTCTTGTAAAATCTTGTGGGTCAGGCTTAAGAACTTGTGTTTCATTCTAAGGACAATGGGAATTCATTGGTGAATCTTAAACTAGATTAAGAATGAGCCAAATTTGTCACCAACCTGCTTTCATAATAAAGTTATATCAAAATGAAGTTACACATATCTGTTTACATTCATCTATTGTCTATGGCTGCTTTCATCCTAGTTGGGCACAGTTGAGTACTTGCAACAAAGACCAGATGGCCTATACAGCTTAAAGTGTTTAACTATTTGGTCCTTTGCAAAAAAAAGTATGCCCACTTCTGAGCTCAAGAGTGATATCTTTTGTACATTTGGGAGTCATATGGTCTGTGCAGAAGGTCTATAGGGGGATATAAAATGATGTCAGGAGGTTATTAGTAGTCTCTAGGACAGTATTGTATTTTCGACCAGGCTAGAAATAGTGATAACGGGAGAGATGAAGTTATGTGAGAAATGTTAAGGAGATAGGGCTGAAGATACTTTATAATGGTTTGCATACATAGGTAAAAATAGGAGAGAAAACATAAACAACTCCCAGATTTGGGGCTTGAATACCTGCATGGAGGTTGATTTATTATATAAATTATCAATAATTTATAAAACCCTTAGGAATAAGAATTACACTCTATGGGTATGCAAAAAAATGTAGGAAAATAGTTTTTGCATCATAATTAATGATAGACAGAAGGGTAGATAGACACACACATTACACACACATATATATTTATATATATATATATTTGTAGTTAAAAGTATATGATGTTGGAGTTAGATAACACCTGTTAAGCCAAATATTAGCTGAAGGATCTTGCAATAGCTACTTACCATCTCTGAGATGTTTTTAAAAATTAATATACAAAATTAATAATAATAATAATTATAGAGACATAAGATTGTTTTTATAGCTTTATTCTTTATTTTTTAAATAAGATATATATCATAAAATATACTACTTTAACCATTTTAAGTATACAGTTCAGTGGCATTAAATACATCTACATTGTTGTACAATCATCACAACTAGTGAATTCTTATAATTTTATGTAGCCTCAGCCTCCATTTTGAGTATAAGCTTGACTTTTTATCACATCAGAAGCAGGGCTTTGTCACCGTTGACACAAGTCCCAATCTCTGCCTCCTCTAGTTCCTCAGGTGCTTGACCTGGAGATCTACTTTATGAATCTGTCTCCTGGTGACAACCTTCCTCCTTGTATCAAGCAGCTAGATGCAATCTAGTTGACTTGCTCTGCTGACCCCAGCACTCCACGTGGACGGCATAGATTTACAGCAGTGACCACCTTTCAGTCACTGTGTGACTATAGGAAACTCGTGCCTACTTTTTGTAAACCCACCGATTCCAACTGCCTGCAGAAAACCTGCTTGGGTAACTTTATTGGGACCCCAATAAAGACTTTGGCAAACAGGTCTCTCTCTCTCTGCCTCCCTCCCTCCCTCCCTCCCTCCCTCTCTCTCTCTCTCTCTGTCTCTCTCCGCCTCTCCCTCTCTCTCTCCCTCTCTCTCTCTCTCCCTCTTTCTCTCTCCCTCTCCCCACCCACTGATCACATATGCAAGTCCCAGATGCTTTCCCCCTTCCCATTGGCCCTGTGAGGCATGTTGCTCTCTTACCTCTGGGATCTGTAAGTGATACTCTGCTTCTGTTATCCCAAATGTTTTGTTTTGTTTTGTTTCATTTTATTTTGTTTGTTTTGTTGTCTCCGATGATACCCAAACCTAACTTCTGTTCTGATCAGCGTTCTCCTATACAGTGGCTGTCTTGGTAGGAATAAACTGGGCATAGGTCACACAAGAGCCACAAGGGTATCTGTCAGTTTAAACAGGTTTCCTGTGAGAGGGACACATGATGACAGGTTGGACATGTAGGCATTGGGCCATTCACCATGATTAAAAAAAAAAAAAACTATCCCATGAAAGACAACCACACACCTGGAGTCCCATCAGGGCAGGGCTAGAGTTTATAGCCACTCTCTCTAGACAGACTTCAAGACCAAACTAGAGGAAAACCCAACCACCACCAAACATCTAGGGAAATTTTTTTCTTTTCCCAAACTTAAACTGTGTACCCATTAAACAATAATTCTCCACTTCCCCTTTCCTGTAGTCCCTGCCAACCACCATTCTCATCTCCATCTCCAAAAATCTGAGTACTCTAGGTACTTTATATAAGCAAAATCATATAGTATTTGTATTTTTGTAATTGACTTATTTCACTAAGCAAAAGTCCCTGGAGGTTCATTTATGTTGCAGCATATGCCGGAATTTCTTTTCTTTTTAAGGCTGAACAATATTCCATTGTATTTATATATTGCATTTCATTTATCCATTCATCTGTTGATGGACACTAGAGTCAATTTTACCATTGGCTCTTGTGAATAATGCTGCTATGAACTCAATTGTACAAATATCAGTGTGAGTCCCTGCTTTTAATTATTTTGGGTCTATATCCAGAAGTGGAATTACAGGGTTACAAAGTAATTCCATTTTTTTATTTTTGAGGACCCACTATCCTGTTTCTCATAGTGTCTGAACCATTTTCACATTCTCACCAACAGTGCACAAGGGTTTCAATTTATCCATATCCCCAACCAACACTTATTATTTCCAATTCTTTTTTTTATTCAGAGATTGTAATGTAGAAAATCTTTATTTTCAGCTTTTATTTTAAGTTCAGGAGTACATATGCAAGATGTACAGATTTGCTACACAGGTAAACATGTGCCATGTTAGTCTGATGCACAAATCATCCCATAGCCTTGGTATTAAGCCCAGCATCTATTAGCTATTCTTCCTGATGCTCTCCTTCCTCCCACCCCCACCTCTGATAGGCCCCAGTGTGTGACATTCCCTCCTCCCATGTACCTATGTGTTCTTATCATTCAGTTCCCATTTAAAAGTGAGAACATACGGTGTTTGGTTTTCTGTTCATGCATTAGTTTCTAAGGATAATAACTTCCAACTCCATCCATGTCCCTGCAAAGGACATGATCTCTTTCCTTTTTATGTCCGCGTAGTATTCCATGGTGTATATGTACCACATTTTCTGTATCCAGTCTATCACTGATGAGCGTTTAGGTTGATTCCATGTCTTTGCTATTGTGAATAGTGCTGCAACGAACATGCATGTGCATGTATCTTTATAATAGAATGATTTATATTCCTTTGAGTATAAACTCAGTAATGGGATTGCTGGGTCACATGGTATTTCTGCTTCCAGGTCTTTGAGGAATCACCACACTGCCTTCCACAACAATTGAACTAATTTACACTCCCACCAACGGTGTAAAAGCATTCCTTTTTCTCTGTGACCCCACCAGCATTTGTTGTTTTGACTTTTTAATAATCGCCATTCTGACAGGCATGAGATGCTATCTAATTGTGGTTTTGATTTGCTTTGCTCTAATAATCAGGGATGTTGATCTTTCTTTCATATGTTTTTTGGCCACATGTATGTCTTCTTTTTAGAAGTGTCTGTTTATGTCCTTTTCCCACTTTTTAATGGGGTTGTTTTTTCCTGTAAATTTGTTTAATTTCCTTGTAGACGCTGGATGTTAGACCTTTGTCCAATGGATAGATTGCAAACATTTTCTCCCGTTCTGTAGGTTGCTTGTTCACTCTGATGAAGTTTCTTTCTCTGTGCAGAATCTTTTTAGTTTAATTAGATCCCATTTGTCAATTTTTGCTTTTGTTGCAATTGCTCTGGTGTTTTTATCGTGAAATATTTCCCCGTGACTGTGTCCTGAATGGTATTGCCTAGATTTTCTGCTAGGGTTTTTATAGTTAGGGGTTTTACATTTAAGTCTTTAATCTGTCTTGAATTAATTTTTTGTATATTGTGTAAAAAGGAGGCCCAGTCTCAATTTTCTGCATATGGTTAGCCAGTTCTCCCAGCATCATGTATTAAATAGGGAGTTCTTTTCCCATTTCTTGTATTTGTCAGGTTTGTCGAAGATCAAATGGTTTTAGGTGGGTACAGTCTTATTTCTGAGTTCTCTGTTCTATTCTATAGGTCTATGTGTCTGTTTTTCTACCAGTACCATGCTGATTTGGTTATTGTAGCCATGTAGTATCATTTGAAGTCGAGCAGTGTGATGCTTCCAGCTTTGTTCTTTTGTTTACAATTGCCTTGGCTGTTCAGGCTTTTTTTTGGTTTCATATGAATTTTAAAGTAGATTTTCCAATTCTGTGATGAATGTCAATGGTATTTTATTAGGAATAGCGTTGAATCTATAAATTACTTCGGGCAGTATGGCCATTATCTTCCTATCCATGAGCATGGAATATTTCTTCATTTGTTTCTGTCCTCTCTGAGTTCTTTGAGCAGTGGTTTGCAGTTCTCTTTGGAGAGGTCCTTCACTTCCTTTGTTAGTTGTATTCCTAGGTATTTTATGCTTTTTGCAGCAAATGTGAATGGAAGTTCATTCATGATTTGGCTCTCTGCTTGCCTGTTGTTGCTGCATAAGAATGCTAGCAATTTTTGCACATTGATTTTGTATTCTCAGAGTTTGCTGAAGTTTCTTATCAGCTTAAGAAGCTTTTGGGCTGAGACATGGGGTTTTCTAAATATAGAATCCGGTCATCTACAAAGATAATTTCATTTCTTCTCTTCCTATTTGAATACCCTTCATTTCTTTCTCTTGCCCGATAGCCCTGGCCAGAACTTCCAACACTGTATTGATTAGGAGTGGTGAGAGAGGGCATCCTTGTCTTGTGCTGGTTTTCAAGGGGAATGCTTCCAGCTTTTGCCCCATTCAGTATGATATTGGCTGTGGATCTGTCATATATGGCTCTTATTATTTTGAGTTATCTTCCTTCCATATCTAGTTTATTGAGAGTTTTTTACATGAAGGGATGATGCATTTTATTGATGGCCTTTTCTGCATCAATTGAGATAATCACATGGTTTTTGTCTTTAGTTTTGTTTATGTGATGAACCACATTTATTGATTTTCATATGTTGAACCAACCTTGCATCCCGTGGATGAAGCCTACTTGATTGTGTTGTATAAGCTTTTTGATATGCTGCTGGATTTGGTTTGCCAGTATTTTATTGAGGATTTTTGCATCAATGTTGATCATGGATATTGGCCTAAAATTTTCTTTTTTTGTTGTTGCTCTGCCAGGTTTTGGTATCAAGATGATGCTGGCCTCATAGAATGTGTTAGGGAGGAGTCCCTCCTTGTCAATTTTTTGGAATAGTTTCAGTAGGAATTGTGTCAGCTCTTCTTTGTACCTCTGGTAGAATTCAGCTGTGAATCCATCTAGTCCTGGCTTTTTTTATGTTGGTAGGCTATTTATTACTGCTTTGATTTCAGAACTCTTTATTGGTGTATTCAGGGATTCAATTTCTTCCTGGTTCAGTCTTGGGAGGCTGTATGTGTCCAGGAATTCATTAATTTATTCTAGATTTTCTAGTTTATGTGCATGGAGGTGTTTATAGTATTCTCTGATGGTTGTTTGTATTTCTGTGGGGTCAATGGTGATCACTTCTGATTTGATTTTTCTCTCTTCTTTATTAGTCTAGCCAGTGGTCTATTTTATTACTTTTTTGAAAAACTGCCTCCTGAATTCATTGATTTTTGAAGGATTTTTTATGTCTCTATCTCTTTCAGTTCAGCTCTGATCTTGGTTATTTCCTGTCTTCTGCTATTTTTTGGGTTTGTTTGCTCTTGGTTCTCTAGTTCTTTTAGTTGAGAGATTAGGTTTTTAACATGGGATCTTTCTACCTTTTTGATGTGGGCATGTAGTGGTACAAACTTCCATCTTAACACACTGCTTTAGCGGTGTCCCAGAGATTCTGGCATGTTGTCTCTTTGTTCTCATTAATTCCAAAGAACTTCTTGATTTCTGCCTTAATTACATTATTTACCCAAGAGTCATTCAGGAGCCGGGTGTTCAATTTCCATGTAGTTTTGTGGTTTTGAATGAATTTCGTAATCTTAAATTCTAATTTGATTGTGCTGTGGTCTGACAGACTGTTCTTTATGATTTCAGTTCTTTTGCATTTGCTGAGGACTATTTCACTTCTGATTATGTGATCAATTTTAGAGTAAGTGCCATTTGACACCAAGAAGAATGTATAGTCAGCACTTTTTGGATGGAGGGTTCTGTAAATATCTATCAGGTTCACTTAATCCAGAGCTGAGTTCAGGTCCTGAATATTTCGTTAATTTTCTGTCTCTTTGATCTGTATGATATTGTCAATGTGGTGTTAAAGTCTCCCACTATTAATGTGTGGGAGTCTAAGTCTCTTTGAAGGTCTCTTAAAATTTGCTTTGTGAATCTGGGTGCTCCTGTATTGGATGCATATATATTTAAGATAGTTAGCTCTTCTTGTTTAATTGAACCCTTTCCTTTCATATAATGTCCTTCTTTGTTTTGATTTTCATCGTTTTAAAGTCTGTTTTGTCAGAACTAGGACTGTAACTCCTGCTTTTTTCCATTTTCTATTTGCTTGGTAAATTTTCCTCCATCCCTGTATTTTGAGTCTTTGCACATGAGATGGGTCTCTTGAAGAGAGTCTACTGATGGGTTTGGCTCTTTATACAGGTTGCCATTCTGTGCCTATTAATTCGGATATTTAGCCCATTTACATTTCAGGGTAATATTGTTGTGTTAATTTGATACTGTCATCATAATGCTAGCTGGTTATTTTGCACTTGTTTATGTGGTTGCTTCCTAGTATCACTGGTCTGTGTACTTCAGTGTGTTTGTGCAGTGGCTGGTAATAGTTTTTTCTTTCCATATTTAGTGCTTCCTTCAAGAGCTCTTATAAGGCTCGCCTGTTGGTGATGAATTCACACAACATTTGCTTGTCTGAAAAGAATATTTCTCCTTTGCTTATGAAGCTTAGTTTGGCCAGATATAAAATTCTGGGTTAGGAATTCTTTTCTTTAAGAATGTTGAATATTGGCCTCAAATCTCATCTTGTTTGTAGGGCTGCCGCTTAGAGGTCCACTGTTAGTCTGATGGGCTTCCCTTTCTAGGGTACCTGGATTTTCTCTCTGTCTGCCGTTAACATTTTTTTTTTGATTTTGACCTTTGAGAATCTGATGATTATGTGTATTGGGGTTGATCTTCTTGTGGAGTAACTTACAGGGGTTTCTGCATTTCCTGATTTTTAATGCTGGCCTGTCTTGCTATCATCCATTCTCCTGGATGATATCCTGAAGTATGTTTTCCAACTTAGTTTATTTCTCCCTGTTTCTTTCAGGTACCCAAATCAGTTGTAGGGTTGGTCTATTCATATAATCCTATGTTTTTCAGAGGTTTTGTTCGTTTCTTTTCATTCTTTTTTTCTCTCTATTCTTGTCTGCCTGTCTTATTTCAGAAAGATAGTCTTCGAGTTCTGAGATTCTTTCCTCCATTTGGTCTATTCTGCTGATGATACTTGTGATTGCACTGTGAAGTTCTTGTATTGTTTTTCAGTTCCATCAGGTAGGTTATGTTCTTCTAAACTGGCTATTCTGGCTATTGCTCCTTTATTGTTTTAGCATGATTCTTATCTTCTTTGCATTGGGTTACACCATGCTCCTTTAGATCAACAAAGTTCATTATTACCTACCTTCTGAATCCTAATTCTGTCATTCAGCCTTCTCAGCTTCAGCCCAGTTCTGTGTTTTTCTGGAGTGTGTTGCAGTCATTTGGAGGGGAAGAGGCACTTTGTCGTTTTGTTTTCAGCGTTTTTTTGTTGATTATTTCTCATCTTTGTGGGCTTCTCTACTTTGGATCTTTGAGGTTGCTGACCTTTGAATGAGGTTTTCATGGGGTCATTTTGTTGATGTTTTCTGTTTGTTTTCTTTTCTTTTCTTTCTTTTTATTTTATTTATTTTATTTTATTTTATTTATTTATTTATTTATTTATTTATTTATTTATTTATTTATTTATTTTGAGACAAAGTTTCACTCTTGTCATCCAGGCCAGAGTGTAATGGCATGATCTTGGCTCACTGTGACTTCTGCCTTCTGAGTTCAAGTGAGTCTCCTGCCTCAGCCTCCCTGAGTAGCTGGGATTACGGGCATGCACCATCATCACCATGAGCTGCTAATTTTGCATTTTCAGTAGAGATGGGGTTTCACCATGTTGGCCAGGCTGGTCTCAAACTCCTGACTTCAGGTGATCCACCCACCTCAGCCTCTCAAAGTGCTGGGATTATAGGCATGAACCACCACACCCTGCCTCTTTGTTTTTTGTTTTGTTTTTTTTGTTTTTGTTTTTGTTTTTTTGTTTGATCTAACAGTCAGGCCACTCTACAGCAGGGATCCTGCTGTTTGCTGGGGTCCACTCCAGACCCTAGTGGCCTCAGTTTCTTCCATACCTGGCGTTATCACCAGTGAATCCTGTGAAACAGCAAACATGGGGGCCAGCTTGTTCCTCTTGAAGCTCCGCCTCAGGGTGTACTGACTTGTTGCTGCCCTGCACACACCTGTAGAAGCTGGTTGGAGACCCCCATTGGGAGGTCTCACCGAGTCAGGAAGAACAGTGTCAGGAACCTGCCCAAAAAATCAGTCTGCCTGTTTTTTGGCAGAGGAAGTGTGCTGCATTGTGGGGTACCATTCCTCATCTTGGATTGCCTGTATTCTCCAAAGCTGGCAGGCTGAAGTAGCTGAGTTAACTGAACCGCAGAGATGGCAGCCATCCCTTTCTCCAGGAATTCACACCCGTCTTAGGCGGACTCCAACCCACTGGCATTGGCTGGCTGGGATTCTAAGCCAGTGGATCTTACTTAACTTGTGAGGTGCCGTGGAAGTGAGGCCTGACACTGTTGGCTCCCTGGATTCAGCCCTCTTCCTAGGAATATATATGGATGGAATTCCTGTCTTGCAGGAGATACCAGAGCCAGAGTACGTAAAACTGGGCCTCTGTATGTGCCTGAACAGCTGCTCTGCAGGGACTCCACACAGCTCTGTGTATCAGACCCAAGGGCCTGGTGGCATGGGCCCACGAGGGGATCACCTGATACATGCATTACAAAGATCTGTAGGAGAAGCGTGGTTTCTTGTGTAGGGTCTCACAATCGCTCACTGGTTCCTTTGGCTGGCGGTGGGAGTCCCTTTGATTCTGTGCTGCTCCGGGTAGGCCACTGCCTGCCACCCCACCCAGCTTTTCTTCCTTCTTTGTGGGTCGCCTTGTTGTTTGCTTAGTCAGTCCCTGTTCAAGAACCTGGATATTTCAGTTGAAGGTGATAAATTCACTTGCCCCTTCTCATTCCCCTCTGTGAGTGCTGCGGACTACAGCTGCTTCTGATTCTCCATCTTGGTTCAGTGTCCCTCAGTTTCCCTTTGATCACTGCCTTTAAGAAAAGCTCTTCCTACCTGTCAATAATAATCTCAGCTAATAACTCTAAACTTACAAATATAGTAATATATCAACTATGAAATTAAAAAAGACACACTGGGGTAGGCCAACTTATGCTCCCCACAAAGATGTCCACATCCTAATCTTCAGAATCTGTGAATATGTTATTTTCCATAGCAAAAGGGACTTTGCGGATGTGCTTAAATTAAGGATCCTGAAATGCAGAGATAATTTATTCTGGATTATGTGTGTGTGCTCAATGTAATCTCAAGGGTCTTTATAAGAGGGAGGCAGCAGCATCACAGGCGGCATAGGTGTTGTGACAATGAAAGCAGAAATTGGAGGGATGCCGTCAAAAGCCAAGGTTGTTGTCTGCCTTGAGAAGCTGAAAATGCAAGGAAAAGAACCAGATTTATTGACACTGTTTTTAACCCCATGAGATTCCTTTTAGACTTATAAACTCTAGAACCGAAAGAAAATAAATTTTTGTTGTTTTTTTCACTACATTTGTGGTAATTTGTTACACCAGAAATAGAAAACAACCTGTCTTTCAGCACCCATATATCCAAAGCCAAGGTCCATATACTCACCCTTATATATTCAGTGTGGTCAGGGGAGTAATACAGCCCCTTGCTAGTTTGAATCATGTACCTTCATTTGTAATGTACAGAAGGTGAATTGGAGATAGACAACACACAGCAGCCCCTAAGAAGTGGTTGTTCATTGGATTCGACATTGAATTACTCATAAAAAAGTGACAAATAGGATTTCAAAATATATAAAAACAACAGGCATCTACTACTTTCCACACATTGTTTGCATAGAATGCACATTCACCTACCTTCTCTTATATACAGTTGAAAAATATTATCACATAATGCAGTGCAACTATTTCTTAAGAAGCTAAAATGTACACAACTCTTCACCAGAATAGACAGTCTCTTTTAGTTGCTGCTTCTAGTCTCAAATCTAATATCCCTGGGTGATTTACATTTCTCTTGGCCAGAAATGAAGTTGAAATTTCATCACCCCAAATAAGTAATTTAACTCTCAACAACAAAAGAAAATATAAAATATTAGAAGAAAATTAAAAAAAATAAAAATTTCCCTAATAAAAAAACGAGAAAAGAAACAACCTGTTATGTAGAGCAATTCATATTGCATGTGAATTGACATGTGCCCTCACTTGACAGTGAGGGCAAAGGCTCTGAGTTTTGACAGCGAAGTGAGCTCCTTTTGCCCACCCAATCTGCCCTGCATTCTGTTGCTGCTTGGATGTATGCTCATTACTGATACACATAGAGGGGTTTATAAAGTGACTACGTTAATTAGGCAGTCTAGTTTTTATTTTAGTCTGGTAGGACACAGATTCTGAAATTGACTTAAAGATTGAACAATTGTAAATTTTGACTGGCTTAAAAATTGAAAATTATAATTTCTATTTTAAAATATTTCAAAACCTAAATATATTTTAAAGAGAGGTTGGCTGCCAGTCTATTTGAATTCCGAAAATTGCATTAGGTTATCAAATTACAATGACAGAAATATTATGCAGTTATATTCTTAGATTGAGTTTTTTTTTTTTTTTTTTAAAAAAAAAGGTCTTTGCAATCCAAGAAATTACATGAGTTTCTGACTCTTAACCATCTTGAATTGTTGGCTACAGGCAGAAAGACACTGTTAGGAAGGTTGAATCTTCTTTTAACGATCAAGTGGGCTTTGGTCTGTATCTTGGAAGTAATCCCAGAAGACTTCCTATCCAATTTTCTGTATCAAATTTCTTGAAGTTCTCATGTTATTATACAATGGTCTTAGTCCTAAAACACAGTAAGTGACAGTTTAACCAATTTCTTTATTGACATTAAAAGCAGTTACTGACTTATCAGTTAAAGATGCAGGATTCTTCAATGTTTCTCATGATGCATAATGTTTTTTTATAGAAACTCTATCAGATTGAGGAAGTTTTCTTTCATTCCTAGTATGCTGCTAGTTTTTATCATAAATGGGCATTGGAGTTTCAAAAATTTTTTTGTTGACATATAATCATATAATTTCTCACCTTTATTAGTAAGATCAAATTACACTGGTAAATTTTTAAACGTAAAAATGAACCTCGAATTCCCAGGACAAACCCTATGTGGACTTTATGTATTATCCTTTTAAACAATGCTGGAGTCAAAGTACTCATACAAGTTACTAACACTTTGTTTCATATATATATGAACATATATATGCTAAGTATACATATGGTAATTAAATTCAAATGAGGTCATATAGTTGGGGTCCTAATCCAAGGGGATTGGTGGCCTCACAAAAAGAGAAAGAAAGAGAGATCTTGGTCTTTCTACAACACACACAGAAGGGGCATGAGAGCACACAGTCTACAAGCCAAGAAAAGTAGCCTCAGAATAAAACCCACCTTGCCAGGACCTTGATCTTGGACTTGCCAGTGGTTAGAACCGTGTGAAGTAAATTTCTGTTATTGAAGTAACCCACTCTATGGTATGTTATTATGACACGTCGAGTAAACTAATACAGTCAGAAAACATACTCCATATAATTTCAATTCCTTAAATGGATTGAAACTTATGACTCAGTCTAAAGTTTATCTTGGTGAACATACCATACATACTTGAAAATAATGTGATTCTATAGTTATTCCATGTAGGGGTCTGTAGATGCCAATTAAGTCAAGGTGGCTTATATTGTTGTTTATGTCATCCAACCTTACTGATATCTTTCATGTCTACTTGTTTTCCTAATTACTGAGTGTGGATTGTTAAAAAATATCCTTCCATTTCCTCCTTTAATTCTGTCAAATTTGCTTCATCCATTTTGAAGTTCTATAAATTAGATTCATACACATTTAGCAGTGTTATATCATTTTGATATATTGATGCCCTTATCGTTATGAAATGCCCTTTATTCAATAGTAATTCTCTTTGTCTTTATTGTCAATATCATAAGATATAACTTTTTCCAAGTGAATTTCCAATTGATTGAGCACCATTTATTGAAAAAGCCATTCTTTCCCCATTGCATTATGATTTGAAAAAGCCAAAAATCCTTTAATAAGAAGTATCCCTGTGGTCAAAATACACTTTGCAGGATTATCTATATTAGAAATCAAATTTTGTGGGAGTAGATGTGACCTGGCTAACGATATAGTCAAATAACAAAAACATCATCATAATTAGAGCCAATTTTTATTGAGCTTTTAAATAGGCTAATGTCATCCATGAATCATTTTTATATTATTTATTTATTTTTTTATTTTTTTCTGTTTTATTATAAATTGGCAAATGATAATTGTGTATATTTAGGGATTATAAAATGTTATATGTATACAATGTGAAATGGTTAAATCAATCTAATTAACATATCAATCACCTTAAATATTTGTCATTTTTTGCAATGAGAACATTTGAAATATACTTTCTTAGCAATTTTGAAATATACAATATATTAACTGTAGTCAATATGCTGTGTCATAGATCTTAAAAGACATATTTCTTATGTCTAACTGAAACTTTGACCAACACATCCCCACTCCCCACAACCCTCCATCTCTGACAAACATCATTCTTCTCTGTGATTCTCAGTCCAATTGTTGTAGGTACCACATATAAGCAAGATCATGCAGTCATTTGTTCTGACTTATGTTACTTAGCATAATGTCCTCCAGATTCATCCATATTGTCAGAAATGATGGAATTTCAGTTTTTAAGGCCGAATAATATTCTATTGTGTATATATGCTATTTTTACTTTGTTCATTTGTTGATTAACACTTAGGCTGTTTTCATGTTTTAGCTATTGTGAATAATGCTGCAAAGAACACAGAAGTGTAGACATTTCTTTGACATACTGATTTAAAATCCTTTGGCTATATATCCAGAAGTGGGACTGCTGGATCATATGGTAACTCAATTTTTAGTTTTTAAAGAAACCTCCATACTGTTTCCTAAAGTGGCTGTACAAATTTACATTCCTACTAATGATGTACAAGGGTTCCTTTATCTTTACATTGTCACCAACACTTGTTACCTTCTGTCATTTTCAATAACAGCCATTCTGACAGGTATGAGATGATATCTTATTGTGGTTTTAATTTGCATTTCCTTAATGATTAGTTATGTTAACATATATAAAATTTTAAATAAACACTTTATTATAGACTACCTATAGGTTTACAGAAGAGTCATAAAGTAGTGAAGAGTCCCCATATCCACCACAGCCAGTATCCTCTATTATTACCTTACATTAGTATAGTATATTTGTTGCAATTAATGAACTAATATTAAGATGTTATTATTTACTAAAGTCCATATTTTATTCAGATTTCCTCAGTTTTTACCTAATATTCTCTTTTTCATTATTGCTACAGGTCTTTTCCAGTATAATACATTGCAGTTGGTTGTCACGTCTCTTCACACTACCCTTGGCAGTGATGGTTTCTCAGAGTTTCCTTCTCTTTAATGACTTTCACAATTATGAGGGGTACTGGCAAGGTGTTTTATAGAATGGCCCTCAGTTGAAATTTTTCGGATGTTTGTCTCATGATTAGATTAGGATTATGGGTTTTGGGGGGAGGAACATGGAAGCACCATTTTCAGCACATCATTTCAAGGATATATGCTATCAGCATGACTTATCACTGTTGATGCTAACCTTGAGCACCTGCATGAGACAGTGTCTGTCAGATTTCAATACAAATACTACTGCCTCCCCTTTTCTATACTGTATTCTTTGGAAGGAACACACTATGCCACCTCACACTTAAATGGTGGGGAGTTATGCTCCCCTTTTTGAAAGGGATGTACCTATGTATAATGTGTGGAATTGTTATGCATAAGGTATCTGTATATTTTTGCTTGGCATAATTTATTTTCAATCCTCAGAAAAATCATATTTTGTCCTCAAAAAATAAAATTCTTGGAAATAAACTTAATCAAGGAGGCGAAAGCCTTGCACTCTTAAGACTACAAACCGTTTTTGAAAGAAATTAAAAAGGACATCATGAAGTGAAAAGATATCCTGTGTTCATGGATTGGAAGACAATTAAGATATAAATACTACACAAAGTAATGCAGATTCAATTCAATTCCTATCAAAGTCCCAATGACATTTTTTGCAAAAATAGAAAATCCATCCTAGCACTGATGTGGAGTCTAAAGGGATTCCAAATGACCAAAATAATCTTCAAAAAAAGAGCAACTCAAAACTTACTACAAAACTGCAGTAATCAAAACAGTGTGGTACCACCATAAAGATAAAGATATATATCAATAGAATAGAATAAAGATGCCAGAAATAAACCCTCACATACGTGGCCAAGTGATTTTAGAGAAGGATGCCAAGACCATTCAATGGGAAAAGAACAGTCTTTTCAACAAATTGTGTTGAGAAGGGTGGATATTTGCATGCAGAAGAATGAAGTTGGGCCCTTACCTTACACCATATATGCAGAATCACTCAAAATTTATCAAAGACCTAAATGTAAGACCTAAAACTATAAAACTTTTAGAAGAAAACATAGAGAAGAAGCTTCAAGACACTAAATTTAGAAATGATTTCTTGGCTATGACCAAAGGAAAAAAAAAAAAAAAAAAGCACAGGCAACAAAAGTAAAAATAGACAAAATTGACTGCATTAAAAAAAAAAAAAAAACTTTGAACGTCAAAAGACACTATCAACAGAGTTAAAAGGCAACCCATAGAATAGGCTGCAAATTATATATCTCGTAAGGAGCTAATATTCAGAATAAACAAAAATTCCTTCAAATCATCATCAAGAAAAATCAAACAACCCAATTAAAAATGGACAAAGAAATTGAATAGACATTTCTCCAGAGAAGATGTATAGATGGCCAATAAGCATACAAAAGAAATGCTGAACATCATAAAATAATTAGGGAAATGCAAATTAAGCTTACAATGAGACACAACTTTATACCCATTAGGATGGCTATTACTAAAAGATTTGGAAATAGGATTTTCAGGGAGGGGCCAAGATGGCTGATTAGAAGCAGCTACAGCCCATGGCACTCATGGAGAGGAAGAAAACCAGCAAGGGAATTCAGTACCTTAAACTGAAATGTCCAGGTTGTTGCATTAGGACTGACTAGGCAAATAACTCATGGAGAATAAAGAAAAGCATAGCGGGGCAATGACCCACCCAGGAGTGGCACACAGCCAAAGGAACCCACAAACACAGCTGAGAGAAGCACTTTCACTCATGATACCATCAGATGCAGGAGGGACCAAGTTGACTAGGGTCTGGAGTGTACCTTAAGCAAACCACAGCCCTTTGGAAAAGTGGCTTGCTAGTGAAAAGAAAAACAAACAAAAATAACAATGACAACATAAACAAACAAAAAAAGACCCCACAAAAACCCCATTCAAAGGTCAGCAACCTCAAAGATTGAAGGTAGATAAGCCCACAAACATGAGACGTAATCAACACAAAAATGCTAAAAACTCAAAAAGAGAGTGCCTCTTCTCCTTCAAATGATGGCAACACCTCTGCAGCAACGGCATGGAACCGGACTGAGGCTGAGATGGCTGAACTGATAGAAATAAGCTTTAGAAGGTGGGTAATAATGAACTTTGCTTAAAGGAGTATGGTGTAACCCAATGCAAATAAGCTAAGAATCATATTAGAACAATACAGAAGTGTTAGCCAGAACAGCCCATTTAGAGAGGAACATAGCTAACCTGATGGAGCTGAAAATACAACACAAAAACTTCACAATGCAATTATAAGTATCAGTAGCAGAATAGACCAAGCAGAGGAAAGAATCTCAGAGCTTGAAGACTATATTCCTGAAACAACACATGCAGACAAGACTAGAGGAAAAAAGAATGAAAAAAAATAAACAAAACCTCCAAGAAATATGAGATTATTTACAGAGACTGAAACTATGACTGATTGATATACCTGAAAGAGATGAGGAGAATGGAACCAAGTCAGAAAACATATTTCAGGATATCAGCCAGGAGAACTTCCCCAACATAGCTAGACATGCCGGCATTAACATTCAGGAAATGCAGGGAACCCAATTAAGTTACTCCACAAGAATGTCAACCCCAAGACAAAAAATTATTAAATTCTCCAGGGTAAAAATAAAAGAAAAAATGTTGAGAGCAGACAGAGAGAAAGGCTAGGTAACCCAGAAAGAAAAGCCCATCAGACCAACAGCAGACCTCTCCGTGGAAACCCTACAAGCCAGAAGAGATTGGGGGCCATATTCAACATTCTAAAAGAAAAGAATTTCCAACCCAGAATTTAATATCTGGCCAAACTAAGCTTCATAAGCAAAGGAGAAATAAGATCCTCTTAAGACAAGCAAATGCTGAGGGAATTTATCACCAATGGCCTGCCTTGAAAGAGCTCCTGAAGGAAGCACTAAATATAGAAAGAAAAAAAAAAGTTACCAGCTACTACAAAACACACTGAAGTACATAGATCAGTGACATTATGAAGGAACCACCTGAACAAGTCTGCCAAATAACAAGCTAGCATCATGATGACAGGATCAAATTTACACATAACAATACTAACTTTAAATATAAATTGGCTAAATGCCCAAATTAATAGACACAGAATGGCAACCTGGATAAAGAGCCAAGACCAAATGGTATGCTGTCTTCAGGAGACCCATCTCACTTGCAAAGACATACGTATGCTTGGGATAGAGGGATGGAGGAAAATATACCAAGCAAATGGAAAACAGAAAAAAGCAGGGGTTGCAATCCTAGTTTCTGACAAAACAGTCTTTAAACCAACAAAGAACAAAAAAAGACAAAGAAGGGCATTACATAATGGTAAAGGGTTCAATTCAAGAAGAAGAGCTAACTATCCTAAATATATATGCACCCTATACAGGAGCATCCAGATTTATAAAGCAAGTTCTTAGAGACCAATAAAGAGACTTAGACTACCACACAATAATAGTGGGAGACTTTAACAGCACACTGACAATACTAGATCATCAAGACAGAAAATTAGCAAAGATATTCAGGACTTGAACTTGGCTCTGGATAACAGGACTTGACAGATATCTACAGAACTCTCCACCAAAATTCAAGAGAATATACATTATTCTCAGTGCCATATGGCAGTTAATCTAAAATTGACCACTTAATAAGAAATAAAACACTCTTCAGCAAATGCAAAAGAACTAGAATGATAATAGTCTGTCAGACTACAGCACAATCAAATTAGAATTCAAGATTAAGAAATTCATTCAAAATCACACAACTACATGAAAATTGAACAATGTGCTCCTGAATGACTCTTGGGTAAATAATGAAATTAAGGCAGGAATTGAGATGTTCATTGAAAGTAATGAGAACAAAGGAACAATGTACCAGAATCTTTGGGATGCAGCTAATTAGTATTAAGAGGGAAATTTATAGCACTAAATGTCCACATCAAAAAGCTAGAAAGATCTCAAGTTAACAATCTAACATCTCAACTGAAAGAACTAGAGAACCAAGACAAAAAAAAAAACTCAAAGGCAGCAGAAGACAAGAAGTAATCAAGATCTGGGCTGAACTGAAGGAGTTAGAGACACAAAAAAGACCTTCAAAAGATCAATTAATTCAGGAGCTGTTTTTCTGAAAAAATTAATAGGATAAATCACTAGCTAGACTGATTAAAAAAAGAGAAAAGAATCATAAAAACACAATCAGAAGTGATGATGGGAATATCACCATGGACCCCACAGAAATGCAAACGTCAGAGAATACTATAAATGCCATTATGCACATAAACTAGAAAATCTAGAAGAAATGGATCAATTCCTGGATGCATACACCCTTCCAAGAGTGAACCAGGAAAAAATTGAATCCCTGAATAGACCAATAAAGAGTTCTGAAATAGAGGCAGTAATGAATAGCCTACCAACATAAAAAATGCCAGGACCAAATGGATTCACACCTGAATTCTACCAGAGGTACAAAGAAGAGCTGACGCCATTTCTACTGAAACTTTTCCAAAAAACTGAAAAGGAGGGACTCCTCCCCAACACATTCTATGAGTTCAGCATCATCCTGACACCAAAACCCAGAAGAAATACAACAAAACAAGAAAACTTCAGGCTAATATCCATGATGAACATTGATGAAAAATTCCTCAGTAAAATACTAGCAAACTGAATCCAACAGCACATCAAAAAGCTTATCCAACATGATCAAGTTGGCTTCATCCCCAGGATGCCAGGTTGGTTCAACATACACAAACCAATAAATGTGGTTTCATCACATAAACAGAACTAAAGACAAAAACCACATGATTATATCAATTGATGCAGGAAAGACCATCAATAAAATGCAACATCACTTCAAGTTAAAAAACTCTCAATAAACTAGATATGGAAGGAACATAACTCAAAATAACAAGAGTCACATATGACAGACCCATAGCTAATATCATACTGAATGAGCAAAAGCTGGAAACATTCCCCTTGAAAACCAGCACAAGACAAGGATGCCCTTTCTCACCACTCCTATTCAACATAGTATTGGAATTTCTGGCCAGGACTATCAGGCAAGAGAAAGAAATAAAGGGTATTTAAATAGGAACCAAGGAAGTCAAATTATCTTTGTTTGCAGATGACCTGATCCTCTATCTAGAAAACCCCATCGTCTCAGTTCAAAAGCTTCTTAAGCTGATAAGAAACTTCAGCAAAATCTCTGGATACAAAATCAATGTGCAAAAATACCTAGCATCCCTATACACCAACAATAGACAAGCAGAGAGTCCCATGAATGAACTTATATTCAAAATTGCTACAAAAAGCATAAAATACCTTGAAATAAAGCTAACAAGGGAAGTGAAGGACCTCTTCAAAGGTACTACAAACCAGTCCTCAACTCAGAAAAGACAGAAACAAATGAAGAAACATTCCATGCTTATGGATAGGAAGAATCAGCATCATGAAAATGGCCATACTGCCCAAAATAATTAATAGGTTCAATGCTATTTCTATTAAACTACCATTAACGTTCTTCAAAGAATTAGAAAAAAAAATTAAAATTTATATGGAACCAAAAATGTGTCTGAATAGCCAAGACAATCCTAAGCAAAAAGAACAAAGCTGGAGGCATCATGCTACCCAACTTCAAACTATACTACAAGGCTATAGTAACCAAAACAGCATGGTACTGATAGTAGAACAGACACATAGACCAAATGAAACAGAATAGAGAACTCAGAAATAAGACTGCACACCTACAATCATCTGATCTTTGACAATTGACAAAAATTAGCAATGGGGAAGGGACTTTGTATTTAATAAATAATGCTAGGAATGCTGGCTAGCCATAAGCAGAAAATTGAAACTGGACCTTTTCTGTGTTAGTTTGTTTTTGTGCTGCTGATAAAGACATAACTGAAACTGAGAAGAAAAAGAGGTTTAATTGGACTTACACTTCCACATAGATGGGGAGGCCTAAGAATCATGGCAAGAGGTGAAAGGCACTTCTTACATGGCAGCAGCAAGAGAAAATGAGGAAGATGCAAAAGCAGAAACCCCTTATAAACCCATCAGATCTCATGAGACTTATTCACTAACATGAGAATAAAGACAGGCCTCCATGATTCAATGACCTTCCCCTGGGTTCCTTCCACAATACGTGGGAATTCTGGGTGATACAATTCAAGTTGAGATTTGAGTGGGGACACAGCCAAACCATGTCATTCCACCCCAGGCCCCTCCAAATCTTATGTCCTCACATTTCAAACCAATCATGCCTTCGCAACAGTCCCCCAAAGTCTCAACTCATTTCAGCATTAACCCAAAAGTCCACAGTCTAAAGTCTTATCTGAGACAAGGCAAGTTCCTTCCACCTGTGAGCCTGCAAAATCAAAAGAGAGCTAGTTACTTCCTAGATACAATGAGGGTACAGGTATTGGGTAAATATAGCCATTTCAAATGGGAGAATTGGCCAAACCAAAGGGGTTACAGGGCCTATGCAAGTCTGAAATCCAGCAGGGCAGTCACATTTTAAAGCTCCAAAATGATTTCCTTTGACTCCATGTCTCACATCCAGGTTATGCTGATGCAAGAAGTGGGTTCCCATGGTCTTGGGTAGCTCCACCCCTGTGGCTTTGCAGGGTTCAGCCTTCCTCCTGGCTACTTTCATGGACTGGCATCAAGTGTCTGTAGCTTTTCCAGGTGCACGGTGCAAGCTGTTGGTGGATCCGCCCTTCTGGGGTCTGGAGGATGGTGGCCCTCTTCTCACAGCTCCACTAGGCAGTGCTCCAGTAGGGACTCTGTGTGGCAGCTCCAACCACACATTTTCCTTCTGCATGGCCCTACCAGTGGTTCTCCATGAGGGCCCCATCCTTGCAACAAACTTTGGGTGGGCATCCAGGAGTTTCCATATATCTTCTGAAATCTAGGCAGAGGTTCCCAAACCCCAATTCTTGACTACTGGGCAACCACAGGCTCAACACCACATGGAAGCTGCCAATGCTTGGGGCTTCCACCGTCTGAAGCCACAGCCTGAGCTCTACGTTGGCCTCTTTCAGCCACAGCTGGAGTGGCTGGGACACAGGACACCAAGTCCCTAGGCTGCATACAGCATGGGGACCCTGGGCCCAGCCCACCAGACCACTTTTTCTTTCTGTGCCTCTGGGCCTGTGATGGGAGAGGCTGCCGTGAAGGTCTCTGACATGGCCTGGAGATATTTTCCTCATGGTCTTGGGGATTAACATTAGGCTCCTTGCCACTTATGCAAACTTCTGCAGCCAGCTTGAATTTCTCCTCAAAAAAAAAAAGTTTTTTTCTTTTCTATTGCATCATCAGGCTGCAAATGTTCTGAACTTTTATCCTCTGTTTCCCTTTTAAAATGGAATGCTTTTAATAGCACCCAAGTCACCTTTTGAATGCTTTGCTGCTTAGAAATTTCTTCCATACCAGGTACCCCAAATCATCTCAAGTTCAAAGTTCCACAAATCTCTAGGGCAGGGGCAAAGTGCTGCCAGTCTCTTTGCTAAAATATAACAAGAGTCACCTTTACTCCAGGTCCCAACAAATTCTTCATCTCCATCTGAGATCACCTTGGCCTGGACCTTATTGTTCATATCACTATCAGCATTTTTGTCAAAGCCATTCAACAAGTCTCTAGGAGGTTCCAAACTTTCCGACATTTTCCTGTCTTCTTCTGAGTCCTCCAAACTGTTCCAACCTCTGTCTGTTACCCAGTTCCAAAGTCATGTCCACATTTTCATGTATCTTTTCAGCAACACCCCACTCTACTGGTACCAATTTACTGTATTAGTTCTTTTCACGCTGCTGATAAAGACATACCCGAGACTGGGAAGAAAAAAATGTTTAATTGGACTTACAGTTCCACATGGCTGGAGAGGCCTTAGAATCATGGTGGGAGGTGAAAGGCACTTCTTTCATGGTGGCAGCAAGAGAAAAATGAGGAAGAATCCCTGAATAGACCAATAACAGGTTCTAAAATTGAGGCAATAATTAATAGCCTACCAATCAAAAAAGTCGCAGACCAGACGGATTCACAGTTGAATTCTGCCAGAGGTACAAAGAGGAGCTGGTACCATTCCTTCTGAAACTGTTCCAATCAATAGAAAAAGAGGGAATCCTCCCTAACTCATTTTATGAGGCCAGCATCATCCTGATACCAAAGCCTGGCAGAGACACAACAAAAAAAGATAATCTTAGACCAATATCCCTGATGAACATCGATGCAAAAATCCTCAAGTCTCTAGGAGGTTCCAAACTTTCCAACATGTTCCTGTCTTCTTCTGAGCCCTTCAAACTGTTCCAACCTCTGCCTGTTATCCAGTTCCAAAGTCATATCCACATTTTCAGGAATCTTTTCAGCAACACCCCACTCTGCTGGTACCAATGTACTGTATTAGTTCATTTTCATGCTGCTGATAAAGACATACCCGAGACTGGGAAGAAAAAAAGGTTTAATTGGACGTACAGTTCCACATGGCTAGAGAGGCCTTAGAATCATGGCGGGAGGCAAAAGGCACTTCTTACATGGCCACAGCAAGAGAAAATGAGCAAGATGCAAAAGCAGAAACCCCTGATAAACCCCTCAGATTTCATGAGACTTATTCACTAGCATGAGAATAGCATGGGAAAGACCAGCACCCATGATTTTATTACCTTCCCTTGGGTCTCTTGCACAACACGTGTGAATTCTGGGAGATACAATTCAAGTTGAGATTTTGGTGGGGACACAGCCAACCATATCACCTTCCTTACACCTTATACAAAAATTAAGATGGATTAAAGACTTTAATGTTATACCCAAAACTATAAAAATTCTAGAAGAAAATCTAGGCAATATCATTCAGAACCTCAGCATGGGCAAAGATTTCATGAGTAAAAACACCAAGAGCAATTGCAACAAAAGCAAAAATTGAAAAATGGGATCTAATTAAACTAGAGATATTCTGCACAGCAAAAGACACTATCATCAGAGTGAATAGGCAGCCTACACAATGGGAGAAAATTTGTGCAATCCATCTATCTATCCGACAAAGGTATAATATCCAGAGTCTACAAGGAACTTAAACAAATTTACAAGAAAAAACAAACAACCCCATTAAAAAGTGGGGAAAGACATGAGCTGAGTCTTCTCAAGACACATATGTGGCCAAAAAACATGAAAAAAAAGTTTAACATCACTGATCATTAGACAAATGCAAATCAAAACCACAATGAGATAACATCTCACACCAGTCAGAATGGCTATATTTAAAAAGCCAAAATACAACATATGCTGGTGAGATTGCAGAGAAAATGGATGCTTTTACACTGTTGGTGGGAGTGTAAATTAGTCCAACCATTCTGGAAGACAGTGTGGTAATTCATCAAAGACCTAGAGGCAGAAATACCATTTGAGCCAGCAATCCCATTATGGGTTATATACCCAAAGGAATATGAATAATTTTATTTAAAGATACATGCATGCGTATGTTCAGTGCAGGACTATACACAATAGCAAAGACATGGAATCAACGTAAGTGGCCATCAATGATAGACTGAATAAAGAAAATGCGGTACATATACACCATGGAATACTATGCAGCCATAGAAAGGAATGAGATCATATTCTTTGCAGGAACATGGATAGAGTTGGAAGCCATTAGCCTTAGAAAATTAATGCAGGAACAGGAAAGCAAACACAGCATGTTCTCACTTATAAGTGGGAGATGAGTGATCAGAGTGCATGGACATAAGGCAGGGAACAACACACACTGTGGCCTGTTGGGGTGGGGGTGTGGGAAGGGAGAGCATCAGGAAGAATATCTAATGGATGTTGGGCTTAATCCTAGGTGATGGGATGATCTGTGCAGCAAACCACCATGGCACATGTTTACCTATGTAACAAATCTACACATCCTGCACATGTACATCTGAACTTAAAAGTTGAAGAAAAAAGGAAGGGAATGTTGATAAACATAAAGACAGAGAGAAAGAGAGTGAGGAGACAAGAAAGGAGGAGGAAAATCAAGTAAATGGAAAGAGAAAGAGGGAGATATGTGATTGCTTGATTGGAAATATGAAAAGAAAACAGTTCTTTTGAATTTTCTAGTTAATAATACCATTTTGCTTAAGTTGAATTTTACACTTTAAGTGAGTGAATTTTATAGCATGTGAATTATATCTCAATAAAGGTGTTTTCAAAGGGAATGCTTCCAGTTTTTTCCCATTCAGTATGATATTGGCTGTGGGTTTGTCATAAATAGCTCTTATTATTTTGAGATATATTCCATCAATATCTAGTTTATTGAGAGTTTTTAGCATGAAAGATGGTTGAATTTTGTCAAAGGCCTTTTCCGTATCTACTGAGATAATCATGTGGTTTTTGTCATTTGTTCTGTTTATGTGATGGATTACGTTTATTGATTTGCATATGTTGAACCAGCCTTGCATCCCAGGGATGAAGCTGACTTGATCTGGGTTGGATCAGCTTTTTGATGTGCAGCTGGATTCGGTTTGCCAGTATTTTACAGAGGGATGCCCTCCCTCACCACTCCTATTCAACATAGTGTTGGAAGTTCTGGCCAGGGCAATCAGGAAAGAGAAAGAAATAAAGGGTATGCAGTTAGGAAAAGAGGAAGTCAAATTGTCCCTGTTTGCAGATGACATGATTGTATATTTAGAAAACCCCATGTTCTCAGCCCAAAATCTCCTTAGGCTGATAAGCAACTTCAGCAAAGTCTCAGGATACAAAATCAATCTGCAAAAATCACAAGCATTCCTATACACCAATAACAGACAAACAGAAAGCCAAATCATGAGTGAACTCCCATTTACAATTGCTTCAAAGAGAATAAAATACCTAGGAATCCAACTTACAAGGGATGTGAAGGATCTCTTCAAGTAGAACTACAAACCACTGCTCGACAAAATAAAAGAGGACACAAACAAATGAAAGAACATTCCGTGCCATGGATAGGAAGAATCAATATCGTGAAAATGGCCATACTGCCCAAGGTAATTTATAGATTCAATGCCATCCCCATCAAGCTACCAATGACTTTCTTCACAGAATTGGAAAAAAACTACTTTAAAGTTCATATGGAATCAAAAAGAGCACACATCGCCAAGAAAATCCTAAGCAGTAAGAACAAAGCTGGAGGCATCACACTACCTGACTTCAAACTATACTACAAGGCTACAGTAACCAAAACAGCATGGTTCTGGTACCAAAACAGAGATATAGATCAATGGAACCGAACAGAGCCCTCAGAAATAATGCCACATATCTACAACTATCTGATCTTTGACAAACCTGAGAAAAACAAGCAATGGGGAAAGGATTCCCTATTTAATAAATGGTGCTGGGAAAACTGGCTAGCCATATGTAGAAAGCTGAAACTGGATCCCTTCCTTACACCTTATACAAAAATTAATTCAAGAAGGATTAAAGACTTAAACATTAGACCTAAAACCATAAAAACCCTAGAAGAAAACCTAGGCATTACCATTCAGGACATAGGCATAGGCAAGGACTTCATGACTAAAACACCAAAAGCAATGGCAACAAAAGCCAAAATTGACAAATGGGATCTAATTAAACTAAAGAGCTTCTGCACAGCAAAAGATACTACCATCAGAGTGAACAGGCAACCTACAGAATGGGAGAAAATTTTTGCAATCTACCCATCTGACAAAGGGCTAATATCCAGAATCTACAAAGAACTTAAACAAATTTACAAGAAAAAAAACAAGCAACCCCATCAAAAAGTGTGCAAAGGATATGAACAGACACTTCTCAAAAGAAGACATTTATGCAGCCAACAGACACATGAAAAAATGCTCATCACCACTGGTCATCAGAGAAATGCAAATCAAAACCACAATGAGACACCATCTCACACCAGTTAGAATGGCAATCATTAAAAAGTCAGGAAACAACAGGTGCTGGATACGATGTGGAGAAATAGGAATGCTTTTACCCTGTTGGTGGGACTGTTAACTAGTTCAACCATTGTGGAAGACAGTGTGGCGATTCCTCAAGGATCTAAAACGAGAAATACCATTTGACCCAGCCATCCCATTACTGGGTATATACCCAAAGGATTATAAATCATGCTGCTATAAAGACACATGCACACGTACATTTATTGCAGCACTATTCACAATAGCAAAGACTTGGAACCAACCCAAATGTCCATCAGTGACAGACTGGATTAAGAAAATGTAGCACGTATACACCATGGAATACTATGCGGCCATAAGAAAGGATGAGTTCATGTCCTTTTCAGGGACATGGATGAAGCTGGAAACCATCATTCTAAGCAAACTATCACAAGGACGGAAAACAAAACACCGCATGTTCTCACTCATTGGTGGGAATTGAACAATCAGAACACTTGAACACAGGGAGGGGAACATTACACACTGGGGCTTGTTGTGGGGTAGAGGGCCGGGGGAGGGATAGCATTAGGAGAAATAAGTAATGTAAATGACGAGTTAATGTGTGCAGCAAACCAACATGGCACATGTATACCTCTGTAACAAACCTGCACATTGTGCACATGTACCCTAGAACTTAAAGTATAAAGAAAAAAAAAATCACAGTAAATAAAGCAGAGTCAGCAGAAGCCTTGAATAACCAAGGATAGAGAAATAGTATATACAAAAAGTTACCATCGCAATATAAGGAAATAAAAGCTCCTATTTCTCTTATTTCCTTACAAGTTCTCTAAGAAAGAGACCTTGTCTTATTTCTTTACAAGGAAATAAGACAAATAGAAGCTGGATCATGTGAATGTTGGTTTATCAAGATGGCTACTTCTGAGGAACCACTACTAGAGTTCCTGTTTGTGCGTTATTAGACAGTGATTTAGGATGTTATCATTTGCTACAGTTTGAATGTTTGCCCCTCTGAACTTGTGTTGAACCTTAATCCCTAATGTGGCAGTATTGAAAGGTGGGGCCTTTAAGAGGTGATTAGGTCAAAAGACTGCCCTCAAGAATGAATTAATTCATTAATGGACTAATGGATCAATGCATTTTCATGGGAGTGGGACTGGTAGACTTTCAGAAGAAATAAGAGAGACCTGAGTTAACACACTCAGCCCATTTGCCATATGATGTCCTGTACCACCTCAGAACCCTGCAGAGTCCCCACTAGCAAGAAGGCTCTCACCAGATGAGCCCCCTTGACCTTGAACTCCCAAGTCTCCACAATTGTAAGGCATAAATGTTGTTTCTTTATAAATTACCCAGTTTCAGGTATTCTGTTATAAGCAACAGAAAGCAAACTAGGATGTCATTTCGTAAAGACAAATGATGGGGCTACAGTGGGGATTAACTCTTTCTTGGAGACTTTTTACACTTACAGTAAACTCAATGATCTGAGGCAAGTTGAATTTGTCTGTTTCTCACAATTGGGAGACATTGCCAAAACCACGTATTCTGGCTTATTCCTACTTCACAGTCAGCAGAAAATAAAATTTTCTAGTGGAGTTTTGCTGAATGACATTGAAATAGTAAGTAAAAATAAATTTGAAATGTTTTAGTTTATTCATTACAGAACAACTTTAAAATAGTAGATAAAAATGAGTTGGGCATTTAAGCTTCATTTAAGAAAAGCTCAATATGAAGCAGGTAATTACTATTCCCTTTCTTTCAATCTCATCAATTATGTAAAAAGAAGCATCTTTTTAAAATTATAAATTTTAAGTAAAAAGATATCTCAATATATATCTATGAAATATTATATTATGATATGCACCTAAATTTTAATATAAATACAATAAATATGGTAAAATCAGATTACTCTCAATTTGTTGGCACCAGTTGAATTTGGTACAATTATTTTGTGTTGTAATACACCTGTATTTATCAAGAATAAAAAATGCTTTGTCATTTGGCTCAAAAAATTTACATTTGCGAATTTACAGTAAATTAAAATTCAAATGAAGAAAAGAATAATCTCTCCCTTTCTCTCTAAGTGTCTGGTAATAAGGAAATGGCTAAACAAATTATAGTACACCCATTTAGACTATATTATGTAAATGGTGAGGCAATAATTATAGGAGATTGGAAATGTAAGTTATTAGATGATAAAAAAAAAAAGGCAGAGTACTACCTTGCATTTTTTCTGTGATTATGACAATAAATATCAAGTGTGCAAGTGGGACAAGTGTAGAAACGAAAAAACAGATAGTTGTGTTAGTAGAATGGTAGTTTTCGGAGGTAGTTTTCCTCTTTGCTTAATTTTAAGTTCACCCCGTTATTTTTTCAATTTAAAAGGAAAAATTAGGTAAGAAGTCTTGATTTGCCTGTAAATACATATTATAGATAACATAAAAACTGGAGAAGAAAAGTCAAAAGGTATAAGAGGGGACAAACTCCAGTATCAGCTTCTTCTGAAACAGCAGTTTCTGAAATAGAACAGGTGTTTGTTTGTTTGTCTTTGGTGCAAAAGATCCAAACAGGGAACAATACCTTTGGGAAAATACTTCTGCAAACACATTGCTGTTGTTTTGTTACCATGGATAAAATAAAAGAAAATGTCCTTGGAAAGAATAACAATATATTTCTGAATTATGCCTTTTCAACTGTGCTTTAATTTTCCTGAAAAGAACATTACAAACAACGTTGCCAAACAAAAGCTTGAGAGGATGCACAGCACCCTCAGGACTTGTGAACTAATGGCCCATTCTAGGAAACTAAACATTTTGGTTTCAAATTAGATTATTTCCAGCAGGGAAGGCTTGTAGGAGATGCAAAAGCCTGCCCTAAGTACTGACATGCCAGGGTCTTTTAGGTTGGGAGAGATGTCCTTTACACCAAGGCAGTAATTTGCCTTGAGGAAAAACTGAAAACACTTGTGTGATTGAGTTGGGAAGCTACATGGGAACCACTAAAAAACTTTGAAAGGTTTCAGCCGGGTGCTGGTGGCTCACACCTGTAATCCCAGCACTGTGGGAGGCCCAGGCGAGTGGATCATGAGGTCAAGAGATTGAGACCATCCTGGCTAACAAGGAGAAACCTCGTCCCTACTAAAAATACAAAAATTAGGTGGCCATGGTGGCGCGTGCCTGTAGTCCCAACTACTCGGGAGGCTGAGGCAGGAGAATCGCTTGAACCCAGGAGGCGGAGGTTGCAGTGAGCCGAGATCGCACCACTGCGCTCTAGCCTGGGCGACAGTGCAAGACTCTGTCTCCAAAAAAAAAAAAAAAAAAAAAAAAAACTTTGAAAGGTGAGAAATTTAATTACTTACAGGGTATTCATTTCATGTATATTATTGCCAAGAATGAAAAATTAAGGAAGTAATGCAAGCATTTCAAGTTTTAAAAAGATGTTTGCAATATCCAAATAATTCAGACAGTGAGTTACCTGCTTAAATTATCAGCATAATTGCCTAAAATCATTGCTGGTGTGTGGCTGGTTATGGTCTCTCCTGTTCATTTTCAATATATATGTGAAACTGTCAAATTTTGAAAGCCAAACCCAATGATTTTCTTTTTTCTTTTCTTTCCTCTTCTTCTTTTTTTTATGTTATGTTATGTTATGTTATTTATTTATTTATTGAGACAGAGTCTGTCTCTGTCACCCAGGCTGGAGTGCAGTGGCACAGACACAACCCCCTGCAGCCTGAAACTCCTGTGCTCAAGCAATCCTCCCACATTAGTCTCTACAGTAGCTAGGACTATAGGTAGACCACCACTACACCTGACTAATTATTATTATTTACTTATTAGAAAAGACTAGATCTCCGAGATCTCACTGCATTGCCCAGGGTGGCCTCAAACTTCTGGGCTCAAGTGATCCTCCAGCCTCAGCCTCCCAGAGTGCTAGGATTACAGGCATAAGCCGCTGCACTTGCCGAAGTCCCATGATTTTCAGAGAATCCACTACTCTTCTCCAAGAACAATCACCTCTGCTCTGTCTATAGCAGTTGGTCATGATGTTGAAATCCTGTCTGATCATTAATCTGAATCTATCCCTTAAATGTCAGAGGAGGAAAAATGGTAAGAACTGCTGATTAAGGTCATTTTTATTGCAGCAATGTTTGGCTTTTAAGGTACTTTCATCAGGATGGTCGAGCTTTACCTGATAATGATTTTAAAATGATCACATAATGGTTGGTAGAGATGAAAACACTTACGGTTCCTTCATCCACTGATGAATAGTTCAAGAGGTGAAAAACTGTGATGTATACTGGTCTCATAAAGAAAATAATGAGACATATCTTTATATTTGCAAGCTCCCCCAAAATACCTAGATCCTTTTGCAACTAGAAACAAACCCCAGAGCTTCGAGAAAGTCATTTCTTTGAATTTTCTAGTTTCCTTTTCTAGAAAAACAAGTTTACTTTGTGTTCAAAATGTTTTTAGATAGAGAATCATTTCTTCATATAAAATCTGACATGGAAGCCCAGTGTATGCAAGAAACAAAATAGAGCTGCTCATTTGACGTCACTGGGGAAACTCGGAACTCCCTCATTTCTGTGCCTGGAAATATCTCTGTGGTAACCAGAGCTTCCAATAACACACAGCATAGAAATTACCGAACTTCATGATTACGTTTCTCCAGCAAGTAGACACCATAGTAATCTCAATCACTTAAATTTGTTTTGCAAGTAATTTGGAGGTTGCTGCTACAAATGAGTTAATTACCATTGAAATCTAATTTCAAGGAAGAATACTTTTATACAGAATTTTCAAAAAAAGTTTGCATTTTAAGAATAACTTAAATTCATTTTCACCTTTAAATTAAGTGACGAATATTGATTTCAATCCAGAAGAGGACTAGCTATGTTTTTTGATATATTATTCTAATACTGTATCTCCACAGAAGGAAGAGGGGGAAAGAGAGGGGAGGGAAGAGGTGGGAAAGGAAGAATGAAGGGTAGACATGCAGGTAGGCTCAGGATCAAATAATTTATCTTCAAGTTTCTGAGATCTTTTCTATTAGTGATGTTCAATTCTTCAGTCTTTTCTTTCAGAATATGAGCTCTTCTGAGATACCTCTGTGCTGTAAAATCGGTTTAACAGATGACTCCTTCTTTTATTTCTCAGCAAGATATATATCGGAGAAGGGTACCATCATATTAAGAACAGGGCTCACTGGAAACCAGCAGATCATCATGAGGCAACCCAGATTGCAATATGATTATCATTTCTGAGAGGGTGTCTGTTTTAAATATGTGGTTTTCTCTTTGTTAGGGAGAAGGGACAAGAATCCAATTGAAGCATGTCAAGGAATTGCTTTCATATTGCATCCGTTTTCATTTCCCCATCCCTCTCTTCCTGTGCAAATTAAAATGCTAGTCTCATTTGTATCAATCTTGAGAAATGACGTTTAGTTTATCTAGCCTTCTCTGCCCGTGTAAAGATTTTTCTTATATGGTTCATTCCAGAGAAGTATTTTCAAATATTTCATGTTTCTTGATACTTTTACCTTGTCTAGTTATAATTTTGATAAGAAGTACTTTAATTTTTTATTCCAATGCAATCACCCATAACATGAAGCAAAACCATAATATCAAACATTTTTTAACCTTCCCCTGCCAAAAGGAAGGAGTGAACTAGTAATTTATAAAGATTGTGCACTCTGCTAGTTTTTTAAAATTATTTTTTATGAGATGATTTGCAGAAATTTGGGATTTGGGTAGAGAATGTAGCTTTGGCCATATTTTAAGTATTTTCTTCCTCCGGCGATTCATTTTAAGGAGTATATTATCTGAGCATAAAGAAAACAATATTTAGATAAAAGAAAAAAACTTATGACTAAATATGTTAAACTTGTGACTTAAAACTTATGACTAAACATAAATTGTGGAACTAATTTTTGATAATTAAACATTTTTAAAGCCTTTGGTAAAGTTTTGTTGGTGAGTCAGAAACTTCTTGGCTTTCTCTACTGAAATAAGAGGGCAACTCTTTACTTTGCTCAGTAATTACTCTGACTAGCACCAAGAAAAAATATCTATTGAAAAACATTCAGAATATATAATTGCATCTGGCTTGATGCATTTGAATCAATAAAAAGTATTCTTCCACTCACTGAACCTAATAAATTTCCACATGCTTGGGTAATGATGCTTCAGAAATGTTTAATTATCACTCTCCTACCTGACCTAAAACTGTTCATGAGTTTTGGTGATGAGAAAGGAGATTCAAATATTCAAGAAGCATTGAACTGTGATATATCTCCAATGTGGTGATTGTATAATTATACATGAAGATTCTCTGTATTCAGCCAGTGAGGCTTCAATGAAAACATGTGGATAAGGATCACTTACTTTTTTCACAAAGACAGGTGAATTTTGGCAATTTGGTTATCCAATTAATGATGTATAGGTATGATTCAAGAAGTTTAATCTCACCATTCTTTGACTATATACCTGTAGGAAAATATTACAGAACTAGAACATGGGCCCTGGATGAGACATCACTGGAAACTATTCTCAAATACTCTATAATATGGATATTACTAATAGAGTTCATATTTTTCACTGAAATGTAAATGATCATCTGGCAGATAATAAGACTAGTACAGTATCCATCAGCAATCATTATAGGTGACTTTGCCTCCCCAGAGCATATGATACAGTTATTAGTTTTTAGATTTGTTTTTTAATTAGGTAATTCTTTTGTTCAGAGAAGCACATAACTTCTTTTTGTATTATGTGTTAAAAGTGAATGATTAAAAAAGGACTCCATTCAATGAAATGAAGAAGAGACTGACCAGTTAAAAGGGATCTTTTTATACTATAATGATAAATATAAAAGTACGGGTTTAGTTTTACAAACTGGACTTTTCAATGTCTTTTCTTACTACGTGAACCAAATTGGAATCTTCTGTTCTAAGAATACTTTACCCTGGTTTTGCCTTATGCTTTAGTAGCTTTATGATATTTTCCATAGGTTATTTAACTTTACCTTCTGTGGTAGACAGACGATGCTCCCCCACAGAGGTATCTACAACCTAACCCCCAAAGCCAGTTAATCTATTACCTTATATGGCAAAATGAATTTTGCAGCTGTGATCAAGTTAAAGATCTTGAGATGGGAAAGTTATCAGGGATGATTTTAGTGGGCCCAATGCAAATACAATGTTTTTTTTTTTTTTTTTTTGAGACGGAGTCTCCCTCGTCGCCCAGGCTGGAGTGCAGTGGCGCGATCTCGGCTCACTACAAGCTCCGCCTCGTGGGTTCATGCCATTCTCCTGCCTCAGCCTCCCGAGTAGCTGGAACTACAGGCACCTGCCACCACGCCCGGCTAATTTTTTTTTTTTTTTTTTTTTTTTTTTTTTTTTTTTTTTGGTATTTTTAGTAGAGACGGGGTTTCACCATGTTAGTCAGGATACAATGGTTTTTATAAACAGAAGCAGGAAGAGTCAGAATCCGAAAAGATAATGTGATGATAGAAGCAGAGCGATTTGAAAATCCTAGACAACTGGCTTTGAAGACGGAGGAAGAAGCCCTGAGCCAAGGAATTCAGGTGGCCTCTAGAAGCTGGAAAAAGCAGGGAAGCAAAATCTTCCCTGGATCCCCCAAAAGGTGCATAGCCCTGCCAATTCTTTGATTTTAATTCAGTGAAAACAGTTTGAATATCTGACCTCCAGAACTGTAAGAAAATAAATTTATGTTGTCTTGAGCCACTAAGATTGTGGTGATATTTTACATCAGGAATAGGAAACTAATACACCAACCAATAATTCCGAGATATGAGAAGATGAGACATGATCTCCAATTTACAGAAATGCCAGGGTTTTTCCAAAATCATTTAGTGAATGGGGCAGAGCTGAGACTAAACCCTAATTCTATGACTTCAATTCCAGTACTTTTGTTCTACTAGAACCTAGTTTAATCACTTTGCAATATTTATTAGGCAATTCTGTATTACCTTACTATTTCTGATAAAACAAGTTACCATAAACTTTGTAGCTTAATGTAACAGAAACTTATTCTCTCACAGTTCCGTAGATCAGAGGTCTAACATGGGTCTCACTGGGCTAAGACAAGCTATTGGCAGGTCTCTATTCCTTTTGGAGAATCTAGGGGAAAATCTGTTTCCTAGACTGCTCTAACTTCTGGAAACCCCTTGCATTCCTTGGCTTGTGGCCCCTTCCTCAATCTTCAAGTCAAAAGCATTATGTTCTCAAACCTCTCTGTTTAATGAGGACCCCTGTTTCCTTCATCAGATCTTCTTTCCTGATTTTGGCCCTCTTGCCTTGGTACATATCCACAGATTCTGGGGATTGAGATGAGAACATCTTTGGAGGGCCTTTTTGCACTTGCCAGCGTCTCCTATGTAATAAATCATGTTCTAATTTCTGAGAGTATGTTAAAATGCCTGAAATTGATGAGATTCTATTGAGAAATTTTGAACAGTTTAGACATAATCTGATATGCGGCTTAAAAAGTCACTCTGTAAATTTGTTTGAGTTCATTGTAGATTCTGGATATTAGCCCTTTGTCAGATGAGTAGGTTGCGAAAATTTTCTCCCATTTTGTAGGTTGCCTGTTCACTCTGATGGTAGTTTCTTTTGCTGTGCAGAAGCTCTTTAGTTTAATTAGATCCCATTTGGCAATTTTGGCTTTTGTTGCCATTGCTTTTGGTGTTTTAGACATGAAGTCCTTGCCTATGCCTATGTCCTGAATGGTAATGCCTAGGTTGTCTTCTAGGGTTTTTATGGTTTTAGGTCTAACGTTTAAGTCTTTAATCCATCTTGAATTAATTTTTGTATAAGGTGTAAGGAAGGGATCCAGTTTCAGCTTTCTACATATGGCTAGCCAGTTTTCCCAGCACCATTTATTAAATAGGGAATCCTTTCCCCATTGCTTGTTTTTCTCAGGTTTGTCAAAGATCAGATAGTTGTAGATATGTGGTGTTACTTCTGAGGGCTCTGTTCTGTTCCATTGATCTATATCTCTGTTTTGGTACCAGTACCATGCTGTTTTGTTTACTGTAGCCTTGTAGTATAGTTTGAAGTCAGGTAGCGTGATGCCTCCAGCTTTGTTCTTTTGGCTTAGGATTGACTTGGCGATGCGGGCTCTTTTTTGGTTCCATATGAACTTTAAAGTAGTATTTTCCAATTCTGTGAAGAAAGTCATTGGTAGCTTGATGGGGATGGCATTGAATCTATAAATTACCTTGAGCAGTATGGCCATTTTCACGATATTGATTCTTCCTACCCATGAGCATGTAATGTTCTTCCATTTGTTTGTATCCTCTTTTATTTCATTGAGCAGTGGTTTGTAGTTCTCCTTGAAGAGGTCCTTCACGTCCCTTGTAAGTTGGATTCCTAGGTATTTTATTCTCTTTGAAGCAATTGTGAATGGGGGTTCACTCATGATTTGGCTCTCTGTTTGTCTGTTATTGAAAACAAACAACCCCATCAAAAAGTGGGCAAAGGACATGAACAGACACTTCTCAAAAGAAGACATTTATGCAGCCAAAAACACATGAAAAAATGCTCATCATCACTGGCCATCAGAGAAATGCAAATCAAAACCACAGTGAGATACCATCTCACACCAGTTAGAATGGCAATCATTAAAAAGTCAGGAAACAACAGGTGCTGGAGAGGATGTGGAGAAATAGGAACACTTTTACACTGTTGGTGGGACTGTAAACTAGTTCAACCATTGTGGAAGTCAGTGTGGCAATTCCTCAGGGATCTAGAATTAGAAATACCATTTGACCCAGACATCCCATTACTGGGTATATACCCAAAAGACTATAAAAATCATGCTGCTATAAAGACACATGCACATGTATGTTTATTGCGGCACTATTCACAATAGCAAAGACTTGGAACCAACCCAAATGTCCAACAATGATAGATTGGATTAAGAAAATGTGGCACATATACACCATGGAATACTACACAGCCATAAAAAATGATGAGTTCATGTCCTTTGTAGGGACATGGATGAAGTTGGAAATCATCATTCTCAGTAAACTATCGCAAGGACAAAAAACCAAACACCGCATCTTCTCACTCATAGGTGGGAATTGAACAGTGAGAACACATGGACACAGGAAGGGTAACATCACACTCTGGGGCCTGTTGTGGGGTGGGGGGAGGGGGGAGGGATAGCTTTAGGAGATATACCTAATACTAAATGACGAGTTAATGGGTGCAGCACACCAGCATGGCACATGTATACATATGTAACTAACCTGCACAATGTGCACATGTACCCTAAAACTTAAAGTATAGTAATAATAAAATTTAAAAAAAGTCACTCTTACTCTTTGAATAAAATACAATGGAGAGGAGTGGAAAGGCAGAATAGGAATGGTTGTCTAATCAACAGATAGTGCTAAGGATGTCTCCATCTTTATTCTTCCTTTTCTTTTTTCACTTTTAAAATTATTTTGTTTTTTTTTAATTGATACATGATAATTGTACATATTTATGGGGTACATGTAACATTTAGATACATGTGCACAGTATGTGGTGATCAAATCAGGATAAATATTATTATTCTTCCTTTTCACTTGTTGACTTAAACAACTGGATGGGTAATAATAACATTAAAAATTGGAGGCTGGATGTGGTAGCTCATGCCTGTAATCCCAGCACTTTGGGAGGCTGAGGTGGACAGATCACTTGAGCCCATAAGTTTGAGACCAGGCTGGGCCACATGATGAGATCACCTCGCTATGAAAAATGCAAAAATTATTCAGGCATGGTGGCATGTGCTTGTAGTTCCAGCTACTCAGGGGGCTAAGGTGGGAGGATCACTAGAGCCTGGGAGGCAGTGGTTGCAATGAGCTGAGATCATGCCACTGCACTTCAGCCTGAGTGACAGATTGAGAACCTGTCTCAAAAAAAAAAAAAAAAAAAAAAAAAGAAGAAGAAGAAGAAGAAAGAAAAAATAGGAAAAGAAAAATGGAGTGATGAGCATACTTTTGTTTATTGAAGCTGGAGATAAAATCAAAAAATTTGTTTTAACATGTAAAGTTTGAGATGCCTATTAGATATACAAGTAGAAATGTCAAGTTAGCACTGGATATGTAAGACTGAGTTCAGGTTAGTGGACAAGAGTGAACACTGAGGAATCTGGAAAGCAGTGTATGGATGATATTCAAATCTGTAAGCCTAGATGACACTCCTTCAGATTGAGTGAAGATAAAGAGAAGAGATCCAAGGGCTTATCTTTGAGCATGCCAAAATTAAGAGGTCCAAAAGAAAAGGAGAATACAGCAAGTAAAGCACATGAGAGAGTAGTGTCCAGAAAGCTAAGCTAATATGACGTCATATAGGAATGGGATAACCAGCGAGGTCAATGCTGCTGATAGTCAATACATTAGCCGAAGACATTTTCACTGTTTCATATACATTCTATGAGTTCTATCTTTAAAATGTTTCAGTTCTAAGTACAAAACGTGCAAATCTGACTACTTTCTACCAAATGTACCAATTTCTACAAAGTTCTATTACCTGCCCCTTGAACTTTTTTAGTCAGATCACCATCCTAGTTTCCCCTGGGGCTAGTAGTAGGGTTTTCAGCCCCTTATTATTCTTTTCAAAATATACTGTAATATTTCTGCTATATCCAGTCACTTTTCAAAAACAATTCACTTTAATATTTTTATAAATTCTATTTGATTTTCTGTGGATATATAACAATGCATTTATTTTTTCATTCAGCAATTATCAAGTCTATTATTATTATTAATGCTAAGCACTGTTTTTGTCACTGGAAATATAGCAATGAAAAAAAACAGATAACAATGTCTATCATATTGAAGAGAATCATTAGTTTGTTGGGGGGATACAAACCCTAAAATATATAGGTAAGAAAATTAAATAGCATATTTTTAAAATGATAAGTTCTATAGTGAAAAATAGTGAAAGTGATCATTGTGTTCTTTCTTTTCTGACAAATATTATTTTAATTACTTTTTAATGCAATATTGCCTTGGTAAGAAAAAAAAAATTTTAAATGATGGCAGGCATGATTAACCTGCCATTTAGTGATTACACTGATTTCAGAACGGAAAATGTATTCCTGGACTAAAGAGACCAACTAAAAGCATTAAATTTCAAGAATGGGCAATAATAAAGGGTTCATTAAAATGTTGTATCCTAAATATCATGGTGACCTTAGGAATGAAGTAATTAGGAAGTGTACAAAAATCTTACTTGATGTATAAAACAGGTAAAACTCCAGGACTAGAGACTAGAAATCTAATATGAGTCATCTCAATTAAGAATCACAGCCTCTCTCCAAGTTTCCAGACTTAAGCAAGTCCAGATATCTAGAACCCCTTGTTTGAAGATAAGGCTAGATCCTTGATATGGTTAGGCTCTCTTTGCCCACTCAAATCTCCTCTTGAATTGTAATTCCCACATTTGACGGAGAGGGGTGATTGGATCATGGGGACGGCTTCCCCCATGCTGTTCTCATGACAGTGAGTTAGTTCCCATGAGATCCGATGGTTTCAAAAGGGGCTCTTTCCCCTTTGCTCTTCTTCTCTCCCCGCTGACTTGTGTAGAAGGTGTTTGCTTCCTCTTCTGCAATGATTGTAAATTTCCTGAGGCCTTCCCAGCCATGTGGAATTCTGAGTCAATTAAACTTACTTTGTTTATAAATTACCCAGTCTCAGGTAGTATCTTATAGTAGTGTGAGAACAGACTAATGCAATCTTCTTGAGGAGAGGAGTTGATATGCTGCTATAAGCCTATATTCTGTGTATTGTAACTCTTACATCAAGACTTCTTTCAAAAGGACTTACAACTGTACAGTGACTTTGCACTGTGGAAAATAAAATAACAAGAACATATGGGTTATAAGACTTCTTGTGTCTTAATTAACATTGATCACTGAGAACCCAAAAAAGCCACTGTAGTTTACTGGTCAAATTAGGAGCTACTGGAGATCATGTGATAAATAGGGAATTGTCCCAAGTTTGAATCAGAGTTGGCACAATAAGTTCATTGACCCAATTTGTGATTACCTTCTCAGTTCCTGAATATTCAAGTAGACAGATTTGACAATGGGAAGAATTCCTCACTCAGCTGTTATAGTGGTACCAAGTGGGAAGTCCTTGGTACTTCCCGTCCTTACCAAATTAGTGAACCTTAAGCAATGTCACATAACTGGAGTGTTTGCAGAATTTAGTAACATCACCAAAGACTTAAAAAATTCACCTACTCATTTATCTTGGTTCTTCTTGTGTGGAAGGTAAATTGATCTTGAATTATCATGATCTTATTTACATAATGACTCCGACTATAGCTGCTATACCAAATGTGGCATATATCCTGAAGTAAGTCACCCCAGTTTCCTAGAATCTGGAATGCAGATAATTGACCTGGAGATTGCTTTGCCCTCTGTACCAATTTACACAAGCCATAATAAGCAGATTACTTTTACTTGACAAGGTCAATATCACACCTTCAGAGTCTTGCCTCAGGGCTGTGTTAATTATCCTGCCCTCTGCTATAATATAATCCTAGTCTACAATTCTCTTGATCTTGATCATCTTGACATTAGAATGCCACACTGTTCACTATATTTTTGACATTAGGATCTTTGGACGTGATTAATAAGCAACATCAGATACTTAAGTGCCTTAGTAAGACCTAAGCAAGTCAGAGATATACCCCAGGAAAATTTAAGAACTCATCTTCAGTGAAGTTTGTGGACTTCTGTAGTCTAAAGCATATCACAATATTCTCTTCAATGGAAAAGACAAGTTGAGTACTTTGCCTACCTATCACTATAAAGGAAGCACAATGCTTTATGAGTTTTTTTATTTAAAAGACATTTTATACATTTTTCTCTGCTAATGTGACTCATGTACTGAATAACACATATGGCTGCCAGATTTGAAGAAGACCAGGGCAAGAGAAAGTTCTGCAGCAAGTCCAAACTGCTCTTCTACTTGAGTCTTATATGACTTAGAAGATCCAATAGTATACAAGGTGTCTCTGATAAACAGAGATGCTTTATAGAGTCTCTTATTAGACCTAATAGCAGAATCATGGCACAAACATTTAGGATTTTTTAGTAAATCCATGCCTTCTTCTGAAAACAAGTACTAATGTTGAGCTGTCAATATGATATAAGCCTTATTCATGGACCCCTTCCATCATGGAAAGGGTAATGATTTTATTCAGTGAAAAGGAAGTGATTCCAGGAGAAAAGAAAGTTAAGCACGGGTTCTCTTAATTAGTTCTGATTTATTTGCAATTAATTCTCCAAACTGATTAAATTTAAAGACATTGATTCAATTTGTGTAGGAGACACTGGTTGCCCATGGCTTGCAGTGGTAAAACAGTCACTAAAATTATTGCTTGTAGACACCTACAATCAAATGCTTTCAGGAGGCAAGGCTTTGGATGACCAAGTATTTGTTGCCACAGACCATTTTCATGGAAATATATGACTATTTATTACATTAAAATAAAGTGGAAACAGATATAGTAATTGATCTTAAGGGCATGGGATTAGGGCTAAAGGAATATAAAGTGGGATAGACCAAATGCACTGACAGTGATTCACCAACCAGATATTTTAAATTCCATATGTTAGCTTGAGAAAATCTAAAATTGGGGTGGTGGAGATTGAAATGAAAGTAAGTAAAGTTATGATCCAACGCAGACATCTGGCATTACCTTATACCAATTTATATGGTTCTACAGTATCCAACCCGTCTCTCTCAATTTAAGTTTACTATTTGCCTGATGTGCTGATTATCCTCTTTCTCTCTTAAATAATGGGTTTCCTAATGAGTATCATATTGCTTGGAATATTTTATTTGGAAGGTTATTCCTGCTTTTGCAGTATTTAATTATTTTGAGTGGTGTAAATAATATTCCTTTGTGTAATAGAAGGTGCACAATTTATTTAGCCAAGGGCACTTTATTTGTGTCCAGGTGTTTTTAATGGTGAATATTATTGCCTCGACCACTGATATGCATATTTCCTCAAAGGCATTTGTAAGAATTTCTCTTTGCTATATACCTAGAAGAAAAATGTTGAAGCTTGGGGTATATGAATAGTTAAATTTAGATACTCCAGTTGTTCCCCAAAGTGACTCTATCTTTATTCAGGTAACAAACCTGAACAAATGCCACCAATCTATATCTAATCCATCCCTTAGAATATTAGAGTTCATAATTTTTCCATTCAAATTAATATAAAATTATATCTCATAATATTCTTGATTGCATTTTCTTAATTACACATGAGGTTGAACATTTATTCAAATATTCAGTGACAAAAAAGTGTTTGTTTTTACCTTTGTCCATTTTTTTTAGTTGGGTTGTTTGTCCCCTTAATATTAATTTACAAGAGATTTTTATATACTCATGATACTCTTTATCAGTTATGCATGAGATCTGTGGTTATTTTAAATTTAAGCCATTTATTTATTTATTTATTTTATTTTTTCGAGTTTGACATCTGTATTCCGTATTTTTTGTATTATATTTTAAGTTTTAGGGTACATGTTCACAACGTGCAGGTTAGTTACATATGTATACATGTGCCATGTTGGTGTGCTGTACCCATCAACTCCTCATTTACATTAGGTATATCTCCTAATGCTATCGCTCCCCCCTCCCCCCACCCCACAACATAAGCCATTATATTTAATGAAAATAACATGAAATTCTTGTCACAGTCTAATAAATTACATATTTTTAAAATATTTCCTGGACACTTAAATTGAAATGTTTAATCTGTTTTATAATACAGCAAAAATTTGAATTTTCCTTTTGACTCTAATGGTCATTGAATTAACACAGAAGTTTAACCATTTGCATTTATTTTGTTAATTACATGTACAGAAAAAATTAACTGTATATATTTATTTTATAAACAATAATACAAAAATGTTGTTTTTAATTGAGTTCTTATGCTTCCATGGCATTTTTTTCTTTTTATGCTATGTAAGTTTTTCCCCTAATATTTTTGAAGAGATAATCTTATTTTGAAATCTACTGGTTGTTAACTTTAATTTCAATAACTTACTGAAATCCACATTTCTCTTAGATATTAAATGAAGTAATTTTAAAATAAACACTGACTGATTTTAACTAAGAAATTTAGTCCACTTTATTTCCCCTTGCAGAATCACTGTGGATTCTCATTATAATGACCTTGAGTCACTAAGATAAAATTGAATTATGTTAATTCCATCTCTTTAAAGAGGTAAAATATTTTAATTTGAGAAAAAATGTTATCAGAATAATTCAAATAAAAACAAAATTTTGAAGCTTAGAAGTCATCTTTGTATAACACCTTATTCTGGGATAATGATTAAATAATTAGATATATTAATAAATCTCTCATAGCCATATACATTTGTATTTTCTTACAGAACAAATTGCTGAAGTCTTTGCAAGTATTCTGTTAGTAATCCTAGTGAATTCCATGAAATCTTTTGTGAATTTTGGGTAATTTGTGTTTAGTTTTGGAGTTCTGGGCTTGAGTAAAGCTTTAAGTGTGATAATGTGGGCGCCTGTGTAAAGTTAAACTTGGCTGAGATGCTCCATGAAGACTAAACGTGCCATTTGACCTCTTGGTGACTCTGTGGCCTCATTTGTAAATGGAAGTTTATGTTGCAACACTCCTGGGAGCACGATGATGTAATTGGCTCCAGAGTTCTCCCGGGAACCTTCCAGCGTATGAAAGATGTCTGGTGCCCAGAACAAGCTATCAGAAAAATAATAGTGAGAAGGAAACCCTTCAAATTTGAAGAATTAAAATAGCCAATAGATCCAGCAACTACCTAGAACGTTACCTTAAAATGTAATATCTAAAACAGTGGCCCGTCTATTCTGACATAGGATTATTTCTTCTATGGCTCTCTTTGACTCTTTACTGTATCTCTTTCTGCATCAATATTTTCTGCCCTCAAATTTAAACATAAAGAGAAATGTGGTTTATATTGACAACCAGCTTGGCCATTGTTATGTAAACATCAACTTTCCTTGCAAATATGTCTTAAATACTTTATTGTAAGTTTAATTGGATGGCAAAAATGGACACTACTTCTACAGTTACTTCAGTCAATATCTTGGTAATTGCATTATTCATTGTTTTTTCCCCAGTATGGATAAACCTGTAAGAAGCAGGATGGGCATATATCCTTCTAACTGATTTGTAAGAAGTACTGAATTTGCCCAGAGTCTTTTAGTCAAGTTTCATATACCCAAAACATCATTTTATTCATGGAAGAACATGTTCCCAGAGATTCTAAACCCATTTTATGTGCTTTTTGTATGAGAGCTGAAAGCCAGATGCAATATAGCTGGAAAGGTGACTCCAGACTCTTCATCCCATCTAAGAATTTTAACTTCTATCTGAACTGGTGTTCCTGTAACCGATTCCTTAATTCATTTTGAAAGTTTCTACAAAGCTTTAAAATTCAAGAATTTGAACTCTTAGCATGATGTCTTATGAGGGCAGCCTTCCAGCAGCATGAAAGCTCTGTGACTGCTCTCTCTTTAGGTCTGGAAACTAAGGGAACACTTTGGAGTCACAGTAGTTGAATAAAGCATAGAGACTGATTTGGAATTTAGTGGGAGAGTGTTTAAAAAGTGAATGAAACTGAAATTTATTAGCTGTGTGACTGTTTACATTGACTGTCTCCAGCCTCCTGCACATCAAGTGACATTCTCCAGCTTACTGCAATTAAAGCAAGACTCATGTCATTCTTGTCAAGTTGGTACAAAACATAATCCCAATTGCTTTGTAAAAGATGAAAAACAAGATTAAAAAGCAAAACAAAAACCCTGAGATAGAAGCCTTTAGAACAATAATTTTAAAAGTGACTTTCCTTTTCTATTAAAAAAAGAAAGGTGAATTAAAAGGAGCTGGCTATAAAACCAAGGGAAATGGAGAGACAGAAAACATACATTCTGCTGAAGACGATGCTTGGTAATTAATACCTGGTGGGAGTAACGGATGATTTCCTCTAGCTGGAGCACCAGATGCTTTGGAATTAGGGACCCAGAGGATAATCCTCACTCTGAAGCATTAGTAATTTAGTCAAAGTGGTCTTCTTATGGATTTCTGTTTCAGTGGTTGAGATTTTTAATTTATTTAAAAGTTGTGGTCACAGAGAGAAGATGGGGAGATGTGCGTAACAGTCAGCACATTTTTATAGATCCCAGGATTGTTCTCTAATCAAGCTGCCAGTCACAGAAATATCCAGTGAGCTCCTAATTATCTCTAAACTTATATTACAAATAATGTAAGAGAAATGAAAAATAAAAAGCTATAAAGCTATACTACTTACCCTTGAAGATGTAATAGTTTAATAGAGAAGAGTACACATAAAACATTCCAAAGAAACAAGTCAAGTTAGGGTATTTTTATGCTTCATTACTAGTGGGCTTTCAAAGAAAAGCTCAGATTGAGTCCATTCAGCCTCACATCAGTCTACTGTTTTAGTGTGTGTGGGAGGGGGTTCAGGTGGGGTGGAGTTGCACATCTGTTCCACATGGCCACCTCCTTTCAAGGTGTCCTGGGGCATATTCTATGCCTTGGGTGGGGATTTGCATTGAGGAAAGGGCATTTAGTGTCAAAAGCCATTTTAAGTGGGATTTAGGCATGAGGGGTTTTTGAATGGGGCCTGAGCAGAGTCTACTGACTTAGGCATCACCCCTATTAATCAATAAGAGATGTGCTAGCTGTTCTCATGGTCCCATCTGGACCACAATGGGAAGGACAACCATTACAGCTCTTTGATATTGATGACTTACTGGGCTTTCTTACATGGACATTGGACTTCAAAGTGCTGGCCTGCTGGTGATATTGACAGAGAGAGCTTCTTGCTTTCTAGGAGCTGGGTGATTCCTTGAGCAGGCTCTGCTCCTGTTCACTTGACATCCATGTGAGATCCCCTAGTTCTAGGACTCCTAGTCCTCTTCCTGGTCCAGTTCCTTCCTTTCCACATCTCTCTCCTCCATGACTCCTTAGACTCTGATACATTTATTTAGTTTCCAAGGGACAAGAAAAACTGATCCTTGCTGATCAACAATTTAAAATTTTTTCATTATTATTATTTTACAGCTGGACTACTGCTCTTGACAATGACAGCAAAGGATCTGACTCTTCTCTGGTTTTCTTGTGAATAAATCTTTTGAAGCAATGAAATGTCACATAGCCTTAAGTAAGAAAGTGTCCTGGTGTAGTAGAAATTAAGGGGAAAATATTCTAGTTAATTAATAAACATATTATCTTGCTAGAGCTACAGAAGAATTTGATGTATCTCAATGATTAAGGAATAGAGCATTCTTCATATAGGTCAAAGAGACATGTATAGTGAGATAAAAAGTGAACCAGAAATCAGAAGGTCTTGATTCCTGTTCTGGTATACTGGTCATATGACCTGGGGCAAAGTACTTACTGTCTACATACTTCAGGATTCTCCCTTTAAAAATATGCATAATGATACACATTACATTATTTCTACTACCTGGGTGATGGTACTGTGTTATGGTTAAAGAAATTTAAAGTCAGCCTCTTTAATTTTGATTTTGGTCCCTACCACTTATTAGTCATGAGATTTGCTAAGTTACTCAATCTTTCTAAGCCCCAATTTCCTCAACAGCGTTGTGGTTAGGAATGAATGAAATCATATACGTATAGTATTTATATCTTTTCCTGGCACATAGATAAATTATTCAATAGTTGTTAACTATTCTTGTTGCTACTGCCTCACCCCTTCTGGTGGCAAATAGGTTCATGAAGGATTAAAAAAGAAATGATATAAACTATAAGATTTTGTACATTTTAGTTTTAGACATTTTTATTGTGTTTTTCTTTCTAAAATAAAATCTATAGCCTCTTGTGTTTGTAAAGTTAGGCTATAGCATTTGATTTTTTTTCTTGAACGTGACTCCATGTCATCATTATGACCATCATTATGAATGTTACTCAGTGTCATCATTATGATGCTAATGTGCACAGTAGCTCTTATTATTTTTGTGTTTGCTTACTTTTAAAAAATGCTTTCCCTTCGACAGACGAACTGTAACAGGCTATTATTTCTCATCCTTTTATTTATCCCTGATGGTCAGACCTGCTCTCTTTAGCTTGTCACACCAATATAAAGTGGTTTGGAAAATCAGATCACTGACTTATTTTAGAATTGTATATTTAAAAAGAATAATAATCTCAGCATAGTGATAGAGACCAAAGACTGCTTTTTAATTTTGTGGGGGAGGGGGTGGAATTGTTTGTTATTTGTTTGTTTTATGAGTTATTTTGCTTTCTTTGGTTTTCTTGTAAGCTGATCCCATATAGATGACTTAATCATCAGAACAGAATGTAACAATGCAACTCTTTATGTCTCAATTTCAGTTATATTTCCAAGAAAAGAGTTGGCAAGGATTTTCATATTCTAAAGTAAGGGACTAGATCACACATACTAAAAACAGGTATTGTAAATTTTTTCTTTTAAGCTGAGATTGAAGAGACTGAGACAGAAGTTATGATTTAACTAAATTCCACAACTCTTTTGGAAGTTGTCAGTGATGGAAGGGAGATAATTTCCTTATTTTTACCTTACATCTGGTAAGGGATGCTCTGATGCAAGTTCCGTAGTGCATGGGGGACGCAGTGGACTAGTGAGAGACCCACACTGGAGAAAGGTGAAGGACAAGAAGGTCACTGAATCAGGCTGTGGAAACAGAGCAGAAAATTGTAGGTAAAAAGTCACTTCACTTCCATCTTCAGTGGGCCTGTGTTTTGGGTGGGTATAAAGCTAGAGAGTCTCCTTAGTATTGTTTTAAATCTTACCCAAGTGGGCCACCTCAAAAGGTTAGGAGGCCTCAGTAAAAAAAGCCTGATGGTATAGTAAAGCTTGCTCAAGGGCCAAGGCAGGAATCCTCAGAAATCTTCTGGATATTCATTCATCTGCGTCAGAGCAATTGCAGTTCAGGGATTCTCAGTTGTGTTCATTTCCTATTACTGCTGTAACAAGTTACCACAATTTTAGTGGCTTAAAATAACACACATTTTTTTTCTTTTGCAGTTCTGGGGGTCAAAAGTCTGAGATCAAGTTGTGGTCAAGCTGTGTTCCTTCTGGGGTCTCCAGGAGAATAATCTGTTTCTTTGGCTTTTGCAGCTCTGAACAGTCACCTTCATTCCTTGACTGTGGCTTCTTCCATCTTTAATGCCAGCAGCATAGCATCCTCACATTTTTCTCTGTCTTTTTCCCATAGTCACACAAGCTTCTGTGTTTAGGCCTTTCCTCTCTTGTCTTTCTATATAAACCCTTAGGATGGCAGTGGGCCCACTGAGAAAATCCAGGATAATCTCTCCATCTCAAGATCCTTAATTTAATTACATCTGCAAAATGAGTTTTGCCATGTTTTATAACCCATTCCCAGGTTCTACAGATCAGAATGTGGACATCTTTGATTATTACTTGGTCTGTCACATCAGTGAAGGAGGGTAGCCCACGAACCCACCAAAGTACAGGAAAGGGAAGAATTATCTTTAAATAAAGCCTAGCTAAGATAAACCTGGCACCAGATCAGGAGAGTACAAATCAGGAAGACATTTCCTACCTCTTACTGCCCCTTACTTCTTGTTCCATGACCCCAGGGAAAAACCTTTTGACAAGCTGGAGAGGAGAGAAGTACCAGCTAGGGAAACAGGAAAGAAGTGAATCATATGGTCCTTTTTTCCTATTGTAAAATTTCTACTTAGAGCTACGTTGAGTTGATAGAGAAGGGAAGCTTTCATTTTAAATGAATTCAGAGTTGGTCATTATTGTGGAATGGGCATTATACCTGTAGTTGGTGACTCAAAGATACTGGAGGATATTTTTTATTATCTGACAGTAACCACAGAAGTCATGCCTGGGGCTCATCTAAAGGTGGTAATTGGCCCTATAAAGTTAATTTGAACAGGTAGTACCAGTGGGAAAGGAAGGAGTAGGATTAAGCTGTTTTCTTATTGCACCTTGAAGGTTAAGCTTCTTTAACATAATGGTTACATAATATAATTCTAACTTTAAATTGTTTTATGCAAATGAAAATAATTAATAACTTAAAGATGACAAAAGTTAGCATTTGATTGGACAGTTAAGATGGTTATGGCCCAGAACTAGAGTTAGAAATTTTAATTCCTGCATATTCTTGGTTTAAGTGACATGAAAAGAGTAGCAAAAATAGAAACTCTGGAGAAGTAACTGCTAGCAGTGCAAACAGAAACAACAGAAGTGGCAAGATACGGAACCACTGATATTCATATAAAGTGACATTAAAGAACAAAAATTGCCACTGGGGAAAAGAGAAGAAAATGTGTTAACAAAAACAGAAATTTAGTTTGGGGATGTTTAGTGAAAGGGCACACTTAAACACCCTCCTGATATTAGGGCCATATAACAAAGGCCTATCAATTAAAGAGCATACCTCTTTTGACTATTCCATGAAGGACCACTTGTCCCTTCATACCTCAATTATCTCTGAAATCTTCATTGTTCTACAGTATGATATTACACTAATGTTAATTATATCTTTACCTCATGAAAAAGAAAGGTTACCTTTTTGGAAGCATAACATTTTCCATGGCAGGAACATGAATAACACATTTTAGAGAGTTTGCCATAAAAAATCAAAGAACTGTTTCACTGTTGTAACCAGCATCCATTATGACCCTCAGTGATTTCTTCTGGTCTCTTTGCCCTCCCTCTTTAAAGCAGGATTTTTCCTGAATGGCCAACAGAATGCAGTGGAATTGATGACGTATGATTTCCAAGACTAGGTCCTAAAAGGCATTACAACTACTGCCTTGGTCTTTTGGATCACTTGTTCTAGGGGGAGCAAGCCATCATGTCAAGAGAATACTCAAGTAGGCCTGTGGAGAGATCTATACGAAAAGAAACTGTGGTTCTCAGCCAATAGCCAGCACCAACTTGCTGGTCCTGGAATAAGCCACATTGGAAGTAGGTCCTATAGCTCCAGTCAAGTCTTCTGATAACTGCAGGCCAATAGACATTGAGGCACAACTGCCAGATGAGCCACTACTGAATTCCTAATTCACCAAACTGTGAGTGATTATAAATGGTTGTTATTGTTTCAAACCACATTTTGATGATGATTTGTTACACAGCAATAAGTAATGAGTATTTTACTTTTGAAGAGTAAAGTGTCAATCAGCTGTGCAATTTTAGGTATTACATAATTTATTCTTCAAATATTTCAAGTGGCTAAACTAGTAATGTAATTATTTTTATCTATTTTATATTGATTTCATTGCATGACTCAATGTATTACCATTAAAACATTAAGTAGTGGCCAATAGAAAAGAAATCCACCAGTCCTCAGTCTGTTATCAATGGTCATCAAACTGTGTAACATGTCACTGAGCATTTCTAATCTATTTAAATTAATGCCTTATTTCAGCAGAAAAAAAATAAAAATTTCTAGAAAATAAAGTCAAGTGAAAAAAAAATTCAACCTCTTAAAAAAAGATGGTGAGATACATACACACACGCACATACACACACAGATGTATACATACAAATATACAGATAAATTAATGTATATTATGTAATACACATTATAGTATATTAATATATCCTAATTTAGTCCTGTTGGACTCTTCTCCCAGTGACTTGGGTTAGATGTGCTACAGCACGAGAAGAAAAAAGAAAATCAGGTAATTCAGTTAAGCAGAATCCAGAGCAAATAATTCATCATTATGCAGCAATTACTCCTTAATTTTTTTTTATCCCTCTAACGGGGAACACAAATCAGTTCACTTTGAGAATGATACAATTTGATTATCTCATATGAGATCTTCAGTTATAAAAAATAAACACAAATTCAGTTTTGTACCCTGTCCTTTTATAAAACAATTTTTACATTCCCTTCCTATGCTTCAAATTGTTGATGCCAGATCAAGAGTTCTACTGCAATGGAAAGTCTAAAGTGATTATATTCATTTTCTAAACTCTATGGGTATCTTTGATAGTATGTTACAAATATTTACCCCCAGGTCAGTAAATATGTGGATATGTTGCTTATGAACAACTTGTCACTTATTAGAGTCCTAAACAATTATTTGGGTCTCAGAAAATACTTATTTGAATTAAAAATATGAGCTTTAATCAATTCTTTATTGAATTCTTATGAGTACATATCTAAGTACTTTAAGAAATACAAGATATTAAATATATGTTTCCTGTCTTCTGGAGGCCCACATTCTAATAGTCGAAACTAGATACAATTGTAAGGCAAGTTAGGTAGTATTTTAAGTTCTATTTCAGCTTATAGAAACCAAACAAAAGATGATAAAGGTCATGTATGATTATTTAAAAAAGGGATGATAGGCTTAAAGAAATCTGAATGGCAGTTTGGATCTTGAAATTATTTTTTTTAAGATTTTCCTATATTCTTTTTTGAATGCATTTCTAGAAAGCTAGGTAAATACCAATAAAATGTTATACCATTTGTTTTGTTCTCAGTAGTTGAAACTGTATTTAGTATTTTTACCATATTCAAGTAGCATTTTTGTTTGGAGAAAATTTCCTTTTTTCTTTTTGATCACAGTGAATGATGTGTCAGTTGGGATGTTAGTGTTAATACACCAATAGAACAATGACTAATAACATTGCTCACCTCGGGTCCAGAGAAATGATCCAGAGCTCACTATAGGACTGTGACAAGAGTAATCAGAGCAGCTGGAAAGGGCCCATTCAGGTTAGTAGCTACAGAAATATTTGGCCATAGACAAATTTATCGGCAACTGAACTCACCCTTTTCTGTTCCACACTTACTGTTGACCCATAGAACCAAACATAGGCTCTTATTCTAACTCTGGTATTAAAGAGCTTCTTGATTTAGAGCACATTTATTAATTATTTTGAGACTTCTTTTTTCATCCATTAAAGTGCTTAATAATATCAATTTAATGGTTTGTAGATATAATTAAATATACAACATGTGCATGATGTGTGAAACAAAAAAGGTCTTCAGAAAATGTTTATTTATTTTACTTTCGCTCCTTCTGAAGCTTTTATACTGAATATGTCTCAGTTATAAAGGCTGCACATTGAGTAAAATAATTTACAATATTGATTTTTTTAAATTCCAAAGAGTATTTTAATAGCCAGCAGCTATATATTTTCTCAATACAGCCACACAATGCTTCCGGATGAGATGATGGATTAGTCACATCTTCACAGTGCTGCTGGGTGCCAGATTCTATTTATTAATCATCACTGTTTGGAGTGCTGTGTGGTAGAAGTTTCAGAAGAAATTTTTATATTAATTGCAAGGTTGAGAGAAAATTTTCTCAATGTAGCTAAAACTGTTTGGGGGAGACTATTACAAAACAAGAGAAAACAGTCACTAGTAAAATGTCAAATGTCCTATTTTGAAATACAATGCTTTGATTCAAATAAAAGCAAGGAGGGAGGAAGAGAAGGACAGAGTTGGGCTGATGTCTACCCAAATCCATAACATATGTAGTCTAGTCTAAGGATTTGAGGAGCTTCATAATTAAGATCTTTAGCTTGCTGTGGAGATTAAATATTCACCTGCTGTTTTTCATCTTTTCTAGAGAATCTCTCTAAATTCTCACCATTGTTTTGCAGCATACATTGTAAAAACAAAAACAAAAACAAAACAAAACAAAAAAAACGCGCACTTCCAAATAGTTAACAGGCAGCAGGGTCTCATTTGCTCAGCATATGTTTTCTCAGCCTTTGTATTAACAAGGTTCCTAGGAGTATTCAAAACATTTTTGTTCAAAGATAGGCTCCAAAGGATTTAAATTGTCATCTGAGGTGAGAAAATCTGCCCAATCTAAGGCTGTCCTTGACAGGCCCTCCTCAAGTTGGAATTAGTTCTACATGGATTCTGCCACGTTTAATCGCATAATTCAACCTTTCTGAGGTTATCCGCAGAATTTTGTTCAACTTTCAACTTCCACAGATCAGAAATATAAAGACCACCTGTAGCACATATAATCTAAATTTGTCTGCAAGTGGAGAATTTTTAACTATCAAATTGAAAGGGAATTAAATGGCTAGACAGAACTTATGCAATTTATTTTATTCCTATCCGCAGGTTCACATCTGCTGTCTCCTGAATGAACTCACTTTTATATTCTAAGTAATTACACCTCTGCTCTTTTTAACACAACTATAGTAGTCCTTAGTGTTGATAGAGTGTATATATATATATATATATATATATATATAGTATATAGAGTATATACTCTATATAGAGTACTATATATAAGAGTACATATACTCTTAGAGTATATGTGTATATAGAGAGTATATATAGAGTATATAGAGTATATACTCTATATAGTGTACATATATAGTATATATATAGAGTATATATATCTATATAGAGAGCATATATAGATGTATATTTCTATAGGTATCTAGAGAAAGCAAATATATATATATATATATATATATAGCATTGACTTAAATATTTAAGGTTAAAAGAAAATTTCAAATGGATGCTGTTCAACATGGTAGTCACTAACCATATGTAAATAATTAGTTGATTAAAATGAAGTAAAATAAAAAATATTTCAGGCCATTGTTTGCACTAGCCTCACTTCAAATGTTCAGCGGTTGCAACAGTGCCGATTTAGAACATTCCTGTTATTGCGGAAGTTCTACTGGATGGCTTTACTCTTGGAAACTGCACTCTAAAGAATCTTTATATCGTAGCCCATGTCTCCTTAGGAAACAGATAATGGCAATGACACTTCCAACAAAGTATTCTTAATAGTAATGTGACAAGACTGGTTTAGGAAGTAGTTGGACAGAAAAAAAAGACAAAGGGAAGGAAAGAGGGAGAAAGGAAGGAAGAAAAAAATGGAAAAGAAGGAAGGAAGGGATGAAGGAAGGAAGGGAGGGAGGAAGGAAGGAAGGGAGGGAGGAAGGAAGGAAGAGAGGGAAGGAGGAAGGAAGGAGGAAGCTTTGTATATGTCAGGGACATTTTTATATATAGTACCATATTAAATATTGGCTTATTTGACAATGTGATGTATTAGCTAGTATGCCGGTTAAGCCTCCTACTGTGAAAAGGAAAATGAATCCTAGGGCTCAGAATATTTCGGGAGATTGTTTGATGTAATCACTGTGCAGTGTAGCTAATCAGCTAAAGACCTTGAAGCCAGTAGGGATAGCAATAATTATGGTAGCAGAGGTGAATTATGCCCGTGTGTCTATGTCTGTTCCTACCGTAAATATATGGTGAGCCCATACGATAAATCCTAAGAAACCAATTGATATCATGGCTCATAGTATGCCCATATCCAAATGATTCCTGTTTTCCAGAAAATACGTTACGATGTGGGAGATTATCCTGAAGCCTGGTAGGATAAGGATATGGACTTCAGGGTGACCAAAGAATCAGAATAAATGTTGGTACAAGATAGGGTCACACCCGCCAGCGGGGTCAAAAAAAGTAGTGTTGAGGTTACCGTCAGTTAACAGTATAGTAATGCCGGCGGCTGGGTCTGGGAGGGAAAGAGTAGAAGGACTGCCATAATGGACTGATCAGACGAAAAGGGGTGTGTGATACTGAGATAAGGCTGGGGGTTTTATGTTAATAATTGTGGTAATGAAGTTAATGGCCCCTAAAATAGACGAAACACCTGCCAAGTGGAGGGAGAAGATGGTCAGATACACAGAGGCTCCTAAATGTGCTAGGTTTCCTGCTAAAGGGGGATAAAGTGTTCAGCCGGTTCCAGCGCAGGCTTCTACTATTGAGGATGCAAGTAGGAGTAGAAAAGATTGGGGGAGAAGTCAGAAGCTCATATTATTTATCTCGGGGAATGCCATATTGGGTGCACCAATTACCAGAGGGACTAGCCAGTTGCCGAAACCCCCAATCATGATTGGTATTACCATAAAAAAGATTATAACGGATGTGAGGGCGGTAACAATAACATTGTAGATCTGATCATCTCCTAGCAGAGTTCCCGGCTGGCCTAATTCTGCTCGAATTAGAAGGCTTAAGGCGGTGCCTGCTATCCCTGCCTATGCGGCAAATAGCAGGTATAGTGTTCCGGTATCTTTGTGGTTAGTTGAAAACAATCAACGATTGATGAACATAAGTGGGGAAAAAAGGTAAAATGGCTGAGTAAGCATTAGACTATAAATCTAAAGACAGAGGTCAAGGCCTTTTTACCAGCCCTGAGGTGATTTCTCATGTTGAATTGCAAATTCAAAGGAGCATCTTCAGTCCTGCAGGAGCTTCTCCGGCCTTTCTCCCCCAACGGTGGGAGAAGGAGATTGAAGCCAGTTGATGAGGGTGTTTAGCTGTTAACTGCATTTTCGTGGGTTTGAATTCCATCAATCTAGCAAGGGCTTAGCTTAATTAAAGTGGTTGATTTGTGTTCAATTGATGCAGAACAGAGTCTTGCAGTCCTTAGATCTGTTATAGAAATTAAGTGTAATTTACTTACTAAGGGCGTTGAAGGCCCTTCGTCTTATTTAACCTAAATTTCTAAGTTACAGTTAGTATTAATGGAGAGATGGGTAAGAGGATGTCAGAAGAGATGACAAGTTGGGGGAAGAGTACTATGGGTTTTGTATTTTCGAATTGTCATTTTATTTTCATATTATTAGTTGTGGGGAATAGTGTCACTGAGATGGAATAAATTAGGTTTATGTAAAAGTACAGGTTGAGTAGGGTTATGGTAGCTATAATGGTTGGGGTAATAAGGCTGTTGCTTTTTGTCAATTCTTGGATGATGATTCATTTAGGCAGGAACTCTGTTAATGGAGGTAAACCTCCTAGGGATAGTAAAATTAGTGGAATTATAGGTAGCAACCATGTTAATTTGTTTCAGGTGTAAGATAGTGACAGGCTTGTGGTGCTTACACTCAGGTTGAGTGTAAGTAAAATTATTTACTTTAAGATAAAGTAAATAATCAGGTTTAGAATGGTAATGTTTGGATTATAGATTAGTACTGCTATTATTCAACTTATGTGAGTGATTGAGGAGTAAGCTAGGAATTTACGCAGATGTATTTGGTTACGTCCTCCTCAACCGCCCACTATAATGGATAGGATTGTGGTAGATAAGAGAATGTTCGTGTTTGTTGATGGGAAAATTTGAAACATAATCAAGATAGAGGCTAGTTTTTGTCATGTGAGGAGAAGTATGCCAGACATTAGAGAGGTTCCTTGGGTTACCTCTGGGACTCAGAAGTGAAAGGGGGCTATTCCTAGTTTTATTACTATGGCCATTAGTATTAAGGATGAAAATTGATGAATAGTGTTTATTATTGTTCATTGTCTGGAGGACAGGTTATTGGAAAGGATACCTATCATGAGAATTATAGATGTGGTTGCTTCTGTAAGGAAATATTTGGTGGCTGCTTCTGTAGAGCAGGGATTTTTTTTTTTTTTATTAAGATCGGGGTAAGGGCTAGTACGTTTGACAAATATTGGCTTATTTGAACTCAAGTAAAATATTCCCTCCTCTAATATTCAGCTGCCATCCTTGGGATGACTTAACTAATTGTTCAACAGGCTTGCCCTGTTAGGCTGTGACTATCTAGCCAAAAAAAATCTTATCAAAAAAAAAAAAATGTTTAGTTCTTGCTGGGAGAACACAGTCTTTATGACTATGCCAAGGGCAGTGACCTGGTATTACTTTTTGCAGAATGTTAATTAAGATAGCCCATGGATACAATAAAAAAATTTCATACAATTTACAGTCATTGTAGACATGACTTAAAAGTTCATTTCTCTAAGTACATGTTTCTTTGTAAGAGTATAACTCTAAAATAATATTTCTACTGTATATTGGACATAGGAGTATGATATGAATTAGTGTAACTCATGATGAATTAACAGCCCAGGGAAATTTTCACTTCAAGCTTCCCCTGATAAGCATCTAAGCTTTGTAGGTAGAGACAAAACAATTTTTCATGAACTGAACGTTATGATGAATTTCTTTTAACTTAGCTTTTATACCTGTGTAATTATTCTACCATTTTAACACACCTAAGGTTAAAGATCTGTTTGCAGGACCTGAGACAATGTTAGAGGACATAAACTTACAATGAGTCCAACTAAATGGGCTTTGTGATGTTTGTAATACTTAAAGGGGAATACAATACAAAAAAATTTTAAAAACCATTTTCTATTAAAATATAAATGTAATAGCTTTGTGAGGATTATACTTATGATCAGGGTTAGGTCTGAGCAAACTTTCGATGTGATTTTCTAGTGTACTCTCTTCCATTCTTTTGGTTCACCTTTTTTCAGATTTCTCCTATATCCTTTAGTTAATCTCTCTCACTACCAAAAGATGACAGGTTTTTTATGCTGTTCATAGGTGACCGGGAGTTTTTTACTTCTGTGCCCCCCCATAGGAGACATTGTCTCAGGCTCTGAAACTTCAGCTTTCCCTCATCCCCAGAATCTTTTATTGGTCTCAGGAAACTGGTAATTTAATTTGAAGAAAGGTTTACTCCTTTTAGATAATGTTTATATCTTAACATTTGTCTTTAACTCTGATTAATAGAACTTCAGATGTTGTAGCAAATTGTTAGAGTCTTGCTTTGAATGCATTACTGTGGTGCCTATTCATTATTATTGTATTGTTGATATATAATTTACATACCATACAATTCTTACTTTTGAAGTGTAGAATTCAGTGGTTTTTAGTATATTCACTAAGTTTTCATCCCCACTCTATAATTCTGAGACATTTTCATCACCCTAAAAAGAAACCCTATGCCCTTTAGCAGTCTCTCTCTTTTCCCTGCTTCTCTCATTCCTTAGCAAATACTAGTCTATTTTCTGTCTCAATAGATTTGCCTACTCTGGACATTTTGTGTAAATAGACTCGTACATTATATGACCTTTTGTGCCTGGTTTCTTTCCCATAGCAAGCACAGTGTTTTCAAGATTTATACATGTCATGGCATGTATCCATACTTTATTCTTTTGAATGCCTGAATAATATTCCACTGCACAGGCATATATATTTGTTTCTCTATTCATTATTTGGGTGCATTATTTGTATTGTTTCCATTTCAATATGGCTACCATAAATACTACTGCTATGAACATTCATGTACAATAATTTTGTGAACATAATTTACCATTTGGAGAGGTACATACCCACAAGTGAAATACCAGGAACTGGATTATATAGTCCATCACTGTTTAGGTTTCTAGGAACTATACAACTGTTTTCCAAAGACTTCCAACTTATCCATATAATCATCAAGACTTATTATATTTTTAATTTAGCCACATTAGTAGCTGTAAAATTGAACTTCATTATTGTTTTGTTTTTCATTAACCTAATGATATTGAGCATCTTTTCATGTGCTTGTTGACCATTTGCATATCTTCTTTGTAGACATATCTATTCAAGTGCTATGACCAGATTTAAATTAGGCTGCCTTTTAAAATTTATGTTGTGATAGTTCTTTATATATCCTTGCTACTAGATTCTATCAGGTATATGATTGGCAAATATTTTCTTTCAGTCTGTGGATTATCTTCTCATTGTCTTAATGGTAATCTCTAAAACACAAATGTTTTTAATTTTGATTAAATCCAGTTAATTATCTTTTGTCACATTCTTGTACTTTTTGGTGTCTTATCTAAGAAATCATTGTCTTATCCAAGTTAATGAAGATTTATGCCTACATTTTCTATTAGAGTTTTATAATTTTTACTATTACATTTAAATTTTTTATTTATTTTGAATTAATCTTCATATGTGGTTTGAAGTAAAAGTTTAATTTTATTCTTTTACAGGTGGATACCAAGTTGTCCTTGCATAATTTATGTAAGACTTTTCTTTCCCCATTGATTTGCTTTGGCACCATAGTCAGGAATTAATTAACCATCAGCAGAGGATTCTGGGAAGATGGCAAAGTAGGAAGCACCCAGAATCGGTCTTCTTACCCAGCCAACAATTGCACTGGCATAATCTGCTGATGTAACTATTTGACAGTGGTCCCCAATCTTTTTGGCACCAGGGGCTGGTTTCATGGAAGACAATTTTTCCACAGACCAGGGTGGGGGATGGTTTCAGGATAACCCGATCACATTATGTTTATGGTACACTTTATTTCTATTATTATTACATTGTAATATATAATGAAATAAGTAGACAGCTCACTACAATGTTGAATCAGTAGGAGCCCTAAGCCTGTTTCTCAGCAACTAGATTGTTCCATCTGGGAGTGACAGGATACAATGATAGATCATCAGGCATTAGATTATCATAAGGAATGCACAAACTAGATCCCTTGCATGCACAGTTCACAGTAGGGTTCAAGCTCCCATATGAATTTAATACCACTGCTGCTCTGACAGGATGTGGAGCACAGGTGACAATGCTTGTTTGCTGGCCACTCACCTCCTGCTGGGCAGCCCTGTTCCTAACAGGCCACGATGATTGAGGACCTCTACTATTTTGGATCTCTAGAGTCTACCGAAGGTTCGAAACTTCCATAGGAAGTCTCAGAGAGTAAATTGTGGATACTTTTGGTAAATTTCAGCTCTTAGCACAGTAGCAGATATAAATTTCCCACCTCTCAGCTATGCAGCAGGTAGTGGTGCACATATTCTTGGAGCAACTTGCATACAACTTGTGGGAGCCAGGGTAAGCATAAAAGATCCTGTTCCACAAATACTAGGGATCTGATCTCTGCTCACTGATTGCTGCTTGTGAACACAGAGGGGAAAGGAATTAGTGGCTATGTTGATGTACCTTCCCACATTGCTGCAAGTCATCCCCCCCAAGCTGAAGTCACTCTCAGTAATTTAAAGGACTTATTCCCTTCCTCCTTGATTTTTTTCTTCTTCCCTTTTGGGTGTCAGACATTAAAGACTAGGACATTCAAAACAGCTGCATATGCAGAGAAAGTTAGAACATGACTGCACATGTCTAGGGAAAGGCTCAGAAATGACGTAAGAAGACTTAAGACTGATCCTTGGCATATGGACAGCCTACAACAATCAAGAAATAACAATAAAAACAACAACAACAAAAGAACAAATCCTAGGGAAGGAGGATAATTTGATTTCCAGAGTTACTACATATTAGATTTAGATATCCAGTTTGCAACAACAACAACAACAACAACAACAACAAAATATTACAAAGAAACAAAAAAGTACGGACCACTTAAAGGAAAAAAAAACAAATCCAAAGAAACTGTCCCTGAAAAAGACATGATGGGAAATATATTAGACAAAGACTTTAAACAACTGTCTTAAAAATACTCAAAGAACTAAAGAAATATGTGGAGAAAGTCAAAGAAATAATATATGGACAAAATGGAAATATAAATAGATACAAAACCTAAAAATAAACCAAAAAGAAATTCTGGAGCTGAAAAGTACAATAACTGAAATTTTAAAATTCACTAGAGAGATTCAAAGACAGATCTGAGCAGACAGAATAAAGAATCTGCAAAGTTGATGATAGGACAATAGAAATTGCCAAGTCTGAGGAATAAAAGGAATAAAAAAAGATTGAAGAAATGTAAACAGAGCCTGAGCAACCTGTGGGACACCATCAGTGGACCAACGTATGCATTTTTAGGGCCCTAGGAGGAGAAGAGAGAAAGAAAGCATCAGAGAAAATATTTGAACAAATAATGGCTGAAAATTTTCTAAGTTGTTGAAAAATACAAATATAAGTATCTGAGAAGCTGAATGAATTCCAAGTGTGATGAACTGAATAAAGCCCACACTGAGATATATTATAATCAAACTTTTGAAAGCCAATCAGAAAAAGATAATCTTAAAAGCAGCAAGAGAGAAGCAACTTGTCACATACATGGGATCCTCAGTAAGAATACAAGCAATTTTGTCATCAGAAACTTTAGATGCCAGAAGGCAGTGGGCTGATTTGTTAAAAATGCTAAAAGAGAAAAAAAAATGTCAATAAAGAATTCTATATTTGGCAATACTGACCTTGAAAAGTGTGGGTGAAATTAAGACATTCCCAGAAAACAAAGGCTGTGAGAGTTTGTTACCATTAGAGCTGCCTTGCGGGAAAAATGCTCAAGGGATTCCAGCAGGGTGACATGCAAGGATACCAGACAGAAAATCAAAGATGTATGAAGATATAAAGACCTCAGTGAAGATAAATTCATGGACAATAATAAAAGCTAGAATATTAGAACAATAGTTTATAGCTTCACTTTTTCTTGTCTACATAACTGAAAGTAATACATTTAAAAATTATTAATCTGAAAGCTAGTAGTATTATTGTAACTTTACATGGAACTCCACATTTTGTTTTTACATAATTTAAGAGACTAATACATTTTAAATAATTATTAGCTTGTGTTTTCACACACACAGTGTATAAAGATGTAATTTTATGATGCCAACAACCACACAAGGTAGGGATTTAGTTGTAAAGGAGCAGAGTTTTATATGTTACTGAATTTAAGCTGGCACAAATTCAAATTAGAGTGTTATAACTTTAGGATGTGAAAGATAATCCCCATGCTACCCACAAAGAAAATAGCTATGGACTATACACAGAAAGAAATAAAAAAAGAATTTAAGCATCTCATTACAAAAAAATCGACTAAGTAAAAAAGGAGACAATAATACAGGAAGATACAAAAAGCTATAAAGCATATAAAAAATAATTAGCAAAATGACAGAAGTCCCTTCACATATGTAACTACTTTAAATGTAAATGGATTAATATCTTCAGTCAAAAGACAGAGATTAGCAGAAGGTATAAAAACACATGATCCAACTATCTACTGTGCACAAGAAACTTAGATCCAAAGACACAAATAGGTTGAAAGTGAAAGAATTTTAAAAAATTATATAATAATATTAACCAAAAGACAGCAGGGATGTCATAACTAATATTAGAAATAAAATAGATGTTTTATCAGTAAATATTTATAACAAAGAATTAAATTATACATTAATAAAAGGGTTGATACAGCAAGGAGATGCAACAATTATAAACATTTACACAGCTAAAAAGAGACCATAAAATATATAAACAAAAAACCAGCAGAATTAAAAAGAGAAATAGACAATTCTAAAATAATATTTGAAGACCTTAATGCCTACTCTCAGTAATAGATAGAACAACCAAACAGAAGATCAGTAGAGAAATAGAGGATTTAAACAATACAATAAACCAAGTAGATTTAACACACATATATGGAACTTTCTACCCAATAACAATAGCATATACATTATTCTCAACTGAACATAGCACACTTTTCAGAAGAGACCATATGGTAGACCAAAAATTAAGTCTCAATGGATTTAAAAGAAAAATGTCAAAGTATCTTCCATGACCACAGGAAATGAAGTTATAATAGGCAACAGAACTTCAATATTCACAAATTTGTGAAAATTAAACAACAAACTCAACTACTGGATCAACAAAATTTACAGGAGAAGTTAAAAAATACGTAGAGATGAATGAAAAAAATATGCAACATACTAAAACTTACAGGATGCAGCAAAAGCATTGCTAAAGGACAAATTTATACCTATGAAGACATTAAAAAGAAGAAAGATCTCAAATCAAAAATCTAATGTTACAACTGAAAGAACTAGAAAAAAAAAACAAACTAAACCCAAAAGAAGCAAAAGAAGGAAATAAAAAAGATTATGTCATAGATAAATGAAATAGGTAATAGAAAGACAATAGAGAGAAACAAACAAAAAATTGGTAATTTGAAAAGGTTAACAAAATTGGCAATCCTTTAGATAGATGGGTTAGAAAAAAACGAGAAAAGACTTGAATTTATTAATATCAGAAATGAAAGCGGAGGCATTATGACCAACTTTACAAAAACAAAAAGGATTATATAAGGATACAGTTGAAAATTACTTGCTAACAAATTAGATAACCTAGATGAAATGAACAAATTCTAACACCAAACTCACTCAGGATAAATCACAAAGAAATAAAACAACTAAATAGATTAGTAAGGAGATTGCATCAATAATCAAATGTCTCCCAACAAAGAAAAGCCCTTGATCAAAGCACACCACATCAAGGGAACACCATGTGAGAAAAAAAAAACCTCAACAGAAGCCCTTGAGTCCCAGATCTGTCTTCTGACATAGTCTACCCAAATGGGAAGGAACCAGAAAAACAATTCTGGTAATATGACAAAACAAGGTTTTTTAACACCCCTAAAAGATCACACTATCTCACCAGCAATGAATCCAAACCAAGACAAAATCTCTTAGTTGCCAGAAAAAGGATTCAGACAGTTATTAGTCTACTCAAGGAGGCACCAGAGAAAGGTGAAAACCAACTTAAAGAAATTAAAAAAAAAATACAGGAGATGGATGAAAAAAATCCCCAGAGAAATAGCATAAATAAAAAACAATCACAACTTCTGGAAATGAAACACACTTCGGGAAATGGAAAATACCCTGGAAAGTTTCAATAGAATTGAACAGGTAGAAGAAAGAAGTGCAGAGCTCAAAGACAAGGCTTTCTAATTAGCCCAATCCAACAAAGACAAGGAAGAAAGAATACAAAACAATGAACAAAGCATCCAAAAAGTTTGGGATTATGTTGAACAACCAAACTTAATAAATGGTGTTCCTAAGAAAGAAGAGAAATCTAAAGTTTGGAAAACTTATTGGGGAAATAATTAAGGAACACTTCGCTGGTCTTGCTAGAGACGTAGACATCCAAATACAAGAAGCTCAAAGAACACCCGAGAAATTCGTTGCAAAAATATTATCACCTAAGCACATAGTCATCAGGTTATCTAAAATCAAGATGAAGGAAAGAATATTAAGATCTGTGAGGCCAAAGCACCAGGTAACCTATAAAGGAAAACCTATGTGATTAACAGATTTCTCAGCAGAAACCCTACAAGCTAGATGGGATTGGGCTCCTATCTTTAGCCTCCTTAAACAAAACAGTTAGATTGAGCTCCTACCTTTAGCCTCCTTAAAAAAACAGTTATTAGCAAAGAATTGTGTATCCAGCAAAACTAAGCTTCCTAAATGCAAGAAAGAAGAAGTCTTTTTCAGACAAAAGCTGAGAGAATTCACCACTACCAAGTCAGCACTACAAGAACTGCTAAAATGAGTTCTAAATCTTGAAGCAAAACCTCAAAATACAACAAAACGCAACCTCCTTAAAGGATAAATCTCACAGGACCTACAAAACAATCATAGAATGAAAATACAAACAAACAAGGTATTCAAGCAACAACTAGCACAATGAATAGAGCAGTACCTCACATCTCAGTACTAACCTTGACTGTAAATGACCTAAATGCTCCACTAACAACATACAGAATGGTAGAATGGATAAGAATTCACCAACCAAGTGTCTGCTGTCTTCAAGAGACTCACCTAACACATAAGGACTCACATAAACTTAAGGCAAATGGGTGGAAATAGATATTCCATGAAAATGGACACCAAAAATGAAGAGTAGTTATCCTTAAATCAGATAAAAATAGACTTTAAAGCAACAATGGTTAAAGAAGACAAAGAGGGACATTATATAATGATAAAAGGCCTTGTCCAACAGGAAAATTTCACAATCCTAAATATATATGCACCTAACACTGGAGCTCCCAAATTTATGAAACAATTACTATGAGATCTGAGAAATCAGATAGACAGCAAAACAATAATAGTGAGGGACTTCAACACTCCACTGACAACACTGGACAGGTCATCAAGACACAAAGTCAACAGAGAAACAATGAACTTTAACTATATCCTAGAACAAATGAACCTAACGGATATTTACAGAAAATTCTACCCAACAACTACAGGATATGCATTTTATTCATCAGCAAATGGAACATTCTCCAAGATAGACCATATGATAGGCCGCAAAACAAGACTCAATAAATTTTAGAAAATAGAAATTATAGCAAGTACTCTCTCAGACCATAGTGAAATAAAACTGGAAATCAACTCCAAGAGGGACCCTGAAAAACATGCGAACACATGTAAACTAAATAACCTGCTCCTGGATGATCATTGGGTCAACAATGAAATCAAAATGAACATTAAAAATTTTTTTTGAACTGAATGATAATAGTGACAATACTTATCAAAACCTCTGGGATACAGCAACAGTGCTAAGAAGAAAGTTCATAGCCTTAAAGGCCTACATCAGAAAGTCTAAAAGAGTACAAATTGACAATCTAATGTCACACCTCAAGGAACTAGAGAAACAAGAACAAACCTAACCAAAACCCAGCAGAAGAAGAGAAATAACAAAGATCAGAGCAGAACTAAATGAAATTAAAACAAAAATAACAATACAAAAGATAAGTGAAACAATAAGCTGGTTCTTTGAAAAGATAAACAAAATTGATAGACCATTAGTGAGATTAATCCAGAAAAGAAGAAAGAAGATCCAAATAAGCTCAATTAGCAATGAAATGAGAGATATTACAACCAATACCACAGAAATAGAAAAGATCATTCAAGGCTACTATGAATACCTTTACATGCACAAACTAGAAAACCCAGAGGAGATGGATAAATTCCTGGGAATATACAACTGTCCTAGATTAAACTCGGAAGATATAGAAACTCTAAACAGACCAATAACAAGCAGTGAGACTGAAACTGTAATTTTAAAAATGCCAACCAAAAAAGGTCAGGACTAGATTGACTCACAGCTGAATTATATCAGACATTCAAGGAAGAATTGGTACCAATCCTATTGAAACTATTCCAAAGGCTAGAGAAAGAGGAAGTCCTCCCTAAATTATCCTGTGACACCAGTATTGCCTTAATACCAAAACCAGGAGAGTACATAATGAAGAAAACTACAGACCAATATCCCTGATGAAAACAGATGCAAAAATACTCAACAAACTACTAGCTAACAGAATCCAACAGCATATCAAAAAGATAATACCCCATGATCGAGTGGGTGACATGCCAAGGATGCAGGGATGGTTTAACTTATTCAACTCAATAAATGTGATACACCACATAAACAGAATTAATAACAAAAATCACATGATCATCTCAATAGACGCAAAAAGCAAACATTTGACAAAATCTAGCATCGCTTTATGATTAAAACCCTCAGCAAAATAAGCATATAAGGGACATATCTTAAGGTAATAAAAGCCATCTATGTCAAACCCACAGCCAACATTATATTGAGTGGGGAGAAGTTAAAACATTTCCTCTGAAAACTGGAACAAGACAAGAATGCCCACTTTCACCACTTCTATTCAACATAGCACTGGATGTCCTATCCAGAGCAATCAGATAAGAGAAAAAAATAAAGGACATCCAAATCGGTAAAGAATAAGTCAAACTGTTGCTGTTCACTGACGACATGATCGTATACCTAGAAAACCCTAGGCCTGGCACAGTGGCTCACACCTGTAATCCCAGCACTTTGGGAGGCAGAGATGGGTGGATCACCTGAGGTCACAAGTTTGAGACCAGCCTGGCCAACATGGTGAAACCCCATCTCTACTAGAAATACACAAATTAGCAAGGTGCAGTGGCAGGTGGCTGTAATCCCAGCTACTGGGGAGGCTGAGGCAGAAAAATTGCTTGAACCCAGGGGACAGAGGTTGCAGTGAGTCAAGATCATCCCACTGCACTCCAGCCTGGATAACAGAGTGAGACTTTGTCTCAAAAAAAAAAAAGAAAACCTTAAAGGCTCATCCAAAAAGCTCCTAAATCTGATAAATGAGTTCAATAAAGTTTCAGGATATAAAATCAATGTATACAAATCAGTAACACCTATACACAAACAGTGATCAGCCAAGAATCAAATAAAAAACTCAACCCCTTTTACAATAGCTGCAAAAACAATTAAAATACTTAGGAATACACCTAACAAGTAGGTGAAAGACCTCTACAAGGAAAACCACAAAACACTGCTGAAAGAAGTCATAGATGGCACAAACAAATGGAAACACATCCCATGCTCATGGATGGGTAGAATCAATATTGTGAAAATGACCATACTGCGAAATGCAATCTACAAATGCAATGCAATTCCCATCAAATACCATCATCATTCTTTACAGAACTAGAAAAAACATTTCTAAACTTCATATGGAACAAAAAGAGAGCCCACATAGCCAAAGTAAGACTAAGCAAAAAGAACAAATCTGGAGGCATCACATTACCCGACTTCAAACTATACTATAAGGCTATAGTCACCAAAACATGATGGTACTGGTATAAAAATAGGCACATAGACTAATGGAACACAATAGAGAACTCAGAAATAAAGCCAAATACTTACAGCCAACTGATCTTCGACAAAGTAAACAAAAACATAAAGTAGGGAAAGGATACCCTACTCAACAAATGGTGCTGGAATAAATGGCAAGCCCCATGTAGAAGAATGAAACTGGATCCTCATCTCTTACCTGATAAAAAAATGAACTCGAGATGGATCAAAGACTTAAATCTAAGATGAAAGCCATGAAAATTCTATAAGATAACATCAGAAAAACACTTACAAACATCAGCTTAGGCAAAGACCTCATGACCAAGAACCCAAAAGCAAATGCAACAAAAACAAAGATAAATAGATGAGACTTAATTAAACTTAAAAGCTTCTGTACAGCAAAAGAAACAATCAGCAGAGTAAACAGGCAACCCACAGAGTGGGAGGAAATCTTCACAAATTATGCATCCAGCAAAGGACTAAATTTAGAATCTATAAGTAACTTAAACAAATCAGAAAAAAAAAATCCTATCAAAAAGTGGGCTAAGGACATGAACAGAAACTTCTCAAAAGAAGATACACAAATGGCCAACAAACATATGAAAAAATGCCCAATATCACTAATGATCAGGGAAATGCAAATCAAAACCACAATGCAATACCAACTTACACCTGCAAGAATGGTCATAATTTAAAAATAAAAAAAAATTATAGATGTTGGCATGGATGTGGTGAAAAAGGAACACTTTTGCACTCCTGGTGATAATGTGAACTAACACAGCCATTATGGAAAACAGTATAGAGGTTTCTTAAAGAACCTAAATTAGATCTACTATTTGATCCAGCAATCCCACTACTGGGTATCAACCCAGAGGAAAATAAGTCATTATATGAAAAAAAAAAAAAAAAAAAACACACACACATACACACACATGTTTATAGCAGCACAATTTGCAATTGCAAAAATATGGAACCAGCACAAATGCCCATCAATCAATGAGTGGATAAAGAAAATGTGATATATCTATATATACACACACACATATACATATACATATATATGTATACACACACACACACACACACACACACACACACACACACACCATGGAATACTACTCAGCCATAAAAAGAAACAAAATAATGGCATTTGCAGTAAGCTGGTTGGAATTGGAGACCATAATTCTAAGTGGAACTACTCAGAAATGGAAACCAAACATTGTATGTTCTCATTTATAAGTGGGAGCTAAGCTATGAAAACACACAGGCATAAAAATGACACAATGGACTTTGGGGACTCGGGGAATGTTTGGAAGGGACTGAAGGATAAAAGACTACACATTAGGTACAGTGTACACTGCCCAGGTGACAGGTGCACCAAAATCTCAGAAATCGCCACAAGAACTTATCCATGTAATAAATAAATAAATAAGTAAAATAAACAAACATAACAAAAAAGCACTTGACAAAATTCAACACAATTTCATGATAAAAACACTCAACAAACTAGGAAAAGAAGGAAACTATCTCAACATAATAAAACCGATATATATTAAAAAACAAAACACACAGCCAACCTAGTACTCAGTAGTGAAAGACTGAAAGCTTTTCTCCAAGATCAAGAGCAAAGTAAAGATTCTCTTTCTCCACTTCTATTTAACATAGTTGTGGAAGTTTTAGCCAGAGCAGTTAGGCATGAGAAATACATAAAAATGATCCCACTTGGAAAGGAAGTAAAATTATTTTGTTTCCAGATGTAATCGTATACATTAAAAACTAAAGATTAATACAAATTGTTTGAATTAATGAATTGACCAAAGTAGCAGGATATAAAGTTAGCACATAAAAATTGTCTTTATATACATTAACAATGGACATTCTGTAAAGGAAATTAAGAAAATAATTCCATTTACAATAATATCAAAATGAAGAAAATACTTAGGAATTCACTTAACCAAGGAGATGAAAGACTTGTACAATGAAAACAACAAAAAATGCTGAAATGAAGACGACATAAGTAAATGGAAACACATCTTGAATTCATGGGTTGGAAGACTCAATCTTGTTAAGACATCATTACTACCCAAAGGGATTTACAGATTCAGTGGAATTCTTATTAAAATCCCAAGTACATTTTGTTTTGCAGAAATAGAAAAACCTATCCAAAAATTCATATGGAAAATCAAGGGATCTTGAATAGCCAAAACAATCTTTAAAAAAATAGACCTACAGGACTCACATTTCCTGATTTCAGGGCCTGGTATAAAGCTACAGTATTCAAAACAGTGTGGTATTGGTGTAAAACAGATAAATAAAACAATAGAATAGAATAGAGAGCCCAGAAATAAAGCTTTACCTATATGGTCAAATGATTTTTGATAAGGATATCATGTTCATTCAGTGAGGAAAGTATAATCTTTTTTTTAAATTATTATACTTTAAGTTCTAGGGTACATGTGCACAACGTGCGGGTTTGTTACATATGTATACATGTGCCATGTTGGTGTGCTGCACCCATTAACTCGTCATTTACGTTACGTATATCTCCTAATGCTATCCCTCCCCTCTTCCCCCACCCCACAACAGGCCCCAGTGTGTGATGTTACCCTTCCTGTGTCCATGTGTTCTCATTGTTCGATTCCCACCTATGAGTGAGAACATGTGGTGTTTTGTTTTCTGTCCTTGTGAGAGTTTGCTCAGAATGATGGTTTTCAGCTTCATCCATGTCCCTGCAAGGGACATGAACTCATCCTTTCTTATGGCTGCATAGTATTCCATGGTGTATATGTGCCACATTTTCTTAATCCTGTCTATCATTGATGGACACTTGGGTTGGTTCCAAGTCTTTGCTATTGTGAATAGTGCCGCAATAAACATATGTATGCATGTGTCTTTATAGCAGCATGATTTATAATCCTTTGGGTATATACCCAGTAATGAGATGGCAGGGTCAAATGGTATTTCTAGGTCTAGATCCTTGAGGAATCGCCACGCTGTCTTCCACAATGGTTGAACCAGTTTATAGTCCCACCAACAGTGTAAAAGTGTTCCTATTTCTCCACATCCTCTCCAGCACCTGTTGTTTCCTGACTTTTTAATGATCGCCATTCTAACTGGTGTGAGATGGTATCTCATTGTGGTTTTGATTTGCATTTCTCTGATGACCAGTGATGATGAGCATTTTTTCATGTGTCTGTGGCTGCATAAATGTCTTATTTATTTTGAGAAGTGTCTGTTCATATTCTTTGCCCACTTTTTGATGGGGTTGCTTGTTTTTTTCTTGTAAATTTGTTTAAGTTCTTTGTAGATTCTGGATATTAGCCCTTTGTCAGATGGGTAGATTGCAAAAATTTTCTCCCATTCTGTAGGTTGCCTGTTCACTCTGATGGTAGTTTCTTTTGCTGTGCAGAAGCTCTTTAGTTTAATTAGATCCCATTTGTCAATTTTGGCTTTTGTTGCCATTGTTTTTGTTGTTTTAGACATGAAGTCCTTGCCTATGCCTATGTCCTGAATGGTATTGCCTAGGTTTTCTTCTAGGGTTTTTATGGTTTTAGGTCTAACATTTAAGTCTTTAATCCATCTTGAATTAATTTTTGTATAAGGTGTAAGGAAGGGATCCAGTTTCAGCTTTCTACATATGGCTAGCCAGTTTTCCCAGCACCATTTATGAAATAGGGAATCCTTTCCCCATTTCTTGTTTTTGTCAGGTTTATCAAAGATCAGATGGTTGTAGATGTGTAGTATTATTTCTGAGGGCTCTCTTCTGTTCCATTGGTCTATATCTCTGTTTTGGTACCAGTACCATGCTGTTTTGGTTACTGTAGCCTTGTAGTATAGTTTGAAGTCAGGCAGCGTGATGCCTCCAGCTTTGTTCTTTTTGCTTAGGATTTTCTTGGCAATGCGGGCTCTTTTTGGGTTCCATGTGAACTTTAAAGTAGTTTTTTTCAAATTCTGTGAAAAAAGTCATTGATAGCTTCTTGGGGATGGCATTAAATCTATAAATTACCTTGGGCAGTATGGTCATTTTCACGATATTGATTTGAGGAAAGTATAATCTGAATAGATCACGCAGTTCTATCCAGCATTTTTTCAAGTATCTCTTCACATGTATCAGGCTCTTACAATAAGGGATATGTTGATGTAGGATCAATTTTGCTGCTGTTTCTGCATTTCTCTGCCAATCTAGATGTGACATGGCAAAATTTATCTTCCAATAGTTTAATAACATCACAATGACTAAGAGATTATAAACACGCACTGGGATGAAATTTCCAAATCTTCAATTTACCTGGTGCTATCAAAATTTGAGCTAGTCCAAATTACTTTAAACTAATGTTCTGTTTGTTTCATTTTAGCCAAAAACAAGTTGATTTAATATTTGGAGAGAAAGAGATAAAGTTTATAAACATATAGATGTATATTGTATAAAGTTCCTGTTTTCAACTGTTCTATAAAACTCATAATCATTTTCTTGACTGAATTCCTGTTGTGCCAAATAATCATTAACATTTATCAGAAAGGCTGAGTTCAAACTTTAGGTATTGTTAAACACTAACTTTCCTAGCAAAATTTTATCCACAGTCAATATTTTCATTATCTTTATCAACATTATTCTTAACAACAAAACCCATAGTCTTAGTGAAGCTAGGCAATTCTTACCTTTACTGCAATACTACAAATATAATTGTGACTTCAATAATTCTGACTAACTAGTCGCTATTTATGGATATTAGATTCATGCTTAACAGTAAAATTAGTTCAGCTGGAGGCATAAATGGACTACATTTGCTCCTTTTGTCTGTCATGTTAATTACTACTGATCTCTATAGATTAGTCAAGCATTCAAACTGCCATGGCAATCAGACTAAACATAATACACACACACACACACACACACACACACACACATTCCCATAGATTCAATGCAAGAATTGAATTTTTGTTTCCCAATATTACAACTTTATTGAATGATAATAGGTGCAAAAAACCCAAAATATCCAATATTTAATACATTTGAATCTTTAAAATGCTGATTTTTAAGTTTATGCTGCATTATCCTGGAACACACATATAGTTATCTTTCTAGGCGAAGGTAACATTTTCTATTCCAATAACAAGCCTATTAATGAAGCCCAAGATGACTGTTTACACTATGAAGTGTTTGTCTGAGGAGCCAGTTCTGGAGTTTCTTCCATTCCCATCCTGGTTCCTCCATTGTCTGTGTAACCCTGGGCAAATCTGTGTCATTCTTTTTGACTCAAGTTTTCCATATGTTAAATTGCAGTAATGATTGACATTTATATATTATTTTTTCTGAACAGGTGTCATGAGAATTAATGAGATTATTAACCAGTAGACCTCCAGGCCATTGTCAGTGTCAGGATAGTATTATTGGCCTCTAGAGGAAAAGAGATGAGAGGGTTTGGGGGAAGAGAAAGAACCTTGATGAAATGGGAAAGACATTGAAAATAGAGCTAGGTAGTGATATTACCCTTTTAAAAATTGGATAAAGTAAGTGAAAAAGGCAAAAAGAAGTCCTTCCATTTCCCCTTATTCTAATACAGTCCAGCCTTCTCTAACGCTACACTACTTCAAAAAACTAGGTTATCTGTTTCCTCTGTTCTCCCATTATAATCAGAAATGCCCACTTTCTTTCATCATTAATCACAGTAGATTACTAATGTGACTTACTTGTCCAAAACATTGCAATTTAAAAAAAAAAGGTGCTGTATCTTATTTGTCTGTCTACAGAATAGAGCATTGGGTCAGGCACTTACTTTTGCTAAAAGACGACAATATGGACATGAATGAGGGAGATTTTTATGACTGAAAGGTGCCATATTGTTTGGAAAGGAGAAGTAGCTTCCTGTTCTGTAATGAATATGCCTTGAACAACATTTTTTGGCACTCGGAAATGAATGTCAGGAAAGGCCTTAATCTAATATTCATTCATTCATTTTTTTTAATTGCCCAATTGCCAAGCTTTGTTTTCTATGATGACCGAGAAGCAGGAAGAACTTCCTATTAAACTGAAATTGATGTTCAAAGTAAAGGTACTCAGCACTAAATCTGAATTAGTAATCAACTAATTAGATCAGTCCATATGCTTGATGATGATGTTTCAGTTAACATTTTCTTTAATCAGCTAATGATACAATCCACTAAGTTTATCTTTTTCTCTTTAAAATTTTTCTTAAATCTGAAGTCATATAAGCATCTTTTAGTGAAATACAGACCTAAAAATGGAGATAGCTTTTTAAAATTTTTAGATCTAAGCCTAATTTTTATTTTATTAAGAAAATCAACCTAACTTCTTCACTCACTTTTCTCTCATCTGCAGTTAGACTACAAGCAGTTAAAAACCACTTTGTTTCCCAAAGACCCAAATTCTAAAGCAAATGCCATTTCTAAATAATCACAAATAGTGCCATATACTGCATATTTCATTGTAATGTGTCTCTATCACCCCATGGCACAGGCAACTCCAAAAATGCCTGAAGAAAAAGATACCACAGGTCTTAATGGCTATATATAGTTTGCCTGCTCATACAGTTTATAGAAGTGGAAGGCTCACAGGTTTGCCTAATTCATCTCTCAGAGCATAGATGAAGATTCTAAGAAACAGCTGTGCAAAGATGCACAGGCTGTTAGTTGGAGTTGCAATGCCAGAGCCCTGCCGTCCAATCCAGGTCATTTCCCACTGTGTCCTGCTCCTTGCCTGAGATCAACATTATATTACTCACATTTACCTCCCTGGAGTAACCTGATTTGTCCAGCTTTCTCTCGTTGTCACTCCTGTGTGTCACTCTATTTAATTAAAGAGGCTTTTGTGAACTACTTCAACTCTTATAAAGACTGAGTTAAGTCAAGTGTTGGAGATTAAATAAATTTGAAAAACAAAGAAGAAATGAAAAAAAGTGATTTAAGAAACATCTGTCTTTGTAATTATACTATCATAAAAAATGTCCATAATGTTAAGAACCAGGGTATGTGTTTTATTTAAATGACAAAAGGGTTCTTCTAATCTATAGCAACATTGAGCTATAAGTATAGCATGTATTTAAGAAAACAAGAAACATAGCATTTGCAGTAAAAAGAGAACTCACCTTAGTTTTTCCGAGGAAAAAAGTTATATTTTATTAAGCTTTAATTTCCCTTTCATAATTCCCAGGCCTTTTCTATCAATTTTTAAAAAGTAGAAGCATTGCACTGCAGATATATATTAAGTTTGCAAAAATATATGTACTCATTTTACAAAGTAAAGTGCTTTAAATATGAGTGGTTCTGCATAAAATTTGTCCTATGTCAGTAGATACTTAAAATACAGTTTTTCATGGAAATAATATTATACATCGTACTTAATTTTACAGGCCAGTTTATGAAAGGCTGGCTTTTCCATGACAGAATTTACAAAAGCAGAAACACTTCTCTTAGATGGCAGCAATGAGAAAAAAGTCCTCTCCCCCGCCCAGCAATAGCAACTGGCTACATTACAGCTCCCAGAGATGTTGAGGTACAAAGAATTATTCATAAAACAGAAGTTCATTGTTTGTGGTCTGTTCATTCAAGAAATAAATGATATACTAATCTCCTTCATACTGTGGAACAATTATTATGAGGTGGGCGTACGAATACATATTCACAGACATACCATAGAAAATGAAATGCAAAACAATGCCTGACCACATGGCCCACCTCACAACACAGAAGAAAAAGAAACTAAATTCATGAGCATTTCCTATATAACAGGAACTATCACATAACAAACAATTTAAACTTCATCCCAATCCTATCAGGAAGGTATTGTTATGTCTAATCAACAAGGGAGAAAGCTGAATACAATAAGACAATGGTTTTGTCCCCAGTCTCTCAGCTGATAGGCAGAAGAACTCTAATTCAAACTCTGCCTGACTCCCAGACCCAAGATTGGTTCTTCACCAGCCCTGTGGTGATGATATCAAAGACTGTCATCAACCTCTAGAAGGAAGCTAAAAAGTTCAAGGATACATTTTCAAAAGCTAAAATGAAGCACTATAAAAACTTTTCCTAGTATAGATCTAAGTGTCCCAAGTAACACGAAAAGGAAGAAACCAACTGTGAATGATAATTACATTAATTCCTCAGAGGGCAAAAAAAAAAAAAGAATTTTAAAAACCACATAATTAAAGACATCAGTATAACTATCTGGCCTAAGTTCCATATCTAACCACCAGAGTGGAGCTAAAACCAATTTATCCATTCTCCAATGCAGAGGCTGCCAGCCAATAGTGTCTCAAAGGAAAGGGACAAATATTCCATTGATGCATAAATAGAGTAGTTTTCAGATAGTGGCAGTGATGTGGATTCTTAAAAATAAAATACACCTAGAATAATTTACGTTTCTCTTTTTGACAAGTGATGGTTATTTTGTAACTTTAGTTTTAGTTTGCTTATACTAAAAGAAATTTCAAGGGTCCAAAAGACTATTCAGTACTTGACAATACGCCACGTGATGGCTGCATTTTTGTACCAGCACACCTGTTTTCTATCACTGTGGTGCCTATATTGTTTAAGTGTTTATAAATTCAGAGAATACATGTACATCTGTAAAACCATCACTTCCTTTAAACCCTAAATTATAGTATGCATCAAATTATCATCTTAATACAACAATTTCAGGTCCAGAAAAAAATACACATTTATTTGAGCAATTGCTTCTTACCCCTTATTGTAACTGCATTCCAAACTTATTGATGTTCTTATTATTTAGGTGTTTTATTCAGTGTCAAAAACTATTCTTTAGGCCCTATTTTTTAACTTTAAGAAAAGAAAAGGAAGGTGAACTTACTAATAAAACCCCAAATATCTTAGTAAACCCATAAAAGAAAAATAAGAGGAAATATTTACTTTTTTCCTAAAAAGATGTGATTTCACACATTAGAACATTTTGAAAAACGTTAATTAAAATGAAAGGTTTTATATGTACCCAGATATTTTACTAATGTGCCTACTTGGGAACTAAGAGGGAGAAAGTAAAAATTATTTAGGAATGAATTGAACTATGGAAAAAATAAAATCATTTAGAATTATTTCTGGGGTTTACATATTATTTTATTTCATTCACTGCATACATTTGGAAACTATGACATATTAAAGTAAGAATAGAACAATCTCCCCTGAAAAATCACTTTTTCAAAATACTGCATTTTAAGTCCATTCTATACATTTTATAAGTGTTCATGAATGTAATGAAAATATTCATGCTTTGAAATCAGACAGCCCTGGATTTTAATCCTGGCTCTACGCTTTACTGGTTGGGAGATGCTGGTCAATTTATATTGTACATTCACACATTTGTTTACCCATCTATAAATGAAGACAACAATAGCATCTATTCTATAGGGTGTTGTGAGGATTAAGTGAATTAATGCATATAGTAAACACACTGTCACATAATAAGCACCAAATAAACATTAATTCTCTCTATATATACAGTGTTCCAAATTTATCTTTTATTTTTGTGTACTTGTAGCTAAGTCATATTGACATTAACTATACTAATCTCATAAATATTACAATATCATCCTATGATATTTGGGTTGAAAGAAACCGTAGACATTATTTTCCAAAATCCCTATAGATAAGGAACCATAGGAAATTCCTAGCTCAACCCTTGTCAGACTTTATATTCTCTAAGGTACTAATAAAATATTTGAGTGAGACAAAGAAGCAGGCCAAATGAGATGAGAATCTTTACAAATGTGGATCCTGAAAGGCTAAAACATCACTAGGTTCTAGCTAACTTAATTTCCTACACATGAGTCTTTGTATGACTGAAAAATGTAAATTTCTGTTCTGTGTTAGTGTTATAAATTACCACAAATTTAACAACTTAACACACATTTAACATCTCCTAGTACCTGTAGGTTTTAAGTATAGGCATGGCACGACCAGACTGTCTGCTCAGACTCTCACCAGACTGAAATAGGTGTCAGCTAGGGCTGTGATCTCATCTGGGGCTTAGGGTCCTCTTTCAAGATCACTATTGAATTCATGTTAGAACTCAGTTCCTCACAGTTTAGATTTAGGTCCTCATTTCCTTGCAAGCTGTCAGCTCGGTACCACTCTCAGCAACTAGACACTGGCAGCAGGTTTTTGCCATATGGGCCCCATAGACAGTTCACAACATGGATTTTTGTTTTCATCCATGTGAGGGTTAATGTGTCTCTTTGCCTGTCTTCTGCAAACAACCCAGAGAAAATGCTCTGATTTTAAAGGGCTCATCAGATAAGATCAGGCCCACCCAGCATGATCTTCCTCTAGCCATATAACATCATGTTCTCAAGGGAGCAACATATCAACCTATTAACAGACCACCCCCACTTATGAGGATTATACAGGGCATGTACCCCAGGGAATGGAAGTCCTGGAGGTTGTTTTAGGACCCTCTCTAGTACATTCTTGTAACAGAAAGAATGCTAAAGAGGAAAAGAAAAAAAAAAAACAAAGGTTCTTGCCAGCACTGATATATCTTGGTTGGATAGTTTTACTATCAGCACATAGAAGTTGCAAGTCTCTGAATCTCAAGCCACCAGCCATAAGAAACTCATTCACTTCCTTAACTTCACAAAATAAGTGCCTGTACATATTTAAAGATCGTTTGTTTGAAAGGGTGTTAAATTACTAGGCTACTCTGTACACTCATATTTGTCTGTCAAGTACTCTGTCATTATTATATTTTCTCATTTTAAAGGATATATACTGAGTTAATGATAGTTTTTGGCATTGGGATAATGAAGAGATACTTCTTTAATTATATTTGACTATATGGTGAATTCTCATTTCATAAATATGAAAAGGTAAATAAGAAGTAATCAACTTTTAGGACCTTAGATATATTTTGTTTTTATTAGAGATGAGGCTCAAAATGATAGAGATGTTAAGGGACTTTCTCAAGACCACAGCCTAACACTGGGAGGAGAGTGAAGAGCTGATAGCAGCTCAAGCCACGGGTGCATAGAGTTCACTCCAGGCAGCCTCGATGTCAGATCTCAAGTGCACTGCTAATTCCAGGCTTCACATGCAGCTAGGAGTTAGGGTTTTAGTGAGCACCTTCCCAAAGTTAGGACTGGGGTAGGAACTGCATGGAATTGCTCTGCAATGGAAAGGCGTTATTGGACTGCAGTTGAGGGTGGCCAGGAAATGGAGCACTGGCAAGCAGTTAGTCAAGTAAATGCTTCACTTGGAAATCACTGATTTAGAGTCTTTTATAAATAACTCTCTACAATTGGCAAATTCTTTGTTCTTTTTGTTTTCTTCTGGAAGCCAGTAAAGCAGATGATCCCCCTTCTCGACCAGAACATCCCCAACTCTTCTTACCCCAGGGAATAGTTAATGAAATAATTATTTGAGATTATTTGAATGATTGATATTTGGAAGAAATGATCTGCAGATATTGGCTCCCTGGAAACAGAGGAGAAAAATTGAGAGGAAATCATACTGCTTTCTCAAATCAAGAACTTTGTGAGTGGGCCTACTGTGTGCAGGCTATAATCCTTGGATGTGTTTCTATGCCAGAGGGATAGAGTAGAGGGCAATTCTAAGAAGATGGGCCCACCCTATAAAGGTGGCAAAATAAACTTATCTAAATAGCAATGTTGGCTTTATTAGACCAATCTATTCACCACCTTCTTGGGGAAATTTAGAAGTTTAGAAGGCTTTACTCATACATTTATAACATGTTATGGCAAGTTGAAATTTGAGGATAACAGGAGACTGATAAGTTAGGGAAAAAGATGTAGGAATACATGTTTGATAGGGGCGGAAGTATGAGGATTCAGCAGTATTTGTAGAAAACACCAATCTGAGGTTAGTGGGAAAATGGAATTGCTTGGTAAAGATATGGTGCATATCCTGATATGGTGCATGCCGGTAAAGGATAGAGAGAGGCACCTAGTCTGAAGAGAAATCACTGATTTCTGGAACTTTTTGGCCAATGTTATAATCATTCACATTTTTTATGAACAATTATTAAAAATTGGAGTCTAAGTATTTCTTTGTTAAGATATCTTTTATTAGATTATCAAAGGTCTTATAGTAGCCCCTGTCCTGATACCTGCTGCTGGTTTGATATCTGACTGACTTGGAATAAATATAAAACAATGTTCTCTCATCCTATCTGAGAATGAATAATACGGAATTTTAGATACGGATTATGTTTTATGAATATAAAAACTTTAGAAAAATGAATCAGTTCCAAAGAATCCCACTTAACTTCTATTTGCCTACAAGGAGCTCTGCATAGCAAGATAGAGCTGCACCTAAAATAGATATGGCCATTTGAAAGAAGATGTGAAATACCTTCATGTTCTGAGAATGACAGAGGCTTAAAAGGATCTTCATGTCTCAGCAGAGAGGGTGAGCTGCCCAAATTGAGTTAAAGAAAGGCAGATGATACATGTTAGATGGATTAAATTCACAACACCCAATAAATTACATCTTAAGGAGAAGAGTGAGGGTCAATGAGCTCTCTAAGAATATTCCAAGCACAGATTTTCATACACATATTCTTACCATAGATCCATCTAAAGTAGAAACTGCTCCACTGTTTGTTAGTAATTCATGTCTATGAAATGTGGAAAGCGGCCTTTGGAGTCACCATTTTACTTTGCAGTGACTGCATGAATCACTCTTCACTGCTGACTTGCTTTAGTGCATATTTAAATTTATATTGTTAATTTTTTAATACTGCTCCTTGGGGAGCAGAGCTACCCTATAAGCAGTGTGCCCAGAGTATCCTAATTACTGACTGATTGCTATGCATTATTTTGTATCTTCTTAGATTGTCCAAAAATTGATTCTAGTCTAACATTCTTGAATTTAAGATAGCACACAGTCTGCTATATAGATTGGTTAGAAAACCCAAATTTAGTGAATGGACTGAGTTGGAAATCTGTCCAACAAATAGATAAGAATGTCCAGTCTTTTTTCTTGCAGCCCTGTCTACTTCACCCATTCAAAATTTCCTTTGTTTCTCTGAATAGGCATGTTTATGTGGCTTCCTGGACCTAGCTTGAGAAAAAAAAAAAAAAAAAGACAAAAACTACTGCAATAACAGAAAGACAGAATTGATCTGGTCATATTTCCCTGTACCTAAAACGTATATGTAAAAAGGGACTGATTATTTTATAGATTTTAAAAAATGTAGGTTACAATTCAAAAGGAACAGCACATGTAGGCAAAGCCTATGTGAATGTCAGGACTTTCTCCTTCAAATAAAAAAAATAATTGCACCTTATCTTTACCTATCACATTATCTGAACACATTTCTATATTTTAAATTAGTTTCCAAACATATTTGATTTGTGCCAATTGACTTTTTCAATTAAACCTTATAATTTTACTTCCTTGTGAAGCGCTCAAAATCTGCAAAGTTCACATCAGAAACCAGTGTCTTTGTCAATGTTAACAATAATATTAGTATGAAACATCTTTCAGATACTCTCATTTCTTTCCTGAATGTAATATAAAGCCTGTCATCAACTCAGCCTCTAAGTAAACATAGCAATGTGTGGTCTCAACATGGGAGCCATTCATCGCATTGAAGACAGTGTCAATAATTGCTTAAATATTCAAAACTGGCTCTGCATCCTAACAGTCAGCAGTAGCACATTTACTCAGCAATGATTCTTTTATGTAATATAAAGGTTTTAAAAAACCTGCTGTTCTCATCTATTCATATGTATTATATCTCTTTTAAAACTCACATGCATGCTCACAGAAGCACATCCAAGTTTAAATTATATTGTTACTTTATAACAGTTTCAGATGCAGCAAGGCAATATTATCTCTAAATAGACAATGAGTATTATGTACAAAAGAGGCAATGCTCCAACCTGTATCTTCTTTTTAAGGCACCCTAGACTAGGAGCCACTCCAAGCCTTGCTAAGACAAGATAAGCTGCCTCCAAGAGCAGAAACTCACTTGGCATTATTGTTGCTGTTAATAGCAAAACTGCGATTACTTTTGCACCAACCTAATATTTGTGATTCTCCCTTAGCACACACTCACCTGGATTAAATCTCTTCCCTTCCTGACTTCTAGTGATGCTTTTTTCTGAGCTGTGTTTTTCCCCAATATGGTGATGGTCATTTATCATTTACCATTTACCAAACCAGATACCTGTCTCTCAGATACATGTGCCCAAATTCCCACTTTTTATAGATCCTGCCACTTGACTTAACTCTAAAGGTGGTGGAGTGAAGATGCGGTCATGCTGAGCTGTACTGATCCAGAATAGCCCATGACTATACTCTGGAATAGCCCAGCCAGAAATGGTGGGACTGTCTAGAGCCCAAGAGCTTTTTCCTACCAACAGTCTTTAGATTTAACATTCAGTGCATCACAGTGGGGGCTGGGCACGCTAGATAAGGCAGGTCACTGCGTCTCCTAACCCCCACTCTACCCTTATGCCCTTGCACCCAACTGGATATGCCAACGCCAATATCTTAGAATTAAAGCAGAATCTGGGAGCCAACCCTAATGGAGAATATATATAGTCCTCCATGGTGCCCTTTTACATGAGTCTCTGAAGCTACGTAAAACTCCAGTCCTGCTTGTGCTTCATTAGCAGCCCCACGGCTTCCCTAACTACTCTCTGTACTGACCCCATCTTGTGGGTTGACCTGCATGTCTCAGACCCAAGACACACTTCTAACATTGTTCCTTTATCTTTCGTATTGTTTTATGTTATTATTATTATTATTATTATTATTATTATTATTTATTTTTTTTTTTTTTGGAGACAGAGTTTCATTCTTGTTGCCCAGGCTGGAGTACAATGGCGTGATCTCGGTTCACCGCAACCTCTGCCTCCCGGGTTCAAGAGATTCTCCTGCCTCAGCCTCCTGAGTAGCTGGGATTACAAAATATTATAAAATATTAGCCACCATGCTTAGCTAATATTTTGTATTTTTAGTAGAGACAGGATTTCTCCATGTTGGTCAGGCTGGTCTCGAACTCCCGACTTCAAGTAATCCATCTGCTTCGGCCTCCCAAAGTGCTGGGATTACAGGCATGAGCCACTGCGCCTGGCCTGATATTCTTTTCTTATACAGTAATACATCATTATCTAATGCCTGTGACTACTATGGATTTCTATATATTTATTTATAGGGTGGAATGACTAGAATTACCAAAAGGAAGAAATACATAGCTTATATATGAAGAAAGCACTTTTGTAACAAAATTCTCCAAAAAGTGTTTATGATTACTGAACAACTTTTCAGACATTTTAAGACTTCTAATATAAAATTAACCATCATAATTATGTGGGCATCACAATAAATGCAAAGGATGCTTGGTAAAAATTTAAAATCACAAAATCTGTAATTTCTAATTTTCAGCTTTCCTTTTCCACAATAGCACAGTTTTGGTATTGACTTCTCCTACACAATTTGACTTCTGCTCTAATTTCTTTTTAATATAAGATTATATCAAATAGCTGAAACCCCAGTTCCTCAAGCAAAGGGAACATGCAACGGCCAATAATATTTGTATGAGCAACCAAACTTGCTGCTGAAAACAAATGAGCAGAGAGCTGCCAAGTGTGAGTGTGTTCTATGATGATAGTCAGCATTCACTATCAAGTTTTAATAACTTTTCAGTTATTGAACACATGGTCCTAGGTGACAAAGCTGAAATTTTAGCTGAACAGAATATTTATATAGCTCTCATTCTCTGCAGTAACTCAAGATGTACAAATATTGATTGATCAACTGTATAGAAAATATTTGGAATATTCCTTTTGGATTACAAAGGATGAAATTTGGACTGACACTTTGGTAACTGGGTCTAGATGATAGCATAATAGGCCCAAAGCATTCTGTTCTCAGTCACAAGCAAAGTGGGAGGTGAAGAAATTTTGCATATGGGTTTTCCTAACTTAGAGAACATTCAGTACTGAGGCTATTGAACCAACAGGCAAAATTCTGTCAAGGCTGCTTTAAAATGGCAAACAAAAGGATTAGTGAGTCTGGAATTATACTCACAGGCCCTGTACCAGAATTTCATATACCAAGGACTCAATTTATCAAAGTTTAGCTACTTATATACTACTGTCCTTGTTTTTATAAGTTTTCTCTTGGGTACCATTTTGTTTATATTTATATAATATATCTTTAAGTATTTTGCATTTTTATTTAAATGTATTTTATAATGATAAATTATGCCATTTCTAGAACTGGAAAACCACTAACCTTGTGCCATATGCCATATGAGATGACTATAAAGCAAAGTTGATGGGAGCAAAACGTGTTATTAAACTTTAGTTAGAGGGTGATGCTTAACAAAGGCTGTAAGCCTGAAGATTATCTGAGTTTTTTTTGTCAGGAAGAAAACCAAAATTTAGAGTGCTGTTTAAGACATATTAGAACTAAATTGAGACTTTTCTCCTTGAAGTACTCAAGCCTGAAAGATAATTGGAAAATACTTCTCTAACCACATAATATAATATTACCCAAAGTTATTTCCACTGTTGAGAGTACCACACTGATATGGTTTGGCTGTATCCCCATCCAAATCTCATCTTGAATTGTAGTTCCCATAATCCCCACGTGTCGTGGGAGGGACCTGGTGGGAGGTGATTTAATCATGGGGGTGTTTACTCTCATGCTGTTCTCATGATACTGAGTGAGTTTTCACAAGATCTGATGGTTTTAAAAGGAGCTTTTCCTCCTCTTGCTCATACCTTTCCCTTGATGCTGTTATGTGAAGAACGATATGTTTGCTTCCCCTTCTGTTATAATTGTTAAGTTTCCTGAGGCCCCCACCCCAGCCATGATGAACTGTGATTCAATTAAACCTCTTTCCTTTATAAATTACCCAGTCTGTGGTATGTCTTTATTAGCAGCATGAGAATGAAGTAATACAGTAAAATGATATCAAGAGTGGGGTGCTGCTGTAAAGATACCTGAAAATGTGGAAGCAACTTTGGAACTGGGTAACCGGCAGAAGTTGGAACAGTTTAGAGGACTCAGAAGAAGACAGGAAAATGTGGGAAAGGTTGGAAATTCCTAGAGACTTGGAGGGCTCAGAAGACAGGAAGATGTAGAAAAGTTTGGAACTTCCTGACACTTTTTGAATGGCTTTGACCAAAATGCTGATAGTGATATGGACAATAAAGTCCAGGCTGAGGTAGTCTCAGATGGACTTCCCTCAGATGTTGGAAACTGGAGTAAAGGTTACTCTTGCTATGCAAAGAGACTGGTGGCATTTTTCCTCTGCCCTAGAGATCTGTGGAAGTTTGAACTTGAGAGAGATGATTTAGGGTATCTGGTGGAAGAAATTTCTAAGCAGCAAAGCATTCAAGAGGAAGCAGAGCATAAAAGTTTGGAAAATTTGCAGTCTGATTATTCTATAGAAAAGAAAAACCCATTTTCTGGGAAGAAATTCAAGCCTGCTACAGAAATTTGCCTAAGTAATGAGAAGCCAAATATTAATCACCAAGATAATGAGGAAAATGTCTCCAAGGCATGTCAGAGATCTTCATGGCAGCCCCTCCTATCATAGTACTGGAGGGCTAGGAGGGAAAAACGGTTTCATGGTCTGGGCCCAGGGTCCGCCTGCTCTATGCAGGCTTGGGACATGGTGCCTAGGGTCCCAGCTGCTTCACCTCCAGCTGTGGCTAAAAGAAGCCAGTGTACAGCTCAGGCTGTTGCTTCAGATGGTGCAAGCTCCAAGCCTTTGTGGCTTCCATCTGGTGTTGGTCCTGCAGGTGCATAGAAGACAATAATTGAGATTTGGGAACCTCCACCTGGATTTCAGAGGATGTGTGGAAATGCCTGGATGTCCAGGCAGAATTTTACTACAGAGGCAGAGGCCTCATGAAGAACCTCTGCTAGGGCAGTGTGAAAAGGAAATTTGGGGTTGGAACCCCCACACACAGTACCCACTAGGGCACTGCCTCGTGGAGCAATGAGAAGAGGGCTACAGTTCACCAGGCCCCAGAATGGTATATCCAGCAACAGTTTGCACCTGGAAAAGCTTCAGACACCCAACGCCAGCCTGTGAAAGCATCTGGGAGAGGAGCTTTACCCTGCAAAGCTATAGGGGCGGAGCTGCCCAAGGCCATGGGAGCCCACCTCTTGCATCAGCGTGACATGCATGTGAGACATGGGGTCAAAGGAGATCATTTTGGAACTTTAAGGTTTAATGACTGCCTATTGGATTTTGGACTTCCATGGGGCCTATAGCCCCTTCGTTTTGGCCCATTTCTCACATTTAGAATGAGTGTGTTTACCCAATGCCTGTACCACCATTTTGTCTAGGAAGCAACTAACTTGCTTTTGATTTTACAGGCTCATAGGTGGAAGGGACTTACCTCAGATGAGACTTTGGACTTGGACTCTTGAGTTAATGCTAGACTTTGAAGGACTGTTGGAAAGGTATTATTGTGTTTTGAAATGTGAGGACATGAGATTTGGCAGGGGCCAGGGGCAGAATGATATGGTATGGCTGTGTCCCCACCCAAATCTGATCTTAAATTGTAGTTCCCATAATTCCCATGTGTCGTGGGAGAGATGTGGTGGGAGGTGATTTAGTCACATTGGTGGTTACCCTCATGCTGTTCTTGTGATAGTGAGTGAGTTCTCATGAGGTCTGATGGGTTTTTAAGGGGCTTTCCCCACTTTTGCTTGGCACTACTCCTTGCTGCCACCATGTGAAGAAAGACGTATTTGCGTCCCCTTCTGCTACGATAGTAAGTTTCTTGAGGCTTCCCCAGCTATGTTGAGCTGTGACTCAATTAAACTTCTTTCCTTTATAAATTACCCAGTCTTGGGTATATCTTTTAATAAAGCAGCATGAGAACAGAATGATATCCACACTATAAGATAATATGAAACATTTTCTTATAATAGCTCACTGGCTGCTCTGTCTGTAGGTTTTTGTGCATATAATAAAATCCAATATACAGTAGCTTAATCAAGTGGACTTTTTGTTTTTGCATTAATCAAAATCTGCAGTTAGGGAGTAGAGGGATAAGGAAGATGCTTGAGAAAGTCATTGTGTCTCAGTTTCTTCTAATCCTTTGCTCCACTGCCTTTAATATTGCATCCATCACTATACAGGAAGAAGAGTAAAAGACAAAATGCAATGGGCCACCAGTCAAGTCTTTCTTTCTATTGTGAAGAAACATAGCTTATTCTTCACGTAGACTTCCATTTCCATCTCATTGGTCAGAAAGAGTCACATGGCTACTCTTAGCTGCAAGGAGCTCTGGGCAGTTATGCATTTTTCCTGGCCATTTTCTCTCTGAATAAAACTGAGGCCCTATTAATAAAGATGATGGGGATGAAGCAATGTGTGACATATATGATGCCAAACTTCTCTTCTTGGAATTGCCGATTATTATTCTCTATACATCTTGCTATTTGAGAGAAATTCATACCAGCCACTACTTACGGTAACAGGACATAACTTTGGATATCATCAATCACACTATTTCTTGTTGCTGGATTCCATCATATAAAAATGGACTTACTTAGCAATGTAAGCTTGTAAGAAACCTGAGTTTAGTTTCCCCTTGATGTATGATAGCCTAGATTTATTACTACCCACAATTGGCTCAATAGCCCCTCTCTCCCTTGCCCTAATTTCTTTCTTTTCTGTCTCACCATATCTACATTATCATTCAAGCACAAATAAAAATTCTATTATATTTAAAATATATTAGTTGTATCAACGAAGGTAAAATGTGTTTTGCTAGTCATTTTATTAAATACCTCAGTTCTTTACAATGTTGGTTGGTTTGTTCAGACACAGCCACCATGTGTATGTATGTATGTATGTGTGGTTGCTATTTGTTATTTCCCATTAGCACACACTCACCTGAATTACTTCCCTTCCATTCCTAACATTCTAGTGATGCTTTGTCTTGAGCTATGTTTTTCTACAATGCAGTGATGGCTATTTACCACCAAACCAGATACATACACATACACACACACACACACACACACACACACACACAATTTCCCCCTGATGCTTTGTGGTTGTTCATCTAACTGCATTCTGGCATCATCTGCTTACATGAACCATTTATCTCACTCAAATGCAGAGAACAATTTCCCCTCCAAAGCAGTTTGAATACCTTAGAAAAAAGAAAATGCAATTGAGAAAAATTGTGGCTCCCATGAGTCTGAGGGTTTAGAAACCACTCTTATGCTTTCCATTTCTCTGAAAAATCTAAGACTTAATGTGAATAATCATTGTGGTTACATTTTATCCAGAGAGATTACATATCTGTCAAGGTACTAACTGCCCAAGTCTACTCTAGTAGAATAAAATGCAGAAGAAAAACTATTTATTTGATAAATCAAGACTTCCCATTTTTGTTGAAAATAACCAGAGAATCTATATAGAAGTGAATTTTTAAAATTTTAGTTTTCCTAATGTATGCTTCAGATATCTACTTTGTTAATATACATCTAACTTAATAATAGTTGATATCGTGTCTTAAGCTTGAGACATTCCAAAGTATTTGAACATAAATAATCTTATTTGACTCTAACTTTTATAAAGTAAGCAGAAAATATATTACCAGCTACATTTTATAGATAAAACTGAAAGGGTTTAAATTTAGGTGTAGAGCCTGCATTTCTGATTGCCAGACCATTGGGAAAATTTTTTCTTTTACTTAATAAAAATAAGGATAACTTGTATTATTTAAAATAAGCATAAAGCCCCATAACTAGATGTCTCATTGTTACAATTTCTCCGTACAATGGATAAATCTTTCAAATTCCAGCCTGAGGACAAACTCTTCCTTTTGCTAAGTTGGGAGATAAGGTCCCAAGGAATAAAGTTTGACAGGAGGAGGAAAATTGGTTATTCTTTTCCTATATGGTGTATCATTTTGAGCATCTTATTTAAGCAGACTTTTTCTGCTCCAAATTGTTAGCAATATTGTCCTATATTTTTCTAAGAATATCCGTTTATGGGGAAAATTGTTTTCTCATTTATGTTTTTCAAATTACTTTGTATTTATTCTTGTGCACAATATGAGGTAGAGATCTAAATTTGTTCCGTGTATAAGCGATTATCTCAAACTCTTTTACTGAAGTGTCATTCTCGCTCCACTAATTTGTAGTATATTGATGTGAAATGTTTATTGTCATATGTTATTTTTGTATATGTGTGCATCTGCCTATGAGTAAGCCAGGAGAGCAATGTGGCTGTAACAACTGGCATCCCATTGATTCAGAAGTAAAACTTTTTGTGAATGGTATACTCTCTTCAATACCAGACTTGATACGTTTGGGCTGGATCATGTAGCTCCTCTTTTCAAATTATCCATTGATTTTCCACCTCACTTGGAGTAAAATTCAAAATCTTTAATATGACCTACACAGTCTAAATGATCTTAGCCGATACTAATTCTGACCTCATCACTTGCTTCTCTCTACTTTTGACTATCTGCTTTGTCCACATTGGCTTTCTTTCAGTTCCTCAAACATGACAGCCATGCTTCTACCACAGGGCCTTTGCACATGCACATTCTCTGCATGGGGAGCCCCCTTCATGGATATTGTGATAGCTGCTCCCTCGTTTTATGCTTCTCTCTGTTGGAAAGGCACTTCATTAGAGGCTTTTCCTGGCCACCCGATGTAAGAGAGCATCCCTCCCAACTGTCAGTCTTTAACCTTTTACTGTGCTTTATTTTTCTTCATGGCACTGTGCTTCATTTTTCTTCATGGCACTGTGCTTTATTTTTCTTCATGGCACTTAATACCCCTGGAAACATTATACATGTATTTGCTTACTGCCTGATCTCCCTACCACACTTCCAGTCTTTGTAAGCATCATTTCAGTAAGTACTCTGTCTCTGGTTCATTTTTCTATATCCCAGAAAATTAGAGCTATGTTTATCTCATTGCAGACCTTGCATTATTCAATACAAGCTAGAGAGAGAGAGAGAGAGAGAGAGAGAGAATACCACCTACTTTGAAAGATAATTAAGGACTCATGGAGGACACTTAGTTAAAATCATAAACTTTGGGGCCAGATACAGCAGAAATTTAAAACCTTTCTCTGAGATTTATTAAATATGTCAGGTGAGTTACTTTAAGCCTTGTCCTTATCACCTATTCTATGGGGTAATAATACGAGCCTCATGAGAATGACTGGATGATCAAATGCCCCACTTTCTGTGAAGTTAGTGCTTCATAAATACTGGTTTGGTTTCCTTAATCAACTTTACTGTTTTATTTGTCAATTCAGAATAAAAAATAAATAAAAGCTGAAAAGACCTTTCACCTGAGAATCAGGTGAAAGAACAGAAATGTATTTAGCCTGGTTTCACTAGGACAATTTATATTTGGGGGTATTTGGTTTTCAGAAAAGGGAGACAAAGTTGAGCTAACATTTACTGAGAATTAATAATGTATCAACAATTTCACTTATAGTATTTTATTTGTTCTCTTTTAATTTTATGTTTTACAATTCTTCCATTTTACAGATGAGAAAACTGACAATCAAAGGGGTTAGATATCTTGTTCCAAGTCTATCAAGTAGAAGCAGAAAAGCAGATTCCCATTTAAGATCTACTTGGCATCCACCCTCTTTCACTGTGCTGAGTTTTAAAAATACAACAACAAGAAGGTGCTAATAAGACACTTAGCACCTCTGTTCTAACAGCTGGAATACACTGAACCACACTGGGGTTATTAAAACCAGTGACAAAGATCTGGTACAACCAGTAACTGGGAGAAAAGTAAACCAGTTTTAAAAAGGTCAGAGCTCAAAAATAAAACTGCAATTCATTTCTATTTCTTTAAACCCTTGCACTTACACTATTTCATAAGAAAAATAAATTAGTGTGTTTTTTATTGTGCAAAACCAAATCCGTTTTCATTTATAAAAGTGAACTAGGGATTTGTTTTTCTCAGTTGCCCAGGCAGAAAGGCATTCTAAAGTGTAAAACAATATTTAACAGACGTTTGTGGGGATGGGCCCACAGGGTAATGTCTACAGGTTGTTTCCTGAGATTCCTCACAGAATGGCAACAAATTAGTGAATTTGTCATAATCTGACCTTCTTTGCAGGATTCCTATTTGCTCCCACTCCTAGAATAGACCCTTCTCCTGGGAACCTATTTATTTTAACAAAATATTTTATCCCCAAGACCTAGACACATTACTCCTTTGGATCTGTTGCTACATCTACTTGGTTATGAGCTAGTCTTCCTGGCCACGAATCATCATGAGGATGAGGACAATCACAAAAATAATGATAATAGTGATGACTGCGATGATGACAATAATAATAACAATAATAACAATAAACAAAGAGAAACGATAAAGGAACTTTTCTGGTATATATCCTGAAATCTTAGTATCTTTGAATGACACAGAGAGCCCTGTTTGTATGGTGGATTTTGAGCCTTTTCCCAATAATAGCAATGTGAAAACCTCGTGCTATATTTTTTAGCAAAGTTTCACTTTACTATCTCTTGTATTTTGTTTTTCCCTTAGGAAAAAAAGAAAATGAAGGGGCACCTTTTATTCGTGTATTATCTTAACACAATTTCCCTATTATGTTATGTGGAATTGAAATATATCTGCCCGGAGAAAATTGAAGAAAATGCAAAACTCATTATAAAGAATGTGAATATTAAAAACTGGAATAATGATCCTAACCTGGAACTGCAGAAACCATGGATCTCATAATCATTAATTTCCTGTGTTTCGAATAGTATGCACTATTGCCTTCCTGGGGCAGAACATCATGATACATAATAACGGAGATGACCAGTGAGTCTTTCTGAAGAGTTTACATATAAACCTCTCCCTTCAGTTTATGGCTGTGATCACTGTTTACAAACTCCCTATTGGCTTTAGGCTTATGTCTTTAACCAACAAACTAATTGCATTAAGTGTTATTTTGCTATTTGCCATGTTAATTTTTTGTTGCTGATTTCAAATATTTCCATCAATAGAAATAAATTTTTTGAAAGAGTGCTTCTTTGTGTGCTATATTGCTTGTGCCTGAATTCTCTAATTATGGATAAGTTAGAAAGTTTTTCTTTAAATTTTAGTTATGCAGCCTTTAAACTTTGTAATGCTAGGCCCCTAAATTAAAAAAATGCATTAATGCATCACACTGGTTCACAGTGGGATTAGGATTATACACTGTTTCTGTTATTAGTATGAGTCCCAAAATTGTGTATGCCTGGGCAATATTCCTCTGATCCTTCCTAGTGTTGGATTTTCAAAATTATAATTAAAAGCTGATCTAATTGGCTTTCATTGAAGGTAATTATAAGGGATGGCTTGATATCTGACGTCTTCAAAGTGTTGGAGGCTTTATTTTTAAGGTCACAATTTATCACATATTTAGTTTCCTTTATATGAGGATGTAAATATAAAGAATGAAGAAAAACTTGCTTCTTCTCTTAAGCTAGTTATACCAAGTCATCATTTCTCCCTGAGATATATAGACATAATTTTTTTCTTATACTTTGCTATAATTCCAGAAAATGCGCATAACAGTTTCACCCATTTCTTCAAAAAACACCAGCTTTTCATGAGTTTAGTAACTTTTATTCAAAATGTGGGAGCTAATGGAGATGGTTCAAATAGTGTTGGTAAGGCCTATTGTCACCTCACTGACTTACCCATTGACCCCAGGTGGCTTCATAAGCTTCACATTTTTCCCTGTTATGGAGAGAAACACAGCTTCCCACCTCTCTTATTCCCAAACTTGAAAGTCCCAATCTATCAATGTGCCCTGCAGAACAAAGGGCCTCCCATTATCACAGCTTTACTTTTTTCAAAAGGAGTTGTAGTTACAGATCCCAATTTATTTTTCATCCTGTTACACACAGATGCTTACATTGAACACTGTATGATCAATCCAATCCTATTTTGTCTGTGCTTTTTCAGAGAGCTCAAACCTAAATACATTTTCTTAATCCATGTTTTTGAATATTTGTGTTATCATTGTCATTGTGCTTTACATGATTCCCAAGATTTTATTCTTATCTAGATTGCTTTATTTTTCTTTTAAATAGCTCAAATGCTTTTTAGATGTAAATGAACTATTAATAATGTCTTCTTTTTTTATGTGTATATATGCACATATATATGTACTTGCACACATATATATGAATATATATATATTTATATATATATCTTTTTTCTCCAAGAACTTTTCCTCAATCTCTCCTATTTAATTCATGCTACCTCATCATTGTGAATTCTCATCTTCCATTTCGTTCTTCACTTTAGGGGCAGCTTGTGGGAGGTGTAAATGAAGCTGCTTAAGACGCTTAATGTGACACTTGGCGGATGTTTCAATCTCAGATTCATAAAATAACTGGGCATTAACATATATGAGATTTTCCATTTGTCATGAAGCTATCATGGCCCAGCTATATCTCTTAGTTGAATAAAATGACTCATGGCTGAGATTGGCTTAAGAAAGTAGCCTCCCCACCAGTTGTTTCAAATGATATTAAGATTGAAAGACTGTAAGCAATAATGAGAAGTGGAAATGAGAAAACAAAGAAATAAATTTAAGAATTTTGTCTAGAAAATAGCTTTGGTATTGTCAAAAACAAATCTAAAATAAGCAAAGACTTTATTCAAAAAGATTATTGCAATAGGGAGAATACACCAGTGACAAGATCTGCAAAGATTAGGCAGAAAGGGCTTTTCATTTTATAGGCAAGAGTAAACAAAGCTGGAAAGAACACAGTGTTGGAGAGGCGGCTAAGCAGGAAGTATGATTGGACAGTCAATCAGGAAATTATTTTCCCTACAGTCAGCCAGCTCTCAGGAGGGGTTGGCTGTGTACGAGAGTTGTTCGGCATTTTGGCGCTTGCTTAAGCTTAGAAGCAAAATGAAGTTCTGGGGCCTGGAGGAAGGAGAGAGGCTGCTTAAAGATTGGTCAGGTCAATTTGACGGGCACTTTGCACAGATTGATCAATGGAGGCAAACAGCTCAGCCAATCATTTGTGATATGATAATGTGAACGTGGAAGTTCTGTGTCTAGCGTCGTCTTAGGTAAACAAGGGGCCATCCTTGAGTTTCGTCTTATTCATATTAGGAAGGGTGGTTCTTTGTAGTAAGTTATTTCCAGGAACACAAAAAGATGGGAGATTTCTTAACCATCACTCTTTTTCAGTAGCACAGAGATCAGATGAAGTTCAACACTGTCAGGAATTACTGGGACATGGCATTCTCTACAAAAAAAGGGATCACAGTTCCATTAAATCGTGGAAGAAAGTGTACTGACAAACCATAAGCTCAATCTTTGAAAAATCTTTGACTGGCCAAGCTTTAAAATAACTCTTGATACCCCACATTTACGTGAGTGAGAGGGAGCCTGAAGAAAGCGTACAGTCTCCAAATTGTGCACTTGTCATAATTTTCACTTCAAATATGGTGCTGAAGTATAACAAACCGAAAAGAATCTCAAATATTTCTGCACCTGGGGTTATGAAGGACAATGAACAAGAGGTATCTCCAAGAATCCTGATTGATTTAGAAAACGTCCTCACCTTCAAAGTAGGAGGCCTTCAAAGTTGCTATGGCTGGAATATTTCCTTTTAAAAAGGATTTCATTGTGAGCATTCTGTATCTGCTCCATTCTTGCTTAATGGTAAAACTATGGAGAGTTGCAGATAGCTTGTTCTTTTAGACCTTTTACTGAGCAGAAACTCAAGTTTGGAGAGATTAAGAAACCAGAGTTGGTTACACAGCTCACATGGAGACAAGATAATATTCAAAGTCCTCCATATGTGCCGTACATCATGTTTGGTTTTCAGAAATCTTTCTCATATATTGTCTTATTTAATTTCCATAGCAATTATTAATGTAGGTAGTTCTTACAGATGAAAAAGATAGAGTCACATAGAAGTGACAAAACTCAAGGCTCAAAATATCTTGGTGGAAGAGCTGAAGCTTGAATGTATTTATTCTATCAATGCTCTTTCCACCTCTTTATAAGCCTCTTCACTTTCAATAGCAGCTCCTACCACCTAAAAAATGGCATTCTATTGTTCATACATATGTGAAAATGGTAACTAACAAGCCACATTGACCAGAATTTTGAAGTTGAGCTTTGCTTTTTTCCACTGATTTAGAAAAGATAACTTTACAAAGAAACATCATTTTACTACCTTCTCAATAACAGAACACTTAGTTCAGTGTGATATTCTTTAATGGTTTTGAAAAGAGATTTAGTTAGAGATTATTAATTTCGTCCAGATGTGAAAAAGGGTGAAGATAAAGTAAATATTAAGCATAAGAAAGGAGAAATGTGCTTTTCACTTTCACAAAACGCCTTTTGTTTGCCTTGCTCTTGACTTCTGCTGCTCACAACCGTATTTGATGGTCCACAAAACCAGAGCAGAATCAGAACAGAAGCAAAACAGGCTGTGGAATGGGCAAGTGTGTTCTACTGACTAGCAGGGCTATAAGTCTGTCAAGGCCTCTAGCTCACCTTTGTTGCCAACAGTCTCTGAAATAAAAAGTTGCTTCCTCAAATTGCTACTTACAGTTTTATACTAAAATTCTAATGCTAATCAGAAAATAGAATTTAAATAATGTCTGTTGGAGGAGGTAATTATGCATCCTTACTTGGTACCATATAGGCATGTTTATTTGCATATGAAGATTCTGAGACAAGAGGGGCTTCTCCCACCTTCAATTCTTGGGAGCTACAAGAAAAAAAAATTTAAAGTTACTTTTCAGAGCCTTACAAATAGAGAAGGCTGATAAGTCTTTGGAGGGCTGCCGGGTGCAGTTTTAATCCTCAAAATGTGTGTCTGTTCAGAATGCATAGTTACTACACATTCCCATTTGCATTTGCACCCACCCAGTGCTACAAAACTATTATGGCAAATCCAAAAAGCCCATTTCTTGCTGGCCAGCTCAAAATGCATGAAAATGGTGATCAAAGATATCAAAGGAGACAGTGATCCCCGGAAGTATTGTTTAAAAGTGATCCATAGAACAACATTTCCAGGGCAAAGAGTCCCCCATCAGAGCATATTTGTAATAATGTTGTGGCCTATTTCCACTAAGACAGAAAATGTGGCATTAAAAATGTGCCATGTCTCCGTCAACCTGTGACACATTGGAGGACAGAAAAGGGAGGATGAATATCATGCATGGGGATGATGAGGGTAGACAGACGAAGTGCTCAACAAAAAGGCAGCCCATGATCTGGAACACGAACACTATAAATTCACAAGTAAACCATTATTAAAACTTTCCAGATCCATAAATGCTGCCATTAATCACTTCCAAATTAACCTGATGTGAGTTAAATTATTGCAAGTTCCTGTGTAAATTAAATTATTATTAGTTGCAGGGTTTATTCGTGTTGGTAGAGGCTGCACTAGGAAGGAAGGGATAGTGAGACCTACCGGTTTCAATTTACAAAAGAGGGTTTGGGGAAAAATATTTTTGCTTGATTACGAGAGCAAAACCACTTCACAGTATAATATCATAATAATTATAGCCATATATCATAACATGTCATAAGTCCAGGACAAAGCTCAGTAGCCTTTCGTAAGCAGCAGCCAACAATGCAAGAAAAGCAAGTGAATGAGGTAATGGATTTCTTTTCCCTTATTCCACTAGAGAGCAGTGTTCTTTTGTACAAATCAGGTAGGTTGTTTGCTGCAAAGAACCTGTAGAGAAAATCTACATTAGGAGAGGTTTTATTAGCAGGAGAAAGGTCTCTTGCATAAAACTCTGCATTCTGAACAAAAGGTGAAGACAGTTTTTTCCAGCCAACTTGCTCTTATTGATGTAGGTATACCTCTGATACCTTATTTTCATATGGAAAAGTGTTGGTTATTCAAAAATATAACATGAAAACTATAGATTACATTCTATAGTAAATTTTTCAGATGGCAATCCTTTGCCAAAACAGATCTGTCAGTAACCAACTATTAGTTATCTTTATGGGTAATACAAAAATATTAATAATTTTTTTAACAAAAACTCCTAAACAATTCAGGAGCAAAAGAAAGAGTGAAGAGAAGGAATTTATGTGTGTTGTGGAGTTTTACCAACCTCCTCCTTTTCATTTTTTAACTCATTATACTGCTAGTACCTTTATTGCTGTTGCCAAGAACAGCAACTTTGCATGATAGACATTTGTCTGCTTCTCTAAGAGAAAATATTCTGTCATAGGCAATTTGGCTACAACTCTTTGATCTATAAGTTGACATTCCAAGAACCCCAAGGCCAAGCTAACAATAGCCGAAGGTTGTTTCCTCATTTGATGTTGTATAAATACGCTTCTAACCCTTCAGTTTCAAGTACTTGGAAACAGGCATAGCTAAACCATGAGTTTACGTGTTATGTGTGTATGTAACTGACTGCCTCTCTAGTTCAATATGAATTAAATTACTGGGTAATTTTGGTTTCTTCTAGAAGGAAATGAATATGCTCTTAAGTATTTAGAATCACTAGAAAGCCTTTTAGTTATTCCTGGATACAAATCAATGTCACCTGAAGTGTGGTTTCCTTGTGGATTCAGCCCCATTTTTCTCCATTTGCTTTTAGTATTATTTTTCTGATATATCACATCACTTTGCTATTTCTTTTCCCTAAACACACTGAACAATATAGTTGTAGGCAAAAATATCTTGGGAGAAAAATAAATGGGGAAAAATCTGAGGCCTGACAAATAACAATGGGAAAGGCCCTTCAGAGTATTCACTTGTTAATTTCGAGAAATCAGAGCATATGAAGTGTCAAGTTTGACACAGCAGATCCTGGGATTTATTTGAGCCTGCTCTTCTCTGCCTGTGTGCTGCACTTTCTGACACAGTACATGTTGAGAATTTAATATTCCTTGACCAAAATAAGTGTGGATTTCTTGAATTTCAAATCCAGATATCTTGAAGAACAGTGTTTCACATAAGATTTAGTACATAGACGGTGCTGAATAAACAGAGGTGGATATGCGAATGATTGAATTGGAGATAAAGTAATAAATCCCTCCATTTCAATCTGTTCCAATGCCTAATGCTTATGAGTCAGCTACATCAAAAGCCGTGCTTGTATCACAAAAACCCACAAATCTACTAATTAGACATCAAGAAGAGAAGAGGGGACTTAACGGAGTTTCTATAAACAACTAGACCTAGGTTTGAAGCATAGCTTTACCATGTATTTTATGTGTCACATATTAGGCTAAGTTCTTTGAACCTTGCCTTCAATATTTATACAAATAATGAGACTTAACAATGCTTCCCTGCCAAAATCATGTGGACAACTAATAACTATGTACTCAAAACAGACACTCAAAAACAGAAGAAATCATTTCTAAGTAAATAGGGGCACCCAGCCAGAGGTGTAATCTCTCACTTTTAAATGAAATATTTTGATTAGGTCAGATGATCTTAATGATCTAGGAGAAGTGCTAAAATATTGCAATAACATATTTTGCACCCATCTGTGAAAACGTCAGCTAAATAAATTATTAAGTGAACCATCTGATTTGAAATCTTTTGAATATCCCAGCCCTGGAGTAGGGGAGAACAGAAAATTTCAAAACATGTATATATATTTACATTTAGAATCAATACTTTGAAAGACACTTAAACTGAAAATGCATATACCCATTTGGGAGGGCAAGTTGGTGATATGTTCAAAACCATAAGAAATATTCATAAACCTTGAGGGAGTAATTCTATTCCAAGAAAGTCTTCCCAGAGAAATAACAATCAGAAATATGCAGTCAAAAACCTATATTTCTAGCTGTTTATAACTTTTTTTTAGTAATCGTGAAAAACTAGTTACAATTTAAGTGTCTCACAATAGGAGATTAATTAAATATATTATGGTATTTCTTACAATAGTCTATTATGAAGCCATTAAAACTGCATTTTCAAATACTGTTTAATGACATGGAAAATGATCAAAAATAAATTTAAGTGAAAAAGGAGGATATAAAACTGAATTTACAATGTGATGCCAATTTTGTAATACTGAGCATTTCATATAATTATTTTTATTCAACGTGTTTCAAGTATTCAACCAAAATATTGTCAAAGCATAAAACCTTAAGACAAATGAATTGCAAGATTAAAAATAAAATACTCTTTTCTCTTTTCTATCCACGTCTATCTGAAGCTCATATTAATTATCATGAGCATAGACTGGTACAATCTATATTTTCATAAGATTATAATTTACTTCTCTGTACATTTTATTGTTCTTCAAATTCTAACATAAGAACATAGAACATTTATTGACAGAAAGTAAAACAATAAATAATTTAACTACAGATGGATTGTAGTTTAAGATATGTCTTTTACTTTACACTATTATGTTTAAGAAAATTTGACCATGTTTGGCAAATTTTTGAATGAGCCCAAATGAATTTGATTATACTTTATCTGAATTTTCCAAAGGGCTAAGGAATGTTGTGATAAAATGTATCTGATTTAAATTTACATGTCTGACTGATCACTTAAGGGGACTCCTTAGAAGTTTATTTGGAGAGTGTGCAGAAAACCTGCTGGGACATGGCAGAACCAAGTGAAGAAACAAGAGCTAGATAATTTTAGTCACCCTCAGAGAAAAATATTATTAATATGCGGCCTAGACTCAAAGCTAGCCCTGTCTAAACCTATGGAATCCTTCCTATATTGGGGGGGGAGGGGAAGAGAGTTGTAGGTAAAAACCTGTACATGCTGCTTCTCTAAACTCTCTAACACATTTGGGTTCAAACAATACTTCTTTGAAATCCCTTAAACAGATTGTCAGGTAAAAAGAAAAAAAAATAGGTGCTCTTCACTCCTCTTTAGCACTGATACCCTGAAAACTTACAGAAGCTATTAATTTAAAAATTGAGTCCTTGGTTTCTCAAAGGGAGAGACTTTGCACTTGGCTTAGCAACCATTGGCAGGAACATTGCTATTCCTAACCCAGCCACACCACAGTGCACTGTGCCTGCAAGACAGTGAACATTTTCTTGAATACATCTGAGGTACCCAAAAGGTGCTTCCAGATATAATGTGGAGGTAGGTGATTTGTATACAGCTGGAATTTCTGGATGAGAAAAAGAAACAGAGCCAGGGAAATAAAATGTATTTTGGTCCTATTTCCCTAGAAGCTGTTTATTTTCAGATCAAAAGCTGAAGTTGTTTACAGAATCAAGATTTTCACAGTCTTCTACCTATGGGTGCAGTGAACTAGATCAAAGTCCTCAGGACTGATCCAGAACAAAACTGATGCCGAATTGGATTTACAAGGAAATTTGCAATGAATAAAACAGAAGTGTATCACCAGAGTGTTAGCCTCAACATTGTACATAATGTAGAAGAATGGATGGCATATTTCAACATAATCACAAACATAAAGTGCTAATGTGTGTTCTCAAAAAGTATTTGATTATCTAATTAACTCAATACATCATTAGGGTTTATCTGGCCCAGTTTTTGTTTCTGAATACTTTTTTAAAGAATAGTTCTATTTATTTATTTACTTTTTAAAAAATTATTATTATACTTTAAGTTTTAGGGTACGTGTGCACAATGTGCAGCTTAGTTACATGTGTATACATGTGCCATGCTGGTGTGCTGCACCCATTAACTCGTCTTTTAGCATTAGGTATATCTCCTAATGCTATCCCTCCTCCCTCCCCCCACCCCACAACAGTCCCCAGAATGTGATGTTCCCCTTCCTGTGTCCATGTGTTCTCATTGTTCAATTCCCACCTATGAGTGAGAAGATGTGGTGTTTGGTTTTTCGTTCTTGCGATAGTTTACTGAGAATGATGATTTCCAATTTCATCCATGTCCCTAAAAAGGACACGAACTCATCATTTTTTATGGCTGCATAGTATTCCATGGTGTATATGTGCCGCATTTTCTTAATCCAGTCTATCATTGTTGGACATTTGGGTTGATTCCAAGTATTTGCTATTGTGAATAGTGCCGCAATAAACATACGTGTGCATGTGTCTTTATAGCAGCATGATTTATAGCCCTTTGGGTATATACCCAGTAATGGGATGGCTGGGTCAAATGGTATTTCTAGCTCTAGATCCCTGAGGAATCGCCACACTGACTTCCACAATGGTTGAACTAGTTTACAGTCCCACCAACAGTGTAAAAGTGTTCCTATTTCTCCACATCCTCTCCAGCACCTGTTGTTTCCTGACTTTTTAATGATTACCATTCTAACTGGTGTGAGATGGTATCTCATTGTGGTTTTGATTTGCATTTCTCTGATGGCCAGTGATGGTGAGCATTTTTTCTTTTTTTTTTTTATTATGTTTTAAGTTTTAGGGTACATGTGCACATTGTGCAGGTTAGTTACATATGTATACATGTGCCATGCTGGTGCGCTGCACCCACTAACTCGTCGTCTAGCATTAGGTATATCTCCCAATGCTATCCCTCCCCCCTCCCCTGACCCCACCACAGTCCCCAGAGTGTGATATTCCCCTTCTTGTGTCTATGTGATCTCATTGTTCAGTTCCCACCTATGAGTGAGAATATGCGGTGTTTGGTTTTTTGTTCTTGTGATAGTTTACTGAGAATGATGATTTCCAGTTCAATCCATGTCCCTAAAAAGGACATGAACTCATCATTTTTTATGGCTGCATAGTATTCCATGGTGTATATGTGCCACATTTTCTTAATCCAGTCTATCATTGTTGGACATTTGGGTTGGTTCCAAGTCTTTGCTATTGTGAATAATGCCGCAATAAACATACGTGTTCATGTGTCTTTATATCAGCATGATTTATAGTCCTTTGGGTATATACCCAGTAATGGGATGTCTGGGTCAAATGGTATTTCTAGTTCTAGATCCCTGAGGAATCGCCACACTGACTTCCACAATGGTTGAACTAGTTTACAGTCCCACCAACAGTGTAAAAGTGTTCCTATTTCTCCACATCCTCTCCAGCACCTGTTGTTTCCTGACTTTTTAATGATTGCCATTCTAACTGGTGTGAGATGGTATCTCATTGTGGTTTTGATTTGCATTTCTATGATGGCCAGTGATGATGAGCATTTCATGGTTTTTTTGGCTGCATAAATGTCTTCTTTTGAGAAATGTCTTTTCATATCCTTTGCCCACTTTTTGATGGGGTTGTTTGTTTTTTTCTCAAAATTGACACCCTAACATCACAATTAAAAGAACTAGAAAAGCAAGAACAAACACATTCAAAAGCTAGCAGAAGACAAGAAATAACTAAAATCAGAGCAGAACTGAAGGAAATAGAGACACAAAAAACCCTTCAAAAAATTCATGAATCCAGGAGCTGGCTTTTTGAAAGGGTCAACAAAATTGATAGACCGCTAGCAAGACTAATAAAGAAAAAAAGAGAGAAGAATCAAATAGATGCAATAAAAAATGATAAAGGGGATATCACCACCGATCCCACAGAAATACAAACTACCCTCAGAGAATACTACAAACACCTCTACGCAAATAAACTAGAAAATCTAGAAGAAATGGATAAATTCCTGGACACATACACTCTCCCAAGACTAAACCAGGAAGAAGTTGAATCTCTGAATAGACCAATAACAGGAGCTGAAATTCTGGCAATAATCAATAGCTTACCAACCAAAAAGAGTCCAGGACCAGATGGATTCACAGCCGAATTCTACCAGAGGTACAAGGAGGAACTGGTACCATTCCTTCTGAAACTATTCCAATCAATAGAAAAAGAGGGAATCCTCCCTAACTCATTTTATGAGGCCAGCATCATTCTGATACCAAAGCCGGGCAGAGACACAACCAAAAAAGAGAATTTTAGACCAATATCCTTCATGAACATTGATACAAAAATCCTCAATAAAATACTGGCAAACCGAATCCAGCAGCACATCAAAAAGCTTATCCACCATGATCAAGTGGGCTTCATTCCTGGGATGGAAGGCTGGTTCAATATACACAAATCAATAAATGTAATCCAGCATATAAACAGAGCCAAAGACAAAAACCACATGATTATCTCAATAGATGCAGAAAAAGCCTTTGACAAAATTCAACAACCCTTCATGCTAAAAACTCTCAATAAATTAGGTATTGATGGGACGTATTTCAAAATAATAAGAGCTATCTATGACAAACCCACAGCCAATATCATACTGAATGGGCAAAAACTGGAAGCATTCCCTTTGAAAACTGGCACAAGACAGGGATGCCCTCTCTCACCACTCCTATTCAACATAGTGTTGGAAGTTCTGGCCAGGGCAATTAGGCAGGAGAAGGAAATAAAGGGTATTCAATTAGGAAAAGAGGAAGTCAAATTGTCCCTGTTTGCAGACGACATGATTGTATACCTAGAAAACCCCATTGTCTCAGCCCAAAATCTCCTTAAGCTGATAAGCAACTTCAGCAAAGTCTCAGGATACAAAATCAATGTACAAAAATCACAAGCATTCTTATACACCAACAACAGACAGAGAGCCAAATCATGAGTGAACTCCCATTCACAATTGCTCGAAAGAGAATAAAATACCTAGGAATCCAACTTACAAGGGATGTGAAGGACCTCTTCAAGGAGAACTACAAACCCCTGCTCAAGGAAATAAAAGAGGATACAAACAAATGGAAGAACATTCCATGCTCATGGGTAGGAAGAATCAATATCATGAAAATGGCCATACTGCCCAAGGTAATTTATAGATTCAATGCCATCCCCATCAAGCTACCAATGACTTTCTTCACAGAATTGGAAAAAACTACTTTGAAGTTCATATGGAACCAAAAAAGAGCCCGCATCACCAAGGCAATCCTAAGCCAAAAGAACAAAGCTGGAGGCATCACACTACCTGACTTCAAACTATACTACAAGGCTACAGTAACCAAAACAGCGTGGTACTGGTACCAAAACAGAGATATAGATCAATGGAACAGAACAGAGCCCTCAGAAATAATGCCGCATATCTACAACTATCTGATCTTTGACAAACCTGAGAAAAACAAGCAATGGGGAAAGGATTCCCTATTTAATAAATGGTGCTGGGAAAACTGGCTAGCTGTATGTAGAAAGCTGAAACTGGATCCCTTCCTTACACCTTATACAAAAATCAATTCAAGATGGATTAAAGACTTAAACGTTAGACCTAAAACCATAAAAACCCTAGAAGAAAACCTAGGCATTACCATTCAGGACATAGGCATGGACAAGGACTTCATGTCCAAAACACCAAAAGCAATGGCAACAAAAGCCAAAATTGACAAATGGGATCTAATTAAACTAAAGAGCTTCTGCACAGCAAAAGAAACTACCATCAGAGTGAACAGGCAACCTATAAAATGGGAGAAAATTTTTGCAACCTACTTATCTGACAAAGGGCTAATATCCAGAATCTACAATGAACTCAAACAAATTTACAAGAAAAAAAAAAAACAACCCCATCAAAAAGTAGGTGAAGGACATGAACAGACACTTCTTAAAAGAAGACATTTATGGAGCCAAAAAACACATGAGAATAGTTCTATTTATAAGTAGATACTTCATGACTTTCTCTTAGGGATCTTCCAAAGAACAAAGAGAATGATTCACTTTTTTAAATTAAAGTAAAATAAAACTCATTCTGTTTCATAATTATCATTTGATTCATTGGACTCTTTAAGTATAAGATCCATTACAGGTTCTTAGTGATTTTTTTTTTCTATATTTGCTGTTTCATTATCCTAGAAATTATTTTTCTCATTACTTATCAATTATTCTCAGCTATGCTAAAGACAAAGAAACTTTTAACAGGAAGTCAGAATGATGAAGCCACCCAGAAAGATGTTTAAAAGGTCAAATTAATAACAATTCCATCATCTTTCAGTTTTCTTATTGCATTGTATGAAGTACTGCATCATAATTTGAGAAGGTATAACAGGAGACTGGAGACATGATCTTTGTAGTCTACTTTTAGATTTAATTGAACATAATTTTGAATTCAGAATTTCTCATCTTCAGCCCATAAGAGCAAACAGAAGAAAACTGAGAGAGGAAGATATTTCACAACTGCAAGATGAATCAGAAATTAACGCAAACAGACACATAGAAGCACTCTAGTATATTCTAACAATGATAGTGAAATTCATCACATAAAATTTCAGATTATAAATATTCAGATGACAATATCTCAGATGAATTTTCTCAAATTTAAGAAACAGCAAGTGAATAATATATTTCTATGGATGAAAATAAATACGGTTTTCTCATATAGTTAATCATTCAACAGGAAGGACATCATCTTACAATGTTTTGGGACAAAAATTAGACCTTGCTATTATGTTAAAAAAAAAGTGAAATTGTTATTTTACTTATTTTGATGTCTGCATGTCAAATTTTACTTGATATAGTTTGTAAGAGACAAATGTTGAAAGCAAGTGTGTATAAAAATATATTTAGAAAAAAATATAAATAATGTAGAAATGAAAAAAAATCACTCAATGGTATTTATAAAGGTAAAGCTGAAAATGATTTGGAATTAAAAACCAAAGAAGATTCAACCAACGTTATGAGTCATTGAAAAGTTTCAAAAACTTAGGTATTGAATTTTGATGATGCAAATGTAAAAACAAAAATCAATGATAAGCTAAAACTTATTTAGATATATATTTGAAATATGAAATCTGTATTTACAAGATGGATATGTCCCAGGTTCATTCATGACTGCTGATGATCAATCAGTTAATTCAGAGGATGTTGTCCCTTGGGTCCATATATATAACATCAAAATCAGGGAAATGTGGAATAAAATTTGAGTTTACGCTGCTTAAATTCTTATTTGAATTTCTAAGTCACTTTCAGTATCCCTTTAGTCTTACTGTTGTGAACTATTTGTTAAATGATTTTAAAAGATAAAAAAAATTTGAAAGTACATTGGATCCAGATGGTAAATAGCATGGCTATTTTTCCTGGCATGTGAAGCTTAAAGTGTGAGATCTAGAAATAGGTTCTTGAACTGGACCCTAGTGTAATGCTGAACTAAGAATATTTCACGAAAAGTTCTAGGAATTAGTTTAAAACAAAACACAAGTGGTAAAAATAAAATCTGGGGCCGAAATTACATAATTACATAAAAGGTGTTAATGTCTTAGGACAAACATAGTCTCCTTCTACCCCTCCCTTTCTTTCTGCCTCTATCTTCTTCTTTGTCTTCCTTCCTGTCTCCCCCTCCACACTCTTTTATGAATCTGGACTAATTTAGGAACTGCTGAAAGAATATCTAAATGGCTGTCCTCACTTTATTGCAATTATGGATCACCAGAAAAAATGTTGGCTGTCTCTCAAGGAAGGTCAATCCACTGAAACCTTCCAGATATCTTTTTTTGGGGGGTGCTCTCTTTGCAACTTTTGCTTACTTAGCCCTTAAATTTTATAATTGCTTACTATTTGAACCCATCTCTCTTTGACAGAAGAGACCATATCTTATTCATTTTCACATTCCCAATATCTTGCATAGAGCAGCTGCTCAATAAATGTACACATACTAAAACATTCACTTGCAACAATCAAGATTATGAAAAGGACATCCTGTATTATTAATTGAGATTATGGTAATTATTCCTTATTAAGGTTTTTTTTTGTCTAAAACCATATAAATCCTTTGGGTTTAATGCAAAGGTTTATAATCCTTTGCATTCCCATGGGAGAGACTTGAGTTATACCTGTTGAAGCAATAGAAACTCAATGGAGTCTATGTTTTTTGTTCATTTCATAGGTGAGAAAATAAGATTTGTTTACTCTGTGGCAATAAAGTATCTGGCGTAGCTATCACAAACTTACGTTTCCTACAAATTGTTGCCTTTCCACAGTTTCAAGGTGCATGTGGCTGAAGAGTCTATTTGGCAAACCAGCTAAAAAGGGTGTGTTAGCTTTGGATTAACCTTTTGCCCAAACTAATGTTTCTTGCCAATGGCCCGAGTCTCAATTCAAAAGGGCGATAATGTCATAAAATGGAAGAAATTGATTTTTTTCATTTTATCCACCAAAGTAGTAAAAATTGTAAAATCTATATCCAAATACACATAATAAATTTCCATTGCTTTAGGGACAATATTAAAGCATTTCTGTTTCCTTTTTATTCTGGATCGCAGCCCTGACTACATAGAGTTCATATATATATATATGTTTTTCTAATAGACTTTCAATGCTCAAGATTATTTTCTTTTTAAAAGTGGTCCTGATAACTTTTAGTATAGTTGCTCTCTGGGAATGCTAATTTTTCCTCCCATTTAATTTGCCCCTTTCCACACCCACCCCCCAGGTCCCATATTTTCAGTAATGCAAAATTAGGCAATTATTTACTTTTTGTTTGAGTTTAAAAAGCACATCTACACCACACAAATGCATTTTGGCTCCCATTCATGCTGAAAAATTACTGGTAACTTGATGAATCTGCAACTAATTTTACAAAAATGTTGGGCTAGTTTTGCCAAGGATGTCTGACCCCCGGCCTTACTTCACTGATGTAAGTTTTTGAGCATTGGCCTGGTCTGATCAGTGCCAGCTGTGAGTGCTTTGGTTGTACACGTCGGATGTTAAACAAAGTGGAAAGAACAGCATACTCTAGCTCAGACATGGAGGTTTGTGAATTGGGACAGAAATAAGACTGTGTTTGGAACTGAGGCATGTCGTTCAATTCCACTAAGCTTCCCTTTGCCCAGTTATGCTATTTGATTTCATACTGGTGTGTCACTTAAAATCACTCTCAATCAAATGCTGCTCAGACCAGAGAAAGTAGATATCTGTAAAAAAGAATAAACAGAATTTATTAGGAAATGGTTTTGTCTAACAGATTTTTAAAACTACATTTTTTGGTCCAAACTCTCTGGAATTCTAAGGGAAAAAAGAAAACAATAAAATATTGATAAGGTATTTTAATTTCCTTAGAGAGTAATAAATAATCTATTCCGGGACACCTGGTAATAGTAGGAGTTAAAATGGCTTAACTTTTTAATTTTTGCTTTGAGAGAGAATGGAGTTGGTGAAAGTATGGAATATTTTGAGTACGTTTACATTCAGCCTAAATACTAACAGAGTGATGCCCGTAAAATCCATGTATAGAACTGGTATTCTATATTTTATTGCATCTAAAGATAAATTACCTAATGACAAGGTTCATGGTATCAAAGCAACCTACAGTTGAGGTTGAGGATGGCAGAAACAGTTGCTGAAAATTGATGTTTGGAGAGCGATGGTAGTAATGGATTGATGATGGAACATCCATCAGGGAAAATGAAACAATTGCAGCATTACTCATAGTAGCCAACAGGTGGATGCAACCCAAATGATGAACCTCATTAGTGAATAGAGAAACAAAATGTGGTATATCCATACAGTGGCCTATGGAGTCAAGCAGTGATACATGCTACAACATGGATAAATCCTATAAATATTATGCTAAGTGAAAGAAGCTAGATACAAAAGGCCACATATTGAATTATTCCATTTATATAAATGGATAGGCAATTCCCTAGAGACAGAAAGTAGAATGGTGGGTGACTTCTAATGAGCATAAGATTTAGTTAGGGATGATGAAAATATTCTAGAACTAGATAGGGTAATTGCACAACTTTGTGAATTTACTAAAGAACACGAACAGCATACTTTTAAAACATAAATGTTAAGTAATGTAAATAGTATCTCAATTTAAAAAATGTATGAGGAAGAAAAAGTAAGCCAACTTGTAATTGTGAAATGTGGGTTGTTTGCGTATTGCATCTTCGTGTACTCTCCATTGTCTCCATCGGCGAATCTGTGTAGTAGAATGCTTCATTGCATTGCCCAAGTCTCAAATTTTCTACTTCTTTATGCTTATCTGCTCCATTGTAAGCCATCTCTTTTTTTCTAATTTACTGTTCTTAAGTTTTTCTTTTCAAAAGTGTGTCTGATCACCTATTAAACCTATATTGACATCTGAATTTTAATTATTATATTTTTCATTTTAAGATATTATATTTGGATCTTTTTCTAAATTTTCTAGTCATTTTTCTCTTGTTTCTAAGACATGTATTTAATATCCTCTTTTTTTGCTTTAATTGTATTCAACAAACATTTTAATTATCTCTGACTGATAATTCCAGTATCTTCAAAATTGTGAGTTGAATTTTTCAGTTTGGTGCTTCTGTCAACTCTCATTCATAGCATCTTGTTTCTTCATTCATGTCTTCATGAATGTGTGTGTGTGTGTGTGTGTGTGTGTGTGTGCATGGGGGAAATGGAGGATGTGTTCCTTGGAACTTTATGGTAAACTTTAAGAGTTGAACTTAAACACCACTTTTCCATTGACTATTTGTTTTTTCTTCTTTTAGGTGCCTGGATAAACAAGAAATTCTGAACACTTTGAGTCTGGAAATTTTCAGAACACCTAGACAGCATCAGTCATAACTCCATACCTGTGTGAGTACTAGTTTGTAGTTCAAACATTCAAGAGAAAATTTTTCTTTTTCTTATTTAAAAGAATATCACTCAGGGACTTTTTTTTTCACTATTTCTCTTTTTTAAAAAAATAAGTTGTATTTTAATGGGCACGAAGGGGATGTCACCTTTCGAGAATTCTAGCTTTAATGTGAGATTTTATAACATCATTTGTATGGGTCCTATTTTTTGTCTCCTGTTCCCTATGAAGATATCATCCATTAATGTAAATTAAAATGAAGACTGTAATTTGTATAAGAATGTATATTGCTGCTTTATTTTTGATATTCTCAAATCGGAAACAACCAAAATACCAATCCGCAAGAGGATGGATAAGCATATAGGAATATATTTTTATGATGAAATAATTCTCAGCATTAATTTTGAAAAAGCAACTGATACACAAAACAATATGAATATATTTTGAAAACATCCTGGATGAAAGAAGCCAGACCACAGATTTTGAGATCTGGAAAAGCCGATGGACAGTAATAAAAGTCAGAATAATGATTCTGGGTAGGGAGTTGGGACTAACTGAAAAGGTGTGAGAAAACTTTCTGAAGTCTTCCTTCAAAACTTTCTTTATCTTAAGTGGGCTTACATGGGTGTGTATGTGTTTATGTATTCAAGAAAATCCATCAAATCGTATGCTTAAGTTCTGTGCATTTTAGTTTATGTAAATTTTATCTCAGTAGACTAATAAAGACTCTCTGAAAGAGGTAACAAACTGAATATTTGAAAATTTTGTAGATAAATTAAAGCAAAAGAGGGACACTGATAACCTTAGAACAAAAGAGGGCAGAAAAATCAGATGGATCAGTGAATAAAAACAAATTTCAGTCTATTTAGTTTCAAGTAAGGATTACAAATACATGGCTTATATCCCGGTATTTCCTTCTTCTCCACACATGTTCAATATTACTAATTGTTTCAACACTTTACAAAATTTTTGACTCAAAATAATCTTTTCAACATTTCTAGGTAACCACTGCCAATTCGCAAACAAGATAGACATGATTTACCATTAACATTTTAAACAGCCTAAATTTAAGTTACTCATGTATCAATTTCTCTTTTTCTCTTTTATTCCACATCCAATCTATCCTAGTGCTATTAACTCTATCTAAAAATTATATCTAAATTCTGATAACATCTTTTCACCTCTGTGACTACCATCCTAGCCTAGCCACCATTATCTCTTGACCATACCATTGCTCCCTACTTGTTCTTCTTGTTTCTACACCTTCCATCCTACTTTATTACATAGGAGCAGAAGGATTCTTTTAAAATATGTCATATAGGGGGCCTCCCACCTCCCTTAGGGTGACGGCCAAGGTCTTATCATGGTCTAACTCCCGTTTTAGATCTGGTTCCCACTAATTTTCTTGCCTTTTCTTTTACTATAATCTTGCTTGATCTCTCCATTGGAGACAGATTAAGTTCCTTGCTGTTCTTTAAACACAGCATGCTTACCTCTGGTTCACTGCCTTAGCACTTATCACCTCTTTTGCTGCAAATGCTTTCCACGTTATCTTCATGGAATGTCACCTCATTTTCTTCTTGTTATCTACTCAAATGTCAACTTACCAGAGAGGCATTTCCAGACCATCCTATCTAAAATATTATTCAGTCCTCCATTCCCTGTTCAACTTTCTCTGTTTACTGCTTTTTTTGTAGAACATAGTCTCTCTTCCTCTCTCTCTCTCTGACACACACACACACACACACACACACACACACACCACACACACACAAACACACACACACATTATTTTCTGTCACATTCCCCTGGAAGTAAAATGTATTTACTTTGGGAAGTTTAACTATTTGTTCACTACCCTATATCCAGACCCTAGAATATAGTAGTTATAGGTTTATATATCTTCAGAACCTGGCACACAGTAGATTTCATAAATATTAGTTAAATGAGTATACCCAAGGAATTTATATTTGGAAGAAAAAAAATCAATGCTACATATCACTCATTGAGGAAAAAAGAAAAACAAAACTGTTCTTCTCCTCTCTCATACTGTCGGATATATGAAACCATTATTTTTGAAAGAAAAAATATGAGTTCTACTGATACTACAAACTGTATACACGCAGGGAAAATTATTTGATGCTGTGTTATTTTTTATCTCTCTGCTTCAGTTTTTATAACTTATATTGATGAGAATTCAAATTCACTGATTCTTTATTCTGCTATGCCAATCTACTGTTTAAACCCATCCAAAAAGTTCTTAATTTCAGACACTTTTCAGTTATATAATATCTATTTGATTTTCTTTTTAGGGTTTCTACTTATTTGTTACAATTATTAATTTTTCAGATATTTTGTTCATCCTTGCCTCTATTTTTAACATATGTTTGATAATCATTTTAAACTCTTTATCAACAAATTGTAAACTCTGAGGCAACTACATTTCTGCTTTTGTGTCTTATTTTTGCTCTTGATTTAGGGTTATATTTTCTTGCTTCTTCCCTTGCCTTTTAAATTGCAGGTGTATGTCAGATATTTTATATTAAAAAAAAAACAAAGACTAAAATGGATATTATTTTCCCTCAGAGAATATACCCTTTTATATTTCTAGCAGCTAGCATGAGGAGCTGAATATATATTAATTCATTCAAAAGATGTTCTATGTCAGCAATGGATAGCAGTGTCAGTTTGTTTTAATTTATGTCTGGTATCAAAGGTTTTGAGAATATTATATGTATCTGTGCTATGTGCATTATAGGCAAGTCATTCTAGCAGAAATTTGGGATCATATGCAAGAAGATTATGAAGATCATTTTCTCTTTCCAATTTAGCCTTCTTTTGCCATACTCTTGGTAAATGTTTCATAAGTGAGGCCTGGTATGTAGGAAGAACAAATCTGCCAGATTTCAGTCAATCATGGCACCTACATGGTTATTAAAAATTTCACTAGTTTCTCTTTACCCCAGCAGATTTCCTCTACCTATATGGTAGGAGTGACCTTCTACTCATATGCCCAGATACAGCTAATGACCCTAGAGAAGAAAGGGCCAACATCCTGCATTTAATCAAGAAGATCTCATTCTTCTATAGAACTGACTTCATTTAGTTTTTTTATTATTATTATTTTTTGACCTGCAACTCTTGAATATCTTTTAAAAATAATATATGAGGAAACTTAAATGCATATTGTTAAATGAAAGAAGTCAAGTTGAAAAGGCTACATATTGTATGATTCCAACTATATGATATTCTGGAAAAGGCAAAACAGTGAAGACAGTAAATGGATCTCTGGTGAAAAGAAGGGATGAAAAGACAGAGCTCAGAGGATTTTTAAGACAGTGAATCTACTCTGTATGATACTTGATAGGGTTTGGTTGTGTCCCCACCCAAATCTCATCTTGAATTGTAATGCCCATTAGCCCCAAGTGTGATGGTAAAGACCCAGTGGGAGGTAATTGAATCATGGGGATTGTTTCTCTCATGCTATTCTCATGATAGTGAGTGAGTTCTCACAAGATCTGATGGTTTTATAAGCATCTGGCATTTCCTCTGCTGGCACTCATTCTCTCTCCTGCTGCCCTGGGAAGAGGTGTCTTCTGCCATGATCATAAGTTTCCTGAGGCCTCCCCAGCCACGTGAAACTGAGTCAATTAAACCTCTTTTCTTTATAAATTACCCAGTCTTGGGTATTTCCATATAGCAATGTGAGAACAGACTAATACAATATTCTAATGGTGGGTACATGTCACTATACATTTGCCCAAACCCATACAATCTACAACAGCAAGAGCTAAGCCTTGTGTAAACTATGAACTTTGGGTGATAATGATATGTCAATGTAGGCCCATCAATTGTAACAAATATATGCTGCTGGTGGAGGATATTGATAATAGGGGAGGCTGTAGATGTGTGGAAGCATGTGATATTTCCATATTTTCTGCTCAACTTTTCTGGGAACCTGAAACTGCTCTAAAAATAAAATCTCTTAAAAAGACTTTTTAATATATATATAGTATATAGAAGTGTATATAATATGCATTAGATAATATGGACTTTTTAATATATGTAATATTTTATACGCACACACACACACAGTCTACATTTTCCCTTGTTGTTATAGAAGAAGCAATGGTTTCTCACAAGCTTTTGCATTCTAACAAAAGTTAAACTTACATAAATTATTGAAAATCAGTATACTTCTGAGAAATCCAAATTATTGCATCTATTGAAGCAGTTATCTCTCTTGCCTACTATTTAGGCAGCAATTGATAATAAATGATGAATAGGAACCAAACCATCAAGAGTTACAGACCAGGCTTTCAACTTTTTTCTGAAATGTTTAAAACAACCATGCTTGAAATCATCTGTCAGAGAATTAGTAACTTCTTTGGTGAAAAAAAGCTTATTTTCAAATTGAGTATTCTAAGAATAAAGCAGTAAGAAAACAATATATGTGTGGGGGTCATAAGAATTTACTATACTGTAGAAGTAATGCCAAAAGGTTTTAAAATAAAATTATGAATAATCAATCTTTAATATACACTTGAATGGGAGGATATTTGACCTCTGTCACTAAGAATATGACACTAAGGACATAGCCCTTATTGACTTCCATTTCTTTTGTCTAGAATGACGTAATCTTAACATTTCTTCCAGTTCTCACTTTCTGTGACACCATTCTGATGTCCACTAAGATATCCACATAGCCTTTAGAAGTTAGTAAAGTATTGTAGTTATAAACCTGGACTTAAGAATAAAATAAATTTGAGCTTTAATCTCAGCTCTCTCTACATGTTCTGCACTATGATCTTGAGAAAGTTACCTAGGCCTTTTGAGCCTTAATTTTCTTATCTGTAAATAGAAATAAACATACCCCACCTCAGACTGTTCTTACAGTAATTATATTACATAGTGAGGACTTAGTAAATGATAAAAATATTTTATTTCCTCACTTCTAAGGCACCATTAATGTAGAAACATTTTGTGAGAATAAACTAAGAGAAATACTCTGGTATCATATATATATATGTAAATTATAAGTTGCTTCCCAATGCAGAAGTCTAAAATGAGGAAAAAAATAACGTTTTTAAAAAGAAATAATTCTTATATATTTTCCCATTTGGGGCTGAATTGCTCTTGGTGTATAATAGTGGGATTTCTGAAAGACGGTGAAATGAAAGTGCTGTGGTTTCAAATGAAAAATTAGCATTCACGATTCCACCTATAAGTAGAATTCCATACTGCCTTTTTCAGTAGTGGAAAGAAAAAATGGAGTTACACTGTAAACTCAAAAATTGGTAAGAGAAAAGTTGAAGGTCCACTTATTTTTTAAAATTCTACCTGAATGATGCTTGTTAGCCAATTCCACAGATAATCTACAATACTTTTTTAGAAAGTAAAATGGATAAACTTTACTTAGTGGTAGTCAATGTCACTTGATTAGTAACATGCTCATATAACCAGCTATTTCAGAAGAGTGACAACTTGCAATGCAATCTAGCTAAGACAAAGAACAAAGAGGAGAAAGCCATCTAATAACCGTAAAACTGTGGAAATATTGGAAAGGAAAATCAGGTTAGATGCCTTCCTAAAAATTTCATTTTGTGTGAGCTATTCCAAATTTAATATTTTAAAAAGAACTGAACTGTAAGCTAGAATGAAACCTATCAAATACTTAATGAATTGTTCGCTTTCATTTCTGAAGTCTTGAATTCCATTTTTACGGAAAATATCAAGTAGTCTATAAAGCGGAGGTACAAACTAGTCATTACATTTTATTCCTGTTTTAAAGTTAGATCTTAGTTTTAAAGTTAGACCTTCTTTTTAATTATTAGGAATATGTATCTATTGATTGTATTATTGATTATTTATTGATTGATTCATCTGCCTTGACCTTTCAGCAGTACTCTTTACCAAAAGCCTAATTTGAAAAAGGAATGTTTAGGTAATTTTTTCCCAATTAAGTAGTGAAGAATCATGACCTAGAAATTCATAGGAAATAAACCAGGAAAACTAAAATGGCATTGACCAAAGAAAGCATGGCTGAACATGAAGAAAAATATTTTATTATTCCTCTCATAAATTGGCCAAAACCAAATGACTAAAGTTTTTAAATCTGGAGTGTAAAACTTTTGAAGACAGACCTTTTAAAAGAGAAAATATGAAAAACCTTATAGAATGGCTTTAAACTATCTGAATATGGAGAGAATATGATTCAATTTCAGTAAACTTGAATTAAGTCTTATTAAACCTGGAAAATCCATTTATCTCTTTTAATTTTATGGCTTATTGTGGACAGAAATAATGCTTTATCTAGTGTGTCCCAGCCTTTGAGAAAAGAAAAATAAGAAACCCTTCCTAGGTAAATAGTTTGGCTTTTTGTATGTAAATGTTTCAGTATTGCAACATGCCCAATCTATCCCACATGCCAACCCAAAATAGGACCTGCATATGAGACATGTAGAGGAAATGACTGGATTAATTTTGTATTGTTATTAATTGTTATGCATGGGGAAATATATGGGAAAATTATTTATCAAATAATCTCAAGGAAGAGATGGGCCGTCTCTGTAGCCCTTCTTGGATCAAAATAAAGCTCGAGGAAAGGTTTTGACTGAGACCTCAAAGAAACAAGTTTCCTCTGGAAACCTAGTCTTCACAGAGGGCTTCATATAACATGGGAGCCAGCGTAATGAGGTATTGGAAAGAAATCTTGAAATCATGGGTTACGTTTTATTGTTTTCAAGTAAAGAGAATAAAGATTGTTCATTTTTCCATAGTTTTACCATTAAGAGTCCCTTGAGAAAAGTGAATGAGAAGTTACACATTTCTGACAAAGAAATTCTTTATTTAGCCACACATTTCAAGGTTGTGATTACGGCATCAGTAACTGGCTAGAGAAGAGATTGCACTGAGGCAGATAATAAAGTTCATTGAACTATGTGATCCAGGCAGTATACACACATGGTAAAGCTCTTCCTGGGATTACAGATCTGACATTTTGAGCTTACCAGTTAAGGAGAGATTTTTGAGAAAAGCAAGCAAAAGTAAAAACAACAAAACCAAATTAATTTTTTCCTTTAAACTATGAAACCACCACCTAAACAATAGAGTCTTTTCTGTGCCTATGGCACTTACTAAAGCATTTTCTACAATTTCCTTGAGCTGATAATATCAAAAGTAGAATAATAAGTATATTAATAATATTAAATTTCGTATTACTAAGAAAGTAAGTAGATTAATAAGAATAACTATTTACAACTAACATTAAGAAATACTTTTCTTTACATTATTTGGGTATAGCTAATGAAAATACCCCAAATCTGGAATAATATTTTTACTAATAAGTAGGTTTCCAGTATAACCTGATACTTGATAATCACAAAACAAATAACCATGTCATGTTTTAGAAATATAAACGCCATAAATTGCAACAATGATTGTATTTTATATCTCCAAGTACTTTTTAATTACTGAAAAAGTTGATTAGTACATTCATCAATCTCCCCATTATTTTCCTCTGATTTATTAAAATCACACTAAGCAATTCAGGAACACAGTTCTAATTCATTAGAGACTTTAACTTAAGACAAATTTTAAAATGTTTAATTGAACAACTGTCATATTAAAATGCTGGTGGACTTCTGTTGGCATGATCCGTAACTTTCTACCTTTGTAAATATGAATAGATTAGGAGCCAATAATAAAACAAGAAAGAAACAAAAAGAATGATTCTTATATTCTACATATACTCTATAGAGAACCTCAATAACCTTTCTACTAATGAGTGGAGTATATCTGATGAAATTCCCCTTTGGACATTTTTCAGATATTAAATTTTGAAATGACATATCTCGCAAACAAAGGTGGAAGCAATTTTATCCTATTAACAGCTTGAAATTTTGCACAATGAAAATGGAAAGGGAAAGTAAAATGAGGTTAAAGAGAAAGCTAATTAGAATTTGGAAGTTTGCTGGGTTAATGTCTAGACTTTGGAGGTCTAGGTTTAACAATTTGTGTACCACATAGTTTAGCTCTAAAGATTGATCTGTGCTCAACAGACTTGATGAATAGACCTCTTTCTCAGAATGCTAAAGATGCACATTGCAATATCATGAGAGTGAATGTGTAGGAAAAGAAACACACAAACAAAATATGCAGAGCTTTTTATAAATCTCATGTACTCAGAAGGTTCTCAAAATTAACATAGAAAAGAAGCTACAGAAAAGGGGAAAATACTTCTGAACAGTTGACCACCTATGGAACAGCCTCACAGGCAGAACTGTTTGCTTACCTGGTAAGGATATAGCCCAGAAACATTCTCCACTGTACTTGATGAATTGTTTTTCTTTGTTACACTCTGAAAGTTTTCACCAATTATGAATTGATTGGGTTGAAACTGTCCCGATTAGGATGCAAATCCCCATGGTATAAGCAATCAGTTGATCTAATTTTAATTTTTAGAATCAGATAACTGAAAACAATAAGGAAGAAGAAAGCATTATTTGGTGATAGAGGGAAGAGCCAGTCCTTTTTGATATTGAACAATTTTATTTGATAGGGCAGGTAGAAAGAAGGCTTATGATAACCCTGGGTACTAAATGACTGGGAAGGTACCTGAGACTGAAAAGAATCAGAAGGTGTGAAAGAGACTGTATGATAATTATAAAATGATGCCCATGATCAACACGGTATGTGTGCCCCATACTGATATGTCATATCAATTAGGAGATTCAGTTGCAAGTAACAAAACGTCCAGCTCAAACCACTGTAGAAAAACCAATGGGGCCCTCTGGGCAAAACAACACAGGTTCTAGGTCATTTCCCACATTCTAACTCCAGAGATGCTATGGAATAAAAATGAAAGTACTGGAGTCTGAAGAACTAATGCAGAATTCATGAGAGACCACAGAGAGAGTAACACTGAATGTCACTATGAAAGTATACACACGAGGTGGCATGGGAACAGGCTGGAGAAGGGTAAGGGCCAAAAAAAGAAGGTATTATAAGGTATTAAGTAACGAAACTAATAAAGATTATTCAAGATTTGATAAAGAAAAAATTTAATCTCTAGCTTATTATATAAAATATTATTTGAATAATTAGGCAGATGTAGCATATGCAGAGATGAAAAAACTTAAAGTGCAAGGATGTTACGCCTTCCAAATTAATCTACAAACTCAATGTTATGCAAATCAAACTGCAGTTGAGGTATTTAGGGCATTCAACAAGTAAATTCTAAAATTCAGATAGAAGAATGTATCACAGTAGCTAAATCTATGTTGGTAAAGAAAATTGAAAGAGGGTAACTAATTCCACCAGATGTTAAAGCACACTACAAAAATGCAACAACAGGAGTATGGAACTAGTATAGAAACAAATAGACCAATAGATAATAACATATACATCAGCTGCAGACCTATGTGTATAAAGGAATTTTATACATGATAAAGCAGGCAACAGAAAGCAATGGAGAAGGGAGTTTAGTAATGGTGTTAGAGCAATTGACTTACTAAATATAAAACTGGCTCCCTAATCAATGCTATATTCAAAGATGTACTCATGGGAGATTAATGACCCAATGTGAAAGACAAAATAAAAATGCTAATATGTAGATGTTGAAGAAGATCTTTATAAATTGAGAATGAGAAAATGTCCTAAGCAAGACCCACAAACTGCCTATCATTAATGAAAGCATTGACATATTTGACTTAAGCAAAATTAATAACGTTTATTCCTCAAAGGACAGATAGACAAAATTAACAGCTAGGTAACAGAGTGAGAGATGATATTTGTAATGTCTATAATTAACAAATAAAAATTGTTTATACAAAAAACTTCTGTAAATGAAGAAAAAGGAGTATAGAAGATTGAACCCAATAACTAGAAAAATGTAAACCGATAAAATAATGTGATAATTTATATACATAAGAATGACAAGACTGTGTAGGGAGGTAATACAAAATATTGGCCAGGATGTAGGAAGAAGAGAACATTTACTAACTTTTGGTGAAAGCATAAATTGGCCATTCAGAAAAGCAAGTGGCAGTATTCAGCTAATTGCATGGTATATATGTTTTCTGAACTAAAGAATCTACTCAAATTAGCCAGGTGTGGTGGTGGGCGCCTGTAATCTTAGCTACTTGGGAGGCTGAGGCAGGAGAATCAGTTGAACCCGGGAGGCAGAGGTTGCAGCGAGCCGAGATCGCGCCACTGCACTCCAGCCTGGGCAACAGGAGGGAAACTCCGTCTTAAAAAAAAAAAAAAAGAATCTACTCTTGGGCATATATCACAGAAATATATTTGCAAAGTTCCAACAGAGATCATATCCTAAGTTGTTTACCACAGTAGCAATAGTATTTTGCCTCCAACTCAGTGTTTCCGTAAACAGCATGCAGTTAGAAGCAAGGAGGAGGCAAACTACACATTTGCTTCCAAAGGGTGAAGAAGCTCAATGCAGTGGATGCATCCTATGGAACTTTCTTCAGCAGCTTAAACCAACAGATCTATAGACAGTGTCATAAATAGACTTTCAGGGCACTGTAATAAAATTTACAGCAAAATACCATTAATGTAAATTAAGAACACATATGCATGTAAAACTTAATGTTATTTTAGAAGGCTGCTTGCAGAGATATACATGTGGCAAAGATTTTTAACGTGGAAGCTTATGGTAGGTAGGCAAAAGCAAGTGAAGATCAGCATAAAAGGGAAAAAAATCATACAACATGAATAGCTCTGGCATAAGTGGATTATAATAATTCACTCTGATCTAAGCAGTATTTTTAAGTCAGTTCTCAAAACTTGGCATCACCAGAAGGAAGAGTAGGAGAGGAGAATCCAGTATCCTCTGGCCTGATGTGGTGGCTCAGAAATGTGAGCGGGACTCTTTATTCTTTGCGTCTGCTTTCTTGGTTTTGGCTCCTTTCTTGGCAGATTTCTCCTCCTGTGATCCCATGCTGCCTCTTGGTTTCTGTTTTATATTCAGTAAGGAAGAAGGTTATTCACTTCTGAACCCTTAAGGAAAGTCCTAGTCTTCTTTATAAACTGGTTGATAAATGTCTTATGACATCACTGTGGACAGTCATGTATGAACCTTGGCTCTTCTTTGGAGCCTGGCGTCTAGCTTCCCGTCTTCTGCAGATGGAGTTTGATTCTCCTTCATGTCCCTCATTATGAAGGCCTAACTCTGTTTCTTTTCCCTGGGAATGGTTCTACTTCAGCTTCCCCTCACTGCTCTAGTTTTAACATCACTCTTAACTTTTCTGGAATTCATAGATGTCAATTTTGAGATGACTGGGTTACTTTGTTGTTTTTTAATATAATATTTCATGAAGAATTTTTATGTTTGTATAGGAGTGTTAACTTTTTCCTGTATTAATGTAGACCATAATTTAATGGAAAATTTATCCCAGGTTTCAAAGGCAGCTTATAAACAAACTTTTTTTCTTTTTGTGAGATGGAGTCTTGCCCTGTCGCCCAGGCTGGAGTGCAGTGGGGCAATCTCGGCTCACTGCAACCTCTGCTTCCCAGGTTCAAGCCATTCTCTTGCCTCAGCCTCCTGAGTAGCTGGGATTACATGTGCGTGCCACCACGCCCAGCTAATTTTTGTATTTTTAGTAGAGAGGGGGTTTCACCATGTTGGTCAAGCTGGTCTGGAACTCCTGACCTTGTGATCCGCCCACCTCAGCCTCCCAAAGTGCTGGGATTACAGGCATGAGCCACCGCGCCTGGCCAACAAACTTTTGAAATAAAATTTGTTAAATATTGGAAACTACCTGCATATTGAAATAATCCCAAAACATGGTTTAATAACATGTAAAATAGTAAAACATTTTTACGAATAAAGAGCAAAATGTTAAAATGGAAAGAAACTGGGTTTTTTAAATTCCAAGAAACTAAGTACTATTACTACTTGGGAATTATTGTTAGGACAAAGTTATTGCTATTTAAGACAAAATAATGTAATTACTATGACATTTAGTCATAGTAATTACGATTTAGAACAAAGAATGCAACTTTCCAGGAAAATTGGTTCACTACAGAGTGCAGGAATAAACAACGATGGATCTGTGTACTTACATGTGTGATTTCTCAATGTTTGACAAGACTAGTGCTGAAATCACCTTTGCAAAATTATGACTGAGACAGTGAAAGAGATCTAACTTAATCGACTCCATCTTGCATCTAACCTCCAAGCTGTTCTTGTTCATTCTTGGGCTTAGACTAAACTAACTTTGGGATAAACTTAGTTTATAGTTTAAAACAAAGATGATAACAGCTCTTTTCCAAAGCAGACCTCCTTCTTGTCTGGGGACTAGATTGTGTTTGTAGGGACTGACATTAGCCACAAGATTAAAACTTATGGTTTAGGAGCCATGCAGCTGAAGGCTACAAGGTTCTGACCCTTTGTAAACTGCTCCTAAGATCAGTGCTTGAGATACTTTGCAGACCCTGCACTTGATGGATCAGCTGGCACACCTAGATAGATTAACTGGCTCATCTTATCTTGTGGCCCCCACCCGGGAACTGACTCAGTGCAAGAAGACAACTTTGACTCCTATGATTTCATCCCTGACCAATCAGCACTCCTGGCTCACTGGCTTACCCCACAACCCACCAAGTTGTTCTTAAAAATTCTGCTCCCCGGCCGGGCGCGGTGGCTCATACTTGTAATCCTAGCACTTTGGGAAGCTGAGGCAGGCAGATCACCTGAGATCAGGAGTTCGAGATCAGGCTGGCCAACATGGTGAAACCCTGTCTCTATTAAAAATAAAAATTAGCTGGGTGTGGTTGCGCGTACCTGTAATCCCAGCTAGTCAGGAGGCTGAAGCAGGAAAATCACTTGAACCTGGGAGATGGAGGTTGCAGTGAGCCGAGATCGCGCCATTGCACTCCAGCCTGGGTGACAGAGCAAGACTCTGTCAAAACAAACAAACAAACAAAAAACAACAACAACAACAAAAAAATGACTCATCCCCAAAACTTGGGGAGACTGATTTGAGTAATAATAGAACTGTGGTCTCCTGCACAACCAGCTCTGCGTGAATTGCTCTTCCTTTTTTTCAATTCCCCTGTCTAGGCAGCGGGTAAGGTAAACCCATTGGGCGGTTACAATACCTTTATCCAGTGATTCTTTAACCAAACATGTAAAAACCACTGAAAGAGCATGTGTAGCTAATTTGACCAAACATATTTATTCTCCAAAAAAATCTTTACCTGGGGAAAAATTAATCGATATTCATAGCCTTCCTACCCAATATCTTAACATTGCTTCTTATGTAAATGTGACTGTTAACTTTTAGAAGGCATTTGCCTACGTCTATGTTTAATATCTGCATTTTGTAGATGAGAAGACTGTGGTCTGTGGGCTTCAGAGATGTGGCCAAAGCAAATAGCCAAGTCAAATCTTGGCTGTCCATGAGTGACATATTGCTTTTTGTTGTTGTTGTTGTTATCTGGATCATCCTCTTTATGCTGCCCACATCACTATAGTTCATAAGGCAGAAACACTGAGGTTTTCATTTTTGTTGTTGTTATCTGGATCATCCTCTTTATGCTGCCTGCATCACTATAGTTCATAAGGCAGAAACACTGAGGTCAAATGGGACTGGAAATATGAGTGCTCACCTATCACTGTTAGTATCACTACTCAAAATCATAATTAACGGAAGGGGTCATTAACAGCTCTATAGATAAAAAAGAACACTTAACTCATAAGCCAGTGTGTTAGAATGGTAGAGACTTTCAGATTTAAGAATGAGCCTAGTACAATATGTCATTTTCTTCTTCATTTATTTATTATACTAAATGGCTACATTCATCACATTCTAGCATTTGAGTTATTTTATAACATTAATGGAAAAATACTCTTCCAATTTAAATATATTACTCTAACCAACACAAAAATCATGCACAATTCCTGCCGTAAACACACACAAAGAGAGAGAGAGAGAGCTGCTTTTGAGAAAGTGTTTAAGAAGCTCCTTCAAATAATGTTTCTGGTTTTTATATTTTACTTTTTATTATTATTGTTATATTAATCATAAATCCTAAAATATCTTGCTATTTTACCCTCAAGTGTATTTTAACAATTCTCTTGGAATCTGTTCTTCCTGGTAGAGAGGATTTTGGTTTTTAAGCAACTTCAGCAGAGCACTTGAAATCATTAAATGACTAATCTGCATATTTCAGTGAAACTCTTCATGCTTCCAGAGAAACTAGAAACAAAAGGATTCTAGTCAGAAAAATAACAAAAGGAAGAGCTAAATTTGTCTAATTTTTTAAGAAGCTACTGAAATACTTATGGAATAGTAAGCTAACAATCCAAAGAGTTAATGCAGTTTTCAAGGCCCTTACTTTGCTCTCTAAAAAGAGTTTTATTCTGGGAAAAATCTGGAACAATTTATTCCATTTCCATTTGCTCATAATGTGTAGAATCATTGAAAAGCACAGTGAAAGCATGGTGTTATTATCTGATATTTAGTTACTTGTCTCCCAGAGTGTGGTGGTCTAACATTAGCTAAAATAGCATTGGTCTTCATGTCTACTTTCAAACAGACAAGAACAAATATAATGATAGAGACTCAAATAGTTAATCTCAAAACAAAAACATTTGGTTATTTTGTATACGCCGAGTAAATTGAAGGTGGGACTTTGCTAGATTTTAGGAAGTGCAATTCAGTATAACGGAAATGACAGTTGGAAATAACATTACCCTGAAGACCAAGCATTCCCACTAAGCCCCATTATTTGATCTTATACAGACTTAAGTAAGTCACAGCAAAATGCCTTAGAACAGGAGGATAAAATCTGAGATTCATGAAGGGGCATGAAGGGGTTTTAATACAATTCTGAAACAGTATGGTAAATTATGTGTATTTATAAAAATTAAGGAAAAGATCCAAACTTTCATTGGATTCTCCAAGGTACATATGGTGAAAAAGTTAAGAACCACTGTCTTAGAAAAAGACTATAGTGAATTTCCCAAATGAAATTAAATGGAAACCAAGGGTTGTCATTTATTTTCTGTGACAGATGCAGGTAATACCACTGATCAATTCTTGGGGACCTTGACTTTGCGAAATGATCAGATCACAGTGAACCAAGCAGAGAAGTTATCAAAAATATGTACTTAAATTATTTCATTTTTCATTCCCTATATTCAAAACCTTCTACCTCTTTACTGTTCCAGACTCACCACTGCCATTTCTATTCATAGAAACTACAGCCTAAATGACTGCTACCTTTACTAATCTATACTTAGATCTTCTATCTAGAGATATAGTGGAACACTATTGAGAAACAAAGGCAAAATTTAACTTTTTTTTTTAGACAGAGTCTTGTCCTGTCACCCAGGCTGGAGTGCAGTGGCATGATCTCTGCTCACTGCAACAGCTGCCTCCCAGATCCAAGCGATTCTCCTGCCTCAGCCTCCCAAGTAGCTGGGATTACAGGCGTCCATCACACCTGGATAATTTTTGTATTTTTAGTAGAGACGGGGTTTCATGATGTTGGTCAGGCTAGTCTCAAACTCCTGGCCTGAAGTGACCCGCCCACCTCGGCCTCCCAAAGTGCTGGGATTACAGGCATGAGCCACCGCACCTGGCCTTTTGTTTTGTTTTTTTAAGCAGCAGAACTGTAAAGGGTAGTCCTTTTAATCTACCTTCAATCATAATTCTGTAAGTTTTCAGACATTTTGTCCTGATCATTTAAAAATAATTTTCAAATTGTAAACAATTTCAGATTTATAGAAAAATTGTGATGATGTTACAAGATGTCCTATATACCCTACTCCCAGGTCCCCCTACTATTAATGTCTGATATTAGTATAGTTCATTTGCCACAATTAATTAACCAATATTGATACATTATTATTCATAAAAGTGCACACTTTATTCAGATGTATTAGTTTTTATCTGATGCCAGGATTCCTGTTCCAAGAGTCTATGCTTTCACATTACATTTAATCATCATGTTTCCTTAGGCTCCTTGGTGCTGTGACAGTTTCTTAGACTTTCCTTGTTTTCAATGACCTTTACAGTTTTGAAGAGGACTAGTTAGATATTTTGCAAAATGTCTCTCAATTCAGGCTTCTCTGATGTTTTTCGCATGATAAGACGACAGTGATTATGAGTTTGGGGGAGGAAAACCACAGACGTAAATTGCCATTCTCATTGTTATCATATCAAGCCCGCGTACTATCAGAGTTAACTTATCATCATTGAGGTCAGTATTGATCAACTGACTGGAGTAGTTTTTGTAAGGTTTCTCCACTGTAAAGTTACTGTTTTTTTAGCCTCTTTCCATATTGTATACCTTCAAAGAAAGTCATTATGCATAGCTCACACCTCAGAAGTAGGGCATTATGCTCTACCTATTTTAGGGCAGAGTAGCTACATTAATAATTTGGACTTTTTTGCATGAAGAGTTATCTATCTTTCATATATGAGTGTATAGACTTGTTTCTATGAGTCTACATATGAGTATATAGACTCCATGAGTCTACATACGAGTATATAGACTCTATGAGTCTAGGAGTATACATGAGTCTATATATGAGTATATATACTGTGTATATGAGTACACAATCACAATCCAGTGGATTTTTTTTTCTCAAACTGCTCTAACTTTAGCTACAGGCTACTCTGTCAGTTGGCACTGGTGTCTTTTTGACCTATTCCCCCATCATTGTGAATTTTTTGAGCAATTCTTTACTTTCTGACAATATATGATATTCCAGATTCACTGTAATTCTATCTTCCTTTCATTTACTTGTTCTCTATTTACCTTCCTTTCTTTATGTAGATCAAATTGTAAATAGTTTTAGGTTTACAGAAATGTTGTGATGATTTTGCAAGATTTTCCAGATGTCCTCCTCCCAGTTTCCTCTACCATTTTAAAATGCTAAAAACTAGATCTGAGTTCCCGACCTACACCAATTTTTTTCCCTCTGAAGAAATTCCTCTGAACATTTCTTACAGGGCAGGTTGCTGGCAGTAAATTCCCTCAGTTTTTGTTTTTATGAGAAAGCCTTTATTTCTTCTTCACTTTTGAAGGATAATATAACTGGATATTGAATTCTAGACGGGTGTTTATTTTCTTTTCTTTCAACACTTTAAATATTTCACTCCACTTTCTTCTTGCTTGCATGGTTTCTGAAGAGAAGTCTGCTGTAATTCTTATCCTCATTCATTATAAGGAAGGCTTCTTGTTTGTTTTCCCTGTCTGTATTCTTTCAAGCTTTTTCTTTATCTTTGGTTCTTAAGTCTGAATATGATACACCTATTTGTAGTTTAAAAATCATTTTATTTAGTGTTTTCTAAATTTCTTAGATGTGGTGTCTGTCATTACTATCAGGATTTCCCCACAATTATTAATTTAAATATTTCTTCTGTTCTGTTCTTTCTTGTTCTGCTGGTATTCAAGCTGAGATAATCTTACACCTTTTGAAATTGCCCCACAGTCCTTGGATGTTCTGCTCTATTATATTTACTTATTTATCCTGTGCGTACTTCAGTTTAGGAAGTTTCTATTAGCCATCTTATTCTTTCCTTGGCTGTGTCTATTCAAATAATGAGCCTATCAAAATGATTCTTCATTTCTGTTACTGTGTTTTTTATTTCCAATATTTTCTTTTAATTTTTCCTTAGAGTTCCCACCTCTCTGCTTACATTACCCATCTCTCCTTCCATGTTGTGTATATTCTCCATTAGATTTTAAACATATAATTATAGTTATTTGAAATTCCTTATATGATAATTTCAATACCTGACATAACTGTAGCTTGTTTTGATGTTTGACCTTCATACTGTGCTTCTTCTTTTCTGTTTGCATACTTTGCAAATTTTTTGTTTGAAAACTGCACATGATATAGCAGGTAATAGGAATTGAGATAAATAAGTCTTTAGTGGGAAGTTTTATATTAATCTGGCTAGAAGTTGAGCTGTGTTTAATGTTTGCTGTAGCTGCCAGATGGTGCACATTCCCCTACCAGCCCTGTTTTTATCTTTCCTTTTGACTTTGGGAACCCCTAAATCCTTCCAGAAAAAGTCTTGCGGCTCTATTAACTCTAATCCACTGTCATTATACTGGAGATCTGTTGCTGTTATAGTAAGATGTGGGGGAAGCAAAGTGTTACAATATTATATTTAAATCTCAGTTTTTGTGTTGACCTGTGTACCTACTCTGTGACCTTCACAAGCTTTCTATAGCTTTCTCTGTTTCACCCATTTTAGGTGAGACTGGAAGACTGGATAGGGCTGAAGTTGGAGAAATGCCTTTTCCCAGGTGAGATAAAGTTCTAGTAAAGTCAATTTTCTTGGACAGTAGGCCTTTGCTATAATAAATGTTCCAAGTATATTTCATAATGACTACTCTTTCCCTGCCAGAGCCTGAGAGACTCTTTCTCAGCTCTTCACTGAGAGAACAAGGTGTTGTTCCCAAAGGTAACCCCCACAAAAATGTGGGTGTCCCATGAAGACTGCAGCCAGCAGAAATCCCTCATTCTCATGCTATTCCAAACTTATTCTTTAGCAATTTATCAAAATTACTATTTAAGTGATCTTCCTAGTTATGGCTCCAGTGTCTTCTGCTCCAGATAAGCAGATTTTTATTGTGACTCTTCCAATCGCTAGTATTTCCAGATTACAGAATGGTAGTTTGTCTTGCAACCTCAGCTCTCCGATAAACCCAAGAAAAGTAATTAATTTTCAGTTCATTTTTTTTTTTCTGTAAGGATAGGAGTAACAACTTCCAACTTTTTTACATATTGGAGCTAGAATTGGAAATATCATGATATCTTATTGTGGTTCTATGATCAAATATGTTTGGCAAACAACTGTTAAACAAGTTAAAATAGTTTTATTTTTCATTTTAAAAATTTTCAACGCTTCATCATTTTTATGTATTTTATGTGTATTTCTAGTTTAGTCAAAATCTAACACATTCTGGGATCACCTCGCTATTGGATCAAAATAATATAAACACTGCAGCGTTCTCTTACAGGTCACTTATTTCTTTGTTTTTCAAATCCAGCACTTATAATATTTATTCAAACATAACACTCAGAATAATTCTAAGCATATTTATCCATGCAATTACATCTTTTCAGCCTCCCTAAAACATATACATTAAATAATTACTTTTTCATCCATTTTCAATTTCTAGTACAATCAATTTCTCTTCCAATTAATTCTTCACATTTCTTTCAATGTGCATACAACCTAGTAGTTTGAATCAATCAGGTTTTCCAAGACAGAATAAAATCTTTTTCTAAATCCTGCCTAACAAGTAGACATCTGAAATTTTATCTTCTCTAGCCAAACAAAATGAATGGATGTGCTATTTGTAAATGCTTAAAGTTATATGAAGTGCATATAATACCAGATAATGTAAAATATTGTTACTACGTTGCATGAAATATCATCACCTAACAAATTTTAGGATGCCAAGAAATCTGATATAAGGGTCAATGAAAAACATGGCTAACACAAGTGTCATACATTGTGTATTTCATGCTATAAATAAGAAACTTCTGGAAAAAATAAACTAGAATCGGCCACTGAATTACATATAAGAATGAACTCAGGAGGAAGCAGTTTCTATATAAATTGTAAGGTGAGAAAAAGAGAAACCAAAGCCAAGAAAAGGCTAATTCTCCAGCCAAAACCTTTGAATCTTGCCAAAGTGTGGGAGGTGATGGGAGACTGAAGTAGGCATATATCACCCATACTCATTTCCTTAAACCCTTACTCACAGATGCACATTGAAAGACCCACAAATTTTATGTTGGCAACAGCAAAGATAGTTAATCCAATTGCACACACTACTAACTGTTCCAAATTTACATTTCCATGTAAAACTACTGAACGGGCACATTATGTGTGTTTAGACTGTACTACACCTGGCTTTTTGAAATTTGAGCTCTCTCCACAAGCACAATCCCAGCTACTGGTTGATTTTTTGGTTGCTATGTTTCAGAGCATAGGGTTTCTACAAATGGATTGAAAGAGTAAGCATGCAATATGAAGTGAAAATGCAAAGAAGATTTTAGGCAATTGGTTGGACAATAATGTGTCATGTGTGGCCAATGTGTAGCCCAAGTGAAGTAGAAGACTGTACTATATTCCCTGGCCTAGAAAATCTTCTCCATTATTCACTCCATATGTTTGCCTTTACTATCCTAAAAGATAAAGCGGTGTGAACCAATGCCAGGTGATTATAGATCACACACAGTGATTATGGAATTGTTAAACTGTGAAATCCTCAGGGGACTGAATCCAGAAAGCTATACTTGGTGGAAGGAAGTAACAGAGAGTCATGACTTCTGCAAAGGGTATGTGTGGATGGGGAGAGGAATAGTTCTTGGTGTGGATTCAAGGAGAAATAAATTTGCCAAAAAACTGCAGCAGTTGATAGACACTCTCCCTGGCAAACTACATTCAAGTGTCAAAGAGGAACAGAAAGTATAGGTCAGAGAGAGAAGAAGGGGAGTTGAGATACTTGCTGTCATGATGTTGATAAATTACTTTAAAATTCTTCAGAATAAAGTGGAATATGAATGTATATAGCAATGCTTTTTACTTCTCTTTAGGGTTGTCAGACTGTCATTTGTTCTGATGAAGACCCCGCACTCCTTGAGTGGTCAGCCAGTTTTATCCCAGGGCAGCCACACTTCAGAGGCCTCTGCATCATAAGCTTCATCTATCTTCATATTCAGCAAAACACCAGATAAGTGGCTAATTAGCATAATTAACATCAGAAATGGGTTTTCATTGGTGAATTTAGTGGCTTGTTAATCAGCATAATGAATGTTAGAAATGGGTTCTGAATTGTGAAATTAGAAGAAATCAAGATAGTGAATTGGTTAAAGTATTATAGAAACATACTTAACACTTGCATAAAATGGGAAATTAGAATCTATGAGATCTGTTGGGATGGCCCCGAAGGTTACATCATTAAATGGACTTGAGTCCAGTCTTTGGGTGAGAGAATTTCATAGTGACTGATGCAAATTTGTAAAGGTAACAAAATCTGCCTCTGAAATATTGCTATGTTTGTCTCCTGTAAATCATTCATGTAACAAATATGTATAGTTTGTTCATCTAAAAGCACAGTGATCTGGGTCTTTATCAAACTTAAACAATATTGTATTCACTCTTTCGGGTTTGCCTGTGCATTCATGTTTATGTATGTCTGTATGAACATAGATTTTGGTCTGAAACTTGCTTTTATTACAACTGGTAACAAAGCTTGCTTACAATGAGCAACAAATACTCACACACATCAAAATGTTCAGCTTTTTCTATAAAAGAACTTCTGAGTTGTATGAAATCAAATTGGTTTACATCAGTTCAGAACGGTTTGCAATAATGTGCTACAGAGAAGTAAACATCTTCTGTTCCAGCATTACAGGATTCTGTAGTGTGTTGAAGACCTGCTGTTTGGTAAGATGATCCACACTCCTTGAGACAATTCAGCCCTGATGGCCTGACAGTATTGTTGTAACTTTTCAATAACTGTAATGTTATTACTTCTGTTTTAGAGAGGAATAAATCTGAGGTCAAAGAGGTTAAGTAGCTTGCCCAATTCTAATACATGGGAAGGAATACAGAAAGTAGTTAATTCCAAATGTCACTTTTTAACATCATGTTCTTTTCTCTAAGTCATGGTTCTATATCTTGGGACATAGAAAATAGAAAACAAGTTCCAATGAACAACACAGCCAAAAGAGAAGTTTTTGAGGGAAAGCACACATAAATTTCTTAACCTCAAGTGCCAAAGAATGTCTCCTATTTCTTAGGGATCACAGTAAAATCCTCTTGGTATAAATTCTAGTTGTTGCTTGATGCTAAGTTCAATGTTTACTAAGCACCAGATTTCATTCCATAGAGTGGGTTCAGTAATTCTTAGCTAATTTTTTTGTTGCTATTATAAAATCTTAAGTTGAAAAAACCTTTCAGGTACTGTTACGAAAAGACATGTGAACAGGATGGAGGCGCCTGAAAATTTTACCCAAGATTATGTTTCTCGGAATTGCTAAGAAGTACTTCTTAGCAAATACTAATTTAACAAGTCTTCTAATAGGAAGTATTGCACTACACAATCAAGTTGTTTTTAACTAGGAATCATTTCATTTTGAAATAAATCACAGGTTTACATATAAACACACACACACACACACACACACACACACACACAGCCCACATATGTATGTCAGCTTAACCATATGCAGCTCTGATAGCTCTGATTAAATATATGCTTCCAACCCTATAAACAGCAAGATCCACAGTCGCTTCCATGAAATAGTTATTTCACCGAGACTGGATAAATGGTAAAGCTTTTTCCTCTCTTCCAGCTGTAACCATTCCCTTTCTTTCTGGGATCCTCTGTCCTCCTTCCTTGGAAAAGCACCTTCCATAACATACTGAGAGTAAAGAGTACAGTGCTCTTGTGAAGGCAGAATAAAAACTTGGAGGTACTTACTGAGAATACTAGAGCTGGGTCTGAGAGCTCCATGAATGTCGATGACAGAGCAGGCCACTTCAAATAGATAAAACTGCATTAGTGCTTTTAAATTTGTCCTTGGGAATACGCTCATCTGAAACAATGATTGCAGATACAAATCAGATGAATGCTGCTTTCGGAACTAAATGAATGCTCTAAGAGAACAGCTCTGAGAAGAATACATTGAAGAGTCTGGAAAGTAATTTCATGGAAAATAGATTGGGTGCCCAGTTTATTTGAAGAAAGATGGGAGTAGAAAAAGCAAAAAGAAGAAAATGATTTTAAAGTTTATTTGGACATGCCACAAATTATGCCTATATATGTTTTATGCATGAGTTAAATATCTGACAGATAATTATTGATCACAGAAATTCTATATAAAGGATGTACTCCCAAATTGAATATCTCTACACAGTAAGCTTATGTAATTCAAATCTTTTTCTCATATCATATGTTGTTTGTACATATAAAGGCTTGCATTATTCTGAAAGGGGCACATTAAAAATACAAACTCAGCCAAATGACTGAGAAGAATTTAGGATGTACACACTAACGTTAAAAACCAGTGCAAAAAATTAACTATCCTCTGAATGGGTTATGTTTTCCCATATAGTTAGGCCCTGCTGGATAGTTATTTAGATGCCTTGAGAACTATCTTCATGTCACCCTCAAGACTCAGGCCCTGGGGCTGCAAAGAGCTATTTCATCCCAGGATGATCAGAAATGGGAAATATGAATCAAGGATGATTTCTGGCAGAATTGGGTCTGACTCATGAATGGCAATGCCTTTTTTCTTCCTTTAACTTATCTTTAAAGGATATCCTTTGAAGGAGATAACTTTCAGGAAAATGAGATACTCGTCTATGAAAAAGTCAAATTATTCCAGGTAACAGAGCTCAGAGCAGTCTTCCACAAGGCTTGACACTTCAAAACAAACAATAAGAAATCCACTTAAAATTCCTTAACTTTCCTCTTTCACAGAATGATATTTTACCTCAAGGGTATTTATGTAGCTACAGAAAACAAGGGTAGAGGCCCCAGGCTTCTTTCACAAGGTGTTGATTGATACTATAACTTTCCTGGAGCCCAAGAGGAGAGGACTTAAAATGCACCCATGGGTTCTTGTCTTGGTATCGTCAGAAGAAGGAGCATCTCACTGGTGACAGGGTTCCTTTGGGCAACTTTTTACTGCTCAGAGGTAGAAACAGTTTATCAAGCTACTGTTTCTTGGGGTGACTTGTTCAAAGTTTCCTTTCACGTAATGGGATGCAACATGAGATGAGAAGTGACAGCTGGAAGCTGAATCTTGCATACAGGATAGGTGCTCACATATCTTAGTGTGATCATACAAAACTTTTTGAGGAGTGAGATTGTTTTTGAGGCCTACTGATTCAGCAAAGTGCGCTTACTCAATATTTTAGGTAGTTATTAAGGAAGCAGTCCTGAAAGCACTATAAAGCAATGCATATAATTAAAATGTCTTTGACTCAAGACATGGAACCAACCCAAATGCCCGTGAATGATAGACTGGATAAAGAAAATGTGGTACCTACACACCATGGAATACTATGCAGCCATAAAAAGCAATGAGATTATGTATTTTGCGGAGACATAGGTGAAGCCGGAAGCCATCATCCTCAGCAAACTAACAGAGGAACAGAAAACCAAACACCTCATGTTCTCACTCGTAAGTGGGAGTTGAACAATGAGAACACATGGACCCAGGGAGGGGAACAACACATGCCAGGGCCTGTTGGGATGTGCGGGGCCAGGGGGGTGAACTTAGATGATGGGTCAATAGGTGCAGCAAACCCACCATGGCACACGTATACCTATGTAACAAACTTGCATGTTTTGCACATGTATCTCGGACCTTAAAGAAAAATAAAAGTTTGAAAAAATGTCTTTAATCCATATTTGGAAAAGTCAATGGAATCTCAGGCTCCTCAACCCTTATTCTTCAGAGTTCTTGATGCCCTACCTCTTCTTTGTGGCAATTGTTATCTTTCCATGTATGTGTTACAGGCCCTTCTGTTGTCCATTCAGTAACTAGCATTTACTTAGTATCAGTCCATCAATCCCTAATACTAGGCTTGGTTGACGTCAGTCTAGCTCTTCTCACAACTTCAGGTAGGGCCTCATTCTTATTGGATCTCCGGATGGAAAGAGCCACTTTCAGTGTTCTTTTATTATATGACTGTTCTCTTAGGTCTTGAGGAAACACTCCCTAGGACTATATCAGAGAAGACTCTAGTGGCCCCACTGATTGTTAAAGCCAAGCGTGTCGGGTCTCACCACTGGACTTGTCTCAGAATCCTGTCCAGGGCCTGGATTTGGCTCCATCATAGGCTCAATGCACTGCTGCACACTGTAGTGCTTTCTGCTGAATGTGTGGCTTCCCTTTTTGCTTAAGACCAGACCAGGGTTTCACCGTGGGTTTCAAAAAATCTTACTATGAGCTCACTATATTCTCATTCAGTTAGGATATACAGAAGTAAGGTGGCCTTTCGGCCTGGCAAAGGATACAGATGAGTGATGTTTCAGTTTGATAACTAGTAATTTATAGACCCTGTTAAGAATTGCCAATTAGTATGAGAATAGAGAGACCAATTTTTTTAGCTCATATTTTCTGAATTTTTCTATATTGAACAATTAGTAGTATTTTTATAGGAATTAAGGCCTGGTTTTTCTATACATCTATAACATTCTTAATTTTAACTATATATATATATATGACATTTTGTATTTAACATTTATGTAATTTTATTTTTGTCTAATAATTCAAGATGAATAAAATAAAGAGAACATCTATAAGTAAAAAAGTTTTAACGACTTTTTCACCCATTTACATATTTGATATTAAATTTAATTAATTGATGCATTAGGTAGCTATTTCCAAATGTGTGGAAAATTGATGTGAAATAACAATGAAGTATGTAGGTTTCTGAGCAGCAATAGCAGGCAGGGACTTTGAGAACAGTATTACAATATCTCTACTTGAGGCTGCCTGCTGTTCGGCCTAAAATGAATATGTAATGATAAATTATGCCCAAAATGGTGTATTGATTTATTCAGGGAAAAAGATTTTTATTGTTAACTGGTTCAAGACCATTTCCAAGATGTCTTTGTCATTCCCATGAGGGCCAGCTTAATACAAAGTGGGCAAATGCAAGATATTGGAGTTGATTTTACTTTATTAGATCCATACACAACTCAAGAAAATTAAAGCTGACTTTCATGATGTGTCACATTAAGTTTGAAGGATAAACTCTCAAGCTAGATAACTTCTAGAATTATCAAAAAATTACTTGGGATATAAATGTAGAATAATTGCACTGATATTGTATAAAGAAAAGTAGATTATTTTCTTCATTTCAATTAGTATCAACAATTTTAGTCACTTAGGCTATCAATTGTTAATGGTAAACAAAATTATCATTCACTTTTCTATGGTGATTGAGCCAGGTCACTGCCAAGTTTACATATTTACATTGTGTAAGTTAAACATTTAGTAACACATTGCTCTAAACATCATGTGTCTAAAATAGGTACACACACAGAGAGAGAGAGAGAGAGAGAGAGAGAGAGAGAGGGAGGGAGTCTCACTCTGTTTACCATGCTGGAGTGCAGTGGCACAATCACAGCTCAGTGCACTCTTGACCTCCCAGATTCAGCCTCCCAGGCAGCAGGTGTGAGCCACCACGCCCAGCTAATTTTTTTTTGTATCTTTTTGTGGAGACAGGGTTTCACCACGTTGCCCGGGCTGGTCACCTATTCCTGGGCTCAAGCAATCTGCCAACCTCTGCCTCTTACAGTGCTGGGATTACAGGCATGAGTGACTGTGCCTGGCTGATAAAGCGTTTCTTTCACCAGAAAGAAATCTGCTCTAACATATTAGTTTTATTTTATATAGGCGGAATTGTTTATTAGTCCAAGTTTTAATGTCATTATCTGTCCACATACTTCTGTATGGAAAATGGGTAGACGTTACACAAATGCAAGGGGTTCGGTCTAGGTCCTCCTGCTTGCTGCACAGAACACCAAGCACTGGGACGAGTATTGCCAAGGATGAAGGCTTTAATCAGGTGCTGCAGCTGAGGCAGACCTCCTCAGCTGTTGTTTGTCTCCCAAGCAACTAAAATTGGGGGCATCTATATAGTGGGGAAGGCAGGAAAACAGGAATTAGGGAAAGGAAGGAGGCTGATATGGTTTGGCTGTGTCCCCATTCAAATCTCATCTTGAATTGTAGCGCCCATAATTCCCACGTGTTGTGGGAGGGACCTAGTGGGAGATAATTGAATCATGGGAGTAATTTCCTCCATACTATTCTTGTGGTAGTGAATAAGTCTCACGAGATCCTATAGCTTTATAAGGGGAAAGCCCGTTCGCTTGGTTTTCATTCTCTCTTGCTTGCCGCCGCCTAAGATGTTCCTCGTTCTTCTGCCGTGGTTGTGAGGCCTCGCCAGCCATGTGGAACTGTGAGTCAACAAAACCTCTTTCCTTTATAAGTTACCCAATCTCGGGTATGTCTTTATTAGCAGCATGAGAAAAGACTAATACAGAGGCCCTCATGATGGATAAGGGCCCTGGCAGTCTTGTCTGAATGCAGTGATCTGGGGAGTTCCAGTCCCTTGCCTGAAGTTTGGTTTCCTGAGGGAGGAACTCAGATGGGACAATGTGAATTTCAAGTTTTGAGAACCAGAGAGTCCGTTTCTATGTTTATTTTTTTAATGTAAATATTAGCTCTATGGGACAATTGGACCAGTTTCAGATGGAGACCAATAGCAAGTAACATTTCTAAGCCAACATAAGAAGAACCTAGGTTTTGTTTTGTTTTTAGGATTTTCATCTGTTTGGTGTAATTATGTGTAATGTGTAAACTTGGCTAGGCTATAGTACATAGTTTTTAATCAACCACTAATCTCAGGTGTTGCTGTATAGATAGTTTGTAAATGTAGTTAGCATTTTAAATCAGTTGACTTTAATTAAAGATTATCCTTGATAGTTAAGTGGACTTCATCCAGTCAGCTGAAGGTTTCCTGAGAAGAAAAATTCTACTTCAAGACTCAAAATCAACTCCAGCCTGAGTTTCCAGCCTACCAGCCTGGCCTATAGATTTCAGATTTGCCAGTCCCAACAATTATGTGAGCTAGATTCCTTGAAATAAATATCTTTGAATTTATTTAGGATTAATAGGATACACAAACACACACATATATATTCTATTGATTCTGTTATATGTTATACAACATGATTCTGGAGAACCCAGCCCTATAATAGGTTTTTAAAAATATATCTTTGCACTACTATGTGTGTACTATTTATCCCAATATTCCAAAGTATATATGAGTAGATATAGACATCACTGTATGCAATAGTAGAGGTTAATATCAATAGCTATAATTTATACTGTATACTATATATTCCTCTACTTTCATTCATTTTTCCATGAACAAATATCTTTTGAGAATCTGCCATCTACCAGGCACTAGCCAAGGTAAGTATAAAACGATGAAAGACAATTCTAGAAGACAAGTATTATCTGCCTTGTTTCAAAAATAAGAAAACTGAGCCTTGGAAAGTTTAGGGAATTTTCTCAAGATAACATAACAAGTTAGATGGCGGAGCTAGGATTTCAACCTTTTCTATCCGACTCTGTCACCCCACCCCACCCCACCAACATTGTTTAAGCAGTGGAGACTTAATAAACTTTAGGATTGAAAAAGAGCACTATATGTACATACGTGTGTGTGTATACACTTAGTGTTTTAAGACAGTCTTGCAGATCAGGAAACTGAAACCCACAGAGATTGATGATTTGGGTTAGTCATGAACTTTACAGTACTCTTCAGAAAACTAGGTTCTCAGGACTGTTTGGTTGTCTCTTTAGAGTTCATATTAAGTGTATTTGGGGAGGTAAGAATACAGTGAGTGATTTCTGAAGTAACCGAAACACGTTTCCTCTGTTCCTGCCTTTTTCTTCTCCCTCCTCTTTAGTCAATGAAAACAAATTTCTTTTCTCTTTAAATTAAATATATTATGAATCAAAGGATAAAAATTTGCTTATATACACACACATATATATAGAGGTCATCTATTAGCATCTATTAGTTAACATATATATACATATATAGACAGCTTATATATCTATAGATGATACATAAATTGAATGTAATCCACAAGATATACTGTATATATAATGTGTGTATGTATATATGTATGCACAAAGCTGTGAATATGTTTACACATAAATCTATCAGTATTTAAGTATTGAGGAAGTTTGATTATTACACTGTAGTTTTTATAAATTCTCTGTAAATAGTTTTTACTAATTATTAAAAAGAAAATACAAAGGGACAGCCGCTAAACTTTTTGTGTGTGTGTGAAAATCCAGATTGTTCAAATGAAGGGGCAGCAGTTTTAGAATATAGATTGAACATTCTTAAAATCAATTATTTGGTTGGATTTAGCTATAGCTCAACACAATCCTGGATGATAAATATGTAAATATCTGATTCCCAGGTAAATAGTAGAAAGATTCAAGATGCTGTGGACCACTGCAAAGCAGAAAAACGTAGTTGTATATGTAAATGAATTAGCCACGTTACACAGTTAGTGAGCAGCAAAGCCCAGCTTCCATAACTCCTGAGACAATACTTTTTACACTTCAAAACACAAATATGTTATTTTTTTCACTTGACCAAAGCCATGTGAGAATAGTATTGACTTTATTACCATTAAGATGTTTCTAAAACTCTGTCACACACACACAGACACACACACACACCCAATACATATTTACATGAACTGTAAACTGAATATTCAAACTTTAAGGAAAAGGGTTCTTTTCCCTTAAATTATCCATGTAATTCCCTTGATTTTTTTCCTGTTGACAGCCAATATATCTTGCAAATTCAATTAACTCTCGGTTTTCTTACTCCCCTCAGTTTCCTCTTCCCATTTGATAGTCTTGTGAAAATCCAATCTTTTCAAGATAATAAATTTGATAATCCTCAGAGGTGTCTTGTCATTTGCAGCACAATATTTTTCTTTGTCAATTATTATCAACTTTAGGCACTGTTTATCTATTTTGAGCACAGCAGGAGATGTCCTTAGCTCAGCTAACCTAGGCTATGTACAATTAGATAAGACACAAAGCAGTATTGGTGCTGAGTAGCCAATTTCCTGCCCCTGTTGTGTTCATAATCTTTATAGAATTATACGGTAGTGTGCCCTCTCAGTTCTATTTGTCCATATGAATCTTAGCTGCCCAAGTGTTTAATGCACTATTACCATAGGGTGGATTCCAGAGATTTATAGCATTGTTTACTACTTTCACATAGCATACAATAATTAAAAGGATACAATTCCTCATTAAAGCATACAATAGTGGTAAGAATTATATTTCTTTCCTAGGCAACCAGTATTCACTCTTGATCAACTTCAGGCATAGTTTTCCTTATAAAATAAGTTTTAGTAGGCAGAAAGATAAGTCAGATGTACTTGGCATCACAATCTCAGAAATAATATATGGTGGCTGTAGGAAATGAAGTTTTCAATGGTTTTCTAAGTATTCATTTACAGAGGAAAAACACCATACAATGTATATAGGCTAATTTTTTCTCTGTAATGTTAATCAGGCCTAAATCACTGCTAATAGCTTCACCCATGACAGCATTCTGACATTATGGTGTTCATTTTTGTATTACTTTCTTCTCTTTTTAGTTTTTGAAAAACTCAGGAAATTTGAATTGTTGCCAGTAACTCAACTGCACATTGTAACCAGAGTTTTGTAGGTTTATTTTTATAAAAAGTATTTCTTCAGTTTGCCTTCTCAAACTTTGAATATTTCAAGCATTCACCTCTGAGATATGCATGATGATCTTCAGTGAATTATCCAGACCCCTGGTGTATTTCATTCTAACTTGAATATTGCGCTTGGAAGATCAACATTATTCCATAATGACTCACCTGCTACAGTCCCCAGAGACTATTTCTCCTTCTCTGGATATATAAGTCAATCTCTACAAGAGAAACCTTGGATTACAATTAGCAATTATCATGGTAAAAGTAAGGGATAAAGAAAAATTTTAAAGAAATAGCCCCCATATAGGAAAGGAGGAGGTAAATTAAAGGGATTATATACTGTTAAGTTATTCATTGTATTTTTGTAACTCCCCTAAGAGAAAAGGAAAAAAACAGCATAATAAGGGAATCAAACTTTGTTGCATCTTTCACATCACTCAAATTACAGAATAAAACATGCATTCTAATCATTAACTTTTAATAGCTATGATTTTGGTTTAAAAAGTTGGTGTGTGGGGAATTTGTTGTGGTCATTGATAAAAAATTATACATTACATCAAGCTGGGAGTGCTTAAAGGGAGATTCCATGTGGCCAGAGAAACCACATATCTCTTACTAGAAACATAAAGAGACAATAAACAGCTGTCCACTGTGAAAGCAGTTATATTTTAGCTCTCCTAAGAATTTAGGAGTGGATTATTTAGTCTCCTAGCAGGCCAGAGGTAGGAATTCAGAATTTCCACTTCAAAACGTTGCTTCATCAGGATGAAAATGAATAAATGTGAGGAATGCTCCAGTTCCAAGCTGAAATCCAGGAAATTGCATTCAGCAGGGCTTTCTGAGCCAAGGCCTTAGTCACCAAAACACTTCATGGGAGTCTCCCAGCCAGTCAGGACCAACCTGTTGTTATTGGGCAGAGAAGGTCTCAGCGTTGGGTGGATTTGTATACCTCTATCCAGAGAAAGCTGATTCAGCAGTTGGAAGAAGTCAGGGTTGGACAACTAGGGTCCTAAGTGTTGTCGTTTATAGCAGCATGTTATAACCATAGCAGCATTAAAAGGAGACATGAATGAGTCTGCAAAGAAAGGAGAAAGCTGCTAAAATTAGTAAAATACATTTGTAAACAGTGGGAGATAAAATAGATGATTCTTTCTGAAGTCAATATCACAGATGACTGTTGACCAAGTGTCTACAGTTGCCCATTTCTTACCTTATGCCTTGGATTGACCAAACTTTAGACTTCTTTCGTTAACACAGGGCCCAGAACTTTGGCTTGCCCCCAAATCTGGCAAGCACTAAAATGCAGAACAGTCCCCAGCTCCAGCTTCCCATCTTGAGAATCAGCAGAGCACCGTGAGGAACACTTCCCATCAGAACTCCTCCCCTTGATCACTTTCCCTTGAAAGTCCCTGATTACCCCTTCCTTTAAAAGAGAAGCCTTTGTTTCTGTTTGATTTTTTGAGACATTTGCAGATCTTGAGACTGAGACATTTTCCTTCTTGCCATGGTCTTATTGAATAAAGTCTCTCTTTATCTAAGTTTGGATCTCACATCCTAAAGATGGGAAATGGCCTCTTTTGATTAGAAAATATGCCGGTTCTGTCTGAGTAACTCTGTTGACTTAACATCTATGCTCATTTTGTTTTCTCTCATTTTCCGGTGTTGGAGGCTGGATTCTCTTCCACCTTTTAGTGCCAATCATTCTTTTTGTATGTTATTTTCTTCTGGCTGATTTTGATGTCTTGAGTAATTATATTCCTTCTGAAGAAATCTGTAAGTGCCTGGGGATCCTAACCTTCTTCTCCAGGGTCTGATCATCCCTGAGACGACAAGATTGAGATACTGAGGACCTGAGCTTTGTTAGAGAAGTGTGAAGGGAGACAAAGCAATTCAGCGAAAGGTGTTTGGAGGCAGCATATACTGTTTTACGCACCATCTTATCTGAATTTTGAAGTTGTATGGCCTTGGAATTTTACTTAATCCCCCTAAACGGCCATCAAATAGGAATAAGAACCTCTATGTGCTAAGGGTTTTATGCAGACTAAATGTGGAAAATTGGTGTCCTGCCTATCATAATAGCTGGTACTAAGAGATGGTCAAGCAGTGGTGGGTATATTTAATGAGTTAAGTCCTCTTGACTCAGTGTCCCCTTATTTTCATTTCCCCTGCTGCTGTCTAATGTCTTCCCTCTACTAGACTGACATTAATTCCTTGAAGACATCTTCATCCTTTCTAGTCCCAAAGCCTGGGTCAGAAGAGTCACCCAGCTAACATTTTTTGAATGAAGTTTATTCATGTTTGTAATGTAAAATCAGAAATCAGATTCATCTTTCCTGATACCAGACAGGTTTTACTGAAGTCTCCTCGATTTGATTGCAGAGACACCACAAATATATTATGAGGGAAGTTGTATTAGATGTCCTCTAAAGTCCAATTCAAGACTAAGACTCTCTAATACTTTAGGAAAAAAATGTACTGGGTTATGATAATGTTTCATATTTTCTTACTCCTAAGAGTACTTAGCATCTACACCATTGTTCATATTATATGATGCCAAACAACCAGATGAAAAAGTGAGAAATGCTGTCAGGCATCCAGATATTTTACATAGTTGGTGCCAAACATCTGGGTGTTTAGAAACACTGACTAAATTTTTCACTTTTCACCTGGGTGTTTGGCATTGTACAGACAGAGCAAATGGCAAGCAGACATCTTGGCAGAGCAAACACTGAGACATACGGACGTGGGTGATGGTGTCATAGAATTCAAGCTGTTTGCCACAGAAGGAAAAGTTCACAACGGCATTTTGATCAACATGATATATTTTTGTTATTGAAGGGACTTTTCCTGCAAGAGAGGCTCTTGGCCTGCTTTGGAGTTGTGATAACTCTTTGGCTTTATATCCTTGTAGCCCACAATACTAGGCCGGTTAACCACTCCATTTAGAAAGCTTCCTAAGACTCTGGGAATCAGAAGGAGCTCAATGACTCACTGCTCACACTGAGGCAGTTTTGCTGAGTGACTTGTTCTTATCTTGTTTCCCGTGTGTTTTGGCCTTGCCTGCAGTTTATACTGTAACTAAATCTCTGAAATTTTCTTAACTAACTCTAGAAACTAGTCTTTGCCTCATAATTATAGTAACTGAACTCCAGCTTCTTCCAGACTCCTGAGACCCTAGAATGAATTTCCTAGGCCTATAGGTTATCTTTCCTTACATATACCTGTCTGTGTCCCTCTGCCAGTCACCTTGGCCATCCTAGTTTAAACACTGTGTTAGTGGAGACATGCTAGATGCTGCTGCTGTGATAAACAACCTTACAATTTCTGTGGTTTAAAACAACAACGTTTTCTCATTCACACTATTTACTGGGAATATAGGATATTCTTCAAGGCAAACACTTCTACGTTAGCTAGTACTTTGCTGACCAGGTTTCTGGGTTATCCCCTAGATACAGAAAATCTGGAAGAAGGGTTCCTCTCAGTCTTACAGCAAAAATTAGCCAGACTAACTTCAAAATCACGGACTAATAGAGAGCTGATGTTGCTCAACAACCAACAGACCCCAAATCTAAGGAGAAATGGTGCTTACAGGAAGGAAAATGTGAATATACACTAAGCTGCGGTAGAAACAATCAGAAATGCTAAGAACTCAGCAAAAATAGATGAAAAATATGTGTGCAGTAATAATACATTTTATTGTTTTATTTTAATTTATTTTAATTTTATTATTTTACTTTAAGTTTTAGGGTACATGTGCACAACGTGCAGGTTCGTTACATATGTATACATGTGCCATGTTCGTGTGCTGCACCCAGTAACTCTCATTTAGCATTAGGTATACCTCCTAATGCTATCCCTCCCCCCACACCTCACAACAGGCCCCACTGTGTGATGTTCCCCTTCCCGTGTCCATGTGTCCTCATTGTTCAATTCCCACCTATGAGTGAGAACATGTGGTGTTTGGTTTTTTGTCCTTGCGATAGTTTGCTGAGAATGATGGTTTCCAGCTTCATCCATGTCCCTACAAAGGACATGAACTCATCATTTTTTATGGCTGCGTAGTATTCCATGGGGTATATGTGCCACATTTTCTTAATCCAGTCTATCATTGTTGGACATTTGGGACATTTGGTGTATATGTGCCACATTTTCTTAATCCAGTCTATCATTGTTGGACTTGGGTTCCAAGTCTTTGCTATTGTGAATAGTGCCTCAGTAAACATACGTGTGCATGTTTCTTTATATCAGCATGATTTATAATCCTTTGGGTATATACCCAGTAATGGGATGGCTGGGTCAAATGGTATTTCTAGTTGTAGATCCCTGAGGAATTGCCACACTGACTTCCACAATGGTTGAACAAGTTTACAGTCCCACCAACAGTGTAAAAGTGTTCCTATTTCTCCACATCCTCTCCAGCACCTGTTGTTTCCTGACTTTTTAATGACTGCCATTCTAACTGGTGTGAGATGGTATCTCACTGTGGTTTTGATTTGCATTTCTCTGATGGCCAGTGATGATGAGCATTTTTTCATGTGTCTGTTGGCTGCATAAATGTCTTCTTTTGAGAAGTGTCTGTTCGTATCCTTCACCCACTTTTTGATGGGGTTGCTTTTTTCTTCTAAATTTGTTTGAGTTCATTGTAGATTCTGGATATTAGCCCTTTGTCAGACGAGTAGGTTGCAAAAATTTTCTCCCATTCTGTAGGTTGCCTGTTCAGTCTGACGGTAGTTTCTTTTGCTGTGCAGAAGCTCTTTAGTTTAATTAGATCCCATTTGTCAATTTTGGCTTTTGTTGCCATTGCTTTTGGTGTTTTAGACATGAAGTCCTGCCCATGCCTGTGTTCTGAATGGTATTGCCTAGGTTTTCTTCTAGGGTTTTTATGGTTTTAGGTCTAACATTTAAGTCGTTAATCCATCTTGAATTAATTTTAGTATAAGGTGTAAGGAAGGGATCCAGTTTCAGCTTTCTACATATGGTTAGCCAGTTTTCCCAGCACCCTTTATTAAATAGGGAATCCTTTCCCCATTGCTTGTTTTTCTCAGATTTGTCAAAGATCAGATATTTGTAGATATGCAGCATTATTTCTGAGGGCTCTGTTCTGTTCCATTGGTCTATATCTCTGTTTTGGTACCAGTACCATGCTGTTTTGATTACTGTAGCCTTGTAGTATAGTTTGAAGTCAGGTAGCTTGATGCCTCCAGCTTTGTTCTTTTGGCTTAGGATTTTCTTGGAAATGTGGGCTCTTTTTTCATTCCATATGAACTTTAAAGTAGTTTTTTCCAATTCTGTGAAGAAAGTCATTGGTAGATTGATGGGGATGGCATTGAATCTGTAAATTACCTTGGGCAGTATGGCCATTTTCATGGTATTGATTCTGCCTACTCATGAGCATTGGAATGTTCTTCCATTTGTTTGTATCCTCTTTTATTTCATTGAGCAGTGGTTTGTAGTTCTCCTTAAAGAGGTCCTTCACATCCCTTGTAGGTTGGATTCCTAGGTATTTTATTCTCTTTGAAGCAATTGTGAATGGGAGTTCACTCATGATTTGGCTCTCTGTTTGTCTGTTATTGGTGTATAGGAATGCTTGTGATTTTTGCACATTTTGTGTCCTTAGACTTCGCTGAAGTTACTTATCAGCTTAAGGAGATTTTGGGCTGAGACAATGGGGTTTTCTAGGTATACAATCATGTCATCTGCAAACAGGGACAATTTGACTTCCTCTTTTTTTTTTATTATACTTTAAGTTTTAGGGTACATGTGCACATTGTGCAGGTTAGTTACATATGTATACATGTGCCATGCTGGTGCGCTGCACCCACTAACTCGTCATCTAGCATTAGGTATATCTCCCAGTGCTATCCCTCCCCCCTCCCCCCACCCCACAACAGTCCCCAGAGTGTGATATTCCCCTTCCTCTGTCCGTGTGATCTCATTGTTCAGTTCCTACCTATGAGTGAGAATATGCGGTGTTTGGTTTTTTGTTCTTGTGATAGTTTACTGAGAATGATGATTTCCAGTTCAATCCATGTCCCTAAAAAGGACATGAACTCATCATTTTTTATGGCTGCATAGTATTCCATGATGTATATGTGCCACATTTTCTTAATCCAGTCTATCATTGTTGGACATTTGGGTTGGTTCCAAGTCTTTGCTATTGTGAATAATGCCGCAATAAACATACGTGTGCATGTGTCTTTATAGCAGCATGATTTATAGTCCTTTGGGTATATACCCAGTAGTGGGATGGCTGGGTCAAACGGTATTTCTAGTTCTAGATCCCTGAGGAATCGCCACACTGACTTCCACAATGGTTGAACTAGTTTACAGTCCCACCAACAGTGTAAAAGTGTTCCTATTTCTCCACATCCTCTCCAGCACCTGTTGTTTCCTGACTTTTTAATGATTGCCATTCTAACTGGTGTGAGATGGTATATCATTGTGATTTTGATTTGCATTTCTCTGATGGCCAGTGATGATGAGCATTTTTTCATGCGTTTTTTGGCTGCATAAATGTCTTCTTTTGAGAAGTGTCTTTTCATGTCCTTCGCCCACTTTTTGATGGGGTTGTTTGTTTTTTTCTTGTAAATTTGTTTGAGTTCATTGTAGATTCTGGATATTAGCCCTTTGTTAGATGAGTAGGTTGCGAAAATTTTCTCCCATTTTGTAGGTTGCCTGTTCACTCTGATGGTAGTTTCTTTTGCTGTGCAGAAGCTCTTTAGTTTAATTAGATCCCATTTGTCAATTTTGTCTTTTGTTGCCATTGCTTTTGGTGTTTTGGACATGAAGTCCTTGCCCATGCCTATGTCCTGAATGGTAATGCCTAGGTTTTCCTCTAGGGTTTTTATGGTTTTAGATCTAATGTTTAAGTCTTTAATCCATCTTCAATTGATTTTTGTATAAGGTGTAAGGAAGGCATCCAGTGTCAGCTTTCTACATATGGCTAGCCAGTTTTCCCAGCACCCTTTATTAAATAGGGAATCCTTTCCCCATTGCTTGTTTTTCTCAGGTTTGTCAAAGACCAGATAGTTGTAGATCTGCGGCGTTATTTCTGAGGGCTCTGTTCTGTTCCATTGGTCTATATCTCTGTTTTGGTACCAGTACCATGCTTTTTTTGTTACTGTAGCCTTGTAGTATAGTTAGAAGTCAGGTAGTGTGATGCCTCCAGCTTTGTTCTTTTGACTTAGGATTGCCTTGGCGATGCAAGCTCTTTTTTGGTTCCATATGAACTTTAAAGTAGTTTTTTCCAATTCGGTGAAGAAAGGCATTGGTGGCTTGATGAGGATGGCATTGAATCTGTAAATTACCTTGGGCAGAATGGCCATTTTCACTACATTGATTCTTCCTACCCATGAGCATGGAATGTTCTTCCATTTGTTTGTATCCTCTTTTATTTCCTTGAGCAGTGGTTTGTAGTTCTCCTTGAAGAGGTCTTTCACATCCCTTGTAAGTTGGATTCCTAGGTATTTTATTCTCTTTGAAGCAATTGTGAATGGGAGTTCACTCATGATTTGGCTCTCTGTTTGTCTGTTGTTGGTGTATAAGAATGCTTGTGATTTTTGTACATTGATTTTGTATCCTGAGACTTTGCTGAAGTTGCTTATCCGCTTAAGGAGATTTTGGGCTGAGACAATGGGGTTTTCTAGGTATACAATCATGTCGTCTGCAAACAGGGACAATTTGACTTCCTCTTTTCCTAATTGAATACCCTTTATTTCCTTCTCCTGCCTAATTGCCCTGGCCAGAACTTCCAACACTATGTTGAATAAGAGTGGTGAGAGAGGGCATCCCTGTCTTGTGCCACTTTTCAAAGGGAATGCTTCCAGTTTTTGCCCATTCAGTATGATATTGGCTGTGGGTTTGTCATAGATAGCTCTTATTATTTTGAAATACGTCCCATCAATACCTAATTTATTGAGAGTTTTTAGCATGAAGGGTTGTTGAATTTTGTCAAAGGCTTTTTCTGCATCTATTGAGATAATCATGTGGTTTTTGTCTTTGGCTCTGTTTATATGCTGGATTACATTTATTGATTTGTGTATATTGAACCAGCCTTCCATCCCAGGGATGAAGCCCACTTGATCATGGTGGATAAGCTTTTTGATGTGCAGGTGGATTCATTTTGCCAGTATTTTATTGAGGATTTTTGCATCAATGTTCATCAAGGATATTGGTCTAAATTTCTCTTTTTTGGTTGTGTCTCTGCCCGGCTTTGGTATCAGAATGATGCTGGCCTCATAAAATGAGTTAGGGAGGATTCCCTCTTTTTCTATTGATTGGAATAGTTTCAGAAGGAATGGTACCAGTTCCTCCTTGTACCTCTGGTAGAATTCGGCTGTGAATCCATCTGGTCCTGGAGTCTTTTTGGTTGGTAAACTATTGATGATTGCCACAATTTCACCTCCTGTTACTGGTCTATTCAGAGATTCGACTTCTTCCTGGTTTAGTCTTGGGAGAGTGTATGTGTCGAGGAATTTATCCATTTCTTCTAGATTTTCTAGTTTATTTGCGTAGAGGTGTTTGTAGTATTCTCTGATGGTAGTTTGTATTTCTGTGGGATTGGTGGTGATATCCCCTTTATCATTTTTTATTGTGTCTATTTGATTCTTCTCTCTTTTTTTCTTTATTAGTCTTGCTAGCGATCTATCAATTTTGTTGATCCTTTCAGAAAACCAGCTCCTGGATTCATTAATTTTTTGAAGGGTTTTTTGTGTCTCTATTTCCTTCAGTTCTGCTCTGATTTTAGTTATTTCTTGCCTTCTGCTAGCTTTTGAATGTGTTTGCTCTTTCCTTTCTAGTTCTTTTAATTGTGATGTTAGGGTGTCAATTTTGGATCTTTCCTGCTTTCTCTTGTGGGCATTTAGTGCTATAAATTTCCCTCTACACACTGCTTTGAATGCGTCCCAGAGATTCTGGTATGTTGTGTCTTTGTTCTTGTTGGTTTCAAAGAACGTCTTTATTTATGCCTTCATTTCGTTATGTATCCAGTAGTCATTCAGGAGCAGGTTGTCAGATTCCTTGTAGTTGAGCGGTTTTGAGTGAGATTCTTAATCCTGAGTTCTAGTTTGATTGCACTGTGGTCTGAGAGATAGTTTGTTATAATTTCTGTTCTTTTACATTTGCTGAGGAGAGCTTTACTTCCAAGTATGTGGTCAATTTTGGAATAGGTGTGGTGTGGTGCTGAAAAAAATGTAAATTCTGTTGATTTGGGGTGGAGAGTTCTGTAGATGTCTATCAGGTCTGCTTGGTGCAGAGCTGAGTTCAATTCCTGGGTATCCTTGTTAACTTTCTCTCTCGTTGATCTGTCTAATGTTGACAGTGGGGTGTTAAAGTCTCCCATTATTAATGTGTGGGAGTCTAAGTCTCTTTGTAGGTCACTCAGGACTTGCTTTATGAATCTGGGTGCTCCTGTATTGGGTGCATATATATTTAGGATAGTTAGCTCTTCTTGTTGAATTGATCCCTTTACCATTATGTAATGGCCTTCTTTGTCTCTTTTGATCTTTGTTGGTTTAAAGTCTGTTTTATCAGAGACTAGGATTGCAACCCGTCTTTTTTTGTTTTCCATTGGCTTGGTAGATCTTCCTCCATCCTTTTATTTTGAGCCTATGTGTGTCTCTGCACGTGAGATGGGTTTCCTGAATACAGCACACTGATGGGTCTTGACTCTTTATCCAGTTTGCCAGTCTGTGTCTTTTTATTGGAGCATTTAGTCCATTTACATTTAAAGTTAATATTGTTATGTGTGAATTTGATCCTGTCATTATGATGTTAGCTGGTGATTTTGCTCGTTAGTTGATGCAGTTTCTTCCTCGTCTCGATGGTCTTTACATTTTGGCATGATTTTGCAGTGGCTTGTACCGGTTGTTCCTTTCCATGTTTAGCGCTTCCTTCAGAAGCTCTTTTAGGGCAGGCCTGGTGGTGACAAAATCTCTCAGCATTTGCTTGTCTGTAAAGTATTTTATTTCTCCTTCACTTATGAAGCTTAGTTTGGCTGGATATGAAATTCTGGGTTGAAAATTCTTTTCTTTAAGAATGTTGAATATTAGCCCCCACTCTCTTCTGGCTTGTAGGGTTTCTGCCAAGAGATCTGCTGTTAGTCTGATGGGCTTCCCTTTGTGGGTAACCTGAGCTTTCTTTCTGGCTGCCCTTAACATTTTTTCCTTCATTTCAACTTTGAATCTGACAATTATGTGTCTTGGAGTTGCTCTTCTAGAGGAGTATCTTTGTGGCGTTCTCTGTATTTCCTGAATCTGAATGGTGGCCTGCCTTGCTAGATTGTGGAAGTTCTCCTGGATAATATCCTACAGAGTGTTTTCCAACTTGGTTCCAATCTTCCCATCACTTTCAGGTACACCAATCAGACGTAGATTTGGTCTTTTCACATAGTCCCATATTTCTTGGAGGCTTTGCTCATTTCTTTTTATTCTTATTTCTGTGAAGTTCCCTTCTAGCTTCATTTCATTTCATCTTCCATCGCTGATACTCTTTCTTCCAGTTGATCGCATCTGCTCCTGAGGCTTCTGCATTCTTCACGTAGTTCTCGAGCCTTGGTTTTCAGCTCCATGAGCTCCTTTAAGCACTTCTCTGTATTGGTTATTCTAGTTATACATTCTTCTAAATTTTTTTCAAAGTTTTCAACTTCTTTGCCTTTGGTTTGAATGTCCTCCCGTAGCTCAGAGTAATTTGATCGTCTGAAACCTTTTTCTCTCAGCTCGTCAAAGTCATTCTCCATCTAGCTTTGTTCCGTTGCTGGTGAGGAACTGCATTCCTTTGGAGGAGGAGAGGTGCTCTGCGTTTTAGAGTTTCCAGTTTTTCTGTTCTGTTTTTTCCCCATCTTTGTGGTTTTATCTACTTTTGGTCTTTGATGATGGTGATGTACAGATGGGTTTTCGGTGTGGATGTCCTTTCTGTTTGTTAGTTTTCCTTCTAACAGACAGGACCCTCAGCTGCAGGTCTGTTGGAATACCCTGCCTTGTGAGATGTCAGTGTGCCCCTGCTGGGGGGGTGCCTCCCAGTTAGGCTGCTCGGGGGTCAGGGGTCAGGGACCCACTTGAGGAGGTAGTCTGCCCGTTCTCAGATCTCCAGCTGCGTACTGGGAGAACCACTGCTCTCTTCAAAGCTGTCAGACAGGGACATTTAAGTCTGCAGAGGTTACTGCTGTCTTTTTGTTTGTCTGTGCCCTGCCACCAGACGTGGAGCCTACAGAGGCAGGCAGGCCTCCTTGAGCTGTGGTGGGCTCCACCCAGTTCGAGCTTCCAGGCTGCTTTGTTTACCTAAGCAAGCCTGGGCAATGGAGGGCGCGCTTCCCCCAGCCTGGCTGCCGCCTTGCAGTTTGATCTCAGACTGCTGTGCTAGCAATCAGCGAGACTCCGTGGGCGTAGGACCCTCCGAGCCAGGTGCGGGATATAATCTTGTGGTGTGTCATTGTTTAAGCCGGTCCGAAAAGCGCAATATTCGGGTGGGAGTGACCCGATTTTCCAGGTGCGTCAGTCTCCCCTTTCTTTGACTCAGATAGGGAACTCCCTGACCCCTTGGGCTTCCCAAGTGAGGCAATGCCTCGCCCTGCTTCGGCTCGCCCACGGTGCACGCACCCACTGACCTGCGTCCACTGTCTGGCACTCCCTAGTGAGATGAACCCGGTACCTCGGATGGAAATGCAGAAATCACCGTCTTCTGCGTCGCTCACGCTGGGAGCTGTAGACCCGAGCTGTTCCTATTCGGCCATCTTGGCTCCTCCCTCGACTTCCTCTTTTCCTAATTGAATGCCCTTTATTTCCTTCTCCTGCCTAATTGCCCTGGCCAGAACTTCCAACACTATGTTGAATAAGAGTGGTGAGAGAGGGCATCACTGTCTTGTGCCAGTTTTCAAAGGGAATGCTTCCAGTTTTTGCCCATCCCGTATGATATTGGCTGTGGGTTTGTCATAGATAGCTCTTATTATTTTGAGATACATCCCATCGATACCTAATTTATTGAGAGTTTTTAGCATGAAGAGTTGTTGAATTTTGTCAAAGGCTTTTTCTGCATCTATTGAGATAATCATGTGGTTTTTGTCTTTGGTTCTGTTTATATGATGGATTATGTTTATTGATTTGCATATATTGAACCAGCCTTGCATCCCAGGGATGAAGCCCACTTGATCATGGTGGATAAGCTTTTTGACGTGCTGCTGGATTCGGTTTGCCAGTATTTTATTGAGGATTTTTGCATCAATGTTCATCAAGGATATTTGTCTAAAATTCTCTTTTTTTTGTTGTCTCTGCCAGGCTTTGGTATCAAGATGATGCTGGTCTCATAAAATGAGTTAGGGAGGATTCCCTCTTTTTCTATTGATTGGAATAGTTTCAGAAGGAATGGTACCAGTTCCTCCTTGTACCTCTGGTAGAATTTGGCTGTGAATCCATCTGGTCCTGGACTGTTTTTGGTTTTTAAGCTATTAATTATTGCCTCAATTTCAGAGCCTGTTGTTGGTCTATTCAGAGATTCAACTTCTTCCTGGTTTAGTCTTGGGAGAGTGTATGTGGCAAGGAATTTATCCATTTCTTCTAGGTTTTCTAGTTTATTTGTGTAGAGGTGCTTATAGTATTCTCTGATGGTAGTTTGTATTTCTGTGGGATTGGTGGTGATATCCCCTTTATCATTTTTTATTTGCGTTTATTTGATTCTTCTCTCTTTTCTTCTTTATTAGTCTTGCTATCGGTCTATCAATTTTGTTGATCTTTTCAAAAAACCAGCTCCTGGATTTGTTGATTTTTTTGAAGAGTTTTTTGTGTCTCTATTTCCTTCAGTTCTCCTCTGATCTTAGTTATTTCTTGCCTTCTGCTAGCTTTTCAATGTGTTTGCTCTTGCTTCTCTTGTTCTTTTAATTGTGATGTTACAGTGTCAATTTTAGATATTCTCTTCTTTCCCTTGTGGGCATTTAGTGCTATAAATTTCCCTCTATACACTGCTTTGAATGTGTCCCAGATATTCTGGTATGTTGTGTCTTTGTTATCATTGGTTTCAAAGTACATCTTTACTTCTGCCTTCATTTCATTATGTACCCAGTAGTCATTCCGGAGCAGCTTGTTCAGTTTCCATGTCGTTGAGCAGTTGTGAGTGAGTTTCTGGATCCTGAGTTCTAGTTTGATTGCACTGTGGTCTGTGAGACACTTTGTTATAATTTCTGTTCTTCTGCATTTGCTAAGGAGTGCTTTACTTCCAACTATGTGGTCAATTTTGTAATAAGTGCAGTGTGGTGCAGAGAAGAATGTATATTCTGTTGTTCTGGGATGGAGAATCCTGTAGATGTCTATTAGGTCTGCTTGGTGCAGAGCTGAGTTCAATTCCTGGATATCCTTGTTAACTTTCTGTCTTGCTGATCTGTCAAATGTTGACAGTGGGGTGTTAATGTCTCCCATTATTATTGTGTGGGAGTCTAAGTCTCTTTGTAGGTCACTCAGGACTTGCTTTATGAATCTGGGTGCTCCTGTATTGGGTGCATATATATTTAGGATAGTTAGCTCTTCTTGTTGAATTGATCCCTTTACCATTATGTAATGGCCTTCTTTGTCTCTTTGGATCTTTGTTGGTTTAAAGTCTGTTTTATCAGAGACTAGGATTGCAACCCCTGCCTTTTTTTGTTTTCCATTGGCTTGGTAGATCTCCCTCCATCCCTTTATTTTGAGCCTATGTGTGTCTCTGCACATGAGGTGGGTTGCCTGAATACAGCACACTGATGGGTCTTGACTCTTTATCCAATTTGCCAGTCTGTGTCTTTTAATTGGAGCATTTAGCCCATTTACATTTAAGGTTAATATTGTTATGTGTAAATTTGATCCTGTCATTATGATGTTAGCTGGTGATTTTGCTCATTAATTGATGCAATTTCTTCCTAGCCTCATTGGTCTTTACAATTTGGCATGTTTTTGCAGTGGCTGGTACTGGTTGTTCCTTTCCATGTTTAGTGCTTCCTTCAGGATCTCTTTTAGGGCAGGCCTGGTGGTGACAGAATCTCTCAGCATTTGCTTGTCTGTAAAGTATTTTATTTCTCCTTCACTTATGAAGCTTAGTTTGGCTGGATATGAAATTCTGGGTTGAAAATTCTTTTCTTTAAGAATGTTGAATATTGGCCCCCACTCTCTTCTGGCTTGTAGAGTTTCTGCTGAGAGATCAGCTGTTAGTCTGATGGGCTTCCCTTTGTGGGTAACCTGAGCTTTCTTTCTGGCTGCCCTTAACATTTTTTCCTTCATTTCAACTTTGGTGAATCTGACAATTATGTTTCTTGGAGTTGCTCTTCTCAAGGAGTATCTTTGTGGCGTTCTCTGTATTTCCTGAATCTGAATGTTGGCCTGCCTTGCTAGATTGTGGAAGTTCTCCTGGATAATATCCTGCAGAGTGTTTTCCAACTTGGTTCCATTCTCCCCGTCACTTTCAGGTACACCAATGAGATGTAGATTTGGTCTTTTCACATAGTCCCATATTTCTTGGAGGCTTTGTTCATTTCTTTTTAGTCTTTTTTCTCTACACTTCTCTTCTCACTTCATTTCATTCATTTCGTCTTCCATCACTGATACCCTTTCTTGCAGTTGATTGAATCGGCTACTGAGGCTTGTGCATTCATCACATAGCTCTTATGCCGTGGTTTTCTGCTCCATCAGGTCCTTTAAGGGCTTGTCTGCTTTGATTATTCTAGTTAACCATTCATCTTATTTTTTTTCAAGGTTTTTAACTTCTTCGCCATTGGTTCAAACTTCCTCTTTTAGCTCAGTGTAGTTTGATTGTCTGAAGCCTTCCTCTCTTAAATCGTCAGTCATTCTCCATCCAGCTTTGTTCCGTTGCTGGTGAGGAGCTGCATTCCTTTGGAGGAGGAGAGGCACTCTGATTTTTAGAGTGTCCAGTTTTTCTGCTCTGTTTTTTCCCCATCTTTGTGGTTTTATCTACCTTTGGTCTTTGATGATGGTGACGTACAGATGGGTTTTTGGTGTGGATGTCTTTTGTGTTTGTTAGTTTTCCTTCTAACAGACAGGACCCTCAGCTGCAGGTCTGTTGGAGTTTGCTGGAGGTCCACTCCAGACCCTGTTTGCCTGAGTATCAGCAGAGGTGGCTGCAGAACAGCGGATATTGGTGAACCGCAAATGCTGCTGCCTGATCGTTCCTCTGGAAGTTATGTCTCAGAGGAGTACCCGGCCGTGTGAGGTGTCAGTCTGCCCCTACTTGGGGAGGGGGTGCCTTTCAGTTAGGCTACTCGGGGGTCAGGGACCCACTTGAGGAGGCAGTCTGTGCATTCTTAGATCTCCAGCTGCATGCTGGGATACCCACTACTCTCTTCAAAGCTGTCAGACAGGGACATTTAAGTCTGCAGAGGTCACTGCTGCCTTTTGTTTGTCTGTGCCCTACACCCAGAGGTGGAGCCTACAAAGTCAGGCAGGCCTCCTTGAGCTGTGGTGGGCTCCACCCATTTCGAGCTTCCTAGCCACTTTGTTTACCTACTCAAGCCTCTGCAATGGCGGGTGCCCCTCCTCCAGCCTTGCTGCTGCCTTGCAGTTTGATCTCAGACTGCTGTGCTAGGTATGAGTGAGGCTCTGTGGGCATAGGACCCTTTGAGCCAGGTGTGGGATATAATCTCCTGGCGTGCCATTTGTTAAACCCATTGGAAAAGCGCAGTATTAGGGTGGCAGTGACCCTATTTTCCGTGTGCCGTCTGTCACCCCTTTCTTTGACTAGGAAAGGGAATTCCCTTACCCCTTGCGCTTCCCAGGTAAGGCGATGCCTCGCCCTGCTTCGGCTCATGCACAGTGCACTGCACCCACTGTCCTGCACCCACTGTCCAGCACTCCCCAGTGAGATGAACCTAGTACCTCAGTTGGAAATGCAGAAATCACCTGTCTTCTGCATCGCTCACACTGGGAGCTGTAGACTGGAGCTGTTCCTATTCAGCCATCATGGCTCCACCCACCCTTCTGTTTCATTTTATTGATAAAAGTTAAATGCAGGCTGTGAGTTAGCATAAAAGCTCTGGGAGGTAAAGAAATTGGTAGAGTCTGCATCATCTTGTAGGCTCTTCCTTCACAAAATCTACTGAGTACTCATGGCACAGATTGGAAAGAGAACTAAAAAGTACTTGTGGTGCAGGCCAGGAAAAGGGAGGAGCATGTGCAAGGAAAGGACAAGAAACGCTGACCACATCCTTCTTTCAAACTTCTGCAGTGGAAAAAAAAAAAAGCCTTAATATGTGACAAAAGGAGAACAGGCATTGCTGCAGTTGGGACACTAGTCAAAACTTACTGCAGCCAGAGTAGGCAATAGAAGAACCCTGCCACTAGGATAAGGCTAAGATGATTAATGAAGTCCATAAACAAATTCAGGGCATAGGTGCTAGAACCAAGAAGGCTACACACTAAGACTGAGCCTTGCTCAAAACGACAAAGATTGCAAATCCTTCCAGCCCCCACCACTCCAAATAACTCCCATCACCAAATTAACGTATTTAACAAGTAAAAGCAGAATATTGCTGGGGAAGGGCAAAATGAGTAACAAAAGCATGTGACAAGACTTTCTCTGAGACAGAGTACAAAGAGATGACCTTAACAGGACAATCAGACTCTTACTGTGCTGGTGAATCAACCCCAATGTAAACACTAGGTGTCTCTACAGGAATTGGAATCCTGTGTTGCACTGAGGTTAACCACACCTACAATAAATCTAAAATCTAGGTAAACTCCTCATCGTCTTAATTCAATCTCCTTCATGAAAGACCTAGTGGGAAGAAACTCTTTTTACTATTGTTAGTCTTTGGATAGTTAATTATAACTTGATTGTTCAATTAACCCTAAAATATATCTGTAAGTAGATTTCTGAAATCTACTCATTTGAAGCATCTGGGGTGAATTCTGTTTCCTGCTAGAACCCTGACACTTATATGTGCAGTGGTAAACCATACATTTTACTGTTTCTCAAACTTTTTTTTAAATTTGTACAAATTTATGGGGCACATATGAAATTTTGTTACATGTATTAAATGCATGGTGAACAAGTCAGGTTATTAAGGTATTCACCAACCAAATACATTTTTAGTAACTATAGTCACCCTACTCTGCTATCAAATGCTGAATTTATTTTTTTTTATCTAACTGTATGTTTGTACACTTTAACCCATTTCTCTTCATCCTTCCCTCCCTGTGTCACTCACCCCTAGCAGTCTCTGTTATCTTTCTACTTTCTGCCTCCATGAGATGAACTGTTTTAGCTTTCATGTATAAGTGAGAACATGCAATATTTTTGTGTGTGTGTGTGTGTGCCTGGCTTATTTCACTTAAGATAATAGCCTCCAGATCCATTCATGTTGCTTCAAATGACATGATTGTAATCTTTTATATGGGTGGGTAGTGTGTCATTGTGTGTATATACCACATTTTCTTTATCCATTCATCCATTGATGGACACTTAGGTTGATTCCATATCTTTGCTACTATAAATAGTGCTACAGCAAACACATAAATGCAAGTATCCCTTTGATATATTGATTTCTTTTCCTTTGAAAAGTAATGGGATTGGTGGACAAAACAGTAGTTCTATTTTTAGTTTTTGAGAGGCCTCCATACTGTTTACTAGAGTTGGTGTACTAGTTTACATTCTGACCAAGAGCGTGTAAGAGTTCCTTTTCTCTGCATCCTTGCCAACATCTATCATTTTTTTTTTTTGCGTTTTTAATAATAGTCATTTTAACTGAGGTAATATAATACCTCACTGTAGTTTTATTTGCATTTTTTCAGATGTTTGGTGCTGTTGGCATTTTTTTGTATACCTGTTGGTCATTTGTATTTCTTCTCTTGAGAAATGCCTATTCATGCCTTTTGTCCACTTGATAATGGGATAATTTTGTTTTTTTTCCTGATGAGTTATTTGAGTTTCTGGTGCATTCTGGATGTTAGCATCCTGTTGGAAAATAGTTTGCAGATATTTTCTCCCATTCAGTAGGTTGTCTCCTTCATTCTGTTTATTATTTCTTTTGCTGTACAGAAGCTTTTTAGTTTAATTAAGTACTATTTGCCAACTTTTATTTTCTGTTGCCTGTGCGTTTCAGGTCTTAGTCAAAAATTATTTGCCTAGGCCAATGACTAGGAGATTTCCCTTGGCTTTTTTCTAGTAATTTTGTAGTTTTTGGTATACATTTAAGTCTTTAATCCACTTGGAGTTGATTTTTGTAGATGGCGAGAGACAGGGGTCCAGTTTTATTCTTCTGTGTGTGGATATCCCATTTTCCTAGCATCGTTTATTAAAGAGGGTATATTAGTCTGTTCTCACACTGCTATACAGAACTGCCTGAAACTGGGTAATTTATAAAGGAAAGAAGCTTCATTGACTCACAGTTCCGCATGGATTGGCCGGGGGTGGTGGGGGGTGCTCAGGAAACTTACAAGCATGGTGGAAGGTGAAGCAAACATGTCCTTCACATGGCAGCAGGAGACAGAAGTGCTGAGCAAAGGGGGAAAAGCCCCTTATAAAACCACCAGATTTAATGATAACTCACTATCATGAAAACAGCATGAGAGTAACCACCTTATGATTAAATTACCTCCCACCAGGTCCCATCCCTATCGCAACATGTGGGTACTATGGGAACTAGAATTCAAGATGGGATTTGGGTGGAAACACAGCCAAACCATATCAGAGTATCCTTTCCTTAATGTAAGTTCTTTTCAGCTTTGTGAAAGATCAGTTGACTGTAAATATGTGGCTTTATTTCAGGGCTCTCCATTCAGTTTTGTTGGGCTTTCTTTGTTGATATCAATACTATGTTATTTTGCTTACTATAGCCTTGTAATATATGTTGAAGTCAGGAAATGTGATACCTATAACTTTGTTCTTTTTGCTTAGGATTGTTTTGACTATTTGGAGTCTTTTAAATTCCATATGAATTTTAAGATTGTTTTTTCTAATTCTGCGAGGAATGATGTTGGCATTTTAATAGGAATGTCATTGAATCTGTACATTGCTTTGGGTAGTATCATCATTTTAACAATATTATTCAGATCTATGTGCATGGGATGTCTCCATTTTTTGTCTCCTTTTCTGTTTCTTTCATTTCTCTGTATGGTGTGTGTGTGTGCGTGAGTTTTGCAGAGGCTTTTCACCTCCTTGGTTAAATTTCCTAGGTATTTCATTTTTGGTAGCAATTGTAAATGGATTGCCTTCTTGATTTCTTTCATGGCTATATCATTATTTGTATATAAAAACACTACTAATTTTTGTACCTTGATTTTGTATCCTGAAACTTTACCAGATTCATTTAGCAAATCTAGAGTATTTTTGGTGTAGAGTCTCTAGGTTTTTATAAATATAAGATTATGTTATCAGTAAAAAGGCAATCTGACTTCCCCTTTTCCAATTTGGATGACTTTCATTTCTTATTTATTTTTTATTATACTTTAAGTTCTGGGATACATGTACAGAACGTGCAGGTTTGTTACATAGGTATACATGTGCCATGGTGGTTTGCTGCACCCATCAACCCATCACCTACATTAGGTATTTCTCCTAATGCTATCTCTCCCCCAGTCCCCCACCCTCTGACAGGATCTGGTGTGTGATGTTCCCCTCTCTGTGTACATGTGATAGACTGGATAAAGAAAATGTGGCACATATAGGCCATGGAATACTATGCAGCCATAAAAAAGGATGAGTTCATGTCTTTTGCAGGGACATGGATGAAGCTGGAAACCATCATTCTCAGAAAACTAACATAGGAACAGAAAACCAAACACTGCATGTTCTCACTCATAAGTGGGAGTTGAACAATGAGAACACATGGACTTTTATTTCTTTCTCTTGCCTGATTGCTCTGGCTAGAACTTCCAGTACTATGTTGAGTAGAGGTGATTAAAGTAGGCATCTTTATCTTATTCCATTTCTTAGAAGAAATGCTTTCAACTGTTTATTTTGTCTCTATTTTTTTAGTTCTGCAGTAATCTTCATTATTTCTTTACTTCCACTAATCTGGGGTTTGGTTGGTTCTTGCTTTTCTAGTTCCTGTAGGTGCAACATTAGTTTATTTGAATTTTTCTTGCATTTTTGATGTAAGTGTTTATTGCTATAAACTTTTAGCACTGCTTTTGCTGTATCCCATTGGATTTGGTATGTTGTGTTTCAATTTTCATTTGTCTCAAGATTGTTTTTCTTTCCTTGATTTTTTTCCTTTACCCAATAGTGTACAGGAGCATCTTGCTTAATTTTCATGTATTTGTAAACTTCCAAAGGTCCTGTGTTATTGATTTCTAGTTTTACTCCATTGTAGTCTGGGAAGATCCTTGATAAGATTTTAATTTTTTTTTTTTTTTTTTTTTTTTTTTTTTGAGACGGAGTCTCACTCCATCACCCAGGCTGGAGTGCAGTGGCACAATCTCGGCTCACTGGAAGCTCTGCCTCCTGGGTTCACACCATTCTCCTGCCTCAGCCTCCTCATTAGCTGGGACTACAGGCGCCTGCCACCACGCCTGGCTAATTTTTTTGTATTTTTTTAGTAGAGATAGGGTTTCACTGTGTTAGCCAGGATGGTCTTGATCTCCTGACCTCGTTATCTCCCCACCTCAGCCTCCCAATGTGCTGGGATTACAGGCATGAGCCACCACGCCAGCTGATTTTAATTTTTAAAAAATATGTTCAGACTTATTTTGTGGCCTAATGTATGGTCTATCATGGAGAATGCTCCATGTGTTGATGAAAATAATGTATATTCTGCAGTTGTTGGACAGAATGTTCTGCGCATCTGTTAGATTCATTTAGTCTAAAGTCCAGTTTAAATCCAGTGTTTCTTTGTTGATTTTCTATCTATATGGTCTGTCTAATGCTGAGAGTGGGGTGTTGATGCCCTCCACTATTAATTCATTGCCATCTATTAGATCTAGTAATATTTCCTTTATGGGTACTCCAATGTCGTGTGCATATATATTTGTAATTGTTGTATCTTCTTGCTGAATCAATCCCTTTATCATCATGTGATAACTTTGTCTTTTCTCTTTTTTTTTTTTTTTTTTACTCTTTTTGATTTAAAATCTGTTTTATCTGAATAAAGAATAGCTACCATTGCTTGCTTTTGGGTTTTGTGGACTATCTTCTTCCATCCCTTTACTTTTATTCTGTATGCATCCTTCCTGGCCCACTGATGATACATGCTGTGTTGGTATTGGTAGATTATGTTGGCCTAACCTCAGACCCCAGGAGGAGTGTTCAGATGCCAAAAGTGGTGGATTCAGCTTTGGGAAATTTGGGCAAATGTGGTGGGCAATTTCCAGGCCCCTGGAAGATATGTTTGAATACTACGGGCATGACACTGTGCTCTGCAGGACTTGTTCTCTGGCACCATGGTAGTGCATTCAGGCACTGGCTGTGATAGGCAGGGACAGGATGGTCTATAGGCCCCTGTCAAAATGCTTTGCTGTGGGCAGTGGCAGTTGCATTATACGCCTGCCACTGGGGAGGGCCAGGCTACTCTCAATGGCAGCAGCATAGGCAGATAGCTGTGAGAGAGGTGTTTTCCCCACACCTTGGTCCTGCAGTAGCCCACAGAACTGATGGTAGAATTTGTCCTCACAAAGTGTGAAAGGGCCTGCCTCCCTTCTCCCTCTTTGGCCTGGGAGCAGTAACATCAGCATTAGCTTTGACCCGAAGGCAAGACGCAGGCCTTTGGAATCCAGGTTCTCAGAATTGTATCAGCTGCAGGCCTATGATTGGAGGATGAGTGGTGGGGGTGCCCTCTCTCAGCTGGAGCAGCATAAGTGGGTAGCAGAAAGGAGTCCGGTTTGCTTGTGCCTTGGTTCCACAGAAGCCCACAGCAACAGCAGTGGGATTTGTACTTACGGTATGTGAAAGTACCTGCCTCTCCTTCTTCCTCCTTGGCCAGGGAGGAGAGCAGCAGTTTTGGCCTCAAGGCAGGACACAGTCTCTTGAGAGCTTAGTTCTCAGAATGGCACCAAGCTGCAGCAGCTCAGGACTCAAAGCCTGTGGGATGCAGTGTGAGTTCTCTCTCTCTCTAAAGCAATGCCATGGTATAGCCTCTAGGCAACTCCATATGTTAGTCCTGAGGCCTGCATGGATTGAGGGGTTCTCCTGTAGCTAGGACTGTAAAAGTTCATGGCAGAAATGCGGAGCCCTGGGAGACTGTCACTTACCTTTTTCCCTCATCCAGCTGTTTCTCCCAGTTCCCAGCTCGTCTCTGCTGAGCAGGGTGCCTAACTTCCCTCTCCTTTGTTTTTGGTGGTTCCCATTGCTTCTCCATTGAATTCCATTGTTCTCTCTTAGACAATCTATTTGAAATGAGAATATTTACTTGATATTTTGGTTCGTTTTTGTGGAGGAGGCACGCAGTAGCTGCAGCTAGTCAACCACCTTGAACCCCTCTCCCTACTTCTAAAACTTTCAATATTGCATTCTTTTTAAGATTTGCATAATAATTTTTTATTTTGAGCTCATCTTTATGGGTATTTTCAGAGGGCATTTATATTTACTTTATTATAGAGCTATCCTTTATAGCAGAAATTTGCTGTTATGTCCACTTCTTCCTAGCTTTGTTAACTGATTTTTTTTTTATGTACTCTTCTGTAGCTATATTTTACTTTGCAGAACAAGCTATGTTCTGTCTTTAATCTGGGCATGTGGATATGTTATTCTATATTTTCTTATTTTGGTATTCAGTTAATTTCAATGAATTCTTAAGATCTCGATTCCTTCAGGAAGTCTTCTAGGACCTTCTCCCAAACCCAGGGGATCCCCATATGGGCAGCATACACCTTACTTTCATAACATTTATCACACTGTGCTGTACATTTCTCTGTACTGCTATGTATCTCACATTAAAATCTGATATTTATAGAAAGAGGGATTATGCCTTCCTTTCACTCTGCCTAGCATAGTGTCTGGATTGAGTAAATAATTAATAGATGCTATTTTCTATTACATTCCTTTAACGATGCAAAGGACTGGCAAACGAAATGTGTCAGCCTCCAAATTTAGTGTGAAAATTTCTAGGAGGAAATTAGTAGGTTTGGGATATAACATTTCTGTATACTTAACCCAGACAAACCCATTGCTCAGCATTGATAGATGCTAAGGAAGTTGAAGATTCCAAGGTGACATGGTAAGAGCTCTTAACACTTAGTAATACACCAAGAATCAAGTTATTTATAGATTACTACTTCAAAGGTTCATGTTTTACACTGGCATTTTGCTAAAGGTCTTTTAATGGTATTTTGTTAATTATTTACAAGATTGAATGATTATTTGACAGGCATAGGTTGGCTACAAAATTTGTTCAAAAGACTAATTGATGAAACAAAAGGTTTTTTTTTTTTTTTTTTTTTTGAGACAAAGTGCCACCCTGTCACCCAGGCTGGAGTGCAATGGCTCAATCTTGGCTCACTGCAACCTCTGCCTCCCAGGTTCAAGCGATTCTCCTGCCTCGGCCTCCTGTGTAGCTGGGATTACAGACGCATGCCACCACGCCCAGCTAACTTTTTGTATCTTTAGTAGAGATGGGGTTTCACCATGTTGGCCAGGCTGGTCTCGAACTCCTGACCTCGTGATCCACCCACCTCGGCCTCCCAAAACGCTGGGATTACAGGCTTGAGCCACCACAACCAGTCCCAATTTTTTTGAAACCTAAATTTTATTGATTCTTAAGATAGTCAAATCTTCTTTATATAATACCTACTATCACTATAATGTTAATTATAACTTATTGTAATTAAAATTATCATCATTATCATCATACCACAACTCAAACATTCTGTGCTAAGTTTTAAGTACCTTGGTAAGTATTTTTCTTGGATTTTCTCATTTTGCTTGGAATTTCTACAGCAGTACTATGATGTGGGAAATGTTCTTGCTGTTTTCTAAATAATGGCACTGAAGCTTAGCTAGTTCATGTAACTTATACAATGTCACATAGGTAGTGAACAACAAAACAGAATCAAATCACAGATAAACTAACTCCATAGATCTTAAGCGCTATACTAGAGCTAAATTGTAGAACATTCTAAAGATATAATTAAAATAAGCCTTAATTCTTACCATCCTGATACATCCACTATGAGTGCTGTGACATACATTAGACTATTTTCTGTAACTATAATTTTGTGCCTTTTTTAGATAGATTGATTGTACATCTTTCATCCATCTTTCCAATTAAGTTTACATCTTATTTTTCTGCTCTTTGTATGGGAAATACTTGCATAATCTCTAATGACCACATGCTAACCCAGGATATGAACCTATCATTGTTTAAAAAAAACAAAATATGTTATTAATATAAAATGAGCAATATCCCTTTAGGTGGCATGTGTGTGTGTGTGTACACACAAGATATGAAAAATAATAAAATTTTTAAAATCCAACTTTTTAAGGGAATAGAATACTCTTTTTTAACTAGAAATAATGTATTGGGCATTTAATAACCACATACTTACCATTCTATTACTCTTTCAAAACTTATTTTCTTTTTGGAATTGTTACTTAGACAAAGTTTTGGTCTCTTTCTAGTAGATGGTGTTCTTTCATGGGTTTATGTAGAACTCTTTCGCTTTACTATGAGAAAGTATGTGTATAATATTTTCTATGGTATCAAGGTTATATTCTTATATAAATGTTTTGTGAATGCCCAAGAGTATTTTGCTCTTAGACTTATATATGGATAAAGATATAGATTACATATCTATAAATCTATATAAATATTATTTACATATGTTACATATAAATAATTTAGGAAAATATATAAATTTATAAACACATATATGCATATGTACGTGTATGTGCATGTGTATGTTAAAGTTTCTTTCATTAGTTAGATAAATAGATTTTGCTTTTTATCTAACTTAATACTTGTTCATTTTTCATTATCCTGATCAATATTGTCTGTCTTAAATCTTGTGCCTTGAGAAGGAAGTGCCTGCCTCTGTTTAAATAACTTTACATGGTATTTAATTCTCTGATGTTCACAGAGCCACATAAATATTTTAAGATAAGATAATGGTAATGTTATAAGTTATTGTAGAATATGTGTTGGCTCTACTAGCTTTTTTCCCCCTGCTAAGTTTTGTTCAAGAGAATCAGTAAGGATTTTCCTGGGTCTGAAGCCAGCACAGTTAATTGGGGAGCATCTGTTCTGTGTTAATTATGTGTAGTTTAATGAAAGTCCAAATTGATCTGGTCCTTCTCCATCTCTCAAATTTTTCCATTTACCTCTTCAATGTGCAGAATTTGGAGGCATTTGAAACCTGATTTGTAACTGAGCAATTGACATTAGGTAACATGGAGTCTTAAGGGAGCTTTCAGGAGGATTTAAGTCATAATTGAGCATCTGAGGGGTTGGGGTGAGACACTTCATCCCAGTGGAGCTGACGACATTAGGAATGCTTATGTGGCATTATCTGTAATTCCAATTCCAAATCCATCTGGATTTTTTTAAAGGAAAATTACATAGAAAATGTGATCATTTTCAATAAATGTTATAACTAATTTCCTGCCTTAGGATGGAGGATTTGTTGGAGATAAAGTTAGCTAATTCATCCGTTTCCCATACTTGGGCCCATTAACATTGTTGAATACTTTAAATTCCTGCCACAGGTATTTATCTGAGACATATATCTGATTGATCACAAATATATAGACATATATTAAGTTTCAAAGATTTCTTTTCCCCCCTAGTCTCTGACAGTAAACAGCGATTTGAATTTGGAGCTCCGCATGCAGAGTGCCCACCCTCCCCTCCATCTTACCCCCAACACGGTTCCCCAGACAAAGTTGCTCAGTTAAGTAGGCCCACTAAGTACCAGAAAATGTGCCAGGGATCCCACTCACACAGACCTGGGGTGGGTGGACCCAAAGTGGAGGCAAGTGTTTACTTGCAATAATGATGAGGATTTAATTGTGACGGTTAGAGGAACATTTGGAGGAGGTGAAGAGTAAAATCACTTTAGGAAGGGAGAAGTGCCCATGTAAAGGCTAGGAGATGAAACAATCATGGTAGAATTGAGGGGCTGAAAGAAGACCAGGCCCTAGAATGCAAAGCATGAGGAAGGAGAGGATGGAGCTAGATAATACAGGGACATGGTCCTGGGTTAAGGGTTATCCAAAGGTTCAAGCAGGAGTAATGTCTGATTAGATCCTTCTTTTACCAAGACCACTCTGGTTACTTTAGAGAGTGGTTTGGAGGAGGGTGAAACCAGGGACTCCTGCAATAACTCTATTAAAAGATAATGGGTTATAAAGGATATTAATATATAGACAGTTCAATCTGTGCAGGAACTCTAATTTTCTGATCATCTTTACAAATTTGACCCTTGCATCTGGACATTGTCTGGTCCTAAAGCAATGTACTTCATCAACATTAAAAACTCAGTGACACACCCTTCTTTCTCAAATGTTTTCCATTTATGGACATTTCTGGGGAATCATATATCTCTTCCTCTGGAAATAATATTGTCATTGAAATAACAGAGGGGAAGTGGCTTTGGAGAGAAGATAGAATATTTTCTCTCAGTGGTAATGATGTTTTTTGACTATCTGAAAGCCTCGGTATGATAACTCTCCTTATCTCAGCCCATAAATTAATAAATAATTTAGGGATGGTGATGTAGATAAGTGGTAAATCTTTTCAATTTCAAGCAGTATTATAAAGTCATAATGATAAGATTCTTGAAAATCTTCCCTATGGAGGAAATGAGGAAATATTTACCAGAAAAAACTGTAAGAGATGGATAGAGATGGGTAACCAGAACGACTGTGATCATTCAGTGAGGTCAAAGCATATCAAGCATTTCTCTTACATAGATTTTCTGACAGTTTGAAGCAGATAATCATATAGGAAATTGTAACTGAATAGCTAGATCACAGGGAATCAGAGACTTTAAAATAGAAAAAAAAAAATGGTCTTGAGAGAGCTAAAGTTATCCATGCCATCAAGAAAAGCCCCTAGGCCCCATAGCCAAGAAATTGTAACTGAATAGGTAGATCACAGGGAATCAGAGACTTTAAAATAGGAAAAAACAAAAAGGTCTTAAGAAAGCTAAAGGTATCCATGCCATCAAGAAGGCCCCTAGGCCCCAAAGACAAGAAGACCATGTTTCGAAAGGAAAGAAATAGACAATTAATTGTCCCCTAAACTGTATCTGGCAATCTACACTCAGGCCAGACTTAGGTTAAAATACACTCAGAAACCTTCACCTTATGAACTAATCTATTTATATGAGTTTGCATATATTTCTCTACATTTCCCAAAGCAATTGCCACCTAATGATGCTGATTCTGTCCATTTACATGGCAGTAGGCAAGGATCATCTATTACTCATCTGCTGTTCTGAAAAATATAGCTATTTCACTAATCAGGGGCAAAAACATTTATACTATATGTTTATTTAGACATATTTATACTATATATGTCTAATACTGATATCACATCCATTGGTTCATGAAATGAATTGAGCAATTATTTCTCCTAAAGACATTTTATTTTTGTCAAGCAAAAGGTTTGTATATTTTAAAGGTAGTCAATGGTCTATAACAAATTGCAGCCTCTTTTGCTGTCAAAGGATAATCTAATTTCCCTTTTGGTTACTGACAAAGCTTGTGTTGAAATTCATTATTTTAAAAGCCTTTGACAATGGTTAATATAGATTAATATGGGCATTGTTTTTATTGTTATTCTCTAATATAACAGCCCTTAACTCATGCACAAGCACATTCATGGAAATTATAAATGAAAATTTGCATATGTTATATTAATTAAAACTTAACTTCCTTCTAACACTGAAAATATATACCCATGTGTTAATAGCTTTTCCAAATGACATCAGTACATAAGTGGATCTGAACGTACTTGATAAAAGCTGGTCAGTGTAGATTCGAGAACTATTGTTTAACCAATATCATGATGATTGATATTCCCCTCCAAAAAGGTTACTGAGCTGTTCCAAACGTCTTGATTTATAAAACCTGTGGAATTTCTAGTATACATTATGGCCACATCTGTGTATTTTATGGATATGGACAATAATCAAAGACTTCATTTAACTTATTCTTTCTTTGTAGCAAGGCCTTTATTTATCCTGCCAAAAGTGAGCCAAAACTCAGATGGATGAGGTTAGACTAATTAGAGAAAAAAATATAATTGTAAAATTTGGCATACAATGTAGGGCCCACGTGCATTTCAAGGTCCTTTACTAAACCATTTAGTATTTTACAAAATCAATTCAATAGCACATGTACACACAGATATAGGTCACAGATGTCTCCACCACAAGTACTTACATATTTTTAAATGTTATAAGATAAAATATCTAGGGATTTAGTGACTTTAAGCTGAATAGTTCAATAAAAACAACCATGTAATATATAATAACTTGGCAAAAATTGCTATATAAAAACTTAGACTTTATTTGTAGAAGTATAGCAGTATAGGCCAGACACAGTGGTTCAGGCTTATAATCCCAGTACTTTGAGAGGCCGAGGTGGGAGGATTGCTTGAGCCCAGGAGTTTGAGACTAGCCTGGGCAAGATGGCATGACCCCATCTCTACAAAATAATAATAATGGTAAAACATTATCTGGGCATGGTGATGCCTGTGGTCCCAGCTACTCGGGAGGCTGAGGCAGAAGGATCCCTTGAGTGCAGGAGTTCAAAGCTGCAGTGTACTGTGATCTCACCTCACTGCACTCCTGTCTGGACAACAGAGCTAGACTTCGTCTCTTAAAAAAATTAAAAAGTATAGCAGTGTATCATGGTGTTTAAGAAGAATGGTTCTATCGGGAGTTGGAGGTTGCAGTGAGCCAAGATCATGCCATTGCACTCCAGCCTGGGCAACTCCATCTGAAAAAAAAAAAAAAAAAAAAATGAAAAAGTGGTTCTAGAACAATATTGCCTAAATTCAGTACCTGAAAATTCAGTTCCATTCATTCGCTGTGTGACATTAGGCAAGTGTTTATGTTCTTGTCCTCTTGAGACTCAATTTTCTCATTTGTAAATGGAGATATTAATATGCTTATGGCTGAAGTTTATGTTGAGGTTAACTGAATTATTCCACATCAAGCAGTTAGTGATGAAAGCTACTATATCATAAGTTCTCAAAAAAATTATATACTTATACATTATTTGGTATTTATTTAAATGTTATTGTATAATTATAATGTCTTATTTTTTATCAGAGCCCTTAGATTGGGGCAATAATTAACTGATCAAAATGTATCTGTATTGGTGCACAACACACTTCAAAAGAACATTGTAAACACTGGGTCATTTTCAGAAGAAAATGGACTAAGTAATGAAATATGGGTATATAATGTTATAAGAAGAATTGCTAAAAAGTCCACAGTGTTAAGGCATATTAAGAGATAATATACCTTCAAATGTTATAAGCATAGTACCATTTGAGAGAATTATATTCATTTAAAAAAAAACTAGGATCAAAGGATAGAATAATCATCATAGAATGATTTAGTCACTTATTCAAAAATATTAACTGAGCATCCTCTATGTGTTAGACACTGTGCAGTCTTAGTATAAAAATGGAAAAAATGTTTGCTTTATGTATTTATGCTTACTGAGAAAAAATAGGCATTAATTCAATAATCATAAAAATGAAATACAACATTTTTACCATAAAGTAGATAGTATTTATACTAGGAGAGTATTTATACTAGGAGAGCATACAGTAGAGGATTTTACCTAGTCAGGGAGCTAACAGGAGGGCTGATATGAATTCCAAAAACTGGTAGACATTGAAACACTGACTAGCAAAGGGAAGAGTTTTCCAAGATGATGGAACAGTATATACAAACATCCTGAAGCCAAAAGAACAAATCCACGAAACTCAAAGGTTGGTGTGGTCTTAGGCAATGCACAAGCAGGGGTCACATTAAGGACCTCTGCCTTTATCCAAGAAGCAAAAGCATTACAAGACTTTAAGATGGCTGGGCGCGGTGGCTTACGCCTGCAATCCCAGTACTTTGGGAGGCCGAGGCGGGTGGATCATGAGGTCAGATGATTGAGACCGTCCTGGCCAACATGGTGAAACCCCATCTCTACTAAAAAAAAAATAAAAAAAAAAATTAGCCGGGCTTGGTGGTGCATGCCTGCAGTCCCAGCTACTCAGGAGGCTGAGGCAGGAGAATCGCTTGAACCTGGGAGGCAGAGGTTGCAGTGAGCCAAGTTTGTGCCACTGCATTCCAGCCTGGCGACAGAGTGAGACTCCGCCAAAAAAAAAAAAAAAAAAAAAAGACTCTAAGATAAGTGTAATATGATCGGTTTCATGTTGAGAAGATTGCTTTTCCTGTAGTGTGAGAAAGTGATTGGAGGGTGACTACAGTAAGTCTAAGTAGAACTAGGTAGAGCAGTGGAAATAATTTAACTTTCTTCTCCTGTCCCCCAAATGTTTTCACTGAAGTGATCATTATAGAAATGAAGTTGTGAATGGATTGGAGAGAAAGTTTGGGTTTTCAATCGTTAAAAATATTCTAGCAGCTGGGCACAGTGGCTCATGCCTTGTAATCTCACCATTTTGGGAAGCTGATGCAGGGGGATCACATGAGCCCAGAAGTTCAAGGATACAGTGAGCTGTGATCATACCACTGCATTCCAGCCTGGGCAACAGAATGAGACCTTGTTCAAAAATAAAAATAAAAAATCGAGTACAATACCAGTGAAATTCTTGTCCCTGGACATGTTCAGGCAGAAGCTGAATGATTGACTTACTTGTTGGAAAAGAAGGAATGTAAATTACTGAACTAGATCATGACTGACCTCTCAGGTTCCTTACAATGTTGTAATTGTACAATGCTCAATCCATTTATCCTACAAAATAAGTTCAGTACAAGAACAGGCTCTACAACCTACACAAGAGGCTCAATTTCCTATGATGTTTTCTCCGAAAGACAAAAAATTGCAGCCAAAGATAAAATAAGAGGAAAACATTTATTTTTGCCAGAACTTCAAGATGCCCAGTGGAGATGGCAAACCGAGATATAAAATGTGAGTACAGATGGAATATATACCTCATATTCATACTTGAATGTGTATGAGTAGGTGTGTATACGGAAGAGCAGATTGGAAAGGAAATTTCAAGTCATAATGACTTGACCTGGGTTTGCATTCCTTGTCTGGCATTTAGTAGATAATGTGGTATTGGTGAGGATGCAACCTTTCCAGACCTCAGCTTCTTCATCTGTAAGTCAGGGAATTAATACTCACATTATGGTTACTGTGATGATCCAGGAAAATAATGATATAAAATAAGGTTCAATTATTATTAACATTTTTTAACATTTAAAATTAAAATATTATCTATTAGGATTATTTTTCCTGCTTAAATAAATGTAGAGTAGACTTAAAATCATCAGAAGTTTCTTTAGAGAGTGTACATAAATGTATATAATAGTTTTTTGATTCATTAAGTGTAGCAAGCAATGGAGATGAGCTTCTCTAAAGCCACTGATAATTATCCTTTTTATTGTCAGTCTCTATCAAAAAGGCTAGAGAGCTAAAGTATTCACCTTGTCAGACTACCTTTGCAACAAGGGATGATTTTTTAGCACATTTTTGTCCAATGAGCTGTAGCATAAAGTTTTGTGGAGGGTTCATTTTTATAAGACAAAGCCTCCTAGAGTACAAGGCTTTTAGACTATCTACTTTCTTTCTGGTTGAAAGAAAACAGATGCACAGAGATGCTTCTGCTATCCTGCTACCAGGAGAACAAAAGCCACAGAGTAGAAGGAGAAAATGAGTGTGGAATCCTGATGACTTCATTTAAACTTAATGTAGCTGGACAGCTCTCTGGGCTGCTTTTTGTGTGGTGTAACTAAACATTTTACCTTTTTAAGTCATGTTTTCTATTGCTCTCACCTAAACACAATCCTATCCCATACATTGTAATGGCAAGGTTACTACAGGGCAGATTGGGCTATCTAAATTAAGAGCATGCCTCCTAGATTTATATACATGTGATGTTCCATTCCAGGATACATCCAGGTTCTTTCAAAGTTATGTTTTGATATAAAAATGGATTATCTGCCCTGTTCCCCTTTTTAGCAAATGGCTAGTAATCATTTGGCCAACTGCAGCCTAGTTTGGTATAATGAAATAGCTACCAGCAAGCAACAAAATCACATTCCAGTGAAGAATGTGATGAATATATATGCTGCCTAATATTCACAATCAGAAAATCTGTGCAATCCACTGGCACCTACTATTCTTCCATTGATGTAATATTGAAGGTCTAGGTGGTTAAGCAAGACATCTGGGTTTCAATCAGAATACAGAAAAAGTTGTAGATTATAAAATACTTTTGTGAGAATCCATAACAATGGGTAATGTCTAATAAAGAAAATGGAATTTCACACTAACACTTTTAAGGACACGGGAAATACACTTTCAGCTTTCACTATACTCATGTGCTACCTCATTCATTCAAATACATTTTGCCTTCCACCACAGAAACTGAATTTGGAGATGGTACAAAACTTTAGGGATAATCTCTTTTAGGATGTTGAATAACCCTACATTGCCTTTTCTCATCAATGGCAGATCAGAGACATGCCCTCAAATCAACTATGTTTCTTAAATCTCTCTAAAGTTAAAATTTTGGAGATATAGATATGTGAAAATATTTCAGTAGAAATTCATAATAGCACTGCTTCATAGAATAAATTTATTTCAATATTCTTGAATAATTCTCTGTAATAAGAATTGTTCAAGATACTTAGAGACAAAAAAGTTCATCTTTAACTGAATAGAGATTGGAAACAGGCCCATTCACATGTAAAAACTTGATGTATAATGAAGGTGATGAAGAAATAACTGGGAAAGGAAATCAGTAGATAGTATTATCTCAGGAAGTGAAAAACATTTAAAATATAGAATATACCAAGCAACACATTCAAACATGAGCTTCAGCTGTGCTAAAAGCATAAATATTAAAGGTAAATTATAAATAATAGAAGCTCATATATTGGGATGTCTTTATGGATCTACGGTTGAGAAATGATTTCTTAAAACCTCTACAACACAAAAGGCAAAAAATTCTGCTTGTTTTCATTGAAGTGTTGTGTTCAATAAGGCACATCACTAACAACAAATACAACGTATTGGAAGAAAATATTTACAATGCTTAAAAACAAAGGAATTAATATCTGGAATATGTAATGAACTCTTAAAAATAAACACATAAAAGAAGGCAATCAAATGGAGAAATAGACAAAGATTATAATGTGGTAGTTGGTAATTACCAGAAGAACTATATTGCTAATAACCATATGAAGAACCTCACACTCATTAGTACATAGATAAATGCAAAGGAAAGACAAAGAGAATTTAAAACTCATTAAAGATGTAAAACTGGTTGATGACAAAGGCTGACAGAAACCTAGAGGTACAGGAATCCTCGAGCACTGCTGGTTGGAGAGATGGTTCCTAGATTGAGTTATGGAGAACTTGTGATCCAACAAACTTATTTCAGAGCATATAGTCCAGAATAGTCTGCCCAACCCCAACCTCATCTCAGATTTCTGCGGGAAAATGTGTGGCCATACTGCAACATTGCTTATGGTAGTGGAAATTTGAAGATAATCTAAGTATTTGTCACTGAAAAATTATGGAATGCTCTTCAAAAGTTAGAAGCAGTGGACTAGATATTCACACATCAATCTTAAAAACTAAAACAGAATTAGAACATTGCAAGATCTATAATGTATTTTAAAATACACACACATACAAACAAAACCACGTATAAGATATGTACATCAATAAAAAGAAAAGACATGACAACTGAAATAGTTCCTTGGGCAGAGAGAAAGGAATAAGGATAAAATAAATAAATTTTAAATATATATAAAACAGTTTAGGGGCCTTGCATAATGGAACGATGTTATCAGGCCATGAAGAAAGAAATATTATTCATTCAACTTTTTGTATCTGATGTTCCCCCACCAAAATAAACAAATAGCAAAAAAAGAAAAATCTGGAACACAGTGTTATCACAGGAAACCAAGAATAAAAATTCACCATGCCAAGGATAAAGCAGAAAAATCACAGCATAAACAACACATGTAGCCAGAGTAAAAGACATAGGAGTACATCTCATAGTCCATTTTTTAAAGCTATATAAAGCTTGGGGAAAGAAGCAAACTCCAAGACTTAATGTGATTTTTTGTATGAGAAGTAATGGAAGGTAATAAGAACACAGGCTTTCTTCTTATTTAGACATCCTTGTTTTCTAATTCAGATTCTATCTTTTTCTATGTATGTGATCTAAGTAAGATGATTTTAATTAAAGCCAACCCTTCGCTTCTTTTCATTTTATACATAAGAATGATACTGCTTGCATTGCAAATCTATTGGGAATATTATACAACAGTGTATTTCATATATATATGTGCATATATATGTGCATATATATGTGTGTGTATATATATGTATATATATAATTTTACCTCTCCAGAGGAATATGTTTTTTACTTGAGCTATAGAAATAAATCTATATTAGTAAAAATCCAGGATTTATCTAATAGTGAAACATAAAAGTTATTGCTGAATGGAACTTTAAAGTATTACTGCATGATTTCAGGTATTTGTTAGAGAGCTTTAAAAGGCCAGAGACTCCTGTGAGGGTATGAATCATGGGCAGAATCACATCAAATTTCAGGCTAAAATTAGACTTTAGGGATACAACATGGTCACGAAGTCCTGAAAATTTTATCAACTCTTTTAATCTACCTACATAAAAAATATCTTAAAGGCTACCTCTTCAGAAAGCTTTAATTTTTGGTCATGAAAGTACGAATTTGAGCCCTTCTTTATGGATTTAAACATCAAATACTAGTTGACTTGCCTTTGCTCTTGTCTTTTCCTCTAATCTGATATTGATAGGCCACATGAGGCCTTCATCTTTTTCCTTGTCTGTTTTCTCCTAACTTCATTTGCTTGCTCCTTACCTAAGGTATGACTATGAGGATATTGGATCCATTAGATGGGAGGAGTAGATATTATTAAAGGGTGTGAAAGGAGAAACAAAAAACCTGGTTCACAATATTCCCTTCATCTGGAAGATTATATGTATATACACAATCTCCAGATTATGTATGTATATATATTTATGTGTGTGTGTCTCTATATATAGATACACGCATGCATATATAATGCTTTCATAGGAAAAATCACTGATTTAAAAAATAATTATTGTGATATTCCATTTATTGATAACATGAAACATTCTAATTGGTCCATCAAGTCAGGTAGAGAATGTAAGTACTTAAAATATCTTCAAGTGATAGATAGCCCAGAGCTCAGATTTAAAATCCTTTGTACAACCAAAGATGGTCTTATCAAGAATTGATGACAGTGGATTTGTAATATATTTTGAAATCAGGAAGTGCAATGTCTACAGCATTGTTTTCCATTCTCAGGATTGTTTTGGGTATTTGAAATCCTTTGTACTTCCATATGAATTTTAGGATATTTTTCTATTTCTGTTAAAAAATGCCATTGTGATTTTGATAGGAATTTCACTGAATTTGTAAACTGCTTTGGGTAGTATAAACATTTTAACAATATTAAGTCTTCTAATCCATGAACACAGGATATCTATTTATTTGTGTCGTCTTTAATTTTACTCATGAATTTTTTTTGCAATCTACAGTGTGCAAGTTGTTCACCTTCTCAGTTAAGTTTATTTCTAAGTACTTTGTTCTTTTGATGATATTGTAAGTGGGGTCATTTTCTTAATTTCTTTTCATTGTTTGTACATAGAAACACAACCAATTTTTGTATGCTTGTTTTATACCCTGCAACATTACTGAATTTGTTTATTATAATAGGTTTTTACGGTAGAATCTTTAGGGTGTTCTACATTTAAGATCATACCATCTCAAATAGATATAATTTTACTTCTTTCTTTATGACTTATATATTCCTTTTATTTATTTTTCTGCTTAATTAGTCAGGCTAGGACTTCTAGTACTATGTTGAATAGGATAGACAAGTGTGGGCATCATTTCCTTGTTCCTGATGTTGGAGGAAAAGCTTTCGATTTTTTTTATTATTGAATGTGATGTTAGTTGGGGTCTTTTTATGTATTTTCTTTCTTATCTTAAGTAAATTCTTCTACTCCTAGTTTGTTGAGTTTTTGTCATGAAAATGTGTTGAATGTTTTCAAATCCTGGGTTTTTAAAATCTAATTAGACTATCATGTTGTTTTTATCCTTTATGTGATTACTGTGGTCTATCATGTTAATTTTCATACGTTGAACCCCCCTTGCATCCAGGGATAAAGGCTACTTGGTGGTGATGAATGATGAAAGGCTACTATGCTGTTGAATTTAGCTTGCTGGTGTTTTATTGAAGATTATTTTTATCTAGCATAGAGGCAGACATATTGACTAATGGAACAGAATAAAAACTCTAGAAATAAATCCATGCATATATAAACCACTGATGTTTTACTATGGTACCAGGAATATACAATGGAGGAAGGATAGCCTCTTCAACAAATGATGTTGGGAAAACTGGGTATCCACATACAAAAGAATGAAATCAAGTACTTATCTTATACCATACACAAAAATCAAGTTAAACTAGGTTAAAGACGTAAACATAAGACCTGAAACTGTAGAATGCCTAGAGGAAAACATAGGAAAAATGCTTCATGAGTTTTGTCTTGTCAGCTTCTTAGATATGACCCCCAAATCACAGGCAACAAAAGCAAAATTAGACAAGTGGAACTAGATAAAACTAAAAGGCTTCTGCATATCAAAGGAAACAACTAACAGTAAAAAGACAACCTACAGAATGTGAGGGAGAAAATATTTGAAAACTGCATATATACGATATGGAGTTAATATCCAAAATATATAAGGAGCTCCTAAATTTCAATAGTGAAAATAATCAAATAACGCAATTAAAAATGGGCAAAGGATTTGAAAAGGCATTTCTCAAAACAGACATACAAATTGTCAATAAGTACGTAAGAAAGTTCTCAACATCACTAGTTATCAGGGAGATGGAAATCAAAACCACTATGAGATATCATCTCACACCTGTTAGGAAGCTATTATGAAAAAAGTAAAAACAAATGTTAATAAGGATATGGAGAAACTGGAACCCTTGTACTTTGTTGCTGTGGATATAAAAGGTTGCAGCCACTATAGAAAGCAGCATGGAGATTCCGCAAAAATTAAAAATAGAAGTACTATATGATCCAACAATTCAACTTCTGGGTATTTATCCAAAAGAATTGACATCAGGATCTTGAAAAGATATTTACACTTCCATGTTCTCTGCAGCATTATACGGAATAACCAAAATGTGGAAACAACCTAAATGTCCATCAATGGATAAAGGGATAAAGAAAATACTCTGTGTGTGTGTGTGTGTGTGTGTGTGTGTGTGTGTGTGTGTGTGTGTGTTTGTGTGTATGTGTGTATGTGTGTATGTGTGTGTGTGTATATACATATGAATATTTAGCTTTTAGAAAGAAGAAAATTCTTTCATATGTGATCACTATTATGAGTTTTGCCTCCAGCAGCAACTCTGCCAGGTCCTCACAATGAATTTCAGAAAAGATTTCCTTGTGCTTCTGGCCCAGAAGGGGAAAGGAAACAACTTTTAAATATGTCAAAGTATTCTGTTCTTCTTAACCAGGTCTGCCTTCAGGAGAAACTGTAACCAAAATAATCAACTGAGATTTTAACAGAGCCTAACTGATTTGGGAGAAGAGGAATATCCAACTCGAACCTACTCTAGCTATCTTGTTCTATATAGGACTTTTCTTTTTGGAATTTCCACTATATGTATGTTTCACCTTTTGTAGTTGTCTCACAGTTCTTGGATATCCTATTTTGTTGTACTTTTGCAGTACTCTCACCCATCTATCAGAAATGTACAAATCAAGCAGGCAGAAAATTAGTAAGGATCTAGTTGAACTCAACACTATTAAGTAACTTGATATAATGGACATCTGTAGACTATTTGATTCAGCAACAGGAGAATACACATTCTTCTCAAACTCCTGTGGAACATTCACCAAGATAGAGCATATTCTGAGTGACATAAAAATCTTAACCAATTTAAAATAATAGAAATCATATAATGTCTGCTCTCAGACCACAATGGATTTAAACTAGAAATTGATAACAGAAAAACAGTTGGAAAGTTCCAAAATATTTAGAGATTAGATAGCATACTTCTAAGTAATATAAGAGTCAAACAAGAAATCTCAAGAAAAAATTTAAAAATATTTTGAACTAACAGAAAATGAAAAATATAACTTATCAAAATGTGTAAGATGCGGTGATGAGAGAGAAATTTATACCACTTAATGCATATATTAGAATGGAAGAATGCTCTAAAATAAATCATCTAAGCTTCCACCTTAGGAAAATAAAAAAAAAGAATAAATCCAAAGTAAGTAGAAAAAAATAAATAATAAAAGCCAGAGTGAAAATTAATAAAATTGAAACCAGGAAATCAAGAGAGTCAACAAAACCAAAAGCTAATTATTTGAAAAATCATTAAAATTAATATTCCTCTAGTCAAGCTAACTATGAGAAAAAGAGAGGACACAAATTACATCAAAAATAAAGAGTCACATCACTTCTGATCTCATGGATATTAAAAGGATAATAAAGGCATTCTATGAACAACTCTATGCCAACTAATTCGATAACCTTGATGAAATAGGCCAATTCCTTGCCAGACACAATCTGCCGTAATTCACACATGAAGACATAGACAATCCAAATAGGCCCATGTTTATTAAAGAGATTGAATCAATATTTCATAATCTCACAGAACATAAAGCTCCAGACCCATACGGATTCATGGGTGAATTTTATCAAACATTTAAGGAAGAAATTATATTCTGCACAATCTTTTTCAGAAGGTAGAAGCAAAGGGAATACTTTCTAACTCATCTTAGGAGACTAGAATTGCCATAATACCAAAATCAAAGACATTACAAGAATGAAAAAACTATAGACCAACATCTCTCATGTATATAGAAGCAAGGAATTCTCAACAAAATAGCAGCAAATCAAGTCAAATAATGTCTAAAAAGAATTACACACCATGATCAATCCCAGGTAGGCAGAGCTGATTCAACATTTGGACATCAATTAATCTGTTACATCAACAGGCTAGAGAAGAAAAAAAGTCACATGATTATATCAATAGATGCAGAAAAAGCATTTGACAAAATCCAACACCTATTCTCTACCTTCTTACTGGCCATACCCACTCAACACACATACTGCTACGTTGTTATTGCTTGGCAGCCTATGTTAAGCTTGTGACAGGAGCAGGGAATTTCTCTATTCTTCTGGTCGAGATTCAGTTGTAGAGTCTTTGTGTCTAAGCATGGGAAATGGCATCTCTTTATTATTCCTTCCTGTTCCTCCAGTGACAGGCAAACTCCGTTATGTATCATTAACAGGTCTTGGGCAGGAAAGATTTTTTTGCCCCTCCATCAGCAGTAGCAAATGCTGCTATATATCATTCAAAATTCTTGTCCCTAGAGGAGCTTCTATTTCTACCCTTTTGCCAGAAGCTGTGACTCTTTGCTTGGTTTCTCAGGCAAAAAGGAGTGTTTTCTACCCTTCCTCCAATAGTTTTGCTTTTGCCATTTTCCAGCAGTCCTGTGAGTGGGAGATTTGCTGCCCCCGTCTCAATGGCTTGGGATTTTGCTTCTCATAAAAGTAGGGTCTGGTGAATTAATATTGTATGTTTGTCCCTCAGTGGTAGCCAAAAACCTCTTTCATATGTGTGCCACTGAAGGGGGCTCACTCTGTTCTCCTGCCTTGGACCCATCTTTTTTGTGAGTCCCATGATTTTGTGAGTGAGTGAGAACTACCATTGTTCGTGTAGCTCTCAGTTCTTCTAAACGAATGTGCTAACTCACAGTCAGTCTCTTCTATTGCATTACGATTTTAGCTGACTATTACCCACTTATTTGGCAGTCATCTGTCCCTCCTATGTTCTTTCAAAGATTAAATAGTCCAGCAGTCTCATCTCTTTGAAGGTGATTGTTATTCCTTGGAATTAAGTCTGCTTGAATGTCTTGTAATCTCAAGTTTCTGATGAATTCAAGAATGGTGTGCTTTTCTAAATTATCCACCTTTTCCTTGTTAAGATAGGATGGATGTTCTTTTGTAGCTTTCTATACCTTAAGCAGGATTGAAATTGGCAATGGTCTTTTAAAAGGCATTTAGCAAACAGCGACCCAAAGCAGTGGACTCAAAACACAGAATATACACATAGTTTATTTTTCAAGCAGAATACAAATCTGAAAGCATACATTTTATGTTGTCACTTTTTTGCTTAAAACCTCTACAATGATTTCTTATCGCTCTTAAAATACAAACTTCAGGCCACAACCCATAATTCCCTTCATCATCTGGCTGCTGTCTATATCACCACTCAACTCATATTGTTCTCCTTCTGGCTCACTCTGATGAAGCCTTATGGCATAGGTAGCTCTTATTTTCAACACACTAGACTCCTTCATGTCTCTGAGCTTTTTACCTCTAGCTGAAATATGCTTGCTTCTAATTTTTGTATGATTGGTTTCTTCTTCTTTTAGTTCATATCTGAAATGCCTACTTTCCCTTAGTTATTCCATGATCTCAAATCTCATTTTTTCATGTGACAATTCTCTCTACAATCATATTTATTTTTTGCTTATTTCTCAAAAAATAAGCCCCATCAAAGAAGGGAAATTTCCTCTACTAGTCACTTCAATATTTCTAGCACCCAGATCATTAATCGGCATATATTAGAAACTCATTACCACAGCCCCTTCACCCCATCTGTAGGGCATATGTTCCAGGACACTAAGTGAATGACTGTAACTGCAGATAGTACTGAACCCTGCATATGCTGTGTGTTTTTTTTTTTCTTATACATACATACCTATGGGATTGCTTAAGTTAGAATTTGGCACCGTAAGAGACTAATAACAATAATAAAAATTTATAACAATAGACTATAATAAAAGTTATATGAATGTGGTCTCTCTCTAAATATCTTGTTGTACTATCCTCACCCTTCTTGTGATGACATGAGAATATAAAATACTTACATGATGAGATAAAGTGAGGTAAATTACATAGAGAGGCATTGTGATGTAGCATTTAAAGCTTATTTCTGGAATTGTTTATTTCTGGAATTTTTCATTTACTATTTTCAGACCATGATTGACTATGAGTAACTGAAAACACAGAAAACAAAACTGAGGATAAGTGGGGACTACTGTAACTACTTACTGAAAGAAGGTTGGGTGAATTAACACCTGTGTATTATGTTAATATATGCAATTTTAAAAAATTCATAATGCTTTTGTGTGTGTATTTGGTATCTCTAGATTATTGAACAATGGCTTGGCATTAGTAAAAATTTACTAGATATTTAGTGAAAAAACTACGGAAATATAGATCTCAGATCAATGAGATATGGATTCAATAGTTTCATGGGGAAAATTTTTAAAAACAATAAAGCCTATTACAAATGTTGACATAGTCTGGATGGGTGTTTCTGTCCAAATCTCATACTGAAGTGTAATCCCCAATGTTAGAGGTGGGGCTTGTGGGAGGTGATTGGATTACGGCGAAATTTCTCATGAATGGTTTAGCACCATCCTCCATGGTACTGTTCTCATGGTAGTGAATGAGTTCTCATGAGTTCTGGTCATTTAAAAGTTTGTCGTACCTCCCTGTTTGATCTCTTGCTCCTGCTTCTGCCATATGAAGTACCAGCTCTAGCTTTGCCTTCAGCCATAAGTAGAAGCTCCCTGGGGCCTCCCCAGATGCAGATGCTGCCATACTTCCTGTACAGCCTGAAGAGCCATAAGCCAATTAAACCTCTTTTCTTATAAATTACCCAGTGTCAGGTATTTCTATAATAGCAATGCAAGTGTGGACTAATACAGAAAATTGGTACTGGGAGTGAAGCATTGCTATAAAAATACTTGAAAATGTGAAGTAGCTTTGGGATTGGGTAACAGGCAGAGGTTGGAAGAGTGAGGAGAGCTCAGAAGACAGATAAGGGAAAGTTTGGAACTTTTTAGAGACTGGTTAAATGGTTGTGAGCAAAATGCTGACAGTGATATGGATGATGAAGTCCAGGCTGAGGAGGTCTCCGATAGAAATGAGGAACTTACTGGGAACTGAAGCAAAGGTCACTTTGTTATGCTTTAGCAAAGAACTTGGCTGCATTTTGCCTCTGCCCTAGGGATCTGTCAAACTTTGAACTTGAGATTGATGATCTAGGATATCTGGTGGGAGAAATTTCTAAGCAGTAGCGACTTGGCTGGTTCTTTTTTTTTTTTTTTTTTTTTGAAATGGAGTTTCACTCTTGTCACTCGGCCTGGAGTGCCCTGCTGCGATCTTGGTTCACTGCTGCAACTTCCCCTTCCTGGGTTCAAGCAGTTCTCCCGCCTCAGCCTCCCGAGTAGCTGGGATTACAGGCACCTGCCACCATGCCCAGCTAATTTGTGTATTTTTAGTAGAGATGGGGTTCTACCATGTTGGTCAGACTGGTCTCGAACTCCTGATGTCAGGTGATCCACTGATCTCGGCCTCCCAAAGTACTGTGATGACAAGTGTGAGCCACTGTGCCTGGCTATGACTTGACTGCTTCTATCAGCCTATTTTCATATCAGCCTATTTTCATATGTGGGAGCAAATAAATGACTTAAAGTGGCAACTTACATTTATAAGGGAAGCAGAGCATAAAAGTTTAAAAGATTTGCAGCCTGGCCATGAGGCAGAAAAAAAAAAAAACAGCTTTTTCTGGAGATGAATTCAAGTGGGCTATGGAGTCACCACTTGCTAGAAATATTTGCATAACTAAAAGCTAAGTGCTAACAGCCAAGATAATGGGACAAAGGCCTCAAAGGAATTTCAGAGAACTTCATGGCAGCCCCTCTCATCACTGACTCAGAGGTCTAGGTTTCCTGGGTCAGGCCCAAGATCCCCACTGCCCTGTTAGCCTCAGGACACTGTTCCCTACATCCTGGCAGCTCCAACTCTGGCTCAAAGGGCCCCAGATATTGCTCAAGCCACTGCTTCAGAGGGTGCTAGCCATAAGCATTGGCAGCTTCCATGTAGTGTTAAGCCTGTGAGTACACAGAGTGCAAGAGTTGAGGCTTGGGAGCCCCTGCCTAGATTACAGAGGCTGTATGGAAAAGCCTGGATGTCCAGGCAGAAGCCTGCTTCAGGAGCACAGCCCCATGGAGAACCTCTACTAGGGCAGTGCAGAGGGGAAATGTGGGGTTGGAGCCCCCACACAGAGTACCCACAGGGGCACTGCCTGGTGGAGCTGGGAGAAGAGGGCCACTGTCCTCCAAACCCCAGAATGGTAGATCCACCGACAGCTTGACCCTGTGCTTGAATAAGCAGCAGGCACTCAATGTCAGCCATTTGGCACAGCTATGGGGGCTGAACCCTGCAAAGCCACAGGGGTGGAGCCGCCCAAGGCCTTGGGGGCCTACCCCTCACACCAGTGTGCCCTAGGTGTGGGACATGGAGTGAAAGGAAATTATTTTAAGGTTTAATGACTGCCCTGCTGGGTTTCAGACTGCATAGGGCCTGTAGCCCCTTTCTTTTGGCTACTTTTTCCCTTTTAGAACAGGAATGTTTACCCAATGCTTGTACTCCCACTGTATCTTGAAAATAACAAACTTGTTTTTGATTTTACAGGCTCATAGGTGGAAGGGACTAGACTTGTCTCAGATGAGACTTTGGACATAAAATGAGTTAAGACCAGAGATTATTTAGAAGGCATGACTGCACTTTGAAATGCAGGAAGGACGTGAGATTTGAGAGATACCAGGAGCAGAATGATAGAGTTTGGATGTGCATTCCCACCCATCTCATATTGAAATGCAATCCCCAAAGATGGATGTGGGGTCTAGTAGGAGACGGTTGGATCATGGGGGTGGTTTCTCATGAATGGTTTAGCATCTTCCCCTGTGGCACTGTCCTTGAGTTGCAAGTGAGTTCTCATGAGATCTGGTCATTTAAAAGTATATGGCACCTTCCAGCTCACTCTCTTGCTCCTGCTCTGGCTATGTAAGATGCCTGCTCCGGCTTTGCCTTAATGAGGCCTTCCTAGAAGCAGTTGCCCCATGCTTCCTGTACAGCCTACAGAACCATGAGCCACTTAAACCTCTTTTCTTATAAATTACCCAGTCACAGGTATTCCTTTATAGCAATGAGAGAACAGACAAATATAACTACCTTTAGTGATTTACTTGTCCAGTGTTCCTTCATTAGGTAACACACTCTTTCATGGGGCTATTCTTATTCTAGCCAAAATGAAATGTTAGCTATTTTTATTCACATTGTAAGTGACTGAAACAGCATAAATGATTCCATCTTAGGGGAAGTTATGCTTTACAAAGGGATAACAGCTTCAAATAAAGAATTCACTTCTAACAAATGGATTTTCAGGTTCCAGCCAATGTCAAGAATAGGGTGATTTGCAAGAGACAGTTCTCAGATTCTCAGAAATTTCCTGAAGGGTTTGACACACAAATGGCATACATGTTCAATCTTCCTCCTCTAGGAGCCCCACAATCCAAGTCTCAGACACCTCCAAATTAGTACAATTTTTACACCAACATGTCAAAGTCTCAATCTTGTTAGAGTATCAGGTTTCAACTTTCAATGTAAGGGTGAAGAAAGCCTTTTCTTTTCTCTCTCCTTTCCTTCCTTCCTTCTTCCCTCCCTTTCTCCCTCCTTCCTTTCCTCCTCCTTCCTTCCTTTCTTAAACTCCTTGGAAAATTTCTTACACACATTGTAAATGTAATTTGCTTCCCTTTCTCCTTTCTATTTATAAAGGAAGCTGACCCAGAGAGCCTCCAGCTACATTTCATAAACCACCAACCCACTGGATTTTATAGCTATAGTCAGTGTAGTAACAATTCAGTGTCACAAATAATGTCATACTACTTGCTAGGGCCTTCAAAACAATTTTTTTTTTTTTTTTTTAGAGTCAGGGTCTTGCTCTGTCGCCCAGGTGACCACGACTCACTGCAAGCCTCAAACTCCTGGGATCAAGCTATCCTCTTGCCTCAGCTTCCCATGTAGCTGAGACTACAGGTGAATGCCACCATGCTCAGCTAATTTTTAAAATTATTTTTAGTAGAGATGAGGTCTTGCTATGTTTCACAGGCTGGTCTGAAACTCTTGAGCTCAAGCAATCCTCCCATCTCTGCCTCCCAAAGTGTTGCGATTATAGAAGTGAGACACTATGCCTGGCCAAAGGTTTTTGCTCTTTCCCCAGGTGAAATTTGTAAGTCAGTTATTTAAATATAATCAATAGACAAAAAGTGAGAGAGTGAGAATTGATAACAATTGAGTTACATTGTGTCCAGTTTGCAAATGAAAAAAAATCTTGATGAATGTAACATGCAAATCTATTATGAACTTTCTAAGTCAATGTGAATAATTGCTTCAATATTCCTTTTAGGATTTGCTACTATATACTTTTCCATATTTTTTGCAAGTTATGATTTTCTAACATTCTTTATACCAACAGTTCTCCATCCTAATAATAATGACAGTTTAAATAAGCACATGAGATTGGTAAAAATGAATTTTATAGAATTATTAAGTTGCTTACCTTACAATTTGAGGGAGGTTATTCAGTAAATGTTTTTCAGAACTAAAAAAAAAAGTTGTTATTTCTCTGATAAGAAGCAATAAAATATATGCATCTTTTTCATATTTGCCATTTTCTTAATTTTTTTCATATAGCTTGTTTTGCATTAAGTCTTGAGTGTACATTTATTAAGAATTATTTAAGCACTGGAGCATTGTTAGAGTTCTCTGATATAAAATATAAAAATTTTTGTTCATATAACAAACCTCAAATATTTGGCACCTAAACAATGGCATCTTTAAACAAATGAAATTCTAGGGAATACAAAATTTGCAGGCAGAATTTTGGAAGCACTACTGAGAAAAGCCAAAGAAATGTCATGATTGGTCAGGTCGCTGTAAGATCAAAGTGTCCTGACATTGGCTGGAAAGACAAGCATGCAACTAAACCCATTCTGGCACATGAGGTCACAGTACAAATGAGTGTTGAAGCTGCACCAAAGAGAAGAAGGAAAACAATGATGAGCAGGAAAGAGAAGGAGACAGGAGTAGGAGGAAGGAGAAATATCAGTGATAAGGGAAGAAGAGTAAAAACATGATTGGTATAAGCTACACCATTTTGAAAAAAGCGAAAATAAAACATTAACAAAGGAAAGCAGACAGACAATGGTGTGGAAAAAGAAGAAACAAAGATATGGAAGATCAAAACCAAGCAAAAAAGGAATTTTATCCAGGACATCCTCCTATGGTATAATGCCTGAATATTAAGGAGTAACTCCATTTAGTCAAGTTAGTACAACGCTAGCAAATAGAGGCACTATTTGAAAAGAGGAAAACTAACATTCGTTGAGTGCCTAATCAATTGCAAAACATTTTGTCTCATGAATTACTCCATTGTTCCTTAATGGCAGTTCTGTTAGTCACTGTCATCACGACTGTGTTTACAGATTAGAAAACGAAGCCGCAGACAAACTTTAAGTAACCTGTCCAAGATGACAGCCTTGTAAAATGAGAAATTAGATTAATATGTAGCTGTTTTCAAGAATCATGGTTCAATTATGCCATTTTGCTCCTATCTTATGTTTATATTACATCAAAGATGACATTGATACAGTCAAACTTCCTTCTCATCAATTCCCTCAAACTCTTTATGTAATAAAAACAACTATGTATGTCCTTTGTAATACCTTTCATCTTGTCTCATGTTCCTTCAGAAATAGGATTAACTGGTACGTAGGTATACAAGACTCCTTGATTATTAACAGTCTTGGCATTGGTGTTGGGTTTATGTCCTTGATGAAGAAATGCCTGTCAATTTTGGCCAAAAAGTACAAATTGAAGTCATCTTCCTGGATTTCCAAAATGATAGTAGACATTTAAAACTCTATGTTTATCTAAACACTTTGAGTATATCTTCATGATAAATGCCATGTGACATTTTATGATACCAGTCACAGAAATGTAGCTTTCAACACTCAAATCGTATTACACTAGCCATATTAGCTAATTTATATATTCTATCATGGATTTTAGATTTTGTGATGCCAAAATGGCTCACTGAAATTGTTAACAGTAGGTTTACAAAGATCTGATTCTCATTAGGTTGGTCCTGATGGATTTACAGGCATAGGGCATATGACCCATACTTATGTTTAAGGCTAGATGCATAAATAAACTTTAAGATTAGAGAGAGAAGATTATTGTATTTTCACATTTTTTTTGATAATTAAAGCCAAGATTTCCCCCCCTAAATTGCTACTTGCATTATTTATTAGAAAATTACTTTGAAAGCAATGGTTGCTCGAAGTATTATAGGAAAGGAAAATTGAGTATTGAACAAAATTTACGTAAAATAAAATGAATACTAAAACATGTAGGAGAAAACTGTTTCATATCTCAGAGACAAACATCAATACTAAAATTTGTGTCTTTCATATATAATATCTGTGAGCTAATAAAAGTGGTAAGCCTGTCAAAACAATTGGAACTCTCCTTCAATGTGTAGCATAATCAAATACAATAACCATGAGGAATACACCATATAATGATATCAACAGTGTGAAGAAATTTATTCCATTTTATCTGTTTTTCATAGAAATGTAACATTCTAGAGGTGGTAGGATATAAAGCAGATGCACTTTAAGTTTAAATTGTAAGTGGGGAAACAGATGAGTCATGTAATTTGCCAAAGGCCATCAAGCAATTGAGATGATCCAAGACTAAAACCTAGGACATTTCATTTCCAGTCAGATCTTTCCCATTGTTTCTGCTAAGATAGAAGAAAGTGTTTCTGTATATAAACAGGAGCTAAGGCCAGGCATAGTGGCCCATGCCTGTAATCCCAGCACTTTGGGAGGCCAAGGCGGGCAGATCACCTGAGGTTGGGAGATAGAGACCAGCCTGACTAACATGGAGAAACCCCATCTCCAGTAAAAATACAAAATTAGCGGGGCATGGTGGTGCATGCCTGTAATCGCAGCTACTCGGGAGGCTGAGGCAGGAGAATCGCTTGAACCCAGGAGGCAGAGTTTGTGGTGAGCTGAGATTGTGCCATTGTACAAGAGCAAAACTCCATCTCAAAACAAAAAAACAAAAACAGGAGCTAAAAATGTACACACTACTTATTAATGTTTTCAAATCAGTAATAGACATATAGGGTAGCAAAGCCCTGGTTTTATTGTTTGTTCACACCTGACATCTAAATTTTGACATTGAATTACATTAATACTGTTGCCTCCATGGTGGAAGTTAACTGTAGGAGAAGTCACGATACCTCGATTAAGTGAAAAATACGTAGAGTTTATCTTGTTAGCAACAAGACTCTTTTTAGAGACAGAAAAGGTACAGCTACTCTGAACTTGAGCACCCCAGAAAAGGGTTCATTGGAAGAATAAAAAAAAGTTGTGTAAACTGAGTATGTTAGGTCATTCTTGTGTTTCTATAAAGAAATATTTGGAGCTGGGTAATTTACAAAGAAAACAGGTATAATGGGCTCATGGTTCTGCAGGCTATACAAGTGTCTGCTTCTGGTGAGGGCCTTGGGAAACACAATCATGGTGGAAGGCAAAGGGGGAGCAGGCATCTCACATTACCAGAGTGGGAATAAGAGAGCAAGGAGGGAGTTCTACACACTTTCAAACAACTAGATCTTGTGAAAACTCACTCATCACCAAGGAGATGGTGCTAAGCCATTCATGAGGGATATGCCCCCTTGATCTAAACACCTCCCACCAGGCCTCCCCAACCTCCAACACTGAGGATTACATTTCAACTTGAGATTTGGAGGAGAAAAATATCCAAACTATCTCACCGAGGAAACTGCAGCCATGATATGGCCAATGGCACAGGAAATTTGTTTTTCCTCCAGCATTACCAATGATAATTTACCTTGCAAATAGAATGACCAAGTGCAAGTTCCTTTCCATAGAAATCATTTAGCAAGGGAACAGCACCTGTTCAAGAATCTGTGAATTTCTAAGGGAAAATTTACATCTTTATTTTTTTACATCTTGAAGATTTAGCATTTTCTTTAATCATGACTGTAGCTCTAACCGCAGTAATATTAGAAGCACCTAGTCATTAATATAAATCAGATATTTTTATATCACCTTACAGTTTATTAACATATTGTTTACATTAAAGTGTATTATTTAATGTATTGACATATTTTAAAAACATTTTGATTACATTTGAATATACTAGTTTTTTCATTCTGTACATTTATTTATTTAAAAACATTAGTTTGAGAGACGTTTTTAGACTGACAACTAATCCATTGTGCAAGAAAGATGGAGAATTTCTGATCTAGTCTAACTGCCCTAATCCAAAACATCTTAATCTCAGTCCTAGTTAATTATTATTTTCCTCACTGATTTTACTCCTTCCATTCTTGTTACTCTAGAATCAATTCTACTTCAAATACCAGGGGTCTCTTTAGAATATGTAAGTACTGTCTCACTCACTCTCTTGCTAAAAATCTTCTGATGCTTTCCCAGTACACTGACTCAAGTCCACATTCCAAACCATAGTCCAAATGTCACACATCTAGTTTCTTCCAGTTTCTCTGACCTGACCAATTACGCTTTTCTTTACCTACTCTCCTGGCTTTCTTTGTATGCCTCTGTCATAAATTTGATATTGTCTATGGCCTTTGTTTGGCTTTGGTCCTTAGTGCTGGCTGGAATTCTCTCCTCCAAACGCTTCTCCCTACCAGATACTTGTATGGCTTCCTTCAAACCCACCAGGTTTCAACTCAAACACCACCTCCCAACATTATCCTTGATTACCCAAACTAAAGCAGCTCTTTCTTCCCCAGGTCCCTGTGTCATGTCACAGAATTGGCTTCAGAATTGTTCCCACCACCTGAAATTATCTTCATATCCACATATCTATTATATTTCTTGTTCAAGAGTATAAATTCTAAGAGGGCAAAGACTTGCCTGTTTGGCCTACCACTTTAAATTCTGCAGTACATAATGGGAATCGTATAAATATTTTTGACTGAGCCTCATTAGTTTATTGATGAGGAAACTAGGGCACAGGGTGCCTGATGAGTTTCCTTGTCATTTCATATCATAATGCAGACACTGTAAACACCTGTAATTAAACTTTTAATGGTCTGCTGGTATTTTATTTTTGATTACAGTTAAACAAATTATTCTATTATTGAAAAATACAACTTCTCTTGTATTGAATGAGCTTTTAGTGATTTGTCACACTACCTCCTAAAAGCTTACTCACCTAAGCACAAAACCCCAATTATTTTTACAGCACTGGTTAATTTTCTCTAAAATTTTTCTGAAATTGATGTCCCAGTTTCTGAAACTGTATCTTCTTAGGCATAGATTGTTCCTTGGATCATTTTTAGAATAATAGTGCCCTCTATGTTTAACCAACATTAGATAGTCCACCAAAGACTTCTTGGAAGGTTTTTAAAAGACAACTCATTGTTTATTTAGTCTCTGGTTACATTAAAAAATGAAACTCTATACTACAATTATAGTTTAATTTCAAGACCATTGATTTGTTTAGTTGCCAAGCTTTTGTAAATACTTGAATATATATTTCATTAGCTTGCCATTCATTTAGAGTTGGAAAAGTTAGAATTTCCTCTGCATGGAAAGAATCTGCTCTACTAGATCCAGTTTGTTTATTTTCTTGAAATAGTTGATGCAAATAAACAGTCTAGTTGAAAACAGGACTTTGGCTGGTCTTTAAAGCCAGCTGAACTAATAAACCAACTTGTCAGTGCTATTCTCCCAGATCATATTTTCCCTTGATGCTGTTGAACTATAGGGACACTCATTTATTATAGGATTTGCGTTCGTAATACCAGTCAAATCATCTGAAAATCTAGATCTTTTGGACAAAGTAATAAACAGATGACCTAAGTGGGATTACACTTTTACAAAAGAGCTTTCTCTGCTTTAGTTCCAGATATGGTTGGTTTTCAGCCTGGTAGTGTGATCAAAGTCAGATATCTCTGGAACAGAGTGAAGGAAACTAATGACTGCCACACAGGATAAGCAATAGGCAAGTCAGGCAGGTATGCAGAGTTGTCATGGACACAGTGATGATTATGTTTCATGTTGTTAAAATAGTAAGAGTGAATCTGGACGGTAAAAAACCGAGTCATGCCAGAGCACTTGAGTCAGCTATGTGTATGCCTGCTAGGGAGTTTTCCTTTGTTCTGCATAGAGGCAGTCAGCTTACTTTAGTGGCTTTTCCTTGCATGGCATAATCACCAGCTATGTGATTAACCATGTCTAGTTAAGTTATTTCATCACATCAAAAGTAGTGTAAAATAGCTCTTCTGTTGACTGGAAAGCTGAGTTCAGTGGTTATGAATGTACCAGACATCAAAGAGCTCCATTATCCACAGACTATATGGAAGCAGGCCAGCAGCATTCAAAGTTTCCCCTCTATTGCTCTTTCCTTTAAGTGGAGTCAGCACCTACTAGACTGGAGGGAAGGAAGTGATTTCCATAATAATCCATTCCTGCACTCTTTAACCAAATAGGAAGGATGGTGACCAGCTGTTCTGTATCTCCACCAAAGGCAGATAAAGGGGAAAAAATGTGTTCATTTTATAACAGGAAGACACCACTGGGTACTGGCTAGAAAAAAGAGAAAAAGCTTCTAATTCTGGCTTTTACCGCTATTAAGTTCTACAATTATGGCTAAATTGTTTAGCTTCTCTTGAAGCATCTCTGAAAGACTAGAACTAGTTTCAATAATCTGGAAAGTTCTTCAGGGCACAAATCATATGCAATTTTAAATATTTGATTCTATGTGTTACCTAAACTTGAAACAAGTGAATGAAAAATATCCAAATATCAACTCCAGGAAAATTTTAGTATAGGGAATACAAACCATGTCAAAATGTGCCTTGAGAGTGCAAAAAAAAAATACTCAATAAAGTCTAAGTAGATTATCCTGATGATTACAAGTGTTCACATTTTTAATGTATGCTTATCTCAGCTTGGGTTCCCCAGAAGCAAATCCTGGGATGAGGTTTCGTACAAAAGTGATTTATCAGGAAGTGTTCCCTGGAAAAATTGGTGGGAATATGAGAAAATGGGATGCTGAAGGGAAAGAAAAACAAAAGTGTAATATCAAGCAAAATGCTATAACATAATCAGTTCAATCCTCCAGAGAAATAGAATTGAGATTCAGGCCATGTTTGGGAAGAAAATGATAGGAAAATCCAATAGAGGAGTGATATAAAATAAAAACTATGTTTCCTTATCAGAATAGTTTGTTTCCAGATTTCATTAGATAAGACGATTCTAACAAGTTAAAGTCTTCTGCTTCAGGTATACATAGATATTGTATTATCTCACCAATACCTACTTTATCATCATTAAGCAGGAATTATGCTCTGATGGCAGCTTCCAACTTGGATCATTACTATTAGATAAGAGCAAGATGTCAACAGCATGATAGAATTCCTGAAAACTCATGGTGCCTTGTGTAAGTTTTACAAAGCATCCAAGAAAAAAAAAGTAACATGCAACAAATGAAATTAACATTTCTTATGTTATTCTTCCTTTGTTCCCTGTAGATGTAAAAATCTGGAACCAAAACTCTGAGGAATTTAAGATTAATTCCATAAAAAGCAAGTCTGAGTTCCTACCTTTTTTTTTCTCATATTTCATACAAGAATGGCTGAAGTAAATGTTTCTTCACTTTTTAATAACATCAATGTGCCAAAAATATACTTAAAAATGATTCATTAATTTGTTACATCATACTGTAAGAATTTTTCCTATCTATTTTGTCCAAGGACAAAATGACTAACAAAGCATGATGTTGCACTTACATGCTTCTTGATAGCAACCCAAGCTCCAATTCATTAAATATATTCTGATATTTGATTCTTAATCCAGTATCTTCTTATTTGTTTTATGTCTTCAAAAAGTTGAAAAGAATCCCATTCTTCATCTTCTCCTCATCTTTACTTTAAAATTCAACCTCCACCTGGACATTGACATGAAAATGCCCTTCCCTAGAACCCTTTAAGAACAGCATAAACAGTTTGCCTGAATAACAAAAATAGCAAATGAGTAAGGTAAGGTGGCAGGTGAATTCTGAGAGGACGAAATGTAAGGAGAAATTGACAACATCTAAGATTGGCTAGGATATAAAAGGATTATAGCATGGAGGGAAGAGACATTTGTGGGAACATTATTTTCAGATGGATGCAGCAAAAGTGGGGCTGGGTGATTGTTATGGTTACTTTGTTGTTGGTTTAATAATGTTGCGGCCAAATGTATACAAAAATGGCCATTCTATTTTTAACTTGGGAAACTTACTTATTCTCAAATTATTGGTACCTTCACCCTGTAAGATGGGCTAAAGATATTTACCTTGAAGGGTTTTCGTAAAAACTAATGTGCGCAGAGTGCTTAGCATACCTAAAACATTAGATAAATAGTAGCTTCTGTTTTTATCTTTTGGCTGTGACATAAGTACTAGTGCTTCATTTGATATAATTGTGTTCCTCTTTGCCATTGTCCTATTATGGAATATTGTAAGAACAAGAAAGCTGCCTTATTGATCAAAAAGAATTGCACACTTTAACATTTACATATCAACGTCTATGAAGCAGTTTGTGGCACATATTGAGACCTTAAATTAAGATGATGTTTAAATAGATGGTAATCTAGTAAAATAAGCAGTTAGAAAAATTAGTATCAGTCAACCAAGGTAAGAAATTTTTACTTTGTCACATACTCATCGCATGAGATGTTCCTGCAGGATATGACCATTGTCATCTTCCATAAGCTTATCAATCCAATTGATTAGTTATAGCCCTATTAGGGCACATAATTGTGTCTAGTAGTGTTTTCATAGTTACTCTAGTAAGTAGTCATCCAGATTTCTTCTGCAAGTTGTGGAATTTAACACTGTTTTGTTAATGATTAGTGAAAGTATTATTTTCATGTGAGAAGGATAAAATATTCCAATTTGAAAATGTATCCAAGTAGAATTTATAGTAACATTATAACTTTCTCTTTCTTTTGTCCTATTAGGCAGTTAAGTTCAAGTAACCACAGGGCTTTTGCTCTTAAAGAGATCTGGCTCAGAATGAATACCAGGTTGAAGAGGCTGAGACAGAGCAGACTTGCTGAAGGATTTGGGGGATATTTAGGAATAATGTTAAAAATAAAAAAAGCCTTAGTTGTTGGTGAAGCCAGAGAGACAGGAGAAGAAACATGCTGGTTGTGCCGGGAGTTTAGCTATTCTGTCTCATATAATCCTCACATCTTTCAGAAGATAAAAGGGATACTCAAGCAGTTAAGTAACTTGCCTGGGGTAAACGGTTGTCAGAATTCACTTTCAGCAGTGTCTGACTCCAAAGCCTTGTTTTTCCCTCTGTATCTTTTTCTATACTTCAATTATTAAAAGAATTTCTTATTTTAAAATGTATTTAGCTCCGCATTTTTAGATATGTTTGTATCCCTGGAAACCAAATGACAGAGGGTTTGTCTTCTTGAGGGTACTGTTTTATCCTACAACATCAGTGAAGCACCCTGCTCATATATTACTGTCATAAGTCTCTGGCAGGTATGCCAAGTTATCTTCCTTTTCCTGAAGCATGGAAGGGAAAACAAAAGGTGTTGGCAGGTTAAACAGAGGCAAGAGAGCCAGAAAAGAGAAGGCAACTGTCAGACAGCAGGATAAGACTGGCAAATGAGAAGAATTACATAGCAGGTGAACAGAAAGACTTGAAGGAGCACAAATTGATGCTAATAGAAGTATGGAAAAGCAGGGGTTATTAGACCTTTGATACTTGTTAAAAGTCAAATATATTTTGATTATTTGGTGAAGAAAATTGTAAAACAGCCCTTCAGTGACTGTGAGTGAGAGAATTGTGTTTCACTTCCCTGAGTTCATTGGTTTATATTGATGTATGAGGTCTCTTAACATATTAACACAGGCATTTCACCACTGCACTTTTCTACACTAACTGAGAAAGCCAACTCCATGAATCTCATCTTTTAGCACCATAATGTTTTCTAACCAATCATGTCAAAACTCAATGACTTAAAACAATAAGCAAATCTGTGGGTTAATAGGACAATTTTTCATATCCAACTTTGTGGGAATTGTTCCCATGTTATAGGGGACGGCTGGCTTTTGGCTAATCTGGGATGGCCTTGCATAGAATGACTGCTGTGACTTGGCTCTGTTCCTGTCTTTCCTCCTCAAGCAGCCGTGCTCTTATTTTATATGGGCAAAGTGCAGAAGCAGGTAAATCCCGTATGTACACACTTTCCAAGCCTCCCCTTGGCCATGTTTGTTAACATTCCATTGGTCAAAGAAAATCACCTAGTCAAAGCCAAAGCCACAGCCAGAGTAGTGGGAGGGCTCTACACAGATAGATGGCAAAGACAGGCATTCAGAGGAGAGCAGAGACTCTGAAACGTTGTTGTGACCTACAACATGACATTTGGACACACATTTTAAGTTTCTGCCGAGGCCAAAACAGACTGAAACAGCAGAACACACATATCTAGGAAAACATATGCAAACCAAGAATTTCACCAAATATAAGTCACAATCTGCAAAACCACATTGTTTCTAATAGCAAAAGCAACACAACTGCCTTTGATTTTTTTTCTTAACAGAGAAAGAGATAGGGGATGTGTAGCTCTGACTTTAAAAGTTACTGCATTTACATTTATTGTAGTCACTGATGTATTTCTATCATTATGTATTCTGACTTTTATTTACTGCTATTGTGATTCATTTTATCTTTCTTGATTAACATTTTAATTTTTTTTATTTTTTTCATGTCTGGTTTAGAGGAGATACATTCTATTTAATTTCAAAAACTTCTAGCAAACATGCTTATCTTAATATTTTACCCAATGTAGAATTAAACAAACCACATCCTCCTTCTTAAAGGTCTACCTCAGTATTCTTCAACCACCTCATGAAATCACTCTGTCTTATTATATATTATTTTCTAAAATTTAGTTCAAGTATGTTTTTAAATATTCCAAAGGTTGTTGTTTATAGTTAATATTGCATTATTTATATTTTTGAAACTCCCCTGCTTAAAATGTTTTAATAGTTTCCAGCTGTGTTATAATTATAAATATTTCTTTAAAATTTTTGAAGAGGAAAACATAAATAGGATATAAAAGAAGATGTTATAAAATTCAGAAGGTCTCCTATTCTGCCATAGACTCCAAATCCCCATTTTAGAAGCACACGTTAGCATTTATATATGTTCCTACATATTTTACACAAATATTTGTCTACATACCTATTTGTGTGTTTGTGCGTGTGTGTATGAATATTTTTATTTGATTTATTAACAAAGAGACTATTACATAAAATATACTGTCTTGAATAGCCCTTTTCATAGCTTACTTCACAGTATTACTCTTTGCAAATATTACTTCCTCTTCAAATTATTATTGTAATTTTTTCACATTTAAATGCAGTATATAAAATTCAGCTCATTCTTTTGATTCGCTATTCCATTATAATAATGTACCATAACTTATTTAACAGAGTTTCCTATTAATGGATATTCCATTTGTTTTCCATCTTACACTTAGATGCTGCAATGTATAGTGTCTGTTCCCTGACAATGATAAATCAATCTTTTTGATTTTTGCCGGATTGATGGGTAAAATTGGGAATTTTATAGTTTTAATTTGCAATTTTAATATGAGTCACAGAGTATCTTGTAATATGCCTAAAGCTATCTGCATTTCATTTTTATTTTTAAATAAATTGGCTGTTCATATTATTTCCCCATTTTTATATGGGTTATTGGTCTTATTAACTATATGTGATTACTGACTAATAAAGGATATTAGCTATTTTCTGTAATGTAAAAAACAATATTATTTTTCATTTTACAATTTGCCTTTGGCCTTTGCCTATATATGTTTTATAATATATTTTTTAAAACTTTAAATGGTAAAATTGGTCAATAAAATAGATAATGATTCCTGCATTTTTGAAAATATTTTGAAATGTTTTACCAATTCTAAAATTATTTTTCAATTTCTTGTTTCCTTCTAACAAATTTATAATTTACTTTTTCATATTTAAATATTTGATCTGTATGAATATTTCTTGGCATAAAACCATTGTGATAACACCCTCCCATGTTATCACAATGTATTTATTACATAATCTAATTTTTTCTGCACTGATGTGAAATTGTACTTTCATAATGAATGCATGCACATACACATATACACATATGCGGAATTATGTATGAATTTTCTGTTCTGTTTCATTAATCTGTTATTAGCAAACACCTTAATATCCTAAATGTTCACTTTACCGTTTTCACTTAAGAGAAACCCAAATCTCCCACAAATGCACTTCTTCCCTGGAAGCCTTCTCAAGTAATGACAGATTTTGCCATCATATTTATTAGCCACTTCTAACTCTGCGGGACAGTATTCTCCATGCTCCTTATTGCTACTCACTGTCACCATGCTGACTCATTTCACTTTAAATTCATGACCTCTATCCTTTCATGAGCCATTACTGCAGACTGGGGTTCATACCTGCCTTTTTCTCCTCAAGCCTTCAGTCATTCTTACGTTATCTTCACTATCACTCCATGACCTTATATTTTATTCTACTAAAGATAGAGGCCATCAAAAAAGAGAATTTCTCTATAAGTTCAAACTACCGCATCTATCCATTTGACAACATCTATGCTCATGCTGTTTCTTCTCTTCTACTACTATGAAAGCATTTTCTGTATTCTTTTTCCAAGGCCAACCCTAACAGTGAAGCACCTAATTTAGTGCCTTCCACACAGCCAAGGACATTTTCTCAGACATTATCCCAACTATTTCTTATGTCATCTATGTTTTCCTTCCAATATATTTTCATCAGCATAAACATGCTATGAAATCTCTTACCTTGAAGAAGAAAAATATATCCCTTGACCCCACATATACCTTCAGTTAAAACCACACATCTCCTTTGGTTGATAGTAAAACTTCTCAAAAGGGTAGTCTGTAAACTTTTTGTCCTCCTGTTATGGATAGAAGGCTTTCGAATCAAAATTTTACTAATTTAACTCAATGAAATTTTATTTTCTCAAGTGAACTATAATTTCCATGTGTTAAAAAGAAACCTCCATTCTCATTCCTCATATTACATGATTCAGATAATCACTACCTACTCCTTGAAACATTTTCTTCCCTTGGCCTCAGCATTGACTTCTGATACAACTATTACGAGTTATGTCAAACTGCACAAGTTAAGAATACAGTTCTCCATTAGTCTACCCTCACTTCAGACACAAGCCACAAGCCTGGAGTTCCCCAGACCACTCTCACTTCTGATCCGCTCTCTACAAATTAAGGAGTTCACACTACCCTCTAATAATTCACTAGATATAATGAATTCACTAGAATTCACTAGAGTAATTCATTAGAATGCCTGACAGAACTCAGGAAAGTGCTGTACTTACAAATATAATTTTAATAGCAAAAAGATACAAATCATTACCATTCAAAGAAATCTGCTCATAGGGCAAGGTGTGGGAGGGTCCCAAACAAACAGCTTTCTTGTCCTCAGGACTCATTACTCTCCTAGAACATCAGTGTGCAATAACATGTAGAGTACTGTCAATAAGGGAAGTTCATGTGAGTCTCAGTGTCCAGAGATTTTATTGGGCTTTCATTACATAGGCCTGATTGATTGAACCATTAACCCATTCAGTTTAATTTGATATCCAGCCTCCCTCTTCCCACCAGAGGTTGCATTGATATCACATGACTCAAAACTCCTCAACCCTCTAATCACATGGTTGGTGTTTCTGGTATGGCTCATTTCAATCATGACTCATCTTATTGGCATAAGATACCTAGAGACCCAACATGAATAACATGTTCTTGTTCAAAAAATTTATTGAATAACAAAGACACTCCTATTACTTCAGAAATTCCAAGGATTTAGAGATCCCCTCTGAGGAACTTGGAATAAAGGCAGTTAAAATTATTTATTACACAGCCTCCCACATTTTCTTGGTTTTCCTCTGTCTTCACTGGCGGCTCCTTTCTCAGTTCTCTTAGCTGGTTATTTCTAAACTCTCCAGTATCTACCAGTGGACTGTCTCAGGATTTAATCCTTGTTACTCTATAATTAGCCAACCAGTTTTATGTCTTTAAATATTATCTACATGCTAAAACATTGCCAAATCTATATCTACAGCCCAGATTTTCCTTTTAAATGTAGAATCATACCAGAAAGTACATATGTGACATTTTACTTTAATGTCTCATAGGCATCTCAAACTTTACAAGCCCCAAATTTCACTTCTGATCTTTTTTCCATTAACTTACACTACTCGTTCTTACAACTACCTCCTCTGCATTCTCCCTCTATTGCTACTACCCTTGTCTATTTTAAAATCATATTTTACCGATATTATTAAAACATTAACCTAATTCATTTTCTTACTTCTGACTTTCACCCTTCAACAGTTTATTCCCAATACAGAATATAGAAAAGGTCCAAACCTGTGCTCTAATTCTTCTCCATATTAGGTCTGCATTATAACACTTGCACTTTCTCTTTGAAACATTAATCTACCCATCACACTAAAAATGATTTTTTTTCATTGTTTACTTCACTGGAGTGCAAGCTAAATGAGCTTATGTCTATCATTCTTGCTCACAACTATATCATAGTGATAGAGAAGTTCTCAGTATATTTAATTTCAATTGAGATTAATTGAATAAATATTTGGCTTCCTATGGGACTCAGAGATCCTGGAGCTCCAGTGTTGCACAATGTAATAATCTCCCTGAACGCTCCCTTTCCTTACTGTAAAATGCTAGAGCATCTAAAGAGGAGATCATCACCAAGATGGGCAGAGAGAAATGAGCATTTGAAAGAAGTTGTAGAGTAAGATGGCAGACTCAAAATCTAGGAAATCTCATATTCAAAACATTTGAAGGCTGAAGCAGGAGAATGGCATGAACCCGGGAGGCAGAGCTTGCAGTGAGCCGAGACACTGCACTCCAGGCTGGGCGACAGAGGGAGACTACGCCGCATAAAAAACAAAAAACAAACAAACAAAAAAAACATTTGAAAGGAAAGACAGGTTCCTTCTTTCTGTAGCCAATAATAATTTTTTGAAAGCCAGATAAATCAAAATCAAACATATTCCATAAAATATTCCAATGATTAATGGAAATAGTATATATTCTTAAATTTAACTAAAATGAAATATTTAATTGAAATTTAACCAGAAATCAAAACCAGATCAAATCTAAGAAGCAAAAAGTTGCCAAAGATGAGATCCAGAAAAATTAGGCTTTTTTTATTTCTTGGAGAAAATTGTCTGGATCATGGTGGTGACATGTATTACTAATCTACTTTTTATAAAACAGCCATTGGAAAGCGGATTTCAGCTGATCACTGGTACCCTATGTCTCAGTGTTGTTGTGGCTATCTGTCCCAGTGTCTGCAAGGTCTTTACTGTAGTAGAATCAGCACTGGATATATTTCAAGAGTAAAAGGACTCCTAGAGCTATGAAAGCAAGTTAGGGATGTTATTTAGAGATTAAAATATAAGGGGTAAATCCTCACTTTTAAGCAAATTGTAGGAAATTATACTATACAAATTGTAGGAAAACATATCACTCATAGAACGATTAAAATGCTGCTTATAGGTGTTCTGTAAACTGAGCCATTCTTCATTTGAATATATCAATCTTGTAAGTATAAAATGATCTTGTCTTCTCTAAAACTCTGATAAATATCAGATCTAGCATGCAGTCTAGCTCATATTTGCTTTGATGAAACTTAAGACCTCTTAATTCTATGTGGGGCTCTTTAATTTAACTTGGGGTTTGTGCCACGAGAGGAAAGATTCCTGAAATTTGAACATCCTATGGTAAAGAGAGCTGATTTTAGGCAGCCAAAGCTCTTCTAAGGGAGCTTTTATAATTCTCTCATTGAAGCCTCAATTTTAAGTGACTTAATTAGATTGTATTTTATGTTTGGTTTTAGTAAGAAAAAAAACAAAATATTGGCATCTCATGGAGAATGCAGTGAAGTTACTAGAAAGATTATTGGAACCATGTATACTTTAAACATTTAACATTATTCTGTGTTTTTTGAAGGGTATCCATGCCCAAAAAAAAAAAAAAAACCGAAAGACTGAATAAAGCAAAACTAATATGAAAAGCAACTATGAACTAGATTGTACGTTCAAAAATTGTATTATAAGATTATAATGTTTAAAATTTTTGTATGCAACTTCTATTCACCTGTATAAAGAAGACATTCATTTGCACATATTTATAAGTAGGAGCACGTATATCAACATCTCTTTGGTATTTATATTTCAGAAAAACACATAAAAACTTGAGCTCTTTTTATTTTTGCATTGGTCTCACTTCCATGTGTCCCTAAAGTATTTTCAAAATGTTACCCGTTGATTTATAAAGTGATAAACATTCAACCATAAAAGGTTGAATTTAGAGGCAGATGCCAGCAGTGCCCTGCTCCTAACAAGTTCATGCACTCTCCATCAGATAGCAAATGCACCTTCCTCCTCTCCTCTGTGTCCCCTGTGCACAGGAGCATGCTCTGCTCACTCATAGGTCAGGCTGGGAGTGTTAGGAGGTAGGATAGATAGTTAAGACTTCTGGGAGCAGCCCTCAAACAATGAGGAATAGGAGTTTGTAAATAAATACAGCCTCTTCCTCACCCTTTGGGAGAAATTACTCTGAGAGATGCTCTCCCTTGTCTCCCAGAAATCCCCCTCTGGATGGCACCTCAGTTGATGACAACTGGTTTGTTGACAGCTCCAGCCTGCCTGCCTTCTCTGTCTCACTACACCATTGCCCTACTGGTGCTTCCCTGGGATCAACTCCCAAATAAACAGTTTTTTTCTCACATCCTCATTTCAGGGTTTACTTCTGGGAAGAACCCAAAGCTTTTATGAAAATGTAATCATCTGAGAAAGTAAAGGTGGGAGACGGTAGAGAAGGAAATACTGGAAAAGGAATAGCCACAAAATGAAGAAATAGCCAAGTTAAAATATGATACTAATGAAAAATTAAGGAAGGAAAATACGAGATAAACCAGTGTAAGAAGAGGAAAGACACTATGGAGGCAAGCAAAAAGGGGAAGGCAAAAGTGATAATAAATTAGATTTAAAATACAAAAGTGAGAGAGAGTAAACAGTTAGAAAAAAAAAAAGAACAAAATTATTTTTTACTAATTTCTTCTAGCTGCCATCCTCTTGTTATCCTGGCCAGGAAGCCAGGTAATCCAAACTACTGTGGTCACTGAGAAGCTGGAAGAGAATATAAGAGCTCAGATTCAGAGTTCTTTGGGCAGCCTAAGGACAGGCATCATGTATGAAAGAGAATCCAAGCTTCAAATCAGAAATGTGTGTTTAATGTGTATGTCAAAGAAATGAGGAGTCAGTGTACAGAGAACCAAAGAAGATGGACATGAGGGAGATCCAATCAGCATGACTGCATAAACAGTATACCTATACAAATCTCAGAAGAACTGGCTAATGAGCCTCACTTGACTTAAATTTCCATGAAAAAAAGAAACTGTGTCTCTTTCTCCTCGTGGGCATTTGTTTTTGTTACTCTTAGATAGTTTGGTAAGAACAGTAGTTTGGTAAGAATAGAATTGCAGAGTCTTAGGGTAAGTATATGACTACCTTCATAAACTACCAATCAGTTTTCCAAAATTGTTACACCATTTTACACTCCAGCCAGAAATGTACGAGAGTTCCAGTTGCTCCACATCTGCACCAACATTTGGTGCTGTCAGTTTTTTAACTATAACTGCAGTAGTGGGTGCAAAGTAATATTTTACAGTATAAATGTTAAATACAACATTTGCATGTTGAGAACATTTTCATGTGTCTGTAAGCTACTTATATCTCTTATTTTATGAAGTGTTTATTTAAAAGTTTCATTCTTTTTTATTGTTTTTCTCTTCCTTTTGGCAAGAAGACTTATAGCCCTGGTGATGATAAAGCAAATCTTTTTCATTAAAAACCACAAGAAATGTTTTTTTCAAAGGTAACCACATTGTACTAAAATTGCATTTTTATTTTAGTTGATATAAAACAATTTTAAATGTAAAATAGGTTTGTTGCAGATGCACAGTGCTTTTAAAATTTTTAAGGATTGTTTAATGTATGTATTGGTACCAACATAGAAATAAATCCTTGTGTAATTTCTAGCTTCCCACGGGCCTGATTTAGATTTTTTGTCTCAAATCTGACAAGATGAACAAGTCTTAAGTGTTATTCCTTATCTATTTCTCAAATTTAACAGATAGCTCTATTATTCAAACTCCAGTACCTAAGGATCTTAGACATGTGTTGTTTCTTACTTCTTTAATAACAAACTCGTTGCCCCTGATCATACTATCAACATAACTATAGTTATTTTATTTAAATTGTATTGTCCGTAAACATCAAGTATTGTGAAAATATTAGGATAAGAAATGTTACATAAAGTATACTCTAGGTTAAAGAGTAATGTCACTTTTATATACAGATTACAGTTTACTAACAGCTTTCCAAAAGTATACCAGGGTGATATGGTTTGGGTGTGTCCCCATCCAAAACTCATCTTGAATTGTAGATCCCATAATTCCCACATGTTGTGGGAGGGAATCAGAGGGGAGATAATGGAATCAAGGGTGGCTCTTTTCCCCATAGTGTTCTTTTGGTAGTGAATAAGTCTCATGAGATCTGATGACTTTATAAGGGGAAACCCCTTTAGCTTGGCTGTCATTCTTTTTGCTGACTGCCATGTAAGACGTGACTTTCGCCTTCTGCCATGATTGTGAGGCCTTCCCAGCCATGTGGAACTGTGAGTCCATTAAACCTCTCTCTTTTATAATTACCCAGTCTCAGATATGCCTTTATTAGCAGCATGAGAACTAATACACAGGGTATAAAATTTCATGTATCTCATTACATTCTAGTCAACACTGAATTGAACGATCAGAGTCATGGAATTTTAGAGATCAATTGGACTCAAAAGACTCTTTAGCATAGTGCTTAAGTATTTAATATTTGCATATTAATGAGCTTGGCAGACACATTTACTGATACATTTAAGTAAATATATTTTTAAATGATTAGTGACTATTAAACTTTATCTTGATATTTAAGTAACAATTTCATACCAATGAAAGAGAGATTACAGAACTGCATATTTTATTCAATGAGTCACTTTTGAGCCAAAATCAAGTTTGAACTAATAGAATATTACCAAAAACAAGACTAATCAAAAATGCATACTGCACAAACTTAAGCAACAAGGTATAATTTATATAAAAATATATTTCAAATGCAAACTGCAATTTACATTGTGAGAGAAAGTTAAAGTCAAATATTTTAAAGCATGTGTCCAACCCTTAAAAAGTTAGTGATTTAAGAAAATAATGGAATTTCTTTGTAAATCATTATGGGTTTTATATTTCAAAATTTTGCAATGCACACGGATAAAATTGTTTGCTCTGTCTTCTTCTGTTACTATTGAATCATGGTAGCAGTCTTCATAAGACATGTTTTAGTTTAATATATAATCATTTTAAAATTATTCAAAAAGGAAACATCGTTTAAGAACTAGAATTTCATGAAGAACCATTTTAGCCAGAAACAAGCCAATAAGGATTGAATCTTCTTTGACTGGTAAAAAAATGATTAATAGAAAGTTTTACTCACTGAAAAGAGATAACAAATGTTTCATCTTGAATACCAACTCTCATTAGTCAATAGTAGCTGATTGGAGCACCATTTGAGAGAGATTGAAAGCTCTGTCTAGGCTCAGAGGGAAAGAATGACATGGCTTTGTTAACAACGGCCACCACAAGCATGAGACGTAAGAGTGCCACATATATCCTGGTCCTCTTTTATAATCTTTTTGTTGCAAGTCCTTCATTCAATGTAATTGTGCAATTGAAAAGGATACATGAGCCGTGCTCTTTTTCTGCTTATAGAAAGTGAAATGAAGTAACACCAAACTTTCAGTCTTTGACCACAAAATCTCAATCATCTTTTTTAAGAATTCTTTTTAAACTTTGACAAAGTGGCTATGGGAGCATTGATTTGCTAGCTTTATTGGAACAGATGCTCTGCCTTGATAAGAAAATCATCAAAAGTATGGAGTATATAAATTTCTAATAGGAGTATAGAACTACATTTATTTTTTTAAAAACCTGTTTGGTTAAAAACAATAGTTACTTTTCTCTGGAGATAAAGAATGAAAGATTTCATTGCTATAACTTTTTCTTGACTTCTGTTCAGTGGTCTTGTGGCTCTAGCTTAGCCATGTTTTGTAGTTCTGATCTCAGACCACATTAAGAAACAGTGGCTTCAGGATTTCTATACAGAAAGGTAGGAGCAGTGATTGAAATATGAGACAGATGACATTCCTTGAAGTGTTTCACATAGCATAATGGTGTTTTACTCAATTATGTATTTATTTGTGGTGTGTTGATGAAGACAGTGGGGTGGCCAATGCCCTCTCAAGCCATTGCATTTGAGAAATATGAATGTGTTCATACAACATTTTCCTTTGATGTTTAGATAGTGGTTAAGAAAATGGTTACCTTACGTGAAATAAGCTGGATGTCATTAGAAGAAACACACTGATCATTTACCTAGTGATAGCTGCATTAAAGGAACTTCTGATGCCTTTTTGCATGACCTAAGCGATCTGGGCTTGTTTATTTTTGTTTGTATTTTGACAAAATAATATGTTTCTGGAGCTTTTATTTATTTCCAGTAGCAGAGTAAAGGAGTTATGTGATAACTCACTACATCTGGTCTTCCACATAACAGAGCAAAGATTCTATGGTACTCAATTCCAGTCTACAGTCTTTTATGTAAATTTCTTTCAACACATAGAGCATAATCAATTTTCTAAAAAGAATTAAATCTAAGTCTCTGGGGTTATTCCTTTCTGACCTATGGCTAGTCTCATATAAAACAAATACCAAAACAAAATATGTTCAATAATGACTTATGAGTCAACAGTGCTTCAAGTATTCATTTTTGGGGTTTAACAATAAATTTTTAAAAGATCTGTCAAAGCTTAATACACACATAATTGAAACAGTAAAGGGAAAAAGAATATTTTGTCTTCTGATTCCAAACACGTTTTGTTGCAGTGAGGAAATATTACAACTATTGTTCAGTGATTTAGTGTGTTATTGCAACATTATATAACACAGAACATTTATTGTTACAGAAAGTGCTTTTCACTTTAAAAGTCTAAGTCATAAAAAGTTGTGCACCCGGTTATCATTTACCTTTTCCTTAGGTACATTACTTTTCATACGCTTTCATTAGTGCTTCGCTCCCTAGCGTGCAAGTAACTTAAAATCTACTTGCCAAAACCCAGCTGAGGGGGAAAAAAAAGGAGTTATTCCTGCTTCATTTCTTTAAGTTGGAACAAAGCATTTTGCAAGAGATGGTAGTTGTAAAAGAGCCAGACAGAGAAGGCTATAAAGTGTGGCTAGCAAGCATAGGATTGCTTTCCCTGATTTGCAAGGCTTAATAGGCTTCAGGCAATTAATAGCCGCTATTACAGTTTTATGTGATCTTAATTTCGCATAGTGCCCTTACAATGACCACTCTAAAATGCATGGTTAATCTTTTCTCACACACAAATCCAGATATTTGCTTTTGATACAAGTGGCTTTGTTGTTGTTGTTATTCTTCGGGAAAGAACTTACTTGAGGTAATTGTCTTAAATCACTTGCCCAAAACTTGAAGATTGAATGAATCTGTCTTTTTCTGCTTATGTGTCACTTCAGATGATCTGATGTCTGTTCCTTGCTACATTTCAGGGAAATTAGTTAATGTCAGTGAGAAGTTTCTATATGCTCTAAAAATATCAGATTTGGGGATCAGCAGTAAAGCTCCTGTTTTATTGTCTGCCTTAATCTGGTAACATTTGCAAAATTGCAGTATAAAAAGACAAATACAGTAGAAAACTTGGATAAGTACATCCAGGTGACCAAACCATTTTCTTGGATTTTTCCCTCCAGTTCAAAAAAAAAAAAAAAACAAAAAGCAAATGTGATGGCTCATGCCTGTAATCCTAGCACTTTGGGAGGCCGAGTCAGGTGGAGGATTACTTGAAGTCAGGAGTTCAAGACCAGCCTGGCCAACATGGCGAAACCCCGTCTCTACAGAAATACAAAAAAATTAGCCAGGCATGATGGCAGGGTGCCTGTAATCCCAGCTACTCGGGAGGCTGAGGCAAGAGAATCGCATGAACCTGGGAGGTGGAGGTTGCAGTGAGCCAAGATTGAGTGAGACTCCGTTTCAAAAAAAAGCAAATGCAAAAAAGGTCACTCAAGTTGGAACTTTTCAAGTTGGAGTTACTGAATATTGAGTGTCAGCAAAGGGCTCTTTACTGTATCAACATCAACATTTAAAAAAAATTTTTTTTTTTTTGGTTAGAAACAATAGCTACTTTTCTCTGGAGGTAAAATATAAAAGATTTTATTGCTACTACTTTTTCCTGACTTCCAGACAATTGTTTTGTGACCTTAGCTTAGCCACATTTTGTAGCTATAATCTCAGACCACATTAACAAACAGTGGCTTTAGGATTTCTATGCAGAAAAGCAGCAGTGATTGATTTGTAAGAGACAGGGATGACATCTAGAAAGCTGAGTTATTTAAAAATATTAATTGGATGAGTTTGTTTAAAAACAAACATTTAAAATGATTTGACACCAGATGAAAACAGTGAGGAAGGCTGGGTATGGTGGCTCACGCCTGTAATCCCAGCACTTTGGCAGGCCGAGGTGGGTGGATCATGAGGTCAAGAGATGGAGACCATCCTGTGCAATGCGGTGAAAACCCGTCTCTACTAAAAATACAAAAATTAGCTGGGCATGGTGGCGCGCACCTGTAGTCCCAGCTGCTCGGGAGGCTGAGGCAGGAGAATCGCTTGAACCCAGGAGGTGGAGGTTGGAATGAGCCTAGATTGTGCCACTGTACTCCAGCCTGCAGCCTGGTGACAGAGCGAGACTCCATCTCAACAAACAAACAAACAAATGAGCTACAGGCTCCCTTCTTGTACTAAACCTTAGTGATGCCACAGGAGTAGGAGTAATATTGATGAACTTGTAAAATGTATATAGAATCTCTAAGAAGCCTGTGGTGGAATAGAATGGGTTGGGTCACAGTGTTTAAAGGGCAATGGGGGTGGATAAGATTGAGATGGAAAAGGTTATATTTGTGCTCGTTTCATACCTCCCTCAGAAAAAGGGCCTGCTTTTAGAATTAGCCCTGGAGTGCTCAATCTGAGCTTACTGTCCCTCCTGTAAGACGTTTACTCTGTTTTGTTTTCTGTTTGACTTTGATTTCAAAGACCAGAAGGACTTTATTTGGGTAGAAGGCAAGAAAAAGCCTTTTTCATTGTTAAATGGATAGGTTTACTAGACATCAAATCCTTCTTCAAATTCTAAGAAGTTGAGGATGTCCTTCTATCTCTGAAACCCATTAGACATTGTCAGAATAGGGAATTATTAATTTTTGTTCCAAATATTTCCAGTATTATTGAATCAGTCTTTTGTTTAGTTTTACAACTCAATTGCTTTGTTCTCTGCTTTCACTCCCCAATATGGCTCTGCCCACTTTACATCCAGCTGCCCAAATGCAAGGGTTACAAGGTTGGCTGCAGGTGCAGCTGAAAGTAAAATGTTCCCTTACTTAGTACTGCAACATGTACTCTTCCTTTAGTAAATCTTTGTGTCCCACAAACAAAATTTACTTATCAGTTAGTTGTATCATTGTATACCCTACCCTACACCCCAGGAAAGTAAGAACAGGTCCAAATTTGAATCTCTGGAATTGTGAATGTCAAAAAGTAGTCCATGACTGTGTGGGTTAAGTGTTTTCCCAATCCCCTGGAACATAAATACTTCAAAACTGGATAAAATGTTCAATTCTTTTTTTGTTTTGTTTTGAGATGGAGTGTCGCTCTGTCACCAGGCTGGAGTGAAGTGGCACAATCTCTGCTCACTGCAACCTCCCCGTCTTGGGTTCAAGTGATTCTCCTGCCTCAGCCTCCCGAGTAGCTGGGACTACAGACACATACCACCACGCCCAGCTAATTTTTTTGTATTTTTAGTAAAGACGAGGTTTCACTGTGTTAGCCAGGATGGTCTCGATCTCCTGACCTCATGATCCACCCACCTTGGCCTCCCAAAGTGCTGGGATGGCAGGTGTGAGCCACCATGCCCAGACAAAATTTTCAATTCTTAAATAGGAGGTCTGTCTCTAGATTCAACCTTACTGGTATCTTTTCTTATCCTTCTCTATTTGCTACTCCTCACTATACTCCGCTTTGCTCTGTGTCTTCAGAAACTGATTTTCCTTTGCTGTGGGCCAGTGAAGGTGGAGAGCGGCATCAAAGTATTTAGAGTTCTACTCCCTATCCCAGGCTGCATCATGAACTGAATGTCACAGATCCCATCACTCAGGTCTCATAGTCATCTCCAGAAGAGCTTCTCTTTCCAGTTCCCTGTAATCACTCCTTCCCATTTCCCCTACTCCTGCTCTTCATATGCTCTGTCTCTTGTGGTTTCCCTACATTCTATCCACATATTTATAGAGTGGCTTTTTATCAGTTTCTCCTCCAATAACCTAGTTTTACCATATCTTTTTTAGCTAACAGTCCCTGACTGATACACCACAAACAGCCTTTCCTCTTCTCCTCTTTGGCCATGATCTTCTAGGAAAGTGCAGAGAGCCAGTGCCTTCACATAGAGTGTGCCCGATAGGAGTGAGTCAGTGGGCTAAAGAGAAGTCCACTGGGCACGCGCGCGTGTGTGTGTGTGTGCATGCGTGCATGTGTTTCGGGGTGAGGTAGGGTGGTTATCTAGAAAAAAGGGAAATCTCAAAATAAAATCGTACTCTACCATATAAAGTAGATGGGCCTTGGCTTCAATGTAACCACTTGTTACTACACATACTCACATTTTCTTTGATAAAGACTGATTCAGTGATTGAATGGAAATCACACATGACCATTTAATGAGTCATGCTCTTTTATTTTATCTTTTCTATTTTTCAATGTAAAATGGTGAAATGTAGAACATTTGAGTTGCCTAGGGCTGCAGTAACAAATTACCACAAACTAGGTGGCCAAATAAAATGAAATTTATTCACTCACAGTTGAGGATGCCAAAAGTTCAAAGTCAAGGAGTTGGCATGGTTGGTTCATTTTGAAGGCTCTGAGGGAGAATATAATCTTGGCATTCCTTAGATTATACCTGAATCACTACAATCTCTGCCTCTATCATTGCAAGAACTTCCTTTCCATGTGTCTCTCTGTGGGTTTTCTCCTGTTCTTATAAGGACACCAGTCATTGGCTTTAGGGCCCACTCTAATCCAGTACTACTTCATCTTAACTTAGGTAATTACATTTGCAAAGGCCATATTTTCAGATAAGTTCCTAATGTGAGGTTCTCTAGGGGCATGAATTTTGGAGAGAGGCAAACCCACTATAGAGATTTTCTTATATTAGATAGTATAGTTGAAATCTATTATTTAATAAGAGATAATACTACTTGCAATAGTATTAAGTAAAATCTGATGAGGATAAAGATCTATTTTGTTCATATTAATCCTTGATTTTCATAAAAATTCCATTATGCTAAATATCGTATTTTATTTTTGTAAATCCAGTTACTCAGTAGCCTTAACCACAGTACTTGCTTATCCTGGAAATGAATAGTTCCCAGGAGTGTATTTCATAAATAGAAGGATGACATGGACTCTTGACATTAGAAGGAGGCTTTGACTTCTGCTCTACCACCGGATAAGTTCTGGAAGTCTAAAAGAGTATTTGCTCATTTGTTTACTCATGTTTTTCATCCATTTCTTCATTCAAGAAATGAAGTAGACATTGCAGGAACTAGCAGGTTATTTCCTCCAGTAGGAAATTTTGCAGTCTATAAGATAGGCAGTAGATATAAAATTGATTTTTCACAGTGATTTTTTTATGTATATATATATAATACAAATGTAAAAATATACAAATAATAAAATATAAGTAATGGCACAATGGGGAATGGAATCCCCTATATTTGTTTATCATATAGTGGGTGCTCAAACCATATTTGCTTTATTAATCAAAATTAGCCTGAATTCAGGGAAAGCTTCTCTGAGAAAATGATACCTGATATACAAGTGCTGAAAAAAAATAAGTAGAAAACAGCCTGATGAAATAATCAAAAGCTATTCTAAGCACAGGGAATAAGAAGTGTAAAGGCAACTGCATGACACAGAATAATAGGTTTGAAAAGCAGTTAAGCATTTCTGTGTTGTTGGAGAAAGGACAGTGAAATATATTTGTGGTGGAATTATGGTAGAAGAGTCTTTGGATGTAGGAAGAAGCACATCATGAAGCAGAGCCGAAAAATTTATTTTCCTGAGGACCATTAAGGTGTCATAAGCAGAGGAGTTTTGTGTCAGATAAAATTCAGTCATGAATTGCTTAGCAATAGGAACACATTCTGAGAAATATGTCATTAGGCGATTTCATCATTGTGTGAACGTCGTAGAGTCTACTAACACGAACCTAGCTGGCACAGCCTGCTACACACCTAGGTTGTTGCTAAGAGTTGGATGTTTTGTCCTCTGCAAATCTCATGTTGAGATGTGACCACCAATGTTGGAGATGGGCCTAGTGCGAAGTATTTGGATCATGGAGGCAGATTCCTCATGAATGGCTTGGTGCTGTCCATAACATAATGACTGAGTTCTCACTCCATGAGTTCATGTATGATTTGATCATTTAAAATAGCCTGGCACCTTGTCTCTTTCTTTTGCTCCTTTTCTCATCATGTGACACACTGGCTCTTCTTTGCCTTCTGCCATGATTGTAAGCTTCCTCAGGCACTCACAAGGATCAGATTTGGCCGCTTGCCGCATGTAGAGTCTGCAGAACTTGAGCAAAATAAACCTCTTTCCTTTATAAATTCTCAGCCCCAGTTATTCCTTTATAGTGATGCAAATGGACTAACATAGT